>NC_000004.12:37839016-40339016 GCF_000001405.40 Homo sapiens
GTAGTAGAGATGGGAGCTAAGTTGAAATATAAATATTTAACCCTGGAGTGAGAGATAAATGAGGAACCTGTAAGAGCATTCTCCATTCCCTCAAATTTTTTTTTTTTTTTTTTTTTTTTGAGACAGAGTTTCGCTCTTGTCTCCCAGGCTGGAGTGCAATGGCAGGATCTTGGCTCACTGCAACCTCTGCCTCCCAGGTTCAAGTGATTCTTCTGCCTCAGCCTCCCAAGTAGCTGAGATTACAGGCGCCCATGCCTGGCTAATTTTTTTGTATTTTTAGTAGAGACAGGGTTTCACCATGTTGGCCAGGCTGGTCTTGAACTCCTGACCTCAAGTGATCCACCTGTCTTGGCCTCTCAAAGTGGTGGGATTACAGGCGTGAGACACCACCCCTGGCCCCTCAGTGTTTTCCTCAATGTTTTCCTTAAAAGCAAATGAGAAAGGAGGAGAGGGAGAAGCAGTTGGAGGGAGTAAACTGAATCCACAAACTTCTGTCTCAGGTAGAAGCATTGAAAGCATTGGAATGGAGGCTTAGACCATCGTTGTGTTTGAAGAATTTTCTAGCTCTACCAAGTAGAAGATGGAATGAGAAGGCACTGAGGAAATTACTCACCTTTCTTATTAGGAAATACATCCTGGAATTATGAGCAGCCAGTTAATTCTAAGGGTAATTGCATACTGCTGGGGTGTGGCTCAAAAATATTATGCTATTTATATATTATGTTTATTAAAAGGGAGCAAGTTGGCATGAACAGTATAAAATAGACATTTTAAGAATATCTGGTTATTTTCGTTAAAAACTGTTTGTTCTTGTTTCCTGCTATGTTACAGCCCTTCACAGTATCACATTTGAAACTTTGTGCTGGAATCATGATAACTGCATCTCACAATCCAAAGCAGGATAATGGTTATAAGGTATTTTCCTTTTTCTACTCCACACGTACATCCTTCTGTAGGAATCCTGTATCTGTAATTTTTGGGACCATAGGTAATAGGTGCCTTATTTCCATTAACTGTAAACCTTCTGAATGTGTTCCTGGGTCCTCTAGGTCTATTGGGATAATGGAGCTCAGATCATTTCTCCTCACGATAAAGGGATTTCTCAAGCTATTGAAGAAAATCTAGAACCGTGGCCTCAAGCTTGGGACGATTCTTTAATTGATAGCAGTCCACTTCTCCACAATCCGAGTGCTTCCATCAATAATGACTACTTTGAAGACCTTAAAAAGTACTGTTTCCACAGGTAAATGAATTGTGTCTTCACTGACCTTAAGTGAGTTAATGTGATTCAGCCAAATTCTATTAGTGTTTGTGAAGTTTTTCTCTTTAATTTGCTCATGTACTACAGCTGCATCTGATTTTATTTTATTTTATTTACTTATTTTGAGACAGGGTCTCACTGTGTCACCCAGGCTGGAGTGCAGTGGCACGATTTGGCTCACTACAACCTCTGCCTTCTGGGTTCAAGCGATTCTTGTGCCTCAGCCTCCCAAGTAGCTGGTATCACAGGCGTGAGCCACTGCACCCAGCTAATTTTTTTGTATTTTTAGTAGAGACAAGGTGTTGGCATGTTGGCCAGGCTAGTCTTGAACTCCTGGCCTCAAGTGATCCACCCACCTTGGCCTCCCAAAGTGCTGAGATTACAGGTATGAGCCACCACGCCCACCCAGCTGCATCTGATTTTAGAGGCTGTAGATCAAGCCTTGGCAAACTTTTCTTAAAGGGACAGATAGTAAATATTTTTGGCTTTGAGGTCCACACAGACTCTTTCTCAGCTACTCAACTCTGCTGTTTTAGTACAAAAGCCATCATAGATGAAATGTCGGCGAAGGAGTGCAGACAGAAGTGGGTGGCTTGCCCATAGGCCATAGTTTGCTGACCTGTTATAGATTCCATACATGTATGTGATTCATACATATTCATACATGTAAGTGTGTGTGTGTGTGTGTATATATATATATATATATGTATGTTTTTAAAACTTGCTCAAAAGTCTTGAATAGCAAACACTGGTATTTTTCTATCTTTCCAAAAATTTTCTGTGCATATGCAAGCGTATATATATATATATATATATATATATATGTGTGTGTGTGTGTTTGTATATGTATAATATACTTCAAAACCATAAATAGGAATATTTGTGTGTGTGTGTGTGTGTGTGTGTGTGTGGTTTGTTCTGTGCACTTTTCCCCCCAATTAATTTGTCATGGACACCTTCCTGTGTTAGTCCCTATTAGTCCTGACTTTCTGTCTTAAAGGCTGCTGCACCGGTGTATTTAACTCAGTGACACAGACTCAGTCCTTACCATCAGGTAGGAAGAGGTGTAGCAGAGTGACAGTAGTGTCTGCTTGAGTATGCTGTAGGTCCCACCCCTCCTGATTGTCCCCCTAGCAAGAAACCACTGATTCAAAGAAACTGAACTTGTAGGTTTGTCTTTGATACTGTATTTGTTGGATCAGCTGATGGTGCCCACTCCAGTGCAGAGTATGAAAGCCCAGTCCTGCCTGAAGGGAGCAGCCGTGCCAGCTGAGTGTTGCCCACATGAAAATATAGGTCCCAGTTGCCAGATCATCTGAGTTCTCCTCTTCCCAAAATAACTGGAAACCTGGATTTTGTGTGTGAAATCTCCTAATTCCTACGTGTTGGACCATTTTTTCCAATGGTGTGTAGTCCAGACAAAATACGTCTGTGAACTTTCCCTCTGCCCCTCTGATTTAACTTCACGAAGAATGAGGCATTTCTGCTTTTCCACTCCAGGTAGCTTGGGAGTTAACTCCCCTTGTGCACAGTTGCTTGAGTATGTGTGTGGGTGTGTGCGCGCGTGCATGCACGTGCATGTGTGTGCGCATGTGTATCCGTAAGGTAACTTTCTGGCATCAAAATTGTATGTGCATTCACAAAGTTGATAGTGCTTAGCAAATTGACCTCCAAAAATATACCAGTTGGTGCTCCCACCAACAGTAGATGTTGACAGCATATGATACCTACATTTCCTCCTGCTCTGTGATCCAATTTCTCATTTTTCCTGATTTGCTAGTTGAAAGTAATAGCTCACTTTTATTTGTATTCTTTAATTAACCTATATTTTCTATGTGTTTGTTCACCTTTTATATTTATAAACATCTTTGTTTATAATATATATACATATATACATATTATATATACATATATGCATATACTATATATATAAAATATATTTTTTAGATGTTTTCTGTTGTCTTTGGAATTTTCTATTGAAACTGTTTGCTGAACTGTTTAAAAATCTGTATAATATTTATTAGTCTTATTTTATAGCTTCTGGGTTTTATGTCATGCTTAGGAAGACATGCTCTATAGCAAAATTATTAAAGTAATAGCAAAATATTTCCCTTGTTCTTTCTCTAGAACTATCATGTTTGTGTTTTATAATATTTAAATCTTTTGTTTCATTAGTGATTTTTAATTTTATATGGGGCATGAAGTAGGAAAGCAGATTAGATTTTTTTCTAAAAGGTTTGCAGTTGTACCAACATCAATGGAAGAATCTTTCTTTTTTTTCTTTTTTGACTAATTGGAAAGGTCACCTTTATGCAACAATTTCTAACATTAATCAAGTGCTTATTATATATCAGATAACTGCTGGAGGCCCTTCACATGTCATTTTTTTTCTTTTTTTTTTGAGACAGGTTCTCACATTGTCACCCAGGCTGCAGTGCAGTGGCATGATCTTGGCTCACTGCGGCCTTGACCTCCCAGATTCAGGGAATGCTCCTGCCTCAGCCCTCTGAGTAGCTGGTACTGCAGGTGTGCACCACCATGCTCTGCTAATTTTTTGTATTTTTTTGTAGAGATAGGGTTTCACCATGTTGCCCAGGCTGGTCTCGTATTCCTGAGCTCAAGCAATCCACCCGCCTCGGCCTCCCAAAGTGCTAGGATTAGAGGAGTGAGCCACTGTGCCCGGTCAACATGTAATTTCATTTAATCCTCAGAGTAATGCCAGTAAATTCTGGTATATTATCATGCATGTTATAGATGAAAAAACTACAAGGAAGAGTGGTTAATAGCCAGCAGTCACACAGCTTATAGATGGCAAAGCTCCAGGATTTAAATTCAGAGTCTGACTCCAGAGCGTGTTAACCACTCAGCATTATTACTTCTGTGTTCATCTCCCATTTCAAATTAGATCAACTTCTGAACTCTCTATTCTGTTCCTTTAATCTGCCTTTTTATGTCTAGTACCAAGCTGTTTTAATTACTGTAGGTTTATTATGTATTTTAAAATCCAAGAGAGTTGTTTTTCCAGATTTTTCTTCCCTAATCTTACATATTTATTTTCCAAGATGCATTTTATTTTCAGGGTATGCTTGTTTTAAACCACAATTCTCTTAGATAAGACCTTGTTCATTTATTCATTCCCAAAAGAAATGGATAATAACCTAAGATTCCAGCCATCAGAGCACTGGAAGTTTTTAAAGCCTTTTATTTTTCTGTAACTTCTCCTGTTAATTTTGGTATCTGTTGTTAGTCTGTATAAAGTCCCTAAGTCATGGCATGGTATCAAACAGGATTGTTACTTGGCAAACAAAAAGTTTTATTTATTTATTATTATTATTTTTTTTTTTTTCCTGAGACGGAGTTTCGCTCTTGTTGC
The DNA here is from genome assembly GCF_000001405.40 of Homo sapiens. NCBI lineage: Eukaryota > Metazoa > Chordata > Mammalia > Primates > Hominidae > Homo > Homo sapiens. The sequence goes on from NC_000004.12 coordinate 37,843,651, forward strand.
CCAGGTTGGAATGCAGTGGCACAATCTCGGCTCACTGCAACCTCCACCTCCCAGGTTCAAGCGATTCTCTTGCCTCAGCCTCCCAAGTATCTGGGATTACAGGCATGCACCACCATGCCCAGCTAATTTTGTATTTTTAGTAGAGATGGGGTTTCTCTGTGTTGGTCAGGCTGGTTTTGAACTCCTGACCTCACACGATCCACCTGCCTCGGCCTCCCAAAGTAAAAGTTTTATTTTTTATATCTTTATGTATGGGATAACCCAACACATTTTGTTAAAAAGGACATTTTGAAAATCATTTCTGAAGCTGATAAAAGACATTTGGGAACCTGTCGCTTTGGGGATGTGTGGGTGTGTGGAGCCCTGGAACTGTCCCGGGCTGGCTGTAGCACTGTCAGGGCACCTGTCAGGCCAGCAGTGAGTCTCGTGTGGGAACATGAGCTTGAGGTTCTTCTTTGTATCTCACTCTAGATGGGATGCATAAAACAAAACCTGAAATAATCAGATTTGCTGAAAATAACTACAGAGTAGAATTTAAAACTTGAGTATGTTGAGGGAAGGAATATATATATCTGGGAGAGAATGGATACGTTTTGTTTTTCTGAAATGGAATTAGAAAGATGTTCAGTTGTCTTGTGCATTCTTGCAAACCTTGCAGTTTTGAGAGCCCTGTTTCTGCCTTGTATCATTTTCCACTGTGTATCTGATTCTAGGAGCGTGAACAGGGAGACAAAGGTGAAGTTTGTGCACACCTCTGTCCATGGGGTGGGTCATAGCTTTGTGCAGTCAGCTTTCAAGGCTTTTGACCTTGTTCCTCCTGAGGCTGTTCCTGAACAGAAAGATCCGGATCCTGAGTTTCCAACAGTGAAATACCCGAATCCCGAAGAGGGGAAAGGTGTCTTGGTAACCTAATTTTTTTTTAAATTATGAAATCTGCTTTTATATTCAAAACTATTACTGTCAAGTAAAATACATTTTTATGTGTTTTCATTGTGCTGAAGAAAAACTAATTTCAGCATGGAAATATGTATGTTTGGCTGGGTGCAGCGTCTCATGTCTGTAATCCCAGCACTTTGGGAGACCAAGGCAGGCAGATCACTTGAGGTCAGGTGTTCGAGAACAGCCTGGCCAACATGGCAAAACCCTGTCTCTACTAAAAATACAAAAATTAGCTGGGTGTGGTGGTACATGCCTGTAATCCCAGCCACTTGGGAGGCTGAGGCGCTAGAATTGTTTGAACCTGAGAGATGGAGGTTGCAGTGAGCTGAGATTGCACCACTGCACTCCAGCCTGGGTGACAGGGTGACAGAGCGAGACTTTGTCTCAAAAAAAAAAAAAAAAAAAACAAGAAGTATGTATATTTGTTAGTCATTAATTTCTTAAAGGATCTTTCAAATTAAACACCCCAGGATCAGGATATGAGAACTGAGCTCTAAATGGTGCTTCAAATTCAGTTAATTTAATTTAATTTAATTTGCCGTGTCTCCTTAATGCCAAAAAGAAGCAGTAATAGAGTGAAACTTTAGCAGGTTATGATTTTTATTTCTTGTCATTTTTCTGATATGAAGTGTTGCTTACATTATGGTTTCTGTAACATTTTTAAAGGTTGGGGTAGCAGTGGCATTCAGAGAATCAGTTTATTTTGTTTTATTTGTGAGGCTGATCACACAGCAATGCCCCGAAATACCAGTCCAACCACAGACCTACTGGCGCATGTGCAGCAGGCACACTGGTAGGCTTGGGTCACACACCGATGCTCCCATTATCTGACCTCTGACTTAGGAAGATACTATGTGACCAACCAAGACCAGCTGCAGCTTTTGTTTGCTAAATTTCACTTCTGGAGCTGTCTTGGTTGGTCCTATATTATCTTTCTAAGAGGGGAAAGACCTCTTGAGTTCTTAAGGAACTGAATGTTTTTAAAGACTATCATATGCTCGATTCTTGATTAAATAATCTTTTATTTTCATATTCTTCTTCAGACTTTGTCTTTTGCTTTGGCTGACAAAACCAAGGCCAGAATTGTTTTAGCTAACGACCCGGATGCTGATAGACTTGCTGTGGCAGAAAAGCAAGACAGGTAAAATTAATTGTGATTACCTATATTATAGAACATATAAAGGATGATCTCTTCATTGGTAAAATGTTTCTGGGGAGACGGGACCTATTTGGAAACATTTCCCATTTATTTTGCAAATGATCATTTCACTGAACCTCCTGTAGAGTCTTCTAATGGAGAGCAAGATAGAGATCTAGTGTGGGGGGAGGTTACGTGATTGGCAAGCATAATGCAGAGTAAATCAACCCAGTATATATTTCAAATTGAAACTCCTATTTGGGAACTTCTCATTTTGTAATTGATCTTTTTATAAGTAATGTCTCAGTGTCTAATGAGGGTAAAGCACTTTGGTGCTAGCTGTATGCTTCAGTATTTGCTGAGGGGTTTAGGAGGGAGCAGTACCTTCAAGGAGATGCTGAATTTAGTTTGGACAGACCAGGGAGGAATTCCTGTGGGGTATCGGCACAGTGTTTAAGACAAGTCTGACCAGAGAGTTTGTACAAAGGAGAAGTAAGTACGTGGGGCTAAAGTTGAAAGGTAGGCAGGGCCCAAGCAATTTTGGGCGTCAGGTAGCCTATGTGATGTTTTGGGGGCAGGAGGGTGCTGCTGCTGAAATGGTAGGGTTTTCAGATTGTGATAAAACAGGTTCCATTCTATATCAGTGTTGAGAAAGTTAAGCTAAGATGATACGTCCTGATAGGTGAGATTTACTTCTAGCCATCTGGACTGCCAAGAGAAGCAGAAATTACACATCTTTTCTCTGATGTTCTGACCATTTAGGACTGAGCTTGATCTTAAGGGGTACTGAGCTGTCCCCTCTCAGAATCAGCAATACTGACCAGTCCAGAAATTGAGATAGCAAAACTTACTCTATATATGGGGGATCTTGCCAGCATATTTGTTATATTTAAAACCAAAGGCTTTGCCAAAGATTAATATAGAGCCATTGTGTGTCATGTGTGACATACTTATTTTATACAGTCTTCAAAGACAGGATGTCTGTTCAGGCAAACTGGCTGATATATATGGTAGCTGCTCAGATGTTTGTAAAATGGCAGTTACATTTCTGACCAGTTATTTAAAGATGATGAATAACAAGAACAGCCTTGCAGAAAATACTTAGATGCTTTGTTTGCTAAATTGTTTTATCCCCATGACACTTTAGAGTCTTCCTTAAGATTATGGAAATGAATGGTGGTTGTTGTTTTTTTTTTCTTTCAGTGGTGAATGGAGGGTGTTTTCAGGCAATGAGTTGGGGGCCCTCCTGGGCTGGTGGCTTTTTACATCTTGGAAAGAGAAGAACCAGGATCGCAGTGCTCTCAAAGACACGTACATGTTGTCCAGCACCGTCTCCTCCAAAATCTTGCGGGCCATTGCCTTAAAGGAAGGTTTTCATTTTGAGGTAGGGTGTTTCTGGGACTCACTCATTTTCCTTTCATCTGCTCTGTAGAAGATCTAAGGCATGTCTTTCTCTTTTGGATTATCCCTTTAGGAAACATTAACTGGCTTTAAGTGGATGGGAAACAGAGCCAAACAGCTAATAGACCAGGGGAAAACTGTTTTATTTGCATTTGAAGAAGCTATTGGTAAGAAGTGATCATGAACATTAAGGAATTGGCTGCAAGGCAAAAGGAAAAGGTTTGGATTGGGATTCAAAGATCCACAGTGAAACACGGTTTATTTTGCCTCTCCAGCACTCAGGTTGAATGTCGAACTGTCCTACTCCAAAATTGACATCTCAGATGATTTACAGCCAAAAGGAATGTCTTAAAAACAACTAAGTCATTCATGTCAGAATCCTTTGCCTGGATGACTCAAAACAGTGACATTGTATGCTTGGCTGCCGGTACATGTATTTTGGGAGTTGTGATGTTTCCTCCACTGTGGTGGTTAATATCCAGGCCTAAACACTGTGGTATTTAATGTCCCTCCTCCTCCAAAAGTGCTAATGAGGATCTATGCTACGGTCTAGCCAGAGGAAAGGAGAAGGAAGGCATGGTTTGCTGCTGTCATCAGAATGATACTCACCCAAAAGGATGACCCAGGTCCAGCCAGAATGACAGAAAAACCCTTGTCCTAAACTGTCAATATAAATGAACAGAAAGGAGAACTAGCTATAGAAATTTGAAACTCACATTGTACCAAACGCTTTTAGCTATTAATTTAGTAAAAACTATTATGCATTAGATTTATTTATATTCATTTGTATATTCTCTGCAACACTAACACATGATTTAACTAATCAAAGCATAATCGCTCAGGTTCTGCTCTTTTATTGTCAGATTTGGCAGACTTGTCTTTCCGTAGCTTTTTATTTTAAGAAAGATTTTCTTTCATTTATCAAGTATTAATTGCATGTCTATTACTCAGTGACTCTAAAAGAAATGGATGGCACTGACCTTAGCCTACAGCAGCTTAGATAGATTTAGTTAAGTAATCACACACAAGAGTAGAGGCCAGATGTCAAAATGAATAATGTAACTAACAAATACTATTGGGATTCAGAGAAGAAAGAGATATGTATTGACTAGGACAATTAGAAACAATTTCATGAGCTGGAAGGAGTTTCATGACTCTAGTGATTGAGCACCATGTGGCCAGGAGGGAAAATCTTGCAGGTTCTTCAGCAAATACTTCTTGAAGGCCTGCTATGGGCTAGGCACTGGGCTAAATTCCTAAACATAAGGTATTAATGAGAAATGTGCATACACGCAACACTGTACAACCTCTAATATGCAATAGCCAGGATTCATACTCATATGTGGTTTGACACAGTATTGTATAGATGTATGTATGACGTGTGTTTCTGCAGGATACATGTGCTGCCCTTTTGTTCTGGACAAAGATGGAGTCAGTGCCGCTGTCATAAGTGCAGAGTTGGCTAGCTTCCTAGCAACCAAGAATTTGTCTTTGTCTCAGCAACTAAAGGCCATTTATGTGGAGTAAGTTGTTATTGACTCTGTTGGATTGAAATAATATTTTGAAATGTTCTATTATATACTTATGCATGAGATACTAATATCCTTTCTAATGCTCTTATTTTGGTGATGAATTCTATTTCTTATAAAAATTAAATAAGGCTGGGCACAGTGGCTCATGCCTGTAATCCCAGCACTTTGGGAGGCTGAGGCGGGTGGATCACCTGAGGTCAGGAGTTCGAGACCAGCCTGTCCAACATGGTGAAACCCCGTCTCCACTAAACATACAAAAATTAGCTGGTTATGGTGGTGGGCACCTGTAATCCCAGCTACTCAGGAGGCTGAGGCAGGAGAATTGCTTGAACCTGGGAGGCAGAGGTTGCAGTGAGCCGAGATCGCGCCATTGCACTCCAGCCTGGGTGACAAGAGCTAAACTCTGTCTCAAAAAAAAAAAAAAAAAATTTAAAAAAACTAAAGAGATCACCTTTTCCTTTTGATATGTAACAAGTTAGTAATTACTATTCCCGATCGCATTAATTCTTAACAAATGACAACATGAAAGAATGTGATTTTAAGTGTCCAGTATCAAAAAAGATTGAATGTCTTCATAATACATCTATTCATTTTTTTGTAGCACTTACTCAACTCTGCCTTGCCAGTGTAGTGCGTAAGCATCCAAAGAGAATACAGAAATGCGTGTGACCTGGCTCTCTGTGCAAATGCAGGCGGAAGACCAGGCAGTCATTTGGTGATCCCTGGGGTAGATTGTTGGACCTCTTTTTTTTTTTTTTTTTTTTTTTTTTGAGACGGGGTCTTGCTCTGTCACCAGGCTGGAGTGCAGTGGTGTGATCTCGGCTTACTGCAACCTCTGCCTCCTGGGTTCAAGCAATTCTCCTACCTCAGCCTCCCGGGTAACTGGGATTATAGGTGTCCCCACACCTGGCTGATTTTTGTACTTTTAGTAGAGTTAGGGGTTTCACCATATTGGCCAGGCTGGTCTCAAACGCCTAACCTCAGGTGATCCACCCACCTTGGCCTCCCAAAGTGCTGGGATTACAGGCGTGAGCCACTGTGCCTGGCCTAGACCTCTGTTTTAATGGTCTTTTAAAAATTATTCCTTTGGCGTCAGTTTTGGCTGTTACATTTATTTTATTATTTATTTTATTTTATTTTATTTTTTGAGATGGAGTCTCTCGTTGCCCAGGCTAGAGTGCAATGGCACAATCTTGGCTCACTGAATCCTCCACCTCCTGGGTTCAAGCGATTCTCCTGCTGCAGCCCTCTGGAGTAGCTGGGACTACAGGTGCCTGTCACCATACCCGGCTAATTTTTGTATTTTTAGTAAAGACGAGGTTTCTCAATGTTGGCCAGGTTGGTCTCATACTCCTGACCTCAGGTGATCTGCCCGCCTCGGCCTCACAAAGTGCTGGGATTACAGGCGTGACCCACCACACCCAGCCATATTTATTTTAGAATACACTGGTTGGTACATGTTCTGTGTCCACCCTACAAAATTATTTGTTCCTCATGTGCATGAATTTGTATTTGTTTGATAGGTATGGCTACCATATTACTAAAGCTTCCTATTTTATCTGCCATGATCAAGAAACCATTAAGAAATTATTTGAAAACCTCAGAAACTACGATGGAAAAAATAATTATCCAAAAGCTTGTGGCAAATTTGAAATTTCTGCCATTAGGGACCTTACAACTGGCTATGATGATAGCCAACCTGATAAAAAAGCTGTAAGTAATGTCTTCTCTTTTCAACTAACCTCTTTTCTATTTACCTTTTAAAATAATTTGAATAAATTATTTAACCATACAATTAATTGAAGCTGATTTTAGGCACTTAGGCGTGATTATAAATAAGCTATAAAAAATATATGGAAGCCGGATGTGGTGGCTCATGCCTATAATTCCAGCACTTTGGGAGGTTGAGGTGGGCAAATCACTTGAGATCAGGAGTTCGAGACCAGCCTGGCCAACACGGCAAAACCCGGTCTCTATTAAAAAATACAAAAATTAGCTGGGCGTGGTAAGTTAAAAACCGCAGGCTAGAACTGAAAGAGACTCTACTAGGCTGGGAGCGGTGGCTCACACCTGTAATCCCAGCACTTTGGGAGGCCGAGGCAGGTGGATCACTTGAGGTCAGGAGTTCAAGACCAGCCTGGCCAACATGGTGAAACCCCATCTCTACTAAAAATACAAAAATTAGCCAGGTGTGGTGGCTCATACCTATAATCCCAGCTACTCAGGAGCGTGAAGCAGGAGAACTGCTTGAACCCAGGAGGCAGAAGTTGCAGTGAGCTGAGATTGCACCACTACACTCTAGCCTGGGTGACAGAGCAAGACTTCATCTCAAAAAAAAAAAAAAAAAAAGAGGAACTAGTCATCAAAGCCTGTGTGGTCATTTCGCACCTTAGGCAATAAGTGATCAGAAGTGTGGAACCTGTCTGTGGACACAGAGCTTAGTTGGTGGTGGTCCAGGGAGAATCTGGGTTTTCTATCTCAGGATCCAGCATTCTCTCCCTGTCAGGAGTTCTCACACTTGCAGGAGCATCAGTAACCAAGAAGGCTGGGGAAACAGAGTGCTGGAGCCCACACCTGGACTTTCCGATTCAGTAGGTCTGGGGTAGGAGCCAAAAATGTTCATTTCTAACAAGGTCCCAGGTGGTACTGATGCAACTGGTCCTCACTTTGAGAACCACTGTTTGTTTTCTAGTTAGTGTACTCTGTTCTCTGAGTGTATTGGAGCTGTTGGCTGTAAAGCCTGAGTTTGCATTCTTTACACCAAGCAGATCTTTCACTGGAGACAAAAGAAGACACAAAGGTAGCAGAAGAGTGTTGCTTTCTATGTTGGGGTTGGGGGAGGAAAGTTAAGAATATCCTTATGAGATGTTAGGCACGTTCTTTGATATTTTCTTTGTTCTATTTTTCATTTTCATCTGCACACAGCATATTTTTAAAATAGAAATAGTATGAAAACGCTTACGATGAAACGTGGCAGTCCCACCCCTGCCACCTCATTGCCATGTCACCAAGACTAGATTTGTAAATCATGTGCTCATATAGTGATGTTTTGATATACCAGTTTTACAATTTGTTGACTTTCTATTTTTGAGATAAAGATTTAGTTCTTACGCTTTCTACATTCAATAATTCTCTTCTCCCCATCCTCACAGTACGTTTATGCCACAGCTTTTGGTTAAATCAGATTCCGTGCTTTTGTTATTATGACTAGTAACTGCTGTTGCCTGCTAGCTAAGTAGTGTATTTTGATTAGGTTTCCCTAATTTGTATAGAGAATTGTATTTCCTGTACCTTTTGTTTGTTTGTTTTCTTTTTTTTTGGAGACAGGGTCTTGCTGTGTGACTTAGTCACTTAGGCTGGAGTGAATGGCATGATCACAGCTCCCTGTAGCTTTGACCTCCCAGGTTCAAGTGATCCTCCCACCTCACCCTCCTGAGTAGCTAGGACCAAGGGTATGCCATCATGCCCAGCTCTTTTTTTTTTTTTTTTTTTTTTTTTTGGAGGGACGAGTCTCTCCCTAGGTTTCCCAGGCAGGTCTCAAGTGATCCTCCTGCCTTAGCCTCCCAAAGTACTGGGATTACAGGCGTAAGCTACTGCGCCTGCCTTAATTCATGTAGTAATAGTTGCTTTGTTCTTCCATTTGCCTGGATTTCTATGTCCTGTCAGCAGTTTTTCCCAAATCCTTCAAATGCCTCTCAGTAGGGTTTTCCTGGTCCATGTCCAATGGCCGCCCTCCTGGTTGGGTGCACAGCTGTCATCCTGGGAATGCCCTTCTCCAGGATTGAGTCCCTTGCTCCTAGACCTCATGGCTTCCTCTTTCTATATTTATTTTCCTAGATCACATCCTCTAATAGCTTTCTGAGAACAAGTAATTGGGTGGTAAGTTTTTGGTGGCATTTAAGTCCGAAAATGTCTTATTCTGTCCTCACACTTCACTGACTCACAGTTTTGAAAGCATTGCTCCATTATTGTTGGGCTTCCAGCATTGCTATTGAGCCTCCAATCCTTCCTTTTTCAGCAGATAGTTAAGGCCTACTGTATGCTGTATGTAAGGTTATTGATGCCATACTTATTCAGTCCTTTCCATGCAACTTGTTTTGTTTGTTTTTTTCCTCTGGGAAGATTTTAGGAACTTTTCTCTAAACTTCAGGTTCTAAAATTTCACAGTGATATGCTATAGTATGGGTCCCTTTTTATTCATGTTTCTGGATACTTGGTCTGTAGAATCATTTATTTTAGTTCTGAGAAGTTTTCTTGATTATGTATCAGGAAAGGGAGCTAATTGGTTATTTTTTAAAATAATCACCTCCCCTGCATTTTCAGTTCTTTGTTTCTTGAAGAGCTCTTAGATGCTGGCTTTCCAAGACTGATGTTCTACTTTTCTTGTTTCTTTCTTTCTTCTTCTGTTTTTCTGGGAGATTTCCTTAGCTTTAGCTTTCAGTGCCTCTGTTGGCTGTTTCAGTTATAACTAATTTATTAAAAATAGTGTCCTGTTGAAACAGTGTCTTGCTCTTTCACCCAAGCTGGAGTGCAGTGACATGATCATAGCTCACTGCAGCCTTGATCTCCTGGGCTCAAGCAATCCTCCTGCTTCAGCCTCCTGAGTAGCTGGGACTACAGGTGTGTGCCGCCATGCCCAGCTAAGGTTTTTTAGTTTAGTAGAGACAGGATCTTGCTGTGTTGCCCAGGGTGATATTCCTTTTTTTTTTTTTTTTTTTTTTTAATGTAAACAATATCTTACCTCTCTAAGGATTATAGACCTAATTATAGTTTTTTAAAAATATATGTCTTCTTTTTCTGCTACATTCTCTTTATTTCCACCAAGTTCTTTTTATTCTGTTTGTTTTGGACTTTGTCTTTTACATGATGTCTTTCCCCAAAAGTCTGATGATCCTTAATTTTCCTTTGGGCACCTAAGAACTGATTGGAAGCTCTGTGTACATATGCAGATCAAATGACATACTTCACTCAGAGGATATTGGTAGCAAGTTAACTTTATAAGGGGATCCCCCTGATTTAATGAGACCTTAATCACCTACCCAAGGATGATAAGATGAGATGCCAAGGCCCTGGAGGCATGACTGGGGCGGAGCTGGGGGTGTCAGCCTGAGGACTTCTACTTGATCCCTCTGTTTTCATCATGCCCTGCCCAGGTTCCCCAACTCCTGAATGTTTCTGATTTAATCTCCAGAGAATTTAAACCATCTCCTGCAGAAATGGAGAAGAGGTGGTTCTGTGACGGTGTGGGCTCAGGGCAAGGAACCGGGATGGTCTAAGAACTTCTTTCAAACCCTGTTCCTGCTTTCCACCCCTGCCTCACATCTGCCTTTTGCAGTACCTGGTGCCTCTGGTTCTTGAGCTTGGCCAGGATTTTGCAGAGCACCTTGCCTCAGTTCTCATCCATGTCTCCTTCCGCAGGCACTCAGATTTCATTCTCTGGGTCCCACCAGACCAGTTCTGTGCCTCCATCTGTTTTCTGACTTGTGCGATCGGTTGGCAGCCCCATCAGCTGCTACCTCCTCTTTGTCTCTTTGCCCGTGTGTTTATGCTATTCAAAGTACCTCTATTTTAATGGAGTTTTGGGACCTATCAAATATAAATATACCATTTCCTCAAGACCATTTTTCTTTTCTAACCAGTAAATTTATATGGCATTTATTTTTTCTTACAGAAGCTTCCTTTTTTTTCTCTTTTTCTTTTCTTTTTTGGAGGCATAGTTTCACTCTGTTACCCAGGCTGGAGTGCAGTGGCGCAATCTCGGCTCACTGCAACCTCCACCTCCCGGGTTCAAGTGACTCTCCTGCATCAGCTTCCTGAGTAGCTGAGATTACAGGCACCCGCCACCATGCCTGGCTAATTTTTGTATTTTTAGTAGAGACGGGGTTTTGCCATGTTGGCCAGGCTTGTCTCCAACTCCTGGCCTCATGTGATCCGCCCTCCTCGGCCTCCCAAAGTGCAAAGTGCTGGTATTACAGGCATGAGCCACCGCGCCCAGCCTGGAAGCTTTATTTAAAAAAAAAAAACAAAAAAAACTCCTTATGGAATTTTCTTTGCAAAGATTCACTTTATAACAGTAAATATAATCTAGTTTGAGGTTTTTTTTTGTGGTGTATTAATCTGTTTAAGTCAATATCTTGTGAAATGATGTGTTTAAATAAAACTTTAATAACTTCAATAGAACTAGGGAAGTAAAAGCTAATACACAAAGTTACTTAATTTTCTTTATTTAAAATTAATTTAGTTATGTTAATTCACAAATAAAAATTGTATACATTTATGATGTACAATCCGATGTTTTAAAATGTATACATTGTGATAGCTAAAATCAAGTTAATTAGAATGTGTTACCTCACATATTGATCATGTATTTGTAGTGAGAACACTTAAAATCTACTCTCTTAGCAATTTTCAAGTATACAATGCATCATTATTAACTATAGTCACCGTATTGTACAATAGATCTCTTGAACTTCTCTTCTGTCTAGCTGAAACTTTAGGCCCTTTGACAAGCATCTCCCCAAACTCCCCTCCCTTATCCCCACCCTTCCCCAGTCAGCCCCTGGTAACCACTATTCTGCTCTCTGCCTCTGTGAGTTCAACCTTTTCGGATTCCACATGTAGGTGAGATCATGCGGTATTTGTCTTTCTATGCCTGGCTTATTTCACTCAACATAATGTCTTCCAGGTTCTTCCATATTGTTGCAAATGACAGGATTTCCTTCTCTTTTAAGGCTGAATAGTATTCCATATAGTAGACCACATATTCATAAATTACTATCGTTTAGTATTTCATTCATGTGGAGTACATTTTCTGATTTCCTCCAGAATGTTTTTCTTTTCTAACCAATAGATTTGTTTGGCATTTATTTTCTTACTTATGCAAGAGAAGATATTGGTTAGGCCAGAATGTTACTATTTAAATTTATAATGTGTGCATTAATTCCTAGGTTCTTCCCACTAGTAAAAGCAGCCAAATGATCACCTTCACCTTTGCTAATGGAGGCGTGGCCACCATGCGCACCAGTGGGACAGAGCCCAAAATCAAGTACTATGCAGAGCTGTGTGCCCCACCTGGGAACAGGTATGATGTGGATGGCAGCTGGTGTGATTTTTACTCCCCAGACTTCCTAACTGGTTCTATTCAAATGCCAAGTGAAATGTTCCATCTTTCTAATAGGTAATTTAATTAGAAATGCTGTTTCAGAACCTGCACTAATATTTTGGTATTAACAGTCAGTCTCAGCATCCAGGGAAAAGCTTACTTTTTACTTTCTTACTTTTGTCCTAAATTTCTTTGTATGGGAAAATTTTATCCTTATTTCAGTATAGTAGTAAAAGTGCCTTTTTCTAAACACTTTTCATTGGTAGCTAACACCAATGAGATTTTCTCTTTTTCTCAAACTTCAGTCTTCCCATGTCTCTGATAAAATAAATTATAATCCGGGCCGGGTGCGGTGGCTTACACCTGTAATCCCAGCACTTTGGGAGGCCGAGGCAGGCGGATCACGAGGTCAGGAGATTGAGACCATCCTGGCTAACACGGTGAAACCCCGTCTCTACTAAAAACACAAAAAATTAGCCGGGCGTGGTGGCGGGCGCCTGTAGTCCCAGCTACTCGGGAGGCTGAGGCAGGAGAATGGTGTGAACCTGGTAGGCGGAGCTTGCAGTGAGCCGAGACTGCGCCACTGCACTCCAGCCTGGGCGACAGAGCGAGACTCCATCTCAAAAAAATAAATAAATAAATAAATTATAATCCATTCCACATGCATTCAAGAAATATCTTTGAGTACCCATTGTAGACAGGTCTGTGCTGGGTTCTGGAGGGGGCACAGAGAGCCTCATCAGAGAGAGTCCTTGCTGCCAAAGAACTGATGGGCTGGTAGCTTCAGGTTCAAGTTTCTGTGACCTCAAAAAAGTGTTTGAGTTGGTCACTCTGTAACAACTTAACATTTTGCACCTTAACAAGCTCAGTGCTGTCCTTAGTGTGTGTAAGTGTGATACTGCATGCCTATCCAACATGCCGTTAACCAGCATTTCCCTATTCAGAATACAGTTGAAAATCAGGAAAAGTTTTTGTGAAAGGTGAATTAAGTCAGTGCTGTCTGACAGAACTAAAATGCAATCCACAGATGCAATTTTGATTTTCTACTTGTCACCTTTTAAAAGCGTAAAAAGAAACAGGTGAAATTAATTTCAATAATGTATTTTACTTAACCTAGTATATCCAAAAATTATTACAACATATAATCAGTATAAATATTATTAATGAGATGTTTTACATTCTTTTTTTTTCCTCTGGAAAAAAGTCCTCAAAATTGATTCAGTAATTTTACACTTACGGCATATCTCAATTTGAATGCTCCATTTTTATCAGAAATACTTGATCTGTAGAGTTAATAAAATTTAGATTAGACAAAGTAGATTTTAATACCCAGATTATTCCAAACATACTTGTTTTCTAATAACTGAATCAAGTATCAGTTTTAAAACTTGAACTCAATTAACTGAACTTCATAAAATTAAAAATTTAGTTTCTCAGTGGCGCTTGCCACATTTCAAGTTCTTAGTAGCCACATGTGTCTAATGGCCGCTGTAGTAAACAGCACCCATCTAGGTAATTGTGACAACATAGACAAACCAAAGCTTTGCTCATAGAAGAGTTTTTCCAGCCTCGTGAATCAAACTTGTGCAAATAAAAGCAGATGAAAATTCCTGAGCATCTTAAATTGCCAAGCTAGTAGCAGATTAAATGTAGCAAATTAGAGGAATGGGGAAGTATAACAAACTTTTCTTAGGCAAGGAGAAGTGACTGCTGATAGCAAGAAAGGAAATATTAAAACAAAACAAAACTATAAAACGTGGACACAAGGACTTAGAAAGCTCACCACTCCATGAGTTTATCATGAGGGAAATAGCATTCTACACCCAAGTGAGCCCAGAATACAGCTCCACTCCAACACAGTCATGCTTATGGCTCTCAAATGTCAAGATGTTCAATAAAGAGATATTTAAGAAGTCATGGGACTATGTAATATATTTTCACTATGGATTCCCATTCAAAACCTTTTTGTGCTTAAAGTGCAAAAACTCAACTATTAAGTGAACATATAAAAGCTCATTTTCTAAGAATTCTGGATTACCAATATTTTATTGTAATATTATGCAAGAATCTTGTTTTCGTGTGCATTAGATAGTAAGCTCTTTGCTGCTATATTGCATATAGTTTTTTGTAAACATTTCTTTATAATTCTTGCTTATTTAGTGTTTTCTTATTTCTATGTTTCATTCTTTTAAAAAGAAATGGACAGTCCAACTAAACAGTCCAACTTAAGGATCTGTTTTTTCTGTATCTTGTCCTTTCCTTTTCATTATCTGATGAAAATATATCTTATACTTCGGAAAGCTTTCCTTTGTAATGATAACACTATTTAAATGTTTAAGGCTTTATGGTATTAACATTTTTCACATGGCTTATTGAGTGGACTTAAATTCAAATATTAGCTTATAAATTAGTGAAAAAAACCTTGAAAATTTGTCCTTTTATTATATGCATTGAAACATTGCTTCCATTTATTAAATGGGACATTAAGCGCTATGTCAGTAGATGGATATGTGGTCACGGCTTAAGCAAGGCACCAGCATACCTAACGTACAACAGCAATAAAGTTTTTTTTGTTTTGTTTTTTGTTTTTTTTTTAAGACATCTCTCTCTGTTGCCCAGGCTGGAGTGCAATGGTGGAATCTTAGCTCACTGCAACCTCTGCCTCCTGGGTTCAAGCGATTCTTGTGCCTCAGCCTCCTGAGTAGCTGAGATTACAGATATGCACCACCACACCCAGCTAATTTTTTGGTGTTTTTTTTTTTTTTTTAGTAGAGACAAGGTTTCATCATGTCGGTCAGGCTGGGCTCGAACTCCTGGCCTCAAGTGATCTGCCAGCCTCAGCCTCCCAAAGTGTTGGGATTACAGGCGTGAGCCACTGCACCAGGCTAGCAATAATGTCTTCACTAAGATTTCCTTCTTTCCTGAAAAGCTTAAATATTATTAATATGCTTTATGTCATAAATTTCAATTATTCATAGAATTTCATGGCCTTCTAATCAACTAAAATGGAAAATCCTTTTCAAGTATGTGCTGCTTTAAAAATATATTTTTGTCAGGGGAGATGTCCTTAGTTTTGTCCAACTTTTTTATTTTGAACAGTTTCAAACCTACAGAAATGTTGGAATAAGAATGCAGTGAATACCCACACACCCTTCACTTAGACCAAACTTTGTATGTAAAGAGCCAGATAGTAAATATTTTAGGATTTGCAGACATGTGATTTCTGTCACCACTACTCAGCTCTGCTAATGTAGTAAGAAAGCAGCCATATGTATAAAGGAATGGGCAGGGCTGTGTTCCAGTAAAACTACATGAACCACAGTTTGTTGACCCCAATCCAGACTGAGCAATTGCTAACATTTTGCAATATTTGCTCTCTCACCATATATGTTATGTATTTGAGATTTTTCTGTACCATTTGAAACACTCTGTGATACTTCATGACACATCATAAGACTTCATGATGCTTCACTCCTGATATTTCAGTATGCATCTCTTAAGAACACTCTCTTAATATTAAGGCAAATAGATAATAATGGTACTAGGCAGGTTTCCAGTGGACCAACAGAAGCAGTAGAATGTACCTATTAAGAGATTGTTTGCAAGGAATCAACCTGTGCAATTGATTGTAGGGGCCAGCTCGGCAAGTCTGAAATCTGCAGGGCAGGCTGTCCAGAAAGGGAGCCTGGAATTCTTGGGCATGGGTTAAAGTTACAGTCTACAGGTGGAATTCTTCAGGAAAACCTCAGTTCCATTCCTGATGCCTTTCAGATAGAATCTAGCCCATCCACATTGTCTAGGATAATCTCCTTTACTTAAAATCAACTGATGATAGATATTAATCACACCTACAGGATACCTTCACAGCATCACAACATTAGTGTTTGAATAACTGGAGACACTATCCTAGCCAAATTGACACCTAAATCCCCAAAAGTCCCCAAAATAGCTGTTTTCTCCCCAATTTATAATCAAATCAAGAACACTGCATTGTATTTACTTGTCGTTTAGCTTAAATGTTTTTTCATGATGATTAGAGAAAAATGATACTTTCCTAAACATTCTGATAAAGAGATCCATCTAGATTCTTTTCAGAAACAGGAATTCCTAACCCTGGCTTAAATGATTATAGGATGTGTCCTGTTATTTTTAAAGATGTTATGAAATATTCTCAAGCATTAATTTAACAAATGGAACAGTTATCGATTAGGATGGAGAATAGTAACACAAAATTTTTGTTTTAAGAATTGTACCACTAAACCTTACACGGTGGTACTGATTTCTTTTTCACACATAAAATGCAATATCAAAAACATATCACTGCATACATGAATCGTAATGTTCACTCATGTCATGATTAAGAAATAAATTTGAATAATAAATTAGTAATCAGTAAATTCACCAAGTTTTAGTTTTAAGTATACTTTAAAAAATGATTAGCTTACATGCCTTCCTGAGAACTGTTATTTTCTTCAAAGCACATTTATGGAGAAGGAAAAGAAAACTGATATAATTCATATGTACTTAAAAAGCATAATTACTTTATATGTTGCCAGTAGGGATAAAAATAATTATAATGATAGCTACATTTATTGAGGTCTTTGGGCCAGGTTCAGTGCTAATTGCTTTATATAATTTATCGCAATCTGTACAGAAACTCTCTTGAGAAGATAAAGTCTTTATCCCAATTTTACAAATGAGGAATCTGGGCCTTAGAGAGGCCAAGCCACTTGCCCAAGGGCACAGAGCTAGTAAGTATAGAGCCAGAATTAATGTCTACAATGAAATGGATTGCTTTAGCTATTACAGTACTGTTTAGCTATTACAATGTTGAAATGATTTTAACTAATTATAGGGATTTCCATTAAAATAAACTCTGCATATATTAAAGATGGTATGAAGAGTATGAAGTAATGGAAAGTACAAAGGATTTAGATTTTTAAATTTAGCTTTTTGGTGTTAAGTACTTACAGTACTCACACTAGGCTACTTAAGATGCTGGAAACCTCTTTAACTGCAAGTCAGCTGTATCTGTTACTTAACCTTTCAAATGTTTGTATATAAATGAGTGTTGCCCACAGCCCTGAAAACTTGATTTTCTTAAAGGGATTTGTCTCCCCAGATTCTTGTTTATACTTCAGTTGTGAATCTTTGGTTCAAGAAATAGATTCATTATGATATGACCACAGGGATCTGATTTCTTGGTGTTTGACTCCTCAAACCCACCCGGAGGCTCCCTATTGCTGTTCATTCTAGGAAGGCTTTATAGACAAGGCTGGAGCTTAGGTGCCAGTAGTTTGAGGGCAGACATCATCACAAATGTCTGTATTCTGGGAGACTGAGGAGTTAACAGAGATGTTGTTTATAAAAGTTTAGCAGGATTTAATGGCAACTGACATGAAAGCTTTCTCTACACCCTTAGGTACAAATATTACAGATCTTTTAGGGATGCTAGGCCAAAAATTGTGTTTCTTACAAAGTCTTATGAGAAGAGCAAAGGATAACTTTGTTTATAGTTCAGACATTGGAAAAATCTTTGGGAAAAATAATGCATATTGTCTCATGGGGTGTTTTGTCTAAGTCAATAGATGTGTTCCATGCTTAAGTCTCTGGAGTTCTCTTTTTTTTCCTATTTAGTCCTCTTCTTAAGGTTATATTTTCATTGTCACTTGGTCAATGGGGGGAGCATTTAAACTGTGCTTTGGAATAATCCCTTGACCTGGATTTTTTTCCCCCTTATTTTCCAGTGATCCTGAGCAGCTGAAGAAGGAACTGAATGAACTGGTCAGTGCTATTGAAGAACATTTTTTCCAGCCACAGAAGTACAATCTGCAGCCAAAAGCAGACTAAAATAGTCCAGCCTTGGGTATACTTGCATTTACCTACAATTAAGCTGGGTTTAACTTGTTAAGCAATATTTTTAAGGGCCAAATGATTCAAAACATCACAGGTATTTATGTGTTTTACAAAGACCTACATTCCTCATTGTTTCATGTTTGACCTTTAAGGTGAAAAAAGAAAATGGCCAAACCCAACAAACTAACATTCCTACTAAAAAGTTGAGCTTGGACATATTTTGAATTTTTGTAAGTGAAGATTTTTAAACTGACTAACTTAAAAAAATAGATTGTAATTGATGTGCCTTAATTTGCATAAATCATAAATGTATGTCCTCTCTGTAATTGTTTTAATGTGTGCTTGAAATATCCAGAAAACCTATGGAGTTAGTAAATTCTGGGCTGTCATATGTAGGATAGCCACTTTTTAGGTATATGTACATTTATATTTCTATCAATTCCTTAGAAAGTAAAATAAATGAATAGATCAAATGTTGTGTTCATGTTTGGGGAAAATATAATTTGCAGAAACCTATGAAGTAGAGCAAAGATGCTTTAAAAAGATAAGTTTTTTTGAACTAAATTTTTTTTAGTTCTAATAATGCACATAGGATATTAGTACATCGTACACGTGCTAGGAAAAAACAGCTTCAGTGTCTTTGTTTAATGTGTTGAAACTCATCTTTTTAAATCTTGAAAAACCAATTGTTTACTTGAAACTTGAAAGTAGCATATTTTTCTGTTTTTTGGTTGTTTGTTCATTTGTATTAGCACAATTTAATGTAATTCCTGGTTTGGAGGCAGCAAGACCTATGA
Organism: Homo sapiens; assembly: GCF_000001405.40. Lineage (NCBI taxonomy): Eukaryota > Metazoa > Chordata > Mammalia > Primates > Hominidae > Homo > Homo sapiens. Next base: position 37,862,416 of record NC_000004.12, read on the forward strand.
GCAAGAACTATTTACTTGACCCTCGTTTTTTTCTCTTGTTCTTGTGTGGTCTGAAATCTAAAACTAGACTTTATTATGATAGATTTCCTATAAGCCAATTTCTAATAACAAATAGATTTATTATTTAATCTGTACCTTCTATCTTCTCATAATTCGTGGTCTTACAGCCTTCCAAAATAACTCCAGTTGGGCACCCATGAGCTAGGATCAAACTTTCTTTATATACTTTATATATTTTACATTATTTCTGATTTTTAAAGCAAATGATTGCCATTATGATTACACTCAACCTAAATAGTTATGAACAGTTTCAGAACAATGAAAAATTACAATACTATGTGATAGTATTGTAACTATTTTTCTATTTTAGTCATATGTCGCTTATATCCTACCAGAACTCTTAAATCTATAATATTCGATATATTCTACAAACTGCTTTATTGTAGAAGCCATATTTATGTTTATTTTATAATGTTTTCTAGTGTCAAACTGTACTGTGGAGAAAAGAAATGTTAGATCTGTGTTCTGTCTGCATTTTTTTTGAGTACATACCCTTCACCCTCTCATGGAGTTTGTTTCTGGAAATACGAAGTTGATTATGACCCAATCCTGCTATGATGGAACTCAGTCTGATTGGAGGGCTAATAAGTAACAGCAATACTTACAAATTCTATCATAGTGTTTTTTACAAGTATTCAGCGTTCAGAAATCTGAGGGAGGGATTCATGCTGCCCAAAGAAAGCCTCATAGATGAGGTGCTGAATGAAATGCTTCACCCTTAGGGATGAGGAGCAGCTGAAGATGGGAAAGAAAGCCTTCCAAGCAGAGAGCACAGCACGGACAAAAATGTGGAGGCTGTAGCAAGTGGGGGTAGGGGAAGCAAGGGGAGATGACGAAAACAGAAGCCAAGATGGAAACTTTAGAATGCATCCCACCTCTCTACCACTCACATGAGCGGATGATTTCACTGGACCTAGAGGGGATGCGCCCGAACTCTATTTGTCGCCCGTATTTCTAAGAAATAGCTCATCCTGGCTGTTCATTAGGTATTTCTCAACTTCTTCCTGTTATGGAATGTAGGGTAGCCCACCTGCTGCATAAAGCTGGCAACAATAAGGCCACTGGGTTTTAATCTTGGCCTACTGTGAACCAGCTCTGTGACCTTGGTCACCTCTCAGAGTCTCAATTTTGGTCATGTTTTAAAAAGACTTTTTAAAGGGCGGTTTTAATTTCAAAACAAAATTGAGAGGAGTGTACAGAGAAATTCCATAAGCCCCACCTGCCCCCACACATACGTTGCCTCCCTTTATGTCAACAACCCCCACCAGGGTGATACATTTGGTATAATTGATTAACCTACACACATCATTATCACTTAAACTATGGAGACAGGAAAAAGATCAGGGATTAGGAGGGAGGGATGAATAGGCAAAGCACAGAGGATTTTTAGGGCAATAAAAATACCCTGATACCATAATGATGGATACATGTCATTATACATTTGTCCAAACCCATAGAATGTGCAACACCAAGAGTGAACCCTAAAGTAAACTGTAGACTTTGGGTGATAATATTGTCATTTTTAAAATGAAGATATTGGCTAGGTATGGTGGCTCACACCTGTAATCCCAGCCTTTTGGGAGGCTGAGATGGGAGGATCACTTGAACCCAGGAGTTCAATAACAGCCTGGGCAACATAGTGAGACCCCATCTCTACAAAAAGTCAAAAAATTAGCTGGGTATGGTGGTGTGTTCCTGTGGTCCCAGCTATTTGGGAGGCTGAGGTGGGAGGATCACTTGAGCCTGGGAGGTCAAGGCTCAGTGAGCCATGATGCGCCACTGTACTCCGGCCTGGGTGACAGAGTGAGATCCTGTCTCAAAAAAATAAGATATTTTACTAAATGGTCTTTGAGGTCATTTCATCCTACAGGTCTCTACATTATATGAAAATCCATAAAGGGCAATTATAGTAATAATAAATCATTGGGAATTCTCTTTGGCAGAATTCTTAGGTCACCCTCTTTTTGTTGTTGTTGTTGTTGGATGGAGTTTGAGTCTTGCAGCCCAGGCTGGAGTGCAATGGCAACATCTAGGCTCACTGCAACCTCCACCTTCCGCATTTAAGCGATTCTCTTGAACTATAGGCATGCACCACCATGCCCAGCTAATTGTTTGGGTTTTTGGTAGAGGCAGGGTTTTACCATGTTGCCCAGACTGGTCTCGAACTCTTGACCTCAGGTGATCCGCCCACCTCAGCCTCCCGAAGTGCTAGGATTACAGGTGTGAACCACTGTGCCCGGCCAGGTCACCCTCTTTTAAGATCTAACATCTCAGGTGGGAAAAATACTTTGTACGAAAGAAGGCAGGCTTGTGTTCCTATCTTGCTTTGCCTTGAAGCCTGAAGGGGATGAATGGGGACAAGCAAGACAGAAGCACATGGCATGCAGATGCTGGGAAAATGCTTTGCAGGGGCGTGAGCCGTGGTCACTGGCCTGTGATCGGGACTGAGAGCTGTCACAGCAGCCCACTCTGCCTTCTAATTGCTGAACTTAATTTGAGGAAGCCTGTTGATTTGAGTGTAGAAGGGGCAGCCCATTTTCTCTCAATGCCTTGGAAAGAACAGGCCCCGAGTTAAGTGTAGGAGACAGACTTGCAGGAGGAAATAACTATTTTTACTTTTCCTCTTTGTGGTCTCTGAAATAGCAGCTGTTCCTCTTTCCATTGGGGAACATTGGGAGTACTTCTCATTTATATCTCATTGATTTTCCTCAATCATGATGCTAGTAAGAGAAAGTATTGCTATTTCAGTGACATTGGAATCCCATGTGGTTTTAAAAACAAATGCTTTAAGTGATGGAATGAATATGTGTGTCCTGTTTTGAAGAGATTTTTGAAAGGATGGCCTGCATCTCAGTCGTATTTATGATTTCTGCATCCTAAAAGACTGTATCTTCAAAGCTATTTGTGCATTCATTTAGGTGTTTATTGATTGGGTCATGTTGGACACCCTGTGAGGAGCCAGGCATTTTTCTGGCAATAAACATGCAGTCCTGATCTAAAATATGGCCTAGCAAAAGAAATACACGTGTACACAGATAATTCTAATATAGTATGCTGCATTGAAATAGTCAAGTATTTGAACTATGGGCAAGCAGTTCTGCCATGTCCCCTTCTGTGCTTGTCTATTTTAAGACTACTAAGTTCAAATTCCTAACCTTTGTGTTTAAAACCACATGGCTCTGGGAGGCTATTTGCGTGTCATTCCCCTGGGTTATCCGTTTGTTCCATTCTTGCTACAAGCATATTTGTGTAGAGTAACTCAACCATTGAAAGCAAGATGTGCACTCTTAGGCAGATAACAATCAAAGTTTAAAATAACATCACTTCTTCTATAGACTTCTCCATGCACACAAAGCATAGTGACTACTCAAATTAATTGGAGGAGAAAGAATACTGGAGAGGCAAGGCCCTCCAACACCATGGTGCTCATGCTCAAGGTAATCAGGATGGAGAACAGTATTGGAGAATCTGGTGTTTTCCCACCTGGCTCCCTTGTGTGGATTCTTGTTGAGAAGCAGAGCTGTCAGCCACCTCCTGCTTGAGTCCAGTGAAGGCCACTTTAGTGTTTGGCCCAAACCCGGTGCGGAATGAAGTTGGGCACACAGACCAAAGAGCCAGCTTCAGGTCTAAACAGCTTTTGAAACCATTTCAAAATAGCATTGCACAACTTCCAAAGGGAAGTTAGGGTTGCAAGTTACAGAGATGACAGAGCCTGATTATCTCCTTAAAATACATTGTTCTGAACTATTTCACCTTAACTGGAAAAAGACAGTTTTTTTGTTTTTGTTTTTGTTTTTTGAGACGGAGTCTCACTCTGTCGCCCAGGCTGGAGTGCAGTGGCACCATCTCGGCTCGCTGCCAGTTCCGCCTCCCAGGTTCACGCCATTCTCCTGCCTCAGCCTCCCAAGTAACTGGGACTACAGGCACCCACCACCACGCCCGGCTAATTTTTGTATTTTTGGTAGAGATGGGGTTTCACCATGTTAGCCAGGATGGTCTCGATCTCCTGACCTCGTGATCCACCCGCCTCGGCCTCCTAAAGTCCTAGGATTACAGGCGTGAGCCACCGAGTTTTTTAAAGTCTCTAGGTGGCAAGAGTGAAATGGAGCTCCATTTCTGAGAGGTGTTTATTGGTTTTCTAAAACAAAAGTAAAATGTAGGTAGGAGCTTGGGCTAATTATCTCCTTTATGAGCTCAACAGGCTTTCTTTTTTTTCCTTTCCTAGTTGGTTCATTCCCTGTGGTGCAACGGTATCTCTGCCCCCTGAACGCTTCTTTATGTTTGTGGCTTTCATTATCCTAAGTGCAGAGCTACAAACGTCTCTCCCAAGCTCCATCTTCATATCGCCATTTCCCTACTTGGACTTTCCCACTCGGAAGTCCTCAAATTGCTTTAAATGTAGTCTGGCCTCAAGTTAGGTTTTCCCACTCAGTTCCCCACCTCCCTATCCTGCAATCTACTCTGTTCGTTGACACTTCAAAACACCTGCCCAGGACCTTTGGTGATTTTTCACTTGTCTTTTTCTTCTGAGAATGTATTCTTGCTTATCCTTTTTATGGAGAATGTCAAACTTATACAATCAATAGTACAATGGACACCAAAGTAGCCATCACCCAGCTCTAGCGAAACTCAATTCATGACCAATCTAGTTTCATCTGTATATTCCTTGCTCCCCATCTTTCCACTGGGCAATTCTGGAGCAAATCCCAGGCCTGTCATCATATCTGTAAGTATTTCAGTATTTATATCAGTAAATATTTCAGTATATATAAAAGATTGGGACTTGTTTACACACACTGATAGAGGCGAGAGGCAGGCAAATGCCTAGGCAGATAGGGGCAGGTTCCCAGTGAAACCCAACCTTCAAGCTGGAAACTGTCCCAGGTAAATCCTCAGAATGGATTGAGAACCCGCCTTCCCATTTGATGTGCTTTCCTCTGATTGGTCCCTATCTTTCACCTATTTTACATATACCTACTTTTTCCCCTACACTGTTGTGCCCACCTTTGAGTAGAGTCTTCGCTTTGATCTTTTTTGCATACTCACAAACCAATCAGCACACGCTCTGTATTCTGGGCCCATAAGAAAGCCCTGGGCTCAGCTATATTGGGGGAAACTTTCCTGTCTTCAGATAGGAGAACCACCCCCCACATCCCCTCTTTTTCCTGAGAGCTTTCCTTTTGCTTAATACATTCTACTCCACTCACTCTTCGATGTCTGCGTGCCTAATTCTTCCTGATGGTGAGACAAGAACCCAGATGTAGCTGAGTGAAGAAGCAAAAATCCTGCATCAACACAACCGTACTACCATTGTCACTCCTAAAAACGTTGACCATTCCTTAATATCATCAGTTATTCAGTCAGTGTACAAATTTCCCCATTTGTCTCATACGTTTTGTTTACACTTCGCTTGAATCAGGATTCAAATAACATCCACTCATTGCATTTGATGGACAGCCTCTGAAATCTCTTTCAGTCTAAACATTCTTCATCTCTTTAATTTTTCTTGTAATTTATTCCAAACTACCAAATCATTTGTCCTTCGGAGTTTCCTGCATTTTGGATTTTCTGGTTGTCTCCTCATGATGTGTTTAACATGTTTCTATTGTGCCCTGGATTTCCTGTGAACTAGTACAACTAAATCAAGAAGCATGATCTGATTCAGGTTTGATTTTTGGTTTTTTTTTTTTTGGCAAAAATACTTGATGGGAGCAGAGGAGGGTGGCACTCCTACCATCTAGTTGTTTTCAAAGTGCCAAGGATCAGTTATCAATGGCCAATGTGCCCTCTTCTGCTTTGCCCTACATAATGAAAGGGCAATCAGGTCAATGGCAATGGGAATCAGTTAAAAAGGAAACATGAATCGATGTGTCCTGTGTCACTCACACAGAATACTGTCAGACTGATGGAGGCAGGTCTCCCTCAGAAGCAGGCAGAAAGGGCTGATGAGCTATTTGAGGCAGGCTTGGTAATTTACGTCAAGCTTGATGAACGAGTACTGAATGCTCTCATATAGCTCTGTGGGGCTTCAATGGTTCAAAGAAAGTGATTTGTCACACCTTAGGCTCTTAGAGATTTCTTTTCGCTGATTATTTGTTCTAGGACAAAATACATTTCTGTGTCAGGTGAGATCAGCAAACAAAGGAAGAAATGTGAGCAAGTTGTGAGAATCCACAAAGAGATCTGATGAAGGCTTTGGTTGAGTGGATCAGCTGTGTGTTGGATGCAACCACAGGTCAGAGGAAACAGGGCAATATTCCTTCAGATGGTGTGTAACTCTGGTGTGCTGCCTGGAACGGGAACCATTACTTTTGTTGATAAGACACCAGGAGATTTAACTGAGGGTGAGTTTGTGCTGCTTTTGAGGATGGACTTGCTTGAGATCTATATTGTATGACTAGTCCAAACAGAAAGTATGCATTTAGGATCTTCTGTGAAAGGACACTGCACTGTGTGATGGCCATGGAGTTTGCCCTGGAGTCTGCATTTCTGTGGCAAGCAACAGGCTGGAGCGATTCCACAATGTAAGACAAAGAAAAAGATTCCAAAAGACATCTGTGATGTTACACAGTTTGGTCCGTGTTATTCTCTATCATCTATGTTCTATCATCAACTTCTTTTTTCTTTTTTTTTTTGAGATGGGGTCTTGCTCTGTCACCAGACTGGAGTGCAGTGGCGCGATCTCAGCTTACCTCCACCTCCCAGGTTCAAGCAATTCTCCTGCCTCAGCCTCCGGAGTAGCTGGGACTACAGGTGCCCGCCACCATGTCCAGCTAATTTTTGTATTTTCAGCAGTGATGGGGTTTCACCATGTTGGCCAGGATGGTCTCGATCTCTTGACTTTGTGATCCACCCGCGTTGGCCTCCCAAAGTGCTGGGATTACAGGTGTGAGGCACCGGCACCTGGCCCTCTTTTTTTTTTTGAGACAAAATCTCCCTCTTGTTACTTAGGCTGGAGTGCAATGGCTCGATTCCAGCTCACCACAACCTCCGCCTCCTGGGTTCAAGCAATTCTCCTGCCTTAGCTGGGATTACAGGCATGTACCACCACACCCGGCTAATTTTTGTATTTTTAGTAGAGACGGGATTTGGTCAGGCTGGTCTCAAACTCCTAACCTCAGGTGACCCACCCTTCTCAGCCTCCAAAGTGCTGGGATTACAGGCATGAGCCACCGTGCCCAGCCTCTGTCATAATTTCATCTCTCTCATCAATAGCAGAAATATTTGAGGCTTCTGCTTCTTTGAGAATTTCCAGTTAGCTGCACAAGCCAGAGCCTAGATAATGAGTGGAAACGTAAAATATTAGTGAAGTGTACTTCAAGTTGAATGGATTAATCCTGTAGACTAAAGAGACCCAGAACTTGTGGCCAACTATCCTTTTATTTGGGAGAATCTTGACTATCACAGTGATAAAAAAAAATATTGAATATACCATTTCTTGAATTTAGAAAACTTGAAAGGATGAAGAAGTTGAAGTATTATGCATTTGCTCACAAGCCGGAGCATACTGTACACACTGTTCTGCAAACACTTTTCAGTCCCTTAGTTAAAAGATAGACATTTGTTTTCAATCTTTTGCTAATACAATGTTGCTATGAATAACATTGTATATATGTCACTTTCCTCCCATTTTCCTAGAGGACAAATGCTATTTTAACAACTGAAATATCTTTTTGTTGTAGGATGGCATGAGATAATCCATGTGAGAACAATTTATAAATTGCTAAGTATATCATTGGACAAACGAGCAAATTAGATTTCTAAACTATGTTTCATAATTTCCCCATTTAGTGTGTGCAGCTCTGTTTTAGAAAACTGATATATTTTTTGCTGCCTCGTTTCCTGATATTGACAGTAATAAGTGAAAGAAAAGAATAATCAGTATCGTTTCTAATATTTGCAAACCATTTATCTGATAAGGGGTTAAAATCCAAAATATATAAGGAACTCATATAACTCAATAGTGAAAAAGAGTCAGACTTTAAAACAGGCAAAATTCATGAATGGAATTTTAAAATTTTTCATTGATACATAATATTTGTACATATTTATGGGGTATATGTGATATTTTATAACATGCATACAATGTGTAATGATCAAGTCAGGGTATTTAGGGTATCTGTTACCTAGAGTATTGATCATTTCTATGTGTTGGGAACATTTCTTCTTTTCTAACTATTTTGAAATATACAATACATTGTTTTTAACTATAGTCACCCTACTTTGCTATCAAACACTGGAACTTATTCTCTCTATCTAACTGTATGTTTGTGAAGTTAACCAACCTCTTTTGGTCCTCCACTGCCCCCACGCTTTCCAGCTTCTGGTGTCTCTCATTCTACTCTCTACCTCTATGAGATCAACTTTTTTTTTTTTTTGAGACGGAGTCTCGCTCTGTCACCCAGGCTGGAGTGCAGTGGCGCGATCTCGGCTCACTGCAAGCTCCGCCTCCCGGGTTCACGCCATTCTCCTGCCTCAGCCTCCTGAGTAGCTGGGATTACAGGCGCCCGCCACCATGCCCAGTTAATTTTTTGTATTTTTAGTAGAGACGGGGTTTCACCATGTTAGCCAGGATGGTATCAATCTCCTCACCTCGGAGATCAACTTTTTAAGCTACCATATATGAGTGAGATACATGTGATATTTGTCTTTCTGTGCCTGGCTTATTTCATTTAACATGACCTCCAGTTCCATTCATGTTGCTGCAAATAACATAATTTCATTCTTTTTTATGGTCAAATAATTGCATAGACATTTCTCCAGATACATACAAATGACCAACAGCTATATGACAAGGTGCTCAGTGTCACTAACCATCAGCAAAACTCAAAACCACAATGAGGTATTATTTCACACCTGTTAGGATGGTTATTATCAAAAAGACAAGAAGAGGTAACAAGTGTTGGTGAGAGTGTGGAGAAAAGGGAACCCTTGTACACTGTTGGTGGGAATGTAAATTGGCACAGCCATTATGGAAAACAGTATGAAGGCTCCTCAAAAAATTAAAAATCGAATTACCATATGATCCAGGAATTCCATTTCTGGGTATATATTCGAAGAAAATGAAATTACTATCTTAAAGAGATATCTGCACTCCGTGTTCACTGTAGCATTATTCACAGCAGCCAAGACAAGGCAGAACCTAAGCGCTGATGAATGATGGATAGAGATACTGTGATATACTATTCAGCCTTAAAAAAAGTAGGAAATCGGCCGGGCGCGGTGGCTCACGCCTGTAATCCCAGCACTTTGGGAGGCCAAGGCTGGTGGATCACGAGGTCAGGAGATCGAGACCATCCTGGCTAACACGGTGAAACCCCATCTCTACTAAAAATATAAAAAATTAGCCGGGCGTGGTGGCAGGTGCCTGTAGTCCCAGCTACTCAGGAGGCTGAGGCAGGAGAATGGCGTGAACCCGGGAGGCGGAGCTTGCAGTGAGCCGAGATCACGCCACTGCACTCCAGCCTGGGCAACAGAGCGAGACTCCGTCTCAAAAAAAAAGAACAACAAAAAAAGAAGGAAATCCTGCCATTTGTGACAACATGGATGAACCTGGAGGACATTATCCTAAGTGAAATAAGCCAGACACAGAAAGTCAAATACTGCGTGATCTCAAATGTGGAATCTAAAAAAAGTCAAACTCATAGAAGCAGAGCGTAGAACGGTGGTTACCAGAAGCTGGGCCATGAAGGGATTGGGAAGATGTTGTTCAAAGGGTACACACTTTCACTTATAAGATGAACAAGTTCTGGGGGTCTAATGTAGCACATGGCAACTATGGTTAACAATACTGTATTGTATACTTGAAATTTGCTAACAGAGTAGCTCTCAAATGTTATCACACAAAATGGTAACTAGATACAGTGATCAGTGTGTGTTAACTGACTTGATTGTGGTAATCATTTCACAATGTATTTGTATAAAACTCATCACATTATATATCTTACATTTATACAATTTGTCAGTTATACCTCAATAAAGCTGCAAAGAAATATCATTTCTAGGTTGTGCCCATCACAACCTGTAGGAGTTAAGATTTCAGCCTGAGTTTCAGTTTCAATTCCAATACCACTACTTTCTATGTAATACTGAACAAGTTTTCTAACATCTCTAAACTTTAATTTCTTCCTCTATAATGGGAATAAAATCAAATTATTTTTTCAAAATCATTGTGAAAACCATTTTTGTTTCAGTTGCCTTAGATTATAGAGGACACTAATCAGTGATTAGGGAAAAATTTAAGATCATCAGTAGAAATGGATTCTCTACTGGTGAAAACACACAGGAGATATTAGGCCACATAAAAGACATGCAGTTGTACTCATTATTGTTCCTGCCTACATAAAAGTTTGCTGGAGAAAAAATGAGACTCATACAGGAAGTATTGAAAGACAATATTAGATAATTCTTTTATAATCTTAAAGAGGGAAAGGCTTTCTAACTATGACTCAAGTTATTTTTTTAAAGACTGAAAAATTCGCCTACATTCAATAAAATCCTCTGCAACAAACTAGGAAAAAATATTTGCAACTGTGTCACAAACAAAGGGCTTATCTCCCTAATGTAAAAGGAGACCCTAGATATCAATGCCAAAAAAAAAGAGTAATAACCTAATAGAAAAAGAGTCTAATGAGATTCAAAGATAGTTTAAGAAAAACACAAATGACTTTTAAATATATATATATTTTACATGCCCAAGAGAGTATTTTTACCCCTGTTTCCTGTGCCATTTTAGTGGTATACTCAATTCCAATTCTTTCTGTGATTACTCTTAAAATCTTAACATCTGTACTTGCTGGATCAAGTCTAAAGTTGTTATCTCTAGCCTCCACCCAAAAAATACAGGAAATTTAATTTTTTCTTAGATAATACATTCAAGTGGCATAAAGTTCAAAAAGTGCAAAGGGTAAACAGTGAAATAAGTCCAGCGTATCCCTAGTGCAGCCACCTAGTTCCCATGCACTAAGGCAGACATCTTTGCCAGTTTCATGTGTATTCTTCCAGAGATCTTATATGTAAAACAATTATATGATGAATTATTTTGGCTTGATTTCTTTTATCCAAGTGGTAGGACACTGTACACACTGTTCTTCACTCTAGTTGTTTAACCTAGCAATTGTGAAATCATGTTTGATGTTTGCAATGACTCACTTTCTCCTCCTGTGTAGATGGAGTGTATGAGAAATTCATTGTTATAACCCACTGGGATTTTGCAGTTGTTAATGCAGAAAATCTAACTCATATAGAAATACATTTATTGTATATCATACTCAAAAATATATTTTGTTGTTTTTAATGGCTAAATGGTATTCCAGTATATGGGTGTAATATAATCTATTTAATCTGTTCCCTTGTTGATGAATATTGAGGTTGGTTCTAATTTATGCTGTTTCAAACAGTGCTGCCGTGAATAATCTTGCCATGCATCATTTCACAGCTCTCTCTCTCTCTGTTGAGTGTGTGTGGGTGTGTATGTGTGTGCACACGCACATGTTGCATGCAGGATAATCCAAAAACCCTTTAAAATTATTAAAAAAATTTTGAGACAGGGTTTCCTTCTGTCACACAGGCTGGAGTGCAGTGGCATGATCACAGCTCACTGCAGCCTCTACCTCTGAAACTCAAGCAATCCTCTCACCTCAGCCTCCCAAGTAGCTGGGACTATGTGCACACGCCATTAGGTCTGGCTTATTTTTGTATTTTGTTGCTCAGGCTGGTCTCAAATTCCTGGGCTCAAGGGACCCTTCCGCCTTGGCCTCCCAAAGTGCTGGGACTACAGGCATGAGCCACTGCACCTGGCCTATAATTACAATTTTTGAAGGTTAATGCTTATGTAGATTCACCAATCTGTTGACGTTGTTTTAATCTTGGTCTGAAAATGTCTTTAGTCACCTAATAACAGTTCTGTTAGGTAAAGGACCTAAGTTGATGTTTATTTTCCATGGCATTTTGAAGTTACTATTGGATAACATTCTGGACTTTCTTGTTTCTGACCAAAGTGGGTTGCTAATCCAGCTGTTATACCTTTATAGGTAGTCTTTCTTTTGTTCTGATTACTTTTTTAAAAAGTATCTTTATTGATCTATAATATACATATAATAAAGTGCACAAAATCTTGCATGTACAGCTCAGTGACTTTTTACATACTTATAGAGCATGTAACCAGGAAGACATAAAACAATCTCAATATCTCAAAGGATACCCTATGCCTCTTCCCAGTTGGAACCCTCCCCTTAATCACCAGAAATAACCACTATTCTGACAGCTAACAGATAGATCAGTTTTGCCTGATCTTGAACTTCACATAAGTGAGGCTGTATGTTTTGATCACTGTGATTGCCTTTAAGACTTTAGTCTTCGGTGTTTTGCAGTTTTATTAGGCACATATTTATGATTTTCCACTTCTTTGTCTCTGTGCTACTTTCTTGGCAACTCCATCGGAGCAGTCTTCTAGTTTACTACTCTCTCTCTTTTTTTTTTTTTTTTTTGAGATGGAATCTCGCTCTGTTGCCTGGCTGGAGTGCAGTGGCGCAATCTCGGCTCACTGCAACCTCCGCCTCCTGGTTTCAAGCGATTCCTCTGCCTCACCACCCAAGTAGCTGGGACTATAGGCGTGCGCCACCATGCCCAGCTAATTTTTTGTATTTTAGTAGAAACAGGGTTTCACCATGTTGGCCAAGATGGTCTCAATCTCCTGACCTCAAGTGATCCTCCCGCCTCCACCTCCCAAAGTACTGGGATTACAGGCATGAGCCACAGCACCCAGCCTCTGTAGCTCCTTCTAATCTGCTAACTTTTCTTGGGAGTTTTGAATTTCAGTGACTTTTTACGAACTCCTAAAAGTTCTATTCACTCTGTTTTCAGATCTTCCTTTTCTTTTCTATTAGTGCCGAAATCCATTCTTAGGGTTCCTGTTTTTGCTTTCAGTTTTTGAATAATTTCTAAATACTTCTTTTATTCTTTCAATTTGTTCTATAACCTAAAGTTCTTGAAATGTTATTTCTGCAGTTTGGTGTGCGTATTGACTGCCCCTCAGAGTCAGTTATTTTCTAGTGTTTGTGAGCGTTCTTGTTTTTAATCTTTGGCAAGTTTTTTTATTTGTTTGTTTAACTTGTGAGAGCTTTTCGTGCCCTACATTGCAGGAATGATATTACAAAGCAATTTTGTGTTTGCTTCTGCAAGGTCCCAGGCGTTTTTCTAGTTTGTTTCTCTTGTCACTGTTATTGTTTTGTTTGCTTTTTTAAAACTTTTTGTTTTGTTTTGTGGTCTTTTTAAAACTGTTAAAATTGCTTTATACACCTACAATAACAATTATTAATTATAAGATACTATTTACATGTGGTTGTAAAGAACACACTTAAATAACTTACATATGTGAATTTAAATTATAAATTTATATTTAGCAACATAGTGCTACTTCAAACAACTATAAAAATTGATCTATATATTCCTAAAGAAGAGTAAAGGGCCAAAACAGGCAAAATAATACAGAAAAAGAATAAATGTTAGAAGGCAGTTCTCCATTGGTCTCTTGTATTTCTGCACATCTTCTCAGCAGAGGCATTGACAGATTTGTGTGTGTGTGTGTGTTTCTGTACTATTTTTCAATGATGTTTTTACAGAAAACAGCTTGGGAAGGTAGAAGTAGTGTCTCTCCTCCAGGGCAATGGCAGATTTGTTTGTTGTCCAGGATAATGAAGAAATGTCTTCCTCTTGGATAAAGGATCGGCAGATTTGCTAGCAAGTGTGGGGTTTCCTAAACTTGAGTTCTTCACTGTGATGCATATAGCATCCTCTTAGCCCTTCCATGTCACACATAGGACTTGGGTGCAAGGGTAAATGAGGTGAACATGAAGCTTATACTAACTGCTGTACTCTGAGCAATAAAATCATTTGCCTCTGACTCACCAGTCCCATATCTTTTTATTATATCCATGACAGGCTAAATTGTTAGCTTGCAAATGGAATAAATTCTCAGACTCTTCAAAATTCTTACAATAAGAAGAGCGAAATTATACTACCAAATAGTAAGATTTATTATAAAGACATAGTAAAACTGGCAAATAAATGGACAAGTAAACCAATAGAAAAGAATAACGAATAGGCATATATATGAAAGGAAAATGGTATAAGAGAAACACGGCATCATAGGTCTATAGGAAAAAGTACTATTGAATACAAAAATCTGGGGCAATTAGCTATCCAAGTGGAAAAGCTAGAATTAGATCCCTGCCTCAAGCCATATCCAAAACGACATCAAAAATAAAATCCCAAGGCCGGGCATGGTAGGTCATGCCTGTAATCTCTGCACTTTAGGCCGATGTGGGAGGATTGCTTGAGCCCAGGAGTTTGAGACCAGCCTGCGCAAAATAGTGAGACCTTGTCTCTGCCAAAAAGTTAAACAAAAAAATTATTTGGGTGTGGTGGCATGTGCCTGTAATCCCAGCTACTCAGGAAGCTGAGGCAGGAGGATCGCTTGAGCACAGGAGGCTGAGGCTGCAGTGAGCTATGATCATACCACTGCACGCCAGCCTCGTGACAGAGAGAGAGCTTGTCTCTAAAATAAATAAATAAATTCCATTTAAATTCAAGATCTAAATATGAGCAACAAACTTTAAATGTTTTAGAATAAATTGTAGGAGATTGTCTTTAGGATATTAAGGTAGAGAAAGATTTTTTAAGACACAAAAAGCCCAAGCCATAAAGCAAAAGACAGAGCCACATTAGAATTTAAAACTTCTGTACAGCAAGACCATATAAACATTTAAAAGACAATTGACAATCTGGGAGAAGATATTTATAACTTTTCTAACTAACACAGTTACTGGTGTGTTTTTACGTAGCTTTTATTAGCTTAGGATTCTGGCACTAATTTGTAAGCATAAATCACATGTTTTGCCTCTGTGTGACACAGGCTTGGAGTTTTTATTTCTGATCATGAACTCTCCCCAGCTTGGCCCACTCAATCCCTACCCAGAGTCTCAAGCAAAGTACAAGCTTCTCTGATCCTGTATCAGGGAATCCGAGATCCCTTTTTCATAAAGTAGGCAGTCCTCTCAGGTTTCTGGCACTCTAAGGGAAAGAACAGGACACCATGAATAACAACAGGCCACTTGAAAGAGAATCCAGGCCGGGTGCAGTGGCTCACGCCTGTAATCCCAGCACTTTGGGAGGCTGAGGCAGGCGGATCACTAGGTCAGGAGATCAAGACCATCCTGGCTAACACGGTGAAACCCTGTCTCTACTTAAAATACAAAAAATTAGCCGGGGGTGGTGGCAGGCGCCTGTAGTCCCAGCTACTCGGGAGGCTGAGGCAGGAGAATGGTGTGAACCTGGGAGGCGGAGCTTGCAGTGAGCCAAGATTGCACCACTGCACTCCAGCCTGGGCGACAGAGTGAGACTCCGTCTCAAAAAAAAAAAAAAAAAAAAGAGAGAGAATCCAATAGTAATTTTCAATTGAAAAATAACAATAACTGAGTTAGTTTGAACTCCCTGCCTTTTAGCAGCCCTGGGGCCAGTTTCCAGTCAGGTGTGAATGTTAAACCCCTAGTCCTAGAGGCCACACTTAGTCTCATACATTCTCCAAGGCCGTGGGCACTTCAGCTGCTGCTTTTTGCTCTTCCTCTTAGTTCACACTATTTTAAAAAGTTTTTTTTTCAGACAGGGTCTCACTCTGTCACTCAGGCTGGAGTGCAGTGGCGCTATCATGGCTCACTGCAGCCTTGACCTCCCGGGCTCAAGCCATCCTCTCACCTCAGCCTCCCAAGTAGCTGGGACTACAGGCATGCACCACCATGCTTGGCTAATGTTTTGAATTTTTTGTAGAGACAGGGTTTCACCATGTTGGCCAGGCAGGTCTTAAACTCCTGGGCTCAAGAGATCTACCCGTCCCAGCTTCCCAGAGTGCTGGGATTGCAGGTGTGAGCCACTGCGCCTGGCTAGTTCACACTAGTTTAAGCACCTAGGAAACATCTCTCTCTTTCTTTGGGGGTATAACTGTGCCTCTTAAACATTTTGTTGGCTGGGCACGGTGGCTCAACGCCTGTAATCCTAGCAATTTGGGAGCCCGAGGTGGGTGGATCACTAGAGGTCAAGAGTTTGAGACCAGCCTGGCCAACATGGTGAAACCCCGTCTCTACTAAGAATACAAAAATTAGCCGAGCTTGGTGGCGGGCACCTGTAATCCCAGCTGCACAGGAGGCTGAGACAGGAGAATTGCTTGAACCCGGGAGGCGAAGGTTGAAGTGAGCTGAGATCACGCCACTGCACTCCAGCCTGGGCGACAGAGCAAGACTCCATCTCGAAAAAAGAAAAAAAAATTGTTATATTTTATCCTGCATTATATCCATTTGACTTGTGAGTCTTCTCCACACCTGCTAGAACTGCCCAACCCTGACTGTGCTTGCCTGTGTACCTATTAGCTCCCTACAACATCTCATCGTGGGAGGGGAAACAGGGTTTGAAAGACTTCTTACATTGTTAAATTTTAACTTTAAAAATGTTACTCAGTTTGGATAAGCTTTCCCTGCCCTCCCTGGCAAAATGTTGACCATTTAAAGGAGGAAGAATGTTCCAAACTTTTCCTTAAAGCAATCATTGTAGTGTTTCTGCAGCAGCACAACCGCTGAATTCCTGAAGTCTTAATTTTCCAAAGATTGAAGGGTGTTTTGTTTTGTTGTGAGATGGAGTTTTGCTCTTGTTGCCCAGGCTGGAGTGCAATGCTCGATCTTGGCAATGCTCGATCTTGGCTCACTGCAACCTCCGCCGCCCAGGTTCAAGCAATTCTCCTGCCTCAACCTCCTGAGTAGCTGGGATTACAGGCATGCACCACCACACCCAGCTAATTTTTGTATTTTTAGTACAGACAGGGTTTCACCATGTTGGTCAGACTGGTCTGGAACTCCTGACCTCAGGTGATCCACCCTTCTCGGCCTCCCAAAGTGCTGGGATTATAGGCGTGAGCCACCGCGCCCAGCCAAGATTGAAGTTATTTGAATTTTTACCTGAAAGAAAACATCCTCTTGGGTTAGCTTCCTGTTCCCCACTACAGAAAGAGGAAGAGAAGAGAAGGCTACATGAAAGAGCTGATAGCATCCAGAGAAGGAAGAACAAGAGAGAATTACATCACTGAATAATGACAATGAGCATGATGTGCTATACTGCATGCCAGGTTCTGTTCCAAGTGTTTTACATTTACTAACTCATTAACCCTATCAACAACATAAGATAAGTACTATTATTTTTATTCCCGTCATCTTAAAGAGGGGACACATAGGCCGGGCGCGGTGACTCACGCCTCATCCCAGCACTTTGGGAGGCCGAGGCGGGCGGATCACAAGGTCAGGAGATCCAGACCACCCTGGCTAATACGGTGAAAGCCCATCTCTACTAAAAATACAAAAAATTAGCCGGGCGTGGTGGCGGGCGCCTGTGGTCCCAGCTACTCTGGAGGCTGAGGCAGGAGAATGGTGTGAACCCGGGAGGCGGAGCTTGCAGTGAGCCGAGGTCACGCCACTGCACTCCAGCCTGGGCGACAGAGCCAGACTCCGTCTCAAAAAAAAAAAAAAAAAAGCGGGGGGACACAGACACATAGACACACCAGAGTTCAGTGAAAATAACTTGTTCAAGTTCACATAGCCAGGAAGTGGTCTGAGACCATCCGATGCTGGTCAGTGAGACAGGTATGAGTTCTTCCTTTCAAGAAATGTTCAAATTTAAAGAGGCTTTAGCCTCTTGTGATTCCAGAACATTAAGGAGGGATTATGCACAGATTTATGGAGTCTTGTCACTGATTTCTCATGGGTGCTTAACCTAAGATCAAAGGTTCTCTGATGGTTCTGTGCATACACTCCAAGGGGTCAGTGAACTTGGGTGGAAAATAAAAATACATTTTTTAAGTTACTTCTAGCAGTTCTAATCACAATTTACATTTCTCTGCCTTTAAAAATTTAGGTGACAAACCATAATAGTATTATCACTCCCCATGACATTGTCATCAATAGAAATCATTGATTTTCATGTCACATTTCAGTTGTAACAAGTATCTCAGAATATCATATATTTTTATCACTCTCAAAATCATGGTAGTTATTATACCTGTGGGCAAATCTTGTTATTTAATACATTAATAATGATGTCCATATATTACAATATTATGCTTTTAAAAGTATATGTTGATGTCTGTATTTCCATATAATTGGTTACTTAAAGGAGAATTTTATATAATTGGCTATATAATTGGTTACTTAAAGGAGAACTTCTCTTAAAGGAGAATGTCATCCTACATTTTATATTTAGCAACAAAAGAATGAGAAGAAGGCTGAATGTCTGTACCCAGCCTTCCATATAATTTGTAGCCAATTACATGGAAATACAGATATCAACATATATTTTTAAAAGCATGATATCATAACATATGAACTTCATTATTAATGTATTTTATTTATTTTATTTTAGGCATTTACAAATATTATTCTGAGGAAGGTTCCATAGGCTTCATTACACAGGCAAAGGGATCTATACTATAAAAATAGTTAAAAACCTTTGCCCTAGAGCAGGGTTAGCAAATTATGTCCTGCTCGCCAAATCCGGCTACTTGTTTTTGTATGACCCATGAGCTAAGAATGGATTTTACATTTTTAAATGGTTGGAAAAATTTTTTTAAAGAATATTTCGTGACAATGTGAAAATGCATGAAATCCAAATTTCAGCGTCCATACTCACTAGAACACAGCCATACTCATTTGTCTGCATAGCGTTTGTGGCTGCTTTTGCACTGCAACAGACTTTTTTTTTTTTTTTTTTTCTTGAGACGGAGTCTCACCCTGTCGCCCAGGCTGGAGTGCAGTGGCGCAATCTCGGCTCACTGCAACCTCTGCCTCCCGGATTCAAGCAATTCTTCTGCCTCAGCCTCTTGAGTAGCTGGGACTACAGGCATGCGCCACCATGCCCGGCTAATTTTTGTATTTTTAGTAGACACGGGGTTTCGCCATATTGGCCAGGCTGGTCTCAAACTCCTGACCTCGTGATCCGCCCACCGTGGCCTCCCAAAGTGCTGGGATTACAGGTGTGAGCCACTGTTCCCGGCCACTGCTACAGATTTGAAAGGTGGGACAGAGATGGAATGTCCTGCAATGCCTAAAATATTTACTAAATGGGCTTTTAGTAGTTTGTCAACCCTGAATTAGAAGAGAGTAAGGATGCTGAAGACAAGGAAGCTGTCTCATATTTCTTTGCATCACTTCAGTGCCTAGTTCAGAGCCATGGAAAGAATAGCTCATCTATGCATCTCTACTGGTTGAAAGACTACTAACCCCTTTGCGGTAACTACCTGCCACTTTGGAAATCTTGGTAAATTCTACCTCCCCCTTAATGATTTCTCTAAGCTTCCTATCCAAGGACCCACACTCTTTTGAGTAAAGGAGAACTTCATCCTACATTTCATATTTACCAACAAGAAAATGAGAAGGCTGAATGTCTCTAGCTCAGCTTTAATGTTAAAAGAAATTACAAAGTAATGAAGCAACCTCCCACTATAATGCTGTGGCACAATATGAATTATTATGCAATAGAAAAGTGAGCAAAAAGAGACTGCCCCGGAGCACGTTTCTTCAATGTGTGCTGATCAAGGAAACCTTGGTTCTGTGGATGCTCCCGAGAAGTTAAAGGGTCAGAGAGCCCCAGCTGAAGCGCAGCCCAACCAGGAACACCTCGCAATAAGGAATGTTATTCTGAAAGCCAAGGAAATAACCAGACTCTCATTTCCCCCACACAAATCAAAACACCTCCAAACATGATCACCCTCAAAAACATTAGTTTGAAAGGCAGTAATATGGTATAGACAAAAAGAATTAGGCTTGCTGACAGAATATCCAGGTTAAAACCCCAATTTCTCCCCCACAGGTTTTCTGCCTTAGGACAACTCCAACTCTCTATAATGAGGGAGAGAAATAACGTTTACCTCTGAGGGCTGCTGAGAGGGTTAAATAATATGAGATCTGTAAATTACAACACACTGTACACACTATACAGGTAGCATACAAGGTGGTAATGAGTGAGAACATTTGATGTAGTGTGGAGCTGCAGGCGAGTTGGTATGTTCTCTGCCTGTACAAGTCTGTTTATTCATTCATTCATTCACTCACTCACTCATATTTCTACCACATCCCAGGAATGATTGAAGATGGCTTAAATGTATTCACTTTTTTTGTAAACAAAAAATGATTCAAAGTGAATTAAGAAAACAGGACGAAAGGAGAGGGTAGTAGGTGAGATAGAATGATGCTAGGAATTAGGTAGAAACCACTGCTCCTAGACTTTGGATTTTCTGAACCAGTAACATTTCTCCAAACACTAGGAATTGACAAGGGGGCGCTATAATGTTCTTTTGCCAAGTAAAGACATTATAA
The DNA here is from genome assembly GCF_000001405.40 of Homo sapiens. Lineage (NCBI taxonomy): Eukaryota > Metazoa > Chordata > Mammalia > Primates > Hominidae > Homo > Homo sapiens. The sequence continues at coordinate 37,882,884 of NC_000004.12, forward strand.
AACAAGCACAAAGCAATGGATCTCACCATATGGTTCTCACCGTAATTTCATAAAAGAAATACTTATTTGTTAGTACCTATAAGGTAGGAAGAACATGATCTCAGAAGACAGAGAAGTTCAGTTTGCTTTTATGAAGTTACACATTGTTATTTATAGTTTGTCTTGGATAGATGAAAAGTGGCACAAACTGGCAATGGCTTGGAAAGGGCATTTGTGAATCACTGACTTAGCACACAAAATGTCCTGGATGCCTGCCAAGCAGTGAACCCCAAACGGTCAGTGCAAGGATGGAGATAAAATCAGTTGCTCAAGGAAAGAAAAGTTTTTCTTAGTGGAGTCCTAGGAGAAACTTTTTCTTGGATTCTCTTTAAAAGGACACTGTGTAAGGTATTAATAAACACCCTCAATAATATCTTCAGACTGAATAGAGTATTTTTATAAAATGCATTCCCCCACTATGGACCAATGGAATAATATCAAAGTGAAACTCAGTAAAAAAAAATTTTCTGGATACACTCCAGGCAAATGGATCTTCACTTGGGTTGATCTGATAAGGAACTGATTTTAGGGGATCCAGATTTTAGAGGACCAGTTGAACTGCATTATCTTTCATGCTGGTCTCCAAGGTCATATTTTTCTCAACCAAACTTCTAACAAACTTTGACTGCTGATGAGTTCTCAGTTGTTCCTGATTCTAAAGTCCTTCTATAGTATATCTGAAATTAGAGTCTATGTTGATGGTTAAAGAAGGAGTCACATGCTTCAACATTTAGCTCACCTTGGGGGGAACTATTGACATACCTCTTAGGACAGTTGAGAAATCTAATGAGCTGTCAACAAGAGGAAAACCTAGAAATTCTAATCTAATGGATAGTACTTCTATAGATAGTACTTCTAATCTAATAGATAGTATTTCTATTAGATTGGAATTTCTAGGCAAGAGGAAAACATAGAAATTCTAATCTAATAGATAGTACTTCTATTAGATTCTATTCTAATCTAATAGATAGTACTTCTATTAGATTCTATTCTAATCTAATAGATAGTACTTCTATTAGATTCTATTCTAATCTAATAGATAGTACTTCTATTAGATTCTATTCTAATCTAATAGATAGTACTTCTATTAGATTCTATTCTAATCTAATAGATAGTACTTCTATTAGATTCTATTCTAATCTAATAGATAGTACTTCTATTAGATTCTATTCTAATCTAATAGATAGTACTTCTATTAGATTCTATTCTAATCTAATAGATAGTACTTCTATTAGATTCTATTCTAATCTAATAGATAGTACTTCTATTAGATTCTATTCTAATCTAATAGATAGTACTTCTATTAGATTCTATTCTAATCTAATAGATAGTACTTCTATAGATAGTACTTCTAATCTAATAGATAGTATTTCTATTAGATTGGAATTTCTAGGCAAGAGGAAAACATAGAAATTCTAATCTAATAGATAGCGCTTCTATTAGATTCTATTCTAATCTAATAGTACTTCTATTAGATTCTATTCTAATCTAATAGATAGTACTTCTATAGATAGTACTTCTAATCTAATAGTATTTCTATTAGATTAGAATTTCTAAGCAAGAGGAAAACCTAGAAATTCTAATCTAATAGATAGTACTTCTATTAGATTAGAATTTCTAGGTTTTCCTCTCTTTCTATATAAAGACATGTATTGAACTCAAAAATGTTATATATTACAAATTATTTTTTTCATTCATTCATTCACTCAGCACATATTCATTGGATGCCTACTATGTGTTGGGCTCCATGCTGTGAGTTGAAGATACAGCAGCAAATAAAACAGACAAAATTCTCTGCTCCCATGGAAGGCGGAGGGGGAAACAAATGACAAATAAGATATACAAGTAACCAATATAGTACATTAGAAGGTAAATGCTATGGAGAAATATAAAGCAGGAAAAGGGATAAGGTGTGTGTGTGTGTGTGTGTGTGTGTGTGTGTGTGTGTGTAGGCGTAGCTGTGGTTTCCATTTTCAAAAACTTGGTCAGCAAGGCCTCATGGAGAAGGTGACATTTAAACAAAGTGAAGTAAGTGAGGGGCCAATGTGAATATCTGAGGGAAGAGTACACTTAGCAAAGGGAAGAGTAAATGCAAAGGCCCTGGGGCAGGAGTGTGCCTGGCAGCTCTGCATAACTGCAAGGCCAGTGTGGCTGGAGCAGAGTGAGTCAAGGCTGGTAGCAGGTGATAAAGGACAGAGGTAGTGGTGTGGCAGTTGAGAAAGAAGATCCTGTAGGACCCTCTAAACCATTATAAGGACTTTGACTTTTACTCCAGGGAATCTGGAAAGCCATGGGAGGATTCCAAGCCAAGCAGTGACATGGCCCAAATGATATTTTAGCAGATTCAAGTGGCTGCTATGTTAAGAATAGACTGCAGGGTGGTGAGGGCCGAATCAGGGAAACCAGTTAGCAGCTCCTGCATTCTAGGTGAGATTACACATTAGGTACCACCAATGGCATTTGGGGTAAAATGAAGTGGGGTTGCTGCAGGGTAGAGAGCTTAGTCAGCTTACCCAGTCTGAGTAAAATCATCGACATCCATAACTAGCTCTGACAATTTACAAAAAAATTCTCATTGACCTTAGACAAATTTAGATATCATAATTTAAAAATGACGTGCCATCTAACATTTGCCAAACTTTGTACTTGGTGCCCAGACCCACGGAACCAGCTCGGGTGGAAAGTGAGAACCCCAAGTAAAGGCTGGACATCGTCAGAGAGCTGCGTGGAGCAGTTGCTTGTGTAGAGCAATGACAAATAGGAGAGGTTGCTGGAAAAGGAAGTGGAACCAGTGCCCAGAGTTTTATCTGCTTTGTCCATAAAAGGAGATTAGATACTTCACAGAAGCCTACTCTGGGGCTTAAGTATACAGTCCACCCATTCTCTCACTGCATTGATTTACCGTTGTCTCTTGCATTGTAAGCGTGAGTTCTTCGTGCAGTAAAATTTTTGTTTATTTCAATTGCTGAAATTCTAAAATCTATGTTGGCTATCTGCTCATTTTAATTTTTTGCATCATATTTTATTAATCTTATGCCTTTCGGAAAGCAATTTCAGGGATCTAGTATTGCAGACAATTGGATGTAATATAGTCTCTGACTTTGATTTTCATTTTCTTGTCATGAAGAATATTTCTTATAGTTAATTAAGATATTTGGGAACTGGGCGCAGTGGCTCACGTCTGTAATCCCAGCGCTCTGGGAGGCCGATGTGGGTGGATTGCTTGAGTTTAGGAGTTTGAGACCAGTCTAGGCAACACAGCGAAATCCTGTGTCTACAAAACACTTAAAAATTAGCTGGGTGTGGTGGTGTGCGCCTGTAGTCCCAGCTACTCAGAACACTGAGCAGAGGATAGCTTGAGCCCAAGAGGTCGAGGCTGCAGTGAGCCACGAAGGCACCACGGCACCCCAGCGTGGGCAACAGAGCCAGACCCTGTCTCAGAAAACAAAACCAAAGGAAAGAAAGAAAGAATTAGGAAGAAAGCTAGGAAGGAAGGAAGGAAAAAGAAAGAGGAAGACAAAGAAAGAGAAAGAGAAAGAGAAAAAGAAAGAAAGAAAAGAAAGAAAACAAGATATTTGGGCATAACTTAACAGACTCTATGTTATTATTATTATTATTTAGAGACAGTTTCTCACTCCAACACCCAGATTGGAGTGTGGTGGTGTCATCACAGCTTGCTGCAGCCTCAACCTCCAGGGCTCAAACCATCCTCCCACCTCAGCCTCCTGGGTAGCTTGAACTACAGGTGTGCAACACCACGCCCAGCTAAGTTTTTTTTTTTTGTATTTTTTTATAGAGGTTTTGTCATGTTGCCTAGGCTCATCTCCAACTCCTGGGCTCAAGTGATCAGCCCACCTCAACCTCCCAAAGTGCTGGGATTATAGGATAAGCCACCACCCCAGCCTTCACAAACTCTTTAGATCTAACTGTTATGCCTTGGATTGACAGGGTTGGCAAATTACCTGGCGCTGGTGTTGCAATGCTGCCTCCTCCCATGCTTGAGGCAGGTGCTGCTTCTCAATCTTGCACCCTTTCCCACTGAGCATGGACTTGCCTTACAAGCCTCGTCCACTCAGGGCTCCAGAAAGTCACTATCAATCAATGGGAACAAGCATACCCAGTGAACCACCTTACTATCCTAGGGTTCTAGCCAGTATAGTCTTATTTTTTGCCTTTATTGATGCCATTTTTTGGAAATGGACCCACTACCTTATTATGCACATTTTGAATTTAAGTAAAAATATATAATAGCAATAGTTTGGATTCCTAACTAATATGAGCATTTAAATACCTAACTGATGGATTTAATGATGATTAATTTTGTTAAAGGTCTTCTTTCTACATCAACGAAAGATTTTAATTCTAGATGTATATATGGTTCCCATGGTTCCCTTAACTTTTTAAAAGTAAAGTGGCCTCTGTTTTCTTTCAGGCTCTGAGCTTTTCATGTGATTTAATAGCATCGATGGTTCACAATTTTCTAGAGCTCTGCAGCCATCTTAAAGCTGATATTAATGTTCCTGGCTTTTGGCAATGAATAACTAATTATGCTGCAAATAGCTAAATTAGGAAAGAGTCTATGGGAGAAGCCCTAAAAGAATGATCCATGGCAGGATTTTGGGAAGAGCTGGAGGTGCGGAAGTTGTCCAGACAGGAAAAGTGCAGCAGCCATGATGGTCGGTGCCTTCGCATCAGGGTTTTCACTCGCTGAGCCAATGGGTCCATAGCTGATGTCAGCTAAATGCCCATGGTGGTGAAGAGCTCCACACTCCTTGTGTTCCTGGGTCATACTCCGTCAGAAGAATCAGAAGCTGAAGCAGAATCATTGGAGCATTTGGCCCTATTCTCTGCTTGCTTTTGTTATCGGTGACTTAAAGAGGGACCAACAGAACACCTTCCTGGGCCTTGAGGGAGCTCTCTGTTGCCATCACCAAGGCCCCATTGGCCCACGCTTCTACCATGGTGTGTACCAGCTCTCCTGGGAGTCACGTGGCCACATATCAAGGGGAAGGAGCTACTTCCCTCCTAGAGCAATGGCACCTGCAGGTAAGAGCTGAGTGGTGAGCTCTTACTTCTGCACTCTGCACTGGGCCAGTATGGATCTCCCCAACCACATTTGACAGTCTTCATCCTGCCATACCAGGTATCACCATCTGCTTCAAAGTCCCCTTTACTATTTGTTCTACAACTGCTAGAAAACCTAAGGCCAAATAGATTGATAGCAAGCTGTCCCCTAATTTCTAAGATAATGCTGTATAGATTTTAAAAAGAATTTCAACAATCCTTATTGCATACTATAGAGGGAGTTCTGTTTCCCAGAAGTTGAAAGTATGGTAAAATCCCTCCTCATCATTCTTAGGGTGCTAGCTGTCCTGGGAGCTGGAAAAGTGATGCAGAAATTGCTGCTTCTCACAAGGCCATGACCTCTCCCTAACCTAGGTAAGGGTCAAGGCAAATGGTCATTTGCCACTAAATTATAAATCTCTGAGCTGGAACTTGCTGGATGTCAATGCTTTGAGAGATATGAGGCCTGGGCCTGCATCTGGGCCCCACCCATCGACTTCCTACATCTGTATTCTGGTTAGGCACCCCGCCTGGCTGCCTACCTGTACTTAAGCCTTCCTGTACTCTGGGACTAGGGGTAAGGGTGAAGAGAGGGTAGAGGAGGTGAGCAAGTGAGGGAAAGAAAAGGTAGTGGAGTGGCAGGATGGGAGGGGGCTCTAGCCAGGATGTTCTGTAAGCAGAGCCCAGCAAATTATCTCTGTTCCCCTTGGCCTGACCCCTTTTCCCAGGAGCAGGGCCTGGCAAGCAGGGTTGTTAGGTAACAGTTTCAACCATCCTCTGGTGGGTTACATACAAAAAGCAGTTTACAGTGTCAATGAAATGAATGCTAGTGTACCTTTCTCGACCTCCTAGCACTCTGGAGGTAAATGTGTGCAGCAGGTCACTGCAGACAGGGAGAGAGAGTTCTACAACAGAGTTGAAGGTAAAAACATGAAATAATTTGGGATATGACCCAAGTGATAACAATATGGTTTAACTGGTTTACCTGGTCTTGTAACCTAAAGAATAATTTCCATAACCCAGTTAACATTCTACTCATTACAGTATTTATGACTGTATATTTCTTAAAAAAGAGTTGAGGCTATGCACACAAATAACTACTCAATGACAAAGAATGAGCTGAGGGCTACACAGTGGCCAGAGAGCAAGTATATTATAAAGGGCTTTGGATCTTGGAGATTCCAGCACCCACTAACCCTGTAGGCACTAACCTCTTACTTTTCTCCTTAGTCAAATGGATTTAACAATCTTTGCCCTGCAGAGTTTTTGAGCAAATTAGCAACAATATATAAGGACAGTATCTAGCACAATACCCCAAATCGACTAACTCCTCCGTAAAGAATAGCTACCACTATTGTGAGAGTTTTAAGTCAAGCTGTGAATAAAACTCTTGGGTCCACTTAAAAATACCTCCCCTGGATGTAAGCATCCAGGGAAATCAGGGAATGCCATAAGACAGCCCTAATCTAAAAGCCTACAAGAAGCTCAGTGGGCTTCAAGGAAGACACTGCTCTTGGTACGATGAGGAAACCTGGCCCTCTATTTGCCTCCTGGGCCACAGTAATATTGATAATAGCTGCTGCTTTTAGTTGAGGACCATGTACGTCTGTGTCACTGCACTGGCCACTTTACTTACACTTTCCTGCTTTGTCCTCACAAAGATCCTGTAAGGTGTGTATTGGTCCCATTTAGCAGGTAAGACAATGAAGACCAGAGGTCCAGCACCTTGCCTAAACCACACCTGCTGGGATTTGGATTCAAGTCCAACCGTACAGCTCAAACGCTCAGCCACTTCCCTAAAGTCCACCCCCAGCTACATTAAGTAAAAAAATCCAGAAAGATGCCACCTGGGGGTCTGGAACTGCCTCCTCCGAGCACCCGGCTCTCCCCTCCCTGCGGACTCTTCTCTGGAGAGGATGTGATGCTTCTTACTTTTCTCAGATCCCTCTCCCCACCCTGCGAGTGACGTTGCGCCTCTGTGCCTGGTGGGATAGGGATCTGGGAGCTTCGCCTGTTTTTTGCACACTGCCATCCCCTAGTCTTAGGGAGCGAGCTCTGTCCCGCTTTTCACATCTCCGCGTCTTTCCTTGCACTCTACATCACCGCTGGGAATGTCCCCAGACCTGATCGGGGCATGCACACTGGGGTGTGCGTGTGCGTGTGGTGTGTGTTCCTGCGCGTGTGCCGGGCTCGCGGGGCAGGAAAAAGCGCCTAATCCAGGCTCTGCGTCACTCCCGCAATTGGTTAGAAATGGAGTTTCCTGGTGTTTAATCCCGGGAGGGCACTTCGCCTTCGTTGTTTCCCAGAGTCCCTGATTTTCCTGCCTCGCATGCCAGCGCCCCATAGGGCATCCGTGCCTCAGTTCACCTCTTGCCATCCTCCAAGGACGGGGAGAAGGGGTAAGGCGGGGGAGAGCAAGGTGGCTTGGTCGCCCCCGGCCCCCGCCCCCCATGTTGTGTGCAGTTTCCACCACGTCTGTTTCGGAGGGAGAAGAGGAGGGTGCAGATGAGGCGAGGCGCCTTCGGGAGCGCGGAGAGCGGGCAGGCAGTGCCACCTGCTGAGAGCCACTCAGGCCGAGCAAGCGGCGGGCAGTGCCACCTGCTATAAATAGGCCGCCAAGGACAGGGTGTGCGACTGTACATCCCGCCACGAGGGCCTGCATCACGCGCGGGGCCCCGCGCCCCCGGCTCCCCAGGGAAACGCTGTGCCCAGATCCTGCGCAGGGGTCTGGATGGGGCGGCGGCCCGAGTACTTCCCCCCTATTCCCCCCACAGACACTGGCTGAGGATGGCCCGCGGGCTTGGGGGCGGGGGGTGGCAAGGAGGGGAGGGAGGCCGCGGCGGACCCGCAGTGCAGCAGCTGTTGCTCGCGTGTGACTCGCCCGTCCGGGCCGTGCTGCCCAGGCACAGTCACACGGCGCAGTGGGGAGGAGGAGGACACCGAGTCCCCCTCCCAGCTCCCCGGGGACCGAGTGGGGAGATCCCGGCTCCTGTCTTCCCCTCGCCTCCAGCGCGCTCGCCCAGGCTGGGAGGAGGAAACCAGAGCCGCGCGCAGACACCTCCTCCTTCTCCTCCTCTTCTTCCTCCTCCTCCTCCTCCTCCTCTTCGGCTGCTGCTCCTGGTGCCGCCACCGTCCGCCGGTGCCTGTTGCTGCCGCCGCCGCGGGACCTGCTGTGTCCTCAGCTGGGTGGAGAAGAGGCGGGCGCCGAGCCGAGGGGAGCCCCCTCCCCGTCCCCCCGCGGCGGGAAGAGCGCAGCCAGCCGGGTGCGATGGACTCCCCGCCCGCCCAGGCCGTCCCCAGGATGCCCCCAAGCACCTGCGCGTCCCGGCCCGGCCCCGGGCTCTGAGCGCGCCGCGGCACAGGTAAGGCGCTTCCTGGGGCTTCGTCCTGGCCACCCTGCTGGCTCCTCTCGGGGCGTCGCGGCCGCCCCCTCCCGCAGCACGCCCCTGCCCCGCCTGGCCGCGGAGGGGAAGGCATCTGGCCGCCCACGGACGCGAGGCCAGGGTCTCTCGGGGGAGGAAGTTCATTGCCATCTCGTTGCCCCCCTTACCCCCCCACCCCCGCCGCCCTTGGACGAAAGCGAAACCTTAATGTTGCTAGCGACCCGAGAGCTCCGCCGGCTTCTCCCCCAACCCCCGCCAGCTCACTGGTCCGCGCATCTCTCCCCTCCCCCCTCCCGCCAATTATCCTAGCGTGTTTGCAAGGCGACCAGATTGGAAAGAGTGTGGTCAGAGTGACCCCAAGCCACGCTTTAAAAGTTCAGGGTACTTTGCAGTAGTAACTTTGGCAGCTCCACCAGTGCGCGCAACATTTCTTTCTATGGGTACATCCTGTACCAGTCATTTTGAAACCCTGCTTCATTGTTTCTAGCCGCTTCCTGATGGCTCTGTGATTATGAGACCCCCCTCAAACTTCACCAGGCATTAAGGTTTTGTTTTTGCTTTTTTTTCAGAGAGGTATCATTTCGTTTGAAATCCACCTAGATGTGGCTTTTCCTGTTTTGATTTTACTTAACATAGCTTATTCTCTGGAAGTTGCTTTAAAAAGAAATTGAAAGTGATGGTTGTTCCTTCCACCAAACAGTTTAATTTTCAGGGTGCCTCATATTAATGGATATGTTTTCCCTTCATAGATTTCTCATTGTTTCCCTTATGATGGGATGATTTCATTTATTAATAAAATCAGACTTTGAAAGAGCATTTAAAAATGACCTGGTTTAAATAGGTCACACCCAAGAAACTCAGCTATCTGTACAAGTTCAAACTTCTAAACTTTTTCAATGAGCTAGGGGTGGTGGCACCCACCTGTAGTCCCAGCTACTTGGGAGGCTGAGGCAGGAGGATCACTTGAGCCCAGGAGTTCGAGGCCATAGTGAGCTATGACTGTGCCACCTCACTGGAGCCTGGGTGACAAAGTGAGATCCCATCTCTTAAAAAAAAAGAGTTTAGGGGACATTTTCTGAAGTGAACACAAGTAGAGCATTCTAACACTATTGAGTGCAAGGAGACCTGGAAGGGACTAAGTGGTTCAAAGCAGGAAATAAAATCATCAGGTGATAATTAAAATAATTTCTTTCCTGTGGATTTGTCCAGCCATTTGCAAACCAGGAGAATAGGAAAAAAAATCACTAGTGTAGTTATAAATTATTACATTACGTTTTCAAAGGAAAATTTTGCAAATGCGTCTCCTTGTCATAGTCTATTGTTATCTACCCCACTGAGAGTGCTGGGGCTTCCCCTTTTCACCACGACAGCATTTCTGGTTGGGTGGCAGTCATGCAGTGTTGACCTGGTGTCCCATAAGGCACAGTTTGTCAAAACACTAGTGGGTATTAGGAGGAAACGTGCAACTCTGAAGCAACAGAGCTTGCCCCTTCTTCCTCATTATCCAGCTGGTGATAATCCCTGTCCCCCACTTCCCTAGAAGACAGCTTTGACCAGGAAGGCTGCAATGACAATGAGATGTACCCCTATGCAGAGCCAGATGTGGGCGGGTGGCTTTTTTGTGGTCCAGATCTTCTAGGATCTTCTAGGATGTAACCCTGGCAAGCAGTGGGGAGCCTGAATCAAGCAGCATGGCTGTTACCTCTTCTGTGTTCACAGCAGCATCTTCAGTTGTCTTGGTGCCTGGAGCAGGCACCACAGCTGCCTGCTCTGTTGGCCACCAGCTTTCTAGAGTAGATGGTAGGGAGGAGAGCAAGGGGCTCAAGAGGATTCTGTCTTTGAACATGCTTTTAATTTGATCTGACAGAATGGCAGCTCCCTGAAGTCCTTCCTACTCTCTCCACAGCATTTCTCTGTAGGTCCCCAGTTTTTGCTCTTTTCAGATTCCCAGAGGACTGAAAATGTATCACGGCCCATTTGGGGACTTCCTGTATATGTGTGGGTGCCTCAGGATCATTTGTTTTGCCCTTTTCCAGTCTACCGTGCTGCCCTTCTCAAGTTTAATGACCACGTTAGTTTCAATATTTTATATATTTCTCAGCAGTTTTCATCTCTTGGTCATTAAACTTGAGAAGTAAAATCTGCTCATTAAAATGACTGAGTCCATGGCCAGGCATGGTGGCTCATGCCTGTAATCCCAGCACTTTGGGAGTCCAAGGCGGGTGGATCACTTGAGGTCAGGAGTTCGAGACCAGCCTGGCCAGCATGGCAAAACCCTGTCTCTACAAAAATATAGATCTACAAAAACTAGCCAGGCATGGTGGCATGTGCCTGTAGTCCCAGCTATTTGGGAGGCTGAGACAGGAGAATCGCTTGAAGCCAGGAGGCGGAGGTTGCAGTGAAACATGATCGTGCCACTGAGTCCATTCAGCAGCAGAGTAGTGTTGGGGTTTGTATCCCTGTAGTGATGACGAAGGATTTAGGTTTTCAGTCAGAACTGTTACCTTACAATTTCCTTCACTGACTTTTCTTCCTTTCCAACACCACATTCCAATAAAAAATATCTTTAGACCAGATTCTTCACGAAAGACATGAAGGTTTTCATGCTTCAAGGTTTTTGACTTTTTTTTTTTTTTTTGAAAGGAGTCTTGCTGTGTCACCCAGGCTGGAGTGCAGTGGCGTGATCTCAGCTCACTGCAACCTCCGCCTCCTGGGTTCAAGTGATTCTCCTGCCTCAGCCTCCCAAGTAGCTGGGACTACAGGCGTGCTCTACCACGGCCGGCTAAATTTTGTGTTTTTAGTAGAGGCGAGGTTTCACCATCTTGGCCAGGCTGGTCTTGAACTCCCGACCTTGTGATCCACCCGCCTTGGCCTCCCAAAGTGCTGGGATTACAGGTGTGAGCCACGGCGCCCGACCAGTTTTTGACATTTCTAAGCCAAAAGTTCCATTTGATGAGGTCTTAGATGCAGGGGCAATGTGTCCCTTTTCAGATTTCAGATGTTTAGAAAAAGATGTGTCATATTTGGGCCAACTGAAAAACTCTTGATATGTAGGTTTTTATGAAGCTGTGCAGAATGTAGGAAATACATTTTAGAACCAACAAAGAGGCATTTAATTTTGAGTGTGCCTGTCTCCTTTGAGATGAGCAACAGCTATTTTTCTCTTCAAAAGACAATGCGTGTATTTATCAGCACATTTTATATAATCAGCAAATCTAAACCTCTGAATTAGGTAAGCCCTATAGGTTTGTTGCCAGAATTAGTGAATTTATACATGCAAAGTGCTTAGAACAGTGCCTGGTACACAGTGAGCACTCAATATTATTTATTGCTATTATTATGTTTATTTATTTTATACTTTTAGAGTATAATTTTGATGTTAGGTTTGGATTGCTGAGGCCAAGCAAAATTTAGATAGACCAACCCAGCTAATCCACTAGAAAGATATTTGAGGGTTATTCCCATCTAAAGATCTATGGGATCTTTGGATATCATCTGTGAGAAACAACAGAAGTTTGTAGATAAGACAGATATAGATTCAAATGCCACCTTCACAATTTATTAGTGAGGGAACCCTTTGGTAAAATGAGCATGACAAAACCTACTTCTCAGCTTTGTGAACGTACAGAAGATCATGAATGTAAAATGTCCATGAAGTGGTAGGTGGTCAACAGATATTGCTCTAGCAAAGTGGTTAAGAGCAAGCAAACTCTGGAGCCAAAGGGCCTGGGTTCAAATCCCGATTCTGCCACTTCTTATAGTATGGCCTTGGGCAGGTGACCTCACTTTTCTGTGCCACTATTCAATGATAATATTCCTTTATTGTCCAACGTTTTGTAAGTTAAATCAGTTAATAAACACACTATGATAATGTGTTGGTAACTATTCTTTTTACTTTTAGCAGAATAACTTAAAGGAACACTGCAGGTAGGAGGGTTATACATAATCTCTGAGGGCCAGCTAGGACACTCGCCCATTTCCCACCCTTTTTCCTGTGCAATGAAGAGTATAAGAAGTGACAGTGCCATTCTAAAGGACTAGCCTTGAGTTGGCTCTAATTTATATGACTCGTGCCTGTAATCCCAGCACTTTGGGAGGCCGAGGCTGGCAGATCACTTGAGGTCAGGAGTTGGAGACCAGCCTGGCAAACATGACGAAATCTCATCTCTACCAAAAATACAAAGATCAGCCGGGCATGGTAGCACACACCTGTAATCCCAGCTTCTGGGGAGGCTGAGGCAGAAGAATTGTTTGAACCCAGGGGGCGGAGGATGCAGTGAGCTGAGATCACGCCACTGCACTACAGCCTGGGTGACAGAGTGAGATTCTGTCTCAAATAATAATAATAATTTATATGAGAAAGAAGTCATTCAAAAGCATCATTACTTTACATGTCAAATTAGAAAGGCACACCCCAGTACTAAAGCATCCTTGATGATGAAAACATTTAGAACCACTGGTTTCAGGAGCTCCATGCAATGGTGAAACAGCCTCTACTCCAAGGGTTGTTGCTCCCTGTGGGATTCCTGGGTGAGGAACACACTGCTCCCGTTGGGGTGGAATCCTGTGGAGGAAGTGGATGAAGAGTGTAGCCAAGTCAGTGAGCCTACTGCATGGGATTAGAGTACTTCAGGTTGCAGTATAATTCTGTTCAGGTGCATGCTCACTCCATCTGGCGTAAAGAACAGAGAAATTAAACCATTGATTCACAGAGCAATATGAGTAGCTGCCTGGGGACTTCCTGTCCATTCTGGGGTCCCCAACAGCCAATCAATATTGGCCGGTTCCTAATCTGACCTAGAGCTAGAGGCCACTAGCACCCCTCCATTCATCCTTTCTTCTCTCCCTACCCACTCCCACCAGCATTCTGAGGAGGTGAGGGCTGAAGCTGCAGAGGCTGTTGTACTGTCAGTTACTGTAAAGTCCCCATCCTGCTCTCTGTAGTTTGCTGTGAAGGAGTGGAGGGGGCTGGGAACAAAGGGGGTTCCCAATAAGCAGCTTACTAATACCTACCCTTGCTTCTCTCACTTCCTGATCAATAATTCCCATCCTTTCTTCATGTACCTCCCCCACATTTTTGTTCTTTAAGGGAAGAAGGGAGCAGCTTTCCATCCCCACACAATGTTGGGGACATTTGGTATTATACATTATGAAAATAAGATTTACCAGATTTTAGAGATGGAAGAAAACTTGGGGATGATCTTGTTCCATTCTCTTATAAGAACAAACAATATTTGGAGAAGCTGAGTAACTTGCTTTTTCAACTTCACACTTGAAAGTGTTTTCATGAGGAAGTTGGGGTTCTCTGCAGCACTTGGATGGGAGTCAGGGACTTGGATTGTCCCAATTCTGTCACTAAATTTGGACAAGCCACTTAACTTTTCCAGAATCTAGTTGCCTCATTTCAAATATTAGGGAAATTTCTAAATGGCTTAAAAGGAGCTTGTTAGCTTTAAAATTTTATGATTCTAAGTGTATGCTGCCAGAGATATGTAGCATAGCAGGACACATTAACAAGATTATTGAAACTGTTCTAATAAAGGACATCTTTGTGTCTTGGGTAGCTACTATGTTTAAAGACTGTGCTAGGTGGGAGTTGTGCAGAATACACAGGTTTGCTGTAGAGGGATAGGGCGTGTACACAGACAACTCTACTAACAAGAACGTTACTAGAAGCTTATTGGAATCACAGTATTTCTTGCTGAGGGTATGAAACATAAGAGTTCTCCTTGGAATATGAGGTTCTATTTGGGGCTTAAAGAATGGTCAAAGGTTGAGTGCAAATAACATGGATTGAGATGGCTTTAAAAAATAATCAAATGGTTTGTTAGTATTAAACTGGTGCAGAAATAATTGCAGTTTTTGCCATTCCTTTTAATGGCAAAAATTGCAGTTACTTTTAAACCAAATCCCTAATATTATTTGCATAGTTTATCTCTGTTATGGAAGTTTTTATTGACAAGTAATGTAGATATTCACCTGATCTAAGTTACCCTGAATCTTATATTAGCAGAATCTGAATTGCTTATAAATAATTATGGCTATGTTGGATGTAGAACTTATTATTTGATAGTTTATGAACAGTGCTAAGGTCTAATCTACTTTTTACAGAGAAGCTAAGAACATGCTACAGCTGGTTGAAAAACAAAAACTTCAGGCATTGAAATGTTTTGTCAATGAAATGGCAGGACTCATTTGATGACTGATTATTATCAACTGATTTAAATGACTGAATTTTTGGTACTGTGTACATCTATACTCTAAGAAGGAAATTGAAAGTAATTCTGCTATGCTTGTTGCCACTATATTAATAACTGCATCATCTAAAATAATTGATAGAGCTCAGATTTATCCTTTGTAATAATTCTAGTACTTCTTTAAACATGTTTTGGGATTAGCAGCTGTCAACAGTTAGAACATGAAACAGATTCTGTTACAGGAGTAGAAGTCGATCCAGACATTTAATGTCATTTTCACCTGTGAGAGAGAGAATAAAGAGAAAGAGAGATCATTATTTATGGGATTATGTGAACTTCAAGTCCGTTTTCATTATTAGGAGAAGCTGTGCTTTAAAGGACAGTCAGGGACTTTACTTTCATGAAATGCCTGAGCTGTAAATAAAGTATTGCTTTATTTTTTATTTCTTGAACATTTGAAATAAAAAATTAGCTATGAGTTATGTTCAAATTATATTATAAAAATTTGCTCTTAGCATTGTGCATATATATTATACAGAAAAACACAGAGTAAAAAGAATAGACTTCAGTTCCTGTTCAGAAAAGGTTTAAAATTTGAATACTGATTTTGGAAACCCCAAACCTTAAGAATTCAAGAAGCTTACGGTCTTCTTGAGGGACACCTATTCAAACTCTTAAATATGGTGATTGGGTAGAAAGTGCAGAAAAGCCTGCTGATACATGCCCTAAAACACCTTGGAAAAAAGAGGTGGTAGTTGCTTGAGGTAGGACTTAAGTACTAGTTGGAAATAGAAGACAAGGATGGAGACTGTTGGTAGATGACTCTCCATGGGTCCTTCCTGTTTCTACACACCTTGTAAGCAGGGCATTGAGTGCCTGTGTTCCAAACTACCTTTTCCATCATGTTTCTACAGCAAACAGTCATGGAAGATAGAAATAGAGTCTTCCTCTGGAGCAAAGGGCAGACACGCTTGCTTCCTGTACTTCCCACTATAAGATATTCCGGCTCCCTAAACTCAGCTGCCTTTCCTGTAACCCACCATGATACAGATGTCACCTGACCTGTGGGAATTGGGGGTCAGGGAACCAAGAGAAATGCTGACTGTCTGGCTACTGTGACTGCCCTGAGTAATAAATTGTCCTTCGTCTCCAACCCAGGAGTCTCATGTTTTCTACCAGCAGGATAACTGTGGCGGGCTAACGTGTTAGTTTGCAAGTAAGGTAAAATCTCAGACCCTTTGCAGTTTGTGGCAGGGATTATATTCTGAGGAGAGAGGAACCGTATGCACCATGGCTCAGAGGCATGAGAAACGGGGAACCATAACTAGTTCTCTATCTTCAGAGCCTTTAAAAGGTGCACCAAGGAGGGCATTTTAGGGGAGAATATAAAGTTGGAGATATAGACACAGCCAGATTCCTGAGAGACCTTATATGCCAGGTAGAAGACTTCAGATTGTATGGGGGAATTATTAGAGAATTTTTAGCAGGGGTGTGATATGATAAATTTTGTGTTGATTAAGTTACTCCAGGAAATATGCGATGGGTGGATTGAAGGATGGGGCACCTTTTCTCTAGGACGAAAAAGAAAGAGTAGTTGGTGAAGTCAGTTAGAGGTAGTAATAGGATGAAGAAGGGATCTGAATGACCCCTTGGCCATTCAGTGAGTAGTGATGCTATTCACCTAGATACAGCACATAGGAGGGAAAAGAAATTCTGGGAAGGAGGGAGATGAGACCGAGTTAGCTTTAAAATAACTAAATTCAGGCCTAGGAGCCTATAGGCTATCCAGATAGAAATATTTAATGGCCTATATGGATCTGGAACTCAGGAAGGAGGCTTCCGTGGGAGCAGAACACTTGGGCACCATTAGGGTGTATGTGGTAGATGCATTCTTGTGCAGCAGTCAAGGGGATGGGATTTAGACTCAAGTGCAAATTGCCCCCCATCTCCTGTGATAAGTGACTGAAGCTCTCCGGGCTTCAGTTTCCTAGTTCATCATAGTGGGCTCTAGCGGATAAATGTTACAAAGGTTAAATGAGACAACATAGGCAAAGTGCGTGGTACTCAATAGAAGTCAGCTGCTGTCATCAGCAGCAGGATCACCAGAATGTGGTGCTTGACACCAAAAGATTAGGTGAGATTGCCCAAAACAGCAGGTGAAATGAGGGGAGAGGATGAAGTCAAACACAGGAAGAAAAGCCTTTGAAGTATGTGGAAAGAAACAACCAGAAAGGTAAGATAAGAACCAGAAGAGATTCAAGAAGGAAGGTGTGGCCGGGCGCGGTGGCTCAAGCCTGTAATCCCAGCACTTTGGGAGGCCGAGGCGGGCGGAACACGAGGTCAGGAGATCGAGACCATCCTGGCTAACACGGTGAAACCCCGTCTGTACTAAAGATACAAAAGAATTAGCCGGGCGCGGTGGCAGGCGCCTGTAGTCCCAGCTACTCGGGAGGCTGACGCGGGAGAATGGCGCGAACCCGGGAGGCGGAGCTTGCAGTGAGCCGAGATCGCGCCACTGCACTCCAGCCTGGGCGACAGAGCGAGGAGCCGTCTCAAAAAAAAAAGAAAAAAAAAAAAAAGTAAGGAAGGTGTGGCCAAGATTGAGAAATTCGTCAGAGCAAACAAGGCAGTCAGGGGCTAAATAGCCTCCTTTAAATTTTACAACCTTGAGGACCTCGGCAACTTTAACAGAATTTCAGTGGATCCCTAGGGCAAACCAGGCCTTACAAACCAGGAATGGATGGTCAATAGGAAGTGGAGACAGTAAGTGTAGACCTTACCTTGGAGGGAAGGAAGAGAAAGAGCCATGGCCAAGGGAAGTTTGAAATCAAAGGAAATATCTTTTTTTTTTTTTTTCGATTGGAGAGACCTCAGTTATTCTTTTAAAATACTTATTGAGCCCCTCAGTTATTCTTTTAAAATACGTATTGAGTCCCTACTTTGAGTCAGGCACTATGGCAGACACGAGGGAGATAGCAGTGAATCAGACAGATGCAACGCCTGCCTTCATGGAGTTTCACCTTAGCATCTGTCCATATGCTAGGGGAGTGGGGCAGGGGCAGGGAGCTGGATACAGGAGAGACTGAAGATCCAGGGAGCAAGTGAGTAAAGAATAGGGCTTGAGATCCCACAGACAACTCAGCTTTGAACAAAAGGGTTTTGTCATCCAATAGGACAAGAAGGCGTTAGGATACATCAAACGTGGTTGTTGAAAACAGAAAAGGGCTGGGCACTGTGGCTCATGCCTATAATCCCAGCACTTTGGGAGGCCAAGGTGGGCAGATCACTTGAGGCCAGGAGTTCGAGACCAGCCTGGCCAACATGGTGAAACCCCATCTCTACTAAAAATACAAAAATTAGCCAGGTGTGGTGGTGCATGCCTGTAATCCCAGCTACTTGGAAGGCTGAGGCAGGAGAATTGCTTGAACCCAGGGGGTGGAGGTTGCAGTGAGCCACGATCGTGCCACTGCACTCCAGCCCGGGCAACAGAGCGAGACTCTGTCTCAAAAAAAAAAAAAGGAAGAAAGAACATAGACAGGGAAATGTAGTTAAGGGAGTTTGGGTTTGGGTTTGGTAGAAGCGTTTTCTGTTTTTTGTTTGTTTGTTTTCAGAAAGAGTCTCACTCTGTTGTCCAGACTGGAGTGCAGTGGCACAATCTTGGCTTGCTGCAGCCTCTGCCTCCTGGATTCAAGCAATTCTCCTGCCTCAGCCTCCTGAGTAGCTGGGATTACAGACACCTACCACCACACCAGGCTAATTTTTGTATTTTTAGTAGAGACGGGGTTTCACCATGTTGGCCAGGCTGGTCTCAAACTCCTGACCTCAGGTGATCCACCTATCTTGGCCTCTCAAAGTGCTGGGATTACAGGTGTGAGCCACTGCACCTGGCCTAACATTGATATCTGTTGATGAGAAGAAGCCAGGTGTTGGAGTGATAGCTTATAGCACATGAACTGAATAAAACAGTGTTTAAGACAATGTTTGCAACATAATAGGCACTGAAGACATGTTAATGGAAGGTGGATTTGTGATTCAGAACCTCTAGACTACCTGGGCGAGTCTTTTAAAATGTAAGTAATATCTTAAGTGATATTACTTGTCCCAGATCAGTTGTTTAAAACTGAGGTTTAATGCTGTCAGAGTAGCACTGTATCGTCTTCTATCATGGGGGCCTTTGTTGGCTTTAGGAGGTTTGTGTTTCATAGTAGTTTCCCAGTGGGCTCTTTGTTACCTGTAATGAGTGTGACAGTTATGCCATAACCAGGTTTTATATGGAATACAATTTTGAGAAAGTTCTTTCTAGGCAGAGAAGCTTATTTGAACCTCTTATTATATTTGGGTTTCAGGCTTTTGAGTTCTTCTGAAATAATAGCCCTTTGAAGGTAGCTATTGCTATGACTTCATTAAATTCTAATGCCTCTGGTTTTCTCCCCCAGGTTTCTGCATATGAAGTGTGTAAAATAGATTGCTTGATCCAAAACAGAAAAACAGTGATAACTGTTTTGCTGAGTTCCCAGACCCTTCCCAAGATGGAACCAATAACATTCACAGCAAGGAAACATCTGCTTTCTAACGAGGTCTCGGTGGATTTTGGCCTGCAGCTGGTGGGCTCCCTGCCTGTGCATTCCCTGACCACCATGCCCATGCTGCCCTGGGTTGTGGCTGAGGTGCGAAGACTCAGCAGGCAGTCCACCAGAAAGGAACCTGTAACCAAGCAAGTCCGGCTTTGCGTTTCACCCTCTGGACTGAGATGTGAACCTGAGCCAGGGAGAAGTCAACAGTGGGATCCCCTGATCTATTCCAGCATCTTTGAGTGCAAGCCTCAGCGTGTTCACAAACTGATTCACAACAGTCATGACCCAAGTTACTTTGCTTGTCTGATTAAGGAAGACGCTGTCCACCGGCAGAGTATCTGCTATGTGTTCAAAGCCGATGATCAAACAAAAGTAAGTGAGATGGAGATCCAAAAGACTAAGGTGTGGCTGGCTGGTTTTTATTGTATGGGGGTCAGGATATTTATTTTAAGTATACTGAAATGAATAAGGAATTAATGCTGCAGTTATAAATTGATTACTTAGCTGAATTTTTGTTTTATGGTGATAGTTTATAGTTTTAAAGCACATTTGAAAACAGATACGAGAAATTATCAGTTTTTGAGTTCAAAAATTCAAGAGAAATCAGTCTAAAACTACTAATTAAGAGCAGAAGTGTTAAGATGTACATTATTTCAGATGAATGTTCTAAAGCCATGCCTCTCAAACTGAAATGAGCTTGTGAGTCACCTGGGGATCTTGTTAAAATGTGAATCTTGATTCAGTAGGTCTGGGGTGGACCCCAAGACTGCATTTGTAACAAGCTGCCAAGAAATGCTGATGCTGCCCTTTTGCAGGTTGCACTTTGAGTGGCAAAGTTCTAAATCTCCACATTTGTAATCCTATTAAGAAAAATATAGTCATTCGTAAACTGTGTAAAAATGCTACTGGCCAGTTTCCCAAGGCATAATGTTCACTTAGGCAAAGGTCATTGATAAGAACGCTGGATATGCATCTAAGTTTTGATGCGATCAGGGGTTCTTTGTGTTTTTTTCTTTCGCAAACCTCAGGTCAGATCTGATTAGCTTGTTATTATCACATGATATGGCTGAAAAAAAATGTGAGACATGGTAAAAGTTCTGCTCTTTCCTCGTTCATTTGTGCTTGCTTTGTTATTAGCATTCGTTGTAGCTCTGGGCAGGACTCATTTGAAGATGCTTGCCCATTTTATGAGGATTAGCTTAGATAAAATTGAAAATATAATGCAAATAGCAACTTTCTCAGTTGGGCTCAGGGCTCCACAGCTAACCCCATGGACTGTGGAGTCTTGCCGTTGTTTTGGGTGCCAAGCAAGCCAAGTCACATGTGATTCAAGCTGTCTGCCACATGTACAGGGCGAGGATGCGAGTGTCAATCCACCTGTTAACTGTCAGTGAAGCCTTGAAAGCTTCTCATATTTTCAAGGTTAAAATCTGGATAGAAATGCTAAAGTTTTCTCTCTGCACTCCATTAGGTTATTTTATGTACTCTCTAGGGTGTAAGGACCTTATTTAGAAATTAATATTCTTGGTATCAAGTAGATGCCCTTTTGCTTGTTCATTTGTTGGTTCTTCTAGTCATTCAGAATTGCTGTTGCAGGTACTGTTGGAGATGATATTAGCAGAGGCTTGTAGGAAGGCAGGAGCATCAGTGGGGAATAGGACCAGGTGATCTATGTATAGGACATAATGGAAGGACTGAGAAGGGAGCCTAACACACACCCAAAGGGTAGAGAAGGCTTTGTGAAATAAAGGCTAATATGGAGCTCAAAACCACCATTTCACTCACAGAATCAAACTCTCATATTATAAATCATTTCATGTTATTGTCCACACATCTCAAGTGGGCACGGCAGCATCAGGCTTGGAGATTCAGAGGGACTAACTTCCTGTACTCTAATCCTACTTCTGCACCCATAAACTGGGTGGCCTCAGGCAATTGAGTCTGTTTTCTTATCTGTTAAATGGGGATAATTACAGTATTTATCCAATAGAGTTGCTGGAAAGACTAAATGAGGTAGCACTCGACCTGAAACTTAGTAAGCATTTATAGCCATAAAAACATTTTCATTCAAGAAAATTTTACTAGAGGCAGATTATATGCTAATTTCATTTCACGTCTTAGGTAAAAAGAAACATGATACCTAGATGAGTGCCTTCAGCTTTCAAAGATGAGATTCTGGTCATATTTGAGGAACATTTTAAAAACTACACGTATAACTTAATGGCTCCTATTATTTGGACAAATTCCAGAATGAAAATGAGAGGACTGAACAGCCTGTACCTCAGTCCAGCTCTATATAGTATTTGGACTGAATTTCCTTGGGGAGAGTTTGTGCGTGGAATCGTTGTTCAGCATTTTACACATTTGACTCTTTCCCAAAATCTTTTACGGCCATCTGAGAATAGGCTTCTGGCCAGTCATTCGGATGCCTGACAAGAGAAAGAGATTTATAACCAAATTCTGTAATTGGGACTTCCAGTCTTTCCCCAAGTAGAGAATTGGACTTACTCTATATGCTAAAAACCCATGGTTGAAATATGAATTAGTTCTTAAGTGATTTTTGGCTTGCATACCATTTTTGCAAACACAAATTGTCATTACTCTGCTCATTTAATAAAAGAATAATTTGTAGTATAGGTATATACCTCAATCAGTGATTTTGTTGTTGGAAACAGAACAGTAAATCACACTGGCCATGATGCTAACAGCGTGATAGATTTTCTGTTCTTGGGACACCAATGTCACTGTATCTCATAGCGAAGGATTATCTGCTGTAGGAGCATTCTCTTGACTACTTATAACATTTGCTGGGTGAAATAATTCTCCAGGTTAAGGCCTCTTCTAAACAGATGAGGTCAGCACTAACTGCATTTGCCAGAGAAGACATATGCATTTACTGCCAGCATCATAAACACAAAACTACAGTTTGCGAGGAAACCCTTTGACCAGCATCTAATTAATTCACTGAGTAATGTCTTGGGAGAAGAGGCATGTAAAGGAACAATTTTATAAGCATGCCATGAGATTGTTTTCTATTGTATGTTCCATAGAATATGAGGAAACTTCAAAACATTTTGTGGAAAAATTGAATTAAAAAGTAAAAAACACATATATACATAAGCTTTATTTCTCAAGATAAACTTTATCAAGTTCAAGACACTTTTGTAAGCAATGTTAACAGCCATTGAGTCGGTCTCTAAAGAACTGAGGGTCCTGGGAATTTAACCATGTTTATACAGTCTTTTATACATTATTAACTGGAGAAAAATTGGCGCTCTTTAAAGATTTTTTAAAATTGAGAAGCAAAAGGACGTCAGAAGGAGCCAAATTAGGCCTGTAAGGTGGATGCCTAATGATTTCCCATGGAAACTCTTGCAAAATTGCTCCTGTTTGATGAGAGGAATGAGCAGGAACATTGTCATGGTGGACAAGGACTCTGGTGAAGCTTTCCCAGGCGATTTTCTGCTAAAGCTTTGGCTAACTTTCTCAAAACACTCTCATGATAAACAGATGTTATCATTCTTTGGCCCTCCAGAAAGTCAACAAACAAAATGCCTTGGGCATCCCAAAAAACTATTGCAACCATTTGCCCTTGACCAGTCCACTTTCGCTTTGACTGGACCACTTCTGCTCTCAGTAGCCATTGCTTAAATTTGTCTTGATCTTTAGGATTGCGCTGGTAAAACTATGTTTCATCACCTGTTACAATTCTTTGAAGAAATGCTTCAGGATCTTGATCCCACCCGTTTAAAATTTCCATTAGAAACTCTGCTCTTGTCTGCAGCTGATCTGAGGGCAATGGTTTTGGCACCCATCTAGTAAAACGTTTGCTCAGTGTTAATTTTTCATCCAGGATTGTGTAAGCTGAACCAGCAGAGATGTCTATGATATTGGCTAGTTGGTCCTCTTCAATGAGGGCATGAACAAGATGAATATTTTCCTCAAACAATTATCTGGATGGTCTGCTGCTGCAGGCTTCATCTTCAATATTGTCTCGTCCCTTCTTTTTCTTTTCCCCCCCGCTTGAGACACAGTCTTGTTCTGTTGCCCAGGTTGGAGTGCAGTGGCCCGATTTCGGCTCACTGCAACCTCTGCCTCCCGGGCTCAAGCGATTCTCCTGCCTCAGCCCACCAAGTAGCTGGGATTACAGGTACACATGATCGTGCCTGGCTAATTTTTGTATTTTTAGTAGAGACAGGGTTTCACCGTGTTGGCCAGGCTGGTCTCGAACTCCTGACCTCAAGTAATCCACCTGCCTTGGCCTCCCAAAGTGCTGGGATTATAAACATGAGCCACCACACCTGGCCTCATCCTTTCTTAAAATGAGTTATACATTTGTAAGCTGCTGATTTCTTTGGACATTGTGCCTATAAACTTTTTGTAAAGCATCAGTGATTTCACCATTCTTCCACCCAAACTTCACCATAAGTTTGATGTTTCTTCTTGCTTTGATTTTAGCAGGATTCATGTTTCTCTGATAGGGGGTCTTTTCAAACTGATGTCTTATCCTTCTTAGAGCCTCATCCCAGATCCTGTTCAGACATGCTACAAGTTAATACAAGTTTATTTGGTGCCAAAAAATGGAAATCCATGCATAGTTTTTAAATAATATGCATTTTTCATGAACTTTTTGAAGACCCCTTGTATACTTAAACTGCTCCACATGGAAAAGCTTCCATGATCAAATGCAGTAAGGCAGCATCTCAAACATTTTGTTCTAAGGATTTCTTTTCACTCCTCAAAGTTGTTAAGGATCCCAAAGACCATCGGTTTATTTGGGTTATATCTACTAATATGTACTCTATTAGAAATTAAAACTCAGATATTGTAAAGATATTAATTTGTTAAAAAACAAAAGTAATAAACATCTACATGTTAACATGTTTTTGTGAATAACTATGTCTTCCAAAAAATATTTAGTAATAAGAGTTTTACATTTTTTCAAATCTCCTTAATGTCTGAATTAATAGAAGATAACTGGATTCTCATAGCTGATTCTCTATTCATTCTGTTGTGATGGATTGTTTAATTGAATATATGAAGAAAATTTGGCCTCACACTGCTACATAGTAGGAAAATGGAGCACTATATCCATAGCCTTTTTAGAAAATTGTGGATCTTTTTATTTAATGCTACAACTCGACAAGTGGTAGTTTTTAGAAGGTTAGCTGTAATATGAAATCTGAAACTATATCAAAGTATTTTTTGCACTTTATTATGTTAAAATCCATTGATCTATCTAGCAGTTTTTTTTTCTTTGAGACGGAGTTTCATCTGTTGCCCAGGCTGGTGTGCAATGGTGAAATCTTGACTCACTGTAACCTCCGCCTCTCGGGTTCAAGCGATTCTCCTGCCTCAGCCTCCCAAGTAGCTGGGATTACAGGCATGCACCATACATGCACCATAGGTTACATTTTCTCCTAACACCCATGAACGTCCCTCAGAATGTGTGAACACAGTGGCATAAGGTCCTGGGTTAAAATGTAGTGTTGCCTTTGAGTCCATGGTAAGTAAACATGGTAAGTAAATGGACATATCCACTCTGGAAACTGATGGTTGCATGAGTGACCCTGACTAGATCTTTACCTCATCACATCCCAAAGAAATCAAGAGTCTGCCCAGACTCAGACCTAGAAACATTCTCAAGTCTAAGAAAATCATCTCAGGGTTCTTCTTCTCTCCAGTTCTTCAGCCTTGTCTCTTCTACAAAATCTCTACTCAGAAGAAAATCCAATCTGCCCCTCATACTGATTGTCATTTTAGATCATTCATAAAAGTAATTGCATTTTCATTCTTTTCTTTATCCACGGAGGAAAAAGCTCTGCTTCCTTTAAAGGGACTTTCCAGCACTGAGGAGCAGGTAGCAGAAGTGTTAGGCTGGGGCTTCTGACATTACATGGTGCTGTTTTACATCAGTCAAAGGAAAGAGGGGATTTTGAGTGGGAAATGGCGGGGGTTCTTGAGATGGTAATAGGTGGAGAAGTGCAGGCTGGTGTGTGGTCGAGGGCAGTGGGCAGAGTGTGTGCCGGGCCCAGGGTAAGTCAGAGACAGTGTACATGGAAGTATTTTTGGTGTAAGCGCCTTTTTTGGGGGGTCTCTCTGTCGCCCAGGCTGGAATGCAGTCGTGCAATCTTGGCTCACTGCAACCTCTGCCTACCGGGTTCAAGAGATTCTCCTGTTTCAGACTCCTGAGTAGCTGGGATTACAGGCGCCCGCCACCACTCCCAGCTAATTTTTGTATTTTTAGTGGAGATGGGTTTTCACTATGTTGGCCAGGCTTGTCCCGAACTCCTGGCCTCAAGTGATCCGCCCGCTTCCACCTCCCAAAATGTTGGGATTACAGACATGAGACACTTGTGCCTGGCCACGCCAAATGTTTTTTAACTGGCATTTCTTATCGCACTCGAAATATGTCATGGCTCTTCAAGCACTGTTCTCGACTCTAATAAGATTGTGATCCTCTGGATTTGGTGTCCACTCTGAACGCGGCGTGGGTGTTTAACAACTGTGACGGGACAGATGTCATTAATGTGAAAATGCTCGCAGCCTTCCCCTTTTCCACCCTGCTAAAAGAATCTGGTAATTGCTAGCCTGGTTCCTCCCTCTCCCAAAAAGGAAGTCTTATTTCTTGCTGGGAGAAAGGCTAAGTTTGAGGGGGAACAGTGCGATACAGGAGCATGGGGCCTGGGTGGAGCGGGGGAGAGTGAAACAGAGCAGCTGCGTGGGAAACAGACATGTAGAAATCGACTTTATTAAACGTCGCTGGAGAAGATGTATTTGGATTCCTTTTAATGTCCTTTGACAAAACGGGTTTTCTTTTCTATGATTCTTGGCAATGAAGCTGCATTTCTTGAAGGTGACACATATCTGAGACTGAACCGTGTGGGCTCCCTTACCACTAATTTTAAGACTACTTGACTCTTTGTAGATTTGATTTTAAACCAATAAATGTTTCCTTTTGAAATTTCCTGTAAGGAACCAGTGTATTCTTGCATGAGGCCCTGTAAGCACATCGCCTTTCCCAGTAACGGCATAGGACCTTGTGCCTCCTCACCCAGCCTCTCTGGGCTGCATGTTACCTCGCATATTAAACAAGAAGGCAGTCTGAAGCTGTTTTCTTGTGATTAGCAGGAGTCCATCCCCCGTATCAAAAGCCATTGTTGCCTTGGCTGAGTTTTATTACTTAAATGTAAAAAATTTTTGAAACCTTATTTTTGAGTGTCGCTTTGTATCATTTTGTATTTTACCCATTACTAATTTGTTTTAATAATTCACCGTCTGCTTGGAATTTTAAGTTGGCCACTTAATATATGCACCATTACTTCAGGATTTTCAATAGAGTCTGGCTTCAATTGCATCTCTTGCTTGGCTGTTATATTTGCCGGCTCATTACTTTCTTTCTTCGCTAGAGTGAAGATCGAAGATTACAACACAGAGCTAGAGCATTTTGTTTCTGAGGGTGATTATTTTGAAGAACATAGTATTATTTTTCAAATATTCTCACCTCTTCCCCCTTCTACATTTGGTCATAATTTCTAAACTTCAAACATTTGTCTCTTTTGCTACACAGGTAATGATTCTGAGGGGGTCTTGTTAGGTATGTTTTGGAGGACTTCTTACCTATATTAAATTTCCACTGGGCACCTTTAATCCCAGCCTGATTTATTATGTAAATTTTCATTTGGGGTCCCATGCAGCAGCTATGACTCAGTGCAGTGTATCCATGTCAGCTAATCAGCACTTGACTGTCTGTCACACTAGACAGAAGTTGGTTGCTGGGTGCAAGGGCTGGCAGGAATTTTTTCGTCTATAAAAAGAATGTCCGGGACTGCATGAACTCCGAAGTATTTGTTGGAAGGTTTGGGTTCTTAACACCAGATTGATTACCTAATTTATTTTTGACTTTGAAAAATGAGTCTGTGGGCTCCAGAAGCATACACCTTGTGATAGATGCTTAATTTTTTAAAGTCTTTTTATTGTTTTACACATATGACTTTATATAGCTTTGCATTTTTTACCAAAGGCTTTGAGTTTGATAATTATTTTTTAAAATAAATCCATCCCTAAGAATAGACTTTACAAGTGTCTTGCACCTAAAGTTGACTTGCATCTTAGGGAGATTTATTTATAGCTTAGGTCTTTACTGTCCCGTACAGTAATCAGTAGTCATTTGCAACTACTGAGCACTTGAAATGTGACCAATCTGAAATGAGATATGCTGTAAGTATAAAAAACACAGTGGATTTTAAAGACTTCATTTGAAAAAATATGTAAAAATCTCAATAGTTTTTTTATAATGATTACATGTTGAAATAATATTTTGGGTATATTGGGTTAAATAAATTACATGACTAAAATTAATTTTACTTATTTCATTTTTACCTTTTAAAAATATGCTTACTAACAGAAAGATAAACTTTGCATGTTCTCACTTATTTATGGGAGCTAAAAATTAAAACAATTGAACTCATGGAGATAGGGAGTAGAATGATGGTTACCAGAGACTGGGAAGGGTAGTCGGGGCTGGGGAGTGAGGGGAGATGGTTAATGGTACAAAAAAAAATAGTTAGAAGAATAAATAAGATTTAGTATTTGATACAACGGAGTGACCATAGTCAATAATAATTAATTGTACATTTTAAAACAAAAGAGTGTGATTGGATTGTTTGTAACACAAAAGATAGATGCTTGAGGTGATGGATACCCCATTTATCCTGATGTTGTTGTTACACGTTGTATGCCTGTATCAAACTATCTCATGTACCACACAAATATATATACCTACTATGCACCCACAACATTTAAAAATAAAAGATATTTTAAATATAATTTTTAAAAATAAAATGTGCCTACTAGATAATTTTAAACTACGTATGTAGCTTGCATTCTGTCTCTTCCTGTTAGCCATGGACTAGACTAGCTTCCTAAAAAGTATTTCCAGAAGTAATAGGAATATTCATCACAGAGTGACCGTAGGTTCTCCCCTCCTCCTTTTTTTTTTTTTTTTTTTTTTTGGCTGCCTTTCATTTGTTAATGACTGAATGTTGCTCAGAGTTCTTCCATAAAGGTCACTTAAGTCTAGAAATATATTGCAGTGGATCAGAGCCATGTGGGCCACCATTTTAGGATATACTGAAGTAGCTAAATCTCTTGTTTCTCGCTTTTCTCTCTTCTGAATACCTTTCCTCCCTTTGGAGGCTCAGGCATCCACCCTACTCATTGTGGTCTGTCAGCTTCAACCCACAACCACAGAAGGTGCCGTGCCGGGCTAGCCTGGCACTGGGAAAACTTCAGAAGACACTGGATTGGGGTTGAGATTTGGGGGAGGAGCCTGATGCAGGATTTTAGGGAAAGAGGTGGACTTGAGTGTGGTTGCTGATGTGCATCTGAAGAGTGATTTGGTGGCTGCCCATCCTGCAGGGACCCTTTCCTGGCCGCTTTTATTCTGACCATGCATTGGAAGTTGTCATTTCTTAAGATCAGGTGATGTAGGTATTTGAAATTTTGCAGGTTTGGTGTTCATTCATTTATTGAAATACTACCAATGTGTTGGTCATGTGTTTTGCTGGGTGCTGGGGTACAAAGCCAAACAACGCATGATTGTGCCCTCAAGAACTATAATGGTGTTTTATGTGCCAAATGTAAGTTCTGAATGCCATATTTTCAGGAGTTAGCAAACATCTGCAAGTCAGGAAGAAAAAATTTGGGAGAATAGGAGGAGGGCTAGTGTAATAAATGCCTGCAGTTGTTTGAAAAGCTTCATGTACAAAAAGCAAGAGACGAACTATGAATTGCTCCAGAGGGCAGAACTAGGAACAGTAGAAATTTGTAGAGAGATTTTTGGCTCTTCCTGAGTATAATAGCCATCTAATAATTACATAGGTTATACTGAACAGTGGACATGGATGGATCTTGTCTCAGGACTTTCGCAAGTCATTCTCTATTTCCACACTTCCCAGTCTAAGGAATATCCTACCTGACAATGCTCCCCTCTCTGTTTCAGACAACTAAAGTCGCTCCTAAATTCATTTCATGTTGAAGGGAAGTTGTTCCCTGTAATATCTAGCTGTTCATCGTAGATGTATCTTCTGAAAGGACTCAGGGTAAATGTAATTTATTTTCCATGGGACATTCGAGTGGGTTTTAAAGGACTACTGGCAGTTTCCCAGGCCAATGGGTTGGGTGAGGATTGAATGTATGCTGTAAGTAGAAAATATAGTATGTGCCATGCCATAGCAGGATGGGGAATGATGAGATGCCCACTGTAGCTGGGCCTGCTGGGTTAGAGTTTTACAACTTGCATGGTCAGAGATGAGATAGGAAGGAAGGGCTAAGGCCAGATTTTACAGGGCTTTGTATGCCTTGCTGAAGGAGTTGGACAGTCCCCTGAAAAAGAAAGTTGCTGCTGTGGTCTGAATGTGTCTTCTCCAATATGTCTGTGTTGAAAGTTAACGACCAATGTAATAGTATTAAGAGGTGGGGTCTTTAAGAGATGATTAGGTCATGTGGGCTCCTCCCTCATGAATGCTATTATGATCCTATAAAAGAGGCTTCATGAAACATATTAAGCCCTGCTTCCTTCTTCTACTATGTGAGGATGCAGCAACAAAGCTCCATCTTGGGAGGAGAGACTCAACTCTACCAGACACCAATCCTACCTGAGCCTTAATATTGGGCTTCCCAGCCTCCAGAACTGTGAGAAATAAATTTCTGTGCTTTATAAATTACCCAGTCTCAGGTATTTTGTTATGGCAGCACAAACAGACGAAGACAGTTACTATTAGAAGCACTGATCAGGGAAGTGAAATGGATTAATTTATTTGGAGAATTTGGAGTGAAGGATGGAATAGAGGGATGAGAGACAGATGAGGGAAACTAGTTAGGAGGCTAGCACAGTAGTCGATATGAAAACTCAAGAAGCATCTTACCCATAGTGTAATTAGGAAGTAGCTTGTTCTTGCTGAGTCCATGCTGATGTCTTCTGATCACTTTCCCCTCAATACCCAACAGAGTTTTAATAGTCTGTTGGTCTCCAGTGGAAGAGAAAGTCAGACAGATCCTAATTCTCTGTCCTATTGATGCTTATATGCTTGGTTCCTAAGGAATGGTATGAAAAATAACATAGAAGTGAAATTCCTAACCTGATTTTGCTCAGCCTCCTAAAAAATATATTCAGGGCTGGGCACGGTGGCTCAGGCCTGTAATCCCAGCACTTTGGGAGGCTTAGGTGAGTGGATCACCTGAGGTCGGGAGTTCAAGACAAGTCTGACCAACATGGAGAAACCCCATCTCTACTGAAAATACAAAAATTAGGCAGGTGTGGTGGCACATGCCTGTAATCCCAGCTACTCAGGAGGCTGAGGCAAGATAATCACTTGAACCCAGGAGGCAGAGGTTGCGGTGAGCTGAGATCACACCATTGCACTCCAGCCTAGGCAACAAGAGTGAAACTCCATCTCAAAAAATAAATATATATATATATGTGTGTATATATATATATGTGTGTGTGTGTGTATATATATATATAGGGATATCTCCCATATCACCCTCCGATGACCCCACATCCCATTCCAGCTCCCTCCAGTTACTGGCCCAATTTTTTTTTTTTTTTCCTTCAAGAGTTATAGTGGCTACCTTCACCTGCACTCCCTTGCCTTTTCTTTGGTTTACCAGCTGGGCTTCTGACCTCATCATTCCACTAAAATTGCTCTTATAATGTCACGAGCCACCTAGAGCTTGTGAGATATAGTGGTCCCTTCTTTGTACTTTTCTTACTCAACTTCTCAGTAGCTTTTGTCATAGTTTGGCAAGAGAATGTTTCTTCTATCTTGAAACACTCTCTTTTGGCTCTTGGAGAACCACACCTGCCTGTTTTTCCTTCAACTTTCTAGTAGTCTCTACCCAGTCTTCTTTGCTTCTACCTCTTCTTCTCAATTCTGATTTTTATGTCCCCTGAGAACTTGGTCTCCTACATTTCTCTTCTGGACACCCTTCCAGATGAACTCATCCAGTCTTACAGTGTTAACTACCACCTAATTGATGGTAACTCTCAGTTGTTAATCTATTACTTCAGACTCTTCGAAGAGCTCCACACTTCTCTATTCAACTGCCATTGTGACTTTTCTAGTTGGCTGTTAACTACACATCTCAAACTCAACATGGCTAAAGTAGAACCCTTGATTCCACTCCCTGCAATCTGTTTCTTTCCCAGTCTTCTTCTATAGCTCTAAGTGGTGATGACTGTTGCTGCAGCCAAAGCCTAGGAGTCGTCTTCGATTTCTCTTTTTCCATTATCCCTCATCCAAATTATTCAACCCATTGCAAATACACCACTTCCTTTGCTCCATTACAGAGCCCAAGCCTGAGGCGCCATTATATCTTATCTGGACTACTGCAGTGTCTCCAAACTCATCCCTTTGTTTCTGTTCCTGCTTATTCTTTCCACCAGACATCCAAAGACATCTTCTAAAACCCAATGAAATCATGCCATTCCCCTGCTCAAAACCTCTCTAGTGGCTTCCCCAGTACTTAGACTAAAGTCCTGTATCTTTGCTGGGGCCTATCATGTAGACTTCATCTCCCACACCCTTCCCGTTGCTCTCTGGACTCCAGCCACCCTGGTGTTTATATTGCTCAAACATGACAACCTCATTCTTCACCTGGGATCTTTGCATCCGCTGTTGCCTCTGCCTGGAAGCATGGCTGCTTCCTTAGGTCACTATGGACTCAGCTCAAACCTCGCCCTCTGGCCACCCACTCAAAAGTAGCCCCACACTAAGCAATATCACTTCATCCAGTTTTAATGCCTTCATATTACTCATCATTATCTGAAATTATCTTGTTCAGATATTATCATTGTCCAAATTATCTCGTTCGGAATCATATGCTTCCATGTTAACCACCTACTTACCTGCCTGAGCTCTAAGAGAGCAACGCTCTTGCCTGTCTTCTTCACTGCTAGTCCCTGGCACCTGGAACAGTGCCTGGCACATAGTAGATACTTCATGAATGAATGAATGAATGTTACCTTTTTGTATTAATTCTTGAGGATGTACTCTTCCTTTCTATTTTTTTTAACCTGATATCATCTAGAAGCTCCTGTATTAGTCAGCATTCTCCAGGGAAACAGAACCAATAGGATACACATCATAAAGTACTGGCTCACATGATTATGGAGGCTGAGAAATCTCATGATCTGCCATTTGCAAGCTGGATACCCAGGTAAGCCAGTGGTGTAGTTCAAACGCCTGAGAGCTGGAGAGCTGAAGTCATAGATTCCAGTTGAGTCTGAATGTCTGTGAGCCGGGAGAACCAAGGGAAGGGGAAGATCAGTGTCCCAGCTCAAGCAATCAGGTAGAGAGCAAATTTAACCTTGCTCTGTCTTTTTCTTCTATTCCAGACCTTGAGGTATTGAAATATATACTTTAACATTGGGGAGGGCTGTTGCTTTACTCAGCCTGCTAATGCTAATCTCTTCTAGAAACACCTTCACAGACATACCCCAGAAATAATGTTTAACCAGATATCTGGACATCCCATGGCTTAGTCAAAATTAAGCATCATCACGTCCCCTGTGCACCCATATTAATTTATTTCCTCATTTTTCCTTTCCTCCTTCATCAGGACAGACTCCTGTTGTTCAGCCAGGATTTTGTTCTTAGAAGCCACCCCTCTCTCCCCATCCTTCCTGAGCTTCTTTCCCTTAGAGTTTTGTTCATGGGGTAATGGTCATCATCTCTCAGCTCTTTGGAATCTGCACCATTCTCTTCTTTGGTCTGTATGAATGCAAAATTTTCTTGGCATTTATTGGTGACAGTTGTGGAAGAGATGTCATGAAGGCTGAGCAGCCTTTACTGTTGAGAAAACCCTTGCGTGTAGATTAAGTCCTTTTAGATGCAACTGGAGCCCACTTTCTTGGCATCCATCTTTTTATTCTGAAATGCTTTTTCTGATTATACAAGAGTTGATGCTAAATGTAAGAAATGCATTCATACAAAAGAGTTAGAGGCACAAGTTTCCCCTGACTCCCATCTCCTAGAGGGAAACCAACATTAAGAGACTGGTGTATATCTTTATACATTTTACTGTCTTATTTGTAGAAACAAATGTTTCTGTATGAAATCATTTTTTATATCCTTTTCTACCATTTCTTTTATAACTCAGCTCTCTCTCTTGTTCTCTCTCTCTGTATGTGTGTGTGTATATATGTGTATATATACATATATATATACATATACTTTAAACATCTTTTTATGGTGATAGAGGTGCATCGTTTTTAGCAATTTCGTAGTTGTCCCCTGTATGAAGCAGGGGGAAAGGAAGGGCTAGTTTCATGACTGAAGCAGAGCTGCTGTTTGGGCAAGAACATCATCTTTATTTAGCTTTCATAAACCATCTTGGTTGTGAAAAGACAGCACAGCCAGGATGGGCTGAAAGTGCTTGGGGATGTCTAATCTGCTTAGCATAAGCAACCAACAAGATTCTGGAGAAAGTCAGGACTCAAGAGTATGCAAATCAGGAGCCAAAGTCAAATTCCTATTTTTGATGGTGAGCAGGGGGAATGACTAGTCTTTTAACAACGGGAGGGCTGATGTTTAGCTTTTAGTTAGCTGCTACTGTTTTGTTTTGTTTTGTTTTGTTTAGTTTTCTTGAGACAGTCTCACTCTGTTGCCCAGGCTGGAGTGCAGTGGCATGATCTCTGCACACTGCAACCCCTGCTTCCCGGGGTCAAGATATTCTCCAGCCTCCGCCTCTTGAGTAGCTGGGATTAGAGGCACATGCTACCACGCCCAGCTAATTTTTGTATTTTTGGTAGACACGGGATTTCACCATGTTGGCCAGGCTGGTCTTGAACTTCTGACCTCAAGTGATTCGCCTGCCTCAGCCTCCCAAAGTGCTGGGATTACAGGCGTGAGGCACCATGCCTGGCCTGCTGCTATGTTTTGTATGTTGCCACAGAGTGTCTGAGTATCTCACTCCCTCCTCTGTGGCCTCCCTTTGCTCATTTCCCCAAATACCTATTACAGTTTACCACATATAAGAAGTTGTGTGGGCCAGGCATGGTGGCTCAAGCCTGTAATCCCGGCATTTTGGGAGGCCGAGGCAGGTGGATCACGTGAGGTCAGGAGTTCAAGACCAGCCTGGCCAACATGGTGAAACCCCGTCTCTACTAAAAAATACAAAAATTAGCTGGGCGTGGTGGCAGGCGCCTGTAATCCCAGCTACTCGGGAGGCTGAGGCACGAGAATTGCTTGAACCCGGGAGGTAGAGGTTGCAGTGAGCCGAGACTGCGTCATTGCACTCCAGCCTAGGCGACAGAGCTAGACACCATCTCAAAATAATAAACAAATAAAAGAAGTTGTGTAAACACTATTTGTGAACATCAAAGAAAGGCTCTGTGTGGTGTGTCTGTCCACAGTAGATGGGGATGGAGGAGCCATGGGAGGCCGCACAGGGCAGAGAGCCAGGATTCACTGGGGCAGGGAATTGGACTAACTGTGGACTCCCAAGAACCCCTAGAGAGTTTGGGATGGATGCCGGGCTTCTCTTTCCCCATGAGAAGGGATTTTGATCCAATATTTAAAATCTTCCGAATGACAGAATAACCCTTGCTGCTATCTGGACTATATACTTTTGTACCATAATTTAGCTAGTTCCTCTTCATGATCATTTAGATTTTTCCAATTTTCCCCCTTTATTATACTTTTCTCAGCAATAAAAATATTGCATCTGCTTCCAAACAGATACAGTCAGTTTATATACACTAATAGATACAGTGCTCCCCACCTCAAAAAAAATAGACGAAGCTATTTTGAAGATGATCCCCTGAGGAGCTGGCATGACTTAGAGCCCATAGTTGCCCTGTGCTACTTCCATGATGTTAAATTTCAAAGCAGAGATTACATTTTAATTATAATAGCATGCTTTAGAGGGATTCACAGCTTAAAAAAACAACTGGAAGCAAATTGTACATGCAAGTGATTAAATGTCTTATCCATGTGATTTCCATTCTCAAAGCTTGATTTATAACACTTGGATTCCTAAAATCTGTTCTTGCCTTTTTCTTTCCACCATATTATGAGTTATCTCAGACTGCTCATGATAAATGAGGTGACTACCACTGATTTTTACAATGACAAAAAGAAAAGAAAAGCATGTTTCATATCAGAAAGTTGTACGTAGCCTTTGTGCTTCATGAAGAAAATAAAATTATGCTAAATACGATTTTAGATTTTTCTTTTTTGGCCTGTATGTATGTTTTAAACAGTGAACAAACAAATGTGATCACGGTGTGTTTTGGCATTTTCCTCTTTTTTTTTTTTTTTGAGATGGAGTCTTGCTCTGTCTCCCAGGCTGGGGTGCAGTGGCACAATCTCAGCTCACTGCAACCTCTGCCTCCCAGGTTCAAGCGATTCTCCTGTCTCAGCCTCCTGAGTAGCTGGGATTACAGATGTGCGCCACCACGCCTGGCTAATTTTTCTATTTTTAGTAGAGATGGGTTTTCACCATGTTTGCCAGGCTGGTCTCAAACTCCCGACCTCAGGTGGCCCGCCTGCCTTGGCTTCCCAAAGTGCTGGGATTACAGGCATGAGCCACCCTGCCTGGCCTGGCATTTCCCTTGTAAGCCTAGCCGTACAATTTTTAATTAGTCTCTAAAACCAGATGTACAAGTGTACAGTTCCCCTGTCAACTATAAATGATGTATTATGTGTATTCTGTACAACACATACTAATTTTAATTTCCTACTACATTTCTAGTATGTATAACATTATGAAAATGTTCATTAGCATAATTCAACATAATTGCTGAGGACTGTTGAATAAATTTCCTTCTAAGGTTTTAGATGATGTTCTACTCCTTATAATATAATACCAACAACACAGAGAAAAGTTGTGCAAGAAAATGATTCCTATCTGGAGGCTTGAAGACTTACGCCCCCATCTTTAAAAAAAAAAAAAAACTGGAAATGTACAGTTTGAAAATGAAAGGTTCAGGAGAAGAAATAACTCAAAGAATTTTAAAGTTATAGATTTTATTTTATTTTGGGATGAAGTCTCACTGTGTCCCCCAGTCTGAAGTGCAGTGGTGTGATCTCGGCTCACTGCAACCTCCACCTCCTGGGTTCAAGCGATTCCCCTGCCTCAGCCTCCCAAGTACCTGAAAAGGCATGTGCCACCATGCCTAGCTGGTTTGTTTTTGTTTTTTTTTTTTTTTGGTATTTTTAATATAGACGAGGGTTTCACTGTGTTGGGTAGGCTGTTCTTAAACTCCTGACCTCAAGTGATCTGCCTGCCTGGGCCTCCCAAAGTGCTGGGATTACAGACATAAGCCACCGCGCCTGGCTAAGGTTATATATTTTAATTTGATCACAGTTTCTATGCAGTTAACTACTGGGAAAAGCACAACTACTCCTATTTAAGACTCATATGTGATCACTGGTTAAAAAAAAGAGAAATACATATTTCTCAAAATAAGTAATGTAAATGCAGAATCTGCTGTATCATCTGTTTCATAGTTTAGATATATGAGCTTCCTCCTCTTTTGACACTATCAATGCTAAGTGATCACATTAAATAATCTGTGCTGATAGTTAAAAGTAAAATTATTTTCATCACAAGCAGAATGTTCTTATTTAGCTTCTCCACAGCTGGCGAGAATTGGTTTAGTTCAGTAAACATTAACTATCTGTGGCCAGGCGCGGTGGCTCACGCCTGTAATCCCAGCACTTTGGGAGGCCGAGGGGGGCGGATCATGAGGTCAGGAGATCGAGACCATCCTGGCTAACACGGTGCAACTCCGTCTCTACTGAAAATACAAAAAAATGAGCCGGGCGTGGTGGCGGGAGCCTGTAGTCCCAGCTACTTGGGAGGCTGAGGCAGGAGAATGGCGTGAACCGGTGAGGCGGAGCTTGCAGTGAGCCGAGATAACGCCACTGCACTCCGGCCTGTGCCAAAGAGTGAGACTCCGTCTCAAAACAACAACAACAACAAAAAACATTAACTGTCTGTGTGCCAGGCAGTGTGCTAGGCTTAGTGGGTACAAAAACCCAACAAAAAGCCCGTGTCGTTGAAGCACTTAGAGTCCGGTGGGCCCTGGGGTTGGGGGGTGTAGTTTGAAGGACAGTCATAGACAGGTGCTTCAATGTCATCTCGTAAGAGGTAGTAAGGTAGAGTTCTGTGCAGGCCACTAGGTGAGCTCTCTTCCACCTGGGGTTCTGCAAAACCACCTTGGAGCCAAATCTTTAAGGAGGAATAAGAACCGGGTAAAGAGACAAAACACAGAGCCAGTGTGAGCTGGGGAGTGCAGAAAAGAGGAGGGAGAATGAATGAGTAGGCATCTGTCCTTGGCCACTGCCTGAGATGGGAAATAGGAAGTAAAAGGACTTGGAGGCGAGGGGCCGATGACTTCCACTGCAGATTTCTGGGGTATTGGAGCCGTTTGAGGGATGTTCAATGGGCTGAAGTTCAGCGGAGTGGGCAGGGCTGGAGCCATGCAGGTGGAGCATACACATGGGAGTCAAAACGATGAGAGAGGTTAATATCCCGGGAGCAAGGAACACTGGGGAATGTGAGTGTTTTAAGAAGTGGGTAAGGGAAGGGAGTCCACAAAGGAACATGAAGGTAGGAGGAGACCTATGGGACCGCATTGTCCCAAAACAGTAGGGAGTTTTAAGAATGGAGACAAAGGGGCCGGGCGCGGTGGCTCACGCCTGTAATCCCAGCACTTTGGGAGGCCGAGGCGGGCCGATCACGAGGCCAGGAGATTGAGACCATCCTGGCTAACACGGTGAAACCCTGTCTCTACTAAAAATACAAAAAATTAGCCAGGCATGGTGGCGGGTGCCTGTAGTCCCAGCTACTCAGGAGGCTGAGGCGGGAGAATGGCGCGAACCCAGGAGGCGAAGGTTGCAGCGAGCCGAGATCGCGCCACTGCACTCCAGCCAGGGCGACAGAGCGAGACTCCGTCTCAAAAAAAAAAAAAAAAAAAAAAAAAGAATGGAGACAAACGACAACAGTGTCAAGAGCAGTAATGAACTTTGTAAAGGTAATGGCTGATGAACATCCCACAGATCTGGCAGTGCGGGTGGTCACTGATGACCTTTGGCAGTGGAGTAATAGGGCATAGACGCCAGATTGCAGAGAGGAGTGGATGGTGTCAAGGACATGGAGAGGCCATCTGTGACTTCCAACCCAGGAAAAAAAAACATAAACATATATGTTTTATATGTATATTATATACATAATACATATATATACAAAATACATATATATAATTTTTTTTTTTGAAATGGAGTCTCCCTCTGTCGCCAAGCTGGAGTGCAGTGGCGTGATCTCGGCTCACTGCAACCTCCACCTCCCAGGTTCAAGCAATTCTTCTACCTCAGCCTCCCTAGTAGCTGGGATTGCAGACACGCGCCACCATGCCCAGCTAATTTTTGTATTTTTTTTTTTAGTTGAGATGGGGTTTCACCATGTTGACCAGAATGGTCTCGATCTCTTGACCTCATGATCCGCCTGCCTCAGCCTCCCAAAGTGCTGAGATTACAGGCGTGAGCCACTGCGTCCAGCCCATATATATAATTTTGATTTTGCCTGTCCTGTTTTTTGGGGGCTAGGGTGTCATGAGTTACAAGTGGCACAATCATAGCTCACTACAGCCTTGAACTTCCAGGCTCAGGTGATTTTCCAGGCTCAGGTGATCTTCTTGCCTTAGCCTCCCAAGCAGTTAAGACTACAGGCGTGCACACCATACCCAGCTAATTTAAAAAAAAAAATTGTAGAGACAGCTTCTCGCTATGTTGCCTAGGCTGCTTATGAACTCCTGGCCTCAAGCTATCCTCCCACCTTGGCTTATTTAAGTGCTGGGATTACAGGTGTGAGCCACCACACCCAGCCTCTTTTCCTGTTTTTATCTCTACTCTTAAATAGGATACCCTTCCACTTTTTTTTCCTCCTTTTTACCTCCCCTGTCTGCTGACATTAAAAATAATAACCACAACTAATTTGCATGGTTCTTTGTAATTTATAAAATACTTTCACGTATCACTTTATTTAATATGCTCACCCATCTTTTGTTTTGGTATCATAACTAATTTACAGTTGTTTAGGATGGAGGCCCAGACATACAGATTCCTATGTGCCTTGTAATTCAACCCGTCCTATTGAGGAAACTGAGGCTCGGGCTTATGTCCTATTCCATCACTGTTTAGAGGGGTTCTGGCTTTAGAAGCTAACCTCCTGATTTTCATTGTGTAACTCTAACTACAAGGTGGAGACACTGGGGAGGCTCAGGCAACCCTGTTAGAACTCAGTACAGAGGAACTCTGGGCCCATAGGCAACCAAGAGCCTGTGCCTTTAAGCCGTCCTGAATCATGTGCTAGTTACTGGTAGGCAGTAAGCCAGACCACAGACCCTCCACCCTCATCTGTACTCGTCTGAGACTCCCTCGCTTTGTTCCCACTCATGACCTCTGCTTATTCTCAGTTCTTTTTCTGTTTCTATCTAGCTTCCTACACTTTGAATTTTGTCTCCTGCTACAGAATATTCCTCCTTTTTGTCCAATCGGCATCCATTCTACTGAATCAATCAACAGCACCTCTATATAGTCCACTGGAGATGGCCCATGGCTAATTAGCCTATTCTGCTGCCCTGGCCTCAATGATTGGTTTGGGGGTGGGCTTGTGATCCAAACCAGGCAAATCAGAGTCAATCCTGGAAAAAGAATCTCTCACAGGGGACCCTATGGCTGCTGCCTGTGTGAACGAAGACAATAAGGAGGTGCCACAGCTAATGGATGGGGTGGCAAAGTTCTCTCTCTTTTTTTTTTAATTATACTTTAAGTTCTTGGATACATGTGCAGAATGTGCAGGTTTGTTACATAAGTATACATGTACTATGGTGGTTTGATGCACCCATCAACCCATCATCTACATTAGGTATTTCTCCTAATGCTATCCTTCCCCTAGCCCCCCACCCCTTGACAGGCCCTGGTGTGTGATGTTCCCCTCCCTGAGTCCATGTGTTCTCACTGTTCAACTCCCACTTATGAGTGAGAACATGCAGTGTTTGTTTTCTGTTCCTGTGTAGTTTGCTGAGCATGATGGTTTCCAGCTTCATCCAGGTCCCTGCAAAGGACATGAACTCATCCTTTTTTATGGCTGCATAGTACTCCATGGTGTATATGTGCCCCATTTTCTTTATCCAGTCTATCATTGATGGGCATTTGGGTTGGTTCCAAGTCTTTCTATTGTGAATAGTG
Source organism: Homo sapiens (assembly GCF_000001405.40). Taxonomy (NCBI): domain Eukaryota; kingdom Metazoa; phylum Chordata; class Mammalia; order Primates; family Hominidae; genus Homo; species Homo sapiens. The sequence continues at coordinate 37,923,401 of NC_000004.12, forward strand.
CTGCAATAAACATATGTGTGCATGTGTGTTTATAGTAGAATGATTTATAATCCTTTGGGTATATACCCAGTAATGGGATTGCTGGGTCAAGCAAGGTTCTTTAATATCCTCTGCACACTGGGATCCAACTTATTGGAGCTGGAAGTCTCCCTGCACTTTTCAAGTGCACAAGCCAATGAAGTCCACATGTATGTTTAATTCCATCGAGGTGAGTGGCAGTTGTAACCACAAAAGCCTTAACTATTAAACTATTATTCTCCTGCTGCACCCCCACCCCATTTTTTTTTTTTTTTTTTTGAGACAGAGTCTCACTCTGTCACCCAGGCTGGAGTGCAGTGGTACCATCTCAGCTCACTGCAACCTCCGCCTCCCAGGTTCAAGTGATTCTCCTGCCTCAGCCTCCCAAGTAGCTGGGACTACAGGTGTGCACCACTATGCCCAGCTAATTTTTGTATTTTTGGTAGAGATGGGGTTTCACCATGTTGGCCAGGCTAGTCTTGAATTCCTGACATCAGCTGATCCACCCACCTAGGCCTCCGAAAGTGCTGGGATTACAGGCGTGAGCCAATGCACCCGGCATAGTCACCTCTTTTTAGCCTCATTTGGCTCCTGTGTCTTGCTGGGACTCACTGTGATCGATCTTTGCAATCTCTAGAATTTGCTTCAGACCCAGTCGTCTTACTCTCGGCTTCCTTAGGTACCCTACACCTTGCTGGCTCCTGCCTCAGCTCCTGAGGCTCAAGCCCTGCGCTCTAACTGGTGTCACTGCCATATACCAGCCCTCTCCTCCCCCACACCACCCCTGCCATGCTCCCTCCCCAAACAATCTCATGGGATATTTTCTCATCACAGTGCTATGAGTCAGTTCAAGTTTATGGGTTGCCTATACTTTGTTTGTATGAACTGATTTTTTCTGTTATTAATAATGACAGAAGAAATATCTACCACTAACCCAATACTTTTTTGTTGCAGTAAAATATGCATAACATAAATCCGTCATTTTAACCATTTTTAGGTGTGCAGTTCAGTGGCATCAGTATATTCACTGTGTTATGCCACCATTACACTACCCATTTCCAGAACTTTTTCATCATCCCACCAGAAACTCTGTAGCCATTAAAAATAACTCCTCACTGCTCCCTGCCTCCAGACCCTGGAAACCTCTTTTATTTCTGTCTCTATGAATTTGCCTATTCTAGGCACCTTATATATGGGGAATCCCATATTTCTCCTTCTGTGTCTGGTGTATTTCACTTAACATAATATTTTCAGGGCTTGTCTATGTTTTAGCAGTATCAGAATTGTATTCCTTTTTAAGGCTGAGTATTATTCCCTTGCATGTATATGCCACATTTTGCTTATCCATGTATCTGTCGATGGACATGTAAGTTGTTTTTACCCTTTGGCTACTGTGAATAATGCTGCTGTGAACATGGGTGTACAAATACCTGTTTGAGTCCCTGCTTTCAATTCTTTTGGGTACATACCAAGAAGTGGAATTCCTGGGTCAACCAAGCATGTGCTATGTATTTTATGCGCATTATTTTATTTACTATTCACAACAACTCTATGTGGTATTATTATTCCTACTTTAAAGCTGAGGAAACTGAGACTCAGAGAAATTAACATGCCAACGACACATCCTGTGCTATGCTCTTGCTGCTGCTACTCATAAAGTCATCTCTCCAAGCCGTGAAGGAACACACATGCAGCATACACTGTCTGCCAGGCCCTGGGCTCCATGCCGAGGCACACAGTCACACGTCATACCTAGTGTTCTCTCCCGTGAATTCGAAGAAAGTGCGATCACCCTGTAGCATGCTGCATGGATGGTGCAGGGCCAGGTCTACCTTTCACACATGGTGTCTTGTCTTTGCCATTTACACTGCTGGGTTTTATTCTTGCCAAGCCAGTGACCAATTTTACCAGCCTCTTTCATTTCCTAACCTGAACCAACGCTGTCTATAGGTGGAAGGAACAAAGAAACAAGTGAAGAAAAAAAATTATATATTACTTCTGATTATAAAAATGATACGACTGGTTGTGGTGGCTTACGCCTGTAATCCCAGCACTTCGGGAGGTCGAGGTGGGGGGATCATGAGGTCAAGAAATCGAGACCATCCTGGCCAACATGGTGAAACCCTGTCTCTACTAAAAATACAAAAATTAGCTGGGCATGGTGAGGCACGCCTGTAGTCCCAGCTACTTAGGAGCGGAGGTTGCAGTGAGCTAAGATCGCGCCACTGCATTCCAGCCTGGTGATAGAGCGAGACTCCATCTCAAAAAAAAAAAAAAAAGAGAGAAAAAAAGAAAAATACATAATCATTGCAGACAATTTGGAAAAAAATAGTAACATATTAACAAAAAAAACAGAAACCACCCTATAATCATGCCACTTGAGATAACTGTTCTAAAAAAAAAGTTTAAAATAAATTAATAATATGTTATCATCAATTAGAAAAGATCAAAGTAGTTTGGTATCAATTTACTCAATAAAACAAAAGAGAGAAATTGGCCCTAAATATTTCCCCATCTACTTTTGACAGATTTAAATTATTCAATTCAGTTACTGCAGATTTATGTCTTTCTGTTTGAAGGACATTTATCCTACAGAACTTGCCAGATGGTGCCCTGCAATGGCTCTATGATTATCCATCATCATTAGAAGAAAATGCTCCGTAATCTGTGTGCATTAACTTTAACTATTTGGAAGGAACATGTGTACTTTGGAAGAAAGCTACCACATGGAGAAAGTATACAGGAAGACCTTTCTAGTGGTAAACATTATTGTCTGAACTCGAATGCCAGAGGCAGAAATGACACTGGATTTACACCAGGATAAGGATTCCCTCCCTTTGTGCCTCCATAGGGTACTTTCTGCCTGCCGTCACTTTAGGTCAGGTTGCTGTGGCTGCTCAATGCCTTAGCGTTGCTCTATAGGGCTGCTCAAGCCATATGGCACCTCTGTACAAATTACAAAGTGCCCCTTCCTTCCTGTGAAAGGAGGTGGCCTTGCTCCATCGCTTGGTCAGCAGAAGGGTGGTGAGTTCATTCTTCACCTGCATCTTTGTCCAGGTACCCTCGTTCAGCAATCAAAAACTCTATGTAATGATCCTGGCTCTGCCTTTTTGAGGCTTCCCTTCCTCTGGGGGTGCTGATGCTGTGGCATATTCTAGATCGAGGTGATGCGGCCCCACTTCTAGGTGAGCCCTGGTGATGTGGCCCTCAATTCAATACATATCTTTTGAACTCTTACTGTCCAAACCTGGTCCCCATGGAAAGGCTACTTGGACGTGGACATCGGTCCTGCCTTCTCTTTGGCCACTGCCACCAACTCTGTGTTACACAGGCTAGAACTTTAAACAGTCCTCTAAGTCTCAGCTGGATTTATTGGTGGTAGCTTTGTCTACAGGTGCTTGAAATATTACTGTTATGGCCAGGCATGGTGGCTCACGCCTGTAATCCCAGCACTTTGGGAGGCCAAGGCGGGTGGATTGCTTGAGGCCAGGAGTTCAAGATCACTCTGGCCAACATGGTGAAACCCCATCTCTACTAAAAATACAAAAATTACCCGGGCATGGTGGCGCATGCCTGTAACCCCAATGTAATTCTCGTGGCTGAGACATGAGAGTCACTTGAACCCAGGAGGCAGAGGTTGCATTGAGTCATGATCACGCCACTGCACTCCAGCCTGGGGGACAGAGCGAAACTCTGTCTCAAAAAAGAAAAGGAAAAAAAAAGAAATATTACTGTTGTAAGTATTAACAGCTATTCAAATTAACACAGACTTCTAATAGAGGCGGGAAGAGATCACTTAGATCTTCCAAAGCCATGACCCCACTCAAAACTCTCCCCATTTCGAATTTATTCTTTTTCATTGGAAGCTAAAGTGCACTCTCCTTCTACAAAAGGAGATTTTACAATTTTTACAAAATTGATTTTACAATTCTATTTTTTTGTGTGTGCCTTGGTTCTTACACTTGCTAGGACTACTAGGTTTCAAGTGTTTCTCTCTTTTAAGGTACTCCTGAAGAGTCTCTCTCTTATATCTATTGCTGTTTAACTCATATTTTCTTTGGTCTGGGGAGCCAAGATCCCAAGATCCACGATTCCAGCTGTAGGCAGCTTGGGTTTTTGCTTTACCATGGTGATGTTTTTATAAAAGCCAAAACAGCAATTACAGTGTCTTAGAAGTGGTGGATGAATTTTGCATGTTAGAAACAGTCATTGTGCCATTATGCAAATGAAATGTAATTTTATGGAAATATGTGATGCAGAGTGAAGCTGAGTGGCTTAAGTACAAATCCTTATGCTTTTGTTTGGTTAATGCACTTTCAAAAATATTGTTAGGTTAGCTGGCACAGCAAGCATCTGTAGTCCCAGCTACTCAGGAGGCTGACGCGGGAGGATCACTTGAGCCCAGGGGTTCGAGGCTGCAGTGTGCTACAGTTAGTTGTGCCTGTGAATAGCCACCGCACTCCATCCTGGGCAACATAGCAAATCCCTGTTTCTGAAAAACACATTTTAAAAATTGTTAAGTTGAAATTCAGGTCATTATTGTCCCTTCACAATAACAGAAATGACTGACAATGGCAAATGTGATTAAAAGCATGCACTCTAGAGTTACCTACTAGCTTAAGGTCCTTGGGAAAAGCACCGAATCTCTCTGCCTTAGTTTCCCCATCTGTAAAATGGGGCTAATAATAGTATCACTATCTTGGGTTTTTGCAAGGATTCAATGAGTTAAGATGTGTGAAGTGCTTAGAATAGGGCCTGGCATATAGTTGGAACTACTAGTTTAAAAGTGTTAGCTATCACATGAAAAATAATATGATTATCTTCTGGAAGTCAGATACAATTTAAGGATGCATTTTATAATATGGTATTACTTCTTCAATGCTTCAACCAACCTAATTGTGATGAAGTCCAACAGCGGCAAATATTGATGTTGTTTTGTTTTACACACTTTTGGTAATTGAATTACTGTAGGCATTTTCCCTCTTGGACAGGATATGTTGATATCAGAGTCAAGGTAAGTGTAGTAAATAGAAGCTTAGGTTTTTTTTTGACACCTGATTGGTGAGTCTGATTCTGTTATAATTTCTTAATTCCCATGACAAGATCCACTGCTCTGTTTTGCTTCTTGAACAGCTTGTCTGGATTGTACTTTCTCTCTTGCCGCTGTAGCGCAGCCAGCCCTTGCAGTGGGTATACTTTTGAAAATCTGGACCTTGATTTTGCAGCTTGTCTGCACAATAAACAGCCGACCCATGCCAATTTTCTTCCAGGCGGTCTTTGGCAGAGGAATTATGACTGGCTGCTCCTCAGTGGGTGGCCAGAAATTTAGTTAAAATATAAGAAATCCAACTGCAAACTATTTCAATCTTTTCTATTGCAGAAACGGATGCCGTTATAACTTTGAAAAATCCATCATGGCCACTTAATTTCCCTCTTTACATTACATTTTAGACGAGTAATTCTTTTGAAATCCAAGGTCATATGAACCACAGGCAAAATTCTCGGCAGTGCTGAAGATTCTCCCTGAAAGGTCTCTAGGCTCGGCTTAGGAACTGTGGGTGAGGAAACAAAGAATTTCCTTTTGGACTGTTAGTCTGAGCTAGCTCATCATTGTCCCTCTTTGTTGGTGCTCTAAATGTGTCATGATGAAATTGCAAGACGGTTCAATGCCAAACTGCATTTAGTAATCTTCTTAATCTCTTTTTGATGCTTTTATAGTGGCTAGTGGTATCTGTGGTTAAGGGATGCCAGACAGTTTTTCTTTTTAAATAGCCAGTCTAGCATTTATCTGTCTATTCATCTACCAGTCCAGCTCTTGAATTGGAAATGATTATAGGTGATTTATAAGTATATATAAGATATGACAATGTACTATGGATTAAAAACTGAGTGACAGAGGAAGGAAACACAATGATAAGATCATAATACTAAGTCAGAATGAAAGTTAAAATGCAAGATCATGTAGCGTTATATCAGCAGTTTCAAAATTTAGCAACCGCTGTACTCCCCATGGGGTATTTGTTAAGAATGCAAGTTCCTTAACCCCACCCTCGGACCCCTGGCACCTATATTGTTAACCCGTGCCCCCAGGTGATCCTGATGCAGGTGGTTGTAGGACCACACTTTAGAAGCACTGACCTATTTCCTTGCTGCAGATGGGTAAATTTGGCTCCAGGTTTTCTGGCAGTCAACATGAAAAATGAAGGCTAAGTTTTCCTAGTGTGCAGGAGATAACATCCTTGGCATATGGTATCAATGAAGATGTAACTATGCTTATATCAACTTGAATAGCTGAATAGGATTTTGACTTGTATAGGAATTCAGAAAGGAAATGTCTTCTGTAGTCCTCCCTAACGTGAACTATGTCAATGAGTCTGTGGCAGCCAACTAAACGATATTAACTAAACTTTTCTTTTGGTCAGGGGATGCTAAAGCCTCTTAGGGAGAAAGAAAGAGAAGAAAAAGGAGGAGAAAGATGGGAAAATACAAAAAAGGCAGAGGAGTGAGAAATGAAAAATAACTATGGCCACACTCTGAACAGTGGTTTGCTACTGTCCACAAAAGGTAAATACATGCACACCCCATGACCCGGCAGTTCCATTCCTAAGAATTCGTGCACATTATTGCCAAAAAACATGAATGGAAAGTTGACAGCAACGTGGTTTACAGTAGCCCAAAACTGGAAACAACCCATCAACAGTAGAATAGTAGAATGGATACATTGTTAAATACAATGTAATACTAAAAAGCAACTAAATGAACTACAGTTATGTGTAAAAACACGAGTGAATTCTAAAAACATAATGCTGATCAAATCAGATGGGAGAAAATACATACTGTATGACTCCATGTATTTAAATTTCAAGGTGAGTAAGAAGAGAACTGATGTATTGTTTAGGATTGCATGCTTTTTAAGTTTTTGAGACAGAGTCTCACTCTGTCACCCAGGCTGGAGTGTAATGGCGTGATCATGGCTCATTGCAGCATCAGACTCCTGGGCTCAAGTGATCCTCCCACCTTAGCCTCCCAAAGTGTTGGGATTACAAGTGTGAGCCATCATGCCTGGCCAACTTTTTGGATTTTTTTTTTTTTAAGACAGAGTCTTCCTGTATTGCCCAGGCTGGATTTGAACTCATGGGCTCAAGTGATCCTCCTGCCTCAGCCTCCTGAGTAGCTGCAATTACAGATGTGTGCCACTGCACCTGGCTAAACATTTTAAAGTCAGGATAAACTAATTAAGTTATTAAACTTTTCCTTGAAATGCTGTGTTCTGTGGTTACAGTTTTCTAGAAGGACTGTAACACTTTTAAGCAAATCTGCCTTAGCCATCTGAAGATTTTATTTTGCATGAAATAAATACTAAGCATATGTTTGTTTTCCTAAAGAAATATTTTCCATATATTAAGATAACACATACTTATTTTAAATGATAAATAATGAGAAGCTGAAAAATTAAGGGACATTTAAAAGATAAAAACTGTGAGAAAGGTAGAGAAAATCTTACTGGATTATACTGTTAGTAATGTCCTCTCCCATTCATATGGAGAAAGAATGGATTAGGAGACTTCTTGATACTGAGTTTATGAGAGAATACATGGTTGTTACCATCTCTTGCATGTCTCCTGTATGCCATTTACCACGATAGATACTTATGTTTTGGGTTTTTTGGTTTTTGTTGTTTTGTTTGTTTGTTTGTTTGTTTGAGATGGAGTCTCACTCTGTCACCCAGGTTGGAGTGCAGTGGAGCAATCTCTGCTCACTGCAGCCTCTGCCTCCCAGGTTCAAGTGATTCTCCTGCCTCACCCTCCCAAGGAACTGCAGGTGCCTGCCACCACATCTGGCTAATTTTTGTATTTCTAGTAGAGACAGGGTTTTGCTGTGTTGGCCAGGCTGGTCTTGAACTCCTGACCTCAAGCTATCCACCTGCCTCGGCCTCCCAAAGTGCTGGAATTACAGGTGTGAGCCAACTCACCTGGCTGGTACTCATGTATTTTATTTGCTACTATCTCAAAAAATTCCTGAGAATGAAGAACTGTTATCCCCACCGTTCCCTGACCTTTTTCCACTCTTTTTTTTTGAGACGGACTCTTGCTCTGTCGCTCAGGCTAGAGTACAGTGGTGCGATCTCAGCTCACTGCAACCTCCGCCTCCCGGGTTCAAGCGATTCTCCTGCCTCAGCCTCCTGAGTAGCTGGGATTACAGGCACCTGCCACCACACCTGGCTAATTTTTGTATTTTTAGTAGAGACGGGGTTTCACCATCTTGGTCACGCTGGTCTTGAACTCTTGACCTCGTGATCCACCCGCCTTGGCCTCCCAAAGTGCTAGAATGACAGGCATGAGCCACTGCGCCCGGCCTTTCCATTCCTCTTATTCCTTTCTGTTCAAATTCATTCACACAAGAAGTTTTGCAAACTCATCCTTCAGTATGAAACAAGTTTTACTCTTTCTTGTACCTCAAATCTAATTTACTTTGCTCTGTTGCTGGTAACTGAGCAGAATAGAGAAATAAATTTCAAATTAATGAATTAGATCTAAAACCCTTCTATTCTGTATCTGTTTCCCTACCAGCTTCTTTTGGTAGGATTTTGACTAACAAATTTGGAATCATCTGAGAAAATCTTGAACTCATCTGTCATTGTTTTTCCCCCAGTAGCAGCTAAAGATGGAATTAGTGGGCTTTTGCCAGAATAAACAGTCTGAATCTTCAGTGAGAGCTATGAAACCTAACTCCCAGTCATTTCTAAAGGATGTGTCCACACTGAGCTCCTTTAGTTGGCCTTTACAAAAATAGCTTCTGTCCATTCTCTAAAACTGATTCCTTTCATGATGCATTGTTTATCCCACTTAACTTAGAGAGGGTATAAAATTTGATTCATTTTGGGGCTTCTAATTTATGCAGAAAACTAAGAATTACCACTAATGTTTTATAATTGCTCTGTTTTAATGCATTCATTTGACTGGAAGTCATATGAAATTTTTTATTCCTCATTGATGCTTAGAGAAAATAAATTGCAAGGCTTTCAGGATGGAAAAAGACACTAGAAAATTTAAAGTGCACATTCTAATACCCCTTATGAACAAGGATTATTCAACATTAAATATGTAGTTATTATTTCAAGAGAGATATGATTTGATATTTTATTTCTTCTGAATTGTGTCATTTCAGAGCAGGAATGGCCCTGGTAAGGCATCAAGTCAAATTCCTTCATTTTACAGATAGGAGCCTTTGACTCAGAAGCTACATGCTGGGCAGTGGCAAAGCTGGGACTAGAACCCAGTGCTCCTCTCCTCACAGAGCCATTCCCAAACAACTTCCACATAAAATATAATTTTAAAAGCATTTTAGAACCTCTGTGGCTGGGCGCGGTGCCTCACGCCTATAATCCTAGCACTTTGGGAAGCTGAAGTGGGAGATCATTTGAGGTCAGGAGTTGGAGACCAGCCTGGCCAACATGGTGAAACCCCATCTCTACTAAAAATGCAAAAATTAGCCAGAGGTGGCGGCGGGTGCCTGTAATCCCAGCTACTTGGGAGGTTGAGGCATGAGAATTGCTTGAATCTGGGAGGCAGAGGTTGCAATGAGCTGAGATTGTGCCACTCCAGCCTGGGTGACAGACTGAGACTCCATTTAAAAACAAAAAAACAAAAAAACAAAAAAAACTTATATTAGAATGTTGCATTATAATAGGTGTGACACCAACTGGTTAAAACTGGATGTATTACCTATTTTCTCACCTAAGATAATAAAATTTCGACCCTTTCAGTTTTACACCCATATGCATATATACTCACAAACACACATATATATACCTATACACACATTTACATATATAGCTACATATACACCTACATACGCACCTACATATTTACACACATATATACACCTTCACAACATATTTACCTATTTATATACATGTAACAAATAGATATATAAATGCACCTACATATATGTTTATATGTACACACACACACCTGTGTATATATTCACCTATATGTATACACACATATGTTTTACACACACACACACACACACACACACACACACACACACAGTAGAATAATAAAAAAATAAAGGCTCTGGAGTCAGGCGGAGAATAGAACCCAACTGGTACTGGGTGTGTTTCCTTATTATGTAAACTTTTAAAATCTGAGTTTCACCATTTGTAAACTGGGAAAAAAAATAGGTAATATATGTTAAGTGGTTAACATGTTGTCTGCCATCTAATAAGCTTTCAGTAACTATGAGTAGCTACCATTGTGAACAACATATACAAAATGTTTAACAGTGATTCAACTTGAAAAAAGATAGATATGATTCATTGTCTTCACCTCCGTACTGATCGGAATCACCATGGGTAGGCTGGTAGGACCATGCCTGGGATGCCTGGTGGCCCTCTGGTTTGGGGACTGGGCTTAAGCCAAGGAAAGTGGCATAGTCTTGTTAATTTGGGGAAAAAAAAGGCACTTTCAAGCAGAGCGTCAGTCTCATTCCTAATCGATTGTGAAAGGAGAGACACATCTCAGGAGGCTGGAAGGTGGGGGATCCAGGCAGCCTGTTGTTGCAGGTTGAAAGTGAGCAGAAGCACCTGTATTGCATATGTTCAGGATAAATAAAGACACCTACACAGGCCGTGTGTTCTGGGTGAGCAGTGGCCCTCCAGACTGACTGGGAGACAGCTAATAGGTGAGAAGATTTGGCCATAGTCATCCAGTGTGTTATGGTCCAAATGCTGAGGCTGAGGCTAGGGAATGTGGAGGAAAAAGGAGTCAGACCAACTAGAATCTGGAAAGGTCAACTGGCTGACAGCTGTCCATCTGGGGCGACATCCAGGGACCAAGGCCAGAAGCTCAGGATGAGTCAGAATGGGCATGGACCGCCAAGGTGCAGGGCGTCCCAGAGGCTGTACCCAGGCACGTGGACATCAGGCTCCCCAGACAACCCAGGCACAGGGTTAGGGTCAAGGCCAAGAACAAGGTAGCCAGAAATGTATCCACGATATGGCTTGAAAACGGGAGGGAGCGAAGAGAGTAAGTCACAGGCTGGGCGAGGGCAAGGACAGATTGGAAGGAGGGAGAAAGGTGGGCTGCTTCTGCGTCATCCGTCCTGGTTGTGTCCCAGGCCTGAGAGTTGATGCATATGGCTTCTGACAGAAGAAAAGATAGAAGAGTGGGCAGAAAAAGGAAAGAAGGGTTTGCTTTTGATGGAGTGGAAACCTGAATTGGCCAGCAGAGAGAGTCTGCAGGGGTTTCTGTGAGGGAGAGACCAGTGTAGGAGGGGCTTTCTTTCTAGCCTCTGCTTTCCCTGGGGACCCTTCAGTGTCATTTTTCCACTTCTGTCATTGACCCACTTTTCTTCCCACCTGTATCAGTCAGAGTGGGCGTGGTTTTGCTGCAGTAACAAATGACCCCCAAATCTCAGTGGCTTATAACAGCAAACATTTATTTTTGGCTTTAACTACATGTTCACTGTGAGTTGGCTACAGCTTGCTTCCTCGTAATCTTTATTCTGTGACCCCAGCTGACTGAGTGGACTCTCTCTCTCTCTGGAACATTGCTGCTTGAAATGGCAGAGGGAAAAGAGACCGTGGAGAACCTTGAGCTGGCCTTGGAGCACCTGCACAGAAGGGAAGTGACACATGTCATTTCCACTCACATTTCATTGACCAAAACAAGTCTTATGGCCAAGCCTGACATTAACAGGGTGGCAAAAATCTAATTCTTCCCCAGAAATGAGCAATGAGTATTTGTAGCAATAATATAGTCCGCCACATGATTGCACTTGCTCCAGGGTCATCTCGCTACTCCCACGACCTCAGTAACTGTCGCTTTGATCCTAGGTTCCTTCCTCCAGCTCAGATCTCTGCACCAAAACCCAAACCCACAAATCCAGCTGTCAATCAGGCAGTTCTCCTTCAAACTGAACATGCTCAACTGAAGTCATTTTCTCTTCAACATTTTGTTTCTTTTTGATTAATGGCTCACTGTCCACCTGGCTATTGACACCTGGGAGTCGTCTTTGACTTTTTGCTCTCCTTCATCATCCCAGATCCAGCTATCCATCAGAAAGTCTTCTTGATTGTATTCAATAAATGTTTCTGCTTCTTTTCATCTCTCCTACCTCTGGTAACCCAAGATACAGTATTTCTCATCTGGACTACTTTGGCAGGCTCTTCAATAACTTCCATGCCTCCATCTTCTCCCTCTCCAATTCACTCCACCAGCGTCCAGAGCGATCTTTCTAATTTGCAGATCTGACAGTACACCTTTCTGCTGTCTCCCCTGTTTAAGCTCTTGCATGGATTCCGATTGGTCTGAGAATCAAGCTGTGGAAAGCTAATAAGAGTCTCCGTTTCCCCTCCAGTCTTACCTTCGCCATTATCCTACCCCTCCCAATGGCTTACATCTCCTGGCCCCACCATCCTGAACCCCTGCCATCTGCCCTAATGTGCCATGTTCTGTCTTACTTCTAGAATATGACAGCGCTATTCCTTCTGACCAGAGTCTTCTATATTCTCTTCAGCTGGCTAACTCTAACTCACCCCTCAGATCTCAGCTTACACATCACTTCCCCCAGGAGGCCTTCTCTGGCCCTTCCTAAACTAGGTAAGGTATTCCTGTCACATGCTCCCATGCACATACCATGCTGTCCTTCCTTTACTCTGGCACAGATCACCGCTTAGACGTGCAGTGGTCCTCCCTTACTTTACAAGACCCCAGTGGAGGCCTAAAACTGACGATAGTACTGAATCGCATACCATATATAATATGTTTTTTGCTGTACACATACCTGTGATAAAGTCTAATTTATAAATTTGGCACAGTAAGAGATTAAGAACAACAATAATAAAATGGAACAATTATAACAATAGATTGTAATAAAAGTTATGTGAATGCAGTCTCCCTCTCTGTCGAAATATCCTATTGTACAGTACTGCAGGTCACTAAAACACAAAAAGTGAAACCATGGATAAGGGGGGGTTACCGCAACATAAATGTCTGCTGTCTCTCTCTGTTGCTGCACTGGAATCTGTTTGAGGGCAGTGACTACTTCAACACTGTATCTCCACCTCCTAGCAGAGTGCCTGGAATAGTCTAGGGGCTATTGGATGGAATGATGATGAATGACCATTCATGGAGTTGAAAATTTGAGTTGACATGACCTCAAAAGCAAGGCCAGAAAGACCCAGAAAGGTCCTTGCTTCCTTCATGTCAGGGGAGCTGAGAAAGAGTAGCTTGGATTAGGGCTGGAGGATAATATAAGTTGCAAAGTACAACAGACTTCTGGAGAAAGATAAAGGAAGGGCAGGGTCTGGGAAGAAGTGAGATATACTAGAATAGAACCTCCTTGCGAGATGGGATTTTTATCTGTTTTGTTCACTGCAGAATTCTTGGGCCTAAAACAGTTCTCAACACATAGTAAGCAGCTAATACTTTATTGAATGAACTAATGAGCAAGTGAATGAATGAATGAACAAATTGTAGGTCAGGGTTCTTTGACTTCAAGGACCAACCCTGGCAGAAAGAGAATTTATTGGACATACATAGGGCAGTTCACAGACTCTGAAAGCCAGAAAATCAAGCCTGGCAAATGAACAGCAACCAAGGGAAGTCAGGCAGATAGAACCACAGCCAAGGTTGCATCACAGGAATACCCTGCTAAGGGCAACACGCTGGCACTGCTGCTGCCAGACACTGCTGTCCCTGGCACTGTCACCACTGCCCTCCTTGTGAGAGTCAGCTCTCACTGACCCTGTGACTTGACATTATTCCTTCGAGACTGAGAGTCCCAGACAGGAATCCCTGATTGTCTGAACCAAGGTGGGTTGCTTGCTCATTACTTGCCAGAAAACGGGAGAGAGTGAATATTTATCCCATCAGCAGAGGGGGCCACGCTGCCATCTTCTCCCTAAGAAGACGGTCGTTCAATGCTGGGTAGCCTAAAAAGCACTCTTAAGTGTCTAAGCATAATAAATGCTTACGATAAAAATTCAATCAATTCAGAAGGGTGCAAAATACAAAATGTAAATCCACTCTCTACTTCCCAATCTCTATTTCACCCCAAGAAATAACCACTGGTATTAGTTGGTAATGTGTTCTTACACACTTCTTCAAGAAACTTCATGAAGTTTATATGTAAATTACAAGCTCCCTATAATAGCTAGGAAGTCCAGCCCTGTGCAGTTTATGAAACAATAAGAATTGTTTCATCAAGAAACAATAATTACATAAAAACAATAACAATTCTTATTGTTTCATAAACTGCTGGACTTCCTAGCCACTATAGGGTATTTGAAAGTTACATATAAAACTTGTAATTTGAAGTTTTTTGCCTGGGAATAAAGTGGCTGCTTGGAGTCTGAAGCCTCGGCCATGTGTGGTGTTGCTGGTGGTTCCTAACGCTCAGGAGGGGACTACCTGCCCAGTAAACTGTAGGCAGACTGGCTCTTGGTGCTGTTTGCTTTGTGTGTTGCATTAAATATTACTGGGTATTTCTTGCTTGAGATTGATCAGGGATGTAATGACATCTAACATTGTGATGGGTAAGCAAAATGTGGGTTCTATTGGAGGGAAGGTATTCACTCCGCCTTTGCCCTAATTGTTTTAAATTGCTGAGGGGACAGTCTCCTGTTTAGGATGTCTCTTGTAGAGAGTTCTGCTCTTCTTAAAGAACAAAAACTTACTGGGTGCAGTGGTACACACCTATAGTCCCAGTTACTTGAGAGGTTTAGATGGGAGGGTCGCTTGAGATCAGGAGTTCAAATGCAGCTGGGGCAGCATAGTGAGACCCCATGTCTAAAAAAAAATTATATGTACGTACCTATAAGAGGAAACAAAAGTTATCTGAAATAATATTTTTCTGGGATTTTAAAGAAATAAGGTTCTAGAACTAACCCATCCTCAACTGATTGCCAGGAAACCTAGTTCTGGGTGTAATATTCTTCATTGTGTTGGTAAATGTGTGACTTTTAGTGCCCAGGAAGCAGTGCCTAGGTGCGCCACAGTGGTTGGACAGTGCAAACATAAGACACTTTGATAGGAGACAGTTTTGCACAAAGAACAGAGAATGGTTGTTCAAATAAGCGATTTGAATTTTTTTCATTTTATTTTATTTTATGTTTTTATTATTATACCTTAAGTTCTAGGGTACATGTGCACAAAGTGCAGGTTTGTTACATATGTATACATGTGCCATGTTGGTGTGCTGCACCCATTAACTCGTCATTTACATTAGGTATATCTCCTAATGCTATGCCTCCCTCCTCCCCCAACCCCATGACAGGTGTGTGATGTTCCCCTTCCTGTGTCCAAGTGTTCTCATTGTTCAATTCCCACCTATGAGTGAGAACAAGCGGTGTTTGGTTTTCTGTTCTTGCGATAGTTTGCTGAGAATGATGGTTTCCAGCTTCATCCATGTCCCTACAAAGGACATGAACTCATCCTTTTGTATGGCTGCATAGTATTCCATGGTGTATATGGGCCACACTTTCTTAATCCAGTCTATCATTGATGGACATCTGGGTTGGTTCCAAGTCTTTGCTATTGTGAATAGTGCCGCAATAAACATACGTGTGCATGTGTCTTTATAGCAGCATGATTTATCATCCTTTGGGTATATACCCAGTAATGGGATGGCTGG
Source organism: Homo sapiens (assembly GCF_000001405.40). Classification (NCBI taxonomy): domain Eukaryota; kingdom Metazoa; phylum Chordata; class Mammalia; order Primates; family Hominidae; genus Homo; species Homo sapiens. The sequence goes on from NC_000004.12 coordinate 37,939,058, forward strand.
GTCAAATGGTATTTCTATTTCTAAATCCTTGAGGAATTGCCACACTGTCTTCCACAATGGTTGAACTAGTTTACAGTCCCACCAACAGTGTAAAAGTGTTCCTATTTCTCCACATCCTCTCCAGCACCTGTTGTTTCCTGACTTTTTAATGATTGCCATTCTAACCAGTGTGAGATGATATCTCATTGTGGTTTTGATTTGCGTTTCTCTGATGGCCAGTGATGATGAGCATTTTCTCATGTGTCTTTTGGCTGCATAAATGTCTTCTTTTGAGAAGTGTCTGTTCCTATCCTTTGCCCACTTTTTGATAGGGTTGTTTTTTTCTTGTAAATTTGTTTGAGTTCATTGTAGATTCTGGATATTAGCCCTTTGTCAGATGAGTAGATTGCAAAAACTTTCTCCCATTCTGTAGGTTGCCTGTTTACTCTGATGGTAGTTTCTTTTGCTGTGCAGAAGCTCTTTAGTTTCATTAGATCCCATTTGTCAATTTTGGCTTCTGTTGCCATTGCTTTTGGTGTTTTAGACATGAAGTCCTTGCCCATGCCTATGTCCTGAATGGTATTGCCTAGGTTTTCTTAGAGGGTTTTTATGGTTTTAGGTCTAAGATTTAAGTCTTTAACCCATCTTGAATTAATTTTTGTATAAGGTATAAGGAAGGGATCCAGTTTCAGCTTTCTACATATGGCTAGCCAGTTTTCCCAGCACCATTTATTAAATAGGGAATCCTTTCCCCATTGCTTGTTTTTGTCAGGTTTGTCAAAGATCAGATGGTTATAGATGCATGGTATTATTTCTGAGGGCTCTGTTCTGTTCCATTGGACTATAGCTCTGTTTTGGTACCAGTACCATGCTGTTTTGGTTACTGTAGCCTTGTAGTACAGTTTGAAGTCAGGTAGCATGATGCTTCCAGCTTTGTTCTTTTGGCTTAGGATTGTCTTGGCAATGCAGGCTCTTTTTTGGTTCCATATGAACTTTAAAGTAGTTTTTTCCAATTCTGTGAAGAAAGTCATTGGTAGCTTAATGGGGATGGCATTGAATCTATAAATTACCTTGGGCAGTATGGCCATTTTCACAATATTGATTCTTCCTATCCATGAGCATGGAATGTTCTTCCATTTGTTTGTGTCCTCTTTTATTTCATTGAGTAGTGGTTTGTAGTTCTCCTTGAAGAGGTCCTTCACATCCCTTGTAAGTTGGATTCCTAGGTATTTTATTCTCTTTGAAGCAATTGTGAATGGGAGTTCACTCATGATTTGGCTCTCTGTTTGTCTTTTATCGGTGTATAAGAATGCTTGTGATTTTTGCGCATTGATTTTGTATCCTGAGACTTTGCTGAAGTTGCTTATCAGCTTAAGGAGATTTTGGGCTGAGACGATGGGGTTATCTAGATATACAATCATGTCATCTGCGAACAGGGACAATTTGATTTCCTCTTTTCCTAATTGAATACCCTTTATTTCTTTCTCCTGCCTGATTGCCCTGGCCAGAACTTCCAACACTATGTTGAACAAGAGTGGTGAGAGAGGGCATCCCTGTCTTGTGCCAGTTTTCAAAGGGAATGCTTCCAGTTTTTGCCCATTCAGTATGCTATTGGCTGTGAGTTTGTCATAGATAGCTCTTATTATTTTGAGATACATCCCATCAATACCGAATTCATTGAGAGTTTTTAGCATGAAGGGCTGTTGAATTTTGTCAAAGGCTTTTTCTGCATCTATTGAGGTAATCATGTGGTTTTTGTCTTTGGTTCTGTTTATATGCTGGATTACGTTTATTGATTTGCATAGGTTGAACAAGCCTTGAATCCCAGGGATGAACCCCACTTGATCATGGTGGATAAGCTTTTTGATGTGCGGCTGGGTTCGGTTTGCCAGTATTTTATTGAGGATTTTTGCATCGATATTCATCAGGGATATTGGTTTATAATTCTCTTTTTTTGTTGTGTCTCTGCCAGGCTTTGGTATCAAGATGATGTTGGCCTTAAAAAATGAGTTAGGGAGGATTCCCTCTTTTCTATTGATTGGAATAATTTCAGAAGGAATGGTACCAGCTCCTTCTTATACCTCTGGTAGAATTCGGCTGTGAATCCATCTGGTCCTGGCCTTTTTTTGGTTGGTAGGCTATTAATTATTGCCTCAATTTCAGAGCCTGTTATTGGTCTATTCAGGGATTCAACTTCTTCCTGGTTTAGTCTTGGGAGAGTGTATGTGTCGAGGAATTTATCCATTTCTTCTAGATTTTCTAGCTTATTTGCACAGAGGTGTTTATAGTGTTCTCTGATGGTAGTTTGTATTTCTGTGGGATCGGTGGTGATATCCCCTCTATCATTTTTTATTGCATCTATTTGATTCTTCTCTCTTTTCTTCTTTATTAGTCTTGCTAGCGGTCTATCAATTTTATCGATCTTTTCAAAAAACCAGCTGCTAGATTCATTGATTTTTTGAAGGGTTTTTTGTGTCTCTGTCTCCCTCAGTTCTGTTCTGATCTTAGTTATTTCTTGCCTTCTGCTAGCTTTTGAATGTATTTGCTCTTGCTTCTCTAGTTCTTTTAATTGTGATGTTAGGGTGTCAATTTTAGATCTTTCCTGCTTTCTCTTGTGGGCATTTAGTGCTATACATTTCCCTCTACAGACTGCTTTGAATGTGTCCCAGAGATTCTGGTATGTTGTGTCTTTGTTCTCATTGGTTTCAAAGAACATCTTTATTTCTGCCTTCATTTCGTTATGTACCCAGTAGTCATTCAGGAGCAAGTTGTTCAGTTTCCATGTAGTTGAGTAGTTTTGAGTGAGTTTCTTAATCCTGAGTTCTAGTTTGATTGCACTGTGGTCAGAGAGACAGTTTGTTATAATTTCTGTTCTTTTACATTTGCTAAGGAGTGCTTTACTTCCAACTATGTGGTCAATTTTGGAATAAGTGCGATGTGGTGCTGAGAAGAATGTATATTCTGTTGATTTGAGGTGGAGAGTTCTGTAGATGTCTATTAGGTCCGCTTGGTGCAGAGCTGAGTTCAATTCCTGGATATCCTTTTTAACTTTCTGTCTCTTGGATCTGTCTAATGTTGACAGTGGGGTGTTAAAGTCTCCCATTATTATTGTGTGGGGTCTAAGTCTCTTTGTAAGTCTCTAAGGACTTGCTTTATGAATCTGGGTGCTCCTGTATTGGCTGCATATATATTTAGGATAGTTAGCTCTTCTTGTTGAATTGATCCCTTTACCATTATGTAATGGCCTTCTTTGCCTCTTTTGATCTTTGTTGGTTTAAAGTCTGTTTAATCAGAGACTAGGATTGCAACCCCTGCCTTTTTTTTGTTTTCCATTTGCTTGTTAGATCTTCCTCCATCCCTTTATTTTGAGCCTATGTGTGTCTCTGCATGTAAGATGGGTCTCCCGAGTACAGCACACTGATGGGTCTTGACTCTTTATCCAGTTTGCCAGTCTTTTAATTGGAGCATTTAGCCCATTTACACTTAAGGTTAATATTGGTGTTTTTTTTGTTTTTTTTTTAGGACGGAGTCTTGCTCTGTCACCCAGGCTGGAGTGCAGTGGCACGATCTCGGCTCACTGCAAGCTCTGCCTCCCAGGTTCATGCCATTCTCCTGCCTCAGCCTCCCAAGTAGCTGGAACTACAGGTGCCCACCACCACGCCTGGCTAATTTTTTTTGTATTTTTAGTAGAGACGGGGTTTCACCATGTTAGCCAGGATGGTCTCGATCTGCTGACCTTGTGATCCACCCATCTTGCACTCCCAAAGTGCTGGGATTACAGGCGTGAGCCACCGTGCCCGGCTAGGTTAATATTGTTATATGTGAATTTGATCCTGTCATTATGATGTTAGCTGGTTATTTTGCTTGTTAGTTGATGCAGTTTCTTCCTAGCATTGACGGTCTTTACATTTTGGCATGTTTTTGCAGTGGCTGGTACCAGTTGTTCCTTTCCATGTTTAGTGCTTCCCTCAGGAGCTCTTGCAGGACAGGCCTGGTGGTGACAAAATCTGTCAGCATTTGCTTGTCTGTAAAGGATTTTATTTCTCCTTCACTTATGAAGCTTAGTTTGGCTGGATATGAAATTCTGGGTTGAAAATTATTTTCTTTAAGAATGTTGAATATTGGCCCCCACTCTCTTCTGGCTTGTGGAGTTTCTGCCGAGAGATCTGCTGTTAGTCTGATGGGCTTCCCTTTGTGGGTAACCCGACCTTTCTCTCTGGCTGCCCTTAACATTTTTTCCTTCATTTCAACTTTGGTGAATCTGACAATTATGTGTCTTGGAGTTACTCTTCTCAAGGAGTATCTTTGTGGCATTCTCTGTATTTCCTGAATTTGAATGTTGGCCTGCCTTGCTAGGTTGGGGAAGTTCTCCTGGATAATATCCTGCAGAGTATTTTCCAACTTGGTTCCATTCTCCCCATCACTTTCCAGTACACCAATCAGACGTAGATTTCATCTTTTCACATAGTCCCGTATTTCTTGGAGGCTTTATTCATTTCTTTTTACTCTTTTTTCTCCAAACTTCTCTTCTTGCTTCATTTCATTCATTTGATCTTCAATCACTGATATCCTTTCTTCCAGTTAATCGAATCAGCTACGAAGCTTGTGCATTTGTCACATAGTTCTCATGCCATAGTTTTCAGCTCCATCAGGTCCTTTAAGGACTTCTCTACACTGGTTATTCTAGTTAGCCATTCATCTAATCTTTTTTCAAGGTTTTTAGCTTCTTTGCGATGGGTTCAAACTTCCCCCTTTAGCTGGGAGAAGTTTGATTGTCTGAAGCCTTCTTCCCTCAACTCATCAAAGTCATTCTTCATCCACCTTTGTTCCATTGCTGGTGAGGAGCTGCATTCCTTTGGAGGGGGAGAGGCACTCTGATTTTTGGAATTTTCAGCTTTTCTGCTCTGTTTTTTCCCCATCTTTGTGGTTTTATCTACCTTTGGTCTTTAATGATGGTGACATATAGATGGGGTTTTGGTGTGGATGTCCTTTCTGTTCATTAGTTTTCCTTCTAACAGTCAGGACCCTCAGCTGCAGGTCTGTTGGAGTTTGCTGGAGGTCCACTCCAGACCTTGTTTGCCTGGGTATCAGCAGCAGAGGCTGCAGAACAGCGAATATTGCTAAACAGAAAATGTTGCTGCCTGATCGTTCCTCTGGAAGCTTCGTCTCAGAGGGGTACCCAGCCATGTGAGGTGTCAGTCTGCCCCTACTGGGGGGTGCCTCCCAGTTAGGCTACTTGGGGGTCAGGGACCCACTTGAGGAGGCAGTCTGTCCGTTCTCAGATCTCCAGCTGCCTGCTGGGAGAACCACTACTCTCTTCAAAGCTGTCAGACAGGGACATTTAAATCTGCAGAGGTTTCTGCTGCCTTTTGTTCAGCTATGCCCTGCCTCCAGAGGTGGAGTCTACAGAGGCAGGCAGGCATCCTTGAGCTGTGGTGGGCTCCACCCAGTTCGAGCTTCCCGGCCGCTTTGTTTACCTACTCAAGCCTCAGCAATGGCAGGCTTTCCTTTCCCAGCCTCACTGCCGCCTTGCAGTTCAATCTCAGACTGCTGTGCTAACAATGAGCGAGGGTCCATGGGTGTGGAACCCTTTGAGCCAGGTGCGGGACATAATCTCCTGGTGTGCCGTTTGCTAAGACCCTTGGAAAAGCGCAGTATTAGGGTGGGAGTGACCCGATTTTCCAGGGGCTGTCTGTTACGGCTTACCTTGGCTAGGAAAGGGAATTCCCTGATCCCTTGTGCTTCCCAGGTGAGGCGATGCCTCGCCCTGCTTCGGCTCACACTCGGTGGGCTGCACCCACTGTCCTGCACCCACTGTCTGACATGCCCCAGTGAGATGAACCCGGTACCTCATTTGGAAATGCAGAAATCACCCGTCTTCTGTGTCGTTCACGCCGGGAGCTGTAGACTGGAGCTGTTCCTATTTGGCCATCTTGGGTCAACAAGTCGTGATTTGAATTTTAAGAAAGCAGAACTAGTGGTTATAAATCTTAGTAGAGTCCAGCTCTGGACTGGACTTTTTGTAAGAAATATATGACAAACCATAAGGCACAGCTATAAACAGAATAATGTACTTATAGAAAGTTGGATAAATGCAGTTCAGGTTGTTACAGGGCTGACCCAAATCATCGCTCTTGGTCCAAGTATAAGGTCTCAAGCTGGTATCCAATGTGACCTCTCAAGAGCCTACAGGTAGGCTGGGTGTGGTGGCTCATGCCTGTAATCTCAGCACTTCGGGAGGCTGAGGCGGGCAGATCACCTGAGGTCAGGAGTTTGAGACCAGCCTGGCCAACATGGCAAACTCCATCTCTACTGAAATCACAAAAAATAGCTGAACATGGTGGTGCACACCTGTAGTCCCAGCTACTTGGGAGGCTGAGGCAGGAGAATCACTTGAACCTGGGAGGCGGAGGTTGCAGTGAGCCAAGATCACACCATTGCACTCCAGCCTGGGCAACAGAGAGAGACTCCACCTCAAAAAAAAAAAAAAAAAAAAAAAAAAAAAAAAAAAAAAAGCCTAGAAGCAAAAGCCAGCACTTCAGTCCAACCTGCTTTGCCCAGCTCTATGTCAAAGAAGGATGTTACTTGGATGATGTTGTATGCTTCTTCTTTGCCAAACAACTGTCTGCAGTATTCATACACAGAAGTGAGCAGATCAGATATGCTTATAACATCCAGGATTCCCATACAAAGCCTTTCTATTGGAAATCAATGCTGTATTAGTATCTAAACTGGTAGCAGTTCTGTTTTACATTCATGAAATGGGATAAATTTTAAATCTTTTTGATAGAATCTAATGAACAAATATGGGTTAATTTTAAAAATGTGAGTTGAGATAATCTAGTTTAAAGTCGCAGCCAAAATAGAAGTCAGCTGTGATTCATCTGAAACTATGTGGACATTCTGAGTGCTGATAACAGAGGAGGGCCTTCCTTTGAAAGTATTATTTTACAAGGTGATTATAGCAAAGCTACAATGAGTATGACAGAAAGCCATAATATATTTTGATACAAAGAAACATTGGCTCTTTAAAAGAAGGTACCAGGAACAGAAGTAACAGTTAAAAATTGGCAAAAGCAATGATCTTTGATATTAAATTTAATTTTCTCTTGCCTTACTGTCTTGACTGTCATACAAATGAAACTCAGCAGACTAGAAATGCTGGAAAAACCATTTTTCTATAACAAAATTACAGTTACCTAGGAGGAATGAGTTCTGGTCTTTGCAGCACTGTGGGGTGAATATGGTTAACTGTAATTTATTGTATATTTTCAGAAAGCTAGAAGAGAGGACTTTGCATGCTCCCAACACAAAGAAATGATAAATGTTTGAGGTGATGGATTTGCTAAGTACCTGATTTGGTCGTTATACATCATATGCATGCATGGAAATATCACTCCGTCTCCCATAAATATGTACACTTATTACATATGTAGAATTATAACACTAAAAGGGAAGAAACAGTATCGTGTGAATCTATTAAAATAATGCCCTTGTTTTGTCTGAGCAGGAAGTCAATAATTTTTTCATGTTCCAAAGAGAAGCTAGATCATGACCTGGGCCTTGAAGGGTCAACAGTGGCCCAGGGAAAAGGACTGTGGGCATGACCTGCAGGAAGAGGAAGCCGGGCTGTGAAACCACAGGGAGGAGAAGTGGAGTTGTGGTGGCAGCAGGGACTGGGGCTGTCTGGAGAAGGCATGAGAAAGTGGGAGTTGCGGCAGTGTCGATTGTAGTTGTCCTTCTGCCTACATGCCATGAGACATATCTTCTCCTGGGCTATGCCAAATTTCAGGACTGCCTCAGGACTCCTTTCCTTGGTATTTACCCAAGAGAAAGGAAAATGCATGTCCACATCGTCTTGTACACTAAGGTTCCTAGCCGCTTTTTATGTAATAGCCAAAAATGGAAAACAATCTAGAAGCTGAAAACAGCCTACATGTCTGGCAACAGGTGGTAAATGGCATGCGACTCAACAATAAAAAGGGATGGACGGATGATGAACATAGCACTGGGGAAGATCTCAAAGTCATTATGCTGAGCAAAACAACGCAGACATCTCCCTTACCCGCACTCCCCAAGTAAAGAGTACATGCTACATAATTCTGTTTATTCATTTATTTATGTGTTTATTTATTTTTGAGACAGAGTCTTGCTCTGTCGCCCAGGCTGGAGTATAGTAGTGCCACTGCTGCTCACTGCAACCTCCACTTCCTGGGTTCAAGCGATTCTCCTGCCTCAGCCTCCTGAATAGCTGGGACTACAGGCGTGCGCCACCATGCCAGGCTAATTTTTGTATTTTTAGTAGAAATGGACTTTCACTATGTTGGCCAGGCTGATCTCAAACTCCTGACCTCAAGTGATCCACCTGCTTCGGTCTCCCAAAGTGCTGAGATTACAGGCATGAGCCACCATGCCCGGCCTATTTATGTTTTATTTTTTAGAGACAGGGTCTCTCACTCTGTCATCCAGGCTGGAGTATAGTCGTGCGATCATAGCTCACTGCAGCCTCGACCTCCTGGGCTCAAGCAATCCTCCTGTCCCAACCTCCCCAGGTTACACCAGGTGAGCACCACTGCACTTCATTAATTAAAAAAATTTTGTTTGTGGAGGCAGGGTCTCACTATGTTGCCCAGGCATAATACATACTTCTGTTTCTATAAAACTATAGAAGACGCAAACTAATGTTTAGTCAAGCAAACAGATCAGTGGTTGTTTGGAGACAAAGTAGAGGGAAGGATGGATTACAAAGTGGCACAAGAATTTTGGGGGTGACGGGAAGTGTTTGGTAAATTGTGTTTTAGTTTCACAGACATGTTCATATGTCAAAACACAAGTGGACAGTTCATTGTAAAAAAAAAAAAGTTAAAACAAAGGTAGTACCCCCAAATAAAAGAACAGGGCCTGCTAGATGGTAAGTTCTCAATAAATGTCAGTTAACGATAATAATAATAGGTAGGTACTACGATTATTCCTAGTTAACAAAGTGGAAACTGAAGCCAAGAGGTTAAGTAACTTGCCCAAGGTCACCTAGTCAGCTGGTGGTGTGTCCAGGATGCAGTCAAACTGCAAGACCTGAACCCCATGGTAGGAAAAAGAGTGTGAAGACAGGGCTAGAAGAACGGGCAGGTCCAGAAAGAAGATTATAAGAGGCACCATGTCAGAGGAGCAGCAAGGCGGACTGGAGGGCAGTGGGTGTGTGAAGAAGAGCTTCCACTGAGAACATTCTATGGGCATTTTGTATCAAGTACAGGAACTTGCCTTTTCTCACTCAGTCATTAATTCACATACCATAAAATTCACCCATTTGAGGCTGGGCGTGGTGGCTCACGCCTGTTAATTCCAGCCCTATGGGAGGCCAAGGTGGGTGGATCACTGGAGGCAAGAGGTTGAGACCAGCCTGGCCAACATGGTGAAACCTTGTCTCTACTGAAAATACGAAAATTTGCTGAGCGTGGTGGCGCATGCCTGTAATCCCAGCTACTCCACAGGCTGAGGCAGGAGAATTTCTTGAACCTGGGAGGTGGGGGTTGCAGTGAGCCGAGATCTCACCCACTGCACTCCAGCCTGGGCAACAGAGCAAGACTCTGTCTCAAAAAAAAAAAAAAATTACCCATTTGAAGTATACAGTTCAGTGGGTTTTAGTATATTCACAGGGTTGTGCAACCATCACCACAGGTTAATTTCAGTGTTTTTGGCACTCCCCCAAAAAACCTGTACGTATCAGCTGTCACCCCCCGTCTTCCTCCCTTACTTCTTCAGCCGTAACCACAGATCTACTTTTCATCACTATAGACTTGCATATTCTGAACATTTCACATGAATAGAATCATGTAATATGTGGTCTCTTCTGCCTGACATCTTTCACTTAGTATAATGTTTTCAAGGTTCATCATGTTGTAGCATATATCAGTAACTCATTTCCTTTTATGGATGAATAATACTCTATTGTATGGATATACCGCATTTTGTTTATCCAATCGTCAGTTGATGGCCATGGGTTGCTTTCAGTTTTTGGCTATTTTGAACAACGCTGCTATTCTCAATCAGTTTTATTTCAACAACTAATGGTTATTTCAACTGGTAAAGAGAGAGGCATATATCAATCACAGGCACAGATACGATCTGAGTAGACGGCTATTTATTTGCAGATCATCTGGTTCATTTTGTATTTAACAAAATATGTGGAGACTTTTTTGACATATTTTTCTGTGCAGTAAAGAACTTAGACTTAGGTTACAGGTATCAATGATAGTGCTGCCTAATTACTTGTGTTTAGGAAAATTGTTTGCAAAGGAATTGATAACTTTTATTGAGTGCTTCCTATTAGGTTGATGTATTTTTTCCAGTATAATTCTTACACTATTCTGTGTGCTCAGTTTTAATACCCTTAATATAAATGAGACTTCTGAGGCACATGGATGTTGTAGCACGTACTGCGGTGCCTGCCTCCAAGTTCACCCACAGGTGCGTACTGGCAGCTTCTCATTTTAACCACCAGTCTCTCTGCTTCTCAGCCTGAGGCTTTCTCAGACTGTCTGAAAATCCCTTAGCAGTGCTAGGGATCTAATCACTCCAGGGCAACCCTAAACTGTTGAAGTGACTACATGCTCAGCTTTCCTTCTTCCTTCCAGACGTTCTACATGAGAGGTCAGCAAACTTTTGCTCTTAGGACCAGAAAGTAAATATTTTCAACTCTGTAGGCCATACAGTCTATGTAGCAACTATTCAACTCTGCCATTTTAGCATGAAAGTAACAATAGACGGTACCAAAAGAATGGGCTTGGCTATGTTCCAATAAAACTTTATTTATAAATAGACATTGTGTGGGTTGGATTTGACCTGCTGACTGTAGTTTGCTGACGCCTATTCTCCATGATTTCTTAGAAGATTCCTAACGGAGTTGAACCCCAGTTGCACCGAGAGGTAACCCATTCGTTACCATACCCTTTTTTACTGGCCTTTCTTTCTTCCCTGTGTCTTTATTTACATGCCTATATTTTTGCTTCCTGGGGTCTCCAACCAGACAAACTCCCTGTCCCAAATTCCTTCTCTCAGGATCTGTTTTTGGGGGAACCAAATTGACAAACCAGGACAATACGATATTACACCAGGCTGAGAATATGCATATGAAGAGATCAGAGGCTGTGGCGTGAGTCTGAGGCGCAGTTCTGCACCTGAATGACCCTGGGCAAATAACTTCACCTCTTTGTGCCTCATTTTCCTCATCTGTAAAATGGGTATTGTCACAGAACCTACTGAAAAAAGTTGTTAGGAGGATTTTATGTGTTAATTTGTGTAAAACAGAAGCATGCCTGATAATAGAGGATTTCTTATTATAAGCCATAGAGACTTGTGAATGGTTCATAAAGTTTTTCATTCATTTATGGAAAGACCCTTTATGCCGTCTTTGCAAAAAAAAAATAGGATTGAGTTAATGGATTTTTCAAAAAATTCTTAAGACTTCATTTTTTTAGAGTAGTTTTAGGTTCACAGCAAAATTGAGAAGAGGCTACAGATATAGCCACCTGCCCCCTCCCCTCCCGCCCCCTACATGCACAGCCTCCCCCAATAGCAACATTCCCCACCAGAGTGGTCCATTTGTTACAATTGATGAACCAACATTGACACATTATTCTCACCCAAAATTCATAGTTTACATTAGGACTCATTCTTGGTGTTGTAAATCCTGTGAATTGGACAAATGTACAATGACATGTAGTCACTTTTTTTTTTTTTTTTGAGACGGAGTTTCGCTCTTGTTGCCCAGGCTGGAGTGCAGTGGTGTGATCTCGACTCACTGAAACCCCCACCTCCCAGGTTCAAGCGATTCTCCTGCCTCAGCCTCCCAAGTAGCTGGGATTACAGGCACTTGCCGCCATGCCCAGCTAATTTTTATATTTCTTTTTTAGTAGAGACAGGGTTTCACCATGTTGGCCAAGCTGGTCTCGAACTCCTGACCTCAGGTGATCCACCCTCCTCGGCCTCCCACCAATGCTGGGATTACAGGTGTGAGCCACTGCGCCTGGCCTATTCACCATTTTAAATTATTTATTGTGAGAAATATAAATAGCTGAACAATACAATGTACTTTTCCCCAGTTTGGCCTTGATGATTTGAAAATATATTGTCCTTTGTGTTCAAAAAACACAAAGAATTCCTGTCTTTGGGCGCTATTTACTGTATACTGAAATATTTATGAATGAAATAGCATATCAGGGATTGTTTTTAAAAATGATCGTGGGAAGAGAAGTGGGTGTGGATACTGAAATAAGATTGGTCCCGAGCTGACACTGGTTGAAATTGGGTGATGGAACCTGGGAGTTCATTAGAATATTCTCTCTACTTTCCTATTTGACATTTTCCATAAATATAGGTGGTTAAAAAAATACATGGCCTCAGAATCTATAAACAAAACTTTGCTGCTATAAGAACTGCATTATAAGAAGGAAGGAGGGGAATTATCTCCAGCTACATCCTGGGGACCACCACCCTAATTTGTTAACATATCAGAACTACAGGCTCTTTTTTATTCTTGTGCCCAAGACTCTCCGCGAGATTTATCTTCTGTGGTCACAGCAGGGGAAGGAACCTTGTGACACTCTGCTAGGGAAGAGGAGAGGCGGTGACACTCAGCCAAGTTAGGGAAGTGGACTTTCGATATTTGAAAAGGCCATTCAAAACAACATTTGAAAGAAGTCAGAGTATTTGTTCAGTGAAACACTTAGGATCTATAAAATGGTTATAGTGTTTGTCCAGGAGAATAAACACTGAAAATCTGTAGAGGGGTCACAGCCTTTGCCCAGAGGAGTAAATCATTCAGATACAATTTTTAGCTATTACAATACTGACATGGAGTTCAGGTGATAATGGGTATGTACTTTTACCATGTCCCTCCCTGTGACTGTACAAACCTACATACTGACACCTATGTGTTCTCAGACTATGTATAAGCCTTTCCCTGTATTACAGTGCTCATCATCACTGTAGGGGACCTTTGAAAGAGCTGCCGGAGAAGGTGAGGAAGAAAGCCCTGCCTGGAAAGCAACAGTGAACCACCAGTGTCAGCAACGTGAAGCTTGCTGCAAGGCCTGCAGTCATGATGAACCCAGCAGCTTCTAGTTCATCCCAGTGGCCCTGAGACTATTTATCCTGTGACTTCACACGCGCTTGGAAGTTTTGTTGTGATCTTCGCTGAGTCTGTGCGGAAATCACAGGCTAGATTTTAGATTTTTTACTTTTCAGCATGTGACTTAAAGTTCTGTTGACTTGGGGAAAGGGCTGATAATCTTGTGCTAAATCACTGATGGAATATAAATTAAAATCTCCATCTCTCAGTCAATCCAAGTGTCCATCAATGGTAGACTGGATAAAGAAAATGTGGTACATACACACCATGGAATACTATGCAGCCATAAAAAGAAACGAGATCACGTCCTTTCTAGGAACATGGATGGAGCTGGAAACCATTATCCTCAGCAAACTAACAAAGGAAGAGAAAACCAAACACCACATGTTCTCATTTATAAGTGGGAGCTGAACAATGAGAACACGTGGACACAGGGAGGAGAACAACACACACTGGGGCCTGTCACGGGGCGGGGTGAGGGGAGGGAGAGCATTAGGAAAAACAGCTAATACATGCTAGGCTTGATATCTAGGCGATGGGTTGGTAGGTGCAGCAAACCACCATGGCACACATTTACCTATGTAACAAACCTGCACATCCTGCACATGTACCCTGAAACTTAGAAATAAAAATTTTTCAAAAGGGAAAAATAAAATGTCCATCTCTTGAATCCTGGTTTTTTACTTATCCCACATGGCCCTGTCGTTTGCACAGATTATGTGATGGTTTTGAGTTGATGGGGGCTGCAGAAAAATTGTGCTAATTTACAGTGAAAATCAAATCAAGACATTTGATTGATGATGTGTGATCAAAATTGTGCACGGCTAGATGTGCTGATTGATGACGTGGTTTTGGATATGCCGTGTATTGTCTCAGCTGCAGGTAATTGGAATCCATATGCATTAGCTCCATTCCTCTCCCACTGTGGCATGCAGACATTTTGCATTCGGAGCCAGTAATTTGGTGCCTTTTCCGACAAGTTTGGAATGAAAGCATGAATGCTAAATTTTGGAATACCACAGTGTGATATGAAAAGCATATTACTAATTAATGGAATAGAACCAGGTAGGAATTTCTTGGACAGATAAGAGAGAAATGGTGTTTTTAATCTGGAGGTGATCCTGAGTAATTCTTCTGAGCTCAGTTTTTAACTGACAAATCTTAATATCAGACTTTATTAAAAACGTTTTCAAAGTGGCATGTGCAATTAAAGCTTCATCAAGGAGAGGCACTGCATGTCATTACTGGTAATAGAATCCTGCTCCTGTAGTTTTTAATTCCCACTTTTCTGAAATGAAACACAACCAGTTATGTAGTATAATATGTAAAATCTACTAGGGAATTCAATAATTTTGCAATTAAGCTTGAGGTATTTTAAAATCATTTTGTCTATTAAATATGTCACTATAACTGTTTAATCATGACTTGAATAAGAGACAGGAGAAAGCATATCTGGGAAAATGCAAATGGTTGATGAGTAGAAGAATTGACTAAGGTTGATGTGTAGAATAGTGGTAAATTCTACAGAACCTTAGAGCTCCTTCAAGGGAGGGATAAACATGAGCCACGCCTGGGAGACAGTTTGTATATTTTGAGAAGATTGGATGGTTACTGTGGTTAGCTTGGTATGTGGCCAGGGACAGCAGAAAATAAGGATGAGTTCAGCTAAAAGTAATAGAATGCCTAATTTATAGTGGCTTGTATCGTCATTTCTCATTTTGACATCCTTAACAACATTGCCAGGGAGCCCGTTATTAATGTAGATTATCAGGCTCCACTTCAGCCCTGCAAAATCAACATTCCCATTGTAAGGAGATTTCCAAGCGATTCATAGGCCCATTAAACTCTGGTCTAGAAAACAGAGATACTTAGATATCTCACAGAATAAGGATAGGAATGCAAGCAGTTCCAGAGTGGCTGGATCTAAATCACCAATAACAGGCTTTTGTCTCATTCCACTTTGCAATCCCTAGCATGTTGACTTTGGCCTTTTGTTGTGTGGCCTCAGGATTCCAAGATGGCTGCTGTGGCTCCTCGCACCAGTGCATTCTAGGTAGGAGAGGAGGGGCAGACGTCTTCTAATATCTCATTGGCCAGACGTGGGTCACATGTTGACTTTTTTTTCTCTTTTAACCTTTCCTATGGTACTGAACATGTTGACTTTTAGATGACTCACTTGGGAAGATAAAAGGATTAACATTACTAATTTATACATTCATTCATTCAGTAAAAAAAAAAAAAAAATTGCCTACTATGTGCCAACTCATGAGCATTCCATGGGGCTACAGCTGAGATCAAAGGTCTACGTCTATTGTCTGAACAAAATTAGGGTTATTTTAGTGAAGAGGAAATGGGAGAATCATTATTAGGTAGAATTAATATCAGTCACAGGTAGGTTGAGGCCAGATTTGGAAGGGTCTTGGAAGTCATGTCAAGAATGGACGGAGACCAGTGAGGATACCTTTGAGGTGATTCAAGTTAGAGATGATGAGGACCGGCCTAGGATAATAGTGGCTGCGATGGAGGAAGGGATGCTTTGAAGGTCGGCTCTGAGGCGGAAGTGCCTACTTAGTGATACTGTATGTGGGCGATGAAGAGGCGGGGTGATTCACTGAAACTCTGATGGGATCCCTCACTCAGCTGTCTCAGAACAGCTGACATGAAAAAAAAAAAATCTATGTATCATATGACTCTTAGCAGTGGATTTTTTTTTTTTTTGAAACAGTCTTTTTTTTTTTTTTTGAGACGGAGTCTCTCTCTGTCGTCCAGGCTGGAGTGCAGTGGCGTGATCCGATCTTGGCTCACTTAGCAGTAGATTTTTTTAAAACCTATGTATTTAACACATACATAATCAGGTGATACAAAGCTCTGTAATCTAGATTTTCCACCTGATGTGTCATGTACCGATTTCTGTCAGTACATGTAGAACTATCTCATCTTTCTTTAACTCACTTTTTATTTTTATTTGAAAAATGTTGTAAAACACAAGTTAAAAACCATGTATAATCTAATAAATTTAAGAAACTATAAAAAGTAAAAAAAGAAATCACCCCTTCATTTTACTTCTGGAGCATGTATCTCTCCCAGTTTTTTTCCAAAGGTAGCGCAGACTTAATGAGAGATTCCCATGAACTGCACATACATACCTCTCTATGTGTATACAGTTGTCCCTCAGTGTATGTGGGGATGAGGGCATTGGTTTTACCACCCCTGTGGATACCAAAATCCATGGATGCTCAAACCCCCGATATAAAATGACATAGTATTTGCCTGTAACCTGTGCCCACCCTCCTATATACTTTAAATCATCTCTAGATTACTTATACTACTCAATACAGTGTAAATGCTACATACATAGTGTTATACTGTTTTGTTCAGGGAATAGTTATAAGAAAAAATGTCTGTACATGTTCAGTACAGACACAACCATCCTTTGTTTTTTCCAAATATTTACAATCCACGGTTGGTTGAATCCACAGATGCGAAACCCATGGGTAAAGAGGGTCAACTGTATATAAATTACAATGTGTTACAATGTGCAGTTTCCACTGTGACTCTTTTTTACAAAAATTTCTGCCCTTTGTTATGAGCACCTGTGGTCCAAGAATAAGCAGTGTTTAAGAGAGCTTTACCTCAAAGTTTACACTTTTCATTTTTCTATTATGCATATAGATTATAATACATATTGTCAGGGCTGGCCGTGGTGTCTCACGCCTGTAATTCCAGCACTTTGGGAGGCTAAGGTGGGAGGATTGCTTGAGTCTAGGAGTTTGAGACCAGCCTGGGCAACATAGTGAGACCTTGTCTCTATTTAAAAAATAAAAAATAAATATCTTCCCCCAAAATACATATAATCTGCTTCAAATAAACTTTTTTTTTTTTTTTGAAACAACGTCTCTGTCACTCAGGCTGGAGTACCGGTGTCGTGATCTAGGCTTACTGCAACATCTGCCTCCCAGGTTCAAGCCATCCTCCCACCTCAGCCTTCTGAGTAGCTGGAATGACAACCGGCTAATTTTTGTATTTTTTGTAGAGATGGGAGCGGGGGTTCTCCCTGTGTTGCCCAGGCTGGTCTCGAACTCCTGGACTTCAAGCGATCACCCATCTCAGCCTCCCAAAGTGTTGAGACTACAGGCATGAGCCACCACACCCGGCTTAATGAACTTCTAATACACTATGCCATTTAAAAATTTGTTTCATTCGTTGTCTGACTCTCTTTTCACTAGGATGTAAGTTTCCCGAGGGCAGGGGTTTTGGTTTGTTTTGCTCACAGATGTGTTGCCACAGACTAGACAGTACCTGGCCCCCAGTAGGTGCTCAATACATATTGAATGTGAAGTGAATAAACTTCCAGCAGACTATCCTCATTGTGCTTTAACACATTTAAAATGACCAAATGGCTTTTCCCTGTACTTCCATTCTGTGTCTTTTCCCCTTGACCTCATGTGATATGCTCAGGGACGCCAACTAATGTTAGTATTAACTTAAGAAAAGTGGAGTGTAGCCGGGCACAGTGGCTCACACCTCTAATCCCAGCACTTTGGGAGACCGAGATGGGCAGATCACTTGAGGTCAGGAGTTCAAGACCAGCCTGGCCAACACAGTGAAACCCCATGTCTACTAAAAATTAGCCAGGTGTGGTGGAGCACACCTGTAGTCCCAGTTACTTGGGAGGCTGAGGCACGAGAATCACTTGAACCCAGGAGGTGGAAGATGAAGTGAGCAGAGATCGCGCCACCGCACTCCAGCCTGGGCAACAGAGCAAGACTCCGTCTCAAAAGAAAAAAAAAAAAAAGAAGGGAGTGTAGAAATGAATTTCCCCCAAAGAAGCCACTGATGCATGCCACGGTGAAACTTAAAGAATTACTCCTATCCGGTCTTTGGGATTATCTGCACCATGGCCTCCCTCCCCTTACAGGAAGGATCAAGCTGACCACATAAACATTTAGACTCCCTACGTGAGATGGGAGAACATAAGCCCCTCATGAGTTTGTATAATACTCATGGCCACAGTTACACAATGTGGCAGACGTATCTCTTCCTTTCCAAAAGAAGGAAAGAGACAAATGTATGATACCTGATATGACACATGTTTTCATTCTTCACAATCATTAAAGTAATAAATAACACTACTTTTTAGAGACAAGGAATTTATCTGTTGACAGGAATATGTATTGCTGGGCACAGTGGCTCATGCCTGTAATCCTAACACTTTGGGAAGCCAAGGCAGGAGGATATCTTGAGCCCAGGAGTTCAAGACCAGCCTGAGCAACACAGCAGGACCCCTCTCTACAAAACATAAAAAGATTACCTGGGCATGGGGGTGCGTGCCTGTAGTCCTAGGTACTCAGGAGGCTGAGGCAGGAGGATTGCCTGAGCCTAAGAGTTCGAGGCTACAGTGAGCTATGATCACAGCCTCAGCAACAGAGCAAGGTCCTATCTCTTAAAATAATAAAAATAAAAACAAATAAATAAATAATATAGAAAGAGAAGAGAGTTGAGATTCCAAAACAGTCTTTCTGACTCCAAACTCCATTTTTATCCTACACCACTTTTTCATAAAAGTTCAGAACAGATTGTTTGATGTTTTTCTTATTGCTCATTATTACTTTTTAAAAGGTCAATTCTGACATGTGATTTACATTTCCTGACAAACTACATATCATTTTCCTCCCTCCCTTCTGTCTTTCCTTCCTTTTATTCTTCCATTTATAATGCAACAGATGATAGTTTTTCATGGTGTCCTGTAGGTAGTGTATTTTATTTTAAAATACCAGATAAAATTATCAGCAGCCACTTGTGGAAAGCTTCACTGGAAAATATTACTTCAACCATACTTATATGTTTTTTAAAATGCTATTTTTGTTGATCTCTGCTTAGAACAACAGAAACACAGATGGCTACAGTTACTGGATTTGCTGCCAGTTTTTATGCCCCTTTTCTCATATACGTTTATGGCGACCAAGTTTACTTTCAAAAACATATGCTAAGAATAGTAACACATTTTTCAGATTTGAAGTTGTCTAGGAAAAAAGTATGCTTCATATTAAGAAAGAGTCTGTAAGATCAACAAAGCAGATTCATCTCCTAGAAAACCCATTCTCTGAGCAGGCCATTTTCATCTCTAACCAATAAACACCAGATTCCTTAGCTTGGCAATCAAGAACCTTGACCATATCTGGTCCCAGATGATTCTTCATATTTTTTATTTTTGTTCCAAGATGGTGTACTCTATTTTCCAGCAAAATGGGACAGTTAATTTTTCCTCGTAGCCATGCTTTCCTCTGTTTTGTTCATTGTTGTTTCTTTTGCCTGGGGAGATTTCCTCTTCTTTTACTTAAGCATTCCGTCTCTCCTAGCTCCTTCTCTTACTTAAGCATTCCATCTCTCCTAGCTCAAATGCCACCTCCTCCAGAAAGTGTTCCTGGATTAGATTTGCTTTCACACCTCTAGACCTCCTTTATTTGTCCCTTCTTTAGGACACATATATGACATCTTTTACTTTAATTATTTCTGCCCCAATTCAGAGTACTATTAGAAGGCTGTTAATAAAAAATGAATGTGTCGGAAGAGTTGAAAGAAGTTGTTTAATAATAATTCCTGCTAATGGTATAATGAGACAGGATTACAGACAGGTGGCCTGCAAACTTTATTGTAAAAGTTGCCTACCATAGTGTTTGAAGAAAAACAATTCAATTGGAATGCCTGCAGATTGGCACACACACTCTACCCCACCAGTCTCCCCGTTCCCCATTGTCTTCCACTGGCACATCATATATTTACATTCCCTCACTGACTCTGGGTGGCACTTGAATTTACAAGCTCCATATAGAGGTTACATCAATCAGTTGATATACCAGGTCCAAGTCATGGCTCTGTCACTTTCTAGCTAGCTGTGTCAGGTTAAGAGCAAGACTTCTAATGATACCTTTGAATGGCCCTTTGTATTTGAGGTGGCCTTATGCAAATAAACAGGCACAGTTGACCCTTGAACAATGTGAGGGTTAGGGGCGCCAATCACCTGCATAGTCGAAAATCCACCTATAACCTTTGACTCCCAAAAAGCTTAACCGATAGTCTTCCGTTGACCTCACCAATAACACAGTCGACTAACATATATTTCGTATGTTTTATGCACTATATCCTGTATTCTCACAATAAAGTAAGCTGAAGAAAATGTTATTAAGAAAAATCATAAGGAAGAGAACATATTGCATTATTCATTAAGTAGAAATAGATCATCATACAGGTCTTCACCCTCATTGTCTTCACGTTGAATAGGCTGAGGAGGAGGAGGAAGAGGAGGGGTTGGTCTTGCAGTCTCAGAGGTGGCAGCCGCAGAAGAAAATCTGAGAACAAGTGGATCCATGCGACTCAATCCTGTATTGTTCAAGACTCAACTGTATATTTTTGCATATGGGCTCAAATACGTACGCACATATGTCACTGGGTCAAAGATTCATAGAATGAATTAGACAACAAGAATATTTATCATTGAATTGAAATGGCTCACTGCAAAAGTGCCCTCAACTTATCTCTAGGCCTTAGAAACAGAAGTGACCCTTTGCTGCTGTGAATCAATAGCCTGGACTAGATTGGGGTTGGGTTGGCAAAGGTATATAGTCATTGCCATAGTCCAGTATTCCTGCCCAAGCAAGCACCATTAGTAGTCACGTTGCTCAGAGAGGGCCTCTCGGCTCTCCCCACCACTGCATGCTGGATTGTCTGCCACCAGTAGATCAGAGTTGGCAAAAGGGATAACTCGGGATGAAACATTTGAGCATTTTGCAGTTTAGAGAAACTTCAGGGGTGCTGCTTTAGTAAAAAATGGAAGACTTGCATTTATTAAAGGTTAGTAAGAAGTGAAATAATGTATGCAAAAGTACATTATAAATTAGAAAATGCAATAACGGCAGAAACTATTTATTTATTGGTTGCTCTGCCCTTTACCTAAGTGGTTTTTGACCATTTAACAATGTGTAAGAGTTGGGTTTTACCTCCATTTTATGGATGTGGAAATAGGGCTTGGATGTTAGCTAACTTGCCCAAATCTTACAGCTAACAGAAAGTGGTACTCCCGAGATTCCTACCCAGGTTTGTCTGACCTCAGGCCTGTGCTCTTTATATGAGTTCATGCTAACTCTCAGATGATGTGCTAGGCACAAAAATTAGATATTACACCAATTTCCACTATAGTTAACATTCTATCTAAATATAAAGTGGGACCACGGTCTTAGATGAATGTGGCTGTTGAGAGCGGCAATAATCCAGAATGGCTACTCTGATCTACGTTGATAAGGAAATTGGAGAACCAGGCACCCGTGTGGCTGCCAAGGATGTGCTGAAGCTGGAGTCTAGACCTTCAATCAAAGCATTAGATGGGATATCTCAAGTTTTAACACGACGTTTTGGCAAAACATACGATGCTCCATCAGCCTTACCTAAAGCTACCAGAAAGGCTTTGGGCACTGTCAACAGAGCTACAGAAAAGTCAGTAAAGACCAATGGACCCAGAAAACAAAAACAGCCAAGCTTTTCTGCCAAAAAGATGACCGAGAAGACTGTTAAAACAAAAAGTTCTGTTCCTGCCTCAGATGACGCCTATCCAGAAATAGAAAAATTCTTTCCCTTCAATCTTCTAGACTTTGAGAGTTTTGACCTGCCTGAAGAGCGCCAGATTGCACACCTCCCCTTGAGTGGAGTGCCTCTCATGATCCTTGATGAGGAGGGAGAGCTTGAAAAGCTGTTTCAGCTGGGCCCCCCTTCACCTGTGAAAATGCCCTCTCCACCATGGGAATGCAATCTGTTTGCAGTCTCCTTCAAGCATTCTGTCGACCCTGGATGTTGAATTGCCAGCTGTTTGCTATGACATAGATATTTAAATTTCTTAGTGCTTTGGAGTTTGTGTGTACTTGTATTAATAAAGCATTATTTGTTTAACAACATAATAAATACATAAATATAAAGTGGGTCATATTCCTCTTTATGTGCATCTGTCTCAGCTGTCCCTTGTTTCTATATTTCTTCCATACTACAGCCCGTACTCTTTGGGGATATGTCAACATGATTTACTTCTGTAGAGAAACAGGAGACAGGAAATAGCAAAGGATAAAGGAGAAAAGGCCAGGGCCAGGCCAAGAACTTCTACATCTTTTCTTCCCAGCCTAGTGTGAACCAGATGAAAGCCTTAAGGAGGTCCTAGCAGCAAAGGGAGATAATTAAAAGAATGAGAATTTTGTGGAATGCTAAAAAAAAATAGGGAACATATTTGCAGCTAGGACTAACACTGATTATCTTAAAATGTCTATATGGCTAAATAATGTTCATGAAATCCCGTATCTTATTCTGCTAATGTCTTACAACTTAAAGCACTTTTATGTCCATGCCTTGAATTCTGTACAAAGCTTTGATAGAGTCACAGATGTCTGGTGTCAATCCAGATCACCTGAGAGGCTTCAGGGTTTCCTCTCTGGTTCCTGAATTCCAAGACTTAGTGAGTTTCCTAGGCCAGGAGCTGCTATTCATTATACATGTTAGTGGTTTTGCTCTTTCTACTGAAAGTGAGTGGTGGTTATGTCTCTGAACATGTTATTCCACAAAAAGCCAACTAGATGTGGCTATTTAAGAACCATCAAAGGCCATGACAGGCCAAAGTTTCCAAATCCCTCTTCAATCAAAGGATGCTGTCAGAACTGACCTCCAAAAAAGATGCAAGGTCTCAGTCCTAGGCTGTCATACTGGTCCTTAGAGAAGAGTTACAATTTTGTGATCTGCTCCACTCCATTTTGATTTTTGCTTCCATGCTATTTTAAAACTGGAGAAGGTTTAAGTTTAAAAATTCAAGACAAATCATAAAATATTTGAGAATTTACTTGTACATTGCCTGTCTTCCCAAATAAACTGTGGGCCCCATGAGGGCAGGGACCATCTCTGTTTTGTTCACTATGGTGTCCAAGTACTTCCCCCATATCTTGGAGCTGATTCTGTGGTGGGCTGCTCCAAGTAATCTTTATCTTGGGCCAGTAGCCACGCAGGTCAAGGATAAGTTTCCATTAGGTGTGGGCATAAGCTCCTACCCAGCCATTGTCCTCTTCACCAGAAGAACTAAATTTCATCTGTAAAGGAAGACATCACATTCTGTAAATGGTAGGGCCTCATTCTCCTGTAAGATTCATATTTCTGCATTTTGGATTCAAGAACCATAGGTGTATCCCATGGCAAGACAGGAAGTATTACTGGAGTCAGACTCCCTGGGTCTTAACCCTGCTTCCTCTGTTTAATGGATATGCAACCTTGGGCAAGCCGGTAACATCTAAAATTTTACTCTTATAGCTGTTGATAGAGACACTAAACGTTTAAATTTCTAAATGTTTACTGCCATATTTATGTATGGTTATTAGCATAGTAAGGATCTAAATGATATCAGAGTAGAAACTCAATAAATATTTGTTAGATGGATGAATAATTAACCTCTCAGACTTCAGTTTCATCACCTGTAAATAAAGAGGTTTAGCTATATGGTATCTTTGCAGTTCTAATATCCTGTGGACTTAGTTATGTTAGTAGTTATGATATTTTTTATTCTTGGTAATTTTTTCAGGATTACTATAAGGATAATAAGAAGTCAAATTCTAAACTGAAATAAGTCAAGGGAATTGAATAAAAACTTGGATAAAAAAAGAAAGTGTTTTAAAAATCACCCTAAGTCCAATGATCAGCTGGCCTTTGATTTAAAGTGTGTCTGTGGTCAGCCCACGGAAATAGTATACAGCTTCTCTGAAGCTCTTTAACATCTTCATTACAGTCAGTTTAAGTACTTCTTTGGCAATAAACATCAACTTTTTTTCAGATGTCTCTTTGCATATGATGGCCTTGGCATGAGACATGAAACCATTAAGAAAATACAAGCCAGGTCCTCTGCTACAGTCCATAAAAATCATTTAGTTGAAGCTATGCATATTTACTTATTAGCTTACACTCATTTTTAAACTGACTCACAAAAAGTACAGTATTAGGCCATTCTTGCATCGCTATAAAGAAATACCTGAGACTGGGTAATTTATAAAGAAAAGAGGTTTAATTGGCTCACAGTTCTGCAGGCTGTACAGGAGGCATGGCAGTGGCATCTGCTCAGCTTCTGGGGAGGCCTCACAAAGCTTCCAGTCATGGCGGAAGGCCAAGGAGGGAGCAGGCCTCTCACATGGCAGAGCAAGAGCAAGAAAGAGTTGAGGTGGGGGGTGAGGGAGGGGGGAGGTCCAGGTGGGCGGACCACTGGAGGCCAGGAGTTCGAAACCAGCCTGGCCAACATGGTAAAACCCCATCTCTACTAAAAATACAAAAATTAGCCGGGCATGGTGGCACATGCCTGTAACCCCAGCTACTCACTGAGGAGGCTGAGGCACAAGAATCGCTTCAGCCCAGGAGGTGAAGGTTGCGGTGAGCCGAGATCACGCCACTGCACTCCAGCTTGGGTGACACAGTGAGATTCCGTGTCAAAAAAATACCCATTTATGTACTTACGTACAAAATATCTGAAACTGCTAAGACTGGGTAGTAATTACATGGGTGTCTCTTATATTATGCTATTTAAATGTTTTAAAAACATTTAATAATTTTTAAGATCCTAAGAAACAAGAATACTGTAATAAAAAAATCCAATATCGGACTCTACTCCCTTGTAGATTAGGAATGATATCCCTGCTCTTTTTCCCCCCAATGGCTCATTTGTACTTGGCATTTGGTGCCTGCTTAAAACACCAGGGTGACTACAGGGTCCCTGATGTTGGTTAGGGGCCCTCTCTGTAGCTTTCATAGCACCCTCTCTTTTCCTTCTCACTGCATTTATCACCCAGTTGTGCCATTTCCTGTTTCCTTGCTGTATGGGCCTGCTGGACCATAAGACGTTCCTGCAGGGGCAGGTGGCTTGCTTACTATAGCATCCCTGAGGACTGGAATGCAATAGATATTGAGTGGCTGAATGAATTACTGCAATGGTGACTGCAATGGCTTAAGTTCAGTGCTCTGCACACACATGGGCCAGGGTTGGATATGCGAAATTACCACTTGATGAAATTAGTTAAAGCAGCATTTGTTGGCACAGAGAGGCCGTGTGCCCCTTTCTTGGAGTCCCCTAGGCTTCAGTGCATGCACCACAGTCTCACAGTTGGAAAGGAGGGTCGGGGCGCTGTACTTCATGTAAGGTGATTCTAAACCTCGTGCTAGATCCACTGACACATCCAACTCGAGACTCAGGATCCAACTGGACACTCAGGTTCCCATTAGGCTGTGGCGAGGACCAAGCCCGCTGCCACTGAATTTCCTAGGCACTGAGGTCAGGGTTTTCCTGTCCACTAGCCTGACCAGTTTTTCACAGAAAGGACCAATGTGCCTGCCTTCCCGAGATCCGGCAGCACAGCTCCTGCTTTGTCCTGGGTTCAGATGGAGTTTGGCCTGTTGGTCCCAGCGTAGCCTGGATGGGGACAAGGGGCAGCCTACTGCGGGTCTCACTTTCTTATTAGCCCCTGGCCTGGCTGAACCCTTGAGAAGGGCCCTGCTGCCTCAGACCCAACAAGAATTTGCTTCCTTTCTCTCTTCCTTCCTTCCTACCTCATTCGTTCATTTGTTCTTTAGAATCTGCTGCCATTTCATGTCTATTTGTATCTCATCTAGCTAGCATCAGCTCTGTCCCCAGCCTCATGAAAAAGGCCAAGCTCCTTCCCTGACAGAGCCTGCTATTGGCAGGAAGCTGCCAGAGCATGGTGTCTGTCTAGAGAACCTCTCTTGGCCATGCCAGCTCCCTGAAATCTTAGAGCATGAAGCCCTGTGTTTGTAGCAGTTAGGACCTGCTTGGAGGGATGCTGACAGGTGGTCTACGCAGACACTGCTCCACTGTGCCTAGGTGAGGCCTTTGGTGAATTATTTTACTTTCCTGAACCTCAGTTTCCTCATCTGCAAAACAGAATAAGTAATACCTTGCAGCAGGGTTTTAACATAATTAGGGGCTGTGAAGTAAAGTGGTTAAGTTGGCAGAGTGCCTGGGCCTGATTCTGGTTTTCTCCTTTCCCACCTGAGTGCTTCAGTTTCCCCATCCAAAAATAGGTACTCATACTCTCGACCTCATGCGCTGTAAATGCTTTGAACCATGCCTGGTGCATGGTGGATGCTGCCTGAAGGTTTGCTGGTTTTAGCAGTGTCTGGCAGATAGGAAGCACTCAATACACATTATGTTTTATTACTATTACAATTATTCTTACCATCTAGGGTTGGGAGATAGATAATATATGAAAACATCTGGCATGCAGTAAGTACTCAGCGGATATTGTTTTCATCCTTCCTGACCCTTGATCTTGGAGCAGGGGTACCTTGAAGTGGAGGGAGGTGATCCCTGCACTGAGTTGGCATTCTTTTTTATACTTGTGTTGTCCCTGAGAACAAGAACTCTAGATATTTGGAAAAGTTCCAGGAGCATCGGGGCTCTTGTGATATTATGACCTAGAGATCGGTGAGCAGATATGTTTAGTTCTACCTTGACCCTGAGCGAAGGCTGCCAGGTGCAAACCTGTCATGGACATTTATTTATTTATTTATTTATTTTATTTATTTATCTGAGATGGAGTCTCACTCTGTCACCAAGGCTGGAGTACAGTGGCACAATTTCGGCTCACTACAACCTCCACCTCCCAGATTCAAGCGATTCTCCTGCCTCAGCCTCCCGAGTAGCTGGTATTACAGGTGCCACCATGCCCAGCTAATTTTTGTATTTTTAGTAGAGATGGGCTTTTACCATGTTGGCCAGGCTGGTCTTGAACTCCTGACCTCGAGTGATTCACCTACTTCACCCTCTGAAAGTGCTGGGATTACAGGTGTGAGCCATCGCCCCTGGCCATGGGCATTTAATTTAGCGTATATTTCACAACATGCCTGAGGGAAGCTTGGAAGGGACCTTGGAGATCGTGGGCCTAATACCCACAATTTACAAGGTGGAAACAGGTTCAGAGAATGTGACATGAACTGTCTGAGGTCACATAGCTGGTTGCCAGCAGGTATAGGCTAGCAGCAAGCACCTGGACAGCCTGGGCTGCCTCACACAGAGAAAGACTCCACAAATCCATGTGCAAATTGATTGACCCACTTTAGATGACTCCTGACCCTCATCTGAAAGCTGAATTTATCTTCACCTCACCCAGAGCAAAACTTCTGTCCTGTTTGGAAAATTCCAGGTTAGAAGAGCAATGACTCAGACATCACTACTTAGAAGCGTTTAAAAAACTGAGTGGGATCCCCACACAAATGGAAAAGAGAAGCTAAACTATTTCCTTCTTATATTTTCTCAGCCCTTACATCTCCTATCAAGGCCAATGGACATTTTCAATTATGTACCTTCTCTAGCTACGCATAGAGACTAAGATGCAGATGGTGGTTTATTTTATAATCTATGAGTTTCTTTGCTAAGTATACAGACACCTTTTATCTTTTTTTAATTATTATACTTTAAGTTCTAGGATACATGTACGAAACGTGCAGGTTTGATACATAGGGTTTGCTGCACCCATCAACTCATCATTTACATTAGCTATTTCTCCTAATGCTATCCCTCCTCCAGCCCCCTACCCCCCAACAGGCCCCGGTGTGTGATGTTCCCTGCCCTGGAGACACCTTTTATCTAAAGGTTTTCAGAGGGGCATTTGCCTAGGAATTCGGCACTTGGGTCTTATATTCTGGAAGATGAGCTTGCTCAGTGCACCTGAAGATTACACTGAGTTTTACCAGGCACATTCTTCTTGTTGACATGCAAGTACCTGTGGCTTGGTGGACTTTTTGTAGGAATCTTAAGTTACAACAAAGGAAAAAATTCAAATTGTTTTGTGCATTTCTGCAGAGGTTTGTGGCACCATTTTTTTTTCCAGGTGCTTGCTGTGCAATTCGAATCCAAAATTCAGTGCTGAAGCACATAAATTTAGGCTTTGAAAAGAGTGAGGACATTCACAAAGAGCTTCATTTGTGTTTAAAACTTGGCAATTTTAAAGGAATTTTATTAAGATAAAAAAGAGGGCCGGGCACAGTGGCTCACATCTGTAATCCCTGCACTTTGGGAGGGCGAGGCGGGTGGATCACCTGGGGTCAGGAGTTCAAGACCAGCCTGGGCAACATGGTGAAACCCCGTCTCTACTAAAAATACAAAAATTAGCTGGGCGCAGTGGCGTGTGCCTGTAATCCCAGTTACTTGGGAGGCTGAGGCAGGAGAATCGCTTGAGCCTGGGAGGCGGAGGTTGCAGTGAGCCGAGACTGCGCCATTGCACTCCAGCCTGGGTGACAGAGTGAGACTCTGTCTCAAAAAAAAAAAAAAGATAAAAAAGAGAAATTATTTTAGAAGTGGGAAATTATCCTAAATGAAGGTAAACTAAACCACCTTATAAAAAACAGAAAATTTTGATTTACTATAGAAGAAGTGGAAAGAGGAAGTTTGGGTCAGATTTTTATTCACTAATAGATTTGATCAGGAAATAGGAGTTGATTCTTTTCAGTCTTATTTTTGAAGGAGAAATATAACTTTCAGTTTAGAAAAAAAAGTTATTTCTTGATAAAATTAGTGCTCTGTCGAGTGATGCTTCTAATGTTTCCACTATGAATTATAGCAAAATGTCTGAGTTTAAAGCTAAGAGTCTATGTTGAGTTACAGGATGGGGTGTGGGTGTCGAAATCTTGACTCTAAATTTTTACAGTGTTTTCTTTTATGAGCTCAGGACTGCTGGGTTTTTCCATGAATTTGAAACAAGCGCACAGTGTTTTGAAAAGAAGATTATTTGCTTAAACTTTATAGACTGAGCTAAAAATAGAAAAACACCGATTCTATTTTTGGAATGTCTTACAAGCTAAAAAGTAAACATGATTGCTGTTCGTATTGAACAACATACTGAGAACAGATGTTTAAATAGCAAAATGTAATAATTTAGCTGGTTTTGAAATATCACAGCATTTTAATGAATTGATTGCTAATGAAGAGATAGACCTATGTCATAAGTAAATTTCTGTTTCAGCAAGTGTTACTTACAAGGAGAAAAAAAGGCATCCCCAAGCTGGTATGAACTTTACTCTCAAAGGGCTTTGTTACTATCTTCTTGTCTCCTCTGGAGTTGCAAGTTCAGGGGTTCCCTTTTACCCTGCAGTCTTCTTAGTATTTCTGGTGGGACTGCAGCCAGCTATTAATTTTGCAAGGCTTTTGGATACATTTAATGAAGGTGGCTGGGGCCGCTAAAAATGTTCTCATGAAGTCGGCTTGCTGTTATTCTGGCTAACAAGAAACTACAATGTAACGCAGAAAATCAAAACATAAAATTAGAGACCTTGATTCAAATGTTGACATGGATATATCAAGGTAGAATGTTCTTGAGGTACCCACCTGAATTTATAAGGTACTCCTCAATAAGTCCTCACCTAATTTGTTCTTCTACTTCTCCTCTACATTTTCTTTCCTTCATGAACCAATTTATTGAGCACCGTTTGCTCTGAAGACGGTCTTCAAATACTCCGTCTTGTCACCTGAAGATTCATCTTGAATCCGGCATGATTTAAAATGTGAGTGTGGGTGTGTCCTTGAGAGAAAGTGAGCCATGTAGACAGGCAAGGAGGGATTGGAGGTGTGGGGTTGGGAGAGGGAGTGTGAGTTCCATGTGTGAGTGAGCAGGACCCAAGCCTGGGGACGAATTTCTAAACTGTTGAAAGTGTGGCGGGCAAGTGATGCTTGTGTGTACCAAGTCTCTGCCCAGCTAGTATGATAGGAATGTACCAGAGACACTTGGACGATTTGTGGCTTGGCTTATGGAGTTAAAGTAACAATTGGAGCACAGTCTTGCTGTTAGACACAGCAACTCATAAAAAGGGAGAGGAAAATATCAAGACACATCCTGCAGGCCCACCATGCTGGAGTGAATTTTGGCTCACACACAATCCCTTCTCTGATCTTAACTGTGTGTCCTGTCCTATTTTGTGTGTCTATAAACCCAGCTCTGAGCTTGAGGCCTCCAGCCCATCATTTGTTTTACTTCTACATTTAAGACATATCATTCACACTATAATTCCAATATCAATCATTGTTGCTACTACTAATACTATTACTACCACCACTACATCTACAGCCAAAATTTGCTGTGCATCTACTATAGGCCAGTGCTTTATCTGTGTTTTTGTTTGTTTGTTTGAGACAGAGTTCCGCTCTTGTCGCCCAGTCTGGAGTGCAATGGCACAATCTCGGCTCATGGCAACCTCCACCTCCTGGGTTCAAGTGATTTTCCTGCCTCAGCCTCTGGAGTAGCTGAGATTACAGGCATCCACTACCACCATGCCTGGCTAATTTTTGTATTTTTGGTGGAGATGGGGTTTCACCACGTTGGCCAGGCTGGCCTTGAACTCTTGACCTCGGGTGATCCACTGCCTCAGCCTCCCAAAAAGTGCTGGGATTACAGGCATGAGTCACCACACCCAGCCAAAACTATCCCTTTTAAGTGTGGGATCCATTATTACAAAGGCCCAGTGACTTAACTTACCTAAAGTCATTCAATCATCATCACACAGCGGGATTTACCAAAATTAAGATGTAATTTACATTCTGTAACATTTTGGTATTTAGTAAATCCACAAATTTTGGTATTTAGTATATTAATGTAACCATCATCACCATCTAATTCCAAAACATTGTCATCACTGCAAAAAGAAACCCTGCACCCATTAGCAGTCTCTCCCTATTTTCTCCTCTCTCCAGCCCCCGGTAACTACTAGTCTATTTTCTGTCTCTATGGATTTGCCTGTTCTGGATATTTCATATAAATAGAATCATACAGTATGCAGTCTTTTGTAACTGGCTTATTTCAATTGGCATAGTGCTTTCAAGGTCCATCAGTGCTGTGGCATGTATCAGTACTTCATTACTTTTTATAGCCAAATAATATTCCATTGTGTGGATATACCATATCTTGTTGATCCATTCATCAGTTGAAGGGCAGCTGGGTTGTTTCCACTCTTGGGAGTTGTGCTGCTGTGCACATTCATGGACACATTTTTACATGGGCATATATGTTTTCAATTTATGCAGAGGGATTTTTAGTATTAGATTTTCAGGATTTGGTATTATCCTTGGCAAATATGGGTTTCTTTGGAAACAAATTTTTCTGTTTGTAAGAGATGATTGCATATCATCAAACTTACACTAACATTCCCTCTCCACTATGAAGCTCTGATTTCTGTCCTATCTCCTCCTATGCAAGGCCTGATTTCCAGAGAACGTTAATCTTCTAAGCCTTTCTCCATGCGGATCCTTCTTCCTGGAAAGCCCATTCCCTCTCCACCTTCTGTAAATGGCCTGAAACCAGCCAGGAAGCTGGGTTTTCCTTTGCAGCCTGAAGTTATTTTCCTTCCTCTGGGAACTCATCGAAGCTTCACCTGGACTTTGAGGGAAAATAACTTCAGGCTTTTGTCACTCTTTTCCCTGCCTGAGCTTCCCTGCTACCCTCTATGCCCCTTGAGGGCAGGATTCTGGTCTGACTCCATTTTGCTATTTCCTGCAAGGACTTCTGTGGCTTTCCAAAATAGGTGCTAATGAATATTCATATTTGTGAACTGAATTCCTGATCCATTGCCAAGTGGTTCTGATTCACTTGAAACCCAGTTGAACTTCCTTGTAGAGTTTGTATTACAATGGCTCTATTTTTAACCAGGTCTTAGGGTGGGGAGGAGCAAGCTGGCAGAGTGAGGTCATTCTTTTGCATGTGTCCCTGCCTCACTGGCCCCCCCCACTAGAGGGCAGCCTGCCTGGCATCACCTCCTAAACTTACAGGAGGTTTTGCCGCCCTTGCTTCTTGTTCCTCCTCAAAAGAAGAAATTGGCAGAAGAGCTGGGGCAGGAGTGTCAGGGTTTGTTTTGGTGGGGATATGGTCAGGCTTAGTAGGGAAGCAACTCTTCCAGTTCCCAGACCGGCCCCCCTGCCTTTCAAGTCCTCCGTTAATGTCTCAGGAGTGCTGAGATGGTGAGACATTAAAGCATCCTTTTAAAGTTACTTAGACAACAATTTGAGATTTCTGTAGGGATACTGTATTAGTCTATTCTTATGCTGTTAATAAAGACATACCTAAGACTGGGTAATTATAAAGGAAAGCGGTTTATTGACTCACAATTCCACGTGGCTGGGGAGGCCTCAAAATCATGGTAGAAGGCAAGAAGGAGCAAGTCACATCTTACACGGCAACAGACAGGAGAAGAATTGAGAGCCGAACAAAAAGGGTTTTGCCTTATAAAACCATCAGATCTCATGAGACTCATTCACTACCATGAGAACAGGATGAGGGAAATCACCCCCATGATTCAGTTATCTCCCACTGTGTCCCTCCCACAACTCATGGGAATTATGGGAGCTACAATTCAAGATGAGATTTGGGTGGGGACACAGCCAAACCATATCAGATACTATCGTGTTTAGATCTCTGCAGTCCTATTTGGATAGCCTATTGCTTTCCACAGAGCAACTATATATATATATTTTAAAGTAAAGGATCTAAAACTGTAAGAGTGGTTCTTGATCCTGGCTGATAATCAGAATCACTTGCTAGAATATATTTCTAAGCTTTAAGTAAACCCAGAGTCAACATTATGGGTCAACACCAATAATGACCTCTGTGGCTGAATTCAGTGGGCTGACACATTTGACTTGGCTAGGTGGAGTGTTTTAATAATTGAGAATGCATTCTCTAAGATGCTGTAGTTACTTCATTCTTTATCCTCTCACACCTTGCCCTCTTCACACATTTATATGACCTGCTTGCTCTTTGAGGTCTCTGAGAATTTGACCTTTGCTCCAAAACAGCCCAATCATCTGAGACCCTCTACTCTCTCTCTCACTTGGCCACCTTCCCATTACAGGTGACTCTGATAGACAATCAGGGCTGGAAACTATCAGTGTCTTTGAGCAATGACTATTCTGTCTGCAGAGGTTCTCAATTCTGACTGCATGAGAGAAACACCTTGGAGATGTTAAAAATTACTGATGCCTGGCTGGGTGCGGTGGTTCATGCCTGTCATCTCGCACTTTGGGAGGCTGAGGCGGGTGGATCACCTGAGGTAGGGAGTTTGAGAGTAGCCTGACCAACATGGAGAAGCCCTGTCTCTACTAAAAATACAAAATTAGCCAGGTGTGACAGTGCATGCCTATAATCTCAACTACTCAGGAGGCTGAGGCATGAGAATCACTTGAACCCAGGAGGCGGAGGTTGTGGTTAGCTGAGATCGTGCCATTGCACTCCAGCCTGGGCAACAAAAGGGAAACGCCGTTTCAAAAAAAAAAAAAAAAAAAGATTACTGATGCCCAGTATACGTACAATCCTTTCAGGGTAGCATATGCAGTTCCTTGTGGGAAGGATATATTTTTCAGATGGGTGGGAGAGTAGTATTTTACAGAAAATAGTGTATTTGAATAGGCCAGGCGCAGTGGCTCATGCCTGTAATCCCAGCACTTTGGGAAGCCGAGGCGGGCGGGTCACCTGAGGTCAGGAGTTCGAGACCAGCCTCAACATGGAGAAACCCCGTCTCTACTAAAAATACAAAATTAGCCGTGCGTGGTGGTGCATGCCTGTAATCCCAGCTACTCAGGAGGCTGAGGCAGAAGAATTGTTTGAACCTGGGAGGCGGAGGTTGCAGTGAGCTGAGATCGCACCACTGCACTCCAGCCTGGGCAACAAGAGCGAAACTCCATCTCCAAAAAAAAAAAAAAAAAAGAAAATAGTGTATTTGAGTATAGGATTAGATTTTCTGATGTTAAGTTTCCTTTTGATGGAATTCCAGATTATAACAGAAAATGTCTTTGTGCAGTGTGACTGGCAAGCTACATGCTGGTAGTGAATTAAAATAAGAGCTGTCACGTATATTTCTTAAAATATTTGGTGTTAGAGCACCACACATTGCTATCAAATCTACCCAATTCAAAGGCTCCTCCTACTTTCCCATGAGATTAGTGATTCTGCCTACTCCTGGATTAGGAAGGAAGACTTGGATCAGAGAAAGACCCCTGTGTGCCTAAAAGATAACACAAACCTTAGACAAATTCTAACCCAGACTGCAGGAGCCTCTACCCTGGATGTGTATATACTGAGAATTGGATCCAGGTTTAAACAATGAACCCTTCATGTCCTTATTTCACCTGCCTGCATACGTTCCCGCTGTTAACTGTTACATTGAGGATTTGGCCTGTTTTTTTGCAAGAAATGCAGTTTTTATTCCCCTAAACCTAATGTAATTTTCACTTTTTGGCATCTCTATTTTCTGTGGTGGAAAATTTATCTTAGTCATAGGTACTTCAGATTTCCTTAGTCAATTCTGGGTTCTCCTCATCCTTTCCCCAGAATTGCTTCTAAGTTCTGGGCATTTTTGGAGAGTTTCGTGTAGGAGTTGGAGTGATGGAGTATGATGACATTTGTCCTGGGTTCAGCTTGTCCAGTCTGGTCCTCAGCTGACCATCCACTCACATCAAAACTATGTTGTTGCCTGATAACTCTCTAGGTCGCTCTCTAGCTGAACTGGTTCATACCAGCCCAAGAACACAGGACAGTTTTGGCTGCTTTCTCCAGGGCCTATTGGTCAGTACCTTTTAATCATTAACGTTTTAAGACCAATGTTAATGAATCTCATCTACTAGTGCTTCTCAAACTTTAATGAGTATACCAGTCACCTGGAATTTTGGTAAAATGAAGGTTATGATGCAGTAGGTCTAGATTAGGGCAGGGCCTGAGATTCTGCATTTCTAACCAACAGCCAGTTGCTGCTGAGGCTGCTGGTCTGTGGACCACACCTTGAATAGTAAGGTTGTAGAGTCTACAAGCATTCTCGCTCTAATGGAACTGTCAGCCTCCATCTCTTCTAAGTGTTTGGGAAAGTGATGTGGTAACAGGGAAAGATTTGGCTAAATGGCTGCAAATGCACTCCCTTTTCCACCTTCATTAAGCAGGGAATATCACTGCTTAAAAGTGAGAGAATAGTACTTCCCTAGGATGCGTCTAAGGCCCTTTTCAAGGGTGGCCTCTGTTGGAATGATGTCACTTTTTTTTTGAGACAGGGTCTTGTGCTGTCACCCAGGCTGGAGTGCAGTGGCTGAATCTCAACTCACTGCAGTTTCGACATCTAGGGCTCAAATGATCTTCCCACCTCAGCCTCCTGAGTAGCTAAGACTACAGGTGTGTGCCACTATGTCCAGCTAATTTATTTTTATTTTTCCTTTATGTAGACATGGGGTCTCACCGTGTTGCCCAGGCTGGTCTCGAACTCCTGAGCTCAAGTGATCCTCCCATCTTGGCATCCCAAAGTGCTGGGATTACAGGCATGAGCCACCATGCATGGCCTGATATTACTCTTGACTTTCTCCATGCTGTTTTTTTTGAGACAGAGTCTCACTCTGTCCCCCAGGCTGGAGTGCAGTGGCATGATCTCAGCTCACTGCAACGTAGGCCTCCCGGGTTCCAGTGATTCTCCTGTCTCAGCCTCCTGAGTAGCTGGGATTACAGGCGCATGCCATCACGCCTGGCTAATTTTTTGTATTTTTAGTAGAGACGAGGTTTCGCCATGGTGGCCAGGGTGGTCTTGAACTCCTGACCCCAGGTGATCTACCTGCCTTGGCCTCCCAAAGTGCTGGGATTACAGGCATGAGCCACCACGCCCAGCCTCTCTATGCCTTTACGGTTTTATCTATTCCTATGCACCAGATAAAACCACAAGGGTGGAAAAAAGATGAAACCCTATCATCCCCTGTAGGGTCTAGCCCCACAGGGTTGGTGGGTTTTTTCCCCGTGTGCAGAGACGAGAGAGTGTAGAAATAAAGACATAAGACAAAAAGATAAAAGAAAAGACAGCTGGGCCCGTGGTACCACTACCACCAAGATGTGGAGACCGGTAGTGGTCCCGAATGCCAGGCTGTGCTGATATTTATTGGATATAAGACAAAGGGGCAGGGTAAGGAGTGTGAGCCATCTCCAATGATAGGTAAGGTCACATGGGTCACGTGTCCACTGGACAGGGGGCCCTTCCCTGCCTGGCAGCCGAGGCAGAGAGAGAGAGAAGAGAAAGAGAGAGACAGCTTACAACATTATTTCTGCTATCAGAGACTTTTAGTACTTTCACTAATTTGCTACTACTATCTAAAAGGCAGAACCAGGTGTACAGGATGGAACGTGAAGGCAGACTAAGAGCGTGACCACTGAAGCACAGCATCACAGGGAGATGGTTAGGCCTCTGGATAACTGCGGGCAGGCCTGACATCAGTCAGGCCGTCCACAAGAGGTGGAGTAGTAGAGTCTTCTCTAAACTCCCCCGGGGAAAGGGAGACTCCCATTCCCGGTCTGCTAAGTAGCGGGTGTTTTTTGTTGACACTAACACTACCGCTAGACCACAGTCCACTTGGCAACAGGCGTCTTCCCAGATGCTGGTGTTACCGCTAGACCAAGGAGCCCTCCTGGTGGCCCTGTCCGGGCATAACAGAAGGCTCGCACTCTTGTCTTCTGGTCACTTCTCACTATGTCCCCTCAGCTCCTATCTCTGTATGGCCTGGTTTTTCCTAGGTTATGATTGTAGAGCGAGGATTATTATAATATTGGAATAAAGAATAATTGCTACAAACTAATGATTAATGATATTCATATATAATCATATCTAAGATCTATATCTAGTATAACTATTCTTATTTTATATATTTTATTATACTGGAACAGCTCGTGCCCTGGGTCTCTTGCCTTGGCAGCTGGGTGGCTTGCCGCCCACAATCCCCCATGATCCTCTCCTTTTGATATTCATGTCCTTATATTATCTCCTCCCCTTAAGTGTGGACTAGACTTATGTCTTTGGTTTTTCACAAACAGTAATAGAGCAAAAGTGTTGGGATGTCACATCTTAATTCATAAAACACTGTTTTTGGATTTGTGCATTCTCTTGGATCACTTGTGCTGGGGGATACAAACTGCCATTTTCTGATCAGTGCTATGGAAAGAAACAGCAAGAAACAGAGGCCCTGAGTCCAGCAGCTTGCGAGGAACTAAATACGGGCAACACCTATGTGAATGAGCATGGAAGTGGATCCTTCAGTCCCAGGCCAGTCTTGAGATGACTCCAGCCTCAGTTAACAGCTTGGCTGAAATTTTAGGGCGACTTTCAGCCAGAGCCATCCAGCTAAGATGCTCCTGGATTTCTGACCCACAGAAGTTGTTTGTGGTTTTAAGCTTCTCAGTTTTGGGGTAACTTTTTATACAGCAATAGGTAGCTAATACCCTCACTAAACTCAGATGCCAGATATTTAGGGAACAACATTAAAATGTCCCAATGGTCCTTCAAGAAGATAATGCACAATTAGTAGAAGGAAAAGAGAAGCAGAATTCTTGGGCTGGGTTGGCCATTTGGCCTGAGGAACTCAGTGAGTGGTTCCACCTGACACATGCATAACACATCAGCGATTAAACCTTTGGACTTTTTTTTTTTTCAACGTGGAACTCAGGAGTGGCTGGGATTGAAACTCAGCTTTACCTTTGTAGCCATAAACTGACCACCTTGTCTCATCATCTTGCCTTGGGAGAGAAGAAAACTATGGTGAAATCAACATTTCTCAAGTTGCTAAAGCCTCCTGGCAGGCAGGAGCTAAATGGTTCTTTTTCCTCTGCCCCACTTTTGGTCTCAATGGCCGAGTTTCCTGACTCCAAGAAAACCACCTTTGATTATATAAAGGTATTAGGGGCTGGGGAACACTGGTCTTTTGTTACTAGCAATCTAAAGCGCTTAGGAAGAAAAGCCCTGGGGGTGGGGGTCACCCCTGGAAAGTTGGGCGGGCTTTGTGTTAGCTCCAACTCTGGGGCTTTTGTGGAACCTCGGAGAGGGAGGAATTCTTAGATTTCTGAAAGTTGTGCGAAACGGACCCCAGAGGCCTGGAAAGGCGCGTCCCCAGCCTCCAGGGTTTCCTGCGCAGCCCTGGGCATCTCGGAAGGGGGCGACCCCAGCATGTCCCAACTTCCCGCCAGCAGCGGAGCGCGGGGGTGGGCGGGGTCGGCTGCGCGCCCTCCCCTCCTCTCCCCTCCTCCCCCCGCCCACCCCCTCCCCGCGCTCTCCCCTCCCACTTCCCTTTCTCTGCCTGGCCGCCCCGCGGGCGCGACCTCTCGGGGCAGTGACGAACTGGGTGGAGCCCGCCGCCGCCGCCGCCGCCGCCGGGGAGAGCGATGCCCCGGCCCCGCCGCTCCCCAAGCCCGCCCCCGGCCGCCCGCGGGCCCACGGGCCGGCGGCGGGAGTGAGCGGGAGCCGGCGGGCGAAGAGCCGCCGCCCGGCCCGCGATGTCACCATTGTTCAGCTGGGTGGCCAAGGTAGGCGGCGTCGGGCGGGCGCCCGTTACCGGAGCGGAGCGGCAGGCGCGGGGCTGGAACATTTGTAACCTTCGGGCCGGGGCTGGGCCGGGCCGCTGGAGGCCAGGCGCGGCGGGGGGCGAGCGGCGGGCGCGACCAGGTCGTTAGCCGCGCGTTTCTCATTCATTAGTCTCCCAGATCCCTGTGGGGAGGACGGGCGAGGTAGCGGCGCCCATTTCACAGTTGGGGAGACTGAGGCTGTACTCGGGGACCCCTGCGGGAGCCCGAACCCAGCAGGCGGCTCCTCCGGCCCCTGTCGCTCCCCGCGCCGCGGAGCTGCCGCTCGGTGCCTCCCCGGCGCGGGACCTCGCGGAAGTCGACCCCGCGTGTCTCCCTCGCGGGTGTCGCCCTCGTGTGTCTCCCTCGCAGAAGTCGGCTTGCGCTGGGCCGCCTGGACAGGGCGCCGAGGATGCCCAGAGGCTGGTGCCCACAAGGGGCGTCTGTCTTTCGTTTTTAACCCTCTGGTTTCAAAGGGCATGTTCTGAGGTCTGAGTTTTAAATAGAAGTTTTTAACTTTCCATTCCCACAAAGTTTTATTTTCAGAACATCAGCGCCTTCGAGATAACTGGGTGGTGCAAATCCAGGCCAGTTGCACTGTTGCTAACAGGAAGGCATAAGTGTAGATTTCCCGAGTTCCCACCAGTTCGAGAACACAGTAATAGCATCAATAGCATTCTTTTTATCCACTCCTGCAGTGCCAGGTGTCTGAATGTGTTTTAAAGGATGCGACCCTCGCCACCTTGAAAGGCTCGCTGGTCGTTAGGGCATCTTGCTGTCACCCCATGCACTCAGTCCCTTGGCCGGCGCCTTCCCAGGGCTTGTTTCCTGTGTATGGCTGGTTGAGTAATAAGCTCACAACTCGTTAGCCATACTGTGAGGCTTTACCAATTAATAATTTAATTAGGTGGTGGTTATGTCTTGAGTTATCATGCAATGCTTTTATAGTCTTATTTAATTACATTTTTATGAATACCTGTTTGTGAGCAGGTATGGCTTTGCCTGTGATTTAAGTGATACAAAATTGGAGACACAGAAACTAGATAACACTAGTTTTTAGATGGGCAAAAGTTTTTAGGTAGATTTTCTTACTAGGTAAATAACATTCCATTAGAATCACTTCCTGAAACATAGCTGGTGGTAAAATGAGATGACTTTCAAAAACGTTTTGAGTCATTAAAAAGTCATTTCAAAAACCATCACAGACTTTTAGGACGATTGTTAGCCTTCTCCGAGTGTCAGTACGTTGGAAAAGTTTATATAGAGGAAATGTAGGCTGGTAGCTTAATTTGGATTCTGAATCTTGTTATTTCAAAATTATTATTTTTGAGACAGAGTCTTACTCTTGTCACCTAGGCTGGAGTGCAGTGGTGCGATCTCAGTTCACTGCAACCCCCACCTACCAGGTTCAAGCGATTCTTGTGTCTCAGCCTCCCCAGTAGCTGGGATTACAGCTGTGCGCCACCACTCCCAGCTAATTTTTGTATTTTCAGTAGAGATGGGGTTTTGTCATATTGGCCCGGCAGGTCTCGAACTCCTGGGCTGAAGTAATGCCCCCACCTTGGCCTCCCAAAGTGCTGGGGTTACAGATGTGAGCCACCACACCCGCCCTCAAAATTATTATTTCGATTACAGGACAACAGCGGAAAAACTATTAAATGTTTTTGGAGCAAATTCATGTATACCTCTTAGCATACATTTTTAAAATGTGGTTATTTTATATTTCATTTCCTGTAGGTGGTGCATGCATTACAAATTATATCCCGAAATTGAATGATTTTTATAGATAACGTGTTATCCTGTGAAAGATTTTAGAATACGAAATTAGTCTTTGGAAGTTTATTTCTTGGAGTTATAGATTGTAAGAATGATGTTCTATGGAACTGATGTGGTTTACGGTGAAGAGGCAAGTCATTAACACACTTTACATTACAAACTAGGTAATATCCTAAAGACAAAGACAAAAGGCATAGATAATGTACACAATGTGAATAATCTTGAAGTTGTTATATTTGACTTCAGAATGCCCCTTCAGAAACACACAGCTGCACATGAGCACAGGCCTCACACAAACACCTGCACATCCAGTTACGCAGCTGACTTTCCTTTTCCTTTTTCATTTTGACCTTTGCAACTGCAGCTGAACACCTGGTGGGGAAGGAGAAGGGGTGGGTGTCGGTTGATTCACATGGATACCTGAGCACGAATGTGTTTTTCTTTTTTTTTGTTTTGAGACAGAGCTTCGCTCTTGTTGTCCAGGCTGGAGTGCAATGGCACAATCTTGGCTCACTGCAACCTCTGGCTCCTGGGTTCAAGTGATTCTCCTGCCTCAGCCTCCCGAGTAGCTGGGATTACAGGCTTGCGCCACCACCCCCGCTAATTTTGTATTTTTAAATAGAGACAGGGTTTCTCCATGTTGGTCAGGCTGGTCTTGAAGTCCCGACCTCAGGTGATCCACCTGCCTCGGCCTCCCAAAGTGCTGGGATTACAGGTGTGAGCCACCGCCCCCGGCCAAGCATGAATGTGTTTTTCTTGCACGATGCATTAGTATTGTGTGAATATTGAATGTGTAGAGTGGGCAATTTCATGATGTAGGAATAAAGCCAAAACGGGAGAGTTTTGTTTTAAAGAGATTATCTGTTTAAAGAAGAAAGAAAAACATAAGATGTACTTTTAAAAAAAATTGGACATGATCTGGAACATTAGGGCAGGTGTACATTGCATCAAGAATGTGGCTGGGCTTTATAGCAGTGTGATTTCTTGATTAGTCTTTCAGTGGGGACACTTGACTTTTTACGCAGTTTATAAATAAAACTGAACTTCTCAAGCTTTGTGATTTTCATAGTAAACTCACAGATGTCCCCAACAACCTGTCAGTTTTGAGTATATCTACTGTTTCTATGCCTCCATGTATCTGTTAGTCAAAACTGACTGCAGCAGAACTGCCAAGTAACTTCCAGAATTTATTTGGATTTGCACCTGCTTATAAAGTTTGTAGCTAAGATTATTGCTGGTATCTCAAGTTGGTAGATTTTAAATATACATATGTCAGTTTATGAGAAAAAATGGAAAATGAGAACTAAATATAGCCAAGTTTGCTGTGTTTCAAATCCAAGTATAGTTTCATATAGTTTATGGTGTGTATTAAGTATTTACCTTATGAATAAAGTACTTAACTGTGTATTTAATGTATTAATTAAGGCATTTAACTGTGTATTTTCCAGTGCTCATTCAACAAGTGTTTTATTAGGTACTTTTTGTATATAAGCAGTGTTTATGTCCTGGAGGAGTTAATTCACTCTGCACAATAGATTATCCTTTAAAAAGTGTGCACCCTGGAGATTTGTAAATTAAATATTTAAAGATGCATTAAAAAAGGAATCTTTTTTTTTTTTGACCCTGAGTCTCACTCTGTCGCCCAGGCTGGTGTGCAGTGGCACGATCTCGGCTCACTGCAACCTCTGCCTCCTGGGTTCAAGTGCTCCTCCCACCTCAGCCTCCCTAGTAGCTGGGACTACAGGCATACACCACCATGCCCAGCTAATTTTTGTATTTTTAGTAGAGACAGGGTTTCACCAGGTTGGCCAGGCCGGTCTTGAACTCCTGACCTCAAGTGATCTGCCCACCTCCGCCTCCCAAAGTGTTGGGATTACAGGTGTGAGCCATTGCATCCAGCCCACAGAATCCTTTTGTAAAGCAAGTAACTGATTGCTAATTAATATTTTATGTAAAACCAGGTTTTCCGTATTTGGGCATTACTTTTAAAACATTGGTTTATCTAGCCACCATTCATTCAACAGGTCATTTAACAAATGTGTTCAGTGCAGATATTTATGGATAACCTACCTATAATAGGTACTATTTGAGGAGCTGGGGATTTAGCAACCGACAAGCAGACCCCTGTTTTCATGGAATTCTAGATGGGAGAGATAGCAAAGCAGCAAGCAAATAGGTGAACAAGATTATTTCAGATGGTGATCAGTGCGAGGAAGAGAAGTAAGTGGCTCCGGGCTGGGGTGGTGCAGGGGTGGCATTCCATCTGACTGGTGAGAGGGCAGGAAACATGCTCCAGGCAGGCCTCAGGGAGAAGGGAGGTATGGCTGGAATATATCCAGCTGGGTGCACAGCACTGAGCTTTGAGTGGGGAGGGGTAAGGTGGGCCAGGCTGTTTATGGCTCCATAGGCTTAGAATGGGGTTTGGATTTGCTTTTAAGTGTAGTCAGAAGCCGTTAAAGATGTGGAAAAGAGGAGTGATGTCAGCTGATGTATATTTCGGATGGAAGCAGAGGGACCACTTAGGAGGTGGTTTTGGTTCGGATAGGAGGTGATAGTGGTAGCTTGGACCTCAGTAATAAGAAAGGAATACCAGTGGATAGTCATTGTCTGTATTTTGAAATGATGTGACCCAGTGGCTTTGCTATCTTGTTTGTCTGTGTTTGGTGCAAATAACCGAGTAACTAATTGCTATTTATATGTTGAGTACGAGTACAACTTGCCCTTCCATCATCTCTTTCTTCTAAGCACAGCTTCCATGCAAAGTTCTGTCCTGACTCTGGGCTTATTTATTTACCTTTGAGGTTTCCTGCAGACTAGACCAGCCCACCTTGGGTGCCGGTAGGCGGTAGGAGTTGCCCTTCTGTTTACCAGCACACAGCACAGCAGCCTTCCTATGTAAGGTGTGAATCTGACTATAGCAAATATTTAGGCAACAATTTTCTTGTGTTGCTTGAAGTCAGTCCAGTGTTGGTTTGTCCTTGATGTGTGTCCTAGGTTAATGTGATGTATTGTTTTAAAATTTTTTTTTCTTCTGTAGACTCATACTACATTTTATTAGTGGATGCTTGAGTTTAATAAGGAGGGGAGAACTCCTTGTCATAGTCAAACCATT
The DNA here is from genome assembly GCF_000001405.40 of Homo sapiens. Taxonomy (NCBI): domain Eukaryota; kingdom Metazoa; phylum Chordata; class Mammalia; order Primates; family Hominidae; genus Homo; species Homo sapiens. The sequence goes on from NC_000004.12 coordinate 37,982,454, forward strand.
CCTTGAATTTGAAAAATGTGCTGCCTCGGCTAAGCAAAGCTGGTATAACCCTGACCAGGATTTCAGCAGAGTTCCTGTGGAGCACTTTTTATCTGGTAGTGGTGGCAGCTGTGTTTTGGGCTTTGGGAACTCTAGTTGCTTAGAGTGTGCCAGGAACTTGGGCGTAGGTTGGTTTTACTGAAAGAGAATGGAGGAGAGCAGAGATAGAAATCCCACCTAATCCACAAATAGAACACAGCCCAGAGCAATGCCTGATGAGAAAAAAAGATAAAGTATAATTTGTTTCCTTAGACAAATTCTTTAATCTGATTTTAACCTGTATGTGTGTCCCCTGTTCTTCTGTTTCTATCAAAACTCTCCTCATCCTTCATTCCTTTCCTGAAGCACCTCTGATTAATCATTCATTCATTGACGAATGTACTAAGCAGGGCAGAGAATAACGGGAAGGGCAGGTTGTGCCAGGCAGTTAGAGTAGCGTATGCTAAGGCCTGGAGGCCCCTTGGTGGAGCTGCACTCACAGGAGGTTGGTGGGCCTGGAGCGAGACTGCTGGGGGGAGTAGCAGAGGCGAATGAGGACCAGGATGAGCATGGCATACAGACCCCTTTGGTATTTTATTCTGGAGCAGTGAAGACCCATTAGGGGCCAAAGATGATCTTTCCCCAAACTCTTTTTTTTTTTTTTTTTTTTCAGACGGAGTCTCGCTCTGTCACCAGGCTGGAGTGCAGTGGTGCGATCTCGGCTCCCTCCACCTCCCAGGTTCAAGTGATTCTCCTGCCTCAGCTCCCGAGTAGCTGGGATTACAGGCAGGTGCCACCACACCCAGCTAATTTTTGTATTTTTAGTAGAGACGGGGTTTCACCATGTTGGCCAGGATGGTCTCGATCTCCTGACCTCGTGATCTACCTGCCTCGGCCTCCCAAAGTGCTGGGATTATAGGCGTGAGCCACTGTGTCCGCCATCCCTCCCCCAAACTCTTATAGCTGTGTATTTCATTCTGTATGATGCTTTGTACGGTCACCACACTGTGCCCAGCTTTTTCTTCTTCCCTTTTTTCTTTAAATATACTTTATTTTTTAGAGCAGTTGTAGGTTTACAGCAAAATTGAGTGGAAGTTACAGAGATTTCCCATATAGCCCCTGTCCCCACTGAACTTCTCAAGCTTTGTGATTTTCATAGTAAACTCACAGATGTTTTGATAGAAACAGAAGAACAGGGGACACATGCACAGCATCCCCTGTTATTAATATTCCTCACCAGAATGGTGCATTTGTTACAACTGATGAATCTATATTGACATATGATTATCACACAAAGTCCATCGTTTACATTAGGGTTCACTGTTGGTGATATACATTCTACAGGTTTGGACAAATGTATAATGACGTATATCCAGCATTATAATATCATACAGAGTAGTTTCATTGCCCTACCAGTCCTCTGTGATCGATTCATCCCTCCCTTCCTATAAGCCTTTGGCAACCCACTAATCTTCATACTATTTATAGAGCATGTATATATAGTTCTGCCTATAGAGAATGTCATGTAGTTGGAATCATACAGTATATATGTAGCCTTTTCGGATTGGCTTCTTTCACTAAGTATATGCATTTAAGTTTCCTGTGTGCTTTTTTTTTTAAAATGGCTTGATCATTTTTTTGTGCTGAATCATATTAATTGCCTGGATGTACCACAGTTTATCCATTCACCCACAGAAGGACATCTTGGTTGCTTCCAAGTTTTAGCAATTATGAGTAAAGCTACTATAAACATCTCTGTGTAGGTTTTTGTGTGGATATGAGTTTTCAGCTCCTTTGAGTAGATATCAAGAAGTATGATTGATAGATTGTAATGTAAGATTATGTTTGTTTTTGTGAGAAGCACTCAACTGCTTTTCAAAGTGCCTATACCATTTTGTATTGCCATCAACAATGAATGAGAATTTCTTTTGCTCCTCACAGGCATTTGATGTTGTATTCTGGAATTTGATTATTCTAATAGGTGTGTAGTGGTACCTCATAGATGTTTTAATTTATGTTTCTTTAATGACAGCTGATGTAGTCCTACTCCCTTTCTTTTGATTGACTTTTAAGGAATAGAAATAATGTTAGGCCAGGAGTGTTAGCTCACACCTGTGATCCCAGCACTTTGGGAGGCTGAGGTGGGTGGATCACTTGAGGCCAGGAGTTTGAGACCAGCCTGGCCAACATGGCAAAACCCTATCTCTAGAAAAATACAAAAATTAGCTGGGTGTGGTGGCGTGTACCTGTAATCCCAGCTACTTGGGAGGCTGAGGCACGAGAATTCCTTGAGCCTGGGAGGCAGAGGTTGTAGTGAGCCAAGATTGTGCCACTGCACTTAGCCTGGGTGACAGAGTGAGACCCTGTCTCAAAAAAAAAAAAAAGAAAATGTTAGTGCTTTTGAATTTTATTTTAGAATGCACAGTAATATTCACGAACATCTGTACAACCTATAGGAAGACCTTTATTTGGTTATATTTATGATATATATATTTTCTTGAGATGGAGTCTTGCTCTGTCACCCAGGCTGGAGTGCAGTGGCGTGATCTCGGCTCACTGCAACCTCTGCCTGCCGGGTTCAAGCAATTCTCTTGCCTCAGCCTCCCGAGTAGTTGAGACTACAGGCACGCGCCACCATGCCTGGCTAATTTTTTTGTATTTTTAGTAGAGACGGGGTTTCACCATGCTGGCCAGGATGGTCTTAAGCTCCTATCCTTGTGATCCGCCTGCCTCAGCCTCCCAAAGTGCTGGGATTACAGGCGTGAGCCACCGCGCCCAGCCTATATTTATGATATTTATGAATCTAATCTTAAGTATCTGGTTTTTCCATTTTAAAATTTCTATGATTTCTGATTTTGTTGTTGGAAGAGTGGTGAACAAGTACTCTGTGCTCTTTTGTTAAATTTATATGAAAAAGCTGACAGAAAAATTACCTTAATTTTCATGCACTTTGGTTATTTTCCTGTAAATCATTTTTATATCTGTCATGTTATAATGGGATTAGACTCACAGGCTCTGTTCTTTTACATTGGTTGAACTTGGCTAAGTTAACTTTGCTGAGCCTGTTTTCTTGTGTCTGAAATGAACTTAATATATACTTGTTTTGTATTTATCTTTTTAAAAATAGTTCCTATTTTAAAATCCATTAATGTCAAAATCTGCTTAGGAAATTGTGAAGACTATCTTCAGATGTAAACCATTTAAAACATGGTCGAATGGGCAGTTTAAGTTAATGGCATGTGTGGTATTAGGCAGGGTAGATACTGAGATGAGTAGGACATGGGCCCAGCCCTTGAATAGCTTGCAGTCTAATGGGGAGAGGGAGACCTGTGGAGATAATTTAATTTTAATGTGATATATGCACGAAGAATCACTCAGCTGGGATTTTGGAGGAGACTAGAAGATGAGGTCTGAGTGAAGTCAAGGGTAATTGTAGGTCATTGATGTGGTGGATTATGAAAAGGAATAGTGAGGAAATACTACTGGTAGTTTTCTAGCATGTTTCAGAATGATTCAAGGTTGCTTTCCAACTGTTTGCCTTGTTTTTGAGACCACTGATTTTTAACCTTGGGGAAGGCACATCAGTATAAATAAATTACTCAGACCTTTTCTTTCATACCAGCACTGCCTATGGCCCTCAAATACCTATCAGTAATTGTGGCTTAGGGTGGTGGTCATTCTAGTAGGATTTAGTAATGTAATTACGGTGTAACCAGAATGTCATCTTGAATGTAATTCCATTTGTTCTTTTCTACATGGGGAACTGACACCCAGAGCGATGAAGTAACTTGATTTGAACAAGATCACACAGCTAGTTTATGGCAGAACTTAAAAAGTTCTTGGACACCTGTTTTTGAGGTACATTGTTAATATTGCTCTGCTGATTTGTTTGCACTTTCATCTTCAAACTGTTTTACTAAAATCAAAACTATGCACATCTATCAAACAATATATTGTATTTCAGAATACTTTATTTATTTATTTATGTTTTTGAGACGGAGTCTTGCTCTGTTGCCCAGGCTGGATTGCAGTGGCGCGATCTCGGCTCACTGCAACCTCTGCCTTCCGGGGTCAAGTGATTCTCCTGCCTCAGCCTCCAGAGTAGCTGGGACTACAGGTGCCCGCCACCGTGCCTGGCTAATTTTTGTATTTTTACTAGAGATGGGGTTTCGCCATGTTGGCCAGGTTGGTCTTGAACTCCTGACCTCAAGTGATCTGCCTGCCTCAAGTGATTACAGGTGCGAGCCACTGTGCCTGACCCAGGATACTTTATTTAACCCCTTGATGAGTGTATTCTTGCAAATTTCAGGTCAAGATGCCTGCAGGGAAATGAGCAAGGAGAGGAAGCCTGAGTAGTCGGGTTGGGGTGGGTGGGGATCCTTTGATATGTGAAGGGTGTCTCTGCAGCCTGGTAGGACCAACCAGTTGTGTTAACTGTGCAAGAAGAAGCACAGCCTGAGTATTTGAAGAGAGTGCAAGTTGCCAATGTCTAATGTGGCTGTTTAGCTCCCTAGCACTGGGCTGCAGTGACCCACCCATTCACTGAGTGCTCCTGTTTCCCGGAAGGCATCCTCTGGGAGATGGGGTAGGTGTGTGTAATGGATCTCTTCCCTCTAATATGAGAGATTGACTTTGCTCAGAAAAACATCGACTGCAAATGGCATTTAATAGAAGGGACAATTATTTTAGCATGAATAACAAGGGAAGAGATGATTATATTTTTCAGAACTTTATATGTGCCAGCCATTGTGTTAGAAGTCTCATAATTAATTTAATTCTCAAAATAATTGTGGCAGTAGTGGTATTATTTCCTCCTTCCACTTTTTTTTTTTTCAGGAAAGAAATATGAAGAAACTGAAATTCAGAAAGGCTAGGTACCGTGTCCTAGCTAATAAGATTAAAGCTTGACTTGTTTGGCTCTAAATTCATATTTTATCTGTTGTACCTGCATTGTCTCTGTAACGGGGATTACAACGCATGTTCAATATGTGAAACAAGGGCAGCAGAGCTTAGAAAAATATCTTGTTCCACTGAGAAACTGAACTTTTTTCCCCTTTCTTAGGTGAGAGACATAAAACATTCAACTAATCTGCTTTTAAAAATAGATATACCATATGGAAACTATATAAGAAGTGTAACATTTTTTTAAATCCCTGAATTTTGTGATGTTCTCAGTTAGGGAGAGAAGGAAACAGGAAATAAGAGAAAAATCACATAGAAGATTGAAGGTGAAGATTGGGAGGAGGTTAAGACAATTCAATGATAGACCGAAAGAGGTCAGTTTTGAGTGACCACATGAGATTGCATTTTCTCGTTGACTTGAGTTGTGGATTTTAGAGTGTTTTCACTTATTCTCTGATATTCTTTTCAAAGTACCACAGAACCATGTTTCATAGTTATTCAGCTTACCTGGAAAGTTCTCTTTAGGAGTCGATTCTGCATAGACTCTCCAGAGCATCATACTGTGGATGTTTTATCGGCCTATAGATAGCACACTAGGCAGGCAGTAGCAGGCGTGGGGTGCAGGTCCCAGTGTGCTCTGTGTTTGCTGTTTAGCCTTGGCTAGGCGACAGTGGGAAAGATGATCAATGCCAGGTGCCCATCAGGTAGCCTTGTTTGGCATCACGTGAGCTGATGTAAGTGCATGTAAACCGTCAAGCACTCTTTTGGATGAACTTGTCTAGGAACAGCAGGGTGTAGCACGTGTTTCCAATACATTTTTTGACCTAGGGCAAGTTACACTTGCCTGGGCCTCAGTCCTTGATCTATAAAATGAGAACATTGTGTTAAATGATTGCTACAGTTGTATTCAATTCAGAATCTGTGTCCCTGTGAGTGCAAGTCAAGCCAACTATCTTAGATTGTCTACCTTTGATAAGGAGGAAAGGGCCCCTGAAATCATTGGTCTAGGTCAGATCTCTCCACCAGTTACCAGTGGAGGGATGACCTTAAGTAAGTTATTTTTTTCTCTAGACATTAATGTGTTCATCCATTAAAGGGGGGATGATAAACAGCTATCCTCTAAGCGGTTGACGATTTATCCACATAACACACTTAGTACCTAGATTAAGCACTTAGTACTCGTGAACCATCATCATCATTGAATTTAGGGGTGGAGGAAGACTTTTGTAGTTGCTTAGCTGCATTCCCTCTTTTTAAGGATGAAGAAACATGAAGCCCACTATAGGTGAGATGTCTTTCCCAAAGCCACAGCTAAGATCCAAACAGAGCTCTTTGCATCACCTGGCACTCATTCAAATGGAAACCAAAAACAAAATTTGAAGCACCCCAACTGACCGATGGACCGCCCCCTCCTCAGTCAAGGGCATTCCAGAGAAACCTGAAAAACTCGTTCAGGTCGTGATGGGAAAGGGGACATGCTTCATTACACCTTCCTCTCTCTGGAATTCAGGCACAACTGACCAGCGTAAACATTAAAACAGAGATCTTAAGACTGCCAAAACAGATCTCAAATTCCAGCCTAACTGCAGTCTGACATCACTTGACATAGCAGGCCCTGAAAGAAATTGAAGTATTTTACCACAAAATATATTTCTTTGGCATATTTTGAAATGGCCCTGGAAAGCTGTCTCTTATGGGGAAAATCTACTTTCTCTAAAGAATCCTCTTCACTTTCCAGATCTTTTCCTTGAACCAGGAGAGAATTAACTAAGAGTCTGGCACATTTTTTGTTAGGTCTGATAAGATCTCTGAAGCCTGCTACCTGGAGGCCTCATCTGCATGATAAAAACCTTGGTCTTCACCCAGGTTATGACCTTGTCTTAACCTACACACTTATTTCTATTGATTCCAGATCTTTAGATAATAACGCTTTCAACTAATTGCCACTCAGAAAATATTTGAATCCACCTATGACTTGCAACCTCCCCTCCACCTTCAAGTTGTCCCACCTTTCCAGACCAAACCAATGTACACCTTACATATATTGATTGATGTCTTATGTCTCCCTAAAATGTATAAAGCAAGCTATAGCCCCGACCACCTTGAGCACGTGTTCTCAGGACCTCCTGGGGTTGTGTCATGGGTCGTGGTCCTCACATCTGGCTCAGAATAAATCTCTTTAAATGTTTTACGGAGATTGATTCTTTTTGCTGACACTAATATTTAGATTCTTTCTGTTGTTCTAGCACATTCTGCATGAATTAAACATAAACCCTGTTCCCTAGTACAGAACAAGAGCAAACTGCTTTCTTTAGGCCACAAGTAACTTAGATCAGTTAAGGGGAAAATGGGGGAGAGAGGAGGACATTGGCTTCTGCCACCAGCAGCCTGTGTGACCTTGCCCAAGGTCACAACTCTGTGGGGTTAGTTCCCCTTCCCTGAAATAGGTGTAGGGAGGGACTCCTTGACAGTTTCTGGTTTTTTTCGTCTCTCAGAGTGCAATGAAGAATTTCTTCATGGCTAAGGCTGTTAGACTCCAGAAAATAGTTTGCCAACCAAAGACACAGAGTTTCCAATTTTGGAATACTTTAAAAATAGGAAGGAAGTTTATTTGTTTAGCAGAATTTATAATTGTAGGACTGCCCAAGGCAGAGAATTAGCCAAGTGGTATTTTGCGGAAGTTCTTTTTAAAGGGTGGGCCCAAAGGAAACCAGTCATTAGGTGGAAATAAACTGTCAGATTTTTGAGACGTTATTTGCTTAGGGACATTTACACTGGTCTATTGTGACAGTCTCTATTGTGTTAGGCTTTTAAAAGAAATATGTAAGTTTCCAAGTTTAAAATGTTAGAGCAAGTGTCCAGTCCACGGCCTGTGGGCTACATACAGGCCAGGATGGTTTTGAATGTGGCCCAAAAAAGATTCATCAACTTTCTTAAAACATTGAGTTTTTTTTTTTTAAGCTAATCAACTATCATTAGTGTTAATGTATTTTATGTGTGGGCCAAGACAATTCTTCCAGTGTGGCCCAGGGAAGCCAAAAGATTGGATACCCCTGTATTAGAACTTGTAAAATTTGACTTCAGAAACACAACCAAAAGCCCGCTTATGAGTAAGGAGTTTGTGGCCCCTTGTGTACTGATTATTAATCAATTAATTGTATAATAAGCATGAAATATTGCTAGTACATCTAAGGCCAAAGCCTTCTTACGGTTCCAGAAAAAGCTGTATTCCTGAATTTCCAGGTGAAGGGAAGGGATTCTCCTTCCATTTCCAGAAATATGTGAATATAATACATAGGGATTTTTATCACACTAGTGTTTCAGTAAAAGCAGCCCTTCAAGTCTGTGCCATCCAGTTTTGGTGTAACTGAAAGAACATCGTACCAAAGTTTGATTTTTGTCAATTCTCTAGTGTGTTAATCAGCTGAGAATGTGGTCTCTGGATATTTTTCCCCAAGGAAAGAGCTGGATGTACTAGACCACCAGACCACACAACTCTGTATTTGTTTTGCAATAACTACACTATTTGGGGGAGTAGTGTGGTGTTTCCAGACGTTCTTGGTCAAGAAATCTGGCCGCTTCAAGCTCAGTGTTGATCACAATCTATTTCTTTTGCCTCTACTCTGTGGCAGGCACTTGAGACACAACTGCCAAGATGAGAGAGACCCAGCTGCTGACCTGGGGCGGGGGTGGGTGGGGGGAAGGTGGTGAAGGCAGTCACAGAGTCAGCCTGCCAGAAAGCAGGTGGGGAACTGTAAACCTCTGAGTAGCCCCTTGGTATACAGAGGTAATAATTTCCCAAATGTAGTAAATCCCACTTTACAACCTCACGGTTAATTTTGATCAGGGATAAGTAGAACTGACTATACACTGTTAACTTAGATATTGTCCTTCTCAAAAACATCATTTTTATTCTGGGTGCCAGAGATTTGGCTTGGGTGTGGGTGTTAAGAACAGTCCACAGTGTCCTGGAGTACCTCTCCGCTGATCTGGGGGCTCTTTAAACCTCTCTAACAAGTTTTTGTGCTAATCCTGACTGAGTAGATGGAGGCAGTGGAGCCCAGCTGGCCTGTCACTATGGGGCAGAGGGTGACTCTACCCTCAAGCCCTGCATGAAGACCCCAGGGTGGGCACCACAGCCCTTTACAGTCACTTAGCACCTGCTGCTGAACACGAGCATGCAGACCTGGTAAGGCTTGTGAGTTTCAGAGAATTCCTGCAAGTCCCTGGAAATGTGGGCACTGGCAGCTCTTCTCTCTCTTTTTTTTTTTTAAATTTAGTGGGCTTAGAGGTTTTAGCCTAATAAGGAAATTTTACACTGGACGATTTTATCCCAAATAAAAGCAAATCATAGGGACCCAGTGTTGCCTAAAAAACCAGTCCTTACTGGGGAGGTCTAGTTGTGTCTAGCCTGGCTCTGTGACCAGATGCCAGCCATTCCAGCCTCCTGTGGCTGCATTTCATCCCGAAAGTGAATAAGGTGAGTGAGTGATTCAAAGGTCCCATCCAGGGGGTGACAAAGAATATTCCAGGTGGAAGAAACTGCATGAGCAAAGGTATGGAGGTGGAAACCCAAATGAACAGAGGCTTAGGAGGTGTGTTCGAAACATGTTTGGTACAAACGGAACTTACAGAGAAAGAAGCCAGGTGAAATAAGGCAGGAAGAGTTGAGTGGAGCCCCATTGGTGGGAGACCCTGAGGGTTAGCAGGACTGTGTTTGTTCTGGTAGGGATTGCAGAGGAGCCCTAGAAGGTTTGTGAGCAGGAGGCTGACCCCATCAGACCTGTGTTTCCAGAAGATCAGGCTGTGCTGGATAGCAGGATGGATGTAGGGAGATGCCAGAGGCGGCAGAGGAGAGGTCTTGCTGGGGTCTGGCTGAAGCAAGTGTAGGCCCGGACCAGCGCTTGAGGTTTTGGGCTCGTGGTGAGAGAATATACACCCAAAGAGCTGAGGGAAAGAAGGAGTAAGGAGAAAGAAGAGCAGAAGCCACTTACCAGGTTTTGAGCCCAGTTACCTAGAAGGCATTTGGGAAACAAGGAAGTAGGAAGAAAGGCCTATTTTAAGGAAAAGAGAATGAGCTTGATGTGGATATTTTAAGGTCAAGGACTAGAAGTCTGGTGTTTTTTTTTTTTTTTTTTTGAGACGGAGTCTCGCTCTATCACCCAGGCTGGAGTGCAGTGGCGCGATCTTGGCTCACTGCAAGCTCCGCCTCCCGGGTTCACGCCATTCTCCTGCCTCAGCCTCCCGAGTAGCTGGGACTACAGGTGCCTGTCACCACGCCCGGCTAGTTTTTTGTATTTTTAGTAGAGATGGGGTTTCACCGTGTTAGCCAGATGGTCTTGATCTCCTGACCTCGTGATCTGCCCGCCTCGGCCTCCCAAAGTGCTGGGATTACAGGTGTGAGCCACCATGCCTGGCCGATTCTTTTTTTTTTTTTTTTCTTTTTTTGGAGACAGAGTCTCACTCTGTCCCCTAGGCTGGAGTGCAGTGGCGCGATCTCAGCTCACTGCAACCTCCGCCTCCTGGGTTCAAGTGATTCTCCTGCCTTGGCCTCCCGAGTAGCCAGGATTACAGGCGTGTGTCATCATGCCCAGCTAATTTTGTATTTTTAGTAGAGATGGGGTTTCACCATGTTAGCCAGGACGGTCTCGAACTCCTGACCTCAGGTGATCCGCCTGCCTCAGCCTCCCAAAATGTTGGGATTACAGGCGTGAGCCACCGCGCCCGGCCTGGTGATTCTTTAAATAGGTGATTGGAAATGTTAGCGAAGTTTAGGAAAGAATTCAGAGCTGGAAATGTAGAGAAAGAAACCATCTTTCTTAGTTTTTGGGGAGTAGATGCCATCCTGAGAGAGAGGGAGAGACAGAGAGAGAGAATCAGAACACTATGAAGAATCTTTTTTAAGATGTCTGTGAAATGAAAGATTTTACTAAATACATTCTAAAGGAGAGAATTACATTAGTAAGATTTCATTACCCTGCGCCTCCCCTTAAGGCTGATCTTTATTTTTTTCCTCTTGTAACTAAATCAAGATGAAGCCTTGCTTTTGAAAATGTCATTAGGATTCAGAGACTACAATTCCCACTTGGTAGATGGAGTTCTTGTTCCTGCATTGTGGTGAGTGGATCAAAGTTCAGTTCCAGCAAGTCACTGAAGCCCCTCAACATACAGTAGCACTCCCTTGGCATGGGGCAAACAACAAAGCTTTATTTATTTATTTATTTTTGAGATGCAGTCTCGCTCTGTTGCCCAGGCTGGAATGCAGTGGCGCAATCTCAACTCACTGCAACCTCCGCCTCCCGGGTTCAAGCAATTCTCCTGCCTCAGCCTCCCAAGTAGCTGGGATTACAGGCGCCCGCCACCGTACCCAGCTAATTTTTGTATTTTTAGTAGAGACGGGGTTTCACCATGTTGGCCAGGCTGGTCTCGAACTCCGGACCTCAAGTGATCCACCCACCTTGACCTCCCAAAGTGCTGGCATTAAGGGCGTGAGCCACCGCGCCCGGCCACAACAAAGCTTTGAGCACATTCCCAGCATCAGCTCTTGGCTGGCGAAGCCAGTCTTTATCTCCTGTCAGCCTTGGTTTTGGTGTTGGTTCTCCAGAAATTCCCTGATTGTAAAATATCTGATCTCGTGAAAATGAAGTCAGCACTTCCCAGAAGTTGAGAGGCCTGAAGGGGGAGTAAAAACCGATTTCAAATCCTGCCTGGAGGGAACCTGCTCAGGAGGTCCTGGAAGGTGGAGGCAGGCTCTCATCGCCTGTCTTTATTAAATAAAGCCCTAAAGCCCTAGACTGTGGTGCTCGAAACTTTTTAAGGGATGCCTGACTCCTCAAGAAGTCTGTACCATTTGAATGAGCTCTAGTTGAAAGAAAGGTTTTTATAATATATTCAAAGTGGAAATCTTTCTTACTTTGTTTTTTTGTTTGTTTTTTGAGACGAGGTCTTGCTCTGTCACCTGGATGAAGTGCAGTGGCACAGTCTTGGCTCACTGCAGCCTTAAACTCCCAGGCTCAAGTGATTCCCCTGCCTCAGCCTCCTAAATAGCTGAGACTATAGGTGTGCACCACTGTGTTGCCCAGGCTGGTCTTGAACTCCTGGATTCAAGCACCCACCTACCTTGTCCTCCCAAAGTGCTGAGACTACAGACGTGAACCACCATGCCCAGCCTCTTTCTTTCCCATTTTTGAGAAGAGTGGAGCTAATGCCTCTTTCCTGCGACAGATTTCTACCCAAGCCAAAGGCATTTTTGTCTTCTTCCCCCAGCCTCTGTTCATGCATTTTATGACCCTTGTTGCTGCTGCTTTTAAAGTGTCCTAAAACCAAAAATGAAACTTGCCGTGTGACCTGATCAGCAAGAAGGAGGGTGAGGCTGTGACCCCTCTCTTAGTGTGAGGATGACATTTCTCCTAATGCCCTAGGCTTTTTGTTCCTTTTCATTCTTTTGTTCTCCAGGCCATTCTGCTGGCTTATTTTGGGCTTACAGTCAATTACAATCCTTAAATCTTTTTCACATGAACTTTTGGCAAGCTGGGACTAACTCCATGGGTGATTAGAGCTGAGGGCTTCTTTTTTGTTTTTTTTGCAACTTACGTACTTAACCTGTATCACCATGTTCTTGATGTTGGCATTTTTTTGGTTTTGTTTTGTGGGTATTTTTTTATTTTTGTATTTTCATCCTATTAGCCAATTTATTTTTGTAGAATAGTAGAATTTGGAACTAGAAGTGATTTTAAGAGTACTGCAGTTTGTTTCCTTCGATACTGACACAACAGCCCTCGGGAAACTGACCTGGAGCGATGGGTGCTAAAAGGAGATGAGATTTTCTTCCTCATATGCTAGGAGCCTGGACAGATAAAGGTGTAAACAAAAATGTTAGCAGAGGGTTAGGCACTGGCTACGAATTCAGACTTGGAAACTTCGTTGTCTGTGCAACTTCATACTGTTTCATTCTTGTCCTGTATAGTATTTCTTTGATTTCCTTCATCTGTAAAAGCAGGAAGAAAATATTTGCCACTCAGTTCTGTTTTTTAGGTATCAAATGCTAGGATACAACCTGAGGTTTCTTTCCCCGCCCCCTCACAAAGTATAGATCATTTGTTTTCCTTCCAGCCCTGGGCTCAGTACACAGATGGTTTCTCTTCACCTTTTGGGTTGCGGTTTTCTCCAGGTTGGTGCTGATGATATGATAAAGCTCAGCACAGAAGGCCTTCAGGTCCAGTACCCTGGCCTTGACCTCCCCATAGGCTGTCTTATCTCACTTTTGCACCAACGCCTGGTAATCCATTACATGGGTCTCCTTGGAGGCCTTGGCCACAGCATCCCCGTGTTCTGAGAAGTATTTGGAAATGGTTGTCTGGACGGCTTGCACTTTGGTCTTAACTGCATTCACCCTCTCCAGCACCTTCTCCTGGATTGCTACCCCAAATCATTTGCATCCTCAGTCTTGGGGATCAGGTGCTGGATCCATGTGATCACCAGAATGCATTTCTCTTTGAGAATCCAGACTTCTGGCTTAACCATGGCAAGCAGCGACAGGACCTTCTCATTCCCAGGGAGAAATCCACACTCAAGGACTTCTTTCTTCTCTTGCCTCTCTGTTTCTACCTCATCCTTGGGTGGGGGTTCTGGGATGGGGATGTCCAGTGGGGCCCGGAGGGAGGTCAGGCAGCTACAATGAGGGAATCCTTTTGCAAGGCCTATGTGGGTATATGATTTTCTGTGGCAAGAATCTGTAGAGGAATTCCTTGGCTTCTTGGAAAAGCTCTTGCCTGAAGACATGTACCTGGGTGTGGGCCTCCCTGCTCAGGCACCCACCACAAGGCTTGGCCGTGCAGCTTCAGTTGCTGGATCTCTGGTCTTCTGGCCAGTCGCCCGGGCTTTCGCATTCACAGCCTGACTGTTATAAATATATATTGAAGTTATCTAACATTTATAACTCCGAGAATGCCAAGGAGCAATGAATAGTATTGTTATTGTTACCCTTGGTATTGTGTGCAGTCTAAAATATATAAAGTGGAAAATGGATTAAACTGCTTTTAACTAACATCCTTTATTGGCAAAAGTTCTGATTTGCCTGTTGATCAAAGTTAAAGAAAGGGAGTGGTTACTTGGTGAGTGTAGTTGATTTCAAGAACTGAAATGGTATGAGAGGAAAACCTGTTTCTACCGCTGATCAGAATGAAGATCTGGGTTCTTGAACACATGTGATAAGTTTTACTCAAGAATGCAGTTAGTGCTGTAAAGCTAGTCTGGCATATTTTAAAATTGTAAATAATTGATAGTTATAACACATGCTCAGAGCCCTTTCCTGTGATTGAGCCTGGCACTCATGAATTAGTGTAATTTTTCTGTTCATTTGGAAATGTGTAAATTTCTATTCATTTGGAAATGACCATGGACCTCAAAGATGGTGACAGGGCTGTGGCTGGGCCACACTGTACATTTGTGCAAGTTGCGGGCTGCACAAAGGCACCCAGCCAGTGGCACAAGCAAGGACTGAGATCCAACCCACACTTGGCTTACCAAAGTCTGCCACCCATGGGTTTTTGTCTGTGAGGGGGAGAACAGGGGTTTGGCTTTTTAAGATTTGGACAAAGGCACTGTATATTTGAGGCATAGCCTATACTATGAAATATTTTGTTTTTAAAAAATTAATTTTGGTGCTGTCAAGGTGATTCCGTACTGTGTCCACATATGTAATAATTTGAATCACATTTATTTTACTGCAATTCCTGAGAAGGAACAAGAGTATTTATCTGGTTAACACGCTAATGGTTTATCTAAACTCAAGCTTGAACCATTAGCTTCACGAGACAGACCAGTGCTTAGTATTATCACAATTTTAATTTAAGCTACAAATCTTCATCTTAGATAATTATCTATGCAAATGCAGGGGCAGTCTTTTGAATATTGCTTTTAGACTGCCATCTAAAGTTTTTGGTTTCTGGGGTTTATTTGGAAGTTTGTTTTTGTACTGTATTGTGCTTCCTGACTTAAAGGCTTTTGTGTGTTATGTCGTGAAGCATTTGGGGGCACTTAGAACTGTATGCCGTTTCACTTGTACATTAAAAGAGTTTATCCTAAGATGAAGATTTTTTTCTTCTTTCCAAATGATTTTGCCCCTAGAAGTTTTTACCTAGTAGCAGTAGATGGTAACTTTGAAAAGACTAAAGTTTAAGAAAAATGTACTTTTAAAAAAATTAAAAATAACCTTTTTTATGATTACAAAAATACATATATATGAAAAATAACATACTGATAAGCCCAAATACATATTCCTACCACCCAGAGACCACCACACGTAGTCCCTTCCAGATCTGTTTTATTAATAAGCACTATTGAAAATTCTGTCTCTTTTGCTGGAAATAAGTAGAAGAAATAACAGCTGTTCATATACATTTACTTTTTTTTTTTTTAAAAGAGAATTTTTTGCCAGAATGCCAGAGTAGACTGAGGGTGGATGGGCGAGGGGATTATTCTCTGAGGTGCAGCACACCCTGGTTTCACTGTCTGCACAGTTCCCACTTTTTGTTCAGGGATAAGATGTCTTTGAGAAGAGAAAACCCATGTGAGTAAATATTGAGTTGTAATCTGTATTCGGATTTCTGGATTTTTTTTGGTCACAGTGGTTCTGCCATCTAGCCACTGAACCCTCCCAACCTTTCCCCGTCCTCAGCCCTCATCTGTCACGTTCAGTTACCACTTCTTGCCAGCTTTACCTTCTAGATAGTTCTTGACTTCATCCTCTCCTCTCCATTTGTATTGCCACTGCCCTAGGTGAGATCGTCACTTCTCTCTCCTCAGTTGCTTGTCTCTTCCTTCATCAGTGATGTATTCACTCTGGGTGTGAGGGGCAGCGCCAGGCACTGGGTTACAAGACCCCTGTCTCCAGCGACTGTCTTCTTGAGGACGAAGGCAGGTGAATGAGCCATTGCCACTTCATCCTTCTGCCTGTCATCCTTCCTCTGCTGTTATGTCCATCAAGCCCATTCTCTCCCCAGCAGCCCTGGTGATCCGTTGGAAATGCAAACCTGGCCAAGTCCCCACCTCGCAGTCCTCAGCTGTCTCAGTCTCAGCTGTTTGCTGGCAGCTGGGTCGGGCTGTCCTGGGCCTCCTCCACACCTCCCTCCTCGTCTGCCTCCCCTGACCAACCGGGCCTCCTTGCTCTTAGGTGGTTTTCTCTGTCCCTCCCCTCCTGACCTCCCCTCTTTGCACGTGGTCAGTCTCCTTGCCTCTGTTGCCTTGTTTTCTAAATCATGTTACCTGTCTGTCCCCACTCTTCAGCCCAGCGCACAGCACAGTTTCTGACTTGATAGTCTGCCTTCTGTAAAACGGGAATGAGGGTGTCTTCTTCAGAGTGTTGGTGTGAGGATTAAATGAGATGTAATCCACTGAAAGCATGGCCTCTGGCACACAGTGGGCCTGATAAGTGGTATTGATGCCTGAGATATTGTATTAACTTAAATGACCAGGTTGAAGAGAAGGTGTCAGAAATTTACGTTCCTCCATGTGTATTTGATTATATAAAATACTGTTGGTCACACTTTCCCTACGTCATATTAGGTAAAGTTAGAAAGTGAAGGCTTTTCCACTGGGCACGGTGGCTCTCGCCTGTAATCCCAGCACTTTGGGAAGCCAAAGCAGGTGGATCACTTGGGAACTCAGGAGTTCAAGACCAGCCTGGCCAACACGGTGAACCCCTGTTTCCACTAAAAATACAAAAATTAGTCGGGTGTGGTGGTGGGCGCCTGTAATCCCAGCTACTCTGGAGGCTGAAGCAGGAGAATCGCTTGAACCCGGAGGCAGACGTTAGTTACAGTGAGCTGAGATCAAGCCACTGCACTCCAGCCTGGGTGAGTGAGACTCCGTCTCAAAACAAACAAAAACAGAAGAAAAAAAGAAAGTGGAAGGGTTTTATGTTTCTTTCATGTTTAACCTACATGTTGTAGGTAAAGTTTACCTACAACACTTTGGTGTATTTTCAAGTAAATATATTTAATCGAAGTGAATTACTGTTACATTATGAATTTTACACTTTTAGAGAAACAGAAACTGCCTCACACATTAAAGTGTGTGTGTTAAGCAAATACTCTGATGTAGGCCCGCAAAGTACACAGAAACGAATCAAACAGCATCCTGCCCCCAGCGCGTGGTGTAGGGGAAGGGCTCAGGGCTATGACAGGTGTTACAGCAGAAGACCAGGTGCCCTCAGGACCTGGGAGAGCAGGCCTGTGGGGGGAGGGAGGGGAGGAGACATTTGGGTTGGATCTGGAAGAACCTGCAGACACTAGTGGAGGAGAGTCAGTGGAAGAACATTCTAGAGGAAAGGCTTGCCCACTTGCCTGCAGTGGTTGTCAGATGTGAGCTGCAACCTAATTAACAGTTTATTGAAATGAGATATCAAAGGTATTTATTGGGTATGCTTTTCTTGTTTTTCCATTGGCAGTGATAATACCAAGTTGACAGTTGAAAATGCTTTTCCATCTGTTTCTGTATTGGACTGAGTTGTTGTATTCCAAGGACTAGCTAGGCAATAAATCACATCAGACTAAAATTGAGTACTTGTAACATTTGAAAAGATTATAATGTGCTGGTATTGATGAAGAATTTATACTGTGTAGAAATTAATTCCATTATTCTAACTAATGGACACTTGAGTTTTGCCCCATTAGAGTTTGCTCTTCATGTTGATTTTAATTTCTTTGATGACTATAGCGTCTGGCGAGGCTTTCTCATTTTCAAGTGGATTTGTTTGCATTGGATGGTGGGGCTGGCTTTATTGCATTATTCATATATGCAATACATATGCACCATGGTCCCAAGACATGACTCGTGGTGGTGGTGATTGTATTTTTGAGATGTAGCTGATACCTCCCATCCTCTGGACTTCTTTGGTTCACATCTTTATTTTCACTAACCAGTAACTGAAAATCTAATATTTTCTTTGATTTTGAATGTAGTCAGCAAACCCAGTAGCATTACAGATGGAGTATCCCTTATCCGAAATACTTAGGACCAGCAAGTGTTGTAGATTTAGGGCTTTGGAATATTTGCATTGTACTCACCAGTTGAGCATCCCAAATCTGAAAATCCAAAATGCTCTGATGAGCATTTCCTTTGAGTGTCATGTCGGTGCTCAAAAGTTTCCAATTTTGGAGCATTTAGATTTTGGATTTTTGGGCTAGGGATCCTCAGCCTGTAGCAGTTCCTGTGACTATAACATCAATAAAATCACAGTACCATGATCTGTTTCTACACTGAACACTTCTGACATCAGATGTGTCAGAGTTTTCCCCACACCAGCAACCAGTTCTCTGATTCTCTGGTCACCAACTGGGTCTCCAGTGATCAGTTAAATTCTGACACTAACAACCTGAAGTTAGCACAGACCCCACAAGTTAAGGGCTCAGTCTCACAAGACTGCCCCAAGATACCCACTGACCTGCTATAAATCAAGTTCCCACCACCTCCTCCTCAGGGTCAGTCATTTGCTAGAATGGCCCACAGAACTTAGAACACTCTTTACTTACATTTACTGGTTTATTATAAAGAATACCACTCAAGGCCGGGTGCGGTGGCTCACGCCTGTAATCCCAGCACTTTGGGAGGCTGAGGCGAGCGGATCACCAGGTCAGGAGATCGAGACCATCCTGGGTAACACGGTGAAACTCCGTCTCTACTAAAAATACAAAAAGTTAGCCGGGCATGGTGGCGGGCACCTGTAGTCCCAGCTAATCGGGAGGCTGAGGCAGGAGAACGGCGTGAACCTGGGAGTCAGAGCTTGCAGTGAGCCAAGATTGCGCCACTGGACTCCAGCCTGAGCAACAGAGTAAGACTCCGTCTCAAAAAAAGAAAGAAAGAAAGAAAGAATACCACTCAAGAAGAGCCAAATGGAAGAGATACGTAAGGCAAGGTATGGAAGGGGTTTTGGGGTGTTTAGAGCTTCCATGCCTCTTTGGGCCTGCCACCTAGCAACACCTCGATAAGTTCATCAACCCAGGAGCTCCCTGAATCCCACCATTTAAGGGTTTTTATGAAGGTTCCAATATGTGAGCATAATGGATTAAATAGTTGGCCATTGGTAACTAATTCACCTTTCTCCCCTCCCAGGAGATATAGGTTGGGGAGTAGGGTGTAAATCCCAACCCTCTAATCACAAAGTTGGTCCCTCTGGCAACCAGTGCCAATCCTAAAGCTATCTAGGACCCAAAAAGAGTCACCTCATTAGCATAAACTCAGGTACAGTTGATAGGGGCTTATTATGAGGCATTCCTAATTCCTTATTATAAGGCATTCCTAATATTACCCAGTTCCCTCAGGAAATGCCAAGGGTTTTAGATGCTCTTGTGTCAAGACCAAATAGTTCTTATTATATCGCGATATCATGTCAGTTATTTCCATATGCCTTACAGTTTTATACATCTCTCAAATACTGTATGTGCTCATCACTGCTTTAAGTTACAGTAAGTTATTGACTTGCTGCTTGATCTTGTTAAATATGGCAGTAAGCACTTAGTACTATATCATAATTATTTGGATAATTCCCTTTCAGCATAATTGAATCTTTTGCCATCCCTTGTGTTCTAATTTATGCATTTGAGAACTTTATTCTTCAGGGTCCATAGGCTTCACCAGGCTGTGAGAGGGGTCTGTGGCACGAAAAGTTTAAGAATCTCTGCTTCAGTCCCTGGGATGTGCTTGAGAGAGAGCATTCCTGCATTCGTTCAGGATTGGTAGGAATGTGGGGTGTGTGATTGAGATGCTGTCTCTCACCTAAGACTAATCCCATATAGTCAGCAGCACACAATTTAACAAAACCTCAGTCGCTCTTGGGGGCATTGTAATATATACCCACCATAAAAAAGAAAGGGTTAAACTACATTCTCTGTAGGCTTTGAAAAAATATACTAAGCAGTTCCCATCCAAAAATATTTAAAATAAAAATAGCCAGACACAAAGTCTTCAGCTGTCTAGAAAAATCTTATAATACAAAAGGAATTACTCCCCGTGTTTCTGGTTTATTATTTTTACAGCATCTGTTTCTTCTGCAAATATTTGTTGTATGCCCACTATGCTCAGGCATTGTGTTGGAGATTTACAGATTTATGGTGGTTTTCTCTTCTAAGACCTATTTGAAATATGTCTTTCTCATTACTTAAAAACTTTGAAGTCATTAGATCGTTTTGCATTGCAATCATTTATACATTGAGCAGACTTATTGAATACTTGCAGTATGCCAGACAGTGTACTAGGCACTTACTTTGTCCTACATAAGTAGCACAATAGACAGTAATCCTACTCTCTGGGAGCTGACCTTTATTTAGGTGTTTTGTGCTCTGAGGCTTAGAGGGCTGCCTTGACGTGCCATAAAAACTGCTTGACGCTCTTAAAAATTATGGGTGGCCATTATTTTAGATTGAGCTTCTCTACTGGGCCCCAGCTGAACATACCAAACCAAAATGGAGTCACTTATGCTAAAGGTGATGTAATCAAACTGAAATGTTAAGAAAGCAGATGGATCCCAGAACAGACCAGTTTAAGAAAGCAGATGGATCCCAGAACAGACCTGAAAACAGGAGATTCCAGTCTACCTGAGTCAGCATAGCAAGGAAGTCCCTTCTGCTTTATTTAGCCCTTACAGAAAAGTAGCCTGAAGTAACCTGATGTTAACCAGTCAGGTTTTTCTATTCTGTTTCTTTGTTTCCATCTTACAATACCTACTGTTCTGCCATTGCCTGGTGGGAGCTTTCATTCGATTTGGTAGAATGGAGTCTTCCCTGATGTATGAATTGTGAATAAAATACAATTAGATCTATAACTAAATTTGTTGCAATTGTGTCTTTTGATACCACTCACAGACCTCGTGTATTTTGTAAGGTAGTGGTTTTCACACTCTGTTCCTGTGGGTGTTTATGATGTCTAGGGCTGGCAGAAGGAAGGAGGGGGACATGTTCTGTTTCCTCAGCCCCATTTTAATCAGAACATTCATACTCATATTTGAGATTGCCGGAAAGTTGAGGATGGGGTGAGATGGAGAGTTTTGTTGCCTACAGGGTGTTTGGAAATTTGGTCAAAGGTTTGAATATGACTGGCATTATCTATTGCCTGCTGATATTGTAGAAATTATTTTTGTCATTTATTATTCGTTCTGTACTGAAAGGTAGATGGAAGCTTGTTGCCTCTAGGTACTGATATTTTAATAAAGTTGGCAGTCAGATGTGGTGGCTCATACCTATAATCTCAGCACTTTGGGAGGCTGAGGTGGGAAGATCCCTTGAGCCCAGGTGTTTAAGACCAGCTTGGGCAATATGGTGAAAACCCATCTCTACAAAAAACAAAAAAGCTAGCCAGGCATGGTGGCATGCACCTGCAGTTCCAGCTACTTGGGAGGCTGAAATGGGATAATCGCTCAAGCCTGAGAGGTTGAGGCTGTGGTGAGCTATGATTGTGCCCATTATACTCCAGCCTGGGCAACAGAGCAAGACCCTGTCTCAAAAAAAAAAAAAAAAAGAGTTGGCCTTTTCTTACCTTACAAACATCAAGGTAACAGCTAGCATTTATTGGGAGCTATTATAGGCTAGGCTCTATGCTAAACTTTCATATTTAATTTTGTCCTCAAAATGACCCTCCAAGGTAGCTGGTAATGTCTCATTTTAGTAGAAGAGGAGTCGAGGTTCCTAGAGCTCAGGTGGCTTGCCCAAAGCAGTGCTTGCAGCTTATTTCAGCATTCCAAGCTACAGAGTTCCCCATAGGTTCTGTCAGCATCACACATTCATAGCTTCAGCTGCCTAGCAGTTAGGGCTGACTTTCTCCTGATAGTTGTGACCAGCAACGAGAGTTCATCTCTACTCTTTTAAAGGTTATTCTGTTTTAGTTACTGCTCCAGATCCCTGGCTCCCTCCGGATGGAATGTTTGTGGTCTAGTAAGCAGTACTGGGCTCACTCTCATATCTTTGTACTTCCCTCCCTCCCTCAACCTGCACACACTAAACAATTTTCTTACACTGAAATGCAATTAGCAGTCCTGGCAGTTTATGCAAAGGTTGGGATTTATACTCGTCACACATTTACCAAAATGCTTTATTATTGAGCAGAGTGCCTGATGGATCCTGAATATGCCTTTTTTTTAAACAAAAAAGAAATCTTGTACTTTCTTTTTGTACAGTGTTTGCAGTTAATGAAATCAATGCCTTAATTACCTATCAGAAAGGAATGAGATGGTTCTAATATGGGTTCTAGTGAAATATGCCCTCGATGATAAAAGTTAGTTGCAGAACACTATGATCCCACTTAAAAAAATTGGTAAATTACCATTAAGTGTACACAAAGAACTACACAACAGAAAAGCCAGATTGTTAACTGTAGATGTTTCCAGGGATTATGGGCAACTTTATGTTTTCCTGTTTTTCTTTTATGTGGATGTGTATTGAACTAATTTTTAGAAACCGAAGATAATTAAAGAGTACATTTTGTAGCTGTGTTCAAAAAGGATAGATTATTGAAAAACGGTAAAACATGAATATTTGTTTTCCTTGGTTCTTGAGGTTAGCCCTTTTATGCCAAGGCAAAATGCCTCAGCAGCAACTTAACGAGCCCAGAAGAAGGGTCTGACCTGGCTCCCTGGCAGGGAGGGGGAGGGAGAGAGCAAAGTGTTCTTCTCCTTCCATCTCCCCCGCCTTTCTGTTCAGCCGTAACCGTCTTGCATCTTCTTGGTTATGAAATGATTGACCTTTCTGTTGAGCCTAACAACACCTCTGCTGGTGCTGGTTTGGATTGGAGGCCCCAGGATGCGGAAAAAGGGTGTGTAAGAGGAGGGTGCTCCGGAGATATAAATGTGTGCTTTATTTTCCTCCTAAAGCAAGAGGATAGGGAAGGGAAGAATGCAAGAGCAAAGCTTACATTTTTCAGTAGTTGTTGCAGTTCTGATACATTGATCTCATTTGTTGTGGTTTAAATACACAGAGTGAGATCGTAAGGTGCTGGCTGTCTGGGGCTAGTTCTACCTGAATCTTGGGTATTGTACATTATGTGAGAATTAAGGTTATGATTTGATTTGAAAGACTAGGCTGTTTGCAGCTTCAGTAGGGAGTGTTCAGAGATGTTTTCCTTCCCTGGTGTTTATGTCTGGGTGTGCTTGTGATCCCCTAGCCTGGCTTCTGAGACAGCAGTGCAGCCTCCTGGGGGATATCTCTGTTTCTTGTGGCTTCTGGCCTGAGCCCCGTACAGGGAACTTTTCTTTTCTCCTTAGTTCCTCTGAGGGAGGAAAGCTTTATCTTTTACCTTAGAAATGAAGTCCTGCCCTCAGAGATCTGGCTAAAACCCAAAAAATTCCTTTGCTGTGTTTTTCATTGAGGCAGATTCTGTTTATAGGTAAGCAAAGCTGGATGTGAACCCCAGAGAGCCAGCAAGGCCATGTGACTTCTCAGCTGCCCCAGTCACTGGGGAGCAACTCCAGTCCCACTGCTGCCATGCCAGGGGACTGACATGGAGAAGACATGATGCCATGGTAGAAAACCGCATTTCCAGAGAAGCACAGTCACCTCTGAGTGACACATTAGACCCATGTGTGAGGCGTTGTGTAGATACTTTGCAAATTACCCGTGTTTTTTGGTCCTGTTTCTTTGTCCACTTGTATTGTATGTGATTACAGCCCTTTCTCATTTTACATAGCAGGGAGCAGAGAGGGCATGGGAATAAGGTGCAAGCATTCAAACATGAATTGCAGTTTGGCTGTGGTTGTTAAAAATTTTTGATATGAGCTAAAATTTTATTAAATCTCCTTTTTTATGGAGAAAAAAATAGAATCAGTTTGGAATTCCAGGAGGCTTTGGTGACTTTTTTTTTTATGTATTCATTTCATTAGAGAATTAGGTAAACCTTATATTACACAGCCAAGGCCAAAATAGTTTTGCACAGTTAAAGTGTGTTCAAGAAACCAGTCACCATTTAACTGGATTAGACTTCAACAAGGAGATGATAACCTCCAAATAACCTTCCTTTAGGAAGATGACATTCCTCCAATATGTGGAAAGACAGTAGATGCATTTTCTTCTCTCTGCCACAGAGGAAGAAATTTTCCCTCTTGAGGGACCAACACTATTTTTTTTTTTTTTTTTTTTTTGAGATGGAGTCTTGCTTTGTCACCCAGGCTGGAGTGCAGTGGCACAATCTCGTCTCACTGCAACCTCTGCCTTCCGGGTTCAAGCGATGCTCCTGCCTCAGCCTCCCGAGTAGCTGGGACTACAGGCATGTGCCACCACGCCCGGCTAATTTTTTTGTATTTTTAGTAGAGATGGGGTTTCACCATGTTAGCCAGGATGGGCTCAATCTCCTGACCTTGTGATCCGCCCACCTTGGCCTCCCAAAGTGCTGGGATTACAGGCGTGAGCCACTGCGCCTGGCCCAACACTATTTCTTTTATGCTGCTCTTTTCCCCTCTCCTTTCTTTGGTTTCCCCTTTCCACGAAGCTTCTTTTGTCATCTTTGCTCATCCTTAAAATCCTGATGCTCATCTCTGCAGAATCCAAGAAACCAGAGTGTTCCCATGAGTGTGGAGTAAGTGTTGTCATCTGGATACCCAGTCATAAGTCTCCTTCTTCTTGGCCAAGGGTGGTTCACTAAACAGTGTCACCATTTTCATAGACTTGGAATCAGTCGGCCTGGCGACTTCACCAAATAGCTGAGCACTGAGACGAGACATGCGCAGGGCATATTCTGAAAGAGAAGACATTTCTTGAGTGGCAAGGAACTGGAGTCCCTGGACTTGACTTTCCTCACCCACACCTGGTGACTGGTTTTATTTTAAGAAGGGCGGGGTTTGGTAAATGTTTGGCATCCTATCTGCTTTTACTTTTTATTTTTTTATTTATTTATTAATTTATTATTATTATTTTTTGAGACGGAGTCTTGCTCTGTCGCCCAGGCTGGAGTGCGGTGGTGAGATCTCAGCTCACTGCAACCTTTGCCTCCCGGGTTCAAGCAGTTCTCCTGTCTCAGCCTCCCAAGTAGCTGGGACTACAGGCGCCTGCCACCACGCCTGGTTAATTTTTGTATCTTTAGTAGAGACGGGGTTTCACCTTGTTGGTCAGGCTGGTCTCGAACTTCTGACCTCAAATGATCCACCCACCTCAGCCTCCCAAAGTGCTAGGATTACAGGTGTGAACCACTACTCCCTGTCCCTATCTGCTTTTAATAACTTATTTGAAATGCACCCTGTACTGAGATTTTGCATTTCTCTATCCTCAACCTCCTTAGTACTTCTGTAGCACTTGCTTTCCACCCTGTTTAGTCATTTATGTGCTGCTTTATTCCCTCTGTCTAGACAGATTCAGTCTTTTTTGTCTTTGCCAGTTTGTTCATCTCTGCGGTAAGCATGGTAGGGATCTGTGCAGTTTGGCTGCCCTTCGTGCTGTTCACAGTTTGCCAAGGGCCTCCATAATGAAATGGATTTGGGTAGGATGGTGCTGTGGGTGGCATGCGGAGGAGGCCTTCCTATGAAGCCCTGCCTTCCCTGGGATGTGACAAAGGACAGCTGATGAAGCCAGGCTTCTGGACTCTGGCTGCCCGTTAGAACAGCCAGGGTAGGGCACTTTGAAAACTGCGGGAGTGAGGGCCCCACCTCCAAACAAGCTGCTTCATTTAGGTGGGTGGACCTGGACATCAGGGCTTGAAAATACTGGCCATTCCCATGTGCAGGCACATTTGAGTTGAGAATCAGTGCTTTCAGTGAAGGGGCTGGACTTTGAGGACTTATATTCTCATCCAGATTGAATATTCAGTGATTCCATGAAGTCTATCTATATTTATGCTGGCCACCCAACATTTTAAGTTTTAAAAACTATTTTAGAAAACCTACGAAATAATTTCGTATCCTTACAGTGCAATCTTCCTTTTTCTTTCTCACCTCCTCCCACCCTCTTTTAGCTCCTACAGCCATTCGATTACTTCTTTTGTGGTTTCATAGTTTTAAATGTTTGTAGAAAGGTGTTGGTCAGTCAGAAGGTTGTAGTGAATCTTTTAAACAATTATTTTGGAGTACAAACTATGTTTTGTGTTTGCATAGACCATCTCTGTGGGGTTTAAAAGCTACTAACAGCTTATCCAATTTGCCATTTCACAACCAGGGAAGCTGAATAATGCTACTTCTTTTTTACATGGGATGAAAGATCAAGACCCAAAGGACAGAAAGATAAGGCAGAGGGGATGAAAAAGGGGCCCCTGTGTCAGGGGCTAACAGTCATTAGCACTTCACCTATGCCCAGATGCCTCCTCAGCCAGCTAACAGGGACACCTGATCACTCCTTGGCAAGATGTAACACATTAATCTGACCTGTTGTCTAATTGTAAGCATGAAGCAGGCATTGAGGCATTAGATCACCACAGCATGAAGCAAAAGAGCCAAGACAGACCACTGCACAGGAGCGGCCTTCTGTGCCTTCGCCCATGTTTGTGTTCTGGCACCTGTCACCTTATATTGGAAATCACATATGCGTGAGCCTCCTAAAGTCAGAGGGAATCATGTCTTACTCATTGTAGGAGGCATATTCAAATCTTCATGATTGAATCTAGTCCTGTCAGGCTGAGCTGCTGCATAATATGAATGTTTACCTGTGTCCTATCTAGATAGCAACTGATGGTATTTTCTGTTTAAATGATTTAAGTAATAGGCACTCATATTTTCTCAAGTGTTTTGCATGAAATTTAAGGCATGTAAGATAGAGTGAGGAAATACTTGGTTTAATTTAGTTTTTACCCCCTTCCTTTATACCTTACGACCAACAAATACAAATAACTGCTTGTCAATAAAAACAAGCCACAAATCTGTTCCTTCTGGACAATGATTACGTAGCATTTTTTTTGTGTGAAGTGCTCATTTGAACTCCTTACAATGAGAAAGCATTTCATCTAAGGGAAAAAACACAATGTGTCCGGCCATATTTTTGAAGTCTTAGAATGTGTTACCATCATATAACGGGAAAAATGCTAGAATTTTAAATACACAGTGCTTCAGACTTATTTAATATTTGTTTCTTACTTGTTGACAGAAAAACAAAGCAGCAAATGTAAAGTAAAATGACTTTTTATTCTAAATATTGTTTCAGGAGCTCTTTCCTAAATCCTTGTGAATAAAATTACACTTGCAGTGTATTTATAATCCTTTATAATCCCTAAATCCTTAAAAAGCAAGTTGACCCAAATGTTTAAATAAGGACTTTATTTACAGAACTGAATATTTCTAATTCTCTTGGGATGTCATTATCTGGCTACATATGAAACAGTATTCACTTATGCATGCTTCAGAAACTTCATACATTACTGTGCATTTGTTAGTATGTGAACAAAGAAACTTGTTTTGGTTGTGAGCAAAATGCAGACTTACTTTCAAAATTGAGTTTTAGTATAAACTCAAATAGGTTGGCAGAAGAGGAGTTTAATTTTTATGTATCTAAATAAGGCCTGTTTCTTCATTAAAAGAAAATTAAAACTAAGCCCCACACCCTTATTGAATCTGTCCCAATAAGATGCTTTTTGGGTTCTTGTTTGTGCTATAGTTGGTTTTGATTTACTTCGTCTGCAAACAGAAATGACGTAGATACTATTGCTCCAACAAAACTAAAAAAAGATTTTCACTAAAAGTACCCAGATCATATCAGTGGGAATAAATCCACTGGCCTCAGTGTATTTGCCCAAAAAGGATCTGTGTTTTGCAGTAAATATTGTAATTGGAAGTATATGTTCTTTTAGACTAAATAAAGTTTTACTTGAGGACATTTTTCAGTTAGGCATGTTTATTTTGGGGGTTTAGTATTGTCTTCCGCCTTATTTATTTTTACTTATCTGTATGAGCCAAAGCTCCAGCCAGCTCTCTCAGCCCTTATCCTGTTGTAAGTTGCTGACTCCTTTTCTTGAAGATGGAGTGTCCCCTTTCTGGGCGTCTCTAACCTCATCCTTGCCTCCCCCCAGGTCCCCATCTTCTCTGCCTGCGATTCCTTAGTTTCTCTACACCTGAAATGTTGGGGTATCCCAGGAGCCTGTCTTGGCACTCCCTTCCTTTACTTTCCCTCCCGGATGTGAGCTGCTCATGTCCAGCTTAGACTCCCTGT
Source organism: Homo sapiens (assembly GCF_000001405.40). Lineage (NCBI taxonomy): Eukaryota > Metazoa > Chordata > Mammalia > Primates > Hominidae > Homo > Homo sapiens. The sequence continues at coordinate 38,010,479 of NC_000004.12, forward strand.
CTTGGACTCTAGGCCCACTTACCCAGCTAGATGCCTTTACTTTCAAGTCCTCCTGGTCTTAACATAGACAAAAGCAGAACTCATTGCACTGTCTCCCCAAACCTTCTCCACTCTGCACTCCCTCTGTGAACTAATGGCACAGTCATCCACACAGAAGCCTAAGCCAGAGCCCTGGGTACCACGCCCCATCTTCAATATCCTCAGCCCCCTATCCAGGTCACCACCAAATCCTGTTAGTCCTGTCTTCCAGAATCTTTCATTCAGCCTTTCTCTCAGCCTTCCTCTCAGCCTTCAGTGCTTAGTTCTTTCTCAGTTCAGGCTCTCAACATGCCCCATCTCAATTACCGTAAAGGATCCTAATTAAACCTCCTCCTCCGGGCAGGGACTCATTTACATTCATCTTATATTTCTGAATCCCTGGCTCTGGCATCTAGAGATGCCTAGAAAAATGTATAGAAATAAAATGAAGTAAATGACTGAAGTCCTCCATGCAAATAGGTGAGTCCAGGACAGAGTTAGAAGGATAAAGAATTCAGGATTTTATAACGAGTGGACATTATGCCTTCATTTTTTAGAAAATAGTGCCTCAGAGGCTGGGCACAGTGGCTCACGCCTGTAATCCCACCACTTTGGGAGGCCGAGGCGGGTGGATCACTTGAGGTCAGGAGTTCAAGACCAGCCTGACCGACAAGGAGAAACCCCATCTCTACCAAAAAAATACAAAATTAGCCGGGTGTGGTGGTGCATGCCTGTAATCCTAGCTACTCGGGAGGCTGAGGCAGGAGAATTGCTTGAACCTGGGGGGCAGAGGTTGCAGTGAGCTGAGATCGCCCCATTGCACTCCAGCCTGGGCAACAAGAGCGAAACTCCATCTCAAAAAAAAAAAAAAAGAAAAAGAAAAAAAGAAAAAACAGTGCCCCAGGTCCATTCTGGTAGAGGGTTTTATAAACTTACACACAGATAGAACCCATTTTTTATTTAGTCTCTTAGTATACTTGACTAACTTAAAGTAATGTTTAAATGGAATTAGGCTTTTTAACTATTTGCAATTTGTTGTTGAAACTATATTTGGCAATATGCCCTTTGCCTTCAAATGTTCTGAAATTGTTAGACCTCAATTATCTCCTTTATATCTGTATTACACATAACTTCTTGGTGCTTCTGAATGACGGGGCACACCTTACCCTGAGCATGAGAACCTTGAGCTCAATTATGCCTGAATACTAAAACTTAGCAGAGCAAGGAGAGAGAGACTTTGGTCTTTGACTAAAGTGTGTCTTTTTAAGATTCTGAGTAAAGGATAGGAGAGATTGGTCCTTGGAAAAAAAACTACCACAACCTCGATTGTGACCAAGTTATGAGGTATTCTTCAGTTTCTTCTGACCCTGGGAATCCAGGGGACAGTTAAGTGATCTACTTTGTGTCATCTTTTTGTTTGTACCATTTACTACTGAGTCACCAACAAATTCATGTGACTTCACACATTTTCTCTCTCCTTTGATACATAATGAAAGACATCACTGCTCACTTCAGATGCAGCAGAAGACACAGCATGTAGAAATGTCAGGTATTTTCATAAGCCTCAGAGGACTGAATAAGCTTTGAATTTTCTGTTCAGAGTGGGGTTAGTAATTGGGAAGACTCACGTGACTTGATAAAATAATCTTACACACTTGCTTAGAAGAGTGGCAAGGTTCTTGTATAAATTGATTATTTTTGTTTGACAAATGTTCTTTACAGAAATCACTTTTACCAGGAAAATCTTATAAACTCCTTTTTGGAGAGTAACTATGGCTTTTTGTTGTTGTTGTTGTTTTTTGTTTTGAGACAAGGTCTCAGTCACCCAGGCTGGAGTGCAGTGGTACTGTCTTGGCTTACTGCAGCCTCCATCTCCTGGGCTCCAGCAATACTCCTGCCTCAGGAGTAGTGGGGACTGCAGGCGCACACCACCTTGGCTGGCTCATTTTTGTATTTTGTATAGAGACGAGGTCTCGCCATTTTGCCCAGGATGGTCTTGAGCTCCTGAGCTCAAGCAATCCGCCTGCCTTGGCCTCCCAAAGTGCTGGGATTACAGGTGTGCACTAACATGCCCAGTCTAACTGTGGCTAAGTTTTTACCAGGCTTCTGTTGTGAACCATTGGCAAAGATGTGAATGAAACCTAGACTTCATGCTCTCTTCTCTCTGTCCTGTCTTCTTTTTATAATTGACCAACAGTTTTTAGGCCTCTGTATGATGTATGATTATTTGGCAGTATAAAAGTGGGCTATAACCAAGCAAATGCTCAGTGCAGACAGATGCTTGACCTGTTGAAATTTTGGCTATTTTGTTTTTTTTGAGACAGTCTTGTGCTGTCACCCAGGCTGGAGTGCAGTGGCACAATCTCGGCTCACTGCAACCTCCGCCTCCCAGGTTCAAGCAATTCTCCTGCCTCGGCCTCCCAAGTAGCTGGGATTACAGGCACCTGCCACCACGCCCAGCTAATTTTTTGTATTTTTAGTAGAGACGGGGTTTCACTATGTTGGCCAGGCTGGTCTCAACCTCCTGACCTCCTGATCTGCCCTCCTTGGCCTCCCAAAGTGCTGGGATTACAGGCATGAGCCACTGCGCCTGGCTGAAATTTTGGCTTTTAAAATCATTTAGGTCTCATCAGGTATCAATTATTTAAAATGTAAAACTTTCCTAAAGATCTTTTGACTCTTTGTGTGATAAAATACCTTGAAAGAATAGTCATAATCTTTATGACAGAGAGATCTTTAAGGTGTATTTGATATGAAGTCACAAAGAGAAAAATCTTTCGAGTCATTGGTTTTGGGAATTATGTCATGAACACTGAATATAAGGATACTTTTAAAATTTAAAACCACCTCCTTTACTGTATGTGTTGATCTTTGACCTGAATTGGAAGGGGGATTTTTAAAATTTCTCTATAATGTTGTTAAAAAGACATAGGGCCTGTGGGTATTGGGCCTTAAATTGAATTTTCCTTATATAGAAAAATGGAAAAAATTGGTTTAGGTGTTAGGTCATAACAAAAAGTAGGCCCTTTTGAAGATTAAATTTATGCCTGCCTTGGCCTTGTTTAAATCCATGCCTGGCCACAAATATTAGTGTTGTGGCTGTCCATCATCTGAGCAATTGCACAGCTGTTTCATTCACTGCCGTGCGGATTCATCTTTATGTCTATGCTGCTTTGAAGAACCTTCTCAGAGGTTAATGATGAGAGGATGTAGCAGTAGGGACAACACCGTGGCAGATGAGGTCTTTTATTACATTCTTTTAATCATGATTTTCAGCATTAGAAACCAAAAGCTTTATAGTCTCCATGTGAAGAATCCCTGGTGAGCCTGTTTGCTGTGATAATATTAGTCATGGGTTACTCAGTCCTTGATTAAAACCTCCTAGCTTTGTTGACTTGCTAGTCACTATTCACCTGCTAGGAAATATAGGACTGAGTTGTCATGGAAGGAAATAATGGTGCTGGGATTTGAATAAATAATTTATGAGATAATTTCAGAGCCTTTGTCTTCTTCATCCCACCATTTATTAAAGAAGACTTTCCAAAGTATACTGCCATGAGATCTAGAATAATTGAGTCATGTTTTGTGAACCACGTTGGAGACAGACTTCTCTGGGAGGCGACAGCTTCTCCAGAGGAGGCCTTTAGCTTTGGAGTGGGACCAGCCTGGGCTTGAATCCAAGGCCTGCTAGGTTGGGCTGTGTGTGTTCCCGGGCTGGTGGTTTAACCTTGCAGGGTGCTGTGGGCATGTAAATCCTCCAGCGCAGCCCTTGGCAGGTAAGAGGTGCTTCATAAGTGTCGTCCCCCTTCTCTTTTCTGTGGAAGCTGTGTGTTCACCTCCCATGGGAAGACATTCCTAGTCCCCTCCCGTGGGCTCCTCCTCCAGTGGGCTCCTCCTCCAGTGCTCCGCAGTGGAGTAGCCAGCGGGGCGTCCCGAAAGAGCATGGTGCATTCATTCCGTGAGTGCCAGCCACACTGCATGTTCCAAATAACACGCCTCTCTCTCTCCTCAGGTGCCTGAGATCATCAGCTCCATCCGTCAGGCGGGGAAGATCGCCCGGCAGGAGGAGCTGCACTGCCCGTCCGAGTTCGACGACACGTTTTCCAAGAAGTTCGAGGTGCTCTTCTGCGGCCGCGTGACGGTGGCGCACAAGAAGGCTCCGCCGGCCCTGATCGACGAGTGCATCGAGAAGTTCAATCACGTCAGCGGCAGCCGGGGGTCCGAGAGCCCCCGCCCCAACCCGCCCCATGCCGCGCCCACAGGGAGCCAGGAGCCTGTGCGCAGGCCCATGCGCAAGTCCTTCTCCCAGCCCGGCCTGCGCTCGCTGGCCTTTAGGAAGGAGCTGCAGGATGGGGGCCTCCGAAGCAGCGGCTTCTTCAGCTCCTTCGAGGAGAGCGACATTGAGAACCACCTCATTAGCGGACACAATATTGTGCAGCCCACAGATATCGAGGAAAATCGAACTATGCTCTTCACGGTAAAATATCACCCAGCTCGTGCACAGCCCCAGTCTGCCATACGCTTTCAAGAGAAAATCTGCTTTATGGAGCGAAGATTCTTAGTCAATTGCTTTTGATTTATGTGTGAATCCATATATTTTCATGCTGAACAATTCTATTCTTAGGATAAGCTCCTTCCTTTAGCCATAAGCCTTTACAGTCATCAGGGAGAAACATGCCCATGTGTAATTTTTATCTCACCCGGTAATTATAAAGACACCTTTTCAGTGTGGAAAGAACAGTGAAAACGTGTAAATGAGACCAGCAGAGAGATTTAAAAAATATATATGAATTTCAGATGATATATTTCAACAGAATCTTTTAGTTGGAAAACACCCTCTCTACTATTAATATTTTTATTTATGAAACATTTACCCTTTGCTAATCAGGAAGAGTGGCTTTGTGAGTGACATTATATTTGAAATTTATACCCAAACTGAAATATTAATTTAGCCAATGGCTTGCTTGCTTTTTTTTTTTTTAGAAAAAAAGTGTTAAATTGACAGCCAAATGCTAGAAAAGGACTGAACATGGGGGGCTGTCCCAGGTGGGTGGGGTTCCTGGTTCCATGCTGATCTGGGCTCTTCTGAATGGGTGTGCCCTCCCTGGGAGTCCCCTGGGTCTGAACGGATGAGATGTGGAGCTGTCCCGGCAGCGAGCCGGTCTCTGACAATGGAAGAGCTAGTTTCTTCCTTGGCCTTCTCTTTGGCTTAATGCTGACTGACGTTCTGTAGAGAACAAAATTATCTTAAATATAAAGTCTCCTTCTTGTGTCTAATTCAGGGCACAGGTGAGATGGCCAGGGGGTAAAAAACCAGCTACCTAGGTTAGTGCAGTGTGGATGTGTGCAGGTTTAAAACCAAGGGGGTGCACCCAAGGGTAAATAGGGCTGATGTTTTCATCTTTTGACCATTGATCTAGTGTACCGAAAAGAGTAGTCAGATTTGTGCTTTAATTTGTGATCTGCATCTTTTAAAAAAACTTCCTTGGTGACATTGAGAAAGCTGCTCCCTGCATTTATTTATAAGTACTGACTGTTTGACTGCTGTGCTAACGTCCCTTGCCACATGCTGGAAATGCAGCCGTGAACAAGACAAGTATGTTCTCTGCCCACATGGAATTTAGATTCCAGTAAGGGAGACAGGCAACTGAGTGCACAAATAATTATCTAATTATAATTGTGGTAAATGCCGTGGAGGAGAAGTACAGCATGCCTGAGAGCATTTCTCAGGGTAATCAGGAAAGGCTTCTTTGAGAAAGTGATTTTCACCTAACACAAGGTTTCATTGTGGCCACCTGGGAAGGTCTTCTGGGCTCACAGAGCAGCAGATGAGAAGGCCCTAAAGGCAGGGATGGTGCCTGGTGCCTGGAGAATCCCAGAGGCCTGACTGCCTCCTTTGCTCAGCATTCTTCCCTCGAGTTGTCACGGTCTTACCTCCTCTTGCTTCCTTTAGGTCTCTGCTGAAATGTTGACATGGAGGAATAATCGTATCAGTAAGACCAATAGCAGCCTCACTTCCTGCTTTTTTGCTTTATTTTTCTCCATGGCATTTTTACCATTTGACACAATTACAAATAAACAAGTAAAAGATTTTATGTCCCACATGCCCCCAAGAAGATAGGCTTCAAGAGGGCATGGATTTTCATTTCTCTGTTCACTGCTGTCGTTGGTAGTGCCTAGAGCACAGCTGTTGGGTGAGAAATAATTCCAGATGGCCGCACTGAAAACAAGGAAGGATGGTGCGTAGAGATGGGGCTGGGACTGGAGGCAGCCCCATGAAAGTTGTTTTCATCAGGCACAACTTTATGGGTCTTGGTCAGGGTTTTGTTTTTTATCCTGAAAGGAGTGGGCAGTCACTGCATGCTATAAAACACAGTGTGAAATATCTTTGGCTACAGAGCCAGGATACTTGGGGGAGGGCAAGAGTAGGATGGGGAGGGGAGTGAAGCTGTTGTAGTAGTCCAGGTGAGAGATAGTGGGGTTGTGGTAAGTGCAGTGGGAGTGGAAGGGACAGACATGCAGAAAGTCAAATTAATGGGATGTACAATCCTTTGGATGCCATGGGGAAGGAGAGGGATCTCAGGAGCCCCACCCAACTTTGGATTCTGACTTGCTCTTTACAACCCAGCCATAGCTAAGTAATAATGCCTTGGAGCCTCTCACCTTATGAGATTTTCAAAGGTTATTTTTAAAAATAAGTAAGGACTATCTTCATTATGTAGGTAAAGACAGTGACTTCTAAAGAGACTAAACATACTCCAAATAGATACTTATTCGTTGTTTACAAATAAGGAGGATATTGTGTTGGCTCCTACTCTAGAGAGAGACACAGTCTAGTTTAGAAAGATGTTGCATGTTAAAAATGAATTAGTTTTTCATCATCCTTGGTCTCCACAGAAGGACAAGAGTAAAAGGCTACCTGCCACTCTCTGCTGGCTGAAATACAGTTCAGAAACAGTAAGTGTGCAAAAACAATTCAGAATGCAAAGTCCTTGCCCCAAACAGAATGCACGTTTCTTGGGCCCCCTCATTGAGAGTATAATTCCCCTTGACTTACACCCCAGTTTCCAACAAGCTTGTGTATCTGATTTGTATTTTACATCAAAGCGTAAAGAGTTTAGAGGAGGAGATGGGTCTGGGAGTTAAGAATGGCAGCGTCAGGATGTGACCACTGACTTCTTGGTCCTGAGGAGAAACTAAAGCTGTAGAAACCAACACACACTGAAACCCAAGAAGCTTAGCGCTCCAGAGACGAGGAGTCTAAAAGGCAGCCTTTCACAGCCTGCAGGGGCGTGTGCACACAGAGTAGGTTGGGTATTGCAACACAGCAGTCTCCTATAATGCATGTCTATTAGCATGTCCCAAGGCAGTAAGAGGATTGTAATTGATGCTCATACTCTAACTTGAAAAGGTCCGGTCACTAGTGTATGTGAATGCCTCACATGTAATATGTACTAAACAAATGGTAGATTCTTTTAACAATAATTTAAAAAGACTTGTCAGTAAAAATCATTCAAAAGTATCTTGGAAGCTTTGAAAGAGTAGATTCTGTTTTCTGGAAGGTTCACTTATGCGGAGACCTCAGTTTTTAGGGGGATGTGTGGATCTTGAGGCCTATTGCTAACTTTTGGATATCTGGTTCTTTCATCTCAAGGAAGATGGCTGTCTTATCTAGGTGAAGGCACTAATAGATGTGTCTTATGACCTGAAATCCAGAGGATAAGAGGGGACCTTTGAAATGATTTCTACGATGATAGAGTCAGAATTTTATAGGAGCTTGTCCCTTTTATTCTTTATTTTCATAGGTCATGAAATGAGAAAGTTTGAAAAGCTAGATTTTTTTGTTTGTCTTTTAAGATTGGCCAGTCTGAAGTTTACCTCATCAGTCCTGACACCAAAAAAATAGCATTGGAGAAAAATTTTAAGGAGATATCCTTTTGCTCTCAGGTAAATGGAGATGGGTTTTTTTATTCAATTGCAATGGAATTTTTAAATGAATTTCTATAATATCTATCATGTAACAAATGCTAAAGGTTACAAGGTGTATGTTTTCTAAGTACTGTACTTGATTTGTGTTTCGCTTTTCTTCTTTGCTTTGGTATGTTAAGGTAAATTATGAATATAATTTTGAAATTAAGAAATTTGCTCTTAGCAACAGTAATGGACAAAATAGATCTACTTTTAATTTTCTCAGTTATTGGTAGTAATAATCCACAGTCATGACTTCCAGATGCACATGTGTGTGTCTTTGTGCATATTACACATATATATTTACACATTTCACACAAATATATCTTTTTATTAGATATATTTCTACTTTACAAAAATTTGTAACTTTTTTGGGTACCAATTGTCAGTATTCTCCCTTCAAATATAGATAGTGCTTATCTTTGACATATATATTTACACATTTCACACAAATATATCTTTTTATTAGATCTATTTCTACTTTACAAAAATTTATAACTTTTTTAGGTACCAATTGTCAGTATTCTCCCTTCAAATATAGATAGTGCTTATCTCAGAGTACAGTGTCTACTTGAAAACTTTTTTCTTGATAATCTTCCAGGTGTTTCATAGAGGGATTTTGGAAGAATCTATCAATTAAGATTAGCTGTGCCAGTTTTACTCAGGATCTTCCTAACAAATATGAGATCACTTAAGGTTATATTTGCTTTTTTTTTTAAACTCTGGATTTTTCATTTTCATAATTGATAAAATATGAAAATGTCAGTGTTGATTTATAATGTGATCTACTTAAATATTCAAAAGGGACTTTTCTGCAAAATGTGAAAATAAAGAATGTTCTTTACAGATTGAATAGGGAACCATTTACAAAGAAAAAGCTTTGCTAAATCATATTTCCTTAAGTGGTAGCCTTATGCTTAACTTGCTACTGGAGAAGATTAATTGAGATGGCAAAGCATGTTAATGATTGCTCATTTATTGGAAAATATTTGGCCTGAAAGTGAGATTACCCATAGAGTTTTTAATCCTGATTTGCTGCTATTTCTGTTGAAATATGAATGTTAAATGTTTACATTTTTGTGTGATAGCTTTATAATTTCCTAAAGAGTGTAGTTTACAAGTTTATATGATTACCTGAACATTAAGCTATCAGCACTCACATCTCTGCATGATGATGCTTTCAGAATACATTGATGTATTAATATTTATGGCAGACGTTTTATCTGTATTAAGGTGCCTCTGATAGCTGATGATTTTAAAACACATTTACATATTAATATTTATTAAAAATAGCTCTTATGATACCATGGTAGAGCCTTGGCCTAATATGTTTAAAAGCTCCTCTACTCTGTGTGCATGTAATTTTTGACTCTTTCTTTATTCCAGTTCACTTCAGTATTTACCTACTTATTTTAGGAATACAAATATATTTTAAATATTTTTTTAACCTTTGGGTGTGTATGTGCTTAGTTGTGTTTCTTCATGAATCTCTGGTCTGCCTTTGATTTTTTGAGTGGTTTTTATTCTTTAATACCTATGTCTCAAACAAAACAACAAACAAATACTAAAATGAGCACTAAAACTTGAATTTTCAGATCTTATTTTTCTTATTGTTGTGGGAGTAATCAAAGGAACATTCTAGTAAACCAACTTTATTTGAGATGTTTTTAGACTTTTTGAAATTTTAAAATATCAGAGAAAATAGTAATTTCCTAGTGTTTTTTAAAATTGTGCTGTGTAGGCCAGGCGCAGTGGTTCACGCCTGTAATCCCAGCACTTTGGGAGGCTGAGGTGAGTGGATTACCTGAGGTCAGGAGTTCGAGACCAACATGGTGAAACACCATATCTACTAAAAATACAAAAATTAGCCGGGTGTGGTGGTGCATGCCTGTAATCCCAGCTACTCAGGAGGCTGAGGCACGAGAATCACTTGAACCCTGGAGACAGAGGTTGCAGTGAGCTGAGATTGTGCCATTGTACTCCAGCCTGGGCAACAAGAGTAAAATTCCATCTCAAAAAGATAATAAAAAGTAAAATAAATTGTGCTGTATAAATCTTGAGGTGCATTTCTGAGGATGGTGCGTCTTCTGGATACAACTGAACATCTCGTTCTCTCCCTTTGGCAGGGCATCAGACACGTGGACCACTTTGGGTTTATCTGTCGGGAGTCTTCCGGAGGTGGCGGCTTTCATTTTGTCTGTTACGTGTTTCAGTGCACAAATGAGGCTCTGGTGAGAGAGGACAAGCAATTCTTACCTTGGAACCTTCTTTACAAGGAATTTTAGCTCCACTGATTTTTCTGTCCTTAGGGAAAACCAGATGGTCATTGACATATCATTATTTGTCTTTAGTTATTTACTTATGACTATTTAGTAAGCAGCTAATACACATCTGAAGCTTAATTGGCTGTGCATTTTATATTTTTTATTTCTGAAGAACTTGTTTAGTGTCACCTTCTGGTCTAGCATTTTACAATGTCATTTTAGACATCTGATCAAAGGAGTTTGCCTTTTTTCTCAGTAGTTTGTATTTTTAGTTTTTACTGTATCAGTCTGTTCTCACACTGCTAATAAAGACATACCTGACACTGGGTAATTTATAAAGGAAAGAGGTTTAATGGACTCATAGTTCCACATGGCCAGCGAGGCCTCACAATCATGGCGGAAGGTGAAGGAGGAGCAAAGGCACATCTTACATGGCAGCAGGCAGGGCAGCGTGTGCAGGGGAACTGCCCTTTATAAAACCATCAGATCTCGTGAGATTTATTCACTATCATAGAACAGCACAGGAAAGACCCACTCCCATGATTCAATTACCTCCCACTGGGTCCCTCCCATGACATATGGGAATTATGGGAGCTACAATTCAAGATGAGATTTGGGTGGGGACACAGCCAAACCATATCATTTACCTTACCTGCTTTAAGAGCTTTGAGCATACTTGTAGTATTTTCAGACTGTAATCCTAGCTGTTATTCCAATTATTATCTGTCAACCTGTGAAGAGTAGTACAGAAAACTCTTAAAGCTTAAAAAATCTTTTCCAAAGATTTTCTGACATCTCAGCCCAGCTAATTTCAAATTGACTTTTTGGTGACTACAACTTCTCTTCTCTTTGATTAGGTTGATGAAATTATGATGACCCTGAAACAGGCCTTCACGGTGGCCGCAGTGCAGCAGACAGCTAAGGCGCCAGCCCAGCTGTGTGAGGGCTGCCCCCTGCAAAGCCTGCACAAGCTCTGTGAGAGGATAGAGGGTGAGTAGGGGACCCTTTCCAGCATGAACACAGTGGGAGTTAAAGGTCCCAGGAGAACTTTAGATGATACTCATCTGTTGGAAGATTCTGCCTAACAGAGGCTTGTATTAGTCACAGGGATTGTAGGTGGACTCTCAGTGTGCAGTGGGTGTCTTCTGTATGTCAGGAATTGTGCCGGATGCTGGTGATACAAAGATAAGAACCCAGAACCCCCTTCTGCCACCTCCCTCCAAGGTATTCTGAGGATGGAGGAGGAGTTAGGGAAACAGGTTACCAAACCGGTTGCCTAGTGTTTATCAAGGTTGTGTGAGTGGTCAGTCATACTGGGCACTGCAGAGATATCTAGAAAGATAAGAACTAAGGAACTTGTACCAGTTTCTCCATTACAAGGTCATTAGTAACGTCTGCTAGTACAGTTTGGATGGAGAGGAGGTAGCAGAAAACAGGTTGCAGTTGAGGAGCAAATGGGAAGAAATCAAAGAAACGGTGACTATTAGTATTGACCAGTATTTCTAGAAACCTGGCTTAGGGAGAAACTGTAATAAATGTTATGATTTGTAGCTAACGTGTATTGAATAAGATCTGCCAGGAAGTGTATTAGGTGCTTTCTGTTATCTATTTAATCCTCATCACATTTGTGGGAGGAAAAGGGACTATTTATTTTGCACATATTGCAGATAAGTAAATTGAGGATTAGAGATGTCTAGGAATAAACTAGTGTATAGTGAGCCCATGATTCACCCCAGGCGGTAAAGCCCTGTTACCTGCCACCAACCATTTCCAGGAGAAGGCCATACTGGAGAAAGACCTGGGGATTGCAGCTAACTTTGTCTTTTTCAGAATTGGAGGGTTTGAGTGAATTCAGAGCCCAAGGGGCCAGAGGGGCCGAATGAATCCGAATGGAATGGTGGGGGTTCCTCTTGAACAAGAGTGGGGAGTCCACCTGAGGCAGGAAGTGAGAGTTTCTGTCTCTGTGACTGCAGGGAGGGGCCAGGGGAGAGGACAGAACCAGGTGACAGTGAAAGGGAGTGGTGATATGTTTATCTGAAGGCATCTGGAAGGTGAAGGAGTTTTCACCACTCTGTTCTTGATTTTGTGTTTTTGTTCTGTTTATGGGAGGATTTCTAAAAATTTTTTTGTGACTTGTGGAGGTCACATGATTTAAACAACCCATGCTATTGTGAAAAGAAAACAAAAATTTGATCATTTCTCATGTTTGTAGAATGTTTATTATACACCTGTAATTCCAGCGCTTGGGGAGGCTGAGGTGGGCAGATCACTTCAGGCCAAGAGTTCGAGACCAGCCTGGGCAACATGGTGAAACCCTGTCTCTACGAAATACAAATACATCTCAAATACGTTTCTACTAAATACAAAAATTAGCTGGGTGTGGTGGTGTGTGCCTGTAATTCCAGCTACTTGGGAGGCTGAGGCAGGAGAATCATTTGAGCCCGGGAGATGGAGGTTGCAGTGAGCCGAGATTGTGCCGCTGTGCTCCAGCCTGGGCAACAGAGCGAGATGTCTCAAAAAAAAAAAAAAAAGGAATATTTATTATAAGCTATAAGTTTGCAAAGAAAGCATTGTTATTTAGATCCAATTTTCCTTTTTAAAAAAATATAGTAAAAACATATGTAACACAAAATTTACCATCGTAACCTTTTTGTAAGCATGCCCTTCATTGGCATTAAGTCCATTCACATTGTTGTACAGTCCTCACCACCAGCATCTCCAGAACTTTTTCATTTTCCAAAACTGAAGCTCATTAAATGCCAACTCCGCTCCTTCTCAGCCTCTGGCAACATCTGTTCTGTTTCTAGGTAACTTCATATAAGCAAAGTCATAAAATATTTATCTTCTTGTTTCTGGTTTATTTCACTTAGCATAATGTTTTCCAGATTCACGTGTATTGTAGCGTTGTCTGAATTTCATTCCTTTTTAAGGCTGAATGGTATTCCATTCCAAAAGTGTGTCCACATTTTGTTGATCCATTTACTCGTCCGTGGACATTTGGGTTCCTTCCCCCTTTTGACTGTTGTACTAATAATGCTGCTATGAATGCTGACGTGCAAATATCTGTTGAAGTTCCTGCTTTCAATTCTTTCGGTTATATATCCAGAAATGAAATTGCTAGGGTATGTGGTAATTTTATGTTTAATTTTTTTGAGGAACTGCCGTATGGTACCACAGTGGCCACACCATTTTACAATCCCACTGGCAGTGGGTAAGGACCCCAGTTCCTTTACGTCCTCGCAAGATTTGCTACTTTCTGTTTTTGTTTTGTTTTGTTTTTGATGAAAGCCATCGAGATAGATGTGAAATGGTATCTGGTTTCCCTTTTTAAATGAGATAAATTAACAATTGACATCTTAAGGTCTGGGAAGGGTCATTTGTAGCATTACAGTGCTCTTTAAAATGAAGAAACATGATTAATATATTCAACTGTGTTTTCCACGTTGTTACTATTTGCTGACATTATACAAAATATATCTGGGAACAAGAAAATGTTTGCTTTAACTAGAGTTCCCAACTGAGAGGATCACTAACCCTTTCCTTAATGGTTGTCAAGATAAGGTAAATGATGATAGAAATGCCCCTTAAGAGCTTATTAAAAAGCCAGCAGTGACTTTGGCCTTGAAGATAAAGCAGAGCACGATCTGCAGGAACTGGAATGCTTCCAGAGCTCCCCTTGATAAATCTTTCTTTGGTCTGGCTTAGTTTTGAGAAAGTTACAGCTGAAAAGTTTGATCAGGGTAGGGATTTTGCTGCCGTCGTTTTGGAATTAATCATTTGATCCATCTATCACCTGATAAAATCCAACCAAGGCACAAAACTCTACTAACATGAGAACATTCTTAAATAGTGCAATTAGAAGTCTGGTGGGGGTATGTTTTACCTACATGATGGAACTCATTTCTAAAAGTGTAGAAGAAGTGCATTGTTAGTAGAAGAAGTGCTAGTTATTACATAAACAGTTTTAGGGTTCCTTGCTTTTTGTTATTGTATTCCTAATAAGTAGAATAAAGTGGCTTGTTAAAACTCATTGTATGTTGGTGTAAAAGTAGTTCTAGCAGGAAGTTATATGGTCTGATCAAGAACTCTGTAAAACTGTGGAGAGGATTAGTGATGTGGCCACACAAAGAAAGACTTAAAAGACTATGTTTTCTTAATCAGTAAGTGTAGTTAAGTCATCCCCCAGAATCTATAAGATAGAATCAATAACGCTGTTGATGTTGATTAGCTGCACTCTGCTCTAATTGCAACATATCAGAAGTGCAGCTCTACCCAGTTCTGTATTTGAATCATATACAACTCAGTGGTATTTATATAGTATTTTGCTTATTTTAAAAGAGGAGCATTCATTAAAAAAAATAGTTGAACTGAGATTTTCTTTTGCTCTCAGAGCAAATTTTCCTTCAGTAAAACACAGTCATTCATCACCGCTCTCTCTAACAAGGGCCGTTTCTGCACCGCCAGGGAGGCGGCCTCACTGACCAGAGGAGCCAGGAGGGGTTGTAGTTTGGAAACTCTCTTGATGCTGGTTACCTTTTCTGCTTCGGTCCTGGCTTCCCATTCCCTCCATAAGCCATTTTGGCATCACCTGGGCCTCTCTGAGGAGATGCGTTCAGTGGGGAACTGAAGGGTGCTTTCAGTGGGTGTACAGAAACCACCCAGGAGGGGCTAGCTGTGTGAGAATCCCTGGGGGAGGAACTCGGACCTAGGCGGGCCGGCTATTTAGAGATGGGACCAGAAGGACCTCATGAATTAGGCATCCTGCAGACAGGGTGAAATTGCCCAGAGGATTGCTTCACAGCTGCCGAAGCGAAGAATAAGCTGCATTTCGTGATTTCACCTGAGATTGGCAGAGTGTCGAGTTAGTCTAACTCTTCTTAAGCCTTGGGGTTTATTCTCCACATCTGAATGTTTCATGAAACAATATCGTTTTTCCAAAATATGATACTTCGGCTGTCAGAGATGTCCTTCATATGTGGGGGGGATTTTTAGTGCATGATGACTTAGTGCTTATTTGATTCATAAATCTTAACTCTGTTTCGCTTCGGCATTTAAGTAGTTGATACAGTAAAGCCTTGTCTGTTTCCCTGGCTTCATGTGACCTGACAGCTTGCTGAAAGAGTGACTGCATTGCACTTTGACAAAGGCGCCATCCTTCCTGCACTTTAACCCACCTCTAAGCTTGCTCTTGTATTGCAGCCACCTGAGTGTCAGGCGACTTGGCTCTGCTAGTCAGGGAGGGCAGTGGAGCAGTTAAGGGTTTGGTTGCCGGAGGCAACTTACTTAGCTGATGACCTTGGACAAAATACTTCGATGTGCCTCAGTTTCTTCAGGTGGGCATTGAGATTACTTAAAAAAAAAAAGGCCCATTTCTAATATTCATTTTAGGGTGAAATGAATAATGCACATAAAGTGTTAAGTGAAGTGGCATAGTAGCAGTCACTTAAATATTATTTCTGTGGTGGCTTCAGGGTTTTCCTGGGTTAAAAAAAAGGGAAAAAGAATGTCTTTCTGGAAGCAGAGATGGCTGCAACAGTGTGATAGGAGCAGCCACCTCTGCCACAGTCCCAGCCTACTTAGAGGTTGTGGGCTCTGCCTCAGCTGCTGTGGGAGGGGAGGAGCCGTGGCTTTGGGCAGGCGTGGCTGCCGATGGGCCTCCTGGCCTTTCACAAGTCACCTGGCTTCTCTGGGCATCAGCAAATCCATCTGTAAAATGAAGGCATGGTTTCCAAGTCCCTGGCTCAGCAGATTTCCCTCCCTGCCATCCGTAGTGATGTAGGTGCCTCGCACACTGTTCTCCAGCCCAGAGCCTTGGCCAAGCCTCTGCCTCAGGGCCACCCTGGTAGGATGAGAAGAGAGTGCCAGGTGGGTGAGGCAAGAGCTGCCCTTGGAAGAAAAATAACCCATGCTTTTTTTTTCTTTTCATGGCAGTTGGGTCAGCATATCCTTTCATTATCAACCGTCTCATCATGTGTGACATTTATCTCTGGATACCAAGAAAAGGCAGTGCAGGCTCTAAGCCGTATTTGTGTGGGGAAGGAACTTCTTGAAATATCGGGTTCTAATGGGTACTAAAATTATGTAATGACTTTATTTTTATAACTTTTCCTCAAAACTCTTTGTAACATTAATTAAATGTAATGTTAATGAAGTTATTAATAAGCATGTGGTGGTATAAGAAAAATTGTTAGCCACATGCATCAATTTTCCGTGATGGGAACCTGGTATGCAAGAGAAATGTGGGTCAGTTTTCCAACAGAATAGGAGTTGTTTTTTCCTAAGAAAAAGTTGTCAGGTTTACATATCAACACAAGAATTTATCATTTTCTGAGGAGAAGGTTCTGATTACGTGAGGTGTTTTAACATGGAGAAAGTAATTTGGAGCCACACAAACCTGAGGTAGAGTCCAAATTATTGGTCTGTGGAATGACGTAAGCTCTCTGGGTCTTAGTTTTCTTAGCTGTAAACTGGGGATAATAGCATCCTCTTCATCAGATTGTTTTGAGAATTAAATGGTGCAAGCTTAATGCCTATTATACAGTGTCTAGCACATCAGAGCTCAGAAGATGATGACAAAGATAACAGTGACACTATTATCGATGAAAATTTCCACGCCAAGCACAGTGGCTCACGCCTGTAATCCCAGCACTTTAGGAGGCTGAGGTGGGCGTGTTGCTTGAGCTCAAGAGTTCGAGACCAGCCTGGGCAACATGGCGAAACCTTGTCTTTTAGTAGACTAAAAATACAAAAATTAGCTGGGCATGGTGGCATGCACCTGTAGTCCCAGGTACTGGGGAGGCTGAAGTGGGAGGATTGCTTGACCCTGGGAGGTTGAGGCTCGCATAATCAGTGAGCCGTGATTGCACCACTGCAATCCAGCCTGGGTGACAGAGTGGGATTCCATGTCAAAAAAAAAAATAAAATATTTTTTTATTTCCTAAAACCTTGGAAGTCTGAAGTGGAAGAGAATGTGAAGGGGATGTGTGTGGAAGAGGTTAACTCCCTATCTCACAACTTTTATATAGAATTTTTTCATGCCTCTCTTTTTTCTCTTAATAGGAATGAATTCTTCCAAAACAAAACTAGAACTGCAAAAGCACCTGACGACATTAACCAATCAGGAGCAGGCGACTATTTTTGAAGAGGTTCAGGTACAGTACAGTTGCTAATTTCTAGAAGGAAAGAAAAGGCAGGCAGCTTACCTGGGAAATGCTATGTGTAAAAAATAGCAAACCAGTGTTGTCCCAACCTGGGGGAAGGTGCCTTGAGTTCGTCTTGGTTTCAGGGGTGACCAATCTTTTGGCTTCCCTGGGCCACATTGGAAGAAGAAGGATTGTCCTGGACCACACATAAAAGACACGATAGCTGATGAGCTGCTAAAAAAACAAACAAACAAACAAACAAAAAAAACAGCAAAAAAAAAAATCTCATAATGGTTTTTGTTTGTTTGTTTTTTTGACAGAGTCTTGCTCTGTTTCCCAGGCTGGAGTGCAGTGGCATGATCTGGGCTCCCTGCAGTCTCCGCCTCCCAGGTTCAAGTGATTCTTCTGCCTCAGCTTCCTGAGTAGCTGGGATTACAGGAGCACGCCACCACGCCTGGCTAATTTTTGTATTTTTAGTAGAGACAGGCTTTCACCATGTTGGTCAGGCTGTTCTCGAACTCCTGACCTCATGATCTGCCTGCCTTGGCCTCCCAAAGTGCTGGGATTACAGGCGTGAGCCACCACGCCCAGCCCAAAATCTCATAATGCTTTAAGAAAGTTTATGAATTTGTGTTGGGCTACATTCAGAGCCGCCCTGGGCCACATGTTGGACATGCTTGGCTTAAGCTTTCACAGTCTCATAGAGTGTCCAGGTCAGAATTGCAGATTCCCATCAGGCCTTAGCTTAGATAGTAAAACTAAATGAAACAGGCAAGCCTCTTCCTTAAACAAATGTTAGAATAAGAGAGAAGAAATTATAAAATGGAAAGCGCCTCAGGCTGGGAGACAGAAGGTCCGGCCTCTGGTCCGCATGTACTCATCTGTTCCCTGGGAAACCTCTGCCCGCCCCTTCCCGCTTAGGATTTCAGACCTAAGTGTGGGAGTCGAATGAGACAATGTTTGGTACATGAACTTGAACAGAATTCCTTCTTTCCCCCAACACCTTTTTTTTTCATTTTTGAAAATAAATTTAGGTCATGCTGTCTACTTGGAACCTGATAATATATCAAACCTACAAAAACAAAACAAAATTCAAGCTCATCAGCTTTCTGCAATAAACTTGGAAGCTAGCTCTTGCCCTTGCATTTAGATGCAGTGTATCTCGGGGAGACCATGCTGTGTGTGCTGGCATGCCTGTAGCCTGTTCATTATGAATCTTTAATGAGGTCATCCAAAATTTCATGTCTGCTTTAGCTGAGGGGCATTTTCGATGATTCCCTGGCACTTTTTTAGGGAGGGAAGCATATCAAAGAATAAATATCTCCTTTTGAGGGGCGGGCAGCAGGATCTACAAATAGAGGAGCCATTAAACAAAACAAGACAGCTAGCAACTGGGTGGGTTTAAGTGCTTTTCCTTCCTCACTGGGAAAAGACTATACTAGGATCCACGATCTGCTTTCTGTTAGTGTAAAAAAAATGAAAGGATTGTCTCTCTCTCTCTTTGTTGTTTTTTTGAGACAGAGTCTCGCTCTGTTGCCCAGAGCCGAAGTGCAATGGTGCGATCTTGGCTCACTGCAACCTCTGCTTCCCGGGTTCAAGCAATTCTCCTGCCTCAGCCTCCCAAGTAGCTGAGATTTCAGCCGCCTGCCACCACCACACTGCTAAGTTTTGTATTTTCAGTAGAGACGGGGTTTCACCATATTGGCCAGGCTGGTCTCTAACTCTTGACCTTGTGATTTGCCTGCTTCAGCCTCCCAAAGTGCTGGGATTACAGCTGTGAGCCACCACGCCTGGCCGTCTTTCTCATTTTAATCACGTTAGAGGTCTTGTCTTATTCCCTTGTTCTCCTTCTACAGTAGAATTGGCATATGCTTCAGGAAGAGAGCATAGAAAGATGTTTTTTCATGTCTCAAATAGCCTAGAGGGTAATTTTCACAATTTTCATTTGTCTTTGCATTTTCTTGTTTTCTTCTGAATCAACTTGAGACATGCTACTTTGTTTTTTCTTAAAAGATCTTTAGAGTTCTAAGTACACAATACTCTTAGAAAATATACTGTGATTTGCATTTGGAATTCAAAAATGGACAATATGCTTCTGATTGTTAATGCATTTACAATTCAAGTTGGGGCCTTTTTCATCTAATGCTGGCCCACTTACTGTTCTAGAGCTGTCCTGTCACTTTAAGAAACCATCTTTCTATCAAGAATAGAAGAGGAACTTCCCTCTCATAATGTGGGTTTTCTTTTTTGTCTAGACAGCACCACGTAGCTCTCCCTAAAACAGTGTGATGAATCAGTATAGGTAATACACAAAATATTCTTCCGCAGCAATGAGATGTTCCTAATGGATATGATTCCAAGATTCTCTTTGACTCATGCAGGCTTTTAGACACTGAGTACATCATGGTAAAGACACTTTAGAACAGAGTAGATTACGACTAAGGTTTGCTTTAGAAAAAGAGCTTTCAGTTAATATCCTGTGTGTTGTTCTAGAGGTCTCTGTAATTGTTAAGCTGCTCCAGACACCAAAGGGAGGTTGTATTCACCAACTTTGAAAAGCCGGCTCTCGCCTTGTCTTCCATCACTGTGAGTGTGGCTGTTCCTTGAGTGATACAGATTTGTGCATGGATCTTTTATTCTAGAGGCTTGTTAGATGGTCTTGTTGAATTATGTCCTCAATGACCATTCTTGGTTTTATAAAACATTTTATAAACCAAGTCATTGGTTTCATTTTAGACAGCAGTGCCAGCTAATGTGCTTGAAAATCATACATTTCAAAAAGGTTGTAAGGAAAAAGGTGGCTTTGCAGTTTCCTGAGTCTCCTTATAAAATAGAATGGTAAATATTTTCCTTTGTTCAGTCTTTCCTGGAGGGGAATTTGTTTCGGAAAAAGTCCTCTACATGCAAATTTTCATAAGGGAAATGTAATTACCGTTGAAATTAATGGTACGTGATTACTTAGTTATTAAAACATACCTTATTTAAGGATCATGTAAATGAATATTAAATCAAAAAATGGAACTCTAACAGCTATAAAGAAATCACTAATAACTGTGTAAACGATGCTGGAGGTTATCTCTACTGTAAACAAGCTAATTTTGAGCACTCTGAGAACTTAATGCCAGATGGGCATGTGGGCATACCACACTGCAAAGCCATATTTTTATTTATGAGCGTTTTTGAAATGTTTCATTTTCAAACATATCTAGCTGGGCATGTGTTAGGATGACCCCATGATGCTCTGTTACTGGGTGAATATACTAAATCCAAACTGATCATCTCAGGATAAGAATTGCTGTGAAGCCAATGTGGAGCTAGTAAATAAAATATCTCCAAGTCTAATTCTCCTAATCTATATGAGTGTGTTTCAGGGAATGACTTAATTAAATACTGACTAGATAAATCAAGTAGATTTATACTCAGTAGACATTGATAATTCATTAAGTAACATGACTTCACAAGTTAAAGGTTAATGGTCAGAAGAGACTCTTTTTACTTTCTGAAGAATATATATCAGCTTAGTTGGATTTTGCATGGTTTTAAAATGATGTTAGACTGTAGTTTTAAGATGTTAGACTGAAAACTTTAAGTTTTAAGATGTTAGACTGTAGTGTCCAAGTGAGTTTTAAGATGTTAGACTGTAGTGTCCAAGTGAGTGTTGTCTTTTTAAGTAGTTCCCTTAGGAGACCATGGGCTTTCTCAACATTCTGGGATGCATCAATCAGTGTTGGAAATTGATTTATTTATTTATTAATTTTTTTTAAGAGAAAGGGGCTCACTCTGTTACCCAGGCTGGAGCACAGTGGTTATTCTAGGGTGTGATCAGAGCACATTTCAGTTGCGAACTCATGGGCTCAAGCAATCGTCCTACCTCAGCTTCCCAAGTAGCTGGGACTGCAGGTACATGCCACCTTGCCCAGCTGGCAGTTTATATCTGAATTGCGTTTATGACAATTTATAAGCCTCTTATAGGTTAAGAAACATGTAACTAATTTAGTTTTGTTACTTTTAACAGGCGATTAATTATTTTGTAATATTCTTTTATAAATTGAAGTATGACATGCATATAGAAAAGCAAACAAATCAATGATGTATAATTCAGTGAATTTTTATAAGGTATATACAACTGTGCAGCCAGTGCCAAGATTAAGAAATGGAGCATTTCTGGCCAGGCGCGGTGGCTCATGCCTGTAATTCCAGCACTTTGGGAGGCCAAGGCGGGCGGATCACCCGAGGTCAGGAGTTCAAGACTAGCCTGGCCAACATGGCGAAACCCTGTCTCTATGGCAAATACAAAAATTAGCCAGGCATGGTGGTGCGCACCTGTAGTCTCAGCTACTCGGGAGGCTAAGGCATGAGAATCGCTTGAACTTGGGAAGCAGAGGTTGCAGTGAGCCAGGATTGTGCCACTGCACTCCAGCCTGGGGGATAGAGCGAGATGCTGTCTCCCCCAAAAAAAGAAAGAAATGGGGCATTTCCATTGCCTCATAGTCCTGTTTTGTGTCTGCCTCCAGGTAACCATCATCCTGACTTCTGACATCATAGTTTAATTTTGAACAAGCAAGTAATTTTTGATGGCACAGTGATGTTACCCAATTCGATTCCCCATTATTTTCCTAAGACTTATCTCTCTGACTAATGAATGTTCATAAAGTTAAATCACCTTTAAGAAATAATGATTTGGCCCAGAGCAGTGGCTCACGCCTGTAATCCCAGCACTTTGGGAGGCAGAGGTGGGTGGATCACGAGGTCAGGAGATCAAGACCATCCTGGCTAACACGGTGAAACCCTGTCTCTACTAAAAATACAAAAAAATTAGCTGGGTGTGATGGCGGGTGCCTGTAGTCCCAACTATTTGGGAGGCTGAGGCAGGAGAATGGCGTGAACCTGGGAGGTGGAGCTTGCAGTGAGCCCAGATTGTGCCACTGCACTCCAGCTCCAGCCTGGGTGAAAGAGCAAGACTCCATCTCAAAAAAAAAAAAAAAAAGAAAGAAAGAATTAATGATTTGCTACTATCGAGGATGGTGAAGTTGCATGGGAGATTTTAGGGAGGTGACACCTCACTAATTGTATTTCAGAATTACATTAAGGAAAGATTTGTTTCTTGATTGTGTATAACACCATCGACGTTTATTTCTCTGCTTTAGTGACTTCTGTATGATGTTTAACAAGCTCCATGACGCAGTCTCTGATTCTTAATCAGTTTTTAATGAAAAACAACTGTGGTAGTATACTGTTCCCAGTTGGTCTAATTTCCTTCTTTTAAAAGTGTATTTTGAGGGGAAAAATATATTAATACTCCTCCTCTTACTATATGATTAGCCCTTTAAAATATTTTGAAATAGATGATGATGAAGAATTTCTCCAAGCACAATATACATTTTCTTGTGGAGATAGCCAGAAGGTTTAATTAAAGACACAGGAGAAGAAAGAGTGGGCCAACCATCAGGCGCCTGTACCTGCTCAGAGGCCTCATAATTCCTGTCTGTTTCCCTGGATCATTTTTTTTTTAATAGACTTAATTTTTTTTAGAGCAGTTTTAGGTTTACAGGAAAATTGGGTGAAAAGTACAGAGTTCCCGTATTAGCTTTCACTGTCCCCCACCCCACAGTTTCTCCGATTTTTAACATATCTTGCATTACTGAGGGTTTCTTCATTATAATTGATGAGCCAATATTTGTACATTGATATTAACTAAAGTTCATGGTTTACATTTGGGTTCACTGTTGGTGTTCTGTATTCTGTGGGTTGTGACAGATGCTTAATGTCATGTGCCCATCATTACGGTATCATACAGAATAGTTTCACTGCCCTAAAAATCCCCGTGTTCTGCCTGTTCTCCCACCTCCTCCCTAATCCTTGATCTTTTTGCTCTCTCCATAGTTTTGCCTTTTCCAGCATGTCATGTAGTTGGAATCACACAGTAGCCTTTTCAGACTGGCTTCTTTTGCTTAGCAATATGCACTTAAGGTTCTTCCATGTCTCTTTATGGCTTGATAGCTTATTTCTCATTGCTGAATAATACTCAGTTTTATAGATGCACTACAGTTTCTTTACCCATTTGCCGATCGATGCACATCTTAGTTGCTTCCAAGTTTTGATAATTGTGAATAAAGATGCTGTTTTCAGCTCATTTGGGTAAACACCAAGGAGTGCAATTGCTGGGTTATGTGGTAAGAATGTGTTTAGTTTTACAAGAAACTGCTGGCCTGTTTTCCAAAGTGGCTGTACTGTTTTGCATCCCCGCCAACCATAAATGGGAGTTCTTGTTGTTTTGTGGACATTTGGGCTCAGTGTACCCATAACCCTTTGATCTAGCAGTGTTAAGTTGGGATTGTGGCATTACTGCCACTTTCCTTTTTGAGAATCTAATGCCCACTTTCTCCAGAGAAATCCACTTTTTGCATATAACTTGTAAAATTTTGTAATATTGGGGTTCACAGCCTGGAGTCCAGGTTGAGAGTGTCTGCTGTAGCCTCCAAAATATTTAATATTTCAGTCCGAAATTTGAAAGAACAGGAAGGCCTCAATGAAAACAAACCCTTCTAATCATTAACTATCCTTTCCTTAAGTAACAAGAACAACTTACCTTTAATCTTTTTCGTTAAGAAAGGACTGGGTTTCTTTAAGAAAGGACTGTCAGAAAGTCTGGGTTAGTGTTACCTTTGCTTTGAATGCTTATTATGTGCAGGGTAAAGTTGCTTCCTTAGTTAGCTGGGGAAGAAGTGACCAAGAGTGGTGTTGACCCAGATTCAGATCCTTGTGTAGTTGATCCATTTATGTCACTGAATTTGTTTTAAAGAACAGTCTGGAAATTTGGAGTAGGGAGAGGGGAGGAACAGGCAATGGATACTTGTCAACATAAAAAAAGATGTATTTTCAAAATTTATAGACTAAAAACTTTGTGTATCCCAAAACAATTCATTTTACTTTCTTCATATATGATAAAATCATACATTAAATTAGGTGGACTTTAAAAAAATTCACTCTGGCATTTCAAATCCAAAGCATTTGGGAGCAGGAGGAGACCATAGAGTTTCCTCTGTGCACCATCCTCACTTCAGCAGACAGGGAAGCTAGAATTAAGGGGCTTGGCTTCACACTTCTCGGCAGCAGCCGGAACCTACATGTCCTGACTTCTGGTCCAGTGTGCTGTGCCACGACCCTGTCTAAAAGTTAAAAGGCATAGAGAGAATTTTTTTTTTAAAGAAAGAAGAAAGAAATGTACATGCCATGAAGTTTTGTATGGAAGGGGGTGCCCCATGGGGATTCCACAGAGTGCTTCACGGTGAACACATTCGACATAGGAAATTATGACACTGAATCCCGTTGCTGTTTTCCTTGCCCGTTCCCTAAGAGTTTGTCAATGTTTGGTCATCATGGCCCCTGACCTTTGGGTATTTATATGGATTTTGTGTTTTTCCTCTTGTTTTAAAAACTATTTATTTGTTAAACATTTTGACTGTGTCTCTATCTGATATTAAAGATTCATTTTTAGATGGGAGGACATCAGAGATGAAAAGCTAAATCTGGCCCACTGGCTCCACTGTTCCTTTTTAAAAATTCTCTCTACTTTTAGGATCATTGGTGCCCCCTGGTGAGATGATTGAGTAAAAGCACTAGTTTAGTGGATGGAAGCTGTTAGCATTTAAAAAGACGGCTTAGCAATATTGTTGACGATTAAAAATAAATCCTGTTTCTGATTTTTGTTTTAAAGAAATTGAGACCGAGAAATGAGCAGCGAGAGAATGAATTGATTATTTCTTTTCTGAGATGTTTATATGAAGAGAAACAGAAAGAACACATCCATATTGGGGAGATGAAGCAGGTATGGCATTTTTGTCTCTTGTAATTGTTGCCAAGTCTCTGCCAAGTCTCTGTATAAACAACGTTTTGAGGATTTTCTGAAACTCTGATACCTTTTTTTCTCCCTATGTTTTATTTTCCTTTGTTGCACATAGAGGGGAAATTTGGGAGTGTTAGACTATGTATGCTTGAGAAGATAAGAAAAGTTTCTGCCTGCACCATAGTGGAGGCAGAACAGTTGCTCTAATAAGAGGACTGGCTTAGAGCAGCAAGAATTGAGTGTAAGAGTGGATGCCACCAAGATGAGCTGCTTGGCTTGCAGGGAGCTGGTTTGTCACCTCGCCTTTCTTCTTTGTAAACCTGGAAGGACATTGCATGGCTGCCTTTGGAATTACAAAAAGTACCTGAACGTCCTTTGTGATATAAATGCTAGGTCACAAATCAGATACAATGTTGGCAAGCCTGACTTATGTGCTATTCAGGTTAGAACTTGGATTAATTCCATTTTGCATGGTGGAAATACAGAGTCTCCCTCCCCTCCTCCACTGTCTACAGCCTTATTTAGCTTTTCTCTTTGTGGGGTCTCAAGGCAGAAGCTGGGGCTCTCTGCAGATCTCTCCCTTGGAAGATCTTCAGGTTTGGGAGTCCCTATGTTACATGGTACCACAGACCATTTCCTTTGTCTTTTGGACTCCATGTGAGTCCATTCATAATGAACCATTAATAGCTTCAAAACATACACATTTTATATTTGCTAAAGTTACCTGTTGGCCAGAAATCTAGAGAAAAATCAGTGAAGGATGTACAAGTTTCTCAGTTTCCCAAAAGTATGTTCCCTTTTTCTTTTTGAACACTCCCCACGTACGTGTTCCAAAGACACTTGTGTGCTCAGTGGTGTGCCCTGTCCTACGGCAGCCTTTGCGTCTGGACCCTAAACCAAGTGTGCAGTTTTCATGGGGTGTACACTTAGCAAATCTCCACATAAGGTTTCTACCTTCTAGGTGGCTTTGGCAGTCACGTGCCTTCCCTGAACACTTGGGCTGGTGTACAGTGTCAGCCACGGTTTCTAATCTCATTGGCCAGCCATGAGGTCCTTTAGCAGTGACTCTAACATGAGTATATGACCTGTGTTTTTTGGGGTTTTGACTTGTGGTCTTGGTTTGTAGCCATTCCTCCCTTCCCAACCTGTACCCTTAAGATAGCATTCAAGTTCTGTGTCTCTCCTGTTCATTTTTGGATGGACCAGTTGGTCTAAGTTTTCAGTTAATTCTGGAGTTCATTTTTCAGCCTATTTCTTTTCTCTTTTCCACTCCCTTTTTCCCCTCTTGTGCCACTGATAGCTTTTTCCCTGTTCTGATTTTCTTTTATCTGAGTCAGTCTGACTTGTTCCAACAGGAAATTGATAATTTTGAAGTAATTTATAACTGCTAGAAAGGGGAATGAAGCATTTACGGTGGATGGAAAGTCTTCTTTTACTAAACATTTTGAGCATTTATGGTGAATGGAAAGTTTTGACCTAACTGCAGACTCATTTTTATGGACCAGCATAATATTTTTATGATTTGGGCATAGATCATCCAATGGAGAAATGTGTTTAATGTTTTTTTTTTACCCAAAAAAACATAAGAGTTCAATGTAGAAGTGACTGAGCCTTACAAGCAGAACTGGCATCTGTGTAACACTTTTACTAGGGGTTTCTAAACATCATGAACCAGACGGCTCATGTCTTCGTCTATAAAGAAGCTGCCCTAATCCCCTGATGAGGTTGGTGTACTCCAGGCTGGACACTCTCATGGGCTCTGAGGAGTGGGTTTTTCAGAGCAGCAGCTGCTTTATAGACCCATTAGGCACAGCCTTGAGATTCACTGATAGATCCTTTTCATGTTTTCTGCTATCAGTTTAGCCACGTGGATTTCATTACCTTCTTGTTGCACCTAAAAATTTCTAAAGCTTTTGAAAATGTGGGAAGATGTGACATAGACCGTGGTAGGATCATGGCTTTGACAAAGAACTTCTCTGGCCACAGGACTTCAGAAGCGGACAGAGGACAGTGAGCGCTTCTCTCAGTGCTGTGCGTGTCAGGGTCGGCAGGGAGGCCATATGCGCTTTTCAAAGACCAAAAGAATAGTGCTGGAGAACTGTCAGAGGAGTTGTGAAATAGAAAAAACCCTGAATGAGTCTTTTGATCTTATAGAACAGGGTTCAGTTTGGGCAAGACTTATACATTAAGTTAGAGGCTGTCACGTTTTAGTCAATGGACTTGTCGTTTCCACCTGTATTCACAGAGGTGGTACAAAAATTAGTATGAAATCAGCTGCCACTTACTGAATGTTTGCCAAGTGCCAGATAGAGTTCTCATTCCTTACATAAATGACTCCATTCATTCTACAAGTTTTTTGAGGTAGGTGGTAAAATACCCATTTTATAGATGAGGAAATGGGGAAGAGCAGTCAAGCAGTTACTAGTGAGTAGTGGAGCCACTTTGTCTGATGTCTAAGTACTTTATCTTAATTATTGTGTGTTTTTTTAAGGAGCTTAACAAAATTTAATGCTATATAACTACTTACTGATTTTCTTGGGTCTGTTTTCTAGTAGATAAGATTTTCTTTCTTTTTTTGTGACATTTTATTATGAAAAATTTCAAACATATAGAAAAGTTGAAAGAATTATACCATGAGCACTCATATACCCACCATCCAGATTTTACAGTTTTAAAGACTTTGTTAATTTGCTTTATCATATATTTATCTATTAGTCCACCTTATTTTTGCATGCCTTTCAAATTAGGTGATATCAGTACCCTTCATCCCTAAACACTTTAGCATGTATATCATTAACTAGAATTTAGTGTTTGCTTCCAATTTTGGGGAGATTAAATTTACATATGGTAGGTTATGCAAATCTTAAGTGTACCATTTGTTGAGTTTTGACCACTGCTGCTACATTCAGGTAGCTCAAACCCCTATCAAGATATAGAATATTTTCATCCTGCCGGGCGCAGTGGCTCACGCCTGTAATCCCAGTACTTTGGGAGGCTGAGGTGGGCGGATCATGAGGTCAGGAGATTGAGACCATCCTGGCTAACACAGTGAAAGCTCGTCTCCACTAAAAATACAAAAATTAGTCAGGTGTGGTGGCGGGTGCCTGTAGTCCCAGCTACTAGGGAGGCTGAGGCAGGAGAATGGCATGAACCCGGGAAGCGGAGGTTGCAGTGAGCCGAGGTCGCACCACTGCACTCCAGCCTGGGCGACAGAGAGAGACTCCCTCTCGGGAAAAAAAAAAAAATTTCATCCTACCAGAAAGTAGCCCTATATTCGTCTTCTAGTCAGTCCTCACTACCCCTTCCCCCAGGTAACCACTGTTTTGATTTTTTTCACCTTAGATTAGTTTTGCCTGTTCTGGAATTTCTTATAAATGGCATCATACTCTTTTTTTTTTTTTTTTTTTTTTTTTTTTTTTGAGACAGAGTCTCACTCTGTCACCCAGGCTGGAGTGCAGTGGCGCTATCTTGGCTCACTGCAAGCCCCGCCTCCCAAGTTCACGCCATTCTCCTGCCTCAGCCTCCTGAGTAGCTGGGACTACAGGTGCCTGCCACCACTCCCAGCTAATTGTTTATATTTTTAGTAGAGACGGGGTTTCACCGTGTTAGCCGTGATGGTCTCGATCTCCTGACCTTGTGATCTGCCCACCTCGGCCTTCCAAAGTGCTGGGATTACAGGTGTGAGCCACCGCGCCTGGCCGGCATCATACTCTTTGAGTTCTGGCTCCTTCCACTTAGCATAACGTTTCTGAGACTCATCAGAAACGTTATGCTACATTGTTGCATGTATTAGTAGTTTGTTGTTGCATGTATCAGTTGCTTGTATCAGTAGTTTGTTCCTTTTTGTTCTGTGGTATTAATGTCAAGAGTTTCTTTCTCCATTCTCCTTCTGAGCTGCTTGATTATGAATAAGGCTGCTGGTAGATACATTGTGCCAGCCTGGGATGGTGAGTTCTGAACTGAGAATTTCAGTATAGCATCAGGATTTAAAGCTTGAATACTTGAATCCAAACTTTCATGCTTAGAGTTTACCCCATCTGTTGAAGGATGTGCAATATAATGACTGCAATAGAATTCACTGTGGAGCCTCCAAATTAGAAATTATTGTCTGTGAGGGCCAGGCACGGTGGCTCACGCCTGTAATCCTAGCACTTTGGGAGGCTGAGATGGGAGGATTGTTTGAGGCCAGGAGTTTGAGACCAGCTTGGTCAATATAGCGAGACCCCCATCTCTGTTTTTTTTTTTTAAAGAAATTATTGTCTAAGAACCAGTGTCATCTTCCAAGGAGAAACTTCTAGATACTTGTTTTAAGATAAATAAGAAACAAGTCATTTCTAAATGTGAATTATTTTTTAAATGCAATTTTTTAAACATTTTATTTTAATTATGGCAATAGACGTGGAAAAGACTCTTTTTTGATAGTAGGGGAGAGCAGAAGAAACATTGAATTAAGTACACAGAGATTCTTCAGACCTGCTTTAAAAACACATGCATACAAATGCACTTCTGTCTCTTAGGATCTACTAACTGATGCTGCTTGCTTTAGTCTTTTAGCTAATATTTTCTTTCTTTCTTTCTTTCTTTTTTGTTGGAGACAGAGTCTCGCTCTGTCGCCAGGCTAGAGTGCAGCGGCACAATCTTGGCTCACTGCAACCTCCGCCTCCCGGGTTCAAGCGATTCTCCTGCCTCAGCCTCCTGAGTAGCTGGGACTATAGGCGTGCGCCACCACGCCCAGCTAATTTTTGTATATTTAGTAGAGACGGGGTTTCACTGTGTTGGATGGGATGTTCTCCGTCTCTTGTCCTCGTGATCCGCCTGCCTTGGCCTCCTAAAGTGCTGGGATTACAGGCGTGAGCCACTGCGCCTGGCTCATATTTTCTTTATATATCAAAACAATTCAGCTTGCTTCACTTTTATGAAAGCTTTATTATGAGTTTGAAAGCAATTCTGCATTTTCTTAACATTGTAACTGGTGTTGAGTTGAAGGCAGGCCCCTGGGAGCCCTTTGTGGGCAATTCCCTTCACTCTGGAGGCTGCCTCGAGCCTGGACAGGCACTTACACTTGGTCAGTGATTGCACAGAACCGGTTGCAACAGATTCTGTGCACCTCCCTGTGGCGCGTAGCATTTAGCAGGCACTTGGTCACTATTTGCTGAGTGAGTCTGTTACCTTAGGCGTGTATTTCCCGTGGACCTGCCTGGGGATCATTGCTCATTCACTCATTTTGAACAAGCCAATATTACATGTCCAGGGTACGCTCTATAGTGTGAAACACAAAGGTAAATGATAGTTCCCCTTCTCAAAGGAATTTCTAAGGTAGTAGCCATTCTTTTGATGCATATTCTCATTCTCATAGAGAGTCCAATTATGGATAATTGGACAAAGCTGAATGTCGCTTTTATGAGAATCCATTCTTTCTCTTTTATGCTTTGAAAAATGTGTAGCATTCATTAGTGAATTAGGATTTCATTATTCAAAGAAGACATAAGGTCTTCGAACAGCAGATGACTGAATAAAATAATACCTAACAGCAGTAGAATGAGGGGAGGACATATTCAAGGAACATTTTATGCCCATTAGATTGGCAGAAATTTTTAAAAAGTGACAATACCGTATAAAGGTGAACTTTCCTATACTGATACTGGGAACATGAATTTGTACCATTCAGGGAAGAGAAACTTGATAATATCTGGTGTAGTCTGAAGGGGCACAGTCCCTGTGACCCAGTGAGGACATTCCTCATTATTTCCCTTGCCAAACATTTCACATGAGTCTATAAGGAGCTCTATATAAGAGAGGTCACTGCAGCCTCCTTTGTAAGAGCAAGAAAAAAAAGCAAATAAGTGTTTAACAATAGGAACATAGATAAATTAGGTTATGCAGTGAATATTTGCACTCTGACTAAAGTGAGTGAATCAAAAAAAATTTGTCAACAGGAATAAATCTCAAAAATAATATTGAAAGAAGAAAGCTAATTTACAGAAGGATGTGTACAGTATGACACCATTCATTTAGTTTCAACTACATATCTTTTATGGACACATACATATAAAAGCAGAAAACATGAATTGATAGGATAAACACCAAATATTTCTGCATATGGCCAGGTGTGGGGAAGTAGTGGTGATTAAGCTTCAAAGATGTCTGCAGTGGTTCCCATTAAAAGTAGAAAGTAGGCTGGGCACAGTGGCTCACGCCTGTAATCCCAGCACTTTGGGAGGCCAAGGCAGGTGGATCATTTAAGGCCAGGAGTTCGAGAACAGCCTGGTCAACATGGCGAAACCCCATCTCTACAAAAAAAATACAAAAATTAGCCAGATGTGGTGGCGCACACTTGTAGTCCCAGCTACTCGGGAGGCTGAGGCATGAGAATCACTTGAGCCCAGGAGGTAGAGGTTGCAGTAAGCCAAGATCGTACCACTGCACTCCAGCCTGGGTGACAGAGTGAGACTCCATCCCAAAAAACAAGCAAACAAAAAAAGCTCATAGAGTAGGTAATAGTCATGATATCTGATGTTTTTTGATTGTCTGGTTTACATTTTTTATTTTTATTTTTTGAGACAAGTCTCACGCTGTCACCCAAGCTGGAGTGCGGTGGTGCGATGTCAGCTCACTGCAATCTCTGCCTCCTGGGTTCGAGCGATTCTCCTGCCTCAGCCTCCCAAGTAGCTGGGATTACAGGCGTGCACCACCACACCTGGCTAATTTTTATATTTTTAATAGAGACAGGGTTTCACCATGTTGGCCAGGCTGGTCTCGAACTCCTGACCTCAAGTGATTCATCTGCCTCAGCCTCCCAAAGTTCTGGGATTACAGGCATCAGCCACTGCACCTGGCCTTGGTATATGTGTTTTAATTTGTATTCATTCATTTAAGCCTCATGACAGCTCTGCGAGGAAAGTTCACTATACGTCTTCAGGCTGCAGGTAGAGGACCTGAAAGGGACAGGAGGTAACAGTCTGGCCAAGACCACAGAGCCAGGGAATAGCAGAGGAACATTTCACCTGGGCATTGCACTCCAGAGCTGGGCTTCTCACTGTTCTCAACCCCTGGCAAATGCTCACTTGAACAAAGCCAGGTGGTGATACAAAGGTATTTGTTATATTAGTCTCTACACTTTTCTGTGTGCTTGAAATAACTGCAACAAAGAATATATCAGTATTTAGAGTAATGGGGGATTTGCTTGTGTGTGTTTGTATTTTTGAGATGGAGTCTCGCTCTGTCGCCCAGGCTGGAGTGCAGTAGCATGATCTTGGCTCACTGCAACCTCCGGCTTCTGAGTTCAAGCGATTCTCCTGCCTCAGCCTCCTGAGTAACTGGGATTACAGGTGTGCGCCACTACACCCGGCTGTTTTTTGTATTTTTAGTAGAGACAGGGTTTCCCCGTGTTGGCCAGGCTGATCTCAAACTCCCGACCTCAGGTGGTCCACCCACCTTGGCCTCCCAAAGTGCTGAGATTACAGGCATGAGCCACTGCGCCTGGCCGTTTTTTTTTCTAACGAAATTATTTTCTAACAGAAAGCAATCAGGTGAGAATCCACATAAGAAACAATTTAATTCAGAGATTTTTGTTGCATATTAAAAAAAAAATGTACCTTCGGCTGGGTGTGGTAGCTCACTCCTGTAATCCCAGCACTTTGGGAGGCTGAGGCAGGTAGATCACTTGAGCTCAGGAGTTTGAGATCAGCCTGGCCAACATGGTGAAACCCCGTCTCTACAAAAACTACAAAAAATTAGCTGTGTGTAGTCCCAGCTACTCTGGGGGCCGAGGGAGAAGGATTGCTTGAACCTGGGAGGTCAAGACTGCAGTGAGCCATGATTGTGGCCCTGTACTCCAGCCTGGGCAACAAAGTGAGACCCTGGCACCCTGTCTCAAAAAAAAAAAAAAGTACCTCCTTGTAAATAAGTAACACTAAGACTTCATTTAGTGGTTGTCAAGCAAACTCCATTGTATTTTTATTTTCAGTTTTTATGGCTAGTAGTTAAGGGAGAGAAGCTTGGTTGCAGAGAAGAATGAAAGGATGATGGGAAAATAAAAGTAGGAGAGAGGAAAACGCAAGAAAGCAAGAGATCTGTAGAAAGGGATGAAGGAATTGTATAGGCAGAGAGAATAGGTTCTTTAATTGAGAAATTTATGTTGTCTCACCTTCTGAAATGCCCCCAAAGGTAAGTTATTGTTTTATTTTGAAAAGCTAATGATAGCTACCT
The DNA here is from genome assembly GCF_000001405.40 of Homo sapiens. Lineage (NCBI taxonomy): Eukaryota > Metazoa > Chordata > Mammalia > Primates > Hominidae > Homo > Homo sapiens. Next base: position 38,043,925 of record NC_000004.12, read on the forward strand.
TTCTACCACGCTGTGTTCAATGTTTTACACACTTTACCTGTTTGAGTCTCACAACACAGTGTTATGATTCGATCTTGCCATTGGTCTCACTTTACTGAAGAGGAAGTTTGAGGCTCAGAAAAGTAAGAAACTGGCCGAAGACCACGGTTAGTGAAGACAGATCTCTGATCCAGTTGCAGAGTCTGAGCAATAAACTACTTCAACTGATTGGTTTCAAAGCACATTTCGTCATTTTACTTGGGGTAATCAAAGCAACTCTCTGAGGCAAAATTATTTCCTGGACTTGCAGCCATGTCACTAAGGAGCAGATGAGGTGAGATCACAGACAGGATCAGAATGATGGCCTGGTGCCAAAAAGATGTGTCCTAGAGATTTTTCATTCCTTTAAGAAGCAGAGAAGGGAGCGATAAATGACTTTTCGTTTTTCACTTTTTTAGACATCGCAGATGGCAGCAGAGAATATTGGAAGTGAATTACCACCCAGTGCCACTCGATTTAGGCTAGATATGCTGAAAAACAAAGCAAAGAGATCTTTAACAGAGTCTTTAGAAAGTATTTTGTCCCGGGTAAGTAGCATAATTTCTCCTGATTTAAGTTAAATCACTTTTTAGGAGAGTGTAAGATTGAGTTCTATGCTTTTATTCCATCAATGTTCATCATAAAGGTAAAAGTATAAAACCTTTTTTTATGTTTTCTCAGGCTTATAACAGTATTATCTACATTTTAAATTGTTTTTAATTTGGCCTAGGTTTAAAAAAAATATTCCTTACTCTTTTGTATTATATCCAATGGGATTTTTTTGCCGCTCCAAAGAATATTTGTTAGCCAGTCCCTATAAAGAGCATGCATTAGATACACTGAAGTGTGGCTTCTGTTCTCCCTACTATCACTATGTATAACTTAAAAAACAGTTACTGTCAGCTGCTGGTGTTAGCTATCTAAAAGGCTATATAGTAGGGGTCAGCAAACTATGCCCATGGGCCAAATTCTACCCACCTCCTATTTTTGTAAATAAAGTTTTGTTGAAACACCGCCACATCCATTCATTTTCCAGTTATCTAAGGCTTCTTTTTTGCAGACTTCAGCAGTTGCCACAAACACTATATGCCTCACAAAGCATAAGACACTTACTATCTGGCCCTTTACAGAAAAAGTTTGCCAAATATAGCTCTATAGAAAGAACAAAGTACACATGTACATCAATCTGGGAGTTCTTTAAGAAATTATCCCTCCCTCCCATGAGTGTAAATAGCCTGATGGCACGTCTGAGAAATCAAATCTGATTTTCCCTCAGAGTTTCACACCTTTCTGGAGTGTGCAGTATCTTATTATAGTTCTTTTTGATTTTATGGCACACTTCTTTTGAAACATCTGATTTTATTTTATTTTTTAATTAAGGAAAGTTAAATTTTATTTTCTTCGAAGATGTTTCTGAGAATTTTGCAATATCTTCTGAGATCATGAAAAACAGTTGATTTACAAAACCAGAGTTGGGAGGGGCTGCATTTGAGAGCTCCCAAAGGGATAGAGTGCTGTCCGAGTGACATGCGGCTGGCCGTTATGATGACTTGTGACCCAGGGGAGGGAGTTAGTTGCTGAGTGGGCTTGAGCACTTGATTTTCCTTATAGACGAATTGTCTTGTCTTCCTGCCTATCACTCATGCCAAATTACTTAGCCACCAGGTGTTTTGGAACGTTTAGGTTAGTGTCTTATTTATTTTTTAAAAAAATGATGGAAATGTTGATTATTTTAATGTACAAATATCCTTAGTAGCATTTCTCAGTAGATAACATTTTTTTCCTGAGCTTATTTAAATGGACCAATCTGCTTCTAGCTGATGCCTTTGCAAAAGCCTCCAGAGTCATAACTCGACTGCCTTTTCTTTATGTAGGGTAATAAAGCCAGAGGCCTGCAGGAACACTCCATCAGTGTGGATCTGGATAGCTCCCTGTCTAGTACATTAAGTAACACCAGCAAAGTAAGCACATTTCTCTTTATACGACACCCTGAAGAAACCAACAAATAGGTCTTGCTCATCTCCTGTCTACATACCTCCAATCATAAAACGTTTGCTGCTTGCAAATTTCTTGGCACAGGTGGAGGACTGGTCATGCAGTTCTATCATAACATAAAAGTTTTACATAAAAGAGCAGATGGGGCTGGGTGCAGTGGCTCAACGCCTGTAATCTCAGCACTTTGAGAGGCGGACGCGGGCGGATCATGAGGTCAGGAGATCGAGACGCTCCTGGCTAGCACAGTGAAACCCCGTCTCTACTAAAAATACAAAAAATTAAAAATTAGCCGGGCGTGGTGGCGGGCACCCGTAGTCCCAGCTACTCGGGAGGCTGAGGCAGGAGAATGGCATGAACCTGGGAGGCGGAGCTTGCAGTGAGCCAAGATCACGCCACTGCACTCCAGCCTGTGTGACAGAGAGAGACTCTGTGTAAAAAAAAAAAAGCAGTAGATTTTCCTATTAAAAAAATAATTAATATTGGGAAAACATCAGAAAGTGGATTTGTGAATTTAGAGAAGTATACAGCTTAAATTTTTCTTTTTTTAAGAAAATTTTATTTTGGATTTGGGGGTACATGTGCATGTTTATTACATGGGTATATTGCATACTGGTGGGGATTGGGCTTCTAGTGTACCCATCACCCAAATAGTGAACATTGTACCCAGTAGGTAATTTTTCAACCTTCACACCCCCTTTCATTCTCCCCCACTTGTGGGGAAATTAAATTTCTGAAACTTTATCCTGTAGCTGGCTCTATGATTATAATGAAACATTACTGTTTTATTTAAATAAGCAAGTATCTATGTCCTTCTTTTAATAACTTGCTTTCTAGACATTTAATCATATTTAAGCCTGGTCAGTTCAACTTTATAACTCCTGAAAAGTGGGTTTGGGTTTTGTGCTAGGGAGGCCAGCTTTCCCTTCTGCTACCAGAGGACTCTCTTTGGCAGTAGTGAGGGAGGGAGTGTTTGTGGAGGCCAGCTCCTTACCACAGGCAGGGTTTACAGTCCTCTGCCATCCCTCCTAGACATATGGCTTTCAGAATTTTTCTAACCTACAGTAAGAAGCACATTTAACATTGTGGCGTAGTTCACAAACACACATACCTACACATTCACACACAAAATTAAAAGTTCACAAAACAATATTTACTGTGAACAACATACAATACATACTGATATTTTGTTCTATTTTATTTTTAAAATGCTCATGGCAAACTACTCAGTTGTACCACCTACTAACATGATAGAGGGAGCAGTTTGAGAAACACTTCCTTAGATGGATGAGTGCTTCTCAAATTTCAGGTGCTCCGCCTCCCGGGTTCAGGCCATTCTCTTGCCTCAGCCTCCTGAGTAGCTGAGACTGGTTAAAGTGCAGATTCTGGTTCAGTAGGCAGGGTGGGGGGAGCCCTGAAATGCTGCATTTCTGACAAGCTCCAAGGCAATGCTGCTGCTCCTGGTCTGCAGACCGCCTCTGGGGAGTGAGGTCCTAGACAGCAGTCTTGTAAATGTGAGTTTCTGAGTTAAAATCCAGGGGAACATAGTGTCGTCCAGCCTCCATCTAATACACACTGATCCCACCCTGCAATTCATTGCAAGTGTGGGAAGGCTATTTGCTTATTTGTTGTGTACAGATGAACCACACACCGCCCCTTTCATGTAGGAAGTTACCTAGGAGGAGAGAGATGACAGATACAGAAACAGCCCCAGCATCAAGCAGAGTGTGGTAGGAGCCCAGAAGTTACAAATAAGAGACATTGGTAACTTCAGTGTCAGAAGAGCAAGGGGAAGGGAAGTTAGGTTTGGTCAGTGGAACCAGGGAAAAGGTGAGGGGTGAGGGGGCAGTGATGCTTTTGGACTAAATCTTGGTGTAGGAATTGTGCCTATGGAAGTGAACAGAGAAGAAGGCATTCTAGACAGACCAGTGTCAATAGACATACCATGAAGACATTCATGTCACTCAGTGGGCTTTCCAGTAAGCCTTATTGCTTGCTTTTTATTTTTCTCCAAAAGGCAGATCTAGGAATATATACATATTCATTCTTCAGGACTCGATAGTTGTGAAGATTCTTTTAAAAGGATTTAAAAGTCTGTCTAAGATTGCAATTTCTAGAGTCATTCTAAGAGAGATGCAACTTTTCAGAAGCTGCTTGTATGTATTGTATATGTTTAAGTGTACTTTACATCTTTCTTTTATTCATCTTGAATTGAGAAACTACTATATTCTATTTTATGTAATTGGATCCCTTCTAAAAAATTGATCACCTAGGAGTTGCAAAGAAACCAAATAGCCCTGAAACTTGACAAATGAAAATGGCCCTTTCAGTTGTCCAATTAAGCTAAGGGTTAGCTCTTTGATATGATTTGGAGGGATATTAGTAAGAATTTAGATCAACAGGTTTGCATGATGGAGATTGTGTTCTGTGATGTATTGTCTTAGAGAGACTTTTAAATCCTTAAAAGAATCTTCACAACTGTTGAGTCCTGAAGAATGAAAAACTTCAGTTATGAAAGTAATCAATATTTCATAGTATGTTGGGAATTTTTTCCTAATTCTTATACAATTAAATGTATGTAACTTCTCCCTTTGGTAAACACATTTCTTTTTTTTTTTTTTTCAAATTAAAACCCTCAATACTTGTTACCTAAAAGGCACTCAACTGTGTAAATGAACAGGTAGAATTCAGTCTCCAGTCCACTGTTAGATGCATTCATTCTTGTTTACTCTATTCCTGTTGATTTATTTTTTCTCTTCCAACAATTTCAATAGGAGCAAGCTGCTACAATTCCTCTTTTTGAATATTTTGAATATATTAAAAATATATTGGCCACTAGCCACGTCCTGGGTGCAGTGTTAAACATCAGTTTGCTTGAGTGGTAGTAGTTCATTCCTTTGAAAAAGCGTGCATCGTGAAGGCATACAACTTTAAAATATTGTCATGATTCTCAACAAATGTTTGAGCACTCACTCCATAGATTTATTGCATACCTAATAAAACAATAACTTATGTTTGTGTAACATTTTACAACATAAAAAGTACTTTTGGTTGTATCATCTTGCTTTGTTCTTGAAACTCAGATACATTTTTACTTTACCCTCTTACAGAAGAAATTGAGGTGCAGAAAGAAATTATTTGCCCTGAATTGCAGCAGTAAGTGCCTACAGAGTGATTTTCCATATTCTAAGAATATTGATACAGTTCTTAATCTCAAATTATGAAGTCGAATCTCAACAGTAGATCAGATTCGGAGAGAGCCTTAAAATGTGGGTTTAACATGAGTGAACACATGTGGCAAAGATAAAGAACTTGGTTAAGCAGTGGAGACAAGTTCTCCAGCACTCACACCCCTTAGAAGCTGCAGTAAACAGTCCTGTTTTCTAGAGAGAGGGCACTATTCATGGCGTTGTTCAGAACGTTACAGATTGTGGCTTATGTCCTTCACTCCTGCACTTGGCCAGTCTCCCCATTTCTCCAGCAAGCCAGCAGTGTGTCCTTGAGGAGCGGGCATTTATTTAATGGACCTTCATTTTCTTCTGCTTTTGGTGGTGGCTTCTAGATGGCATTATAATCAGAACACATACTTAGATACTGCAATGTTTGCCCGTGCAGGAACTAGAGATTTATAAATCCCACATATTCCCCATGGTGTGTCTGATCTGCTGTGTGTTTGCTCCCAGGAGCCATCTGTGTGTGAAAAGGAGGCCTTGCCCATCTCTGAGAGCTCCTTTAAGCTCCTCGGCTCCTCGGAGGACCTGTCCAGTGACTCGGAGAGTCATCTCCCAGAAGAGCCAGCTCCGCTGTCGCCCCAGCAGGCCTTCAGGAGGCGAGCAAACACCCTGAGTCACTTCCCCATCGAATGCCAGGAACCTCCACAACCTGCCCGGGGGTCCCCGGGGGTTTCGCAAAGGAAACTTATGAGGTATCACTCAGTGAGCACAGAGACGCCTCATGAACGAAAGTAAGATTTGTTTAAATTTGTTGCATAAATAGCTGGGGCATATCTGTGACTAGCCAGGTATGTGCATCCCAGGTATGTTTATTGAGTGAGAGAAATGAGTCAGGCTTTACTCTTGGTTTGGAGATAAAACTGGAAGCAGTGACATGTTCGTTCGAGCTGCTTGTGAGTATACAAGCAATGGGTACTTGTATTGTCAGGAAGCAAGTGAAAGTGAGCAAAAATGGTACCTAACATGCATAGTCATTACTCCTCAAACAAAGTAAGAGACGTTGTTGACTGTGGAACTTTGCTGCTGTGAGGAAGAGGGCAAGCGGATGAGTCTCCCCATCTGAAGCCCTGGAGCAGGGTTATAATGGGAGGGAGAGGCGCTGATCCTTACAGGCAGAGCAAGAGAGGTATGCTGGCCTCATAGGGTGACAGGGGTGCTTCAGCTTCTGGTCCTAGCTCTGCCGTGAACTAATTGTGACCTGGACGAATTTGCTAAATTCTCTGAATAACAAAATTGGAGTAGATGTTTTCTAAAATCTCTCACTGTAAGAATTCTAGATTCTTCTAACAAGATTTATTCATTGTAATAGTTGGGTTCCTGTGACCAGTTAGAATCGTCTGGTTATGGAGAAGAGTAATCAGAAGTTCCCCCCATTCCTTCCAAGTGTCCCTTAGTGATTCATTTAACTCTGTGTGCCAGAGACTATAAATGGACACAGTTATCTTTAAAAACAACTTTAAACAATTTTAAAAATCTCTCACCTAATATGAATCAAGGTCACACCTGTGTACAGTCGCTGCCTTCTTCTGACCAGCAGCCGCAGAAGTCCCAGGACCTATGTGTTCGTGTAGTTCATACACGGATCATTGAGAGTGTGAGTTAGTACAGAAGTGTTTGGAATGTTCTGAGTAAAGAAGTGTGAGCATTAACAGTCCTGGATGATGGAGCAGAGCCTCCCAGCTTTGTTTTCTGTCAGCCATTGGAAAGAGTTCTTGGTTCTTTGGAATTCAGCGGGGTAGTGGTGATCCCAAAAGCAGGGGACATGTCAGAAGGTACTGCTTAATAAATACACGCTTTTAGAGACACACATCGTTGGGTTGTAGCTGTGTAAGTTTCTTGTGTTTAACACCCTGTCTGCACATTACTTCTGTGCTGCCTCACCACTGCCTGCCCACTCCTCTGTTGTTGGCGTTTTCAGTGATCATTGAAACATTCCTGTCTGGAGAGTCCTAGTTCTCTTGTGAAGTCTGCTGTTTCTCAAAAGCCAGAGTTGATAGGACTTAGTATCAGTACTTTTCCTTTCTCCATGAAGAATGTAGCTTTATAATAGATGATGTCACACATCCGTAATGGGAGGGATGAGGAGATGCCTGTCTGTCTGCCTCTCTAGCATGGCCCATTCTGCTTTCTTTCCCCCTTGTGAGCTCTTTTCCGATTTATCTACAGGAAATAAGACATTGAAATTCAGGGCAGGATATTGTTCATTTTAAAGGGAAATGTATTTTTTAAAGTTCAGTTTTTTTTTGCTTTTGTTTATACTTTAATTAAAAATTTTTTTTCCTGCCAGTTCCTGAAAAAGAAAATAGAGAAAGAAATATTATTGTTCCTGGGCGAAGTGGCTCACTCCTGTAATCCCAGAGCTTTGGGAGACTGAGGTGGGAGGTTGCTTGAGGCCAAGAGTTCAAGGTCACAGTCAGCTGTGATCGTGCTACCGCACTCCAGCCTGGGTGATAGAGTGAGACCTATTAAAAAAAAAAAGTATTGTTGGGAGCATAAACACGTGGGAAATGGTCAAGAACGGCCGTCAATATACTCTGTTTTTCACTGAAAACTACCTTTGCCAGAGAGCGAGCAGAGATGAGGAAAAGGAGTGGAAGAAGTCCTCCACTCTGATAGTGTTACTGGAACAACGAGACAAAAGCGGTGTGCTCCTTCCACCTGTTTGCTCCGTGTCCCTGTCGGCGCCCCCTCTCCTGCTAACCCCCCCGTGCTTTCTCTGATTGCTGTTTAGTGTGGATCCTTCACCTGTGGGTGAGTCTAAGCACCGCCCAGGTCAGTCTTCAGCTCCTGCTCCTCCACCTCGTCTTAACCCCTCCGCCTCCTCGCCAAACTTTTTTAAGTACCTAAAACATAATTCCAGTGGAGAACAAAGTGGGAATGCTGTGCCAAAGAGGTGAGCACACTCACGTGGCAAGTTTGGTGTTGTCTGTTTTCCTGGGGAGTTCACACTGATGAGGATGTGCTGAATGGGGGGAATGTCCATGCAGGAAGCAGAGCCACTGTGTGTGTGTGTGTGTGTGTGTGTGTGCGCGCGCGTGTGTGTCTTTGTTTATATTTTGTCTTATTTTCAGCTGTCATTTGAACCAAGTTAATTTTACTATTGATGACTTTTCTTAAGATTATTATGAAAACAGATCTTAATGGCAGATTGGTTTGTGTTTGTGTTTGTTTTTTTTTTTTTTGAGACAGGGTCTCACTCTGTTCCCCAGGCTGGAGTGCAGTGGCGTGATCTCGGCTCACTGCAGCTTCTGCCTTGTGGGTTCAAGCAGTTCTCCTGCCTCAGCCTCCCGAGTAGCTGGGACTACAGGCACACGCCACCATGCCCGGCTAATATTTTTATTTTTTTTTGTAGAGATGGGGTTTCACCATGTTGACCAGGTTGTTCTTGAACTCCTAACCTCAAGTGATCCGCCTGCCTCAGTCTCCCAAAGTGCTGGGATTACAGGTGTGAGCCACTGCACCCTGCTGCAAATTGTTTTTTTATACTTATTTTCACATTTCCTTGCCCTAGTGGACACTTACATGCATGCGTATATACACACACACGCGCGCGCGCGCGCGCACACACACACACACACACACACACACACACACACAGGATAACATCTGTGTTTGATCATGTACACTGCAATTTGTGCCATATCAGAAACTTCCTGATTGATTTAGGGGAATTATTTTTCCCAGTTTGAAAGGAAGAGTTATTTGGAAAATGGATGGATTTTCTTTTTTAAAAAATTATTGATCCCATTCATTTAAAATCAAATTTTATTGGTGAAAATGAAAATTAAATCTCATTCGTGAACTACTTTTAATTTCTTACCTAGTTTTCTTTTCTTAGCATTAGAACAAAAATGTTTCTTTTATTTTGAAGCTTATATTTTATACTTTGTGTTTTTATGTTTCTTTATCCTAAACTCTTTTTTCAACCAAACTCTTAGCATCTCCTACCGTAATGCCCTGCGGAAAAAACTTCATTCTTCTTCCTCTGTGCCAAATTTTCTAAAATTTCTGGCTCCTGTAGATGAAAATAACACCTCTGATTTTATGAACACAAAAAGGTAGGGCTTAATTTAGATATATCAAGCCTGGGTGTTACTAAGTGTTGAATATCATTAGATATACAAGGGTGTTTTAATTACTATTTTGCCATTTAAAAAATCATTTCAGCTAAATCTGTTGTATCTTCTTTCTTATACTTTTTTCTTACTGAATGCCATTTTTAAAAATGTGCAACCAACCTGTTCTCTAGTTTTGACGAGGATTAGTTTAAGTGTTATCTTAAGAAAAGTCTTTGCCAAGTCTCTGAGACCAGTGTTTCTGGTTAGTGAGCATATGTCTGTTTCAAATCAGGATGTCTGATCTGTTCAGGACGTCTAATCTGTAAGTTGAGGGGATTGCTTACTTACAGGTACATAACTTGGGTATAAATTGGAAGGGCCTTCTCAGGTTGTCCTGTGAATAGGAGAAAACATTTATGATTGTGTTTATATATTGATAACTGTATTTTGTAGTTTAAAAAATACACACGTTAAAACAATTATCATCATCAAGTGACTGCATAGTTATTGCCTTGCTGGTTCTGTGTAATTAAATTGCAAGTTTTTTCATTTTTTGTGGGAATCCTTGGAGACATGGGCCTGTGCTGAGCAGATATTCCCATGCACAGAAGAGGGCAGAATGGGGCCCCTTGGCATCACCCCCTTTCCCCCTTTAGGCAGTTTCTCTTTATCAAAGTGGCACCAAGAGAGGCCCAATTGGAACTATGATATGTGGAACATGTTTCTTAATCTCTGTTACAATCGAAATCACTTAAGGGCATGTAATCTTTCTCTTTTCATGAAAAGAATTCTGTAAGAAAGCAGTTCTTTAGGAATGATGACCCACTGTGAGCTTGATATAACTTCTGTGATTGATTATTTGTTTATACAAAGATAGTTGATAATTTAGTGATTTGTTTAAAAAAATGTTAAGCTAACAAAATCCCGTGAATTCCTCCCCACTAGTCATAAATCAATCATCTTATAATTTTAGGGACTTTGAATCCAAAGCAAACCATCTTGGTGATTCTGGTGGGACTCCTGTGAAGACCCGGAGGCATTCCTGGAGGCAGCAGATATTCCTCCGAGTAGCCACCCCGCAGAAGGCGTGCGATTCTTCCAGCAGATATGAAGGTAAGGCCGGTACCTGAAATGAAACCTCAAAGAGAGCACGCTGACAGAGGACCCTGGGAGCCCCATCATATTGGTAAGAAAGCAGAGCGCCGTCCTCTTCAGTATTGGCAGGTCTGAGGCAATCACAAAGGTAACTAGGGAGGGAATTTAGAGGTTACCCTCCATTTCTTAGGGAAGGAATTTAAAGCTAATTTAGGGTAACCTCTCCATAAACAGGAGCAGAGCTCTGATGTTTAGAGTGGTCACAGTGTTAACCAGCGGTGAATCCAGACAGGTCTGCGGCAACCTCACTTCTTGCCTCCTAGGACATAAGGCAAAAGGAGAGACTGAGGCAAGTTTTAGAGCAGCAGTGAAAGTTTATTAAAAACTTCAGAGCAGGAATGAAAGGACGTCAAGTACACTTTGAAGGTGGTTAGGCGGGCAACTTGAGAGATGAAGTGTGAGATTTGGCCTTTTGACCTGGGGTTTTATATGCTGCCATACTTCCGGGGTCTTGCGTTCCTTCTTCTCTGATTCTTCCCTTGGGGTGGGCTGTCCGCATGTGCATTGGCGTGCTAGCACACGGGGGTTGTGGGGGAGCGTGCGCAGGGTGTTTACTGGAGTTGTAGGCGTGCTCACTTGAGGCGTTCTTCCCTGTCCAGTCTAGCATTCCTAGAGGAACGTCATGCACCAGGTAAATTCCGCCATGTTGCCTCTTAATGCGCATGCTTGAGCCCACTCGCCCAGCTCCCGAGATCTTATTGGGAAGCTGCAGCTCCCCAGTTTTAGGTGTTTTCTATCTACTGGGAGCCCGCCCTTCCTTGGTGCCCGCTGTGACCAACGATCACTTTAGAGAAACAGTTGACAACTGCCTGACCAACACCTGATGGTCGCCTGACATTGCTGGTGCATATCTGGAAAGGGCCCTCTCCTGCCGTCCTCATGTCTGACGAGCTACCCGCTGTAACCAAAGCGTGGGCTTCGGAGTCTGCTTTCAAATCCCAGCTTTTCCCCTTAGGAGCTGTGAACTAGAATAAACTGTCTAAAGTTACCACCTATAACCTGGGATTAATTATGCCTGTTGCCACACTGATAGAGACAAGGCAGCATGATATCATTACTGATACATTTTTTTTAAAGCATTCAAAATTCATAGTACTGGAAAGAAAATCAGTGATGCGAATGTTTCCAGGGTAATGTCACCTCCCATGCTGTGGAAGTCCTTCGGGTGAGCCTGGCCCCTTGCTTCTTTTGCCCCAGCCTTTCTATGTGGGGGCACCATGGAGCTGCCACTCACCAGCACCTTTTTTCCCTCAAGTAGTTTGTACCTATAAAGTATTCCTGCCGTGGGTGGCCCCTCGGTGGAGCTGCTGAGCCTAGCCAGGGTTTGATTTCTCTTCCTGCCAGTGTGAGCCAGATGGCCACATCTCTCTTCCCCTGCCCCGTGGAGAGGTCTGCTTACCGCAAAGAAGGGCTCTTCCTCCCAGGTCCTGTAGCACCCTGTTAGAGGGTGTGGAGTGGAGCAGTGGGAACCAGAGCCACCAGAGGGAGGCCCTGGAGGAGGAACGAAGCTGATTCATGTCTGAAAGGGGTGCCAGAACCCAAGTTTCGGTGTTTAATAAAGAGTGCCTCGGTGTTGCGGTGGCCATACCTCACAGGGCATGGTCGCTTGGAAATTTCTGCTCGGAAATGCTTTGTGCAGTGGCCAGGATGCGTTAGGGGCCACAGATGACTGCTTGCTCCATCATAGAACAGTTCCAAGTTTTCAAACGAGCATTCACAGACTGAGCCGCATCCTGCCTCCCTGTCCTCTGATTCCTGGCTTCTTCTCTGGTCTCTGAAGCCACACGGAAATGTGTTTGCATCTGTTTCCTGCCCTTCAGATGACAGAGGACCATGGAAGCTGCTGCCTCCTTTAGCTCTCTTCTCCAGGGGAATTGCCCTCGTCACTGTTTGGGAACCCCTGGTCCGAGTCCTGTCCTCCGAAGAGCCTCTGCCCCTCCTGGAGTCCTGAGTTGAACTTGGTGTTCACTTGGCCTCTGGCTCTGGCAGTGTGTTGCTCCTTCCGTTGACCTGCCACTGCTCTGTTAATGCAGATTGATCTTCATAATCTGTTTCTGCTTTAAGTGATTAACTCAAACATTCTTGGCTCTTATTCTATCTTGTCCTTTGGGATATGAACCATTATTTAAATTTGGACTGGTTTCCTGGCTTGGCACAGTTGACCATGCCTGTAAGCTCAGTGCTTTGGGAGGCCAAGGCAGGAGGATCCCTGGAGGCCAGGAGTTCGAGGCCACCCTTGGCAACATAGTGAGACCCTGTCTCTACAAAAAAATAAAAATTAGCTGAGCGTGGTGTTGTGAAGCTGTAGTCCTAGCTACTTGGGAGACTGAGGCAGGAGGATTACTTGAGCCCAGGAGTTTGAGTTTACAGTGAGCTGTGATCACACCCCTGCACTCCAGCCTGGGCAACAGAGTGAGACCTTGTCTCGCGGGGTGGGGGAGTCATGTCTATACTTGAGAAGTTTTTTTCCCTCGCATAGTTTGTACCTATAAAGTATTCATCAGTTTTGAGCAGTCCTTTTGCGATTGTTTTGAGTCTTGAGTCTGGTGACCAGTAAGTTGTATATATTTGCCTGTCAAGTGGACAAACATGGCCTTTGTGCCTTTAAGTAATGGCTAAAAGTACCAAACAGAACAGGGCCTGGCATAGATGCTGCTCCTCCTGTTCCTAGGCCGTAATCACCCCTGATTCATCAGACCCCAAACAAGTCAGCTCCTCTCCCTCCTGTGCCCCACCACCCAATCTCCTGCAGGAAGATGTCTAGAGACCCCTGTCAGCGCTAGGCAGAGATCACCATCCATGTCCACCTTTCCTCTGATGCAGGTTCCCACTAGCCCCTCTGGCTTGTGCCATGCCAGCCATGAACTCACCCTCATGCCCCACCCGAGCCCTGGCACAGGCTATTCCCTCTGCCTGGAATGCTCTTCGTCAGTATCCCCATGGCTCCCTCCCTCCCCTTCCCTTGTATCCTGACTCTCCCATAGCAGCTCTCTCCCTGTAACACATGTTCACAGGTTCATCTTTGTCACCCATCTCCGGCAGCTCCTGCAGGCTTGATGGCTGCTAAAGGCAGGCAAGTCAGTGGCTCAGATTCTTGCAAACTTAGTGATTAGTGATTTCTCAACTCCCTCCTCATGCCTCCTCTGTCTCTATAGGCACATATTATTTCTTATCTCTTCTCAGAACCAAGCCGCCTGAATTTCTGAATAACATTGTTTAAGTGTTCTGTGTATGCAAAAGAAAAACGAGAATAAAAGGATTATTAAGGAAGAATTAATATAATAATAGCCACATATTATGCTCTTTTTATACTCTGCTAAGTGCTTTACATGAATTATTTCCTTTAATTAGACAATCTTAAGAACATCGACATTTTTATGAAGCCCATTTTACAGGTGGGTGAGTGGAGGCTGGGAGTGGCTTAAATCACTTTCCCCAAACCAGGGAGTTAGTGGGAGCCAGAGGCAGGACCTGAGCTCGCGGGTCTGAGCTCCAAAGCTCATTCTCTGAACTGTGCACAGCACTGGGCTGCAGCCAGAGATGCAGGACGCTGCGGGACCCTCTGGAGGTGGTCCTGCCTGTGCTTCCCTCTTCCCACAGGAAGCTCCCTATAGGCATCTGTGTTGGGCGTGGACTCTCAGTGTACCTGCATGTCTCCCTGTTGGCCAGACACCAACACTGAATGGAAAACATGTTTCTGGGCATTTTAATGTACGTACTTGCCTTCAGTCAATCTCCTCCGCCCCCTTCCATCCTGACCGCCTCCCTAATAGTTAGCAGTGGGACTGGAGCTTGAATGGCAACTGATTTCTGTCTGAGAGGACAAATCAGGCATCTTTGTCCTCTGCCACTGTCTGTTCCCCATCCTTAGGATGCACGATGCCAGAGCCCTCCACTGTGGTCTGTGACCACTTTGACCCACACTAGCAGGTCTCCATATGTTCCTTCCAGCTGAGAGACATCACATCCAAAGACAGTTTAGAGCTCTGAGGTTTCTTTCCCCAGAGGTCCCTGCTTTGTGCAAACTGTCTCCAGCCAAGCGTGCACAAGACTCTGTTCCTGATTTGCCTGGGCGGCTGAGCCATGGGCAGCTGAGCCTGCAGCCGCTGGACTCACTGCATTCCCACTCTGACTTTGGCATGAAAGACACACAAGTGTGCTTGTGAGAAATAGATCTTAACAGTACCTTTTAACACCTATTTCAGGTGCTCAAAATGACTGCCTGTTTTACATTTATATTCTGGCAGTGCAAACTTCAATTGGACAGGAAATCTTACAACCTCTCTTCCAGGTGAAAAAGCGAGGCAGGGATGTTTATACAGTTCCATCCATGTCATCCCACTTGGAAGATACTAGTAAAACACACCAACAGTAATACAAAAACCATGGTGTTTGCAATAGTGATAATGTTACTAGTGAAGGAAAAATAGAAACTTTCTGTAATTTGGAGATTCTAATTTTTATAGGTGGGCTAAAAAAAAAATCTGGAGAGAAGGGTGTTAAGTGAGTAAGGAGTGTGTCTCTAACTAAATATAGTGTAAAAAGAGAAGAAAATACAAAGTCAGGCACAGTGGATAGAGGTGGATAGTCTAATCTCTAATAGTATAATGGGCAAAATTGTCTCAAACAAAATTAGTCTGCCTCTTGTTTACTCAGGGATGTGTGACTGTTTTCTATGCACAAAATCCCCATGAAATAATTAAGTTGCAAGAATCTGAACTTTATATTTTGGAAACCTATCTGAGGTAGGTAGGAAGTTAATTTATATTTAGAAATTTGCTTGCATATGTCTAGTAGCTCCAGGACAAATATTCCCAAATCCCAGACTATTTTTTTTTCTTTTTAAATTCAACAGTGACCAGTTGGTCTCTTGTAAGAATTACAGCCTTAAGTTAGCAAAGTCTAAGAGGGCTGGTTTTAATCCTGAACCTCAGAGGGTCCCTGCTTCTCAAATACTAAGTAGGTCACGTGCACAGCAGGTACTACATTGAAGGGAAATTGTATGATAAATAGGAAATCAGCGATTTTTACTTGGAGACTTGGCAAGGCAAATGTTTTTGTAATAAAAATAGATCGTGAAATAGAATCCTGAAAGCTGCCTGTTTAAATGTAAAGCAAATGGCTTTAGTGATGCTTTAAGTGTGGCAGTCACTTCTGGCTGCCGCAGAAACTATAGAAAGTGCATTCTCTCTTGGTGCTGTGGGTTCTTAGGGTGAATGCCTTGTGTGACGCTGAGTATGTGGAAGGACCATTCATTCTTGGTAACTATACACTAGGCAGAGGGTGGCGTTAGCGAAGCTACTGCAGGTTGGGTGTGTTTAAGATTTGGATTTATTTTTCTTTTAATTTTTATTTTTAGTTCCAGGGTACATGTGCAGGATGTGCAGGTTTGTTACATGGTTAAACGTGTGCCATGGTGGTTTGCTGTACCTATCAACCCATCACCTAGGTATTAAGTCCAGCATGTGGTTATTTTTCGTAATGCTCTCCCTGCTCCCTGCCGCCCCCCAACAGGCTCCAGTGTTTGTTGTTCCCTTTCCTATGTCCATGTGTTCTCATGATTCAGCTCCCATCTATGAGCAAAAACATGTGGTGTTTGGTTTTCTGTTCCTGCGTTAGTTTGCTGAGGATAATGGCTTTCAGCTTCATCCATGTCCCTGCAAAGGACATGGTCTCATTCATTTTTATGGCTGCATAGTAGTCCATGGTGTATATGTACCACATTTTCTTTATCTAGTCTATCATTGATGGGCATTTGGGTTGATTCCATGTCTTTGCTATTGTGAATAGTGCTGCAGTGAACATATGCATGCATGTATCTTTGTAACAGAGTGGTTTATATTCCTTTGGTTATGTACCCAGGAATGGGATTGCTGGGTCAAATGGTATTTCTAGTTCTAGATCTTTGAGGAATTGCCACACCATCTTCTACAATGTTTGAACTAATTTACATTCTCACCAACAGTGTAAAAGCATTCTTACTTCTCCGCAACCTCACCAGCATCTGTTGTTTCTTGACTTTTTAATAATCACCGTTCTGACTGGTGTGAGACAGTATCTCCTTGTGGTTTTGATTTGCATTTCTCTAATGATCAGTGATGTTGAGCTTTTTTTCATGTTTGTTGGCTGTATGAATATCTTCTTTTGAGAAGTGTCTGTTCATGAGAGAGACATATTTGCTCCTCTGAGTAAAGGGTAAGGATGCTTACGTCTGTGTGACAGCCTTCTCTCTTTTTCAGAACCTCACTGTGGATCGCCATCGTTGGCCTGTACTGAAGGTAAAGCAGATAGAGGCAGTCTCATCTGTCAGATGAAGACCTCATACACCTGTTGATTAAGAGGCTTTCTTCAGATCATGGTTTAGAGCGGTGTTTTACAAACTTGATGTGCTTGGAGTCTTCTGGAAATCTTGTTAAAAGGCAGACTCTGTTGCAGTAGGTCCGGGTGGGTTCTGAAGTTCTAACAAGCTCCCCAGTGAGGCTGATGTTTCAGGTCCACTGTGAGGAGGCAGGGCTTAGAATAAACAACCGTGGGAAATCCAGTCCAGATCTTTGATGCATCCTAGGTTAGGCCTGTCTGTCAGGCTGCCCTGGGTCTCTAGTGATGGACTCCAGGAGTCTCTCAAGTCTCAAATAAGTCTGAGTCATCAGGGATATTTTTTGAGAAGAGTTGTGCTGTCTGAAGAAGCAAAGAGTGAGTGTGATGGGGAAAATGCAGTGATTAAAAACATGGTAAGGTTTAAAGAAAGATTTGACCATATGCCAGGTGAACCCAAATGTATGGTGCTTTGCGTCTTTCCTGCCCTTTGGTTTTCCAGGGAGGCAAGGCCTTATCTCTTATGGAGCACAGGAGACACAGTGTGGGCGTTTGTTTTCTCAGCCGTGGGCTCTAACCTAATTGTCAAGCCTACAAAAAAAAAATGCTGAAAATCAACTTCTGACTAGATATCTGGTAGTACATAATCTCCATAATTTTCTCTCTGGGTGTATTATGCAAAAGATAATCCTTTGTTATTAAGAAACAATTTTTAAGGCAACTCCCAACTTTGAAACGGGGAAAAATCATTTTATTTACCTCTATGTGCTAGGGAACAATATTAAATTTAGTTTTATACTTTTCCTTTAAGCATTTCAGATTATATTGTGCATTTCACCAACAATAGAAGCTTTCAGACTTTATATGTCTTGTAAAAAAAAGCCTAATATAGATAAGAATAATTTATTGATTTGAAACCCATTGTATAAGAAATAGTCCAGTGAAACTTAAGTTCAAAGTTTTTTTTGTCTTGTGGATGTAGCTATGTCAATATGCCTAGTTTATAGTAACATTAAGTCTAGTGGATTAGATATTAGATATCAATTGAGATGTAAGCAGTAATAAACAGTAATGCCTAAACTGAAGTATATAATCTGAATCTTTATGATGACCAATTTATATTATTGTGAAAAACTTAGGAACTGATTTGAAACATGATTTACATGTTTTACATGAAACATGATTTACATGTGTCATATATAGTTTTCAATAATTTACGTACCAGCAGGAAATTTTAGTGGATAAGTGGAATAAACTGCAGGTGAAACTTTGCTGGAAAATACAAGCATAGTGACATCTGTGCACCAAAAGCACCTGGGGAGATTTTTTAAAACATGGGCCAGACATGCCTTCCTGGCTGTCTCCCTCACTGTCAGTGAGTGTGGGGATGGGGTCTGGGCCTGAATTCTTTCTTTTTAGACTCCTCAGGATTCTGATTGCTGCCACGTTGAGAGGGTTGACCTCAATTCGGACCTCAGAGGGTGACTTGAGAAACTGTCACCACTTGGTGGCAGTGTTGCTCCCCGCATCTTGATTGCCCTTGTTTCTTTCCAATCCCGGAAAAGTGTGCTTGTTTTTTTTTTTTTCCCTGCGTGTTTTTGTTTTTGATCTTGCTATAATATTTATATTCCTTGCTCATTTGCAACTTATTTGAATGGAGAGCTACTTTCTGAAATCTAGATGTTTTTCTTTTTCTACAGGGTTTTAGGGCATGGGCAAAACACGGAAGAAAAAAGTTGTCTTCAGTTGGCAGAGACGTGGATTTTTAAGATTGTTCTTAATTTACTTTCTGTATAACTTTGCTTTTCTGTGGTGAACAAAGACCAGGTTCAAGATAAAATATTGCAAGCCAAGAATCTGATTGTTCATGGATTTCTATGGTTAAAGATACTTGATCACCTCCCCATCCGCCCCCTACCCCACCCACCCTGCGCCGCCCCCACACCCCATTGTGCTTCTTGGCTTGTCATTTCAAAAGTCAAGGAAGTCACAGTGAATGGCAAGATTTTACCTCGACTTGCTATTTTTGTGCCTGTTAACAATTGTGAGTTAACACTGACTGAGCTTTTCCTAGTGAACCTCCGGCGTTTAAACAGCCAGTCCATAACACTGTGTGAGGGCTGGAGCTAAGGTTATTGGTGACACAAGATAGCACCTGAGCCAGTGCTGCTTGGTAGGAGGGCTGAGGGGAAGAGGGCTGAGGGCTTGGATGCTGAGATGCTAGAGTCACATCGCCTGGATTTGAATCCCTGCCCTCCTGTTCTGATACCAGCTGACCCATGACGATGCTACAGCACCTGACAGCAGATTCCTCCTTAGGGCTGGTCTAACTCTAGAGTGTGTGCCTGTGTGCCTGCAGGAGAATGTCCAAAGTGAGTGATCTTGATCTGTTAACCTTTGAATTTTAACCTATACCAGGGAGCCATTGAAGAGTTTAAAGCAAGTGAATGACGAGTAGTTTGAAAATATTTCCAGGTGGATAGAATTTGTGGACATACATGAACATGAGCAGCCTCAAAATCAGGGCTGGGACTAGAGTGAGGCCAGCACGTGTCCAGGGTGCAAAATGTAAGGAGGCATTCACTTTCAGGGCCTGGCAGGTGTGGACCCTGAACTTCCAGGACCTTGAGAGTGAGTGTCTCCTAAGGATTACACCCTGGGGGCCTATTTGCCTCATCCTGGTCCCTGGTCCTCTGTGTACCCTATTGCCTGCTTCAGTAAACAGGCAGCCCTGCAAGGGAAGGAAGGGTTGGATCAGCTCTGAGGAGGGAGTTTTTTTAGAAGGATAGATTTGTTTTGTTTAAAAAACAGCTTTATTGAGATATAATTCACATCCTATACAGTTTGTTCATTTAAAATGTACAATTCAATGTTGTGAGGTTATTTTTTGGTATATCCACAGAGTTGTGTGACCATGACCACAGTCTAATTTTTTTTATTTTTTATTTTTTGAGACGGAGTATTGCTCTGTCGCCCAGGCTGGAGTGCAGTGGTGCGATCTCGGCTCATTGCAACCTCTGCCTCCTGGGTTCAAGTGATTCTCATGCCTCAGCGACCTGAGTAGCTGGGATTACAGGCATGCCCCACCAAGCCTGGCTAATTTTTATATGTTTACTAGAGACGGGGTTTCACCATGTTGGCCAGACTGGTCTACAACTCATGGCCTCAAGTGATCCTTCTGCCTCAGCCTCCCAAAGTGTTGGGATTACAGGCGTGAGCCCGACCCACCGCAGTCTAATTTTGAAACATTTTTTGTCCCCCTAGAAAAAAACCTGTAGTTGTCACTTGCCAATCTACTGCCGTCCACCTCTAACCATAGACAGCCCCTAATCTACTTTCTGTCTCTATAGATTTGCCTATTCTGAACACTTCATCTAAGTGCAATCATATAATATGTGGTCTTTTGTGTCTGGCTTCTTTGATTTAACATGTTTTCAAAATTCATTATGTCATAATACATACCAGTAATCCATTCTTTTTTAATGACTTATTAATATTCCGTTGTATAGAGACATCACATATGGTTTATCCTTTACCAGTCGAGAGGCATTTGGATTGTTTGCACTTTTGGCTGTTACGGATAATACCGCTGTGAACATTGATGTATGTGTTTTTGTGTGTTGAATGTGAGCTGGTGTGGAAACTCCTCCTCCAGGGGGGCCTTACCTGTGATTCTACCCACGGGGATGGTTAAGCCAGCAGGGATGGGAAGGGTTTGGTCCTGCTGGCCCTAGGCTTTCCTGCAGGCTGCCATGTGCCTTTCTTCTGCCTAGGCTGAAACGGAGGCTGCCCTGGTTTCTGGCACTGCCCTCATGAGTGTGTGGGAAGGCTGGGGGAAGCCAAGTCTCCATGGTGCCTCCATCAGGGACCCTGCAGCTGGGAGGCAGCCAGAGGGCCACAGGTTGGTAGCATTCACACAGAGCTACATTTCTTTTTTTTTTTTTTTTTGAGACAATCTTGCTCTGTCGCCCAGGCTGGAGTGCAGTGGTGCGATCTCCGCTCACTGCCACCTCCACCTCCCAGGTTCAAGGAATTCTCCTGCCTCAGCCTCCCAAGTAGCTGGGACTACAGGCGTGCGCTGCCATGCCCGGCTAATTTTTTGTGTTTTTAGTAGAGACGGGGTTTCACCACGTTGACCAGGATGGTCTTCATCTCCCGACCTCGCGATTCACCTGCCTCGGCCTCCCAAAAAGTGCTGGGATTACAGGCGTGAGCCACCATGCCCAGCCTACATTTCTTTTTTTTTTTTCTTTGAGATGGAGTCTTGCTCTGTCACCCAGGCTGGAGTGCAGGGGCACCATCTCTGCTCACTGCAACCTCCGCCTCCTGAGTTCAAGTGATTCTCCTGCCTCAGCCTCCGGAGTAGCTGGGATTACAGGCAACTGCCACCACACCTGGCTAATTTTTTTATTTTTATTTTTTAATAGAGACGGAGTTTTTCCATGTTGACCAGGCTGGTCTCGAACTCCTGACCTCAAGTGGCCTCAAGAGGCCAATCCGCCTTGGCCTCCCCAAGTGCTGGGATTATAGGTGTGAGCCACTGCACCCACCCAGCCCGTAGCTACATTTCTGTCAGCTGTTTGCAAACTGTGCCCCAGAATCCCCTGGAGGACTTGTAGAACCACCAGTTACTGGGTTACGCCCCCAAATGTCTGATGCTGGAGATGAATTATCTTGGGTGGAGCCCTCAAGCCGCAGCAGCTGATAAGCATGGGGACCTCCTATTCTGATAAAAATTCCAAAAAAGTCCTGAGTGATTAATAAACAGCACATTGAAAATTAGAAATGAGTTCTATGGCAGGGGATGAAACAGGCAACAAAGCCTATTTTCTTTGCAATGAAGCGCATCAGATATTAATAATAGCCATTGTAATTATCTTTATCATGTATTAAGCATTTTGTGTTTTTCACTTTTACACAATTAGATGATCCCCATAGGTATTACCGCCTTTTTTTTTTTTTTTTTTTGAGACAGAGTCTTGCTCTATCCCCCAGGCTGGAGTGCAGTGGCACGATCTTGGCTCACTGCAACCTCTACCTCCCAGGTTCAAGCTATTCTCATGCTTCACCCTCCTTAGTAGCTGGGATTACAGGCGCCTGCCACCAGACCCAGCTAATTTTTTGTATCTTTTTTAGTAGAGACAGGGTTTCGCCATGTTGGGCAGGCTGGTCTCGAACTCCTGACCTCAGGTGATCCGCCCACCTCGGCCTCCCAAAGTGCTGGGATTATAGGCGTGGGTCACCACAACTGGACTTACTGCCCATCTTTTAAGAGATGAGGACAGAAAGATTGAGTGACACAGTTATGTCTCCTGCAGCTCTTGGTTCACATAGCCAGGATTCGTATCAATCTATTTAGCTCTAAATCTAGTCTCTTAATCACAGTAATGAACCGTTGACAGTTTTACGAGTAAATTATCAAGAGTTTTGATAGGTTTGCTCACTTAAATTAGTGCTTGTACAGTAATGGGCTGTGTTAGTGTGAAGGAATGTATCTTATGTTGGAAGTACTCTAGAATTAAATGTTAACTCTTGCTAATAAAGCATACATTTGGGGCATTATTAGCAACTTTTTTTTTTTTTTTTTAGCAAAATTAGAGGCTTCCTAGTTGAGTGGTTTATGTTATTTATATTTATTTATTTGTTTGTTTGTGACAGGGTCTTGCTCTGTCACCCAGGCTGGAGTACAGTAAGTAGCACAATCATAGCTCACTGCAGCCTCGACCTCTTGGGCTCAAGCAGTCCCCTGCCTCAGCCTCCTAAGTGCCTGGGACCACAGGTGCGCATCACCACGCCCTGCTAAATGTTTACAGTTTTTGTAGAGACAGGGTCTCACCATGTTGCCCAGGCTGGTCTTGAACTCTTGAATTAAAGCAATCCTCTTGCTTCAGACTCCCAACATGCTGGGATTACAGGTTGTGCCACTGCGCCAGGCCTCCATGTATTTGAATGAAAGAGCAGACATCTCCTGGAGGTGGCAAAGCTATGCATGCCCCCCCTGGAGGGGAGCTGGGGGCTCTGGGGTTACAGTGATGGCACATTCAGGGAGCTCTCCGCTTTGTGAGATCCTGAGATAAAGCCAAAGGATGCATTAAACTGCTTCTAAATGAACTTTTTCCAAGTGAATTTGTTATATCACTTCTATATAAATGAAAATATTTGCAGCATGAGTACTAACAAGATTTTTTTTTTCTTTTACCCCGATGGAGTCTCGCTCTGTCGCCGGGCTGGAGTGCAGTGGTGCAATCTTGGCTCACTGCAACCTCCGCCTCCTGGGTTCAAGCGATTCTCCTGCCTCAGCCTCCCGAGTAGCTGGGATTACAGGTGCGCACCACCACGCCCAGCTAATTTTTGTATTTTTAGTAAAGATGGGGTTTCACCATGTTAACCAGGATGGTCTCTATCTCTTGACTTTGTGATCTGCCCGCCTCGGCCTCCCAAAGTGCTGGGATTACAGGTGTGAGCCACGCTCCCGGCCAAGATTTTAAACATTATTTACCAAAGTAGGAACGTGGTAATTATGGTCTTATATAATTCTGAAAATGATTTCTAGTACCAAACTATGAATTTTATACTTGAAAGAATGATGGGTTTTTCACAGAAAGTTGAAGTTATTATGGTTTGTTTCCTGTTCAGGTGTTTTTGCTGGAGAATGTTCGATGAACAGCAGTTCTGGTGATAAGTTATGGATGTACACAGCTGGTGTGGTTTTTAGGATTTTATTTTGCAGCAGCATCTTCCTCAAACAGTTGCCAGGGGACGGCTTTCCTTCTTCTTACTGGTACCAGCCTTTCTCTTGCAGACAAGGCAGTATGGGAGGGTTGGGAGACAAAACAGAAGCTGTTGGTTTCTTCAGCCTGGCAAGGATTCAGATTGCAGGTTGTAGATTGGAGGCCGTCAGTGGGGATACCTTTCCGGACAAAGTGGTGTTTCTGCCTGGCACTGCTTGCCAGAGAAGTTTCAGTTCTTCATTCTCCGTCAGAGAAACCCATATGGACCACATTCTGATAGTTTTCTTCTGTTTCCCTAACACCGAAGGCTCAGCCCCTGGTGCAGGTCCCAGTGTACAGCAGGCTGCATACAGTTAGACCAGATGTTCTTGTAGTACGAAAAGTCACCGAGTTTCCATTCACTTGTGGGTGGCAGGTATGGCCCTCCTTACCTCCCATGGCCCAGGTTTCTCTGTCCTGCCGTTTTCACATTTTCCAGGCTTTCACCTCCAGGTACCAAAATTCACATCATTTAGAGATTGTGTCTGCCTGCCAATACGCGGATGTACCAGTGAGGGATTGTTCTCGCCTGACGAGAGGTCTGGATGATGAGAGAGCAGAGCTGGCCCTGGGGCTCAGTGGTGACACCCTCGAGCTTGGCTGCTTCTGTTCTTCTGCTTCCTCTGCTTGGATTCCTTCGCCTTTGGCTTCCCCTCCAGTTCCAAGCAGAACAAAACAGGAGATATCAAGGAGGAAAGGGTGACCCCTCTATATCTGGAGAGCAAAACTGTCGCGGAAATCCCTAGTGTACTTCCATTTGTGTCTCATTATCTGAAACCGAGTTACCTGGCTGGTCACGTGCAGCCACCAGAGGCAGGAAGGTAGTGATTCTGCCTGTGTGGAATGTTCTAGCATTCCCTGGTAGCTTTTGTTTCTTCAGGCAGCCATGACTTTGCATAGATCATTTCCTTTTGCCCAGGACACTCCTGCTCGTTTTCTCCCCTCCTCACCAAACCCACAGTGCATTAACAGCGACAGACTTCTCCTCATCCTCTCAGGCCACTTGGATGTCACCATTTCTTCTCTTTACCCCTCAGGCGTAGTCAGCCTCTCTGTGCCTGATGTTTTATGGCTTTGTGTATGCCCCGATGGAGAGCGTCTTACTGTGTCTTCGGGTTATTTATCTCAACCTCGCATCTGTGCTATCCTGTACAGTAACCAACAGCCACATATCACTATTTAAAATTAAATACAAACTAATTATACTTAAATGTAATAAAAATGTAGCCCCTCACATTAGCCTCATTTCAAGAGCCACATGTGGCTACCGTATTGTAAGCAGAGCTCAAGAACATTCAGCAATATTGTGAGAGTGGCTACCATATTGAGAGCAGAGCTCTAGAACATTCCCTTATCCCAGAAAGTTCTCTTGGACATGCTGCTCAAGGTGGTGAACTCTGAGATCTCCAGTCCCCCCAGCTCCGTCACTCAGAACCACAAATGTGGCACCATCAGCCTTCAGGGTGGTGCTTGTGTTGTACTGTCTCCTGACTAAAGAAGTAAACTTCAGGCAGTCAAGATTTTCTACAACCCACACTGCTCCTAAAACTAGTGTTACTGGATATGTAAAAGCTATTGAGCCCAGTGCTTTCAAGGAATCCTAAAAGCAAGTGGGGACTGTCATGTATCCAGGTTCCTTGTTTTGCAGAAGAAGAAATAGAGGCTTTAGGGGAAAGGGGTCCACTCAAGGTCATACAGGCAAGGTCATACAGTCAGTGGTAGAATGGACTGGAATCTTGATTGTTCATCTCACTCCCCTTTCCATTAAGCCATAACTGATTGAGTATCACCAACCTGTTTGTTTTCCCTGATTATGTTCCCTTCTCGCCTGTTTAATCAGGTTTCAGCTCCTTGTGAGAGGAAGTTGTTTTCAGCTTCTTAGCCCCCTACCTGTAGGCGGTGCTCTGGGAACGCTCAGGAAGCAGATGCATGTGAGCCTGTCTCAGCCAATGATTGCTTAGTTGCAAGAAACAAAAAAATGACTCAAACTAGCTTAATCAAAAGGAGGCTTTTAAACAGCAAGATAAGGGTAAAGGCTGGGAACTAGGAAGTTGTCAGGAACCAAGGCTGTCTCTCTGGATCTCTCTTTGAGGCCATGTAATTTTTTTTTCCTCTCGGTCTCTTTATTCTGCACACCAGCTCACCCAGCTTGCTTGTTACTATATGCAGTCATGCCAACCCCCAGATCTGTATGACCTGTTAGCCTCAGGGGCACCCACGTAGCTGGCTGCCAATCTGTGTTTTCTTCCAGGTTTCGAGAGGGAGAAATGATTGGCCCAGCTCAGGGTCACTTACCCAGGGAGAGGTGGGGGAAGTATGGAGGCACCGTGGTATCAGGGAACCCCTGGGCCAAGCTTGTCCAACCCGCGGCCTGCTTTCTTTCATTTTTTCTGTTTTTTGTTTTGTTTTGTTTTGTTTTTTTACAGCTCATCAGCTATTGTTAGTGTATTTTATGTGTGGCCCAAGACAATTCTTCTTCTGCTGTGGCTCAGGGAAGCCAAAAGATTGGCCACCCCTGTCCTAGGCCATTATCTGGGCTGTGGGAGGTGTGGAGCAGGGTCAGAGCTGGAGGGGGAGGGCATAGCCTCCAGCCACCATAAGTTGGTGTGTTCTTGGTAATTATATTGCTTGTCAACCGAAGGCAGAATCAGGACAATGAAAGTAATGAGAATCCCTAGCTTTGTAACAGTTAGTGGTTATCTAAAAGTAGGTGAAATTGTACATGAGTGAGTGGCATGAATTTCTTATTACTAAAGTGCTCAGATAGCTGGCTAACTTTCTGTCAAAGATCCCTCTGCTAGGATCAACATTTGATTAATATATTTATCCTGTAATAAGAATTTGGGATTCTTAAAGCAAAATAGTTGTCATGTGGCTGACTACACAACCAAAGATGGTCCAGGTGTCGCTGGAAGAGGAGAGACTGAAGAGCTGTTGCCAGGTTCCCACGTGGACCTTCGGCATGACCCGGCCATGGGGAGGCCTCACACGCTCCTGCATCGCCCACATCTTGCCAAGCCATGGAAAACACTTGGGATTCATATCTAAATCCTAGTTTAAGCTTGGTGAGGACAGTGGCCTGGTGCAGAGTTTGGGTCATAGATGGTGCTTGGTTTCTTTTGTATAAAGGGGTATATGATTTTGGAATATTTACCAAATGTGGGCATTTTTTCTATAAAAATTATTGTATCTACTGAGATTATAGTATGTAAAAAAAACATACACATGGAGAAAGAATACAAAGAGAGCATTGATATTCTACAGAAGTGGCAAGAAGATGTGGTGATAGGTGATATTTTTGCCTTTTGTTTCAATTTTGTATTGTAGTGACTTTTTTGGTAGAAAAAACTAATTTCTAATTAAGGGAGAAACATTTGAAGTACATTTAGTCTTTCTAGAAAACCTCATCTTCTCATAGAAGTTTAAGATGGAGACATACTTCCATTGTGAATCATGATGCTAACCAGTATTCAGATTTGTTGGAAATGGACTCAGTTTTAAAATTGCTTCTCTCTTGTGGGCTGGAACTGCAAATGATTGTTTGGGGATTTTTCCCCTTTTCTTCTATGGAGTTATTCAACTTGGCATGACCAGTGATTTGAGCTGAGAACATGGAACCCTTGATTTGCAGAAATCAAGCCCCCAAAGGTACAGATACAGTGGTCATTGTCTGAAGGGTTTCTTTTGTTCTTGGCCCTCCTGTCCCTGCTCTTACTGTGGCAGCTGCAGCTGCAGGTGCCTCTGAAGCCTTGCCATCCATGGTCACTTCCTGCCTGCTCCCCACCCACCCCTGGGAAAGAGCCCCCAAGTGTCCAAAAGCACTGTGTTGCCTAATGCTTGTTGAGAGTCTACATTTCTCTAGATCTAGCAGAAGTAAAATTTCAGTTTGTTATATTTATAGTTTCAGGAATAGTTTGGGAATGGATTTAATAAAAAATTTAAAAGCCCATCATTTTTATATCTCTTTTTCGATATTTGATGGTTTAAAAGACATCAAAGTTATCTTCTCCCATTACTCATCCTATACAATTAAAACCTGTTTTTTGAAGTTGTAATAGGTAAGTTAGCCTTAGGTCACCCCATATTTATGTAAACTCCAGCCCACTGCCACAGCTACTTTGATTGTGATCTGTCATTGTGTTACCCACTGTAGGGCAGAAATGGTTCCTGCCTCATGCCGTTGCTGCTTTACTCTTCCTGAAGTGGTGTGGTTCTGTCTCTGTAGTCCTTGGCACACTGTAGGTTCTCAGATGGCAGGGTGAAAAGTTCTTCTGTTTGCTTAAATCTCTCATAATACCCTGAGTCTGTGGAGCTCAATAAATTCTACTTGGTATTATTGATAGATTATTTGGAGCCTTTTATGTTAGAAAAGGGATTCTTAATCCAATGCTCCGTTTTACAGATGAGAAGACTGAGGCTCAAAGACCATACCCCCAGGAGCCATGATTTGCACTGTATTTAGGAATAGTGTCTAGGGTCAGCACCTGGTGTTGGCCGACTGCAGAGCAGCCTGGTTAGGAGCCCTGGGGTTGGGCGGGTCTGGGCTGCTGGTGCCACAGCAGTCTCCCTCCCCTGGGACTTTGGGCCTGCTACCCACCCCTGTTCCTTCCTTTGTGAGATAGGGCTAGCAGTAACTGTCTTGTTTCATCAGAGGCAGTATTGCATAATGAATGAGAGCTGGGGCCTAAATTAGGCACAAGTGCAAGCCCTCAGAAAACTATGTACACCTAGAGAGAGAGAGAGACACACGTCTGTATGACAGAGAGGCAGGGTTTGGGAATGTTCTGATTTCATGTTTTGAATTGGTGTGACCTTTGGGAGGATATCCTTGGAATCGCAGAGCTTCGTTTACATCATGACTTTCCTGCCCACCCACATTTTCTGAGAGGCCAGAGTTTTAAATGTGGACCCCGTGAGCTTTTCTCTGTTGCCTCATTTTGGCCTGTGGCCTTTTGTTTTCTTGGTATGTCATGAGGCAAAATAAAATGAAACTCAGTGCTGGTTAATAACTCCCATCATAATGTATATTTCTGTGAATGGCTTTTTAGCCATTTGAGAGGAAAAAGGGTCATGTAAATTTCAGAAAGGCCTGATTGGCTGGAGAGTCAGTGTAGTGTCACAGTTAAGAGTATAGATTTAAAAAAAATTTTTTATTGTGGTAAAAAACATAAACATAATACTACCATCTAAACCATATTTAAGTATAAAGTTCAGTAGTGTTAAGTATATTCACATTGTTGTGCAATGGATCTGCAGAATTTTTCATCTTGTTAAACTGAAACTCTATGCCCAATAAACAACTCCTATTCCCCCTCTCCCAGCCCCTGGCAACCACCATTCTACTTTCTGTTTCTCTGAGTTTGACTACTGTAGATAACTCATTTAAGTAGAGTCATATGGTATTTGTCTTCTTATTTCTGGTTTATTTCGCTTAGCATAATGTCCTCAAGGTTCATTCACGTTGTAGCATATGACAGGATTTCTCTCTTTTTTTTCCGCCTTTTTTTTGAGTTATATTCTGTTGTATGTATATTTAACATTTTCTTCATTCATCTGTTGACATTCATCTGCTTCCACCTTCCACCTTTTGGCTATTGTGAAGACTGCAGCTATGAACATGGGTGTGCAAATGTCTCTTCAAGATCCTGCTTTCAGTTCTTTCGGATATGTACCCAGAAGTGGGTTTGCTGGATCGATCATAGTGTAGTTCTGTGAGTAACCCTCATACTGTTTTCTGCAGCTGCTGTACCATTTTACATTCCCACCAACAGTGCCCAAGGGCTCCAGTTCCTCTACACCCTCACCCACACTTGTAATCTTCTGGATTGCAGATTTTCTGGATCAATCTTCTGGATTACACTTGATTTTCTGTGTTGGGCCTGGATGTTTAGAACAGTATCCCTCCTTTGGAGTGGTAAATATGTAAGTTTTTATTATAAAATAATGGCCATCCTAGTGAGCGTGAGGTAATATCTCATTGTGGTTTTGATTTCCTTCATAGTTAATGTGGTTGGGCATCATTTCATGTCCTGGTCGGCCATTTATGTTTCATATTTGGGGAAATGTCTTTTCAAGTCTCAAGTCCTTTGCCCATTTTTTAATTGAGTTATTTGATTTTCTACTGTTGAGTATGGATTATTAAATCAGACTGGCCTGAACTTAAATCATGGCCCTTCCATTTTTGACCAAAAGCAGCTGTGTGTCCCATTTGTGCCTTGGTTTCTTCGGTGTAATGCCGGCATAATGATAGCCCCACCTTGTAGTTAAGAGTGTTGGGGCAGTCAGTGAGGAAGCACTCACTCCACAGGAGCTTGTTACGTAAGGAGAAGGCAGCCGGTCCATTCCTAATAGGGGTCTGAAGGAAGGAAGAAGGGCTGAAGGAAGTAAAAAGAGCCTCCTCCATGAATGGCAGCCATTCTTGAAATCCACCTTGGCTGCCTTCATTTTTAATGTCAGTGGACTTTTAAGACAACCAAAAGGATGTTCTTGGATGACCAGAGACTGTGGCAGAGGGAGGATGGTCACATTGCCAAGGATCTCTCTCAACCTCTTGGATAGTGTGCTGCTGGTAGTTTGCACAATTGCTTCAGCTTTTTGGCAAAGTACATGTAAAATCCTGAAGTCACTGCCAGAGGAAACCTGGTTCCTGAGATAGCAGCTTGATGCTCCTGCCCCATCCCAGGTGCACACCTCACTGGGCAGCTCTGGCTCTGAATTGAGGGACAGCAAAAACCTCTAACCAACCATACTGAAAAGCAGGCATTGGGGGCTTTAGGGGAAGGTTCTTTTCAAAACTCATGATGGGGAGAGACCAAAGACTGGGAATCATTGTAAAGAAGTTAGTCATAGATGCTTCACTCTTTACAATCATCCCAACACAAGGTTAAACAACATGCAGTTTTCACGATGTCCCAGAAAGCGACGAGTGCAGTGAGGTGAAACGTGGCCATCTGAGCACACAATGACCAGGCTTGGAAGGATCGATTTCCCCTGTGCTGGCCCTCAGAATTTAAGGCACAACTTTTAAGCTGAGTGTGCAGCACTCGATTTTCTATGTTGGGCCTGGATGTTTAGAAAAGTATCTCTCCTTCAGAGTGGTAAATATGCAAATTTTTTACTGAATTACTTCATTTAATCAAAGCAGCCGACTTCTCCTGCCTCCCCTGTTTCTGTCTTGGGGTTGAATATTTGGTCCCATGTAACAACTCTTGATTCTTAATGATGCCACATGGAAGCTGTGTGTGCTGGGATTTGCCATATTCAGTTATGGTCAGTAGAGACTTTCTTAGTCTCTCTCTCTTTTTTTTTTTTTTTGAGACAAATTCTTGCTCTGTCACCCAGGCTGGAGTGCAGTGGCCCAATCTTGGCTCGCTGCAACCTCTGCCTCCGGGTTCAAATGATTCTCCTGCCTCAGCCTCCCGAGTAGCTGGGATTGCAGGCACGCGCCACCATACTTGGCTAATTTTTGTATTTTTAGTAGAGACAGGGTTTTGCCATGTTGTCCAGACTAGTCTTGAACTCCTGACCTCGTCATCCGCCTGCCTTGGTCTCCCAAAGTGCTGGGATTACAGGCGTGAGCCACCGCGCCTGGCCACAGTCAGTAGAGACTTTTGAAAGGAAATATTACCTCTTTAATGATGTTTTTAGTCCAAGTAAATTGTGGTAATGTTTAAGAAATTTGCTTACCACAAAAACAGTTTTCAAGGAGCATTTGAACTTGTCCACTTTAAGTCATAAAATGGATTAAAGTGTTTGAAATCTATTGGGATTGTAAATTTATGTCAGTGTACTGACTTTCAAGAGATCTTGATGATCATGTCGTCTGTTTTCATTTTCTACTACATGAGAACATTGAAGCCTGAAACTTAACACAAACCCGAGTTCCCCACTTGCCTAAGAGTCATGGATACCTAAAAAGTATGCTACTTCCCAAGTTGATTTCTTTCAGGATATGGGCCCTTCAAAGGAAAGCAGTGAGGCTGGGGTTTTCCAGGTGGAAAGGTCACATTTCCACATATAACTCAGCGAACATTGTGTTGGGTTGGGAGAAGAATTGGTTCACTATTTTAAACTTTTTGTTTCATCTTGAGGACTTCCCCATCCCCTCTCCTCCGCAAAGCACAAAAGTATTTCCTAATTTTTAAGTCATGGGCTTCCTTTAATGGATTCTGAACTCAGATCACGTCCAGATAAGCATTGTGTAATGGGATGGGTGGGGTTAGATATTTTAGTCACAGATGCATGAGAGGAGGGAGGGTGGAGGACAGCAAAGTTTATAACTGGAGCCTATAGTAGTTTATCTCTTGTCATCGGCCAGGTCACAGAGTCTCACTTCAGGACAGCTGTGCAAGCAGAACCCCCATCACGGTTTTCTTGATGCCTTTGACAGTCACCTGTACATGCCTCTGGGACCTTTCCTCCTCCTTTCTCTTTTTGTTTTTTTTCCCTTGGTCACATGTTTCATTCTACTAAATGTCTAACCAGCTCTTCTCTGTAAATTACAGAGCTGTGATGGCACCTTGCTTGTTGATTATTTCTGGTTGAATAGTTTCCAATGGGACTTCTCTGGAGATAAGTCCTGTATTAGTCCGTTCTCACACTGCTAATAAAAACATACCTGAGACTGGGTAATTTATAAAGGAAAGAGGTTGACTCACAGTTCAGCATGGCTGGGGAGACCTCAGGAAACTTACAATCGTGGTGGAAGGGGAAGCAAACATGTCCTTCACATGGCAGCAGGAGAGAGAAGTGCCGAGCAAAAGGGGGGAAAGCCCTTTATAAAACCATCAGATCTCATGAGAACTAACTCACTATCATGAGAACAGGATGGGGGAAACTGCCCCCATGATTAAATTATCTCTGCCTGGTCCCTCCCATGACATGGGGATTATGAGAACTACAATTCAAGATGAGAATTGGTGGTGACATAGCCAAACCACATTAAATCCCAAGTGCGCATGTCTGGCCCTGATCCCTTTATGTGAGACTGGGGTCATGATCCTCCCGCACCCGTCTTCTGAGCCCTATTCCTACTTGGGCATGCTTAGGCACTTCAGCATCTGCATCCCATTGATGTCTTAAGGGTGGTTCCAGACCTTGGAGGTACACACGACACACTGCTGATGAAAACCTAGAATATAGAATGGAAGTTACATTTATTCATAGAGTGAAAATCCAAAAATAGACCAGAGAGAAGATATGAAAATATCAAGAATGCTTATCTTAGGGAGGTAGGATTATAGGTAACTTTTTTTTTCCTTAGATAAATATATAGATAGATATATTAGTGTTTACAGTTTCTCTGCCACCAACCAAAATATTTTTTTCAGGAGGAAAAAAAACCCCAGCCAGCCAACATACCTAAAAACCATCTCCTGGGCCCGAGAGGGAAAAATTGGGCTCCTTTTCTTGAAATTGCCATTTGTGCCACTGTTGTATTATTTTACCAGTAACTCCAGATTCCAGGCTCCTGTATCTGAGTTCTCTCTCCTTCCACAGTGGAGCTCATACCTTCCTGTTTCCTGGCTGCCACTCAGATTTAGGCTCCGTTTTTCAGACCTCAGTGGCTGTAATAGCTGTTCCTTCTACCTCTTAGGATGGTTCTTTCTGTAATAGCCTTTGTCATCACATCATCAGAGGATGATAGCTCTTAATGAGGATCTAAAATTTGCAGGTAAGATATCCCTGCCTCTGACATGAGATAGATGTATTGCATGCTATTTAACATACAACTATACTGAGTGTGCAGTTGTATGTAAAAGCATTGTTCTAGGTATTGGGTTGAAAGTGGATCAAATGCTAGACAAAGGAGCGTACAAGTCTTGTAAGGAAGACAGCTGCCAAGAGAGAAGAAAGGATGGGGAAATGCTGCGTCTACTAAGTTCAAGGTTCTGAATTGGAAAGCTGCAGCTATTGAGGAGAAGAGTCTTTTAAAATTCCTAAAGGGTTTTTGTTATCTTTTATTGATGCAAATGCTATTTTGTGGCATAAACCTTAATAATTTTGGGGTTGAAACTCTTATCAGGATAAAATGATCCTTTTCTATCCCAAGCTTAATAAATATTGTTTAAGTACAAATTAAATATATGAAATCTGCCCATCTATATTATAAATGTCATATGGCAGAAATTATACCTTGACTTTTGGTTCTTTCACAAAACCTTAATTTTTTTTTTTTTTTTTTGCCTTCAATGAATTTTGTCTGATTTTACATTAAAAGCCTGTAATTTCTCAAGTCTTGAGTCTGGGGAGCCGTCGTCATCCTTTTTTCCCCTCTCCCTTGTCTTCTGGATGTTCAAGCGATTTTAATTAGATGTTGGGCTTTTATGTCAAGTGCTGGCATTGCACTCCATGATAATCCAGGGACTCGGAAGCACATGTTATGCGTCACCCTGGGTTGGTGCAGTGGAACTGGGGTGGGTTGGAAGTAGTATTCTAAATCTGCTTCCTGCGATGGGGTAGGTCAGGTTGTCCTGTGTTGACAAGGAAGAAGTCTGGGTGAGGAAGCGGGATGAAAGCAGACCAGACGCTAGAGTCCACTTTCAAGTCCGATCCCAGGACCTGGCTTAAAGTTAAAGAACAGCAAAGATGAAAGGTGCCGCACAGCAGCACAGGTCGGTGGCCACGTTAATGACATAGAAAGCAAGTGCTGTGAATTCAAAAGAAAGGACAGCTCTGAGCCAGAGTACTTGGTGACTTTGCTCAAACAAATCCCTTTCTGGCACCCCCAGGCCTTCCCTCCCGCTTCAAAAAAATTCTGAATTGTGCCAATCCATTGAGGCTCAGCTCAAGGCCATCCCATGCCTTTCCATCGTAATAAAGCCTTGTTTCCTGGGCTTTAAACATATTCCTTTTTTCTTAGGTACAGATTGAACTTTTTTAAAAGGGAAGTTGTCAGAGGCTCTGTAAAACGTTAAATCAAACCTGCTTTGTTTTAGGGATGGGGTAGCTTGGAATCAGATTTGCTCCTGCTATGGACTGAACATTTGTGTCCCCCCAAAATTCCTATGTTGAAGCCCTAATGCACAGTGTTATGGTGTTTGAAGGGAGGCCCTTGGGAGGTGATTAAGTTTAGATGAGATTGTGTGAGTGAAGCCCTCATGAATGGGATTACTGTCATCCCAAAAAGAGGTAGAGACCCCAGAGCTTCCTCTCTCTTCACCCTGTGAGGATACAGCAAGAAGGAAGCTCTCTGCAAGTCAGGAAGAGAGAGGGCTCTCACTAGAATACACTTGTACTGCCACCCTGATCTTGGACTTCCCCTCCAGAACTGTGAGAAACAAATGTGTGTTGTTTAAGCCACCCAGTCCCTATGATTTTATTAGAGCAGCCCGAGCTCCATTCTCCACTCCCTGGCTTCCTGCATGGACTTTGCAACCAGAGCTTCACGGGGTATAGTTTAATAGCTGTTTCTCTGTAACATAGCCACTTTTCTCTTTCCAGGTCTAGTTTTGACCCTCATAACACTTTGTTAGGGGAGATTTGAGGGTGAGGAAGTTGGCTTGCTTTTCTTTTCACCATGTCTCAGTAGAAACAGAAGCAGAAAGGCCCTGAGATACTGAGCCCACCTTTCTCAGCAGGGTGTGACAGCCCGGAGTACCCTGGGCTGAGGAGGCCAGGGCTGGAGGGGAGGCTCCCACGGTGGAGGGGTTGAAAGCTGGGTTGTAATGAGCTGCTTTTCTGTAGATGCCTAAATGATGTGGGTTGAGAAATCGTGATCTTAGCTTTTAGTAGTATATTTTTCTGTTTATGTTAGGTGAGTCATCAGTCTGTCTCTGACTATGTTCAGATCTGGAAGTTTTCTGGAAGGAAATTTGTTATTGCTGTAATAGTGTAGGTTGTTGATCTGGATTAGCAGGGAGCGGCCCCTTAATACATTCTTAAGAAAATGGTATTTAGTTCAGTCTTTGGCTTTGAACTTTGCCTTTGACAAAGATGAAAGTGCGACTTGACTGGTGTTTGAAAAACATGGTGATATGGCCAGGTGTGGTGGCTCATGCCTGTATCCCAGCACGTTGGGAGGCCGAGGCGGGCAGATCACCTGAGATCAGGAGTTCGACACCTGACTTGGTCAACGTGGTGAAACCTCATCTCTACTTAAAATACAAAAAAATTAGCCAGGTGTGGTGGTGTGCACCCATAATTGCAGCTACTTGGGAGGCTGAGGCAAGGGAATCACTTGAACCCTGGAAGGCGGAGGTTGCAATGAGCCAAGATTGTGCCATTGCAGTCCAGCCTGGGCAACAAGAGCGAGACTCCATCTCAAAAAAAAAAAGCAAGTTATATTACATTTTAAAACTCTATTTAATGGTCAGGTCATCCATCCATAATGGGTAGAGTCATTGCTTAATTAATTTAAAACAATGTATTTAAAAGGTACCTTTGTTCCCTAGTGTCACATAACGTGAAATATCCAATTAAGGTAACTGTAATGTAAAGTAAGTGGCTAAAAAAGTGCTGAACGCCAAAGGCCAGAGATTCAACCTTTTGTGTGCATTAGAATTTCCCAATTGTTCAAATCCAGGTTGCTGGATCTACCCCAGAGTTTTTGATCCAGTAGGTTTGGGGTGGGACCAAGAATTTGCATTTCTAACAAGC
Source organism: Homo sapiens (assembly GCF_000001405.40). Classification (NCBI taxonomy): domain Eukaryota; kingdom Metazoa; phylum Chordata; class Mammalia; order Primates; family Hominidae; genus Homo; species Homo sapiens. The sequence continues at coordinate 38,080,063 of NC_000004.12, forward strand.
TCCCAGGTGGTGTTGAGGCTGAAGCTCGTGTGGGGACCACATTTTGAGAACTTCTCCCGTAGACTGAACTCATGGTCTAGGTTCTGTCAGCTGTGACCCCTGTGCTGCTGGAGGGAGTGGTCAGATGTCCTGACCTCTGTGCCCACAGTGAGGTCCAAGCTGAGTAGGTTTGACCAGCAGCTGTAATCACAGAGTGAACAATGTAAACGACCAATGTTGGGTGGTCTGACATCTTTTAAAAAAAATCCACGTGGATGAGATCACAGGGTTAAGTGTGGGCAGCAGTCAGGGTAACTCCATGTGGTTACTGCCCATGCACTCTCTGCTGTTTTTCACCTCTTCTTCAGAGTGTGGTCAGGATGGTGGCCTTGCCCAGCACAGGAGGCCCTTTTCCTTCTGACCACCTGACCTGACCCACCTCTTAGCATCTGCAGGCACTCCCTGTCCCTTCGCTGGGCCCCGTGGGGAACTACTTGCAGTCATCAAATTCATCATGCTGCTTTCTTTTAATTCCCACACTTGCCAAGGTGGGACTGCCCCGCATCTCCTTCCCAGTCGTGTGTCAGAACTCAGCACTGGACCTTTCCCCTTTCCCCACTCCCACCCCTCCTCACCCCGACGAACGTCTCACTTGGGATCATCTCTTCTGAGGTTGGACCTGCACAGCCGCCCTCTGCACTCTCGCCACCTTATGGGCTGCCCTTGACCCCTTGGCACACAGACCTGGAAGTTGGCCTGCTCAGCTGTCTCCTTAGGGGTGGAGCTTGGTTTTCTTTCATCACTGTTCTGCGATGAATTGAATGCATGATTGGTCACAGGAAGGTAGGGGAGGGATAAACACCTTATGATATGTTTCTTATAAGGTTTTATATGTAGAAAGTTATATGAAAGTGTCAGATATCTATATATGAAGTATATGTGAAGTTTTATGATAGTTTTGCATAATTTAAGAATAAACTCTTTAAAGGAGCTGAGTCCCAATCCCTTGGGTCGAGAGTTGCGTGGCTCCCGGGGCCTGCTTGTTTCCTTCCACTCTGCGTGTTCGTTGCTGGCCCCTCATAGGCTGTCCCAGACCTCTTTGACTTCTCTCCTTTCTGCCCAGTCTTCCCTGAGACGCTCCAGGCTCCCTGGCCTCCTGCTTCTCGGAGCTTCTCTTGTGTTTGTTTTCTGTGCTCAGGGCGCCATGGTGCTATAGGCCACAGAGGAGGCGTCTGGGGTCCCTCGGGGCAGGTGCAGCAGGAGGAAGCCGTCTCCGAGGGCATGACCTTGGAACTGAGCATTGACAGAGGAGAGTCAGCCAGACAAAGAAAGGCCAAAACCCCACCCCTCTCCCACCCTATTTCTACGTGACCATGGGCCCTGGACACAGCAAGACGGTGACCCCGGGCCTCCTATTGTTGCGAGGAGCCCCTGGGAAAATGTTGGCATTTTCTTCATAGAACAGGTTTCTCTTCTCCAGTATTCTTCAGTAAATCAACTTTCTTTTTTATCCCCAACCCCAGTCTGATTGCGAAGAAGTCTAAGCAACAGAAAGATTTTGCCAAATAGATTATCTTTTTTAGAACAAAATAGATCATGATATTAATAGGAATTCAGCACTTACTCTTGTCTAAGTACTGTTTTTAAGTGCTCTCAAGGATTTTTCATTTAATCCCCACAACAAAGCTGTGGGGGGTGGATGCTATTATTATCGGTGATTTATGAATGAGGAAACTGACACAGAGGGGTGGTCGAGGAGCTTGCCCATTTCCTGGTAGTTAGTACCAGGGCTGGCATCATCAGTTGCCTGCTCCTTTTCCTCTTTGCTTTTGTGTCCATTACCCCAAGGCATTAGGATGAGCCAGCCAAGTTCTAGTCCTGGATTCACCACCTAATTAGCTCTGTGTCCCATGTCTTGCCGTGGAGGGATAAAACCAATTCCTAGCTTATCCGTTGGTGGTGAAGATGAAATCAGTGGGGTACTTGTAAAGCACACTGCCCAGCACATAGTAAGTGCCCAGAAAATGTGACGTCGGACCTCTTTAAGCTTCAGTTTCCACATCTGGGAAGAGAGGGGGAGTTGAGCTAAGTCATTTTCCAGTGTCCCTTTCAGCTCCATGTTCCTGTGAGCACTGACAGTTTCCCCACAATACTGAAGAAAGAAGGAAAATAAGGGCGGGGTGGCGAAGGTCGCCACTGTGACGTGGCTGCTGGTGGGAAGTCCCTGGGGAGGCAAGGCCCAGCTTCCCAGACACAGCCCTCAGGTGCTCATCCTGGTGGCACTGACCAGGGGCCATGGTGGGCTTTTCCACCCCACCATGTCTCATAAAATTACAAGAACCACAGTTGAAAATCAGTGTTACAGAAATGGTAATAGGATAGGGCAAACTGTTACAAAGATCAGCACTTAAGATTCTGGCTGAGGCGGAATATTTGTTTCTCTTTAGTTTTGTTGTCTTTAATCAAGAACTGAGAGCCCTGACTTTCAGCTCCTCAAAAAATACAGCTTCCTTCCCCTTGCAGATGCAAAAACAAACGCCACTTCTTTCCAAGCATAATTTTCTCCCATGCGTTATCTCCTGTCTACAGCTTTTTCTTGATCCTTCTCCAGCTCCTGTAGACCTCCCATTTAGAGCCACCAGCCGCCCATCACTGGGGCTGCGCAGAGCTCTTGGTGCTCTGTGCCCTGGGCTCGCCCACCCAGGCCTGTTCTCTGTGCCTCTTCCTGGTTCTCTTCCCTGGACTTCCCACTGCCGTGTGGTCTTCAGTGCTCCTCTGAGCTGTTGTCATGACCTCTAACCAGACTGAGTCAGGACTTTTTTCTTCCTCATCTCTAAGTCATCCTTACACAGCCTTGGAAGTTTACCCTAAATGGCTATTTTGGGAGGGAGTGGGGATAAAGATCTGCAGGCCTCTTGCTCCTGGTCCTTGTTTCTGCTTATCTTGGCTTCTGTTTTTAAGTGTGTGTGCACCTCTTTCCTCATCACACCCTTCCCCTCCGTATGGCTCCCATCTCAGGCAGAGTTAGGTGCTCTGTTCTGTGTCCATAGCTCTTTTTCGAGCCCTTCTTCTCACTGTTTGGTAGTGGCCTTTCATGTGTGTCTGATCCACTAGGCTGTGCACTCCCTGCCTGCCAGGATATGGTTAAAGTGCTAAAGAATGTATATATGAGATCACTTTTGCTTAAAAAACCCCCAATCTTCTGGAATTCCCAATTTCTAACCAATTAATATGTGGATTGACTAGACCTTAAGCAACCAAGAGTCAGCCAGCCTTGTCTTCTATATTCAGGCGCATACTATCTGGTCGTTAGACAAAATGGGTCATTATCAGTGATGAGTTAATAATTACCTGCACATCTTGTTTATGCTGGTTCTTTACCTAAAGTGGCTCCCATCAATTAAACCTGTATGGATTTTACCTGTTCTTCCAGAACCACCCCACTTTCCACAAAAACTGACAACAATGATGGTAAGAAGAATGGTAGTTGACATTTTATTAAATGTTTACTGTGTGCAGGCTTGTTTTTTTCCACACATTTACCTACTTAATGCTCACAATAATCCTATGAACTAGTCAGTTTTATGCAGATTTCGCAGATTAGGAAACTAAGGTGGCAAGTGATCAGATAACCTGTTTGAGGTTGAGTAGCTAGATCATGGTAGAGCCAGGTTCAATCCCAGATACCTGGCTCCAGGGCCCATGCTCTTGACCTTATAAACGGCTGAAATTCATCTTTTTTTGCTGAACTTCCAGAACACTTTCTTTGTATTTCCCTTATTTTGGTAGTCTTGTACTTCTCTGCTACCCTGATTCATACTTGGATTTCTAGCAGCATGCCTGGCATGAGGCAACAACTTAACAGTATTTCTTTATACCAAATGAATGTTGTCTTTTTTTTTTTTTTTTTTCTTGAGACAGAGTCTCGCTCTGTCGCCCAGGCTAGAGTGCAGTGGCACTATCTTGGCTCACTGCAAGCTCCGCCTCCCGGGTTCATGCCATTCTCCTGCCTCAGCCTCCCAAGTAGCTGGGACTATAGGCGCCTGCCATGGCGCCCGGCTAATTTTTTGTATTAGTAGAGACGGGGTTTCACCGTGTTAGCCAGGATGGTCTCGATCTCCTGACCTCATGATCTGCCCGCCTCGGCCTCCCAAAGTGCTGGGATTACAGGTGTGAGCCACCATGCCCGGCCATGAATGTTGTCTTTAAAAAATTCTGTTTTCCTCTAGCTAGACTGTCATATAATGCAACTGTAGGAAATAATCAGGTTCTCTTTGGAGTATTTTCCATAAAAGATCCACAGAAGTCATGGCAGGGTTGAGAGTGGACTTGGGCAAATGAATCTGTTCATTCATTGAATATTCCATGCATATCTGCTGTTTCCCAGGCATGGGATATGGCAGGGAACACAGAAATCTCTGCCTCCTGGGCTCTGCTTTCTGTTGTAGTAGAGGTAAAGCTGCTCATACTTTGTAAACAATATGACAACATTAAGTCTACATGGTCATTTTACTTTGTTTTTTTCTAAGAAATTTTGAGCTGTTCGTAACAACAGACGCTGCAGATGTTAATCCCGTTGTTGTTAACTTTTCTCCAGAGATTTAATGTTCAATTTTCTCCTTTCCAGAATCGATTTATGTTGTTCAAACAGAGGTTTGAGAATAACTGGAATTTTTTTAACTTCTTTTTTTTTTTTCGCATGGAGTTCAGAATTTTCAAGAGGGATGAAGAGAGTTATAAAATGCTCTATGGTGGGTAACACACAGAAAAAGCCAGAAAATTGGAGAATAAGGATCTGTCTACTCGTTTCCTTCTAGAGCTCCTCTTTCTTACAGGGCACTTAACATGTGATTTAATGTCGTGTCTTTAAAAGGAGGAGAACTGCAGTTCAGAACTTAATGTCAGTGCTTTGTGAAAGTGCAAGAAAGAAGCCCTGTATTCTGCACTTGAGAGAGCCAGATACTGGGCAGATAGGAGGTGGTGTGCACGTTGCTTTTTGTCTTTCTCGATCATGGCATTGATTCTGTTCATAACAATGATGCAATGTCATCCTCTTCCCCACACATTTGTGTGCAGATAGAAAGAATGCAACAGCACAGAGTTGTTGGGGAATAATTTGGCATCTAAAATATCGACATACCAGCATAGATCATATTTATGACTCTGTTGGGAGTGTCACAGCAATGATTTAATAGGAGGCAGTTGTCTCCAAGGCCTCCTGAATTATGACTGGTTTTAAAATTCTTAGAACCCATTGGAGGCTATTGTTTCTGAAAGGCTACATAATTTAAGTGCTCCACATCCGTCATTATAGGAGATGTCAGAATAGTAAAATCTAATCCTGGACTAAGTTGTTATCGCAGCCCTTTGGTTTGGTGGCTTTGCCGACTTTATAAATATGCCTGTCAGTGCCTGTGGTCTCTACAGTTGGGCAGTCGGCGGTGAATATCATTTCTCACATTTTACACTGGGGGACTGGAACCCAGAAGGCATATGTTTTCCCAAGAGGCACCAACACAGTTGGCCCATGAGGTAGAGCAGCCCCTCCTTCGGCTCAGCCTCCGCTGCACTGAGCCAAGCCAAGCTTCCTACACTGGCCTCTGTGCAGCTGTCTCTCAGCAAGAATGCAAGTCGGGGAGAGAAGCCGGATCCCTGGGATTGTTCTAGAGAGTAGAAACCTCAGAGTAGCCCTCCTTAGACCACCTAACGCATTGCATCGCTGCATACATGTAAGGGACTCAATGCTGGTAGGATTGGCTTAGGAATGATGCAAGTGAAAACAGTGCCCCGGTTTATCATTAGAACAAGGTTCTTAGCTGACAGTTGCCTCAGACTTTGATTTTGTTCTCCTTGACCTGCCACTCCACTCGAGTCCACATCTCTCAAGACTGCACACGCCTGAAGGAGGACTGATTACAAACCAAAGCCTTGTGCCCAGTCTGGATCTTTTTGCATTGTTGAGAAAGCAGCTTACTTTCTTTGGACTGATTCAGCAGGCCAAATTTAGAACAAAGATTTTTAACTATCTCCCTTTATAAATTACTGAGCTATTTTGTAGCCAGGCTACTCTTAATATGAACAAAAAATATTATACAAATTTGTTGTTAATCGTAAACTATAAAAAAATCAGTAATTGTTACCACGTGAAATGAATTTGGATAAAAGAGATACGTTTTTGCCCCTTCCCAGGGTTTAGGAGAGACGAAATGGTGAGATTTTAGCTCTGAATCAGAGGTTCTTATTAGAGGTGGTTTTGTTCCTCCTGACCCCTAGGGGATATTTAGCAATGCCTAGAGGCATTGATGGTGGGCAGATGCTACTATGCCCTCTGCTAAACATTCTACAGTGTATAAAACTGTTCCTCCTGACAAAGAATCATCCAGCCCCAAAATGTCAGTAGTGCTGAGGTTGAGAAACCCTCCTTTAAACTCTTGGGTTTATTTGCTGACCTTTACAGTGGATCAGCTTTTATTTAGTTCATGTAGAGGTGAAATTAATACTAGTGCTCAAATATGTCTTTGTATTCTGGACTTGGCCTGGATCCCCCGACCAAATTTGGGACAAGCTCCTGCCATGTGTTGAGGACCTGAATTCAGGCAGCTAACAACAGTATTTGAACTGTGTTTTCAGTGGTGGGAGTGAAGGAGATGAGCCGACGTGCTAGCAAGCGCATAGGGTTGCATGAGGAAATAGAGAGTAAAGCTGCAGCGTGGAGCCCTGCTATTCAGAGTGTGCTTGGAGAAACAGCAGTGGAGGCATTACTGGGGAGCTTGATGGAAATGCTCCCCTCAGACTTGCTGAATCAAAATCTTTAATTTAGCAAGATCCCCAGTGAGGCTTGTGCATGTAGAAGTTAGAGAAGCACGGGGTAAACTCTTCTTTTTTTTACTTTGGAGGAAAATACACCTTTTTTCTTATTATGGCTCTGACCCTTACTAGCTGTGTGACCTTGGCCAAGTTATAAAACCTCACTGCACCTTATTTGTTTTAGCTGGAAAATGGAGATCATAATATCACCTGTCCTATGAGATTGTTGTAAGAATCAAACAAGCTTATTTATGCCAAGAACCCATATGGTAAAAGCTCAACAAACTGTCACTAGTGATAATAAGAAAAAGATCACAAAAGTAGAAAACATTAGGGAGACAGCTTAGGTCTTAAATCTCACAGTTGTCGTCCCCAAACAATACTTGTATTTTTGCAGATCCAGTTTCTCTGAATACTAAAATAAAACCGGAGTTTCATAAACTTCTATAGACAGTGGTCCTTGTCAGTAGCCCAAGTGGCAGAGAGTACATGGATCTGGGGACAAACAGCCTCTACTGTTAGGAATGTTCCATCCTCCTGGCCTGAGTTACACCTGCTCATTGTGATTCCGAATTTGAAAGGAACACAGTAGGAATTTTCAAGACCCTGGGAAGAGGAAGGCTGTGGTAAACAGGAAGGATGAGATTAGAAGAAGGAGTTTAGGTGAGGTGAGCCCTTGTTTTACTAGTAGGGTTTAAGAATATCCAAGTCAGCTGGACATGGTGGCTCACACCTGTAATTCTAGCACTTTGGGAGGCCGAGGTGGGCAGATCACCTGAGGTCAGGAGTTCGAGACCAGTCTGGCCAACATGGTGAAACCCCGTCTCAACTGAAAATACAGAAATTAGCAGGGCATGGTGGCGCATGCCTGTAATTCCAACTACTCACTCGGGAGTCTGAGGCAGGAGAATCGCTTGAACTTGGGAGGTAGAGGTTGCAGTGAGCCAAGATTGCGCCACCACACTCCCACCTGGGCAACAGAATGAGATTCCGTCTCAAAAAAAAAAAAAAAAAGAAAAAAAAAAAAAAGAATATCCAGGTCAACCCCACCTAACCCTCAGCGGGGCTCCCTTCTGTTGCCTGGGTGGGTCCTGGGTTCTCTTGACGCACACGAGATTGTGAGAGTGTATGGAAACACTGCCCTCGCTATCAGGACAGCGCCTGCCATGCCAGCCAGAACACATCATAGGAATTGCAAAACTCTTTTGCAAACCAGTGAGAGATATGCTTCCAATGTGAGGTAAAGCAGAACTTTAATCACAGCTGCAGTGTTCCACAGAATTCCAAGAGCCAAGATGGTAAAAGAATAAAAAAAAAGAAAGGAAAGGGCTCAAATTAAAGACTTCAAGCTGCAGAATAAGATTAAATAAAAGGATTCAATTGAACTGCATCATATTCAGTAATGACTAATCCTAAGTATACAGGGTTTGGGGGTGAAAGGATTTGTAAGTGTTTTGCAGGAAAATATTTTTTCCATCTTTCATTTTAATTAGAATAGATTTGCATTATTTTTTCTTAGTTTTTATTTTTAAAATATTTATTGCCACAAATTTAGAAAATACAGGGAAAACATAAATAACAGTACATGTAAACCAATATTTTGTCCCTTCTTTTGTTCAACAGCTATTTCTCAGGCACCTGCTGGGTGTCAGCAGCTGTGCTCAGTGTGGTGACCAAAACCCTTGTCAACAAGGCAGCAAGGTTCTAACCTGGTTAGGGCTTACAGTTGAGTAGCTGAAATTTTGATTTCTTTTCTGTGCCCCTAGTAAAGATATGATAGCAAACAATAAGAGCTATTTTTTTTATTGTGTTCTTACTCTGTGTTGGGCCCTGTTCTCAGTGGTTTATAGCCTATTAACTCAGTCTCTTTACCACCACTCTGAGGGGAGGCTCTGTCATACCCACTTGACAGATCGGGAAGTGGAAGCATCAGGAGGTTAAGCAACTTGTTAAAGATCACAAAATCAATAATGACAGAGTTTTGATTAGAATCCCAGCAGCCTGTCTCCAGAACCTGCCCTATTAAGTGCAGTGCAACTGTACTGCCTTTCATAATATGTATCAAATTGAGATGATACTTTATAATTTCAATTCTTGCTTTTCTATTGAACAGTACACAGTAACATCCTCCTATAATGCATATAAACCCCCAAAAGATGTAGAATTTTAATTTATTCATTTGTCTGATAGGCTCATAATGAAATAAGACTCTATAAAGCTGTGTAATTTAGATATAGGAAACATTTGGATTATAGTGGTATGTAGTGGGAACAAATGGTCTTCTGAATCAGGAAGACATGAGTTAGAGTATGCCGGTGTACCTCCTTACTCACTGTATGACCTTGGGCAAGTTTCTGAACTTTAGTTTCCTTTCCAGGCTAATATCTGCCTTCTGGACTTGTCATCAGGATTAAATGAGTCTACCTATATAAAATGCCCAGCGCAGTGCCCAGCACGTGGTAGAAGGTCTGCTAGTGGTTACTGTTACTGCTGGCTATTAAATACATTTTAATCTTCCTTCAGAATACCTGGCCAGATAGCACAGTGGTTAAGAATGCACATGAAAGCCAGACTGTTGGGTTCCAGTCCTGGCTCGACTCCTTCCTAGCTATGTGACATTAGGCAACTTACATAAACTCCTTGTTCCTCAGTTTGCATTTCTTTAAAACTGCATAGTTATCATACCCATGTCTTAGAGTTTTGTGAGTGTAAATTATTGTATATAAAGCTCTGAGAACAGTTTGGTACACAGTAGGCACTGTATGAACATTTTCTGTAATTATCAATAATATAATTATTAAATAACATTTTCAGAAGGAGATAAAAATATTACACCTTAAAAAGCAGGTATCTTTAAATTCTTCCTCAGCTACTGAAGTTTTGCTTACTATTTGACATATCATTTGTTTCACGTTTGTGGCTCAGACGTGGCTTATGCCAATGCATATTAACACAGGAATTTTAAATTTGGTGATATTATTATATTTTATCTGAATGAACAGAATTTGCTGATTTGACACTGTGTTTGAATGTGCATTTTTTGTTGAAAAATGACAATTCTGGAATGCCGTCTCCCTTTCCAGATTATTCAGAGCTGGGAGAGCTTCCCCCACGATCTCCTTTAGAACCAGTTTGTGAAGATGGGCCCTTTGGCCCCCCACCAGAGGAAAAGAAAAGGACATCTCGTGAGCTCCGAGAGCTGTGGCAAAAGGCTATTCTTCAACAGATACTGCTGCTTAGAATGGAGAAGGAAAATCAGAAGCTCCAAGGTTGGTTTGCCATCTTGATATTGAACAGGCCTGGTCTTATCTTGGCTCTGAAGTTAATCACATCAGACATAAGCATGCTGTCTTAAAAATACAGCAGCACGATAGTCTAATGTATACATCTATCTATATCTGTTTACTTTTTCAGAGTAATATTAACACTGTTTACTTTCTGGTGATCTAATGATAGTTTCACCAACAATATTCATTATTCCTCTATGGTCACTGTTAGTACAGTGTTTAGAACTTCTGAGATCCAAGCTTTAAATCTAAGCTCTAACACGCTGAAAGGTGCTTTTCATTTTGTTTTGTTTTCCCCTCTGTCTCTCTCTCTCTCTACTTTATCCTCAGCCATGGTCTGTGCCTGTGTGTTAGGTATGAACTTTTCTTGTGTAAGTCATTAACATACGTAACTTCACTCTGTGTGCTTTTTCAGTGATTTGCAAGTAATCTGAAAAAAAAGAATTAGCTGAGTTCTACCTGTACTGATATCAATAGTGTCAAAATATGACATGAACTTTGAAAGTTTAGATTTTGTTCATTTCCTGTTTCCATGCTGACACTGGAACCAATTAATGTTATCTTCAAAGTAGCTTAAGATGCAAAGTTTACATACTCTTTGGAAAGAGCATGAGTCTTAGGGTATCTAGAGAACTGCCCGGTGATAAAGTAGTGAAGATTTTGAGCAGGAAGTCTGCATAATCTCTTTCAAAGGGAAGATGTAGCAGATGGTTCAGTCACCCTGCCATTGCCCCAGAACAATTTTGGAATTACAGTACATTTCATTCAGCATCATTCTTGATTGCAAATTTTGATCTTTTAAAATGACCTTGATGCTTGTATAGAGCTAAAAAGTCATTAAGACACCAACTCTGAGGAATAAGCTCCTGAGAATGTGTTGCATCTGTGAGTTTCAGTTGCATAGCTAGTGTCATAGCGAGTGGATAGACGTTCTCTGTGCATGTCCCTACAATGCTTGTGAGTTATGACAACACTGTGTACGAGCAACATAGTTTCTGCAGTTGAAAAGTACGAATTCATAGAATGTAAAGAGATAGTGTCTATATCTTTTGACTGAAAACAGAAAATGAGATATAAAGGAATAAGACCTTTCGACATGAAAGTAACCCCACAGTTGGAATAGGCTAGTAAGCTTTCCAACATGCAGTTTTGAAGCTGAGAAAGACGGGTCCTCTCATCAGGGTGCTGTGGAAGATGATAGCACACTGGGGGGCGTTTAGAGCAGGTGAGTGCTGTTTTCTTCCAACCCAGTTTTTCTGCCACTTTCTTATGTTTTTGTGAAGGTAATTTTAAAAGCAGATGTCTAAAAGATGTTTGGTAGTGATGGCATTACTGCATGTGTCATCAGTTAAATGACAGCTCGGGAGCACAGCAGTTATGTTCGTGTGTATCTTGGGATTTTTGTTGAAGAGGAAAAAGGCAGTTATGTTCATCATGTAGGTCAAACTTTAATGCCAATACTGGCCAATATTCTTGCAAATGACAGCCATGTAAAATCAGGGCATAGCTATAAAATGGGAACGGTGCTCACAGCTGGCTTCTTTGTGGTGAGGACAGCTATAATTGGTGAGGCAAAACCAGTGTGCCACAAAAGCAGAATACATTCTGCTGTGCAAGCAATGACCAGACAGACTAGAATGAAAAGGCAAGAGTTTCCTAAGGTTACCTGGAACCCCTTGCCAGGTGTTGCATTAAGTTTACTGGCCCTTGCCAACATTCTTCTAATGCTTCCTCATTTCATCTGGCTTCTTGGCAGTGTTCAGTTTTTGTGGTCTTTTATTTTTACTGTTTGACTTCATTTCTCTTCTTAGCTCTGTAAAGTTCCACATGTGTTTATCTTTGTGGTGAAAACACAATAAACTTGCTTAATATAATGTTGGAAGTATTAATCCATTGTATTAGTGTGTACAGGACCTGGATTGCTGATAAAAAAATAACTAGCAATAACAGCCTGATTGCTTAAAAATATTTAGTAAGTTTTGTCGGGGTGGATTGGGGCAGGGCAGAACTTTTACATTAAATATAGATGCAAGATTTGATAAGAATCAGCCAGAGTGTACAGTAAGTATTCACTTAATGTTGCCAATAGGTTCATGGAAACTGCGAATTTAAGCAAAATGATGTATAATGAAACAAATTTTACTAAGGGTTTATTGATAAAAACAAGAGTTAAGTTCCTATGGCATATTTCTGGGCACAAAAACATCACCAAACTTCTAAATAAAGACCCAAGACACTTCTAATATTAAATATTGATGTAAACGTGAGATATGCAAACATTTAAGCAAGATTAATACAAATATGATAATTATTGGCTTGGCACAGTGGCTCACTCCTGTAATCCCAGCACTTTGGGAGGCTGAGACAGGGAGATCACCTGAGGTCAGGGGTTCGAGACCAGCCTGGCCAATGTGGTGAAACCCTGTCTCTACTATAATTACAAAAAAAAATTAGCCAGGTGTGGTTGTGCACACCTGTAATCCCAGCTACTTGGAAGAGTGAGGCAGGAGAATCGCTTGAACCCAGGAGACGAAGGTTGCAGTGAGCCAAGATGGTGCCACTGCACTCCAGCCTGGGCAACACAGTGAGACTCCATCTTAAAAAAAAAAAAAAAAAGAAAGAAGTAATTATTTTTCCACTTATTCCACTTCAGGGTCTCAGGGGGCCAGAACCTATCCCTACAGCTTGGGATGCAAGGCAGGAACCAGCCCTGGACCGAATGCCATTCCATCTTGGGGTGACTCACACACACACTCAGACTGGGACCATGTAGACATACTGATTAACCTAATGTGCACATCTTTGAGATGTGGGAGGAAACTGGAGCACTTGGAGAAAACCCACACAGACATGAAGAGAACACAAACTCCACACAGATAATGGCCCCGGGCTAAGAATCCATTTTTTTCTTGTCAACATTATAAGAAAGCGACATTGAGCATAAAGACATTATTTGAGGACCTGCTGTACTATGTACTTAGAGAGATAGGCATTCTATCTTGAGTTCCTTTTTTTTCTCCCTTCTTGAAGGAAGGTTAAATTGCATCTGAGATGGCTCTTGAAATTGATCAGGGGTTCAAGCTGACTTGCATACTCTTTGGGAAAGAATTTAGAAGGATGTGTATGAGGAAGTTCTTATGGTTAAGCCTGTTTCCTGACTTGAATAGATGAATCAAATATTTTTTACTATTCTGGAAGCATCGCATTCTGGAAAGAACCATACTATGTCATCTCAGTCTACCTCACTCCATTGTAGGCACTTGGAAGCTGAAGTTGTGATTTCTCCAAAATTAGATAGCTAATTTTCATTGGTGTTAGAACAAAAAGCGCTGCCTCTCTTTGAAGACACCAGTCCTCCACCGTCCTCCTCTGCAAGGCCGTTTTCCCCCCCCTTTTTTTTTTTTTTGAGACAGAGTTTTGCTCTTGTTGCTTAGGCTACAGTACAGTGGCACAATCTCGGCTCACTGCAACCTCCGCCTCCTGGGTTCAAGCGATTCTCCTGTCTTAGCCTCCAGAGTAGATTACAGGCACCCACCACCACACCCGGCTAATTTTTATTATTAGTAGTAGTAGTAGTAGTAGAGATGGGGTTTCACCATGTTGGCCAGAATGGTCTCGAACTCCTGACCTCAGGTAATCCTCCCACCTTGGCCTCCCAAAGTTCTGGGATTACAGGCATGAGCCACTGTGTCCAGCCAATTTTTCTGTATTTTTAAATGAAGATGTGAGCAGCCTAATGTAAGATCACAACATGTGATTCAATACAGCCGTGGCTTGGTGTTGACATGTTATTACCAGTTGAGCTAATCCATGTAACTCAGCATTTTATGCTTTACTAAGATTAAAATGATGTGATAACATTAAATTTTGAATTACAGTTGATGTTTTTTATTTAAAAAACATTTTTCTTAGTTAAATAATACATGATGGTTTAAAAATCAAATATTCAGTGCAATTCTTCTAAAATCTCTGCAAGTGTGGGGGTCATTTAATTGCTGAGCCTCCCAGCCTATTAGCTTTCCATTCTGAGCTTTCAAGAGATGGTGGCAGCTGGCAAGGCAGTTTTGTCTGGGAAAGCCATTGTTAACAGAGCAGAATTGGGGATGGAGCAGCCATAGCCCACCCACCAGAGTAGGCACAAATCAGACCTGAACGTTATCACAAAGTCCAAGTTGGCTCAGACATTTGTGTTAAATCATAATAAATATTTTAGAGAACTTGGTTGCAAATTTACATTTGATCTCAGTCAGTCCTCTTCCCCTATCTCTACAAGCTTACAAACCGCATGGGTGTGTGGGGGTCTTATTTAATATTGCGAACAGCTGGTTCCTGTATCTGAAGTTCTTGCCCTGGAGCCTGGGTGTTTGTTGTAGTTCTGCACCATCTGCCTTGGTTGATAAGGCATTTTGGAGGCCACTGATTTTAGGCAGCAGTGTTGTTAGGATACGGAAACAGCAGGATGTTTGTGGATTGAGCCTTTTCAGCTGAATCTTCTGGCCAGTTCTTTCTGGCTGTGTGAAGTTGTGTCGACTACAGAGCAGGATGCTCATGTTGCCTGCTGGGCTCTGTTAGGGTGGCCAGACGTGCTTGTAGCAGCCTTACTGCCAGAGGAACGTACGTTGGCATCCAGAGTCCAGTGCTGCCGCCAGTTGCAGTGCAGCAAGGCTAGCCCCAAACCTGATTTGCTGCAAGGATTAGCTCAACTCTAGTGACATTTATTGTGTTTTCTCATAGCCCAAATCACAGCCAAAAAAAAAAAAAAAAAAATCTAGGGTTGACATTTTTAAAAATTTTTTTAAAAAACATTTTTCTTGGTTAAATAATACATGATGGTTTAAAAATCAAATATTCATTGCAGTTCTAAAATCTCTGCAAGTGTGGGGGTCATTTAATTGCTGAGCCTCCCAGCCTCTTAGCTAAAAAATCTAGGGTTGACATTTTTAAAAATGTATTCAACAGAGTACGAGGGAAAAGATTAAAGATGGTGGATGGAAAACCATAAAAGCTGAGAGGAAGGCAGCACTGGGCTTAGAGTCACTTGGCTTCCCTCTAGCTAGTAAATAACCAGCACCAAATCACCTGATCCTCCTGAACTTCAGTTTCTGTGGCCATGAAATAAGAGGTTGGGTCCAGGAATCAATGTAAATTGTCAATTTAACATTTCCCTTTATTGATATTACTCCCCCCTGGGCTTGATAATTTAGTTATAATTCTTCATGCAGCTTTAGGTTGAGTAAGTTTGGTGGGAAACAGTAGCTCTCTTCATATATTTGAGAGATGTCATTTGAAAGGGGTAGATTTATTCAGTTTAACTCCAAGAAGCAGAAATGGGACCCATGGTAGAAGCTACCAAATGGAGGTTTGGCTCTAAATAAGAAAACGATCTTTGGAGTGCCTCTCCTAGTTTAGATGAAAAAAATTGCATCAAGTTGTAACCATGCTAGTCATTGGGAATTTTATTAACAACACGTAGCTCCTGTCCTGGGGAGGCTCATAGTTTGATAGGGGTAAGATGGAAAGAATTGGGCAGATGTGGATTATGTCTTAGCAGTAGAGCCAACAGAGTATGTTGGGGGTGAAGGGGTAAGAGAAATCACATACCTCCTAGGTTTTTAGCATTTTCCAAAATGAGGAAAATGGGTAGAGGCATGGACAGTGACTTATATTTAGACGCGTTAAGCCAGTTGTAACTGCTTGACGTCTCAGCGGGATAACAAGTAGGCAGCCATGTTGTGTAATGGAAATTCCATAGCTGTAGCCTTTACTAATGCGCTCTGGAATGGTCTATTCCAGCCTCTGAAAATGATTTGCTGAACAAGCGCCTGAAGCTCGATTATGAAGAAATTACTCCCTGTCTTAAAGAAGTAACTACAGTGTGGGAAAAGATGCTTAGCACTCCAGGAAGATCAAAAATTAAGTTTGACATGGAAAAAATGCACTCGGCTGTTGGGCAAGGTAAGCTTCATTGGGAAGCATCTAGTCAACCTCACCCCTCATTGGTGATTGGGGAGAAGTGTGGAATTAAAAAAAAGTCAAGTCTAATTTTAGTGGCCATCTCCCTTCTTTTCATCACATCTTAATCTATTTCCATATACCTTACTTAATAGACATGAGTTTCACCACCTTTCATGATTCCTCTTAATTAAAATTCCCAGAAGGCCGGGAAATAGGAAGAAGACAGAAAAACCCAAGGGTTTTGTTGCCTATAAACTAGATAATGATTTGATGATATACTTTGAATTAAATTATAAACTAGAAACTAATTGTATGGCTTGTCTCTGGGTACTCTAGGGAGACAACATAGTGTGGGGAGCACAGACTTCAGACAGGTGGTCTTGGGCTTAAATCTCAGGCCTGCCACTTACTTTGCAGTGTGATCTTAGACAAATGCCTCACCCTCTCTGAGCTCCAGTTTCTACAAGTGTAAGATGTGGGTGCTGACAGTGGATGTTGTGAGGAGCACACAGCATGTGTCTGCTATACTGTAAGGCCTTAGAGAGCGGGCAGGATTCACTGTTTTTTCAGTGAGATCTGCCAGCCCAAACTGTTACTGGTCCAAGAAGAGATAAGTACAGAACTTGAAACTAAGCTTTTGGAAATGTTTCCAGCAATGTGACACAGTGATCCTAATTAAAAATGTGGACTTATATTTTGTCCATCTGTTTTTTTTTAAATTTTGTTTTTCTACTAATTTATTTTTACTGTATCGTATAAAAATATCAGCCTGTAGTAGATTGGAAAATTTTTAAAAAGAAAAAAAATTGATGCTTCACAGATAGTTTGAGAACCGCTATTTTGAAGCTTACCTTCAGTCATTATTAGTGTTCTAGTCAAACAATGATTTCTTTAAAAATATATGTTAATGTCTTCTGGCAAGAGTAAAAGCCTGAGTCTAATCTGATTCTATGCTACTGAGTTCTGGTTGAGCTCATCATGAATAACCAGGTGTTCTGAATAAGGGTTTCAAGTATGTATAGAATGGGTTTTTCCTGAGTTTATCAGTTGTGCAGTGGGAAAACGTTGTATATGCACTTTTTCTTTTTTGAGATGTAGTTTCACTCTTGTTGCCCAGGCTGGAGTGCAATGGCGCGATCTCAGCTCACTGCAACCCCTGCCTCCCAGGTTTAAGCTATTCTCCTGCCTCAGCCTCCTGACTAGCTGGGATTACAGGCGCCCGGCACCATGCCTGGCTAATTTTTTGTGGGTTTTTTTTTTTTTTTTTAAGACAGAGTCTTGCTCTGTCGCCCAGGCTGGAATGCAGTGGCGTGATCTCAGCTCACTGCAAGCTCTGCCTCCCGGGTTCACACCATTCTCCTGCCTCAGCCTCCTGAGTAGCTGGGACTACAGGTGCCCGCCACCATGCCCGGGTAAATTTTTTTTGTATTTTTAGTAGAGATGGGGTTTCACTATGTTAGCCAGGATGGTCTCGATCTCCTGACCTCATGATCCACCCACCTTGGCCTCCCAAAGTGCTGGGATTACAGGTGTGAGCCACCGTGCCCGGCCAATTTTTTGTGTTTTTACTAGAGACGGGTTTTCACTGTGTTGGCAAGGCTGGTCTTGAACTCTGGACCTCAGGTGATCTGCCTGCCTCGGCCTCCCAAAGTGCTGGGATTACAGATGTGAGCCACTGCACCCGGCCTGCATATGCATTTTTCATCTCTAGGAGCATAAATGGAACAAAGCAGTGTTTTTTACTATAGTTTTTTAGGCATTTTTAACCTTTTCTGAATTTTGACATCAATTTTAGTAATCATGGGAAGTTATTGTTTGTTACGCATTTTCCCTTTCTATGGATAAGGAAACTTGGGCTTAGAGCAGTTGAATAGTGGCTTAGGGCCACAGAGCTGGGTTCACACCACCGTACTGCACTGCCTCCTGTTGAACAGGATCTCCAGGTGCTTATCTCAGAACACGTATGCAGTGGTGAAGACCGAAGTTCTGGATGGACACCAGCTTTCAGTGTGACTTTAGCAGGTACCCTCTTTCTGGGCTCTTGCCCCCTTACTGATAGAAGGAGAGACTTGCACTGAGCAGAGGATCTTGGAGCTGTCTTGGAGTTCTAATATTCCTTGCACCTGTACTTTTTCTTGAGGTTTACCTTTACACCAAATGACCCCAAATTGCTGTTTTGAAAAGGGAGAAAGCAGAGAAAAGAATGAGTCTGTTCTTCCCCCATTCACAGTTGCCTAGATGATCACCTTCAGGTGTCTTTGCTTCTGCGAAAGGCAAATTGCATGGGTCTGTGACAGCTATTCCAAATATTTGAGCTTCTTAGAAGCCTGGCACCTGGATATTTGTTTTTCACTGGGCATATTTTGTGGGGGCTAATAGAAATACTCTAGGAATCTGGACCCTGGGTAGTGAAAGTTGGGCACAGATGATTGAGCATTCTGTATACTGGAGTGAGCTAAGGCTGACCTGGAATTTCCTTATGTGTTGCCTGACTTTGCCACATCACTTTTTACTGCAGAAGCTCTAACCATAAAGGGGGCTTTGTCAGTCAGGTGGTTTTAACACATTAAGATTTAACAACTCCAAACAAATGAGGGCGGTCTATTTTGTGGTTCAGAATAAAAATGTGAATCAAAAAATTTGAGCCTAAATTTGAATCATATCTTTGACCTTTGAAGTAGAGGCCAACTCACCTCAGAGACCTTGTAAGAGAGGACAGTTGTGTGGATTAAGAGGCCCTTCCTCATAGTGACATAAAAGACCCTGAAGTGATGGAAATAAAGGAATTTATAAAATTTTCCCAGTTAAAATTAGATGAGGGGCCAGGATTAGGGTATCAATTTAGGAGAAGATAACATAATCCTATGACATTATAGATAATTCAGTTTAGTACACATCAAAATGATTTCTCTAAAGATATCTAGATAGAACCTTATAAGCTGGAATGTCTTTTTTAGGAATGGGATTGCAGAGGGGCTGCCTGGGCTGCTGACAGTAGGGGCCAGATGCAAACTCTGCTTGCCTTTGACCCGGCAATGCCATTTATAAAAACTTACTCTAGAAACTAATCAGCCAAAAATGTACTGCAGTAAGAATGCTTATTGTGACATTGTTTAATAGTCAAAACAAAACAAAAAACCCAACATGTGACTATCCCATGTCATATTCCTTGAAAATGACACCATAAGTAGATCTGTATTTACTGACGTAAAAGATGTCTAAGTTGTTAAATGAAAAGAGTACAGCATGGTCTCCTGTACTGTTGATATTTCCATGTGCGTATACATGGAAAAACACCCACGATGCAGATGTCCAGGTTATAGACAGGATGACCATAGGGCCCAACCTGGCATAGCCCTGGTTTATGACTCCTGTCCTGGCAAAATTATTAATAGCCTTCCTCCTCTTCACTGTCAAAAGCTTCCTGCTTTGGATGGTAAATATATGCTTATTCTAGTTATGGGTGGTTTTTCACTTTCTTCTTTATACCTCTTGCATTTCAGAGGTTTTTTTGCACCACTTTTAAACAGTGAGTGTATATTATTTTTTAAGTGAGTAAGAAGCTATTTACATGGGGGATGGAGGAATGGCCTCCTGCCCTCCCAGACCCTGCCTGCAAGCCGTAGGTGGGCTCCACTGCCAGGTTTCTCTTGGGTTAGGAGTGAAGGCAGCACCATGGTGGGGAAGGGCATTCCAGGCCATTCTTAGCAAAAACATTGGGTCCAACCTGCATGATCCTGTGCTTTAAATCACAGAATCTAAGCTTACTCCTGAATACCACAATATCTGGTACTGTCCAGTGACACAGCCAATATTCTTTTCTTTCAAAAAATAAAGGTCTGATAAGACAATGGGAATGATTTAGTAATAGGAAATTGGACATTTCATAACTTGGGAAAATTTCCCAGTTTGAGAAAAAGTATTTTGTGAAAAAAAGCCCCACTATAAATCACTTATCATGCTGACTGTTTTCTAGCCCACATTTACTTCTCATCAGCATTTGAAGTATTTGTGGGGAGGGTGTGCGTGTGTGTGTATGTACCCAGGATATATCTATGAGCTGGAATAGCAGAGGGAGACAAGAAATAGAATAATAGTAGAAAGCAGAGATCAGGGTATATTTGCTTCCTGTTGCTACCATAACAAGTTACTACAAAAATAGTGACTAAAGCAACAGAAATTCTTCTCTCAGTGTTCTGGAGGCCATAGCTCCAAAACCATGCCGTTAGCTTGTCTGTACTTGGCCTCTTCCAGCTTCTGGTGTCTGTCAGCTTCCTAGACTTGTGGTCACGGCACTCCAGCCTCTGCCTCCTTGGTCACATTGATTCCCCTTCTCATCTCCTCCTCTGTATGTCTATTATAAGAATGCTTGTCACTGGATATAGGGCCCATCTGGATAATCCAGGATGCTCTCCTCCTCCCAAAGTCCTTACTTAATTATATCTGCAAAGAAGGTAACATTCACAAGCTCCAGGGATTAGGAAGTGAACACATCTCTTTTGAGGGGACACCATTCAACTCACTCTACAGGGTCATTATATTAATGCTGAGATAAAATTACAGAAGGTATAGGATGTGGTCATGGTTTACAGGGGCCCTGTATTTCTTCTACAGGCCAACTTAAAAAAAATGATACGTGAAAGGGAAAGAAGAAAGTACTTACTACACAGTAAGTATTTCCAAGAGGTGGCCCAGTGAGACTTTTGAATCTGTTAATAAAATGATTACTATTTGGTTCAAATCCACAGATGGTTATTTTATCATTAATTGCAAGATAGGAACACAAAATATTTTTTCTCTAGTCCCCATTTGAGTAGCAGCCTTGTTTGACATTTCTGACATGGAGGACACCAAGAGAAAATGGCAGTCAGCATCCCTGGGCTGTCACTCACCGGCCTAATGACCTAGGGCAAGGGACCTGTTCTCACTGCCTCTCTTTTCTTTACCATGAGGATAATCATGTTTCCCTTAGAGGGTTATGAGTATGGTATGGGCCAATACACATAACGTGCATGGAATGGCGATGGTGCATAGTGGCCTCGCAATCAGTGCTATCTGCTGCTGCTACCTGCCAGAGCAGAAACTTTTCCCAAAGGTGGCCAGAGACAGAAACCAGAGAAACCATCCTTCTGGACAGGCTGTCTGAGTGGCAGGGCAGGGTACAAAGCGGCCACTTTTTTTCCCGGATGGAAAGAAAGATCAATGCCTAACTTGGAGGCTTCCTTTCTCCCAAAAGACAAGAAAGACTTGGCATCTTATTCTTCAGTCTTCTTGCTCTCCCCCTTTCCACCTTTTTGGCCTTGTAATAGCTGAGTAATGAGCTAAAGAATTTTGGTTCAAAACTGTCACCTTTTAAAATTAGGTTTGCCCTAAATAACATCCTTGACTTTAAGAGAATTTTCTTAAGTTTTAGACATTTTTAATCACTGTGAGTATTCAAATTAATCACATGCAAAGCATTAGTTAGAGGCTCTTGGACATTTTCTGTTTTTAGAGCTTTGTTGGATGCTCACATGGCAATGTCTGTGCAGTCAGTTCCTACCCAGCCTCTGGGCTCTTCTTGCAGCTTATCTTGCAGAAAGAAGCCTCATCAGAATTCCAGAATCTCAGCTATGATTAGCTTACTCCACCTCAGCTCAGAAACATGCATGATTCCCTGGAGCTACCAAACGTGGGGCAGGTTTCTTGCCGTCAATTTTGCCTCTCACAATAACCCTTCCAGCCTTCTTGCCAGCTGCTCTCTTCCACATGCACCCTTGTGCCTGAGGCAAACTGAATCACTCTCGGTTCCCTCTCTCTTGTACTTTTCTCTTCCTTTTCCCTCATCCTTAAGGCTCGACTCAAATGAAGGATTCTGTGGAACCTTGATTGCTCAGTTAGAAATGAGCAAACTGTCGCAAGGACAGAAAACCAAACATCGCATGTTCTCACTCATAGGTGGGAATTGAACAATGAGAACACTTGGACACAGGAAGGGGAACATCAAACACTGGGGCCTATCGTGGGGTGGGGGGAGGGGGGAGGGATAGCATTAGGAGATATACCTAATGTTAAATGACGAGTTAATGGGTGCAGCACACCAACATGGCACACTTATACATATGTAACAAACCTGCACGTTGTGCACATGTACCCTAAAATTTAAAGTATAATAATAATAATAATAAAAAGAAATGAGCCAGCTTCTCTTTCATCTGAGCTCTACTTCCTTTTGATTCTCTCTGCTTTCTGAGATCACATCTTACATGACAATTTTTCATACTTGGCTTTATTTCCCTAGAATGTTGTTAATTGGCACCAGGTTGGAGCTCAGGTCGTATTCTTTATTCCTTGCAGAGTCTGACAGGGTCAGAACATGATAACACATTTGAGAAGTGAGAAGAAGGGAGGAAGGGGCCAGGGAAGTGAGGGGAGAATAGGGGGTGGAAGTAGGGGAAGAAGCAAATAGGGCAAGGTTTTAGTTGCCTCCCTTCTGTTCTTATGCTGTTAATTAATAATGGAACCAGTGGCCAGGCATGATGGCTCATCCCTGTAATCCCAGGACTTTGGAGGCTGAGGCAGGAGTATCGCTTGAGCCCAGGAGTTTGAGACAAGCCTGGACAGCATAGTGAGACCCTGTCTCTACAAAAATAAAAAAAAAATTAGCCAGGCATGGTGGTGGGCACCTATAATTTCAGCTACTTGGGAGGCCGAGGTGGGAGGATCATTGGAGCCCACAAGGTTGAGGCTGCAGTGAGATGTGATTGTGCCTCTGCACTGCAGCTCGGGTGACAAAGCCAGACTCTGTCTCAAAAAAAAAAAAAAAGGAACAAGAATTTGGATAAATGGAACATGAAACACAATTCATTTTTATTATTAAGTTGTATTCTGTGCATAAATTATTTCCATGTCTTCTCTCCCTTTTAAAGGTGTGCCACGTCATCACCGAGGTGAAATCTGGAAATTTCTAGCTGAGCAATTCCACCTTAAACACCAGTTTCCCAGCAAACAGCAGCCAAAGGATGTGCCATACAAAGAACTCTTAAAGCAGCTGACTTCCCAGCAGCATGCGATTCTTATTGACCTTGGTAAGTCTGTGCCATCGATTGGAGATGACAATGGAAGTTTCACTCACATGAAAAATCTGAAGAGACTGTCCAAGTTATGTATTGACCTGCCTTTAGGTTTAGCAATCAAAATTTACTACTGAGACTTTTAATTTAAAAAGCCCTAGGGTAATCACAAATGTCATCTTCAAGCATATAAAAATCTCTGTATTTTCACTGGGGAGCTTGTTAACTTTGCTTGGCATGGAGGGAGGGTGTTCATTAAGGCTGCAGTCATAATTGTGGTTCAGTCCAGTAACTCAAATATTGATAGGAGGTTTTTACAGTCAACCGAAGGAACATCCTGGAAAACGTATAGATGTTCAGAACCGAGGCTTGGTTTAATTACAGGAGCCACTCCCTCATTTTTACTGCTCACAAACAGAATTCATCAGAAAAATTGTAGAAAGCAGTTTGTGTGTGTGCCTTGAATGATTTTATTTTGGAAACTGGGTGGCACCTTGTCTCTTGAATAGTTTTTAAAATAAGAAGATGGGAACAATATACAGTCAGCCCTCCATATCTATGGGTTCTGAATTTGGGGACTCAACCAACCTCAGATGGAAAGTATTTGGGAAGAAAAATCAATGAAAACTAAACAATAATATAGATTTTAAAATATAGTAACTATCTATGTAGAATTTACATTGTATTAGGTGTTATAGGTAATCTAGAGATGATTTAAGGTGTGTGGGAGGATGTGGCCGGGCACAGTGGCTCACGCCTGTAATCTCAGCACTTTGGGAGGCCAAGGCTGGTGGATCATGAAGTCAGGAGATCGAGACCATCCTGGCTGACACGGTGAAACCCTGTCTCTACTAAAAATACAAAAAAATTAGCCAGGCATGGTGGTGGGCGCCTATAGTCCCAGCTACGCAGGAGGCCGAGGCAGGAGAATGGCGTGAACCCAGGAGGCGGAGCTTGCAGTGAGCCAAGATCATGCCACTACGCTCCAGCCTGGGTGACAGAATGAGACTCTGTCTCAAAAAAAAAAAAAAAAAAAAAAAAGTGTATGGGAGGATGTGTGTAGGTTATGTGCAAACATAGCACCATCTTATAGAAGGGCCTTGAGCACCGTGGATTTTGGTGTCTGTGGGGACTCCTGCAACCTATCCCCCGAGGATGCCAAGGGATGACTGTATTGGATAGATTTGCAGTTGCCACTGTGAAGGACTTGTTGAACTGGGGTGTGATTATGATGCACAGAGGGCCCTCCTGACTTGTCAGTGGCCATGCACAGGGCCAGGTGGCAATGCACTCCCGTTTGCCTGCCGCCTATCACCCAAGCTGCTGTCTCTACTGGTGGTGAGCTGGCTCGATGTGGTAGGAGATGGGCCCTGCTGCTTTTAGAGCATGTGGCCCTGCTTCCAGAATACCTGTTCTGGTTGCAGCTGCTGCTGCTGAAGGCTCCACAGAACACACAGTGCTTTGGGGCCCTGCGGTGGCCCGGTTCTCTGATTGTTCCTGCAGCCACGACAGAGGATGCAGTGTGAGCCGCATCAGGCAGTATGAAGTCCTTTCCTCTCAAGCCACGTAGCTAGCCTTAAAGGTTAATTTCATAACCCTTAAGGTTATTTTTTTTTTTAATTTTTTTTTTTGAGACGGTGTCTCGCTCTGTCGCCCAGGCTAGAGTGCAGTGGTGTGATCTCAGCTCACTGCAAGCTCCGTCTCCTGGGTTCACAGCATTCTCCTGCCTCAGTCTCCCAAGTAG
Source organism: Homo sapiens (assembly GCF_000001405.40). Taxonomy (NCBI): domain Eukaryota; kingdom Metazoa; phylum Chordata; class Mammalia; order Primates; family Hominidae; genus Homo; species Homo sapiens. Next base: position 38,104,887 of record NC_000004.12, read on the forward strand.
CTGGGACTACAGGTGCCCGCCACCATGCCTAGCTAATTTTTTGTATTTTTAGTAGAGACGGGGTTTCACCGTGTTAGCCAGGATGGTCTCAATCTCCTGACCTCGTGATCCTCCCGCCTTGGCCTCTCAAAGTGCTGGGATTACAGGCGTGAGCCACCACACCCGGCCCCACTTAAGGTTATTCTTTAGCTTGAACATCATCTCTGAGAAACTTTCCCTGACTGTGGTCTCCTCTCCCACCTCAAGACTGGATGAGGTGTCTTGCTAAGCCCCCTGTAGCACCCCACACTCTCCCCATGGTGCGTATCACATTTCTCATCATCACCGTTATCTGCTTATTATCATCACTGCTGCTGCCTAACTTCACCTTGGGCCAAATGTTGTGCAAAGGGACTTAAACTCCTTTCTTTAATCCTTACAACATGATCAGGTAGATGTTGTTCTGTTTCTCTTTAGAGTTGAGAAAATAGAAACAGACAGGTTACGTAACTTGCTGAAAGTGACACAGCCGATTTGCCGCTAATCAGTGTGACTTCGGAAGCTGCACTTTTTTTTCAACTTTTATTTTAGATTCCAGGATTGCGTATGCAGGTTTCTTACAAAGGTGTATTGTGTGATGCTGAGGATTGGAGTGTGATTGAACTTGTCACCCAGGAACCAAGCATGGTACCCAATAGGTAGTTTTTCAACCCTTGCCTTCCTCCCTCCCTCTCCACCCCCCAGGAGTCCCTGGTGTCTGTTCTCATCTTTATGTCCATGTGTACCCAGTGTTCAGCTCTCATTTCTAAGTGAGAACATGTGATGCTTGGTTTCTGTTTCTGAATTAGTTTGCTTAGGGTAATGACCTGCAGCTGCATCCATGTTGCTGCAAAGGACATGATTTTGTCCCTTTCTATGGCTGCAGAGTATTGCATGGTGTCCATATATCACATTTTCTTTATCCGGTTCACTGTTACTGGGCACCTGGGTTGGTTCCATGTCTTTGCAATTGTGAATAGTGCTGTGATGAACGTGTGAGTACATGTGTCTTTTTGGTAGGATGATTTATTTTGTTTTGAGTATATACTCAGTAATGGGATTGCAGGGTCGAATGGTAATTCAGCTCTTAGCAGAACCTGTATTTCTTACTCCACCTCCCCCGCCTGTCCTTAGTATACAGCAGTGGCTCTTTATTGCCTTTTTCCCTTATAGGATACAGCCCTCTGCGGACTGGGCTGGGGCTGTTTGGCCATTATACCCTCGGCTTCTAGGACAGTGGCTGTGACACAGCAGATGCTCAAAGAATATCTTTAAGATTCAGAGTGTGAGACACTGCACTAGCACCGCCATCTCATGGGCCCTCACAACAGCCCTGGGAAGGTGGCCTGCACCCTCTCTAAGAAATGAAGAAACTGAGGTCACATGTTGACCATGGTCACAAAGTCACCTGAGGGGAGGTGACAGGAACTGAACCCACTGTCACTCTGTGTTTCCCTGGGACCCTCTGAGCGCAGGAGGCCCGTGTTGCTGTGCAGTGGCAGGCCAAGGCAATGCCTTGGTGGAGCTGGGGCCCATTTGGCCCACTGACCTGAGGAAAGCAGTTTTGTGAATTGGCAGTAGCTGCATTTGCTGACATGGTGAGTTACAGGAAATGCCATCATGTTCCTATCATGTGAAACAAAGTGAGAAATAGGTTCAGGGTGGGAGGCTGAAAGGGAGGAATGCAGACAGCCCCGCTCCCCACACTTGCTCCAAGGCTGGGAGGAGGAACGGGAAGGTGTCTCCCCTCCTGGATTCAGTCACCTTCTTCTCTTCATTCCCCTGCAGTATCCCCTCATTCTTCCACGGACACGATCAGCCCCTGCTTCTTGTTGCTCAGATGTCATCACTTTTCTGCAGAGGGAAAAGAAGAGACCAGATCAGAACAAGGGCCTCGGCGTGGCTGTGCACTCCGAAGGCACTGTGTGTGCCTGAGCCCCACCACGGCCTCCCCTGCAGGGCTCAGGCAGCCTTCCTTGAGCTGGCATGAGGTCTGTGGGAGCCCGGTCCACTGGCAGGGCTGGCTGCATTCAAGTCCTCTCCATCCCTGCCTCTCCCCACCCTCTCCCTCTGCTGCCCCCTTCTCTGACAGTGCTGACCCCCCTCTCTCTTCCCCACTCTTTCCCATCCTCGCCTGGCCTCCGGTTTGGATGCTGTCCACACACTTCCCGAGGGCCTGAGAGGACCTCCGTGTGAGGCAATGCATTTCCCAGGTCACCTCTGTGTCTCTCTCCAGGCTTTTTCCAGGGACTCCCCGGGGTCAGTCTCCTCTCCCCACTGGAACGGGGAAACTGGGATTGGCCTAGACCCGGCAGTGGAGTCCCAGGTGCCCTGCCTGCCCGGCTGACTCCGCCCAGGGAGGCCTCCCACAGAAGCTCCTCCAGACTCCACCTGTTACCTCCCCCACTCCTCTCACCCAAGGCTGTGCTGTGGCCAAGTCAGTTGTTTAGTCTACACTTTCTGTTTAGTCTACACCATGGCTACCTCAAGGCCCAGTGAAGGTGTGTAGTATAAAGCAAAATCAAATCCATATTTCAGTTTTCCTTAAAAAGTGACCTTCATATTCTGGCCAGAAGAACAGAATGGTTGGTTGGATATATTTTGAGTTTTCATGGGTTTTTGTTTTCCTGCCTCTTGTTATACTTTCTGAAATTGGCTTTTAGTCTAAACAGGTTTTTTTTTTTTTTTTTTTTTTTTGGCAATGTGTTTTCCTCCAAAGAGTAAGAATAATAGGCCTCATGGCTGGGTCGTGTTCTACAGTTTGTGAATATTTTCTCAACCTTTGTCAAATTTCATCTTTACACATCCTGTGTGAAATTGGGCACGTGCCGTTATTTCCAACTTAGAGGGGATGAATGAGCCCTTAAGAGCTTGAGTTCTCTGCCCACATTGCGAGTTACTCAGTGCCAGAAGGAGTTCTGGAACCCAGGTCTCCTCAGTCTCCATACCACATCCCTTCTAGGGCACCATGTTGCTTCTGTGTTTCTTGGCTCTGCCCACTCCATGCCAGCACAACTCTCCCCACCCCTGCTTTGGTGGAATCATGTTCCTTTGGGGTAGATCACACCAGCCAGAGGCAACTGCTCTCAGCTTAGCAGATGGTACTCATCACATTATTCTTGAAGCCTTGGGTCAGGAGCCTGCCCCACCCATCTGCATCCATTTGTCCAGCCCTCAGACAATTGCCACTGTTTTCATGTCTATTCTTTGACTCTCTATCCTGGGTAGACAACATGGACTGCCCAGCATCCTGTCTTCTGTCTGGGGCTCCCACTGTCGTCCTGACCACGCTGGGGGCTGCCAGTGACACTGGGAAACTCCTGAGGGACCCCCTTCAGGCTTCACATCATCTGCTCCCTCCCTAGCATCCCAGCCTAGAACACTTTCCAGCCATCAGCTGCATTCCCCAGTGAGGCGTGCAGCCTCTCCCATGATAGGAGGGCTTCAGCCGAAAGAACACTTCAACAGGCCCAGAAACCCAGGAGCACCATTAGATCAGAAAGCAGAAGCAAGAATGCATCTAATCTCCCCCACATCAATTGCTATAGTTTTATTAATCTGCATATTATAGGTCAGTAAGGGGATGGCACAGTTTATAATCCCTGCAAGAGTCTGATGATCTTTTGGTGACCAGAAGTGCCATTTTTTGATGGGCTTCTAGAGATCCTCCATCAGGGATACCAGACATGTTTGGCATGCCTGTGCTGCCGCGAGACGCTAAGCGTGTGTCCAGACTACACGTGTGGGTCACGGGTCCAGCAGCAGAGCTGTCATGTTGATTGTTTGCTTCTACTAAATGTATAAAGCCTGCCTGGTGTCCAGAAGAAAAGAAACTATAATCCAATTTTTTAGAATCCATAAAAGGTAAGAAGTAGGAGAACATTTAGAATCCACAAAAGATGAGAAGTAGGAGAACGGTTGGATTTTTTAGAATCCATAAAAGATGAGAAGTAGGAGAACCTCCAAAAGGAAGGAATCAGCTGAGAGTATTGAAGATGACCAAGTACAAACAGGCAGAGGGGAGCGCTTCCCCTTCTCCTCTCCCAGGCGGTGGGCTGCCTCGCTCGGCCAGGACACACAGAGCAGCATCGTGCACTTTGAGGGGCAGGTGGAGCTGCTCATCACTAGCAGGGGTGCTGGCGGGGACCACAGTGTTCTCTTCCATCTTTGAGTTGAAGTCCTGTGTGAGAAATGAGAAACCTTCATGGCAAAAGACAGAAAGGGACCTAGAATGTAACATTCAGCAGTCTTGTTATCTCACGCACCTGTCTGTCCAGTTGGGGACGTTGCTGTATGGAGGTCAGTTGAACAATCACAGTTGAGGAGCCTAATGAATTCTTGCACCACCAGCCACACACATTATTCTGAAGAGTGAGCCATTGTCTCTGATCTTATCAGGATCACATCGTGGGATCATATTTATTTGGTCATTCTGAATATACCCTTTAAGTCCAAAGTGAAATAACTAAATGTCGTTGATAAAAGGAAAGAATAAAGTGGGGTATGATTTCCTTTCACAGAGGTCTGGAATCTTCCTGCCTTTTTCAAGTCAGTCGGTGGTGCTGGCAAATGTTTAATAACCAGCTCCTCTCACCCCTCAGAGGAAGCCCTTGGTGTTCAGTGTTTGCAGATTTCCATTGTGCAACTAGTCCTCCCACACCCCATTTTAAACTACCCACTTGATGTCACTGGTCATGGAGTTGGGCTCACAGAGCCAGTGGGAGTCAACTGGAGCAGCCACTGGACTCATTCAAGTGTTTCCCAAAAACAATCTGCTCCTAGAAGGACTCTCCCTTAATCTCCTAACCCTGCCATTCAGGATGATTCCCTGCACTCTGGGAAGCACACGTTCTAGTGGGAAGACTGATACTGGGCAACTGATAACCAAGTGACTTAAACTTCTGAGGGTTACAAAGGGTGTTTGTATCCTCAGTGTCTCATTTCAGATTCTGCTCAGAGCTAAATGCAACAATGTGAGAAGATGTTAGTATCCCAGATCTTCATCCAGGAAGGAATCTTAGAGATCATTAGGTTGTAGGGTTTCTCTTCTGCAGAGGAGATAGAGGGTCGGTGTCAGATTGCTGGTTTGCCAGTACCACTCCCTGGAGAAAAGAGCAAAAGAAAGAAACTTGTTAGTCAACTGTGCAGAGCCACCGTGAGACTGAATAGCTTTGTGGGTGGCCCCGTGTTTGCTGCAAGAGACCTCTGGCCTCTTGTAGCAGCTGCCACATGGTAAACAGAGCCGAGATATCAGGAGTCTCGCTGAAAATGCAGTCAGATGGGCTCTGAATAGAGGAAGGCAGGACACTCTTGAGATGGGATGGGGTTTCTCACAGCACCGTACAGGGACCACCTGCAAGATCTCTTGAGGGGCTTGTGAAAAACACATCCCTGAGGTCACCATTCTTGACCTGCTGCTTATTGAGTTTCTGATGCCTGGGATGTGCAGGTTTAACAAGCCCCCAGATGATCCTAATAGGATTCCTGCCTGAAAATTGCTGGGTGAAGGCTCTTCCCCCTCCAAGTGATAAAGAAGGAAAAGATTGATCCTGGAAGAACATCCGTTAGATGAGCAAAATTTTGTGGAGCACTTCATGAAGAGGAATTACTAGGTCATTTAGAAATATGTTTGAATTGTGGATCATCTTGTAGGCCTTTCTGGCATATTTCTCCACTTAGATCCACAAGACACATCGAATGTCTTTTTATAAAGGGGTTTTTTAATGCCCATGTTTGACCCTCTCCACTTAACAGTCCCATTCTCATTTTATATGTGAAGGTAATCTGCTTTACAGAAAAATGTAAAGGACCTGCACTTCTCTGCTTTGTGGTAAGTTGTAAAATGCAGTTTAAAGAGGCAGGCCTCATATCCTGATAGATTTGTAGGAAGGATTGCACAGTTTTACCCAGCTTCCCTCGAGTTTGGCAGAAATTAGCTTTCCCTGAGCTGGTGTCTTCCCGAGCTAGCATGCTTCTCCTATGGGGTGTGTGGCCTTCTCTCCTGTCTTCTTGAGGCAGAGCTTCAATCTAGAATCTGTTCACAAACTGAACAAATGCAACAAACAGTAAACAGTCTTTTGCTCATAGTTAAGGTGCCTTGAGTTGGGTGTGAGGGGCTGAGTGTGTTCTCAGGGGTGCTCTGCCCACGGCTCCGGCCAACTGCTGCAGGTGCGCATCATATGGGTGGTCTTTGTGGAATGCCATCAGCACTAGCTTAGTACCTCCTAAATGGGAGCTGGAGGGCTACAGTGCTCAACACTGGATTATACGAATGTGGATTGTCCAGGAAATGCTTTTAATCCCCCTCATCCACTCTCTACCCACGTGACCTGCCTCTCCCTCTTTACTTGGTGTTTACTCAGGAATGTGGGTGAGTTGTCGTGTTAGCCTAGAACAGCCATTCCCAAACTTTGATGGAAGGATGCCATTCACTTTGAAAATTATCGAGTAGCCCAAAGAGCTTCTGTTTCCATGGATAATTCCTATCAATATTTACTATATTACCAATTAATTAAAACTGAGATTAGTATTTATTTGATTCGTATTTATTTTTACATAGCTATAATAAACTCATACATATAAAAAATTATTAAAAAATGACTGTTTTCCAAAATAAAATTAGTTAGAAATGTGACATTGTTTCTACATTTAAAAAATCTCTTTAATGTCTGATTTAATAGAATCCGCTGAATTTTATTTGCTTCATTCATTCTGTTTTGCTTGTTATTTGAAGCATATAAAGCAAAAGCTGACCTTGCACAGATCTATAGTAGGAAAAGCAGGGGGAGGGCCTCATGGACCCCTAAAAGGATCTCAGCGACCTCCAGGGGTCCTCAGGCTGACCAAACATTGAGAACTATTGACCTGGAAGAATGTAAAATAGGAAAACAGTGTCTCCCCCAATAGAATTTCGTGTAAAACGTGGACTGTGTTACAAAGTCAGATGGGTGCAGTTGTCCTGCTTAACCGCTAATCAGGAGCTGAAGGCCAGAGACTCACAGCTGTTCCCCAGCCTGGTAGTGAACCCAGAGGCCTGTCTTGCTGTGCAGTGGGACAGGAAGTTGCATTTGGGAGTCTCATAGAACACACTGGAAGATGTGTTTTAGCTTGGCCAGTTTCATGCAGGACAGATTTTCTGCATAAAGAAAATCAATGACAGTTTCTGAAACTGCATCCTGGAAGCCTTGACCAGTTTGGGTAATAACAAGAGATTTGAAAGTGTGGGGTGTACAGGTGTTTTGCTGAATCTAGGTGGTGGTGGTGATTATTATTATTTGGAATTCAGCTTTCAGTTCTACCTGCTTGTGAGTTCCAAACTTTGTGAAAATTAGTTGCTTGGACGAAACTTTTCTTTGCCTCTGGAAGGCTGTCAGAAAGCGAGATTTCCCAGCTTATGTGCAGTGTTATAGTTAATAGAGTAATGGCTCTGCAAAGTTGTTCCTTTACTTTAAATGTAATTTATTTTGCATTTGTGCTACAGAACGGTCATAAGTGTGCCCTTTTGTCCTCTTGTTTGGAAACTGGGTTTTTATAATGTGTGTGGTCTATCCGAAGATTATTGCCCATTATTGAACACCATTCATAGCAACCATTTGCATTAGGCATTGTACGTGTACTCTCCACTCTGCAAACTATGTGTTCTGTCCCTTTTTAAAAAGAGGAAGCTAAGGTTCAGAGAAGCTAGGTAGTCCATTCTGAGCTTCACGTGCCAGAGGCCATTTTGTACTTACTTCAAATGCCATTGAAATAAATGCACATCAGAGAATTGTTCTTAGCATAAGGGGCGCTACATGTAACTTTTTATTAGTGAAATGGATGATGTTCAAGGGCTGTGGTTGATTAGAAAGGCGTCCAGACCCTGGCTCCAGGGACTATGGAGCAGAACTGGAGGCCAGTGCCTGTCGAGCGGGTCCCCACACTCCATCTGTGTGACCTGACTGTGGATGGCCTGGCTCTGCCGTTAGATTGCCACGGTGCCCTCCTCTGGTTGAACCTTTCTCGAGAAGTGCTTGTTGGAGGCTTGAGTGCAGAGCCTGTGAGAAGCTCTATGTGGTTCCTATTGCCTGTCAGCTTGCTGATAAAGGTCATTGGTTTGGCAAAATTTGGCCCAAGGTTTGCCTTCTCATAACATACCACTCGGTAGCAAGGCTGGGAGGAAGGTGGCTATAGCTATTTCTGGAAGCTGCTTAGGGGGCTGCCTCCCCCTAAATTGGTACATAATTTGCAGGGCCTATTGCAAGATGAAAATGCAGAACCCTTTCTTGAAAGATTATTAGGAATTTCAAGACAGAGACAACAGAGCATGAAGCCTTGTGCAAGGTCCTTCTAAGCACAGAGCCAGTGTGACCGCACAGAACACACACCCGTGAAGCCAGCTCTGCCCCCACCATCTGACCACTCTTGAGTGGCCAATTAGCATAGGTCACTCCCCACCCTGCTAGGCCCACCCTCTTAGGAATGTTGTGAGGCTTAAATAAGAAATAGCCACTCTACAAGCGGTGTCAATTAGCATGGGCTCTGGTTTCTGTGTGAGGTAGTTTGCTAACATGAGAGGGTATCTGATTAGCTAAAACGATAACACTGACAGATTAAATTCAGAATAACTAAACCTTCCCTGTGTTCCTTTATGCCACATGACTCCTGCATATTCTGCTACCAGCACCTGTTTGATACCAGACGGAGGGGTCCATTTGGGATGGGACAGGAGCATCAGCAGAAATGCAGAAGTGGGGAAGTGCTCCATCTTCTTGGAAGCTGAGCTGGCAAGGGTAATGGAATGAAAGAGATTGTGAATATTTTTGAGACTATGAGGAAACCAGTACACTGGTGTTGCCCAGTACAGAAGCCACATGTGGCTGTTAAGCACTTGAGATGTGGCTACTCCAAATTGAGGCGTGCTGTCAGTATAAAGAACACACTGGATTTCAAAGACTTGGCATGAAAAAAGAATGCCTAATGTCTCAGTATTTTTATATTGATTATGTTGAAGTGATAGTATTTTGTGTATGTTGGGTGTAACAAAATATCTAATTAAAATTAACTTCACCTGTTATTTTCTAATGTGGGTGCTAGAAACTGTTACATCCTGCATGGGGGTCACATTCCAGTTCAGTTGCATGTGCTGCTACCCATTGTTCTACACACACACACACACACACACCTGCACACAACCTAGAGGGGTCAGAGACCCCAGGAGCCCCTGCTTCTGGTGCCCAGGCTAAGCGCTGGAGTGGAAGATAAAGCTGGGAGGGTGGGTAAGGAGGTGAGTGCACGGAGCTCCAGGCTAACAGAGTGGATAATTTGTTCTTTGAGCACTGGGGAGCTATGGATTGCTTACTAGCAGCAAGGTGACTTGTGCAGGGTATATCTGGGGGAGATTTACTGGGGGAAGAGATAGAGGAGGCAAGAAGTGAATACAGAACGAGAAATCAGGACAGTGGTTAGGAGACCGTAGCTTTCCTCTTGAGTCAAGTTCAGATAACACATCTGGACTGATGAAATTCTTTTTCAGGAAGCTGAGGAAGAGCCCATGAAAATATGTTCCTCCCTGTGCTGAGACCGAATAATTGCAGTGAACAATTAACGTGTGGCCTAGATCCACCTTTTGCCTTCGCTGATCCAAGCAGGTTCATAATTCTTGCCTGGGCCCAAGCTTGGCCCTGGCTGCCAGCTGCCTGGCTCCAGATGTTTCTTAATCGTTTCAAGTACTTCTCTGCTCCCTGGAAACAGGCACTCCCATCAGTCACATTCCAGAGGAGGAGGAAGAGGAACTTGACAAGTATCAGCTACAAAAGCCTCCTGAACAAAAGAAATCCTTTAAGCCTATTTGAATAACAGTTTTTTGTGAAAATAATCAGGATGTTGAGAGCTTTTTTTTTTTTCTTTTAAACTCTTTTTGGAAGGTAACTTTTGTGAAAAGAAAACACCTGCTGCTCCTCAGGCTGTTTCAAAACACTGCCTATAGTTTGAAAGTACGGAGATATGCATGTGGTATGAAGCATTTGCAGGCATAATATGTGTAGTCTGGGAAAAGCAGATCCAGAGAGTGCTTGTAGTAAGGCGAGGCCTTTTAGCTGCATTTAGATGATGCTGGGATTGGGGTGGGTGCAGGGTGCAGCAGTGGGGAGGAAGAACTGTGTGTGTTCCTCTTGAGAATAGGGGTTATGTCTAGAGGATTAACAGTTTTCTTTTTTCTTTTTTTTTTTTTTTTTTGGAGTTGGAGTTTTTCTCTTGTCTCCCAGGCTGGAGTGCAGTGGCATGATCTCAGCTCACTGCCATCTCTGCCTCCCAGGTTCAAGCAATTCTCCTGCCTCAGCCTCCCGAGTAGCTGGGATTACAGGCACCTGCCACCACGCCTGACTAATTTTTTCTATTCTTAGTAGCGATGGGGTTTCGCCATGTTGGGCAGGCTGGTCTCGAACTCCTGACCTCAGGCGATCCTTCCACCTAGGCCTCTGAAAGTGCTGGGATTACAGGCATGAGCCACCACACCTGGCCAACAGTTTTCTTTTTTCGATTGAAGTTCAGCTATTTGCAGGACCGAAGGTAGTTCTGATTACTTTCACCTGTACTTCCACCAAAAAATAAATAAAACAACCATGAGTAATTGCTGATTTTTAATTGAAAGCATTATTCCAGGAATAACTGGTGGACTTCGTTTGCAGAGGAAGTGGCAAAGACTGATTGATATTATGATCCAGCTTCTAAAGATTTTGCTGCTTAATCTGAAGCACATTGGATTTCTGGTTCAATAGGCTTTCTTTTTTTGTTTTTATTATTACAACTAATATGTATTCTTTTCACAGGGCGAACCTTTCCTACACACCCATACTTCTCTGCCCAGCTTGGAGCAGGACAGCTATCGCTTTACAACATTTTGAAGGCCTACTCACTTCTAGACCAGGAAGTGGGATATTGCCAAGGTCTCAGCTTTGTAGCAGGCATTTTGCTTCTTCATATGAGTGAGGAAGAGGCGTTTAAAATGCTCAAGTTTCTGATGTTTGACATGGGGCTGCGGAAACAGTATCGGCCAGACATGATTATTTTACAGGTATAGAGTGTTCCTTATGTCTTTAATACAACAAAATGCTAAGAATGTTTCTTATCCCTCTCCAGATGTGCCTCAGGAGCTTTTTCACCGTCAGGTAACATTGTAATAGCTGTCACTGCTGATAAAGGACTCTGTGCTAGGCATTATTCCAAGCGCTTCATCTGCACTTCCCTCTAAGGAAGACACTGTTCATCGTCTCAATTTGTAGATTGGAAAACTGAGTCTCCAAGAGATTATAAATTGGGCCCAGTCACACAGCTAGCAAGTGTCAGAGCTGGACTGGAAACCCAGGCCTCTCTGACTCTAGGGCCTTCCCTCTTGCCCCCATCAGCCATCAGATGATCTCAGACCTACCTCCCAGCCTCTGCATCTGCTCTTCCTCTGCCTCACCCCCACCCTTGTCATCTCAGGTTCAGCTCAAATATCACATCCTGGGAGAAGCTCATTCTGACTACCCTGATGTTGTGTTCCCCACTTCCACCTTGGGCACACTGCGTCACGTTATCCTGGCTGATTTCTTTTGCACAACACAGCCACTGCCAGAAATGATCTTGTTTCCATAATCATCTCCCTGTCTATTTTCTGATTTTTCATAGCCTGTGAACTTTAGGAGAGGGAAGGGATCTTACGGGTCTTGGAGCCGAGTTCCTAGTTTCTGAAACAGTGCGTGGGTTGAAGTAGGCACCCCATAAGTATTTGTTGAATGAACAATTCTGTCAGAGAAAACCAAACACAGTAGCGTATTGCAAATACCACGTGCTGCTCTTGCTGCCTGTCAGAGGGAAAACTCTGGATCCTGCTTCAGGAATATTCCTAAATGTTGCAGCACATGTTGATATGTTCATTTACTACCAGTAAGATACTATGCCTTCAGAGCTCTAGAGAGTATCCTGGGAGGGAATACATTAGAGCCAAGGACTTGCTTTGAGAGCACCAAATTATGTGATTCAAAATCTTTTCACCTTGACCTGTGAACATGGACCACGTGAATGCAAATATCATAGAAGGAACTCATTCACTGAAAGATTTTGACCACATAACACTTTCCACATGTACTGTGAGGTTCTTCCTACATTCCCTTTATTAACTTTAAAGACAGTGGTCACCAGGCAGTGGAATTTTTGAGTTTTCTATAATTTATGTAACACACAACTCTTTTGGGGTGGTGCCTTTGGTTGATTAGACAGTCTTCGATATGGGAGAGCCACAGCTGGTGCTTATGGGATTATATTATCTGAGCCTCTGAAAACGGTTTTGTTTTCTTTCTCTCAGTTTAGATAGGACATATCCAACTTGGTGGATCTTAGCGGATTCTGACCCTCTGTAGGTTGTTGTTTCTTTAGGCTCAGGCCGTGGCACTGCTCAGATCTGGGCTGGCTCTCGGGCCTCTGTGAGCCTGTAACTCTTGGTGGCACTACTAGGAACTGGCATGAGATTTCTGCCAGAATCATGTCATTCTGTGAAGTTGGAGTTCCACTTTAGTTGGAAAAAGTTTTTATTTCATCTTAAGATGCACACTTGTCTTCTTGTTTTAACTTGCCAGGTATCTGGATATTCCATATATTATACACCAAAAGAAATTATGCTTCTCCTGCCTATTGAGTAATTTCAGGGGTCCAGAGGGAACTTGCTGAGTGAACATGTACAATGGATTCCTATGGAATCATAAGATGCCCCTAATTCAGTCTTAGTAAAGAGACTGGCTTCTTATTTCTAATTCCTCCAGGCTTGAGTTGTGCAAAGAGTATGTATTTGTAAGAGAATTTATGAAATGTTTGCACAAGACAGATTTTTAGATCTTCTTAGTGGAGGAATACAAGGGAACAATAAAAAGGAAGTGGCAGTAGAAGACCCAGCGTTAGCGTCCTGGGCCTACACCCAGCCAGTGCCTGGCACCAGCAGGCACTTGGGAAGCACTTGTTGGATGAATTAGTAGCTGAGCTCAGTGGATCGCAAGCCAAATCGAATGTTTAAAGTTCTAGTAAGTCTTCTCTTACACCCACCCTGTGAGCAGTAGGCATAACTTTATTGCTGTGGCAGATCCCTAATTCTCAGCCCTTGTGGCTGTCTTCCTGCAGATCCAGATGTACCAGCTCTCGAGGTTGCTTCATGATTACCACAGAGACCTCTACAATCACCTGGAGGAGCACGAGATCGGCCCCAGCCTCTACGCTGCCCCCTGGTTCCTCACCATGTTTGCCTCACAGTTCCCGCTGGGATTCGTAGCCAGAGTCTTTGGTGAGCATTAGTAAATCTGTTTGCCAGAACCAGCCTTCTCTTATTAGAGGGGAAACATTTCCTGTCTCTCCGTGGTGATTCTTATTTTTATACCTGTAGCTCTTACCAGAACAGGGTATTGTTTGATAGTCTAAGATTAGTCAGGGGTGGGTTTTGTGACTTTGGAGTCCTCCTTAACTTCTGATAATCACGGGGCTTCCCTAGATGCCTTCATCTTGTGGGATGTGGATCCGATCCGTGTAGATCCGATCGCTCACCATGAGGGTCTCCCTAGAGCAGACATTTGGAGGACTTGGCTGAGGAGCCACAGGTGTATGTTTCTCATGAATTGCCTTCCTCAGCCACTCTGGGTTGTGAGTATTGACTGATGCTGACTGTGGGCCTCTGGGCCCTTTCTAGATTCCCTTGGCATCTCTTCCTCCCCTTTCTCTTCTTGCCCTGCCCTTGGCTCTACACTTTCTCCCAAGTCACTGTCTTGGAGACCAGTGTCAGGACCTTGAGTAACACCTCCGTGTGGATGGCTCGCTCTCCCCGCTCAGCCTTGACACTTCATGAAGGCCTCTTGCCCCTGAGCCCACATGTCACAGCCACTGCCACTCCCGTGCCCCCGCTGTTAACCTTGGGTGGTTCACATGTAAAACCTGCCTTTATATTCTTGATTTACTTTTTGAGAACATTGTCAAAGTTAGGTGAGTGTTCATACACAAAGCCTTCAACCTGCCTTCATATGCAGGGATAGGGCTGTCCACGTGCGCATCAGGAACCGAGTGGAATGTTGTGAGCATGGTCAGTTCGGGCACAGTTTGTTTTCCCTACTGCAGAATAAAAGTGATATTTTTGACAATTCAGGTTCTTTTTTTTATTGTAAAGGAGGAGGCTACTAAAAAAATGATAGTTATTATATATCAAATGTTTTTAAGCATCACTTGACAGCTTAAAAACATGTGATCTTTAAAAAATTTGTTTTTATGATTAGAGAGCATCTTAAGGGAAATGTTCAAAGACATTGATACTACTTCAGACATGCTTTGGGTAAACATCTTAAATATCCAAATTCTAGAAATCCTAAAATTTGCTTTTTAATATAAGTGAGCATTTACCCTTCTTCTCTCTTTTCCTTTCCCCCCAAATACTAGATTTTTATTATTCACTTTTATCTACAAGAACCTTTAAAGAGTTTCCCATTTTGCTTTACTATAAGAATTCATATTCCTTCTTTTCTGTCCCTGAAAAAATAAAATCACTAAATTAAAATAGATACAAAAAGCTATCTCCTGGTTGAGCATATCTTTAGTGAGAGTTCATGAAGGTTTATACCATGGTTAAAAAAAAAAAAAGATTAACTAAAAGCCTCAAAATTGTGTGCTTAGTTTATTAACAAAAGAGTTACAGAAACTAAAATCTCAAGCTCTAGGCTTTAAGCTTTCTTGCCAATAACTTCTATGTTTTTGACTTCTCTAACACTGGAAATTAAAAGAAAATTATTAATCTACCTTCCTTACATTTTCTCCACATTTTAGCTATGATTTTCATACAGGGTCATGAAGAGGAGTGAGGATGGAAATGGGGAGGAGGGAGCGCTGTTTGTTAATGGTTTGTAAACAGCTCAGGCATTAAATTACTTGGTTAGTGAAGAAAATTCTACCAAGGCAACCAGGCTGACCACAGACTGGAGGGCTGAGGGGTCATCACTGAGTCATCTCTGCCCTGGGGCCCCAGGCACTGGAGCTGCTGCTTGCAGAAAGTTCTGGGGCTCTGGAAGAGAAATTTTTCCTTCGGCTCATAAATGGGTAAAAAGACGTTAACAAACAAGCAGACTCCACTTTGGAAATGATAGCCCTTCTATTGCAGAGTAATTTGAAGCTCTCTGAAGCTCACTCTAATGACTTCATAAATCAAAGCTGCAGCTTGTAAAGGTAAGATATTTTTCTGTAGACTTTGTAGGCAGTGGTGAGACTCGGAGTTTCATAAACATTATGCATAGAGATGCCAGTGTCTACATCATTCCTGGATCCCACAGACTCCTGCTGTGCTAAGTGGGTCGTTGTCCAGCTGGCCAAGGGCTCCTGGGATTAGAGGCGGGAAGTGGGATCTCAAGGCCGCACTGGCTTGTGATGTCACTTTGCAAGAACTGCTTTTTTTTCCACAGTCCATCCCATCTTTCAGTACTTAAAAACAGAAAAGATAGGTTTTTACAAACCATTTCTATTTTTAGCACTGATGACTTAGAGAATGGTGATGGAGATAGCTTAGTTTTATATTTCAAAGCCTGCCATTCAGTCACTATAGTCTTTTTTGGCCTAGGGCCCATTTCATTATAAGCCTTTAAGTCTGGATAAACTCTAAAAACATGTAGAACTTTGTTGACTAAGTAAAATATTTCAGTTTGCACCACCTTAGCTCATATATTAGTTAATAGGTTACCTGGCATTAAGTATGTATCTGCTCCTTGGAGGGGCGGCTGCCAGTGATGTGTGCGCCTTAACCTTCACATGATACTCACACCTTGCTGAATGGCAGTTCTTCTACCTGGTGTCACATAATGTCAATAGCCCCTTCCTGTATTTTTCTAGCTTGAGTACAGCAGGGCCCTGGGAGAGACGCTTGCTCTGTTCACTTTCTCATCACATCTACCTTTGGGGGAAGAAAAATCTAAAAAACAGGACCTGGCTTGCTCCTGATGGAGGAGGAGGCTGCAGTGTTCAGCCTCTGATGTTTTTCTATAGGACATGCTGCCAAATAGATGAGGGAGGAGGAGGAGTATAAAAACTAAGGGTTTGGCAAAAAACACAGAAGCCACCTGCAATATAGTGAAGGCTTCAGAGAGACTTTAGGATGAAAATAGACTGAAAACAAGATTGTTTCTGTGGCCAGGAAAATCTCCAGCTATTCAGGTGACATGATGCCGCGTGATGATGAGTGTGTCCAGTCTGTCTGTGCTGTTGTTCTGCACAGCACTGTCATCAGCCTTCAGCGTCCCCTTTACCCGTTACTCATAGAATGTAGCGGAGCCACGACTGGAGGACCGCAGCCTTCCAGAAGAAAGTTGAGAAGGCTCAGCCTTGACAAAGACAAAGGTGGCTGGAAAAAGAGATGCAGTGCAAGCTCACATAGGAAGATTGCACTTTGAGATCATGAAGTTTAGTTTCAAATAGAGTTCCAATACACAGTAACGCAATAAGAGGGTTGCTGAAATGTCCTCAAAGAAAAGCAGTTCCTTTGTGTTGTTCCCAGCGAATACAGTGCAAAGTAATAGAGTCAGCTGAATTTAAGATTCCTATTTCCTGCCGGATAAAACGTCTTGCCTGTTTCTAGGTGGCTTGAAAAAGGAGAGGAGAGAAGGAAGAGGCAGGAGAAAAGTCCCACTGAAAGGACGTGGGCTACAGTGTAGTGAGCTAGGCTACTGCCTCACTGCGCTGGGCGGCTCCAACAGTTCACTGTCTCCTAGGGAGGTTTTCAAATGCAGGACATTTGCTCACTTTTCCAAGGAGAGTTATTGTTTTTTTGTTTTGTTTTGTTTTGTTTTGTTTTAAAAAATTCCAGAATGTAAATGTATAAGATACCGGAAGACAGGCAAAATAAAAATAATTGGTTTGGGGCAGTGGGTTTATAGGTAACATTTTTCTTTACTATTGTTTTAAAATTAGATGTGATTTAAAAAAATTTCCAAAGCCAAAAAACGGTACAAATGCTTTAAAGGATGAAGATGTTGTCCCCAAGTGTCATCAGACAAATTTAGGAGGCCCTTCCTCCCAAGCAAAGCTTCCTGCAGTCCTTCCTTCAACTCTGAATTCAAGCACATTCCTGCATTGTGCACCCAAATGATCTCCCGATTTAAGACCCCCTGTGTCTCACAGAAGCTTCTGGGGCTGAACTTTCTCCGGCCTTGGAGGGTTGGACGCTTTGAATGGGAGGAGTGGTGGTGAGTGGAGCATCTCTGGCAGCAGGCATTTGGGAGTCTCTGGCAGGAATCAATCAGCGTAGTCTCCAAAGGTGGCCTTTCTCTGACACTAACTAGCCCTTGCAGGGGTCATACCCATAACCTGCATCTCATTAACATCATCTCCTTACCAGTGCACTGACCTAGTGAGAAAAGGAACAATAAGCATTCAGCGACTCCTGCGGTGCTCCAGGGGAAGTTAGAATTGCTTGGCTGGGGCAGAGGCCCCTGGTGATCTGGACCTGCGTGCCCCCATTTGCCCACCTTCTGCCCTGCACAACCAGTGCCCCTGCCTTGCCAGCCAGACTGTTTTTCAGGCTCCTGCACACCTCCCTGTATTGACACCCTATTTTCCTTTTATTCAGAGTATTAATCCTGAGGTCTGACCTAGGAAATTTTCATTGGTTCTTCAAGCAGTCACCTTTCTGTGGGCCTTTTCTTTCCTCTTTGTTCTCGTAACACCCTGGGCATAACTCTACCGAACCAGAACTCCTTGGTGTCTCTGCAGCGTGTTCTTTGTGTTTTGCTCATGGCTTAATCTCCAGAGCCTAATACAGTGCCTGATGTGTATTAGATGCTCAATAGATGCTCATTAAGTTAAAGTAGAAGACACCTCTCAGCAGAGTTCTCTTAAGGTGTTGTGAATAGCATTGGGAAAGAACATTTATTTTTTAATTACATTAAATACAAACAGATATAATAAAATAAATCATATGCCCAGTGCTATGTCTTAATTTTTTAACATATCAATAAAGAGACTTTAAAACACATAACACCACCCTCTCCCCTCCAAATTTCCTTTCCGGGAAAGTCTCCTTTTGGAATCATAGGAAGCACTTACTAAGTTGATTTATTGTAAAAAAACCAAGATCCTAATAAATCTCAGAAGATCTCCTGTTAACCTAAAGAGACCACTGATGTGGATTCTGTATTTGGTTGTGCTGACAAAAGTTTCCCAGTAATTGTTTATTTTAATTGGCGTAGATGTGGTACTGTACCTAATTTAAGGCACTTGTCCCTCTGAGAGTAGAGACCAAGCTATAGAAAATCACTGGTGTTGTAGGGAAAGCCTTTCCCCAGGATCCCTGCAAAAAAGGTCTTGATTTTTATTCTGAAAGATGCCCTCATTTTTTGTTCAGCTATAAAAGTTCATATATTGAAAGGAGGTCTAGGAAGTCTCACTGTGTAAACCACTGAAACTTCAAATTTACTTTAGAGTTTTGTTTCTGGAAATGTCATTTCTGTTTAAAAATACATCTTTGTTATAGTATTATTTTAGATCTTTTTATTTTCTGTAGTGGGGAATTATACAGGTAGACTACATTTTATAAACCAGATATTTCAGAGGAATATTCTTCAATTGGCCTGCCTTGGTGTATGTAACACTTACCCTGAAAAGCTCTGATTTCAAAGACACAGTTAGTTCTCTAGTATATCTTCCCAGCCTCAACAACCAGACTTAAGAAGGAAGTGAAGGATTCATCTTCCCCACTTTCCTGCGGCCACCCTGAGCCATCAGTAGTTGTGATGTTTGTGGAAAGAGTGTGGACCCTGAGCTGGGTGGGAGAAGCAGGCTGATCTCAGCGCTGGCATGGCTTAGGGCTGCACCCATCTCAGCTCACATGGTTAATTAAGGGTTTTGTGGTGGTTACAGAGGATCTCGAGGGCTATCCCAGCCAGCGGGCTCCTGGGTCTGTCATCTCTGCCTGTGCTTTGTTCAGAAACTACAGGGATTCAGTTTCCCATTTGCACAGCAGCACCCAGTCTTTGCTTTTCTGTTTCTTCGTGGCTTTTAAATGTTATCATATTAACCATCTAGAGAGGCACCCTGCAAGGTTATTCCTCTCACCTGCTTTTGCTTTCCTTGATTTGATGAAATTTACAGCTTCTTTCTCTCTTCCATTATCTTTCAGCCAAAAGAAACAGAGAAAAGAAATACTGACACTTGCCTCCAATTATATTTCTACTCTGATTTTTAAAATTGTTTTTTTCTTATATTATTATTCTAGTTATTAGGTAACCTGCCTCAGTTTAGTCAACCAATAATTAGTTATCGTGGCTCTGCTTTAACCCCAGGACATCGACTCTTTTTTTCCCCAGCAGCTTCAACTCTATGAGGAAGGTGAGACAGGGCTAGGGTTGCTGCTCGGCCGCTTGCCTTGGCCGGTGCCCTCCCTCTTATTCTGCAGTCTGTATAGAAGTTGCATCCATTTGCCAGCCACTCTAAGAACAAAATATGGCCAGAACTAGGAAGTAACCTTGACAGAGTTCTTGAACTCCTCAGAGGGAAAAATGTTCTTTATTCCATTATCATGTTAAAAATCAGTAAACTTGTATTTAACAAAGTACTTCTGCAGTTGTACAGCTGTTGTACAGTTTTTAAAGATCTTTGAATTCTATTCCTTGTTTCAAAACAGAGGAAACAGAGACACTTTTTCACTTACTCTATCTTAATTTCTGATGCTTTATCTATAAAAATCTTTTAGTGTGACCCATAAAAACATGTTTTAGTATCTCCTTTAAAACCCAGGAGCATTCCTGGAAAAATAGACTAATAAAACCTTTTTCCCTTTCCCAGTTTAACTTTTGAAGCATGTTTGAATTTTATTTTCAGAGTAAAACATAATTTTTAATGTTTATGTACTTTTATTTGCAATACTGTCTTGACAACACTGTCTGAGATATCAGGCTCTTAAAAATGAAATAAAGTTTGCAATGTGGGGCTATGTCTCCCACACTCCTGCTCTGTGATGTGTGGAAAAGGCAATGGAATGGTATTGCGTGAGAAACTGGTCTGGTTTAACTTTCTGCATTTCTGTGTTTTCTCAGATATGATTTTTCTTCAGGGAACAGAGGTCATATTTAAAGTGGCTTTAAGTCTGTTGGGAAGCCATAAGCCCTTGATTCTGCAGCATGAAAACCTAGAAACCATAGTTGACTTTATAAAAAGCACGCTACCCAACCTTGGCTTGGTACAGATGGAAAAGACCATCAATCAGGTATGAGTCAGTCCAAACCTTGCAAATGCTTAAGCCATCCTAGATATGTAGAAACTTAAATCTCTCTTGAGCAGGAACTGTTTCCTACCACTTTGTGTTCTGAACGGCATTCTGCATGATGCCTGGCATGGAGGAGGCATATCACAAACGTGTGGAATGATCGTGAGTGTGTGTGTTGTGAGCGTCATGGTGAAATGCCACATGGAAACATGGTGGCAATGTTTAGCTGTAGAAACCAGCACAGGTTATTAGTAGTTTCTTACATTTAAGAGACTTCAGCTCTAGTAGCTTGTTCTTCTGAAACATATATATATTTATGCAATGATGCAATGTAGGGTTTTGTACATTGAGTGCTTTGATTTGTGTGTGTGTATGTTGAATGGTTTTAATTGGAATTTTCTCCAAATAATTCTTTGATAACAAAGTTATGATAGGGAACATATATTCTATGAATTTGTTTCATGATGTGTGTGTGTGGTTTTTTTTTAACTGAATTCAGTTCAATATCTGTGGCTTCATTACCTCTGGTTTCAGTATACAATAGAACCATTATCCTCTGAAGTGTTAGAGGCTGAGAGGTGAGTTTTACTGGGAATTACAACTAAACTAGATGGTGAATGCCCTGGGTTGGGCATGGGAGCAGATTTTGATCCTGTACAGTTTAAGGAAGAACCTGCCAGTAATGGCTGCTGATGATGGAGGACTATGCTCCTTAGTAGAGAAAGGGGCATCATTGGAAGTGTCTAGAGGCTGGGTAGCTACGAAAGCACTGGAAGGGATTTCATCATTGAGTCACTGCAGAGTCAGCAGTCAAGCCTCTCATAAGCCTAGAATCTGCTCCAGATAGTCATGTGTCACTTAATAATAGCAATACGTTTTGAGAACTGCATCATTAGGTGATTTCATCATTGTGCAAACTTCATAAAGTGTACTTAAACCCAAGTGGTATAGCCTACTACACACCTACACATGTTGTTCCTAGGCCCTACAAATCTGTATGACATGTGACTATACTGAATACTGTTGGTAGTTGTAACACAAGGTGGAGTATTTGTGTATCTAAACATAACTAAACATAGAAAAGGTACAATAAAAATATGGTATTCTAATCTTATGGGACCACCATCATATATGCAGTTCGCCATTGACCAAAATGTTGTAATGCAACACACAACTGTGTAACGAAAGCATAGAGCAATCAGGCAAAAACAAATGGTGAAATAAAGCTATTTTTGAAAAATCCTTACTCTGGAGATTTCTGTAGTCCAAAAGGAATCCATGATTCCAGTGGATTGCATCCACATGCAGTGTTTGTGATTTTCATTTGCAGCCACACCTTAGGTGTTAAGCACAGAAAAAGATGCAAATTTGGCCTGCAAAAGAAAGAGGTTTCATACCAGTTGTTAACTTTAGATTTCTGTTTGCACATTGCATATGCCCTTATGAAAGAACAGTTCTTGTCTGTTCTGCACTCATCTTTAATTGAGAGCCTCTCCATCTCTTTTCCTTCCCTGGAACACTCTTCTTGATGTGGATAGCTTTGGCTTGTTGGGGCCTTGCTTTTTGCCAGGTTGGGTGGGCATCGAAATATACGCATGATCCCATTCAGTGCAGGCCGCACTCCTGAGAGGATATAAAGTGGTTCACTGACTGACCCACACTCACTCTGCTGCAAAGTGGAAAGGTAGGGGTTCAAACTCAAGTCCCTCCCACCTCAAAGTGCTTTAGCAGCTCTCCTACACTGCCAAGAGCCTCTGGAGGTCATTTAATTTAGAGTTTTTCCCTATTTTACCAGGATTCTAATACTGACTTCTCCACCCTTTTGATTCTTTGATTTCTGGCATTTTCATTCATTCTTTCTTTCATTCATTCTCTTCTTACAGCTTTTGTTGCATGTACTTACTTACATTTACAGCTTCTAGGGCAGACCCCCGAGAGCCTTGGTTACCTAGACTGAGGGCTATATCCACTACCTGACATGTCACCTTGCTCCTGTCCCTCAGGCCATCCCAGCTGACATTGTTTACCTCCTAAGTATTGAGCCTCAGAAAAAAATCCCATTGTCTCCTATTTTCTGTAAAAAACAAAAAATAAAACGTATTGAGAATACTTAGGATACATCAGGTGCTGTTTCAGTGCTGGAAGAGTGGAAATGGACACAGCATGGGAAGAAAATAGCTGTGCGTGTACCTGGTTTGTTTCAAGCCGCTATCTGGCTATTTGGAAGTTGCCATTCATTTTTCCACTGACTTTTTTTTTTTTTTTTTTTTTGAGACAGAGTCTTGCTCTGCTACCCAGGCTGGAATGCGGTGGTGTGATCTTGGCTCACTGCAACCTCCACCTTCTGGGCTCAAGCATTCTCGTGCCTCAGCTTCCTGAGTACCTGGGACTATAGGCATGTGCCACCACGCTCAGCTAATTTTTGTATTTTTAGTAGAGGTGGGGTTTCGCCATGTTGGCCAGGCTGGTCTTGAACTCCTGGCCTCAAGTGATCCACCTGCCTCATCCTCCCAAAGTGCTGGGATTACATGCATGAGCCACTGTGCCCGACCTCCACTGACTTAATAACTCTAGGACATAGGTATTATAATTCCTATTTTTATAGATGAAGCTGAGCAGAGAGTAACATGCCCGGCCCCTTGTAGAAAGGCAGGGTCTGTGGGAGCCAGGGCTGTGAGGTTGGAGCTGAGGTGTTTGAGTCCAGCTGGACTTAAAAGATGACCTAAGATCGGCTGGCAGACATTTTCCAAAGAAGGCCAGGCAGTATATATTTTAGGCTTCACGGGTCATAACGTCACAACTACTCACCTCTGCGACAGCTACTCACCTCGGCCTTTGCAGCACAAACAATCCATGACAGCATGTAAGGGGATGATGGGTCATGTTGCAAAAATCTTTATTTTAAAAACTGTGCAGCGTGATGGGCTTGGTCCACAGGTGGTGGTTTGCTGATCCCTGAACTAAAGGATCACAGCATGTGAGAAGGTACAGGAATGAGAGCAGAGAGCAATTCTCAGAACCTGAGGTGTTCAACATTTTGGGGGTATCGGGAGCACAAAAATTTGCATTTAGGGCCCGGGTTTTTATCAGTGGTCCTTATAGAAAGTAGATCTACCCGCATCTCTCCCCTCTTTCCCTCTGGTGTTTCTATCTGAACTTGACATCTGAGTGTTCTCTGTCAGGCTTTCTGCTTTCCTACTGCCCCCTCCCATCCAGAGGGTGCTGTAGTCTTAAGTTCTACACAGAAAGCAGACATGGGGTCCAGCATGATTCCTCTGCAGCCTTAGAGATCCCCCAGGCCCAAATCTTGGGGGTCTTCAGAGTAGATGTAATGGATGCTTCCATTGCAGATGGTGGAGCATACTGCCCTGTGTACAGATGGGGTGGGGCAGGAAGTGAGGGCATCTGGGTGGTCCTCTGTGATAGCTGTGGTTCCATTTCATTAAATGCCTTCCCTGTATAGATAGTCTCAGCCTGAGCAACTGGGACACAGCTGGATCCTGGGTGGAAGAGGTGGCCAAGGACAGGGCTCTGGAGCTCTGGCTCAATGTGGACAGGCTGAAAGCAGCCAGAGAGGGCAATTCCAAAGGTGACA
Organism: Homo sapiens; assembly: GCF_000001405.40. Classification (NCBI taxonomy): domain Eukaryota; kingdom Metazoa; phylum Chordata; class Mammalia; order Primates; family Hominidae; genus Homo; species Homo sapiens. The sequence goes on from NC_000004.12 coordinate 38,128,727, forward strand.
GAGCCCAGGACAGAAGACCAAGGGTGTCTGAAGCCTTTGTGGCAGTGTACTTACCAAAGGACCTGTCCATTGAATAAACCATCTACATCTTCTGACCCAAGAAGAATGGAAACTTTGGGAATAATTAGTAACAAAGGAAAGGAGGTCAGTGTTGTATTCTTGTCACAGTGGGTGCTCTGTGGCTGTGAAGTCTCAGCTCAGTTTAAGGAAGAAAAAGAGGAAGGGTGGCTGTGGGAGGCAGGGCAAATAGCCTATTTTCAGCATCCTTTAGGCTCCACTCAGAGCATGGCCTCAGCCCAGCATTGTCATCATATCATGTCAGAGCTTGTTAGAAACTCAGCATCTGGGGCCACACCCGAGACCTGCTGAATCAGAATCTGCATTTCAGTGAGATCACCAGGGGATTCACATACACACAAACAGCTGAGAAACCCTGCTGTGGGCAACTCTGTTAGAAACACAATGAACAAAGGAGCCCCTGTTCCAGTTGAGCTTGTAGGTTAGAAACCAGGGTTCCTGTATTCAGAAGACACACCTCAAATCAGGGGCAAAGGTGCCTCTTCTGCCTGTGGGGGAGCCGTCACTTCTTGGGCAGTTTGCACCGTGGAAAAGGAGTAGTTTTGTACGAGGACAACTGGTGCCATACCAGGAGGGTGGGGCGTGGCGGGGAGAAGTGGTTTACCACTGGCGTTGTTGAAAATTGCTCACATGCAGTGGTAATAACAAGCAGAGGGACTTTTAGTGGGTTTGATGTTTTTTGTAATTCACTACAGATAGTGTGTGCCCCCTTGTTGCTGATACCAGGCCGACTGTTCCCACTCTCCAGCCCTTGGTATGACAATGGGACCAGCAGATTGGAGGGCAGGGGGTTAGGAAGGCGGAAGCTCTGTGGCGAGTTCTGCAAACCATCAGGGTTCATGACTTTATTAATCAGTGTCCATGGACTGTGAAGAGAAATGCTGAGTCTACAATAGCAAATGAGCCAAGAACATAAACAGACAATTCACCGAAGAGGAGATATCTAGTAAACAAATATCTGGGAAAGTATTTGGCTTCATGTGTAATTTAAACTTATGTAACATATAATGCTTTACTCTACTAGATAATAGAAAGACATTTCTTGATGCCAGTACCCAGCACCAAGGGTATACTGTATGCAGAACATTAGCATGTTGCTGATGGCAGTGCACATTGATTAGTGGCTGTTGGGAGACAATTTGGCGAAACATATCCCAAGCCAGTAAAATATTCATACCCTTTGACTCAGTCATCCCGTTTCTTGGAATGTATCCTCAGGAAATAATCCAAAATATGAGGGAAGCCATATGTATAAGGTTATTCTCCTAGACTTGTCACTTATAATAACAGAAACTTGGAACTAGATGTCTAACACTTGATGACTGGATTAATATGATGATGGTAGGTTGAGCTGGTAGAATATCATGAAGCCAGTTATATATAGCGACATGAAAAAGCTCTTATTTGATACAATGTTAAGTAAAGGAAAAGTGGGATAGGAAATTTTATGTTGGTTATGTTTAGAACTAGAAAAACATGCTTTTAGGAAATAGGAAATATAGCTAGATATAAAAGTTGTATTTGGTGATTTTTCTTTTATTTTTCAAGCTTCCAATAATGTAGCTCTATTGCTTCAGTAACTTAAAATAGTTTTATCTTTTCGGCAAAACATCGAAAGTATGGAAATAGTCATTCCTACTTTGGCAAACAGAAGAGAAATTTTCTTCAGTACCAAAATTCTGGAACTTGACTGAAAACTATGAAGAACCTAAGAGCCAGGATGACAGGAAGGCTCTAGATCCCCAGTAATTACAACTCTAGTGGAATTGCTCTGAGATGGGCCAGCAAGAAAGAAGATGAGAGCCAGTCCCCCTTGCAGAGGGGCCAGGTACCTTGCAGCTTTGTGTAGTGACCAGTGCTCAGGGAACGGCTTAGGCAAGACCCTGGGGGAGGTGGGCACTGCACTTGTCCAGCCTCAGGAGTGACTCAGACCAGAAATGAAAACACCTTAAAGTGTATATATCTTGTTTTCCTATCAACACCTAGTTTTTAATATTCGTCTGTTTTATTCATCTGAGACAACATACCAAAGGATTGGGTTTTTAATGTTAGGCCTTCCTGCTCTTTCTCTGGCTGAGAACTGCTCCTGGCAGTGGATCACTTGTGCTGTCTAAGTGTGCAAGGACAGGCGCCCCTCCCAATTCTTTTCTTTCCCCAAGTAATTAGCCCAAGGGCTGAAGCCCTCGTTCAGTGACCAGGGTTCTCCTTTGACCACCAGCCTCATATTGCCATGGTTTGGGGTAAATTCAGGGGCATAACTGCAGAATGAAGGGCCTAGGAGTCTTGGCAGTCAGGAGATCATCAGGCAATTAAGCAGAGATGATTGTGACCCAGGGTGGTTCCTAGGGATTAATGGAGGCCTGGAAGAGTTTATGGCTTTGGGTACTGCTGAGAGCCATTAACTTAACACAGAACATCAATCCGTAGGAAAAGCCAGAGGTTTTGTTCCCAGGCTTTCCAGGTTAGGAGATCACTTAAATCTTTGTGAAAGAAAAAAAGTAATAGTGTACATGACATTTATTCAGCACCATATTTATAATTATACATGAGTGCCAAACAATCTCAGTTTTAACATTTGTGGTTTTTACTGTTCAGACTATTCAGAAGTTCCATGACGTGGCATCCATTGATGATGGTTTTGCTGAGGTTGAAATGTGAGGGTTTTGTGGCAGGTGTGTGGAAGCAGATCCCTTAGCTAAGAGAGCGCCTGCTCAACCTGCCAGGCGTGTGCTGGGAACTTCCAGGAGTTGCCTCGTTTAATTCTCACAGCCATCCTGGGAGGTAGGCGCTGTCTGCCCCAGGTGGGAGGCCAGGAACTGTGGCTGAGAGAGGTTAAGTACCGAGCTCAAGTCATTCATAGAGTCGCCAGTGGAGCCGCAATTTTAAGGCTGACTCAAAGCCTCTGAGCCAGTTACCTCGGCTGTCAAATGGAGATAATAATCCCTGCTGACCTCACGGTCGCTCTGAAGGACAAAAGAGAATCAGTTCAATCCAGTAAACAATTCTCTCTCTCCCTCTTACTCCCCTCGCACACATGCACACACACCCCACAGATATAATGGATTTTAGTTTTTAGGCATCAAATGACTTTTGTGCCTTATTAATATTATCCACTGAATCAAAAACAGCAAGCTGAAAAATTCATCTCAAGGAAGAGAAAATAAGATTGTTGGGAATGGTGAGAAAGGAAACATGGTTTTTGAAAATTGATTCCAGGGAAGATAGGCTAGTTTGAATGCCAGTAGGGAGCCATCAGAAGAAGTAGTTTTACACTGATTTTTAACAATATTGGAGTTGCTTAAGGCAATGCAATAGAGAGGCAGTTTCTGCCCTTTTAAAGCCTGACTTCACTTTCTGAATGTGTGTTCTGATCTAGCAGGGTTTTTTTTTTTTTTCTTTTAAGATGGTCCCAGCTTGACTGCATTCTCAGATCCATCAGATAAACGTTAGGGCTTCACTGCTGTGCTGAGAGGCCCCAGCCCCTGGGGTTCTCTCATAGAAACAACTGGAAAGAAAGGAAATGCCTTGGGCAGCAGCAGCAGCAGCTGTCTTCTGATTCTGCTTTCCGCCCTGCCTTCCTTACCAAGAGAAAGTACAGACACGGACGGCTTGAGTCACTTAGGCACTTAGGAGTTGTTTTTCACACGTGTGGTGTTTTCGTCACCATTACTATTGTGGGAAAGAAGACAACTCAGGCATCGTTTCGTATTCACTCATCTGTGTGGGTGACATGTGGGTTTTGGCTCATTTCTGCATATTTGTGTGCAAAGGAGAGTTTTTTAGTAAACAGTCCCATTACTTAGCTGTTCTTGTAACTCTGAAAACCCAACTGAACTATAATTAAACTTTGACTTGGTGACTCTGCAAACAGGCTATGATTCTTTTGTTTCTTTTCTCCTTTTAACCCATAGTTGATGTATCTAACCTAACAGAATTTTCAGAGAAAAGAAGTGAAATAAGAACTAAAAATAAATTTTTATGTCTTTAAAAATGAGAGGTTTTTTTTTTTTTTTTGGCTTTTGGAAGGTGAGTATCAAAAACCTGTACTTAATGTTACCTTGGAATTATTTCTAGATGTTTCTTATATCCTTTTGTCCCAAGTAAAATTATTACCTTCTCAGTGCGTAGTTTTTCTTATTTATTACTTCTAGTACCAAGTGTAGAGCTAAGCGTAGAGGAGACGCTTCACAGGTGCGCATTGTCGTGATTGCAGACGCCTGCCTGTACTTGTGGGGTTTTTCTCAGTTTTAGTACGTGATGACTTTTCTTTCTATAACAGGTATTTGAAATGGACATCGCTAAACAGTTACAAGCTTATGAAGTTGAGTACCACGTCCTTCAAGAAGAACTTATCGATTCCTCTCCTCTCAGTGACAACCAAAGAATGGATAAATTAGAGAAAACCAACAGCAGCTTACGCAAACAGAACCTTGACCTCCTTGAACAGTTGCAGGTAGAGCATATTTATAAAGCAGCTTCCTGAATCACAAATATATGGTAGTTCATTAACTCACCAAAGGCAACAGCAGGCTGGGCTTTCCCATGACCAGAGGACCTTTCCCACCCTGATCTGTTTATAGTTGGGATCAAAGGTATCCCGGGAGAATGGGTCCTTTTTATTATGGAGCAGACAGATTGTCCTTTGCTAAGGTCAGGCAGTCCCAGAGCTTTCTGAGAGGCTGTTTCTGCACTTAACTCTTTTAGGGGACAGGCCCAGAGATGAACTTGGATTCAGGATGCCGTGGCCTGTTAGCTGAATGCCAGCCGTTGTCATTACTCAAAGAGAATCTAAGAGCTTTTAACTTCTATGAGCAAAACCAGCTAGGTCCACAGAGGGATGGTAAAGGAGGAAAGTAACACAGAAATAAATATAACAAACCAGAAGAGATGATAATTCTTTGTGAGTCCTTGGTGCATATACAAAGATTTGATTAATGAAGGTCTCAGTTCTCCCCTCTAGAAACTTCCATTTCAACACGGATATACTCAGGTGAGGACATACAGAAGAAAGACCAGTTGAGACTGTGCACGCAGGAGGGTGTGCAGAGCAAGCACTGAGGTGCAGCACGGAGACCAGAGCTGGCCAGGTCCAGCATCACCCCCACCCCCACATCACCCAGGCACACTGCCCAAAAGAACACCTAACTGCGGAGTGCAGCTCTTTTGTCAATCTGATGGCATGAAGCAACCATATGTTCTACTTTTTTCTACTTTTTTTAATGTCACAAGTGTGTAGCAGTGCTGTCCCTGTTAAGGAGTTGTTTTGAGGGTGTTTTTAAAAGTTGTTTTTGAGTGGCTGTGGATAAAAATACATATTTTTGCCGAAATTTTTATGGTGTTCCTGGGCTGTCCTGAGAATAAGTTCCATTCTGATCTAAGCCTCTGATTTTTCTTCATAGAAAGATGAGCTTTGCAGACACAAGCTTGGCAGCAAGGTGAGAAAGGCCAGCCTAGTGAGTCAAGCTATCTGAAATGCATTCCTCCCAGCGGGCATTCCATCCCAGCATACCCTATCAGATATGTGAAAGAGAGGAACCAAGACCGAATGCTATTCCTGCCCAGCCCTAATAACCACTCACATTCTGAAATTTAACTTCTTTTTTTCCCCTGAGATGTCCTAACTGAAAATATGCCTGTATACAATTTACCCTGGAAGTCTCAGCCATCACTCAAGGGAAGTCTCCAGAGGGTGAAGAGCCTGTCTGGCCTGTAGGGGTACACAGTGTAGGTGGTCATTTTAAATGGCTTCCAAGCCAATGATAGGTCCCTGAAATATAACATGGTGGAAACTTCTAATAAAGCTCACATTTGCATTGAAGTGTTTAGCTTGTTAAGATAGGCAGTTCTCAAATAAAAGGTTTGTTTTATTGGGTAAATGACCTTGTAGTTTTTTGGTGACAGAGCATAGAAAGTAATTTCATGCTGCTCCTGTGCTATTGTTTTTGTGAAGACAGGGAGCTGTGAAAAACTGCTTAGCTACCTACATTCCTCAATAAAGGCATCAGACAGTAATTGGTGATTACAGATGTTCTCCCTGGAATGGTCGTTCTCTTGACCAAGTAGTCCTACACTTCTGGAAGGATCATTCAGAACTGTGGTCTATGCCAACCCACCAGTAGTTCCTGAGTCCCTGCAGTGCTGAGTGCTGGGGGCCACCAAGTTGAGTAAGACACTGCAGCTCTCAAAGAGTTGGATCTAGGATTGTATTGTATCGATTTGTGGTGTTTGGATATAGTTTTTCCATGATCCCCTACGAAAATATGCCTCTCATATGTAAGAATCATGCCTCCTCCGTGTACACTTTTCAGACACTGACAAGGAAGGGTGTTCAATACAGTACTGAATTTTCATATAGCTTTTCTGGGGGGGCCAAAATACCAAAATCAACCCATTTCCTACCTTTATTCTGTCCATAAAATTGTTAGAAATATCAAAATCCCATTTCATTCCCTGTTAAATACATGTGAACGTTGTCTAGACGCTGGAGAGCAAATTCTACCACCTCTTTTGTTCAGCAGTACATCAGACGATTGCATAGACGTGCCAGATGGAACCAAATAATAATGCACATGGATTTGTCATAATCCGTACAAGTCATTGACGCCCACACTGAGCCAGGTGCTGTGGGAGACAGGACCATGTGTGAAAGAGAAGACATGCTTGCTTCTATAAAAGCATCGGTGTTATTGAGGAGACCTGACATTAATGCAGAATAGCAAATGACCATGCAAATTAATTCACTACTAACTAAGCTGCAGGTTGCACCTCGGAATGCAGAGGGGCTTCAAAGTGATGAGGGTAGGCCCTGAGCCAGGCCCTGACGATGGGTGGATTTTGAGGATCAGAGAGTACAGCTTAGAGAGATACCCCAAGTGGGACCACCCCTTGCCCAGTAGGCTGACAAACTAAGGCTCTTGGTCCCTTTTTCATATTTTGGGTGTTCTAGTGGCCCAGCCAGAGCTAGACTTCGAGTCATGAATTTTCTGGCACAAGTGTTGTCACATTCAAAAAAGTATTTTCTTTGTTTGAAAAATGAAAAATATATATATATGTGTGTGTGTATATATATGTGTGTGTGTGTGTATATATGTGTGTGTGTATATATACGTGTGTGTGTATATGTGTGTGTGTGTGTGTGTGTGTGTGTGTATATATGTGTATATATATACCATTTTTCCCACCTAAAATGGAGCATGGCAAATCTGGACTGGATTAGTGAGATAGACCAAGTCACAGAGCACTCCAGGATGCAGCTGTGAGCTGGGGAACAGGTCAGAAAGGCCTCAGGGACATCAGCATACATGTTGGAGTTTCTGCAGTTTTCTTAGGGAACCCTTTAATGTCACTAGAGCTAACACACTTGTCACCTGGGAAGCAAGCCTGCCAGAGCAAATTAGAGAGACGAGGGACAGTTGCTAGAAAGATACACCTGGAAGTTCTATTTAACTAGCATTAATTATGTGCTAGGTGCTGAGGATGTAGACTGAGTGAGATCCTCATTCCTCCTCTGTAGGGTGGAAGAGAGGATATTGCTTGTCTCCATGGCTCGTAGTGAACAGTCAGTGAGACCAGGCACATAAACCTCTTAGCAGAACACTTGGCCTTTCTAAGGACTCCATATGTGTTCCGGGGTAAATGCCTGTGTTTCTTGACGTAGTGATGTCTTGTTCCTCTAGACATCACTAACTTTACACAGTAGCTTTAGATGGCGTGGACGTGAATAAATGCAACTTAGGTTTTCTTGTTGGTTTCTTTTTGAGTATCATTGTGTTTGTAAAGAATTTCAGATTAGAGGATTGTTACCACGTGGGCCTTCAGGAGGAAACTGTTTTGAGTTTTTGTCAGCCCGAAATCGATTTGTGCGTTTAAGTATATGTGCTCATCAAAACAGGCCAGGCTCTGCTGCAGTAACAAACTTACAAGTCTCCGAGGCTTGGCACAACGGAAGTCTTTGTGTCACTGACGCCCACTTCAGCTTTGTGTTGCTGAAGCATTCTTTGGCCCTATCCAAGCTGTCCCTCTGGTGGTGGTGCCTGGGGGTTTGGGTTCCCTCTGTGTTGTGATCCACCATCTCAGCATCGGCTTCCACAGCAGCCATAGCAGGAGAAGAAAATGCTGGGGGCTCTCAGGGTGCTTTTAAGGGCCTGGCCACCGACCTGCAAGGGGTGCGAGTTGCCTTCCTGTGTGGCCAGAACTGATGATAAACTGTAGACTCATCCCTGCTGAAACTCGGCTCCAGAGTGCTCCCAAGGCTGGACAGCGTGTGGGCACTGGATCCCACCTGTGTTAGCACTGGCAATTGTATTCTCATTTCTTCTTTTATTCTCCAGGTGGCAAATGGTAGGATCCAAAGCCTTGAGGCCACCATTGAGAAGCTCCTGAGCAGTGAGAGCAAGCTGAAGCAGGCCATGCTTACCTTAGAACTGGAGCGGTCGGCCCTGCTGCAGACGGTGGAGGAGCTGCGGCGGCGGAGCGCAGAGCCCAGCGACCGGGAGCCTGAGTGCACGCAGCCCGAGCCCACGGGCGACTGACAGCTCTGCAGGAGAGATTGCAACACCATCCCACACTGTCCAGGCCTTAACTGAGAGGGACAGAAGACGCTGGAAGGAGAGAAGGAAGCGGGAAGTGTGCTTCTCAGGGAGGAAACCGGCTTGCCAGCAAGTAGATTCTTACGAACTCCAACTTGCAATTCAGGGGGCATGTCCCAGTGTTTTTTTTGTTGTTTTTAGATACTAAATCGTCCCTTCTCCAGTCCTGATTACTGTACACAGTAGCTTTAGATGGCGTGGACGTGAATAAATGCAACTTATGTTTTCTTGTTGGTTCCTTTTTGAGTGTCACTGTGTTTGTAAAGAGCATTCACAATACGGTGGAATTTCAAAAGCTGGAAGAGCTCGAGATCATGCCTCAGGCAAAGGCGTGGGTCCATCGTTCTTCCGAGAGGGTTTGTGTGGCGACTACACCCTCAGCGTCCCTGGCAAGGTGCAGTTGGCTCTCGCCCATTCTTGTTATGGAAACCTAAGATGATCATTGGGAAGATCAGTGATCTTGGGTCATTGATCCCTGGCTCAGAGGATAGCGGTTTCCATCATAAACCAAGATGATGAGTTCAGCCTTTATCCCTCGTGGTTCCACTAGATGTAACTTAAAGGAGTTAACATTTGAGGACTTTGTTCTACATCAGATTTTACTATTTGAATGTTTAAGATCACTTTATTGAATTTGAAGATCATCAAATTAAATAAAATGATTTATTTAATTTGGATATCCTGATCACTGTCAAGTGAAATGGATCTCTCTCTTTGGTATTTAAGGAAGTTTGTCTTTAAAAAAAAAATAGAGTGTTTTCATACATTTTTGCTTATCCCATAAGTACAGTTGATCAAAGTCATAGTAGGTAAATGCTTTATGGGACAGCTGACACCTTTTAGACCCTACCAGGTATTGCTAGCATGTGAGCTGCAGTTGTGGGGTCTGAGATATTTCTTTGTGGTAGTTTCATACCCATACTATAGAGTCATGTATTTATTTTTGCCTGTTGTGTGATGTAATGCAATCATGTTCCTTTGAGTCTCCATCCCTTGGAAATCTGACTTCTTGCAGAAGGAGTAGGCACATCAAGATATTCAGGGGTGCCCCAAGAGTCTGGGACTTTCAAAAAAAAAAGATCAGGCTGAAACTGCAGTCAGATTTATGACAGCTGACAGTTTTTCAGAGGTCGCACACAGTGACTCTCCTCTCTCAGGATGACGAGGACCTGTGCCTTCAACAAGCAAAATGCTGCTCACGGTTGTCCTGCTTGCAGCCAGTCACTGTGTAAAGCCTCTCTGATGTGCACTTAAGAGTGGGTTGCTTTCTCACAAAGATGGGGTTCTGTGCAGTCACAGGTCACTTCCTTGACAACACAATCATTTCTGATCTTTATCACTGTAACCACGTCTTCTATTCCATAGGAGTTTCTTTTGATTCTCTCAGTTGCGGGGGGCATCTCTTAATCCTGGGGTAAAAGGAGAGATTGCCATACTTAGACTCACTGTGAGTCTCCCCGGCCATTTCACGAGGAGACCACAGTGCTGCCACCAGTGCCTAAACAGGTGGCTGGCATTCGAGACTTCCTCCTGTTCCCTGGGTCAGAGGATAGCGGTTTCCATCATAAACCAAGATGATGAGTTCAGCCTTTATCCCTCGTGGTTCCGCTAGATGTAACTTATAGGAGTTAACATTTGAGGACTTTGTTCTGCATCAGATCTTACTATTTGAATGTTTACTGTTGGATTTTGGGCATCTTATTACTGTTACTCAAAAACATTGACTCTGCATCAAGAAAGAAACAAGAAAGCAATAAAACAAGAAATAATTCATGCTCACATTTTTATGGTGGTTTTTTTTTTTTTTTTAACTTTGGATTTTTGCTTTTCAGCCCAGGAGTAAAGGAATGCCTTATGAACACCTGTGGCCTACGTGTGGTCATGACCCAACCATCAGTGAGATTATTTGAGATATTGGTGTCTGCATCCAGTGTTGTTATCTGAGTGTTTATTACGTAAGTTGTAACACCTCTACACAGGGTGTGAGTTTAGCACTGATGAGACCAGCTCCATCATTGTATGTGGCAGTGAGTCCTGTTACGAGATTGGGTTGGGCAGAAAGGACTGTTGACATGAGCCTGTGGATGTAGGTTGGACAGTCTCAGCCTGTGACTGACTAGGCAAGGAGCGGAGAGGCAACTGTGTGAGGATTCTCAGAGCCAAATTTTTAAGCCATGTTTTGGGTTATATTTCCCCCAACACTCATTTGTGCACTTGGTGGTGTCAATCTTTAGATGCCATTTATGTCTCTTAAGACATTATGAGGCCTCAAGAAGTGTACTACTACCTGGAACAGGATGGGACTCTCTTCAGCTTGCACACTCGGTTCGGCTCCCTCTCAGGGGTGGCCTGTAGATAGAACAACAATGTCCATTTGGAGGTTTGTGTGTCTGGTTTGGTAAACAGGAGAAGAGTTGCTCCAAGTGCCATGGGATCCTGGATTTTGTTACAGAATTAGACCAAACTCAACTGTGTGAAGCGCTGGAGAAGTGAAGATTCAGAAGGTGTTTGAATCAGGCTAAGTCACCAGGTCGTCTTTCAGAAGCAAAGCACAAGGCCACTGCAGAAGTGGGCCTGGGCAGGTGACGTGGCGGGGGCTCTGTGACCACCTCTGTGGGTCTGCAGCCAGGTGTTTAGTGGTGTGCCTGGGGCCACCCTAGTCAGCACTCAGGAAGAAGAGCTGGAGGTGAAGCAGAAGGGAATGAGGACAAGCTGGAACTGGCCAGGCACCTTTGTGTCTGTCACGTTGCTACACCACATTGAACAATGGTGATCTCAGATAAAAATGGCACTTGTTTCACTTTGGCCCTCCAGATCTCATGCCAGCAGGTCTTAGAGCCAATTCTGAATTAGACCACCAGGGAAGGGGACTCTGGGAAACACAGTTCTGGGTTAACCACGTTAACATAGTATAAGCCGCCCTGTTTAGTTTTGGAACTTGCCTACTTTGAATGACAGCATGCATGTATGAGTCCTTTTATACAGGCCCTTCGTCTAAGTGTACAATTAGTGATCCGTAGAGTTCGGACTCAGATTGACATTGGCATCGAGAGTCACTGATGGTGCACCACTGGAGATGACAAACTTCAGGGACCACTTCTGGCTTCTGGGACTGCCTCCCAGCTTTCATCTGCCCTGCTCTGCCAGCTGTAGGAAGAGCTGACTCTGATTACTATTTAATTCTGCTAATTAAAATCCAGCAACTGTGGGAAAATAATTTACAAGCCACATTGTCTTAAATCTAAACTCTGCTTTAAGGGTTTGGCATGGCTCAAAATAATTCTAGACTGGGAAGACTGGAGGGAACTTACTTCTCTTCATACTAGAAAGTCACCTCCCACCTCATTTTGTACATGAAAATGCTTAGTGAGGTGTAGAGAGTTTCAGAATCACCTGATGGTTGGCTACAGGATCAGAGTAGATCCCTGGCCTTCTGGCTGCCTAATAGTGGGCACCACCCAGCTTTACTTCAGTGAGTTTTGGGAACCATTTCTGATGACATCAATTTACAAAGCAAAGAGATGTTTGCTTCATTTTCACAAAGCTAACCTGTATTCTAAAGAGCCCAAATCGATTTCTCTCCTGAAATGCCTCTAGCAGCTTTAATTGATAGGGAGTTAAAACTGGGAGGCTCTCCAGTGAGTGACCCCTGTGTATGGACCCAGAGGCAGAGAAATTCTATTGCAACAGGATTTGACATGATTAGATATAATGTTTGTTCTTGACAACTATTTCTTTTTTACCTTTGGACTTTTGAAAACTTGCATTGTAATGTTTTTAGAAGAAACAGATCAACACAGAATTCCCTTTGGTTTTATAAAAGAGAAATTCCATCATGTAAACTATTTTGCTGCCATCTCTAGAAATGATTAGAATGATTAGAGAAATTCAAGAGTTATATGGTATGGAGCAGCCACAACGGTTATTTGGACAATTTGAAATTGATAACAAAATATTTTAAAAGAATGTTCTTAGTATTTAGGCTTCATAGATATCTCTCTTAATATCTGTAAAAATAACCATACAACTGCCTTGGTTGTAAACCTTAGTAGTAAAGTGTTTAGATTTCTACCATGAGATGTATGTTTATTAATCAATTTTGTGCATGACTAAATTGTATTATAGAAGTTTTGAATGAGGTTAAAATACAATGTTTAAAAATATTAATGATAAAATTTCTATTCAGTATTTTTAAGAATAATGAGCACTTCATTACTGTAAATGCTTTAAAACTGTGATTAGTAATTCAGATGTCGGTTACAAGTTCAGCTTAGTTTTATGGTTGCTTTTAATGCACTGACTTCCAAAATTTAGTAACTCTAAATGGAAGAAGAACACAACTAGTCACATTAAGTCATAATTGCTCATTCTTCATTTTTCTTCATCAGTTATGCAAAGGTTTTTGTGGAAATCTGAGTAATGAATTTCCATCTTCTCTCATGGCCGATGACACAAATGTATTAAGGTTTTTATACTTTTTAACCAAAGACTTTAATACACCAAAACTCTTCATTTGGAAAGTTTTGAACAAATTATAAAAGCAGTTTCCAGGTTTGTTTGAGTAACACCCTCACATGATTTTTGGCCAAAACATGACCTAACCCATAGAAACACTTCCAAACCCTTTTCTGAAAAGCACTCTCTCTAGCACTTTCTCCATCATCTTTTCCTGGGCCCACCCCATTTGGAGCCTTTGCTCTGAATAATCGTGGTACGGACAGAGGTAGCAAGTTCTAGTCTGAGGCCTTTGGCCACACCGCTACCTGTTCACCTGCATGGTCCTGCTGTAGACAACCATCTCGCCCCCAGCCCTTCCCCGCAGTGCCACCGAAGACTTGTGGTTCTGAGCCTGCAAAGTGCTTGGCTGAGCAGAGCAGAGAGGAACTGAACAGTGTGTGTTAAGAATGGAGCCTGTGAATCACTCCTTGTGAATCACGGCACTTTATCACTGCCCTTTCCTTAGACCTACTGAAGACAGCCTGGACAACCTGGCATGGCCAAGGGGTGGGGGGACAGCTTTGTACATCCTTTTTCCCAGTCATTTGCTTGCTTTCCTCACTCTTCTGACTACATCTTCCTGCCCTTGTTTTTCTCTTATTCCATATTTGGATGGATGTTGACCAATTTGGGGTGTCTCCTTTCTGGTCTTCCAGAAATCTTTCTAAACCCTGTAACTATGTTTCTAATCTCTTCCAACTGTTGGAAGAGGTGACTGATTACTGTTAAACTCGGGCTTTGGCTCTCAGCACCCTGCAGGGTGACCTCCTGAGGTGCCATCGTGTGGAAACTGTGCAGATGGTGAAGTACCATGTTAGGGAGATAGAGGCAAGTTTGCATGTGGGTCTGTTTAATGATACCGAATGCCTATCTGTGCTTGGTACTCTTTACCAAGGAGGGCATGATCTATTTATTTTCTTTCTTTGAAATAAGTGAATATCAAATTTACTCCTAAATTTCATATGTTCAAATCATCTAAATGGGTTGGTTATTAGAAAGGATATTAGCTTTTTCACTCTGGATCTGTCTCTCTTCACTATAGCCCCACTGTCTTTGCACAGTGTGGTTTCACCTGCCTGCCTCTCCATATCCAGCTCGGCGAGCATGACGTCTCCCCTGCTTTCACTCTCCAGCCCTCAACTATGTACCAAGCCTTGTTCTAGGTCCTGAGATGACAAAGTAAGTATTTGCCATCGTTGCGCTTTTATTCTAGTGAGGGAGATAGGTAATTGGAATAAGTAAACGAAAAATCAATCATGAGGTGGGGGTGCCTACCTAGAATATTCAGAGAAGACTCAGCTGAGGAGCTGGTGTTCAAGTGAGACTGGGAAGGAACAGCTAACAGAGGAGTTGGGTGAGAGTGTTCTGGGTGACTTATTAGAAAGTGGAAGAGTCTCTTCCAAATGACAAATGATTCTATCCTAGCTTTGAGTCTTGTGCCAAGACCTTAAAAAAAACACACACCCACTGCTGTGGTCTGAATGTTGATGTTGCCCCATCCCCCCTCCATTCATGTGTTCAAATATAATATCCAATGTGATAGAATTAAGAGGCAAAGCATTTGGGAAATGATTAAGTCATGAGGGCTCTACGCTCATGAATGGGATCAGTGCACTTAGAAGCTGGAGATGTGAAGACACAGCAAGAAGGCGCCGTCCGTCTATGAGGAACAGTCCCTCACCAGACGCCACATCTGCTGGTGCCTTGATTTTGGACTTCCCAGCTTCTAGAACTGTTGTTTATAAATTATCCAGTCTGAGTAGCCCAAACAAACTAACCCACTTAGCACCCACTTAACACCATGTCTCTTTCAGATGGCAAGAAAACACCAATATTTTTAGAGATAAATGTTCCATTACTGTGTAGTCCAATAAGTATAAATAAGTTCTTGGCTTGATCCACTTACAGTTTTAATGGACACAAGGGAATCTGCTATTCTTAACTTAGCATTAAACTGCGAGGAGGAATGAGTTGGTGAAATGGACATTGTAGTGGGCACCTGGCAGGGGGTGACCTTGTTATCTCAGTTTATGATGATGTCCCCTACAGATCTGACAGCCAGTGGACACAGCCCTATCAACTTCCTGCTGTGATCATCTGCAAAGGGAACCTAGGCATCGGGAAGACATTCGTTAAAGTTCAGGAAAAAATTAGGTGTGATTTCATGGCATGACAGCCTAAAAGAGACTTTTGTGAAATTCTACAAAAGTAAATCCTGACTGTTCAAATTGCATTCCAGGGTACTGAGAAAATTTGAGCAAAAAAAAATTGCTCAACTGCTATTAGTATTTTTTTGGAATGAGTTGACAATGGTGGAAAGAGGCACTGGAAATGGGAAGACAGAGATCTTTGAAGAAATATAGAGCTAGCCAAACTTCCCACTTTATTTAATGAGGTAGGAAGTGGATGATGTAAGTTATGGTTCGTTGAGCCCAGTGAAAAGCTTGTCTGCATGGATCATGAGGATATTCTTGCAGTCCTCCCTTTAATTCTCAGTGCCTTCTCTAAGAAAGCCCCAGAACTGTTCAGGTATTTCTCCCAAATAATGTTTGTTTTTAATCCGATGTCAACTGTGTAATTGAACAGGTGACCCTATTTTAATTTGACATTTCCGGAACACTCAAAACCAAATTGGTGGCCCTCCCATTAGCAAATGTGCAGGCATTTGGTTCTGACTCATTTTGACCCTCTCCGATTCTACTTTATTCCAGTTATTTCATGCTTTCTTAAATCTTTAATATCCTTGTAAATCACTGTAAAACATTTGAGGAACAAGATGGAGCCAGGTAAATATAAATAGAAGCGACATCTCATGGCTAAAAGCGCAGGCCCTGGAGTCAGCTGGAATCCGACCCTGATTTCTTGTCTGTATAATGGAAATAACAGCTATTTCATAGGATTATTGTGCAAATATTTATGACAAGCACTGAGTACTGTGGTGGACACCAAATTAACAAGCAATAAATGTTATCATTACTTATGATGACGTGAACTAAATCAGTTATGTGAGCTTGAGATTGGACCCAGGCAAAATTCCTCAACAGTGCAAACATATAAGATAGGTGATTCCTTAAGATCATGTCATGCTAGCCCAATGTAATTTTATGTTTCTGAAAGCACAGTGACCAAATGGAAGATGGGAAGCTGTAGGAAAATATACCTTGATGTCAGCAAAGCTTTTGACATCTCTCACAATACCTTAAATAAAGTCTTATTAAAACTTAAATGAGTTAAAGTGACATGAGCAGTAGGAGAGTTCGATTGTGTTGATTTAATAAAACCAGAAAGACTTCTAGGTTGTGGTTCTCAGCCCTGGTTGCACAATAGAATCACCCAGAGAGATTTTTCAAAGTACCAGGGCCCAAGGGTGCTCCAGGCTAACACACTCATGCACTCTGGGGTAGGGCCTGGGCGGTTTTTAGTTTTTAAGCTCCCCAGTGAATTTAAAGTTTAGCTAGGATTGAAAAATGCTGTGATGGATAATGGATTGTGGTGAGCCTAAAAAGGAGGAGTCTCACTGAGGGTTTTTCCTTAGCCAGCCGGTGCACATGTGTGTCATGTGATCTGTATGAGGCCCTAGGGACCATGCTCTTGGATGCACGGATGCCACTGACTAAATGCAATGAATGACAGACAGGACCTTGATTGATGTTGACAAGCTGGCCAGATGACCTGATTCAAGCAAGATGCACTTTTGAATGTCAGGTTCTAAATGTGTGTATAGGGCAGTGGGTCTCAGGGTATAGGCCCTAGACCAATAGCCTCAGCATCTTCTGAAACTTGTTAGAATTGTATTAATGGGATCTACCAACCTACTAATTCAAAAATTCTGGAGGGTGGGGTCAGCAATCTTTTTTCACAAGCCTTCCATGGGATTCTGATGTGTGCTAAAGTTTAAGAACCACTCACATAGAAGGGGGAATCCCACTGGACAAGTACAGAATCAGAGACATCTCATTAGCAACAGCAGTGACTGAAGACAGAGTCTGTTTATTCTTGATCTATAGTTCTGTTTTATTCTCGCTTTCCCATTGCGATGAAGACCTCATACTTGGCAGATCACGTCACTTGCTTATCTCTGTGTTCTACAGTCATTGTATAAAACTGTTTACTGAAAATCTGAGTAATTCCAGAGACTGTTACATAGTGAGAAATGTTGAGTTTAGAGCATAATGACACAGAAATAGCTGAGAAGAACAGCAGTTGCCATATGCCAGGCACCATTATGAGCCCCTTAGACGAATATTAACTCATTGAATGAGGAAAGACATGGTCATGGTTATTGGTTGGGTAGCAAGTGTTGACAAGTGGGCTCATTTAACTTCCAATGCTTTTGATAGGTCACTAGGAGTTCTGTGTGTCTGAGAATCTTTTTGATAATTAGTAAAATATTAACTAGTAAATACTAAAAATGAATGATCCCTTGCTTGCTCTGCCCTCTCAGTATCCACCCACCCCCAAAAAGGCAGGTGAGAGGAGGAAGAAAAATCTGCCTCCACACATTGAGGGAACAAGAGAAGGTAAAGAAGTTGGGAGAGACTATGCCAGGAGAGCTCACCCAGTTCCAGGGCATGGGACAGGTACGCAACCATCTAAGGACACACGTGGGAAACAAGGTGCCCAGGGTGGTAGAGCACAGATACTTCCCCCTCCTCCAGCTCCTGGGGAAGTTGCAGGTCATTCATTTACAAAGGGAGGCATAAACCAGAGAGAAGAAGACAACTTGTGGGGCTTAAGAATGAGTTGCTTGGGGACCAGTCAAAAGTTGTCTGAAAGAGCTGTCATGACTTAAGGCACCTTGGGAGGAGCAGTCTGGCTACCTCAAAATGCCTAGCCTAGATTTTTCTGTGGCTGTGGCCAGCCTTAGCCCTCCCTGTTTCCTAGACTGGGGAGGTTCTGAGGCACACCATTTCAAGGATTTTGCTCCTCTGAGAGATTAAAAATATGTTAGCATGTGTTAAGGATGCCAGAAAATCCTACAGTAAAAAAAAAAAAAACCAACAACCAACAACCTAGTTTCCACCTTTTCAGTATGTGGTCTTTCTAAAAGATATCTTTCCTTGATATGTTGCATGTGCTAAAGACTTGCACACACAACAGAAACATACAAAACAAAGTTTTCCAAAGTCCCCTCAACCTATATCCTACTTCCCAAAAGTAATCACTTAGCAGTTTCTTATCTCTTCCTCCAAAAATTGATATGCATACTACAGGATGAATTGATATGCATACTACAGAATGTATGTATGTGTGTGTGTTTATACAGATATTCTTTTTTTTTCACATAAATGATAACACTATACACACTAATCAGTTACCTTGCTCTTTAAAAATATCTTGGGAATATTTTCATATCAGTACATGTAGATAATGATAGAAATAATAGTTCACACTCATAAAGAGATAACTAATGAATGAGCCAAGTACTGATGAGTACTGTGTAAGTTTGTTTCATTTAATCTCAAAACTATAGGAGAGGTACCATTATTATCCTAATTTATAGTTGGGGAAGCTATCTAAAGAGGTCATGCCTACTGCCCAAGGCCACCAAGCCCAGCAGTTCAGACTCAAGAGCCCATGCTCTTGACCACTGCCACTGCAGTATACAAATCCACTCCAGTCTTTTTTTTTCTTTTATCTTTTTTTTTTTTTTTTTTTTTTGAGATGGAGTCTCACTCTGTCACCAGGCTGGAGTGCAGTGGCATGATCTTGGCTCCCTCCACCTTCCCAGCTTCAAGCAATTCTCCTGCCTCAGCCTCCAGAGTAGCAGGGACTACACGCCCAGCTAATTTTTGTATTTTTAGTAGAGACAGGGTCTCACCACATTGGACAAGATGGTCTCGATCTCTTGACCTCATGATCTGCTTGCCTTGACCTCCCAAAGTGCTGGGATTACAGACATGAGCCACTGCGCCCGGCCCACTTCACTCTTCAACACCTGAACATAATATTTCTGTGCTTGGATGCACCACAACGTATTGAACCAGGTTCACACTGATGGACATTTGAGTTTATCTGCCTTGAGCATATCTGCACATAATACCTTTGTGAATCTGTAAATGTATCTGAAAGATAAATTCAGTGAATCACAGCAGCAAAGAGCACAAACTGAAGTCCTGATCCCCATCCCCTCAGATCAACCCTGTCCCCCACAGATCTCCGTGTTGGTCAATGGCACTGTCATTCACTCAGTTGCTTAGTTGACCCCTTTCTTTTTCTCATATCCTACATCCAGTCCATCAAACACATCCTTTCTACATCCCCTCAGTCTGTTCTTCACACAGCATCCAAAGTGGACCTTTCAAAACAAATCATGTCACTACCCTGCTTTAACCAAACTCTAGTGGTTTCCCATCACATTAAAACAAAGTGTTAAGTACTTATGAGGCCCTGAAAGGCTGGCAGTTGTTGGGATGCAATTTAAGCTTCTGCACAGCCACTCAAAATAGAGTTGCTCAAACAAAATAGCAACTTCTCAAACCTTTATAGCAGTCCAGAGGGCAGGTGGGCCATTTGGGATGGAGAGTGTTTCTGTTCTACAAGGCCAACTGAAGACCCAGGTTCCTTCTGTCTTCTTACTCCTCCAACATCCAGGGCAGTAGTTCTCAACTAGGGGTAATTTTGTTCCCTGGGGTACATTTGACAATGTCTGGAGACATTTTTGGTTTTAACAACTGGGGAATGAAGAAGGGTGTGTGTTAGTGTCATCTAGTGGGTAGAGGCCAGAGATGGCTGCTAAACATCCTACAATACTTTGAACAGCCTCCGCAACAAGTTATCATGGGTCCAAAATGTCAGTATTGCTGATGTTGAGCAACCCTGTTCTTGGGCAGTGGTTTTGAAGCTTGAGTCCCCTGGAGGGTTTCTTAAAATACAGATGGCTGGGCCCCACCCCCAAGGTTTCTGATTCAGTAGTTCTGGAGGGGGGCCTGAAAATTTGCATTTTGGTAAGTTTCCCGATGATGCTGAGGATGCAGGTCCAAGGACCACACTTTCTTTAAGAAACTCTGCCCTGGAGACTTTGCCTTGTCCACAGGGAAGAAATAGGCTTACCAGCACCAGGTCTTTGCTCTGCCTGTGAGAAAGGATAAAAGAGAGGGGAACATTGCCCATTTATTGCCCGTTGCCCATTTTATAAATACAGAACCAAGAAGTAGCAGAAACCATTTCCATCCATGGTCCATTAGCATGAACTCACTGATGTAGCCACACCAAGTGGCACAAGAGCCTGGGAGATAGGGTCTCAATGTGAGCCCCACAAAGATGGGGGATTTTGGCTGGGCATGGTTGCTCATGCCTGTAATCGCAGCACTTTGGGAGGGTGAGGCGGGTGGATCACCTGAGGTCAGGAGTTCGAGACCAGCCTGGCCAACATGGTGAAACCCTGTCTCTACTAAAAATACAAAAATTAGCCGGGCATGGTGGTGGGCGCCTGTGGTCCCAGCTACTCGGGAGGGTGAGGCAGGAGAATCACTTGAATCTGGGAGGCGGAGGTTGCAGTGAGCCGAGATCGCGCCACTGCACTCGATTGCCAGCCTGGGCAACAGAGCGAGACTCCGTCTCAGGAAAAAAAAAAAAAAAGATGGGGGGATTTTATTACAAAGGGAAGAAGGGAATGTGGATATTAGAGACAGTTCACAGTCTCTGCTGAAAGGCTCTGCCAAGATCTGCCCCCACCCCTCCTTGCTCTCAGACCTTGCTTCCTACCTCTCCTCCTCACTTACTGCAACTCTCTGGCCTCTGCTCTGCTGACAACCCCCATGCTCCCTCTCAGGGCATCTGCACTCATTGCTCCATCTGCTTTGGAAGCTCCTGTCCTGGTCAGACATTTGGTTTGTTTCCTCACTTCACTGTGGTCTCACCTTGTCTAATAGGCAGCCCCTGCCCCCTCTGCCCTGTACTCTCTATCCAGCCCTGTCCATGCTAATTACTGCTCTCTGACAGTATAGTCCATGTTTGGTTGCTTATCTGTCTGTCCCTGCCACAGGAAAGTAAGATTTGTGAGGAAAGGGTCTTACTTCCTCACTGTTGTTATATCTTGGGCAGCACTTGGACATAAGAGGCAATCAGATATTCAGTAAACAAATGAAAGTGCATCTTTCATTTTTGACAGACGCTGCCAGATTGGTGTTTAGAATGTAAATCCATGAGCCTGCTCAACCCTCATTAATATGGAATATTTTCTTTGAGCTTCTTGTGCCCAGTGTGGTTGCAAATAGGCCTTGCGGGCCTGGAACATTCATCACTCGCCTCTGCCTCGCTGGGGTGGCCTCATCTCCCCAGGTTCCTTGAAGCTGCACTTCCCAGCTGGGATGTGAGCCAGAGGAAACAAGGGGGTCTGGCTGCAAATCCTTCTAAGGAGGGGACCCCACCTCTCAGAGGAGTGTGTGATGGTCACACCCATTTAACGTGATAGCCCAATCAAGGGAGAGGCCATAGATTCATCTGATTTAGCCCCCCAGAAAAAAATCATATCCTTATCTAAACTATCTTGACTTACAAGATTCTTAATGGCTCAAAAGTGCTTTATCAGCTCAAGCTGATCTAAGAAAATAAACATTTCATAATTGTGATAATACAAGTGGCTCCAGACGAAAGAACAGCTCAATCCTGATGGATGGTTCTTATAAATAAACCAGGCAATCACACACTGCAGAAATAACTAGAATTTCTATGACTTCACGGGGAGCCAAATGGAAATGCCCTTGCCAAGTGAATGCTAAAGTCATCCCATAGTCAAAATGTGGTCAGGCGCTAAGTGTGAGCCAAAACATTTTGCTGCAGCTACAGCCATTCCTCAAGTGGAACCCAGTTAACTTGGGTCCTCAAATTGAATTTTTATGCTTTGATTTTTAGGGAAAGGGAATACACTATAACAAAATATTGCACATAGAAAGGGTCTGATTAAAACCAAAGAGAAACAAGATACCAGCGACCAGCAGCAGGCTGGAAATCGGGTTTGACTCAGTGGCTTACGTGTTGCATGTCTACAGACTACATCATCTGGACTTACAGCGCCCTGCAGCCCAGCAGTGTCCTGGATGATTAAAAGCAGGCCCAGGCATTGATTCATGAGACAGAGATTTTCAGCATCACTGGTGAAAATAAAAATAGTTTCCTTTTAGCCAGAAAAGGTCAGCTATCAGAAGAACCTCATTTCCTTAGCATTTTAATTTTTGAGATTTTATGGTGATAAGAAGAAACAAATTATTTTTCAACGCAGTGCATTCTAACAATTTCTCTGGAAAATTGTATCTTCTGAGGCCAGGCATCCATGTGGTCTTTTTTTGGTGGACATAATAGTAGCCAAGACAAAACCAGGGAGGCCCAGCTTTGCCTGCTGGCTCAATTCTGAGACAACTGGTACCTCCCTGAGAACAGGGCTTCACTCAAGACAGGTTGGCCAGAAGATGTTATTTGGTTCAGCCTATCTCCATACCTTCCCCTGGAGCAAATGTCATGATTTCTCATATTGCCCAGTCTCTAAATCCTCTTGGTAACTAGCTTGGTGGTTGTATTATTCCTTTTTCACACTGCTATAAAGATACTACCTGAGACTGGGTAATTTATAAAGGAAAGAGGTTTTATTGACTCACAGTTCTGCATGACTGGGGATGCCTCAGGAAACTTACAATCATGGCAGAAGGTGAAGGAGAAGCAAAGGCACGTCTTACATGGTGGCAGGTGAGAGAGAAAGTATGAGCAAGAGCAGGGAAAACTGCCTTATAAAACAATCAGGTCTCCAGAGAACTCACTCACTACCACAAGAACAGCATCGGGGGAAAAGCCCCCATGATTCAATCACTTCCCCTCAGGTCTCTCCCTAGACATGGGGATTATGGGGATTACAGTTCAAGATGAGATTTGGGTGGGGACACAGCCAGATCGTATCAGTGGTCTGTGCATTATGGGCAGTCAACATGGAGGAGTGAACACCTGGGAAAGGTAGCCAATTCCAGGCTTGGGAAGGCTCCAAAGCTGTTCCAGAAATGGAACCAGCCACCCCGGCAGGGTGGGGACATGCAAGAAACCATAGGACACCTCCTTGGCTTCAGGACTGGTAGGCACCAGCCACAAAGTCACATCTTGGCCCTTTCCAAGGTTTTCCAGAAAGTTCTAGCATTCTATGCACAAGGCAGGAATCATAATCCTGTGGTTTAGTGGGGCTGAGTGCGGCTGCTACCACAAACACTTCATTAGTCAGAAAGTGCCTCCGTAGGATCACCGGTAGGATCAGAAATGAACTCAAAGCACCAAAAGAAAATATTTTTCGTGTAATATATTTGGAAACTATTTCTCATATGCAGAGGTCCACAAAGCATTCAAAGGCCACAAACCCGAAAATACTACAGACACTTTGGAAGCCTAGGAAGATTTCCCAGTTCCTGAGGCTGCATGACAAGGCTGCCAGTGTTCCTACAGCTGGTGGCCCCAAGAGTCTCCCCTTTTATTATTATTTTTTTCTGTTTCTTACCCCATCAGACCCCTTTCCCTGGGAGGCTCCTTTCAAAAGCTTCACTACATCTGTGAGAGCTTGGAGGGAAGTGAAGAAATCAACCTCCTCTGACAGAGAGGTTTGAAAGCAGAGCTGTTCAGTGTTCCAGTGTCCTGCTGTTCTTTGCAGGCAAATGCTTCTTGTGTTTTATTCACAGTAGCCATAATACATTCCACCCCAAGACTAACATGCAAACATGAAGGGACTGCCTAGAAGACCAGAGAGAAGTGCCGTGGTTTGAGCCTAGATCCCACTTGTGTTAGTCTGTTCTTGCATTGCTATAACAAAATACCTGAAACTAGATAATTTATCAACTAAGGAGGTTTAATTGGCTCACAGTTCTGCAGGCTGTACAAACATGGAGCTGACATCAGCACAGCTTCTGGTAAGGCTTCAGAGAGCTTTTACTTGTGGAGGAAAGCAAAGCAGGAGCAGGCACATCACAAGGCAAGAGAGAGAAGAGGGAGGTCACGGGTTCTTTTAAACAACCAGATCTAGTGTGAACTAACTGAGCAAGAACTCTCATCACCAACGGGATGACACTAAGCCATTCATGAGGGATCTGCTCCCGTGATCCAATACCTCCCATGAGACCCCCCCATCAACATTGGAGGTCACATTTCAGTGAAAGATTTAGAGAGGACAAACATCTAAACCGTAGCACCACTTTTCCTAGCTTCAACCTCAGATTGCAGTTTCTCCTCCCAGGCTTCTCAGACTGGCCTGCATATGGAATACTGTTCCCACTACCTCCTTAACGACTACCCAGGTCTGAACCACAGAGCAGCAAGTGTTAAAAGACACAAGCTCAAGTAAATGCTCTAGGATTGTGCCGTCTAATGTGGTAGCCACTGACCACGGGAGTGACTGAGCTCTGGCAGTGTAGCTAATCCAAATTGAGATGCCCTGTAAGTATAAAATACACACCAGATTTTGAATACTTTGTATAAAAAAGAATGTAAAATATGTTATTAATGCTTATATTGGTTACACTTATTTTTGATACATTGTGTTGAATAGAATATAGCATGTCTTAGTCCACTTTCTGTTGCTGTAACAGAATACCACACACTGGGTCATTTATAAAGAAAATAAGTGTATTTGGCTCATGGCCTGGAGGCTGGGAAGTCCAATGGCACGGTGACACCTTCTAGTGAGGGCTTTTGTACTGTGTCATGGTAGAGGGTGTCACATAGCAAGACTGCAAGAGCATGCCTGTCAGCTTCCTCTTCCTATAAAGCTGCTACTGTCATCAGTGGGGGTCCCCACCCTCATGACCTTATCCAATCCTAATTACCTCCCAAAAGACCCACCTTGAAATAACATACGAATTTGGCACTTAGTTTCTCACACATAAAGTTTGGGGGACACATTTAAACCATAGCATAGTATTAAACTTAATTTCACCTTCTTTGTTTTTACTTTTTTTTTGAGACGGAATCTCACTCTGTTGCCAGGCTGGAGTGCGGTGGCGCCATCTTGGTTCACTGCAACCTCCGCCTCCCGGGTTCAAGCGATTCTCCTGCCTCAGCCTTCCGAGTAGCTGGGATTACAGGCATGCGCCACTGCACCCAGCTAATTTCTGTATTTTTAGTAGAGACAGAGTTTCACTATGTTGGCCAGTATTTTCTCCATCTCCTGACCTCGTGATCTGCCCACCTCAGCTTCCCAAAGTGCTGGGATTACAGGCGTGAGCCATCGCACCCAGCCTGTTTTTACTTTTATTCCTGTGGCTACCACAAAACTTAAAATGATATGTGTGCTTCACACTTTATTTCTATTGGATGGCATTGCTTTAGAAGTGCTGGGAGAAACACCCATGTAGTCTAAGGGTCAGGAGAATTCCTGGAGAGGGGACATTGGGGCTGTGCTGAGACAGGAGGGGGCATTTCATCAGGGGATGAGAGGAGGGCTTTAGGGCTTTTGTGTGGGGAGAAACTACCTCAACTTGCTAGCAGACCAGCTCAGCTGGCGGGGGGGCAGGAGGTGAGTCGGGTTTTATCAGGTTCATATTTCAAATGACTTGCTAGCTCAAGCCAGCTTTTCATTCTGCCATAGCACATCAGGGGCAGGAAATGGAAAGTCGAGATGCAATGTGTCTCCAAGCCCCTTCGGCCCTTCAGGAGGAAGGGAACTGTTTGTCCTGCAAGTCATTGGTACAGACAGTAGCCTACGTAGAGACAGGTTTGCATTTCAGCACAAGGTCCTATAGTAACAGCTGCCATTTCAATGCTGCAGAAATATCTTAAGCACTCACTGTCTCTTCAATGTTCTCAAAAATTCCATCCGGCTACTTTGATTACAGCCTGCATCTCACAAATAAGGAAATAAAGTCTCTGAGGGGTTACTGACAGCCATAAAGCCACATCAGATAAAAGAGGAAGTCAGGATTTGCCCTCCACACCCCTGCTTCTGCACTCAAGACCAGCATGGGCCACCTTGTGCCAACTTCTACTTGGCCCCAGGGCCCCCACCCCAGCTGCCTGCCCCAGACAACCCCACATCTGGCTGCTGGTCGTTCTGCTCTGACTTGTACTGCCTGGCGAGTGCTCCTGGACTCTGCTGGCTGCTCCTAAGCCAACAGGTACAGCCTGAGTCCAGGCCCAGCACCCAGCCCTTTGCCATGGTCCGTGGAATAGAAGGGAAGCGTTCAGAAGCTGCTCCCGGAGCTCTCTGCTGGCTGGGGAAGCTGACCTGGGTGAAAGGGCCAGCTGCCCCATTTCCCCGTGGCTCTGCATCCTCCCATCCCGCTGCAGTGCCCCCGGGTCCCCTAGGGGTCTGTATCTGCTCCAGGGAGATCTGGGCTTGTTGGGCTTTGCCTTTTGTCCAGTCCTCCGTTTCACCCCGCAGGTTCCATCTGGCATTTAGATATTAGAAATAGCTGCAAGTGAGGGTGTGACTTGGGTGGAGACCTGGAGCCTGTACTCCACCCTGAAAAGGAAAAAAAAAAAAAGCTTATTTAATTCATTTCTGTACTTGGAAGCCTCTAGCTATTTAGAATGCCAATTAGGCAGAGGCTGTTGGATTTGTTTTTTTTTTTTCTTTCCCTATCCCAAGACGGCCTGTCTGATTTTCTGTGCCTGTTGACTTAAGCTCTTACAGGAGGTTGGGTGGGGCGGGCGTGGCGCGCCCACAGCTGCTTTGAACGTGGCCTGGCTGAGCTTTGCTGACTTTCGGTAAGAGCCTAGGGGGTGGGGGTGGGGGTGGGTGAGGGGCCACAGAAGGGCCCAGCTCTTCCCTGTTACTTCCAAGATGCAGGAGTTTGGGTTAAGAGGAAAGATGTGTCCCTGAGAGAGGGGAGTCCAGCTGACTGGTGACTGAGGAAGCCCTTAACAGATATCCCCACCGGGAGGGTGCTAGGGCTCTTGGCTCCTGCAGAACTTGGGCCTCTCCAGGACTCATCTGGCATCAGTTGTAGTTTCTATGTGCTCTAAGTCACTATTTCCTCGTCAGTGTGGTGATTCCAGTCCCTGCCCAGAGCTCAGGGTGGGTTTTGTGGTACCTGAGCGTGGCATACCGTAAGACTTACAGACATTAGCTCTCATCGGCTTCTGTATTCTCTTGACATACACAGCCAGATGACGCTCAAAGAACAATTCCTGAATGGTTGAATGCAATTTATAGGAAGACCAACATAAATTGAAGGGCCTCTAGTTATTAGCCAAATATTAATATGTAAGATGATATTTTTTTAAAGTGAAAGCATTGCATCATACAATGTAAAGTGTATGTTATTGCATAATTATTAAAGCATCACAAAGTAAATGACTGCAACAGTTTAAAAATCCATGCAAGTAGATATTTCAGCAAGCAAAAATAAGAAACATCCATACACTCACCCTCCAGCGGTCATGGCCATTATTAAAACACTATGATGTGTGATCTTTGGGCTCTTTTTCTATGGATATATTAATTTGTACTTGCATATACATGGGGCGGAGGCTCTGATGCTGTTAGTGAGGGTTGTAAAGGAGTGACGGCGCTTTTGCCCCTATGGTTCTTTGGGTGTCACTGATGTGGCCTGGAGCTTGTGTGACGGAGGGAGAGATGGAACTGGGGGTGCACTGGCCCTATTGAGAAACAGGGATGACAGGGAAAGTAAAGCGATGTCACGGCCTTTGTCCTTAACCTGCCTGGGAACCCAGTTTGAGTTTTCACGGGGGAGAGAGGTAAGGGCCACAGGCTAAAGAAACTGGTTTTATGACAGACTTTGTGAGCGTCTGGGCACAGACGATCCTGCTTCAGGACCAAATGACAAGATGAATCAGGGAGGGGGTTGATGTTGGCACCATTACCTGCAGTGACAATGGGTTTCTTTGAAAGTTTGTTTAATGGGCTACTCACTGCAAATGAACAAAATGGAGAACAGTCGCGGGTTCTAGTGGTTTAGACACTAAACTCCCTTTGAGACTGCTGGGAAAAACAGGAAGATTTTAAAGGGAGACTCCGGTTCTGCTGTTTGGGGAGCTCAGAGTCATGGGAATTTGGGTATAAATATAAATTGGATGCTCTTATTAAACAAATATTGACTCATTTATTTTATAATAACTTATTGTTTGGTTATGAAGATGAAAACATTAATTTAAATTATGTTCATAGAGTCCATTCCATCATTTATCGAACAACAATAAGAAGATGAGATTCAAAGGAATTCCACAGTGTTCTTCAGATTCTATCAGTTGTAGGACACTTCAGGTATACAAAGACGGCTGGCTACCCTTTATTTCTCCAAAGTCCATCCTTGCTTGGCATGATGGCAAAGGAAAATGAACATGAGGCCCACCTAGTGCAGCATTTTAGATCTAACTTGGTACCCAATTGAGGAAACAATCTGAACTTCACAAATCCCAAGTCGGCAACCACGTGCCAAGCCTGCCAGCACCCATGATGAACTATGGCTTTGTCAGCTGTCTTGGGCCATTTGGTGTTGCTACAAAGGAACACCTGAGGCTGTGTAATTTCTAAAGAAAAGAAGTTATGTGGTGCATGGCTTAGCAAGCTCTATAAGAAACATGGCGCCAACTCCTACCTCTGATGAGGTCCTTTGGTTGCTTCCCTTCATGGCAGAAGGCAGAGCGGAGCCAGCGTGTGCAAAAGCCACATAGCAAGAGAGGAAGCAAGGGGAGGGAGGTGCAGGCTCTTTTTAACAATCAGCCCTCAAGGAAACTAAAAGAATGAGAATTCACTCACCACCCTCCCCCAGGGAGAGCATCAACCTATCCACAAGAGACCCATCCCCATGACCCAAACACCTCCCATTTGGCCCACCTCCAACATTGGGGATCAAGTTTCAACATGAGATTTGGAGGAGACAAGCATCCAAACTATAGCACCCACCTTCAGGAGCTGGGCATGTAATACTCAGGAGAAGGTCAACTGCAAGCCACACCCCTGGGAAGAGGCACACCCTCTTATGTAATGCAACAGCCACAGCCTCCGGACTTCATTCCTATCTCATATCCAGAGTTTAAGTGCAGCAGAGGAGTAAAACCTGACTCTAGAAGCTTAAGTGCTTTCCAGGTGTTAATACTGCCTTGCAGAATGCCTTGGGAGAGCTCAATTGTACATTACATTCCTTATGAACACAGTTCCTGTGTGTCATGCTCCTTAGAGGGTATCTGATGAGAGAAGCTTACTGCTGGCAGGTGCTGTAGGAATCCCTTTCTTCAGACAGGACCTTGCCTTGGGTCCTCCATGGCCTGTGAAAGTCTTCAAGGGTCTAACCTCTTGTTCTCTCTTTTATGTGCCTCCCTCTCCCCAACTTGAGAGAGTCTCACTATAACCCCAGAACACCATTCAATTTCCACTTCATTGTAGACTGAGTCTTTATTACCAGATGTCAAGGTGTTTTTTACTGAAGCATCAACGTCACTTTTTCAGACAGATGGTCTTTTAAAACCCCAAGGCAGGGAGAAGTATGGAAAAGCTGTATCTACAGAGAGGTGATTTCATTCTTAACTTATGTTTTTCTTCATTAGATGCCAAAGAAATACTTCTTGAACTCATGATCTCCACTGCTACCATATTGGTTCAGGCCACCATTCTCTTTGGGCTGGACCAGTGCAATCTTTTTCAATGGTTTTATTTGCTTCCAGCCCTTCTCCAACCATACTCATCCAGGTGATCGAAACACACACACACACACACACACACACCTGACCTTGTCCCTCCCCACCACTGCTGAACTCCACCTACTTTCAGTCCTGCAATGACACTGGCTGTCTTTCAGATTCCCAAATCTGCACAAACCCATTCCTTCCTCTGTCAGAGCCTTTGTCTGGACTGCTTCTCCTGCCTTTCCTTCTTTGAAATTGACTCCTTTAACTTCAGATCTCAGCTCAAGCATCGCTTCCTGTAAAAGCGTTTCACAAACTCCAGGCTAGAACAATTTCCTTGCAATATGTTCTTTTAACACTTGGTAGTTTCTTTCCATTTCATTGATCAGAATGACTGCTTATATATTTTTCTGGGTGACTACTTGATTAATGTCTGTCTTTTCACTAGATTATAAGTGACATGAGAATAAGGACTGTGCCCATTTTGGTCACCATTATATCCTTAATACCTAGCACAGAGCCCAACACAAAAATGCGTTATTAATAGATATTTGTCAAATACTTTTACTTGAATAGATATGTGAACTTGGCTCCCAGGAGTTTATCATCAGCTAGGAGAGAAAAAGATTGCTCTTTATTCCCCAAAGCCCTTTTCAAATGTCATCCTCATCGTGAGGTTTCCCTGTGCAATCCCCTTTCCTCCTCTCCACCCCTGGACAGAATAACCTTCTTCCAGCGCAGGCCCCAGCATGCTCTGTTGTTCCTTAGTATTCCCTTCTTGGGCTTTTGGAAGAAGACTGGTCTGCCTTCATCCAAATCTTTCAACTGGACAGATCCACCTGGATACCTGCATCAGTTTCTTAGGGCTGCCAATATAAAGTACCAGAAACTGGGTGGCTTTAAACAACAATTCACCATCTCACAGTTCAGGAGGTTAGAAGTCTGAAATTGGAAAGTCCGCAGGGCCATGCCCCCTCTGAAGCCTGTTAGGGAGAATCCTTCTGACATCTTCTAGCTTCTGGAGTTTGCTGCCAATCTTTGATATTTCTTGGCCTGTAGGTGCATCACTCCAATCTCTGCCTCCATGATCACATGACTGTCTTCTTATAAGGACACCAGTCATATTAAGGCCCACACTACTCCAAGAGGACCTCATTTTAACAAACTATATCTGCAACTCCCCTACTTCCAAATAAGGTCACATCTTGAGACATTGAGGATTGTGACTTGAATACATCTTTTGGGAGGACACAGTTCAACACATAGCAATAGGCAGTGGGTAACTCAAACTCACCAGATCTCAAATTGGCCTCCATGTCTTTTCCCCGGACTCACTCATTTTCCTGTACTCCTTATCCTGATTGGGGGCACTAGGCCCTAAAGCAGAAACCTGGAAGTCATTCTATTCTTCTCCTTCTTTTATATCTACATAGTCATGATGTTCTAACAAGTATCTCTTTAAGAGTTCTCATATTCATCCCCCAAATCCCTGTTTTAGTTTCTTCATCATTTTTAACCTATGCAACTATAAGAATCAAACTAGTTTTTCTATCTCTTGTTTCAACCCCCTCTAACTCATTCTCTGCATTGCTGCATGAGACTTTTTTTTTTTTTTTTTTTTTTTTTTTGAGATGGAGTCTCGCTCTGTCGCCCAGGCTGGAGTGCAATGACGCGATCTCGGCTCACTGCAACCTCCACCTCCCAGGTTCAAGTGACTCTCTCGTCTCAGCCTCCCAAGTAGCTGGGACTATAGGTGCCCGCCACCATGCCTAGCTAATTTTTGTGTTTTTAGTAGAGACAGGGTTTCACCATGTTAGCCAGGCTGGTCTCCAACTCCTGACCTCAGGTGATCCGCCCACCTCGGCCTCCCAAAGTGCTGGGATTACAGGCGTGAGCCACCGTGCCTGGCTGAGACATTTTTAAAACACAAGTATTACCATGATACCATGTTTAGAACTCTTCTCAAGCTCTGCTCTGCACATAAGGTGGTCCAAATTCCTATGCAGAGCACATGAGATTTCATCATCTCATCCCTACTTTTCCGAGCTCCTCTTTAGACATTTCCTCTTGCAATCTCTTCTCCAGTCATTGTGAACCATTCACAGTTCCCTAAACCCAGGAAACAGTTTCATGCCTTGTGCTTGTAGCAGAGACATTTATTACTCATGGAATAGCCATGTGTTCCTGTACATTTTGCAACTCCGGGAGGCATGTGATTAGTTCTGGCCAATGGGCTGTGGATGAAAATTTTATGTGTCACCTCTGAGCTGAAGCATTGAAGAGCCAGTGTGCTAAATTCCAGCTTTTTTTGTTTTCCTGCAATGCCAGCTTACAAACCACATGTTCCAGGTGGTACAGCTGGACCCTCTAGCTTGGGTCCCCAAGTGACTGTGTGGAGCAGGGCCCTGCTCCTTACTCCTCCTGTCCAGCTGACCTGATTAGGCAGGTGACCTGAGTGAGAAATAAACTTCAGCTATCTTCAGCTACGAAGGCTTCAGGGTCATATTATTACCAAAGCATAACCTAGGCTTTCCTGACTCATGCTTTTGTACAAGCTCTTCCCTTTGCCTAACATGACCCCCTTCAGCTGCCTGGGAAAGTCTTACTGATCATTCCAGCCCCATTGATCTTCTCTTCTGTGAAACCTGATCTGAGTCATTGCAAAAGAAAGCTAACTACTTCCTCCTGTGCTCCCATGGCAACTTGTAAACAATGCTGACATCATCCTCATCGCTGGTTATCATAACAATTTAATATCCATCAATTCATATGGTACTAGATCATGGGTGCATTGAGGGCAGGGACTGTGTGTCCATCCAGCTATCAAATTTGTATCTCCAGCACCCCACAGAAGGATTTGCATACAGACGATACCCAATCCAATGAATGATGAATGAATAAAAAACTGACTAAATGTAATCTGTACAGAATAGGCTTTTGGCTGAGCATGATGGGGGAGGTCTGGGTCATACAGTGAAAACACTGTATGGGACTCTATAGTTTGCAGACATTAGAAGACAATAATTGCCATTTTGAGCTTATGTTGAATTCATATTGGCCTGTATAATGTGTATTACTATAGAAAATAAAACTTTCATACATACAATCAGGAAGGTGATTCTTCAAAGAGTGTCTAAAAATTAATTATGACTCATGAGTGAGTGCACGAGAGTGGAATCAATGTGGGTCCTGTTAGTGGAGAGTGTTTATTTAGGAAACAACACTGCACATGTGTAACAGCCAGAATGACGATTAAGATCACGTGTAACTGGCACATTACAAAAAGGTGGAAAGGACACTGTGAACAAAATGCAACTCTATCTATCATCTGTCTACCTATCTATCATCTCTCGATTTATCTACCTACCTATCATCTATCAATCTATTATCTATCATCTATTAGCTATTATCTATCTATCTTCTGTCTATCATCTATCTATCATCTACCTATTATCTATCATCTATCTACTATCTATCATCTATCTACCTATCATCTGTCTATTATCTATCTATCTATCAATCTATCTATTATCTATCTATCATCTATCTATCTATCTATCTATCTATCAATCATCTATCTATCTTCTATCATCACCTATAAATCCCATGACAGCAGTAGGGGCAGATCTAAGTTTTGTGGGGCCTCTCATTGCCTCTTTAAATTAATTCTATTGGGTAGGGGCAGCATTCCTCTACCCCTGCTGATGACTTGGGTAGACCAGAGATCTCAAGGTCACATTCAGACAATAAAATATCCTTTGAATTGCACAAAATGGCCTCCATTCAGATTTTAGCATTCCAAGTTGCAGATAATAGTTAAAACTTCAGAAACAATTTAGCTTTAAATCTTCTTTCCTTCCCTGGCTGGGACCTGTCTCACCCAGGAAGTCTGCCCTGGGAAGGGGTCATGGCCCTCTTCCTTTCC
Organism: Homo sapiens; assembly: GCF_000001405.40. Taxonomy (NCBI): domain Eukaryota; kingdom Metazoa; phylum Chordata; class Mammalia; order Primates; family Hominidae; genus Homo; species Homo sapiens. The sequence goes on from NC_000004.12 coordinate 38,162,366, forward strand.
CCTCCCTCTGCTCACCTCCTTCCCTTTGTTTGCTGCTATTTCCCTCCATTCCTGGAATGAAGCCCAGAAAGGGGAGAGGTATGAGGATGAAACAGCTCTCATGTGGCTGGGCAGCCTAAGGCTTTTGGGCCGGACAGCTGGCCTCCCTGGAGCAGCCTGGCTGATGATTAAAGCTGACCCTGCCATGAGCTCCACAAAGGCCTCCAGCTGGGCTGCTCTCGCCTGTGGTTCCATTGACCCAGGCTGAAGCACCTCTGTCCCTTCAGGTGGTCTCATGTGATTCTTTCCCCAGCTCCTGGGATTCTGGAGGTGCCACGTCCAGTCCCTCTGCTGAGGTCTTCAGTCCATGCCTTTAAGCCCCAAGACCACCCCACACTACCCCACACCTGCTTCTTTTCCCACGGGGCCCTCATCTGGTCTTGGGACATGCTGCTTGCTCTGCCACAATAGTATCCATCGGTTAAAATATTTTGGCGCTGTCCTATGTCCTTTGCATTTATTACCTAATTAATAATGCTCACAACCAAGTAGGTACATTTGGCAGGCTGTATCCATGGGTATTTCCTGTAAAATTTCTGTCCCTGGTTTTGCCATCATGAAACACTGTGTGCACATTTCATTTGTCATTGATTTTGGCTGCAGAAACAGGAATCAGGAGATTGAGGCTTTATCTTGGCTTGACCATGAACTCACTGTAAAGCTTACGGCAAGTCAGCCATATCTCTGGGCCTCAGTTTCCACAGCAATAAAATAGGGAAGTGGAATGGATTCATCCTTACAAGGTTCCTTTTCTTTTCTTTTTTTTTTTCTTTTGAGACAGAGTCTCGCACTATCGCCTGAACTGGAGTGCAGTGGTGCAATCTTGGCTCACTGCAACCTGTGCCTCTCAGGTTCAAGCGAGTCTCCTGCCTCAGCCTTCCAAGTAGTTGGACTACAGGTGCACCACCACACCCAGCTAATATTTGTATTTTTAGTAGAGATAGGATTTCAGCATGTTGGCCAGGCTGGTCTCAAACTCCTGACCTTGTGATTCACCTGTCTCGGCCTCCCAAGGTGCTGTGATTACAGGTGTGAGCCATGGTGCCCAGCCCCAAGGTTCCTTTTCACAGTAAAAGTCCATGATTTAAGAAATAATTCTAGGATAAAGAAATGCGTGTAGGCTTGGGGATAGGAGGGGAAAGGCTAGTTAGGATGTGGGGTTCAAGGATTTAAGTAATCCTTAAAGGTCCTAAGCATCCTTCAATATTGAACAAACTTAAATATGGATCTAAAATGCCTTGGAATCTAGGGCTTTGTCAATTGCTTCTTTCACAACTCTAATGAGAAATCTCATTAAAAAGAGAGGTTTCAGTCCATGGTTTTGAGAAACTTAAAAACATTTGTCTGCCTGACTCATTAACTCCACTACCAGAAATAGATTCTAAGAAATAATCAGAAGCTTACACAAAGGTTTGTGTATAAGACAGTGAGTCACCATGATCTTTAGAGTAGTAAAAGGTAGAAACAACTCCCTTTGTTCCATCTCTGCTCACACGACACCTCCTTAGAGAGGGTCTTGACCTGGACAAATAAAGTGGCCCCTGTCTTCTTACCATGCCTTTATTTGTTATGTCATAAGACGATCACCATGTGATGAAGTATATATTTATTTGTTAATGTGTTTGCTTTCTTTCTCACAACTAGGATGTCAGCCCCATGAGAGCAGTAGGGGAAGATCCAAGTTTTGTGTGACCCGAAGCACATATAAATCTGAGGCCTGTTTTAAGAAAAACAATTTTTAAAAAAGAATATAAAATTAGACATGAGAATGAACACTGATTTAGAAAGGGAAGAAAAGGTCTGTCATTCATTAGCCTTGTGGTGATTCTGCCATAGAGGGGCAAAGGCTTGGTCTGTCTTTTTCACAGCTACATCCTGATGACCTGAAACAGTACCTGGCACATAGTAGGTGCTCAAGAAATACTTGTGGAAAGAAAGAGTGCCCAAAAAGAGAGAACTGGTTAAATAAACGAGCAAAAGAGGAGGAGAGAGCCTATATAATTTGACCTCAAACACAATAAGCAACTGAAAGAACTGGATTTGAACACAGATCTGTTCTCTCCTTCTTTTTGAGTTTGTGACTACCCAGCCAAACTCCGTTCCCAGCCTCCCTTGCAGCTAGGTGTGCCCATGTGATGAAATTCTTGCAAGTTAAATGTGACCGGAAATGATGATGCCACTTCTTGGCCTCAGTCTTAAGACCATGGGTATGCTTCCTCTCCATGCTGGATACAATTTGGATGTGGTGATGACTTAGTTGGACAAGATTCTGAGGGGGATGGTAAAGCAATACATTGGAAAGAACCAGTCTTCCTGAAGGTAAAGGACAGAGTTTCCTCCCTGACCTGCATAGTTCACATCAGGATTGTGATGTGACAGAGAAATAATCTTTATTGTTCTCTAAGTCATGGTATTTTGGGCTCTTTGTTACAGCAGCTTAGCCTTGTGCCAATAGTTTTTGTTTGTTTGTTTGTTTTTTGAGACAAGGTCTCACTCTGTCACCCAGGCTGGAGTGCAGTGGTATGATCTTGGCTCACTGCAACCTCCACCTTATGGGTTCAAGCAATTCTTCTGCCTCAGCCTCCAGAGTGGCTGGGATGATAGGGATGTGCCACCATGCCCTGGGTAATTTTTCTATTTTTGGTAGAGACAAGGTTTTGCCGTGTTGGCCAGGCTGGTCTCAAACTCCTGGCCTCAAGTGATCGGCCCTCCTTGGCCTCCCAAAGTGCTGGGATTACAGGTGTGAGCCACCGCCCCCAGTCTACAGTTTCTTTTTCCCAAATTAAAAGTTGTATTTATTTCATATTAGTCTACTTATTTTTATTTATCTATTTTTATAAATTGACAAATGATAATGAATACAGTTTTTCTACTCAGGCCTTTTGCAGTGCATTCTACTGCCTTCTAGCAACACTGCTAGAAATAGGGCGAGTGAGTTATTTACCGTCAGGCCTGAGAGATGCTGTGTGGTTTTCTCCTGGCTGTTCCCAATGCTTCTCTTCCCTGGTAATATGAACAATGGCTGTGAGTCTGGTACTGTGCTAAATGCTTTCCATGAAATAATTTACTCAATCCTTACCTTTTGAGTAGATAGTTGTATTATCTCCACTTTACAATGAACAAACTGAGGCACAGAAAGTGTAAGCAACCCACCTAAGTAAGTGTGAGGGCTGGGATGTGGACACGGGAAGGCTGGTCCCATAACTGACTTTCCCGGTCACCATGCTCTGTTCTTCTTGTCTTGCTTCTTCTGCTCCCTTCCTCTCTTGCAGATCCCTTCAACTCCCCTCCATCATGAATAGGCCAATAGGGGCACCCAATGGCTATAAATAAAAAGAGGTTCCTGCCTCTCTCTGTCAATTGTTCCACATTTATGTCTATTTGGTGTCTTCATGGGATATTAAGGACTCTGGCATTTGATGAATGTCCTTCGGTACCAATCAGTCCAGCATCTCTTTGGGCACACTGGGCACACTGGAGAGAGCCCTGGACTGGGAGCCAGTAGTCTAGTTTCCAGATCTGGCTCTGCCACAGGTGTGCATGTGTCCTTGACCATGGTACTCCCATCTGTCAGTGCAGGGATGGATGATGACCTCTAGGATTCCTCATAGCCCTAAAGTCTGTGATATAATTCTTTCCTTCCTCAGCCTGGTATCTGTCCTTTGGCACTGCTGGCCTGCCTTTCCCCAGGAAGCCCATGGGCAGGAATCAGCTCCCTCTTTAGAGCCTGAGAGGAGCATTATGTGGTCTTGCCGATTTTGACAGGCAAAAGGAGAAGGTGAGGAAAGTCAGGCTCTCTGGTCTCCTAGTTGGTGCTGCCATCCGCAGGCTTAAATGTCTCCCTGAAATGCAGATGGAAATGAAGCAAGGTGAAAGGGTAAGCGTAGGAGCAGAGCAACTTCTAGGCTTAAAGAGGAACTTGAACCCAACTGACTCACGAGGGAAGTGGTTGTTGACCTCGAATCCTAGTTGACTTGCAAGTTGGTAGCTTGTCTTTTGAGAGACTTAGATGAATTTAGTTCCCGTGCCCATGAACTTCTGTCATTCATGGCAAAAAGAGGTAGCCTCCAAAAGAGCGATTGAACAAGAAGAATTTGGGGATGCATGAATGAATAAATGAAGGATATGGCAATTCTTTTTCTGTGAATGCCTTGGGCAATCAGACAGAAAAGATACTTAGCTCTCCAGGATGGCTTAGATGGATCTCCTCAACGCCACTCCCTGTTGAACTGATTGCGCCTGAAACACGCCAGAGTACAGGGGTCTTTGGGAAGCCTTTAATCCTGGCTGTCTGCTAAACTCAAACTTTCCCTCCTTCCTGATTTTACCATAGTCTTCCTTCTATAAATTACTTGCACATGGTAGATACAGTTTCAGTTCTGGGCTAACAAAATGGCAGCCAGAAACCATTCAGTCATAAGATGAGCAGTGACAGAAAAAAACAGGGAAGAGATAAAACCTTAAGCTGTAAGCAGGGTGGGCCTCTGCCAAATAAAGATGTTTATTGCTCTTCTGCTTTCTCAACAAAATTATAAGATTGAACGCCTTGATTTATGTGGCTCAGCAGATGTTCTCAAATCTATTAGCTCCTTGCCTCCTCCGTTGAGTGGGTGGTGCAAAAATAAAATCTGCAAGGAAGAAGCTGGCAGTGACAGGAAAGGAAGTGAGGGGCCTCTGAGAGATTAGGAGCTGAGACATGACCCAGAAATAAAAGAAAAGGAGAATCTGAAGGAACAAGTCTTCACGGTTCCTGTTCAATGAACTTTTCTCTAACAAGAGACAAAATTTGCACAGCCACAAATTATTGCAATTCAGAGAGCCAAGTGTATTGAGTTGAAAACATATTTTATGTAGGGAGGTGTCTTACATTGAGGTTGTCATAACAAAATCTCATAGACTGGGTAGCTCACGGACAACAGAAATTTATTTCTTACACTTCTGGAGGCTGGGGAGTCCAAGATCAAGGCTGGCAGATTTGAGGTCTGGCTTCTTGGTTCATAGATGGCCTCTTCTTTCTGTGTCCTCACGTGATAGAAAGGGTGAGGACCTCTCTGGGATCTCTTTCATAAGAACACTAACCCCATTCATGAGGACTCTACTGTCATGATCTAATCACCACCCAAAAGCCCCACCTCCTAAGACCATCACCTTGGGGGTTAGGATTCCAACACATGAATCTGGGGGGAACACAGGCACTTAAACCGTAGCAAGAGGCATTAACAGTATTGATGGCCCAAATCTCTCACCCAAAGAAAGTTGTCCAATACATTTGAGAAAATTTTAATGACATGGGTCCCTCGATGCCACCACCTTCTCTCATTTTTCTCTTTCCCCTTCCATATTGGCCGCATGTCTATCACCCCTTCAATTCAGGCTGGCCATCCAGAACCTTCCCCACTAGATAATATCTCTACCTCAAATTAAAAACAGTCTCCTTCCTACTTGTTCAGAGCCCTGGTGTCAGGATGGTTGCGGAAGATTGTTAAACTGGCAGCACGACGTGGAGATTTCCTGGGGATTTCAATCACCCAGTTCCCCCTACCCTTCCTGACAGAGGTTAATCACGAGGGGAATGAAAACAACACACAATCTTATGAGCAACGAAGGATAGGTTGGATGGAACCCACAGAGGCCAGCTGAGATTTCAATTTCCTTACTGTAATGAAAACTGCATTTCCATTAACTGCTGCAGTAGAAATTATTTACCAATGGCCACCTGTGATATCATTGTCCCGTAGTTTATGTGGCGTGGACTGACTCTGCAAGGGGTGGCTACTGAAGCCTCTATTCATTATCCCCCTCCTTGAAGCCCGGGGGATGCTGCATGTGAGCAAAGGCAGTGCTTTTGTGTGCATGAAAAAGGAGGAGCCAATTCATAATATCATGGTGATATAAAAAATGATTCTTCTCCCATTTTTCTATGACCTTTCCTTGCTTGATTTGAATTTATGATTTTCTGCATGTGTTTCAGATGCCAGATATCACCAATAAGAATAAATAACAAACTTATTTTCCAACGAGCTATATGCCCCGCCGTGAGTTAAGTGCTTTGTATACATTATTCCACATAGTTAGAATAGCCTGGTGTGCCAGAGATTGTCCTCTAGTATCCATCCTTTTCTTCTTCCTTTGATAATATAATCCCACGTTTTTCAGCTCAGCACATGATTTCCTGCAATCGAACCATGTATCACACCAGCCGCCCTTGCAGCTATGTGTGACCATGTGGTCACTGGGATGTAAGAGTTTCGTGTGCAATTTTCGGGACATATCCTCAGCAGGAGGGAACATGCTGCCCTCCCTCTGCCTTTTAAACGCACACATCCTTTATTTTATTATAAAAATTAAGATTTGATATGGAGATTTTCTATATGATAATGGTCACGTAATGCATAGATAAAGGAACCATCTATTCTGATATGACAATGCTAGAAATAGAGGGGACTAAAACACATATCTTTAGAAATGTGCAAGTACAGTTGTCCCTCAGTATACACAGCAGATTGGGTCAAGGACCCTTGCATATACCCAAATCCACAAAACATGCCCTTTTGTTCACCGGCTGGAATGTGGACATAATAGTTGGACATGAGTAGCCGTCTCAGACCATGAGATGGAAGCCACTTGTTGAAGATGGTAAAGCAACAAGAAGGAGCTTCAGGCCCTGATGACTGTGAGGGAGAATTTTGAGTTTTTTTGCAGCTGCAGCTGAACGTATCTTACTAGAAACACTCTGCAAGAAGGTAATAGAATGAGGTATTGGAGAGCATGGGCTTTGGGGTCAGATGCACCAGGGTTAAAATTCTTCTTCTGCACTTATCAGCTTTGTGACCTTAGGCAAGTAACTTAACCATCCTGTATCGGATTCTTTATTTGTATAATTAGTGGAAGTAAAACCTCATTGAATTTTGTGACAAGTTTAGGTATATATGATATATCTAAAATTTTCAGCATAGAACTTGGCACATGGTAAATGCATGAGACAAGGTAGATGTTGTCTTGTATGAGGAAACAAGCCTCAGATAAGTTAAAAAATTTCTTCCAAGGCCACACAGATAAATGATTGAGAGTCAGACCTGGAAGTCCCCAAAGCTTGTGATTTTCTGGGACATTGACCACCATGGATGCCCAGAGGTCATCATGAAAAACAAGAACATAAAAGTTAGCTGCTTTGTAAGCTTGCTAGTTAACACACCCAGACACACACACACACACACACCCAGACACATACGCACATGCACTTTGTATGTGACTCATTCTTTGACTGTAAAATTATTATCTCTTACAAACGAATCTGCTGAAATAGAAATGTTTATTTATTTGAACTAATATGCACCGACGTTACCTGGTATACAAAGTTTCCAATAGGTGTTGCTGTTGTTCCCTTATCCCTCAGGATCTCTGGCTTATGATGCAATCTTCTGTCACACAATCACATTCTCCATTTCCTTCATTTCTATTGAGTTCGGTTTTAAATTTTCAGATGAGCTGAGCTCAGAGATAGTCTCTAATCTTCCAAATCTGTGCCAATGGTGTCCTTCCCATCCAGGCTTTCTACAGATCAGGGCTGAGGTGAATTGTTTTACATCAACTATGGGCTTATAACAAAGAGGGTGATATCAGTGGCCCTTAAGTCAAAGAAGATTATTGAACAAGGCTGTGAGCTCCATGAAGGCAGGGACTGTGTCTGTTTTATTCATTGATATATCCCTACCACTTACCCCAGAAGGGCTCCATCAATATGTGTTGAATGAACTTTGAATGAACGGGCGCTTTCAGGATCACCATGCAATAAACAGTCATGGATGACATAAGCCATCAAATTGATGCTAATCACTTCCCCACCGAGCCCAGTTATAGTGGGCATTTGCCCAGCTTTGCCCCCCAGCATGCAATCCACTATTCTAAAGCCCCTCATCTTCCCTTTAGGGAGTTTTACGCTGTGGGTTGTTTTCTAGGGGTGGGAGAGGAGAGCGCTTGCCTCTTAGAAACCAAAGGGGCCAGATGCTCTTTCTGGAAACTTTGAACAACTGCTGCAAGAATGCGGATTGGTTGGAGGCCATTCACTGCAGGGCTGGTGTAGCATGTGGATCATATGCATCTGCTCTGAGTTTGGCAATGCTAACTTCAGCCTCTTCTTCACCAGCACTCTCAGGCCCTGCCCGCTTTCCAACCCTGGACTTCTAACCCTCCAGAGATTCTGATGTCCTGCAAATACTTGGAATAGTCCTATCCCTTAGTTTCATAAGAAAGCATGTAAGCTAAATTGTTAGAGAGATTTCACAGATAGTCTTTGTCCTCACCAACAGGCTTAAAGATTATTTGGTAAATTTCCAAATAGTAACTTGGGAGCAGGAGAGAGAAGTTGCACTGTCAAGGCCAATATGATTCAATTTGAAATATGGAGATTGAAGTAATTGGAGAAGGTGATAGTCACTGGTTCTGATCCTAAAATGATTATTAGGATAAAAAATCTGACACTGAAAAAGTTGGAGGGAAGCGAGTTGAAGGCTGGATCCATGGCTAAATATGGTGCCAACACCTGCTTTTACAATTGCTGATGCATTTTTCTCATCAACAAAGAATGTATGCTGGCAGGTTTCTCACTCCCTTTGCAGAGTGGTTGTTGCTGTGCTGTCTCTTCACATATTGTGAGGATTCTGGGTCATTTTCTCGAGTTTGAAACTGTGGATGTGGCAATGGCTATTTCCAGATAGAAAACAGTGGAATCCTGGAAAGAGCTGAAGAAACTATCAACTCGAATTTTGCACTTTGGTTCAAGTGAATTTTGAAAGCAGATCCTTTGCATTTTACGCATCTATAAAGGGAACCAGGGGCTCATTCTACACTGTGATTGTTCTCTAGGAAGAATGTACTTTCATTACAAATTACATCCGAAATATTCATACTGTGCTTTATGTTTTTTTTGTCTTTGTACTTCAAAAAGAACAATTTGAGAATCAAGTTTCATATGCCACCTTTGATAGTATAATTCCCATTGGAGCAATTGTCTCCCTTCTTCCTCATCTCTTTCTGAACCTACTTAAAAAAAAAAAAAGGCCAGTCTCGGTGGCTCATGCCTGTAATCCCAGCACTTTGGGAGGCTGAGGTGGGTGGATCACAAGGTCAGGAGTTCGAGACCAGCCTGACCAACATGGTGAAACCCATCTCTACTAAAATACAAAAATTAGCCGGGCGTGGTGGTGAGCCCCTGTAATCCCAGCTACTCAGGAGGCAGAGGCAGGAGAATCACTTGAACAAGGGAGGCGGAGGTTGCAGTGAGCCAAGACTGCACCACTGCACTCCAGCCTCCTTAAAAAAAAAAAAAAAAAAAAAAAAAGAAAAAAAAAGGCAAGGGAGAAAGGCAGATGGAGACCAAAATTTCACCTTTTCTACTGATAAAGCTGACACTAGAGAAAGTGGAAGATATCTGCAGACAAAGGGATGGCAAGGGGCTAGGCTATGCATGCCCATCAGCAATCATCTAAGTCTGTCCCCTCTCCTGGGTGGGGGGAGTGAGGACTGCAGGGAGCTTATTATGCCAATGGGCTCTCACACCACAGAGAAGGGAACACCCAGAGTGGTGAGTGGTTGTGAAGTACCTTTGGCTTAAATGGCAAAGTCTGTTGTGGGTATTTTCCACTCATGGTCTCTGGTTTCTATCCCTATTGCCTCCTCACTGTCCCTTGACATTCTCAGCTGATCCAGAGAAAAGACTGCATAGTGAAAAAGGGTGCCTGACTGGGTTTTGGGAGACTGGGACCCAGTTGAGGCTGGTGGGCAAGTCAGATCAGTGTCATAAGTCTTGTGTTCCTCGTATGTCCTCTGACGGTGTAGGAGAGGTTGCTCCCCCTTGCTGAAGCCAGTCTTGTGGTTTGGGTACCCTCCACCCACTCTGGGAACCTTGCCTTCTCTTGCATATTCAACGTCTTTTCTTCTCGGCTGCATTTTTTTCCATAGGCTTTTAGGCTTACACAAGTTGTTCCCACTTAAAAGCAATATCCTCACTTGTCTCTCATCCTTGCCAGCAATTTCCCTATCTGTTGCGCAGGCTGGAGTGCAGTGGCACGATCTCAGCTCACTGCAAGCTCTGCCTCCCGGGTTCATGCCATTCTCCTGCCTCAGCCTCCCAACTTGTTGGGACTACAGGTGCACGCCACCATTCCCAGCTAATTTTTTTTTTTTGTATTTTTAGTAGAGACAGGATTTCACCATGTTAGTCAGGATGGTCTCGATCTCCTGACCTTGTGATCCACCAGCTTCGGCCTCCCAAAGTGCTGGGATTACAGGCGTGAGCCACCGTGTCCGGCCTCTGCACCTTCTTTTTTATAGAGAGACTCCTTTAAAATGTTGTCTGAATGTATTGCCTGTGCTCATTCAGCCCATTAGCAGCACAACCTGGCTTCTTCCCAGATAACTCCCACTAAGGTGGCCAATGATCTTCATGTAGCTCAATCCAGTGGACACTTCCATTCTCCCTGTACTTCATTTCTCAGCACTAATTGGCACTGTTGATCATTCCCTGCTTTTCATTTGTCTTCCAATACAACACTTTCTTGGTTATCTGCCTTTGAAGTTGCATTGGTCTTCTAGCCAGCTATTTCTTGGAGCTCTTCAATACCTAGGTCCTCTTCTGTTTTCACTCTACCACCTCTTAGTGAAAGAATGATTAGACTATTTGCTCATTCATTCGATAAATTTTTATTGAGCACCTATTATGTGATAGGCACTTTCCTAGGCACTGATAATTTAACAGTGCAAAAAAAAACCCCCAACAAATTCCCTGCTCCGATGATGCTTTTATTCTAGTGGGAGAAGACAGGGAATACATAAATAAGCAAATAAGTATATAATATATCAGGTGGTGCTAAGTGCTGGGAGGCAAAATAAATCAGGGTGAGAGAATAAGAGGAAAGGTGATGTTATATTTAATGGTCAGAGTCCTAAAAGAAGTGACTGATTTTGTTAACAAGGTAATGTTGGCCTCATAGAGTGATTTAGGAAGTGTTTTCACCTCTGCTATTTTTTGGAAGAGTTTGACAAGGATTCTTTAAATGTTTAGTAGATTTCACCAGTAAAGCCATCTGGTCCTGGACTTTTCTTCATTGGGAGGCTTTTGATTACTATTTCAATATTTATATTTGTTACAGGTCTATTGTGATTTTTGATTCCTTCTTGAGTTAATTGAGGTAATTTGTGTGGTTCTAGAAACTGCTATTACATCTAGGCTATCTAATATGTTGGTGTACAATTGTTTTTAATAACAGTCTTTTGTAATTCTTTTTCTTTCTGTAAGGTCGGTAGTAATGTCCTCACTTTCATTTTCTGAGCTTAGTTATTTGTGTCTTCTCTTTTTTTGGTCAGTGTAGCTAAATGTTGGTCCGTTTTTGAAGACAGTGGCTGAGCATGGAGATACCAAGTGGCAGGGCATTCCTGGCAGGATGACAGATCATCCCAGCAAACATTTACGGAGAACTTCCTGTGTGCCAGGCATTTATTACAGGGGCTTCACCTGGATGTTTCCATAGAGCAGCTACGATGATGATGATTATTCTTACTTTCCAGATGAGGAAACTATGGTACGGAGAGGTGAATGAGCTTGCCCAAGATCCCATCACTATTAGAAGCAAAACCAGTAAGAGTCTGACTCCAGGACCTGGTCTCATCTGTACACTTTGACCTTGCCCAGGTGTGAGTTCAGTGAAAGGAATTATTATGACTAATGTCAAAACAGAGACAATGAAACAAAACCTCATCTCATGTACCTCAATATGGAATTTTTTCTCCTTTAGAAATACATGAGAAATGTGTCATTTCCAGCTTGGAGTAACAAATGGTACAACCATTTTACAACCTAATTTTACTCTCCAGCTGGTTCCAAGATATTAATAACTAGGGCTAGGCCATCCTTGTCACATTTTGGATTTTTAAAAAAATCTCCAGCTATCTTCCAATGTATGCCATTTTGTAAAATATATTTTTCCCTAGTATTTTTTTCCATTTGGAGGAAACAAAAGTATGTTTTAACAGCATACAATCCATATGCTTTTGATTTCCTCGTACTCAAGTCACCAAAATGTCGCTTCATAAGAGCTATTTTATTCCTCTTTAAACTCTCCTGAATATAAATTTTTAACATTTCCTTCCTCTCAACCACCAAGCAGTGTTTTGCTGAGGGAAAGAATATCCAGATAGCATCAAAACTAGATAGTTTTTCAACTGACGTTGGGACTTAAGGGGGCTTGGAAAACATGCTTTCCTGACCAAAGCTAAATTACGGGCTGATTCCGAAGCTCTAAGTACCTAATGGCTCAGGTTAAGGGACTTATGGCCCCAAAGACACCAAAGAGTTTTTAATCACTCTTCCTCCCTGCGTACCCCACAGCAGAGCTGTAAATCTTTTTTACCCTTTATAGGAAAAAAAAAAAAGTGAGTGGGAGAAAGAAATTTCTCTTGTCAGCTTGAGCTTTAAAAAGAAGAAGGAAGTACGGGGTGAATGGATGTTTTTAAGCTCAGGCATATGTTGGATGGGAGGAAATGAGACTGAGGGAGAAGCAAAGTGCTGATGTAGAGGGTCCATATGGCCTCAGAATGACCTGTGAGTCTCACCAGTTCCTATAACAAACGCCACAGATGCCTCATGTGAAGAGCAAGTTTTGTAAGGAAGCTCTGGCATTGAGTGAAGTCAGCAAAATTAGGAGTGGTGCCAAGAAGGATTCTCCTGTATGAGGAGCACTCCTTTTCCTTTCCATCCATCCATCCATCCATCCATCCATCCATCCATCTGCCCCAGAAACACTGGGGAAATCAGGCAGGAAGGATGGGAAAGAAATGGAAATTAAATTCTATTAGTCACTGGCTATGTCATCAAAGGCAATGCTGATTGATTGCTAGTGGCTGCCTGGAGTGCTGTGTTGAGAAGGATTCTGAGGTCTGGTCTGTTTTTTACAGCGAGAAGTAGAGTTGATCAGGGATTCAGCTACAGACAAGATGGTAGGGAGTGCCAGCCGTCACTCTCATGTTGAGAAATATCTCACTGTGCCATGTTCCCAGTCCAGAGCTGGTTAAATGGAGGAGATGAAGGAAGGATTAGCCTGATGCCCATCCAAGGTAGATAAGAGTGAGAAGAGCTGGGCTGGTTTAGGAGGCAATGGTAGGATTTTAGGAATGAGACTTTGGCCTGGTTAGTATCTGTAGCTCTACCAGAAAAAACACTAACCCCTCCAAGCCTCAGGTTTTTCCATGTGTAAAACAGAATAAAAACACTTTCCTTATAGGATTGGGGTGAGGATTAAATGTAAAATAAAGGGTCTGGCTTGTAGTAATGTTTTATAATTTTTTTAGTTTTTTGAGATAGGGTCTTATTCTGTTGCCCAGGCTAGAGTGCAGTGGCATAACCATGGCTCACTGCTGCCTTGACCTCCGGGGCTCAGCTGATCCTCCCACCTCAGCCTCCTGAGTAGCTGGAACTACAAGTGTGCACTATGATGCCTGGATAATTTTTTGTCTTTTTTTGTAGACATAGGATTTCACCTTGTTGCCGAGGCTGGGCTCAAATGATCCGCCTTAGCCTCCTGAAGTGCTGGGATTATAGGCATGAGCCACCACGCTCGGCCTATAAATGCTTTATATTTTTATATAATAAAAATGGCTCTAATTTGGCTTTAGACTTCGGTGGCTATTATCAATTAATCAGTATCTATTTTGTACTTAATAGGTACAAAAGGAAACAGAAATATCTAAAATCTGGGGTGACAGAAAAGAGATACATAGAACAGAAAACCACGTGATCAGGGCCAAGTGGCCCATTTCTACTAGATATCTGGAAGAGGGGAGACACATGAACTGGGTAAACATTTGAGGATGAAGAGTAAAGGGACTTCCCTTTTCTCAGCTCTAAATTTGAAATATTCCTCTCTCTTCCTATGTGGGTTTTTGTGTTCCTCAGAGGAGAGACCTAAATTCTGAGGCGTGGACAAGAGAAGGTCAAATTGCTGCTCACAAACAACGAATCAGGCTGGGTGCCGTGGCTCGCTCCTGTAATCTCAGCTCTTTGGAAGGCCAAGGCGGGAGGATCCCTTGAGGTCAGGAGTTGGAGGCTACAGTGAGCTACAACGGTGTTCCTGCACCCTAGCCTGGATGACAGAGTAAGACCCTGTCTCTAAAATAAATAAAAATAGGCCGGGCGTGGTGGCTCACCCCTGTAATCCCAGCACTTTGGGAGGCCGAGGCGGGCAGATCACGAGGTCAGGAGATCGAGACCATCCTGGCTAACACGGTGAAACCCCGTCTCTACTAAAATAAGTACAAAAAATTAGCCGGGCATGGTGGCCGGTGCCTGCAGTCCCAGCTACTCGGGAGGCTGAGGCAGGAGAATGGTGTGAACCCGGGAGGCGGAGCTCACAGTGAGCCGAGATCGCGCCACTGCACACCAGCCTGGGCGACAGAGCAAGACTCTGTCTCAAAATAAAATAAAATAAATAAATAAATAAATAAAAATAAAAATAAAAACAAAACCAAACCCCAATGAATCAAAGCCTTAGGTCCTTTCTGGATTTACCTGTATTAAAAAAATTGTTTCCTTTGCCTGTTAAGGAGAGCCACTGAGAAGCAGTGTGAGGGGTTCCGTTGCTTCTGCACCTTCCTGACTGCGGTGGGCAGAGTGTCAGGAAACCCTGCAGGCCAGGCCACACCACCAGGAGAAACCAAAACAGAACAAGAAACCGCGTGCAGCAGAACACGGAAAAGTCCTTTGTTGTTTAAAGTTTTTATCTTGCTTGTGGCAAGTCTGACGATTCAGCAACCACCACAGCTGCATTGGGCTGAGAGTTTCCTTGTAGGTCTTTTCTCCAAAGCCGGAACAATAGCAGGGGGTTAGTCCTTCCCTCTGCCCAGCTCACGTTCCAGTTTCTGAAATGGGTTTGGGACAAGCAGAGCTTGGAGCAGCCGCCCTGAGGTTTTTATCAGACTAATTCAAGTGAGAGGAGGCAGAGTAAAACTAGCTGTTTAGGTTCATGGGTGATGCATTTCTGGGCATGAACTTCAGCTCTCTGTATCCTGATGTTGAAATAAGTTGAAAGAGTCAACAGGTTTCCCATTACTTGGTTAATGGGAATTAACCAAGTTCCCATAGTAATGGGGACCCTTAGTATGGTTAATGACAAAGGATCATGAAGATTGAGGTTTCCAGACCTTGCTAGGGATACAGTGAGGATCTCCCAGCCACCATACTTTCTCTCCTGTGAATCCCCCCAATCACTTGTCTCCCTACTGTGTGCTCTGAGCACAGGTGACGGGGACCCTAAACCAGGGAGCAGCAAAAGGAGGGAAAAGGAAAAGCAAGGCGACGTGGCACGCCTGTGGCAATACCTGCCAAGTGACGTGGGGGTGCTACATGTTCTCAGAACACAGCTGCGGCATGGCTGGCAGCTGGCCTGGGTGTGGCTCTTGAGGGGAGCTGCTGGGCTCGGTGCCGCTGGTGTCTGTTGCAACCTCACTTTCCTTATCTGGGAAATGAAGGCATTGGGGGTGGTGGGGGAGTCTGTCTGCTCTGTCCGTCAATCGTTATTACTGAGGCTCACACATTGTTGAAAAAGTCAAAGAATGTTTTAGGAAAACACATTTTGTAGGTATTTGTTCATTCATTCATGGATTGATTTATCCTCTCACTGAAACTTTGTTTTTACACACTGACTCTGTGCTAGGTACTGAGGGTACCAAAACCAATAAGACTGGATTTCCTGTGCTCCTGGGCTCACAGTCTTGTGAGGAAGATAGATACATATGCAGATCATTCCAGAAAAACAATCTGCTTAATAACAGAAGTGTGTGTACTGTGTTCAGCCCTGCCTGGTAGTGTTGAGAAGGCTGACACGAGGGCCAGGTCTTGCAGGAAGAGTAAGGATGCCCAGATGGTGAAAGCATATTTCAGAGGAAAGTCTAGAGCTTGCAGAAAAGAACTTTACCTGAGAGCCATGGTAAGGCTGAAAAAGAGTTTAAGGAGGCAGCAAAAGGCAGAGAAGGAAACATGGATTATCCTGTTCTATATTGGATTATCCTGTTCTATATCCAGGTGAGATTCCAGTTTATCAAGAGAGAAAAAGTCTCCCTTTTTCTTTACACTAAGAAACGCTTGGGTCTTTGCATTGGGATGGCCCAACACTGTTTATATACTACAGAGCAGGCCACTGATGCTTGTTTTTACCAGGCTACGCAGAGGAAGGTATTTCTTGTTGCTATTTCTCGCATAGACCTTTGATAAAGGCTGAAGACTTTATTAAGACTGTTGTGATTCTTACCCTTTATAGAGTCAAAGCCTCCTTCGAAAATGGGAGGAAAATAATAAGCACATAATTTGCGTAAAATTTCAGAGGTTTCCAGAACCATGTTCGCAACCCCCAATGCCCACTCATGCATTACAGGTAAAGACCTTCCACCAGGCTTAGGCTGTGAACCAGGGGACTGGAATAACCCAGCCCAGATATAGAGCTTTATGGCGACCTGGCCTGATGTTGGCATTAAGTTTGGACATTGTTGAGGAAGAAATGTTACTAGGCTGACCTTTCGTGGGCTATGGCCAAGTTTGGGTGAGGGCAGAGTGTTGACAAGTGCCCTTTGCCCTGATTTCCTGTGGCTTGGTGGTCCTGGATCTGGGAAAAGCAGAAGCAGCTTTATAGCTTGGTTTGTTAGTTGCCTGCCAAAGGAGCAGTAACCTGCGATGAGGTTTGTTTGGCACATTTTTTTTTTTTTTTTTGCCATTTATTCACTTGTTATACTCGAGTGTATATGCTGGTTTGTGTACTTTCTTTCGACTGGGGTTGGTGTATCAACTAGAGCAGGAAGGGGTGCGGTGATGACAGAAGTGGACCAAGACCATTCTCAGATGGGGAAGAGTGGAGACAGATGTGTGGGAAATTGACAGGAGCCAGGGGTCAATTTCTTATTGCCAGAGCTTTGAAAGGAAGCGAAATCCTTTTTCAGAGGGCTTTGGCAGGGCTAGTACTAGGGGGAGGCAAGTGAGACCTTTGTCGTGGGTACGAAATGCGAGCGGGTACCCAAAACTCAGTAATCAAGAAAAATAATATTTTAATGCAGTTAAAAAAAATCAAAATGCAAAAAAAAATCATAATAAATAAAGCATTAAAATTTTAAGTAAAGACAGGATGCACTCCTGTACTTGCGAGACTCTGCCTCACTTAATCCTAATCCCCATTCTGGGCTTTCTTTGGAGCCAAGAAATGCATCCCCTCAAAGTCCCAAACTTGTATTTGAACAACACTTGTGAATTGCAGTAAAACTGGTACCTGGGCATTGCTGAGTTAGTTCTTGTAGCTCTCCAGGAAATTTTCCAGGCAGTGGGAGCCCTGCTCAGGTCCAGCCTAACCACCTTTGCCCAAGAAATGTGTGTTGGCAGTGACCCAAATTTTCCACCAGGTGGCACTCTTGCTCCAACCACGTGCCCCTGAAAAGAGGATTCTTAGCTAAGAGTGATTTAAACTAATTGTTAAATTGTGCTTCTTTTTGGAAAGGCTGAAAAAAATCCTGAGCAGGAATTGGGGTAAACAATGATGGGATATAAAGAGTATTTGAGGAGTGTTCTGGAAAACTTGGAGCAAGGTAGGGCCTGATTAGTGGCCGGCCACAGGCTGTGCTGCTCTTCAGCAGGTGAGAAAAGGGAGAATTTTAAACCGCCTTTTGTTCTCAGATGCAATATAAACACATGTGACATGGGAGAGAAATGTGGGATTAATGATTTTCTGTGAAGTATATCCTGGTAACAGCTCAGGCACTTGAGTCAGAAAGACCTGGAATGTTGGTTCCACCACTTCCTAGCTGTGATCTTGGATGAATGACTGGGCTTTGACAAGCCTGAGATTCTGCATCTTTAAATGGGGATGATTGTAGCTGCTCCTCCAGACGGCCATTAGAGGATTAAATAAACGAATGCACATAAGGCTGTTTGCACGGTGCCTGGCACATAGTAAGTGTTCAACAAAGATGAGGTGTTATTATGGACTTTTAGGCAAAGCCTGTCCAGCTAAATTCCTGGGCCTGGCCTCCCTTGGCTGTTGCATTAATTAAGGAGATGACCTCAGGGTGACCCAGAGAAATAACTTGATAATGAACCATGGCTCGAGGAGACTGGACCAGAAGAGTTTCCCACCTGGATAGAGTTTCACAGGTGTGATTTTTGAAACAGGAAATCAGGCTGGGTTCCCGGGCTCCTGAGCAGAACTGTCTCACCCTCTGTGACTTGTACACATCTGACCACCAGGTGACTGATCCCACTTAAACTATGCATTGTTGTGGAAAGTATCAATTTACAAGGATGTGTATTGGAACCTTTCCATGAGTCCAGTCTGTCTCCTTACTGTTCTGAACTCCTGAACTCACAAAGATGCCCCAAATTAACTATCCTTCAATAACAATGAGTTGATAATAGTTCCTGTTTGTTGAGGCTTACTTTATGTCAGTCACTTTAATAAGCACTTTACAGACACAGGTTCCTTCATGTCTCAAAACCACCTGGAGAAGTAAGCAAACCCATTTTACAGACAAACTAAGATTTAAGGAAACTTAGTACCTTAGCAGCTCTCCTTCAGCCAGGAATTGGTATAAACTTAGATCTGTCTGACTTCTAAATCAATCAATCAATTTATCATTGGCCTATCATCTATCCATTTGACAGCTTAAGTACAAACCATTCCAATCTAATTAAAGCAATGTTCCATAGAGACCTCTAGGGTCTAAGAAAATCTTTTTTGGCCTCAATTGAGGCTTCTTTCTTGAAAATATAGGGAGATATTCATGGCTGCACCTTTGCAGATCCATACACACATAGCTCATATATGTGACTCTCTAAGTAGCATGTTCTTACTTGTGGGCACTAGGACCAAGATTATGGTCCATTCTTGTGTCCACTGCACTTCCGGGATTCCCCAGGGAGAGCTCATTTGGGAGGATGGTCTGACAGTGTCATTCTCTGTTCTGCACTGAGCTCCCTTTGCTGGCCTAGGAAAAGCTAGCTGGCCAAAATGGTCTCAGTTTTCAATGGGATGCAGTTGGACAAGAGAGGATGCATCAGACAAGATCAGTTTGACCTTGGCTGCAAGAAGGAGCAGAAGGCAAATGCTATCTTCCCCAGTGAAAAACATCACTAGCCATCCAGGGAGGAAATCTGGTTTTCTCAACTGGAGAAGATAGCTACAGTTCAAAAGTTTAGAGTCTTCTTCGTGAATACAGTTCCTGGCATCAGTTGAGGGATCAGCGTAGATAAGTGGAAGTTCCCACTTATAGCATGTTTGATTTCTTTCCCCCAATGCAGTTTATTACCTCTAAGTTTATCCTGTAGCTCAACTCGGACTAATAAAGTTTTCTCTAGTACAGAAGGTCCATAGAGGATCTACTTTATTAGTTTAAGTGGGTTTTAATTAGTCAATTAGAGAACAGTTTCTTCTCCAGGACTTAAAAACGATTTTGTCAAATTATTTCAATGAAAATATAGTTGGCTTTATTTAGTAACTAAAAAAAGTCACTTCTAGTTTATATTGTTACAAATTAAGGTCAATGAAGTTTATGGATTAAGAGGCAAGAAACAGGCCGGGTGCAGTCGCTCACGCCTGTAATCCCCGCACTTTGGGAGGCCGAGGTGGGCGGATCATCAAGTCAGGAATTCAAAACCAGCCTGACCAACATGGTGAAACTCCGTCTCTACTAAAATGCAAAAAAATTAGCCAGGCATGGTGGCACACGCTTGTAATCCCAGCTACTCAGGAGGCTGAGGCAGGAGAATGGCTTGAACCCAGGAGACGGAGCTTACAGTGAGCTGAGATTGCGCCACTGTATTCCAGCCTGGGTGACAGAGCAAGACTCTGTCTCAAAAAAAAAAAAAAAAAAAGAAAAAGAAAAAAGAAAAGTCAAGAAACAATAATGTGTTTTTCCTTCATACGTAAATATTTTTATTAAAATTAAAATGACCCAAAATAATATAATAACATATAGAATTGAGAGGTGACAACATGCTGGCAGCCCTTGCTCGCTCTAAGCACCTCCTCGGCCTTGGTGCCCACTCTGGCCGCCGTTGAGCCCTTCAGCCCGCTGCTACACTGTGGGAGCCCCTCTCTGGGCCGGCACAGGCCAGAGCCGGCTCCCTCTGCTTGTGGGGAGGTGTGGAGGGAGAGGCGCGGGCGGGAACCAGGGCTGCACGCCGTGTTCACGGGCCAGCATGAGTTCCCGGTGGGCATGGGCTCGGAGGGCCCCGCACTCAGCAGCCCGTCCCGGGCAGTGAGGGGCTTAGCACCAGGGCCAGCAGCTGTGGAGGGTGCGCCGGGTCCCCCAGCAGTGCAGACCAGCCCGTGCTGGTGCTCGAATTCTCGCTGGGCCTCAGCTGCCTTTCCGTGGGGCAGGGCTCGGGGACCTGCAGCCCGCCATGCCTGAGCCTCCCCCCATCCCCCGCCGTGGGGTCCTGCGCGGCCTGAGCCTCCCCAATGAGCTCCGCCCCCTGCTCTGCGGCGCTCGATCCCATCGACCTCCCAAGGGCTGAGGAGTGCAGGCTGGCGCTGCGGGACTGGCGGGCAGCTCCACCTGCCGCCTGGTTCGGGATGCACTAGGTGAAGCCAGCTGGGCTCCTGAGTATAGTGGGGACTTGGAGGACCTTTATGTCTAGCTAAAGGATTGTAAATACACCAGTCAGCACTCTGTGTCTAGCTCAAGGTTTGTAAATGCACCAGTCAGTGCTCTGTGTCTAGCTAATCTAGTGGGGACTTGGAGAACTTTTGTGTCTAGCTCAGGGATTGTAAACGCACCCAGCAGCACCCTGTCAAAACGGACCAGTCAGCTCTCTGTAAAACAGACCAATCGGCTCTCTGTAAAATGGACCAATCAGCAGGATGTGGGTGGGGCCAGATAAGGGAATAAAAGCAGGCGCCCTGGGCGCAGCAGCAACGCGTTGGGGTCCACTTCAGCAGTGTGGGAGGTTTGTTTTTTCAGTCTTTTCATAAATCTTGCTGCTGCTCACTCTTGGGTCTCCACTGCTTTTATGAGATGTAGCACTCACTGCGAAAGTTGGCAGCTTCACTCCTGAGGCCTGTGAAACCACGAACCCACCAGGAGGAACGAACAACTCCAGGCCGCCTTAAGAGCTGTAACACTCACGGGGAAGGTCTGCAGCTTCACTCCTGAAGCCAGCGAGACCATGAATCCACCAGAAGGAAGAAACTCTGAACACGTTCGAACATCAGAAGGAACAAACTCCAGACGCACCACCTTTAAGAACTGTTAACACTCACCGCGAGGGTCCACGGCTTCATTCTTGAAGTTAGTGAGACCAAGAACCCACCAATTCCGGACACAGAATCATTATGATTTCCTTGGAAAATGGATGTGTGGAAAGATATTTACCATGGGCTTTCTTTGGAGCCAATAAATACATCCCCTCAAAGTCCCAAACTTGTATTTGAACAACACTTGTGAATTTCAGTTAAATTAGTACCGGGAAATTGCTGAGTTAGTTCTTGTATCTAGAACTATCTTCAGTAGAATGACTGCACATCCAGATGTAGACAGGCTGGGAGGAAGGGGCCAAATCTTACTCATTTCATTATTCTCGGTCTCCAGCATAGGACTGACATGGGTCTTTGATCAACAGATGTTTACTGGTTAGAATTAAAATCCAGCATGCGGATTCTCATTTATTTGATTCCTTGAGATGAAAAGGGCCAGTCTTCTGACCTTTTAATCCACTGTCAGCACTGGCGCCCCGATCAGAAATTATAGCACAGGAGCCTAAGCTCAGAGCGACTACAAAGGGGTCAGGGCAGAGGGAATTGAAGACACAGATTCTATCCCCGTCTGGACTTTTCATATGGACGAGGGAAGAGGTTCATAGCCTCAGCTGAGCTGCAGGTCAGACAATTGGGGTGGATGCTCTTTTATTGAGCACCTGCTATATAGATCAGGATATTTGCATTCACTCTCCCATTTAATCCTCGCAAGAGGTTGTGAAAACACCGACATCGCTTCTATTATCCCCATTTAGAGATGAGGAAACCAAGTCTTAGCCAAATAACCTGCATAACGGAAGAAGCTGGGATTCAAATCCGGGACTTCAGAATGGAAGAATGATGTCAAATTTCCTCTCAACAGCAGAGATTCATGCAGCCAGTAGGGGAGCTAGGGCTCACCTTAAAATGGCACTAGGTGTTTGCAACTTTTTGAACAAAGGCATTTTTAGGGAACTAGTGGACAAGCGGTTGATTTGGCAGGAAGCCCGCCAGACAGCTAGAAAATGCAACTGGCCTGGGACCGATCAATCAATTTCAGGTTGCAGTATGTTTTTTCCCCTCCAAATCCATCCACTGAAAAGTCCTTGGAGTAGGAGCGGACTTGAAAAGAACTGCCAGGATGGAAAATACTAATTTTTTTTTTTTGGCATTTATTTTAAAAGGGACTTACCTAAAGCTCTCTAGATCCACTAAAGTATTACACAAGAAGATGGGTGAGTCTCAGGCTCTTCAATCAGAAAATTATTTCCATAGGTCAAAAGAGCCAAAGAATTTCTCAACTCTATTTACATTCTCAAAAAGAAAAATTTAGTCTGAGCATGGTGGCTCATGTTTGTAATCTCAGCAGTTTGGGAGGCCGAGGTGGGAGTGTCACTTGAGGCCAGGAATTCAAGACCTGCCTGGACAACATAGTGAGACCTGTCTCCACAAAAAATAAAAATAAAAAAATTAGGCAGTTTTGGTGGTGTGTCCTGTGGTCCCAGCTATTTGGGAGGCTGAGGCAGGAGGAACACTTGAGCCCGAGTGGTCAAAGTTACAGTGAGCTATGATCACACTACTGCACTCCAGCCTCGGCGACAGCAATACCCCATCTCAAAAATATAAAAATGAAAATAAAAGAGAAAGAAAGAAAAAAGAAAAATTTATTTCTAGGTTCAAACCCCATTTCCTTTTACCGACCTTAACTAAATTTCTATTTGTCATCTTTTTAACTGGTTTGTGTGACCCTTTTTAACTGGCTTGTGTGCCATGAATGTCTGATTAAGATGTTTGTTTCCGCCTCTTATACAGTAATCAGGCAAGGAAGCACAATCTCTGGGTCCAAGAGGGGGTTAGGGAGGAGGATTCAGTTAAACAATCATGAAAACAGGGCCCTGTGGTAAGATGGGAGGGGCAGAGTCCTCCCCCTCAAGGGACTTAGTGTCCAGTGGGAGACACACAGGCCACTGTTGTCCGGTACCCATGGGGCATCTCTGGGTTCCTCCAGCAGGGAGCCTGATTAGGATCCATGAGAAGCTTCTCTTTGCACCCAGAATCTCTCCTGTTCAATCCAGCTCCCTGTGGGCTCTTAATTGTAAGGCTTTACTATTCGCCAGGGAGACCTCAGGTTTTTCATTGATTAAAGAGAAAGACTCCTTTGACACTACAAAGAGGAACATTTAAATTGCCAGGTGATTTAATGCAATTATCTCTCCTTGGCCTGACAGGTTGAAATGAGCAAAGGAGTGAAAGGATTCAAGGAACTTAACATAAATCGAACCAGTTATTTTCTCACTAGCAATCAGCAGATTGAGGATGTTCACTGGGGAGACGGATGATGCTTCCTGCAGCAGTGTTAAGTGCATTAAAAAAGAGCAACTCAAGAAAATAATTTCCAATGCTTTCCAATTCTTTTGCCACCTGGAAACTTTCTGTTCATTTATTTTTAAAACTCATTTTTAATCTTTGTGTATTGAACTTCCATTGGGCGCCTTTGAGGGGCCTCACTGCATTAGTTTGCTAGCGCTGATGAAACGAAGTACAGCAAACTGGGTGACTTAACAACAGAAATGTACTGTCTCCATTCTGGAGGCCAGGAGGTCAGAGACCAAGGTAGCAGAGGGGTTGGTTCCTTCTGAGAGTGGTGAAGGAAGGACCTGTTCGGGGCCTTTTTCCTAGCTTCCGATGATTTGCTGCCATCTTTGGCAGTCCTTGGCTTGTAGACACATCACCCTGATCTCTGCCTTCATGTTCACCTGGCATTCTCCCTGTGTGCATGTCTGCATGTGCATATTTCTTCCTTTTTATAAGAACACCACCATTCGTATTGGATTAGAAGCCACCCTACTCCAGTATGATCCCATCTTGAAACGAATTACAGACAGTCCCCCACCTAATGACGGTTCCACTTACAATATTTCTGCTTTATGATTGTATGGAAGTGACATGCATTCGGTTCAGTATTCAATAAATCACGTGAGATATTCAACACATTATTATAAAATAGGTTTTGTGTTAGGTGATTTTGCTCCAGTGTAGACTAATGTAAGTGTTCTGAGAATGTTTAAGGTAGACTAAACTATGGCATCCAGTAGATTAGGTATATTAAATGCATTTTTGACTTAACAGCATTTTCAACCTATGATGGGATTATCAGGTCATAACCTCATTGTAAGTTGAGGAGCATCTGTACATCTGCAATGACCCTATTTCCAAATAAGGTCACCGTCTGAGCTACTGGGGGTTAGGACTTCAACATATGAATGTTAGGGGGATACAGTCCCACCTGTAACACTCCCTGTAGCCCTTCTCTGTCGCTGGCTGAAACCAGCTGGTTGACATGTGGACATCCACCTTCTCGCTTCTGGCATAGGGACTCACAACCCTGGGTACAAAATGGAAATCACCTGGAAGATTTTGAAAGAAATACCCAAGATGCCCAGTGGGATTTTCCCTAGCATGTGCAGGGTCCTCGGTACACATTGTTTGCTGGGGCACTTATCTATAAAAATAAGCTGACTAGAAAATGCATGACAAAATTTATGGGCCCATATGAGGTACAGTGATGCATTGAAGAAAAATTAGAATGGGTAGAAGAGAGTTACTTATGATTTATGTATTGTCCAGTTAGTGCACATAGAGATTCTTCGCGGGGTTTAGACAGAATCTCTTCCTGTTCTTTATCATCAAATGTACCATTCCTGATTAATTTCATATCTCCTACTGTAAGAGAAAGATAGCAACACTGTTATTACAATGCCAGGGCTCTTCAGAACAGTTTGTATTGAAAGAATAGATTTTGTTTCTGCTTTGCCTCAATACTGTTAATTTGAGGGTTGTTTCATTGTTAAGGGTCAACTGTCTCATCTGGTGTGTTCGATGTGATTATCAGCTCTCAATGGTCTGTTAAAGGTGCTTTCCCCTTGGTGAACAGAAAATGCAAGTCTTTCCCAGTATGCAAGAAAGTGTGAAGGATAATTCTTTTTTGGTGATGTGAAACTTACTCTTTAAAGTTTTCTAGCACAAACGTAGGATACTGTTATGGTTTGGCTGTGTCCCCACCCAAATCTCATCTTGAATTGTAGCTCCCGTAATTCCCATGTGTTGTGGGAGGGACCCTGTGGGAGATAATTGAATCATGGGGGCGGGTCTTTCCCATGCTATTCTCATGATAGTGAATAAGTTTCATGAGATCTGATGGTTTTATAAAGGGGAGTTTTCCTGCACAAGCTCTCTTTGCCTGCCGCCATCCATATAAGACTTGACTTGCTCCTCCTTGCCTTCCACCATGATTGTGAGGCCTCTCCAACCACGTGGAACTGCAAGTCCATTAAATCTCTTTCCTTTATAAACTACCCAGTCTCGGGTATGTCTTTATTAGCAGCATGAGAACAGACTAATACAGATACCTTCCAACCATGTTCTGAATCCACCAGGCAGTAATTACTACCTTCCTGAAATGTGGTATATTTCCATAGGGACTGCATTCCTGCCTGCCAGGCAGTGCCACCAGCCTGTAGGGTAGTGGCTTGTGGAAAGAGTGAGAAGAGCAGGCCTCTTCCTGCAACTGTCTACCCTCATCAGGCACGGCCTGAGACCGACAGCGACTGCGGGACATCACTGCATCTGTGGGAGATGAGAGGACAATGACCCGCAGGGTCTGTTTGCCTTTAGGAGCAATGGACTGGACAGCCACCCTGGGAAGACTGTGGAGCCTGCAGCAGGTGTGGGTGGCTGGCCTGGGTGGCCGCAATCAGGCGTGCACAGCTAATGTCGCAGCCCCTACTGCTCAGTGTGGAGGACCTTAGGAGGATCCCAGCATGGAGGGCGAGAGCCATGCACAACCCACACATGTGACTCAAGTGGGGTCTGCGGTGGATGGTCTGTAGCCAGGGCCCTGAACATGCCCTATACGCCATGTGAGTGAATTGCCCCAAATCAGCACCACTGGTGGCCTCACCTCTCATGCAAGAAACATTGCTCTGGGCAGTGGGAGTGGCCCAGGCCACCCTCCTAGTCGTGACGATTGCAAAGGCACGAGTCACCAAGCTCTGTGGGTACCTGCATCCTGATCCTTGCTCAGGGTGCCCCCGGGGACGATTCTGACAGTTCCTGCAGGTGTAGGCACGGATGTGCAACCTGGAAAATTTCAAGGAAGGTGCCCCAGGGCACAGGCCAGGATAGGCTGGCTCCCTTCCCGGGTCTAAGGGCCATTCTGCTGCCCAGCCGCAAACCCGGAAGATTCTGATCTATGGGGCTGGGGCGTGGCTCCCCCACCATAGGTATAAAAACCTCCTCAGGTGACTCTCCCGTGCAGCCAGGTTGAGAACCACAGTGACCTCGCTCACTGACTCACAAATTTGTTGGCACATTGGAATCACCAGGGAGGTTTAATACATTCTAAGCCTGGATGCCACTCCCTGAGTTTTGACTTAATTGGTCTGGGGTGTAACCTAGCATTGGGATTGGAGAATCAATGACCTCTCATTTGAGGTGGTTTTTTAAAACCTCCAGTGGTGCCCTACATCTGATTGGCTATCAGTTGCACACTTAGCTTGGAAGGCCCCTGGATGCTGGTTTTGTGGGAGAGATTCCCCTTGCCCACTCTTTCATTGCCTGATTGGCTTCCCTGACCCCACAGGTGGCATCTTCCTCAAGTCAACCAGCGTGGTAGTCAGAGAGGGCTAACAGGAATGGGGAAAAACTTTCAACCTCCAGAGGAGTGGAAATACTGGGACTGTGGTCACACCTGGTCAACAGTCCTAAATATGAGTGTGAAAAGTCACTTGAACATTCAGAGACAAAGCTCTGGTCTCTGGTCACCACCCCTCTTTTTTTTTGAGCCAGAGTCTTGCTCTGACACCCAGGCTGGAGTGCAGTGGCAAGATACTGCTCACTGCAGCCTCGACCTCCTGGGCTCAAGCAATCCTCCTACCTCAGCCTTCTGAGTCACTGGAACTACAGGCGTGAGTCACTGAGCCTGGCTCTCCAACCCCTTTTAGAGGCTTTTTAGTTCTCAGGCTGCAGTGTAAACTGACTTTCTCTGACCCCAGGGATGAGTCAGGCAAATGTGAAGCCAAGGGGTCAACATGGAGCTGCTTCTTCCGTGGAGTATCAATTTTATTTGACAATGTACATTTGGAAAGTCAAGTAAACTTACTGACTAGAAATGCACAACCTTATTTTAATATCATAATACATGAGAATATTGTAAACCATGATGCATAACTTGCATAATTAAAAATGAAAATCAATTATTTTTATTTTTACTTTTAGATACAGGTTCTTGTTCCATCACCCAGGCTGAAGTGCAGTGGTGGAATCCATAGCTCACTGCAGCTGCAAACTCGTGGCCTCAAGCAATCCTCTTGCCTTGGGCTCCCAAAGTGCTGGGATTATAATCATGAGCCAACACACCTGGCCAGTCTAAGACATTTTATGCTTGCACTGGATGTTTCAGAACAGGCATCCCCATTCCCCATTTATCTTGTATTAAGAGTTGTTTGTTAAAAAAGCTTGAGACCCACTGGAACTAGTAGGTTCAACCTATTTCTCTGTGATCTAAATGAATTCGCATAGGATTTTTCTCTGCTGGGGATGTTCTTCCCTCACTTGGTTACCTGATGAACTCCCATTTGCCCCTCAAAGCCCGCCTTAGATTTCTAGCATACCTTTCTTCTCCTGTCAGTGAGAGGTTATCACCACCTACTCTGTACTGTGCTTAGTACATATCTGCGTTTATGCTTATTCCGCATTGGTGTAATTTATTTGTTTATGTGTCTATTTCATCTATAAGACTAGATACTCTTTGAGGGCAGGAATTACATTTCATACATTGTTCTTCCTCATCTTAGCACCAGGCCTGGCATAGAGCAGATCTCAACAAGAGTTAGTTGATTAAAAGCCATGTTTTTCTTTACTTCTTAAAGAATAACTGAAAAATCCCAAACGCTCCAAATTGCTGCTAGTTGAAATTCAAAAGGAGATCGTTTTGGTGCTTTTTTCTGAGTCAGCTGTGTGACTCTGAGTATGCCCAGAAAACACAGGAGTTGCCCTGGCAGGGGGGTTGGTTATAGAGGGGTTGTCACTAGATCCTGGCCCCTTGGGGAAAGGGAGAGAGGAGGACATTGAAGAAGGGACAGTCCAGCAGCTGGCCCAGCTGTGGGGCCTGTGGTCTCCCCTCCTCTGCCCCCTCCCGTGCTCTTTGGATAGCCTTGTACTTACAGCCACTTGGACAAGCCTTAGCATTGTTTGCCTCTAGTGTAGGGTCAGAGGCCTTGTAGGAATGGCATGATTCTGCTTCCTTAAATAGTGACTTGGGAATGAAATGAGTAACCATGTCTTTAATTAGCCATACCCCAGAGGCCCGTAGGGGGTTGGTAAATGGTGGGCTTCCAGCCAAGATCAGCACTATGTGGCTGGTATTCGGTCCAGGGAGGCTTAGGGGGATGTTTTATTGGCCTCTCTCCCTCCAGTTGTCCTGTCAGCCCCTGATCCATGCTGTCGCCCTTTCAGCACGATGGGCTTCTCAAGACTGACAGAGGAAAGAAGGGAGGAGAGAGGCTAACCCAGTCTGCACATCTGTTAGGTTGGTGCAAACGTTAATTGTGGTTTTTGCCATTACTCGATTTTGCATTTACTTTTACATCAACCTTATATAATATCATGGGCCAGCCTCTGTGCCCAACACTGAGAAGGGCAAAATCAAAGGACTTTAGAGAAGGACTAAAATGTAACCCAACAAAAACATATAGTCCCAGAGCAGTCAAAGAAAGAGGGAGTGAAAGATATTTCAGAAAAACTTAAGTTCTTTGCTCTTTCTCCTTCTCCTTCTTCTTCTTCTTTTTTTGACAGAGTATTGCTCTGTCACCAGGCTGCTGGAGTGCAGTGGCGCAATCTCGGCTCACTGCAACCTCCGCCTCCTGGGTTCACGCCATTCTCCTGCCTCAGCCTCCCGAGCAGCTGGGACTACAGGTGCGCACCACTATGCCCCGCTTATTTTTTTGTGTATTTTAGTAGAGACAGGGTTTCACCATGTTGGCCAGAATGGTCTCGATCTCCTGACCTCATGATCCGCCCACCTTGGGCTCCTGAAGTGCTGGGATTACAGGCGTGAGCCACTGTGCCCAACCTTGTATTTTCAAACTCTGTAAATGGAATCTACACAGGCTACCCTTAATTCAGCCTCCTTCCATTTTCTATCCACTTCCTCACACCCTGAGTCTGCCCTGGCACTCTTTCCTCAAAACGCTGCAGAAAACTGCCCTGGCCTGTGCACTTTTCCCTTTACCCTTGTAGAGAGAAAAGAAATCTTTCTAGCCCGAGTCCACATGCCTTTCATCTCTACTAAATATCCTCCTTTCCTTCTGCCTCTTCATTTTTCTCTCCCTAACTTTTGATGCTATATTACAGAAAAGAATAATTCTGCAAGGGAAATCTTTATCCCCAGGGAGAGTGGCAAAAACCAATGGGAAAAGGCCTCTTTCGATGGTGAGGAGAGAGGAGACAGGCTAGGGATACTCACAAGTTAAGAACGTTGGTCCTGTCTCTTAGACTCACACAGTACTGAAGTGTGGATGTCCTCGAGCAAAAGCACAGAGGAGATCTGCGGAGTCTACCCAAGATGCTGAGGATTGCTTCCCAGAGACGAAATGCCTGAGTGGAGATTTGAAAGAAGGCTAGGAGTTCACCAAGAGACCCAGGAGAAAGGGATATCCATTTAGAGAGAATGACATGGGTAAAGTCATTTGGATAAGACAAGAGTCAGGTCCCTCATCCACTTTGTAGCTCCTGACCTCCAGACTTTCCAGAACTGTGACTGCATATGAGATTCAGGATACCTTCCTTTCAGCTGTTGATATTGAACTCCTAGGGTCCAAATGGGAACTTGATGGAGGAGATGCTAACGGGTCCATAGGGCAGGCAGGAGAGATGCTCCTGTCTTTTCCTGGGAAGGGAATGCAAATACAGCCACTATCCTGTGCCTGGGATATAAGTCTATTCCCTCCTGAGAAAGGAGAAAACACTTTGGGCAGGTCCGGGCAGGGCAGGGCAGGGCAGGGTAAGACTGGCTTTGCCCAGACCAACTTTGGTGCTCTCAGAAAGCAGGTAGAAAGCCTGACTATAAACAAGCTCTCTCAGCTTCCTCTTTATTGGATCCACCAGTCCTCAAGAGGTTTATTCTTAAGTTACTGTTCAGTCTGGGCTCAACCTGTCCTTATTTCTTCACTCCCACTACCTCTAACTTCGAACACTTACTTGTGCATCTGAGATTTTAAATAATATGGTATTCTGGAATGTTTGAAGCTCCGGTGTATAGGAATGGTGTTGCATGTGTTAACAGAGCGGCAGGAATTCTACAAAGCTCTCTCTGGAGCTTTGTGTGTGTTTTTCCCATACCAGCAGCATCAGAATTACCTGGGAGCTTGTTAGAAATGCATGTTTTGGGGGCCCCATCTCAGACCTATGGAACCCGTGGGGTGGGACCCAGCAATCTGTGTTTTAACAAGCCTCTAACATGCTCACATTTTGGACATGCTCAATTGAGCTAGAAGGCTATGTCATGCCGGGGAATTAGCCTGTGATGAGTAGGACTGAGTCCCCGGGTTTGCAGGTTCCAAGGCACAGAAAACACTGTTTATTTAAGGGACTTCTTCTCTGAATGGGCATAAAAGCATTCTTTGCCCTTTTCCATGAACACTATCAGCTTCAGAAAATGCCACATGTGTTGCATCAGAGGGAGACTTCTGACTTCTCAGCAGGTAAATGTACCTTGACTCCAAGGATGGGGAAAAGAGGGGGCTTCAGAAAATGCAAATAAGGCTGCCAGTGGCTGCAGGTGACCTCCACTGGAAGTGTTTCAGCTCTGAGTATGCCAAGTGCATTGCTCCCCTCAGTGCTTACTCTAGGACAGTTTCTGCCTGGCCCCTCCTTCAACTTCTCAGAAGCTGCTACACCGAATTCTTCTCCAGCCTGGAGCAGTGCAAGAGGAAATGGACTGTAACAGAAGTAGGAGAAATTCAAATTTACTATAAGGGACTTTCTGAGGGCAAAGCCTGGAACAGAGCAGGTTGCACAATCTTTTCTGTACATCTCTCTCAGGGGCTACAGGGCTTAGTGGTTAAGGCTAGTGCCTGAATTGAGTTCAGTCCTGGCCTTTCCATGATTTAGCTGTGATCTTGAGAAAATTGCTTAACCTCTCAGTGCCTTCATGGTCTTTAATTTTTAATTTTTTTAGAGATAGGAGTCTGGCCATGTGGCTCAGCCTGGTCTCGAACTCCTGGTCTCAAGCAATTCTCCCACCTCAGCATCCTGCCTCAGCCTCCCAAGTAGCTGGGATTATAGACACAAGCCATGGCGCCCTGCAGCAGTGCCTCCATGTTCTTGATCATAAATTGGGAATTATAATAGCAAGACACTCACAGGCATTTGTGAAGATTACATTAGATAATGCATCCCAAGTAAGCACTAACCCAGCACCTGGCCTGTAAGTGTTCACTAAATATCAGCTATTAAACACCATCTGTACCTAACTTAGTACAGGCATTCAATTTAATACATGCTTGCTGAGTAAATGATGGATTCACAGTCCCTGTCTGAAGCTGCTAGAAGACCATCAAAAATATACTCCCCTTCCATTCTGAACAATTAAATTACCAGGGAGTGGTCCTGATTCCCAAGGCTTAATGGAACTCTAGCAGGTATTTTTCACAGTGGTTTCCTATTTCTGGAATGTCTTCTCCGTTCTGGTCTGTTGTCATCCAGTAGGCTGTTAGTGGGGAATCAGAGTGACTTAAATTGCTCTCATGGACAGAGGGAGGAAACAATTAAAAAGAAATGGGAAGTGAAGTTTCTTGGGTAGAAGGACAAGGGTTGCCACCAGGTAGCATTTCCTGACATGACTCGGCTTGGAACAGTCTCTTAGCAAATTAGAAAAGTGGTCTCTGAGAGAAATCCATCTGCCCCTCCATGCATTGCTGGCAGTGAGCTCCTGAGAGAGAATGTCAAAGGTCATTGTTGGGGTCTAACTTCATCAGAGCTGATATCTGGTAGGGGCTTATTTCTTTGGTTGAGCTGTTTAGAGGAAGAGAGATTGGTTTTTTTTCACTTATACCTGTACTTATAGAAAGCACCCTTGACATCAACACATCAGACCTGGGACCATCTAATTATCTGGAGATCTCTGTTTTTCATTTACCGTTATACCCATATAATCTAGGTGGTTTCTGCCCCACTGTTGATCCCAGGCATTTTGCAGTGAGACTGTTAAAGAATTCCAAAGCAGGTGTGAAAGTGCAGAGCAGGAAGATTTGGAGAGAGCTTTGAGATTTACTCTCCTCCAAAATCCTCCAGCCATGCAAGGCACAGGACTGGAAGAGCAGCAGGAGCAGAAATCCGGAATCTGTGCTTCTGATTTTGCCCAAGTGGCCAGATTTCCCCTGTGGAGGAATCACCCAGTTCCTGCAATAGCCCTTCCCCCACCTCACCTCTCTCTGCAGGGACCTCCAGGTCACCCCTATGCCTGGATAAAACTTGATGGCTGCCATTAGAACTTCTGCTAATGAGGTGAACTTTTCAGAAAACTCAATATTTAAAAACAGGGACTCACAAAACAGATCAACTGGGGAAGTGGGTGATTATTTGTCTTTGCTATATATAGGAAAGAGTCAGTTTATAACATAATTATTTTTATGTGCTATTTTTTCCGCAGAGCTCAGAGAACCATCCAATCTAATTATGCCTATATGCATTGATTTTTATAGCATCTCCTCTCTCCTTCCTGGGGTCAGACATGAGCTCTTCAGACTCTACTTCTTTTGTGACTTTCTCCAATGCCTGGCACTGAGCTTGGTACTCAGCAAGGCCCAACAAAGGTACAATTGACTGCTAGTTGTACTCCCTAGTGGGAGGTGTGTGGGTGTCTTGGAGCTGCAGCCTTTACCAGGTCTTCCCAGGAATATGCTGCTTAAACAAACGATTCTTCTTCCTCTCAAGGTGGCAGGGAATCAAAGAGCAAGGCAGGTGTGTCCACCCCACCTGGTCTTCTTATCTTTGGACTGAAATAATCTGTGCAAAATTGGAAACAGCCTGCATGTGTTCGGTGTATGTCTGCACGTGTGAGCCTGTTCCTCTGTGACTTGAAAACAGGCAAAGTATGAAGCATGAAGAAGAATATCTGGGTCATAAGGAGGAGAGAGCTCTAAGCATTCCTCCTGTCTGGATTTCCACCTCTTAGGTTAAGTCTGATTTATTTGGCTTTAATGGAGTCTTACCTCTGTATCTAACGAGAGTTATTTACAAAGGAAGCTTGTGTCTTGGTATTGTAAGGGTTCAGCTGTAAGCCATGATCTGCTCAGCCAGGGTCTGGGCTCTCTAGACTTGGCGCCCACAGTGTCTCTCCAGCCTCATTCCCGGGGCAGTGGGGGTCACACCCAGCTCTGTGCCTGCTCTAGAGCGTGGACCCTGCTCCTGGTTCTGCTCACACTGTTACTGTAAGCAGGAAGTTCTTGCCCTCTGCCCAGGTTGCCAGACCCTGGAGGAGACGGGAAGTTTATGATCTTTACATCTTTAGGATAATGCTTGACATAGAGAAGATGCCTGATAAAGGTATATTAAGCGAATGGAGAGAGGGATGAATGTGCCTCTTGCCACACGTGTCCTGCCTACATTTAGGGAAATTTACTGATGCCTACTATAGGCAGGCTCCATTCCAGGGGCTTGAGATACATCAAAGTTGGAAAAATGTCTTTCTTTATGGACAGAGATTATATTCTAGCAGGGGTGACAGACTAACAATAAGTAAATAAATTATATAGTATACTACATATAAGTGCCATAGGAAAAAATCGAGCAGGAGAAGGGGGAGTTGGAGGGCCGGGGCTGGGGCAGGTTGTGGTATTAAGTAGGTGGTCAGGGCCCAGTGTGGTGGCTCACACCTGCAATTCCAGCACTTTGGGAGGCCAAGACAGGTGGATCACAAGGTCAGGAGATTGAGACCATCCTGGCCAACATGGTGAAACCCCGTCTCTACTAAAATACAAAAAATTAGCTGGGCGTGGTGGTGCATGCCTGTCGTCCCAGTTACTCTGGAGGCTGAGGCAGGAGAATTACTTGAACCCGGGAGGCGGAGGTTGCAGTGAGCCAAGATTGCACCACTGCACTCCAGTCTGGGCAACAGAGCAAGACTCCGTCTCAAAAAAAAAAAAAAAAATTGGTGATCAGGGCATGACTCTGCTGGAGTAAATGGATCCCTTCTCTGATCACCTCAAATAGTTTGTCTGAACCTTTCCTCTGGCAATATTGTTTTATTCTTTAAAAATACATTTTTTTTAGATAGGGTCTTGCTCTGTTGCCCCGGCTGGAGTGCAGTGGTACAATCATAGCTCACTGCAGCCTCGATCTCCTGTGCTTAAGTGATCCTCCCACCTCAACTTTCTAAGTGGCAGGGACTACAGGCACGTACCACCATGCCTAGCTAATTTAAAACATTTTTTTTGGTAGAGATAGAGTCCTACTATGTTGCCCAGGCCGATCTTGAACTCCTGGGCTAAAGCAATCCTCTCACTTTGGCCTCCCAAAGTGTTGGGATTACAGGTGTGAGCCACCATATAGAACCTGTCTTATTCATTGTACTTACAACACACACATACACACACACACATAAATCACATTTATCTGTTTCACTGTTGGCTCTCCTACTAGGCTATCAGCATGCAGAAGCACTTCTATGCATGATCAGTATTTATATCCTCTCAGCATCTAACACATGATAGATGTTCAATAAAAGGGGTCAAATAATAATTATTAATAATTGATTTGCTGGGGGAAATAAATGGGCCAGAAATAGTAACTGCCATATTGGCCTTTTTTTCTTTTTAACATATATAACTTGCTCTCTTTAGGTAGCAAATACCTTTGAGTACATTAAGAAGAACATTTACCCTTAAATTAGGCTTAAGGGTTCACGTGCATCAGGGCCTTTAGGAATGCAGTATCCTTAAACACGAAACACACCTACCAGGGGAGTGCCTCCTGTCTGTAAAAAAGCTGCTTTTTGTTTTTCTTTTTTTTGAGATGGAATCTTGCTCTGTCACCCAGGCTGGAGGGCAATGGTACGATCTCAGCTCACTGCAACCTCCACCTCCCAGGTTCAAGCGATTCTCCTGCCTCAGCCTCTGGAGTAGCTGGGACTACAGGCGTGTCCCACCACACCCAGCTAATTTTTCTGTATTTTTAGTAGGGACAGGGTTTTGCCATGTTGGCCAGGCTGGTCTCAAACTCCTCACCTCAAGTGGTCTGCCTGCCTTGGCCTCCCAAAGTGCTGGGATTACAGGCGTGAGCCGCTGCGCTTGGCTTAAAAAGCTGCTTTTTCTAAGCTGCATTAATTCTTTTAGCCTGGCCAGAGGTGCTTTGGTAAATGTTTTTGCTTCAGGGGACTGATTAGTGCTTTGATGTCCCTAAAATGTTTTAACTTAGTTTTACAAAAGAGAGTGATGTATCAACCCAAGGGAATAGTGATGGGCTTTGGGCAGGTCATTCCCTGTTTGGAAGATAGGATGGGGAGCAGAAGAGTGTGGTTTGAGTGCCTGGACACTGTCTGGGCCTGACTGGAAGGGGACACCTTCCCTACAACCTACTGGCCCTTCTTCCCAGTGAGGGGGACGACTGGCCTTATCTGTTGCTAAGAAACTTATAAGAAACTTACACTCCCAGATTACCTTGTGCTACGCCATATCCTGTTTTGAATTTCCAAAGGAGAATAAATAAGAAGAAATGATAGTATTAACAAAATAGCTTCCATTTGTTAAACCCTTCCTATGTGCCAGTCTCCATGCTTGGTTTATATTTAGTATCTCAGTGTAGACCTCACAGCCATTCTAGGAGGCAGTGGTCACTGTCCCCTTTTCACTGACGAGAAAACTGACAATGAGAAGCCAGTTCTCCCAAAGTTGCCCAGATGGTAAACGGCGAAGTGAGGGTTTGACCCCAGGCCTGCCTGTCTGACTGTAAAACTTGGCCTCATAACCACTAAAGGAGCAGATAATTATTTAGAGGAAAAAAACAAATGTGGGGTCTTCTTCAAGATAGTGACAATGGAGATTATAAAGCACAGGAGTGTAGGAGGAGTGGCACGGTGTAGCAATGTGTGCTACGATGACAAGGAAGAGGGAGTTGAATGCTACCCAGAGACGGCTGCAGCAGGGGAAGCCACTTACCCATGCGAACAGGTTCTAGAAAGATGTGGGAAAATGAAAAATGTTGGTGGGGGGAGGTGGCGTGAAGTTGGTAAGATTATGGAGGAGGGACTTTTCTTCCGAAATTTTCATTAATATTGTTGATACATATTTCTAATTAGAACTTGTCAGAGACACTGGAACTGCTTCCTAAAGGGCATAGAAAATGTCTTATTTCAGCTTAAGGTTTATCCAAATTGAGTCGGTAAATGGTTTGTCAACTCACTGTGCTCCGTGTGGAGGCAGGGAGCTTGTGTGAATGAGTTACGGCCACATTCACCAAATCTCTCACTTTCTTTGGTTTCGCACAGAGTCTCTAAAAAGCCCTGCAATGGGAGGATTGAGTGTATTTTCTCTCTGCTCTCTTGGGGAGGCTCCCAAGAGAAAGGAAATGATGCCAGGGTGGGCAGCTCCAGGAGCTGGGATGCTTGGGGGCTCCTTTGTGGAACTGTCTGAACTTGGGGAGTTCAGAGAGCTTTGTGCCGTGACTTTAGGCTTTAAGAGACTTTTAAAACATGGAGTCTTGTCCAGGCCACAGTGGACTTGATTCCCTTAAATCTAATGGGTGACTTAGCAGCTCTCGTGTTTGTTGTGTGAGGTCATAGGGACATCTTCTGCCCAGTGAGCTACACAGATTGAGCCCCACACAATACATTTTGCTCCCTTCCCGTGACAGCCATCCTTGCACCTGCACCCTCATCTGCCTGTACTGCCAAGAGTCATAGGATTGCTTGTGGTGTGGGTGTGAGCGTGTCTTTATTTTCCTTTCTCCAGTCTGCCTGCTTTCTTGGGGGCTTGTGTTTGATTTTGCACTGCTCTTGCTCTCTCTCCCATCCCTGGCCACCCCCGTTCCCACCACACGCAGAGACATATATGTGTGCAGTATGTTTCTCCCCTTCCTGCTTCCAAGATCCAAAACCAGACCATTGCAGGACTACACTGATGCCTGAACTTCTCCACCAGACACTCTCCACCATATTCCTTCCTTAGCTACCCAAGCAAACAAACAGCTTTCTGGACAGTGACTGATGGGCCTTCCCATCAGTCAGATCCTTTTCCTCTGTTTACCATCCCTTCTTTCCATATACCAATCCTGGAACAAGTAGGCACTTTGGGAATACCTGTTGAAAGAACAAATCCCATTCCACCAAATTGTGGATTTGGCTCTTCCATGAAGATTTCAAGTTCATTTTGTTTACTTGCCATAGTTCACCCATGGGTGTAGGAATATCCAAGACTCTAAGCCTAACCTTCCAAGTCCCTCTCATGCCATTCTCCCCACTTATCACACTCTGCTGCCATTAAGCAGGTGCATTTCAGTTCCTCAAACCCTCTAGATTCTTTCCCAGCTCAGGGCCCTTGCAGATAAACTAATTCCTTCTCCTTGAAGTGATCTTTCCTCCCTCCATCTCCAGCCTGACTCTTCGCAGGTCTAGTTCCTTCTCGTCTTTCAACTCTCAGCTTGAACATCAACTCTTCAGGGAGCCGTTTCTCACCATGTTGTATCCACAGTGTCCTTTCCCCCTTCATTCTTTGTAACTACACCTTGTATCCTTCATAGCCAATCACTGTTTGCCATTATGTATCCATTTGTCTGTTGTCTTGTTCCGTGTCTGTCTTTCTCCCCAGGCTGTCAGCTCCGCAAGGATACAGATGATTCTATTGTTTTCACCCCATATACCCAGCACCTGGCACGGAGTAGATTCTCAACAATTCTTAGTTGAATTGAGTGGATGACTGACTGAATGAACAATTGAATGAGTACTTTTCTTTTCTCCCCCTGCTTTTTTTTTTTTTTGAGACTGAGTCTCGCTCTGTTGCTTAGGCTGGAGTGCAGTGGCGTGATCTCTGCTCACTGAAACCTTTGCCTCCCGGGTTCAAGCAATTCTCCTGCCTCAGCCTCCTGAGTAGCTGGAATTACAGGTGTGCACCACCAAGCCCGGCTATTTTTTGTATTTTTAGTAGAGATGGGCTTTCACCATGTTGGGCAGGCTGGTCTCGAATTCCTGACCTCAGGTGATCTGCCTGCCTCGGCCTCCCAAAGTGTTGTGATTACAGGTGTGAGCCACTTTTCCCCTCCTTTTTCTATTCTTGAAAATTACTTGTCACTGTCTCACTGCTATTCTTCTGTAACTGTTGTTTACATCATTTCCTTTTGAATGTAGTTTTGGGGTTTATTTGTGCATTTTTCTTCGTTAAGAGTCAGGAGTCATTCTATGCTCTCTGAACCACAAATGAGATCTTCTGTTTTATTCTTCCCTGCCCTAGAAAGACATATCCTACCCCTTGTCAGCCATCATCTTGGAGCTCAAAAATAAGATTTGGTGTTCTGTGTCCTGGATTACCATACTGGAATAAAATGTTCAGATGAAACTGGGAAAATTGACATGACAGAGAGAAACATGTAGAAGGGAAGAAACTGGGGGTTGGGGGGCCTGAAACTGAGACTGAATGTAAGAGAGAAGAAATAGTGCCATGGGCATGTGCTGCAGACTACCTTCAAGATAGAGGTACCTAAAGGCAAAAAGATGATGTTATCTTCACACCAATTACAAATCTAGCCACAGGGTTGGTTGGATGGTTGAAGCTACCTATGCAAAATGTGCTCTGCAGATCAGCAGCACCTGCTGCACCTGGTGCGTGTTTGAAATGCAGAATTTTGGGCCTGGCCCTGGGCCTAATGCAGTCAGAATCAGTATTTTTGACAGGCCATTCAGGTCATTTATGTAGAATTTGAGAATCACTAGCGTATTCCAGAAACTGCCTGACAATTCACGTTGCTAACAGCAGAGGAATCCTTTGATAAATTATGAGCGTGTGTTCCCTATGACTTCAATTGTCACTCTGTCACCCAGGCTGGGGTGCAGTGGCGTGATCCCAGCTCACTGCAACCTCTGCTTCGCGGGTTCAAGAGATTTTCCTGCCTCAGCCTCCCCAGTAGCTGGGATTAGAGGTGTGTGCCACCATGCCTGGCTAATTTTTGTGTTTTTAGTAGAGATGGGGTTTCACCATGTTGGTCAGGCTGATCTCGAACTCCTGATCTTGTGATCCACCTGCCTTGGCCTCCCAAAGTGCTGGGATTACAGGCGTGAGCCACCACGCCTGGCCCGGGAATGAAGGAAACTTCTTGTGTGAGCTCTACTCTGGCCCACAAAGAAGGCTGACATTGACATGTGCTGGGACAAATAAGATAATCTTCCCATTTAACTTTAAGTTCTTAAGAGCTGAGATGGAAAGTTAAGGCACAGTCAAATATTGTAGGCTTCAGAGAAGCAGATTTCAAAATGTGTAGGGATGGAAAGATGCAAGAGTTTTATCAGAAGATGGCGTTGACAAACTGGGAGCCCTTAAAAATGCAACTGCTACCATGTATAACACTAAAAATGGTTCCTGCGAGGAAGAAGAGGAGGTGTCTGAAAAGTTAGGTGTGGCTGCCCAGGGTAACTTACAGAGTCCAGTGTACAAAAGGAGGAAGGAGGAACACAAGATCAAAAGACTTGCTTGGATCTCTACCAAGAGTGGCAGGTGGTTACGTGCTGTAAAGAAATCCTAACTTGTTACAGTGTTAAAAACAAGAAGAGCTACTCTGGGTAAGTGTGGAGCAAGGAGGATTAAAGAGGAACATTTCTCTCATTTGGAAAATGGGAGGTGTCATTGCTTCCATGAGACCTTCCCTGATCATCAGCCTGTCCTGCACTCTATACTCTGTCATTCTCTAGCCATATCACCCTTTTGAATGTATTTCACAATGTTCATTGCTATGTGGAATTATCTAGTTTACTATTGCCTTATTCATTACCTACTTTGAACTCTTCTAGAATGTAAGCTCCATGAGAGGGGTGACTTCACTTGCCTTATTAACCACCAGATTCTTGGGACCTAGAACAGTGCCTGGTGTGTGCCAGGTGCCACATAAATGTGAATGAATGAACAGAAAAGTCTGAGACAAAGCCAAATGCCTCAACCCCTATGAACTCTATTCACTCTGTCTGTTCTGTAAAGATCTGGAGATGAGGCTCTCCAAATTGCACAAAGGATAATAAGCTTATCAAGAAAAGGAAAGAGCAGCTCATTTTTCTTGGGAGCCTTTGCTCCCAAGCCCATGGGTTCCAAAACCCATGCTCTTACCCTTAAATTGAAGCTTGGTGGAAACTGGAGTAAAAGGGAAATGAGCCCATTAAGCTTTAAATAAACTTAAATCTCTAAGCAGTGGACAAGGTAAGTATAAATTCTTATCACAAGGATGCCACTTAAAACCCTTCCAAAAATCTGTGGTGTGCAGCAATAAACACTTATTTCTTGTTCATATGTTTGTGGGCTGACTGGGGTTTGGCTGATCTTGGCTGAGCTCTGCCGGGCATGGCTCTAGGCTGTGGATTGGGTCGAGGTCTGCTCTAGGAGTCTTTTATTATTCTGGTACCAGTGGGCGTTCCGGGGCATGTTCTTCTCTTGGCAATGCCAGAAGCACATATGAGATGAATGGAAATACACAATACATAAGGCCTGTGTGTATTATGGGCACATTGTTTCTTCTGCCCACATTTCATTGGCTGAATCAAGTCACAAGCCACTCAAGCCCAAAACCAGTGGGATGGGCTGTACACTCCATCTCTAGCAAGGTCCCATGAGAACTGCAAAGTCCCATGGCAAAGGGTGTTGATCCTGGCAGCAGTGAACAATTGGGAATAATGATGCACTTGACCATAGGAATATATGTGGAGCATGCATGGTATTCAGGGACTAGGCCTTATGCTGTACATGCACCATCTCATTGAAGCCTCACAGCAATCCTATGAAGTAGATTATTATTATTCCTATTATTCAATGAGAGAGTTTAGGCTCAAAGCAGTTCATGACTCAAGGTCCCACTGAAATAAATGGACTATCAGGGGCATGTGCCCAGGTCTGCCTGGCAGGAACGCTCATGTTCTTAACCCTGACTCAACTCTGCTGAAAGAACTGGCTGTGATGAAAGAAAAGCTGCCAGTAATTTTTCAAAAGCTGTAGGTGATAGGGAAGGCATC
Organism: Homo sapiens; assembly: GCF_000001405.40. Lineage (NCBI taxonomy): Eukaryota > Metazoa > Chordata > Mammalia > Primates > Hominidae > Homo > Homo sapiens. The sequence continues at coordinate 38,203,922 of NC_000004.12, forward strand.
GGAAGACCAGATACACGCAAATGGATGCATTTTTCAAGGGGTGGGAGAAAGTGAACTTCTGAAATGAGATAAGCTTGAGTTTTGTGTGTCAAGGATGGTTGCTTTATCAAGAAAAACAAAAAAACAAAAAACAAAACAAAACAAAACAAAAACCAAACTCTAGAGAAAAAGCCACCATCTCTGTGGCTGGGCTAATGAATCAGGCTGGACACTAGAACTGTAGTAGACTAGTGGAATTCATCTGAACTTCATGTTAATCCCTCAGCTTGGATGGATATATTCAGCTACTCCATCTACTCCCAGTCTTGGTTCCATATCCTTGTGGTGGTGCTATTCTTTAATGCCTTAATTCTCAACTTGCCTATAGCTTAATCCTACTGCCTTAATTCTCAACTTGCCTATACCCTGGGCCTTTGATTTGAGTCCCCTCACTGATAGCTTGGGGTCTCCCTAAATGAATGTCTGTAGATTTCTGCTGCTCACCCATACTGTCCTGTATATGATTCTCAGACAAAGCCTGGCACCTGACTCCCTGCTCTCCTCACCAAGCTGGCACGCCATCAGGACTCCTGTGTCCTCTCACCCTGAGGAGGGATACTCCCCCAGGAACATTCTAGAACACATTTAGAACAAGTGACTCATGGGCAGTGCTAACGGTAATCTGGAGGGTAGCATGAGCTCAGTGAGGGCGAACATGGCTCCGCAAACCTGATTTCCGTTGTTAGAAAATTGGACTGCCAGATCAAGGGGCGGTCATGAGGTTAGAATTTCAGATTTCATCAAGGGATTTGACAGACCCTTTCATGATCTCTTTTCGAAGAAGACTGAGAAACATTGGCTGATTTAGGACAAATAGATTAGTGCTGGCTGGTTAAAAAATTATGCTGTCATTAATCAGATGTGCTGATTAATGACAGCCAGAGGGAGGCAGCTGGTGTTGAACAATAGACCTTTGTCCTCAGCCAGGTCCTGTCCGGGGTTCTCACTCTCGCTCTCTCTATAGCCACCCCATCTCTCTTTGAACAACTTGGATGAAGACACAAGAGGCTGCTTTATAAAACTGATGGCAGGCATAAACAAAGGAGGAGTAGCTAGTATAAAAATGAGAAGGTCAAGATTAAAATAATAATAATATCTATAACACCTTACAAAGCCTTTCTCTAGAGAATGATGTTATCTAAGTCTCTAAACAACTCTGTGTAGTTAGGGTGACCAATGAGCCTCATTTCAGATTGGATTCAGGGCTTAAGTCAATTCCCAGAATCACGCAACGTTGTACTGCAGAACCCAGGTTTAAACACTTATTTTTCTGATTCCAAATTTTATACCCTTTAAAATTGGCCAAAATAAACAAGAGGAAATTAATGGAAACATTTTTTAAAATACACAAGCACAGGTTGGGAGAACCTAACGTACCAACCGCCATGGGAATGACCCTCAGCATCTCTCCCTCGTTCCCTAGCTCTGAGACAGCTGCCCACTGCTTCACTGTGACAGAGCTGGCATTCTCCTCCCCAACCTGGCCTCTTCCAGGCAATTGGTAAGCCCATCCAGCTGGAGCAGAAGAACAGAAATGTGGACTTGGCCCCCTAGTCTCATAAAGCTACAACTGCTGGTCTGATTCAGGGGCCCCTGTGGCATGGTGGAAAAGACATGAGCTTACAAGTCCTGTGAATTAATTTACTTTTAAAAGTAAATTAAATTTACTTGCCTTGGGCAAGTAAACTAAACCTGGCCAAGCCTCAGTTTCTTTTTTGTAAAAGGGGAGACTAATGATACAAATCTTAGTGGACAGTGGTGAGGACTGCAAGAGATGATGCATGTAAAAATCTTGGCACAGGGCCTGGCAGATAGAAAATCTCAATAACTTGCAGTTCACCTTCAGAGTTGGGAATTCATAAGTCGCAGCATGGATTGAACCAGGATTGTCGTACCCTCTGCACCATCATGGTACTCTTGCCCTTTCTGGATCTAAGTCCTGGCTTCAGTGATCCAAACGTGGGTAGATTTTAATTCTTCTGATAGGAGGCCCTCCCTATTCAAGAGATAAGAGAATGCCTAACACATGGCCAGCCATGCTTGTTCTGCTGTGCCTTTTAATTGTGCAGAAAATAATAATGATAATAGAACCTTCTAGTATTTCAGAAGGTTGGAACATCATGAGAACTTACCATTTAGATTCCCCAGTCAGGTAGACGAATGGATTGAGCAACTCATCTGTTTTCCTTCACTTCTTGGAGGTTTGGTAGAGGGAACAGGAAGCATGGAGGAAGGTGCAGAATTTGTGGGGAGCAAGTACCTTTGTGAATCTCTTTCTCACTGTTGCATTTTGTTTTCTTTCTGAGTTTCTCTATCTTCTGGGTGATACAAGGAAGGTACTGCTTGCCTAGAATTTAATACTCTTTTCTGTTTGTTTTAATCCCTACCAGGACCAGGTGTTCTTTTGGTTTTTGAAGTTCTCATCAATAGGAGTTTACTTATTTGGCACCATAAAACCCTGCTTTAAACAGGATACACAATTTTATGCATCATAAAAATAAAAACAAATTAAGTATTTTTGAAAGCAGTGTGTTTTAAATTATATCCAAATAACAAACACTCACCTAGGGCAAAAGATGAACTCTTCTGGAGCAATAGATTGTAGAGCTGATTGATTTATTTTGTGCAAGAGTAGATAATAATTTACCCAATGCTTGCTATGGTAGGGATTTTCCCCACAATAGTGTGGTGAGGTCAGCAAAGCATGATGGTCAGAACCAATGTATCTTCATCCTATCTGCAGGTCAGGTCCTGACAGTGGATTCTGTAAACTCCCACTCTCTTAAATTCACATTAATGGGCGTTAAAACTTGATGTTGGTCGCCAGGCACAGTGGCTCACACCTGTAATCCCAGCCCTTTGGGAGGCTGAGGCGGGCGGATCACGAGGTCAGGAGATCGTGACCATCCTGGCTAACACGGTGAAACCCCGTCACTACTAAAAATACAAAAAAGTAGCCGGGCGTGGTGGCGGGCGCGGTGGTGGGTGCCTGTAGTCCCAGCTACTTGGGAGGCTGAGGCAGGAGAATGGCGTGAACCCGGGAGGCGGAGCTTGCAGTGAGCCGAGACTGCGCCACTGCACTCCAGCCTGGGCGACAGAGCGAGACTCTGTCTCAAGAAACAAACAAACAAACAAACAAAACAAAACAAAACAAAACAAAACAAAAAAAACCTTGATGTTGGTCATGTGGCCTAGCACAGAAAACAACTTTCTGTCAATCACTTCTCCTCCTCTTTTATTGATTATCGTCAATTGCATAACCGTAGCACTCCTCACATATTTCAGCATTCACTGTTTGTTTTTCAAAACTGTTCCTACAGTCAACAAACCCTTTCATACATGCAAGCCAGTTTCATCCATTTCTTACATCTAATTAATCTCTTTGGGCTTCACCATAATGGCACATTTCTTCTTCTTCTTTTTCTTTTTTCTTCTTTTAACAGCTTTATTGAGGTGTAATTTACATGACATAAAATTCACCCATTTTAAGTCTGTAATTCAATTATTTTTAGCCAATGAGTGAAGCTGAGCAGCCACCACTATAATCCAGTTTAAGAACACTTCTATCACGCCATCCCCTTTTGCAACAATCTGTTTTCTCAACCTCAATCCCAGGCAACTACTAATCTACTTTCTGTTTGTATAGATTCACCTCTTCTGGATATTTCACATAACTGGAATTACAGAACATGTATCTTTTGTATCTATCTGGCTTCTTTCACTTAGCTCGATGTGTCTGTTTCATCTGGTGTAGAACATATCTGTACTTTGTCCCTTGTTACTGCTGAATAGTATCCCCCTGTTTGGATATATACCACCTTTTGCTTATTTACCACCAGTTAATGGACATTTGGATTATTTTCACTTTTGACTACGGTAAACATTGGCGTACATGTCTTTGTGTGGGTATGTTTTCATTTTTCTTGGGTAAATCCTTAGGGGAATTGATGGGCACAACTTTTTAAAATTGCACTTTTAATAGTTTCACGATTGACAATATGCAGATATACGAAGGTTTCTGAACAATGGATAGTCAGTTGGCCATTTGGTACAAATGTATGAACACTTGTCCAATTTAGTTGTAAGATCTTCATTGTAGTAAGATGTTTAATTACATCTCTGAACTGACACTATTCCTTCTTCCATTTTGAACATATCAAGAATTATGTATTTACTCAGTAAAATTTAATTAATATAAACATTTAAAAAGTTGAAATACTTTATTTCAGGAGCACAGGGAAAGACCACTGAATTTGGAGTAAAAAAAAATGGCTTTGATTCGCATCTCTGTTGGTTACTATCCATGTAAGCCTTTGAACAAAATCATTTAATGTTTCTGAGATTTTCTCCTTAGTACTGAGGGGTTGACCAGGTGCGTTGGGTCATGCCTATAATCCCAGCACTTTGGGAGGCCGAGGCAGGTAGGTTGCTTGAGCCCAGGAGTTCAAGACCAGCCTGGGCAACATGGCAAAAACCCATCTCTACAAAAAATACAAAAAAATGAGCCAGGCCTGGTGGCATGTGCCTGTAAGTCCCAGCTACTTGGGAGGCTGAGGTAAGAGGATCACTTAAGCCTGGGAGGTGGAGGCTGTAGTGAGCTGTGATCATGCCACAGCTCTCCAGTCTAGGCAACAGAGCAAGACTCTGTCTTTAGAATATAATGAATGATAATGGTGTTTATCCTGCTACATACATTACAACATCAAGCTTCTTGTAACCTTTAAAAACCTGGAACCAAGAGTTCAGTCTCAAAATGGTATCAGACTTAAGAAGTACACTTCAATAGGCAAAATTAATGAAAAAGTAATTCAATTTTTTTCTTATGTCTCCTGAAGGATAGTGAAGAGGAGCTGAGCATGTGGTCCATACTAATAGAAAGTCCCCTTTCCTCACATGTGTGCATCACAACCTCACCTCCTCAATTCACACCACCCCCCAAATCCTTCTCATCTCTCTGCCTGTGCTGCTGATTTTTCTCCTCCTCTTCACACTCTCCTTTCTTTCTCAGTCATTCTTTATGTGAATTAACCTAGCTTCCTGCCCAGGAAGAAAGAATTTTTCCCTGACAGAGGAGAGAAACCAGGTTGGTAGCTTCAGGGTATCTCTTGGATGGATGAAGGATGAAATCTGAATATTAAAACTTTTCACATACATTATAAAGTATAAGACACAATGGAAATAAAAGTTATTAGTGTTATTATCATAGTTATCAACATTATTAATAATATAAGGTGAAAGAATAGGTATGCCTTGTGCCCCAGGCAAATAATTTAGCTACCAAAGTACTAACAAGTCCGTAATACTGCATTTTATCCATTTAGACACATTCCCCTCCATATTTTAACATTTCTCTCTCTTTTTTTTTTTTTTGGAGACCGAGTCTCACTCTGTTGCCCAGGCTAGAGTGCAATGGCACAATCTCGGGTCACTGTAACCTCCACCTCCCTGGTTCCAGCGACTCTCCTGCCTCAGCCTCCCACGTAGCTGGGATTATAGGCGCCTGCTACCATGCCCAGCTAATTTTTGTATTTTCAGTAGAGACAGGGTTTCACCATGCTGGCCAGGCTAGTCTTAAACTCCTGACCTCCAGTGATTTGCCCCCCTCGGCCTCCCAAAGTGCTGGGATTACAGGCATGAGCCACTGCGCCCAGCCATATATTTTAACATTTCTAATATAAGAATGTTTCTTTCATTCTTATATTTCATTCTTATATTATATTTCATTCTTATATAGTGACATTGTAAAATCACTATTAGCTATTTTCCCCCATTTTCACAGCTCTGAAATCTTATAATCAGGGAAGTCTTAGATAAAATATGAACTGTGGACTATGGATTTCACCTCTGCTAGACTCTGTGTATTGAGCGCCACAGGGAGGCTGTGAGTCTGTTGCAACAATTGGGATTAGGGTTTCCTGGTCACTGAGTGGAAGCAGCTGAGTGGGCAGTTTATCTGTGCGGGGTAGGAGGAGTCTTGGGTGGGCTCAGCCCTGTGGCAGTGCACTCTTGGGGTTTTGATAGCTTACCTGACTTTTTTTTTTTTTTTTTTTTTAATAGACAGGGTCTCACTCTGTTGCTCAGGCTGGAGTGCAGTGGCACGATCACAGCACACTGCAGCCTCGAACTCCTGGGCTCAAGTGATCCTCCCACCTCAGCCTCCTGCGTAGCTGGGACTACAGACGCACACCACTTTGCATGGCTAACTTTTAAATTTTTTGTAGAGACGAAGTCTCCCCATGTTGCCCAGGGGTGGTCCAGAACACCTGGCCCCAAGCCGTCCTCCCACTTCAGCCTCCCAAAGCATTGGAATTATAGATGTGAGCCACTGCGTCCAGCCGGCCTTACCTGACTTTTGAAAGCCAGGTGAAAGAGAGGTTCAGGACTCCATATACACTGTCTACACTACAGCATGGTATACATCTCTCTTTCTAAATCCTTGCTGGGCACACAGGATTCTTCACAAACCAATTTCAACAGGGAACAGCCCATCTGAAAAATATGCACCATTCCTAAAGTCATGCCTTGCATTCCTGTGAAAGTCACTCCTGACTTGCTAAATAGCCACTGCAGGGCGCCTCAGAGTGACCACGATTGAAGTTGGATGAAACAACTTCTACTGATGCCAAATGGTGGTATATCACCCTGCCTGCGGACTAGTGGCGCCATGAATGTAAGATAATATTATGACAAGGAAGTTAAGAAGCACAGGAAATGAAAACAATACAGTGGCTTGGGATACAGATCCAGGACAGAAACGACTTCAGAGCGGTCAGGGTGTGTTTGTAAAAGCATAGGTTGTTTAAGCAAAAAACCATTGGGCAGAAACCCATAGCAGCCACTCTCAGTCCGCAGCTCACCAGGAGAAGTGCAGAACGTTTTGAAAAACTGTTCCACTCAAGCAAGGACTATGCTAGACAGAGGAGAGCTGTTGAGAAGGCAGAGGCTGTGTTTGGCCAGCCAAATCCCTCACAGGGCCACATTTGCTGACTAAGTAAATAAGAGTGGATGCTGAGAGGGGCCGTTAGAATGTGCAAGGGCTCACTTTAAAAATATGTTCCTAGGCTGGGTGCAGTGGCTCATGCTTATAATCCCAGCATTTTGGGAGGCCTAGGTGGGACGATCACGAGGTCAGGATTTGAGACCAGCCTGGCTAACATGGTGAAACCCCCGTCTCTACTAAAAATACAAACATTAGCTGGGTGTGGTGGCACGTGCCTGAAATCCCAGCTACATGGGAGGCTGAGGCAGGAGAATAGCTTGAACGTGGGTGGCAGAGGTTGCAGTGAGCCGAGATTGCGCCACTGCACTCCAGCCTGGGTGACAGAGTGAAACTTTGTCTCAGAAAAAAAAAAAGAAAATATGTTTCTATTTCCTTTGCTTCCTCTTATGTTCTGTTGATTTAGCACATACTGTGACAGCTTTTACTTTTGGCCTGATGGTAGCTTGGTCAGGGAGTCTGAATATGTGGACAGGGTACAGGATTTGGTCCTCTTGTTTAGTGTTCATTTCTGCAGTGGATCTAACTCCTGGCGGTCCTTGATAAGCTGATCTGGGGCTTTCCTAGGTCCCCTAAGCCTGATGAGACTGCACGAGTGGGCAGGGGAGGGACTTAAGATTCTTGCCAATCTGACCGTAAGATAAACAGGGGTAAATGGCCAAGAGATGTTGGCCAGAGGAAGGCCTTTGAGTGCCTCAGGAACCAAGTAGGAGAGGAATCTGAGGAATTGAGGCTGCTCAGACGTGCCAGACGTTGGCTGGCTGGTTTCCAGTGGTGAGCCAGATGGTTTTGAGAACCAGAGGCCAGTATTTTGGGCAGGAGTAGTGACTTGTGAGAAATGAAGTAGAAAAAGGCCAGGAACCCTGACATCTAAGAAGGTGGATGGATGGGATGGCAAAGAGTCTTACACCCCAGAAATCCTCCCATTTCAGATAAGGAATAAGAGGTACACTCTAGACCCAAAAACTGTGTTTTGGGTGGGAGGAGACTTGCCTAGAGACCCGGCCAATAGGACATTCCAAGAGGTGAGACTGATCTGCCAGCCGGACTTTCAATATCCAATTCACCCTTTTACTTACTCTAAGCCCAAGAAATGAGAATTAGGGGAACCCTATCTCTGTGAGGGAAATCCCAGCTCCAAAAAGTTTATCCCCTCAAGATGAGGTGATCAGTTCCCAGAACTGCAGCAAAGCCTGAGGCTAGGGCACCCAAAAACAAAGCTCCAAGAGCATTCAGGAGAACTGAAGGGAGGATTGTGGAAGCATCTCAGAATGTTCCAGGGCAGCAGAACAACCAGGCATGCTCTTAGGGTCATGTAACATTAGATGCTAAAGAGGCCCTAGGAATCTACACAGAAAAGACCTGGCTGGGCGCGTTGGCTCATGCTTGTAATCCCAGCACTTTGGGAGGCCGAGGCGGGCGAATCACTTGAGGTCAGGAGTTCGAGACCAGCCTAGCCAACATGGTGAAACCCTGTGTCTACTAAAAATACAAAAATTAGCCACCCATGGTGGTAAACAGCTGTAATTCCAGCTACTCGGGAGGTCGAGGCATGAGAATCACTTGAACCCGGGAGGTGGAGGTTGTAGTGAGCTGTGATCACATCACTGCACTCCAGCTTGGGTGAAAGGGAGAGACTCCACCTCAAGAAAAACAAAACGAAACAAAAAGACCCACACTGCTTTATAAAATTTTGAGGTAACAATAAAAAATCAAGAGAGTTCAAATGAAAATCCATATTTGAGGGCGTTTTTGAAAATTCAGAAGACCTGGCAATACAGAGCTCACATTCCCATGGTATATGAGTTGACTTGGGTGGCTGCAGTTAAATAGAAGCTACTCAGCTGGGTGCAGTGGCTCACGCCGGTAATTCCAGCACTTTGGGAGGCTGAGGCGGGTGGATCCCAAGGTCAGGAGTTCAAGACCAGCCTGGTCACGATGGTGAAACCCTGTCTCTACTGAAAATACAGGAAAATTAGCTGGGTGTGGTAGTGGGTGCCTGTAATCCCAGCTACTCAGGAGGCTGAGGCAGAGAATTGCTTGAACCCGGGAGGCAGAGGTTGCAGTGAGCCGAGATCGCACCACTGCACTCCAGCCTGGGTGACAGAGCGAGACTCCATCTCAAAAAAAAAAAAAAAAAAAAAAGAAGCTACTCACTTCCAGAGGCGCTTCTATCTGTCCTGTCTCCACAGTCCCCACTGCCTGCTATTGCCTCCTGGTGAGAAGATTTAACTTGCCCAAGATGAAATACATTGGGAATTATCAGAGCTGAGACTTTAACCCAGTTTCTCTCATACCCAACCCAACCCAACCTCTTCACTCCACACCTAGAAGAGAGACTGTTGTGAAACCTTTATTTCCTGCCTCTAGTTGAGTGTGTTCATTATTATCCCTGGAATGCTAGGATGCAGCAAGGATGGCGGGAAATACAAATTGGAAAGGGAAAGTAAAGGTGATGGTAGAGGTAGGAAGGGTAAGATTTTTTTTTTTGTTTTTAACAGTGAGAGATGGTGACTTAGGACTGAGAGAGAGGAAAAAAAAATCCCCCAAAACAAAGATCAAGGAAGCAAAATGTGGAAGGGAAAGGGGAAGGAAAATCAAGCTGCCCCAGTATTTCAGCAGTCAGAAGTGCCAAAATTCCCCTGAACTGGGAACCCAATTATTACAGAAAACCTTGCTTATTCTAGAGCCTGGGGACTGTCAAAATTGAGAAACTGTGGACTCACATTTAAATGTTAGAAATCACAATTTTGTTTTTTTTTTAGTTGGAGGATTAAAAACTGTAACTTGGTAGGGGAAAGGGGAAGTTCCATTTTTGAAGTAGATACCAAGATGGAACAAATACAGTTATAGAAATAAGATAGCATACTGCTTTGAAGCTTAAAAACAATTCTATTTGCATTATCTCATATATCACCTAACACTCATAATTGTTTTATGGCCAAAGGAGTCTATCCTCCAAACTTTTGCTCCCCTGCTGGAATCCTGTCATCTTAGACAGAGAAACTTAAACTCCACTGGGATATTGGAAATATCTCAGGCCCATGAGACCAGATCTGTTGCTTGAAAAAGGGTTGTATTTTGCATAGCGTGTTTCTTTTGTTTCTAGCGTTTGCAGAAATTAGAGCAGAGGTCATGTGTGCATGGTAAGGAGAAGAGTCTTCCACCTTGACTAGTAAGTTAAACAGGTCTTTTGTTTTGTTTTGTTTTTTTGGAGACAGAGTCTCGCTCTCTTACCTAGCCTGGAGTGCAATGGCGTAATCTTGGCTGACTGCAAACTTCACCTCTCACGTTCAAACGATTCTCCTGCCTCAGCCTCCCAAGTAGCTGGGATTACAGGTGTCTGCCATCTCACCCCGCTAGTTTTTGTATTTTTAGTAGAGACGGGTTTCACCATGTTGGCCAGGATGGTCTCGAACTGCTGACCTCAGGTGATCTGCCTTCCTTGGCCTCCCAAAGTGCTGGGATTATAGGCATGAACCACTGTACCTGGCCAGTTAAACAGGTCTTTACTGAGCTCTAACCTACATGCAAGGCAGTCTGCTGGATGCTGAGAGTATAGTGAGAATAAGCCATGTGGTTCCTTACTTGGCCCTATATAGGTTGTGATTCACTATGGCTGGGTAATGCTGAAATTTCAACAGTTTCTGGGAGACTTTTGTCTTCTTCCATTGTTACTCTTTAGTGCAGGACATGTGGGCCTTAGATATATGTCTCTCTAAAAATGTTATGCTATGTGCAAATGTCTTACAATCAGCAGGACTTGAATTTACATAGCACACAGGTGAAGTTTTAAAAGCATTTTCCCTCCAGTCACCTGTTTTTACACAAAATCAGCCTTGGATGGGTCCTCAGGAGCCTTGGCTGGGTCCTTCTCTTTTGTGCCTCCTTCCTCATCTTATTGTGCTGGCCTGGATCTCCAGGGTGACACTGAAGAGAAATGGTGATAGTGAAGATTGTTGTTATGTTCCAAGTTTTGAAGGAAATGCTCTTGACCAACAAGTTTTGTGCATTAGCCATTTACTATTATGTTTGTGGTAGGTTTTAAAAATAGCACTTTAAAATTTTCCTAGACTATGAAAAATTTTTAAAATCATGAATATGTTACCCAAACACTAGGGATTTGGACTAGGTCCTGCTGCTCATTGCACAGAGGGCCAATCACTAAGACAACAAGTATTGCAAGGAAGAAGGGTTTTTTTGTTTTGTTTTTTGTTTTTTTTTTTTTGAGATGGAGTCTCGCTCTGTCACCCAGGTTGGAGTGCAGTGGCATGATCTTGGCTCACTACAAGCTCCACCTCTGGATTCATGCCATTCTCCTGCTTCAGCCTCCTGAGTAGCTGGGACTACAGGCAACTGCCACCCCACCTGGCTAATTTTTGTATTTTTAGTAGAGATGGGGTTTCACCGTGTTCTTGATCTCCTGACCTGGTGATCCACCCGCCTTGGCCTCCCAAAGTGCTGGTATTACAGGCATGAGCCACAGCACCCAGCTGGAAGAAGGCTTTAATCCAGTGCTGCAGTCACAGAGAAGGGAGCTCAGTGAATCCATCTGCCTGACTGACTAAAACTAGGGGTTTATATAGCAGGGAAAAAAATGTAACAATGTATAAGAAAACAGAAACTAAGGAGGGGCAAGGAGGCATTCAGAACGATTTGGTGAGTTCCAGTTCTTTGACACTTTTTTTTGAGAGGCCTGAAGGTGGCTTCCTGAGGAAGGAACTTGGATAAAACAAATACCTGTTTCAAGCTTTAACAGCAGAAGCATCAATTTCTATGTTTGTCTAAAAACAATTGTCTATGGGACTATTTCAAATAGGTGTCAATTTTTATTGACTGCTTTTCTGCATCTCTTACAATAATCTTGTGATTTTTTTTGATCTGTTAATGCAGTCAATTCATTATGTTTTATTATTTTCTTTTCTTTTTTTTTTTTTTTGAGATGGAGTCTCATACTGTCGGCCAAGCTGGAGTGCAGAGGTATGATCTCGGCTCACTGCAACCTCTGTGTCCTGGGTTCAAGTGATTCTCCTGCCTCAGCCTCCGAAGTAGCTGGGATTACAGGCTCCTGCCACTATTCCCAGCTAATTTTTGTATTTTTGGTAGAGATGGGCTTTCGCCATGTTGGCCAGGCTGGTCTCGAACTCCTGACTTCAGGTGATCCACCTGCCTCAGCCTCCCAAAGTGCTGGGATTACAGGCATGAGTCACTTTGCCCAGCCTATCTTCTTTTCTTATTTATTGATAGATTTAGTTTGCCAATGTTTTGTTGATTGATACATTTTGTATCAATGTTCATGAGTGAAATCACTTTGTAATTTTCCTTTTTCAAACTGTCTTTGGTTTTTGGTATTAGTTGTTTATTCTAGCCTTATAAAATGGAAAGAGTTATCTATTTTTCTATTTCATGGAATAATTTATCTAAGACTGCAATGATATGTTTACTTTGAGGAAAGATTTTAAACTATGGGTTCAATTTTTTAAATTTTCCTAAAACAATTATTTTTTCTCCTACATTTTAGTATTTTATACATGAAAAATTTTAATATTTCATATTTTCTAAGAATTTTCCCTTTTCACCTGTTTTCACTTGGGGGTGCATAAATATTTATAACATTTTATCTTTGTAATATCTGCAGCAACTACAATTATGTTTACTTTTTTTATTCATGATATAGTTTTAAAAAATGATTGCTCTTTTCCTTTTTTGATCAGTATTGCCAGAAGTTAGTTAACTTTATGAGGCTTTCCATTTTTTTTAATGTGTTTATTTTTTAAATTTTAGAGTCAGGTTTTTACGATGCATGTTGCCCAGGCTGGAGTGCAGTAGCATGATCATGGCTCAATACAGCCTTGAACTCCTGGGTTCAACTGATCCTCCTGACGTAGCCTCCCAAGTAGCTGAGACTAACAGGCACATACTACCATGCCCAGCTTTTTATAAGACTTTTTCAAAGAACCAACTTTGGATTTATTGATCCTCTCTATTGTATGTTTATATTTAAATCTATTCATCATTTCTACTCTTTTTTTTTTTTTTTTTTTGAGATAGAGTCTCGCTCTGTCGCCCGGGTTGGAGTGCAGTGGCGCAATCTCGGCTCACTGCAAGCTCCGCCTCCCAGGTTCACGCCATTCTCCTGCTTCAACGTCCCGAGTAGCTGGGACTACAGGCACCTGCCACCACGCCCGGCTAATTTTTTTTGTATTTTTAATAGAGACGGGGTTTCACCCTGTTAGCCAGGATGGTCTGGATCTCCTGACCTCGTGATCCGCCCGCCTCGGCTTCCCAAAGTGCTAGGATTACAGGCATGAGCCACTGTGCCCGGCCTCATTTCTGCTCTTAACATTATTTCTTCTTTGGTTGGGTGGGTTTATTTCTAGTTAACTCTAACACTCACAGTTTTGATCTTGGAGGACCCAGATCTTCAGAGGACCAAATCTCCTTATATTTCTTACCTTAGATGAGATGCGGCTTATAAATTCTCCTTGTCAAAAGTTCAATAATGTCAGTTTGGCTCAAGCACCCAAGAGCAAAGTGGATTACTTAAATTCTTACTTTTATTTTATTTCTGGTCTCTGAGGAGTCTTTCCTTTATTAGCAGCTCAGTGATACATTTAGAAAGGTGAGTTTTTAACGTTTTATTAACCATATTAGCTGTTTTCAGTAGGAGGGTTGCTCTGGGTATCTGATTAGCTATATTGCAGGAAATAGAGGTTGTTCCAGTTTTCTCTTTCTCTCTTTTCCTCCCTGTGTCGCAAATGTGTTTTGTTCCCAGTTTTCTGGCTTCAAATTCCAGAGTCTGCATGTGATCCCTGGGTCCTGAGTATCTTCTAAGGTGGCTTCACATACTTCAGAATGTATCTCTACACAATGAACTATCCTTTTTTTGCTAAGATTGATGATGGTCCCTCATTATCTGACTTAGAGATATTATTATGCTCACATTGTCCCTGTTCTTTTACTCTGGAAAGGCAGGTGGAGTGGATTTTCAGGACAGAAAAGGAATAAGAAAGGTGAGTGTAAAACAAAACCTTGCCTCACCACAAGTGCCCAGAGCTGAGAAGTCCTAGGGCTACTCCACACACACAGGAGGGACCCATCAAATTTGCTTTACAGGGAAAACTTCTCCCTGATGATGAGACTAAAATGATCAAAGATCCTCTCTTTTTTTTTCTGATTAGATTGTAAATAATAAAAAATTAGTTTCTTTATATACACACACACATATAATATTTCAAAAATGTGAGCGTATATCCTCCAGTCTTTTATCTTCCCTGTCATTTTGTGCTTGATTCTCCTGAGTTCCTCATCCTCTCCCCGCCTTCATTGTTCGTAGGTCTCAGCCTCCACCAAGTAACCATGTTGCAGCTCAGGATGTTTTCTTCCCAATTTTCCTGCATTCACCTGCAATCATACAAATGCAGACTTGCCATTATTCTACAAGAGTTGGTTCATGTTATACATATTTGTGATTTATTTATTTATTTGTTTGTTTTGAGATGCCGTCTTGCTCTGTTGCCCAGGCTGGAGTGTGGTGGTGTGATCTGCTCAGTGCAACCTCTGCCTCCTGGGTTCAAGTGATTCTCCTGTGTCAGCCTCCTGAGTAGCTGGGATTACAGGCACACGTCACCAAGCCCAGCTAATTTTTTAAGTATTTTTAGTAGAGATAGGGTTTCACCATGTTGGTCAGGCTGGTCTCGAACTCCTGACCTCGTGATCCACCTGCCTTGGCCTCCCAAAGTGCTGGGATTACAGGCGTGAGCCACCACACCTGGCCCTGTTTTACATTCAATTATGCCTCATGGAACTAACTCCCTCTAAGCCAACTGATATAGCTTTAATTCATTCTTTTAAGGGTTATAAAAGTCTCCATTTGTGTGACTATACATAATTTATTGGACCATTCTCCTACTGGATGAATATTGCTTCAAGCTTGCCACTACAAACAAGGCTACAATAAATATCCTTGTAAACATGTTCTTCCTACTGGTGGTTTTATGTTTATGGGATAGATTCCCAGGAGTGGAACTGAAGGGTAGTAGGATATATGATATTTATTAAATTGTAATACACATTGTTAGATTGCTTTCCAAAAAGACCATGACAATTTACATTTCTATCAGCAGTATATGAAAGTACCCTCTTCGCTGAATCCAGTAGTCACTTGATATTTTCAATATAAAAACCTTTTGGCATATAATGAGAGTAGAGTGATACCTCATTGTTGCATAAATTTGCATTTCCCTGATCATAATTAATTTAGATAATTTTGCTATTAATCTTTTGCATACTTTTCTGAGCTTTTTCTTCCCAATTAGTAAATGCTCTTTTTATATTATAGGTGTTGTAAATTCATTTCAAGTCTGATATTTTTCACTTTTTTTACTAATCTACAATTCTTTACTATTTTTTAACTAAATAATTATTTTTTTACTAATTTTGTGTATGACAATGTTTTTTTCCCACAAATGTCTAAAAATTTTTACATGGTTAAATATGTTTATCTTTTATTTTCAAGCTTCTGGCTCTTGATCTCAGTTTTGAAAGTATTTGTCAATTTTAGGATTATATGTAGTATCCTAAACTATCTTGTAGTATTTCTATTATTTTTTTTTATATTTAAGTCTAGTCAAATTGGAATTTAATTATGCATTTTGTTTAAGATGGAGGTATAATAGTATTTTAATATAATCTATAATAAAATCTATAGTATGTGCTATTATCTGATGGGAATAATAGTATGGATATCCTGATAAGGATAACAGTTATAGTATGTGCTATTATCTGATAAGGCAAGTTCCCTTTATTATTCCTTTTTTTCATTTTTCTTGTTTTTTTCTGCCATATCTCTTCTTCCATATGTATGTTAAGATTGTCATATACAATTTCAAGAAAAGTTATTTTGAAATTTGATTCAAAACTGCATTACATTTAAAGGTATACTAATTATTAAAGAATTAATAACTTTGTGATATAAAATTTTCACTCCAAAATGTAGAACATGAATAAGACCATGGGCACTGGAGCTTAGCCCCCAGGGTTGAATCCTGGCTATGCCATCAGTAGTGGTATGACCTTTCTTTTTAAGCACTGACATGCCTAAACTCCAATTGTATGCTATAAAGATGCTATCTGAGCCTGGGTAATCAATAAAGGAAAGAGGTTTAATCTACTCACAGTTCTGCATGGCTGGGGAGGCCTCGGGAAACTTACAATCATGGTGGAAGGTGAAAGGGAAGCAGGAGCTTTCCTCACAAGGCGTCAGGAGGGAGAGAAGTGGGAGTGCCGGAAAAACTGCCACTTTTAAAACCATCAGATCTCGTGAGAACTCCCTCAATATCACCAGAACAGCATGGGGGAAATCGACCCCGTGATCCAATCATCGCTGACCAGGTCCCTCCCTCGACACGTGGGGATTACAATTCGAGATGACATTTGATGGGGACACAGAGCCAAACCATATCAAAGGGCCTTTCCCATCTCCAGAAACAGGGAAGGACTTGAGAGATTCATGACAGTCTAAGTCCAAGTGCAGATGAGGAAACTAAAGCTCAGAGAGATGTAGAACTGGCTCAAGATCACACAGCTTATTTAATGGCAGAGCTGGAATTTATATTAGGTCTTCTAACTCAAAGATCTGTGCTTTTCCCAGGATTCCATAAACATGACTCTTGTAGAATTTTGGTCATAACCGTATTAGTGTCTTTGAAAGCATGCTTCTAAACACTGAGCACGTAACAGCATATCTCACCTCACAAAAAGTCTGTTAGAGTAGAGCTATTATTTTTTCTATTTTTTCCAGGAGGGAACTGAGGCATAGATAAATTTAACACCTCATCCAAGGTCACGTGTTAAAAGTGGTACAGCTTGGATTGAAACTTAGTCTAGGTCCAAAAATCTATACTACTTACCTTATACTACACAGACTTTTGACATAGGATCTCTGCCTGTCTTCCTCTATTTTGCTTTCTGCCCTTTGCAAGACAAATTTTATTTGTGTGTATATTTATTATGTTTGCTGTTTTTTCTCCAGTGTGCCGTTTTTAGGGTTGTTTTTTCTGTCACTACAGTGAGTTTGGTTGAATAAAATTAGTTGGGTGGGGAATTGTCCCTAGGCCAGGCTTTAGTTATTGATGGAAAAATTGACCTCATGAAATGTATTTGTGGATATTCTGGGTCACAAAAACCAACCAAATACAAAGGAAGAGTTGGACAGGAGGGACCAGCTGTAGAAACTGAGACATCATGGAATCGGCCCTCAATCTTCACGTAGAAATGCAGGGCTCCCGGAATTTCTCCCAGACCCTTCTGGTTTATCCCAGATTAAACAGCATTGGTCAGGGTACTGAGCATTCATTGTGCTGGCTTTCACTCAAGATTAAAGGGAAAGATCTAAAACAAAACACAGCGTGATTCTGTATGATACCATAATGGTGGATACATGTCATTATCATTCACCCAAACTCATAGAGTGCACAACACCGAGAGTGAACCCTCATGTAACCTATGGACTTTGGGTGATTATGATGCATGAGTATATCTGTCAGTTGTAACAAATGTACCTCTCTGGTAGGGTATGTTCATATGGGGGAGGCTTACCTGCATGTGTGGGAACTGGGGCTATTTGGGAAATCTCTGTACCTTCCGCTCAATTTTGCTGTGAACCTAAAACTGCTCTAAAAAATAAAGTCTTAAACCCAACAACAAAAACCAATGCAATGTAAGGTTTTCCCATTCTCTGTTGGCATGCTCACATTATTGAAAATTTTTCAATATTTCAAAATTTTTCAATAAGAAAAATTTTCAGGAATATTTTTCTGAGTCAACAAATATTTTAAAGCATTTATTATGTGCAACGCATGATGCTAGGTATTGTTGGGGACTCATAACTGCATTAGCCATAGCCTCTACTCAATATCCTTAGGGAGACAGACACATATTAACTTTGACACAAACTCGATTTTGTTAAGAGGTTAAATCAAAATACAAAGGGAATGTAGGAGACAGAAAAGTGAATTTCAGTGGCAGGCACCCGGAAAGCCATCTTAGTGTGATGCGTTAATAAAAAATATAAAACATCATGTTTGAACAGGCAGGTTTGAAGGAGTTGGTGGGGGAGGGTATAGAGGATAGTATTAGGTTGGTGTAAAAGTAATTGTGGTTTTTGTTATTAAAATAACAGTTCTATTCAGGAGTCATGAAAACTGGGTTCTAGCCTTGTCTCTATAATCCTTACCAGCTGTGTGACTTTAGGCAAGTGACTGAATCTCTCTGAGACTCTTTCTTTACCTGTAAAATGTGGGGCGATTAAGAAGTTAATCTCGGCCAGGCGCGGTGGCTCACGCCTGTAATCCCAGCACTTTGGGAGGCCGAGGTGGGTGGATCACGAAGTCAGGAGATCGAGACCATCCTGGCTAACACGGTGAAACCCCGTCTCTACTAAAAATACAAAAAATTAGCCGGGCATGGTGGTGGGCGCCTGTAGTCCCAGCTACTCCGGAGGCTGAGGCAGGAGAATGGCATGAATCTGGGAGGCTGAGCTTGTAGTGAGCCGAGATTGCACCACTGCACTCCAGCCTGGGCGACAGAGCGAGACTCCGTCTCAAAAAAAAAAAAAAAAAAAAGAAAATCTCAACTGATAGGTTTGTTGGGAAGATTTTAGGCCAGTGTCTAGCACATTGAAGGGTCTCAGTAAATGCTCCAAATACAGTGTGTGTGCATGTGTATATGTGCGTGTGTGCATGCGTGTGTGTGCATGCATGTGTGTATGCGTGCATATGTGAATGTGCGCGTGTGTGTGCATGTGTGTGAGTGCTCGTGTGTGTGAGGAGAGTATCTGTTGGTGGGCAGGAATTCAGGGAGCAGAGGTGGGGAGGGCTGTGGCTGACTGTGTGTATGGGTGGGTGGTGTTGACAAAATGAGGGGAAGAAGATGTATTGGGACATACGACTGGAAAGCTACATAAGAATCCAATATTGAAAACTCTTAGATTTTACTTTGTTGGAAACAGGAGCCAATAATGTTTGTGGATCTGATGATTAGAAAGTCCTCTCAGGTCTTGGAAAACATGACCAGATCCTGTGCTTGTAGACTCATGTGTTTATGATACCTCTATTTGGTGCCACTCCCTGAAGTTGTACCCCAATCCCACCCACACCTCCTTTCTTAAAGGCAGTCTTTTCCACATGTTTTGAGGCCTGGAGAACAAAGGTGATGCGAGCTTAAAAAAAAATTAAACCAAAATTATTTCTCACCCAGTTACATGCTACAAACCAGCTTTCCTAGGTTTGCTCACACAAACTCCAAAAAAGTAATGGGGTAAGGGGAAGAGGTTTACAAGGTCAGAAGAAAACATCGAACCACATGAGACTTGATTCACTTCCATGGAACTGGTTTTGCTCCCCTGCTACAATATCCTGTAAAATTGTAAATAAAGCATTGGAACTAATAAATCAATCACAAAGGGACCTTCCTGCTGCCAACCCATCCTCTGGAGAATGAAATCCTGAGGGCAGATTTAGGGAATTGAAATCAGAATCTGTGCAGTTGCCAAAGTGCCCTGCCTTGGCCTGCCAAGTTAAATGTGAACTTTTGTGAACTTTCTTTGCAGCAGTTAGAATCAGCTTCTTTTGTGCAATGCAATTCCAATTTATGGCATTATTGAAGATAGGGTTTCAGGGAAATACACCAGGCCAGTGCATTTGTTTGGCCCATGAAGCTTAATTGCCAATGTTAAATCTATGGCCCTGGCAATCTTCTCTGATTAAAAAGCCACTGGGAGCCCAGTTTGGGGCCACTCTTCTTTATTACTGTTCTTCTGTAGAAAGTCGAAGTATTCATCCCATCGTGGGAGTTAAAAGCCCAAGTCAATTATTAATTGCATTTGTTTTCTTTCTGAATTAACCCATGTGACCCGTGGCATTTGCACCTTGTGTTAACCATTAGACACACAAATGAGCCCTGTATTTATTTGGGTGGCAGAGTTCTAATGCCTGTTGTTTACTTTATAGTGAGGGAACTGTGCAATCAGTAGGACTTTTCCAGGAAGAGAAACAGGGGTCCTGCCTTCCGTCCTCTGGTTTGAGGAAGCAGCTCTGTTTGCCTCTCTTTGCTCCCTTACTCAGGCTGCTCACAGCGAAGCCTTTCAGTGTCTGATATAAAAGTCCCTTTGATTGTGCGGTGGCCACAGGGTCTGGCTGTGGGTCTGGGTGGCTTGCAGGCGCATCACTAACCAAAACTAGATCCAGCAGAGGCGGCTTCACACTTCTCATGAATTCCGGCATCTTTTTTGTGTTAAAGATCTACTTTTCTTACAGCAAATATTATGTATGTTTTTACTCTTTGAACTCTTTCCATACTTAATGGAGGTGGAGGCGGGGCAGTTTGTAGATGTACTCTTGCCAAGTTATTAGTTTTAGATAAAGTCATCTCAGGTTTGAGCAAGAAAATGAAAGCCTCTGATTATCAGATTCTCTGGAACTTCTCTTCCTGCCAGAAACAATGTTGAGTCTGGCCCTCTCTCTCCCAGCTGCTTTCATTGTATTGCCTGAAATGGTATTTTTTAACTGTTTCTAATGCCAGTGAAACGAGGCATTAGAGGAGGAGAAGGGGAGTGGTTGGGTGGCACGCTTAGTTCATAATTGTCTGGGTTAGGAAAGAATCTCTTAATGAGAATTGGATGGGGAATTAGGATCCTGTGGTGGGGGGCAGGGGTTTGTATTTGTGTGGGAAAGGAGTTAAAGACTTTGTTTTATTTCATTGCTTCAATTTGCTTTGGGTTGTTATTTAGTTTCTTTTGAGATTTACATAACATTAAATGAGGATGTGGCTTTTTAAAATGTTTTTTGAAAATGAGCCTGTCTTAATCCATTCAGGCTACTAGCATAGAATGCTATAAACTAGGTAGCTTATGAACATAGAAACTTATTTCTGACAGCTCTTGAGGCTGAGAAGTCAAAGATCATGTTTCCGGCAGGTTCCATGTCTGGTGAGGTTCTCCTTCCTGGTTCACAGATGGTTGTCCTTACGTGAGGGAAGGGTAATGGAGCTCTCTGGGGTCTATCTTTTATATGGGCACTAATCTCATTCATGAAGGCCCCATCCTCATGATCTCATCACCTTTCAAAAGACCCACCTTCAAATACAATCATGAAAGGAACAGGTTTCCACATATGACTTTTGGGGGAACACAAATATTCCGTCTATAGCATTCTGCCTCTAACCCCTCAAAATTCATGTTCTTCTCTCATGCAAAACACATTCATCTCATCCCAACAACCCCCAAAGTCTTAATTTGTTCCAGTATTACCTAAAAAATCTAAAGTCCAAAGTCTCGTCTAAATATCACTTAAATCAGATATGGGTAAGACTCATCCTGAGGTGAATTCCTCTCCAGCTGTGACCTGTGAACCCAAACAAGTCATGTGCTTTCAAAATACAATGGTGGGACAGGCACGGGATAGACATTCACACTGCAAAAGGGAGAAACAGGAAAGAAGAAGGGAGTGAAAGATCCCAGACAAGTCGAAAGCCCAGTGGAATAAATGACATTAAACTCTAAGGCTTGAGAACAACCTTCTGCCTTCTGGGTCCCCTGGGGCTGGGGTCCTGCCTCTGCACTTCTCACAGGTTGGAGTCCCATGTCTGTGGCTCTCCCAAAGAGGGAGGCTTTTATATATCCATCTTGTATGTATTCCTGGAATGCCAGATTCTTTTCTTTCTTTTTTTTCTTTTTTTGAGACAGAGTCTTGCTCTGTCCCCCAGGCTAGAAGGCTGGAGTGCAGTGGTGCAATCTTGGCTCACTGCAACTTCTGCCTCTCAGGTTCAAGCAATTCTCATGCCTCAGCCTCCCGAGTAGCTGGGATTACAGACATGCACCACTAGTCCTGGCTAAGTTTCATATTTTTAGTAGAGATGGGGCTTCACCAAGTTAGCCAGGGTGGTCTCAAACTCCTGACTTCAAATAATCTTCCTTGAATCACCTTGGCCTCCCAAACTGGGGTTACAGGTGTGATCCACCATGCCCAGCCTTGGAATGCCAGATTCTTATATCCAATTGCCTATTTGCCATCTTTCCCTGGATGTCTGGTAGGCATCTTAAACTTAATATATACAAACCAAACTCATGACCTTGCCCAGGGCAAATTGGATTCTCTCCTGTTTGTCCTATTTCAATAAATGGCAGATCCAGCTTCCAGTTGTTCAGGCCAATTACCTTAGCATCATCTTGATGCCTCTTTTTCTTTCAAACCCCACATACAATCCATCAGCTCTACCTTTATAATATATTCTGAATCCGACTCCTCATCTCTTCCCATCTCTGCCACTACTCTCCCACCTCCAGCCCCTGCCATCTTTGCCTGGACTATTGCAATAGTATCTGCCGGCTCTCCCTGCTGTGTTCTTGGCCTGCTCCCCATGTTCTCTTCTAAATAGCCAAAGGTTTTAAAAGGTCAGCCAAATCATGCCATCCCCTGCTCAAAACCTTCCAGTGGCTTCCAAAATCTCTCTGAATGCAACCAGAAGCTCTTTCTATTGCCTTGCAAACTGTACCTGATTTACCCACTTGCCTTCTTGATCTCATCTCCTATTCTCCCCTCCACTCTGACCTTTTTGCTGCTTTTTGTTTGTTTGTTTGTTTTGTTTTTGTTT
Source organism: Homo sapiens (assembly GCF_000001405.40). NCBI lineage: Eukaryota > Metazoa > Chordata > Mammalia > Primates > Hominidae > Homo > Homo sapiens. The sequence continues at coordinate 38,226,609 of NC_000004.12, forward strand.
TGTTTTTGAGACGGAGTCCCGCTCTGTCGCCCAGGCTGGAGTGCAGTGGAGCGATCTCAGCTCACTGCAACCTGTGCCTCCCGGGTTCAAGTGATTCTCATTCCTCAGCCTCCCAAGTAGCTCGGATTACAGGCGTGCACCATCACTCCTGGCTAATTTTTATATTTTTAGTAGAGACGAGGGTTTCACCATGTTGGCCAGGCTGGTCTCGAGCTTCTGACCTCAAGTGATCCACCCGCCTGGACCTCCCAATGTGCTGGGATTACAGGCATGAGCCACTGCACCCGGCCTCTTTGCTGTTTCTTAAACATGTTGGCTGTGCGTCTGCCTCAAGTCTCACATTATACTTTGTGTTCATCTTCCTGGAATATGCTTTCTCCAGTGATTCAAAGTCACCTTAATAAGAGAGGATTTCCCTGAACACCCTATCCAAAACAGTGGCTCTCTGCCGCTCTCTGTCCCCTAATCTTCTTAAATTCCTTCTTGGTCCTTCACATTTACTACATCTATGTTGGCCTGCTATATTATTTCACCTCCTATTTGAATAAAAGCTCTATGAAAGCGGGCACTTTTTAAAAATTTGCTTCACCTAGAACTATGCCTAGCACATAGTAGGTACTCATCAAATACTAGTTGAATGAACTCCATGAGGTCCACAGAGAAACACCTGGAATGGCATTACAGGCTGATGACTCCCGAGGCAGCTGTCAGAGTCTAAGAAATGACTGAAAAGATCAAGGAACACATGCGTAGTGTGAACCCAGATGGAAATTAAGTACTTCTCTATTTTCTTCAGTGAATAGTTCAGCAGTTTTGTTTTATTTTCTCAAGAGAATGAGTTGGTCAGGCACGGTGGCTCACACTTGTAATCCCAGCACTTTAGGAGGCTGAGGCGAATGGATCACCCGAGGTCAGGAGTTCGAGACCAGCCTGGCCAACATGGTGAAACCCCATCTCTACTAAAAATGCAAAAATTAGCTGGGCATGGTGGCAGGCACCTGTAATCCCAGCTACTGGGGAGACTGAGGCAGGAGAACCACTCGAACCTGGGAGGCGAGGTTGCAGTGAGCCAAGACGGTGTCACTGTACTCCATCCTGGACGACAGAGCAAGACTCCATCTCAAAAAAAAGAGAGAGAGAATGAGTTAACTTCAGTGGCTCATCAAGTTAGTGTTTTCTTATAGTAGCTCAATAACTCATGCCACTTACATATTTCTGTGTGTGTAAAATCCTAACAAGCTTTCCCAGTTCCCTACTGTGTCCCAGTCAACAACCATTTCATATTTTAGCTTGGTTAGACATACAATCAATCTTACTGTTGGCTACAATCCTGATATGACCTACGCTCTCTAATCAAGAGGCTGACAATCTGTTCTGGACACCACAAAGAAGAGCCAATATTCTCATTCTCATGAGGTTCCAAACACCGTTTTGGAGCTTTGGCTCAGGATCTCTAATTTGCATTTCACGTTTGTTGGGGATTCTCATGTTCTTTACAACAATCAGAGCAATAACAATTTTTAAAACCCTTGAAGATTATTTCAGAAAACCAATTATTAAATATCTTATTAGGGATCTTGGATGTATGGAAATCTTATATGTATTTACACCTAAAAACTGAAGATGATGAATTTAATATACTTATCTAAGTTAGCTTATCTATATACTTATCTAAGTTAGCTTATATATATACTTATCTAAGTTAGCTTAGATAAGTATATTATCTCAACTCAAACTCAACTAAAATTATAGCAAAAACTTTTTTATTTTTATTTTTTTTTGGCTGGAGTGCAGTGGCACAATCCTAGCTCACTGCAACCTCTGCCTCCTGCGTTCAAGCGATTCTCCTGCCTCAGCATCTTGAGTAGCTGGGATTACAGGCACGCACTACCACGCCCAGCTAACTTTGTATATTTGGTAGAGATGGGATTTCACCATGTTAGCCAGGCTGATCTCGAACTCCCGACCTCTGGTGATCTGCCCACCTCGGCCTCCCAAAGTGCTGGGATTATAGGCATGAGCCACCATGCCTGGCTGCAAAAACTTTTTTTTTAAAGCATAAACTCATAAGGACAGGGAGAACAGGAGAGGAGATAGCAGCAACATAATTTTGAAAGCTGGACGAGAGATGGACACATAGTAACTGCCTCAGTGGATCGGAAGAAGCCATAGCTTATGGTGCCAGTGAGGACAGAGGCTAACTTGCCTGCCCAGAAGGTGTGAGTACTTCTGGAACTGTGGGTGGAGGGGGAGCTAATATAAGAAGCAACTGAAATGAACGTTGCTTGAGAAATCATTAGATCTCTAGATCACCTTCCCCCAATCCACGCCACTGAGGGTTTATTTCTCATATGGCTGAAAGACATTGTGAGGTTTATTATTGTTATTATTTTAAGAGAAAAGGTATACAAACTTATCAACATGTACTTGGGGAGAACCACAGAGTGATTACTCCTGGAGGGTTTTTCTCTGGAAAAACAAGGGATCTCTGTTTGGGAGACACCAGGTAGATGGGTGCCCTGTCCAACATAAGGCAATTGACTGCATGCAAATTGAACACTGATGGTACAGATTCCCCCCCAAATTGGCAGGAGATGCTTTAAGCAAGGCCCAAATGGTAAACGAAAAATAAGCAAAATTAGACTCCAGTGAATGAGCCTCTGTAATCAGCAGGGACTTGGGTCTTGACAAGGTGATATTCACAATGTCTTCAATCAGCAAGGGCATTAACAAATCAGAAAGATGCCAGATATAGACAATTGACAAGGCCATACCCAGACCTACATTGTGTGGTTGTGCAGGCTGTGCACTGCACAATTGTAGGCAGCAGTCCTGGCCAAATCAGAGCATATAAGCTGAATATTAGTTTTAGGTTTAGGTGATCTGTCCTTACTTCTAATTTGACTTGAATTTCTTACAGGTAGGGCCTAGGATATTGTCAGGATTATGTCTTTTGTGATTGGTTATTCCAAGATTGGGAACACAGGCCCCAGAGCATGGTCACCCTGCTAGTCTATTTTTTCCCTGTGGCATTTCATATTAGTCAATTGATTTTGGACTCATAATTGTTAATGAAATAAGCACAAGAAGCAGTTCCTGGTGAGGAAAGAAAAATAAATATTCCAAGCCCGTCTCCAAATCAGTGTAGTAGAAAATTGATGTTAATTGAAAACACTTTAACTCAGCAAAACTCACAAACACAATTTTTTTTCCAAAGTGTTTGCTAAATTAATTATTCTAACATTTATCCTAGGTTCTTAAAAGCAATATTGTTTGCACATGAGTGATCTAATGCGCAACTTTCCTTTGCTTGACAGGATCGGGGGAGGAAGAAGAGAGACGGGTGGACCTAGAATTCTCATATAAAAAGGCATCTAGCTCTTCCCTTCCTAATTACCTGAGTGCTCACTCTGAACTGCTCACCTGATGTTAATGAACATCAGGCTTGTCTGAGAAAATGCCAGCCTTTAATTAACGGGGCTGATTTATTTAGCTGAAGTCTGAATTTAGGCAAAGGTTAAAAGAAGTCACAGTTAGAACCTACTGCCTGATAGAACTTTCAAGCCTCCTGGAATTTTGCATTGCAATTGTGTCTTCTTAATTTATTGCCACTGAGCGATCCAGAAAGTTAATGTGCTCATTTGTATAAACAGCGTAGCTGTAAATCATTCACTAGTTCCCTAACTGGTCTTCATGGAGGTACAAAAGGAAATGCTTTTAGGTTGGTGGCCTCTCATTTCTGTCCTTTGCGGCCACCTGGATTTCCACAGAAGTTTTGCTCTCTTGGGTCCCTCTTGGGTCTCCTGTGCTCTGAGTGCATGCTTTTGGGCCAGGTTCAAACCAGGTTTGATGCTGCTACCTGCTGTTTCTTTAGGTGCAGCAGTGGGTGCGGCCGCAAACAAAAACAATTTCATCCTGATGAACCAGATGGTTGGGACTGGTGTCAGCAGGGCGGGTCCCTGCTTGCTCTTACTCAAGCCCAAGGTAAGAGCCTGGAGTCACACTCTTTATCTCTGGCTCCTGACCTGGGGTCAGAGTGCCAATAAACCAGGCCGTTTCAGACATGCCTCGTGATATGTCTGGGCGCTGGACTGTGGGATGTGGTCCTGGAAAAAGGAGATGTTGGTCATCATCCGGCAGTGACTGAGGCTCAATTTTCTTTCTTGGAAAAATCTGAAGGGGTTGTGGGATTCAATCCCTGGTGAGTTAGAAAAGACTTCCCTGTGACAGATGACCCCATACTCATGTGAATTTTCCTAGGCCGATATTCTTACTCTCAAACTCTCATTAACCTCCAAGCTAGCTCTATCCTTCTTCCAATGCTGCTGTGCTCTGCAATCATGCTTGTGGCTGAGGGCACTCCTGGGGGCCAACAGGTATCGGAGGCCCATCTGCAAGTCCCTCCCACTTGTCCAGGCCCCTGGTCTTGGCTTTCGGAGAAGCTCTCACCTGGCCGGGCATGTGTGACCCAGATGAAAGAATTACAGAGCAGCTTCCACAAATTCCCAGTAACCCAGGCCTAGATATTAAAATTCAGTTTCAAACAGAGTTCTAAGACAATAAACAAAGGTCCGGTATGTCTCTGCCACACACCAGTCCGGGGTAGATTTCCCAAGCATTTACCCCGGAAGGAACCTTTCTCAAGGCAGAAGCCTTATCTATTCTGGAAACCTGGCTTTCAGTTCCATGCAATGCATATAAACCTGCTCCTACAAGAAGGGGCTGCATCAGACAGATATTAGTTTCTCTCTTCTACTTCCTAGCTGTGTGACCTTGGAGGAATTACTTAAACTTTCTGAGTTCCAATTTCCTTACTTATTAAGTGGGCTAATAGCACCTATCCTGGAGGGTTGGGTTGTTGGAAGAATTAAATGAGATAGTATGTCAAGTGTGGGTGAAGAGAAGCATTTCAGTACTTGGAAAAGCTGTAGCATCTACTTAATGTGTGCTATCAGTGGACTAACTAGGCACTGGGGTACACCCAGGAAAAGGCACAACACAGCTTATGGCCCCGTGGGGAAGTCGGACCCATGAACAGATCATTTCACATGTCATGAGGGTTTGGGGAGCAGAAACCCAGAGGCACGCAGATGGTGCTAGAGGAGCTCATGTGAGTCCAGCTGAAATCTGGTACTACTTGAATTTCCTTGTTTCTTTTGTTTGTAATTGCCTGATAGTAACGTGTTTTCTGGCCACAGTTGGAGTCATGGGTGTAACTAGGTGGGGCAGATGAGGCCAAAGGCCAGGTGCAGCCTGGGGAAGAGGTGTGGGGGTGAGGTAAGGTGTGGTGTACAGGGCCTTGCCCTACCATAAGCAGCCTACAGGGATGCTACTTCCTGGAGAGGCAAAACCTCATCATCAACATCGGCCAAGATGGACCATGACACTACTTAATCTCTCTTTATCTAGCCAGGGCTGACGAGGTAGTCTGCAACGCGAGATGCCTGCAATTGCACCAGTTGCTGAACAGCTCTTCCTCCTCTTCCCCACGCACTCAGGCTCCTTGTAGTACCTCTTCTTGGTGATAGTCATAGAAACCATCTTGCAGTCATAGCCACTTTTCATGGGCATCTTTTACCTCTAGTTGTTTTTGAGGATGTTCAAGCTGTTAGTGACTTTAACCTCTCAGCAAACCTCAAACTCCGGGCCCAGTGAAATGGGTGGCCAACATGGATGTGATGTATTTCATCAAGTCTTCAGCCATTCTTGGGTTCAACAATAAACTCACCAGCCTGGCCCTGGAAGCTGCCCACAACGTATCCCCTACCAAGTTTCCCATTATATCTCTCCAGGTTTCACATCCTATTCTATTCAGCCACGGTGCCTTTGTTCTTTCTGTCTGAAATGTTCTCTATCCCCTCGGATTGGATGCAGTCTTTTGGCAAATTTTGGGCACCTCTCTCAAAATATATATGTTGTCTTTGCTTATAGTTATGTGAGCACTCATCTCCTCTCTTCTGCAAGACGGCCAGCTAATGAGGTGACGGTGAGGACCATACCTTACTCCCAGTTGTATTCCCCGTGCCTTACACATCGAGTGTGCTCAATAAATACTTGTTGAACTGAGGATGTTAACAGAATGTGGTTAAACATGCACAGTGCACCAGATGGTGACTGGAAGGGAAGGGAATCTAAAGCCCCAGTCCTAGGTTTCATAAGTCTTCCAGACTTGCCTTGGTCTTAGGTTGCAAACATTAAACTCATTTTGAGCCTTCATAGTGTTTAAACAAGAACTTGCCCTTGATGTGGCTAAATTAACATCAGAAATGGATAATGAGCAATAGAAAATAAGGTGTCTGTGGGTAGCTGTGATTAGTAATATTCTCTGTTGAAGGACAGGTCCTGGGTATCTGGGGTTTTTGCAGGCACTTTATATGACACATAGATGTAAGTTTTGTTCAGACAGCTCCCCCCACCCAACTGGTGGCCCTACAGATATCCTGGATGAATTAGTGAAAGTCATCACCTAGTAGAACAATAATTCAGTTCAAAGTCCAAGAAAAACATCACAGGGTTGGTTTGAAATCTAACTCTGTAGGAGACTAGACTAGTCAGTTATTATTGTGATGATGCTGTGTAACAAACAACCTCAAAGTCCCAGTAGCCTTCAATAACAAATGTGCACTGTTTGTTCATGTGTTCATCAGTGGGTATGGGTTAGGTGCAGTGGCTCGGGGCTGCCTCTGTCTGTCTTCTTATTTTGGGATCCAGCCTATAGGGACACCCCCATCAGCAAACAATGTTCTCATGTTAAAAAGAAGGAGTTCAAGAGAGCTGGCAAGTACTCGCAACACCTCTTCAAGGCTTCACTTGAAACTGGCATGTTATCATTTCTGCCCACATTTTATGGGCCAAAGTATTTTACATAGTCAGGTCCTAAATCAATGGGGCAGGGAAGAGGAGAGTGAGACGGGAGAGGGAATATTTGTGAAATGATAATTCAATCTACTACAAAGACACTTAGAATATTTTATTCCTTCTACTGATAGAACTATGGATTCCTTGAAGAAAGAGCGCAGCTCCTTGTTTCTTGCCTGGTACATTATTGACACTCTGTACATATTTGTTGAATGAATGATTGGCTTTCCATGGCTCAGTTTAACTAAGTGCATAATATTCATGGAGAAGGTGCTTCCTTGTAGAAACAGAGATCATATGGAGATTGTAGATCACTGGAAGTTCCAATCCTAGTCAAGTCAAATAAATGCTGCTGTCCCCTGTGGTGGGGCTGTCAGGGCAGCCAGAGTCATCCTCGGGAAAACCTGTGGGTGAACAAATGTAAAGAGGCCATTTGGGTGGCTCCCCACCCACTGCCACACCCAGCACAGGCCAGGCAGTGGATGGAGAGTAAATAGGAGGTTTCATCTGGCGAGACTTCCACCACCTGGTAAAGTAGGATGGCTGTGCCCTTCAGAGGGAAGCTTGTTATATAAGTTTAACCTTAACAAAGTGGGTAGCTGAAGAGGGGATATTTCTATGCTAGGAACAAGCTCCTTTTAAGAGGAATTAAAACAGGATTCCTCCAACTAGTGTAGTGGTGAAGTCAAGAAAGTTGGACTGGGAGGCTGAGGCAGGAGAATCGCTTGAACCCAGGAAGCAGAAGTTGCAATGAGCCGAGATTGCGCCACTGAACTCCAGCCTGGGCAACAAGAGTGAAACTCCATCTCAAAAAAAAAAAAAAAAAAAAAAAAAGGAAGTTGTACTTTGGAATTGAGCAGGCCTGCCTTGGAGTCCCAGCTCTACCACTTGCTGTGCGACCTTGGGCAGGCCACTGCACCTGCACCTCTCTCAGACTCAGTTTCCTTGACTGTAAACTGGGAAGAATGAGAATATTTACTTCAAGGTCTCCTATAGGAATTCAGTGAGCTGATGCATACAAAATTCTCAATACACTGCCCAGTATGTGGAGAACATAGTAATCGGAAGCTATTATTACTATTTTCAACATCATTATCTTAAACATATTGACTGAATTTCAAATGTTATAAAAACTTCATGACACAATTCCCCAGGAAAACATCTGTTTTTCAAGGCAAGGACCTCCTTTAGCTCTTCTTAGGAAGAGTGAGAAGCAAAAATGTTACAAAGGGAAGCACAAAGGGAGAGTACAGAAGAAAGAAAAGGAAGGGGACTGATCTTGAGGCATCTGAAGAAAAGTTAATAAGAATTGACTGGAAAAGAACTCTTGAGTTTTGAGAGTTGGTGGAGGAGACAGAGAAAGTCCAGAGCTTATGTTAGGAATTGGGATTTAAGGGACCAGAACCAAGAGAGGGGCTCCTTTGTGGGATACAGAAAACCAGAGGATAAGCTCAAACATACTCACTGGGAATAAACAAGAGTTGAAAGCCTGGAAAGTTTAGAAGAAGCACCAATTTCATGGGTCCAGAGGTGGTGGTGGTAAAGGTAGCCATGTCCAAGGTGTAAACTCTAGAAGAAATTGGCTAGGAGTGAGACCATGTCAGGGAGGAAAAGGGGTCCTGGGTGGTACATGTGAGCATCTTGGGACATGCACAGCTTGCCTAACAGGCTGGGATGGGTCAGGTGTGTGAAGACAACAGCCTTGGGAAGAGCAGAGGCAGGGCAGATGGCATGAAGGTGACAACACTGCTTCAGCCATGCCAAGATTGAAGGGACTGTTGGGTGCTGGGGGCAAGCCTTTGATTACAAGGACATGAAGGTTCCCCTCCCTTTCAAAATGTTCCTTTTCTTAGGAACAACTGCCTTCCTATTTTCTTGGATTTCCACAAAAATAGGATATCATGGAATATTACTTTAAGCCCCCAGCAAAAAATAGACACTTTCACCCATTTGAAATGCATATAATAAAAGGCACTCTTTTTGCAAAAAGCTGTGCCTCTTCAGAACATTCTGGGTCACTAGTTTCACAGCTTCTGCACATTCTCACAGCACAGAGCATGTCTGCTTTGCTCATAGATGTGTGCTCCGTGTCTAGCTCAAGTGTCTGGCGCATAGGAGGCGCTTGATAAATATTTGTTAAATGAATAAATGGAAAATTCTGAAACATCTGAAATAACTCTTGTTAAAAGAGTTTCTAAGTCTTTTATATTAACAAATGTGAGAGCTCCAAAAGAACTAAACATTTGTGGATCTGAGAGAAGGATGGGAGGCAGATTAGGGGTAACTGCAGTTTGTCTGGAGGCAGAGGTGATGGGCTTGGACTGTGTGCAGCCCAGCCCTGTGGTGGCATTATCCTAGAGCTGGTCATATTATATGGTGTATCAGGATCCCAGTAAAGAACAGATGCCACTCTCATACTGAGTAGACGGAGGAGGGTTTAATAGACTATTCACATGAGATGGGCGAGTTGTAGGGGAGCCACTGGAGACTGTTCCTACCCTGTATTAGTCAGGTTCTCCAGACGGACAGAACCAATGGGATATATGAATATACGAAAGGGAGTTTATTAGGGAGCATTGGCTCACACGATTACAAGGTCAAGTCCCACGAAAGGCCACCTGAAAGCTGGGGAAACAGAAGCCGGTAGTGGCGCAGTCCAAGTCCAAAAGCCTCAACACCAGGGAAGCCAACAGTGCAGCCTTCAGTCTGCAGCTGAAGGCCCGAGAGCCCCCACCGTGAAGCAGCTGCTGCAACTCCCAGATTCCAAAGGCCAGAGAACCTGAAGCCTGATGTCCAAGAGCAGGAGGAGCAGAAGCAAGCTTTTATGTGGGAAGGAGAAAGAGAGCCAGAGACCTCAGCAAGCGAAGCTCCTCCAGCTTTTTCTGCATGCTTTATTCCAGCCATGCTGGCTGCCAATTGGATGGTGCCCACCCACATCGATTGTGGGTCTTCCTCTCCCAGTCCACCGACTCACGTGTCAATCTCTTCTGGCAACACCCTCAGAGGCACACCCAGAAACAAGACTTTACCAGCTATCTAGACATCCCTCAGTACAGCCCAGTTGACACCTAATATTAACCATCACACACCCCTGGGGCTGAAAGGGCAAGGAGAGTGTGCGGGTGGGAGACTTTGGAGGGATAGCTGTGTAAAGAGGTTGGGCCTTCAGTAGAAGGACTCAGCCATCCTGCAGCAACCCGGGGAGGAAGCTGAGTGAGGGACCCTGACCTCACACCAACATCCCTCCCACCTCCTACAGTGCTCCCTATAGGCTGAACCTAACTGGAAGGCAGGGGCTGTGGAGTCCATTGAGGCACCCTTCCTAGCCAGCCTCCTGGGGTACAGAGCAAGCTAGGGAAGGTGGAGAATGGATATGAAAAGGTACGTGGGAGGGGGGGCTCTTAAATGAGCCTGAGGAAAATCAAATGGGAGGTGGAGTCTTCAAGTTCCACAGTGTGCTCACTGCTTAAGGCACTGCAGGGGGTTCTGATGGTGGAGTCCAAATGTGTGGTCATGTGGGCTGAAATGAGAAAGCATGGAAGTGTCGTGAAACGCAGGGATGAAACTGACAAGGTGGGGCATGGGTGGGGCCAGGGAGGTCAGCTTGGGCGTTGCCCCTTTAATCTTTATTAATGACCTATAAGATACAAACACCTTGTTGAAATTGACCAAGGTCACCTAATGACAAGGTGTTACAAACTGGCAAAGAAGAATGAATGAAAGACTTGCTAGTGACAAATGCTCCTGGATTTAAAGGCAGGATCTGGCCAAAGGAGAGTTAGCAATCGAGGGCAGCGTGATTCAAAGCACACACATCCACTAGGAGGTAGAAAACAGGAAGGGCCAGATGTGAGCAACCTTAGCTAAGTTAGAGTGAAACAGTTCACAGGAAATGCCAACTTGCTGGGGACTTTTGGTGGAAGGAAAAATCCATGCTGGATGATTCATTTACAGCATATACATATTTGGCAACCATGAGTTCAACAACCAAAATTATTTAATTAACCAGAAACTTGCACAGTCCAAAATCCAAGACGAGCTGTGTGTGCTAGTGGAAGCCTCTTGCAAAACCTACATTAAAATATTATATGTTGACTGGGGGCAGTGGCTCACACCTGAAATCCCAGCACTTTTGGAAGCCGAGGTGGGTGGATCACCTGAAGTAAGGAGTTCGAGACCAGCCTCGCCAACATGGCAAAACCCCATCTCTACTAAAAATACGAAAATTAGCCGGGCGTGGTGGCGGGTGCCTGTAATCCCAGCTACTCGGGACGCTGAGGTAGGAGAATCACTTGAACCAGGGAGGTGGAGATTGCAGTGAGCAGAGATCATGCCACTGCACTCCAGCCTGGGTGAAAGAGCGAGACTGTCTCAAAAATAATAATAATAGTAAAATAATAAAAAATATTAAATGTTGCGGAATAAAAATAAAAGTTGTTTCAAATTTTTAACATACCCTTTGATGCAGAATTCTACTTCAAGGAATTTATGCTAAAGAAATAATGAGGACAATTCTTAGAGCTGTAGGAAATAGGATTTTCATTGTAGAGTTTGTTATAATGGCTTCAAATTAGAAATAACCTCTCTGCTCAATGGTAGGGGATTGTTAGAGATATTTTGCTAAATATAAAAATAAATGTTAGAGATGAATTTTAACATCATTGGAATATGTCCAATATGTGGTTTAAGGCAGAAGAAAGAGACTCTACAACACTATGATCCCATTTTGGTTACACACACACTTACATACAGAAAGACTGGCAAGATTGCTGTGAAATGATTAAAAGTGATCCACTGTGTAATGTAGCACTAAAAGTAATTTCAATTTTTTTCTCATCCAAATTCCCTACATTTCTACAGTGGAGGTGTATTACTTTATGGTATGAAAACAATTTTTTTTTAACCCACAGAGAGTACTTTCTTGTCTCTCCTGCAGAATGTTAGCTCTCTAGTGTTTATATCCGAATCAGTGAGGTGAGATAGAGACAGATGTGAAGAGGTGCTTAGCGGGGGTTGGATTGAAGGAGCACAACAGAGGTCATGGTGCATTCTGTGGCAACATAGAAGAGTGTGTCTGAAGACCAGTGGAAGGTAGTGAATTTCTGAACCTCAAGGAGAAAGGTCATCTGCTTTATACACTATTTATTATTAGGTTGGTGCAAAAGTAATCACGGTTTTTGCCATTACTTTTAATGGAAAAAACCACGATTACTTTTGCACCAACATAATACTTTAGCTTTGAATAAAAATGAAACAGGCCGGGCGCAGTGGCTCACGCCTGTAATCCCAGCACTTTGGGAGGCCGAGGTGGGCGGATCACCTGAGGTCAGGAGTTTGAGACCAGCCTGGCCAACATGGTGAAACCCCATCTCTAGTAAAAATACAAAAATTAGCCAGGCATGGTGGTGCATGCCTGTAGTCCCACCTACTCGGGAGGCTGAGGCAGGAGAATCACTTGAACCCGGGAGGCGGAGGTTGCAGTGAGCTGAGATCGTGCCACTGCACTCCAGCCTGGGCAACAAGAGTGAAACTCCATCTCAAAAAAAAAAAACAAAAAATGATACCACAGTCGATTTGGGGGGAATGGGGTTGGGGTGTACCTAATAGTAGATTGTTAGGACTGAAAAGGATCATCAAAATCATTAGTCCAACATGCCAGAGGGCCCTCTAATAACAGGTATGAAGCAATCACTTGGTAAACATCTAAATTTCTAATAAAAGAGGATTTTTAAAAAGTAACTTTTAGAAGACTCAACAGAGGAAATCCTGGACATTGTTACTGCATTACCTCCAAAATGAGGTTATAGAGGAACCTCAGCCTTTGCAGGAGGCTCTTTTGCAGGTGGCTTCTCAGGTTTGCAGAATACAATTTGTAAACAACTGAGATCTTCTGAGTTCTAAAATGGTTTGATTTCATGGATCTAGGATTCCTTATTCCCCTAGTAATCCTAATTTAACAGAAATTATAGGAATGGGATATAATTTGCATTCCAAGATTTCAGGAAGAAATGTTTTGTTCCCTCTATTTATAGACATTTATTTAGCATCTATTCTATGCCAGGCATTGTGCTTGGTGGTGAAGAGAACAAGATGAAGAAGACAGTCTTCACATTCAAGTGGAGGAAACAGACTCGAAACAGATCATCATAATAGAATGAGACAAGTTTCATAATAAAGGCTCATACAAAGTAATAAGTAACACAGAGGAACAGAAGAACCTTGAGGGTAAAGTATGACTTAAGAAGAAGGATATTTAAACAGAGCCTTGAAGGACAGGCGAACTTTTAGTGGTCAAGGAAAAGAATACGTGTGTGTGAGTGAGTGAGTGTGCACACGTGTGTGAAGGACAATGAACTTCTTGCCAGGACTGAGCAAGGCATGACAATTTTTTGCATATCTTCTTTGGTAAAGTGTCAAGTCTTTTGCTGACTTTTTATTGGTTTGTTTACTTTATTATAATTTAGAATTCTTTTGATATTCAAAGGATTAAAAGGATATACGAAGGATTCAAGTCCTTTGTCAGACACATGTATTACAAAAATTTTCTTCCCAACTTTGGTCTGCCTTTTCATTAATGATGAAAGGAGCAAAGTTTTTAATTTTGATAAAGTCCAATTTATAAATGTCTTTCCCCATGGTTCATAGTTTTTGTGTCTTGCCTAATAAATGTTTGTCTACATCAGGATTGCAGATTTTGTCCTACTTTTTCTAGAAGTTTTATATTTCTAGCATCTATTAGCATCTCTAGTTAATTTTGGTGTATAGTATGGGGTACAGGTTCATTTTTTTCCCATATGGCTGTCCAGCTGTTCTGACACTACGTGTTTAAAATACTATCCTTTCCACCATAGAAAATCAAATGTTTAGGCCAGGCGTGGTGGCTCATGCCGTAGTCCCAGCACTTTGGGAGGCTGAGGTGGGTGGATCACCTGAGGTCAGGGGTTTGAGACCAGCCTGACCAATATGGTGAAACCCCGTCTCTACTAAAAATACAAATTAGACAGGCGTGGTGGCGCACGCCTGTAATCCCAGCTACTCTGGAGGCTGAGACAGGAGAATTGCTTGAACCCAGGAGGCAGAGGTTGCAGTGAGCTGAGATCGCGCCACTGCACTCCAGCCTAGGTGACAGAGCGAGACTCCATCTCAAAAAAAAAAAAAAAGAAAATCAATGTTTAAAATCAATCAACCATATCTGTGTGGGTCTATTTATGGAAGCCCTATCCTGCTGCATTGATCCGCATGCCTATTCTTATGCCAATACCAGGTTCTCTTGATTACTGATTTTAAGTCTTGAAATCTTATACTGTAAGTCTCTGATGTTGCTCTTCTTTTAAAAAATTGTCTTGGCCATCTTAGATCTCTTGTATTTTACTTCCATATAAGTGTCATAATTGGCTTGTTAATTCCTAAAAAATGGCTACCTGGACATTGATATTTTGTTGAATGTGTAGATCAGTTTGGGTAACTGACAACACTATTGAGTCTTCCAATTCATGAGCATGCTATGTTTTACATTTGTCCAGTTTCTCCTTGACTTTTGTCAGTAAATGTTTGTAGTTCTCATTGTACCAGTCTTGCACATATTTTGTTAAAATTATTTCAAAATATATCATGTTTTTGGTGATATTGTAAGTTGATTGCTTTCCTTCCATTGCCAGTTTTTTGGGTTTTTTTTTTTTTTTGAGACAGAGTTTCACTCTTGTCACCCAGGCTGGAGGGCAGTGGCACGATCTCAGCTCACTGTAACCTCCGCCTCCCGGGATTCAAGTGACTCTCCTGTCTCAGCCTTCCGAGTAGCTGGGATTACAGGTGCCTGCCACCACACCCAGCTAATTTTTGTATTTTTAGTAGAGATGGAGTTTCACCATGTCGGGCAGGCTGGTCTCGAACTCCTGACCTCAGGCGATCTGCCTGCCTCAGCCTCCCAAAGTGCTGGGATTACAGGCATGAGCTACCACGCCCGGTTCGCCAGTTGTTTTTTGATAGTATATAGAAACACCATTTTTATGTTGACCTCACACCCTGGGGCTTTGCTAAACTCAAGTATTAGTTCTGGGAACTTTTAAACAATAGACTCCTTAGGAGTTTTTAGAAACATGGTCATGTTATCTGCAAATAAAGAAAATTTTACTTTCTTCCTTTCCATTCTTGATGTATTTTATTTTATTTTGGCCTTATTAAACTGGTTAGTGTAATTCCTGATCTTAAAAGGAAAGCATTTAAACTTAAAGAGTGTCTAACATGCCAGGCACGGTGACTCATGTCTGTAATCCCAGCACTTTGGGAGGCTGAGGCGGGTGGATCACCTGGAGTTTGAGACCAGCCTGACCCTGATCAACATGGTGAAACCCTGTCTCTACTAAAATACAAAATTTAGCCAGGCATAGTGGCAGGGGCCTGTAATCTCAGCTTCTTGGGAGGGTGAGGCAGAAGAATTGTTTGAACCCAGGAGGCAGAGGTGGCAGTGAGCTGAGATCACGCCATTGCACTCCAGCCTGGGCAACAGAAGTGAAACTCCATCTCAAAACAAACCAACAAAAAAAAGTGCCTAACACACTGATGCTTCCAGGGAGGTGTTACATGGGGCTCCAAGAATGTCAACCATGTCCCCCTTCTTCATGGCTGACTTTGAACCAGGCCATTGTCATTTCTCCACTAAACTTTCCCTATAGCTTCCTACCTTTTCTCCCTACTTCACTCCACCCCCAGCCCTAGCTCCACTCCCAAGTCTATTCTCCATTCAGCAGCCACATTATCCTTTTAAGACACAAGTCAAACATCACCATAAGGACTCCTCCTCTTTTTCCCCCATCAGCCTCACTTTGTCTCCTTGGCTGAATCCCTCCACACCCCTATTTTAATGCCGTGTCTTGACTCACCTTCCCAGGGCGTGACATGCCTGCTCACGAATACTAGATTCATGGATCTTGATCTTCCTCTCTTAGCTCCTTCTGAACTAAACTCAACGAATTAAACTCAATTTGCACAGTAAAGTTGCTGAAAGGAGCTCTTAGAACCTCAGAATGTCTGGATCTTGGTGACCATGTGTAGAGAAGTCTAGGAAGGCTGGTAGGTTTGCCAAGTCTAGGAAGACAGACATTCCCTAGGGCTTTGCTCTGAAAACCCTGAGTAATATGAGTGTCTCCTAAGGTGAGCGATAATGACTTTTTACCTTTCTTGCAGGTCCTTAATTAGGGACTCCATAACAGACGCATCGTGTTAAATGGGACAGGAATTCCATTAGAGGAGAGAATGAGTAGGAAACTCCTTGGCCAGGACACAATGTTCAATCAGTTTTATGTTTGCAATAATGTCTTTGCCCCTGAAGACTGTATCCATCATCCAGTAGCTTTTGGTGAAAAACATCTTAAATAAACAGGAAGGCCTTGTCCTCCCCAGGCATCATCAATCACTCTGGCAGTCAATCAATCAGCAAAAGCTTTCTGGGGACCTATCACTCCCTGGCATTGTGGAAAGTGCTTTCACATGCCTTATCTTTTTTATTATCCTCAGGTGGGTAGGACAGATGTCACCCTCTTTCAGGCAGGAATCTGAGAGGCTGAGTGGCATGAGATCACATGGCTTGCCAAGGACAGACTTGGGGCTGGAACCCAGTTTCCTGATCATCTCTGCACCCAGGTGGAGTCCCAGTGCACCATGCTCTCCGCCATCAGAGGCTCTTTTTCTTTAAAAACAATGACTTGTGCTTTGAGGTCGCTGTAGATACCATCTTAAAGAGACTCTCTCACTCAACACATAATCAACTACAGCAGGAAAAGCCTGGGGCGGCCACCACCTACTGCAGAGAGAGACACACACAGAGAGAGAGAGAGAGAGACAGAGAGAGAGGACGGGAAGTAGGAAGTGGGGGGCTCACCAGCAGCTATGGAAGAGAAATAAAGGGAGACCATCTCTAGGGCTTGTCAGCTTTCAGGCAGCTGTATTCTTCCCAGCTCCTTTCTAATCAGTACGTCCTCTTCTAAAGGGTGGTTCCCACCACTCCTCCCGCTCTGCCTCTCTTAGGGAGCCCTTTAAAGCAGACGCTTAAGCTAAATAAACACACAAGTGAAACAAGCCAGGGCTGTGGCTGTGAAGGATGTAGCCAGTGAGCTCAGTGGACTTGGGCAAGTGTGTGTGTTTGTGTGTGTGTGTGCTGTGTGTGTGTTTGTGTGTGTATGGTGTGTGTGGTGTGTGTTTGTGGTGCGTGTGTGGTGTGTGTGCATGTGTTTGTGTGTGTGGTGTGTGTGGTGTGTGTGTGTGTGGTGTGTGTGTGGGGTATGTGTGTGGGGTGTGTGTTTGTGTGTGTGGTGTGTGTTTGTGTGTATGGTGTGTGTTTATGTGTGTGGTGTGTGTTTGTGTGGTGTGTGTGAGTGGAGTGTGTGTGTGGTGTGTTTGTGTTTGTGTGTTTGTGGTGTGTGTGTGGTGTGTGTTTGTGTGGTGTATGCTTATGTGTGTGGTGTGTGTGGTGTGTGTTTGTGTGGTGTGTGTGTGTGTTTGTGTGGTGTGTGTTTATGTGTGTGGTGTGTGTGGGGTGTGTGTTTGTGTGGGGTGTGTGTGTGGTGTGTTTGTATGTGTGCGCGCCAATATGAGGGGAAGGGTAGTGGGGACTCCTGGGCCCCCAGCCCTTTGCCCCTCTCTCCTGTGTTCTATTCCCTGGGCCTCTTTGTTTCTTGTGTCTTTCAAGCACCCATCACATGCCTTGATAGGTCACTGCTGCTCACCTTCATCCTGCTGTGTTTCCATTTGTGTCTGCCTTCCAGCCCTCCTGCCCTCCTGCCCTCCCTTCCTCCACTTCTCTTTTTTTTTTTTTTTAATTTTGAGATAGAGTGTCGCTCCGTCGCCCAGGCTGGAGTGCAGTGGTGCGATCTCAGCTCACTGCAACCTCCGACTCCCTGGTTCAAACGATTCTCCTGCCTCAGCCTCACGAGTAGCTGGGATTACAGGCGCCTGCTACTATGCCCGGCTAATTTTTGTATTTTTAGTAGAGACGGGGTTTCACCATGTTGGTTATGCTGGTCTGGAACTCCTGACCTCGTAATCCACCCACCTCGGCCCCTCAGAGTGCTGGGATTATAGGCGTGAGCCACCGCGCCCGGCCCCCTCCTCCTTCCCTTGCTTCCACTTTCAGTTGGGTAGATCTTTCTGTGATCTTAGAAAACACGTGTTTAGCTGATGGACAGTAGGAAGAGTGTGGGCCACGGAGCCTGAATTTGAGCCTCTCAGAGCTCAGTTCCTCATGTATAAAATGGGGTTGACTATCGTACTACGTTAAAAGCTGTTGGGAAGATTAAATAAATAGCACGCGTTGGATGCATGGAACAGTGTCCGACTCCCTCAGGACTCCGTAAGGTTGAACATTCGCACAATTGCAGGATTCCCCATTAGCAAGGCACCAGAGGCAAGCAGGTGTGGGTCCTGCTTTGATCCCTGGATTCCTAGACCCCTAAAGCTCAGGCTTTATCACAGTATACAAATGCCATTTTCTGTTTGGTCCTTTTTTTTGCTTATCTTACTCTAGAACTGTTGGACCACATAAATAATTTACCGAATAGGGGACAGAGGAGACACCTAGAAAGATTTGGGACCTACACTTGGGACAAGGCAACTCAAAAGGAGATGAGAGTACTGTATCTGGCTTCTGTGAAAACTTTGTGATGGGCAAATTAATTTTTCTTGGTCTCAGTTTCTTAAACAATAACATAGGGATCATTAAATGCTTCACGGGGTTTTGTAAGGGTCAATGAGCTGATGTCTGTAAAAGAGCTTTAAAACTCTAAAGCCGGACAGGTTGGGATTGAGCGGCTAAGGCTACCCTCTCTAACCCAAGGAAAGAGCCTTGGGGAAAATCATAGACAATTAGAGCTGGACTAATCTTGAGGTTATGATCCGAGTGAGGTACTGCCACAGTCTGAATGTGTTCCCCCAAAATTCATGTGTTGAAATCCTAACCCCCAAGGTGATAGTATTGAGGTCATAAGGGCAGAACCTTCACGAATGGGGTTAGTGTCCTTATAAAAGAGACCTCAGAGAGCAACCTCACCCCTCCTACCAGGTACAGAAAGCACCATCTATGAACCAGAAATTTCTCTCCCACCAGACACCAAATCTTCCAGCACCTCGATCTTGCACTTCCCAGTCCCCAGAACTGTGATGAATAAATTTCTGTGACTTATAAGCTACCCAGTCTATGGTATTTTTGCTACAGCAGCCTGAATGGACTAAGACCGGCACTTTACAGCTGAGAAAACATGATGGAAAGAGGAGGTGACCTGCCTGCAGCCACACAGCTGTTCAGTGAGAGTCAGGACCCGGGTTCCAGTGTGTGCTTCTTTACCTATGACACAGAGAAGGGCACAAAGGGAGAAGAGATCCCAGTACAGGAAGCCCCCGACTTAAAATACTTCCACTCACAATTTTTCTACTTTACAATGGTGTGAAAATGACCTGCATTCAGTAGAAACTCTGAGTACCCATACAACCATTCTGTTTTTCACTTTCAGTACAGTATTAAAATGAATTCCATGGGATATTTAATACTTTATTATAAAATAGGCTTTGTGTTAGATGATTTTGCCCAACTGTAGGCTAATGTAAGTGTTCTGAGCACCTTTAAGGCAGGGTAGGCTATTCAGTAGGTTAGGTGTGCCAAATTCATTTTCGCCTTATGATATTTTTAACTTCTGATAGGTTTACTGGGGTGTAACCTCTTTGGAGGTTTAGGAGTATCTGTACAATCCCACTGATAGATTTCCTGTGGACAGCTCTCAAGGAACCCATTTAGATATTTCAAAAGTGGAAAGCAGAGTTTGAATTCTAGCCCTGCCTACATGCTTTAAAAATAAACAAACAGGGCCAGGCTCATACCTGTAATCCCAGCATTTTGGGAGGCCAAGGTGGACAGATGGCCAGAGCCCAGGAGTTCAAGACCAGCCTGGCCAACGTGGTGAAACCCCGTCTCTACTAAAAATACAAAAATTAGGTGGGCACAGTGGTGCATGCCTGTAATCCCAGCTACTCAGGAGGCTGAGGCAGGAGGATCACTTAAGGCCAGAAGGCTGAGGCTGCAGTGAGCCAATCTGTGCCACTGTACTCCAGCCTGGACGACAGAGTGAGACCCTGTCTCAAACAAGACAAACGAACAAACAGTTCTGTTAGTTTTGACAAGTGCATACAGTCAGGGTAACCACCACAATTGATATAAAAGACATTTCCATTACTCCAAATTCTCTCATGTTCCATTTGCCATCAACTCTTCCTCCAAACCCCCGGTAACTGCTGATCTGTTTTTATCCCTATATCATTTGCCTTTTCAGATGGACATATAAATGGAGAATATAAGTGGTACACATAGACATATAAATGGACATATAAATGGTACATAGTCTGTACCTTTTGAGTCTGGGGTTAGTCACTTATCATAATGTATTTGAAATGCATTTAACCATCTTGTTGAATGTCCCAGTAGTTGGTTTCTTTTCATTGGTGTATACTTTTCCATTTCATGAATGTATCACAATTTGTTTAACCATACACCAGTTAATGAACCTTTGGGCTCTTTCAAGTTTTTGACGATTAAAAATAAAGCTGCTGGGCTGGTCGTGGTGGTTTACTCCTGTAATCCTAGCACTTTGGGAGGCCAAGGTGGGCAGATCACGAGGTCAGGAGATCGAGACCATCCTGCCTAACACGGTGAAACCCCGTCTCTACTAAAAATACAAAAAATTAGCTGGGTGTGGTGGTGGGCGCCTGTAGCCCCAGCTACTCGGGAGGCTGAGGCAGGAGAATGGCATGAATCCAGGAGGCGGAGCTTGCAGTCAGCCAAGATCACACCACTGGACTCCAGCCTGGGCGACAGAGCGAGACTCCGTCTCAAATAAATAAATAAATACATAAATAAATAAAGCTGCTATAAATATTCACATACATACATGTACTTTGTTTTCTCTGGGATGAATACCTAGGAGTAAAATTCCTGGATCATATGCCAAGTATATAGAAAATAACTTTATAAGGAACTGCCAAACTGTTTTCCTAAACACTGTCCCGTTTTGCATTTCTGACAGTAATGTTTCAAAGTTGCACTTGCTCAGCATCCTCACCAGCACTTGGTATTGCCAGTTATTTTATTTTTCCATTTTATTGGATATGAAGTAGTATCTCATCGTGGTTTTATTTTGCATGTCCTCATCACTGATGACATGAAACATGTTTTCATGTGCTTATTTGCCATTTGTATGTCTTTCTTGGTAAAGTGACATACATTCAGTTCAAAGCATCTGTTCACTTATTAAAATTGGGTTTTGTTTTCTTATTACTGAGTTTTGAAAATTATTTAGATATTATGGATATAAATCCTTAATTACATTACACTTTGCAAATATTTTTGTCCTAATCTGTAATGTGTCTTTTCATTCTCTTAGCAATGTCCTGGGAAGAGCTGAAGTTTTTAAAATTAGATAAAGCCCAATTTATCAATTTTTTTCATTTATGGATTATGCTTTTGTGTTTTATTTAAGAAATCTTTGCCTTAGCTAAAGTCACAAAGATTTTTCTTTTATAATTTCATAGTAAGAGGTTTTATATTTGGGTTTCTGATCAATTTTGAGTTCCTTTTTTTATATCATGCAAGATATGAATTGAACTTTTTTTTTGCCTAAATAAAATTTGCATTTGATAAAGACCCCATCCTTCCTCAACTGAATTACTTTTGCATATCTGTCAAAATCAGTCATTCTATAGATTCGCCTACTTCTGGATTCTCTATTGCTGTTATAATGATCTATTTATCTACTTTGATGCCAATACCACACTGCCTTGATTACTGTAGTTTTATAATAAACCATGAAATCAAGTGATGTTAGCCCTACAGTTTTGTCTTTTTAAAAGTTGTTTTGGGCTGGGCACAGTGGCTCATGCTTGTAATCCCAACACTTTAAGAGGCTGAGACGGGTGGATCTCTTGAGCCCAGAAGTTCATGACCTGCCTGGGCAACATGACGAAACCTCATCTCTACAAAAAGTTAGCTGGGCGTGGTGGTATGCACCTGTAGTCCCATCTACTTGGGAGGCTGTGGTGGGAGGATCACCTGGGCCCAGGAGGTCAAGGCTGCAGTGAGCCCTGATTGCACCACTGTACTCCAGCCTGGGTGACAGAGTGAGACCCTGTTTTAAAAAATAAAAATAGGCTGGGCGCAGTGGCTCACACCTGTAATCCCAGCACTTTGGGAGGCCAAGGCGCGCTGATCATGAGTCAGGAGATCGAGACCATCCTGGCTAATATGGTGAAACCCTGCCTCTACAAAAACAAAATTAGCTGGGCGTGGTGGCAGGCGCCTGTAGTCCCAGCTACTCAGGAGGCTGAGGCAGGAGAATGGTGTGAACCTGGGTGGTGGAGCTTGCAGTGAGCCGAGATGGCGCCACTGCATTCCAGCCTGGGCGACAGAGTGAGACTCCATCTCAAAAAATAATAATAATAATAAATAAAAATAAAATAAATTAAAAATTAAAGTTGTTTTGGTTATTCCGGGTTCTTTGCAATTCAACATGAATTTTAGGATCAGCTTATCAATTTCTACAAAAACCCTGCTGGCATTTTGACTGGGATTATGGTGAATTTAAAGATCAATTTGGGCAGAACTGGCATTTTAACAATATTTTGACCCATGAACACAGTGTTGGTTTCTACTTATTTATGCCTTCTTTAATTTATTTCAACAATATTTTGTAATTTTCAGCATTTGTCTTGCACAGATTTTGTCAGGGTGATTTCTAAGTATTTCATATATTTGATACTATTGTAAATGATAATTTAAAAAAATTTCAATCTTGTATTGTTTATTGCTAATATATAAAAATGTAATTTCTGAATATTGGATGTTGTATCCTGAAACCTTGCTAAACTCACTTATTAATTTTAGTACTTATTAGGGTTCCCTCAGATTTTCTACATAGATGATCATGTTGTTCATGAATAAAGACAGTACACTTTTTCCTTTCTAATTTGGATGCTTTTTATTTTCCTTGCCCTACTTCACTGGCTTGAACCTCAGTAGAATGCTGAAGAGAAGTGCGAGTGGACATCTTCATTTTGTTACTAATTTAAGGAGAAAACATTCTATCTTTTGCCATTACATATGATGTTAGCTGCAGGATTTTTGTGGTTGCTTTTTGTCAAATCAAGTTTTCTTGTTTCTGAGGGTTTTCGTAAGGAGTGGGTGTTGGAGACAATCAAGTACTTTTTCTTCATCTATTGAAATGCTCACATAGTTTTTCTTTTTTCTTTTATTCTAATGTTAAACCAACCTTGCCTTCCCAAGATAAACTCCACAAGATTGTGACGTTTTTATGTTGTTGATCTTGATTTGCTAAAAGTTTTTGTAAAATTTCTGTATCCATCTTCATGAGGAATTTGGTCTATAGTTTTCTTTTCTTAAAATATATTTTTCTGGTTTTGGTATCAGAGTAATGCTGATCTCATAGAATGAGCTTGGAAGTATTTCTCCACTTCAGTTTCAGTGTTCTGGAGGAGATTGTCTAGAATTAGCATTATTTATTCCTTAAATGTTTTGTAGAACTCCAGTGAAGCCATATGAACTGGGGTTTTCTTTGTGGGAAGGTTTTTAACCATGAATTCAGTTTTATAAATAGATATAGGACCATTGAGGTTACCTATGTTTCATTTGGTGAATTTTGTGTCCTTTAAGGAATTGGTCCATTTTATCTAAGTTATCAGATTCACTAGTATAAAGTTGTTCATAACATTCTCTTACTTTTCTTGTAATGTCTGTAGGACCTGTAGTGATATCTCCTCTCTTATGCCTGGTATTGCTAATTTGTGTGTTTTCTATTTTTCTTGATTGGTCTGACTAGACGTTTATTAATTTCATTGATTTTTACAAAGAAACAGCTTTTGTTTTATTAATTTTTCTGTTGTTTCTGTTTTCAATTTTATTTCTGATATTGTTTCCTTGTTTCTGCTTGCTTTGGGTTTAATTATTTGCTCTTCTTTTTCTAGCTTCTTAAAGTGAAAGCTTAGATGACTTATTTGAAGACTTTATTTATAATACAAGTATTTAATCCTATAATTTTCCCTCAGATTTCTGCTTTGGCTGCATCCTACAATTTTTTTATGTTTTGTTTTTTATTTTTATTCAATTTAAAATATTTCCTAATTCCCCTTGTGAAATCCTCCCTGACCCATGAGTTATTTATAAGTGTGTTGTTTAATTTCTAAGTATTTGGGGATTTTCCCAGTTTATTTTTTGATATTGATTTCTAATTTAATTCCACTGTGTTTTGAAAATGTTCTTTGCATGATTTTGATTTTTAAATATTTGTGGAAATGTGTTTTATGCCAGAACATTTTTTACCTTGGTGAATGTTTCACGTATACTTAAAAGGAATGTGTAGGCCAGGTGTAGTGGCTCATTCCTGTAATCCCCGCATTTTGGGAGGCCGAGGCAGGTGGATTGCCTGAGGTCAGGAGTTTGAGACCAGCCTGGCCAATGTGGTGAAACCCTGTCTCTACTAAAAACACAAAAATTAGCTGGGTATGGTAGCATGTGCCCTGTAATCCCAGCTTCTTGGGAGGCTGAGGCAGGAGAATCGCTTGAGAGGTTGGCAGAGGTTGCAGTGAGCCGAGATCGCACCATTGCACTCTAGCCTGGATGACAAGAGCGAAACCCGTCTCAAAAAAAAAAAAAAAAAAAGAAAGAAAAGAAAAAAAAAGAATGTGTATTCTGCCATTTTGAAGTCATCTATAAATGTCAGTAGGTTCAGTTGGTTGACAGTGTTCATCTGATCTATAGCTTTACTGATGATCTGTCTGCTTGTTCTATTGATTATTGAGTGAAGAGTGTTGAAATTTGTTTCCCTTCTCTGTTTTATTAATTTTTGCTTTATGTATTTTGAAGCTCTGTTTTTAGATGCATGCACACTTGGGATTTTTTGTCTCCCTGGTAAATTCATCCTCTTTATGATTCTGTGAATGTCCTGTTTTTCCCTGCTCATAATCCTTCCTCTGAAGTCTGTGCTTCATAGAGTTTTGGCAACCCCAAGGCACTAAGATCCAAGTGTGAAGGGAACTAACAGCAACCTTCCAAAATCTTTCTCTCTGTCTCCATTTTTATGATGTGGCCTCTTCAAGCATTTCCCGGCACCCTAAGTCCTCTGAGGGAGATGAGCTAAATAAAGCAGGCTTAATGTTGAGAGATGCCCTTTGGCTCTTAGAGCTAAACTGGTGAGATATTTCAGTAACAGTGGGGCTACAGCCCTGGCTACCTGGAGTAAGAGCTGGTGACAGGGATGCTGAGATCTATGGCAGGCAGGGCAGTAAGTTGTACTTGGGCATATAGCGCCCAAGTGTCCTGCAGTTCCCCAAAGTAGGCTTATATCACAGTCAGCTGCAGACACTCAGGAAGATGAAGGAGGCTGTGCAGTTTACACCCTCAGGCGGAAATCTTCCAGCCTGTAACAAGTGACAGGTAGCCCTTAGGGATTTTGGAGGGCTGTGTATAGGGATTTAGGTGTTTGGTGAGTGAGATGGGAGAGAAGGATTTGGACACCCAGTCACGATGGGAGGAACATCAAGCCAAAGCCATCTATTGCTCTCAATTAGCCCTTTTCTCTCAATATTATTAACTTTGAATTTCTATTATCACATGTGAAACATAATAAGTGTTCATGAAGGATTTGCTGAATGAATAAATGCCTAACCTTGAGAAGTAACGGTCACAGGTCAAAAGGATTCTCCCCGCCCCGCCCTGCCCCCGCTTTTTTTTTTGAGATGGGGTCTTGCTCTGTCACCCAGGCTGGAATGCAGTGGTGCAATCTTGGCTCATTGCAACCTCCACCTCCTTGGTCCAAGCGATTCTCCTGCCTCAACCTCCTGTGTAGCTGGGATTACAGGCATGTGCCACCACGCCCATCTAATTTTTTTGTATTTTTAGTAGAGATGGGGTTTCACCATATTGGCCAGGCTGGTCTTGAACTCCTGACCTCAAGTGATCCACCTGCCTTGGCCTCCAAAAGTGTTGGGATTACAGGCGTGAGCCACTGTGTCCGGCCTAGGACTCTTACTTCATGGCTTATTTAGATTGGTTACTATGGCCATATCCTTTTCTTTGAAGGATATGTGTTAGTCAGCTATTGCTATGATGATAGTGTATAATAAACAACTCTAAAAATCTTACTGGCTTACATCAAGCATTTATTTTTTCTCAAGAGTCAGTGGGTCACGGACCTGCGGATTGTATTCATAGCTCTATTTCAATTACAGAGTTGGGGTTCAGGTCTGCTGTCTGAGTCTCTCATTGTGGAATCAGCAGAGGCATATACTTCTCATGGTGGACTTAGAAACTTAAGAGGCTGAGCCAAGCCATAAAGGTATAGGAAAAGCCTCTGCTTGCATCATATTTACTAACATTCCACTGGCCAAAGCAAGTAAAAACCTAAAGCTATAAACTCTGAAGAAAACAGCTCCAAATTAGGCTGTATACCCAGTCTGCTCTACTAGGAGTCATAGCAAAGCCACACGGCAAAGAGTGTGGCTATATAATTCCCATTATATTCCCATCACAAAGGGACAGTAAATAGCTGTGAACAATAATTCAATCTATTACAGATGCCTTCAATAATAATTGTGAAAATACATACAAATCTGTGTGCCAGGCACTGTTCTAATCACTTTATATGTGCAAATAGCTCAGGGTTAATAATGCCTTCTTTGATGGCTTCAAGGATGGATGAAAACATAACATCTCAGATTGATTTTTGCTTAGATTTCTAGGGTTACAAAGGAAACTGAAAGTTACATATGCAATAATATGCAAAATGCACTGAAATTTTAAAACTCTATGTTACAGAACCCCTCATTTCAGAGAGAGTACAAATATTTTGTATTGTTATTTCAGGAATTGTCTGAGAATATTTCAATCATGTTTTTTATCTTCTAAAAGTTATATATGCCTTTGGTATTTATATCAAAGAATATCAATCAGTAAATATGTATTGCATTTCTGTGCTCTACTGTGGGGCTTTCTGCTGTCGGGGAACTTAAGAATCAGCCAGGAGGAAAAGGCATTTCCATAAGCATGACTTATAATAATTTAAGGCAGTAAATAAATGCAAGTGCCAAATGTCAGTGGTAAGAACCATGGGCGTTCAGGGGAAGAAGGCCTAGCCCATGCCTTCGCCCTGCGAAAATATTTAAAGTCCTGTGATCAAAGGGTCCACTAACCCCTGGGCTTCTCCCTGTACCTAATCATGTAGCTTATTTCCTGTCTGAAGGTTTTTTTGTTTTGGACATTCACAAGAAATGTGAATCGTCATACATTGCATCACTTCCAAAAGGCTCCAAAAGTTTTCTAGAGAAACAGGGTACAAACCGCCTTACATGTTATTGATTTGGTGAACTTATTTGATGTAACTGATCTTTCTCTTTCTCTATCTTCCATTCTCTATTTTGAGGTACCAAAAAAGAGTGCAGCCCAGTAAAAGTAGAAGATGCTTGGTCAAAGCTGTGAAACCTATGTCTGCCATACCATCTGCCCCCTTTGAGTTTGGTGTCTTGATATCTTTGTTTCCCAAGGGTCCCAAGGTGGTTTCTGTTCACATGTGGGGAATGGCAAGAGAATCTGGAAGTTAATTTATTTTCATTGCCCTGGCGTTTTTGCCAATTCCATGTCTAAATCAAGGCTGGGTAGAGAGAGGGATATTATGATTCCTGAAACATGAGCACTATGAAAAATTATGTTTGGCCTCAGGTATTTCTCCTTGAATAACATCAGAAGGATAAATGCTTTTTTTTTTCATTTTGAATTTTCTCTCATCCAGTTCATTATTGATTTCAAGGTTTTTGTTCAAACACATTATACTTTTCTTGCTTTTTTTTATTGGTCCTTAACCCATATGGAACACTATGTAATATGGAGGTTAGCCTAAGACCTTAGGATACTTGCAAGTCATAAAACACTTCTGAAGTGGCTCTGGCTTTATTTGATCCATAAAATAAGATACCTGTCCAAATATTCCCTTACCTTGGAAAATGGGCTACACTGACTGATGTTTCAACTAATTTCTATAGTCAAATTTTTGGATTGGAGGTAGTGAAATATGCCCTTAGAAACAGTAATTATGAGTTTATTTATATTCACTTATGTCTACAGAGCAATCCTCATTTTATTTAAATTTTGAGACTTGAGAAGAAACACATATGCTCATCTCACTTTGAAACAGTGGATATGAAGTGTGTGGGTTTAATAATCCCTGTATCCACAATCCTGGTGTTTGCATATTTTTGTGATTTTTATTTACCAGGTTTGCTCATCTACCTCTCTTATGCCTCTGATTCACGTCCTGAAAACCACCGAGAACAGAAACCCCAAAGAGGAGTTGGGCCTTCACTGACTTTATCTTATACTGCCCTCTGCATACTCTCAGGTTTTTCTTTGCTAAAGAAGGGAGGAGGCAGGGAAGGAAGGAGGCAGGAAGAAAGGAAAGAGGAAAGAAGGAGGGAGAGAGGGAAGACAGAAAGAAGAAATGGAGGAAGGGAGAGAGGGAAGAAGAAAGGAAGAAAGGAGGGAAGAAGGGAAGGAGAGAGAAAGGAAAGAGGGAAGGAGAGAAAGAATAAAGGAAGGGATGGAGGAAAGGAAGGAAAGAGGGAAAAAGAAAAATGTTTTTATCTAATAAAAGAAAATTCCCACAAACCATAAAAATTGATTAATTTGACTTCATCAAAATTAAAACTTCAAAAGACATAATAAATATGGAAAAACAGGGTGTAGGCTAGAAGGAAATATTTGCAAACACATATCTGATTAAAAACCTAAAGCTATAAACTCTAGAAGAAAACATAAAAAGAAATCTTTGTGACCTTGGGAAAGGAAAGATTTCTTAGATACTTAATTACAAAAGCACAACTCATAAGACACTAACAAGTTCGGTTTCTGCAAAATTAAGAACTTTTGTTCTTGGAAAAACACTGTTAAGAAATGAGCCACAGATTGGGAGAAAATATTTACAAACTACATACTGATAAGAGATTTTTATCTAGAACAAATAAAGAACTCTTTTGTAACTCACTAATAAGAAGACAAACAATCCCTTTAAAAATGGGTGAAAGATTTGAACAGACTTTTCACCAAAGAACAGATGTAGATACAAATAACCACATGAAAAGATGCAAATGAAATGCATCTTTAAAGAAAATGCAAACACTTGCTGTACAGAAAGCCAGTCACTGAGACAATGAGTATTGCCAGGGAAGAAGGCTTTAATCGGGTGCAACAGCCAAGGAGAATGGGAGATCAGTTTCAAATCTGTCTCCCCAACTGACTAAAATTGGGGTGTTTAAATAGTTTAATAGTTCAAATTAGCTATGTGTGGGAAGGAATTAGGGAGGGGTAGGGAAGCCATCTCAACGAATGGGGGTATGGCCTCTAATTGTCTGGATATGGCAATCTGGTGAGTTTCAGTCCCTTGTTTGAGGGTCAGTTTCCTGAGAAAGAGACTCAGATGAGACAAATGTAAGTTTTAAGATTTGGAGGGTCAAATTCTATGTTTATTCAAAAAACTTGGGCCAGGTACAATGGCTCATGCCTGTAATCCTAGCACTCTGGGAGGCCAGGGTAGGAGGATCGCTTGAGACCAGGAGTTCAAGACTAATCTGGCCAACATAGCAAGACCCTGTCTCTATAAAAAACAAAACAAAAACAAAAAAACTCATAAATATCAGTTATATGAGACAATTGGGCCAGTTTCATTAAAATCACAAGATACCACTACATTCCTATCATAATGGCTTTAAAAAATTTTTTAAAAACAGCAAATAAGTGAAAAATCTGGCAACAGCAACCGCTGATGAGACTTCAGAGCAACGTCTGTAAAATGGTGCAGCCACTTTGGAAAACAGTTTGGCTATTTCTTACAGTCAGACATGCACTTAGAATGTGACCCAGCACTCTCACTTCTAAGTATTTATGAAACATACATGAAATGAAAACACATGTCTACAACAAATTCTGAGAATATTTATAGCAGCTTTATTTGTAATTATAATTTAAAAAAACTGAAAACAACCCAAATGTCCATCAGCTCTTAAATGGATATATAAATTGTAGTCTATCCATACCATGAACTACTGATTCCTACAAAAGTATGAGTTACTTTTAAAATATTTATAAGTTTAAGAAACCAGATTCAAAAGTTTGCATCCTATATGATGTAATTTATATGACATTCTGGAAAAGACAAAATTAGAGGGAAAGAAAAGAGATCAGTGATTGCCAGGCATTTGATTGACAGCAGAGAGGATGTTGATTACAGAGGGGTTCAAGGGGACTTTTTGGGGTGATGGGATATCTATACATTAATTGTGTTTCACATGTTTGTCAAATGTATAGGGTTATATACTAAAAAGTGTATTTTTCTGTATATTCAGAATATACCTTAATAAACCTGATTTTAAAATAATCATTGAACATTACCAGAACATTACTAGATGCATTTACAATTTGAAACAGCAAGATAACCAAATTGTGTTCAGTTTAGAGAGTTTAGAAAACATATAACAGAGCCAGGTGTGGTGACCTATTATCCCAGCTACTTGGGAGGCTGAGACGGATGGATTGCTTGAGCCCAGGAGTTCGAGGACAGCCTGAGCAACATAGTGAGACCTTCATCTCTAAAAATAAAAAAGAAATAAATAAAAAGAGAAAACCTTAATCATCCCATAATTACAGTACCCACAGATGGCCAATGTTAACAACTTGATGTAATATATATATATTTGAAACAGCATCTTGTTATGTTGCCCAGGTTGGATGGCAGTGGCTATTCACAGGTGCAATCCCATTACTAATCAGCACAGGAGTTTTGACCTACTCTGTTTCTGAGGTGGGACAGTTCACCTTTCTTGTTTCTTTTTTTTGTTTTTTGAGACAGAGCCTTGCACTGTTGCCCAGGCTGGAGTGCAGTGGCGCAATCTCGGCTCACTGCAACCTCCACCTCCCGGGTTCAAGAGATTCTCCTGCCTCAGCCCCCCGAGTACCTGGGACTACAGGCACCTGCCACTATGCCTGGCTAATTTTTGTATTTTTAGTAGAGACGGGGTTTCACCATATTGGCCAGGCTGGTCTCGAACTCCTGACCTTGTGATCCACCTGCCTCAGCCTCCCAAAGTGTCGGGGTTACAGGCATGAGCCACCGCAGCTGGCCACAGTTCGCCTTTCTTAGGCAACCTGGTGGTCCCTGGCTCCCAGGAGGTCACAATACTGATGTCGAACTTAATGCAGACACCGACTGGTATAGAGTGCTACAGCCCAGAATTAGCTGGGACTATAGGCGTGCATCACCACACCCAGCTTGATGCAATACATTTTTTAAATATAAAG
Source organism: Homo sapiens (assembly GCF_000001405.40). Lineage (NCBI taxonomy): Eukaryota > Metazoa > Chordata > Mammalia > Primates > Hominidae > Homo > Homo sapiens. Next base: position 38,257,855 of record NC_000004.12, read on the forward strand.
CTTGCTTTGACTTCCTAACATCTTATATAAATGTTCTCCTACACCAATATTTTCCATGGTCTCGTGGAATTCTGTCGTGCAAATGTACCACAGATTATTTAAATAATCCTCTATTGTTGGACATTTAGTTTATATATAATTTGTCACTTTCAAATTAATGTTTCAATAAGCATTATTATATACATATCCATGAATAACCATGATTTTTTTCTTTAGGATAAATTGCTAAGAATGACACTGCTGGCTCAAAGGAAAGGTACATTTTTAGGGATATTTACATAGATATTGTCAAATTGCCCTACTGAGAGTTTGCACCAATTTATCTAAGTTCATTTTTAAGCTCTCTTTATTTTATCCATAATTTACAACCTTCCTTCTAAATTCATCTGGACCCTTCTTAATAGAAAAATTCTAGCCAAGAAACAAAGCATAGAGGACTTTATGAAGGGCTACATGTAGCGGCAGGGATCAAGAATCATATAATAATAGATCTCAGCCTTCTCCTTCTGCCCCTCTGCCTTCTTCATTTCCTGTGTGTTGGAGCTTACTTTTTTCCCCATGAAATAGACTTAATTAATTAATTAATTATTTTCACAAATAATTTCAGTTCAGTTACCAAGCTAAGAGAACTGAAATTCAATGAAAAAAAAAATCAACCTCACATTTAATTTAGCATACCAACTTAATGTGCAATTTCTGATCAACATTTTGTGCATCAAAAACGCTTTGTCAAGACCCATTCCTCATTTCTAGGACTTTTTAGAGATTTAGGACCCCAGGTTTGGGCTCGAGGATCTAATGAAAATTGCCTTTGACCAGGAGGAAAGGCCCCAGGTTCTAGAGATGACCTCCTCACTGGCTGGTTCTGAGCCCTCGATCATATCATTTCTCCTTTCTGCGGTCTCATGTGGGTACTAATTACAACTAGTGAAGTACAGAGTTGTCTCTCCTTCCTGTTGTTATGAGGATAAAATTAGACGATGCTTCCAGTCGCATTTCAAGAGCATCAGTGGTGATCTGAGCATGCACATGTATCTTTACTATCTTTTATTCTTGTTATGGTGACCCTGGGGACCATTCCTGACAGGACTAGCTTCAGGTGCTCGAGCATCCTCAATTCCACCCCCACGTAGAGGTGAGCGAGGTCATTCCTTCTCTCGCTGGGCATCAGGTCGTACCTGGGTGCTGTGGGGTGGTGTTCTCAGGGAGGTCCTTTCTGACCAGCCTCTGAGATATGGTACTTCGATTGCCATTTTTAAAATTTCTGCAGAGTTTGGTCTTTATCCTTGAGTTAACAAAAAGCTGTTCTGATCACATTTAGGGAAATTGGGGCAGCAACAAGGTCAGATCCACATTTTAGAAACAATGCTGGTGACAGTATGGGGAAGAATCAGAGGGCTGCCCATGTTACCAGAAAGGGGTCCCGATTCAGACCCCAAGAGGGGCCTCTTGGATCTTGTGCAAGAAAGAATTCAGAGTGAGCCCATAGAGTAAAGTGAAAGCAAGTTTATTAAGAAAGTAAAAGAATAAAAGAATGGCTACTCTATAGACAGAGCAGCCCCAAGGGCTACTGGTTGCCCGTTTTTATGGTTATTTCTTGATGATATGCTAAACAGGGGGTGGATTATTCATGCCTCCCCTTTTTAGACCATATAGAGTAACTTCCTGACGTTGCCATGGCGTTTGTAAACTGTCATGGTGCTGATGGGGGTGTAGCAGTGAGGACCACCAGAGGTCACTCTCATGGCCTTCTTGGTTTTGGTGGGCTTTGGCTGGCTTCTGTACTGTAAACTGTTTTATCAGCAAGGTCATTATGACCTGTATCTTGGGCCGACCTCCCATCTCATTCTGTGACTTAGAATGCGGAGCTGTCTGGGAATGCAGCCCAGTAGGTCTCAGCCTCATTTGACCTAGACCCTATTCAAGGCGGAGTTGCCCTGGTTCACATGCCTCTGACACCCATAGTTTACCAGTTTGCTTCCGGCCATGTCCCCCACCTCTCCTGGCTCTGTCCTGTGTCACAGGAACCACGTTTCCCAGGCTCCCTTACCAACTGGCTTCCAGATGGATGGGCCATTGTAATGCACTGGCAGAAGCCTAGAGGGGAGGGAGCTGGGGAGAAGCCAGGGTATTCTCATCCCCTCTGCCCTTGGCAGCATCTCCTGCTGCATTTCTTCATTTCCTCTGCCCAAGAGCCTCTCCCTCCACCATCCCATTTCCTGCCAGGCGGCTCTGGCTGTGGTTCTAGTCCTGGTCAGACAGCCCCAGCCTCTGGGCTCCACTCCTCCCAGCCCTAGGGGTGGCAGTACTTCCTGCAGATGCTAATCTTTGGATTGCCTAAGGCCCCCTGTTGGCCTCTTAGCTCTTCCATCCCCTGCAAAGCATTTCCCTGTGTTAAATTCCCTTTCTGGAAACACCTAGAGTGGCTTCTGTTTTCCTAATTGGACTCAGATGGATACAGAGGGAAACCATAGCAGATAGCAGTTGGGTTCGAAAGAATTTATTAAAAGCTAGGGAACAGGCACAGCCTCCTGAGGGAAACAAGCACATAAGTAGACCATGTCCATGTGCTGTTGTAGTAAGTGCACCACAGAAGTCTATGAAAGGAGACCAGTGACTGGGACATTGTGATTGCAAGGGTCCAGACAAACCATATTAACAGCTTGAGCAAAGGCAGGGGTGGGGCTGGGGGCAGTGGCTCACACCTGTAATCCCAGCACTTTGGGAGGCAGAGGTAGGCAGATCACCTGAGGTCAAGAGTTCGAGACCAGCCTGGCCAACATGGTGAAACCCCGTTTCTACGAAAAATATGAAAAATTAGCTGGGCATGGTGGCACACACCTGTAATCCCAGCTACTCGGGAGGCTGAGGCAGGAGAATCACTTGAACCTAGGAGGTGGAGGTTGCAGCTAGCTGAGATCGTGCCACTGCACTCCAGCCTGGGTGACAGAGTGAGAGTCTGTCTCAATAAATAAATAAATAAATAAATAAATAAAATAGGCAGAGGCGGGTGATTAGAGAAAGGACTTGATCATCAATTGGATGTGGAACATGAGGGAAAAGAGGAGTGAAAAAAAGACCCTGAGGTAGTTGGTTTTGCTTTCACCACCTTTAGACACTGAAATTCTCTCCATCCTTCAAAATCCAGTTCAAAAACTACCTCAACCAAGTCTTTTAAAACCCATATCCCCCAATGGAAATTCTATTTTTCCTGTCTCTGTGCTTTTGCAGCACTTTTTCTCACCACCGTTTTAGTAGCACTTGTCACATTTCTCTCGGATCCTGATAACTCATCCATAATAAGAGCTAACACTTACAAAGTGCTTATTATGTGCCAAACAAGTATTAACTTGCTCATCACTTTATTTTCACAACAGCCCTATGAGGTAGAGATGGTTATTATTCTCTGTTTTACAGATGAGGAAACTGAGGCAAGGAGAGGCTTAAGGATTTGCACAAGGGCACACAGGTAGTGCATGGCACAGCCAGGAATAAGTGGGTCTTCAGAGTCTATGCTCTTAACCTCTATACCACAGAACATTCTATAGTTTTACTGTTTTCCTGCAGAGGGAACATTAAGCCCTCCAGGGTCTAGTTTTGGACATTAAGAAGCAGATATTAACTCATTTCCGTTTCTTTAACACTCCAGGCCTTTGCACATGCTGTTCCCTTAGCTGAAAACACTGTTCTCTGCCATTGCACAGTGGCTTCCTTTCATTCTTCAGTTTGGGTTTAAGTGCTACCTCCTGAGCCAGATCCATCCTGCCCATCCTGATGAATCCAACCCCTCTCCCCCATCGTGTTGTTCTCGAGCACTGAACCCTGTTGATGTATGTATTTGTTTGTTTGCTTACGTAGTTTCTGCTTCCCCAGCTAGACCAAAAAGTCCAAGAAGGCAGAGCACACATCTGTTTTACTCATCACTGTTTGCTTAGGGCATTCAGGGCTCCTAGCACATAGTAGAAGCTCGGTAAATAAGGAGGGATGGTATCTTCTCACTGTAGAGCATAAACATGTCCTTACTCTCATACCACTAATTTCTTAAGAAATTATTCTGAGTGTGAATTAGACAAAGAAGCAATCAGCAGAAGTTAGGAACAGGGAGTTTTCAAAAAGATCCCAAATGTCCTAAAGGTAAGAAAAGAATGATATTAACAAGGTCTTCTCAAAGAGAATAGTTCTGATGAGCCAATCAACAGAATATATAATTTCCTTTTAAAAATAACTAAGTCTACTTGGCCTGAATTTAGCTTATGTTTTGTTAACACATGTGAGATGAACCCAGCTCGTATTTTTGTTTCCCTGAATCGTGGGTGCTTTCTCAAAAACTCCCCCATACCCTCGCTCTTAGTCTCTTGATGAGGTGCTGTGGAAAACCAAGATGTCAAGGTATGGTACAATCGGTGAATTTAATGGTTATTCACGAAGCCTCTGGTTTTAACATTTGTTTGATTGCAAATATAAATATTGCAATTTTGAGATTAATGTTATGCTGTTTAACCAGAAAGGTACTCATCCCAATAAAATCCAGTAATTAGGGCAGTACGTTTTCTTAGTTATAAAATCAGTATACACAGGCCCTGACTTGGTTCATAGATTATTGCATGTATTAGGGAATCAGTTAAATACCAAAACTACAAGATACCTACAGCTTTTGAATTTTAGCTGAAGAACTTTATTATTTTATTTTATTTTATTTTTGTTTTGAGACGGAGTCTCGCTCAGTCGCCCAGGCTGTAGTGCTGTGGCACGATCTGAGCTCACTGCAAGCTCCGCCTCCCGGGTTCACGCCATTCTCCTGCCTCAGCCTCCCGAGTCGCTGGGACTACAGGCACCCGCCACTACGCCCGGCTAATTTTTTTGTATTTTTAGTAGAGACGGAGTTTCATTGTGTTAGCCAGGATGGTCTCGATCTCCTGACCTTGCGATCCGCCCGCCTCAGCCTCCCAAAGTGCTGGGATTACAGGCGTGAGCCACCGTGCCTGGCCTATTATTTTAAATAATGCAGTTCTTTTGTATAATATATTCAGCTTTAGGAGCTGTTATCTGACTAATAATAGTACAAAAACTAAAGTAGGAAAAGGAGTTTTAAAAAAATATTTAATTGGTAAAGAAAAACCTAAGATTTAGGGAAAAGCAGTTTGGTAAGTCTTCCAGGGATCCTCCCTCCTCCCCACGCTCCTCACAAAATATATAAATTAATCAGCAATTATTTGGTCAGTAGTGTGATTAGGTCAAAAGATGCTACAGGTGAATTCATATTCATGTTTCTCCAATCCTTGGGAGCCAATTTTACACACTGGCAAACTGTGGCATAGAAGCAGCTGAGTACTTCAGAATGTCATCATCTTGCTACTCAAAGAGTAATCCTTAGACCAGAAGCTTTTTAGAAATGTAGAATCATCAGGACCCCAAGACCTGCTGAATCACAATCTACATTTAAACAGGATCCCCAGGTGATTTGGATACTCATGAAAGTTTGAGAAGTGCTAATGCAGTGAACCATGCTGGAGGTGGGATTTTGATCTTTATCTTTCGGTGCAGAGAGATTGCCACCACCTTGGCTCTTGGCTGAGATGTCACCTTCTCAGGGAAGCTTCCCATGACTTTATAATTCCTGCAGTTGTCCTTGTCCTGTGATTTCAGAGCACCCCACACTTCCCAGTTATACCAAGTGTCACATTTTACAGCCACGCAGAGCAGACCATTCAACTGGCAATTAATTACTCAGGATCACACAGTTGTACCCTGGTGCTCAGTGCTCATTGGACAGACCAAAAAGGACCATGCATTCAATGGTGTCATCTTGCCAAACACAGTTTCATTGAGAAAAACACCAAGCACATTTCTGTCCTGAAGATTACTACTTTGTAACTGTTTTTTGTTTTTGTTTTTGTTTTAGATGGAGTCTCGCTCTGTCACCCAGGCTGGAGCACAGTGGCACAATCTTGGCTTACTGCAACCTCTGCCTCCCAGGTTCAAGCAATTCTCCTGGCTCAGCCTCCCGAGTCGCTGGGACTACAGGTGTGCGCCACCATGCCTGGGTAATTTTTGTATTTTTAGTAGAGACGGGTTTCATCGTATTGGCCAGGCTGGTCTCAAACTCCTGACCTCATGATCCACCCACCTCAGCCTCCCAAAGTGCTGGGATTATAGGCGTGAGCCACGGTGCCCAGCCTGTACCTGGTTTTTGAGTGGCATCCACTAAAAGGCTTCTGACAATTTGCTAAATACCCATTTCCCTTTAGAGCCCTAGCCTGCCCTTTATGAGGTCTAGTTGATGAACTTCAACAGACAGTAATAACCACACCTCTAGTATCATCCCAATAAAATCCACTAATTAGGGCACTACCTTTCCTATCATTTTCAGCCCATAGGGCCCCACCCAGTCCCCTAATTACAACAGTCCACAGGGCACAACCCCAGAAACAAACAAGGAAGTCCTTCTCCACCAGCTCTTCCTTAGTTTTCTGCCAGTTTACGGAGTGGCACTGTCTTTTATTCCAAAATAAACTGTGTTTGGGTTTGGAAATTAATTGTCACCTCTTTTTAAATGATATTTTGAGGCTCTGCATTTAACAGCATTTGCAATTATCAGAGGCTACCTAGGTGAGATTCATGGGCTGTTATAGAGCTAGAGGGGTACAGTCCTTGAGGAAGCAAGGAGTTTGCAAAGAAACTATACTCACACACGCACACACATAAATGTTCACAGATGTGTGAATTGGGCAGGGCACAATGGCTCATGCCTGTAATCCCAGCACTTTGGGAGGCTAAGGCGGGTGGATCATGAGGTCAGGAGTTTGAGACCAGCCTGGCCAATATGGTGAAACCCCGTCTCTACTAAAAATACAAAAAAATTACCTGGGTGTGGTGGCACTCTCCTGTAGTCCCAGCTGCTCGGGAGGCTGAGGCAGGAGAATTGCTTGAACCTGGGAGATGGAGGTTGCAGTGAGCTGAGATCGCGCCACTGCACTCCAGCCTGGGTGACAGAGCAAGACTCTGTCAAGAAAAGGAGAAGAAGAAGAAGAAAAAGAAGAAGAAGAAGAAGGTGGTGGTGGTGGTGGTGGTGGTGGTGGCGGTGGTGTGTGAATTGGCTTCAGAAGCTTTCCAACTCTTCAAAACAAAGTGTCAGTTCTTCTCCAGGTGATTTTTAAAGTTTACCTGGGATTAAGGCACCTCAGGACCTAAGTTAAATTTATTTCCAGTCTCCTTCCCATGTCAGGCTGGTACCTACATAACACTTTCCTGAAGACTGGAAAAAGGGAGTACAAATGATAGCCTAAAAAAAATAGGGAGTGCCAGCAGATGAATTTTGGGTAAATTTATGCTATCTCAGGGAGCATAGGATCGGGGTCGGGCAGTGGAGATGAAATTGCGGATGAGAGGCTATTAAAAAGTAGAGAGAAGTTCTTGAATGTAAAAGTTTGGATACAAAATTGGAGTGGCCCTGGGAGACATTATCTATGCAAGTTGTTGAACTATTTTTTCTAGAAATTCTGTTAGAAAAGAAAGTATTTTTCTAGACTGGCTTAAGTTTAATTCTCTCTAGAGGCAACAGAATGAATTGCATGACCTTTATATGGACACTGATTTTTCTTTTTTTCCAATTCTCTGATCCCTACTCCCTGGCACAGGACCTGAAAGGGGCATGATTTCTGTTGGCCTTTCCCTTTTATTCATCATATCCTTTAAAAGTCACCTTCTCTACAAAGCCTTTACAAACAAACTAGAAATAGATTTCAGAACCCCTTTTTGTCTGAAGGAAGGGAGGAGAATTGACATTTATGAGTTCTTCCTAAGTGCCAGCTTGGTCTAGTTTCCTTTGTTTATCTTATTTTATGAATTTTCATGAGAATGGTGCTTGTTTTCTACTTACTTGGTATCTTTCATTTATGCCTATCTTTTCAGGTGAGGAAATTTTAGAAAGATTAAGTAATTTACCCTCTGCTCATGTAGCTATTAATTAACTGCAAACGTAGACAATAATCTTTTCCTTTTACCATGCTGTTTCTAAACTCCATTTCTTTGAGGCTGGGCACAGTGGCTTACACCTGTAATCCCAGCACTTTGGGAGGCGGAGGCGGGTGGATCACTTGAGGTCAGGGGTTTGAGACCAGCCTGGTCAACATGGTAAAACTCCATCTCTACTAAAAATACAAAAATTAGCCATGTGTGGTGGCAGGTGCCTGTAATCCCAGATACTCAGGAGGATGAGGCAGAAGAATTGCTTGAACCTGGGAGGCCGAAGTTGCAGTAGGCTGAGATTGCGCCACTGCACTGCAGCCTGGATGACAGAGTGAGTGAGACTATATCTCAAAACAAAACGAAACAAAAAAAAAATGGAGATTTTTTTGGCATGCACATAGATAGACACACAGACACAAGCATGAGCGGACAGACATACAAAAGCTGTTCTCAACACTGAACTACATATAAAGACTTTTACCTTTTAAATTTGTATTAGATATCCAAACTATTTATAATGACTATTTTGTGCTGTATATGGTTGGGGTCAAATATTGAGATTATATATTTTCTTTTAATGATATTGTCAATTCCTCAAGGGAAGGGACCACATTTTCATTCATTTCCATTCCTCCTCTCACCAGTCCCCAGGCCCTAGCACTTGCATCAGTAGCCATTCAGTACATGTTTCAAAACTGACCAAGGACATGGGACCTGTCTATTGAAATTGCTTTTTCACAGTCTTCAAAAATCCTGGCAAGAAAGCCCATGAGAGTGTTTCCCATTTGTAAAGGAGAACCCACTGCAGATGCCTTTCATTAGATTGGCATTTGGCATCTGGCATCAAAACTGCTTTTTCAAAAACGAAGTTTTTCCCGACCAGTGTTCCAGCTTAGAATTCTGAATATCCTAAAAGGAACTGGAAGTCTTTGTCAACAGCTGAGGATATGGCTGGGCTCTTGTGGCTCTGGCCTTGTCAAAGCCCTTTTCAAGGCTGTGAGATCATAATGCATGATGAGTCAGGACGGGGACTAATGGCCCAGTGACATCAGGCTGAGCCATTGCAGGGATCTAAATATGACACAGACAGTCTATGCCCTGTTTTGCATATCTTACAGGATTCGAACTGCAAGTGGTAATAAACTAGATTTTAAAACTATTTCCCTTATGTTACCAGGTTAGACTTTTTTGCTATCCCCTCATGGACACTGACTAAAGCAGTGTGTTAGGATCCTGGTGGGAAAATGGGAGTGTATGCTAATGGAGTAATTAAGAAGAGTATTTTAAAAAATATATATATATATATATTTTTGTTTTTAGAGACTGGGATGCTGCTGAGGAGTATAGTAGCTCTCCACAGGGACAGTCCCACCATTGATCAGCACGGGAGTTTTGACTTGCTCCATTTCCAATCTGGGCAGGTTTATCCATCTTTAGGCAGTGTGGTTGGTGGTCCCCTGTTCCCAGGAGGTTGTTATATTGACGCCGACCATTGGAACATTAGTGTGGACACCTGATCAGCATAGTACACTACAGCCCAGATTTCTTGGGTTTAAGCAGTCCTTTTGCCTTGACCTCCCATGTAGTTGGGACTAAAGGTGCATGCATTAAAAAAAAAGTGATTAAAAAAGGTATGTAAATTATACTTTTATGGGAATGGGCAGAGTTAAGGGAAACCAACCATGGACAGAGCAGGAACCTGGGGTTAGCAGCACCAGGGCACAGGTACCACCCTGGCCTGAAGGGGCAAGAAGAAGGATTGGTTACTGGATCCTAGAGAAAGTAACTGCACACAGAGGGCACTGTGGTCTTGGGGTAGAAACAGAAATTCACCTTGAAAGGAAGGAGCTAGGGAAATCAATTCCCTGACCCCACTCTCTATTGGCTGGACACAGAAGCCAGAGGGCAAGTAACTCATGATGCAGTCCATAGAAGTCAGCCTTTCTGGGCACAGGGAAGTGTGAATTAAGGTGAAGATGAACCTGCTGGTAGATAGAAATGTCCAGCAAAGCGACTTTCCTCAAATATTCTTGCTTGGGAACTATTTCTATTGGTTGTTAACAAATGTTCTTTAACAAAAATAAAGAGAGTTGTAGGAGTGGATTCAGCATGGAAAATCATAGTTAAATAAAGTTAAACAGGTCTCTTCAGTATTTCTTGGGAGCTCTAAAATGCAAATGTGTGTTGTGGTTCTTTAATGAAAATGGTCTATTTCCTAAACGTAGTGGGTCTTGCAGTCCTTTATTCAGAGACGTATCTCAGGGACTTGCATTACTAAGAACTTGCTTTAGTTTAAAACTCACTGATTACAGCAAAGATATCCAAAGAAACAGACTGAAATAATAATGATAAAGAAATCAGGAGATCTTGGAAATGGTTGTTGCTAAGTTATAGACAATAACATAACTTTTAGCAGTTAATGGAAAGTCACCCCAAACCAAAAGGGAAAGTCACCTTGTATTTCACTTCTCTGTGTTTGGCTTTAACACGAAGGAGTGAGAGGCCTCACATACAGAAGGCCTTGCCAGTTCCCCCATGATGTCAGCCCCCACATGGATCCACTGGTGACATTGTCCCTCTCTTCTTTTTTCCTAAGACTGTGAAAAATGCCAGTTTCCTCTCAGCATCACCCCTAGTTGCCCCATTATCCTCTGCATTTAGGTGTGCGGCCTGTCTGCCCCTGGCAGCAGGACAGCCTGACTCTCAGGCCAGTGGAACTGGCCATTGAGTCAACTTATTTGGGTTTTCCTTGTCACTCAGCTCTCTGAGGCACAGTGTGGGAAAACCCATTAACCAACCAACAGCTTACCCCATTGATTGATCATCGATTGCATAAATAGTAGTTTTCTAGCTAATGATGACTAACAATCACCTATTTATATAGTCTTTTACCATTCTGAAAGATTTCTGTGTGATTTCTCACGCCTCACAACAGCTCTGTGAGACATAACTGTGGCCCTTTACCAACAGGGAAACCGAGTCTCAGGGAAGTAAAGTGACTTATCCAAGGTCATTTGGCAACCCTGGGAATGGAAACTGAGTATTTTGGTCCATAAATTGATGCTTTCTCTACCTTGTTGGCTATGTAATATGAGGAGGAGAACTGTTATCTGAAACCCAAACTGCTTTAAGGGATGTGGCATAAACTCAAACAAAGAATCTACCTTTCGAGTGCTTCCTTTCTCTTGCAGTACTAGAGGGAGAGAGAAAAGAGAGGTTACATTTTCAAGCCTATTTCTGGTTCTCTGTTGCCACTAAAAGGATAGCACCTGGCCTGGCCTGTCCAGGGCTTGGCAGGGCACAGTAATGAATCTTCAGTTGTGCAGTGGTGTGTCAAGAACCATCTAGGGGAGATGGAGATGAATTCATCTGCATTAAAAACTGAACTGAATTTGGGATGAAAAGAAACCAAGGATAAGCAGGCAGAAAACAAAGAATAAGAAGGTCTCAGTCAAGATGGAGGTGTCAAAGGCGTGGCAGGGGGGTCACTGGGAACGTGGCAAAAGGAAAGTCCACCGTCTGATTGGAAATGTTTAGACTTTGGGCCTCTGTAATTCTTTTCAGAACCTCACTTGAGCCTGTGTAGGGGGTGTTTTGAAGGAAATCAATGGAAAGCAGCTGCGTGCTGCTGGTGGGTGCAGTCCGAGTGGAATAGTAAGGCGACCCATTCACCGCACTAATCCAGGGAGCGTGTGCTTCAAGATGGAAGTGATGGGGAAGAAGAGAAGATCCAGAGGGCCCCCTCCTGACCCAAGAACCCCCAGAAGATGTAGAGGCACAAGTGCTACCACTCACGTGGGATAGAGCCAAACAATTGCTTGGGCTCCCCAAACAGCCAAATACTTTAACATTTGGGTAATTGCTACATGTCTTTCAGTTGGGCCATCACAGTGGTATGATTATTTCAGAGGAATTCCTGGCTCCCAGACACCCACTTTCCAAGCCTCAAGCACTAAGAGTCTCCCGTCATGTTCCCGTCAGTGAGAAGACCCTTGCTTCTGCTTTACGCTCCTCACTCCAAAAGCGCTTTATGTTGTGATACTTGCAGTTACAGAAGGGCTGCTTCTGTTTGTTTGTTTGACAAAGTGCTCAGCCTCAGTTGACCTGGGCAGGGCTACCGAGCGCCTGACAGAAGGTGGCCTTCTCTTGTGAATTCTGTGCCTATCCACGGCCTTATTCTCACTGCTTCCCAGGAAGCACCGACTCTGTACACTGGATGGGACCTCCCAGGACTCCACACTTCTCTGGGATGCTTGCTGGCTAATCTTCTGTCTTCTGCCCTTCTACAAAGTGTACTTTTCCCACTATTCACTTTTCCCATTTGGTTAAGACCTTGTTTCAGAGGTTTTAGCTACTGTATCTAGAAAATATCACCCAGGAACATACAGCGCCCTGCGACACATGAGCACAGAGTAGATTATGGAATGATCTACCTGCAGAAGCTGACAAATGCCCTCCTCCGAGATGTCCATGCCCTCATCCTCAGAACCTGTGACTATGTTATCTTACATGGTAAAATGAAGAAAAGGAAAATGCAAGATAAATGCTTGATTCTGTATCTTTATTTACCAATTATTTTTAAATGAGCTGGTTTCCTAGTATTTGTCAACAGGAATAATAAATTTTCAAAAGTCATTATTTTTATGAACTCATGAATCTAGTTCATTGCAGTAAAATTAATGCTTATTAATGCAGTAAAAAATGCTTATTAATGCTCAGATTTTCCCATCTTTTAAAAAAGATGGGAAAACAAGTGGGATCCCGTTCAGATTGGCTTCTGGGTCCATTGACATGACTCTTGGAATCTGGTAGCTTCCTTGTTTTTCTAATAAGATATTCAGACTTATTTGACATTTCTTGCCTTAGACCTAGAGTCAGCCATTTCTTCAAGGAGTCCTTTTAGTACAAAACAGTATTTAGAGGCAACAATGTGGGCACTAAGGGTGTTCAATGCTGTTGGATTAGTCACTAATTTTTAGGTCTTTTCAATAGCACTAAGAAAAACTTTTTAAAAATTAAAGATAAAAATACATCAGAAGTTCATACTGATACTTGCAATTCAATCCAAGACTACAGTGTTTAACCTAACCTCATTGATTTTACATCTGTATCTCATTCTTTCTAGGCCAAAAGTCCTAAATCTTAACAATACCAAGAAACTTATTCTGAGGCTGTATTCCATAACACACACACACACACACACACACACACACACACACACACCCAGTCTCAAAATACCTACACCAGCATTACCATCAACAATATGATGACTAATAAACAATTTGAGATGTTTTGCAGCTCTTTCTCTCTTTTTTTTTTTTCTGGTCATAGTTTATATCTTGCTTGGGTGTCTAGTAACCTGCTGATAAAGTTTGTATATTTCTCCCTGCCCAAATATCATACTGAATTGCAATCCCCATTATTGGAGGTGGGGTCTGGTGGGAGGTGACTGGATCGTGGGGGTGGGTTTCTCATGAATGGTGTAGCACCTTCTTCTTGGTGCTGTCCTCACAATAGTGAGTGAGCTCTTGTGAGATCTGTTGTTGAAAAGCGTGTGGCGCCTCCCACTCTCTCTCTTGCTTCTGCTTTCCCACGTGATGTGCCTGCCCCTGCTTTGCCTTCTGCCATGAGTAAAAGTTCCCTGATGCCGCCGGGCGCGGTGGCTTACGCCTGTAATCCCAGCACTTTGGGAGGCCGAGGCGGGTGGATCACGAGGTCAGGAGATCGAGACCATCCTGGCTAACACGGTGAAACCCCGTCTCTACTACAAAATACAAAAAAAATTAGCCGGGCGCGGTGGTGGGCTCCTATAGTCCCAGCTACTTGGGAGGCTGAGGCAGGAAAATGGCGGGAACCCAGGAGGTGGAGCTTGCAGTGAGCCGACATGGCGCCACTGCACTCCAGCCTGGGCTACAGAGAGAGACTCAGTCTCAAAAAAAAAAATTCCCTGCTGCCTCCCCAGAAGCCGAGCAGATGCCAGTGCCATGACTGTACAGTTTGCAGAATCATGAGCAGATTAAACCTCTTTTTTTTTAAAATAAATTATCCAGTCTCAGGTATTTCTTTATAGTAATGCAAGAACAGCCTAGCACATGTACTGTATTTTAAAGTCATTTGAAATAGCTCTTGGCCAGGCTCAGTGGCTCATACCTGTAATCCCAGCACTTTGGGAGGCTGAGGCGGGTGCATCACTTGAGGTCAGGAGTTCTAGACTAGCCTGGCCAACATGGTGAAACCCCGTTTCTACAAAAAATACAAAAATTAGCCAGGTGTGGTGGCACATGCCTGTGGTTCTAGCTACTCTGGAGGCTGAGGCAGGAGAATCGCTTGAACACAGGAGGCAGAGGTTGCAGTGAGTCGAGATCGCACCACTGCACTTCAGCCTGGGCAGCAAAGTGAGATTCATCTCAAAAAAAAAAAAAAAAGAAATAGCTCCTATGTGGTTATGCCACCAATTCCATACAGTGTCAAATTCTTCTATTTCATTTTGGTTTTTATCTTTAGGAATTTAAAACATTTTAATTTCAAAATTGCATAAAATATTTACATAGTCCCTAACTCAAATCTATAAACCACGGTGCATTTAGAAAAGTCTAGCTTCCATTTCTGTATTTTTTTTACCCTATTCTTTCCCCTTCCATTTAAAAATAGTTTTGTTCTTCCCTTCCATTTTAAAACATAAGCAAATATATATTTGCTATATTCCCCTTTTCCAGATAAGTTATGCAAACTTTTTTTAAAAATAGACTTTATTTTTTAGAGCAGTTTTAGGTTTACGAGAGAGTTCCCATATGCCCTCTACCCCCACACATGCATATCTCTTAGGATGAACATCCCCTACCAGAGTGGACCATTTGCTACAATGGATGAACCAACATTGACACATCATTATCATCCAAAATCTATAGTTTACGTTAGGGTTCACTCTTGGTGTTGTACATTCTATGGGTCTGGACAAAGGTAAAATTACATGTATCTACCACTATAGTATCGTACAGAATAGTTTCACTGCCCTAAAAATCCTCTGTGTTCCAGCTATTCATTCTTCTCTCTCTCTAACTCAGCTATGCAAACTTTATAAACCTTTTTTTTAAAACCCAGCAACCTGGAGATCACTGCAGGCTATTGAGACCTCCCCCATTTCTTTTTATACTTAGAGTCCTCTGCAGTGTATGCAATGTGTGGCAGTATAAATTACTCCATTTCTGTGCATTTAACTGGCTACATTACACAATTGCATTATACGGATACAAGATTTATTTTGCCAATCCCTTATTATAAGTTATTTAGGTTTTTACAGAAATTGTATTTGCTCATAATCAACACTGAGATGAGTTTTAAATATATACACATTCTGCTTGAACTTCTGACTATATCACTAGAATGGGTTTCTATCTAAAAAGTTACTGAGTACATCACACAGCTTTTGCAAAACAAACTAGGCCAAAACTTACTGACTTAAAATAACCACAATTGTTTACCTCACAGTTCTGGGGTCAGTAATTTAGGTTGGCTTCATCTAGATGGTTCTTACAATCTAGACAGGGCTGAACCATGCATTTGTAGTTAGGGGCTAGATGGGGCAGGGGCTAGCTTGTTTAAGCTGGAGGCAGCTAGGACAGCTTGTCTCTGCTTCATGTGGTCTCATCCTTCAGCAGGCTGGCACTGGCTTGTCACATTAGAGTTGGACAGGGTTCCAAGAGAGCAAGCAGAAGTGTGCAAGGCTTAAAATTGGCACATCCTCATTTCTGGTGCATTCTATTGTCTAAGTCAGTCACAAGGCCAGCCCAGATTCAAGGAGTGGGGAACTAGACTCCATCCTTTGATAAGAGGAGCTATATAAATGACATCCTAACACAGGGAGGGGCAGAGATGCAGGGCCAGTTTGAAAGCAATCTACAACTTCAAGTCAAAGAATATGAACTTTTATAAGCTCCTAGTATGTACTGGAAGGTTTCCAGTCTTTTATTTTTTATTTATTTATTTATTTTTGAGATAGGGGCCTCAGTCTGTCACCCAGGCTGGAGTGCAGTTGTGCTATCTTGGCTTACCACAGCCTTGACCTCCTGCGCTCAGGTTATCCTCCTACCTCTGCTTCCTGAGTAGCTGGGACTACAGGTGCACATGCCATCATGCCTGGCTAATTTTTTTATTTTTCAAGAAGACAAGGCCTCACTACATTGCCCAGGTTGATCTTGAACTCCTTAGGCCCAAGCAATTCTCCCGTCTCGGGCTTCCAAAGTGTTGGGATTACAGGCGTGAGCCACTGCACCAGGCCTTCATTCTTTTATCCTCTTTTTCCCATATGACAGAATTTCACTCAGTGTAAATAGGCTGCCCTCCATTTCCATCTGGGCATAAATCCCTAGGGGCAATCATGAGTATTAATAAAATTATAGGAAGTATGCACTTGGAGCCTCACTTGCCTGAAGTGCCTATGAGGTGAATCCATGCAATGCATAGCTCAACAAATTCAACCTCAACAAATTCAACCTGGTTGCCTAACGTGGGTATAAGGATTCCATTTTGCTCATGGCCCAGTCTGGTAGACCATATTTCTGGGAAGGCAGTATCAGTATCTGGATTTGATTTGAATCAAATTACAATTACTCTGGAGCTACTCCAGGTTATACCCCAATATTCATACCGTCTCCACCTTCTCTTCTAGCTCCTCATGGAGTGATCCGGATCAGAGTAGAAGGACTCTCCAGCTGGCAGAGCAGAGGCAGCAGTGCCCTGGGAGACAGGGGAGTGGATTCTACCCCGTCTCTGCTACTTTCTAGCTGATATGGTTTGGCTCTGTGTCCCCACCTAAATCTCACGTTGAATTGTAATCCCCAATGTTGAGAGAAGGACCTGGTGGAAGGTGATTGAATCATGGGGGTGAACATTCTCCTTGCTGTTCTTGTGACAGAGTTCTCATGAGATCTGGTTGTTTGAAAGTGTGTAGCACTTCCCTGCTTTGCTGTCTCTCTCTCTCTCTCTCTCCTTCCTTACTGTGTGAAGATTGTACCTACTTCCCCTTTGCCTTCCACCATGATTGTAAGTTTCCTGAGGTCTCCCCAGCCATGCCTCCTGTCTAGCCCGCAGAACTGTGAGTCAACTAAATCTCTTTTCTCCATAAATTACTCAGTCTCAGGTATATCTTTATAACAGTGTGAGAACAGATTGATAGACTAGCTTTGTGTCATTAGAGAATCGTCATCTTTCTGAGCCTCAGTTTCCTCATCTGTAAAATTGAAAGAATAATCCCTACCTCATGGAGTCGAGATGAGGATTTGATGTAATATGGTGTAATATAATACAGTAAAAGAACCCCTTCCCTTTACTCCCAGCTTTAATATTTGAGGACAACTCCTAGCTGGCAAGAGGCGTGGGAGAAGTAGAGTAAATCTTCCGTTAGGCCTCAAGTGTCTCAGACCTCTCAAGACACAAGGACCAGGGCTTCCCTTTGTCTAAGCATCTGGCTGGTGGCAATGAACATTTTATAGATGTAAGTAGTTGCTTTAAGGAATTTCAGCAATGACATAGTTCAGGTCAAAGATTTAAAGAACACGGTGCGCAGACCTGGGCTGAAGCTGTGGCTGGCCACGCTACTTCCTTAATGTAGATGAGCGTTTGTGCAAGACCTCATCCATGGAGGCTGCTGCCTCTTCACAAACCCCACCTTCACCACTGCAGGCTCATGCAGGTGTCAAGTGGCACCAGGAGAGCAAATTTGTTTGGTTAAATGTCTGACTCATCATTCATAGCTTGACAGGTTTCTGAGCTTGCTTCAGACTTGACTTGAAAGAAAAAGGTGGGAGCTGGCAGAGAGGAAATAGGATCCTTTTATTACAGAACACTTTCCTGAGGGGTTGTTTTCTTGAATGTTAATCCAGACCCAGGTTGTTATTCTAAAGGTGCACTGGAGCCAAACTTCAGGATGGAGCTCAGCTGTTAACCCATTAGTGACTCACCCAATCATGGAGACCCAGGGATTTGTGTGAGGGCTGAGATGCTGCAAGACCTGCTGATTGGGAGCCAAGGATTCTGACTTTTCTCTGCAGACTGAAGGTTCCCTTTCGTCATTTGCCCTTCAGACCTGGAATCCTTGCTTATCAGTGGGAAGTGGCTGTCTGCTGGATCCCATTTGATATCCCTGAGCCTGGGAACTATCTGGTAATGAGTTTCATCTGGAACTAAGTCTGGACCAATATGGATTGTCATTTGCATGGGGTGTATGGTGGCTACCCTGAATGCCAAGTGAAATAAATGTGAAAGCAAAAACACAGGCCCCACCAGTGAGGGTCAGGGGATGTTACTCAGCAAGGTTAGCAAACTACAACACACAGGTCAAATCCAGCCTGCTGTCTGTTTTTTATAAATAAAATTTTATTGGAACGCAGTCACGCTCGTCTTTTTAAATGTATTGCCTATGGCTGCTTTTGTGCTAAAGTAGTAGAGTGCAGTGGCTGTGACAGAGACTGCATGACTGGCAAAGCCAAAAATGTTTACTACCTGGCCCTGGGTTAGGAAAATGCTCACCAACCCCTGGGTTAGATGCACCCTTCCAGAAACACAACCCCTTTCCTACTGACCAGCCCTGTGGACATGCTTTCTCTAGCCAGTGTCCATCTTGAATGCAGGTAACGGCCTGGCCTCAGAGCTGAGGGCACCTGGTGCTGGGCCCATGGCCCTTCAGAGGCTAGCAAACCAGTGCTTCCACAGAAGGCTCAGGAAGATGGGGTGGAGGGTGTGGTGGGCAGCTCCTCTCTGCTGGGCAGCTCCTCTCTGCTGTTGACCCTCACTGGATTCATCATCTAGGGTGTTCTAGTAAGTAATGAAGAAACAAAGAAATTCCTTTGATCAGGGCTATATAAATTTCCTAGGGCTGGTGTAACAAAGTACCACAAACAGACTGACCTACACAAAAGGAACTTATCATCTCAGCTGGGCGCTGTGGCTCACACCTGTAATCCCAGCACTTTGGGAGGCCGAGGCAGGCAGATCACCTGAGGTCAGGAATTTGAGACCAGCCTGGCCAACATGGTAAAACCCCGTCTCTACTAAAAATACAAAAATTAGCCGGGCGTGGTGGTGCATGCCTGTAATTCCCAGCTACTCAGGAGGCTGAGGCCGGAGAATCGCTTGAACCTGGGAGGCGGAGGTTGCAGTGAGCCAAGATTGCGCCATTGCACTCCAGCCCGGGTGACAGAGCGAGACTCTGTCTCAAAAAAGAAAAAAAAAAAAAAGAAATTTATTATCTCACAGTTCTGGAGGCCAAAATCCAAAAATCAAGATGTGGGCCGGCCATACTCCCTCTGATAGTGCTAGGAAAGGATCTGCTCCAGGCCCTTCTCCTGGCTCTGGTAGTTCCTTCGTTTACAGATGATGTTGTCTTTGTTTGTTTCCATTGTCTTCCCTCTGTTTGTCTCTGCATCCAAATTTTCCCCTTTATTAAGGACTCAGTCACGTTGGATTAGAGCCTACCCCAAACACTTTATTTTAACTAATTACACTTGCAACGATCCTGTTGCAACCTCACATTCTGAGGTACCAGGGGTTAGAAGTTCAACATACGAACTTTAGAGGTGGTGGGGGGGCGGTACAATTCAACCTAGAGCAGGAGCTCTGTGTCACTGCAAGGCCTATGTCATACAATAACACGAAAATCTTATGACTGCGATAAAGAGAAAAAAAATCTGTAACATATGGCTCAATAATTGGTGATTAAACTTCTATTCTGTACAAGCTACGATGCTCCATTCTGAATCATTTAAACTTTATGAGAACCCTTTGCAAATGAGAAAATGAGTCCCAAGGTGTTTAATTTCTCAAACAGTAGAGCAGATTTCAAACCCTGGTCTGCCTGGTTTTGAAACCCTCTCCCTGTTCACTAGGCCAGTAGTTCTCAAACTATTATCCTGGAACCAGTGATACCAGGATCACCTGGCAACTTGTTAGTAATGCAAAGCTTCAGGCCCCACCTCACACATACTGAACCAAAAACTCTGCTACAGTAGCAGAAGGGGACTGTGGCCAAAGTTCTGGAATCCATGAATTGGGCCAGGCCTGAGAGCAGGCAGGTTGACATTTATTAGCTACGTAAGTGCCAGGCACATGGCTGATTGGCTTCATTTAGGCTGTTTTATATGATTGTGGTAGGCAGAAAATGGCATCCCCAAAAGGTCCAAATCCTAATCCCCAGAACCGTGAAGGTGTTCCCTTACATGGTAAAAGCGTCTTTGCAGATGTGATGAAATTAAAGATCTTGAGATGGGCAGATTATCTTGGGTTCTCTAAGGGGGGCCAACAAAATCTCAAGGTCTTTATCAAGGAAAGAGGTAGGGAGGAAAGTCAGTTAGAGAATGTGTGAGGATGCTTACACTGGTGGCCTTGAAGATGGAAGTAGGGGCCACGAGCCCAGGAATGGAGACAGCCTCTAGAAGTTGGGAAAGGCAAGGAAATGAATTCTCCCCTAGAGCCTACAGAGAGAGAGAGCTGCCAACACCTTGATTTTATCCCAGTGAAATCCATTTTGGACTTCTGACCTCTGAAACTGTAAGATAATAAATGTGTTATTTTAATCTACTATGTGTGGTAATGTATTCATTTGTTACAGCAGCAACAGGAAACAGATACACTGTATCTGATTGGTTAATGTGTTTCGATCCAGGCAAATATCCAACTTCAAGCTACAAAAGCCAATGCCCGCAGCAGCCTTGTTCCTGGCAACCAGACCTCTCCACTGCTGAATCAGAAAGCTATTAATAGTCCAAAGACCCACCATCCACGGAGGCCAACTTGGCCTTCTCCAACAAGGAAGCTAACAGGTAATAGCGGTTTCAATGACATGGAGTCTAAACCAGTGGGTCTCGGGCTGTGATGTGCATACAAATCACCTGCAAAGCTGATTAGAATGTAGGTTCCGAGGCTGGGCACGGTGGCTCACACCTGTAATCCCAGCACTTTGGGAGGCCGAGGCGGGCAGATCACGAGGTCAGGAGATTGAGACCATCCTGGCTAACATGGTGAAACCCCGTCTCTACTAAAAATACAAAAAAATTAGCCAGGTGTGGTGGCAGGCGCCTGTAGTCCCAGCTATTTGGGAGGCTGAGGCAGGAGAATGGCGTGAACCCGGGAGGCGGAGCTTGCAGTGAGCAGAGATCGCGCCACTGCACTCCAGCCTGGGCGACAGAGCGAGACTCTGTCTCAAAAAAAAAAAAAAAAAAAAAAAAGAATGTAGGTTCCGCTTCAGAAGGCCTGGCATTCTTCATTTCTAACAAGCTCCCACCGGGTGATGTTATTGGCTGTCAGGGGCACGTGCATAGCAAGCCATGGATGCCTACTCATCAGAGACCACCACCTCCTCAGAGTCCCTCTGCATTTACGGGTCTAGGTGAGGGCTTTCAAAATCGGATGGGTCGTCAGCCTCACCTGGGCGCCTGTCAACAAAGGGTGGACTCCACCCCGGGCCTGCAGAACCAGGAATCTACAAGTCTATTGGGCGCCTCCATTCTGAGGCCAGTGGTTTATGCACAGGTGTTTGAACACAACTGCTTGAAATCACAAAAGCAAACAACTCCTCAACAGATTACCTGCACCTCCATTCTGAGTTTGTACAGAATCAGTGCCATTATCTGAAATATGAAATACTTATCCCCTGATCACTCCTCTTTCCTCCTCATCTTAGGACCTCAAGCACTTCAAAGCCTGAGCGAACCCCCCAGAGAAGGTGGCTTGGCCACAGAGGGAGCCCCACAGAGACCCCTGCGAGGCTGAGCAGGGGGACACTGAGCTCCCACTGCAGGGTCAGGGCCAGCTAAACTCTATGGCTTCCTTGCTTTCTGGATCCCAAGCTCTCACCTCCAGCCAGACATTACTAGTGTGAATTCCACCTCCTTTTGCTGGGGAGGGCAAAGTGCAGCAGCCTGCAGGTACAATTTACTCCAGCATGGGCTCATAAAACACTGCAAATGAAACTTCAAAGGCCGTGGGCAGCCACCGCCCATGGGTCCACCTTTCTCCAACCCTCATTAGCCGCCCACCCTTGGAGTTCTCCTCCAGGGTGATCTCAGCTCCCTTCCCTACCCCACCCTCTATTAAGGCTTCCATTAAGTAAGCTGGTTTTATGACATCAGCAGTGATTAAACTGACCTGATTTCTCCCAGGCTGGCAGAGTCAAGAGCCCGAGTCAATAGGAAACCAGTTCCAAGGGACTCAGCTAAGCCACTCAGAGAAAAAAAGACCTGAGCTTTATTCGGAGAGGAAAAAAAAAAAAAATGGTATGCAGCTGCAGCTTACCCCGCATGACACTGCACAGAATCCCAAAGAAATAGAGCGGGAGAGACCCAGCCGTGCCTGCAGCCTGCCCCTCTCTCGGCTTGTGGCTAGGATTAGGGAAATGCTCTGACCTATACACATGGATGGACATTTGCTCAAAAGAGTTGGTATAACTAGCACTATTTCCCTTGGGGACAGTGGCAGCCTCCTGCCAGGTCATCTTGTTTGCTGGGCTTACTCTGGGATTTGCCAGCCCCATCCTTCCACCTAGGTCTCCTCGGACCCACCACACTGCCTCTGGCTTCTTTTTTCATGCTTTGTCCCACACCTGGAGTAGCTTTTTTTTTTTTTTTTTTTTTTTTTTTGCCTTATCTAGTAAACTCCTACTCATCCCTCAAAACCCTGCTCAGGCTTTGATTCGTCCAAAAATCCTTCCTCCCCTCACCCCCAGCCAGAATTACTTTCATGCATATAATTCCGTTTGTTCTGGCCTCAAAGTGTGGTCCCTGGACTGGAAGCTTCAGAATCATCTGGAAATGTGCTAGAAATGCAGGCTCCCAGGCCTCCCCTACCACTCCTTTACAAGTACACAAGGTTAGTGCTTCCGTGGAACACCCATCTCTATAGCATCCTGTGCTTTCCCCCTTTGGCACTGCTCACAACTGTCATTCTTGGATTCTTTGTTTAATATCTTCCCCCCCACCCCCTCCGCCATAGACGAAGTTCCCCAAGACCCAGATTGTGTTTCTGCTCCTGCATCCTTGGTGCCAGCCAGTGCCTGCAACGTTGTAGGGGCACTTCCCCTCTGGGCTCATCATCCTCAGCTCAGGTGCTACTTCATCCTTGCCTGCAAACCTCCAGGTCCTACCCATGGTTTCCTTCCATAAGCATGGGAAGTCGCAGGCAGCAGGGCTCTGGCAGCCTGACCTGACTTGCCAGAGCTTAAGACCTGGCCTGTGTGGGTTAATGATGAAAGCGCTGCCGGGGAGTTTTCACGTGGCTATTTTATACGTCCATCTCCATTGCCCAAGTCCCATTGGATGCCCCCTGCTTTCTTTTGGTTCCTGGGCACATAGTGAGTGCTTTCATTCCTGACTGTAGGTTTCCTGACATGATCTGGTCAGAATAGGGGAATTCTTCATGATAGGTGATTCGCTGTACAAAGTAGTGTTTTAGCAGCTACTGTGTGCCAGGCAGATCCCAGGTGCTAAGGACAGAACTTCGAACAAACAGTAAAAACTCCAGCCTCCTGGGGCTTACATTCCACCGTATGTCCCTGTATTTGTGTTAAAAGAACAGAGTAATGTGTTGCCAGTAAGTAACATTTTCCTGGACTTTAGAAACTGCATTCCCTGTGAAAGTGAGCTGTGGGTTGCTCTGGAGATGTGGCCTGTGTCTCTGAAAAGTTGTCAAAGTTTTCCCTAAGGATTCTAGGAGTCTATCCTTGAGGTAATACCTCAAGGATTTAGTAAGTCTCTGGTTTCTAGGGTGTGGTATTCACAGTGGTGACAAACATTATTGTAAGAGAATGTTCTACCCTTGAGAACTCATCTGGGGATGGGAAGAAAGCCAAAAAGTAAACTGCTTCGTTCTCTAGTTTAATCTGCCTGTTACATGGTCTCCTAGAAGCCTGTATCTTCTCTTCAAAGCACTTCATTGTTTATATGACTATTAGTTTTATCTCTTCCCTCCTCTTTCCTCTCTCTCCTCTCCTGATTGCCTTCTTTCCTCTCCTCCTCCTCCTCCTTCTCCTTCTTCTTCTCCTCTTCTTCATTCTCCTCCTTCTCCTTCTTCTCCTCCTCCTCCTCCTTCTCTTTCTTTCTCCTTCTACTTCCTTTCTCCTTCTCTCCTCCTGTCTCTCTTGTTCACTGATTATTTCTGTCATGCAGCATGTGCCTACACATGCTGGTGTTCTGTCAAATCGGGGGATAAAGGTGGGGAGTGAATCTTGAGATTATCTTTAGACCTGCAATGCTTGTGCATTTGATATTTTTATTTTGGGGCAGAGGAATTTTTTTTTTGGAGATGAAGTCTCGCTTTGTCACCCAGGCTGGGGTACAGTGGTGTGATCTTGGCTCACTGCAACTTCCGCCTTTCAGGCTCAAGCTATTCTTCTGCCTCAGCCTCCCGAGTAGCTGGGATTACAGGCATGTGCTACCATGCCTGGCTAATTTTTGTATTTTTAGTAAAGATGGGGTTTCACCAGTTTGGCCAGGCTAGTCTTGAACTACTGACCTCAAGTGATCCACCTGCCTCAGCCTCCCAAAATGCCAAAATGCTGGGATTACAAGCTTGAGCCACCATGCCTGGCCAGGCAGAAGAATTTTATTTTTGAGATTTATGACCTAATGCAGCCCTTACCAATATTCTTAACACTCTCCTTTTAAGTTTTTGAGTAAGCCTGTTTCATTGCAAGTCATCATTGCCAGCTTCAGGTGTTTGACCCAAAGAAGGATATTTGTATTCCGCTTTGAGCTACGGCTCTACTTAATTAAGTAATCTTAAGTAGATGCTCCTGCCTCAGAAGGCCTCCAAGCCTCTTCCTTGTAAAAGGAGTTGATTGGTCTGTGTGATTCCTTAGGCCTCTCCAGCTCTACAGCCCATCCCCATTCAGCCAGAGGACATGGCGCTTCTTCGAGGTCTCTGCCAGGACATTAGTAGGCAGTGGAAATCTTCCACCAAAATTCAAGGGGGATTTTGAATATCAGAAGATGGAAAATGAGAATCAATCCATCAAATTTATTATTTGTTATTAATTAAGGGTGAAAGAAAAGAGTGAAAGTACTGACCAATATGCATCTGTGATTTCAATTGGCCATGTTGTCACAGTCTTCTGTTTCTGTGTAAAATTAAGATTTGCCTTTATGTCAGCTGCTGGGTATTCAGGCAGACAATGTTGTAGAAGGAGAAAAGTACAGCTGTTTGGTCAGTTCCAGGTTTGAATAATGACACCTCTGTTCACTACCTAGTGATCTTGACCAGGCTTCTCTAAGCCTCAGTTTCCTCATCTGTGAAATAAAAAGAATACCTATCTTATTGTGACTATTATTAAAGAAATGAAATTGTGTATGTAAAATGCTTGGCAAACAGAAAGCACTCAAGAAAAGCTAACTTATGGCTGGGTGCGGTGGCTCATGCCTATAATCCCAGCACTTTGGGAGGCCAAGGCGGGTGATCACCTGAGGTCATGAGTTTGAGACCAGCCTGGCCAACATGGTGAAATGCTGTCTCTACTAAAAATACAAAAAAATTAGCTGGGCATGGTGGCATGTGTCTGTAATCCCAGCTACTCGGGAGGCTGAGATAGGAGAATCGCTTGAACCCAGGAGGGGGAGGCTGCAGTGAGCTGAGATCATGCCACTGCACTCCAGCCTGGGCAATAGAGCAAGACTGTGTCTCAGACAAACAAACAAACAAAGAAAAAACAAACAAAAAAAAGAAAAGCTAACATTTCTACTGACTCTTCCTAGCTGATTTGTGAAAACAAGGTGATGGGCCAATTTGGAGAAAAATATGGGTAGAAGTTGGTGACCTGACTTCACTTAGCCAAGTCTTTTATTCACTGACCATATTGCCATCATCTTACCTGTGTTCCAGAACTGGTTAATTGTTACAGTATAGTCCCAGGGTTTTGAAGGAAAAAAGTGGGAAACTTGCTGCAAAGGCAGCCAGATCTGTCCCCACTCTCCAGCTCCCTGCGGTATTTTAAGTCAGCATCTCAGAGGAGGATGATGGTCACCATCCTATCACCATTTACCATGCTCCTACATAGACATTGTCTCATTTCATTCTCAGCCATAGCAACTCTGTGGGATGGTGGATTACATGTTGTCATCTGGTGAGGAAACTGAAACTCAAGGAAGTCAGATGACTAGCCCCCATTCACACTGCTAATCTGTGGATGGAGAAAGAGTTGAACACAGCTCATGACTCTAGATCCAGAGAGTCTTTTTGCCACTTCATGTTGTCAGGCATAAAATAATGATTCTGTCTTATTTCTGAATATTTAACTTATACGTAATTTCACTCTCACGTTTTCACTTCCTTACAGAATATCTGCTTCTTTCAAGAAGTATTTTAAAGATCAATGCTGTCATATTCATTTATTTTACTATAGATCAAATTCTATGGTAACAAATAAGATTACCAGAAATCCCCAGGTATGTCTACATACGTATATATGTATGTGTGTATGCACATGCATATACATCTTTTTCTTTCAAAATGCTCTATCCAATAGCCCAGAAATACATCCAATTTAAAAGAAAAATAAATGCATTCAATTTAAAATCCCAAATGAACTTGCTCAATTTTGTGGGGAGGGGGGTTGTGTTGAAATTTAATTTCTGTGCTATTTGGGATTCATGCTACTTCTCAGAAGAGACACAGTTTTCCAGTAGAGATAAACGACCTCTTCCAAGAACAATGGAAATGAAAGGGGGATGGGGGTGGGGTGGGGAGTGCTGTGGGTAGAGGGGCAGGAAGCACAGATGAATTGAAAAGAGAAGAGTTATAAGCAGGTTGGCTTCCTTTAAAAAGATGGGATAGGGTCTCCAAAAAATAAATAAAATAAAAAGTTAGGCTATCTATTGGACTATCCTTCAAAGAGCGGCTGTGACTTAGTGTGAAAGCAGATTTTTAAAAAATATGAATACAGTGAGTCACAAAATTCTCTCACCAAAACCAAGATATGAAAAAAAAAAAAAAAAGAGTAGCTTCTATTTTCTTCAAAACTGCTCTGAGCTTTGTGTAAGCCTCATTCCCTGGGGAATCCAGGAAAACTTAGAATTGCCAAGAAGCAATATTCTGATCTCTTCTGATTTAAAGTCTCCTTTCCATTTAACCATTCAGTCTATTCTACTGGGTATCATCTGGTGGGGTATAAGAAGTCTCTTTAGATAAATAATGTTTTCAGAGCATGCCTTTTTCTTTCCTTTCCCAGGATGGTGCATACCATGGGGGATGAGGGGGTCTCTTCCCTCATACTGTGTCTGGACAGACCAGCTCCTTGGACTAGTGACTGCTGAGTGAGCCTGGTTCTGTCTGGCTTCTTGAGAAGCCACATGTGCTGACCCTACTGCTGGAGCCCATAGTCCTGATCATTTCTCCTGGCTCACTGTGGCCTCTCTTGCCACTCCCAAGTTTTTGCTGGTCCACTTGTTTCCTCATAAGCTCTGGGTCCTCTCTCAGGGGCATGAGGGCTCCTTCGGTTGTGAGTAACAGGAAATATGGCCTTGGACTCATCCATTCATTGCCTTCCATCACCTCCACATCATTATTCTTCAATGGTGTTAAACATGTCCTCAAACTAAAGCCTACAACCTCCTTGCATGAGTCCTGGAGAAATTCTCATCCACTGTCTCATCCCAGTATCTTTTATCTCCCCCAGAGAGTGGATGTTTCAGAAGCATCCCAGCCTCGTCTTGAGTTTTCTTCCCTGAGCTGCTGTCTCTGACCTACTTTCTTTACCACCATCTCCCCTTCTCTCCCCGTCTTGGCTCATAAGTGAATGGGGTATTTTCTCTGCACTGGGAAAGAAACTAGATCAGAGTCTTCTAAGCTTGAATCTGATATGTATTGGGAGTTAAGGAAATTCAGACTGGTCTTCAAGATTACTGTCTTGACCACTAAATGTCTTTTGAATGTCAAAAACTGCATGTTCTTTTCTTTGAATTCATGCTGATAATCTTAAACCTGAGACAAATAGATGTCTATGGCAGAAATTTGAGGAAAATCAGTATATTAATGAATTTTTTTAAAATTACAAAAAATTAAAATAAAAATAGACGAATATGTTCTTATTACAAATACTCAACAACACAAACATATATAGTAAAAAGAAAAATTCTGTCTTGCCTTACACCCCATCCTACCATCATAATACCCCATCCTACCATCATACTTTCCCCTCCAGATATAACCACTATTAACAGTTTAGGGTATACCCTTCCAGATTATTTTCTATATGTTTATATACATATGTATGTGAAAACTAAACAAAGGTGTAGTTTTGCTTCTATTTTTAGTGAAGTGACAATGACACATAGTCTTCTTTTACTTAACAATATGTTTTGTAACTCATTCCCTATCAGTAGGTATCAGTCAACTTCACTTTTAAAAACTGATGCGCGGTAATCCATAGCATGGATGGACCATTATTTAGTCAACCATTTTCATGATGTTACATTTACATTATCTTACAAATTTTGGCTTTTATAAACGGTGACACCCTTGTTTACATCTCCTTGTACAGTAGTTCAAGCATTGCAGATATGTTTGCTTCATAAGAACCTAATGTGGAAAGTGATGGCATTCCATATCTGTCTTTTGACCACCTGTAAACATGAAAAACAATGCTGTCAGGAGCGCCGTTGCCAGAAGCTGAGCTTCTGCTTTAATTTTGGTCATTATTCTTCATTTTTACCACTTAATCAGCTCCCCTGAAATGGCAGAGTTTTCAACTTAAATTTTTCTTCTTTAAAAACTTTCTTTTTTTTTAGAGACGGCATCTTGCTATGTTGCCCAGGATGGTCTTGAACTCCTGAGCTCAAGTGATCCTCCTGCCTTGGCCTCCCAGAGTGCTAGGATTACAGGATGAGCCACCACACCCAGCCATCAACTTATATTTTTCTCAATCAAAAAGTACCACAGTATAGATAGAATAAGGCAAATTCCATGTGTTAATCAGTATGGACCTGTTTTTAGTATCATTATTGCAGAGAATAAAGTTGAAACTTCCAGTGCATCATCCTCAAAACTGCAGAGTGGTCTTTTAGTGGGTGGCAGAGTCATGGCAGTGGGTTCTCTCAGTGGTGGTCATGCAGGACAGCAGCATGCCCAAGTTACCCCCATTGTGATGAAGACATGAAATGCTTGCTTCCCTGCACTGTACAGGGCCTCAGTGGAGAACAAGCTTGTGGCTGCAGGCACAGCACAGCTCAGGTGCCAGTTGTCTTGACACGGGTTTGTCGCTACCCAGTTTAGTGAATTCACTACTGGGGAGACTTCATGCCCTCCTTTCTGCTTCCATTGCCTTTACCACCTCCGGCTAAACTATATTCTTTCTCTCCTAGGTCACTGGATAGATGGTCCCTTTGGATCACGTGCTCATCCCTGGCCCAGTCAGCTGTGATCAGAGGAGCAAGACCGTGAGATAAGGCTTGAAACCTAAGGAATTTCAAAGAGGGGGCCATGATGGGCATTCAGCGGCATCTCAGGAGGGGGCAGAGTAACCAGCAGGTGCTTTGCATGCTGGTCTGGTGTGTCTGGAAAAGGCATCCCGCTAAAACGTTTGTCAGGAAACTTCTCATCAGCATTTCCAGCATGCAGGAGCAACCAAGAGAGCCACTTAGATACCATTTGATTATAATGTGTTTCTCAGAGAAATAAATAGCCCAAATGGAAGCACACTTCTGATTGTCAATTTTTTACAAACACCCTGGAACTCAATGACAGTTCTCGAGGATCGATATGGTCTGGTGACAGTGAATTGATTGTTCCAGCAGAGATCTTTAATGAGATTGTTCACACTATTCAGGCACCACCATCTCCAGCAGATTACAATGACAATGGCGGGGCCTTGTGAATATAGAAAGCAAAGCAGCCTTCCTGCTCATTTCTTTTTGAAAGCACTAACCCCTAGCAGCAAGGCCTTCTTGTTAATTAGTTGTTAATTATTGGGACAACTCGTGAAATGTTTATTAAAGAGCTGGTCCAGTGGCAAAGAAAAGAACCCAGGGCAAGAGACAGAATTGAAGGGTAATAAAAGGAACGAATACGCTTTTACACAGTTCACTGGCACCAAGGAAATTCTAGCAACTCACTCTTCTGGTGCAAGAGGAGAGGTACTGTAGAAATGCATAGCAAACAAACTAGAATGGATGAAAATGTAACAGACACATAGAGCTAGAAGGAACCTCTATAATTATCTTCCCTTATTTTACAGATTGGGAAACCCAGGTAACAGTGCATAGATGAATTGCCTAAGGTTCTGCTTCTAGTTGGTGTCCTGCGAATCAGTTCAGCCCAGAGAACTCATCACTACCAGGCCCAGTTGAAGGTGAGTGGTGGGGCATTTGGCTTAGACCTCCCATTAAAAAGGGGCTCTATTCTGGTGTTTTTTCTTTACCCTCAAATGACATGTATGGTCTATGATGTATATAGTCAAAGTAACACACTTACAGGCTATGATCAAAGCAGTAAGCCCACAGATTTAGATTGTCTTTCATGTAACTTTTAACCTATATCCCATGACTGTATAACCAGACTACACCACCTTTGAAACATTATAAATGAATACTTCAAAAACAAATTCCATTATTGTGTGAACAATTATATTGTGTCATCTACTTATTCTTTTTTTGTTTTTTTTTTGCTATGAAAAGTTAATTTGTTACGTGTATATTTACAATATACCGTAGTTTCTGTTATCTTGTTTTGGCATTTAAAATTTTTTTATCTTCTCTTCATTTTAAAAAAAATATTCTAAAATCTACAAAAATAGAAGCAGTCCAGGCTTCTCGAAACTCTCGGGGCTCTTGTTCCCTGCTCTATATGCTCTCATTGTAGCATGTCACTTTCATAAGTGATTTAAGTTGGCACAATCAGGTTGTAGCTTTGATGATGTTACATTAACATTATCTTACAACTTTTGGCTTTTATAAAGGATGACTATTTTTTTTAAAGTAGGAGATTCTGTGTTGCATATCTGTAAAGCTGTCATAGGAACCCAGAACTTTGCTACCCATCTCCTGGGAGGTGTAGACAACCTGGACACCAGTCCTGGTAAATTCTTAGGGAAGAGCAGTTAGTATTTTCGTTCTCTATACTAGCCACGCCGATTTATTTGGGTGGCTCTGAAATACGCCTTCAAGTTCATTCCTATGCACAATCATCTTTTAACTTAATATAGTTACTTAATATAGTTGACTTAGTACAGTAAACTTAATACAGTTAATTTAATATAGTTTACCTGCAATATAGCAGGTAAAAAAATCAGAGTAGGGGTAAAGTAAGAATATTATTAAAAGCATTTTTATTCTCCCTTGAAGAGTTGCTGTAAAATGTTATCTTTTCATTCCTGCTTTCTGCTTTCAGAAGTGATTTGGAAAGTATTGCTGGATGATGCCACTTTTATACTGAAACTATGTAGGTTCTATGCAATCTATGATAATTGAAGAAAAAGATAGATTCTATTCCTTAGGAAACCCTTCAGTCCCTTACACTGGCCCTGTTACGTGACGCCAGGCATGCAGTCTTACCTGATGCAGCTAGTACTTCTCTCTGTCTCATTCCTCTCCCAAGTCACACTGTGTAGTCTCAATGGTTCTCAAACTTTAGTCTGCAAGAGATCACCTTGCAAACTGGTATAAATTGTGGAACCCAGCCTCTCTCGCAGAGATTCTGATTCATTAGATGTGGGGCAGGGCCGAGGAATCTGCATTTTTAAGAAACACTGCATTTTAGTGTTAGGCATTTTAGAAGCACCCTTGAGAAACTCTGATCTGCCCGCATTTTCTTACCAGTCCCTTGACATGGATGCATGTTTTTGCATCCATCCAAGGGACCTGGTAAGAAGCCTCTGAATTACAGTCTTTATCTGTTTATTTGGGTGACTCACTCCTGGGATCCCTGGGGAGATGCCCCCTCCTCACTCAGCCTGTCTCCCAGGACCTGCCTCCACTCCCCTTGCCTCTGGCAGGGAGAAGAAAAGGAGCCTGGAGAAGGGCAGACCCCCAGCAGGATAATGCCTACCAGTGGGACCTTCCTTCTAGGCTCACTGCATTGCCTATGATTATTTTTTTAGAATAGATTTAGAAAAAACCCAGGCCAGTTGGGGCCAGTTCTGGTGATTCTGGTTTATGATCAAGTGGGAGAATTACTGTTCAGGATCAAGCTACATATAACTATAACACACATCACAGCTGGCATTCTGGCTTGGGTCATAAATGCATCCGTGGCATTAGATGCAGCGTTTCAAAAATACTCTCTGCAGTGATGGTAGATATCACAGCCAGGCTGCCCTGAATGAACTCACAGGTTGCTTACAACTTGCTCTTGTTCCAACCAGTCGGGCAGCCATTTTTATTGGCTGAGTGTCTCATTGATTCATTGGTACTCTGCTATGCCAGTTGTTAAATACTTGTACTACTGGAATTAATATATAATTTTTCTCCTGAAGGACGAAACTCCTGTGAATATCTCAATTCAGAATGTTTCTTAAAAATCTAATCTTGTGAACTAATAGTCAATCTTTGCAAATGATGTAAGTCATATGACTCACATTCTAAGTGAAAATCTACTTTAAGCCAGGTTAATATTGGTCCTACATTTATTCCAGGTATTAGCTTATATAAGCATGAAATCTCCATGCTGTTTTTTCTACTGTTGCAAGCATTCACTTCCAAAGTATGCATAAGGTTGGAAATTTAATACTCCCAATACTCCAGCAAAAAGATGCCTTTAACTTTCTTGGCCATATCTTTAGCTTGGTTTCCTACAGATGGTACTCTGCTGATTCATTTCCTGATGGTGCACTCAAGTTGATTGTTTTATTCTTTCGAAGAATGTTATAAATTGCAGTTTGCTTAGAGTTGAATGATGATGGGGTGGGCTGGGGTTTACAGTTGAGAAGCACCACTTTAGCTTATAATAAGACGCATATAATTTCAATTCACGAAATAGGCTGGGGAAGTATTTATAAATAATTATATGTCTGGATGTGTTTGTATATATAGTTACATTTATTTTTAAGCATACATAGAATTTAAATTAAATATAAAAATATTCACACATATAGTAATGCAAAAAACCACTATACCATTAAAAAATTTTTAACTTAAGTTCCAATTCTGGGGATACAAGGAGTGGTCAATTCTCCGTTATCACCACACCTGACTTATCAGTAGAACACTAGATACAACTGATACATCCTTCCTTCATTTTGCTGCCAGACATTACTTGCAGTTGGCTTTCCTTCTGCCTCTGGGACTGCACCATCTGTTAGTCACCTTTGCTTGTTCCTTCTCTTTTGACCAACCTCTGAGCATCAGAGTGAGGAGGGTTTAATCTTTGGACCTTATATGTAGCTATACTCACTTCCTAAAATTTCAGACTTGTGTGTCCAATTACCTAGTTAACTTTCCATTTGGATGTCTAACAAACATCTCCTGCTGAGTGTGTCCAAGGCAGAACTCTTAATTTATTACCCCTCATCCCAACCTCACCACTCCTGTTGTTTTTCCCATCATAATAAAAGGGAATTTCTTTATTCTCCTTGTTTAGGCCAAATCCTCAAAGTTATGTTTGACTGTTCTTCTTTTCTCATACTCCGTATTCAATCTGTCAGCAAATCCCATTTTCCTTTGAAAGGGCTCTTCCTTTGAAATATAATCTGCCAACCTCACCACCTCCTTCACTTTCCTGGTCCAAGGCTCTGTAATCCCTCTACTGTATTATTGCCATGGCCTAATTACTGGACTTCCTATCTCTCGTCTCTCTTAGACTTTTCTCAGCACAACGACCAGACTGATCCTCTTTTTTTTCTATTTTGACAGAGTCTTGCTCCGTTGCTCAGGCTGGCGCGATCTCGGCTCACTGCAAGCTCCGCCTCCCGGGTTCGCACCACTCTCCTGCCTCAGCCTCCCGAGCAGCTGGGGCTACAGGCGCCGCCACCACGCCCGGCTAATTTTTTGTATTTTTAGTAGAGACGGGGTTTCACCGTGTTAGCCAGGATGGTCTGGATCTCCTGACCTCGTGATCCGCCCACCTCGATCCTCTTAAATTTTAAGTCCAAACATGTCACGTTTTTGCTCAAAACCCTCCAATGGTTTCCCAAATCATTCAGCACAAAAACCAAAGTCCCTCTAATTACTTATAATACTCTCCCCCAACCTACCATCCCTAACCTCATCACTAATACTCTTATACTTAATCATCTGCTACAGCCTACAATTTCCTCTGCTGTTCCTCAAACATCCCAAAGATTTTGTCACCTGAAGGTCTTTGCATGTTCTGCCTCCTCGTCCTGGAAAGCTTTTCCCCAAATACCATTTTGTCTCTGCCTTCAGATTTTTGATCAAATGTCACCTTGCTCCCAAAGTTTTCTCTGGCCATGCTATTTAAAGTACAATGCTCTGCTCCACTCCTTGCAATCTCAATGCCTCTGTCCTGCTTTAGTTTTCCTTTGTAGCTGTTATCATCAACTGACATAGAGATTGCTTATGTATTTTGTCGTTTTCTGTCTCCTCACATTAGGAACTAGGGTTCGTGAGAGTGGGGGTTTTGTAGGCTTTGGAAATTAGTATTTCTTTAGCAACAAGAACAGTGTATATGGCAGACACTCAATAAATCCTTGCTTTAAAAAGTAACAGTGTATCATGATAAAAATACATAGGCACATGAATGAAATATAAATACAATGGTATCCATCTCCAATATGTTCTCCAATGATCTTTACCTGCTGCTAAAGAATTAGTGTAGTCCTCCTCTCCATTGTATCAGGGTTAATCTGTGTAACCAATAGATTATGTAATGTTGTGTGACCTCTGAGACTAGATTGTAAAAAATAGTACAGTTTCTATTTTGTTCTCTTGGATCACTGACTCTGAGGGAAGCCAGTGACAATGGGGACACTCAGCAGCCCTGTGGAGTGGGTCATGTGGCATGTAATTAAGACTTCCATCCAGCCAATAACATTTTGCCAGCCATGTGAGTGAGTCATGCTGG
Organism: Homo sapiens; assembly: GCF_000001405.40. Lineage (NCBI taxonomy): Eukaryota > Metazoa > Chordata > Mammalia > Primates > Hominidae > Homo > Homo sapiens. The sequence goes on from NC_000004.12 coordinate 38,292,814, forward strand.
AAATGGATTTGCCAGCCCCAGTAAGCTTCAAATGGTTACAGATCTGGCCAACATCTTAACTACAACTTAACGAGAGACTCCAAGCCAGGACCACCAAGATAAGCTGCTCCCAAATTCCTAACACAGACATTGTATGAGATTAAAAAGAAGTTTATTGTTGCTCTAAGCCAGTAATTTTGACTAAATTTGTTATACAGAAATAGTAATTAATATGGATTTTTGTACCTAAATTTTATACCCGGAATGCTGTAACAAAAATCAAAATGTGGGAGAAGCTTTGGAATTCTTAGGATCCAGAAGAATTTTAAGGAGAACATTAAGTGAAAAACTGAAGGACTTTGAAGAGACTGATAGCAGAAACCCAATGTTCTTTGAAGAGGCTGCCATTAAGAGCTTAATGAAAAGTAAGAAAAATGTCATTGGCCATGAAAGAAAGGGAATCCTTGTTATGTAGTGGGAAAAAGTTTAGCAGTGCTGTCATCTGTGATAATATTAAAAGAAGGAAATTCACCTATTGAATTGGTGAATCTAACTAAGGAGATTTCCAGGCAGAGTATTGAAGGTGCCCCCTGGTTAAGTCTTGCTTCAAAATGTGAGTGGAGACAAATAAGCTAAAATAGTAGCTCTTAATTTAAAGTAAAACCCAGGAATTTCTGGATTTGAAAATTTCTAGCCTTTCTGGATGTCAACTGATACTAATATATAGCAACGACTTCTGGGCAAAGATGAAACCCTTTTTTTTTCTCAGGGAATCATGGTATAAAGATGAAACATACAATGTGACTGTAAAATACTTTGTTGAAGATTCAGAAAGATCCAAGACAGTGTCTCCTTAGAGAATTGTTGAGTCAAACAACAGGGCTTCTAACAAGCTTAAGGGTGATATCCCTGAGCAGTCCCAGCAGAAGCCCAAGATATAGAAATGCTTATCTCAAAAAGATTTGTAAATGTGGCCTTTGACTAATGTAGTAAGCATCAATAATATTTAAAGGAGATCCACAAAATTTTAAAAGAATAGTATTAGCAAAACTATCTCTAGCATGAACTAAAAGAGACAAGGACAATAAAAATGAAGAGGACATTTGACCCCAAAATTTATGGGAAGGAAGAAGTGTGAAAAAACTACTGAAGTATAAACATGGGCTATCTTTCATAGAAAATGAAGGATGCCTCAAAGGGCAAAACCATGATCCCAGAAGGTGGGGGCAGGAACCATGGAGAATTATTCTCAGGACTTCACTCCCAATCAAGGAACTACCAGAACATGTGCTGACAAATTTCAGAATTGTTATGTGCCAGGGACTCCTGTGTGACTCTCTTTCTCTCCTACATGGTTATTTTATTCCTAGGCTACCATTGTAGATTGAGTTTGTTGGAGAAGCATATAACTTATTTCTTTAGTTTGCAGGCTTTCAGATCAACAGTAACTGTGCTCAAATAATTGGACTTGAAGAGCCTCATCTGCACATGGACCTGATTTGGATAATGAGCATCTGGACTTTGAGCTGATGCTCTGATGAGATGAGAGTTTTGGAAAGCTTGAAAGGGGATGGGTATATTTTGCATGTTAGAGGGCATAAATCATTGACAGCCAGAAGGTGGACAGTGATAGGTAATCTCTGATGGCCATCAGTGATTCTTTCTTCCTAGAAATTATGCTCTGTGTTGTCAGCCTTCTTCCAAAATGAATGGGGCTTAACTATGTAACTAATGGGATATTTTTAAAGGACGGTATGTGACTTCAGTGGCTAAGTTTTTAAAAATTTGTGGCTTCTACAGGGATGCCCTCTCTCACCACTCCTATTCAACATAGTGTTGGAAGTTCTGGCCAGGACAATCAGGCAGGAGAAAGAAATAAAGGGTATCAACCAGGAAAAGAGGAAGTCAAATTGTACCTGTTTGCAGATGACATGATTGTATATTTAGAAAACCCCATCATCTCAGCCTAAAATCTCCTTAAGCTGATAAGCATCTTCAGCAAAGTCTCGGGATACAAAATCAGTGTGCAAAAATCACAAGCATTCCTATACACCAATAACAGACAAACAGAGAGCCAAATCATGAGTGAACTCTCATTCACAATTGCTTCAAAAAGAATAAAATACCTAGGAATCCAACTTACAAGGGATGTGAAGGACCTCTTCAAGGAGAACTACAAACCACTGCTCAAGGAAATAAAAGACAACACAAACAAATGGAAGAACATTCCATGCTCATGGATAGGAAGAATTAACATCATGAAAATGGCCATACTGCCCAAGGTAATTTATAGATTCAATGCCATCCCCATCAAGCTACCAATGACTTTCTTCACAGAATTGAAAAAAAACTACTTTAAAGTTCATATGGAACCAAAAAAGAGCCCACATTGCCAAGTCAATCCTAAGCCAAAGAACAAAGCTGGAGGCATCACACTACCTGACTTCAAACTATACTACAAGGCTACAGTAACCAAAACAGCATGGTACTGGTACCAAAACAGAGATATAGACCAACGGAACAGAACAGAGCCCTCAGAAATAATACCACACATCTACAACCATCTGATCTTTGACAAACCTGACAAAAACAAGAAATGGGGAAAGGATTCCCTATTTAATAAATGGTGCTGGGAAAACTGGCTAGCCATATGTAGAAAGCTGAAACTGGATCCCTTCCTTACACCTTATACAAAAATTAAGATGGATTAATACAAAAATTCAAGATGGATTAAAGACTTAAATGTTAGACCTAAAATCATAAAAACCCTAGAAGAAAACCTGGGCAATACCATTCAGGACATAGGCATGGGCAAGGATTTCATGACTAAAACACCAAAAGCAATGGCAACAAAAGCCAAAATTGACAAATGGGATCTAATTAAACTAAAGAGCTTCTGCACAGCAAAAGAAACTACCATGAGAGTGATCAGGCAACCTACAGAATGGGAGAAAATTTTACAATCTACCCATCTGATGAAGGGCTAATATCCAGAATCTACAAAGAACTTAAACAAGTTTACAAGAAAAAAATCAAACAACCCCATCAAAAAGTGGGCGAAGGATATGAACAGACACCTCTCAAAAGAAGACATTTATGCAGCCAAGAGACAAATGAAAAAATGCTCATCATCACTGGTCATCAGAGAAATGCAAATCAAAACCACAATGAGATACCATCTCACACCAGTTAGAATGGTGATCATTAAAAAGTCAGGAAACAATAGGTGCTGGAGATGATGTGGAGAAATAGGAATACTTTTACACTATTGGTGGGACTGTAAACTAGTTCAACTAGCCATCTTTGAAAACAATCTACTACAAGTAGAATTTGCCCCATTCTCACCTTTTAATTAGTAGATTATCACGTCATCATAATCATCATTTTGTGCTAAGACAAATTATGAAATTAAAACCAAATCACTTTAAAGAAATACTTAGCATTTTGAGGAACACATTTATGGTGAACATATCACTTTTTTCCGGCTTTGGCTTAAAGCAAGTTACATAGTTGGGATTCTATTGGATTCTTTCTTGCTCCCTGGTTCCAAAAGACACCATAGTAATACTCCATACTCTTATAGCTTTAGGCTACTTGCTGTAAGAGATAAAAAACTGTTTTCCCACTTTCAAATCACTCACCACTCTCAGTACTTTACTTCTGACACCAGATATATGGGGAGTTTTCCCCACACACTAAGAAATTCTCCAATGAGCACTAACTGGGTTTCCTACAATTTAACTCAATCCTGACACTATGTATCTGGAGTTAGGGTCAGAACCCACAGGTAAAGGGCTCAGTCCTGTAAGAGTGCCCCCCACCCCTCAAAGACATCAATCACACATACTAAGTTGTCACATATACTTCTGACTGAACAGTTATAAATCAGGGTTCCCATATCCTGTTCTCATATTTGAAGAATTTGTTAGAATGACTCATGGAACTCAGAGAAATACTTACACTTACTGGTTAATTATAAAGGATACTACAAATGATACAGAGGAACAGCCAGATGAAGAGGTATATAGAGCAAGGTATGAGGGAAGGGGTGAGGAGTTTCCATACTGTCTCTGAGGGCACCATTCTCCAGGCACCTCCATGTGTTTAACAATCCAGACATTCTCTACATTCTGTCCTTTTTTTTTTTTTTGAGATGGAGTCTCGCTCTGTCGCCCAGGCTGGAGTGCAGTGGTGCAATCTCGGTTCACTGTAAGCTCTGCCTCCCAGGTTCACGCCATTCTCCTGCCTCAGCCTCCCGAGTAGCTAGGACTACAGGTGTCCACCACCATGCCCAGCTAATTTTTTGTATATATATATTTTTTTTAATAGAGAAGGGGATTCACCATGTTAGCCAGATGGTCTCGATCTCCTGACCTTCTGATCCGCCCATCTCAGCTTCCCAAAGTGCTGGGATTACAGGCGTGAGTCACTGTGCCTGGCCTGTCCTTCTGTTTTTTTATGAAGGCTTCATTATGCAGGCATGACTGATTACCATTGGCCATTGGTAATTAAGTCAATCTTCAGCCCTTCTTCCCTCCCTGAAAATCAGGGTGGGGTGGGGCTGAAAGTTCCAACCCTCAAACCACATGGTTTGTTCCCCTGGCAATCAGCCCTGATCCTGAGGTGATCCTGAAGCCCACTGAGTTGCCTCATTAGAACAAAAGATGCTCCTATCAAAAGATGCTCCTAAAAGGGATTTAGGAACTCTGCACTAGATGCTTCTATCACTCAGAGAATTACAAATTTCTTAGGAGCTCTATGGCAGAAGCCAGGGTCAAAGACAAAATATTTAACAAAAGATTCTCCTAGCATTCCTATCTAAAAAGACTTTAAGTGCTCTACATCAGGAAGTGGGTGCAAAGACCAGTATATATATTTCCTATTATTTTCACATTTGCCTTTAATTAGAATTCTGTATTGCAGAAATTCACACACATACATATGCTCACTATGCTGATATATGTAGAGTCCAATGAGAATAACAATAATTTCAGAAATGTCTGATTGCCAAAATCAGATACTATTTTTCTTAGACTTCAAAAATAGCGTTGCCATGATAATCTCTCTTTTCAAAGCATAGCTCTCATGCATTTTGCAAAGTTATTGGTGATCCTTAAACAATCATTAAGTAAGTGACTGAATCTAATGCTAGGTAAATATTTGTTGTTTAGAGTAAGATTGTGGAATAGAAATATCCAGCACTCATTCCCTCACATAAACATCAATTTGAGCAACCAATCATGCATGAAAATATCTTCACAAGATCTAAGAAACCCAGCTGAGAGACTACAGCACACGGCTGAAGCACAGAAATAAGAAAAATGCATTGAAGAGGGTAGGAAGGACATTTTCACATAAACTGCACCACCCCTTCTCTAAGCCCATGCAGCACAGTGCAGAGAGAGATTCCCTCCACGTGGAGGAATAAGCATGAATAAGCACCCAATTTTTCCATGGACTCTAGCACCAGGCCTGTCTCAGTGGACTCTAATACCAGGTCAGCTCCTGCAACCCCTGGCTCTAGGCTCACCCTGAAGACCCAGGCTCTAGGACAACCCTAGCATCAGGCCAGCCCCCTGATGCAGATTTCAGCAGACCCAGAGCCCAGGCTTGCCCTAGTAGACTTTGCAACCATGCCATTTCTTACAGACTCAAAACCAGGTTTACCCCTAAGGACCCAGGCACTAGGCCTACCTCAGCACTAAGTTGTCTTCTGCAGACCCTCAGGGCCACCCTCATGGGTCTAGTCACTAGGCCCATTCTAGTAGGTCCCAGTGCCAGGTTGGCTCCTGTGGACCCAGGCACCAGGACAGCCCACCTGAGGACTCCAACAGCAAGCACTCCCATAGACCCCACCAGCTGGCCTACCAAGAATTTCTGGACAGGTTAACTGGTGAAGAGTTTTTTATGCCAAAGTCAGTCTGTAAGTATTGGAAGAGATGCCTATTTCTTCAAATACATAGACACCAATACAAGGCCATAAGGATCATGGATTATCAGGGAAACATGACACCACTAAAGGAACAAAGTAAAGCACCAGTGATGTAGAACTACAAACTGCCTGACAAAGATTGCAAAATATTTATTTTTTAAAAGCTTAGTGAGCTATAAGGGAACACAAATAAATAGGTAAACAAAATCAGAAAAACAATATATGTACATAATGAAAAGTTCAACAAAAAGATAGAAATCATTTTTTAAAGTACCAAACAAAAATCCTGGAACTGAAGAATACAATGACTGAATTAACAAATTTCATAGACAGCTTCAACAGCAGACTCAGTTAAGCAGAAGAAAGAATTAGTGACCTGTAAAGGAGTTCATTAGAAATTATGTAGTCAAAGGAACAAAAAGAAAAAGAATAAAGATGTGTGAAGAAAGTCTATAGGACTTATGGGACACTGCCAAGTAAATCAATAAACACATTATGGTAGTCAAAAAAAGAAGCAGAGAAAGAGAAAGGGGAAGAAAGCTTATTTAAAGAAGTAATGATAGAAAACTTCTCAAATCTGGAGAAGAAAACGAACCTACAAATCCATGAAGCCCAAAGAACCCCAAGTAAATTAAGCAGAAAGAGATCTTCACCAAGACACATTATAATTAAATTCTCAAAAGTCAAAGACAAGGAGAGAATTTTGAAAGCACCAGGAGAAAAGCAACTTGTTACATACAAAAGAAGCCACACACAACTATCAGCAGAAACCTTGCAAGCCAGGAGAAAGGGGGATATATACTCAAAGTCCTAAAAGAACAAAAAAGCTGTCAATCAAGAATACTATATCTAGCAAAGCTATCCTTCAGCAATAAAAAAGAGATAAAGACTTTCCTATACCAACAACAACAACAACAACAAAAACACCTGAAGGAGTTTATTATTACTACACCTACTTTACAGGAAAAGCTACAGAGAATTCTTCAAGTTAAAATAAAAGGAGACTATCACCAGGAAAAATATGAAAGAATAAAACACTGTAAAGGTAAAAAAACAAAAAAAAAGTCAAATCCAGAATATTCTAATATCATATAGGTGGTATGTAAATCACTTTTAACTCTAGTATAAAAGTTAAAAAGCAAAAGTATTAAAAATAACAAAAGCTGCAATAATGTATTGATGAATACATAAATATCAAAGATGTAAATTGTGACTTCAAAAACAAAGTGTAGGAAGAGAAGTTAGAGTGTAGAGAGTTCTTGTATGCAGTAAAAGTTAAGTTGTTATCAACTTTAAAAAGACTGTTGTGACTATAAGATATTTTATGCAAGCATCATGATAACCGTAAAGATAAAATCTGTAATAGATGTGCAAAAAAATAAAGAAAAGGAATCAAAGCATATCACTACAAAATTTTCTCAAATCACAAGGGAAGACAGCAAGACAGGAAGAAAGCAACAAAGAAACTACAAAACAATCATAAAGGAATTAACAAAATGGCAATAGTAAGTCCTTATGTATTAACAATTACTTTAAATGTAAATAAATTAAGTTCTCCAATCAAAAGACATACAGTGGCTGGACGGATTAAGAAAAAGAAAAAACAGGTTCCAACTATACACTGCCTACAAGAAACTCACTTTGGCTTTAAGAACACATATAGGCTGAAAGTAATGGGATGGAAAAGAATATTTCATGCAAACAGCGACCAGAAGAGAGCAGGGTGGCTATACTTACATCAGGCAAAATAGCCTTTAAGTCAAATGTGTCACAAGAGACAAAATGACAAAGAGGTCAATTCATCAAGAAGATACAACGATTGTAAATATATATGCATCCAACATTGGAGAACCTAAATATACAAAGTAAATATTAACAGAACTTAGGAAGAGATAGACAGTAATACATAGTTGTAGGGGATTTCTACTTCACTTTCAATAATGGATAGATCATCCAGATAGAAAATCAATAAACAAACAGTGGACTTGAACAACCCTATAGATCAAAGGGACCTAGCAGATATACACAGAAGATTCCATCCAATAGCAACGGAATATTCACCAAGATAGTTTTTATGTTGGCCCACAAAACAAGTCTTAACAAATGTAATAAGATTAAAATCATATCGAGTATCTTTTTCAGCCACAAGGGTATGAACAAGTAATCAATAACATGAGGAAAATTGGAAAATTCATAAATATGTGAAAATTAAACAACACACTCTTAAACAACCAATGAATCAAAGAAGTAACCAAAAAGGAAATTTAAAAATATCTTGAGACCAACAAATATAGAAACATAACATACCAAAAGTTATTAGATGCAGCAAAAGAAGTTCCAAGTGGGAAGTTAATAGTAATAAATGTCTACATTAAGAAAAAAGAAAGAATAAAGATCAGATAAAAAAATAAATGAACTAGAGACCAGAAAAACAATAAAATAGATCAATAAAACTAGGAGTTTTGTGTTCTTTTAAAGATAAACAAAATTTACAGACCTTCAGCTAGACTTACTAGGAAAAAAAGAGAAGAATCAAATAAAAACAATTATAGATGAAAAATAAGGCATTACAACTGAAACCACAGAAACACACAGAATCATTAAAAAAAAAAACCTACCACCAACAACTATATGCCAACAATTTGGATACTCTAAAATAAATAAATTCTTAGAAACATATAACTTACCAAGACTGAATTATATAGAAATAAAAAATATGAACAGAACAATGATGAGTAAGGAGATTGTATCAGTAATCAAAAGCTCCCAAGAAAGAAAAGCCTAGGACTTGTTGTCTTCACTGGTAAATTCTACCAAACATATGAAAAAGAATTAATGCCATACAAATATATTCAGACTCTCTGGCAAAAAAAAAAAAAAAAAAAATTAATGCCAATCCTTCTCAAATCCTCCCAAAAAATTGAAGAGGAGGGAACACTTTCAAACCCATTTTATGAGGCCAGCATTACCCTGATATCAAAGACAGACAAGGACACTACAAGAAAAGAAAATTATACGCCAATATCCACAATGAACATAGATGTGTGAATCCCCACCAAAATACTAGCAAACACATTAAAAGGTTCATATACCTTTATCCCTAGGATGCAAGTATAGGGGAAGAATAATATCTCTTCCTTCTTCTCCCCTAATTTCATTGCTTATGTCCCCACAACGAAAGAAAGATTAACAAGAGAAAAGCACACCCATTTATTTAATGTATGTTTTATCTGACATGGGAGGCTTCATAAGGAAATGGAGATCTGAAGAAACAGTTAAACCTTTGTATATTTTTGCTATGTTTGATGAAGAGTGGATAGTCATTGAAAAATATAGGGCAAAAGAGGTAAGATCTAATGGTAACAAACTAGAGGAAACTTAGTAAGGCCTGCTTGTTCAGATTCTTCTCCGTGACAAATGAAGATAAGGATATTTCTTTCCTCCAGATAAAGAGAGGGCATCTCTCACATGAGGGTCTTATTACCTACTTCAGGGGAAAGTCAGAAAATCTTTTCTAGGTTTTATAGCTTGCTTCAGGGGAGAAGGATGGGAGAGAGTCAGAGAGACCTTCCTACACAAGCTGTTTCTCAAATTCTTTCAGCTTAAATATTCAAAATGTCAAGATGCCATATTGTTGAGTAGCATGTCCTGAACCCCATCACAAAGATAGTACATTATATACAAATCAACAAATGTGGTGCATTGCAGTAACAGAATGCAGAATAAAAATTATGTGATCATCTCGATAGATGCAGATAAAACATTTGATAAGATTCACCATCTTTTTATTATAAAAACTCACAACAAATTAGGCATAGTAGGAATTAACTCAACATAATAAAGGGTATATATGACAAGCCCAAAACTAACATCAGAATCAATGGTGAAAAGCTGAAAGCTTTTCCTGTAAGATCAGGAAGATGAAAACAAGGCCCACACTTGCCACTTGTATTGAATATAGTACTGGCAGTCCTAGCCAGAACATTCAGGCACAAAAATGAAACAAAAGGCATCCAAATATTAATAGGAAAGGAAGAAATAAAATTGTCTCTGGAGATGGAATAATCTTATATGTAGAAAACTGTACCAAAAACTCTATTAGAACTAATAAACTTTATAAAGTTGCAGGATACAAAAATCAGCTGCTTTATTTATTTATTTAAACCTTTGTTTTACATTCAGGGGTAGCTCCTCTCTGCTAGGCAAGTTGTCTCAACAAGTGTTCGCTCCCAGCAGGGAGGGTAGCTCCTCTCTGCAGCTGGTTGCCCCATTGTCTGTTCCAGCTCTCAAAAGAAAGGGTAGCTCCTCTCTGCAGCGGGTTGTCCTGTCATCTGTAGCTCTCAGCAGAGAGGAGGCTCTGGAGTGGGTAGCTCATCTCTGCAGCCAGTCATCCTCTATCTCCTGCTCTCAGCAGAGAAGAGGCCCTGGGGTTGGTAGCTCCTTTCTGCAGCCAGCCATCCTGAAGTCTGCTCAGCTCTGGCTGAGCCTGGGGCTTTTATGGGCCTTAGAGGGGAGGAAGTGCAGGCCAACTGGTCCATGGGTGGCCATGGGCAGTCCTGGAAAAGGCACCACAAGTTCCCACTCTGGTCCATGGGACTGGCAGCTTGGCCCCAGCCTTCAGGCCCTCCCTGCCCTCAGCTCCCCCTATAGTTTCCTTACTATGCTCACAGACCCCCCAAACCTGGAGGGGGCCAAGGTGGCAGGGGGCTGGTGTGTCAGCACTGCCCTGAGTGTTTGCACACCTGGCTGGGCTGTGACAGTGCCTGGGCTCAGTCTCAACTTTGTTCCAAGATCACAGTGGGCACTGACAGCAAGGAGAAGCTAGGCAGTGGAAGCAGGCATTTATAAGCCTGTGAAGGTGGGGTGTGGGTCCTTCCTGGGCCCCCAAGAGTACAGGGATGCCTGGGTCCACTACTGAAATTTGGGCAGCTGCAACTGTGCCAGGGGCAGGGCTCCTGCCTGCTCCATGGAGCAGGAGGTCCAGGTCTGCAGCTGCAGTTTGAACGGCTGCAGCTGCACCTGAAAGAGTGGGACTCCCGCCTGCTCCTGGACCATGAGAGCACAGGGATGCCTGGGTTCACAGCCATATCTTGGGTGGCTGCAGTGGCTCCCAGAGAACTCCTGCCCCAACTTGAAAGGGATGGGGCTCCCACTTATCCCTGGCTCCTGCCCACTCTGTGGAGCATGCAGCCCCCTGCTGCACCTCCCTGCTGCAGCCAGTGTGATGGCAGCGGTTGCTCCAGATGGCCCACTGTTGCCATCAATCTCAATTACATGTGGATTCTAAAAGTCAAATTCATAAAATAGAGATTAGAATGGTGATTTCCAAGGTCTGGAGGGTGGAGAGGGAGGGAAATGGGGGGATGTTTGGCAAAGGGTAAAAGGTTTCAGTTATGCAGGATGAATAAGTTCTAGAGATATTATATACAGCATGGTGATTATAGTTAATATTACTGTAGAATATACATGCAATTTGCTAAGAGAATAGCTCTTAAATATTCTCACCACATACAAAAAAATGGTAACTTATATGAGATGATGGATATGTTAATCAGCTTGTGGTAATCATTTCACAATATACATGTATATCAAGACATTACATTGTCCATCTTAAATATATACAATTTTTATTTTGTCAATTATATGTCAATAGAGAACCCATCCCCCAAAATTTGTGGTTTAGAGTTAGTATGAATAATGCCAATGGGTTTTCAGTTCATAAAAGAGTGATCTGCTGACAAAAGAATGAGGGGAGCAAGTTTTAGGAGATGTGTTGACTGAGGAAGTTTCTTCAGAAGGAGCTGCTGTATATTCCATTATGTTTTTTATTCTCTGTTTGATCTTGCTGTCCTGTGGAACTTTGATGTAATTAGGAAACACATTCCTCAGGTTAAATGTGAATAGGATGGGATGGTCTGTGAATGTGCGGGCGCATGGTGTGGGACTGGCGGGCAGCTCCGCCTGCGGACCTGGTGTGGGATCCAGTAGGTGAAGCCAGCTGGGCTCCTAAGTCTAGTGGAGACTTGGAGAACCTTTATGTCTAGCTAAGGGATTGTAAATACACCAATCAGCACTCTGTGTCTAGCTCAAGGTTTGTAAACACACCAATCAGCACCCTGTGTCTAGCTCAAAGTTTGTAAACGCACCCATCAGTGCTCTGTGTCTAGCTAATCCAGTGGGGACTTGGAGAACTTTTGTGTCTAGCTCAGGGATTGTAAATGCACCAATCAGTACCCTGTCAAAACAGACCAATCAGCTCTCTGTAAAATGGACCAATCAGCAGGATGTGGGTAGGCCCAGATAAGAGAATAAAAGCAGGCTGCCCAAGCCAGCAGTGGCAACCCACTCGGGTCCCCTTCCACACTGTGGAAGCTTTGTTCTTTCGCTCTTTGCAATAAATCTTGCTGCTGTTCACTCTTTGGGTCCGCATTGCCTTTATGAGCTGTAACACTCACTGCGAAGGTCTGCAGCTTCACTCCTGAGGCCAGTGAGACCAGGAACCCACCGGGAGGAATGAACAACTCTGGACGGGAGGAATGAACAACTCCAGAGGTGCTGCCTTAAGCGCTGTAACACTCACTGCGAAGGTCTGCAGCTTCACTCCTGAAGCCAGCAAGACCACAAACCCACCAGAAGGAAGAAACTCCGAACATGTCCGAACATCAGAATGAACAAACTCTGGACACACCATCTTTAAGAACTGTAACACTCACCGCGAGGGTCCATGGCTTCATTCTTGAAGTCAGTGAGACCAAGAACCCACCAATTCCGGACGCAAATGTACTAGTATGAGGGACATCATTACATTTAAGGAGCCTGGGAACACGGTTCTCAGGCTTTCGGTTTGGTTGTTCTGCACAATTTTTTTTTTTTTTTTGAGACAGAGTCTCACTCTGTCACCCAGGCTGGAGTGCAGTGGCACGATCTTGGCTCACTGCAAGCTCTGCCTCCCAGGTTCACACCATTCTCCTGCCTCAGCCTCCCAAGTAGCTGGGACTACAGGCACCTGACACCGCACTCAGCTAATCTGGTTTTTGTATTTTTATTAGAGATGGGGTTTCACCGTGTTAGCCAGGTTGGTCTTGATCTCCTGACCTCATGATCCACCCGCCTCGGCCTCCCAAAGTGCTGGGATTACAGGCGTGAGCCACCACCCCTGGCCTCTTCTGCACAATTTTTTAAGTGGGGGGACTCTTTTGAAAGGACTTCAGGCTGAGACTTCTGAAAGCATGTAGTGAAGGGCTGAGGGACAAGACCAGAAGGTGGGGCCTAGCCAAGGCTTTGTACTCGCATTCTTACACTCTCCTGCCATTGTCCCTGTGATGAAATGAGCTTCATACATATAGTTTGCTTGAAAATACACCTCATGGGCCAGGTGCAGTGGCTCATGCCTGTAATACCAACACTCAAGCCTTTGGAAGGCTGAGGCAGGTGGATCACTTTGAGGTCAGGAGTTCGAGACCAGCCTGGGCAACATGGTGAAACCCTGTCTCTACTAAAAACACAAAAATTAGCCAGACATGGTGGCACATTCCTATAATCCCAGCTACTTGGGAGTCTGAGGCAGGAGAATCGCTGGAACCCAGGAGGTGGAGGTTGCAGCGAGCCGAGATCACACCACTGCATTCCAGCCTGGGCGACAGAGTGAGACTCCATCTCAAAAAATGTTAAAAAGAAAAGAAAAAACACCCCATGAAGTGTCCTATGATCAAATTTCTGAGACAGAGGAGAGATATGGCATGCTCCATTGTGATTAAAAAAAACGTGGCTTGTAACCTTGGCTTCTCCATCTGTCAAGTGATGACAATCAATGCAGCAATAACTGCACACCTCTCTCACTTCCTCTCTCTTGATCAAGGAAGACTGTGAGAATTAAGAGTTGATCAGAAAGCAAAGTAACAATGATATGTTACAGAGGAGTGAGCTTGCAATGAGATCTGTGAAATTTGGCAAAGCACAGGAAGTGTCCAATTCAGCTAGATTGGATTGGTGCTAAGGCAGTTTGAGCTTGAGGTTGTCCAGAATCCTTTCTGCTAACGAATGCCAACTACAAGGGGAATCCCTGCCTCACCGTTTGCATATAGATTTAGGAGGAAATGCAGATTTGCTCATTTGGTTTCTGTGCAATTTTAGAGTCAAAATGAAACTAGAATGTGAATATTAGAGTATGTGAACCTTCTTAGTATAAAGCTGGATTCCCCTCTGACTTCTGTAGCATTTAGGAAATTGTGCCTTATAATAGCAGCAATCAATAATACATTGTCCTTTCATCAAGTAACAACAATGACTGCTGATGCTCAGATCCTAGTGTTCTGTAGAATCTAGCAACCCATTGTTTGGATACAAGGGTGCATGAATTAACAATATTCACTGCTCATTTTCTTTGTGTTTGCATTCTAGTCTTCTGGAAATGGATTTACTAAAAAAATACTTTCCAAAAAATGAAGTGTTGATTTTTTTTCTTTGTCAGGTAAGAGCCATAATACATGTTCATCATTTTTAAAAAATTGGAATAGGGCCGGGTGCAGTGGCTCGCGCCTGTAATCTCAGCTCTCTGGGAGGCCTGGGCAACATGGAGAGACTGTCTCTACAAAAAATTTAGAAATCAAGTGGGTGTTGTGGCAGGCACCTGTAGTCCCAGCTACTTGGGAGGCTGAGGCAGGAGGATCTCTTGAGCCCAGGAGTTTGAGGTTGCAATGAGCCATGATTGCATCACTGCACTCCAGCCTCGGTGACAGAGAAAGACCCTGCCAGAAAAAAAAAAAAAAAAAAGATGAGAAGGAAGACTATGCAACCCAAACACAATCATTGTTGACTTGTATACAATAGAGTCCCTTAACTCATCTCCACTTAAGGAAACCACTAGATTAATGGATACAACCTCTATTCTATCTGCAAAGTCCTCAGTAGGCTCAAGATGTGACACTGGCATTCTCACAGTGCATCTAAACACATCTCCCACCAGTTGCATGGTCTACTTACCAGGAGTCAGTTTTGTTTGTTCCCAGATGTGTTTATAAAGTTTGCAGTGAAAAAAATATGTAATTAGGAATTATGTAAATGGATGAAAATATAGCAAAGAACATTCTCCCCACCATCACCAAATGCTGTCAGATTAGGTATGGACATGCAACTATAAAAGATTGAGAACAAATCATTAAAATCTAGAAGATTTGTCCTCAGATTGCTTCAAGAGTATCTTTAAGTTCTTGCTACATTCTAAAGAAACTAGAAAATTGTAGTTGATGCATTAAGGATGTGAGACTGAATTGTTAGGTATGAAATACAAAATGAGCGAAGATGCTCCCAAAAACAAAATAACGAAACAAAAATAAAAACCCAACAACAATAAAACTGTAAATCCATGCAATGTTTAATATGTGCCGTGGACTGTTCCAGGCCCTGGAGAAATATTATTCATTTTATTGTCATAAATAATATTGTCATAATTACTCTATGAAGTAGAAAGTAAGTGGTATTGTTATCCCATTTTACAAAGGAGGAAACTGAGGTGCAGCAACATGAAGTTTCTTACCCTGGATTACCCAGCTGGTAAGTAATAGAGCAGACATTTAAACACAGGCAACCTGGTCCTTAGTCCATGACTTCAGCCATTGCCTTATACTAGCCTTTGATTCTACAGCAATCTTTTAAATTTTTGAGTAAAAACTCAATTGATATATGTTTGTATCTTTAAAAACAAATTATTTTGGAAATCCTGAAGCCTGTATAAAAGTAGAGAGGAGAGCGTGATGAGACCCCACTTACCCACTACTCAACCTCAGCAATTATCAACTCATGGCCAATCTTTTATTGTATCTCTCCTCATTCACCTCCTCCTGGCTCTTGAAATATATTAAAACAAATATAAGAAATCATATATTCTCATCCATAAATATTCCAGAATGCATCTCTAAAAGACAAGGACTTCTTTTTATTACACTTGATCTTAGTCAAAAGACCAAGAAGCGATGACAAGGACTTCTTTTAAAAAGCATAGCCATAGCCATAGCTACAACATCACCATCACACCTTAAAAAAGAGAAAAATTCCTGAATTTAATCAAATATCCAGACAGCATTTCAGTTTCTCTGACTGTCTCAAAAACGTTTTGAGGGATTTTCTCCCCAAATAGAATCCAAGTAAGATCACTGTAGTTGTTCTGTTTTCATCTACATGTCCCCTCCCCTCCCTTTTCCCCCTTCAAAGTCGAGAGAAAACAGGTCCTTTGTCCTACCAAGTGTTCCACACTCTGAATTTTGCTGATTTTTGTCTCCTTTGATGTCATTTAAACCATTTCTCTGTCTCTCTCCTGCATTTCTTATAAATTGGGAGGCATAAATAGAGGTACAATCTGACTCAGGTTTTGATTTTTTTGTCATTAGTCATAGGCAGTGTCATAGGCAGTGGTGTGATAATCCCACCAGGAGTACATACCGTCTGGTTATGTCTGTTTCTGTAATGTTAATATCTCTTGCCTGATCCTTTATTTTATGGGGATGCTATTCTACTATTCCTGCTTCGTTCGTTATGTGGAATATTTCCATTAAAGGAAATTTGTCCTCATCAACTCTTTAGTTACCCTAAATTTTGCACAGTAAAAGCAGGAAAAATGCTTGGTTATTTTCTATTTACCAGTTTTCAGCGAAATGAGCTATTTCCTAGCTTCTCTAAACGTGTCCGATGAGGGTTTTTTTCCTGAGTAATTTTAAACCTGTAACTTCACAAATATTGATGTGCTTCAGTCTACTGCAGTTATTGATGCTTGAACTGTATTATCTTTACCTGGGTAAACAGAACTTCCTCCATTTAGTTATTGGGTACTTGTAACACTACCCCATCATATTCTAGGCTCAACCTGTTCTATGTAATATTTTTAATGATATCTCTCCATATTATCTTTTGTTCTATTTTTCAACTAGCTGACAAACAGCTAGGAGGCGTGGCTGTTGAGGCTTCCTGGATTCATCTTCCAGCTTTTACATTTTCTGCTACATGACTTGGGCAAGTTATTTAACTTAGCTCTGCAACAATTCCTTCATCTATAAAATGGGAATCATAATAATTGTACTTACCACAAGTTGTTAATAGAAGGATAAACTGAATTAATGTATGTAAAAACACTGAGCACAGTACCTCACACACAGCAAAAACTCAACAAATAGTAGTTATTTTCATTAGGTTTAATAAGACTGCTTTAGTGTGTCCTCTTTCTAAATTTTTCTAAGCATTATTGACACAGTTGTGATTATAATTTACATTTATTTGCTTCCTGACATTTTTTCTTGTAACAACATACACATTATATATGTTCCAACAAACATTTCAGAAACACAAATTCCAAAAATGCTGTAAAACTCTATTATGTGGTAAATACCATAATTTACCTAACCTACAAGCTCTCCCATAAAGACAGCTAATTTCCAACTTTCCCTAGTATTAATACAAATAACGCAGTAGTGACTATCTTTGTGGACAGAGGTTTTTGTTTTTCTTCTACATTTAGCATTATTTCTTTACTACAAATTTCCAAAAGCGAAATGACTAAGTTTTGACCAAATTTATTTCCCCATGGTTTGTAATCGATTCACATTTACGTTTTTAGTGTGGACTGAAAAATGTTTATCCACTGCCAATTATTTTTCATGCTCTTTTATACAATCCGATGACAAAATCAAGCCATTGAAATTGGTCAGCGCTATTGAAAAAATGGTGTAGTATGGTCACAGTCTCCTAGCAGTCTATGTACAGCAATGTCAGCCTAGCTTCGTTGAGTCAAACCAGGGAGATGGAGGGAAATTTTGGCTGCCACAGCCTTGAGTGCGGTGAAAAAAGAAAAAAAAGAAAGAAAAAGAAAACCAGCACTCTGAGTAATCTAGTAATTGGGTTCTGCCCTCTCATGAGCTGACAGGAGACCACAATCACGTGAAACAACCACCAAAGATGGTAACAGCTCAGCAAGAGTGACTTGGGCTTAACAGGTGCAGAGTCCTGGCTTGGAAAGGGAGCTTGGCTTACCAGGGCTCTGCTGCACTCTTGAACCTGGCTGCAGGGGTATGAAAGGGGCTGAAATCTGGCCCAACCCCTGCCAAGCAGTGAAGCTTAGTGTGGATATTACCCTTCCAGAAGGATCCTCCCAGAAAGAGCAGATTTTTGCCACTCATCTACCCAGGAGAGGTGCTACTTTCGAATTCACACAAAGGCTGTGTGTGCCACATAGGTTCCTGACATTCCTTTGAGTGAGAAGCCTTGATCTGACAGGAAGACAGCTAGAGAGTGCTTAACTGTTGCTTCTCCAGAGTCAATTCCTTGTGGAAACTTTCTGTCCCTGCACCTGTGAAATGTGCTTAATGGATTTTGGAGACCTACGGTAAGATGGAAGATGATAGTCCTCAAAGGCCAGGAATCCCAAGGTGTATTACTTGAGCCACTCCTAAACCCAACAAAATTTCCCTTCTAAATTGCTATCCGCTCCCAAATAAGTATCTTAATTTAGCTAATTTTGTAGCCTAATGGTGAAGCTACAGACGCTAAATGAGAAAAGCCTGGATTAGAATTCTGCCTTCACTAAAATAATATCTGTGTGATCTCACATTCCTCCTTATCTGCAGATTCAGGAAATAGAAGCACCTGCTTTCCACTTTTCAGGGTTGTTTTGAGGACTAAATGAGTCACTGTGCATAAAGTATTTGGTGTGTTTTAAGTATTCCATAAAGGTGGGCTCTCACTGTTATTGTGCATTTGAGCCACCTTTGCCTCCTACCCCTTGTTTTGGGTAGGGAGTGGGTTTCTTCCTCTTGTGATGGGAATATTTCCATTTACCTGTGTTATACAGTCTTGGTTCTGGGGTTTGCATGCTGAGTGTAGCAGGAAGGGAGGAGGAAGCACTTACTTCTAAAGGGCACAGAATAGTTGCCACCTTCGTTAGCTATTCCTTTTCTATTTCCTATTCACCCAAGAGGAATTCCATGCATCTCCTCGGGCGTCTAGCACCGCCAGCGAGCAAGAACACACACCTCATTCCCTCCGATTAAAATGAGTAAGGCAAAGGGATGAAATGTTCCTTTCGGCACTCACTCAGGTAAATTGGTTCTCAGTGTTTAAAAGGAGAGAGGGGGAACAAGAATGATGCTCTGTGCCAGAGTTCTGTGTTAAGTGCTTCCAGTCCTCTGGCAAAAGCAGACTGTGCATAGCCCCACCCAGGCTTGAGGAGACTTCTCCCCACAGCATCTGTTTAAAATAAAAATATTGCCGTATGTCAGAGGAAGGTTTGAACCTTCCCACTGCTCCTCTCTTGCTCCTTCTGTCATAATGGAGGTAGAAGATTTAATGACAACCTTCCATTCCAAGGAGGAGAGACTAGATTCAAATCCTGTGATGGGGAGGAAGGACAGGAACCTAGAGGCAGAATATTGAATTCCAGGCCTTGTTCTGTCCTTTATTAGCTTTGTGAGCTTGGAACAGAGACTTCATCTTCTAGAAAGAAGTAATCTTAAGCTTAGGGTCCTTGATTGTGTCTTGCTTATGAGGTATCTTTGCCAAACAATTCAATGTGATTCTAATCAGACCACTAGATCTAACTACCAGTTTACAGAAAATACAGGGAATGGAGGAACATGTTAAATGACACCACAGTGATATAATCAGCAAAATCTAAAAGGTGAGAAATTTACAGGGCAAATCACTCTCTTTCTTTAACAAGAGAATGTCAGGGAGACAAGGAGGCCTATATAGCTGATAGAGATTTAAGAGAGTTGATCAAATGCAATGTGTGAACTGCTTTTTCTTCCAATGCAAACAAAGCAACTGTAGAAATACATTTACAGGAAATCTGAGACATTTGAAAGGGTTTGGATGTTTGATGACTTGAAAAATTACTGTTATTTTCTTTGGAAGTAACACTGGTAGTGCCATTGTGAAAGTTCTTCTTGGAGATACATACTAAAGTATGTATGGATAATAACAGAATAATATGATACAGAAATAGTATGTGTGCCATTTACTTCAAAATAATTTAGTAATAGAAGACAGATAGGGAGAGCGATGATGTAATAAGATCTGTCTTGTGTCGATAATTTTTGCAACTGGTCAATGGACTTATGATATATCCTCTCTAATTATAATATTCTCTCATTATAATATTCTCTCTAATTTTGTGTATGTTTAAAATGTTCCATCATAAAAGGTTAAAGGTATGAAAGAATGTGGGCTTTGGAGTGAGGAAGACTGCTTGGATCTACTCTTATTGGCCCAATTAACCTCTAATTCAGCTCCCTCATGAAGGAAAAAAAAAATAGCATCTGCCTCATAGGATTGCTCTAGGTACAAGGAAAACACTTGTCACCATGCCTGGCATGTGATAAGTGACCAGTCAATGTTAGCTGTCATTATTAATAAAACAAGAGATTTGGTTTAGACTCATTATCTTCTGTAGTTCTTTTCAACTAAAAGGGTCTCTGATTTCCAACCTATTTCATCATGTCTTGCTTGGCCCTGTTTATTTTCTCTTCTACTCCACATTCATGTTTCTGGAAACTAACTTCCTCTAACGTTCACCTCCCTTTGCCCAAGGCACCTGGACTCTTCACCTGGGCGGGCAGGTGTCAGTTCCATAAGGCGTGTTGGACTGACTCCTGGATTGGCAGGTGCAGGTTTCTGATTTCTTCACCTGTTCACTCCCTAGCTGGCTCTTTTTCTTGTAGCTTCCTGTTACCTGAAAGGAGAGCTCAGAGCTTCAGGAGGAGGGTAGAAATTGGAGTGGAGAAGGGCACGCAGGATGCAATTACATCCTGACTCTTAGCATGCCTCCCCAGCTTCCCCACCCTGCAGCTCGGCAGTGGACAAGAGTCAGACTCCTGGGTGCCTGGCCCAACTGTTTCTCCCTGGCAGTGTGGAACTGGGCAAGGCACTTGATTTTGCTCCTTTGTAAAATGGGGACAATAATACCCATGTTTTTGTTAATACAAAGCTAAGAGTGTAAACTCCAGAGCCAGACTCCAGAGCCAGGTTAGAATTTTGGCTCCACCTTGTATTAATGGCGTGATTTTGGATTTCACTGTGGCACAGTTTCCTCATTGGAAAATGGGAATAGTAACAGGATCTACCACATAGGATTATGGGGAGGCTTAAATTGAACAGTGCCTGGCACAGGGAAGGTAATCAGCAAATGCTGGTGGTTGTTACTGTCTTCATCTTGCTATCCTGTTGCACAAAGCATGTTGGGAGCTCACTCCAGTGCCTGGCACCTCACTCAAGCCCTTCTTTCAGGCCCGTTTTATTTCCAGACCAGCCCAGGCATCCACCCACCAGCAGTTGGGGCCAGCAGGGTGTACAGTGAATGTGTCACAGACCAAGGTCATGCAAGGAGAAACACTGTCACACCCATCCCAGTTTCAGACATTTCCTTTGCCCCAAGGCACTTTGGACTGTAATCCTTCCAAAGATGAACCTGGGGTGGGGTAGGATGGGACAGGGAGGAGGGAAGGAAGGACAGCCACGCCCTATGGGCTGTCACGTCTTGTGTGAAGTAAGTGACTTCCCCCAGGAAGACCAGAGAGGGAGGTGAGGCTGGAAAAATAGAATGAATCACCCCACCCTGGCTACACCCAACTGCTCCTATGGGCACCTTGAGGCCACAAACTGTGGGTCAGGAAGGGGCCCCACCACCTGGTGCCTGGAGCTGTAAGTTACTCCCCTCTTTGGAGCGGTGGTTTAACTCCTTAAAGCTTCTGACTCTGACTCATTACTCAGCATTGGATGGAGCCCAAGACACGTGGAAAATAAGGATGGAACCCAAGAAAACAAGAAGGATGGGAAACAACAAGGGATTCAAATCACAAAGGCAACAGCCCTGTGAAAAATTTTTCTTGAGCTAAGCCTGGTGGAGGGGCTTGATGTAGGCTAGGGTTACCCAGTGTCCTCCCTCCGAATTACAGGGGTGGGGATGTTTGGTCCCTGGCTCTGTTAAGGCATCAAATCTACTTTATGACTTAAGAACCCACACTCATTAATATACGGTCCTCCTCACCCCCTGTCCCCGTGACCTCCCCAGAATATAGAATTGTGGGCAGGGAAAGTTGTAAGGACAATTGGGCCTTGTGCTCCCTCCTCTGGGTGTTGAGAAAGATCTGGAATGGAATTAGCTTTGTGGGGATTTCCAGGTGCCGAATCCCTGGAGCATGTTCGAACTGAGCTGGGCTGTTTTCACCTGCCTGATGGGCGGCAGGCCAAGCCACACCCAGTTGTGCCAAGTCATGGGTCCAAAGTGTTTGTCACAGCATCTCAGCAAAGATGTCAGGCTGGATTTAACAGAAACAAAGCTAAAATGATCAACACCACCAAAAGCCCAGCTATAGGGAGTGATCTATCTTTCGGCTTAGTATATATTTGAAAATGTAAGATAAAGAAAAATCTTACTTCAGAGTAAAAGGAGTATGTGATTTTGAAGATCTGGGCATTGGGGTCTCAGCTCCAATGGTCAGGGCTGTGCGTGAGGAGAGAGGCTGGTGAGGAGAGCTTTGTCTATAGCACAATAGTTGGGGGGATTTTTTTCCTGCCTTCGACTTAATAAAGACAAAGAAAGGATTTGTTGAAAATGACAGAGCCTACTCTCCATAATGAGAACCATATTATATTTAGTATAGAGAGAATATATGCAACACATTTTAAAGCAGAGGTTTTACACTGCCTCCCTCCTTCCACAATATACTCAAGGAATACAACACTTCCCCAGGCTCTCTGTGGTTTTTTTCTCAACGGTGGAATGGGGATGTGAGGCCAGCGCTTCGGGAGAGGATGACTGTGGGTCTGAAAAGGAATGATATGAGCTGGATTAGGTCTCCTTGCTTGTAATCCCAGCACTTTGGGAGGCCGAGGTGGGTGGACCATCTGAGGTCAGGAGTTCGAGTCCAGCCTGGCCAACATGGTGAAACCCCATCTCTACTAAAAATACAAAATTAGCTGGGCGTAGTAGCACATACCTGTAATCCCAGCTACTTGGGAGGCTGAGGCAGGAGAATCTCTTGAAACTGGGAGGCGGAGGTTGCAGTGAGCCGAGATTGCACCACTGCGCTCTAGCCTGGGCGACAAGAGTGAAACTCTATCAAAAAGAAAAAAAAAGAAAGAAAAGAAAAGAAAAGAAAGATATATTGGGATCCTAACCCCCAGCATCTCAGAATGTGACTTTATTTGCAGATAGGGTCTTTACAGAAGTATCGAGTTAAAATGAGATCCATAGGGTGGGCCCTAACCCAGTGTAACTGATGACCTTGTATAAATGGAGAATTTGGTCACAGACAGACACA
The DNA here is from genome assembly GCF_000001405.40 of Homo sapiens. Classification (NCBI taxonomy): domain Eukaryota; kingdom Metazoa; phylum Chordata; class Mammalia; order Primates; family Hominidae; genus Homo; species Homo sapiens. The sequence goes on from NC_000004.12 coordinate 38,316,028, forward strand.
CACAGAGGAAAGACAACGTGAAGAGAAACAGGGAGAAGAGGGCCGTCTACAAGCCAAGGAGAGAGGCTGGAACAGACGTGCCCCTCACAGCTCTTGGAAGAAACCAACCATGCAGACACTTGAATCTCAGAGTTCTAGCCTCCATTACCATGAGACAATAAATGTCTGTTGTTTAAGCCACGCAGTTTGTGTTTAAAGGCAGCCCTGGCAAATGAATACCAGGGACAACAGTGATTCTGTAATGCACACTGTCCCCCAACCCCCCAGCCCTCTCCTTGGGACCTGCCATGTCAACAGCATGGAGACTGCAGGGCCCCAGGTCTGTCTCCAGTTCCTCCGCATGAGCCACTGTGGTAAACCCATAATCGGTGGGTGGGGAGACCATCTGTGCTGGTCTGATCTGTCTTTTCAAGTCCAGAGCAGCTTCTAGATAGCTTTTCCCTGTGAATCGACTGGCTGCCTCAGTCAGTGGTTGGCAGAAAATCCCAGGCTTCCCTTGGCTACAGCCATGTCTGGTTCTGGTTTCACGAGGGACCTAGGTTTACGGGGCAAACTGATCCAACTGGAGCCTTCATGGCTAGAACTCTTGTGTTCTCTGTCACAGTTGAGCTGTCTGGAGATCAATTCTACAATCCCTGCGGTTCCCAGGTAAGAGGGGGATGGTATAGCAAAGCCCACCACCACTTCCAGAAAACCAATTCAAAACGCACTAGATACACTCTCTTTATTGTAAGACTACAAAGAAATAAGAATAAGAATACACATTTTGTACTTTGTATTTTCATAAAGAAACATAGGTAGGGTTAAAAAAAAGTAATAAAAATGATTTACCAACAAGGGAGAAAAGGAAGAGGAAAGATTGGATTAACGGAAAGAAGTGGCAGCTAGTATACTTCTCAGGTATACTATATTTTAGAATTTTGACTTTTGAGTCATGTAAGTGAATGACCCACTCAAATAAAATTTTAACTTAAAAAGTGTACTATTCATGAAAAGGGGCCCAGAGTCCCATTTTTGCATTGGAAACACATCCTAGGCAATGTGTCCAAAGGTAGCTTGCTTTAAATGCCATATTACCCTATTTTAATAATGGTGATAGTCTATTTGTTTAGCATGAACGAGGGCCTGTAGAACCTGCTGGTCATAGTGCTATAATGGGCATTCAATGATGTAGCGTCATTCACAGGACCTTGATCTCTTAGTCTGGGCTTCCTAGGGAACCAGCTGAGTGGCCTTGGACTCAACCCTGTACCTTTCTGCTCCTCAATTCCTCATCTGTGACACAAGCTTAATTCACCTGTTCTGTGTGCTCATAGGCTGTTATCTGGCTCAACTGTGAAAACACTTTGAAATCACCATTATCATCATCCTCATGGTGGAGTTTTCAGTTGTGCATGTACAACTGGAAGCCATTGTGTCAGAAGCGTTTGAACCAGAGCAACTCCATCTTGAATAGGGGCTGGGTAAAATGAGGCTGAGACCTACTGGGCTGTGTTCCCAGGCAGTTAAGACATTCTAAGTCAATGGATAAGATAGGGTGTCAGCACAAGACACAGGTCATAAGGACCTTGCTGATAAAACAGGTTGCAGTAAATAAAGAAGCCAGCTAAAACCCACCAAAATCAAGATGGCAATGAGTGTAGGATCCTCACTGCTACAGTCCCACCAGCACCATGACAGTTTACAAATGCCATGGCAACATCAGGAAGTTACCCTATGTGCTCTAGAAAGGGGAGGCATAAATAATCCATCCCTTGTTTAGCATATCATCAAGAAATAACCATAAAAATGGGCAACCAGCAGCCCTTGGGGCTGCTCTGTCTACGGAGTAGCTATTCTTTTATTCCTTTCCTGTCTTGTCTTTTTTTTTTTGAGACAGAGTCTGGCTCTGTTACCCAGGCTGGAGTGCAGTGGCATGATCTCAGCTCACTGCAGCCTCCACCTCCTGGGCTCAAGCAATTCTCCTGCCTCAGCCACCTAGTAGCTGGGATTACAGGCGTGCACCACCACACCCGAATATTTTGTATTTTTCTTTTTCTTTTTTTTTTTTTTTAGTAGAGATGGGTTTCACCATGTTGGCCAGGCTGGTCTCGAACTATTGACCTCAGATGATCCGCCCACCTCGGCCTCCCAAAGTGTATTCCTTTACTTTCTTAATAAACTTGCTTTCATTTTAGTCTACAGTCTCACTCTGAATTCTTTCTTGTGTGAGATCCAAGAACGTTCTCTTGGGGTCTAGATGGGGACCCCTTTCCTGTAACAAGTGTACAGTTGGAGGCCATTGAAAAACAACCAAGCCTAAGATGGGACATGATACCATCTTAAGAATATTTGTATTTGTCTCTCTGACACTGTCTGCAGACTAGGGTCACTCAAAGGATGGATGTGGATCTCTTGATTTTCCAACTCTCACTTTCACCAAGCATTTTGACAAGGGTTGGAGGGGTCCTTTAATAAGAGGTATAGGCGAAGGAGGTAGGAACTAGTCTCTTCATCTGGACCAGAGAAGGAACTCTGGTTCTGCAAACAAATGAAAAGCTTAGGAAGGCCTTGTCCTGACAAAATTCACAGGCTTCTAATCCTCTCCCTTCCCCACCTTAAAAACACACAAAATTAAGGAAAAGACAAGAAAGGCGGTAAGATTCTTGAAAGAGCTTTCAAAAATGAGAAAAGAAAAACAAGAGAATAAACAGCACAATGTGTCCTGATATGTTAATATGTTTCCCTTTCGTTTTGCGTTTTTTTTCCCCTTTCCTTCAAAAAAAAAAAAAAAATCTAGGATTTTGTCTCCTCTAAGGAGAAATTAGGAAGGAAAATCTGACATAATCTCCAGAGCTGTAAAACTTCTTTGTATGCCGTCACTTGAGTGCTTTTTCTTACATTCCCTTAAGTAGCCAACCTACCATGTGGCGAGTTTGTGAAGCCAGGAAGGGAGGCAGTAACCCGAGAGGCGCTGCAGGGCGGCTCCCCACGGCGAGGGAGGGCAGGCGGAGCCCCAGCTCCTCCCAGCCGGCTGAGCGCTCGGCCCCTCCTATGGCCGCAGGGGAAAAGGAGGAGAGACCTACATTTAAAAAGGCAGGAACCTACCAACTGCAGAGTGAGAATTCCCATTCGTGAGGTCAAATCGAGGTCAAGAATTTCCTAACCATCTCTGAAAACCCCCTATTTAGGGGGTCAAGTCGGGCTGGCAACGCCCCAAATCATTAACTAAATCTAACTTGATCTTCAAAAACACAGCCTAGGACTGTTTTTCTTTCTTTCTTCTGCCTGAATGTTTCTCAGTGGCATTTCTGTTACTTCCTGTTTGTGACCGGGCTTTCCTTGCCCTACTTCCTTTTTTAGGGGTTTAGGTTGCCTCGACGGCCATTTCCACTTAGATAGATGGAAAAGGGGTGTGTGTGCGTTGGATTGGAAGGGAAACAGCTCACATTTATTTTTATGTTGTAAAAGTCTTTTCTCATGCATTCACATTCTTTCATTTACGTTCTACAGCAACACTATGAGACCAACAATATGATTATGCCCAAATTACAGTTAAAGAAACTCAGGCTCAAAAAGATTAAATAAGATGTCCAAGTTCACGCATCACATAAAGGCGCAAAACCTGGATCTGCGTTCCAAGGGTCTGAAATCCAAAGGGGCTTGGGGATTTCACGAGGTCTGAATCTAAAACTGAAGTTCTTTTCATTTATTGAACCCTTAAGGGAGACCTAACTTTAACTTATTTGGCAAAACTTTATTCAGGGAAGACTTTTATTCAATCTTTATTACAGAGTTTATTCTTCAAATGTAAAGAAAAGACTTAGCTTAGTGCCTTCCCCAGAGCAGTGGGAGAATTATGAAAGATGTACTATTGCTTTTTTTTTTTTTTTTTGGCAACCTCTCTGCTCTGCTGGCTTTCACCCTGGCCATCCCAGGACCGAGCTGGGGCGTTCAAGCTTGCCTCGGAGCCAGGCCTGCACTTCCAGCGTCAGGCAGTAGGGGGAGCAAGTGTGCAAGAGGAGGAAAGCGGCTCCAATTGGGCAGGAAACGTTTGAGACCATGTGTCCTTACCCGGCTCCGGTTGAAAATTTAATTTTTTTGGCTGCCTGAATGCTTAGGACCCATGGCTCCAGGCTTCTCTGCAAAAATTTATGCTTACTGATTTGTAGGGTGGGAAAAACCAGCCTCAGGGAGTTGTAGAAAAAGATTACATGTGTCCCCTGGATCAGAGGAAGTAAAAACCTCCACACGGTTGCTGGGGAAGGATCCAGGCCTCCTGGCCTCTGCCCCTATGTGAGGGGGAGAGGACGCAGAGGCCCGCACTATGGGCCGTCCTGGGTCCAAGCATCCCAGGACCTCCACCTGAAACCTGCCAGAGAAGACAGGATTTTGTACAGTCCCTAGCGAAAGAATTGGAATGTATACAGCAAAATGGGGAGAAACGTTTGTGTTTTTTCATTGTATCCCTGGCTTCTGGAACAGCGCAGGTGGCGGCCTGGCTTCTGGTACTCACATTGACAGAGCCTGTTAACTTAGGCTGCGCTTTGACAAGCTCCTTGAAGTCAGGTGGAAAAGAAACAAATGTCCTAAGCTTGAGCCTGTACTAGGTCTAGAATAACTTTAGAGTGCTGGCAGGTCACCTCTGCTCTGGGATGTAGCTTTCTCCCATTTCTTTCTCCATTACAACTTTAGTTTCTTAACCTGGGAAAGAAAAGTTTCAAAACTGCAGCAGTGGAGAACCCCGAGGGCTGGCTGGCAATAGTGTCATTCAAAGGAAAACAGAGAAGAACCAAAAGCTGATGTTTGCCTGCACTTTGGATTTGGATATAGAAGACAACTGATATTCTTTTTTTGATGGTGGTTATGTACAGAAAACGTTGGTCTTGGTTCCAAATACACATGAGATTTGTATTCTAATGCACCTGTTCCTGTGATTTTTTTTGTTTGTTTGTTTAAAATGGTGACTTCCTAGGGTATTTTTCTAGACCAGTAGAAAAGACGTTAACCAAAGCTTCCTGTAAAACTACCATTTAGGCATCTCTGCTTTCATTCTGCTCTGGGGTAAAAACTCCCTTCACTCTGAATAAGTTAGAGAAGTATTCAGAGTAGCTGAGATGGAAATGGATAAGATGTGGACCCACTAAGAGAGATGGCAATAATCTTTGGATCGCCACCCCTCACGGGATTTCCCCTAATATAAGATGATACCTGTGTATCATTGGTATATATCATCATAGAGGTATCTATGTATCTGCAATATAAAATGATATCTATATAAGGAACTTACAATCTTCTGGTACAGTTCTCACTTCGTATGGCCCAAGAACCCATCAGAAAATTTACCTTTTATTTGCAAACACTCTAGCACAAGTAATTAACAATTAACATTGATTAGTACCCTCTAGGTGCTAGGCATAGGAAATAAAGATAAAGACCCGCCCTTGAGGCTGGGCATTGTGGCTTACGCCTGTAATCCCAACACTTTGGGAGGCCGTGGCGGGCAGGTGGGGGAGCATCACTTGAGATCAGGAGTTTGAGACCAGCCTGGCCAACAAGCCGAAACCCTGTCTCTACAAAAATACAAAAATTAGCCGGGTATGGTGGCGCACACCTGTAATCCCAGTTACTCCAGAGGCTGAGGCATGAGAATCGGTTGAACCCATGAGATGGAGGTGGCAGTGAGCTGAGATCATGCCACTGCACTCCAGCCTGGGCGACAGAGCCAGATTCTCAAAAAGAAAGAAAGAAAGAAAGACCCACCCTTGAATAACTCACTCTGGTAAGGGAGACATCACATTCTAGGGTATGTGTGTTTCCATATGTAAATGACAGGGAGGAGTGTTTTGAGGAAGGAAGGCTCTGCTTGGATGAGGCAGTAGGTTCAGGGGCTAGGAGCCTCAATACTGGAGTCAGCCTGCCAGGATTGAATCCTGGCTCCACCATTTACTAGCTATGTGACTCTGGGCAAGTTTCTAGACCTAGCTGAGCCCCAGTTTTATTATCTATATGCTATAGGGAGAATCATGTTCCCTATTGCCATGGTTTTTTTTTTTTTTTTTGAGGATTCGGTGGGATGGAGCCAGTAATCACTCAATATGTGTTGGTGATGATAATGGTGATGATGATGGTGGAGGTGGAGGTGGATGAAATAGAGAAGGCTTGACTGAGGAATTCAGCAGGAGAAAGAGGGAACTGTGGAAGAGGGAAGAGCATTCTAGATGAGGCCTGGTATTCTGGGATTTAAGAAGCCCTCTAGGTGATTCTGATGCACACTAGGGTTTAAGAACCACAGAGTCATGGCAAGCTGTGGATTTTAAGATAATCATATGCTTAGATTTGAATTTTGGAGAGAACGCATTGGTGGCTGGATGAAGGACGCAGTGGACAGAGGAAGATAAGCAGCAGAACAATGAAAGTGAAGTGCCTACTAGGTCCAAACGAAAAATGATAGGGCCTTGAGCTCAAGTCATTGTGGTGGGAATATGGAGATAGGGGAAGGTACATGATAGGTCATGGGGGAAAGGGAAGAGAGACAAAGGGAATAGCTACTAGACATCGAAGTGGTAGAATTGACCAGATTTAGCAACTGGGTTTAGAGGTGAGGAAAAGGAGGCAAGGGTGAGTCCAAGGATAGCGGACACAAGACTTTTAGTACCAATGACTAAATAGTGCCTCTGTGGTCTTGATGAAGTTGTTCCTTTGCCCCCTCCCTCTCCCTCCTTCATCAGCTGCCAAGGAGACTGAGGGCACAGATTGGCACCCTTGCAGGGGGTCTGGTTCCCCTCTGGAATGCACCACTCCTCACAGTGCTCTGCACTCTCTAACCACACCCACCACCTCCCCATCGCCCCCCATGGTCAAGGGAGTGATTCCACCACCCTCTGTTGATGCCACATAGGCGGATGAGTCACTCTTCCAGAACAGCTGGTGGCCAATGTGCTTCTCCTCTCTTCCACAGTCTGGGAACCCTTCCAGGGCCCGTCCCATTCCCCGAAAAAAAAAAAAAAAAAAAAAAAAACAAGCAAAATTTTGACCTACCCTTTAATGCAAGCTCTCTTAGCAGAACCAGCCACCCACTTCTCCAGGATCAGAGGATCTCTACTCCAAAATGACACTGAAGTTATTGCTCTGTCTACCCCGGAACACAGATCATGAATTCATTATGACTTTACTGTTGCCACATCTAAAGTAAAAGATTGTAAGAGGGAAAGGGATGATGGCTACTCTGAGAATGGCATGGCACATCTCCTTCTTCCAAAGCAGTGTTTCTCAAAGAATAGTCAGTGCACCACCTCCTGCATCAAAATAGCTGGTGGCTTTGGTCAGACTCACCAAATCACAGAGGATGGGGTGAGATTAGAAACCAGGAGATGCATGTTTTTTATAAGCATTCCCAAGTGAATCTTAATTTACCTACTGAAAAGCAATAATGAAAGTGCTAGAATTTCCTTTTGTAGTATTTCTCAACCCACTATATAGCTAGGGTGACTTCACAGTTCTAGACCTTCGTAGCCTGCTTGGAGGAAGGCAGTACTTCCTTTCCTAAGGAAGCACCCTGTAGAGTTTACCAGATCAGTGCTTACTGCTGTTCTGTTCATTTCTTCGAGGTATTGCATCGCCTGGGGGGCAGCATGCAAATTAAGCACATGCATATAAAATAAGTCCAACATAGCTGTTTAAAAAGACAAATTAAACGCATTCTCATCCGCAAAATGATAGTGTTAGGTCACCATTACAATGCTCCTCTGTGTCCAGAGTTGGTTCCTTCTGGTGGGTTCTTGGTCTCGCTGACTTCAGGAATGAAGCCAAGGACCTCATGGTGAGTGTTACAGCTCTTAAAGGTGGTGCATCCGGAGTTGTTTGTTCCTCCCTGGTGGGTTCATGGTCTCGCTGACTTCAGGAATGAAGTTGCAAAGCCTCGCGGTGAGTTTTACAGCTCATACAGGTAGCGTGGACCCAAAGACTGAGCAGCAGCAAGATTTAATTATGAACAGTGAAAGAACAAAACTTCCACACCATGGAAGTGTGTCCGGAATTGGTGGGTTCTTGGTCTCACTGACTTCAAGAATGAAGCCATGGAATCTCACGGTGAGTGTTACAGTTCTTAAAGGTGACGTGTCCGAAGTTTGTTCCTTCTGATGTTCCGACATGTTTGGAGTTTCTTCCTTCTGGTGGGTTTGTGGTCTTTCTGGCTTCAGGAGTGAAGCTGCAGACCTTCACAGTGAGTGTTACAGCTCATAAAGGCAGTGCAGATGCAAAGAGTGAGCAGCAGCAAGATTTATCACAAAGAGTGAAAGAACAAAGCTTCCACAGTGTGGAAGGGGACCCGAGCCTGTTGCCACTGCTGGCTGGAGCAACCTGCTTTTATTCCCTTATCTGGCCCCACCCACATCCTGCTGATTGGTCCATTTTACAGAGAACTGATTGGTCTGTTTTACAGAGAGCTGATTGGTGCGTTTACAAACCTTGAGTTAGACACAGAGTACTGATTGGTGTATTTACAATCCCTTAGCTAGACATAAAGGTTCTCCAAGTCCTCACCAGATTAGCCAGATACAGAGTGCTGATTGGTGCATTCACAAACCTTGAGCTAGACACAGAGTGCTGATTGGTTCATTTACAAATCTTGAGCTAGACACAGAGTGCTGATTGGTGTATTTACAATCCCTTAGCTACACATAAAGGTTCTCCAAGTCCCCACCAGATTGGCTAGATACAGAGTGCTGATTGCTGCATTTACAAACCTTGAGCTAGACACAAAGTGCTGATTGGTGTATCTACAAGCCCTTTGCTAGACATAAAGGTTCTCCAAGTCCCCACTAGACTCAGGAGCCCAGCTGGCTTCACCTAGTGGATCCTGCACCAGGGCCGCAGGCGGAGCCTGCCAGTCCTGTGCCATGCGCCCGCACTCCTCAGCCCTTGGGCGGTTGATGCGACCAGGTGCTGCGGAGCAGGGGGTGGTGCTTGTTGGGCAGGCTTGGGCCGTGCAGGAGCCCACAGTGGTGGGGGGAGGCTTGGGTATGGCAGGCTGCAGGTCCCGAGCCCTGCCCCACAAGGAGGCAGCTGAGGCCCAGCAAGAATTCAAGTACAACGCCAGTGGGCCGGCACTGCTGGGGAACCCAGCGCACCCTCCACAGCTACTGGCCCAGGTGCTAAGCCCCTCACCACCTGGGGCCGGTGGCACCGGCCAGCCGCTCCGAGTGCAGGGCCACTGAGCCCATGCCCACCTGGAACTCGCCCATGAGTGCCGCGCGCAGCCTCGGTTCCCGCCCGTGCCTCTCCCTCCACACCTCCCTGCAAACAGAGGGAGCCGCCTCCGACCTCGGCCAGCCCAGAGAGGAGCTCCAATAGTGCAGCGCAGGGCTGAAGGGCTCCTCAAGCATGGCCAGAGTGGGCACCGAGGCCAAGGAGGAGCCGAGAGTAAGCGAGGGCTGCCAGCACACTGTCACCTCTCAGAAGGGGACCCAAGCAGGTTGCCACTGCTGGCTGGGGGGGGCCAGCTTTTATTCCATTATTTGTCCCCACCCACATCCTGCTGATTGGTCCACTTTACAGGGTGCTGATTGGTCCATTTTACAGAGTGCTGATTGGTGCGTTTACAATTCTTTAGCTAGACACAGAGCGCTGATTGGTGCATTTTTACAGAGTGCTTATTGGTGCATTTACAATCCTTTAGGTAGACAGAAAAGTTCTCCAAGTCCTCACTTGACCCAGAAAGTCCAGCTGGCTTCACCTCTCACCTCTTTCAAAAGACAAATAAAATGTACTCCCAAATTTCAAATAGTGATATCGACTTACCACTCAAAATATTTTGTTAATTGTTTTCTTGGTTGGAGGAATGGATTTCTTCTAAGTTGGGTCCTCCCTCACCTTTTCCCTGTGTGCCCAATGACTGACCAAGGCCAGCAAAGCAATCTGTGCTGGCTGAACTAGGTTTGTTGCTGTGCAAAGTTAACTGAGCACCTCATGATATTACAGGAAGGCGACATCATCAAGGTGCTTTGAACTCTGAGGAACATAAAAAGGCAATAGACACACAGGTTCAAAAAGGATTCTGAAAAATAAATTAGCTAGGGGGGTTCTGAATAATTGGATTTGGTTTACTTGTTCAGCAAGTATTCATTGAGTTCTGAACATAGCATTGAGTTAAGGGCTGAGGAGATGTAAAGGTGGAAAAGCCATGATCCACACCGTTGCAGAGTATGCTGTACGGCTGGCAAGTCAACACATGCACCTCAACATTAAATACCAATACAAGGCAGTAAATGTTAATGAGTGGTTGGACATCAAATGCTGGTGCTGTTCAGAGGAGAGGGAGAGAGATCACCCAGGGCTTGCAGTCAAAGAGGGCCTAAAGCTGCCCTCAAAGTTTGCAGGAGATAAGGAAAGACCGAAAGGATTGATGGAGCTCTTTAGATAGAAACCTACTGAGCAAAAGGCACAGCTCTGGGAAAGAAAACCATCCATGCTGGCGGTAATTAGCACAGGGATCAGAGTCAAGCCTGGGTGAGGGTTGGAAATAGTAAAAGATGAAGTTCAGGTTTCATTTCTTAAGTACTTATAAGGTGTCAGGCACTCTGTTCAGCCCTTGACTGACATTTTCTTGTTTAAGTATAGCAACAACATTAAGGGATCAGTATTATCTCGTGTTTCATTGTAACATGAGGAGGTTGCGGCTCAGAGAGGTTTGGTAAGTAGCCCAAAGTCACACAGCAAGTAGGTGGAAAAGCCAAAAGGCAAACCCAGTTCTACCTGTGTCCAAGTTTATGTGTTTCTTGGGAGCTCTTTTTGTCCTTTTTTTCACTTCTCCAGATCGTACTCCTCCTTGCAGCAGAGGCTTAGCAGAGGGAATAAAGTGAGGCCAGGAGGCAAAGTGTCCCATCCTGCCCATGCTGCCTGTAGCCACTGCCTGGCAAGGACCATATTTCTTCTCCCACTCACATGGCCCTGGGGGTGGTACCGAAACCAGGAAGGGGTGGCCAATATCTCTTCTTTGGCCTTCTTGGTCCTTCTGCTTTATGTCTGTATTTTTGATATCTTTGATATGTATTTTCTAAAAAGCAGGAAAATAATAATGGAATTTGACTTGCACTGTGCTATATACTCTACATGTCATATGGCTCCAGTGAGATTTAAGTTCAACAGTAAATAACAGGAAATTCTCTCAAAATGGATTTTTGTAAAGGTTAGTTCATTCCTCTCTTAAAAGAAATCCACAGGTCAGCAGTGTAAGGGCTGTATGATGGCTTCATGAAGCTTCAGAGAGGCCCTGCCTCCTTTCTTCTTAGTCTTCTACCATCTTTATTCTGCTGCCTCTTGGACCAAGATGGCTGCTTGAGCTCCAGCTATCACTTCTGTTCTCCAACCAGCAGGAAAAGGAAGCAGGTCAAACACCATTGCTTTCTCAATTTAAGGGCCTTCCCTAGAAGCTGATCACAGCATTTCCATTTATAAGTCACTGGCCAGAATGTAGTTAAACAGAACAACTAGCTGCAAGAATACTTAGAAATATAGTCTTTATTTCAGGCTGCCATGTGCCCAGGTCAAAATCCATTACTAGAAAAGAAAGAGAGAATACATATTTAGGTAGACATGGAGCAGTTCCTGCCACAAATCTATTAACTTATTTGATCTTTATTATCATACAATCCTATGAGTTGGATACAAGTATCCTCACTTTATAGATAAGGAAATTGAGTCTCAGAGAGGTTAACTTATCGAAGGTCACACAAGCTGTTAATGGAGGAGCTGGGACTGAAGTGTGTTTATCTGGCTCTAAAGATGTTCGGTCCTCACCCCTACACCTTAGACACAGAGTGCAAGTATTGAATTGATATTCATGGGTTTTTTATTGGGTGCAGGGGGAGTGTTTTTATTTTTCCTAACTAAGATGTAGACATACCCTTTATACCTTAATTCAACTGAGAAAGTGTTAACATTTTCCAAAATAAGTGTGACTAGGAAACCAAGGAGAAACAGAAACCACAATGTAATGAAATGGCGGGGCTTAGAGAGCACAGATTTAGTGTCCTGAAATCATGAAGGCCCGGCCAAGGCTGTAGAGGATGCGCAGGCTCACCTTAAAGGGCACACAGGCCTCGGTGCCTCTCCTGGCCTTCATCCAGTTGTTCTTAAACTTGCCCAGGGTGAGGAGTATTCATCAACAGATGGTTCCACTAGCTCAGCTTTTGTGATGTTTGGCTTTGATCTAGGCTAGTACCTGGGCCTCCTCTCCCTGCCATCTCATGCCAGCCAGTGGGTCCACCCTGGAGCTGGCTCACTGCATGCTGCAGCCTCTATCTGATGTCCTAAGTGAACCAGCACCAGTCCAGCATCCAGGCCTATAGAAAACCTCCATCATGAAGCTAATTAGCATAGCATAGGCGAAAGACACACCCCAGCCTGAGGAATGTCAAAGCCTTTTCTCTTCTCAGGTTACAGAAGACTTCTTATTTCCCCAGATGCTTTCTGCAGATAATTCTGGCACTTCCTCTCCAGCCAGGAGAATAATGAACCAAAGAAATCAGTCTTAGTCCATATAGTACAGTGGTCTCTGCAGAAGGCCGGCTCTCTTATAACCAGACACATTTTTGTTTCTGAGTGATTTTCTCTCTCCCACCCTCTCTCCCTCTTTTTCTCCATCCTGGCCTTCCTCTTTTCCTTCCTTCCTTCCTTCCTTCCTTCCTTCCTTCCTTTTCCTCCCTCCTTCTTTTTCCTCCCTCTTCTTCCTTCCTCCCTCCTCCCATTCCTTTCACCCTCTTGGTTTCTCTTTTCTTCTCTCTCTTGCTTTCTTGCAGGGTGCATGTGTCTCTGTGTGTGTGTGTGTGTGTGTGTGTGTGTGTGTGTGTGTGTGTGTGTTTCTATACTTGATCTTAGCCAAAAGGCTGAGAACCCATGTGTGTATTTCTGTAAGAGAGCAGACACAGTGCCTGCACCCAGCCAGTAATGGGATTCAGTGTTTTAAATGATACCCAGCAAAAAAGTCTTCACCTGAACTAGAAAAAGAGAGTGCATTCGGAAAAGCCTTCTCGGAAGACGTGGCATGGGGACACCAAAACAAATAAGCATGGAGACAAGAACTTTTGAAAACAGAATGATTTGTTCTCAGGCTCTTCTATCAAACCACCAGTCTTTTTGCCTGTGTCTAGGAGCCACCACCCTTCTGCAAGGAAATGAACAGCTACTTTGAAGCTAACAAAGCCACCTGAAGACGATCATGAGCTCCGGTTCTCTTGAAACTGCCTCCCTGGTTAGTTGCATGATTCAGGGTTTGTTTGCCAAAGAAATGAATGATTTAGGATCTTGTGCAGCTGTTTTTCTCTTTATAGAAGTTTCAGGTTTTTGTGCAAAGGAAATGCTCTAGAATGAACTGAGTTCCTCCACATCCCCATTCAGACCTTTCAGACTGGAAAAGTCTTGGCTTGGACCGTACACCTTCCAGCCTCAGACACAAATGCCTTTATCAGGCCCAACCCCACATAACCCTAAATGTGCAACAAGGAGGCACTGCTGACTTCCTCCTCCTCTTCCTCCTTCTCCTGTGTACACAGCCGTTATCCAGCTTGAGTGTCTGTCTGTCTGTCTGTTGTACTTGAAAGAATAGATGCTTTGTTCTCACACTTCGAGTTAGAACAACTTTTATCCACACTGACTTGTGAAGGCCCAGGATGCTCCTGTGGGACCTTGTTCATTTTCAGGATTTACATTACAATCCTGAATTCAGCACTCAGAAGAGATGTCACTGTCTCAGAGTAGGCAAAATCCTTTCTCTTTATGAAATGTTCCATAAAAAAAAAAAAAAAAAACAAAACCAGTGTCTGCTTTATAGCTGGAAAGAGTCACAAGTATATCATGCACCTGCCAGATTTCACTTCTTTTTGGAAAAGATAGTGCATTCCCACATATTATCATGCAGTCTCCCAGAAGGTTTGCCAGGCAGGAAGCAGAATGAATGACACAGATTTTCTTTTCTTATCACGCAGGTAAACTCGTTGCTCCTCATTTTAAAATAATGGCTTAAAAAAGATTTTTAAACCATAACTTATAGGAAAAAACCTGACCACTATGGAGGGTTTCATGTTAGATCAGTAAAAGTTAATGACTCCGGTGTGCCACAATGTTCTTAAGCACTTTTTCTATTCAACAGATCCTTATTAAGCATATATTGTATAAATAAATTTATGATATGCCCTGCTGGGAATGATAGACACATAAGAACTAGGCCTGGGCCTTAGAAGATAGCAATCTGGTAATTATAAATGGTTACTATTCACTGAGCAGGTCATGTGTGCCAAGCACTTCAGCTACCGTCACAACAGCTGGAAAACCCATCTTTATTCCCAGCAAATTAAGACTCAAATAAATTAGGTAGCTTTCAAAGTCAAAGACCTAGCAGATCATAAGAGTCAGAATTCACATCTGGGTGTGGATGACTCCAAAGCTCATTCTGTTTTCCACTACTCTATGCCACCTCTCCATTTAGCCAGGGATGTTTATCAGTCAGGGTCTTATCGGGAGACAGAAACCAGACCCCTTATTTTAAGCTGCTCACTAGGTAACTGAAAGAGTATAAAGAGAGCTCTTAAGGTGTCAAGAAGATAACAACTGCAGGAAGCAGCTACTACCCCTAAGGCTGAGGAAGTAAAAAGGGAGAAGCTGCAATGATGAAAACTTAGAATGTAGAGGGTGGGCCCTATGGAGCTGGAGCTTGGGCCTCTGAAGAGTGGATGCCGCTTGCTAGTGCTGATGTCTCTGAGCTCAAAGGAGTCTGAGGCTCAGACTCTGAGAAGCCTGGTGTCCACATTTTGGAGGGCAGTGCAACCAAGCTGGTTCTGAAGTGTTTGGGAGAACTGTCACCTGGATTCTTCCACTGCAATGGGAAGGAACTGCCACTGCCAGAGTGAAGAAGCGGTGTTGGGTGACACTCACAGGACTAGGACGCGGACAGGAAAGAGTAAGTCTCTGCTTCCTTCTTCAGCCTCACAGCCTACCTGTAGCCATTCTGTTGGCAGCGCCCGACATAGTTTCAGCTAGCAAAGCAGAAAGATGGTTTGCATCATAAAACAGAGTCGAGAAGGTAGACTTCGAACTGAATGACAGCTACTTGCTAACTAGCCCAGGAGGCAAGATCAAAGAAAACATCATCGTAGGTATTGCATGATCATGTCTCTGATGACTCTATGGATTATAAATACTCTGGAATTGAGAAACTAGTTAATGGTTGTATGTAAGGCTCTTGCTACTGAACTTGGATATTCTTGGGGGCAGGGACTATGTTCTTTTCATGCCTCTGTCTCCAAAACCTTCCTGGTAGTAGAAAGATGCTCAGCAGGGGCCAGTTAAAGAAAGGAATAACTCTAATGCTATAAGCTGTTATAAGGCTGTATGTGTTTTGCTGCTGGAGTTTTGAGATCCAGTTCTGAACCCTAGGGGCTCTTCTATTCCTGACTCAGAAGTGTGGAGGATTAAAGGGACTGGTTACTCTTAGTGAGAGCAGACTAAAGTGGTCCTTACTAAGGGATGGCAGCGTTAGAGTCTGTCCCAAGGGAGGCTCTTCCAGCCCTGGCTGGAAGTGTTCAGGATTGCTTCTCTATGGTGCTGTTTGTCTATTGCATGATGTTTGGTCCTGCCTTCAATACCAGAACCACCTTCTTCCTCTCTGGCTCCTGTCCCTCCCTTGTGTCTCACTATTGTTAGGCCTTGGAACATGTGTGTTTGCCTGGAGTTGTGGACGCAAACACTCCCATAATCACAGCACATACTTAGAGATCTGGAATAGAGAAAGAGGCAAGAGTCTGGGCCCTTAAGCTCCTGGTAATTACCATGGGTGATGCATGGATTCCTAGAAGCCCAGCATATCAGCTCTGTTAGAGCACTGGAAAGGGACTTAGAAGTCTACTGATTCAGCACCCTCATTTTACAGGTACAGAAACCGTAACTCAAAGGTAAAGAGTTACAGTTTGGGAATCACCTCTCTCAAACTCTACAGCTAGTAAGCCAGTCCAGAGTATTTTGCACAGTGTCCCATGGGTCCCTGCCCCTCTTTGCTGCACTTTTTTTTTTTTTTAAATGGAGTCTCACTCTGTAGCCCAGGCTGGAGTGCAATGGCATGATCTCGGCTCACTGCAACCTCTGCCTCCTGGGTACAAGTGATTCTCCTGCCTCAGCCTCTCAAGAAGCTGGGATTACAGGCATGTGCCACCATACCCGGCTAATGTTTGTATTTTTATTAGAGACAGGGTTTTGCCATGTTCGCCAGGCTGGTCTTGAACTCCTGACCTCAGGTGATCCGCCCGCTTTGGCCTCCCAAAGTGCTAGGATTACAGGTGTGAGCTACCGTGCCTGGCCTGCTGCACATTTTTGAATTGAATACAAACATTTCAGTAGAACATACTTGATGTGAGGCACAGAACTTTTGCATATTGTTAGAATCCTGAGTTGAATTAAATTAAATATTTTATTTGGAAAACACTGGGGCATTCTGGATTAGTTTCACCTTAAAGGTTTTATGTAGTATAGTATAATAACATTTTGTTCTAAATATGATTGCTAAATGATGCATTCATATAAATATATAAACATGGATTCATAAAAAAGAAATAAACATATATAAACATATATAATCTAAAGCCCTTGGAACCAGAGTTTTCTAGTTCATATTTCCAACTATAGGGAAATATTAAAGATAAAGTGGCTTACTAAAGGCTTTTCTATTCAACATGGATCAGCAACAAATTGATACTTGGTGGTATTTCCACCGGTAGCCAGTTTGTTCCACTGTTTCATTCCATCCATTTAAATCAGTAATCCTTACAGCCACACTGCTCCTGGCACTGAGACAAGCAGAAGCGACCAGCAAAGAGGAGGGGAAGGTCATCTTAAGTCTCTCAAGGCCCTGAGAGCAGCTGGTCAGCATCATAACCTCCCCGCTCCTTCCCCCCTGTTACTCAGGTCCCTCCCCAGAACTCTCCTGACCTGGCCAAATTTAACTTTGAGTTAACCTTGCCATTGCAAGCACAGCGCCTTCTGTCCAGATAAACCACACACAGTTTATGGAAAAGTCATGGAAAGGCAAGACTGAATGAGGAAATTTCTGTTTTTCTGGAAGGTTTTCTTGAGCCCTTTGCGAGAATTCATTTCCACTCTCCCTAGATGGGTATGATGGCGGGATAATGGACGCAGGAAACTTATCAAACATCATATATCAAAATCTATGCTTTATTCTATTGTTTGGATGCCTCATGAACTTCTCTTCATTATTTTCATCATCACTCTTCCTTTAAAAAAAAAACTATTATGAAGAACTCTGACATGAACATCTGTGAATCTACCCTTTTCTTTATTAGGAAAGGTTCCCAGAAGTGAGACTTCTGAATCAACACATGTAAAGATTTCTAAGTCCCTCTCTCAATATTGCAAAATTTCTTTCCCAGAAGCGGGTTCTGTTATCACAGTTCCTCTTGTAGTGTATAAAAGTGTCAGTTTCACACATGCTTGCAGACCTGGACTATTTTCTTTTTTTATTTTAAAGAACTGATTTGATGTTAAAAGAAAAAGCATATGATTGTTATTTTTCTTTATGTATGTGTTCGATCATTAATAAGGTTGAACATTTTAATTAAATATATGTTAGTCACAAGAGCAGAGACTATTTTGCTTATTGCTTGATCCCTAATGGTGCCTGATGCATAGGAGACACCCAATATTTTCTAAAATGAAATTTTAAATTATGGCCTTTCCTCATTTTTCCATTGGGAAATAATGTTTTTAATGACAAGATATTTGAAAATAATAGGATTCTATGCTGGCAAGACTAAGAGGAGTTTATTAATCCGATTATGATAAGTAGCATACAAATTAAGCTTTCACATGAGTGAATTGGTTTACCTTCCTAATTTGGGGAGATTGATATAGTCTCAAGCACAAAATTGTGAAAAGAAGTCACTAAAATGAGTTTTTATTCTGGCTTGACCAAGAATTAACCATGTGATTTTGCATAAGTTCCGTATGTTTTCAGTGCCTCATCCACAAGGCAGAGTAATATAAAACAAAAGTCAATGGATTTGTCCTCTTTTATTTTACAAAACCACCTGGATGATATAAAGGAATAATTCAAGATAATAACTAAAGATAAAACATTTGAAATGCAAAATGTCATATGCAAATACAAGTGCAAAGTATTAGTATTTCGCTCGCAGAGTTCCTGTTACAGGGCTCATTTTCTTTAACTTGGTATCTGGTATGTAATAAGTGTACGATACGTTACTTCCAAAGTTCTTGCTTTTACTCTGTGATTCTGAAATGCCCCATAGATTGAAAAATAAAGTGGTTATGAAAAGTAATTGCTGCTTCTATATTTGAATTAAAATTTGCTTACAAAGAATTAATTCAGAATAAAGCTTTCCTTCCGACTTTCCTCCCAAAGAAAGCTTTAATATGATACACAGAACTGTTCATAATATTTAGTAGGAAAATAACCACTAAAATGAAAGAGGATAATCCAGGTAGTGAAATCCTGATTTGCTCAATGTTTATTAGTGTACGTAGCTAATTTGAAACAATCCAAATTCTCAACTATAGAAATGGAAAAGCACATTACATTTATCTTAACGTGATAGAATGCTACTTAGGCAATGATGGAAAATATATAGTCTATGTCATTATATGGAAATGTGCATAGAAAGTACTGGCATGCAAGAAATAGAACACAAAACAATGCACACACCCAGATTACAGCCATATGAAAACATACGAATACATATTTTTAAAGATGGGAAAAGAATGAGGAAAACAAGATATGTGTGCTTATTAAGTCCTCACTTTCCCCAAATAAAATTGCCCAGCTCTGTCACTTTTTTAAAGTCAAAAAATTCCCATGAGTTTCATGCATAGCTTGACAGTCTTATACTATAACATGATGGCTTCAAAATGTGCATTGTTTCATAAATAAGCCAAAAGACTCTCTCCACAAAAGACACATCATCTGTTCGGGCTTGTCCATTGCTTGACTTTTCCTTGACTAAATAATGATTAATAGGTTATATAAACAATGTGCCAGGTACCTGTATTTGTTTTTGGATGGAGAAATTATTTATAGTTGTGTAAAGACAGTATGGCTGTCTGCTATTTCTATGGGATTGTCTTCATCTCAAAAAGAAATAAAGAAGTTTTGTAAGAAGAAGAGAAAGTGTTTTTTAAAAAATCTGTGCAATTATCTCTGGAGTTGGCTTATGTAAAGTAAAAGAAGAGATAATATCTTCACAGGTAGCCTGAAAAAAGAGGAAAATAAGAGACTGAAAATGTAAGATGAATTTCTGAACTTTGTGGGAGGAACCTTCACATAAACCACAAAGAGTTGGCTTTTGACTAAGTTCCCAAAAGAAAAAGTCAGTTTCCTGTTTGCTTGGGGTTATATTTTAAAGTCTTTTTTGGTCTTGGTTGGATAGTTGTTGAGAACATATGGAAAAAGTCTTGGCAATACCCCCGTCATCCCCAAAGAATTGCAAAGAACTATGCAAAAATGAAAATGGTGGAGAAATCATTTCAATCAACAAAGACTGCATTCCATTTGATACCAAAACTTTCTCTGGAGGTAATTTACAACCACAGTACTGGTAAAATAATGGATGCCGAGTAGCATTTTACAAAGTTTAGGACAGGAAGTAAAGACTCCTGAGATAATGCAACTGGAGAAAGTGTGCACGTGTGTGCACACGTGTGCACACACAGGCATGCAAACACATACACCATGCAAACACACACACACTTCTATGGTTTGAATATTTGTCCCCTTCAAAACTCATTTTGAAATTTAATCTGCAGGCCAGGCACGGTGGCTCACGCCTGTAATCCCAGCACTTTGGGAGGCCAAGGCAGATGGATCACGAGGTCAGGAGAGCGAGACCACCTGGCAAACACAGGGAAACCCCGTCTCTACTAAAAATGCAAAAACAAAATTACCTGGGTGTGGTGGAGGGCGCCTGTAGTCCCAGCCACCTGGGAGGCTGAGGCAGGAGAATAGCGTGAACCCGAGAGGCGGAGCTTGCAGTGAGCTGAGATTGCACCACTGCACTCCAGCCTGGGCGACAGAGCAAGACTTTGTCTCAAAAAAAAAAAAAAAAAAAAAAAGAAAGAAAGAAATTTAATTTGCAATGTAGCACTATTGAGAGGTGAGGTCTTTAAGAAGTGGTTGAGTCATGAGGGCAGAGCCTTCATGAATGGATTAATTCATCCATGGATTCATGGGTTCATAGATTATCATGGGAGTGGGATTGGTGGCTTTATAAACAGAGGAAGAGAGACCTAAGAAGGCACACTCAGCCCCCTCCCCATGTGCTGTCCTGCATTGACTTGGGACTCTGCAGAGAGTCCCCACCAGCAAGAAGGCCCTCAACAGATGCAGCCTCTTGACCTTGGACTTCTCAGCTTCCATAACAATAAGAAAGAAGTTATTTTTCCTTGTTAATTACCCGGTTTCAGGTATTCTATAGTAAGCCACAGAAAACAGACTAAGATACACACAAATATGCCAAACTCTGTTATCTAAGATTAAATGTGACCAGGTAGTAATAGTGGTAGTGATGATAGAAATAACAGCCAAAATTTTTTTGAACACACTGAGTCAATAATTGCATAATACTTTAAATGTATTATCGTATTTAATCCTAACAACATTAGATGCTTGGAAAAATAAGGTAAATTGTTTAAAATCCCCAGCTGGTAGGCACTATATCCAGAATTTTTTTTGAGACAGGGTCTCACTCTATCACCCAGGCTGGACTGCAGTGATGTGATCTCAGCTCACTGCAACCTCCACTTCCTGGGCTCAAGCTATCCTTCTGCCTCAGCCCCCCAAGTAGCTGGCATTATAGGTGTGAACCACCACGCCTGGCTAATTTTTGTATTTTTTGTAGAGATGGGGTTTCACCATGTTGCCCAGTCTGGTCTCAAACTCCTGAGCTCAAGCCATCCACTCACTTCAAATATCTTGGATTTAAACACAATTTTGTCCGATTTCCAGAGGCTGAGCACTTAATTACTAAGATATACTACCTAACCTTGATGCTATGATAGACTTTGGTCAACCTGAATTTTTTTTTTAATCACATAACTCATGTGTTCATGCATCATTATCTATGGATTAGTAAATGAATACATGCTGTGAAATAATGAAATCGTTGTATGATTTTACATACAACAAATGTCTCATGATATGACCATCTAGTAGAGAGTTTTGGGAAGCAATCCATGTCAGTCCATGTCAGGATTTAGTCCTCAAGTAAGCTAAAGCTCTCTGAATTATGCATTATCTTTATCTTCACAGTTTCCTATGATTGATAAAACTATAGATAAATTGATCAAGAATAAAAGAGCAAGGACACATATTGTGAATATCAGGAGCTAAAAAGGGAATACCAGTAGAGAGCCTATGGACATGAAAAGAATGAAAGGAATATTTCAGAGAAAATTTTGCAATATATTTGACAATGTAGAACAAAAACATTTTTTTGGAAATACAGCTTTCCCAAACTGACACATGATATAATAGAAAAATCTGAATAGCTTTATGTCAATTAAAAAAATTAAATTTTTATCTAAAATCTTTACAACAAGAAAACTCCAGGTCCAGATGTTTTGCTGGTGAATTCTATCAAATATTTAAGGAAGAAATAACACCAATTTTAAATAAACTCTTTTCAAAAACTTGTTTTATGAGACAAGCATACCCTAATATCAAAACCTGATTTAAAAAACATGAGAAACAGGCTGGGTGGGGTGGCTCATGCCTGTGTCCCTACACGTTGGGAGGCCAAGGTGGGAAGATCACTTGAGCCCAGGAGTTTGGGACCAGCCCGAGCAACATGATAAAATCCCATCTCTACAAAAAAGTACAAAAATTAGCTGAGTGTGGTAGCATGCATCTGTAGTCCCAGCCACTTGGGGCGGCTGAGGTGGGAGGATTGCTTGAGCCCCAGGAGGTCTAGGCTACAGTAAGCTATGATCACACCACTTCACTTCACTCCAGACTGGGCAACAAAGCAAGACCCTGTCTCCAAAAAAAAAAAAAAAACCCAGACAACAACAACAAAAACAAAACAAACAAAACTTCCAAAAACCCCATGAGAAACAAAATTAAATTACTGACAAATATCCTTTGTAAACATTCTTAACACCATATTGACAAAGTTAATTCCATAACGTATAAAAAAGAATAATACATTAAGACCAAGTTGGGTTTGTCCTAGGAATGCAAGGTTGGTTTACCTTTTTAAAATCAATTTAATTCACCATATTAACAAAGTAAAGGAGAAAAGTCATCAATAGATGCAGAAAAATCATTTAACAAAAGTCACACCAATTTATGTTAAAAAAACAAAACAAAACAAAAAACCTCTCAGAAAATAAGTAATAGATAAACAGATAAAGCCATCTACAAAACAACCTACAAGTAGTTTCATGCCTACTAAAATCTTCCCCACTAAGATCAGCAAAAATGCAAGATATTTTTTTTGAGCCTTGCTCTGTCGCCCAGGCTGGGGTGTGTGGGTGCATGGCATGATGCAGCCTCGGCTCACTGAAGCCTCTGTCTCCCAGCTTCAAGCAATTCTCATGCCTCAGCCTCCCAATTAGCTGGGATTATAGACGTGTGATATTGGAGGAACCAGCCCCCAGTATTTCAATGTAGGCTCTTTTCTGTTTTCCCTAAGTGTCAGCCAGTCTGAGAAATAAAGAGAAAGAGTACAAAGAGAGGAATTTTACAGCTGGGCCTCTGGGGATGACATCACATATTGGTAGGACCATGATGATGACCCCGAGCCGCAAAACCAGCAAGTTTTTATTAGGGATTTTAAAAGGGGAGGGGGTGTACGAACAGGGAGTAGGTCACAAGGATCACATGCTTCAAAGGGCAATAAAGATCACAAGGCAAAGGCAAAATTAGAATTACTGATGAGGGTCTATGTCCCACTGTGCACATATTGTCTTGATAAACATCTTAACAGGAAACAGGGTTTGAGAGCAGAGAACTGGTCTGACTAGAATTTACCAGGCTGGAATTTCCCAATCCTAGTAAGCCTGAGGGTACTGCAGGACACCAGGGCATATTTCAGTCCTCATCTCAACCTCATAAGACAGACACTCCCAGAGTGGCCATTTATAGACCTCCCCCCAGGAATGCATTCCTTCCCCAGGGTATCAATTATTAATATTCCTTGCTGGCAAAAGAATTCAGTGATATCTCTCCTACTCACAAGTCCATTTAGAGGCTCTCTGCAAGAAGAAAAATATGACTCTATTCTTCCCGACCCCACAGGCAGTCAGACCTTATGGTTATCTTCCCTTGTTCCCTCAAAATCGCTGTTATTCTGTTCTTTTCAAGGTGCACTAATCTCATATTGTTCAAACACACATGTTTTACAATCAATTTATACAATAGTGGTCCTGAGGTGATGTACATTCTCAGCTTACAAAGATAACATGATTAAGAGGTTAAAGTAAAGACAGACATAAGAAATTATAAGAGTATTATTAGGGAAGTGATAAATGTCTATAAAATCTTCACGATTTATGTTCAGAGACTGCAGTAAAGACAGGTGTAAGAAATTATAAAAGTATTAATTTTGGGAACTGATAAATGTCCATGAAATCTTCACAATTTATGTTCTTCTGCCTCAGCTCCAGCCAGTCCCTCCATTCGGGGTCCCTGACTTCCTGCAACAGTGTGAGCCACTGCACCTAGCTAAGTTGTTTTTTTCTTTTCTTTTCTTTTTAAAGTAGAAATGGGGTTTTGCCATGTTGGCCAGGCTGGTCTCAAACTCCTGGCCTTAAGAGATCCTCCCGCCTCTGCCTCCCAAAGTGCTGGGAGTACAGGCATGAACCACTGTGCCCAGCTGATTGGTCTTAAAACTGAATCAACATAGTACTGGAGGTTGAAACCAGTGCAATTTGGCAATGAAAAAAATAAAGTATATACGAATAAGAAAGGAAGAATTAAAAATTATTATATTTGCAGATTACTTGAATGTTCACAATTAAATCCTCAGGAATCTACAAAATGACTACTAGAACTAACAGACAGATTTAGTTACAGGGATGGATTTAGTTTGTACCAGGATGCAAAAATCAATGTGGTTTCATATATCAAAAGCAGATAAATGAAAATAAGTTTTAAAATTCTGTTTTCAATAGTTTCAAAAACATGTTCAAAAAAAGAGTTCAAGAACACTCAAGAATAAATTTAGCAAAAGATACACATGATCTTCACTGAAATACTAAAACACTGCTGAGAATAATTAAAGATGTAAATAAATGGAGTGATGTATCACGTCGATGGATTAGAAGATTCAATAATGTTAAGATACCAACTTTTCCTAAATTGCTCTAGTGATATAATTCAATTCAAATCATAATCCCACTTGGAGTTTTGCAAACATTGGCAAGCTATTTCTAAAATTTACATAGAAATTCCAAAGACCTACAATATTAAAAGAAATTTTGAAAAAGAACAAATTTAGAGAACTTTAATTACCTGATGTTAAGATGTTTTTTAAAACTGTGGTAATCAAGACAGGGTGGTACTGGGACAAATAAATTAGTGAAAAAGAATAGAGACCTCAGAAATGAACCAACACTTATGTGGTCATTTGATTTTTTAAAAAGATGCTAAAACAACACAATGAGGAAAGAAAAATATTTTCAATAAATTATGTTTACAAAACTGAGCATGAGAAAGTTTTTAAACTTCTGCTCATTAAAGATATTTTTTAACTGAATAAAAATGACACATTCCAAGAAAAAATTTACAGTACATGCATATGACAAAACAATTCACCACATGCATATGTACCCAAAATACATAAAGAGCTTTTTCAACTCAATAGTAAGACAAACATTACTTCCTGAGCTCCGCCTCCTGTCAGATCAGCGATGGCATTAGATTCTCATAGGAGCACGAACCCTATAGTGAACTGCACATGTGAGGGATCTAGGTTGCATGCTCCTTATGAGAATCTAATGCCTGATGACCTGTCACTGTCTCCCATCACTCCCAGATGGGACCATCTAGTTGCAGGAAAACAAGCTCAAGTCTCCCACTGATTCTTCATTATGGTGAGTAATGTAATATGCAATGAATAATTATTTCATTGCATATTACAATGATTCAAGGGCATTACATTTTTTGTGCACTTTATTTCTGTATAATGTAGAAACCAGTTCCTAGTGCCAAAAAGTTGGGGACCACTGCTCTAGAGGACCAAGAGAAATGAAAGACTATGTCCACACACACAAAAACAAGCCCAACTTGTACCAGCAGCTTTGTTCACAATAGTCCCAAACTGGAGATAATCTAACTGTCTATCAACAGGAAAATTGATAAACAAAGTTGGTATATTCATGCAAAGAAATACTACAATGTAATAAAAATGAAACAAACTACAAATAGGCAATTATATGGATTAATCTCAAAAGCATTATGCTGAGTAAAAAAGCCTTACACAGAAACATATGTGCACTATGATTCTATTTATATGAAGTTCTAGAGTAGGTAAAACAAAACTATGGTGAAAAGAAATCCAAACAATGATTGCCTGGGATTGGGGAGTATAGGCAGGAATTGACTGGAAAGGGACAAGATGTAATTTTCTGGAGTGATGGTAGTGTTCTTTATCTTGATAATTTATTCAGATACACAGGTACAGGCACTTGTCAAAACTAATCAAAGAAACACTTAACATGTATGTTTATTTCAATATACATACGTCTTACAGAAAACAGCCATAAAGAACTGTAAATAAATATAGAATCTTAGCTAATTACATGTATGCTGAAGTATTTAGAACGATGTGCACTAGCATTTGCAACTTACTTTGAATTTTACCAAAATACTAAACTGGATTGATGAACAGTGAGAGGGATGAGTAGATGGATAGTTATGTGAATATATTAGATGGTTCTAATATAGTTATGTGAATATATTATATTAGTTAGAATATAGAGATGGGTGTGTAGGTATTTACTGTAAAACTCCTTCTCTGTATGTCTAAAGATTTTAATAATAAAACATTGAAGGGAAAAAGGGAAATTCTTCTTCCTTCTGCGTGGAACACACTAGCTATGAGAATCTAGGAAAGCTTATAAAGCCCTTCCCATATGCCACTGTTCCAGCATTCAGGTGGCCACATCTTCCCAACTCCAACATAGTACATACTTTTTTTTTTTTTTTTTTGAGATGGAGTCTTGCTCTGTTGCCCAGGCTGGAGTGCAGTGGTACGATCTTGGCTCGCTGCAACCTCCACCTCCAAGGTCCAAGCAATTCTTGTGCCTCAGCCTCCCAAGTAGCTGGGATTACAGGTTTGTGCCACCACGCCCAGCTAATTTTCGTATTTTTAGTAAAGATGGGGTTTCACCATATTGGCCAGGCTAGCCTCAAACTCCTGACCTCAACTGATCCGCCTGCCTTGCCCTCCCAAAGTGCTGGGATTACAGGTGTGAGCTACCGCGCCCAGCCCGTACTTTTTACAAACAAACTTCAAACAAAGATTTCTGCAAGCCAGTTATAAATTAGAAAAAATATCATTAACCTTCTCAAAAAATGATATTTTGTCCCTGGTAGGACAGATATTAAATGTTTCATGCCGTTAATGTGAAACTATTCATATTAGCAATATCTTTAGAAATTTTCCTTAGTTGGAACTCAGTAATTGTATGACTGGTTCTAATTAGAGCAGCTTGGTACTTAAAACAATAAATCACAAAAATCAAGTCACGACTAAAGATATGACTTACCAAAATACCACTAGCGTTTGAGAACCTTAGGCACTGAAACAGTTTTAGTATACACTTGACCCTTCAACAACATCGGTTTGAACTGTGCAGGTCAACGTACGTGTGAATTTTTTTCAATAAATGTATTAAAAAATGGTATGGATATTTGTGACAATTTCAAAAAACTTGCAGAGTAACCACCACCCATGAGACAGCAAGACCAACCCCTCCTCTTTCTCCTCCTCAGCCTGCAGAGGATGAACACTTTATGATGATCCACTTCCAGTTAATAAATAGTAAATATATTTTCTCTTCCTTATGATCTTAATAATATTTTCTTTTTTGGCTCACTTTATTAGAAGAACACAGTAT
Source organism: Homo sapiens (assembly GCF_000001405.40). NCBI lineage: Eukaryota > Metazoa > Chordata > Mammalia > Primates > Hominidae > Homo > Homo sapiens. Next base: position 38,343,145 of record NC_000004.12, read on the forward strand.
ACAATGTGTACAGTCTACATGTAGGTTATATGTATGCAGTATACAATACACATACAAAATACAACTGTTTATGTTATCAGCAAGGCTTCTGGTCAACAGTAGGCTATTAGTAGTTAAGTTTTTGGGGAGTCAAAAGTTATATGTGGATTTTCGACTGTGTGGTGGGTTGGCTCCCCTAATCCCCTTATTGTTCAAGGATCGACTGTATAATGTGTGTATGTATTTAATTCTTTTATGAATTAGAAATAAATAAAACATTAACTTCCATGGTGAGATTAGATTTTTATAACTATGTAGCAAATTAACTGTTCATTGTGCCGCTGTAATTTTCAGAAGTGAGCTCTTAAATACTAAATAGCTCCAGGTTGTTTAAAAGCCATATATAATTCCCATACTCACAAATGAAATCATATTATACTCACAAAATGAATATGCTTTAAGGTAAAAGGTGATGACAATTGCAAAGCACTTTACCAAATGGGAGACCTAAATTGTTATTAATTAGAGTAAGTCATTGTTTGACACTTTCTTTATTCTGCTCCTTTTAGATCTTTAAATTTATTGCTTTCCAATTATACAATTTATAGGGGAGAGTGCAGCTCAGCTCTTCTGCTAAAACATTCAACGTGATTTGAAAGGCAGAGGAGAGACACGATGGACTAATAGGCCACTTTGTCTTTTAGCAAATGCAAGAACAGATGAATACTGTGTGAAACTAATTGTATTTGAAAGGACTACCTATTGCAGAATGCTAAGTAGTTTTTTTATAACCTTTGCTCCCTTCTTTGTGATAGGCAAGACTATCAAAGAGACATCATAGCATCTTAATGCCTCCTGACATGTCTGATTCTTGTAAGAAAAATGCTAGCCATATCAACCCTGGGGATGAAAAGAATCTTTCCTTGAATTTCACCCATCTGTGTAATTTTTCACTGATTCTAACTAGGAAAAATGCCGTGCTGTTCATGGAAGATGTGTGGACTAAAAAGAAAAGGATCTGGGGAAATAGGCGAAAGAGTTTACAAATCAGATTTCCAAGGGATAGGGTAGGAGGCGAGGGAGATGGTCAGAGATGCAGCTTTGCTTGCCACCTCTCCAGCGTTGAAAATGCTTCTATGTGTCAGTGGCTTCAAATGGACTCCTGGCTCTGCTCCCGTGGCCTGGAGGAACCCTCTCCCAAGGCAATCTCCATAGATACAGGTACTAGTGACAATTTAAGAGGATATTAACTACCCAGAACATCAATATTATATTTATATGTTATCAAATGATATGCCAACATGTTCTAAGCATATTCTGTGTATAAGTCATTACGGAGGACTGACAGATAGGGAGAGGCTCTATCTTTCTTCTGCATAAGGTAGAACCTCTTCCCCAAGGAGTTTATAAACTGAGAGTATGGACAGAGAGCATATATATGTATAGTCTACATTCTGACAATTTGGGGACCTGAATACCTTACTGCCTGAAAATCTGAGATACAGAACAGAGAAATGACTCATCACAGTAAGCAGTGTCAGGACAGCGTAAAATTGAACTGCTGTGGCCCTCTAGTTTATTAGATATTATTTTAATAGAACAATTAGCTCTATTGTTACTCTATTGTCTTTAATGTAAAGCAAAGTATAAACTATCAGTTGATCCAAGGGGGAGTCACTGAGTGATAAAATGCTAGAACAGGAGGAAAAATAACTAAAATATCACCTAGTATAGCAAGTTTTTTAGAAGTCGATGTAACTTCCAAGGGTTTCTCTGAAGTGAAGGAGAGAGGGAGAAAGAACAGGACCGTGGGACCTTCCCCTTTCACCCTGTTCTGCCCTTCAACTTCCACTATGACAGTTTGCTTATGATCTGTTTGTAGATTGTGGTTTTATCTATGGTTAGCTAATGTAAAAAGCATGTCCTGCTGAATAGAAAGAAGGAATGAATGGAAGAGGAAGGAAAAAGGAAGGAAGGATGGAAGGTAGAAAAGGAAAAAGGAAGAAAGGAAATAAGGAAAGAAGACAGGAAGGGAGAAAGGGGGGAAGGAGAAAGAGAAGAAGGGAAGAAGGAAGGAAAGAAGGAAGAAAGAAAGGAAAACCACTGATGTAAGTCAGCTCTCCTATTGGGCCTGAGGGCAGACAGGTTAAATAACTAACCCAAGGCTATCACTAATTCAAGATTAACAAGTCTCCATTTCCTGACCAGGGCACTTGCGGTTGTGTCGTGCAGATGCATTACCATCTGTGGCACATGCTCTGGGCTCCTATCCAATAGCCACCCCTGTCCTGCCCTCCATGCCCCTTTCCTTTTATTCCTTTCCATCAGTACCCTGTATTAATCAGGTATGGGGTATCCATGTGTTTCAGGGAAGGTTGAGTCCCTCCCAAGCTCCAGGGATTAAGATTAGGGTGTAGTGGATTGTAGATATCTGTCATGCATATGGCTGCTCATCATCTTTTGGATAACTTTTTTATATTTGGAGGAAATTGGGACATGCTACATACGTGGTGGTATTATAAATTCTGGTTTGTTCATGGATAATCCAGAATAGAAATTCACAGACTCCCTTGCAGCTAAGACACAATACAGACTCCATCTCTCAGACGCACCTGTATAAGTCTTCAGTTGAGAAGGGAGCAGTGTGGGGAAATGGGCTCTGTTTGGCATTTCCATCTTTTACAGGCTTAAAGGAGTAATCAAGGTGTCTGGCTTTCAAGGGCTGCTGCATCAGAAGCATCAGTTTCTCTGTGGTCTCAAAGATGAATTCGTAGTGCAGAAGAAGCACAGGTTGGGGGCAGCAGTTTCCTCTGGTGCTCAGTGGATGGAATCACTGGGGCTGCCTCCTCAGTAGGCCTGTTCTCAGGCATCGTTTAGAGACTTTGTTGATGGAAGTCTACCTTCCGGCAAAGTGTTCAGTCCTGATATGGTTAGGCTTTGTGTCCCCACACAAATCTCATCTTGAATTGTAATCCTCACAATCCCCATATGTCAAGGGTGGGACCAGGTGGAGGTAATTGTATCATGGAGATGGTTTCCCCCAAGCTGTTCTTGTGATAGTGAGTTCTCATGAGATCTGATAGTTTTATAAACATCTGGCGTTTCCCTTGCTTGCACTTCTCCTTGCTGCCACCTTGTGAAGCAGGTACCTTGCTTCCCTTTCTCCTTCTGCCACAATTGTAAGTTTCCTGAGGCCTTCCCAGTCATGCTGAACTGTGAGTCAATTAAACCTCCTTCCTTTATAAATTACCCAGTCCCAGACAGCTTTTTATAGCAGTATGAAAACAGACTAACACAAGGCCCTCCACCAAATAATGAGAGCTTTCTAGTATTTGTTTAATATTTATACTGTATTATGGAAACTTTAAAAGCTACATAAATGTAGAAAGTGTCATAAAATAAGACCCCATATACTCATTTCCATCTTCAAAAATTATCAACAATTTTGTCATTCATGCTTTATCTGGTCCCTTTCACTACTTTTTTGCTTATTTTAAAGCAAATACCAGGCATCATGCCATTTCACCAATAAATATCTTACCATGCCATTTTAAACACAAAAATTAACAGTATCCAGTGTTCTTGATATTATCTAATATCCATTCCATATTTTATTTTCCCTGATTGTCTTTTTTTTTTTTTTGAGAGAGGGAGTCTTGCTCTGTCACCCAGGCTGGAGTAGAGTAGCACGATCTCAGCTCACTGCAACCTCTGCCTCCTAGGTTCAAGCTAGTCTCCTGCCTCAGTTTCCCAAGTAGCTGGGACTACAGGTGTGTGCCACCACACCCAGCTAATTTTTGTATTTTTTGGTAGAGACAGGGTTTCACTATATGTTGGCCACGCTGGTCTCAAACTCCTGACCTCAGGGGATCTGCCCACCTTGGGCTCCCAAAGTGCTGGGATTACAGGCATGAGCCACCATGCCTGGCCTGATTGTCTTAAATATGTCTTTTTATAGTTGTCTGGCTTGATCCAAAAAGGTTCACATTATTGTGTTTGATTGTGATGTCTCTTAATTCTCTCTTATGCTAATAGTTGCCCTCCCTTTTTTTCTGAAACCATTGATTTGTTGGAAAAAACAGATGATTTGCTCTATAGAATGTACTACATCCCAGATTTAGAGAATTTTCCCCTTGCACTGATGCTTAGCTAGTTCCTCTACCCACAGCATTTCCTTTAAACGGTAATTGGATCTGAAGACTTGACAAGGTTCAGGTTCAATTTTATGTTTTGGCAAGAATACTTTCTAGGAAGTGCTAAGTGCTTGTATTGCCTCATATCACAATATGAACATTGGTGGGTCTTCCTTTTAGTGCTGCTAACACTGATTAGTGGGCTTTGGCCACTATCTTTTAAAGAAAACTGTCTTTATCAGCTAGAATCAGCTTCTGAGGTCTACAGTGAAGAGATCTGACTAATTTATGTGGTGATTCCCTTCCTGAAAATGTACATGAGTACATTCTGGCCATTGAGATGTGATGGGAAGTTTGCCGGGAAACTTTTACAAAGGCCTCCCTCGCCCTTAGAATGTGCCCAAGGAGAGGAATTCTCTCTTCCAAACTTTGGATGTTGTTGCATGAAGATAGGATATTTGCAGCTGCTATGGCCATCATGCAACCATGAGGGGACACGCTGAGGACAAAGGCTAAAGCATAGGGGATGGCAGAGCCAAAGAGGGAAGAACTGAGGGTACATGAAGATGTCAGTAGGCATCTAACTTAATCCAGGAAATGCACTTCTCCAAAACTTTTTATGTGAGGTAAATATTTATTCAAGGGTTCTCACTTGGTTTTATGACATGGCACTTGTTTTTGTCTGTTCTCATGCTGCTAATAAAGACATACCTAAGACTGGGTAATTTATAAAGAAAAAGAGGTTTAATGGACTCACAGTTCCACTTGGTGGGGCAGGCCTCACAATCATGGTGGAAGGCAAAGGAGGAGCAAAGTCACATCTTACATGGTGGCAGGCAAGAGAGAGAGCATGTGCAGAGGAACTCCCCTTTATAAAACCATCAGATCTTGTGAGACTTATTCACTGTCATGAGAACAGCATGAGAAAGACTTGCCCTCATGATTCAGTTACCTCCCACTGGGTCCCTCCCACAACAGGTGGGAATTATGGGAGCTACAATTCCAGATTTGGGTGGGGACACAGCCAAATCATATCACTGCTCATAGATAATGTTTGCATGATGATAATGTTTGCATGTCACACTGGCATAGGTGCACTGTGGAAGTTTATACTATACAATTAAGTTAGGAAAAGTAAAATGCAAATTACTAGGGAATATTTAGAATACAGAATTTCTATAAAATTTCCAACTAAAATTTCAAAAATTTCAAATTTCCTTAATGAGGAACTTGAGCTGCTTGCATCTGTGAATACAACATAACTAAATCAGAGATTTATGCTTGAAATGGCTACCTGAAATTACTGATGAAAATTTTTGATGATGATAGCTTCAAATACTTGAATATGACTGTCAACATGAAACTGCAAAAGTAAGAAGTTAAACATTTAAAAACTATTAAAATATATAATTGTTGAAATATATTTGACAAGTTCAATAACTAATTTTTCTCTCATTAATTTAATGCTAAAATTTCTTATATCAATGCAAGTGAATTTCTCATCTAATGTAATTTTATACATCAAATATGTCAAAACAATTTAAAATTCTAATTTATAGATTCACTATTAAAATAGGGACACTACAGCTAGCTCAGATGCCACTAAATGGTAATATCAGCTATAAAAGGACATAAGTGTCTAATGTACGTAAAGGCAAATGTTAGCACCACCATCTGGAGTTGTGCCTGCCAGGAGTGTCTGCATCACCCTCTACTCCACTCCCCAAAGCTTGGACTCCATGCCACATTCTTTAGGAACCTAGCACATGAAAATTCCCAGCAGCATCACTGGAGAAGTCCATGTCTTGGTAGAACGCCTCCTTGGCTACACTTAACATGTTGTGGTGGAGGTCTAGAAAACATTCCCACTTAGGCCACCCTGTGATAAGCCCCCAAAGGGCTGCTTGTAGTAGGAGACAACCTGCCCAAGGATTCTATCATCTGGCTACCCAACGATGAGAGATCATGTTCTCACAGCACAGGGTACCATAGCAGACTGTAGCCTTCTCTTTATACCATCTTGAGGTGAGTCTTTTTGTATTTGCAGCCTAAAGCATACTAGCTGGTATAACAGTACATAAATTATGTTCAGGTTACAATGCCTTAATTATATTTTACTTGTAAAAGAAACATATAGTATGCCATTCCTAATTCATAGGGCAGTTAAATTTTAGAGATGAGTACAATGAAGATCATATCCTCTATAAAAAGAAGGAATCTAATAGAGCAGATGTTGCTGGTGCCTGTGCCACCTTTCCTCAGTCCACCTCTGACTGAAACTACAGCTCTGGTGGACATTGAAATATGAGTTTTGGGCCAGGCATGGTGGCTCACACCTGTAATTCCAGAACTTTGGGAGGATGAGGCAGGAGGATCACTTGAGTACAGGAGTTTGAGACCAGCCTGGGCAACATAGTGAGACACTGTCTCTAAAAAAAAAATTAGCTGGGCGTGTTGGCATATGCCTGTAGTCCCAGCTACTTGGGAGGCTGAGGTGGGAGGATTGCTTGAACCCAAGAGGTTGAGGCTACAGTGAGGTGTGATTGTGCCACTGCATACCAACCTAGGCAACAGAGTGAGACCCTGTTACAAAAATAAAATAAAATAAAAAGTTAAAAAGACATGAGCTCAGTCTTATCACCTGTTGCCAGCACCTCATCTTAAGAACATTCTGCTGTAGCATCTTCTCCCAGGCAGGCACAGGTTAGCAAGTGTGAGAGAATTAACGTCCCCAAAGGCAGTCCTCATTTCATGGAGAGAGGAGGCTAAGGGAATGTTCCAGCCTCCAGTCTTTCAGGAGGATGATTTGGGGAGGGTTTTCTCTATATTTTTCCAGAGTCTTGGGGAATCATGCCTCCATTGCCCACAGTCGTGACTTTGATCTTGACTTTGCGTCCTCATTGTGACTTTTCCTTCAGTGTGTCTCTCTCATTCTCCCTGCTCACTCATGCCTACTTCCTGGGATCACTTCCCAAGCAAACCATCTAGACCCAAGATCTTATTCCAGACTCTTTAGAAGAACCCACACCAAGAAATCTAACATTTAAATCATTTCCATGTAAGTCAGAATATTGTTGAATAAATTGACTTAATTTTATGGGTCTTTCAAAAACAAAATTTGATATTTGATGATGATACTCAGTTCTTAAACATCAAACAGACATTAATTGTATGGATTATCCTAAAGCAGGAACCCCACTGTGACTCCAATCACAATCTAAAACCCTGCATGATATCTCATTAACAATGCATGCATCCCCCAACATCAAGCTGACGGCATTCCTGAAAATAGTTTTTAAATTGACTGTTTGCAACTTCGTGTATTTTCTAAGAGAAAATATTGCATTTTCCAATAGATACTGTTCCAAATAGCCAAGCATAGCCCCAATGCAAAGAATTATCCACTCATGTTCTGCTTTGCCAAGGAAGGGATGAAACAAGAGGGATTGGGCTTTGGGAGTTCTCCATGGCAGAGATGGCTATGCTTCAAGGTGCATCAGGAGCAAGAGGGACAGAGAGAGCCAATGTCAGAGGACAATAAATGATAGTGATGTCCAGAAGCTACAAAACGGAAAATAAGTCTATAAATAACTGTACTGGGTTAGATAGCCCCCCACCATCTCAGAATTCATGTCTGTCCAGAACCTTAGAATGTGACCTTATCTGGAGACAATGCTTTTGCATATGTAATTCCTTAAATTATGATGAAGTTTGGGGGCAGGACAAGATGGCCAAATAGACACAGCCAGGAAGAGCTTCTCCCACCAAGAAAGACCAGAATATCAAGTCAGCCAGCATATACCAAACAGATCTTTTGAGAGAATGCATTGAGAGTGGATGGAGAGACCACACAGACACCACGGCTGAAGTGGGAGGAAGCTAGGAACACTGCATGGGGTTGCCAAGCACTGAGACTCATTTCTGGCCCTAAAAGCCTCCTGAGGAAGGGGTGAGTGAGGTAACTGCAGAGCAGCCCACTCTCACCGTGAACCTCTGGGATCTAGTTGCAGGAGATCCCATGGCCTCATGGATATTTGAGTTGGCAGAGAGAATTAACTGATGAGTTGGTAGAGACAGAGCACAATTCTCTATGGAGCCCAGGGAGTTTGGCACAGGGACAGGTACAAAGGAACATGGTCATAGGCACCCATCCCCAAAGGCTCTTCATACTCCTCTAGGTGGTTCTGACCTTTGTTAACTGCCAGATCTAGAGAGAGCAGGGCTATTTTTTCCATGGGACTGGGGCAAATCTGATCTGCACACCACCCCATCCACCAGCCTGCTTGCTTTCAAACAACCACACTAGCTCCCCAGCAATGGGTCTTAACCAGATGACATGCCTTAAATGACAGACATAGAATTCAGAATCTGCATGGCAAGGAAGCTCAATGAGATACAGGAGAAGGTTGAAACCCAATCCAAAGGAAACAGTAAAACAATCCCAAAGTTGAAAGATGACACAGCCATTTTAAGAAAGAACCAAACTGAACTTTTGGAATTGAAAAATTTATTACAGGAATTTCATAATACAATTGGAAGTATTAACAACAGAGTAGAAGAAGTTGAGGAAAGAATCTCAGAGCTCAAAGACTGTTCCTTTGAATCAATGCAAACAAAAATAAAGAAAAAGTATTTTTTTAAATGAACAAAACCTCTGAGAAATAAGGGATCATGTAAAGAGACCAAACCTATGACTCATTGGCATCCCAGAAAGAGAGGGAGAGAGAGCAAGCAACTTGGAAAACATATTTGAGGATATTGTCCATGAAAATTTTCCCAGCGTTGCTAGAGAAGCGGACATGCAAATCCAAGAACTTTAGACAACCCTAGCAAGATACTATATGAGATGACCATCCCCAAGACACATAGTCATCAGACTCTCTTAGGTGATTGTGAAATAAAAAAAATATTAAAAGCAGCTAGAGAGAAGGGTTGGGTCATGTACAAAGGGAATCCCATCAGGCTAACAGCAGACTTTCAACAGAAACCATGTAAGCCACAAGAGATTAGGGACCTATATTCAGCTTCCTTAAAGAAAAGAAATTCCAACCAAGAATTTCATATCCAGTCAAACTAAGCTTCATAAGAGAAGAAGAAATAAAATCTTTATCAAATAAACAAATGCTCAGGGAGTTTGTTACTACAAGACTTGCCTTACAAGAGGTCCTTAAGGGAGTGCTAAACATTGAAATAAAAGAAAGACACATTCCACCACAAAAACACACTTTAGCATATAGCCCACTGACATTATAAAGCAACTACACAGTCAAGTCTACATAAAAACCAGCTAACAACACAACTGATCCCACAGAAATACAAAAAATACTCAGAGACTATTACAAACACCTTTAGGCACACAAACTAGAAAACCTAGAAGAAATGGATAAATTCTGCCCCCCCAAAAAAAACAACCTCCCAAGATGGAAACAGGAAGAAATTGAAACCCTAAACAGACCGATATTGAGTTCCAAAATTGAATCAGTAATTTTAAAAAGTACCAATAAAAAAAGTCCTGTACCAGATGGATCCACAGCCAAATTCTATTCGAGGTACAAAAAGAGCTAGTACCAATCCTACAGAAATTATTCTAAAAAATCTAGAAGGAGGGACTCCTCCTTAACTCATTCTGTAAAGCCAGCATTATTCTGATATGAAAACCTGACAAAGACACAACAAAGAAAAGAAAATTTCAGGCCAATATCCCTGATGAACATAGAGGCAAAAATTCTTCAACAAAATACTTGCAAACCAAATCCAACAGCACATCAAAAAGTTAATTGACCATGATCAAGTAGGCTTCATTCCTGGGATGCAAGGTTGGTTTAACATACGTAAATCAATAAAGTTGATTTACTACATACAAGAATTAAATACAAAAACCATATGATCAATGTAATAAATGAAGAAAAGTCTTTTGATAAAATTTGACATTGCTTCATGTTGAAAAAACCCTCAACAAATTAGGCATTGAAGGAACATACCTCAAAATAATAAGAGCCATCTATGACAAATCCATAGCCAACATCATACTGAATGGTGGAACATCATACTGAACGCTGGAAGCATTCCCCTTGAGAACTGGAAGGAGACAAGAATGCCAACTCTTACTATCACTCCTATTTAGCACAGTACTGGAAGTCCTAGCCAGAGCAGTCAGGCAAGAGAAAGAAAGATAAAACATCCAAATAGGAAAAGAAGAAATCAAATTATGTCTCTTTACAGATAACATGATTCCTATACCTAGAAAACCCTAAAGACTCCACCAAAAGGCCTCTAGAACTGATAAATGACTTCAGTAAAGTTCCAGGATACAAAATCAATGTACAAAATTCAGTGCATTTCTATACACCAATAGCATTCAACCTGAGAGCCAAATCAAGAATGCAATTCCATTTACAATAGCCACAAAAAAATACCTGGGAATATATCTAACCAAGGAGGTGAAAGATCTCTACAACAAGAATTACAAAACACTTCTAAGAGAAATCAGACAACAACACAAACAATGAAAAAGCATCCCATGCTCATGAGTAGGAAGAATCAATATTGTTAAAATGGCCATAGTGCCCAAAGGAATTTATGATGTCAATAATATTCTTATCAAGCTACCAATATAATTTTTCACAGAATTAGAAAAAACTATTCTAAAATTCATATGGAATCAAAAAAGAGCCCAAGTAGCCAATGTAATTCTAAGCAGAAAGAGTAAAGCCAGAGGCATCATACTATCTGACTTCAAACTATACTACAAGGTTAGAATAACAAAAACAGCATGGTGATGGCATAAAAACAGACACATAGACCAAAAGAACAGGATAGATAACCCAGAAATAAGGCTGCACACCTACAACCATCTAATCTCTGACAAAGTCAACCAATACAAGCAATGGTGAAAGGACTCCCTCTCTATTCAATAAATGGTGCTGGGGTAGCTGGATAGCCATATGCAGAAAATTGAAACTAGACCCCTGCCTTTTACCGTATATGAAAATTAACTCAAGATGGATTAGAGATCTAAATATAAGACCTAAAACTATAGTAATTCTAGAAAAAACCTTAGGAAACACCATTCTGGACATCAGCCTTGGCAAAGAATTTATGAGTAAGTCCGCAAAATCATTTGCAACATAAATAAAAACTGACAAGTAGGCCTAATTAAACTAAAGAGCTTCTGCACAGCAAAGGAAACTATTAACGGAGTAAACAGACAACCTACAAAATGGTAGAAAATGTTCTCAAACTATGCATCCAACAAAGGTGTAATCCAGAATCTATAAGGAACTTAAACAATTGAACAAGCAAAAAACAAATAACCCTGTTAAAAAATGGGCATAAAACATGAACAGACACTTCTCAAAAGAAGACATACAATCAGGCAACAAACTTGAAAAAATGTTCAACATCACTAATCATTAGAGAAATGCAAATCCAAACCAAAATGAGATACTATCTTACACCAGTCAGAATGGCTGTTATTAAAAAGTCAAATTACAGATATTGCCAGGACTGCAGAGAAAGGTGAACACTTATACACTGTTGGTGGGAATGTAAATTAGTTCATCCACTGTGGAAAGCATTTGGGAGATTTCTCAAAGAACTAAAAACAGAACTCCCATTCCACCCAGCAATCCCATTACTAAGTATACACCCAAAGGAAAACAAATCATTCTACCAAAACGTCATATGCACTTGCATGTTCACCCCAGCACCATTCACACTACCAAAGACGTGGACTCAACCTAGATGCCCATCAGTGATGGACTGGATAAAGAAAATAGTATGTATATACCATGGAATACTATGCAACCATGAAAAAGAACAAAATCATGTCCTTTGTAGCAACACGGATACCCCAGCTGGACACTAACATCATAAGTGAATTAACACGGGAGCAGAAAACCAAATACCACATGTTCTTACATACATATGGGAGCTAAACACTGAATACACATGGACACAAAGATGAAAACAATACACATTGGGGATGACTAGAGGGAGGGTGCGAGTGTTGGAAAACTATCAGATACTATGCTCACTACATGAGTGACAGGATCAAAGAAGACGAAGTCTTCCTGCATCAGGGTGGGCTCTAAATCCAATTACTGGTGTTCCTATAAGACACAAAGAAAGGAATAAGGGAATGTGAGGATGGAGGCAGGGGTTGGAGTGATGCAGCTAAAAGCCAAGGAACACCAAGGATGTCTGGAAGCCACTAGAAGCTGAAACGAGCAGCTTTGGAGGGAGTAGGGCCTGGCCAACACCTCGACTTCAGATTCTAGCCTCCTGAACTACAGGAGAATAAATTTATATTGTTTTAAGGCACACAGTTTGTGGTAATTTGTCATGGCAACTCTGGGAAACTAATCCAATAGCTAAAAAAAAAAAACCCTGGGAGCTGGGTCTTGGATCAAAAAAGATTAATCATTTGTTTTCAAATATCAATTCCTGTCCCCTCTGTTCTCAGGGAATTTTATAACCAGTTTCTTATTTCTGTAGCTGCCAAGAGAGTAGAACAGAGGAGAATCTCTCGTTTTACATTAAAATGTCGTGAGATGCAATGTAAAGTAATGTGATATGATGTAATGTCATATCCTAAAGTCAGGGTTAAATTCCACCTAAATGCTTCTAGTAATGGGAACGATGAAGCTTTATTGAGTGCTTCCTGTGTGAACAGAACTGTATAACTCATCAGCCTTCACAACAACCTTATGATAGGGTAGGTGTTATTATTATTATTATTATTATTATTGGAGATGGAGTCTCGTTCTGTCGCCCAGGCTGGAGTACAGTAGTGTGATCTCTGCTCACTGCAACCTCCGCCTCCTGGGTTCAAGCAATTCTCCTGCCTTGGCCTCCCAAGTAGCTGGGACTACAGGCGCACACCCCATGCCTGGCTAATTTTTTGTATTTTAGTAGAGACGGGGTTTCACTGTGTTGCCCAGGCTTTCTCGATCTCCTGAGCTCAGGCAATCCGCCCGCCTTGGCCTCCCAAAGTGCTAGGATTACAGGCATGAGCCACCGTGCCCAGCTCAGGTCCTATTATTATTACTATTTGACAGACGAGGACACTGAACCTTGTCTCCAAAGGCACATGGCTGGTAAATGGTCAAAGACAGGATTTGACCAAGAAACTGACTCCAGAGCTCGTGCTCCTAACCACTACGTTATCTATATGCCTCGTAAACATGGGAATGCCACGCAAAATGATTCTTTAAAAAACAACAAAAAACTATTCTTTCTGTTTGCTGAAATATAATATGGGCAAGTTAAGATCTGGGGAAAAAATCTCAATTCATAAAGCGGCAGAGCAGACGCATATGCATAGAAAACTATCCACAAGAAAATAAATCAGCAGAAGTATGTCATGTCTTAATTTTTTTAAAAGCAACATTTTTCATTTTTCAACGTTGTGGTGCTGCCACCATTACACACACACAGCCCTCCAAAAAGAATCTTGACCTAAACTTTATAATTTATACAAAAAAGAATTCACAATGAGTCATAGATTTATGCATTCAAATGTAAAATGTAAAACAATACTACTTTTAGAAGGAAACAGGATATAGGAAAGGAATTTTTTTTATTACCATTCTTTTTCTTTTTTTTTTTTTTGAACATACAAAAAGCTATACAAAATGATTCTTTTATGCAGATAAAAATATCCCAGACACTCTCTTCACTCCTCACATCCTTACCCAGTGGCCTAGAGCATATCTCAAATGAGCCTGGTAGATCATTTGATCACAACTCAAGTCTTGGTGTCCAGTTAACCTTTTTTGAGACTGTTGTTATGTACTCAGCCATGACATTGTCTTCCTTAAGGTGCATGGGTTAGGTGACACATCAAATCATTTTTACCTTTAAGGAATTAAGATGAATATTGGTGAAGTAAACTTGCCAGGGCCACCCTTCTGGTTTTCCTAACTTCCCTAACTTTTAAAAATCCTTCACTCTTTCCCTTTCATCTACAGGATAAAATTCAAACTCCTTGGTATGTTTTATACCAGAGGTTGGTAAACTTTTTCTGTAAAGGATCACAGAGTATATATTTTAGGCTGGCCATAGGGTTTCTGTCCACTGCTCACCTTTGTAGTAAAGAATGAGGAAGCAGGCCGGGCATGGTGGCTCATGCCTGTAATCCCAGCACTTTGGGAGGCCAAGGCGGGTGGATCACCTGAGGTCAGGAGTTCAAGACCAGCCTGGCTAACGTGGTGAAACCCTGTCTCCACTAAAAATACAAAAAATTAGCTGGGTGTGGTGGCATGTACCTGTAGTCCCAGCTACTTGGGAAGCTGAGGCAAGAGAATTGCTTGAACCCGGGAGGCGGAGGTTGCAGTGAGCAGAGATTGCACCACTGCACTCTAGGCTGGGCGACAGAGTGAGACTCTCTATCAAAAAAACAAAAAAAAAACACCACCACCACCACCAAAAAGAATGAGGAAGCCGCCATAAACAATATGTAAAAGAATGGACACAGCTGTGTTTCAATAAAGCTTTATTTACGAAAACAACTAGCGAGCCAGATTTGACTTGAGGGCCATAGTTTGTCTACCCCTGCAGTTCTTCAAAAGCTGCTGCACCCTAAATTGTATACTCCATCTTCAGTCACACTGAAGTTCTTATACTTTTCAAATTCACATGCTGTTTTAATTATTTGAGCCTCTGCATAGTCTATATGTTTTGTTTGCATGCCTTTCTCCATCTTTTCTCATTCCATTATCAGGTTAGCAAACTCCCATGGACAGCAGACCATTCCATATGAGCTACTGGCAACACTTACCCCATTGCATTGTAACTATTCATTAATTGACCTGTAATTAACCATTGATGTGATCACAGCTTACTGATCATAGTACCTCAAGGAACATACTTGCTTGCTGCATACTTCCAGCCAGTGCTGTCACTTTGTATTACATCAATCACACCCTGTTGTAGTGTGTATGTTTCTGCTTGCATATTTTCTTTGGCTGCTAGGAATCCCAGAGCCAAAATAGAGGCTTCATGTCAGCCACCATAGAAGACTTTACAACATGCACATGTGTGTTTCTCTCCTCTATCCTAGGCCACCTCCTTATTCGGACATATTTCCTGTAGATCTGATATTTTGTTTGCATTTTGCTATTTTATGTGGGCATTGCTTAAAAGCTACCTCAAACATTTGTATAAAAAGGCAGGATTCATTCATTCATTTCTTCATCTGCAACTAAGTCATATTTCCCCTTGATCACTTTTTGTACTTTTTCAAAGTAGAAACACTCTGTATTTTTACCTAGAACCTAGTGATGTACTTAGTATATTGATGACATTATTTCAGGAATAATTGTGAAATAAAATGAATAATAATAGCCAGAAGAGAAATGGATAAATAATAAAATTTGCTAATTTGAGGCTTATCTATATATTATTAAATCCAAAGGTAACAGCTATAATTGTGTAGAACTTACACTAATACAAGTTTTTTGAGGAAAGGCATTTTATCTCTGACATGGTTGAAGACTGTTCATGATGTGGTGATAATAAAAAGTAACCATCTCTTAATTGGCTTTATTATCGTTTTCAAATTCTCCACAGAAAATGTACACCTACTCCCCCCCACCACACACACAGGCATGGGTGTGCGCGCACACACACACACACACACACACATACACACCAGATATTCAGAAACATCATTGCTAGAACCTAAACTGGTGGATTAAAACTTCATATTTGGAAGTTTCAAGTTAAAAATACAGGAAAGTGGTATCCACATTGCTTTCTGGGATTCATTTTTCCTTTATGTTTTAATAAATAAATGTCTCCTCACATAACAGCTAACCATCTTCAAGTGTCACATCTTCAACCCTTTGGTATGCTAATACACTTAGGTTGACTTTATGGTGTCAGAAATGTTCTAATATTACAGTTTAGCTCTAGACTTGGATGCTTGATCCTTGCTCAGGTAAGATGGCTTTCTGAATTCAGAAGAAAAATGAGATATATAGATCAAAACAAATCGGCACGCAAAAACCATTCTCTAAATGAGTCATGGGAAATGAAGCTTGTTGACTAGAACTTGCTTTATTAAGACTGAAATTAAGATTTACATCCAGAAGTAGGTTTGATGAGAGCCACTAGAACTGGCATGCTTTGAGAATGACAGCAGAACAACCTTTGTGTTTATCTTGCAAAGCAAATGAACTTCAGTTAAATGGAGGCCAGAGAGGGATGCTGAATGTGTTCATCTGAATATCTGAGGTTTGAAAAAAATCTCCTTCTTGTTTGAACCATATCAGTTCATTTTCTAGCCCTGGTACATATAAAGGACCTATGCCACGATTAACATTCAAGAACTGCTTAGCCCTCCAGCATGTTCATGTCAACACCTGTAGAATACTGTAAATGTGGAGGGGGCGCAGATTCAATTCAAAGGAATTCAGTGTGTTTCCCAAGGATCTATTATGACTAGACTCAATGTGTTGATGTGACCTACTCTAGGACAGATTTTAGTTATTGCTTACCTATTGGCTTTCATTCCATTAAAAAAAATCTGGATCACGGCTTCCCTGGTTGTCATTTGCTTCTTTCCTTCTCCTCTAGACAACAGTCCAAATAACTATGTGCTCAGGTAAGTTGGTTTCATTTAATTGAACCAGATAGTGGAGGCAATTGTAGTCATTTTATATAACTTTTGCATCTAAAGAAGCCATTTAGAAATATTCAGGTACAAATCCTACAGGCCATCCCCACTCTGTGCCTATTGAACCTTCGTGAGATTGTCATGCTCCCAGGCTTTAATGGATACAGTTGAGGATCACACGCTCTTAGTATGCCCAGAAGGATCATTGAAATTGGGCTGTAGTAAACACCTCTTGTTAGCGTTAGAGGTACCCTCATCCTGACCCAGTGAGCCTTCCCCACTGGCCTCTCTCCTCCAGCAGATAACAAGATGTGGCATGCACAATGGAAGCTTCCTTTTCTCTTGGCAGATCCTGAATGGAGCCAAGGGGAACAGTTGCAAAACAGAAAATTGACTATGATGGAAGACTCTTTGGTGCTACATCTGATATGATTAACAATTTATTTTGGCAACACCCAGGATGGGTTTCATATGGTTTTCCTGAATTCAACAGGATTCCTGCCAGCAGAATCAGGAACACTAAGAAATAATCCAGGCTGAGGGAGAAAAAAAACAACATGCCATCTTGCAAAGTGTTTCATAGCGTTGACTCTGTGATCTGGAAAACAGCCATTGCTCTCAATCCCTCTATTTCCAACTGCTCATCAACTATTGTCTTCCCAGTCTTGGGTTGATAGATGGGCTTATAATTAGCATGGTAGATGGCCCAGAGGAGAAACCATTGTAAGAAGGGAGATGAAAGATGTGGCAGCCAAATATTTTTCAATACACAAATATTCTTAAAATATGGATGTTCTATCCAAGTTATCATCTGTAAGAAACACAATTGCTACATATTGTGGACTTTCAGAGTTAACTGCTCTTACAGGAATCTACTTTTAGGCTGAAAGAAAGACTATTCTGCTGTACAGAAATGCTTCTCTCCCAGAATTGAAGCTTCTATCTCTGCAGAAGGACTTCTACTAACATAATATTCTTGGGTTTTCTCTGCTTTCCAACCTTTTTTCTTCCTCAGGGTGGGTTTGAAGGAGGACCTGGGCATGCATTCCTGAGCTTCTTCCTCTTCTGTTTCTCCTGGGAGTGAGCCCACCTGCAGAGAGAATAAGTCTCCATTGCTCCCAAACATGGGAGAAGCCTGCTGGGGAGACCTGGCCATGACTAGATGTGTGTCTACAGTAGGAAGCCCACCTGCTTGTACCTATAAGGCATGTTCTAAAATATTAGCATTAGGAAGCCACTTATTTGTACCTATTAGCCATGTTCATAATATTAACATCATCAATAATAAGGGTGATGTTTGGGTCCTGTTTTATTTCTCAATTGGTTCAAAATATAGGCAAGGGCAGGGCACAGTGGCCCATGCCTGTAATCCCGGCACGTTGGGAGGCCGAGGCAGGTGGATCACCTGAGGTCAGGAATTCGAGACCAGCCTGGCCAACATGGTGAAATTCTGTCTCCACTAAAAATACAAAAATTAGCCGGGCATGGTGGTGTGCACCTGTAGTCCCAGCTATTTGGGAGGCTGAGGCATAAGAATCGCTTAAACCCAGGAGGCAGAGGTTGCAGTGAGCTGAGATTTTGCCATTGCAATCCAGCCTGGGTGACACAGACAGACTCTGTCTCTAAAAACAAAACAAAACAAAACAAAAACATAGGCAAGGAAAAAAGGTGTTAATTAGTGGTTCCCGCTATGATTAGAATATTTGTCTCCTCCAAAACTCATGTTGAATTTCAATCCCCAGTGTGGCAGTGTTGAGAAATGTAGTCTTTAAGAGGTGATCGAATCATAAGGGTTCTGTCCTTGTGAATGAATTAATTCATTAATAGATTAATGGACTAATGGGTTAATGGATTCATGGGTTAACATGGGAGGGGAACTGGCGACTTTATAAGAAGAAGAAGAGAGGCCTGAGCGAGGATGTTAGCACGCCCAGCCCCCTTGCCACGTTATGCCCTGAGCCACGTCAGGACTCTTCAGAGATCTCCCCCCAGCAAGAGGGCGCTCACCAGATATGACCCCTCAACCTCAGACTTCTCAACCTCCATAACAGTAAGAAACAAATTCGTTTTCCTTATAAATTACTCAGCTTCAAATATTCTGTTATAAGCAACAGAAAACAGACTAATATAGGCCCCCTACAAGCCTCAACAGATGCTCAGCCAGTAGCCAATTTCATCTGATAGGAAATATGTTTTCACATTGTTTTCTACTTATCTTTCACGTTAGCATTTCCTTCACCTTGCACTGGATTAAAAGAAACATCTTGGTATTCAGCTTTGGACTTATGTAAACAAATAGGCTGCAGAATCATATGACTATGACATGGGACATCATTTGGCCTTGACATTTTGCCTTAGGCCTTGCACACTCCTCTTCATTCACTCAGAGGTCCAAGACTGTCCACATTTCCTTTTATTCTTCCTGTGGTGTACATTCTCAGGATTGTATTAGAGAATATTAAAGTGTCTAAGCCTGGCACAGTGGCAAACACCTGTAATCCCAGCTATTCCAGAGGCTGAGGTGGGAGGATCACTTGAGCTGAGGAGTTGGAGGCTGTAGTGTGCTGTGATTGAGACTGTGAATAGCCACTGTACTCCAGTAGGGCAACAGAGTGAGACCCCACCTCTAAAAAAAGATGGAAAAAAAAAATAAAAGCTTCTTTATCTGGATAGCAGTTAGATGGACTTGAAATTGGCAATGAGACTCTGCTTTGATCTTTAATTGCGAGGTCAGTCAAGAAGGGCATGGCCGTGATTAAATTGAATATTAAAACTAGAGAGAAGGAGAGAGATGCCAAGAAGGGAAAGTCAGCTTCTAACCCCCTTGATCTGCAGCTAAGAAGTTTGTAAATCAGTATTTGCAGAAGAATATTGTTGAGAGTTTACAGTATCAATGAGATACCAACAAATTAGGACATGTGTCCATGACCATAACACATAATCGATAAAGTAAGGCCCTAACATTAATTGTTCCCAAACTTTTTCATCCACATTATCAAATTTGATCCTTGCTCTGTGAGGTAGACAATATCATCCCCATTTTAAGAGTTTGGCAAACCGAGGCCCAGTGGGATAGAGTAACTTGCTCAAATTTCTCCAGCGTGTTAAAATCAGATTCAAACTGAAGGAGGTCAGGAAACGCCACCACAAAATACATTTTGGTATGCTGATTACTTCGAACTGGAGGGCACTTGGAGAACAGTGGTGCAGGCAGAGGTCTTCTCTGAGCTCTCCTTATCCGCCTAAAGACAGATCCTCCAAAAGGAACGCAACC
This sequence comes from Homo sapiens, assembly GCF_000001405.40. NCBI lineage: Eukaryota > Metazoa > Chordata > Mammalia > Primates > Hominidae > Homo > Homo sapiens. The sequence continues at coordinate 38,363,150 of NC_000004.12, forward strand.
GTTATTTCCTCTCTCTGGGAATCTTATCAACCAGGTAAGATTAATTTCAATCACAAGAAAAGAGACTACGGATTAACTCCATGCCCTGACGATAGCCTGTTCTTCTGAGGGGTGCAGAGTCTCGTAATCTGCATAACAAGACAAGCTTTGTTCACCTTGTATTTCCTCCCCTCACCTTCCCATTCCTTGTGTCTCCACCACCCACTAGAAGCCCCAGGCCTCTATTCCTTTCTGTAGCTCTGGATACTATATAAGCTTCAATCATCTGATCCTTCTTTGAAACTCATATTTTGTAGAACTCCCATGTGTATGTATGTAATTAACTATGGTTTTCCTTCTGTCAATCTGTCATATGTCCATTTAATTTGTAGCCCAGCCAAGGAACCTCATTCCTTGTGTCTCCACCACCCCCCAGAAGCCCCAAGCCTCTATTCTTTTCTGTGGTTCTGGATGCTATATAAGCATCAATCATCTGACCCTTTTTCGAGACATATTTTGTAGAACTCCCATGGGTATGCACATAATTAAATATGGTTTTCCTTCTGTTAATCTGTCATATGTCCATTTAATTTGTAGCCCAGCCAAGGAAACTGAAAGAGAGAAATTTTTCACTCCCCTACAAAACCTGTGTTTTCTTACTTGAAGTACGGTGGTCTTTTTACTCTATTACTACTGCCTCTCAGCCTATATACTTGAGAATAAACTGAAACATTAATATATTTTAAAAGGAGTAGATAAAACAGCTGGGCTTGACATAATTGAATTTTCTTATTGAATATATGGTGGACAACATAATGGATTTCATGACGTGATTTGAAAGGTGACTAACACTCCTTTGGTTCTGTGATGCACAACGATAAAAAAAGTAATGCAGGCCGGGTGTGGTGGCTTATGCCTGTAATCCCAACACTTTGGGAGGTTGAGGCAGGCAGATCACCTGAGGCCAGGAGTTTGAGACCCGCCTGGCCAACATGCTGGAACCCCATCTCTACTAAAAATACAAAAAATTAGCCAGGAGTGGTGGTGGGCACCTGTGGTCTCAGCTACTTGGGATGCTGAGGCAGGAGAATCGCTTGAACCCAGGACGCAGAGGTTGTAGTAAGTCAAGATTGCACCACTACACTCCAGCCTGGGTGACAGAGCGAGACTCTGTCTCAAAAAAAAAATAAAAAATAAAAAAATAAAAAAATAAAAAAAATAAAGAAAAGAGAAAAAGAAAAAGGAAAAGAAAATAATGGTGATGTAGTATCATTTGAAAGACATTAGGGCTTACTTCATAAATCTTTGTCATTCACATTTGAAAATTATACTGTTGAGGATATGTCTGTGTTGTGCATGGGTAGCTGAAACCTGATATTGGCCACGTTCCATTTTATCTACATTTAAGTGGGGATTAGACATTTGACCCCAATAAATGGAATCCTAGTGCTCTAGGGTACATAGAGGATATTCCAGAGCATTTGGTCGCTTAAGTGAAGAATCGTTTGTCTGAACTCTAATGAAAGAGAGAATGAGGTTTTGAGTGACACTGACTAGGTAGAGGCCTGGAAAGTAACTTGGTGGTTGTTGGTAATGAAGAGGAGGCCCAGCCTTAGGTACCAGAATGTCAGCAGGTACCCATAGCTAACACCTAATTAACTCCACATCTGTCCTCTGTTGTTCCTGGCCCTCTGCCCTTACTCCCACAATGCCTGAGGCTCTCCTCTGTATACCCCAGCATCTTAAACAATCCAGGCTCTCTCTGCTCTCCCCTGTCCATGCATCCTGAAAGTCCAAGCCTACCCTAAAACCCATGCACTAGCACCATCTCCTCATGGGACTGAGGACGGGACCTTCCAAGGGGGTAGTAATAGCCCCTGAAATGTACATAACTCTCAATGCCTTGTAAAGCCCTTTCATATATAATAGCTTATTTGATGTTCACAATTTATCCATGAAGCAGGCGAGGAATATTCTGATTCTGTTTTATGGACGTGAAAGTTGAGGTTCTCAGAAGTAAGGTAAGTGGCAGAACCACCACCATCTACCACATCTTTAGGATCCTTTCTCCTCTACAGTGATTCATAAACCTCTGTACCAAAGGCTCTTAAAAGTCCATGGGAATAACTCCACAATGATGATAAAATAAATTCCCCTCATTGTAAAGCAATTTTTTAAAAACCCATAAAATTATATTAAGTCTATTGAAGCTAACACTGTATTCAAATGCAATAAAATAACTATATAAATGCTTTGCTTAAAAGGACAGCACCCTAATTAAGAAGATTGTTAAAAGGATGGAGCATATGAATACATCTATTACACAGGATTTACTAGAACTCTTTGTACCCACAGCAATAAAGTGGGACCAGCTGTTGCCTGGAACACGGAAACAGCCTTATGAGGTAGAAACTGGATATTATAGTGATTCTTCTTAAAAATGAAGGTGCTTGCACATTCTCTGGATTCCTTCTTACATTTTATTTCATTCAAGATGTATCTTGTATATTTTATGCATCTTCTGTGTCCCAGCTTCTGCATTTGTGGGCAAGCTATCCTTGAATATCCATTTCATGCTTGAATTTGCAGGGCTAAAGACACTTTGCAGCATTGGCTCTTTCTGCCTCTGTAAAATGACATCTTTGTTTGAAAAGCCTTTTTGTTTTTGATGGCTACAAATCCAAGAGACTCCATTTCCAAAAGTCCACTGCCTGTCTGCATTTTTGGGCGTGGGATTCATGATGCCTGTAAAGCGTTCTTCCTTTGTTTACACTTCTTTCGCTGTCTCGGACTTTAGCTGACACTTGGCTCCATGCCATGGTCATGGGCTCTTGTGCCTCTGCTCTATTAGCGAGGCATCTTGTCAACATGGTGGGCCAGCAAGCGTACTGGTGAGATTTCATGCATTCCCTCTCTGTGACATTAGGATGGTGGATGAAAAAGGTAGAAGATAGGTCTGTGCTGGGACTAAGTGCATGGTGGTAAAGGTTGAGTATTACAGTCCACACAGCAAGACAAGGCTCTCATCCCACCTACTTTAAGAAGCAATCCCCAATGGGCCAACAGTCACTAGTTTCCCCGGAGGAGTCATCTCAGCACTTTGAGATCCAGTTTGTTTTACGGTACTCTCCATGTTGCTCTCTGGGTAAAAGAGCATTTTTCTTCTGGTTATATCATGTCTGGGTGTGGAAAGGGGAGTCACTGACTCTGGCTTCACGCTTGGGGTGCTAGCTCAGGTTCAGCATAGAAAAAAGAAAACCATTACAAATATAATATTTCAAGCAGAAAGAGATTGGCTTCATCTAGGAAATTCAGTGCTCACAACATTTTAGAAGAGAAGGAGTAGTAAAAATCAGCTTCTGGTGTTTTGGTTTCAAGATCAACCACTGTTGCTATAAGCTAGAGGTCAGAAAACCTGAGCTCCTGCCACCTCTGTTCCAGACACTGGTGACCAGGGAGTGGAGTGCAGAGCCCAGTTGTTGCTACTTGCTTTTGTTGGCACATCTTGTCTGCTGTCACAGCTGTGGGAAAACAGTCTCCACCTCTCCTCTGCCTTCCAAATAGCATGAAAGTTCATTTCACTGGCAGAATTTAAATCTCACCCAGAACCCTGGCTGCCTTCCAGACCCTTGGAGGAAACACAAATGAGAGTAAGAGTAGATGTCTACTGTCAGCAGATAATATCTAGTATGGCACTTTGGTTGCTGTTTAGTGACTTTTTTTTTTTTTCTTTTTCCCATAGGAGGATAAGGTGAGATTCCTTCACAAATGGTGGCTCCAACTGGAATTCATTGTCCCAAATTCTGAGAACTCCTGAGGAAAGATCCAAAAGTAATATGGCTCAAGATTTTTGAACTGCCCAGGCTCTACTCAGGCTCTTGGACATCTTGCCCATCTCAAAGGTTTGTTTTTTCTCTGCAACAATGTTCAATATGGTGTAGGCAAAGAAACAGCATTTGGAATCATAAGATGAGGGTTTGCATTTCACCTCTACCTCTTTCTACATCAAAGGCATTTCACTGGCAGAACTGAAATCTCACTCAGAACCCTGGCTGCCTTCCAGATGCTAGGAGGGTAGGAGTAGATGTTTACTGTCAGCAATATCTAGTGTGGAACTTTGGTTGCTTTTGGGTAGTCCAACCTTTTGGCTTTCCTGAGCCACACTGGAAGAAGAAGAATTGCCTTGGGCCACACATAAAATACACTAACATTAATGATAGCTGATGAGCAAAAAAGACCTCATAATGTTTTAAGAACATTTACAAATTTGTGTTGGGCAGCATTCAAAGCCATCCTGGCTGCGTGTGGCCTGTGGGCCATGGGTTGGACAAGCTTGTTCTAGATGTTCATTTATTATTTCTGAGCCTCAGTTTCTCATTTGAACTATGAAGAAAATGATTGGATTATTGCTAGAATCCAGGGGAAGAATGGATTTGTAAACTGTAACGCTTGCTTTAGAGACTGGGAGTGCAAGTGGATGATAGGTCTCAGCTGTATCCCTGACCTGATGTGGCTCTTAGCCTAAGAAAGTCATCTCATCCAAGGGCTTGCCCTCTTTCTGGGGCAGCCTGTATTCAATGACCAGGGAGAAGAGAAGGGATACAAATATCTCAGTCCCCTAAAGGGCCCTCCAGCTCTTGAGCTCCCCGTGGTATCAGATGAGGATTCTACTGGAACATCATCACAGTTCAAGTTCTCTCTCTGCCCTCTCCTGTGTACCTTGCCCTGTGATCCAGGGGACAGATGTTGATCCAGAGGACACTCCTCCCAAAACCTCCTTGCACAAAAATTTCTGTCTGGGATTCTGTTTCCTGGGAAACCCAAACATCAACACTGGCTTAGCAGAAAAGGAATTTATTAAAGGATAATAAGTAGCTCATAGGATCTCTAGGAAGGCCAGCAAGCCAGGCGTGGAGAACGCGTTCTAAGAAACAAAGCCTCAGATCACTCCCTAAGATAGCTCCCTGGGAAATCTACAGAGAAAGATGGGACTCATAAAGTGGGGGATATCTTCAAATGTAGGAAGGAGATTCAGATACTGGAATCAACAACAAAAGAAAAGGCAAATGCCTGGGAAGCCTCATTGTGATGTTAGTTATGGAAATATTTGGTAATAGATTCTTGCAAAAGTACAATTATACTTTATTAGAGGTCTTTGTAGGGGTCATAATCTTAACCCACAGTCAATTTACCAGATCAGTAGAAGGGCTGTTTTTGGTCGGAGAATGGTGCACTGCCTTTGGAAGCAGAAAGTCTGGACCAAGAATAGATGCACAGTAGATAATCAAAAAATGAATCCTAAATACTCAGTTTCCCTACGGTTCAGACTCACCCTTTTCTGTACAACACTGTTATTAGTTGATCTTTCTCAGTCCCCTGGCTTCAATACTATCTTGATGATGGTGAATGCAACATTCATAGCACCAGCCTTAACCTCTCTGCTGAACTTCAGATTTATAGATTCAAACCTCTCCCCTTTAATACCCAAAAGACATTAATTAAACCAAAAAAGAAATCTTCACTCTGCCCCCAAATCTGCCTCCCCCACCACTCTTTCATTTCAGAAATTCACACTGCCCTGAGTCAGGCTGGGGCTTCATGCTCCCTTCCTGTGGCTAATAAGCCCTACTTGAAAAGATTCTCTAAATTCATTCACTTTTTTCCTTCTGCATTATGCCCTCCTGAGTCACCAGCCACTATCGCACTTGCACTATTACATCAGGCTCTGCATGAACTCCCTGCTTCCACTTCCCCGTTTAATCCATCCTTTACCAAGAGCATCATGTAATCCACCTTTGACTCTAAGTGGATTTAGAATAAAATCTAAATTCCCAGCTGTCTATAATGAGTACTCACAAACCCAGTGCTCCAGCACTGACCTGGCCTCCCCCTGCCACCCCATCCCACCTCTCTGACCTCAATCTTCTACAGTGCTCCCTCTGTCCATTAGCCTGTTCCAATCACACCCATCCCTTTTAGCTATGGGGCCTTTAGCTACAGGGCCTTCTGTGCTCAGAAGGTGCTGCCTTCAGATTGTACGAGGCTGGCTCCATCTTTCAATCAAGCCTCAACTCAAATGGCCTCCTGGAGAGAACTTGCCCATCACCCAATTTAAAATAGCCACTTTCTCTCCGGTCACTTTCTATTAGATCACTCTATTATATTTTCTTCACAGCATTTACTACCATTTAAAACTATCTGAATGTTGATTTATTGTCCTCCTTCACTTAAATACAAACTTTTTGAAAACTCCAACTTTGTCTCTCTTGTTCATGCTGCAGCCCAAGTGTCTAGATCAGTACCTGGCATGTAGGAGGCATTCCATATATATTTCTAGAAGGAATTAACCTTATTCATCAACCTGTCTTATCTACAAAAATCTAGAGTGGGACTTTTTAACCTGGGTCCATGTACCCCCAACCTGTGAAGAGAATTCAGGGACCTTGTGAACTTAGATGGGAAAAAAAAATCACATGTTTATTTCACTAATTCCTAACTGAACCTAAACCACAGTAGTATTAGCAGTACACATGATTTTATTGTTAATGTAAATCATAGGCATTTTCACAAGACATTATGATATGTATCAGATATGTCAAGATACCATTTATGTTCATTGTTACTTCAAAATTGTGATAGTTATTAGGTTCACTGCTAGATTGATATTTAATGCATTAATAAAGAACAACATAGAGTATTATACTATAAGAACTTTCTAATTAATTTTAAAAATCTAATAAAAAACCAAAGAACAATAAAAATATTAAATTAATTGATTTCCATTGTAATCCTATATACTTATTTTATGCATTTAAAAACATTGATCTGGCTGAGTGCAGTGGCTCATGCTTGTGATCCCAGTACTTTGGGAGGCCAAGGTAGACTGCTTAAGTTCAGGAGTTCAAGACCAGCCTGGGCAACATGGCAAAACCTCATCTCTACAAAAAATACAAAAAGTTAGTCAGGTGTGGTTGCGTTTGCCTGTGGTCCTAGCTACTCAGGAGGCTGAGGTGGGAGGATTGCATGAGCCTGGGAGGCAGTGGTTGCAGTGAGCTGTGATTGCGCCACTGAATTCCAACCTGGGTGACAGAGTGAGACCTCCTCCCCGCAAAATAATAATAATAATAGTAATAATTTTAAAAACTCACAATCTTAGGAGGTATCTATGGGCCTTGCCAGATCACCAAAACAGGGCATGTAAAAGGTTAATGTATAGAACTGAACTGTCAAATATGGTAGCCACTATCCACATGTACTTTTAAAAGTTGTTATTATTATTATTTTAGAGACAAGGTCTCACTACATTACTTTATTATCAATATAAGTCATATAATCAATATAAATCAATCACCCAAGTTGGAGTGTGGGTGGCATGATCATAGCTCACTGCAGCCTTGAACTCCTTGGCTCAGGCAATCCTCTTGCCTCAGCCTCCCAGGTAGCTAGGACTATAGCCTTGTACCACTATGCCCTGCTCATTTATTTTATATTTTAGTTTTTTTGTAGAGACAGGGGTCTCACTATGGTGCCCAGGCTGCTCTTGAACTTCTGGTCTCAAGGGATCCTCCCAACTTGGCTTCCTAAAGCACTGGGATTATAGGCATGAGCCACCATACCCAGCTCGCATGCAGTTATTTAAATTTAACTTTAAATTAATTAAAATTCAATGAAATTCAAAATTTCAATCTTGAGTAACACCAGTCACATTTCCAGTGCTCGATAACCACATGTGGCTAGTGGCTACCATGGAGGGCAGTGCAGATTCAGAATATGCCCATCATATTCTGGAGTTCAATGCTTAATTTCTGATTTGTCTTTTTACTGCCATAATTTGTCTCTCCTCCATGCCCAATATTATGGACTACATATTCAAACAGTAATATTAGGGATGGGGTGGGGTCAAAGTGACTTTATCTTAAGATTCTTGCTGCTTTCCTTTTTCATCTAAACCTTTACTCCATCTCCAATCCCTGACCTTTCCCTGATTCTGAGAGTGGAGCCAGCCAGGGCAGTCCAGCAACGCTGTACCTCCTTTGCATCCTTCTCAGGTTCCTATCTTGGTCTAGACCAGAGGATATAACTAAGAATATCAAAGACAGAGTGAAGAAGCTCAGACTGGGACAAATGGGGCCATAGGCTCTGCTCTCAAGAGCCCTGCTATACCTGTCCCCTGGCCTAGAGGGAAGAATGGCCATGCTAGGGTATATTGTGGATCTGTCCACCAAGCTGGCACCTGAAAAGGAATCCCAGCTAGATCCCAGAGAGTCCAGAGTGCCAGAGAGGGCTGAGATGGAACTGAGTCAGCTGGGAGGATCCTGAACCCTGTCCAAGCCAGGAGAAAACAGACCACAAGTGCCCCAGCTGCATACATCAGCAGGACACTTCCTCTGAACAGCCTGTGTGAATAGCAGTCTAATCACCCCCACAAATGCCAGCTAGCTCACAGCTATGCACTAGCACAATTTGAGGGGCCTCCCTCTCCCCCACTGGCCCAAAGTGCCTTCCTTCCACATTCCCAGATACCATCTTAGAGAGAACCAGGAAGAATATTGTAAATTGGAAAAACTGACTCACTCCAAAGAGACTGCTTACTGGAATAGCCTGAGTATACCAGATTGGTCTAAAATTCAGTTTACCAGAATCTCTCATTAGTCAGTGGTGTGGGGGTTAGGAAACATTTAAAGACCATAAAATTATAGAGCTACATTTTCTTTGCACTTCTGAGCCTAGAGTGAGTAAGTCTGAGACTGAACTCTACTGAATCATGCAGACTGCTTTTCTGGGCAAAATATGGCCCTAAACATCTTCTGGCACTTGGTAAATTAGTTTCTTGTAAGTCTTCCTTAACTAAGGGGAGTGGGGAGTTTTCAACTACTGGAGTTGTATTCCAACATCATTGTACTCTTTTCACCTTCCTGGGCTCCTACAGCAAGATAGCCCAGTAGCCCCTGGTCTTCCAGTCCCCCAGCACTGCTTCTGGCCAGGCTTACCTCTGTGATGCTGGACGCTGATGGGGCCAGTGTCCTGCTTCTTCAAAACAGGGCAAGCAAAATGCCTTGTCTATGGGTGTTGGAGATAAAGATGGAGATAATCATCAAAGTCTTCCTTCTCCTTGCTAGCGGTGCAGCATAAGTGTGTGTAGGAAGGAGGTGATTGGAGAATAGAATCAGCAGAAAATAGAGCACATTGCTTAAGGAGAGGTCTACTGGCTTGGAAAAACCTACAGCAGTTGAAAATTTCAGCTCAGTTCCTTTCCCAAGAGGAGTACTACTGGCTTTCTTTCCAAGTCTAACTCATTAGGCATCAAAACTCAAGTTAATTGGCTAGTAGTTTTAATTGTGTGCATATATATGTTCTGCTTTGCACTGGATTGAAGAATATCCTTCCAAAATGTATGTTCACCCGGAATCTCGGAATGTGATGTTATTTGGAAACAGGGTCTTTGCAGATGCAATTAGTTAAGATGAGGTCATACTGGGTTAGTACTCCCTAAATTCCATATGACTAGTGTCCTTATTATAAGAAGAGAAGACGCACATGCGCGCACCTACATAGACACACACAAAAATACACATATGCACAGAATGCACGTGATGATAAAGGCAGAGAATGCAGTGATGTGTCTACAAGCCAAGGAATGCCAGCCACCACCACAAGTTAGGAAGAGGCAAAGAAGGATTTCCCTAGTTTCACAGGGTGGATGATTTCAGATTTCTAGCCCCCAGAAATTTGAGACAATAAATTCCTGTTGTTTTAAGGCACCTAGTTTGTGGAACTTTGTTACAGCAGCTCTGAGGAACTCCCACATGCTTATAAGGGGTCAGAATGATAGAACACTTAAATAAGCCCAGGCTAATGGGAACACCAGTCTTCAACAACAACACCCTCTAACATTTAAAGGGGCCCAAGCGTAAAGTCTACAGCAATTGTTACTAGAAGGTCCAGCCTGCCCCTGACCTATTCTGCAGCTCTCCTACCACATTCCCAGTCCAAGACCCTTTAATCCAAGCACATTGTTTCCCCTCCTTAGTTCCTCTTTCACCTCTCCTGTCCAAGAAGAGCACAACACCCAAAACAGTGTTCCTGGCCAGGTCCACTCTGCACTGCCAGTCCCCTGGGGAATGTAATTCCTTTACTTCCTTTTCAGGGTTTCTCAGGCTAATCTGACTGCCAGGCAGCTTCCTTGCCTTAGAGAATGGGCGGGTGGGGGTGGGGGGGTGGGGCGGCGGAAGTTAAGCAGGAAGGGGAAGAAGACAAGCTCTGACCACCACCCAGGAAACATTTTTATCCAACCATCACCATCTTCACTGTGACTAAAAAATTACCTTTTTTGTTTCCTTTGAAGGAATAATTTAATTGATGAAGCAGATACATAGAGCTCAAGCCTTCAGAAACCTCTGCAGTATTCATTGAATGAGAAGCTCACACTCCTTCTTGGTCATTTATTACTCATTCATGGACCATCAGAGTTTGCTTTCCTCTAACTGAAGGTCTAGGAAGGAAATCAGTTGAAATAGGAGAAGGGGACTAAAGATTAAATACTGAAAGAGGAATCTTCTCCCCTTCTCTTCTCTCACCTCCAAGTGTTTGATGCTATGTCAAATAATGTTAATTACAAACAATAATATGAAGGTGCTTCAAATGCACAATGTTTTCCTAAGAAAATGTATTATAGCTACTTTACAACTCAGACTATAATTAAGTGGACTAAAGGGGAATGTATGAAATACAGAGCATGAACTTTCCTTAGAGGTTTAAAAAGAGAAAAATGCGGATATCGGTAGGGAACTCCTTTACGGTTCCTTTTGAATAACATGATTCATATTACTTTTTTAAAAGAATATTTTTAACTGCCTGGCTCCCTTTGTATTTTTTAAAAGGCCATGGAGACGTATGGCTAGGTCTTGGGGAGACATAGTAATTAGAGACATAAGAATAGCTAGCACAATTTCTCATATGGAAAATGTCTCAACTGTGGTCATCACGACATGGGTTTGGGAATACGCCACCTCATTCCACAAGACAAAGCTGGGAGAAAATATGTTAGTCATAGGGATGTGGAAGTGAATTCCCCAAAAAACAAAACACATGCTCCCCTGTACACCTTTGAAAATACCACATTTATCATAGGCCACATTTTATTTATAGAATGCTGTGTTATCTACCGCCACTTGAAATGAGAGACCTAGAATAAATATTTTTTGGTCAATGAGTTTTGGATTTTACATTTTCCCAAGTTTTCAACTTCCTTGATTACTCACGCGGAAAGCATTCTAAGGAGAGAGATTTCAGAGTTGTTTACTATGATGAACAGACTTTAAGTAGCCTCATGATCCTTGTCTCCTGGAATTCACATCCTTGTTTTGTTTTGTTTTGTTTTGTTTTGTTTTGTTTGAGACAGAGTCTCGCTCTGTCACCCAGGCTGGAGTGCAGTGGCGCGATCTCGGCTCACTGCAAGCTCCGCCCCCTGGGTTCATGCCATTCTCCTGCCTCACTCTCCTGAGTAGCTGGGACTACAGGCGCCCGCCACCACGCCCGGCTAATTTTTTTGTATTTTTAGTAGAGACGGGGTTTTACCATGTTAGCCAGGATGGTCTCCATCTCCTGACCTTGTGATTCACCCATCTCGGCCTCCCAAAGTGCTGGGATTACAGGTGTGAGCCACCGCGCCTGGCCACATTCTTGTACAATTGTATAATTCCCTCTCTTTGAGCATAGTTAGGCCCTGTGACTTGCTCCTAACCAATAGAATATGGCAAAACTGGCGGGATATCACTCCTCTAATCACATTACATTATGTAAGACTGTCTTGTTAGCAGACATGCTATAGTGTCTTGCTTTCCTTGACGAGTTTGAGGAATCAAGTTCCCATGAGTTGTATAGCTGCAAAAAAATGAGTAACAACTAAATAAATTAAATAAGCTTGGAAGCACACCTTTCCCCAACTGAACCTCCAGATGAGAACCTAGCCATGGATGACACCTTTATTGCAGCCTTTTAGAGGACCAAGATTAGCTGTGCTGGAAACTGTGACATAATAAATGTGTGTTGTTTGAAATCACTAAGTTTGTGGTAATTTGTTATGTAGCCAGAATTTTTAAAAAATGGATATACTTGCTTTTGCTAACTTACTTTTCTGACCCAGTATTCTTGTATTGAGTTTATCTCTCCACAAGTTTGAAAACTCTTGGTCTTTTGTTGTTTTCATGACCAATATATATTACATCCACCTACACAAGGATACTCTTTTCTTTATTGTAGAAGTGACTTAGGTCACAGCAATAAAGAAGAGCCTTGTATGAACAACAGTATTTCTCAATTTGCCCATATTTCAAGCCATCTTGTGATTTGCAGCGGCAAGTAATTCTCACACTCCTCCTTAGAATGGAGGTTGAACTTTGTTCAAAAACCCAGTCTGACTGCTGGTGGGACTGTAAATTGATTGAAACTTTCTGGAGGGCATGGTTGTAATACATATCTAAGCTCTAAGCATATGCATGCTGTTTGGCTTAAAAATTCCCTTTCTCGAAATTTATCTCAAGAATATAGTCAGACAAGCATTCAAAGAAGTATGATAAGGATGTGCACTACAGCATTGGGTTATCATTATTATTATTGTATAAATTTAAGGGATACAAGTGCAATTTTGTTACATAGCTATATTGTGTAGTGGTGAAGTCTGGGTTTTTAGTGTATCCATAACCCAAATAATGTACACTGTATCCATTAAGTAATTTTTCCATCATCCATTTCCCCCTCAACCCCTCACCCTTCAGAGTTTCCACTGTCTATCATTTTATACTTTATGTTCATGTGTACACATTTTTAGCTTCCACTTATAAGTGAGAACATGTGATATTTATCTTTCTGTGTCTGAGTTGTTTCACTTAAGATAATGGCCTTCAGTTCCATCCATGCTGCTGCAAAAGATATGATTTCATTCCTTTTTATGGCTGAATTGTATCTCACTGTGTATATATGCCACATTTTCTTTATCCAGCCATCCGCTGATTGACACTTAGATTGACTCCATATCTTTGTTATTGTGAATAGTGCTGTGATGAACATATGAGTGCATGTTTCTGTTTGATATAATGATTTCTTTTCCTTTGGGTAGATACCCAGTAGTGGGATTGCTGGAATGAATGGTAGTACTATTTGTAGTTCTTTAAGAAATCTCCATACTATTTTCCATAGAGATTGTGCTAATTTATATTCCCAACAGTGTATAAACATTCCCTTTTCTCCATATCCTTGCCAACATCTGTTTTTTTTTTCTTTTTAGTCATAGCCATTCTAACTGGTATAAGATGATATCTCATTGTAGTTTAAATTTGCTTTTCTTATGGCATTGTTTATGACAGTAAAAAATTAAAACTTGAAGACAACCAAAATGGATAAAATAGGCAGTAGGTATTATAACTTAGAAACTATCAGCACAATGAAATACCATGTAGCCATTTAAAACTGTGCTGCAGTAGCTGGGGCATGGTGGAATGCACCTGTAGTAGTCCCTACTCGGGAGGTTAAGGTAGGAAGATCACTTGAGTCAGGAGCTTGAGGTTGCAGTGAGCTGTGATCATGCCACTTCATTCCAGCCTAGGCAATAGAGCAAGATCCTGCCTCAAAAAAAAAATTTGAAAAAAGAGGGGAAAATAATAACACCTATCTAGTGAGGTGGTTGGGACAGTGACATGAAAGAAAACTTTGCTGCTGATATATAATTTTGGTCAAAAGACAATGTAAGCAAAACAAAAAAGAATCTATGAGAGAATGTGTGCTATGTCCCCCAGTTATGTGGTGTACATAGGTGTGTAAAATATACATACACATTGAAAATAAAACTATTGTCCAAATGTTAACAGTGATTACACCTGAGTAGCAAAATCATGCATAATTTTATTAATTTCCTTGTTATATCTTCTAATGTCTTCACAATGTTCACACATAATTTATGCAATTAAAAAATTCCTAATGTGGATTTTGCTTTTTTTAAAAAATGATGCTCCCTGTTTCTAATTCCTGGTCCCTAGGTGGGCTGGGTCTTGCTGTTGGCCCAGAGACCCCATGAACCAGCTGTCTGATATTGAGAAAGTGGTCTGTGCATACCGGGTCTGTATCCTCCCTCTTCCCTTCCCCTGAGAGTTTGCCACATGCATGGGCATCCAGGTATCTCCCAGTCTTTTCCCCCAAGCTCCCCCAACTGACTCATACTTCAACAACCACCCAAGCTGGAAAGATCATTTTACCACAGCAATGTGTTTATATCAGTCCCAAAATGCTGTGCAACAGGTCCAAACTTAATCATCCAAAACAACCCTTGTGCTGGATGTTGGTGACAGAAATTGCTTTGTAGAAATGTTTAAATGCTCAAGGAGTAGAAGGCTGTGAAACCACAATTGTTTGTCCTGTAAACATTTATTAGATTACCACTGTCATCTGTGGAAAACCATTTACAAAAAAATGCACACATTCTGTATTTTTATTGTTTATCTTGAAAATAAAGTTATGTTGTGTTTAATGTGTTTCAGTTTTTGCTTTTATTTTTATCTTCTAGATTCTTCCTTGAAGTGCTTTAAGAGTGAAAAGAGATGCAGACAGTGTAGGAGAGAAAGGTTAGGATGGTCCAGAAAACGAGAAGGGTAGAGCATAAGAGTTTGGGAATTTAGAGTGACTGGGTATCTGCCATGAGCCAGAGTCTGGGCCAGGTGCTGGGATACACTCCCCATTCATGAAAAAGGCCTCGGGAAGGCTTAGAAAAGATCAAAGACAACAGAGAGAAGGATTAGGGCAAAAAAAAGAAGATAGTAAAAGGGCAGCAAATGGAGACCTTCTAAGTCCATACCCATTTGGAAGTCACTAAATAGGAATACTTTGGAAAGCCAGAAAGGGAGAGAAAAAGCCAAAAAGGAGGGACTCCCTTGTGACGTTCCTTTTCCCAGTCCAGGATCACAAATGGGCCCATTTGTTGGGAGGTCAAATGTACAGTCTGTGTTCTTGTTGAAATGGGGCATGGGGCTGAAATTATGCAGGAACTGGGGTAAGGTGAGGGTAAGGAGGAGATTAAGAAGAGAGGAAAAAGTTACTATTTATAGGTAATAGCCTAACTGAGTGAGGAAGAGAAAGAAGGGATGGGGAAGACTATAGTAATTCCTTTATATGATTGTGAAATCTCCCTTAGTACTTACACCAATAGTAGAAGCCACACTATCAACATTTGTTAGCTTCTTGATACCCAATTCTCACAGGGTGAAGAGAAAAGGGCCAGGTGACACCATTCACACAGGGAGTTTTGTTACAGAAGAGGAACCTGAACTTAGGGAACCTGAATCTTTTGTAATAGCAGTAAAAATTCTGCCCTTTGCCTGGAGAGAGAGGGACTATCTCCATCTTCCAAGGCTGTTCACTATACAAACATTCTCAAAAAGATATTTCAGAGCAAAGATACTCAGTGTCTCTGCTTACGAGATGTGTAGAAACTAGAGAAACTCACAGAAAATTGTCTCCCAACAAGTTTCTTTCCCAATATGCACAACATGACGGCATGCTTGTTCTGGAATTGGCTGATTATAGAGTCCAGAACTCAGAATAAAGAAAATAAAGACGGTCATTTTTTAAAAACTATAAAGTAGTCAGTTAATCTTTACTTTCCCTCTGACCTCTCCAGAATTTCTTCAAATGATTCCTAACTCATTTGGCAGTTGAGTGAAGCCCAAGCTTCTACCTTCCTCCCTTTACCCCTCTCAAAGCTCATCTTCTCCGAGTCTTATTCTCTTTTGATTCCATCATGATCTCTCAACAAACTTATTTTTATTTATTTACCAAACACAAATCCATGCTCTGTTTTAAGCATTTTACTAATATTAACACGTTTAATCTTTTAACACCCTATAAGGTGAGTACTATTATAATACCCATTCTTCAGATGAGAAAATTGTGCCAAGTAATGGTTATTCTAATACGATACACATACTTTTGTGAAAATAAGCAGTCATTGCTAAAGTTTTAAATGATTCTAGAATGATTCTAGACATTTTTTGTTGTTGTTGTTTTATTTTTGTTTTTGTTTTTGTTTTGAGATGGAGTCTCACTCTGTTGCCCATGTTGGAGTATAGTGGTGCGATCTTGGCTCACTGCAACCTCCTCCTTCCAGGTTCAAGCGATTCGCCTGCCTCAGCCTCCCGAGTAGCTGGAACTACAGGCACCCCCCACCACACCTGACTAATCTCTTTTTTTTTTTTTTTTTTTTTTAGTAGAGGCAAGGGTTTCACCATGTTGGACAGGCTGGTCTCAGACTCCTGACCTCAGGTTATCTACCTGCCTCGGCCTCCCAAAGTGCAGGGATTACAGGCATTGAGCCACCGTGCCTGGCCTAGAAATGTTTAAAGGACTTGTGAGGAAAACAAGAAGTGACCCGAGCTACTATTATTTAGTAGTATAGTCATGCGTCTCTTAATGATGGGGATACATTCTGAGAAACACATTGTTAGGCCTTTTCATCTTTATGCAAACATCATTGAGTGTACTTACATAAACCTAGATGGCATAGCCTACTATACACCTTGGTTATATGATAGAGCCTATTGCTCCTAGGCTACAAACCTAGACAGCATGTTACTGTACTGAATATTGTAGGAAATTGTAACACAATGCTAAGTATTTGTGTATCTAAACACAGAAAAAGTACAACAAAATATGGTATAAAAGATTTTTTAAATGGTGTACCTGTATAGGTACTTACCATGAATGAAGCTTGCAGGACTGGAAGTTGCTCTGGGTGGGTCAGTGAGCGAATGGTGAGTGAATGTGAGGCTTAAGACACTACTGCTCACTCCTGTAGACTTTATAACACTGTATGCTTAGGCTACACTAAATATATTTTTAAAAATTAAATGATTACGCTACCACACTATGTCATCTACAAAGTCACTAGGCAATAGGAATTTTCAGCTTCATTATCATCTTATGGGACCACCGGGACCACCATGGTACATGCAGTCCATTGTTGATGAAAATGTCATTATGCAGTGCATGACCGTACTTTATTAGGAGAAATTTCAGGACTGTGGAGGATACTTTGGGGAAAGGAACCTGTTCACCTCCCCTTCAATCACTCTCCCAGAATTATCATATGTGGTGAGGTGCAGGGAGTTTTCAGAACTACCTGGTTCAGATTCACTTTTAGCAATTTGTTGGTTATTTTTCCACAGCCAGAACCATGTTTAGTTCACTGCTGTATCCCTGGTGTCCAGCCAAGGGCCCAGTTCCTCATGGGGGCTCAGAAGTGTGTTGAATAATTGACTGAGTGAGTGAATGAATGAATAGGAACCAGAAACTTCATGGGTCACTTCGGTAGGGAAGTGCTCCTGGATTAGAATCACCAGATTTAATCGCATCTTAAATCCAAGGATGAATCTATGTCTCAGTGCAAAAAGGGCAGAAGTTAAACCAGGCATACAAGATAATAGAAGAAACTAGAACCAAATGCATATTTTTAAAATAATTTGATTGGAAATAACAACAACAGGGGATTAGAGAGAGGAATGAAGATGAGGTTGAAGGCGAACAAGAATTCCTTGGGCCAACCCGAATAAATTGAACATAAAGTAAAAAGGCAATAGGCAAAACTAGCAGGCAGCCAGAAATGTTAGGTGCTCCAGTTCTAAGAAGTAACTGGAGAAGGAAGTTGATAGAAAGTAGGGAAAGAATATTAATAATGATAATGGTTACCATTTATAGATAATATTCTGTTCCAAGCAGGATTCTCACTGCTTTGAGTTTATTAATTCACTTCAGCACAACTCTTTGACTTAGATTCTATTATTATTATCATCACTATCTTGCAAATGATAAAACTGAGTAACAGAGAGGTTAAGTAACTTGTTCAAGGTCACACATCTTGGAAGTAGCAAAGCTGATGTTTGAACCTAGGCAATTTGCTCAGAATCTGCACCATTCACAAATTGCCATTTATCACCTCTCCTATAGCACAGACTGCCTCTATGTTAGGGCAGCAGCCATGTCAAAAAAAAAAAAATTCAACAATCTAAGTTTTTTAAAACATATGTTTCTTATGCAAAAGGCCTTCACCGGGACTCCTTAACCAGATTGCATCTCTCCTCAAGCCCTTCCCATGTAGAGATTCTGGAGCCACCATCTTGCTAAGGGTTGGTTGAGAGTTAAAGACCACTTGAGACCCTTCAGAACAGAAAGCAATTCAACTGTTCAAAAACTAGTGATTCCTTAAAAATTAAACATGGTGGGGAAAAATTAAGGTGTTGGGGAGATGTTCCAGATTACCAGTGATTAAAGAGACATTACTACCAACACAATGCGGATACTTCTTTTTTTAAAAAACAGCTATAAGAGATAATTGGAGAACAGTTAAGAAATGACTATGATTATGAATTGGATAATTGATAATAGCAAGGGAATTATTGTTAATTTTCTCAGCTCTGATAATGCTAATGTGGTCATGCAGGAAATGTCCTACAATCTTCAGAGATGCACGGGGAAGCTTTTAGGGCTGAAGTGTCATGATTTCTGAAACCAACTTTCAAATGGTTCAGAAAGAAAAATAGAAAGATTGGTTTGTAAGTTAAACATGGCAAATGTTAACAATTGTTGAATCTGGTAGAGGCTAGACAGCTGTGCACTGAAATATTCTTTCAGGTTTTCTGCATGTAATTTTCATAATAATAAGTTTTGGGTGAAAGAGCCTGGGGTGAGGAGACAGTGATTGCTTACAGATTGGCCAAAGAAGGCCGGGAACTTGGCCAATGCGAAGGCCTTCGGGGATGAGTTAAAAAGCTCGGTCTTGACCACATGGGGTTGAATGCAAATTCTTTCTCAATAAAACAGAAACACAGAACTGGACCAAGGATTCAAGTACTGGATGGGAGATTTGGCAGTCCTTCCAATAAAGTTAGCAGTGGCAGCTGTAGTGGTGATAAAATCGCCTGGACTCTGCTGTAAAATCAAGAAGACCAAGCTGAAGTTCCATGTGGAATATGCGTGGTCCAGTGATTTTCTGTGAATAGCTGGGACCTGTCTGCCAGGGTTGAAACCCTCACTCAATGGCTCACTAGTCTAGTGACCTTGGACAAGTCACTTAACATTTCTGACACGCAGTTTCCTCTGCTAGTACTCATCTCCTGGAATTGTTATGTGTGGAGATTAAATAGGACAACATATATAAAATGCTTAACACAAGATATGGCCCACAGTGAGCACTCAACAAACATTGCTCTCATTTTCACTGCACAGGGAGAAGGATAGGGTAAAAGAGAAGGCTTGTTTGCCACTGACTGTAGCAGCAAAAGCAGCCCAACCCACATCTTCTGCCACTTTGTTTACAATTACATGTATGTTCGGGTTATTTAATTTCTTTCTTTTAAGTGAAATTGTGTGGCCCGGGGTTAGCAGGGATGCTAATGAAGTTAAACAACGGAGGAGATTACGCCCTAGCATGGAAAATAAACATTGAGGTCCCTGCTTCAGCGTTTATCTTCAATGATACCTCATCTTTGCCTGGGTAATTATCTCTCGACAGCAGACAGTGCTCCAGCAGCAACGGATAATTCCATTAACATTACCACTTAAACACAGCCTCTCCAGGCTGCTCAGGTCCTCCGGTTGCTTGCTAAGCCTTAGGGGCCTCATATCATTTTGGAATTAAAATGACAGAGTAAATTATTCAAGCACATTTGGTTTTTTCCTAAGCAAACCTCTGCACATCCTTGACTCATCATTTCCCCCCAAAAGCATTGCTGCTGAGAATATTAATTGTAGCAACTCAGTGCTAGCTTTATTATGAAATTTGAGGGTTGGTGATAGTGGAACACTGCTAGTCCTTGGTGAGCTGGTTTCTAATTGTCTGAGGATGAGAAATAGGTGAAAAGGTGGCCTCCTCTGAAAGGGAAAAGTAAGTTTCATGTTTTCTGGAGACTTCTAAATGCCACAAAAGAATTCTGGCCAAAAAAAAAAAAGGAAGAAAAAAGAAAAAATCCAGATCATGTGTATACTTAGGCATGGTGGTGACCCAGAGACCAAGCAAAACAAAAGAAGCAAATTTCATGAGAAAATCCAGCTAAAATTTCATTATTTAAAATGAGTGTGTACTCTCTGTCTAGGTGTCTGTTCCCCAGCCCTGTCTTTGACTGGTCTCATTGCTGGGTGGCATCTTTAACAGAGAGTGTGCAAGAGCCATTGGCAGCAATCTCCTGTGTGGTTGGAGCCTAGCAGTTTACAAGGAGCTTCCCTACACATTGTATCACAATGACCTTGCCAGGTTAGTGGTGCACACCCTGTTCCATGTCACAGGTGAGGGCCCTGAGGCCTACAAAGGTAAAATCACCTACCCGACATTCCATGTCAAATATGGTGGCAGGAGGACTTGAATAGAAGTCTTTGGAGTCGGAAGATCCTACATGGCTTCACGAGAGAAGGGAAAATGTTTATCATTTCATTTTCCTGTGCAGAAAGGACTTCAGCCTTTCTGTCAATGCTAAAGATCTATCTTCTTTCAAAGATAGGAAGTCAGGGTGTCTGCAAAGCACATATTTTCCCACTGGGCTGACCCCAAGTTGACCTTTATACTCCTCTCCACTATCTGTTAATTCCTTGTGTCTGGGTTCCAATGGAAGTGTGGACAGAATGAATGAATGAAGTGAGATAATGGTTGCCTCTCTCACAAAGCTAACACATAGTAGGCTCTCGAAAAAGGCTTCGTCTAATTAAAAAGCAATATTTATTTACTAGCTCTGGCAGCAGATTTGGTCAGCAAAGAGGTCAAAGGGTTGACTTGAATTAGGTTTGAAGGTTGGCTGGAATTCAATTACCCATGACCCTCTAGTCTCTCCTGCCAGCCATGATTAATGGAGGCTGGCTAAAGTAGGATGGGGTTAGTAACACTGAAATCAACCTTCTCTGGAGAATAAAGACGCTGAAATTATCTAAGGAGCATTCTCAAGCCAGATGAGATTTCTTAGGTGGGAAATAACCTTGTGATTCAGCCCAATAACATCAGGGATCAGATCCAGAGACAAAGGACATGCACAATAAAGCTGGGGAATCCTTGCTCCTAATTTTTTCTGACAATCACAGGGGCCTCGTCACCCTGCCTAACATGGATAAATTATCATCAAGGGCTGTGGATGGTTTGGATCTGGATTTTTAAACATCTTGCTTGAGGATATTTGGGGTATACATTAGGGAAAAAGGTCAATTAAAAATCAGATAACTGCATCATTTAAAATAAGAAGAGACTCTACCCTGATCATCACCACTTTCCTTTTTCCCAATACAGATTTTTCCCTCTCGGCCTCGCCCTAATGTTGATCTAATTGCCTTCTCACAATACAAGAAGGCCTTGAAAACTCGGGATTCAGCTACAGGTTTCTTTTTATATTAAAACTTTCTTTTGGAGCTGATCTCTTAGAAGATATTTTGAAAATATGAAGATAATAACAGTTTCTTGTTTGCTTGTTTTCTGTTATTATTTACTAACTTTTTTGAATAAATTTTCAACTTTTTCCAGTCCTTTTGCTTTTGTCTAGCAATGTCTTATGCAGTAGGTAAGGGAAGCTCAAGGAGACATTTTTCCTTTTTGTTATTGTTCTAAGTCTGCACCTCAGTTTCTGTCCTGCTTTGTTTTCAGAGCTCAAGTTCTGTAGCCTATCCTAATTTGCAAGGCTGGCTTATGAGACAAGTTAAGGAATCATTAAGGCACCTACCCTTTGCCTCTTCATTGGCCAAGTAGCTTAATTAACTTAGTTGAAATGCAGTCTAGTATTATGAGAGCAATTGCATTTGTGTATCTTAATAACTTACCTGTCCTCATGCAATAGTCCACATCCCTCTAATAAAAATATATACATGCACATGCGCTTTGACGTATCGATATTCAAGCTCACAAAATAAGCTCAAACTTGAAAAAGATCCAGACTACGGCAACGTTTATTATTTTTAGAGCATAACCTAGTCATTTTGATTAATTCGTTTGGATTGCTTTTTCCTGCAGCTCCCCAGGGAGAGGTGGGAGGAAAAGGCGGTAAAAACATAAATTTTCTTTGGTGATGAGTTCGCATGTTTAGAACTGTAACATGGCAAATCATTGTGAAATCTTCTAATGGATGCCTGTCTCATGCCAAATAAGCCCAGTACCCAAAGCACATCAAGAAATAATTGAAAGACACTGGACTGAATCCAAAAGGTTGTGGCTAATGTTTCACCTAATCTCTCTCCCAGGTCTCTCCTGCCTACTGCCGGCCCTACCCACAAGATGTGAACTTCAGAGCCTTCTTGCAACTGCTTCTTGGCTATTTTCACCCTCTAACCCTCTGGAAGAAGAATGAGGACTATTATGAAGGCAAAAGCATAAAAGGGGAAAAGATTAGCCTCCAGAGTAGGAAGATTGGGTTGTTGGAAGCCAGCACAAGTCTTCCCCTGAAAGAGTTAATTCGCCTCCAATGGGGGTAGGGACTGACCTGGGAGGGGCCTCAGCCTACATAGGACAGGCCTAAAGGCCCCATTGGGGCTGAAGGTGACACTGGGTCAGATCCCTAGGATTCTGCAACTTGAGGTGGGAGTGTCTATAAGCTGGAAACAAAAGTTTCAAAAAAAAAAAAAAAGCTCATTTTGTTTTCAATTCGTTTTATCTTGGCTCTATCTCAGGCACCACTGACTTCAGACCTTTCAAAGCTAAGGGTGGGGTAGGGTGGGGCTTAGTGATTTTTTTTCTTAAAGAGAGAGAACAGGGAATGTGCCTTGAACATGCACAATTTGCTTGAACATGATCATAGTCATTAATAAAAACATTGAGCAATATTTGCTTCTATGTCTTTGGAACTGGCATTTGCAAAGGTAGCATTGACAGATCAGAGAACAGAAAGGAATTCTGCGGTTACTCGTGGAGGAATTTGGACCTGTGAGATATTCATGATGTTAATTATTTATAATTTCAGTTGTTTTAGGCCAGGCTTTGAGCTTCAAGATAATGTGCTCAGAATTGGCAACAAAAATGGTCATTTTTTTGCTAGTAATTACTGGCTTTGAGCTTCAGCTATTTTAGAAGGACACAGAGAGATCTTTAGATCATGTATTCCTGACTTAAGCAAGGAAGGAAAGAAGGAAGGAAGGAAGGAAGGAAGCAAGGAAGGAAGGAAAGAAGGGAGGGAGGGAGGGAGAGAAAGGAAGGGAGGGAGGGGAGGAGGAGGAATAGGAAGAAGAAAAGAAAGGAAAGAAGGAAGGAAGGAAAAAGTAAGGCAGGGAGGCAGGCAGGAACAAAGAAAGAAAGGAAGAAAAGAAGTAAAAAAAATTTTTTTAAAGGACAACCCACAAAACCTCAGAATTTAACTAAGTTCCAGGCCTGAAATTTATTTTTTTGAACAATAGAGATGCACTATACTGTAAGAAAACACAACATGTAAAAATTCAAACTTGCCAAACTAAACAGAGAGAAGTTAAACATTTTACAGGAAAATTTGCTACTAGGACATGTTAAATAAAAGCGCCCTCAGTATCTTTAAACTAGAGATTGATGTACACTTTAACCTTTTAAAACCACGTAAAGTGAAGTCTCCCATGTAAATATCATTCTTAATGTGGAATATCCACACTTGAAAGTCACACATTGCTGGGGTTCAACCTCAGCTTCACCACTCATAGCATGTGACTGTGGCCAAGTTACTTCACCTCTCTGAGCCTCAGTTTCCCCATCTGTAAAATGAGGGCAGTGATAGCACCTGCCTGATTAGACTTAACTGAGTTGCTACACAGAAAGCCATGAGGAAGTCCTGCCACTCAGCAGGTGTTTCATGGCTCTTAGCTTCCTAAGCCTTCTCTTTCCTTCCTACTTCTGGGACCACGTGGTTCAGCCAGCATGGAACAAAAGAAAATTTGACCCACTTTGTAGCTTTAGATGCCTCAGCTTTATGCCAAGTAAGTTGTAACCTCAAACAAATGGGACCCAGAGAGCTTATGGCTGTTTCTGCCTTTCTCATATTTATTTATTTTTTAAACAAATACTTGTATAATGCTTACTATGTGATAGGCATATTCTAAGCACTTGGCAAATACCGACTCATCCAATCTTTTATAACAACCCTATGAAATATATAGTATTATTTATTATTCCCATCTTACATTTGAGGAAGCAGAAACACAGAGAGCTTAAGTAACTGGTCCAAGGACCATAACAGGTACCTGCACAGCCAAGAACTGAACCCAGACAATCTAGTCCATTCCCTCAGTAGGTCTCATGGGTGTATTATTTATTTGGAAGGCCTGCTGAAACCAAAGCAGCCAAATGAAATACCAGGGCCAGTTCTGCACAGACTAAAAAATAACAGCAGGGCCAGAAGTACTGAAGTTGCAAAACCCTCTGCTGATAAGCTTTCACTGCCAGAACCTCAGACCAGAGAGATCTAGATGAAGTTGACTGAATAAGCAAGCTGATTTCCAGTCCTTTGGCACACTGCCCTCTCTCCACTCCTACCACCTAAAAGGGTGCAGACTCCTCTCAGGTTTCTTCATTCTTCCTCACTCTCTTGGCTCAGTGAATGTGAAATTGCTGGCTGTTGCAGCCTAAGTGGGTGGAAGGGTGGCTGGAGGACGGAGAGCATTCAAGTAGTCAAAGAAAAAAAGAAATAACTTGTTTTAACATTTTAATAACTCTAATTTTTAAAATTATCAAAGCAATACCTTTTTTTTTCTTTTTTTTGACAAAGTCTCACTCTGTCACCCAAGTTGGAGTGCAGTGGCACGATCTCGGCTCACTGCAACCTCCACCTCCCGGGTTCAAGTGATTCTCCTGCCTCAGCCTCCCAGCAATACCTCTTTATAGCAGACATTGCAAAGTGGCTGACTCAGCCCCAATTCCTAACACACACATCCCCATCCCTCCTTCCACT
Organism: Homo sapiens; assembly: GCF_000001405.40. Lineage (NCBI taxonomy): Eukaryota > Metazoa > Chordata > Mammalia > Primates > Hominidae > Homo > Homo sapiens. The sequence continues at coordinate 38,388,040 of NC_000004.12, forward strand.
TTCCAGCTGGGGATGGCCATGTGACACAAATCTGGCCAGTTAATGTTAAATCTGTGATGGCGTTCTCGTTTGTGTTTTCCTGAGACAGTCCTTCCTGTTCCTTTCCTCTCTCTTTGAATGAATGTGTGATAACTGGTGGGTACAATGACCACATGAAGGCCATGAAGGAAAAGCCATAAACATTTCAGACATTGGTCTTGGCATTGTTGAGCTGCTGAACCACTATTGTTTGAATTTTTGTTACTTACAGCCAAGGACAATCTTATCTTTACAAAGTTCATTATTTTAAAAAGTTAGAAAATACAGGAAAAATAATAACAATGGGGGAAAATAGCATCTGTAATCCTACCATCCAGAAATAACTAAAATCAATATTTCAACATATATTCCTTCAATTTTTCCTCTTTTTTATTGTTTTACAAAAATTTGGAGTAACGCTCCAGAAATAGTTTTGTAACTGATTATTTTACTTACCAATGTGCTATGGCCATTTTTCTATAACAATTATTCATCTACTTATCATTGCATGGATGTTCCAAGGTTTATCTAGCCATTCCCTATTGTCAAATATTTGTTATTTTCCATTTTTAACCATGGTAAACAGTAATAGTGTGAACATGTTTGTAGATGCATCTTTATCTGATTATTTCCTTAGGATAAATTCCTAAAATTGCTGTGAATTGCTGGATTAAAGGGAATGCACATTTTATAGGCTTTACGGACCTATAGATAAAATGCCGTTCATAAAGGTTTTACCAGATTTTCTGCATTCACTTATATTGTGTGCCTTTTTGTTACATCACTATCAACACTGGGATTTAAAAATGTCTGTCAGCTCAATACGCAATGTATAGATTAATTTAAACTAATTTAATAATTTATTGTTTGACATTGTATTAGTCCATTTTCACGCTGCTGATAAAGACATACCCAAGACTGGGCAATTTACAAAAGAAAGAGGTTTAATTGGACTTACAGTTCCACATGGCTGGGGAAGCCTTACAATCATGGTGGAAGGCAAGGAGGAGCTAGTCACATCTTACATGGATGGCAGCAAGCAAAAAAAGCTTGTGCAGGAAAACTCCCTCTTATAATAACTATCAGCTCTTGTGAGACTTACTATCAGGAGAACACCAGGGGAAAGACCTGCCCCCATGATTCAATTACCTCCCACTGGGCTCCTCCAACAACACATGAGAATTCAAGATGAGATTTGGGTGGGGATACAGCCAAACCATATCAGACATATTTCCATGACATCATTTCCCATTTTCAATTCTATGAATTACCTATTATGTACCAAACACTGGTCTAGGCAGTTTGCATATTCTTTTTTTAAAAATCTTCACAAACCATTATCTTTTATTTTGAGTGAGTAAACTATGGCTCACTCATAGTAAGGGGCTAAGTTACTTGTCTGAGATCACACAAACTGGTAAGTGATCAAACTAGGGTCCATAACTAGGTCTGCCTGACTCCAAAGTAGAAACTATAATAAAGGTTTTTGTTTGTTTGTTTGTTTTTAAAAAAGATGCTACATAAGTTCTTCAGGTTCTGGTTGAATCAATCAGGAACCAGTGAGAGAAAGACAGCTCTCTCCAAGGAGTAATTGAAGAGAGTTCATGGAAAGCACTATTTGTGGAGGTGTGGGGAGGAAGAAGGGACCAGTCAAAGGGTAGAGAAACACCAAGGCAGTATCAGCAGCAGAAAGCTGCTGTAATCCCAGGCCTGGAGGGGTAGAAAGAGGGCCCTCTTTGGCAATCTGGTGAGATCTGCAGCAGTGGGAGAGTGGCAGCTATGTGACCATAGAGTCACAGCTACTGTCAAACCACAGAGCAGCCTACAGACATTATACCCAACTCTGATCTCCTATTGGTGCCTCCTATTAGCCAAATCCAACCAGAAGCCAGAGGACAATGAAGTCTGGAAGTATTGTCCATGAAAATCAACCTCCTGGACACACAAGAAAGGAAAGTAGGGTGGAGAATGGACCTGCAGTGCTCCAGCCCGTTTGCTCCCTATTCCCTTTAGAAGAGCAGAGCCATATCCTCCCACAATGAACTGTTGATGTACTTCAAAACCCACATGCAAGGCTGCTATAGAATTAAATGCAGCCATGTAGGGGAAGGGCCTAGTACAGTTTGGTGCATAGTAAACACACAATAAAAATGAGTTATGATTATTTCATATTTAGAATTAATATTCTACACAAATCATACCAGGAGATTCTACTTATCCTTTTTTCTACTGGCAACTTTCAGCCCTCAAACTGTTGGCCATAAAACAACAACCATAAAATCCAAAAACAAAACAAAAGAAAGAAAAGGAATGGGGATAAAATGAAACATTTTTCCTTGTTGGGCACATGGCTGGGCATGTTTGCCAGCCTTCCTCATTCTAAGGTGTGGTCCTAGGACCAAATGCCAGCTGATGAAATGTGAACAGAAGTGAGAAGCACAACCTCTAGGCCTGGCCTATATAACCTCTAGGCCTGGCCTATATAAACTTCTCCTGTGCATTCCCCCAGGCTGTCTCCCCTTTGCCAGTTCAATGTCAATGAACAGACCATCTGATACGATTTGGCTCTGTGTCCTCACCCAAATCTCGTGTTGAATTTTTATTCTCAGTGTTGGAGGTGGGGCTTGGTGGGAGGTGATTTGATCATTGGGTGGTTTCTAATTATTTGGCACCATCCCCCTAGTGCTGTCTCATGATAGCATTCTTATAAGATCTGGTTGTTTGAAAGTGTGTAGCACCTACCCCTTGGCACTCTCTCTCTCCTACTGGTCATGTGAAGATGGTGCTTGCTTCCCCTTCACCTTCCACCATCAATGTAAGTTTCCTGAGGCCTCCCCAGGAGCAGAAGCCTGTATATCCCACAGAACCGTGAGCTAATTAAACCACTTTTTAAAATAAATTACCCAGTTTTAGGTATTTTTTATAGCAGTGTGAGTACAGACTAATACAGCACCCTCAGGATCCCTGTTCTGAGAAAGATGGAACTCCAGTCTGTCTGTATTTGAGCAGAGTGCCTGCTCCATCCAACCCTATCTGACCTGAAATTGCCTTAGCTGTTCATGGAAATGTGAAATAAAAGCTGATGCTGTTAAGCAATCTATATATTAGAGTTTTGCAATAGCAGCTAGTGGCACCCTCATTAACACAAGGAACAAACATATGAGTGCAAAGCTCAGACAAGGACCCAGAGCAGGACTGACAGAAACAAAAAAGTGCATAATGAGGCTTCTCTAGAAGGAGCCCTTCTGTTTTAAGGTGATATGGTTTGGATCTGTGTCCACACCCAAATATCATGTTCAGTTGTAATCCCCACTGTTGGATGTGGGGCCTGGTGGGAGGTGACTGGATCATGGGGGTGGGGCTCTCATGAATGGTTTAGTGCTATTCCTCCTTGATACTGTATAATGAGTGAGTTTTCATGAGATCTGGTTGTTTAAAAGTATTTAGTACCTCCTCTCTCTCCCTCTTGATGCTACTTTTGCCATGTAAGATGCATGCTCTTGCTTTGCCTTCTGCCACGAGTAAAAGCTCCCTGAGACCTCCCCAGAAGCAGTTGCTGCCATGCTTCCTGTACAGCCTGTGGAACCATGAGCCAACTAAACCTCTTTTCTTTGTAAATTACCTAGTCTCATGTATTTTTCTATAGCAATGCAAGAACAAACTAATACAGAAAATTGGTACCAAGGAGTGGGGCATTGCTATAAAGATACCTGAAAATGTGGAAGTGACTTTGGAACTGGGTAATGAGCAGAGGTTGGAAGAGTGTGGAGGGCTCAGAAGAAGACAGAAAGATTAAGGAAGGTTGGAACTTTCTAAAGATTTGTTGAGTTATCATGACCAAAATTTTGATAGTGATATGGACAGAGATGACCAGGCTGAGGTGGTCTCAGATGGAGATGAGAAACTTATTGGGAAATGGAGAAAAGTTTACTTTTGTTATTCCTTAGGGAAAAGCTAGGTTGAATTGTGCTCCTGCCCTAGGGATTTGTGGAACTTTGATCTTGAGAGAGGAGATTTAGGGTGTCTGGTGGAAGAAATTTCTCAGCAGCAAACCATTCAAGATGTGACGTGCCTGCTTCTAAAAACATATGCTCATATGTGTGAGCAAAGAAATGACCTGAAATTGGAACTTATATTTCAAATGGAAGTAGAGCATAAAAATATGGAAAATTTGCAGCCTGGCCACATGGTAGAAAAGAAAAGCCCATTTTTAGGGGAAGAATTCAAGCAGGCTGCAGAAATTTGCATAAAAAGGGAGCCAAATGATAATGGCGAAGACAATGAAGAAAAGGCCTTGAAGGCATTTCAGGGACTTACTTGGTAGCCCCTCCCAACACAGGCCCAGAGACCTAGGAGGACAGAATGGTTTCATGAGCCAGGCCCAGAGCCCCACTGTCCTGTGCAGCCTCAGGACACTGCTCCCTGCATTCCAAATGCTCCAGCTCCAGCCATGGCTCAAAGGGGCCCAGATACAGCTCAGGCCACTGCTTCAGAGGGTTTCCATGTGGTATTAAGCCCCAGGGCACACAGAGTGCAAGAGTTGAGGCTTGGGAGCCTCCACCTAGATTTCAGGGGATGTATGGAAATGCCTGGATGTCCAGGCAGAAGCCTGCTGCAGGGGAAAAGCCCTCATGGAAAACCTCTACTAGGGCAGTGCAGAGGGGAAATGTGGGGTTGGAGCCCCCACACAGAGTCCCCACTAGTTCACTGCCTAGTGGAGCTGTGAGAAGAGGGCCACTCTCCTCCAGACCCAAGAATGGTAGATCCACCAACAGCTTGCACCCTGAGCCTGGAAATGCTACAAGCATCCAACACCAGCCCATGAGAGCAACTTTGGGGTCTGAACCCTGCAAAGCCACAGGGACAGAGCAGCCCATGGCCTTGGCAGCCCACCCCTTGCAACAATGTGCCCTAAATGTAAGACATGGAGTCAAATAAGATTATTTTAGAGCTTTAACATTTAATGACTGCACTACCACATGTTGGATTTGCACGGGGCCTGTATCCCCTTTCTCTCTTTTGGAATGGAAGTGTTTACCCAATGCCTATATCTCTGGTGTACCTTGGAAGTAACTAACTTGTTTTTTTTTTTTTTTTTCTTGAGATGGAGACTCACTTTGTCACCCCGGCTGGAGTGCAGTGGTGCTATCTCGGCCCACTGCAACCTCCATCTCCTGGGTTCAAGCGGTTCTCCTGCCTCAGCCTCCTGAGTAGCTGGGATTACAGGCATGCACCACTATGCCCAGCTAATTTTTGTACTTTTAGTAGTGACAGGGTTTCACCATGTTGGTTGGCCAGGGTGGTCTCAATCTTTTGACCTCGTGATCCACCCGCCTCAGCCTCCCAAAGTGCTAGAATTACAGGCATGAGCGACCGTGCCCAGCCAGAAGTAACTAACTTGTTTTTGATTTTACAGACTCATAGGTAGAAGGAACTAGCCTTGTCTCAAATGAGACTTTGGACTTTTAAGTTAATGGTGGAATGAGTTAAGAATTTGGGGGATTGCTGGGAAGGCATGATTGTAGTTTGAATTTGAGGTAGACATGAGATTAGGGAGGGGCCAGAGGTGGAATGATGTGATTTGGATCTGTGTCACCACCCAAATCTCATGTTCAATTGTAATCCCCAATGTTGGAGGTGGGGCCTTGTGGGAGGTGATTAGATCATGGGGGTGGGGCTCTCATGAACGATTTAGCACCATCCCCCCTTGGTATGGCACAATAAGTGAGTTTTCATGAGATCTGGTTGTTTAAAAGTGGGTGGCGCCTCCCCCACACTGTCCTGCTCCCACTGTGTAAGACTCCTGCTCCTCCTTTGACTTCTGCCATGAGTAAAAGCTCCCTGAGGCCTCCCCAGAGGCAGATGCTGACATGCCTCCTGTACAGCCTGTGGAATCATCAGCCAATTAAACTTCTTTTCTTTATAAATTATGCAGTCTTAGGTATTTCTTTATAGCAATGTGAGAATGGACTAATACATAAGGCCACTGATCTTTCTCTGATAAAAATTTAATTTCAGTTTACATGAATTATTATATTCTACCAAAAATCTCTACCAAAAATTCCTTTAAAAGAATAGAAACTACCAGAAGTCAGAAGCCTGGCACTGCATGTCATCAGTTTGATAAGGTTTGGTGCCTGCATTAGCCTGTGCTCAGAGCACAACTGTAGGGTCAGACTGCCTGGGTCCCCTCCAGGCTCACCCCTCATAGCAGTGAACCTTAGGCAAGTGACTGCACTTTTCTGAGTTAATGTGTGCAAAGAGTTGAAAACCATGTCACACACATAGCCAGCTCTCAATGCAGGCTGAAGAAATGAATAAAGTGTGAAGAGGAGAGAGATTGTTGGTCCTTCTCCTCTCCTCTCTTCAGAGAAGACTATCTCTAACTCTTCGTGGTTCCTTCTTTCTCAGAAGGAGGTTGGTGAACAGTGATTTGGAGGAACAGGGGACAAAGAAGGAAAGGGGCATGGACATGATCAGCCACATGCCTTATGCCCTTCTTCTCTGAGGTTCTCCCTCTGTGACAGTCCCCCAGATCTCTTGTGGCTCCCAAGGATTAGCACTGTACATAGAGACCATACTCTGGATCCAGGCTGCCTGGTTTGAATACTGACTCACCTGCCACAAAGCATCTAGGACAATGCCTGGCCTGTGATTCCTTCAGCACTAGTTAACACAGAGAGACATGGTGGACAAAGTCATTGCCTCCACTCCTCAGATGCCAAAATAGGTCTCACCCTGAAGAGGACCCTGCTCCATCCATTACTGTTTGAGTACCACTAATTCAGAAAAAAACAAATTTAATGGTTTATGACTCTCACGTATAGACTGGAAGAGACAGAAAATATTTACAATTGGTGGGGAACAGCCCCCTGCCCTTATCCTGTGAAGGTCATGGATGCATGGATAGATGGATGGATGGAGGGATGGATGGATGGATGGATGGATGGATGGATGGATGGATGAAACCTTACACCAGGTTTCAACTGCATAACAGGGCCATGCCACCGTTGCTAACTTTCCCATCAGTTAAATGAAGAATTCCATTTATCCCACAATCGCAAGAGAGGGAAGTAATGACTACAGGACATTAACGTATATAAACCCAAGAGCTTCTATAAAATGCATGTAATAAGGCAGGACATATTTTCAGTTACACATTCCATCAATTTATGTCCCCTAAAACTTAACATCCCCATACAATGAAATTCTAATATAGGCCGGGCTTGGTGGCTCACGCCTGTAATCCCAGCACTTTGGGAGGCTGAGACGGGCGGATCACGAGGTCAGGAGATCGAGACCATCCTTGCTAACACGGTGAAACCCCGTCTCTACTAAAAATACAAAAAAATTAGCCGGCCGTGGTGGTGGGCACCTGTAGTCCCAGCTACTCTGGAGGCTGAGGCAGGAGAATGGCATGAACCTGGGAGGCGAAGCTTGCAGTGAGCAGAGCTTGTGCCACTGCACTCCAGCTTGGGCAACAGAACAAGACTGTCTCAAAAAAAAAAAAAAGAAATTCTGATATAACATGGTTTGTGTATAAAGAAGGTGTTATAACTGCATAGCTGCTGGGGTTAACATGAAGCTCCCTGACCTTAGTGTCTTGGTGTCATGTCATAGCGTGGGTCAAGAGGAGCATTTAAGAAAAATGCATAGGCTGAGAGATGGAGACAGAAAGAGTCTTCAGGTCCACTGACTATGTGCCAAGTGCTTAATGGGTGGCACCTCATTTAATCCTCACTAAATCTATGTTTTACAAATAGCCTTCAAGAAACCATCTGTTCCTGTGATAAAAGCATGCCTTAGGAATTATAATAACCTGGACTTAAAACTGGACCTTGCCACTTTCCAGCTGTGTGATTTGGGAGAAGTTATACAGCCTCTCTGAGTCAATGAGGAGTAAATGAACTAACACATGTAAAGCACCTGGTTTGTAATAGGTGCCTTAGAAATATGATTTCCTTTCCTTTCTTACTTCTTTCTATTAGTGGTTCTCAACTTTGGCTGCACACTGGAGTCACTTGAGGATCTTTAAAACAAAAACAAAAACAACAACCAAAAAAACCCTCTTGCCTGAGTCCTTCCTCCAGGGATTTGGATTTAATTGGTCCAGGGTGTGGTCTGGCCATGGGCATGGGGATCTTTAAAAGCTCTTCTGGGTGAATCTAAAGTGCTGCCAAGGTCGAAAATCACTTGTCTTCATTGAATCACCTGGTATCACATAGGGAGTTAGTGGGTGATGCAATAATAGAATTGTTAATCACATTGGGCAGAGTTATCAGAAATGGGAATTCTGGAAACTGCGGTTGCTCCCTTCTGCTATCAAGGGAAAGGGTAACCTTTCCCTTAATAATGAGATATATAATAATGGGTAACCTTTCCCTTAATAAAAAGAGCTACCTCAGCCAATTGTCCTCCAGGGGAGTGCCAGCGGTTTTATCTCGATAGGGGATACCATTTTGGGGAAACCTATTCTTTAGAATAAAGTAAATGGCTTAAAGAGCCCATAGGTGTAATTCTTCAAGGTAAATGCATGTTCCAGGAATCAAGATAATGGCCAGAGTTCTGCTGTCACAAGGGAGAGCTGAGGTTCTGGACTGAGCACGTTCTTGCCTTGCCGTGTGATGCTTAAGGCAAGTTTCTTAAACTCACTGAGCTTCAATTTCCCAGTCTGTTAGGGACATAACCACTTTTTAAAAGAATGGTCCAAAAGCTTAAGCTTTTCAGGAAAAAGAAAAGCCATATGCATCTGCACTCATGTTTATACATAGAATTTTAGGAAGTTCATGGGCCATGGTACATTTTTCTTAAATAGATAAGCCCTGAATCCCTTCCAGCTTCATAAAAGTATTTTACTCCTATTTAAATATTGTTTACAGGTTCCATTATATGGTTGGGCTCTCCTGGAAGGTTGCTGAAGAAAGAGGGACTTCTGAGAGGCAGTGCAGTTGAGCAGGAAATAACGGTGCTACATCTCTGGACACGGTGAACATTTCAAGGACCTCGGGTCTAGGCAGTCCAGTTAAAGTATCTAACAAATCTCCTCATAAAAAACAATCAAGCCAAATAGTTAAAATCTGACCTCAATTCTCTTTTCTGGAATTAGTGTCATTAAAATGATTTTCAAAGTCTAATATTAGAAAATCTACATTTTGTTATCATGTTCAAAGTCACAGACCTCTGTGAACCAGCCAAGCAGGCTGGAAGGCAAAGTTGTACACTGAAATCCACTTCTTCCAGCAGCTCACTTTGTCATCTGAACCCAGGCAAGTTGTTTCACCTCTCAGTGCCCTTGCCTGTAAAATGCAGATAACAGAGCCAACCTCACAGGGCTGGTATGAGGAATAGCTAATGAAACGTGATAATGACATGCCCAATTTAAATGCAAAAGGCTGTAAAACAACAAAAAGCATATTTAAACATTTCCACTGCTAGGAGATGGTGGTGGGGGAGATAATAGGGCCTTGAGAAGAGAGCATTTATTTTTCTCTCTAGTGTACCCTTCAGTTAATCAATGAATATTTATTATTCTATGTGCCAGGCGCTGTGCTAGGCTATGGGAAACATAGAAGTCTTCGTTCTCATGAAATTTACAGTCAGCCATTCTAGGCATGACATGTAAAATCCAGCGGAAAATACGCTAAATCACAGCTCCCTCTCATTTCTATCTGTCTGTATATCAGACAGCGTGGGTAACTTTGGGAAATGCAAACGTTTATGAGACACATCACTACCCTTTAAGAGTTTGAATCTCATCATAAAGAGAAGACGTAGGTGAAGCATAAACGATCCAAGGCAGCGTAAGATCCAATGCCAAGTGAACATTCAACTTTCAACTTTCTCTTTCATTTGTGTTTCTTTTCCATTTGGGCTGCTTTCTTTCTTTCTCTTTCTTTTCTTTTCTTTTCTTTTTTTTTTTTTTTTTTTGAGATGGAGTCTCGCCCTAGCACCCAGGCTGGAGTGCAGTGGCACAATCTTGGCTCACTACAACCTCTGCCTCCCGGGTTCAAGTTATTCTCCTGTCACAGCCTCCCAGGTAGCTGGGACTACAGGCACGAGTCATCACACCCTGCTAATTTTTGTATATTTAGTAGAGACGGGGTTTTACCATGTTGGCCAGGGTGGTCTTGAACTCCTGACCTCAAGTAATCTGCCTGCCTCGGCCTCCCAAAGTGCTGGGATCACAGGCCTGAGCCACCACGCCCAGCTGGGCTGCTCTCTTTCTACACTCTCCTTAACCTCTAAGAATCTCTTCCAGGTTCATCCATGTTATCCCTAATGGCAGAATTTTCTTCTTTTCCTTCTTTTTAAAGATGGAGTAACACTCCATTATGTATACTACATTTTCTTTATCCATTCACCCATCAGCAGACAATTAGGTTGATTACATCTTTTGACTATTGTAAATAATGCTGCAATGAACACTGGGGTGCAGATATCTCTATTCATTCATTCATTCATTCATTTTCATGCATTCATTTTCTTTGGATCAGTACCCAGAAGTAAGATTGCAAAATCATATGGTAGTTCTATTTTTAATTTTTTGAGAAATCTGCATACTGTTTTGCATAATGGCTGTACCAATTTCCCACCAACAGTGTGCAAGAGTTCCCTTTTCTCCATATTCTTACCAATGCTTATCTTTTGTCTTTTGGTAATAGCCATGAGATAATGTCTTATCATAGTATATACTGTATATACTCTTTGGTGTCTGGCTTTTTTGTTGCAACATAATATTATTGAGATTCATTCATTTTGCTGCATATATTAATAGTATGTTTTGGGGATTTTGGTTTGTTTGCTTCTTCTTATTTTTATTTTTTTGCTGAGTAGTATTCCCTTGTATGAATATATTGCAATTTGTTTATCTATTCAATTATTGATGGGTATGTGTCTTATATCCAGGTTCTGTTTATTATGCTAAAGTTGTTATAAATGTTATTATGCAAATCTTTTTGTGGATATATGCCTTTTATCTCTCTTAGGTAAAAACCTAGGAGTAGAGTTGATGAATTATAGTGAGGTGTATGTTTAGGTTTATAAGAAACTACCAGAACTTTTGCCAAAGTGAGTTGTAACATTTTATACTCTTACCAATAATGTGTGAAGTTTCCAGTTGTTCTACATCCTCACTTGGTATTAGGTATTTTACTTTTAACCATTTTTTTTCATTAATTTTAACTTTTCTTTAAGATCCAGGGGGTACATGTGCAGTTTTGTTACTGGATATATTGTGTGATGCCGGAGTTTGGGTACAATTGACCCCATCACATGAGTACTCAGCATAGTACCCAATAGTTAACTTGTCAACCTTGTCCGCCTCCTTCTCTCCCAACTCTAGTAATCCCCAGTTTCTCTTGTTGCTATTTTTATGTCCATGAGGACCCAGTGTTTAACCCTTGTAAGTGAGAACATGCAATATTTGGTTTTCCGTTTCTGCGTTACTTTATTTAGGATAATAGCCTCCAGCTGCATCCATGTTGCTGCAAAGGACATTATTTCATTCTTTTTATCATGGCTGCATAGTATTCCATAGTGTGAATTTTTGTTTTTGTTGAAATTGCTTTTGGGCAGAGTTCCCCAAGCCCTGGGCTGTGGACTGGTACTAGTCTGTGGCCTGTTAGGAACCTGGCCGCACAGCAGGAGGGGAGGTGCAAGAGAGGATTACCACCTGAGCTCCACCTCCTGTTAGATCAGCAGTGGCATTAGGTTCTCATAGGAATGTGAGCCCTATTGTGAACTGCACATGAGAGGGATCTAGGTTGCCTGCTCCTTGTGAGAATCTAATGCCTGATGATCTGAGTGGAACAGTTTTGTCCTGAAAGCACCCCCGGCCTGCCCCACCATCATGGAAAATTGTCTTCCACAAAACCAGTCCCTGATGTCAAAAAGGTTGGGGACCCCTGCTCTTGAGGACTTAGTCAAAAATACTTTCCCAAGGTCAATGTTCAGAATGGTATTTCCAAGGTTTTCTTCTAGGATTCTTATGGTTTGAGGTCTTACATCCAAATCTATTTCAAGTTAATTTTTATATATGATCAATGGCAGGGGTCTAGTTTCAGTCTTCTGCATATGGCTAGACAGCTATCTCAGCACAATTTATTGAATAGGAAGTCCTTTCCCCATTGATTTTTTTTCGTCAGCTTTGCCAAAGATCAGATGGCTATAGATCTGCAGCTTTATTTCTGGGCTCGCTATTCCGTTCCATTGGTCTGTATGTCTGTTTTTGTACCAGTACCATACTGTTTTGGTTACTGTAGTCTTATAGAATAGTTTGAAATTGGGTAATGTGATACCTCCAGCTTTGTTCTTTTTGCTTAGAATTGCTTTGGCTATTCGGGCCTTTGTTGTTGTTGTTGTTCCATATGAATTTCAGAATAGTTTTTTTCTAATTCTGTGAAAAATGACATTGGTAGCTTGAAAGGAATAGTGTTGATTCCGTAGATGGCTTTGGGCAGTATGACCATTCTAACAATATTGATTTTTCCAACTCATGGGCATGGAGTGTCTTCCATTTGTTTGCGTCATCTATGATTTCTTTTGGTAGTGGTTTGTAGTTCTCCTGGAAGGGATCTCTCACCTCCTTGGGTAGATGTATTCCTAGGTATTTTATTTCATTGTGGCTATTGTAAATGGGATTGAATTCTTGATTGGGCTCTCAGCTTGAATATTATTGGCATGTTATCATTGGTCCAGGAGCTTTTTGGTGAAGACTTCAGGGTTTTCTAGGTATAGAATCATATCGTCCATGATGAGAAATCATTTGACTTCTTCTTTTCCTATTTGAATGCTTTTTATCTCTCTCTCTTCACTGACTACTCCGGCTAAGACTTACAGTGCTATGTTGAATAGGAGTGGTGAGAGTGGGCATTCTTGTCGTGTGCCAGTTCTCAAGGGGAATGCTTTCAGTTTTCCCATTCAGTGTGATGTTGACTGTGAGTTTGTCATCAATGGCTCTTATTTTGAGGTATGTTCCTCTTGTGCCTGGTTTCTTGATGTTTTCTTTTATCATGAAGGGATGTTGAATTTTTTCAGAAACTTTATCCACATCTACTGACATGATCATGTGGTTTTTGTTTTTAAAATTCTGTTTATGTGGTGAATCACAGTTATTTGTGTTCGTTGAATCAACCTTGCATCTCAGGAATGCAGCCTACTTCATCATGGTGAATTAACTTTTTGTTTTGAGACAGAGTCTTGCTCTGTCACCCAGGATGGAGTGCAGTGGCGTGATCTTGGCTCATTGCAAGCTCTGCCTCCTGGGTTCATGCCATTCTCCTGCCTCCCGAGTAGCAGGGACTACAGGCGCCCACCACCAAGCCCAGCTAATGTTTTGTATTTTTAGTAGAGATGGGGTTTCACCGTGTTAGCCAGGATGGTCTCTATCTCCTGACCTCGTGATCCGCCCACCTTGGCCTCCCAAAGTGCTGGGATTACAGGCCTGAGCCACCGTTCCTGGCCAGTGAATTAACTTTTTAATGTGCTGTTGGGTTTGGTTTGCTAGTATTTTGTTGAGGATTTTCACAACTAGGTTCATCAGGGATATTGGCCTGTAGTTTTCTTTTTTTCATTGTGTCTCTTCTAGGTTTTGGTAGCAGAATGACGCTGGCTTCATAGAATGAGTTAGGGAGGAGTCCCTCCTTGATTTATTGGAATAATTTCAGTAGAATTGCTACCAGCAGTTCTTTGTACGTCTGGAAGAATTCTACTGTGAGTCTCTCTCATCTGAGGCTTTTTTTGGTGGGTAAGTTTTTATTATTATTATTACAGATTCAGTTTTGGAACTTGATACAGGTCTGTTTAGGGTTTCAATTTCTTCTTGGTTCAATTTTGGGAGAGTGTGTTTCCAAGAATGTATCAATTTCCTCTAGATTTTCTAGTTTGCGTGCATAGAGATGTTCATAGTAGTCTCTGAAGATCTTTTGTATTTCTGTGTGGTCAATTGTATGTCACCTTTGTCATTTCTGATTGTGCTTATTTGGATCTTCTCTCTTTTTTTTTCTTTGTTAATCTAGCTAGCAGTCTGTCAATCTTGTTTATCCTTTCCAAGAAATAACTTTTGGTTTCATTGATTATTTTTATGACATTTTGGGTCTCAATGTTCTCTGGTTTTACTTCTTTCTTTCTTTCTGTTGGCTTTGGGGTAGTTTGTTCCTCCTTTCTAGTTCCAGGTGTGATGTTAGGTTGTTAATTTGAGATCTTTCTAACTTCTTGGTGTAGGCATTTAGCCCTATAAATTTTCCTCCTAACACTGCTTTTGCTGCATCCCAGAGATTTTGATATGTTGTGTTTCTTTTTTAATTTATTTCAATAATTTTTTATTTCTGCCTTAATTTTGTTGTTTACCCAGAAGTAACTCAGGAGCAAGTTGTTTAATTTCCATGTAATTGTGTGGTTTTTGAGAAATCTGGGTATTGATTTATATTTTTATTCTACTGTGGTTGGAGAGTATGCTTGGTATAATTTTGATTTTTTTTATTTATTGAGACTTGCTTTATGGTCAAGCATATGGTGGATCTTAGAGTATGTTCCACGTGCAGATGAGAAGAATATATATTCTGTGATTGATGGGTGGTGTATTCTGTAGATGTCTATTATGCCCAATTAGTCAAGTGTCGAATTTAAGTCAAGTGTTGAATTTAAGTCCAGAATTTCTTTGTTAGTTTTCTGTGTTGATGATCTGTCTAATGCTTTCCATGGAGTGTTGAGGTCCTCCACTGTCTTTTCGTAGGTCTAGAAGTACTTGTTTTATCAGTCTGGGTGCTTGAACATTGCGTGCGTACTTTTAATCATTTTAATCAGTGTGAAATAATTTCTCATTGTTGTTCTGATTGGCATATTCATGATGAATAATTACATTGAGCACTTTTTCAAATGCTTCTGACAGTTTCTGTGTCTTATGAAGTATCCGTCCAAATCTTTTTTCTGTTTTTTAATGCAATGTTTTATCTTTTTAACTATTAAGTTATTGGAATTCCTTATATATTTTAGATACAAATCTCCTGTTAAGTAAATGTTTTTCTCGTTCTGTGGTTTTCTTTTTCATTTTTTAATGGTGCTTTTGAGAAGTAGAAGTTTTTAGTTTTGATGAGATCCAATATGGCAATTTTATTTTCTTTTATGATCAGTATCTGTATTAAGGTTCTCAAAACCAATAGCGTATTTATGTATTTGTGTGTGTGTGTGTGCATGCGCATATGTGTGTGTGTGTGTGTGTGTGTGTGTGTGTATACACATATATAGACAGCCAGAGAGGCAGAGATTTAATATAAGGGATTGGCTCATGTTATTAGTGGAGGTTGAGAAGTTCCAAGATTTGAAGCTGGAGACCAGGACAGTTGATGGCATTATGTTCTAGTCCAAGGGCAAAAGATGACCAGTCCCAACTCAAGCAGTTAAGTCAAAAAACTTCCCTCTTACTCAGTCTTTTTGTTTTATTCGGGTCTTCGATCGACTGCATGAAAGGCATCACAAGGAGTGGACAGTATGCTCTACTCAGTCTACCCATTCAAATGTTAATCTAATCCAAAACACCCTCACAGACACACCAGAATAATGTTTGGCCAAATATCTGGGTACCCCATGGTCCAGTCAAGTTGACCCCAAATTAACCATCACAGTGCCTTTATTATCCTAAGAAACCTTTGCTTACTTCAAAATATTCTTTCTGTTTTATCGTGAAGACCATTTGTCTTCTAAAGTCATTTTTTGGAAAGACAATTCTTTCCTCATTGAGTTATATTGATGCCTTTGTCAAAAATCAATTGAGTATATGTGTGTGATATCTATTTCTGGACTCTTTTGTGTTCCATTGATCTACTTGCCAAGCCTTACCTCAATACAACACCGTCTTGACTACTGTAGGTTAAAAGTAAATCTTTATATTCATTGTCTATAGCAAATATATCTATTTGCTACGTAACAAATTATCCTCAAAAGTGCAATACAGCAAACACTTATCATTTCACACCATTCTTCAGGGTTGGGAATTTGAGAGCAGCCAAGCTGGGTAGTTCTCTCATAGGGTCTCATGAGGTTGCAGTGAAGCTATTGCCCAGAGTTGCGGTCATCTGAACGTTGGACTGAAACTGGAGGGTGTGCTTTCAAGCCCTCCAATGTAGCTGTTGGGAGAGGACTCAATTCTTTGCCGGCTATTGTTCAGGGGCTTTAGTTCCTCATCATATGGGCCTCTCCGCAGTCCACAGGGCTATTTGTGACGGAGCATGTGGCTTTCCTCAGAACAAGTGGCCAGAAAGGGAGAATGAGAGAAAGAAAGAGACACTAAGATGGATGTCACCATGTCTTTTATAACTTAATCTCAGAAGCAACATACCACCACTTCTGCCATATTCTGTTGTTCACACAGACCAACCCTGATGCAGTGTGGAAAGGCACTAAACAAGGATGTGAATATCAGGAAGTGGGGATCAGTCATTGGGGCCATCTTGTAGGCTGGCTACCACAGTCTGGAAATCATGTAGTGTAAGACATCTGACTTGGCTTTTCTTTTTCAAGATAGTTTTGGCTGCCCTACATCCCTCCCTCCCTCCCTTCCTTCCTTCCTTCCTTCCTTTTCTTTCTTTCTCTCTTTTTCTTTCTTTCCTTCTTTCTCTCTTTTTCTCTCTTTCTTTCTTCTTTCCTTCTCTCTCTCTTTCTCTCTCTCTCCTTTTTTTCTTTCTTTCTCTCTTTTTTCTTCCTTATTTTTCTTTCTTTCTTCTTTTTTTGAAGATGATTTGGCTCTGACACCTAGGCTGGAGTGCAGTGGTACTATCACAGCACACTGCAGCATCAAACTCCTGGGCTCAAGCAATCTTACTACTTCAGCATCCCAAGTAGCTGGGACTAGAGGTGCACACCTCTATGCCTGACTGCTTTGCATTTTCATATAAATCTTAGAATTAGCTTGTTAGTGTTTTTTTTAAAAGTCTTGCTGGAATTTTCACTGGGATGGCATGAAGTCTGTAATAAATTTGGGAAAAATTGATATCTATTTTGACAAATAGATGAACATGATGTGTCTCTTTATGTAGCTCTCCCTTAATTTCTTCCAGCAATGTTCTTTAGTTTTGAGTGTAGAGGTACTGTACATTGTTCATTAATTTATTTCTAAGTATTTTATGTTTTCTAATGCAATTTTAATGATATTTTTAAAATATTACTTTCCAAATGTTTGTTGCTAATACATACAAAAATGAAATAGATATTTTAAATACTGGTTTTATACCCTCCAACTTTTCTAAATTTATTTACGAGTTCTAATAGTTATTTTATAGATTCCTAGGACTTAAGCAAGAAAACAAATTAAAGCCAGTCTTCTTCCTTTCCAACATTTATGCCTTTCATTTCTGACATACATTTTCTGTAAAGGTCCCTATAGTAAATATTGTAGGCTTTGAGGGCCTTACAGTGTCTGTTGCAACTACTCAGTTCTGCTGTTGTACCACAAAAGCAGCCACGTGTAAATGAATGGACATGACTGTGTTCCAATAAAATTTTATTTCCAAAGATGAGTGACCAGGCTGGATTTGTCCTATTTCAAAGTTTAAATGTATTAAGGTCGTGAAAGTTAAGGAAAGACCTTGGAATCGTTCCAAATGGAAGAAGACTAAAGAGACTTGACAACTAAATATAACATGTGATCCTGGGCTGAATTCTTTTGCTATAAAGGCCATTATTGAGACAACTGGCAAGCCCTGAGTGGGCCTGAGGATTAGACGGTAGTGACACATCAATGTTAATTTTCTGACTTTTAGGCTGTGTTGTGATTATGTAGGATCATGTAGTTGGCTCTTAGAAAATCACTCTCAGACACTGAAGATGAACATGATGAGGCATTGTGTTGACTGCTCACTCAAAACTCATTTAGGAAGAAAATTCATTGTTCTATTCTTGCAAAACAAAAAAGTATTATTGGGCCATATACTGTAAAGAATAATTATAGATCCATGGCATACAAGTAGAATGAAGCTAGAAACCTGTGAGGATGCCTAAGCCCTCTAATGTGAGATTTGGGTTCTGGTGGAGGGCTAGGGCTTGCCTGTGTTTCTCACCATATAATTTATATGTATTTTACCTTTACAGCCACTCAGTAAAGTAAGATTGCTGTCCTTGCTATATATTACTAGATGTCCTGAACTTTTGAGGTGAATTATGAATAGTTCCAAATAAGGTCTAATAAATAGCTTCCTGAGTTGGTAGAAAATTGCTTTCATATATATCATTGTGTCCCACAATCCCTGAGAAGTTAAGAATTGTTAGCGTACTTTCACAGTTAGAAACACAGGGTTATTAAAGGCAGAGAAACTGCTGCATGGACCCAAACCAGGGCTCTGATGTAAGTCCTGGGCTCTTTCCATGAACCACAATACACCCAGTTTGGGCCTAGTGTGTGTAGCCTTGGATAAGTTCCCTAAAATGATAGAATCTCCAAGAATCAAAAGTGATCTTGAAAGTCATGTGGTCCAACTTTCAATCAGAGAACCCACACCCAGCCGAAGGGCACAGGTTTTAGAGACAGGTCTTGCTGTGTTGCCCAGACTGGTCTGAAACTCCTGGCCTCAAGCAGTCCTCTCGCCTCAGCCTCCCAAAGTGCTTGGATTACAGTTGTGAGCAACTGTGCCCAGCCCTACAATGAATTTTTTGAGGAACTTCCATTCTATTTTCCACAGTGGCTGCAACATTTTACATTCCCACCGGCAATGCACAAGGAAATTGGGAAGAAATTCCCAATTTCTTCACATCCTTGCCATTGTTTGTTATTCTCTTTTTAAAAAAATAATAGCCATCCTAATGTGGGTCTCATTTTGACTTTTTAATGCCCACTATTATAAGTTGAATTATGTTGCCTGCAAAAAGATAGTTCAAGATACACGGAAGTCCTAACCTGCAGTACCTTAGATTGTGGCCTGGATTGAAAATAGTGTTGCTGCAGATGTATTTAATTAAGATGAAGTCATACTCGAGTAGAGCAGGCCCCTAATCCAACATGACTACTGTCCTTACATGAAGATGGCATCTGAAGACCTCTGTCTACAGGGAGAACATCATGTTACGATAAGGGCAGAGATTGGAGTTATGCAGATGTAAGCCCACGAATGCCAAAGATTGCCGGCAAACTACCAGAAGCTAGCAAGAGGCAAGGAAGGATTCCCCTATAGGTTTCAGAAGGAGCGTAGCCCTGCTTGATTTTTTTATTTGTAGCCTCCAGAAGTATAAGGCAATATATTTCTGTTTTTTGAAGCCGTCCAATTTGTAGCAGAGTATTTTATTATGGCAGCCCTGATAAACTAATACATCCACCTTACTTCTGAAGTCCAACTCTCATATCCTCTTCAGTTCCCGAAAAGACCTTTCCTGTTGATTCTCAGAAAGTCTGGTTCTCAGACCTCTGTCCTTTCCCTTCCGCCTTCTTCCCCAACTTGTGCTCAACAAATTCATTCACTGAGTATATATTGAGGTCCTACTATATGCCAGGCACTATTCCAAGAGTTAGTGACATGGTAACATCTTTAAAGACTTTTTTTCTCTTTGTGATCATGAAAAGTTTTGGTTTCTTTTCTTACTATATCATCTAAATTTTTGATACATTTTAGAGAGTATCTCATATTTCTGCCATATTTCTACCCTCTTTTCAAAACTCTAAAAGATATCTTCCTCCGGTTTTAGCCTAGGTTTAGAACGTTCTCACATAAAATGGCACTTTTAATTTTATAGTCACATTTCATCAGATGGAAATTACAGCATGTTAGAATTATGGAAATGGGATCTATTATAACTCACATCTTTTTCTCAAACATGATGTGCTATGAATTTGTGCATGCTTTGATTAGTATTCATGTGAACTGGGGTGTGAATGTTTTATAAAATAGACATTATTTCCCTTTTCATCTCTCTTGCTAGCTACCAACTCAGGGGCAGGTAGTCCCTTGCTTCCAGGTTAAGCCTAAAGGACTGAAAGCTCACCGGCTGATTATCTGTCTCTTGGGTGAAACACAGCGAAGAAATCAAGCTTGGGAGATAGATGGGGGGTTGGGGACAAGGTATAGTAGGAATAGCTTGAGATGAACAGATCTGGGTGATCTGTTCTTCCTGCTGTTTCTCTTGCATGGTTTGAGTTCCTTCTGAAATCACAGAGAAATATTTGAGCAGAAAGATAAGATATCCCATCTGAGAATTGAACTTTCTAAGGAAACATTGAAAAGTTAAATTATTGAGAAGAAACTCTTTGGAATGATTTTGGGACTCATTAAGAACTCCACCTTAGACTGCAGGCCAAGTGGCTTTATTAAGAAATAAGTGCAGCCATGCACAGTGGCTCACGCCTGTAATCCCAGCACTTTGGGAGGCTGAGGCAGATGGATCACGAGGTCAGGAGTTTAAGACCAGCCTGGCCAAGATGGTGAAACCCCATCTCTAATAAATATACAAAAATTAGCTGCGCATGGTGGCAGGCACCTGTAATCCCAGCTACTCGGGAGGCTGAGGCAGGAGAATCGCTTGAACCTGGGAGGTGGAGTTGCAGTGAGACGAGACCTCGCCACTGCACTCCAGCCTGGGTGACAGAGTGAGACTCTGTCTAAAAAAAAAAAGAAGAAAGAAAGAAAGAAAGAAGTGCATCTAGAATCAACTTCAGCCAGAGCCCTTGTCAAAAGTTCTAACAGTACATGGTCAAATCAATAATTTAATAATAACTATTTTCAATAAGTCAAGACAGTTCAAAGTTAAATATTCTGCAAACAATATCTAACTTTTAATAATATCTTTTTAAAAAAAGAGAGAAAGAGGAAGGATGAAAGGAAGGGAAGAAGGGAGGAAAGAAAGGAGGGAGGAAGAAAAGGAGGGAGGGAGGAAAGAGAAAGAGAGGAAAGATATGATGTAAATGTAAAATGTCCATACTTTAAGGGACATAATAGGTGCAAAGCAAATAGGATTTGTTCCCTGTAACTAACAGTACTTGTCTCACCTCCATGGTTTCTGAGAAACAAAAGCATTACCAAAGTTGTATATTCTGGGACATGTTTGGATAATAGCAACTTTCCTTGAGATACAACAAAGAATTTACTCTAGAATTAAGAGATGGAGTCAGAATTGTAATATATTTTGGTCACTTTGCTAAGCAGAGTTCAATACGCAGCCACATTGCTGCAGGGTGCTCCTGTCAAAGGAAGCATGAAAGGGACTAGAAGGTTCAGGCCCAGACTGTCCCTAAAGTGTCTGAGACCTGAGCTGGGCACAGGGATTCACATTAGGGTAAATCCAAATGTGAAAGAGGAATGTAGGAAGGCCTGGATCTGCTCCTTAGAAACAGTCATTCGATTCCTGTGGGGTTTTTCTTCCTCCCCTAAAAAAAAGACAGACTGTAATTCCTGACTATGAGTGTCACATGTGCCTCGTACAAAGTAGGAAATTAACCTATATTCCTTTTCTTACCTCTTCCCTCCTTCACCTTCACAAAGGGGAGAACTGCTCATCCCTCCCACCTAGGAATGAGTGTACCTCTTCCTCCTCCTCAGGGCAGATTTGAGAATGGATGGCAGGAAATGTATCAATGGGTTTTGAGGGCAGACAGAGAGCCTTGACCTTGCATGACCACTTACCATTTGTGAAACCTTGAGCAAAAGATGCAACTTATCTGAGCTCAGTTTTAGCTGCCACGTGACATTTATAGCTCTTTACATTGTTGCAAAGCTTACATGAAATAATACATGAAGTGATTTTAAATGTTGGGCACGTGGTACATGCTCCATAAAGACTGGGTACCATCATGTACTTGGTTCAAAAAATGAGGGCCATTATTATTATTAATTCATTAAAAAATGAATTATTGAGATAAAACCATCTTCATCTATATGGGGTTATGGTCTCATTTTTTAAGACCCTATGTCAACCAGTAAACACTTTTATATTTTTATATCAGTTGGCAGGTGTCCCCAGGAATACCAATCAGAGCTGTCACTCTGACCTGGCATAGTAGTTCCCTGACAGCTGTGGGAATACTCTGGCAGGAGACTGGGGGAAAGGGTGAGTGGCGTGAACAAAACTTCTGCTTAGAGCAGGGATCTGCAATCACAGCCCATGGAAATTACTAGGCTTACTTTAGCATTCATTCGTTTGTTTAATAAATATGTATTGAGCACCTACAAGCATTGTTTGGGATTTTGAATGGAGCACAGAACAGACTCTTGCCCCCTTGAAGTTTACAATTCAGTTGGAGAAACAGACAATAAGCAAGAAGGGAGCCCAATAAACTTGTAATTACCAATTGTTATGTATTATGATGGAAAAAAATAGTGTTTTCTGGGAGAATAATAAAAGTGGGAAAATTTAGTTGAGGGACAAGGAAGAGCTCTCTGAGAAAGCGTTCTTTGAGTCTGAAGGAAGAGGAGGATTTAGCCAAGGGGCAAGTGTCCTCCCCATCCCCACTCTGCCTTCTCCCTGACCTTCTGCCTCCATGTTGTTCCAATGTGGCTTTTCCTCACCCTTCACTGGGCACTGTTCTTGATGCTGGGAACACAGCTGGAGAAATTGGAATTGCTTCCCTGGGGTGAGAGAGATGGGAATGACGATGAGAAGGCAGGAAACAAGTCAGCAATGTTGACAATAGAGTGTGGTGTGTGACGGCGGAGGAGCAGCAGCAGAGGGGCTAAGTTGCAAATGGCCGATGAAGGTGGATGGAGAAAACGTTCTGCCGGTAGGGGATAAGGAACAGGATACAAGAGGCGATAGGGTGAGGAGAATGGACCTACACTGATTAGCAATGCCTGTTGGCCAAAACTGAACCACGGTCGTGTCAGATTTGACGGGTCTGGTATTTTAAAAATTATGAAGTTCCCATAAAAATAGTGATTTCCAATTTCTCTAGAAAAATCAGAAGACCTGGCACCTCTGAGCCGGCAATCATACATGGCAACAGTGGGCTGGAGTCAAAGAGCAAAAGTTCTCTCCCAAGCTGTCCCATGGGAGAGCCAGTAGCATAGCTGGCTCTTTAAATTAAAATTAAATTTAAAATCCAGTTCCTCCATTACAGTAGCCACACTTCAAGCATTCAGTAGTTACATGTAATTAGTGTCTACCACACTGGACGGCACAGGTCTAGACTACGCCCATCATCACAGAGAGTTCAATAGGACAGCATTGCTGTCAGACCCTGTGGCCCCACTATTCATTGCTTTCTCCTCCTGCTTTCTCTACTCCTTTTTGTGACCTGTCTCATCCTTGAGGCATTTCTTGCAACTACTATAAATACTATAATAGGTCGCCTGAAAAGCTCTATGACTAAATCTTGAGAATGAAACCTGTTTCAACCACAGACTCACTATCTTGAACTTAGTACGTGTGTGTCTGTGTGTGTGTGTGTGTGTGTTGCAAAGTAAGGAGTGACATATAAAGTTATTAGAATAGAAGAAAAGTGGATTTCAGTTAGAGTCCTTCACTACAGGGAAAAGCTATAGAAAAATAAATCTTATTATTTATAGTCTACAACTATGGGTACCCCATAGGGTGAGCAGAACAGAACCAAGTGGAGCAAATCTAAACTAAAGCAACAAATAACTTTCCAGATAATATCCTCTTAGGATATATGTGGATAGGATAACTTCTAGCTCTGCCCATATATCACATTATACAAGGGAGAACTGATAGTGATTGTGTTTATTTGACCAAAGTCAGTTGAGGCAAATCAGATCTTGGAGAATCATTTGCCATGAATTGCTGGACAATTCTAAATTAATCAGATAAGCACAAATATCTCTACCATTTGTGTAGGTACAATCATTAAATAGTCACCTCTGAGCCCAGTAAAAGATAATACACACACACACACACACACACACACACACACACAAACAAACAAACAAACAAAAAAAACCTCTTTAACTTATAAGGTCATAACGTAGATTCCAGGAGACCTGAGAGGGAAGCTCAGTACTCTTAGGTATTGCATATTACCAGATTTGGGATCCACGTTGTATTTTAGCACATCTGAAGTGTTGTTTCTTCTAGCTTAGTTAACTTGCCTTGCCTTAAGTTCTTTTGCTGTGTGAATGCATGGAAAATATGAGAGAATCTTGAAAGAATTCTTTTGGCAGTGAAAAAATTTTGTTTTTTAACCTGCATTTGTTCATTGCCATCATTATCTACATTTCTCCAGGTTCACATATGAAAATAATTATTCCTCACTTCAGGAAGTCAGCGTTTAAAAAGTCAGTTTGGCTTCAAAGGATTCAGCACCCGTAATAGGGTCAGACTAGTGCGGGAGACAGCTGGCAGGAGCCCAGGCCTGGGGATAGTCAGTGCTTTCCTGGCTGGCTACCTCTTGGAACTTGTGCTAGAGTCCCCTAGAAAGTGTGGCTGTGTCCCATCTGACAAGGGAAGTAAAAATGTCCCTAAGAGCTGGGAATAGGCTCACAAATGGAGAACCAAAGTCCCTGTGTACAACTCTATCAGTCCTTCCTGCAGTCAAGACCAAACGCTCCATGCCTTGGTGTGTTATGGGAGACGATCCGTGGGAGAAAGGGCCCAGGACAGGGGTGGGGACAGCTGCCTTCTTGCCTCAGATGTGTGACCCTAGGCAACTCTTTTAGCCTCTATGAGTTTCTGTTTACTCAGGTGGATGGAGGGCTTCCACTGGATCAGCCTCCCTTCTGAGAAGTATAAAAATCTTATGTCCTTTTTACTGGAGCTACATCATGATAACTGTAAAATCAATCTTTATCTTAAAGCATCAGTTATAATCAATGTGGCCAAGCACAGTGGTGCACACCTGTAATCCCAGCACTTTGGGAGGCCAAGGCAGGAGGATCGCTTGAACCTAGTAAGACTCCATTTCTTTATTTAAAAGAAGAAGAAGAAGAAGAAGAAGAAGAATTAGGATCAATGTTATGTTTCAGTGAATAAAACAGAAGACATTCACATTTGTACACATGGTAGGAGTTAATCTGCTAAAAAAAAAAAAAAGAAAAAAAAAGAAAAAAAAAGCCCTGTATCAGTGGTTCCCACATTGTAGTAGGCAAAAGGATACTATGGGAGGCTCATTTAAAATGCAGATTCCTGGGCCTCTCCTCCCAGCCCATGAAGTTGGAACCACCACCACTTCATATCTCTTAGACTCTGAGTTTTGCCTTCAGGATTCTTTGACTTTATCTCAAAAATTCACCTTCATTAACAAAAAGCGTAGAGTCATTTGTTCTTATTGCAATAGCCCCCTCCTGGTACTCCCGAGACAACCTCCTCACTCCTACTCTCCAAATCACCTGGAAAAATTTTCCCTAACATTTTAAAAACCTTAAGAATTGTCATTTTTGCCGTGTAGTTTAAGTTCTCAGAAGGCAGAAAGAATGCCTAGAGTTGGTTCTATTTAGTAGTGTTTTTCAAACTGTTTTTGAACATGATACACAGTAAGAAGTACATTTTACATTGCAACTTAGTATGGACATTCTGTAAACACATATCTTTAGAAAAATCTCACAAAACACTGTCTATCCTTATGCTGTGTCATACACTCTGATGTTTTTTTATTCACCTCTATTTTTTAAATTTTCCTATTTCTTTCAACAATGGTCTCAGAGTCCACTAATGAGTCCCAGTCCATAGTTTGAAAACATTGCTATAGAGAGTCCAGCCCATGTTCAACAACCAAGCAATATTGATTGACTACTCCAAATGCTTTTGGTCATTCCCTCTAATAGCCCCCAACTTCCTCCTTCCTCCCCAGTATATACACCCATTAGTAGGAGTAGATTGGACACCAACACAGTGAAATTATTCTCTAATACTCTGGTGGTCTTTGTACTCTCCACTTAAAGAACCTCATTAGACTCAGACTGTTCTTCATGGGAACTGATTTACATTAAAAAAAAAAAAAGATCAAAAGACTATTTTCCTTGCACAGTATATTACTTCCTGCAATTCATCAAAATTCTTTTCATGGGTAAAGGTCACTTTCTATTTCTGTATGGCATCTGTGTGTGTTTTGTTGAAAAAGGTGTGGCTTTCAAAACATAAATCAGCCCTTACATGTTGATGAAAAACTCTTGAAATGCTACCAGAGGGAGGTGATGGGAATAACTTGGTGAAAAGAGGTGCAAATGCCATCAGACTTCCCAGAACCATGAACTCAGCCCATCTGACTGCCTAAAACAGAGAAAGATCCAAATAAAATACCTGAGCAGGTTAATAGGACTCATTTCCTATGAGTTGAAGTACTGTTAATATAATACTTTTAAAAAAAACAAAAAGCAATCTGAATCTGACGTGAACAGAAACAAAATCAGTGTCGGTCCTGGGAACAAGGAACTGACCCATTAAGGAAGACTTAAAGTGGGAAATCAGTGCCCCGTTATTTTTTCTAATGTATTCATTGGATCCTGACCCTGATTGTCTAGATTTGAATCCTTGCCCCAACCCCCCAGCCCCACCTACCAGATGTGTGGCTTTGTGCTAGTTACTTACCTCTCCATGCCACCATTTCCTCATCTACAAAATATGAAGAGTTCTAACACCATCCTCAGAAGGTTGCTCTTGTGATTGAATCAGTCAATATTTGGAAATCACTGAGCACTAGTACCTGATACATGATAAGCACAATGTAAGTACTTGTTAAATAAATTGTCTAAGTAAAGATTAAAGCATATCAACACTTCTGTCCTCCAACTTCAGGGCAGGGAAAATAGAAATTAATTTTTTAAATAAGACTGAAGAAGTCACATCACTCACCATCTTGTCTGCTCATGTATACACAGATTTGATACCCTGGGTGACAGTGTTTAAGTGCCCTCCCCCATGAAAAATAGCAAGCCACTAAAAAAGAAAGAGCAAGGGAGAATATCTCCATCCCTAAACTAAGGTGGAAAAGGGAACTGTGTGAAAAACATAAAACAGAGCTGTTGGTGATACCTAAAAACCAGACATGGCTGAGAGACCACCCACTGTCAGCCCAGGAAGAGAGAACCGTGTAAGCCAAAAACCCAACCCCCTGAGCATATCAATGTACTAAACACAATTTGGGGTTAGAACAATCAAAAGCTGCATGGGGAAAAATTGTATTGAAAAAATTCTTTGGATAAAGCCTGCAGAAACAAGTGATTCTATATGTAAAAGTTAACTGAAATTAAAAACCAAGAGAAGGGTTCATCTAAGAGCAGTCCTTGTTAATCATTTAGAGAGCTCAGAAATGCATCTTTTGTGAGATGTGTTCTTTAAAAAAATAAAAATGGAAACGAAGGAGGGAATCTGGGCTTATTAAAAAGCACCCTGCAATGCTCTGTTATTATTTCCTAGAAATTTGAATACAGAAGCCTTATGTGGGTATATATGCATGCACATGTGTATGTAAGTATGCCTACATAATATCTTTATATTCAATATATTCATATTCAGTGTATACATATATATGTTTGTGTGCATATGCATTTTTAAAAATAATTTCTCCTTTTTTTGTTTTTCAAGTGCTTGAGGATGTGATATTAAGAGGGGAAAACATCAGCTGGCGCCAACTGGCTATACACATTAAACCAGAAAATAACGCACACCCTAATAAACATAGAAATTATCTATAAATTTGGGCATAAGATCTAGTCCCTAAAGATAAGTGGTTGAAACAACTGCAAAAAAGGCCTGAGACTGAGATGGGAGAGAGGGCTCTGAGTTTAGGCTGTGGGCATCGTGGGTCACAGGGACCCACTTTGATGTGAGTAGCAGCTTTGTGAAAAGAAAGCAGAGGAAATGCAGCCCTTGCTGAGACAGGAACCCCTCGTTTCTCAGGCTGCATTCTGCCATTGTCCCACATGTGTCAGTCCCACTGGTCATGGCAGCAGTGCAGGGCTTGGATTGATGGCCTCAGATGGCCTCTGGACTGTAGAGTTCAGCTCTGCACCCAACGTCAGTTACAAAGAGAAAGGAAGTTTGCTTTTAGGCCCACCGTGGGTTTTGCTTTTTGTTTCTCTACTTCGCCTGCCTTTCTTGCTGGGTCGCTTCAAAATTGCAAATTGCTTACTTACTTCTAACTTCTCTTCTGTCAATGTCTGTTTTCATTTTTGTAATTTCTCTGTTTTTAAAAATTCCCCACTTTGATCTGGCACGGTGGCTCACGCCTCTAATCCCAGCACTTTGGGAGGCTGAGGCGGGTGGATCACCTGAGGTCAGGAGTTTGAGACCGCCTGACTAACATGGAGAAACCCTGTCTCTACTAAAAATACAAAATTAGCCGGGCATGGTGGCGCATGCCTGTAATCCCAGCTACTCGGAAGGATGAGGCAGGAGAAGCACTTGAACCTGGGAGGCGGAGATCGCGCCATTGCACTCCAGCCTGGGCAACAAGAGTGAAACTCTTGGTCCCAATGAAGCCCACCAGCATGCACCTGCAAATGTGGCCGAAATAGCATTAATGATAAATTTATAATAAGAGTGTGGCAGTGGGGAGTACCCACATCAGAATCACAGGACCCAGGCCCTAGTCCTAGCGCAGTCACTAGTAATTCATCTTGGACATGTTTTTATCAAGGAAACAATGGATTGATGGAAAAACTAACTGATTCACACCCTGTAGGAATGCCATAGTGGTTACCACAAGGGACTTTAAACCTGACAGAATGGGATTCACATTCTGGCTCATTCAGTCACTACCTGAGTGACCTTGTAAGTTACTTAACCTTTACAAACATCAGTTTCCTCATATAGGATAATATCTCTCTTATCTCATAGGATGATTGTGAAGAATAAGTGGAATAAGGTATACAAAGGGCTTATCACAGTGCTGGGTACATAGTAAGCACTTATTAAGTGTCTGCTATTCTTGCTGCTATTTTCATTACTTTTATTATTTCTAGTGTTAGTCTCTTCTTGCACTTCTATAAAGAAATACCTGAGATAGGGTAATTTATAAAGAAAAGAGGTGTAATTGGCTCACAGTTTTTCAGGCTGTACAGAAAGCCTGGCACCATGTCCTCTGCTTCTGGGGAGGCCTCAGGTAACAATCATGGCAGAAGGCAAAGCAGGAGCCAGCACTTCACGTGACTGGGAGCAGGAGGAAGACAGCGAGGGGGAAGGTGCTACGTACTTTCAAACAACCAGGTCTCATGAGAACTCACTCACTATACAATACCAAGGGGGGAGGGTGCCAAACCATTCGTGAGAACTCTGCCCCCATGATCCAATCACCTCCCACAGACTCCACCTCCAGCACCTGAGATTACATTTCAGCATGAGATTGGGTGAGGACATAGATCCGTATTATTGTTATTATAGTTACTATTATAATTATCAAATAATTATTATAGCTTTTAATCCATATAGTTCAAATAACTTGCATCAAGCAATTTTCAATATGAAAAACCAGAAATAAGTGGGGATAAGAACTTAAAATTCTACATGTAGAAGTTGGGTCATTTGTCTCTAGTAATACTCTGGACCAAGAAAAGTAAGCCCTGCCCAGCCAATGGAATGTTAGCTCTTCTCACTCTTCAGTGAGCGATGCCAGAATAAAATAATTCTATCAGACCAATTGACTGTCTAGTCTGGAAAACAAGAAATATAGCCATCTGTTTTTCAAAATACTAATTCTAGAATTTAGAGTTATGCTGTCCAACATGGTAGCCACTGCTCATGTACAGCTACTTAAATTTTAACTAATTAAATTTAAATTTACAATACAGGTCCTCAGTCACACTAGGTACATTTCAAGTACTAAAGAGCTACATGTGGCTTGAGGCTACCATATTGAATGTGCAGATATAGAATGTTTCCATCATCACAGAAAGTTCTGTGAGACAGTGCTGGTCTATTTTAGACTATTAGTTGCCCTAAATAACCTATGTAAATACATCTGATTATTATTTAGTATGATCTAACTTGCTAATGGATAACTATACAACTTGGTAATTGGATGAATCATAGGTCTGAGAAACACCAAAAAGTTTCTACGGGCATTCATGGAGATCCACATCACGCATGTGTGAATTCCATGGATATGCATATACAACAAATACCTACCCTCTCAGGTAATTTAAAGAAAAACAAAACAAAAACAGTAAGCAAAGATGCCAAACTAAATGATTAACAAGAGTTGGATTATTTAAATTTTTATTAGTCTTGGCTTTCAAAATTATTTTATTGCAACTCATAGAAAGAAACTTAGTTTATATGGTAACCCAGTACAAGCACACATAAACACAATTGAAACAGAGGTTTCACAAAATAACACTAGTCCTTACTACATGTAAATATTCTGATATTTTCTATTTCCTCCTCTTCCTCATCTTTCTTCACTTCTTCTTTCTCTTTCTTTTCCTCTTTGTAGTATTGTGTATTAGTCTGTTTTCATGCTGCTGATAAAGACATATCCGAGACTGGGCAATTTTCAAAGGATAGAAGTTTAATGGAGAACTCACAGTTCCACAAGGCTGAGGAAGCCTCACAATCATGGTGGAAGGCCAGGAGGAGCAAGTCACATCTTATGTGGATGGCAGCAGGCAAAAAGAGTGTTTATGCAGAGACACTCCTGTTTTTTAAACCATTATATCTCGTGAGACCCATTCACTATCACTAGAACAGCACAAGAAAAACCTGCCGCCATGATTCAACCAACTCCCACCAGGTCTCTCCCACAATATTTGGGAATTATGGGAGCTACAAGATGAGATCTGGGTGAGGACACAGAGCCAAACCATATCATTCTGCCCTGGCCCCTCCCAAATCTCAACTCTTCACATTTTGAAACCAATCATGCCTTCCCAACAGTCCCCCGAAGTCTCAACTCATTTCATCATTAACTCAAAAGTCCACAGTCCAAAGTCTCATCCAAGACAAGGCAAGTCCCTTCCATCTATGAGCCTGTAAAATCAAAAGTAAGTTAGTTTCTTCCTAGATATAATGGGGTATAGGCATCAGGTAAATACAGCCATTCCAAATGGGAGAAATTGGCCAAAACAAAGGGGCTACAGGCCCCATGCAAGTCTGAAATCCAGTGGAGCAGTCAAATCTTAAAGCTCCAAAATGATCTCCTTTGACTCCATGTCTCACATCCAGGTCATGATGATTCAAGAGGTGGGTTCTCATGGTCTTGGGCAGCTCCACCCCTGTGGCTTTGCAGGGTACAGCCTCCCTCCTAGCTGCCTTCACAGGCTGGCATTGAGTGTCTGTGGCTTTTCCAGGTGCAGAGTACAACCTGTCAGTGGATCTACCATTCTGGGATCTGGAGGATGGTGGCCCTCTTTTCACAGCCCCACTAGGTGGTGCCCCAGTAGGGACTCTGTGTGGGGGCTCCGACCCCACATTTCCCTTCTGCACTGCCCTAGCAGAGGTTCTCCATGAGAGACCCGCCCTGTGGCAAACTTCTCCTGGACATTTCCCTACCTCCTCTGAAATCTAGGTGGAGGTTCCCAAACTCCAATTCTTGACTTTTGTGCACTCCCAGGCTCAACACCACATGGAAGCTGCCAAGGCTTGGGGCTTGCACCTTCTGAAGCCGTGGATGGAGCTCTACATTGGCCCCTTTCAGCCATGGCTGGAGAGGCTGGGATGCAGGGAACTAAGTCCCTAGACCACACACAGCACAAGGACCCTGGGCCCAGCCCAGGAAACCACTTTTTTCTCCTAGACCTCCAGGCCTGTGATGGGAGAGGCTGCTGTGAAGATCTCTGACATGCCCTGGAGACATTTTCCCCATTGTCTTATGGATTAACATTTGGCTCCTCATTACTTATGCAAATTTCTGCAGCCAGCTTGAATTTCTTCTCAGAAAATGGGATTTTCTTTTCTATCACATTGTCAGGCTGCAAATTTTTTAGACTTTTACACTCTGCTTCCCTTATAAAACTGAATGCCTTTAATGGCACCCAAGTCACCTCTTGAATGTTTTGCTGCTTAGAAATTTCTTCTGCCATGTACCCTAAATCATCTCTCTCAAGTTCAAAGTTCCACAAATCTCTTGGGCAGGGACAAAATGCTGCCAGTCTCTTTGCTAAAACATAGCAAGAGTCACCTTTGCTCCAGTTCCCAACAAGTTCTTCATCTCCACCTGAGACCACCTCAGCCTGGATTTCATTGTCTATATTATTATCAGCATTTTGGTCAAAGTCATTCAACAAGTGTCTAGGGAGTTCCAAACTTTCCTGTGTTTTCCCATCTTCTTACGCGCCCTCCAAACTGTTCCAACCTCTTCCTGTTACCTTTCAAAGTTGCTTCCACATTTTTGGGTATCTTTTCAGCAGTGCCTGACTCTAGTGGTACCAATTTACTGTATTAGTTTGTTTTCATGCTGCTGATAAAGACATACCCGAGACTGGGCAATTTACAAAGGATAGAGGTTTAATGGAGAGCTCACAGTTCCATGTGGCTGGGGAGGCCTCACAATCACGGCAGATGGCAAGGAGGAGCAAGTCACATCTTACATGGATGGCAGCAGGCAAAAAGAGGGCTTGCGCAGGGAAACTCCCATTTTTAAAATCATCAGATCTCATGAGACCCATTCACTATCACTAGAACAGCATGGGAAAGACCCACCCCCATGATTCAGCCATTTCCCACTGGGTCCCTCTCACAACACGTGGGAATTATGGGAACTATAAGATGAGATTTGGGTGGGGACAGAGAGCCAAACCATATCATACTGGTTATCCAAGACACTGATTTAATGACTCCCACAATGGGATGACCTATAGTTTGAAAAACACTGATCTAGACTGGGGGTTGTAAACTCAAATGCTGAAAGTGGCTGGATGAGTGAGCGGAGAGGGCTGTGTGGAGACTATGAGTAAACACAGAGCATATGACCCTTTGAAAGGGCACAACAACTGTTCAGCTCCAATCAGTCTTTTCTATGTGGAATATACTTAGAACTGTTGCTGGAACTTCTGATGGTTTAAGAGAAGTCATATATCCAGATATTTTTGTAAAACTTCCCAATTTAGAAGTGTGGCAAATAATTATTTAAAATTTCAAATACTTGCCAGCCAAACAAAACAAATTTCTTAAATGGGATTGGTCTGATCAAAGATTAATTTTCTAGTTCCAGGGGTAAAACTGGAAGCAGGTTCTTTTTCCTCTAAATGAGAATGTGGAATCCCCCAAAACTGATATAGCACAATCCTTCTGTCCTCACATGACCCAGTGGGGAGGGAAGGAAGGAAGGATCCTCTGCTGAAGAAAGGAGTTGAAAGTGACCAGTTCTCCTTGAATGAGGCTGTGTTGGGTGTCCACTGATGCCCAAGAACAGAAGGAATCAGTCATTCCATCAGCACATAGTCCCCAGCTTATCCTTGCCTAGTCAAAGAAGTGAAAGAAGCTCCATTAGCTGGTCTCAGCCCAAGCTGTCCCTCAGTAATGGCTATAGGGTCCTTTATCTTTGAAAGCTCAGTTAGTTCTTACTTGTACATATACTGGCTAGGCATCCAGGAGCTGGGCTGCCAAGGTACAAAAGCCTATCAATTATCTAAAAACATCTATAAGGAAAACATACTTCAATTTCAAACATAAATCCTACTACTGTATCATTAAAAGGTTGTATCAGACAGCTTTATATTTAAATATCTGGATTTTACCTATTAGGTTAAGCCATGTAAAATCGCCAATATTCCAACATTTTTAAAATAAGCTTTTAATTTGGAATAATTTTAGATTTTTGGAATTCATAGAAAAGTTGCCAAGATTATAGAGAGAATTCCTATACACATCTTTTACCTCATTTCCCCTAATGTTAGCATGTTACACAATGGTCTTAGTTCATTTCATATTGCTATAAAAGAACACATGAAGCTGGGTAATTTATAAACAATAGAAGTCTATTTTGTTCAGGGTTGTGAAGGCTGGGAAGTCTAAGAGCATGGGTCCAGCATCTGGTGAGGGCTTTTGTGCAGTGTCATCACATGGCTGAAGGTAGAAGGGCAAGACAGCATGAGAGTGAAAGTGCAAGAGCAGGAGGAGGCTCAACTCACTTTTGTTGTTGTTGTTGTTTGTTCATTTTGAGGAAGGGTTTTTCTCTATCACCCAGGCTAGAGTGCAGTGACATGATCTCGGCTCACTGCAAGCTCTGTCTCCTGCGTTCATGCCATTCTCCTGCCTCAGCCTCCCGAGTAGCTGGGACTACAGGCGCCCACCACCACACCCGGCTAATTTTTTGTGTTTTTAGTAGAGACCGGGTTTCACCGTGTTAGCCAGGATGGTCTCAATCTCCTGACCTCGTGATCCACCCACCTTGGCCTCCCAACGTGCTGGGATTACAGGCATGAGCCACGGTGCCAGGCCATACCTGACTAATTTTTTTTCGTTCTTTGTAGAGACAGGGTCTCACTATGTTATCCAGGCTGATCTGGAACTCCTGGCCTCAAGCAATCCTCCTGCCTCAGACTCCCAAAATGCTGGGATTATAGGTGTGAAACACCATGCCTGGCCTGAACTCACTTTTCTAACAAACCTACTCTCACCAAACAAACCCACTTCCATGTAATGAAATTAATCTATTCATGATGTCAGAGCTGTCGTGACCTAATCACCTATTAAGTCTTATCTCCTAACTTTGTTGCATTGGGGATTATGTTTCCAACACATGAACTTTAGGGGACACATTCAAACCATAGAAATAACCAAGATACATGTAGAAAAACTAAGAAATTCACATTGGCACATTATTATTAGCTGAACTACTTCATTTGGATTTCATCGGTTTTTTCATTAATATCTTTTTTCTGTTCCAGAATGCATTCTAATCATTTTCTGTTCCATATTGCATTTAATTCAACATTTTGATCTACACAAAAAGGCTATTTTACATGTACCTAATACTTTAGGAATCAAATTAGCAACTAAAGAAGAAAAGTCTTATTACAACATGGCCATTAGGTCCTAGGAAGAAGATTACCTTGGGGAACCGTCATCAACATGCATCCACTGCCAGTTTGAGAAGCTCATCTCATCTGGACTCTAGATACAGCCATAGGCTTCTGAATCTCTGTTGCTTGGCCTAGTGCAGCGTGTGGCATGAAGGAAGTGCCCAATAAACACATGCTGAATATCTACTGCTTGTCCGCAAATAAGAATTAAGTGCCTGGAAACCCAAACAGGGGCAGAAAAGCCACTTCCTGCCCAGAAATTGCTCTGTGATTAATTTCATTGTTCATCTAGAACTAACACCATCTTGAAATACCGATGTTTGCATTAGTTTGCCAGGGCTTCCATAACAAGGTACCACACAGTGGGTGCTTAAACAATAGGAGTTTCTTCTCTCATAGTTCCAGAGGCTGCAAGTCCCAACTCAAAGTGCTGCCAGGGCTGGCTTCTTCTAAGACCACTCTTTTTAGCTTGAGGATGGCCTTCTGCTCCCTGTGCCCCACATACATCTCCCTCCTTGCAGGTCTGTCCAAATCTCTTCTTACAAGGACACCAGAGATCAGATTAGGGCTTACCCCAGTGAACTCATTTTAACTTAATTACCTCTTTAAAGACCCTGTCTCAAAAAACAGTCACATTCTGAGACACTGGGGGTTAGGGATTCAACATACACATTTTGGGGGAATAGAACTCAGTCCGTAATAATGTTGAACACATCTGACGTTTAGGGGTCAAAAAGAAAAATCAGAAGAACTTTCCTGAATCCAGTTATCATTCATCCCCAAAGGCTCGATCTGTTACCCTTTCTCCGGATTATTTTGAATGCTTTACTGCATGACTAGACCTATGTCAGTTGCTATCAGAGAGTGTTGCTTCCTTCCATGTTAATGCAAGCCCCTCAGCAAGATTGGATCTCTAAAATGCCTTCAGCCAGCTTAGTACAATGCCGAAAAGCTCTAGAAGTTACTTTATGTATTTGTTTGACTGACTACAGAAAAACACCCATCTCAGCAACTCATAAAGCAGAAGGAGAGGCATTAGGGGTAGTGTTGTCAGCAGGGCCAGGGGGCAGTGCATAAAGCCCTTTTATCAGTCAAATTCTGTGCTTCAGAGAACCTAGGTCGGTCCAAAGCACATTTTTCTAATTCATTCATGTCTGTGTGCGTGTACACGCGTGCGCACACCAGAAATCATTATAATATTTTTAAAGTGTGTCTACAAGGCTGTGATCTTTGGAGACTTTCAAAAATGAAAACAATCACAGGGTGCAGACATTGCCTGACAGGCAGGGGACTGAAAGCAAAATTAAATAATGAACAGGCCAAGGGCACTGGGGGCAGGAATCTGAAGTAGAAGCCTTCAGAGCAAGCACTTTGATAAAGAAAAGAAAGGCTACCGAAGGAAAAGCAATTAATGGGGAAGGGGCTGGTACTAAAATGAGCCCAGGGAAAGCTGCTGGGGACAGGAGGGAGGGCAGGGTGCACTGGAGAGTGGTGGGGTGGTGGTGGGGGAACCAACGTGCTCGCCAGGCCGTCATTAGCCCAGAATTATCAGGCACCTGAAACAACAAGGTCAAGAATGTGACCTGAACGATAGATGAAATATTTGTTTAGGAAGCCACATGCTGGGAGAAAGACTCAAAGAGTTAAACTGGGGTGCTTACCTTTTCTGATTGTAGAATTAAACAACAACAAAAATACAAGCAAAGCCTATAGATTCATTTTATTAATGTCCTGAAGAAAACTGATCAGATACTGAGTGTGGGGAGACAGCAGGCTCTGTCTGATCTCTCAGTGTAGGGACCAGAAGGGCAGGGGGAGGAACGCGGGCATAGACTGGGCCTCAGCCCCTCCCCAGCAGGGCCAGCAGCCTCGCCAACCAGGGCATCCGGATTCCAGGCCTCCTGGACAAAGGGCCCTTCCCCCCTTGTCAGCCTTCCTGTTCCCTGGGATTGTGTGGCCCAACCCTTTGATCAAACTAGGGTATTATGTCTACAGACAACTGCTTTAAATATCAAGGTTTCAGGGCTGGCTCTTGGGTCCCTCAGCTTCTCCATTAAAAAAAAAAAAAAAAAAAAAAAAGCAAGTATATGCCTGGGCTTTTTAGGATTTCTGTTTTCCACCTTAAAATAACCTGGTCTCTAACAGGGCTTTCCAAAGCTGTCCCAGCCCTTGGAAAATGTCAGAAGATGACCAGGTGGACGCATCATGAACAGAAATCGGCAGCTTAGTGTTTCTGCTGGTTGTGGCCTAAATGCTCTTTTACAATGGAAGGAGAATCTACTCGTGGCCAATGTGAATTTCGAAAAAGTTGTACTTGAAGTAACGGACTGGGAGCCAGGATTCTAGGGTTCCAGACCTGGTTCTGCAGCACACTCTGAGTCTTTTAGTCATTTAGTCTCTCTGGATTAGAGTTTTCCCTTTTTACACAAAAAGGGATGTTTTTGGATGTTTAAACTTGCCAAGCTCTGATGCCAGATTTAAAAATCCTACAATTCTTTCACTGCTATGTATTCCCTAAAAAGAACGTTCTGCCTGACCCTGCAATAACCTAAGTACTATGTATTTCATCAGCTTCAAGAAATAGT
Source organism: Homo sapiens (assembly GCF_000001405.40). Taxonomy (NCBI): domain Eukaryota; kingdom Metazoa; phylum Chordata; class Mammalia; order Primates; family Hominidae; genus Homo; species Homo sapiens. Next base: position 38,425,463 of record NC_000004.12, read on the forward strand.
TAAATGGAAAGACGAAAATGAAAAACTGTCTCGGATGGTAACACCTTCTCCATAACTCACCAATTTAATAAGGAGCTGGAGTCTAACATGGCCAGATCATAATACCTCTGGGTAACAGTTTTCTGATTTTACTTAGAGAAAATATAATAAAAATGCTATTCTAGATGGATCCATTTCTTTTGCCTCTTGCCCCATAAATCACTTCCCTTTCTAGTCAACAGAAAACCCCTCCCTCACAGTAGTAGCAAGAAAATTGAGGCAGGTGCAAGACAAGAGAAGTAGATCAAGTTGAGATCTATTGAAAATTGCAAAAGATTTGCCATAAAATTGTATTTAACAGAGCAAGAAATTCTGATGTATATCTGAAAGTAGCTTTGCTAAGTTATGATTGCGTTAGCCACATGTGGAAAAGTGCTGAGAATGTCTTATGATTATTATTGGTGACACATTTCCATGTCTTCTATTATCTGAACTCAATGGGATTACTCTTACTAGGTGTACTTATTGAATTTACATAGTGTAGGAGTTCACATTCTGAGGCTTTTCTTCTGGATTGTATGGAAGACGGTTCTGGACATCAGAATCCCAAGGTTTATTTAATTCTTTTTCTGATCTTTGTTTTTACATTTTAAAACATGTTATGAGACCTTATCAATTTCTCAGCACTTCTATTGCCATAATACTTAGGATGAATTAGAGAGCTGCTTTGAGGTTTCTAAGGAGAGCCCTGTCACTGAGTCAGTCTCGACACAAGATCCTCATTTTGGTCCGCAAATCTCAGCCAGAATCAAGACTTCAGTCATTCTCCTGAGACATCCGTTTATGAGGCTGATGTCTAATCTCTGTCTGCTTCCATGCTCAATCTCTTTCTTGAGCCTACCTTATCATACCAAATTTGTTCACCTGGATGTTCTCAGGTATGCTAAATTCAAGTGCTTAAGACTAAATTTGTAATGTTTCCTCCAGAAAGCAACTTCCGTGACACCCTTCATTATATCACTGCTATGGTTTGAATGTCTGTGACCCTCCAAAATTTGAGACCCAATGCAACAGTATCAGGAAATGGGGCCTTTAGGAGGCAGGTTATAGGGGCTCTACCCTCAAGGATGGAATAAGTACCTCATATACCTTCTGCTATATGAGGACACAGCATTTGTCTCCTCCAGAGGACACAGCATTTGAGGTGTCATCTTGGAAGCAAAGACCAGGCTCTCACCAGACACCAAACATGCCAGCACCTTGATCTTGGACTTTCCAGCCTCTAGAACTCTGAGAAATACATCTCCATTGTTTATACATTACTCAATCTAAAGCATTTTGTTACAGCAGCACAAACAGACTAAGATAATCAACAACAATAGTATTTTTCTGGTCACCAGATTTAAACCTCAGCATCATCTCTATATAGTACCTCCCTCTTGCCTGCAGTTTGGTTACTGGGTCATGTCCATTCTTCCTGTGCAGTGTCTTTTTGATCTGTCCTTTCTGGCTGATGCTAGTTGCCATCAATCCCTGATCTTTCAGCTGCCATTTTCTGCCCAACCATCCCATAAATCACTTCCAGATGACTTTATTCACCCAACAATTATCTGATGAGTGCCTACTATGTTATTAAAAAAAAAAACCCAGTAGCACATTGAATGATATCTACAGATCAAGATGTAAACTCCTGAACCCATCACTCAGCCCTACACTGCTGTGGCTAAGCTTGATTGCCATTCACTCTTCTTATATACACCCTCTCTTCTCCAGACAAATAGTTTCACTGAGCTTCCTCTAACTACTTATAGCATTCCTCCTTCTTTAGATTTCCTGCCTGGAAATCCTTTCTTCTTCCTTCATTTGACATTAACCATTTTTCTTATGGTCGTTATTCCATTCACTCAATTCCTATGACTCTGCCGTTCACTCTGTTTCCTTCGCATTTGGCACTTGCAAAAGTGTATTACTCTCTATATTTTCTATATCTTGTCACCTCAAGTGGACCATGAGCACTTCAAGAGAGAGGTAGAGTGTCCACCTTTGTGTCCTATCAGTCTAATTAAATAAATTGCAGGAAGGAAGGAAAATGAACAATCATTGTCTACAGTAGATCAGAGACCTTTATACACTTTTTCCTTTCAATATCTCATTTAATGCTCTAAACCAAAAGGTAGCAAGCTATATCCCATGGGTCAGATCCAGCCTGTCTGGTTTTGTAAATAAAATGTATTGTAATAATGCCACACCTACTCATCTGCATGTTGTCCATGGCTGCTTTTGTGCTACAATGGCAGAGCTGAGTAGCTGTGACAGAGCCTATACAGCCAAGCAAAAACCAAAATATTTACTATCTGTTCCTTTAAGAAAAAGTTGGCGAATCCCTGGTCTAAGCAACTAGAAGAGGTGAGATCTTTTTCTTCTGCTTGTATAGGTGAACAAACAGAAGTTCAGAGAGTTTGGGTAAATTGCTCAAAGTCACACAGCTAATAAGGGACCCAGCAGAAATTTGAAGCTGGGTCTGTGTGATTCCAAAATCTGTAGGCTTTTCATTTGACCAAGGGATATAGTTGGCTATTGCTAATATTTGATGATAGCGAGGTTGTCATCTACATCCTATCCCTTGTATTTTTTTTTTTTTTTACATTTTTGCAGGAAGTAATCCAGTGGCTAGGATTAACTGAGATTTTCCCAGCACATGTCAAATCCCTCTGAATGACCATGCTGCTATAATTTTAGAAGACATTCTGTGTGACGTCACTCCACAGCAGTTATGACATGCTACACGAATGACCTCCAGAAGGGCATGGCTACCTTGAGAGCAAGCACTCTGTCTAGTATTCTCTTATACCCCTGAGCCTCCAGCATGGTCCTGGCATATAATAAACCTCCAACATATATATGTGCAGAATACTAGTTGTGGGAATGACTGTTATTTTGAGATAGAGAAATTATTTTCACGACTACCAGATTTCAGTAGGAATTAAATGGGAAAGTTCCCACTATGGAGTCACAGACCACCTGGATTAAAATGCTGGTGCCATCACTTACCAGGGATGTTATCTCAGGCAAGTTACCTAATTTGTACACACTTTGCTGTTTTTTCCATAAAACAGGAATAATGTTGTTATTTTGATATAATGAAATAAGACAAGTAAAGCACTTATAGCAATTCCTGGTACACAGTAAACAATCAACAAACATAAGTTATCATTGGCTTAAGTAATTGCATCAAAGCTTAGAAAGGTGAATTCATTTTCAAGAGCCATAAAATCACATAAAGTGGGAAAGGCAGCAAAAACAAACAATAAGCAAGCAGAGGAAGAAGGAGACAAGAGAAAGAGGATGAAGAAGGCAAGAAAGTCCCTCCTTTGCTTCATCTCTGCAAAAGATTTCCAGAAAACATTCTTTATCAATAAATAAATGCACTCACGTTCTCAGGAATACATCCTGCTCTACCAGTGAAAATGAGAGGAAGGAAACTTCGACCAACAACAGTTTCAGAAGACAAGCCTCAAATATTAGTAGAGAGGGGAATAAAAGAGCATGGAAAGCAGCACACTTCATCATATTAATTAATGCACATAATAGTCAGCAAAGCCAAAATTGGCCCCTCACCGAGATTCGCATCATTACCCTAAAGTAATTAAACTGCTGCCAAGATCCCACATCACGCGAATCTGTTCTACCTGAAATAGCTACTAAAGTTGTAATCATGCCCCATTTGAAGTCTTGACTTCATGAATATGATTGAGAGCTTGTTGAATGAGGTAAAATTTGTCTAAGGCTTCGAGGGAGGAAAGAGAGAGACGTGCTGCTGATGGCAGGCATCAATCACTGGGTTACAAGCTCCAGTCCTTTCAGAAATCCAATACAGAATGAGTCCCTTATGGATTCCTGGACTATTTTAGAAAAGCTTGCATTAAGATGTGATTCCCATTGATTTCCTGTTCTCTTTCTGCTTTGTTTAGGTTCAACTATAGAAGTTCATACTCTATCTAAAGTGTTGTTTAAAAGATGAAAAGAAAGGATGGTGGGGACAACTTCTCTGACTCTGGATTTCTTTTTCCTATAGGTTTTCTTTTTCCCCTGGAATATCAAATTATCCTTTCTGCTCATGTTTTACCCATTAGTAACTTGGTTTTATATATATTTGAAATGATTTCCAATGACTTAAAAACAGAAGTTCATGTTTTATCCAGTTTTATAAAATTCAACTCTTAGAGTTGGGAAGCCCATTTATTCTCTAAAATGGATCAGGAATATTTTGGAGAAGGCTACCAGCAAAAGGAAATGAGATTTGCCAATATGGCCACTACTCTGCTGGTGTGATATGAGTCTGCACAACAGATCTCGGGGAGCCCCAGAGGGAGGGCAGAGGTGTGGTGCCTGGCTGCCCACATGCTCTTCCTCAGAAATTGCTCTCACGGGTTTCTTCTAGATAAGTCACTGTCTTTGTATAGTGAGACCCTACTTCTCTAAGCACCCCAGATTGGACCTAGTATGGGTGCTTCAGTCAAAGACAGACAGAAGCAGGTTAGAGTTAAGGAAGTCTTGTGGCCCATGAGGTATCTGGCCTTAGAACTGTTATCAGTAAGGGTGTTCCATGTTGGATGTTGGATGTCGACCAATAGATGTTAGGAAGAACAAAAGCAAAAACACTAGGGCTCAGAAACATAGATTCAGAATTAACAGGCACCTTGGCATGAGCAGGGGTAGCTCCCTCAGAGACAGATAGGAGTCAATGTAAAGAATGCAAGAGTCCCTGGAGTCAACAGCAATGGTTCTCATGAGATCATGTTCTTTACTATAACTATTGTTTGAAATATACTTCACAATGCCTCCTTGCTCCCTGGAGCAGTTTTCTTAGTAGGCTGTGGGGGTGTTTGATGGTAGTGGTGACAGGCTGTGCACTTTACTAAGAATTAAAGCAATTTCTATGAAAGTGCCTGGTACTTGTTCTGGTCAACTGTCTATAACCAATGGACAAAGACAAGTTCATAGAATTTGGAGGAACCACAGCACTTCCCTTTCATTTCTGATCAGCTTGGCTAGTCTCTTAGCATAATCCTGAAGAAATGGTGCCAAATTGGTGGACAGTTTGAAGGGACAACCATGTTGAAAAGTGCTGTGCATCAATTTCAGTAAGGAAAAGCAGGAAAGGTGGGACACAGTGGGTTTCCCGGGCAGCATGTCCTTGGAACCTGAGGGGTAAGATGATGTTATAGACTGAATGTGCTCTAACCTCATGCAGTTTAGAATGTGACTATATTTAAAGGCAGGGCCTTTAAAGTGGTGATTAAGTTAAAATGAAGCCATTAAAGAGGGTCCTAATCCAATATGTGTCCTTATAAGGAGACGAAATTTGGACACACAAAGAGAAACAAGGAATGCACACACACAGAGGATATGGCAGCCACTTGCAAGCCGAGGAGAGAGGTCTCGGAAGAAACCAAACCTTGGACTTCCAACCTCCAGAATTATAAGAAATAAACTTCTGTTGTTTAAGCCACCCAGTGTGTGGTATTTTGTTACAGCAGCCCTGGCTGACTAATACAGATGGCATACAGAAAGACTCACTCTCTAAGGAGTTTGGTGTGTATAAGATCCAACTGTAGTGAACTTGTGTCATTTAGATACATGTTAGGGCATGGTGGGAGGGGAGGGTGTTTGCATTTGAGTACCCAGTGCCTGCAGGTGGTGAGGTGGACACTATATACACTCACATTCAACCCTCACAACAGGCTGGTGAAGTGACTTACCCTCCCTTTGTAGATGAAGAAACTGAGGCTTAGCAAGGAAAGAATCACGCCTGAGTTTGCCAGAGAGTGGTCAGGAGTTTCTGGCTCCAAGGCAGACACCAAGTAGTCTCTCAGGAGTCCCCTGACAGGAAGGAAGAGTCTGGTCAAAGTCAGATTCCAGATGGCTGGTGCAGAGGCCTATGCAGAATTACCAAGGCCAAGAAATATCAAAGGCTGGTTAGTGCAACAAGGCAAAATGGTTTGGTCCCTGAACTTTGGAATATAATCATGGCTCTGTCACCTACCAGCTGGAAGACCTTGGGTGCCATATCTTATTAAGCCTCCATTCCTTTACCTGTGAAATTGTAACACCTCTTAAAGTACCATGTTCGGACTTCATAGGATTGTTGAGAAAATTAGATGCATCAATACATTTAAAATACTCTTCGCACTGTGTATTTAGTCAGTGTTCTTCAGAGGTACAGAACCAATAGGCTGCATATCTGTATAGAAAGAGATTTATTTTAAGGAATTGGCTCATGTGCTTGTGGATGCCTGGTGAGTACAAAATCTCATAGACGAAGCCAGCAGGCTGGAGACTCGAGAAAGAGCTGTAGTCAAGTCCAGGAACAGTTTACTGCAGAACCAGGAAGAGCCGATGCTGCAGATGAAGTCTGAAGGCAGTCTGTTGGAGAATCCTTCTTGCTCAAGAAAGATCTGCTTTTTGTTCTTTTCAGGCTTTCAACTGATTGGATGAGGACACCCACATTATGGAGAATGATCTGCTTTATTCAAAATCGAAAGATTTAAGTATAAATTTCATCCAAGAGCCCCCTCACAAAAACATCCAGAATAATGTTTGACCATATATTTGTGGACAGTGGCCCAGCCAAAGTAACACATAAAATTAACCATCACACCATGTGTGGCACTTAGTAAGATCTCAGTAAATGCTCACTTCATCATTTCTATCAAAGTATCAAATGATTATGATTACATTATCATTCTTTTTTTTTTTTTTACTTTAAGTTCTGGGATACATGTGCAGAACGTGCAGGTTTGTTACATAGGTATACATGTGCCATGGTTTGCTGCACCGATCAACCCATCATTTAGGTTTTAAGCCCTGCATGCATTAGGTGTTTGTCCTAATGCTCTCCCTCCCCTTACCCCTCAACCCCTGATAGGCTCCAGTGTATGATGTTCCCCTCTCTGTGCCCATGTGTTCTCATTGTTCAGCTCCTACTTATGAGTGAGAACGTGTGGTGTTTGGTTTTCAGCTCCTGTGTTAGTTTGCTGAGAACGATGGCATCCTGCTTCATCCATGTCCCTCCAGAGGACATGAACTCATTCTTTTTTATGGCTGCATAGTATTCCATGGTGTATAGGTACCACATTTTCTTTATCCAGTCTATCATTGATGGGCATTTGAGTTGGTTCCAAGTCTTTGTTATTGTAAATAGTGCTGCAATAAATATATGTGTGCATGTGTCTTTATAGTGGAATGATTTATAATCCTTTCGGTATATACCCAGTAATAGGATTGCTGGGTCAAATGGTATTTCTGGTTCTAGATCCTGGAGGAATCACCACACTGTCTTCCACAATGGTTGAACTAATTTATACTCCCACCAACAATGTAAAAGAGTTCCTATTTCTCCACATCCTTGCCAGCATCTGCTGTTTCCTGACTTTTTAATGATTACTGTTCTAACTGTTGTGAGATGGTATCTCATTGTGGTTTTGATTTGCATTTCTCTAATGACCAGTGATGATGAGCTTTTTTTCATGTGTTTGTTGTCCTCATAAATGTCTTCTTTAGAGAAGTGTCTGTTCATATCCTTTGCCCATTTATTGATGGAGTTGTTTTTTTCTTGTAAATTTGTTTAAGTTCCTTGTAGATTCTGGATATTAGATCTTTGTCGGATAGGTAGATTGCAAAAATTTTCTCCCATTCTGTAGGTTGCCTGTTCACTCTGACAGTTTCTTTTGCTACGCAGAAGCTATTTAGCTTGATTAGATCCCATTTGTCAATTTTGGCCTTTGTTGCAATTGCTTTTTGTGTTTTAGTCATGAAGTCTTTGCCCATGCCTATGTCCTGAGTGGTATTGCCTAGGTTTTCTTCTAGGGTTTTTATGGTTTTGGGTTTTACATGTAAGTCTTTAATCCATCTTGAGTTAATTTGTGTATAAGGTGTAAGGAAGGGGTCAAGTTTCTGTTTTCTGCATATGGCTAGCCAGTTTTCCCAGCACCATTTATTAAATAGGGAATCCTTTCCTTATTGCTTGTTTTTGTCAGTTTTGTCGAAGATTAGATGGTTGTAGATGTGTGGTGTTATTTCTGAGGCCTCTATTCTGTTCCATTGGTCTATATATCTGTTTTGGTACCAGTACCATGCTGTTTTGGTTACTATAGCCTTGTTGTATAGTTTGAAGTCAGGTAGCATGATGCCTCCAGCTTTGTTCTGTTTGCTTAGTATTGTCTTGGATATTCGGGCTCATTTTTGGTTCCAAATGAGATTTAAAGTAGTTTTTTTTCTAATTCCGCAAAGAAAGTCAATGGTAGCTTGATGGGGATAGCCTTGAATCTATAAATTACTTTGGGCAGTATGGCCATTTTCACGATATTGATTCTTCCTATGCATGAGCATGGAATTTTTTTCCATTTGTTTGTGTCCTCTCTTATTTCCTTGAGCAGTGGTTTGTAGTTATCCTTGAAGGGGTCCTTCACATTCCTTGCAAGTTGTATTCCTAGGTATTTTATTCTCTTTGCAGCAAGTGTGAATGGGAGCTCACTCATGATTTGGCTCTATGCTTGTCTATTGTTGGTGTATAGGAACGCTTGTGATTTTTGCACATGGATTTTATATCCCGAGGTTTTGCTGAAGTTGCTTATCAGCTTAAGGAATTTTTGGGCTGAGATGATGGGGTTTTCTAAATATACAATCATGTCATCTGCAAACAGAGACAATTTGACTTCTTCTCTTCCTATTTGAATATACTTTATTTTTTCCTCTTGCCTGATTACCCTGGCCAGAACTTCCAATCCAATGCTGAATAGGAGTTGTGAGAAAGGCATCCTTGTCATATGCCGGTTTTCAAAGGGAATGCTTCCAGCTTTTGCCCATTCAGTATGATATTGGCTATGGGTTTGTCATAAATAGCTCTTATTATTCTGAGATATGTTCCATCAATACCTAGTTTATTGAGAGTTTTTAGCATGAAGGGATGTTGAATTTTATTGAAGACCTTTTCTGCATCTATTGAGATAATCAGGTGGTTTTTGTCATTGGTTCTGTTTATGTGATGGATCATGTTTATTGATTTGTGTATGTTGAACCAGCCTTGCATCCCAGGGATGAAACCAACTGGATCGTGGTGGATAAGCTTTTTGATGTGCTACTGGATTCAGTTTGCCAGTATTTTATTGAGGATTTTTGCATTGATGTTCATGAGGGATATTGGCCTGAAATTTTCTTTCTTTGTTGTGCCTCTGCCAGGCTTTGGTATCAGGAGGATGCTGGCGTCATAAAATGAGTTAGGGAGGATTCCTTCTTTTTCTATTGTTTGGAATAGTTTCAGAAGGAATGGTACCAGCTCCAATTTGTACCTCTGGTAGAATTTGGCTGTGAATCCGTCTGGTCCTGGGCTTTTTTTGGTTGGTAGGCTATTAATTACTGCCTCAATGTCAGAACTTGTTATTGGTCTATTTGGGTATTTAACTTCTTCCTGGTTTAGTCTTGGAAGGGTGTATGTGTCCAGGAATTTATCCATTTCTTCTAGATTTTCTAGTTTATTTGTGTAGAGGTGTTTATAGTATTATCTGGTGGTAGTTTGTATTTCTGTGGCATCAGTGGTGATATCCCCTTTATCATTTTTTATTGTGTCTATTTGATTCTTCTCTCTTTTCTTCTTTATTAGTCTAGCTAGTGGTCTACCTATTTTGTTGATCTTTTCAAAAAACCAACTCCTGGATTCATTGAGTTTTTGAAGGTTTTTCATGCCTCTGTCTCCTTCAGTTCTGCTCTGATCTTAGTTATTTCTTGTCTTCTGCTAGCTTTTGATTGAATTTGTTTGCTCTTGCTTCTCTAGTTATTTTAATTGTGATGTTAGGGTGTTGATTTTAGATGTTTCCACCTTTCTGATGTGGGCATTTAGTGCTATAAATTTCCCTCTGCACACTGATTTAGCTGTGTCCCAGAGATTCTGGTACATCATCTCTTTGTTCTCACTGGTTTCAAAGAACTTCTTTATTTCTGCCTTAATTTCATTATTTACCCAGTAGTCACTCAGGAGCAGGTTATTCAATTTCCATGTAGTTGTGCAGTTTTGAGTAAGTTTCTTAATCCTGAGCTCTAATTTGATTGCACTGTGGTCTGAGAGACTGTTTGTTATGATTTCTGTTCTTTTGCATTTGCTGAGGAGTGTTTTACTTCCAATTATGTGGTTGATTTTAGAATGATTGCTATGTGGCACTGAGAAGAATGTACGTTCTCTTGATTTGGGATGGAGAGTTCTGTAGATGTCTATTAGGTCCACTTGGTCCAGAGCTGAGTTCAAGTCCTGAATACCCTTGTTAATATTCTGTCTCATTAATCTGTCTAACATTGACAGTGAGGTGTTAAAGTCTCCCACTATTATTGAGTGGGAGTCTAAGTGTCTTTGTAGGTCTCTAATAACTTGTTTTATGAATCTGGGTGCTCCTGTATTGGGCGCATATATATTTAGGAGAGTTAGCTCTTCTCGTTGCATGGATCCCTTTACCATTATGTAATGCCCTTCTTTTGTTTTTTATCTTTGTTGGTTTAAAGTCTGTCTTTTCAGAGACTAGGAGTGCAATCCCTGATTATTTTTCTTTCCATTTGCTTGATAAATATTCCTCCATCCCTTTATTTTGAGGCTATGTGTGTCTTTGCACATGAGATGGGTCTCCTGAAAACAGCACACTAATGCGTCTTGACTCTTTATCCAATTTGCGAGTCTGTGTTCTTTAATTGGGTCATTTAACCCATTTACATTTAAGCTTAATATTATTATGTGTGAATTTGATCCTGTCATCATGATGCTAGCTGATTATTTTGCACATTAGTTGATGCAGTTTCTTCACAGTGTCATTGGTCTTTATATTTTGGTGTGTTTTTGCAGTGGCTGGTACCAGTTGTTCCTTTCCATATTTAGTATTTCCTTCAGGAACTCTTGTAAGGCAGATCTGGTGGTGACAAAATCCCTCAATATTTGCTTGTCTGTAAAGAATTTTATTCCTTCTTCACTTATGAAGCTTAGTTTGGCTGGATATGAAATTCTGGGTTGAAAATTCTTTTCTTTAAGAATGTTGAATATTGGCACCTCACTCTCTTTTGGCTTGTAGTGTTTCTGCAGAGAGATCCACTGTTAGTGTGATGGGTTTCCCTTTGTAGGTAACCTGACCTTTCTCTCTGGCTGCCCTTAACATTTTTTCCTTCATTTCAACCTTGGAGAATCTGATGATTATGTGTCTTGGGGTTGCTTTTCTCAAGGAGTATCTTAGTGGTGTTCTCTGTATTTCCTGAATTTGAATATTGGCCTGTCTTGCTAGGTTGAAGAAGTTCTCCTGGATAATATCCTGAAGTGTGTTTTCCAACTTGGTTCCATTCTCCCTGTCACTTTCAGGCACACCAATCAATCATAGGTTTGGTCTTTTTACATAGTCCCATATTTCTTGAAGGCTTTATTCATTCCTTTTCATTCTTTTTTCTCTAATCTTGTCTTCATGGCTTATTTCAGTAAGTTGATCTTCAATCTCTGATAACCTTTCTTCCACTTGATCAATTCAGCTATTGATACTTGTATATGCTTCATGAAGTTCTCATGCTGTGTTTTTCAGCTCTATCAGGTCATTGATGTTCTTCTCTAAACTGGTTATTCTAGTTAGCAGTTCCTGTAACCTTTTATCAGGGTTCTTAGCTTCCTTGCTTTAGGTTAGAACATGCTCCTTTAGTTCAGAGGAGTTTATTATTACCCACCTTCTGAAGTCTACTTCTGTCAATTAATCAATCTCATTCTCTGTCCAGTTTTGTGTGCTTGCTGGAGAGGAGTGGCGATCATTTGGAGGAGAAGAGGCATTCCGGGTTTTGAAATTTTCAGCATTTTTGCACTGGTTTTTCCTCATCTTCGTGGATTTATCTTTGACATTTGAGGCTGATGACTTTTGGATGGGGTTTTTGTAGGGGGTCCTTTATGTTGATGTTGATGTTGTTGCTTTCTGTTTGTTAGTTTTTCTTCTAATGGTGAGACCCCTCTTCTGCATGTCTGCTGCAATTTTCTGGAGGTCCACTCCAGATACTGTTCACTTGGGTATCACTGTGGAGGCAGTAGAAGAGCAAAAATTGCACCTTCTTCTTCCTCTGGAAGCTTCATCCCAGAGGGCCACTGGCCTGATGTCAGCCAGAGCTCTCCTACATGAAGTGTCTGTCAACCCCTGTTGGGAGGTTTCCCCCAGTCAAGAGGCACGGGGGTCAGGGACCCACTTTAGGAGGCAGTCTGTCCATTAGCAGAGCTGCTGTGCTGTGCTGGGAGAATCCCTCTTGTCAGGATCAGCTGCTCCCTTCAGAGCCAGCAGGCAGGAAGGATGAAATCCTCTGAAGCTACACCCACAGCCACCCTTTCCCCCAGGTGCTCTGTCCCAGGGAGATGGGAGTTTTGTCTGTAAGCCCCTGACAGGAGCTGTTACCTTTCCTTCAGAGATGCCCTGCCCATTGAGGAGGAATCTAGAGAAGCAGTCTGGCTACAGCAGCTTTGCTGTGCTCTGGTGGGTTCTACCCAGTCCAGACCTTCTGGCCTCCTTAGCACTATCAGAAGAAAACCACCTACTAAAGCCTCAGTAATGGTGGACACCCCTCCCCCCACCAAGCTTGATCATCCCAGGTTGACTTCAGACTGTTGTGCTAGTAGCAGGAATTTCAAGCCAGTGGTTCTTAGCTTGCTGGGCTCCATGGGAGTGGGATGCACTGGGCGAGACAACTTGGCTCCCTGGCTTCAGCCCCCTTTCCAGGGGAGTGAATGGTTCTGTCTTGCTGGGGTTCCAGGCGCCACTGTGGTATGAAAAAAAACTCCTGCAGCTAGCTCAATGACTGCCCAAACAGCTGCCCAGTTTTATGCTTGAAACCCAGGTCCCTGGTGGTGTAGGAACATGAGGGAATCTCCCGATCTGCAGATTGCAAACACCGTGGAAAAAGTGTAGTAACCTGCTGAGTAGCACAGTCCCTCATGGCTTCACTTGGCTGAGGGAGGGAGGGCCTTGGGCTCCTTGCACTTTCTGAGTGAAGTGATGCCCCACCCTGCTTCTGCTTGCCCTCCATTGGTCAGACTCACTTCCTAACCAGTCTTAATGAGATGAACTGGGTATCTCAGTTGGAAATGCAGAAATCACCTGCCTTCTGCATTGGTCTCACTGGGAGCTGCAGACTGGAGTTGTTCCTATTCAGCCATCTTGGCCCCTCCTCTGACTGAAATGTTTCTATCATTCTTATGTATATGAAAAAAACCTAGGCATTACCATTCAGGACATAGGCATGGGCAAGGACTTCATGTCTAAAACACCAAAAGCAATGGCAACAAAAGACAAAATTGACAAATGGGATCTAATTAAACTAAAGAGCTTCTGCACAGCAAAAGAAACTACCATCAGGGTAAACAGGCAACCTACAAAATGGGAGAAAATTTTCGCAACCTACTCATCTGACAAAGGGCTAATATCCAGAATCTACAATGAACTCAAACAAATTTACAAGAAAAAACAAACAACCCCATCAAAAAGTGGGCGAAGGACATGAACAGACACTTCTCAAAAGAAGACATTTATGCAGCCAAAAAACACAGGAAAAAATGCTCATCATCACTGGCCATCAGAGAAATGCAAATCAAAACCACAATGAGATACCATCTCACACCAGTTAGAATGGCGATCATTAAAAACTCAGGAAACAACAGGTGCTGGAGAGGATGTGGAGAAATAGGAACACTTTTACACTGTTGGTAGGACTGTAAACTAGTTCAACCATTGTGGAAGTCAGTGTGGCGACTCCTCAGGGATCTAGAACTGGAAATACCATTTGACCCAGCCATCCCATTATTGGGTATATACCCAAAGGACTATAAATCATGCTGCTATAAAGACACATGCACATGTATGTTTATTGTGGCATTATTCACGATAGCAAAGACTTGGAACCAACCCAAATGTCCAACAAAGTTAGACTGGGTTAAGAAAATGTGGCACATATACACCATGGAATACTATGCAGCCATAAAAAATGATGAGTTCATGTCCTTTGTAGTGACATGGATGAAATTGGAAATCATCATTCTCAGTAAACTATCACAAGGACAAAAAACCAAACACCGCATCTTCTCACTCATAGGTGGGAATTGAACAATGAGATCACATGGACACAGGAAGGGGAATATCACACTCTGGGGACTGTTGTGGGGTGGGGGGAGGGGGGAGGGATAGCATTGGGAGATATACCTAATGCTAGATGATGAGTTAGTAGGTGCAGCACACCAGCATGGCACATGTATACATATGTAACTAACCTGCACAATGTGCACATGTACCCTAAAACTTAAAGTATAATAATAATAAAAAAAAAAGAGAAAAAAACAGCATGGCTTCTCCTGTTGCCTCAAGTGTGGTCAAACACAGTTGGGATGCTAAGGGTTAAAGGGAGGGAAAAAAATACTTGGAGACAGAAAGACCAAATTGTTATTAAACCAACCCATTATTTAAAACCCTTTCTTTCTCAGAAAGTGAAAAGGAAAATGGGCTGGTATGTTTGTATAAATAGTAGCCGTGTTATACTCCATCTGGGAAAAAGATTATCAATGTTATAATTACATATTTCAGTTGAAAAGAACCTAACTGCCCTTTTTATTGCAAATGCATCCACTTTTTCTCAGATGACTAAGATGTGGTCAAACCTTCACCTCAACTCCTGGCTCTAATGGGATCATTTGGGCAAAAACTTCCTATTCATAGCCCTCAATTACTCCCACTGCAACTAAAAGTTTATAGAATTTCAGAGTTGGAACAAGTAAGAGTCATCTACCCAAGAAAATGTGGGTGGGAACACGACAGTAGGTCTAAGATGGGGCCAAGTACTTAGGATCTGAGCCCCAACTTTTTTCAAACAAGGAACTGCCTCATTTTTTCTTCTCTATGTATTTGTCTTCCACCTAAGATTTCATTCATTTGTAGAAAGAGTTTTATGGGTTAAAAAAAGACAAAAGCAAATAAACAAGTTTGAAAGCCACTGATTTGGCCCAACATCTCATCCAATGCTACTGTATCCCTGCCAAGCATTCATTTAGTCTATGCTGCAGGATCCCTGGGAAGGAGACCTCCCTATCTTATGAAACAGATTATTCTATTGAATCTTTAGAGAACAGAAACTGTCAGAAAGCCCTTTCTTCTATTGAGGCCAGGGGCATCTTATACACTCTCATACCTGGTAGTACCAAACTATTATCACCTATTCTTAGAGAAAATAGAGGAGGATAAAAAAGAAGGAGGTGCAAGAAAAAGAGAATAAGAAAGAAGGATAGGAAAATTATAAGAAATAGAACAATTTCATGATGTGTTTGCAAAATTCAGTCATTCCACCCTCATAATTTTTGCCATATTAAGCTATATTCATATTTTCTTAACAGCTTCATTGAGGTATAATTGATATTCAGTAAGCTGAACATGTTTAAAGTATACAGGTTGATGAGTTTTGACATGCATATACACTCATTACCACAATCAAAATGCTGAACATATTAACCAATCCAAAAAATTTCTTTGTACCACTCTGTAGTCTCTCCCACACACTTCTCTCTGACTTTCATCTACAGGCAATAACGGATCTTCTTTCTATCATTACAGATTAGTTTGCATTTTCCAGGTGTTTATATTAATGGACACATTCAATATACACTCCATTTTCATCTTTTTTTATTCTTCTGGTTTCATTCACTCAGTATGATTATTTTGAAATCCATCCATGTTGTTGTGTGTATCAGTAACGTATTTCCTTTTGTGACTGAGAAGTTTGCCATTGTATGAGTGTATCACAATTTGTTTATCTATTTGCCTTGATGGACATTTGAGTTGTTTTCAATATTTGGCTATTATACATAAAGCTTATATGAATATCTGTACCAGTCTTTATATGAACACATGCTTTCATTTCTCCTGTATATCTAACAGTGAAAGGGCTGAATCATTGCATAGTTGTATATTTAACTTTTTAGGAAACTGGAAAACTGTTTTTCAAATGGACTTACCATAGTTTGTTCCTACACTCAATGTATGAGAGTTCCAGTTGCTCCATACACTTGTCAACACTTGCTATGGTCAGTCTTTTTAATTTTAGCCATTCTAATAGGTGTTTAGTGGTATCTCATTAGGGTTTCAATATCATTTCTCTAATAACTAATGGTGTTGAGCATATTTTCATAAGTTTATTTACTAACCACAAATATTTTTTGCTAAAATGTCTCCTCAAATCTTTTGTCCAGTATTGAGTTGTTGGTTTTCTTAGTGCTGAGTTTTTTATTTATTGTGAAGACAAGTCATTTAGCAGATAAGAGATTTTCAAGTATTTTACCCAGTTTGTGACTTAAAAAAAATTCTTCTAAGAGCATCTTTCTAAGAGCAAAAGTTCTTTTGATAAAGCTCAATTTATTTTTTATCTTTTATGAGTTGTGCGTTTTGTGTTGTGTCTAAAAAGTCTTTGTCTAACCCAGAGCTACAAAGGAGAATCACTTGAACGTAGGTTTTCTTCTAGAAATTTTACAGTTTTATGTTTTACATTTAGGTCTTTGATCCATTGTGGATGAACTTTTGTATCTAGGATGAGATCTAGATCAAAGGTTTTGTATGTTTGTGCTCACAGATAGTAGAGTTTCCAGCACCATTTGTTGAAAAAAAAAAAAAAAAAACTATAGTTTCCAGGGCGTGTTCCTTCTCATCTTTTCAGCTGCTCCTTTCTCAGCCTGTGATCATTTCCTCCCATGCATCACTGGTCAGGCTCCTCTATACACAGTCAGTTATCTGGAACACTGTCTGTGCGGGTCTTTTCTCTCTTAGTCTGCCCTGTGAACTCCAGCTATCTTGGCTTCCCTGGGCTCCCAAATGTGGATCTGGAATCAGGAAAACCACCACTCAGCTCTGCCTGCATTCCCCAACACTGCATCATGATCTAGAAATGTTCTCCAGGTAATAAGAGCTCAGGGGGTTACAGGGTTCACATCATTTGCTTCTCATCAATTAGGGATCCTTATTCTTCATTGCCTGGTACCCATAATCTTGAGTACTGTTGCTTCATATGTATATTCACATTTTTGACTCTTTCAGGTAGGAGGCTAAATTTGGATCTGGTTACTCCAAAGGGGACTGGAAGTGGAAATCCCCCATAGTCATTTAACCTAACATATCCGTTTTTAAAAGACTAACGTTTCCTTTACTCACCCTAAGCATTTATAATAATGTTACAATAATAATCACAGATTTGAGACATTGGCATTAAATTTTTATTCTTTTTTTCTCTTACAGTTGCATATTGATTCACACATTCGTTATTTATTTATTTATTTTTTATTATACTTTCAGTTTTAGGGTACATGTGCACAACATGCAGGTTTGATACATATGTATACATGTGCCATGTTGGTGTGCTGCATCCATTAACTCTTCACTTAACATTAGGTATATCTCCCAATGCTATCCCTTCCCCCTCACCCCACCCCACAACAGGCCCCAGAGTGTGATGTTCCCCTTCCTGTGTCCATGTGTTCTCATTGTTCAATTCCCACCTATGAGTGAGAAGATGCGGTGTTTGGTTTTTTGTCCTTGCGATAGTTTGCTGAGAATGATGGTTTCCAGCTTCATCCATGTCCCTACAAAGGACATGAACTCATCCTTTTTTATGGCTGCATAGTATTCCATGGTGTATATGTGCCACATTTTCTTAATCCAGTCTATGTTTGTTGGACATTTGGGTTGGTTCCAAGTCTTTGCTATTGTGAATAGTGCCACAATAAACATACATGTGCATGTGTCTTTATAGCAGCATGTTTTATAATCCTTTGGGTATATACCCAATAATGGGATGGCTGGGTCAAATGGTGTTTCTAGTTCTAGATCCCTGAGGAATCACCACACTGACTTCCACAATGCTTGAACTAGTTTACAGTCCTACCAACAGTGTAAAAGTGTTCCTATTTCTCCACATCCTCTCCAGCACCTGTTGTTTCCTGACTTTTTAATGATCGCCATTCTAACTGGTGTGAGATGGTATCTCATTGTGGTTTTGATTTGCATTTCTCTGATGGCCAGTGATGATGAGCATTTTTTCCTGTGTTTTTTGGCTGCATAAATGTCTTCTTTTGAGAAGTGTCTGTTCATATGCTTCACCCACTTTTTGATGGGGTTGTTTTTTTCTTGTAAATTTGTTTGAGTTCATTGTAGATTCTGGATATTAGCCCTTTGTCAGATGAGTAGATTGCAAACAGTTTCTCCCATTCTGTAGGTTGCCTGTTCACTCTGATGGTAGTTTCTTTGCTGTGCAGAAGCTCTTTAGTTTAATTAGATCCCATTTGTCAATTTTGTCTTTTGTTGCCATTGCTTTTGGTGTTTTAGACATGTAGTCCTTGCCCATGCCTATGTCCTGAATGGTATTGCCTAGGTTTTCTTCTAGGGTTTTTATGATTTTAGGTCTCACATTTAAGTCTTTAAGTCTTTAATCCATCTTGAATTAATTTTTGTATAAGGTGTAAGGAAGGGATCCAGTTTCAGCTTTCTACATATGGCTAGCCAGTTTTCCCAGCACCATTTATTAAATAAGGAATCATTTCCGCATTTCTTGTTTTTGTCAGGTTTGTCAAAGATCAGATAGTTGTAGATATGTGGCATTATGTCTGAGGGCTCTGCTCTGTTCCATTGGTCTGTATCTCTGTTTGCTACCAGTACCATGCTGTTTTGGTTACTGTAGACTTGTAGTATAGTTTGAAGTCAGGTAGCGCGATGCTTCCAGCTTTGTTCTTTTGGCTTAGGACTGACTTGGCAATGCAGGCTCTTTTTGGTTCCATATGAACTTTAAAGTAGTTTTTTCCAATCCTGTGAAGAAAGTCATTGGTAGCTTGATGGGGATGGCATTCAATCTATAAATTACCTTGGGCAGTATGGCCGTTTTCATGATATTGATTCTTCCTATCCATGAGCATGGAATGTTCTTTCATTTGTTTGTATCCTCTTTTATTTCATTGAGCAGTGGTTTATAGTTCTCCTTGAAGAGGTCCTTCACATCCCTTGTAAGTTGGATTCCTAAGTATTTTATTCTCTTTGAAGCAATTGTGAATGGGAGTTCACTCATGATTTGGCTCTCTGTTTGTCTGTTATTGGTGTATAAGAATGCTTGTGATTTTTGTACATTGATTTTGTATCCTGAGATTTTGCTGAAGTTGCTTATCAGCTTAAAGCGATTTTGGGCTGAGACGATGGGGTTTTCTAGATATACAATCATGTCATCTGCAAACAGAGACAATTTGACTTCCTCTTTTCCTAATTGAATACCCTTTATTTCCATCTCCTGCCTGATTGCCCTGGCCAGAACTTCCAACACTATGTTGAATAGGAGTGGTGAGAGAGGGCATCCCTGTCTTGTGCCAGTTTTCAAAGGGAATGCTTCCAGTTTGTGTCCATTCAGTATGATATTGGCTGTGGATTTGTCATAGATAGCTCTTATTATTTTGAGATACATCCCATCAATACCTACTTTATTGAGAGTCTTTAGCATGAAGGGCTGCTGAATTTTGAAAAGGCCTCTTCTGCATCTATTGATATAATCACGTGGTTTTTGTTGTTGGTTCTGTTTATATGCTGGATTACGTTTACTGATTTGCATATGTTGAACCAGGCTTGCATCCCAGGGATGAAGCCCACTTGATCATGGTGGAGAAGCTTTTTGATGTGCTGCTGGATTCAGTTTGCCAGTATTTTATTGAGGATTTTTGCATTGATGTTCATCAGGGATATTGGTCTAAAATTCTCTTTTTTTGTTGTGTCTCTGCCAGGCTTTGGTATCAGGATGATGTTGGCCTCATAAAATGAGTTAGGGAGGATTCCCTCTTTCTCCTTTGATTGGAATAGTTTCAGAAGGAATGGTACCAGCTCCTCCTTGTACCTCTGGTAGAATTCAGCTGTGAATCCGTCTGGTCCTGGATATTTTTTGGTTGGTAAGCTATTAATTATTGCCTCAATTTCAGAGCCTGTTATTGGTCTATTCAGAGATTCAACTTCTTCCTGGTTTAGTCTTGGGAGGGTGTATGTGTCCAGGAATTTATCCATTTCTTCTAGATTTTCTAGTTTATTTGCATAGAGGTGTTTATAGTATTCTCTGATGGTACTTTGTATTTCTGTGGGATCGGTGGTGATATCCCCTTTATCGTTTTTTATTGCTTCTATTTGATTCTTCTCTCTTTTCTTCTTTATTAGCCTTGCTAGTGGTCTATCAATTTTGTTGATCTTTTCAAAAAACCAGCTCCTGGAGTCATTGATTTTTTGAAGGGTTTTTTGTGCCTCTATTTCCTTCAGTTCTGCTCTGATCTTAGTTATTTCTTGCCTTCTGCTAGCTTTTGAATGTGTTTGCTCTTACTTCTCTAGTTCTTTTAATTGTGATGTTAGAGTGTCAGTTTTAGATCTTTCCTGCTTTCTCTTGTGGGCATTTAGTGCTATAAATTTCCCTCTACACACTGCTTTGAATGTTTCCCAGAGATTCTGGTATGTTGTGTCTTTGTTCTCATTGGTTTCAAAGAACATCTTTATTTCTGCCTTCATTTCGTTATGTACCCAGTAGTCATTCAGGAGCAGGTTGTTCAGTTTCCATGTAGTTGAGTGGTTTTGAGTGAGTTTCTTAATCCTGAGTTCTAGTTTGATTGCACTGTGGTCTGAGAGACAGTTTGTTATAATTTCTGTTCTTTTATGTTTGCTGAGGAGTGCTTTACTTCCAACTATGTGGTCAATTTTGGAATAGGTGTGGTGTGGTGCTGAAAAGAATGTATATTCTGTTGATTTGGGGCGGAGAGTTCCGTAGACGTCTATTAGGTCCGCTTGGTGCAGAGCTGAGTTCAATTCCTGGATAACCTTGTTACCTTTCTGTCTTGTTGATCTGTCTAATGTTGACAGTGGGGTGTTGAAGTCTCCCATTATTATTGTGTGGAAGTCTAAGTCTCTTTGTAGGTCTCTAAGGACTTGCTTTATGAATCTGGGTGCTCCTGTATTGGGTGCATATATATTTAGGATAGTTAGCTCTTCTTGTTGAATTGATCCCTTTACCATTATGTAATGGACTTCTTTGTCTCTTTTGATCTTTGTTGGTTTAAAGTCAGTTTTATCAGAGACTAGGATTGCAACCCCTGCCTTTTTTTGTTTTCCATTTGCTTGGTAGATCTTCCTCCATCCCTTTATTTTGAGCCTATGTGTGTCTCTGCACGTGAGATGGGTTTCCTGAATACAGCACACTGATGGCTCTTGACTCTTTATCCAATTTGCCAGTCTGTGTCTTTTAATTGGAGCATTTAGCCCATTTACATTTAAGGTTAATATTGTCATGTGTGAATTTGATCCTGTCATTATGATATTAGCTGGTTATTTTGCTTGTTAGTTGATGCAGTTTCTTCCTAGCCTCGATGGTCTTTACAATTTGGCATGTTTTTGCAGTGGCTGGTATCGGTTGTTCCTTCCCATGTTTAGTGCTTCCTTCAGGAGCTCTTTTAGGGCAGGCCTGGTGGTGGCAAAATCTCTCAGCATTTGCTTGTCTGTAAAGCATTTTATTTCTCCTTCACTTGTGAAGCTTAGTTTGGCTGGATATGAAATTCTGGGTTGAAAATTCTTGTCTTTCAGAATGTTGAATATTGGCCCCCACTCTCTTCTGGCTTGTAGAGTTTCTGCCGAGAGATCAGCTGTTAGTCTGATGGGCTTCCTTTTGTGGGTAACCCGACCTTTCTCTTTGGCTGCCCTTAACATTTTTTCCTTCATTTCAACTTTGCTGAATCTGACAGTTAAGTGTCTTGCAGTTGCTCTTCTCGAGGAGTATCTTTGTGGCATTCTCTGTATTTCCTGAATTTGAATATTGGCCTGCCTTGCTAGATTGTGGAAGTTCTCCTGGATAATATCCTGCAGAGTGTTTTCCAACTTGGTTCCATTCTCCCCGTCACTTTCAGGTACACCAATGAGACGTAGATTTGGTCTTTTCACATAGTCCCATATTTCCTGGAGGCTTTGTTCGTTTCTTTTTATTCTTTTACTCTAAACTTCTCTTCTCGCTTCATTTCAATCATTTGATCTTCCATCACTGATACCCTTTCTTCCAGTTGATCAAATCGGCTACTGAGGCTTGTGCATTCATCACGTAGTTCTTGTGTG
This sequence comes from Homo sapiens, assembly GCF_000001405.40. Lineage (NCBI taxonomy): Eukaryota > Metazoa > Chordata > Mammalia > Primates > Hominidae > Homo > Homo sapiens. Next base: position 38,447,626 of record NC_000004.12, read on the forward strand.
GTGGTTTTCAGCTCCATCAGGTTATTTAAGGACTTCTCTGCATTGGTCATTCTAGTTAGCCATTCTTCTAATCTTTTTTCAAAGTTTTTAACTTCTTTGCCATGGGTTCGAACTTCCTCCTTTAGCTCAGAGTAGTTTGATCGTCTGAAGCCTTCTTCTCTCAACTCGTCAAAGTCATTCTCCATCCACCTTTGTTCCATTGCTGGTGAGGAACTGCGTTCCTTTGGAGGAGGAGAGGCACTCTGATTTTTAGAGTTTCCAGTTTTTCTGCTCTGTTTTTTCCCCATCTTTGTGGTTTTATCTACCTTTGGTCTTTGATGATGGTGACGTGCAGATGGGGTTTTGGTGTGGATGTCCTTTCTGTTTGTTAGTTTTCCTTCTAACAGTCAGGACCCTCAGCTGCAGGTCTGTTGGAGTTTGCTGGAGGTCCACTGCAGACCCTGTTTTCCTGGGTATCAGCAGCAGAGGCTGCAGAACAGCGGATATTGGTGAATAGCAAATGTTGCTGCCTGATCGTTCCTCTGGAAGTTTTGTCTCAGAGGAGTACCTGGCCGTGTGAGGTGTCAGTCTGCCCCTACTGGGGGGTGCCTCCCAGTTAGGCTACTCGAGGGTCAGGAACCCACTTGAGGAGGCAGTCTTTCCGTTCTCAGGTCTCCAGCTGCGTGCTGGGAGAAACACTACTCTCTTCAAAGCTGTCAGAGAGGGATATTTAAGTCTGCAGAGGTTTCTGCTGCCTTTTGTTGGGCTATGCCCTGCCCCCAGAGGTGGAGTCTACAGAGGCAGGCAGGCCTCCTTGAGCTGCGGTGGGCTCCACCCAGTTTGAGCTTCCTGGCTGCTCTGTTTACCTACTCAAGCCTCAGCAATGGCGGGCACCCCTCCCCCAGCCTCGCTGCCACCTTGCAGTTTGATCTCAGACTGCTGTGCTAGCAATGAGCGAGGCTCCATGGGCGTAGGACCCTCCGAGCCATGTGCAGGATATAATCTCCTGGTGTGCCATTTGCTAAGACCATTGGAAAAGTGCAGTATTAGGGTGGGAGTGACCCGATTTTCCAGGTGCCGTCTGTCACCCCTTTCTTTGACTAAGAAAGGGAATTCCCTGACCCCTTGCACTTCCTGAATGAGGCAATGCCTCGCCCTGCTTCAGCTCATGCTCGGTGCACTGCACCCACTGTCTGACACTCCCCAGTGAGATGAACCTGGTACCTCAGTTGGAAATGCAGAAATCACCCATCTTCTGCATCACTCACGCTGGGAGCTGTAGACTGCAGCTGTTCCTATTTGACCATCTTGACTCCACCCCCCTTAAATTTTTATTCTAATGCACATTAACGTAAATATCACACTATTTTTTATGTCTATTTATATTCACCTGTTTTGGCGTGAAAGGTAATATTACGTTGAAAAACATCTTTTTTTTTCTCTTTTAGTATTAAACTTTTATTTTAAGCTCAGGGGTAGATGTGCAGGTTTGTTTAGATAAACTTTTGTCATGAGGGTTTGTTGTACAGATTTTTTTTTTTTTTTTTCTTTTGGAGATGGAGTCTCACTCTGTCACCCAGGCTGGAGTGCAGTGGTGTGATCTCGGCTCACTGCAACCTCCACCTCCCAGGTTCATGCAATTCTCTCCTGCCTCAGCCTCCTGAGTAGCTGGGATTACAGGCACATGCCACCACGCCTGGCTAATTTTTGTATTTTTACTAGAGACGGGGTTTTGCCATGTTGGCCAGGCTGGTCTCGAACTCCTGACTTCACGTGATCTGCCTGCCTCAGTCTCCCAAAGTGCTGGGATTCCAGGCATGAGCCACCATGCCTGGCCTGTTGTACAGATTATTTTGTCATCCAGATGTTAAGCCTAGTGTACATTAATTACGTTTCCCAATCCTCTCCCTCCTCGACCCTCCACCCTCTGCTGGGCCCCAGTGTCTGTTGTTCCCCTCTCTGTTTCCATGTGTCAACATCACACTATTAACATTTGTAAATGTATATCTGTGTATCACCCCCAAATTATCATGCTTACCCTATGAGTACCCGTACCACAGATTGAGCAAAACCAGCTTTAAGTACTCAGCTCGGCTGCCCTGCGTTAGTCACCTCCCTCCACCAGTGCATACCATGAGCATAAAATAGTTTCTGGGAGGTCAGTGATTCACTTGGTATTTACTTGTTTTCTAGACTTTAGGAAAAAGGAAATCTTTCTATATGAAAATCATGTACACATCTACAGAAAACCTCATCTTTGTTGTGTTCCAGAGCTTTAAAAGCAAGCAGCACATCTGCTGCAACATCCTCTCATGCCTGCATCAGAGCCTGGAGCCCACCTTGACTGGCGCCCACACCTGGCAGGAAAGGTGAAGGTCCTGTGCTTGCTCCTCCTCTGCTCTGCTGGTCACCAGCTGGTGGGTCAGTCAGCTGGACCTGCACAACATTGAGGAGGCTGGTGGTGACCGCTGCAGCTCTGCATAGTTGGGGATTTGGGGATGTGGAAGGAAATTGTTTAACTCTCTGGTGGAATCAAACCAATCAATATCGCTATTTGGGCTTTCAATTAAAAACAGAACAATAAATCCTATCCTCCTTTTTCGCAAAGCTTCACTTATGTCCTACATTTGTGTTACTGACAGGAAGTTGGGGGCTGCAGAGAGTAAATTTTGGTATGCTAGGTATATGCCCCTACAAGGAAGATCAGTGCTCAATAATAATGAGAAGACTTCCTGGCTTTTCCTGCCAACTCCCAGGAAGGGTTTACTGCCTTGCAAAGAGTTCTAACTTCTTCAAAACAAGCTCTCAGGAAAGGGCCGGAGAGTAGCTCTTTGTTAATCATTGATTTTACTGAAGTGATTCCAGGGATCGCAGGTGCAAACAGCCTGTAGGACCAGCTTTAGAAAAAGCCATGTCACAAAGACACGTGGCATTTGACGTGCACATCAGCATTAGAGATCAAAAGGGACTCTGTGTCTGTAGGACTGGAGAAGGTATGACCTGTCTAAGGAAGACCCCCTGGTGCCAGTTGTTGGTTTGTGTGTGTGTGTGTGTGTGTGTGTGTGTGTGTGTGTGTGTGTGTGTGTTTGTTTTGAGATGGAGTCTGGCTCTGTTACCCAGGCTGGAGTGCAGTGGCACGATTGCAGCTCACTGAAACCTTGGCCTCCAGGGTTCAAGTGATTCTCCTGCCTCAGCCTCCTGTGTAGCTGGGACTACAGGCATGCGCCACCAAGCCCAGCTAATTTTTGTATTTTTAGCAACAGGGTTTCGCCATGTTGACCAGGCTGGTCTCGAACTCCTGACCTCAGGTGATCCACCCACCTTGGCCTCCCAAAGTGCTGGTATTACAGGCATGAGCCACTGTGCTGGGCCGCCAGCTGGTTTTGATATACATGTTCTAGTCTTCCGATTTGTAAAATAATCCGAAGATACAGATTTTTTTTTCCCATGAGAAATTTCCTGGTAGTTTGTAACTTTAGAAACAGATAAAAGAAGGACACTGAAGAATCTAAAAACCAAAAATGAGTGGACTGAACCATAAGTCACCATTGGACAAACTTTTGGCATTACCTTTTATCACAGGACTCCATATTGTAGAACTTCTCTGCCATTGTTGTATAAAGAAGTTGATTCCTCTTTATCAGTTGGATAGGGTTATGGAGAAGTCAAGAGAGTGAGAGATGGAATAAACAGATTAGATTGTGTTAAAGTTCTGCTTTTTTGGTAAACATAAAACTGGTTCAATATCTGCAGTTTCAAAAAGTTTAACCTAGGTTCCTCAAAAAATTAAAAATAGAATTGCCATATGATCCAGCAATTCTACTTCTGAGTATACAACAAAAAGAATGGAAAACAGGATCTCAAATAAATACTTGTACATCCATGTTTATGGCAGCATAGTTCATTGTATTAGGCTGTTGTTGCATTGTTACAAAGAAATACCTAAGACTCAGTAATTTGTAAGAAAAGAGGTTTAATCGGCTCATGGTTCTGTAGGCTGTGCAGGAAGCATAGCAGCATCTGCTTCCAGGGAGGTCTCAAGAAGCTTCCAGTCATGGTGGAAGGCAAACAGGAAGCAGCCACATTTCATGGCAAAAAAAATAGGAGCAAGGAGCGGGGGAGGTGCCAAACACTTTTAAATGATCAGATCTCACAAAAACGTACTATCACTAGGACAGTACCAAGGGGGATGGTGATAAATCATCCATGAAAAATCCACCCCCATGATCCAATCACCTCCCACCAAGCCCCACTTCCAATATTGAAGATTACATTTCCATATGAGATTTGGGTGGGGACACACACCCAAACTCTATCATTCATAATAGCTAACATGTAGGAGCAACCCAAGTGTCCACTGATGAATGAATGGATAAACAAAATGTGGTACACACATATAATAGAATATTATTCAGCTGCAAAAAGGAAGGAAATTCTGACACATGGATGAAACTTGAGGACAGTATGCTAAGTGAAATCTGCCAACAACAAAAAAAGACAAATAGTGCATGATTCCACTTATATGAGGTACTTAGAATAATCAAAACCATAGAAACAGAAAGTACAGTGGTGGTTGCCAGAGGCTTGTGTGGAGGAGGGAATGGAGTTACTGTTTAATGGGCACAGAGTTTCAGTTTTACAAGATGAAAAGAGTTCTGGAGGTAGATGGTGGTGATGAACATATAGCACTACAAATGTACTTAATACCACTGAACTGTATACTTAACATGGGTAAGATGGTAAATTTTATGTTATGTGTATTTTACCACAATTTTAAATAACTGAGGAATAAAAAGTTCAGCCTGTTAGAGTTGTTGACAAATATAATGACTATTCACATAGTCCTGTGATCTAAAGTTACAATTCTTGCTATTTAGTAGCAGGGTATAAAGAGCATTAAGTAAGGAAAGCTAACTGCTGTTACATGTAAAATGGCTCAAGCATAGTAAGAGTTTATGTCTCACTCACTTACACAGTCCAGGGCAGTTCCAGATTACCACGGGATCTGCTCAACATGTTGTTCAGGGACCAAGGCTGAAAGACAGCTTCTGCCATCTTCAATACTCAGCTTTCAAAGTCATCCCCTGTGTCAATATCCAGCAGCAGAAGAAGAAAGAATATGGGAGGTTTCTATGGGCCGGTCTGGGAGTGGCTGGCATCATTTTTGCTCACATTTCACTTCAAGGGAAGCTAGAAAATGCATTTTCATGCTGTGCCAAGAAGGAAAGAAAATGGTTCGGTGACCAGCTGGCAATCTCTGACACATAAAGGAGGGCCCAAAGTAAACTGGCTATGAGGTTAAAATTTGGGAGAGTATGCACACCAATTTCAGGAAATGTTGCTGGCTCAGATACTTCAGAATTCAAGGAAAGATTTAGGAAACACAATTTTCTAGGGGACTCATCAAATTCAGATTTGGGAGAAATGTTCAGGCCATTTTGTAAATTAGCTTTACCAGTGGTCAGTAGAAAGAACCTGGACCCTGCTACTAACTGGGTCTGTGATCCTGGAGCAGTTTTAACTGGTCTTAGATTAATATTTCCTTTCTATCAAATGGAAATTAAAATATATAATTATCAGCATTGTTCTAAGAATTTGAGGCAATTTATGTAACATACCTGTATGATACACAGTTGTTACAAATCCAGCCAAATGATTATCCAGGCTCTGTGAAAAATATCTCCATGAGCAGGGAACTCAGTGCCTCCAATGTCTATGCAGACCTGACAGCCAGAAATCTTTCTCTTCAGCAAAATCAGTTTTCCCGTTGAACCATACTTCTATCTACTGAAACTACACAGAACAAAGTGAATCATTCTTTCACAGGCCAGTTCCTCAGACATTTGAAAGTGGCACTCCTACTTACTCTAAATCTGCTCTTCCAGTTTCTTCAACTTTGAATTTCTCACCAATCATGTTGCTGTTATCTGAACACTTCTACTTTGTCTTTAGGCCCCTTGAAATGTGATTCACAGATGAGAATACTGCACCCCAAGTAAGACTGGACCAGCATAGAGTACGATAGTAGCATTCCTCCTTTTGTTTAAAAATGTATTTGTCAGGGTTAGGGTATCAGTTATGCTGCTGTAACAAAAAGACTTGAAAATGCAATTGTTCAAATAAGAGAGAAATCTCTTTTTCTCTCATGTAACAGTTCAACGATAGGCAGGTTGTCCAGGACAAATGTGTGGTTTATTCAAACACCAAAGTTTCTTTTACTTTCAAGCTTTTCTGTCCTGTAGGATATTGTTGTCTGTATGGTGACATCTGGTCTGCCAATGCAGACCTGCCAATGCACATCCAAGTTCCAGCCTACCCTATAGGGAGGAAGAAGGAGAGGAAGTGGAATGACATTCTTTTATGGCAGTGAACACAAGTTATGCCCATCACTCCTCAATTCTGCTCACCTTCCATTAGTGAGAGCTTAGTCACATGGTCATAGCCAGCTGCAAGGGAGACAAGGGGGTGTCAATTCTATTTCGGAGGCTAGGAGGACAGTGGAACAATGTATTTTGCTAAAACTGGCAGTGGGTTCCGTTACTAGGGACAAGTGGAAAATGGACACAGGACAATTGATTAAGCATCTCTGCCATGAGAAACTATGCAAAACAAAGGAAAGAAGTACCCCCAATTAAAAGGCATTAGGAATAACTAGCAAGAATAGGAAAAACTGCTAAGATGAAATGAGGGAAAAGAATAAGTAGGATATCTATAGCTCGGCTACATAGCAAGCTAGAAGGTAACATGACACATGATTAAACCAATTCAATTGCTATAGTTGTTGCCCAGAAAATACGTGACTAAACTTGGTGGATGCTTTAACAAGAAATTGGAGTTACAAGTTGTAATTGTTTAAAGTACTATGTATTACAATGATGAACAGTGGTTCATCATCATAGTGGAAATAGCCTTTCCTAGAAAAAAAAAAAAAAGTGAGAAACCTCTGTGAAATGAGAAGTATTACTCTCTTTCCTGTTCTGCGAGGAACAGTGGGATTGACTGAACTAAACAGGACTTTCCAAGCTCTAGGTTCAGTTATCCTATCCTCAGAGGAACAGGCAATTTAATCTGGAAGTTCTCAAAATGGCAATAAATGAAAAAGCAAATAAATCGGGGAAAACAAACATTTTCATCATGGAGTGGGGTAGAAATAATTACCGTGAAATACGCTAAATGCCTAGCTTGGTTTCTGATGGTTTCTTGGGGTTTTAAGATTTCATTTTCATGATCCATTGGCCACAAATCATTGAAAATACCAAGAAGTAAAATATGCCTTTGACTAAATGCATACATGCCCCTCAGCTTTTAGTAGGACTCAAATATTGACATTTGGAAGGAGGAATTTTTTTTCCCACATGCTAACAACAATCATCCCCAACATCACTGTTGAAAAACACAACCGTACGCCCTGCGGAATATTAGTCAATTAGGCAGCACTGTCATTTCATTAAAAAGAATACTATGCTCACTTATTTCATTGCTATTATAGAAGAGAAATCAATGCTAAAGTGACCGCATTTTACCTTCTCCATTGTGAAATGATAGTTGATGGTTAGTACACTCTCAAGAAGCGATGTCTGAGAATGTGGAGTGTGCTAGGCTGAAAGACAGAACTAAAATGGGTTCTACCCAGCAGCCTAACATGCTGCTAAAATTTCCCTGGGTCAACTTTCTGTTAGAATCACTTTCAGAAAAGAATAGAGGTTTTTCGAATGTGAAATCATACTGTGGAATGGGAAAGTCCCCATTCTTGAGCAAGAAGATCTCAAGAAAAAGATTTTGAAATTTTAAAATGAATGCAAAGGCAACCGCTCAAGGAGAGTTTAGTTTGCTTCTCTCGGCATCTGTTCTGTGGGATTCCTTTCTTTCTTCCCCAGAGGTAATTCTCAATAACCTCCTTCTAGAACGAGGCTTTGAAGTCCTCTGCACACCTGTGTAGATTATAAAGCAGAGAGGCTGGTCTTCCACACCCAAACTCTAAATTCACAATGCAACACAACAGTTAAAACATGCCCTCTAGCATCTTGTTTAAAAGTTAAACCCAAGCTTGATATAATCTGAAGTGGTTAACCCTTGCCCAGATTGAGCACATACTTCCCGTGCTGAAGAAGGAGAATAGACTCTCTTTATGTATAACTCTTTCTTCAGAAGTGTACACATGATCTGGGTAAATAGGCTGATGTCTCAGAACACTAGAGGGATTTTTTTGGCTGTCCTTGCTCTTTGCTCAGGGGCTAAAAGTGACAAAATCTGTACCTCTGATAGCTTCCTCCACCTCTTTGGCTTCTTAGATTTTGAATTAACATGTTATTGACACTACTAGGGAATGAATGAAGGGGTGACTTCTTTTTCTAACATTGCCTGAGTCATGGCCTTAATGCCATTCTCTTCCTTCAGCACTGGAGTCTGGCCGTGTTTCCTGACATGGGGATGGGACTGCAGGGTTACAGGGAGAGTGCAAGAGGCTGGCACTGGAGAAGTCAAGACAAAATGTGAGGGCCTGGACTGGGTTGGGGTCAGGAGTATGAGAAGCAGGTGGTCCAAGAGATGGCCATGCTGGCCAGGCACAGACACCAGAAGAATAGCAAAGAGAACTTGATTCTGAGCCACATGTTTGCCCATGGGCAGGAAGCTCCTGCTTGCTTCCAAGTGGGGTGGGACCAAACTATGAGCCCCGCCAGCCCAGGCTGTGCAGGTGCAGGCAGGGAAGTGGCTGCACCTGGCTCAGGTGGGTGTGTAGGTGGAAACTACAGGCAGGCACCTGGTTTCTGGCTACAGATTTGGGTTCTGATCCAATGCCACTCCCTGACCTCATGAAAGATGAACTCCCTGGCTCCCTCCTTGGAGTCCAAGGATCCTTCTTCCCAGCCCACTTTTCAGTCTGACCTTGACCTTGTGGCTTCAGCTTGGCCATGGTTCCTAGACTGGTTCTAACTTCACCCTGTGTCTAAGATCAACCTTCCTGGTCCTGATAGGGCTGGTAAGGACCCTATCCCCTTCTTGGCTACAGAAGAAGTAGAGTTCTTTCCTCTTTGGGACCCAGTCCTGCTATTTTCAACCTCTAGTTAAAATGAATCTCTAGGCAACCAACATTACGTTGTTACTAAGAATTTTATTTTATTTTTTAAAAATCTTTCTTACAGTCCATTTTTTCAATCCCTGGTTCTGGCCTTGACGCATAGGAAGAAATCATGATATGCAGGAGATTTGGCCAGGATCCTCAATCTTGGAATCTCCAATTAACTCAGACCACAAAAGATCCCCAGGGGACGCCTTTCTCTTTGTCCCTTGTACTTCTCTGGCCTCCTCCCTGTGAGTTGGATTGGACACAGATGAGCCTGCTGACCCTCACATGGAGGCAGCCTAAGAGGCTTCTCTAAGTTTCCTTCTTTCTGATCCACAGGTTGAAGGAGCAAATCCCTTCCCCTACACCAGGCTGCCCACCAAGTGGGAGGTTGCTGCCAGCCTGTCTCACTGCACCTGCCCCAAGACATGGACTCAAACAAGAACTAGTGAAGAGACAACCAAATTATGTCACATACTATTTTTGCTTATAAATTCTATTCCCTCTTACCATTATATGTTTTTTCCCTAAATACTAAAACCTTAGAGAATCCATTCTTTCTCATGCTCATTTCAGAGCTTCCCAACTTTGTGAGCACAATTTCTCTTCCCAGACAAAAAAGTGCATATACACAAACAACTTGCAAACAGTTTCAGGATGCTCATGGAGCCCTGAAGCCCCTCCATGAACTCCACCCTGCCCCTGAGGTTAGTATGTGCCTTCTGACTTTGAGGAATTGACTTTCAGACACTTTCACCAGGCCTTTTTGGATCATCTATTTTGATTCAAAACAATTGTCCAACACATTCTCTTGGCTGTGTGCAGCTCCTCTTTCCGTTCTCTCTCCATCCAGTCACACCTACATTATCATCATCGAGATTATCCTCATTCTTCACATCATACCTCCTCGGCTCCATCTTCTACCCTAGACTTTTCCTAGGAGACACATTAGTAAGGGAAATCCCAGTTTTATTGTGTGAAAATATCTTACAAGTACTAATACTATATATATAGTATTAGTTCATTCTCAAACTGCTATCAAGATACTGCCCAAGACTGGGTAATTTATAAAGGAAAGAGTTTTAATTGACTCACAGTTCCACATGGCTGGGGAGGCCTCAGGAAACTTAAATTATGGCAGAAGGCAAAGGGGAAACAAGGACCTTCTTCACTTGGTGGCAAGAGAGAAAAGTGCAAGCAGAGGATACGCCAGATGCTTATAAAACCATCAGATCTTGTGAGAACTCACTCACTATCACGAGAACAGCATGGGGGAACCACCCCCATGATCTAATCACCTCCCTCCCTCAACATGTGGAGATTACTGGTCCCTCCTTCAACGTGTGGGGATTACAATTCAAGATGAAATTTGGGTGGGGACAGAGAACCAAACCATATCATACATATATGATCAAATATCCCTGGAGGACCCCTACCACAGTCTTGGAAAGACCTACATAAGTGAGGGGCCCAAAGCTCCAGCTTCATTCACTCCACGACAAGCCCATCTCTGTATGTGAGCCTGGAAGAGGTAATCCCAACTGGCCCACCAGAAGGATTTCCTGCTCAGAGATTCACCATCTATTTAGATATATTTTTGCACACAGCTCAGAGCTCCTGTAGCTTCTTTTTCTCAGAAAACCTGCACCTTACCGGTGAGTACAACAGCAAAAGCTTATTATGATTAATTAGATTTTTAATTAATGCCTCACCACATAATTAAGAAGAAGCCCTTGGAGTAAAACCCTAACTCAATATTCTTCCTTTCATTAATTCTCTCTGCCTAATAGCAGAGGAAAAGATGAAACAAGGAGTGTGGTATGTGTTAGTTTTTATTCTCCCAAGAGGTTATAAAGAAAATGTCAGAATGGCAGAATTGGCTACAGTGTCTCCCTATAAAAAGTTCTCTTTTTGGTTCCCTTTCTCTGGGATTCTTTCTCATTTTTATTATTCAATTCATTTTAATCCAGCAACATTTACTGAGCAGCTACTATATGCTGGGCACTGTTATAGGCACTCTGGAGACTCAAAGAGGGTAACTACCTATTTCTGCCCTCCAGGGAATCCAAATCTTAGAGGGGCAGCAAGGTGCAAAGATAATTGGTACAAAAAGAGATAATGGAGGATAATAAAGAAATGACCATCAGTACAGCTTGAAATGGACTCTGGTGACAGTTCCCCAGTAAGGATCCCAAATCTGATTTGAATACTCACATGTCATCAGGGACCAGGCATGGTGGTAGAGATGTTACATTATCTTTAATTCTCACAATTTAGGGTAGAGGTCAATGAAGAGATGAGGACCTTGTCCATGATGCCTCCATCTAGCTAAATCCCCTCACAACATCCTTTTATAGCACCCATTATTTGCCTGTCATTATACGCATCCTCTGCATAATTGTCCAATGCCCTCCCCAAGGTAGGCTCCATCAGAAAAGGGATTGTGTGTCTGCCTTGTTCACCACTGTATCACAGCACTTAGCACAGACTAGTATGAAGCAGAAATTCACTAACTATTTGGTGAATGTATGGAGGGAGGAGAGAGGGAGAAAGGGAGGGAGCAAAAAGGAGAAGGAAGGAAGCGAGGGAAGGAGGGAGGGATTATAAACACATCAAAGCCATGATTCTACCCTAGGTCTGACTCCCTTAAAAGTCCATAAGCTTTCTCCTCTACCACACTAACTTTCAGGATATTAGAGTGTGTGCACAAGCCTCAAGATGACTTCTGGGAAGGAAAATGCTCACCCATGTGTGATCTGTTTGGGAATGTTGAAAACCATTCTTCTTCCATGATTGTTGCCCCTTGTATGTGCCAGTGGGAGCAAGCTGTCCAGGCCAGACAGAGCAGCACTCATAGCCTCTAGGGTTCCCACACTATCCATCCAGCCACTCCGATCTCCCAGTGCTAGGGATGATTCAGTGCCCGTCTTCCCCTGCACGTGGCCTCCAGAGAGACACTGAGGCCCTGTATACCCAGCTGAATGTGGAAAAAATCCTTGTCCTTTTTGTCTGCCCAAATCAAGATTGGCAATCCTCTGAAGAAACTTTTACTAATCAAACTAAGAAACAAAAAAACAGTTTCCCAGGAGACTAAATGTTGATGAGCTCACTGAGAATATATGTTGCTAAGCCATACTTACCTGAACTGAGATTAATAGCACAGCTTACAAGGTAAACTCCCAAATTTTCTCCCTTTACCCTGCCTATCTGGGATGGATGCTAAGGTAAAATATTCAGTTTTTTTTCCTCCAAAGTAGATGTGGCTTGATACATCTTTCCTATCCGGTGAGAGACCAAGTCTCTCTCAGAACCACTCCCTGGTCCCCCTGCTTACCCTAAACTCTCTTCTCTGGCCCTGAGCTAAGTCCCCTCATTTGCAACCAGGGCCAGCTTCATGGGCATTTGACCAGTGCAGTTGCAGAGAGCCCCATGCTCAGAAGGGCCTGGAGCTTGGGGTTTAATGCTCTACAGTCACTATATTAAAATTCTTAAAAATGTTATCTTTGAATTTGTATTATGAAACTTAAGTTTAATGGGACAATGAAGAATACAAGAAAGAGGGTGGCTCAGAGGATTTGTTCACAAACCATCCAGCTTCCCAATGCCCCACCGCCTCCCAGAGATGGGTGCCCAGCCACCTACTTCTTCCTCTGGTACCCTGGGTCCCACCTAGACCAGAAGAGCAACAGCTGAATCTGGCCTCCTTATGGCTGCACCCACTCAGCGACCACTGTTGTCTTCTGGCCCAGCAGGAGTCTGGGCATTGATGTGGGAATGGCTGGGGGTCTGCATATGTGCCCTGCGAAGTCTTGGGGCTGAGCATTGCAGCAGCCATCCCTGCCCCAGGTTGGCAGCATTACAATACATGCGTTGGGCAGGTGATTCTGCAGGATGAGCCTCTCACCTAGCCCTGATCCACATTCCTACCATACATCTCATGTGGAGGTTGCAATACCCTTGGGGATCAGCCTATCCACCATAGGTGGAGGTGGCAGATCTGTGGGAAGGGGAGATGTCTGCCTCGACCTGCCTGTTCCTGGCCAGGGATGATGTGTTAGTGTCGTGGTGGCTGGGAGGGAGAACCTGGGAACAGGTGGGCCAAGTGTTCCGAGTCAGGGGACAGGTAACTGACAGTCAGTAACTGCCCTAATAAAAGTGTCCCTGTGCACAACACAATATTAAATGACAAAAAACAGAAACAAAAACATTACGACAGGTTGACAGAGCGACCTTGGAAGAAAAATGTCTTATATTTTAATACCTTTAACACATCTTTCATCCTGCTCTTTGAACAAGAGCATTTTTAGTTTGCACTGGATCCTACAAATTATGTAGCCGGTCCTGCCTGTAACACCCTTCCTGTCATGATACTTATCCTTGGGATGAAAAAACACTGCCCTATCTTGTCCCCAAGAAGTCTTCCCTATTGAGCTCCAGGCCAGTGTTTAGTGACCACGTGGCAGCCTCCATGACCCATCACACCTTGTGGGCTCTATGATGTTAAATGAACTCTAGGCATTGACCTTGTCCATGACAAGTCCCCGGCTTGTTTTTCTCTTGTCTGTTGGATTTGCCAGAACAAATGTCCTGGCCTGAAATGGTTATTAATCTAATTTCTACTCTTCAGAGGGAGGTAGCTTTTCCCCATATTCTTCTAAGCTGGAATCTTGGTTTGGTCATTCACGTGGCAGCACAGGCTTGTTTTGACTGACATCTATGTTCCAGAACCTGATTGCAATACATCGTCCCCTCTGTCTGCCAGACGACTTTCCACCTCTTCATTTTTAAAGTCTCCGCTCCAGGATCTGCTCCCTGTCTTTTCTGAAAGAAGCCTCTAATGAGCTGCTCATTGGCAGAGCAGACATGATTGGCATTCCTTCAACCAATGAATGGCCAAGGCCTTCCTGTCTGGGTTAGCAGCTCCACCCCCTTCTCCAGCATCCTTTCCATCACTTCTTATCCTGGATTCCCTTCTCAGATCCCACCACCATAGGATTTAATAGTAAAGACACGGCTGGGCACGGTGGCTCACGCCTGTAACCCCAGCACTTTGGGAGGCCAAGGCAGGTGGATCACCTGAGGTCAGGAGTTCGAGACCAGCCTGGTCAACATGGGGAAACCCCGTCTCTACTAAAAATACAAAAATTAGCTGAGTGTGGTGGAGGGTGCCTGTAATCCCAGCTACTCGGGAGGCTGAGGCAGGAGAATCGCTTGAACCTGGGAAGCGAGGTTGCAGTGAGCCGAGATCACGCCACTGCACCAGCCTGGGCCACAGAGCAAGACTCCGCCTCAAAAAAAAAAAAAAAAAAAACAATAGTAAAGACACTTAAATATGTGTTAACTATTATAGTTCTAATTTTCACGAATAAGGAAATAACATCACAACTAAATTAGAAGTAAAATTTAACTTCTTACACTGTTCTACAAATTATATGCATGTATATATTATACATATATAAATGTTATATACACATACATATAAAACATTTCTTCTGCTATTATTATACCATGTATATACTGATTTAATCATTATAACAATTCTATGAAGTAGGTAGTATAATTCCCATTTTTCATATGAGAAAAGTGGAGGCACAGAGCAATAAAATCACTTGTTCGAGGTCATAGAACTGGTAAATGGTAGAGCTAGGATTCAAACCCAGATCTAGTCATGCCCTTAATTGATACACTTTGAGGTAGAAGAGTTCAGAGGAGAAACAACAGACCTAGCACAGGCAGGGAAGATGTCCTGGAAGGGGAGTGACCCAAACAAGACATGGTAATAGATAGGCTTTAGAAAGAAGAGAGGGAGAATGCACGAGCTACTGAATCAAAAACTCTGGAGGTGGCCCAGCCATCTGTGTTTTAACAAGCCTCGATTCTGATGCATACTCAAGTTTGAGAGCCACTGAATTATTTGATGCACATCAAATGCTTAGAGAACTGTGCCTGGCACATACTAACTGCTCTATCAGTGTTAAATATTATTATTAGCTGTAGGGCCTACAGATCTGCATCTGTGATCTGACCCCACCCAGGTCCTGCCCTGCTCTCCTGAGACCCTTAGGGGTCTCCACCCTGACAATGTGGACTGTCTGCTCTGAAGCACGTCTCTGCAGGCCTTCTGCAATCTCCCCTGACCAGTTTGCCCTGCACAGGGAGATTCTGACCCAGCTGCCTGCTAGGCCCAAAGTCTGCCCTGAAGCATCGCCTACTGGGTGGGGCCCACACCCTTCCCGGGTCTTGTCTTGGCAGAAGACGCCCTTCCTTGGAAGGAAGCTGGTGTTTGCCTAAGGCTTTGCATGTGAAAATGCCTCTGTGTGCCTTAAACCATCCTCCCAGCCCTACAGAAGAATTCAGAGCCAGGACCACTGCCCCCAAAACTGTTCCTTCTTTATGCACCCAAAGAGGTTTTGCATAAACTAAATATAATAAGTGGATGTGTATTTTATTCTTTTCGCTATAGTAATCTCTCCTTATCTTTGGGGGATATGTTCCAAGATTTCCAGTGGTTGCCTGAAACCACAGATAATACTGAACCCTATATATATATACTGTTTTTTTCCTATACATACGTACATATAATAAAGTTTAATTTATAAATTAGGCACAGAAAGAGATTAACAACAATAGCTGATAATAAAATAGAACAATTACAACATGTCAGCATCACTACTCTTGTGCTTTGGGGCCATTGTTAAGTTAAATAAGGGTTACTTGAACACAGGCCCTCTGACACCAGGGAGTTGATCTGATAACTGAGATGGCTGCTAATTGACTAACAGGTGGGTAGCATAGACAGCATGGATACGCTGGACAAAGCAATGACTCATTTCCCAGGCAGGAGGGATAAGGATGGAGAGATATTTCAATGTGCTACTCAGAGCACTGTGCAATTTAAAACTTAAGATCTGTTTATTTCCGGAATTTTCTATTTAATATTTTTGGACTGTGGTTGGTTGCAGATAAATGGCCAACTTAATGTCTCCCCAAATACAGTAGCCACCCCCCACATCTTTGGAAAACGAAACCGCAAATAAAGGAGGACTACTGTATTGGGGAAGAGATTAAGTTGGGCCATTTTATCTACAGAGTCCATTGAATTAGATATTGCTGACTACTTGAAACAAAAACTTTATTAACTGTTTCCGTTTAAAATGTGTGCAGCATCACTTTTCTGCAGGCGTGATTATGGCAACATTTTTTGGGCCTCATTTTTTGGGCCACAGGCAACTAGGACCAATAGGAACTTGGCAATATCTACAGACCCACTTCCTGGACCCTCCTGCTTGAGGGCTGGGGGGGCATCCCAAACGAGGTTTATTTAGAGCGTTCCAGAGACAAAATGCTGGAATAACATACTAACCAAATTCAATCAGGGCTAGATGCAAGACCACCTTCACAGTCACCATTTTGAAATGTTTAATCATTTTTGAACAAGGAGTGCTGCATTGTTAGCTCACAGGGCTCCATGAATTACGTTGCTAAGATGGTCCTGCTAAAATGTCTGAGTTGGAGGTGGGGGAACAAAAGAATAAAGAAGCGGAAATCAGAGTTGCTAGTCAAGATCTCCATCAGTTTCTTCTAGGTCCTGAATTCTCAACTTTAACCTCAATGACCTTCCCTGGAGAGCACAGCCTTAATAGACCATGCTGCCATCTTGTAGTAGTTAAGAGTGCAAACTCAGGCTGGTTCGGTTCAAAAAGACTGACTGATCTGGTTCAAAACCTAAGTCTACAATGGATCAGCCCTGGCGACTCTGTCCAAGTTCCCCAATTGCTTTATGCCTCTATTTGCTCATCTATAAAGTGGCAAAACCAATCACAGGCACCTCTTCCCAAGCCCCAGAGGGATACTGTGAAACTTAATGAGGAAATGAGAACGGAGTGCACAGCAGAGTGCACTCATGTAGTGAGTGCTTGTGAATGTCAGCTTTAAACGTAAGGTTACATGTTTTGCCATAAGGCATTTGAATAGAGAGACTATGACAAGAGCAGAAAACTTGGGTCACATTGTGAAAAAAGGCAGATGCTGATGACTTTCACTTTTTCAACCCAGAGAAGGACCTATGAGGAGTGACCTACTTCTTCTGACCTCCTATTGTTGCTGCTGGTTTAAATGTTTTGTTGTTGTTGCTGTTTTTTATTGTAAATCTGTAGTAATAGGTGCCTGAGTTTTTTATCTTACATTCAAAGGAAGCAGAATTTATACAAAAGAGGATGAGGATGGGTGGGGCTGTGGGGACAAGCTTTATAAAGGGAGCCAGAGGAGCCAGGCCCCGTCCAGACTTAGCCGTGCTTGTAAACAGGATCCGGTTCTTGCAAATGTGTGAATCTTGATAGTTTACTTTTTTTTTTTTTTTTCTGTTCTAGAGAGTTGGAGAGAGGTTGGAGTGTTTATCTTTGTTTGCATCTCACATTTTCCAGGGGATAAGGATTTGCCTTCCCTGGACCAAGATGGCTGAGAGATCAGAGGGAGCAGAGCAGTTAGGGAAAATGGTGAGAGATTCTCATCTTCTCTCTCTACCACCACCAACCACCACCACCTCCTCCTCTGCGGCTGAAAGGAGAGGGAGATAGGCAGCCAGAAACACACCTGAGGTCTTCTCTCTAGGGAGAAATTTCCTTAGCCCATTAAAGAAATATATATATTCACGGCCAGGCACGGTGGCTCACGCCTATAATCCCAGCACTTTGGGAGGCCAAGGCGGGCAGATCACCTGAGGTCAGGAGTTCAAGACCAGTCTGGCCAACATGGTGAAACCCCACCTTTACTAAAAATACAAAATTAGCCGGGCGTGGTGCCACATGCTTGTAATCCCAGCTACCCAGGAGGCTGAGGCAGGAGAATTGCTGGGCCCAGGAGGTGGAGGCTGCAGTGAGCCAAGATCATGCCACTGCACTACAGCATGGGCTACAGAGGGAGACTCTGTCTCAAAAAAAAAAAAAAAAAAAAGAAAGAGAGAGAGAAAGAAAGAAAGAAAGAAAGAAAGAAAGAAAGAAAGAAAGAATCTAAATAAAATTTTAAAATCCTTTAACTGTAGGTGGGAGGGAGGGATGAATTAGCAGATCACAGAGGACATTTAGGGCAGTGGAACTTTCTGTATGATACTATAATCATGGGTACATGCTATTACACATTAATCAAAACCCATAGAAGGTACTCCATCAAGAGTGGACCCCTGAAGAAAACTATGAACTTTGGGTGATGATGTGCCAATCTGGACTGATCAAGTGTAACAAATGTACCACTGTGATATGAGATGTCTGTATTTGGGGAGGTGGTTTACATGTGGGAACAACGGTCTCTGAGAAATCTCTGTACTTTTTGCTGTATTTTACTGTGAATCTAAAATTGCTCTAAAAAAAGAAATTTTATTAATTAAAAAAATAATAATCTTTCCACTTTCCCCCATAGTAGGTCCTACTATTGGCAGAAAAAATACTTGGACCAAGACAGAGGCCATCTGGAAGGGTGTTGATGCTGCTCCCTCCCAGGAAGTCACCTAAAGAGTCAGGCTGATGAAGCTCCCAATGGGCTGGGCGGCCACACATTATGCTCCTTAATCACGTTATTCACGGTGAGACTCCAAGGATATTCATGTGGATGACATACTTAGTGCTGATACAATCTTGAGTGTTTTGGTGAGAACATTTTAAAAGGCACTGTAAAACTTTTTAGACATAAATATAGCCAGTTTCTTATGGCACCTAAACTGCTAAGTAGTACCTTGATAGTAGAGATTTCAAAAGTATTCACATTAAAACATCCAGGTGAACATTAATTGGTGCTAAAGGGAAAACAACCAGCTAACACCCTGATGCTGACAGCTAGAAATGTTGGTGATGTAGCTTCCTAGTCCCCAGGCATGCTGGGTGCTATCTATAGAAGATAAGTGACTCAGCACCTGCCCAGCCAAATCCTGATTCATGACCCTCCTTCTCCAACTCCACCCTGTGGCCCCCAAAAGAAAAAAACTCAGAATTTCCCTGAGCAGTCCAACCAAGTAGGCCAACCCTTGGGGAAAAAAACATATCGATACTGTCTCTAGCTGCCATAGCTGAACTTCCACTTCCTGAGGCAACCAGCCCCACTGGAGCTAATGGGTCTCCCCCATGAACCTAGACAGTTCCCTGAGACTGTGTGAAAGAAGGACCCAGTGAACACAAAGTCAGTTGAAGACATCTGAGCCAAGTAGGAGAAAAAAATGCATACAGGACCACACACGCTCAGTTCCATGTTGAGAGTTGCATCTCTCATCAGCTTCCTTGATCCTCAATCCAAATCAGTGAAACTTAGCAGGTTCATATTTTTTTCCTTATTTCATATTTTAATAACCACCATTGTATGAATACAGCACATACTTTATATATATGTCACAAACTTTATTTTCCATTTCTCAGCAATTAAAATCTCTGGCCTATGGCATTATATTGAGTGATGGACTTGGTAGCTTAGATGGCCATGGTCTATGACAGACCTGAGTTCAAAACGTGGCTCTGCCATTTACCACCTATAATGACATTGGACAAACTCTTTATTTCTCTAACCTAAATTTGTACATCTTCCACTAACCAATGCCTCATATTGATTTTGTGGAAATTACATGAGGAAATGAATAAAAAGTGATGAACACACTTAATATAGAGCATCAAAATACACAAAGCAAGAACTGATAGAACTGAAAGATAAAATAGACAAACCTGCTATTAGAGTTGGAGACTTCAACACTCCTCTGTCAGTAATTGACGATCCAGCCAGCAGAAAATCAGTAAGGACAGAGTTGACCTGAACAGTACTATCAATCAACTTGATCTAATTAACATTTACAGAATATTCTGTCCAACAGCAGCAGGATACATATTCTTCTCAAGCTTACATGGAGCATGCAGTAAGATAGACCACATTCTAGGCCATAAAGAGATGAACATGATGCCCATCACATAGTAAGTGCTTGAAAACTTTTGGCTCAAAACATACTCACTCAAATTAGAAATGATACTAACCATTTCTCAAAATCCATTGAGACTGTTCTTGGCACTTGACTTGCATTAGCTCTGATCAATGCTTACAAGGTAAATATTATTGTACCCATTTTCCCAAATTCAATGTTAATAAGTTAGCAATATCTGTAAAGTAGTAGACTGTGGCACTGTTTCAATAAGCTCTATTTGGTAATGATAATATTAATAAGATTATTATTAAAATAAATACCTAAGACTTATTTACCATTTATCATGTGCCAGCCACTATTTTAAAGATACACAAATTAGTCATTTAATCTTCACAATAACTTTATAAATTTGGTGCTATTTTTATCCCTGATCTTACCAATGAGGAAACTGAGGCTCAGAGGGATTAATTAGCTAGTAATTGGTAGTGCTGGATTCCATTCCAGGCAATCTGGCTCCGGAGTCTGTGCACTTAATCTGACTAGAGGAAAACCAGAAGCATTATTTTGTTTCCTTTCATCACAGTACTGCTTTACTGGATGAAGATTTTATTCACAGGTTGGGGAAGAACAGATCTTTCCCTGACCTTTTTGCTTCTGAAAGCCAAGATTCCTCAAGGACAGTTTCTCTTTATTTATTCTCAGATAGCTTTCTAACATTTTCATTATTGCTTTTGAGCCAGTCTGTGTGTGTGTGTGTACTGCTATAGTGTGTGTGTGTACTCCTATAGAAAAAGTGGAAACTTAGAAAAATATAAAGAATAAACCTATTACTTTATATCCCACTCATAATCACCTAATACTTTGGTGTGTCTCCTCCTTCTATGCATGTTTTTTTTTTTCCAAAAGCTGGGGTCACGTACAGTATCATGTACTTTTAAAGCCAGACCTGCAATCCTGTGCCCATTCCTGATGTATGTCCATATTCACAGCATTTTGCTTACAGACATTTGCTCAGTTGGCATGGAGAACATTAGGAGTGGGTGAGGTTCCATTAGACCAACCCAAATTTTCCTACTCATCTCCCTCCCTTTTCAACTGAGAGTGATTTCTATTTTTGCTCACTGTTAGCAGTGACATGTCTAATGGGAGCTGAATGACTGTGTCGTACAATCTAGAGGCAGAGCAAGCAGAATCCATCTAGAAAGAAACAGCAAAAAGGAAATCTGTTTAAGTCCAACCTCCCAACACTCATGGTACCCTCCTCCCCACCGCCTCTCCTTCAGAGCTTGGCACACATTGTGAACCTGTTTGCTAAAATCTCACACTCCATTTCCCCTGATTTCCTACTTTGCCCCAGGTCCTTGGCTACATTAGAGCAAAGTTTACATTTACCAAGAGACAGGTTATAAAATGAAGAGCTCTTATATTTCATTTTGGGCATTTGTTTGGCATGGGATTACCTCCAAACCTTGTTTTTCCACAAACACCTAATGGAATCACTAATTAATTACCCCACTGGAGCAAGAACAGTGTAAGAAAGACGTATTTAGATTCAGCAGATAATCAAATCAGATCAGATTAATTTTGCTTAGATTTCTTTTCATATAGCACTTAAGAGTCTAATTCTGGCCTCAAAGCAAGCCATAAAATAGGTCACTTCAACAAAGCTGAAAAAAACAACTAGGCTGTTACACACCACTTGTGTGACATGATGTGAGTAGTAAAACACTGATCCAATTTCAAGCAGATTAGGGTCACGATTTTCAGCAAAATCAAACATTTCAGCACTTGGTCTACCATGGAAGGGCTTTGGCCACCATTCACTGCTGGCGGTGATGGTGGGCAGGTAGTCGCCTTCCTAGAAAATGCTAACTGATGGCCCTAAGACCCAGTCTTGTAAAATGGCAGCTAATTGCCAGGCATCCTGTTTGTGGTTCCCAGACTGTTTCACTTTGCTTAAAGTCGAGTCACCTAGCCAGAGTAATTGCATGGGGTACAGCCAAGCCAATGGAAAGGCTTGCATTTAAGAGACTGCCACCACTCAGGCCAGCCCCAGCCCAGCCCCAGCCCTAGGACAGGGTTGGCCCCAGCCCCACCTGATGAAGCTACCGATTGTCTTCAGGGAGGGATCCACAGAATGCTATGCTAAAGTGTCCTGTTAGGGCTTGTCACACCTGGGACTAAGCTGGCCACTGCTGGGGCTTGTCTCTTGAGGCTATAAGGGGGAAATTAATTGCAACAGCTGTGGCCTAATGTGTCCCTAAGCACCTTTTTGATCTGATGGTAAAGACAACAACAGAGAAAATAATATTAATATATCTAAAATGCTCAAGGATGTTTCCCCAAGGTTCAGCTGGGTGTGGTTTTGACCTAATCATGCCAGGATCACATGAAAACCATGCTGGTTAACTTTTAAACATTAACAATGACAGTTGATGGGCACATAATGACTGTCAAGAATTATATGTGTTTCCGAGCATTTATTTACTTAATCTTGTAAAAATTAAGCTATGACTTCTGCAACTCCTGGTCAAAGCAGGTAACTCCTTAAACAAAAGTTACCTGCTTTGACCTTAACATAGTACATTGAAGTGTTTCTATGAGTTGTATGTGTTTCTGGGGTTTTATTTAATGAATCCAATAATTTCATTTTTTTTTAATGTTTGATCTCTTATTGCAAAGTTTAAGAGTTTTACGTTACATAAAAATAGCTGTAAGAACTCTATGAAACACAGAAAAAAATATCCACTGAGGTGTTGGAGGAGAGATTGAATTCATTCTGACTGAAATGCAAGTCTGCAAAATAGAAGGCAGAGAATTTTGAAAAAAGAATGGAATAACCAGAAATAATAAGAGCAAAAATGAGAGGATTCTGAATAAACAGAAATATGAAATATTAATAATTCCCAAGATGTAATCAGTGAGAAAGAATATAGCATAAGCAAAGTCTTTTATAAACAGGAACGAGCTATCACATAGGTGCCAAACAAAAACATTAAAATTTGACATAATGAAAATGTTTCACTTGTTAAATTTAACCTAAAGTGGCCTCTTTGTAAATTTGGCCTAAAGATGTCTCTGTACATAGTGAACTATAACCTAACTGGATGTGTAGACAGATTGTAACCTACTCTTATGCCAAACACTGAATTTCAGCCAATCAAATGTGGCCAACTCTTCAAATTGTGTTCAAATAAGGCAAATGCCGACCTGTAACCAATCTGGCTGTTTCTGTACCTCACCTCCATTTTCTGTACATCACTGTCCTTTTTCTGCTCATAAATCTTCAACCACAAGGTAGCACTGGAATCTCTATGAACCTATTCTGGTTTGGGGGCTGCCCAATTCATGAATCATTTTTTGCTCAACTAAATTCTTTAAATTTGATTTGTCTGAGGTTTTTCTTTTAACACACTCAATCCATTGTGTGTAAGAGACAAGCCAGGCACCCACCAATCCATTTTCCTCTTCCTCCTGGACACACAACTAGACTACATTTCCCAGACTTCCCTGCAGTTAGCTTTAGCCCTGTGCCTAAGTTCTGGTAAGGGGATGTGAGTCAGAAGCCATGTTCACCAACTCCATGCTTGGCCAGGTGCCTCTCATGCAATCCACCATGACTTTTCTCTCTTTTCTCATCTACTAGCTAAATGCTGAGAATCCAGCAGAGGACTTCGAGGCTTAAGAGTATAGTGGAGGCCAGGTGCGGTGGCTCACACCTGTTCATCCCAGCACTTAGGGAGGCTGAAGCAGGCAGATCACCTGAGGTCAGGAGTTTAAAACCAGCCTGGCCAACATGGTGAAAACCTGTCTCTACTAAAAATACAGAAATTTAGCCAACCATATTGGTGGGTCCCTGTAATCCCAGCTACTCAGGAGGCTGAGGTGGGAGAATCGCCTGAACCCGGGAGGCAGAGGTTGCAGTGAGCCGAGATTGCTCCCAATCCGGCCTGGGCAACAAGAGCAAAACTCTGTCTCAAAAAAGTGGAGCTGCTAGGTAAAGGAGAAGACCCTCTGCCATGTTGGGCTGCAAGGTGAACAAGAGATAACTACTGGGCCAAGCCACTGAGATATGGGGCTAACACACACTGAGGAGTGATCTCTTAGATTGCAAGTACAAGACACATCCAAAGCAAATTGATAGGCTATGTACGCCAGGGCAGAACTCTGTTACCATTGATGGTACAAGATTGCTTCACCTCTTATATTTATTCAGGGACAAATTTAAGTTGTTCTTTCAAAGATTTCATTATTAGACCCTTTAACATGTTGGATTTGAAAAGTAAAAGAGTCTTTATGATGTTTAGAATAAACTATTATAATCAAACATGTCATCATATTATGAATAACAGTTACATATAGTAAACACAGTTATAGTGTTGTTAAAGTCCAAAGAAAACATTTTATCTAACATCATGTAAGACAAAAGCACTAAATTTTATTTTACATCATCTTCTCTCAAACCTCTACACTTTTCTCCTATGGGAATTTTCTGACTATCCATGACTTCAGTTACAATCTATGTGTTGGTGACACTCAGATCTACATCTGCAGTCCAGATATGTATCTCTAACCCAGATTTTTCTCAAGATTTGAACCATGTATCCAGTTGCTTCCTGGGAATTTTCACTTGGGTGCCCAACATAACAGGAATCCAAATGCATAAGTCATTGAGCTACAAAGGACTAGTAGAAATTACCTTTATTGGATACTGTAGGTTATCTCCTTAGTATTAATTTCCCTTCACTTTTCCATTTTCTTCCTTCCAAAGAGAACACAGATTTGGTTCATGTATGTATGCCTCTCCACCCAGCAATGTCCCTAGGGGAAGCTGACCCCACTCTCAACTCCAGGGGTGATCTGTTTAGGCTGATCTGTTCAGGACTGAACCAAATGTGCCAATGACAGTTGTAGAGGTGTCTGCTGGAAGGGCTCTGGGAAAACTTTCCTTACTCCTTAGAAAGAACTACAAGAAAAGACAGGAAAGAGGGGCAGGTGAAAGTGGGGAGGGGAAGCAACAAGGAAAAACAGGCATAGAGTACAGCCTAGAGATTCAGTGCACGTGTTCTTATGCTAGATTGCCTGGGTTTGAATCTACCACTTACAAATTATGTACCTTCAGTAAATTACTTAGTCTTTCAATGCCTCAGCTTTTTTCATTTGTAAAATGAGTTTTGAGGGAGAAAACAAATGAGTTAATGTATGCAATGTATATAAACTCACATAGTAAGCACCATATGACTCTTGCTAATTATTATGTTGCTCTGAATGTTGTTTGCTTACAACTGCTAGCATCATCTTGCTATAAGCCTGAGGATTACATAAACTCAGGATTACATAAACTCCAAGGATGCAAGGAAATTTGAAGCAACGTTCTTAAAAAATCCACTGAAGCAAAAAAAAGACAAAAAGAAAAGAAAGAACCTAAGTCTTCAGTGATGTGGCTGTCAGGATCATTCGACCCTCTACCCTGCTATGCAGCCTGTCATATAGGATTAGAAACTCCATTACTGTTCAAGTCTTATTGTTTGGATTAAGTTTTCTGTTACTTGCAGCCAAATGCATCAACTTGACACATTAAAACTAGTATAGGGCTGTCAAAACTTTCTGAAACCATGGAATCTTTTTTTAAAAATTATTAATAACATGAGTAAAAAACTGAATTTTTCCTATTAAAGAATGAAAACATTTTAGATAAGGTTAAAGTCCTTTCTGATTAACCATCTCCAGTTCTCATCCACTTCTTTCCCCATCCCCAGAGGTAACCACAGTGTACATCTTTTGTATGTGTTCTTTTATAATTTTTAATTTACTTATATAGATATCTGTATCCAAGGAAAATACATAGCATTGTTTGTATGTGTGTTAATGTAAGTGGTTTTATATTGTTGTTAAGTTGCTTCTTCAGTCAACAATGCATTTTAGAGAGGTAGTTATATTAGTATATAGATCAACTTTGTTTTTTGTAACTGTTACAAAGTATTTCGAAGTGTTAATATTCAACAGCTTATTTAGCCAACCACCAACTGATGGGCTATTATGTTTTTTTCAGTTTTATCTTATCTTTTTTGTTTGTTTTTGTTTTGTTTTGTTTTTTTGAGATGGAGTCTCACTCTGCTGCCCAGGCTGGAGTGCAATAGCACAATCTCGGCTCACTGCAACCACTGCCTCCCAGATTCAAGCAATTTTCCTGTCTCAGCCTCCTGAGTAGCTGGGACTACAGGTGTGCACCACCATTTTTGTATTTTTGGTAGGGACAGGTGTATTTTTGGTAGGGACAAGGTTTCACCATGTTGGCCAGACTCATCTTGAACTTCTGACCTCAAGTGATCCTCCCCACTCGGCCTCCCAAAGTGCTGGGATTATAGGTATGAGCCACCGTGCTCAGCCATATCTTTATGTTTTTTAATCCAATCTGACTGTATCTGATTTTCAATGCAGTTGTGTATCTTTTTAAAATATATTTTCTCCCAATTATATGGCCTTGGTATGAAAAGAGGAGAGATACAGCAGGCACTCAATTCAACATCTTGAAACCACGAGTTGTGTCAACCATGAAATCTTTGTATATTTACATGTTTTGAGTTGTAATAATATGTGTGCGTATTAAAGTGGTGCTAGAATACTCCAAAGTAAATGAATTATTCATGAAGCTATCCAGATAAGAACATCAGGGTGATAGCCTTGGAGGTTATAATAAGCTTTTCACTTTTTTACAGAGATTTAATTTAAGGGTTAATAAAGCAAACTGCTAATTTCATTGACCATTAATGAAATTAAACCACTAATGAAGTAAAACTATTCATCTAATTTACTAAACTTCACTCAAGTAAACTTACTAAAGTTGAAAAAAGTTTATTAAATTCAAACTGATGAGATTAGGTTATTTCTGAACTCAGGTTCTATTTTCTTGTGTACTGTCAAATAGGATTCTTATATTCATTTGTTACTAAGTATACCCAAGTATAAGAAAAGCAATGATTAACATTTGTTTATCTTTTGGTAAATTCATTTATCTAATTTACTATTTATTAGTAAGTGATGAATAGTAAATTATTCATCTAATTTACTAAACTTCATTCAAGTTTAGTAAATTACTTCAATTTAGTAAATTCAGTAAATTAATCTAATTTACTAAACTTTATTCAAGTTTAGTAAATTTACTTGAATGAAGTTTAGTAAATTAGATGAATAGTTTACTATTCATCATTTACTATTGAATAGTAAATTAGATAAATGAATTTACGAAAAGATAAATAAATGTTAATCATTGCTTTTCCTATACTTGGATAGACTTAGTAACAAATGTACTACTAACGAATATAAGACTGCTATTTGACAATACACAAGAAAATAGAACCTAAGTTCAGAAATAACCTAATCTCATCAATTTGATCCATGAAAAGAATTCAGCAATTTTACAAAATTTTCAAGGCCTAGACGTAATTTGGTAAAAACCTCCAAGCACCCACAGCTGTTGTACAAAACAGTTAGGAAACTCACTCTTGGTTTTAATGATTTTCAAACTATTTTTAGCAGGGTCTCTGTGGCTCCTACAGTGACTTTGGAGCCACTTGGGAAGATAAGGAATGGAAAAGAGAAGAAATGTGGCTTCAGCCGTGCCCTCACCTCAACCAAACAACATCACTTTTCATGAGTTCTATATAAGGTTTCACTTGAAAAACTAATTCAGCTACCAAAAAAAAAAAAAAAAGAGATGATCTGTTCCACCATTTCCATCTCCAGTAAAGCTAATCCTAAATCCTTCATAGGCACATAACATGTATCCTCTTTGAAATGGCTTCAGAAAAGGGAATTTCTTTCACATCTCAGAGATGCCCATATCTTGATTAGGAAATTCTTCAGTGTTTCCAGCCCAGTTCCTTTAAGCTCAGCTTTCTCCGGTCATGCATCAATTTCATAGCAACCCTCATGTATTCGAAGATGATTATTTGGCTGCCCCTCAGCCTTCCCTGCTTCAGGCCAAATTGATCCTACTTCTTTTAATCCCTCTGTACAGATCCTACTTCCCAACATTTTTTGATCATCTCTGTGGGGTCCTTTTCTCTCTGAAACTTCTCCAAATTTCTTATATCTCTGTCCAATTACTGAAGCAAAAACCACATACCATAAAGTTGAGCACAATGGAAAAGAAAAGCCATCCTTCCACATAGCTCCTTTGGGCTTTAATTTGGTTCTTCTCCTGCCCTTCAAGATCTCTTTGATGACAGTGGTGAATTCAAGATGGCAACAAACTCTTTGACACTTCTCATCAAGAGGTATGGTTAATTTCATCTGCTCTTGAATCATGGCTGGCCTGTGACCAACACAGAATGGCAGAAGTAATACTATGCAAGGTTTGGTCTTCACCTTTAACAGGACCGGCAACTTCCACCTTGGCTTCTTAGAACACTTGCTCTGGCAGAGGCCAGCCAGCATGTAAAAAATCAGACCACCCTGAGATCTCCATGCTGTAAGAAAGCCCAAGCTAGCCATGTGGAGAGGCCACTATGAAGAGTGATGATCCACCAGCCCTCAGGTCTTCCAGCCATGTCAATCTTCAGAATCATGGGAGAATACTGAATGCTGTATTATACCACTATGTTTTCAGGTGCTTTATTATACAAAATAACCAGAATGATGGGCCTTTTTGTTTTTCAGCTTTATGATTTGTTTCCTTTCCCCCTTCCAGAGATCTTCCTGGACATTGGCCTTAAGGGCCCTAAAACTAAACGGGTGCAGCCTAAGGGTTCTACCATGAATTAACCCTATCTTATCTACCCACAAAAGTGATGATTTCCCCTGCTTGCTCTCTAGTTTTTTTTTTGCTTTGTGTCTTTTAAAAAATCATTTTACAAGAATATCTCAACAAATAGTTCCCATCAATGAGAATTTCTCTTGTATATATATTCTGCTTTCCTTAAAACAGTGTTTCTAAGATGGCCAAATAGGAACAGCTCCAGTCTACAGCTCCCAGTGTGAGCGACGCATAAGATGGGTGATTTCTGCATTTCCAACTGAGGTACCGGGTTCATCTCGTTGGAGCTTGTCAGACAGTGGGTGCAGGACAGTGGGTGCAGCACACCAAGCGTGAGCCAAAGCAGGGCGAGGCATCGCCTCACCCGGGAAGCACAAGTGGTCAGGGAAATCCCTTTCATAGCCAAGCAAAGCTGTGACAGATGGCAGCTGGAAAATCGGGTCTCTCCCACCCTAATACTGTGATTTTCCAATGGTCTTAGCAAACAGCACACCAGGAGATTATGTCCCGTGCCTGGCTCAGAGGGTCCCACGCCCACGGAGCCTCGCTCATTGCTAGCACAGCAGTCTGAGATAGAACTGCAAGGCAGCAGCCGGGCTGGGGGAGGGGAGCCCACCATTGCTGAGGCTTGAGTAGGTAAACAAAGCAGCCAGGAAGCTCGAACTGGGTGGAGCCCACCACAGCTCAAGGAGGCCTGCCTGCCTCTGTAGACTCCACCTCTGGGGGCAGGGCATAGCCCAACAAAAGGCAGCAGAAACCTCTGCAGACTTAAATGTCCCTGTCTGACAGCTTTGAAGAGAGTAATGGTTCTCCCAGCACAGAGTTTGAGATCTGAGAATGGACAGACTGCCCCCTCAAGTGGGTCCCTGACCCCCGAGTAGCCTATCTGGGAGGCACCCCCCACTAGGGGCAGACTGACATCTCGCACGGCCAGGTACCCCTCTGAGACGAAATCTCCAGAGGAACAATCAGACAGCAACATTTGCTGTTCAGCAATATTCGCTGTTCTGCAGCCTCCGCTGCTGATACCCAGGCAAACAGGGTCTGGAGTGGACCTCCAGCAAACTCCAACAGACCTGCTGCTGAGGGTCCTGACCGTTAGAAGGAACTAACAAACAGAAAGGACATCCACACCAAAACCCCATCTGTACGTCACCATCATCAAAGACCAAAGGTAGGTAAAACCACAAAGATGGGGAAAAAACAGAACAGAAAAACTGAAAATTCTAAAAATCAGCACCTCTCCTCCTCCAAAGGAACACAGCTCCTCACCAGCAACGGAACAAAGCTGGACAGAGAATGACTTTGACGAGTTGAGAGAAGAGGGCTTCAGATAATCAAACTACTCTGAGTACAGGAGAAAATTCAAACCAAAGGCAAAGAAGTTGAAAACTTTGAAAAAAATTTAGACGAATATATAACTAGAATAACCAATACAGAGAAGTGCTTAAAGGAGCCAATGGAGCTGAAAGCCAAGGCTCAAGAACTACGTGAAGAATGCAGAAGCCTCAGGAGCCAATGCAATCAACTGGAAGAAAGGGTATCAGTGATGGAAGATGAAATGAATGAAATGAAGTGAGAAGGGAAGTTTACAGAAAAAAGAATAAAAAGAAACAAACAAAGCCTCCAAGAAATATGGGACTATGTGAAAAGACCAAATCTGCATCTGATTGGTGTACCTGAAAGTGACGGGGAGAATGGAACCAAGTTGGAAAACACTCTGCAGGATATTATCCAGGAGAACTTCCCCAATCTAGCAAGGCAGGCCAACATTCAGATTCAGGAAACACAGAGAACACCACAAAGATACTCCTCGAGAAGAGCAACTCCAAGACACATAACTGTCAGATTCACCAAAGTTGAAATGAAGGAAAAAGTGTTAAGGGAAGCCAAAGAGAAAGGTCGGGTTACCCAAAAGGGAAGCCCATCAGACTAACAGCTGATCTCTCTGCAGAAAATCTACAAGCCAGAAGAGAGTGGGGGCCAATATTCAACATTCTGAAAGAAAAGAATTTTCAACCCAGAATTTCATATCCAGCCAAACTAAGCTTCACAAGTGAAGGAGAAATAAAATCCTTTACAGACAAGCAAATGCTGAGAGATTTTGCCACCACTAGGCCTGCCCTAAAAGAGCTCCTGAAGGAAGCACTAAACATGGGAAGGAACACCAGTACCAGCCACTGCAAAAACATGCCAAATTGTAAAGACCATCGAGGCTAGGAAGAAACTGCATCAACTAACGAGCAAAATAACCAGCTAACATCATAATGCCAGGATCAAATTCACACATGACAATATTAACCTTAAATGTAAATGGGCTAAATGCTCCAATTAAAAGACACAGACTGGCAAATTGGATAAAGAGTCAAGAGCCATCAGTGTGCTGTATTCAGGAAACCCATCTCACGTGCAGAGACACACATAGGCTCAAAATAAAGGGATGGAGTAAGATCTACCAAGCAAATGGAAAACAAAAAAAGGCAGGGGTTGCAATCCTAGTCTCTGATAAAACAGACTTTAAACCAACAAAGATCAAAAGAGACAAGGCCACTGCATAATGGTAAAGGGATTAATTCAACAAGAAGAGCTAACTATCCTAAATATATATGCACCCAATACAGGAGCACCCAGATTCATAAAGCAAGTCCTTAGAGACCTACAAAGAGACTTAGACTCCCACACAATAATAATGGGAGACTTTAAAACCCCACTGTCAACATTAGACAGATCAATGAGACAGAAAGTTAACAAGGATATCCAGGAATTGAACTCAGCTCTGCACCAAGCGGACCTAATAGGCATCTACAGAACTCTCCACCTCAAATCAACAGAATATACATTCTTCTCAGCACCACACCTATTCCAAAATTGACCACATAGTTGGAAGTAAAGCACTCCTCAGCAAATATAAAGAACAGAAATTATAACAAACTGTCTCTCAGACCACAGTGCAATCAAACTAGAACTCAGGATTAAGAAACTCACTCAAAACCACTCAACTACATGGAAACTGAACAACCTGCTCCTGAATGACTACTGGGTACACAACGAAATGAAGGCAGAAATAAAGATGTTCTTTGAAACCAACGGGAACAAAGACACAACATACCAGAATCTCTGGGAAACATTCAAAGCAGTGTGTAGAGGGAAATTTATAGCACTAAATGCCCACAAGAGAAAGCAGGAAAGATCTAAAACTGACACTCTAACATCACAATTAAAAGAACTAGAGAAGTAAGAGCAAACACATTCAAAAGCTAGCAGAAGGCAAGAAATAACTAAGATCAGAGCAGAACTGAAGGAAATAGAGGCACAAAAAACCCTTCAAAAAATCAGTGAATCCAGGAGCTGGTTTTTTGAAAAGATCAACAAAATTGATAGACCACTAGCAAGGCTAATAAAGAAGAAAAGAGAGAAGAATCAAATAGAAGCAATAAAAAACGATAAAGGGGATATCACCACCGATCCCACAGACATACAAACTGCCATCAGAGAATACTATAAACACCTCTACGCAAATAAACTAGAAAATCTAGAAGAAATGGATAAATTCCTGGACACATACACCCTCCCAAGACTAAACCAGGAAGAAGTTGAATCTCTGAATAGACCAATAACAGGCTCTGAAATTGAGGCAATAATTAATGGCTTACCAACCAAAAAAAATCCAGGACCAGATGGATTCACAGCTGAATTCTACCAGAGGTACAAGGAGGAGCTGGTACCATTCCTTCTGAAACTATTCCAAACAACAGAAAAAGAAGGAATCCTCCCTAACTTATTTTATGAAGTCAGCATCATCCTGACACCAAAGCCTGGCAGAGACACAACAAAAAAAGAGAATTTTAGACCAATATCCCTGATGAACATCAATGCAAAAATCCTCAATAAAATACTGGCAAACTGAATCCAGCAGCACATCAAAAAGCTTCTCCACCATGATCAAGTGGGCTTCATCCCTGGGATGCAAGGCTGGTTCAACATACGCAAATCAATAAACGTAATCCAGCATATAAACCACATGATTATCTCAATAGATGCAGAAAAGGCCTTCAACAAAATTCAACAGCCCTTCATGCTAAAAACTCTGAATAAATTAGGCATTGATGGGATGTATCTCAAAATAATAAGAGCTATTTATGACAAACCCACAGCCAATATCATACTGAATGGGCAAAAACTGGAAGCATTCCCTTTGAAAACTGGCACAAGACAGGGATGCCCTCTCTCACCACTCCCATTCAACATAATGTTGGAAGTTCTGGCCAGGGCAGTCAGGCAAGAGAAAGAAATAAAGGATATTCGATTAGGAAAAGAGGAAGTCAAATTGTCCCTGTTTGCAGATGACATGATTGTATATCTAGAAAACCCCATCATCTCAGCCCAAAATCTCCTTAAGCTGATAAGCAACTTCAGCAAAGTCTCAGGATACAAAATCAATGTGCAAAAACCACAAGCATTCTTATACACCAATAATAGACAAACAGCCAAATCATGAATGAACTCCCATTCACAATTGCTTCAAAGAGAATAAAATACCTAGGAATCCAACTTACAAGGGATGTGAAGGACCTCTTCAAGGAGAACTACAAACCACTGCTCAATGAAATAAAAGAGGACACAAACAAATGGAAGAACATTCCATGCTCATGGATAGGAAGAATCAATATCATGAAAATGGCCATACTGCCCAAGGTAATTTATAGATTCAATGCCATCCCCATCAAGCTATCAATGACTTTCTTCACAGAATTGGAAAAAACTACTTTAAAGTTCATATGGAACCAAAAAAGAGCCCACATTGCCAAGTCAGTCCTAAGCCAAAAGAACAAAGCTGGAGGCATCACACTACCTGACTTCAAACTATACTACAAGGCTACAGTAACCAAAACAGCATGGTACTGGTACCAAAACAGAGATATAGACCAATGGAACAGAGCAGAGCCCTCAGACATAATGCCACATATCTACAACTATCTGATCTTTGACAAACCTGACAAAAACAAGAAATGCGGAAAGGATTCCCTACTTAATAAATGGTGCTGGGAAAACTGGCTAGCCATATGTAGAAAGCTGAAACTGGATCCCTTCCTTATACCTTATACAAAAATTAATTCAAGATGGATTAAAGACTTAAAGACTTAAATGTGAGACCTAAAACCATAAAAACCCTAGAAGAAAACCTAGGCAATACCATTCAGGACATAGGCATGGGCAAGGACTTCATGTCTAAAACACCAAAAGCAATGGCAACAAAAGACAAAATTGACAAATGGGATCTCATTAAACTAAAGAGCTTCTGCACAGCAAAGAAACTACCATCAGAATGAACAGGCAACCTACAGAATGGGAGAAACTGTTTGCAATCTACTCATCTGACAAAGGGCTAATATCCAGAATCTACAATGAACTCAAACAAATTTACAAGAAAAAAACAAACAACCCCATCAAAAAGTGGGTGAAGGATATGAACAGACACTTCTCAAAAGAAGACATTTATGCAGCCAACAGACACATGAAAAAGTGCTCATCATCTCTGGCCATCAGAGAAATGCAAATCAAAACCACAGTGAGATACCATCTCACACCAGTTAGAATGGCGATCATTAAAAAGTCAGGAAACAACAGGTGCTGGAGAGGATGTGGAGAAATAGGAACACTTTTACACTGTTGGTGGGACTGTAAACTAGTTCAAGCATTGTGGAAGTCAGTGTGGCGATTCCTCAGGGATCTAGAACTAGAAATACCATTTGAGCCAGCCATCCCATTACTGGGTATATACCCAAAGGAATATAAATCATGCTGCTATAAAAACACATGCACACGTATGTTTACTGCGGCACTACTCACAATAGCAAAGACTTGGAACCAACCCAAATATCCAACAATGATAGACTGGATTAAGAAAATGTGGCACATATACACCATGGAATACCATGCAGCCATAAGAAAGGATGAGTTCATGTCCTTTGTACGGACATGGATGAAGCTGGAAAGCATCATTCTCAGCAAACTATTGCAAGGACGAAAAACCAAACACCGGGGAACATCACACACCGGGGCCTGTTGTGGGGTTGGGGGAGGGGGAAGGGATAGCATTAGGAGATATACCTAATGTAAATGACGAGTTAATGGGTACAGCACAACAACATGGCACATGTATACATATGTAACAAACCCGCACGCTGTGCACATGTACCCTAGAACTTAAAGTATAATACAAAATATATATATATATAATAAAAAAAAACAGTGGGAGAAAGGGTAAATAAACATGATACATCCACAAGATAACATATTTAAAAAAAAACCAGAAAAACAGTGTTTCTGTCTTCCAATTATAGCTTATTTCCCAAAGCTGACCAAGTTCTGTGATGTAGATGAAGTTGCAAAGTCTAGCACATTTTTTAAGTAGAGCAACATGCTTGTACTATTCAATATTCACAAGGATTTTTAATTCTATGAAGTAGATCTATACCTTAGGGACTTCCTGGGTCATAAAGGAAATTATAGCTGGGGAATGATGTCGCCAGTTTAAAACCCAGGTGTTTTAATTAATTCACAGGTTAGAAGATAGTATCAACAACAGGAAATGTGGGCAGTTTCTTTGAACTGAGTTCATTTAAACTACATATTTGTAGAGAATCATTCATTTGTGCAAGGAGGTATAATCATCCTTCCAATGGTGTGACTGGGAGCCAGGGACACACAGGAGATGAGGTCATCCTTCCCCACCAGGCAGTGGAGTTTTGTTGTTGTGCCCCAAGAATCACAAACAATAGAAAACAAATTTATGTTTCAAAGTTCCCCTCACTATACATTACCTGAGAGTCCAGTTTGACAATAACATATCATAGAAATAAGAAAAAGTTCAAAAACCAAGCACTTAACCTCCCCCAGCAGTCTTAAATCAGTCTAAATCAGCAGTCTAAAACAGACTGATTTAGGGGGTTGGTTGCTCAGATGGAGTAGTACATAAGACCCATGGGTTAATTGGTACCCTGTCGCCTCATGGAAAAGGTTGTTTGGATCTGTCTACCTGAATAAAGTAACTGCAGAAAGAAAATAAATAAATGAGACATAGTGTTAGTATCAGCTATAGTGAGCAGCATCAAAAATATCTATTGTTAAGTAATTGTTAAAAAAATTGTAACTTTTATTTTAGGTTCAGGGGTACATACTTAGTTTCGTTATACAGGTAAACTCATGACTCAGGGGTTTGCTGTATAAACTAATTTATCATCTGGTTACTAAGCATAGTACCCAACAGGGTTTTTTTTGTTTTGTTGTTTGTTTTATCTAAACCTCTCCCTCCTCCCACCTCCCACCCTCAAGGAGGACCCAGTGTCTGTTATTCCCCTCTTTCTGTTCATGTGTTCTCATCATTTAGCTTCCACTTATAAGTGAGAACATGTGGTATTTGGTTTTCTGTTCCTGCATTAGTTTACTAAGGATAATGGCCTCCAGTTCCATCCAGGTTCCTGCAGAGGACATGATCTTATTCTTTTTTATGGCTGCATAGTATTCCATGGTATATATGCACCACATTTTCTTTATTCAGTCTACTGTTGTAGGGCATTTAGGTTAATTCCATGTTTATGCTACTGTAAATAGTGCTGCAGTGAATATATGCATGCATGTGTCTTTATGGTAGAATCATTTCTATTGTTTTGGATATATATGCAGTAGTGGGATTGCTGGGTCAAATGGTAGTTCTGGTTTTAGTTCTTTGAGGAATCACCACACTGTTTTCCACAATGGTTGAACTAATTTACACTCCCATTAGCAGTGAATAAGCATTCCCTTTTCTCTGCAACCTCACCAGCATCTGTTATTTTTTGACTTTTTTAACAATAGCCATTCTGACTGCTGTGAGATGGTATCTCACTGCGGTTTTTATTTGCATTTCTGTAATGATTAGTGATATTGAGCATTTTTCATACGTTTGTTGGCCGCATGTATGTCTTCTTTTGAAAAGTGTCTGTTTGTGTCCTTTGCCCATTTTTTAATGGGGTTGTTTGGTTTTTGCTTTACGTTTAAGTTCCTTGTAGATTCTGGATATTAGACCTTCATCAGATGTATATTTTACAAATATCTTCTCCCATTCTGTAGGTTGCCTTTTTTACTCTGTTGAAAGTTACTCTTGCTGTGCAGAAGCACTTTAGTTTAATTTGTCAATTTTTTCTTTTGTTGCAATTGCTTTTGGCATTTTCATCATGAAATCTTTGCCAGTTTCTATGTCCAAAATGGTATTTCCTAGGTTATCTTCCAGGTTTTTATAGTCTTAGGTTTTACATTTAGGTCTTTAATCCATCTTGAGTTGATTTTTGTACACTGTGAAAGGATGAGGTCCAGCTTCAATCTTCTGCATATGGCCAGCCAGTTATCCCAGCACCATTTACTGAATAGAGAGTCCTTTCCCCATGCTTGTTTTCGTCAGTTTTGTCAAAGATCAGATTGTTGTAGGTGTGTCTCTTTATTTCTGGGCTCTCACAGAATGAGAAAAAACTATTTACAAATTCATATGGAACCAAAAAAGCGCCCAAACAGCCAAGGCAATCCTAAGCAAAAAGAACCAAGCTGGGGGAATCACACTGCCCAACTTCAAACTGTACTGCAAGCTACTGTAACCAAAACAGCACGGTACTGATACAAAAACAGACATGTAGACCAATGTAAGTACTTTTTAAAGCTTATCATTTGCCTTATAATTTAGTTATTATACTTATATTTATTTATTTATATATTGTATATTATTTATTATATGGTATATTAATATATACATATATTTATATTTACAATTTTTTTTTTTTTTTTTTTTTGAGACGGAGTCTCGCTCTGTCGCCCAGGCCGGACTGCGGACTGCAGTGGCTCAATCTCGGCTCACTGCAAGCTCCGCTTCCCGGGTTCACGCCATTCTCCTGCCTCAGCCTCCCGAGTAGCTGGGACTACAGGCGCCCGCCACCACGCCTGGCTAATTTTTTTGTATTTTTAGTACAGACGGGGTTTCACCTTGTTAGACAGGATGGTCTCGATCTCCTGACCTCATGATCCACCCGCCTCGGCCTCCCAAAGTGCTGGGATTACAGGTGTGAGCCACCGCGCCTGGCCTACAATTATTTTTTAACTTACGGAAGTTTTACTTATTCAGACACATAGACCCATCTTCTTTAGGGTTTCCATCTTTGATATTGTTTAGACAGACAGTCACCAAATAAAAAGCCACCTTCCATAAAGTGCTTGTAGCCATGGTCTCTCTTCCTGGAGAAAGTCCATCTTTAAGGTGAGTAGATCTCACCCTAGGCTTCTGGGTTGACATTATCTGGGGCAGTGGGGACTACATTAAAACCTCACTTATTTTATTGGCCAAGATAGGTATACATTCTCCTTTAATTTGGTTGCCTTTGGCAGACATGTCTTGTGCTTGGCCCTGGGCCCTCCCAGCCCCATTATTATTGTTATTATTATTATTTCACTTATTTATTTTTTTGAGACGGAGTCTCGCTCTGTCGCCCAGGCTGGAGTGCAGTGGCGCGATCTCGGCTCACTGCAAGCTCCGCCTCCCGGGTTCACGCCATTTTCCTGCCACAGCCTCCCGAGTAGCTGGGACTACAGGCGCCCGCCACCATGCCTGGCTAATTTTTTTTGCATTTTTAGTAGAGACGGGGTTTCACCGTGTTAGCCAGGATGGTCTCGATCTCCTGACCTCGTGATCCACCTGCCTCGGCCTCCCAAAGTGCTGGGATTACAGGCGTGAGCCACCACACCCGGCCCCCAGCCCCATTATTTTTGCACCTGGTCACTTCCCACCGAAGTTACCCACCTGGCCCTTGCAGGCATGTGCATAGGAAGCCTGGCTGCACAGGACCTCCTGACCAGAGAAGAAACAGAACTCAATCAGAAAAATCCGAGGGAAGTACTCTGACCCAGCTTAGGTAGCTATGGCTAGAAGGTTGGGGTCTGTTTCCAGAAGAAAGGGGAGAGAGAGAGGAAAAGGAGTGAGGCAAAGGAGAGCTATCGTATTGCTCCTGTAATACGATAGGATCAGTATTGCTCCTGCTGCTGGAGTCTTCAAGTATGTCATGAGTTCAGCTCTGTAAGAGAGGACCTAACTGAGTGGGCTAGCCACTATTATTCCAGAGAGGCAGAGACAGGTATAACTACATAAGCTATTGACCAGCTAAAGAATGAATATTCTTAGGTCCAATGCCCTCCCTCAGTCTAATCCTCAGAAGTCAACAGGGCCAGGGCCTTGGAATACAGGCATGATGGCCTACACATGAGGAAGTGCTCAGAAGGGGCTGTGGGTATGGTAGGCATCCTTTGGCTTTGTCTGAGTGAGCATTATAACTGGCATGCACCTGCTTAACAGGTCCAATATGTCACTTACAAACTGCCAAGAACTATACTAATCATACTGTTTTACTTAATTGTCTTAATAGCTTTTGAGCTGAGGCTCATTGTTCTCATTTTCTAAGACACATGAGAGCAAATATATATATTAAACTATTAGGACAAGACTTTAGAATCTGGCTGGTATTGTAAGATCACAATAAGTATTGTTGTCAACTCAATTCAGTGAGACAGAGTCATCTTAACTTTCCAGCAATGCACAATATTTTAACACTCAACCAGCCCTAAACAAGGTCATGGCTAACAGCAGCACAAACACCCAGCAGATTCAGTACCAAAAGCAAAATTGTGAGATTAAGTATCAAAGAGTTCCTAAGGGTGTCCTCTTAGTCCGTTCAGGCTGCTATAACAAAATGCCATAAACTAGGAGGCTTACAAACAACAGGAATTCATTTCTCACAGTTCTGGAAGCTGAGAAGTCCAAGATCGAGGTGCTACCAGATTCAGTGAAGGTCAATTTGTCACTGTGTCCTCAAATGATGGAAAGGAAGAACTCTGGTCTCTTCAGCCCCTTATAATATAAAGGTCCATCCTCATGACCTAATCATGTTCAAAAGGCCCCACCTCCTAATACCATCACATGGGGGGTTAGGATTTCAACATATGAATTTTTGTGAGGGAGACACAAACATTTAGACCATAACAGATTTTATGTTTAAAAATTCAAAAATTTGCAGAAGGAAGTATGGATTTTATTTTGAGGTAGTAGATCACCTCCATTAAGTAAAAATCTTTGTAAAATAAGTAATTCACTACCAAGTCCCCTACGTTTGTCTCATCAGTAAGAATGAGAATAATCAGTTATCGCTTCCCATAAACCCATTGTCTCATAAACCCTACAGCTTGGCCAGCCCCATAATTTAGCAAACTAAGGAGTCCATTTAATTTTGATAGTGTTATGGTTCATAACTAGTTCTAAAACTAGAAGACTGGAGAAAGACACATGACTAGAAGGAAGTTCCATGAAGCTACTAAATATGGTAGAAATTGGTTATACCCTAAGGAGAACACAGAAACGCAGTAGCCAAAAAGCTCCTGTCTCTGAAAACATCTCATAAGCTTTTAGAAAAGCGGAGCCAGGAAGATTCATAGACAGTCTGAATTTCTTTTCTTTTTTTAAGAGACAGGGTCTCACTCTGTCACCGAGACTGGAGTGCAGTGGTGTGATCATGGCTCACTGCATCCTCAAACTCCTAGGCTCAAATGACTTTCCCGCTTCAGCCTCTGGAGTAGCTGGGGCTATACGAGTGTACCACCATGGCTGGCTATTTTTAATTTTTTTTTTTTTTGTAGAGATGTGTGTCTCACTGTGTTGCCCAGGCTAGTCTCGAACTCTTGGGCTCAAGTGATTCTCCTGCCTCAGCCTCCCAAATCCCTGGGATTACAGGCATGAGCCACCATGCCTGACCACAGTCTGAATCTCATAGAGGAAATATTTCTATCCAGAATAGGGCTTCTGGGACCTCTAACAACTTATGCAGCAAAATGTAGCCTCTCTAGACTGCAAGCCCACCCACACTAGTCAAAAAGTTAGCATCTGTCAGTTCTCTGCTGTCCATTCTGGGGAAGAATTATGCCACAGCAAATTCTTTTTTTAGTGTGCTCACCTTTTACATTATGAAAATGGTTCAAGTTAATATAAGAAAATTTAGAATAGTAGAGAGAAGAATAAAAGAAATCACCTATAGTCCCACTATCCAGATAACCACTTTTTTTTTTTTTTTTTTTTTTTAGAGAAGGAATTTCACCATGTTGCTGAGGCTGGTCTTGAACTCCTGAGCTCAGGCAATGTGCCTGCCTCAGCCTCTCAAAGTTCTAGGATTACAGGCGTGAGCCACTTAGCCTGGCCTCCACTACCCAGATAACTACTATTAAACTTTTTAATACAGGTTAAACATCCAAAATTCAAAAACCCAAAATGCAAATGCTCCAAAATCTGAAACTTTTGAAGCACTGATGTGACACTCAAAGGAAATTCTCATTCTGAGTTTTTTGGATTTTGGATTTTTCAGTGATGCTCAGCGGGTAAGTATAATGCAAATATTCCAAAATTTAAAAAAGAAAAAATCCAAACTCCAAAACAGTTCCAATCCAAGCATTTGGATAAGGATATTCAGTCTGTAATAGGGTCCTTTCTGATCTTTCTTCCACGTATATAAAGTTTTGGTTTATTGGTTTTGTTTGTTTTATACATTGCAGTAGCTAGCCAAAATATTCACTTAGCATGCTTCTTTATTTTTTCACTTAAAATCATAACACACGTGTCCCCCTATGTGGTTATGTAAGCTTCCTAAACATTGTCTTGAATGGCTGCATAAATTCCTAATCCTGCATCAGCTCCTCCCTGCAACCCCAGCCTTCCCAGTCCAGCTCCACCCAGAGTCAGCTGGTATGTGCTTAGAAAAGGCAAGCTCATTTTATCATAAAACAGCCCTGTCCGGTAAGGAAAATCTGCTGCCCCCAAACTCCTAATGCATTTCATTACCTTTGAATTATCAGTTTGGAATTATTCACATCACTGCCCTTAATTATCCACCTCACTGCCTTCTTCATTAGCATGGAGGGTGGATCCCTGGCTGGGCTGTATTCTCTTCAGAGCTTCAGTCACTTCTGATTAGTGAGTTGCTTAGAAAATGCCCTTAGCTCCAGCAGGCCACTGCCAGTTAGTGTCCTGCACCGGCAAAGTGTTTCATTTATATTCTGTCTCTGGGTCAGCGAGGATGCGATGGGTTAGTAGGGTGGGGGATGGGGGCAGTAAGGGACGGCCAGGCCTAGGGCTGCTCCCGCCCTTACCTTCCACCTCTCCTCCTTCTACTCTGTTCTCCTTTCCTCTCTTCCCTGCCCCCCGAGCTAGTTCCTGCTTATGCGTTCTCTCTCTCTCTCTATCTCTCTCTCTCTCTCTCTCTCTCTCTCTCTCCCAATCTCTGTCCTCTCTCTCTCTCCAGCTTTCCCCTCAGCAGAAGAAAATAGTTGGGCTCTGGAAGCTTAGAGTGTGAGACAAAAGCAACCTACAATCCTATAATACTTGTCATTCCTCCACCTCCCTGGCCCTCCTGCCACTCAAGATGGCCCTGAACAAAAGGCCCCAATCTGACCCCCAAGACAGGCCAAAGCGGATTCAAAGCAGGGATTTGAATCCATTTAAGCTAAGCAAACCCGATGACCACAAACTGGCCACACTCAATTTACTAACCTCTAAGTCAAGCAGAAACCTGAGTTTTCTTTTCCTTCTTTTTTTTAATAGGAGTCAAGTAAACTGGTTTCTCAGATGTATAGACAGTATTTCTAAAGGCTTGAAGCAGGACATAAACACAGCCTCCAAAGTAAAACACAACCGTAACAACACTCTGCTATCATTCAGCATGAGTTCCTGTCAAAAGCACTTCCTTTAGAAATGATACACCTTTGCAAACTCTCTACCACTTAAAAGGAATCCCTGGTAGATAGACATGTTTTATTTTCTTAAACATTAGCCTGTAAATGCTATTGCTGAGTGTTGCTTTCTAAAAGGCTGGCAATCTCATAACCGATTGGTTTGGTTCCCATCTATTGCTCAAAAATATGTACGTGAAATATCCTGTCCCAGGACCAGGGCTTGTTGCTTACCAGCTGGGACAGTCAGAGGCTGTTTGCTCCCCAGTCCCAAGGCGAACAGAGGCTCCTTGTCTGGAAGGAGCCAGCAGGAAGTGCCTGCTGCTCTAGTGTAAACGTGGACGTTCACTTAAGAAGTCAGGCTGTCTAGAGGATGAACGCTGATCAGACAGGATGGAATAATTAGGACAGAGAGCTCTGACAGTGACAAATAGGAAAGTTTGGGTCATATCTGAGCTGTAGGCTGCTTCTGGGGCCACCATTTGCCTAAAACTTCAGCAGGATTGTTTTAGGGAATTTAAAGAAGTGACTGATTTGTACAATAGAATATTTGATCTTCAGGAAAAATGTTCTCAACTTT
Source organism: Homo sapiens (assembly GCF_000001405.40). NCBI lineage: Eukaryota > Metazoa > Chordata > Mammalia > Primates > Hominidae > Homo > Homo sapiens. Next base: position 38,490,683 of record NC_000004.12, read on the forward strand.
TCTGAGTCACCACCTACTAATAGAAACTACTGAAAAACTGCTCAGTGGTCATTTCATAGACTAGCTTCCATTGATCCCACCAGCCAATGCACTTTTCCAATTGTCTCATTTATATATTTACATACTTGCTTATTCATTTTTGTAATGAGATATTTATTAAGTATGAACTACATGCTAGGCATCTTAAGTGGGAAACAACTTGGGAAGATGCCCACTGGTCCTGGCAGAGCCTTGGCATTCTCTTATCCTCTCTCTCTCTCTCCCTTTCTCTCTCTCACACATGCACACACACAAACACACACACACACTATATGTTCTATCACTTTATCAAGCGCTTACTAGGTAGCATGCATGCTGCCAAGTACTTTATATACATTATCCTTTTATATACATTATCTTTTTTAATCCTCATGGCAACAATATGCAGTAGAAATTGTTTTCCTAATTTTCCCGTTGAGAAAATTCAAGTTCCGAGAGGTTACATAGTTTGCCCAAGATTACACAACTCACAGGTGGCAAAGTTAGGATGCAAAACAAAGTCTGACTGATTCCAAAGTCTGTGCTTTTTGATCCACTGCATGATAATGGCCTCTCTGTGCTCAGCAAACACAGGGTTGACCCCAGCAGCCAAAGATCTGGCTTCCAGTAATCTCCCACATGCTCACAAGGTGCGCCTTGAAAAAGTGGACACAGGAGACAGTGGGAAAGGCCAAAGGTGTTGATACAAAACTTCTTCAGAAAAATCATATTTTCATGCCAGATCCTAGAAAGTTCAAACTGGAGGGGACCTTGAAATTTCTCTATGCTGAACAACCTCAGATTCACCAACAGAAGAATGGGCTACATCAAATGGTCTATTCATTTAATGGAACATTATGCAGAACAAACCAGAGCCACATGCATCAACATGAATTAACCTCAAAAACATGATAGGAAATTTTTAAAAGGTAAATTGAAGAACAATGTGAATAGTCATAACACTCATTTCAAGTGTAAAAACCAGTAAAATGATGCTATACATTGTTTGTAAACAGGTATAGATATAACATAAAATGTACATGGGAATGATAAACTCCAGAAATGATTAAAGGATAATGATTATTTCCAGGGGTGAAGGAAAGAGAATAAAGTTAGGGAGGGGGTTCAGAAGAGGCTTCAAAATTATCTTCAAACATATAAAGAAGCAATCATGGAAAAGTAATAGGATATATTAGAGTGAGTGGTAGGTACAAATAGAATTGTTATATTATTCACTATGATTTTTTCAGCTGGAAATATTTCATAATTTTTAAACTAGTTTTACAAGAAAAGAAACAGAGGTCCAGAGAGGTAAACTACTGGTCCAAGGTCACACAGCTAATGTTGGAGGTAGCATTAAAACACAGGCCTCCCATGTTCTCCGTGGCTTCTTCTCTGCTTTTCAGTACTTAGTGCACTCCCTGGGGTTCCTGATCAAGCTCCACAATTTAAGAATTGTGAAGCCACTGCGTGTCAAATGGACTGGCCTGCTCTCTTCTCCATGATTCATGTTTCTGGGCTCCCAGTTCTCAGTCCCCATGACCTAAGAACTACAGACATTTTAATACCTGGCGACCTTGAAACAGGAAGTTCAGAGAACCAAAAGCCACTAGCCAAATGGGTAGAAGGATCATGAACCACAATTCTAACAGTTTGGTTAGCTGCTTCCCTAGATATTATAAACATCATTAGACATTTCCAACTAGAATACAGGAGAGGAGGAGAGAGGACAAACAGTTCCCAGAGACAGGACAGCTGATAGGGACAACAGAGAAAGAAAAAATTTAAATAACAAATAAAAGACTTATAGTCCTGGCTGTTCAGAAGTGGCAATCAATTCATTAAAAATAACTTAAATTTAAAATGTTTGGGGGCTGTGGATCTCAAACCTGGGTGTGCAGGAGAATCACCTGAGATGCTTTTTCCAAAAACATTCCTATCTGAGTCCCATTCTACCAAATTTCACTCAATTGTGGTGAGACTGAGCTGAAGGAAAGTTCCAGCAATGTATACTCTTTTTTATTCATTTATTTGACAAATAAGTTAACTGTAATGACTCCAAGTTATCTTGATCAGCAGCATTATTAGACATTAAGAATGACCAATTTAAGATTTGCGAATGATACACAAAATGGATTGGCCAGCCCTCTTATCCACAACCCATGAGTCTCAGCTTCTGGTTTTCAATCCTCTTGGCATAAAATCTACATACATTTCAAAGTCTGAAGTCCTGAAATGGAAGTTAACAGGCATGAAGTTTCACTAGCGAAATAGCAAAAATCAAAAGCTATAGAACTTCTAAAACTATGAACGTGGACTATGAATTTCATAAACATTTTCCTGAGCCTATTAAGTTAAAAAGCATAATAATAATAATAATAATAATTGTTATTATAATCAAAGTTGCCATTTGTTGAGCACCTCCTCTGTGTGCTAGTACCAAATACTGTGCTAAACAGATAAGATTACACCCATGTTACAGGAGAGAAAGCTGAGGTCATCTAACTTGCACCAAAACACTTACTTAATAATGCTGGAGTTAGAATTTTAGCTGTGCCTATCTGATACACAAATCTATATTTTGCCTGTTACATAGCAGCAATGCTCATTCATCACACCTAAACAATTACACACACACACACACACACACACACACACACAGAGAGAGAGAGAGACAGAGACAGAGACAGAGACATAGACTGCTATCTTTCTTCTTGATCATCTTTTCCAGGTCAATTTCACTGAATTTTTAAAATCCCAGAAAACAAGAGGTTCATTAAAGCTAGAAGAATAATACAAGGACACTTATTTTACTTTAAAAGGAAAAAAAAGTTCCTGAAAAAACTGTAAAATCAATTTCTGCAAAACAAGTTAAATTTTTCCATTTGTGATTCCAGAGATGTATGCTTACAAAATGTTTTGACCTCAAGAAAAACTATGTAGTTTAAAATTGAAACATCCTTCGTCTCTGATAGGGAGTGAGAAGCTTGCCCCCTGTCATTGAGAGACCATGCTCAGCCTGTCAAAATCTGAAGCATTCTTAACATCCTATGTCCCACCCAACCCACCCCAGCTCCGCCCAGATCTGAAGGAGTCCTGGCACCTAAATCCATTTCTTCAACAAGGTGATTACCTATAGCCCTTGCTGGTTTACTCTAAGGAATAAAACAGCAGATCTGTCAAAGATGGAGGATATTTATGATGTTTCCAGTCCTTCAGGGTGTTGGAGTCACACTCTAGCCCAGACCCCTTTCTTGCTGGAGTGGTATCTTTGTGCAGTTCTAGCACTCACAGATCAATCCAGCATCCGGTTGACTGACAGAAAGTCAACTGCATGGATGTTCTAATACAAATCACTTTCAGGACCTCAGGGGTTCTGCAGTCAGGGACTCTTCTCCCTGAGAAGAAAAGCAAATGAATCAGACTTTTCTCCTTATGTTCAAATCCTTTAAAGTCAGCCTTGTACAGTGGGACTTTCTCTACCAAATAAAATATGAAATCTATAGACATGCTTTTGGGTTTTTAACATAAACTATTAAGAAACAATTCCAAGGCTGGGTGCAGTGGCTCATGCCTGTAATCCCAACACTTTGGGAGGCCGAGGCGGGCAGATCACGAGGTCAGGAGTTCGAGACCAGCCTGGCCAACATGGTGAAACCCCATCTCTACTAAAAAATACAAAAATTAGCCGGGCGTGTTGGCGCGTGCCTGTAGTCCCAAGCTGGGCAACAGAGCAAGACTCCATCTCAAAAAAAAAAAAAAAAAAAAAAAAAAGGAAGAAAAAGAAACACATCCTTATACAAATAAAGGACACTTGCTTACACAAATAAAGGATCCTAATTAGGTACTCTTATGTCATCTGAATAAAGTCGTCCTCTGATAAACAAAATTTTGAGTCTTCATTAAGTTGTAAAGTTGTATTAAAAGAAAATGTTCCCTGTACTCCTCCATTGACCTTCCCTCAGCCCTGGAAGCACGCTGTGTCTGTCCAATCATAAGTATAGATGATAAATAAAATGCGACAGGGACCATAGAGATCTAGAAAATGATAGGTATTTAATAAGTGCTTTGTGATTGATTGATTGATTATTTGAATTCCACATTCTGCCTTCTTTGATTCCGCCTCTATGTTGGGTTTTTATGGCATTTACATCTCCCACGACTGTGCACATCCCCAAGACACCCACTGTCCCTATCTCCTCGGTTATTGTGACTTGTCTAGATGCGATTTGGAGGGTTTTTTGTTTTTGTTTTTGAGACGGAGTCTCACTCTGTCGCCCAGGCTGGAGTGCAGTGGCACAATTTCAGCTCACTGCAGCCTCCGCCTCCCAGGTTCAAGCAATTCTTCTGCCTCAGCCTCCTGAGTAGCTGGGACCACAGGCGCATGCCACCATGCCCAGCTAATTTTTGTATTTTTAGTAGAGACAGGGTTTCACCATGTTGGCCAGGCTGGTCTCGAACTCCTGACCTCAAGTGATTTGCCCACCTCGGCCTCCCACTAAATGCAGTTTGGTGAACCTGTTCATTTCTGAACCAGATAATGAAGGAGTTAAAGACCAAAAAAAGCATTAAAAAAAAATAACAAAAGCAACAATAATAAAAGTCTCCAGGAATAAGCAAGACTTCAACAAAACAGTCCACTAACACTTGAAAGAGACAAGCAGGGTCTAACTCCACTCCCTCCCACCCCAGAATCACTGCAGCTTACAGTAGTCATTCAAAAGGACCACATGATCACTAACATTGAACTGCAATGGTCTCTGGCTTTGTATACCCACCTCCTGTGGATATAACAGCATCCTCTTTGAACCAGCAAGGTACCAGTGTGGGTTTACTTCTGAGGCATACCCCTGGAAAAGTGCCTCCAATTCAGCCCTTGTGGTAGCCAGAGGGGAGAATCATTGCCTCCTCCACACTAAAGCCTGGTGAAGGCTCAGAAAAATGTGGAAACAGTTGCCAGATACCTGGAGCCGCGTGGTGACTGACAGCTAGGGAATTGCCAGGCTTTCATGGAAAGAGCCCCTTTGTTTTCATCAGCATGATTGGAATTCTAACCTAGTGCAGACCTAGCCCCACAGACTCAGGATTTTAGTTAGAGGAGTAGAACCCAACCTGGTTCCTCCCCACCGGAATGTGTTTTGTAATCTGAGTGATTTGAGCACATGCACCCATTTTAAATTTTTCTGATGTTATTAAACAGAAAACTGAAAGATAATGTATATTTTTTAATTTTCTGGAAAATGTGGAATAATAGAATAGAGCAGGGGTTGGCAAACTGTGGCCTGAGGTCAAAATCTGGCCTATGATGTGTTTTTATATGACCCATAAGCTATAAATGGTTTTCACATTTTTAAATAGTGGGGAAAAAAGTCAAAAAAAGAATAATATTTCACAATATGTGAAATTATATAATATTCAAATTTGTATTAATAATTAAAATTGTATTGGAACACAATGCCCACTCACTATGTGTGATCTAACTACTTTTGCATTGCAATGGCAGAGCGGAATTGTTGCAACAGTCATCGTATGAACCACAAAGCACAAAATACTTGGCCATTTACAGAAAAAGTTTGCTGACCTCTGGAATAAAGAAAGGAAAAAAAATAATAAAACCCAAAGTTTGACTTTCCCAAAGCAACATTATTTTCTACCTTTTTCCAGTTTGATTTCTACTGACAGAGAAGGCCTTGCATTATTTTAATTTGTGTTTTTTAAAAATAATATATTTCTCTTAAAAAGAATATAACCTAATCACTGTAGAAATGGAAAGTAGCATAAAAGAATAAAGAATGTAAGCATTGCCAATAATTAATCTCAACATGCAGAGAAACAAATGCTCACATTCTAGTATGTATCCTTTTAATCTTTTTATATGTATTTTTCCCAGCTTTTATAACATTTGGCTCATAATATTTTGTATTTTGCTTTTACTAAAATTTAAATTATGAGCATTTCTTGCAAACCTTTTGATATTAAAATCAATTAAAGTAAAATGTTTCTCCCCATTCCTTGAATGATGCTGCTTTACTATTATTATTATTTTACCACATCATATGGTCTTCTTTTTTTCAGAATTACCAGGAAAATAGTTAAAGCTAATTTCTGTGAGCTTAGAAATTTTGCAGTTTTTTCAAGTTACCAGAACCTTTATGGTCTGCTCTGTACTTCTTTAAAGAAATATGACATTTTTTTTAATAAGCAAACCATTAAAAATACCTAGTGCCATAGTTCTCTAGGCTTTTGTTTTTTTCAATCTAACAGGAGAATGAGAAGCTTTCCAATTGGAGCTTTATTGGTTTCTATGTTATTAAGTATAATATTTCTGCATGTCTTGTTATTAAGTATATTTCTGCATGTCTATAATATCTTCCCTGTATCTATGAAGAAATACTAATATGAAACATAATCACACTTGCAAAAATAGGCCAATTTCTTCTGCGAGATCAATTGTTGAAAAGCATTACTAATTACTAGAGGGGTCATTTTATTCTATTATCAAAGGGCATATATTGGAAATAAAAACTGTTTTGAAACCCCACCTAGCAACAGGCTATGGTAACGCATAACTATTATATTTAACCCAATTTATTTCCTTAGGTTTCAGTGGCAAAGATTCAACATAAAAAGATTAAAGGATTTGAGTGGTTGGCAGGGGAACCTATGCTTCCTTGTGCTAACTTTTCTTGCTATCACAAAAGGAGACTCCCAAAGCTGTTGTTGGAAACAAGCTACATTGAAAACTAATGCCTTCAGTTCCACACATGGCTTTTGTTCTATGCAGAAACTGGAGTTGTCTTTGTTTTACGTTACAACTTCTACTCTCCAGATGGAATTGAGGGACATTGAATCAATTTGAAAAACCAAAGTTTTTACTGTAAGTGATGCATGTCAAGGCACAGGACCTCACTGTGGATAACCAGAGTGTGGAGTTGAATTCATTTTGGTTCCCTTAACTGCGCAGAGGGCAACAATTAAGTTTATTGTAGTAAGGACAAACTAGTGATTAGCTGTGATCTGTAAATCTTAGTTCACTGAAACCCTAAAACCTTTAGGCTGTTTATTGCAATCACAGTGGTTTCCATCATCCAAAGAAAGAAGGGAAGCAAAGAAAAATGGGGAGAAGGAAGGAAGGGAGGGAGGGAAGGAGGGAGGGAAGAAGGGAGGGAGGAAGGGAGGAAGGGAGAGAGGTATATATGTTGGTATATAAGAGCTTTTATTAGCATCTTTCTGTGTTAATAATGGAACCCTTGCAGCTGAGGAATTCTTTGATGATTTACAGCCAAGAAGAAGAGTATCAAACTCCTGTTGATTTAAAATATATGCCTGTTTTCAACTACCATGGGCTCTCTCTTTTTGCTGCCAGATATAGTGATGAAGTTACAGAGATAATTCTTTCCATGAGGAGGAATCAGGGCAAGAAAACACATCTTGAAATGCAGTGAGAATCACCCCAGAACTCTGAGGTTGAACTGTGCTACATGTCAGTTTGCTCATCCACAAAGCAGGCAGATAATGCCACTCTGAGAAGGTGGGAGAGCTAAGGTGTTTGGCACACAGTAGGCCTTCAACAAACGATTTCTGACTTTGAGTAGATGGTATTCAGCAAATCTGTGGCTCCCTGAAACAAAAGAATGTCTTTCAGGCCACACATAAGGAAAGAGCTGGTATTTTATAAGCCACAGCATGAATTACCTCTCAGAGAGGTTAAGGTAACTTCTGTTAATGGCAGATATTTTACAGGGTCTTTTTAAATGGATTGGCCACTTCATGGTGCAAATACATTCTTAACAAGTTTCTGAGACCTATGTACTTCTGGAAGGAAGAAGTGTCTTCTCATCTGACTTAGCACCTGCATTATTACCCAGCATCTGAAAGCAAATCCAGCAAAAAGAAAACAGGGCAATTGTAAAAATTGTTTTCTAATAATCATTCATTGCTAACTTCCATCTAAATGTGACTGGCTCCCGGGGTGGACTGGACAGGGGCCAGGCTGTGGAGAATGGAAACAAAGGCTGGCATACTTCAGCCTGAAACTGGAGCGCTGGGTTTTGGAGATGAAAGGTAAGCCTTGGGCATACCTGGGCAGCAAGAGATAAAGGCAAACTCTGCTCCTCATCTTCATCAGCCACCTCTATCCTTCATGAGCTGGTGGCTGGGGAAAGGAGTCATAGCCACTGCCAACTCTTTTTCTCTTGGGGACTATGTGGAATGGACCTCTTGCTTTCCGTTATTGGTAGGTAATTTTTTGGTCGCTAAATTCTAACCACAAAGGCCTTTAGAGCAAGCTTGTCCAACCCGCAGCCTGTGGGCCACATGCGACCGAGGACGGCTTTGAATGCAGCCCAACACAAATTTGTAAACTTTCTTAAAACATTATAAGATATTTTTGCAACTTGGTTTTTAGCTCATCAGCTATCATTAGTGTATTTTATGTGTGGCCCAAGACAATTTTTCTTCTTCCAATGTGCCCCAAGGAACCCAAAATATTGGACACCTCTGCTTGAGAAGTTTCAAACATGAGCCTACATAGAAAAGGAGTGACAAGCTTAGGGTCCTGGAATGCTGGGTAGATGGTTCTGGAAATGCTCCCAACCTCAGTAAACCAATAAGGATCACAGCTATCTCTGCTGAGTGTTTAGTAAGTACTTTGAATATTTTCCTCTTTAATCACCACACCAACTCTATGAGGTAGACTTTTATTATCCCATGTTACAGGGGCAGAAACTGAGACACAGAAGTTAATTAACTAACCCAAAGTCACTCATCAGATCCCACAGTGACAGAACGTCTGATTTTGGATTAGACACATGGCCCCTCGGAATAAAGACTACATTTTCCAGCTTCCCTTGCAGCCAGGTACAGACATGAGACTAAGATCTGGCCAATGGGATATGAAGTGAAATGGCATGGTATGGGTAACTTCCTGGACTTACCTTTAAGTAGAAAGTGCTCCCCCACCACCACTTTCCCCTCTTCCATACCACCACTTGGAATGTTGATGAAGAAATGAGGCATCTTGAACCTTACATTTGAAAACCTCGTCCTATGGACAGTGCAACAAGATTAAGTTCCTGGACAGCCATGCAGTGTGGAGCAGCTCTCTCAGTCCTAGGCCACCTATCTCAGACTGTTAAGTAAAAAAAAAAAATAGCTTTCTATCTTGTTCAAACCTCCATTATTTCAGGTTTCTTTTATGTAGCAAGCTATATCCTAACCTGCTTCATAGCCAAGCTGGAGTTTAACCCAGTTTTGTCTAATTGCAAAGCCATGCTCTTATCTACCACATGGTTATAGTTCTAGGTGCTATCATCAGAAGAACAGTATACATTCACAATGGAAGAAGTATTCGTAATTCCTTCTTCCAAACATAAGACCACTCTTGACCAGTTTATTCTAAAGGATAATGGTGTCCCAATTAAAGGACCCTCTCAGTATGAAGCTCCTATAAAATAAAGTTTGCATGGCATTCACAGGTATCAGTAGGGCTGGCTGATGGTCTTCTTGAACTGTTCATATTCATGGCTTCCATTAAACAAAAGGATCTGAAGACCTTGCTTTTTTTTTTTCTTTTTTGATACAGTTGAAAGTAAGTAGAGTGAGACACAGAAGTTAATTAACCAACTCAAAGTCACTCATCAGATCCCATAGTGATAGAACCTCTGATTTTGGATTAGGCACATGGCCCCTCGGAATGAAGACTACATTTCCCGGCTTCCTTTGCAGCCAGGTACAGACATGCGGCTAAGATCTGGCCAATGGGATATTAAGTGAAATGGTAGAAAACTTTACATAAATTATTTGCAGTTAGCATTAGGTGGCTTGCCAACTGCTACACCCTCCTATCCCTCCCAGAGGTAATCTTTCCCCTTGTCCTGGCACCCTGGCCCTTTCCTACTGACTCATCCTCTGCCAAAATAGAAAAGAATCTGACATCTGGAAACCATCATTATCTATGACATCCCAGCTTCCTTTTTCCTATCCCCTTTTTGCCTAGTCTGACTGTACCAAGGAAGGTCCTCCTATTCCTAGGAGGTGCCTCAGGCGGAAGTACCAATTTTCATTCCCTCCTGAGGTATGCAGTAAAATCCAGGCTCTGCCACTTAATTAGCAGTGCTTACCAGCTGTGTAACCGCAGTCGAGTCTGTAAAAAACTAAAATACAAATAATAACAGATATCACAGAACTGTTGGTTGAATAACACAAGACGACACCTGCAAATTGATCTGGCTTATAATAGACATTCAATAAATGGTCCTTCTCTGCATTTAATTGACTCTCCCCTTCCTTTTTTGCCCTTTTTCTTCTGAGCACATAAAGCACCATCTCCACATTCTAAGTCGTAATTCCTCTTATTTCCCTACCCTCAACAACCTAGATAGGTTTTAGACAATACCTTATGTCCCATAATTGTATCTTACATTTTAAACATCTTAGCACATTAGTAATTCATTGGCCTGAAAGGATGTGGGGAATAGTGGTTATAGGCACCCAGAAAGTACTGTAACTATTGTTGTAGGAGAGACTGCCTCCAGAATTACAGGTCAGGGATGCTTGGCCTGTCAATGGAATACTACAGCATCCTCAGCTTTTTGTAGCTGTCTGGTGCAGATGGAACAGTAAACACTCCATAAATATGTATTGAATAAGTAAATAAACTAAATAATAAATTGTACCCTTTTCCTACATTGATCACCATCACCCCCTGTAATTGCATCCAAAAATAAGTAGCTTAGTTCAGATTGTAGACTACAAAAACATACACAGTTCAGATACCCTTAACCTCCCCATTCTTTAACGATTCCCAAATAGTCTGAATCATCACGTTGCTTAAACATTGGAGGTGCCAGATTCTCTTCCCTGTGTCTTACCCTTGACCACTTCTTTCTGTGAGTCCCTGGAATTCCATATTCCACAGGCCTGTCCTGGTTGATGTTTGTCCCTTTGAGTGGCACATCCCTGTCTACCCTGGCATAAATCATTTAAAAGGGAATCACAATGTTGGGAACATGGACTTTGGCATCAGACAACTTAGGTTTGAAAGTGTATTTCATATTCCTGTGTCTCAGTCTTCTCATCAACAAGATAGGAATACCGCATTATAGGGCCATTTGAGGAATCTATGAATGCACATTGGTAAGGCACTTAGAAGGGTGCCTGGCACATGGTGAGCACCACCTAAACGCTAGTCATCCATTATTGTTGGTATCTGGGCCTGCCAAGTAGTCCCACAAAGTAGCCCCTCCCCAACCAGTCTGTACCAAAAATAGATCACAGGCTCATCAGAAAGGCAGAAAGTACTTCTCAATCCTCCACAGGGCAGCTTTTCAGGTTGCAAAAAGTTAAGATCTTCTCCCCATCAGGCACCCTACTCTATCACAAAAACAAGAACACAGTTCAAGAGGCTTACTGATTTTAGTGAACGATTAACATTTAGAGAATTTTAAAGAAAAAAAAATTAGAGAATTTTAAAGAATAAAGGAAGACATTGGCCATCTGGCAACACTACTTCCCTTGAGGTATCTATCAAAACCACTGTCCTCGACTCAGCTAAACTGTAGCAATGATTAGCAAATCATAGATTGAGTCCATGTAGATATTAGGGTTTTCATCCTTTAGCTTATTTATTTAACTAATGACTCTCCTTCAGAGCAACCGAGAGAACATTAAAAGAGCAATTGTTGATCATGATAAAGTTTGCCAACATTTGTTCTATTCTTCCTGAGTCAAATTCATATAAGGTTTACTTTTTTCTTAGTGGCTTTTAGAAAACAGCACCCTTTTCAATAGGCAAACTATGATTGCAAACAGACATATCAATGGGCATAATCCCTTATAATACCAAAAACCAACACACATTGGGCAGTTTACGGATGTACACTATCATACCTCCACCCAACTGCAACGAGCAGAGCATTGTACCATTAACATGGCATAGTGCACTAAAATAAAAGCTTTCGCGGAGTTGAAAGCGAAGATGAACTTTGAAACTAGGACAGAAAACTAGTAGAAAACTACCTCTTTCATTAGAATTGTGTTGGGTATTTTGTATGGAAAGAGAACAAGCTTGGATTGAGAATCATTTGTTAAAATGTGTCCGGTCTGGGCAATATAGTAAGACCTCATCTCTAAAAAAAAAAAAAAAAAAAAAAAAAAAAAATTAGCCAGGCACAGTGGCATGTGCCTGTGGTCCCAGCTACTCTGGAGGCTGAGGTAGGAGAATTGCTTGAGCCCAGGAGTTCCAGGCTGCAGTGAGCCATGATCACACCACTGCACTCCAGCCTGGGCAACAGACTGAGCCCTCATCTCAATAAAAAGAAAATGTATATGGTCACATCCTGTTTAGGTCAGAGAAAATAATATGAAATTAACACATATATTCCAATAGCTAATAAAATTTTATCCTTTCAAGCAGCAAGTCACTGTTAGCATTATTTTTTGTACCTCCAGAATCTTCAAACATGATATCACTGTTTGATATTGACAGAAAAACTTTTTTTTTTTTTTTTTTTTGAGATGGAGTTCCACTCTTGTTACCCAGGCTGGAGTGCAATGGCACGATCTCGGCTTACCGCAACCTCTGCCTCCTGGGTTCAAGAGATTCTCCTACCTCAGCTTCCCTAGTAGCTGGGATTACAGGCATGTGCCACCATGCCCAGCTAATTTATTTTTATCTTTATTTTTAGTAGAGACGGGGTTTCTCCATGTTGGTCAGGCTGGTCTCAAACTCCCGACCTCAGGTCATCCGCCCGTCTCGGCCTCCCAAAGTGCTGGGATTACAGGCATGAGCCACCATGCGCAGCCGACAGAAAAACTTTCTATCCCTGCAGTTGTCAATTATGTGACACATCTTCCAGGGGGAAGCCAGCCAAATAAAACCCAAGCTGAAGATATCACATGGAGACACACAAATCATGCCTGATTCACTCCATTGCTAGATGTGAGGATCTCGATACCTGGGTCTTCAAGAACTTTTAGCACAATGAATTTCAAACGGACACTCCCAAGTTAATATAGTCACTAAAGATTTCACATTTAGTCAGTTTCCCTTTGCTCTTAAAACCATATTTCCTTTCTGTACTTTTTTCTTATGTTACTCAAATTAGGAAGTATTCAGGTCACACCAAAGCTTCCCCATCATTTCACTAAGAGGATAGGGTAGTAAGGAGAAATTGAAAGTAGGGAGGGGGAAATTGCCCCCGTTATGGTGGGGGCACCTCACCTATCCCCTGGGGGGACAACCACAGTTTCAGTTTTTTATTTGCTATTTTACTTCTAGGAAGTCTCCATCTATAAATACCTCCTCTTTAATCCCCCAAATTCCAATATCTCTGAACAGTTTCTTTCTTTGTTTCTCTCTCTCATCTTCTTTGCTGTCAATGAATTTGTTACTTGTAAAACAAAATTATTCAAAGACAGTTTCTACAATTACTTTTTTTTTTCCTTAAGAAACAGCAGTAGCTGTCAGCAAACCAAATTGGCTTGATCTTCCAAGCAGACCTGAGACGAAAGGGTAGTTCCGTTTCTCTTACTAAGATTAGGAACCGAGGTGTTAAGGGTAGCAAGCAGAGATGTTCCCTCTGAAAGCATTTCAGCTCTTCTTAGACCACCTCACCATCTAATGCAAATTTAAACGGTCTTCATTAGGAAGTATTAGTTCCCTTTTTAACCTCAAGCATCAATGCCATTTTTCATAGGCAATTGCTATAACTGGATCCTAGGCTGACAATACACCAATAAAGTAGGCGGTTGTTTCATGGGTGTAGTTATAAGGGTATCCACCTTCTGAAAATCCCACTGATGAGGTACTTTCCTTGAATTAAGGCACAGTTTTTCTTTAAATGTGCAAATATGTATGTCAGAAAGCTTTATTAACCCATTATTTATCTACTGGATCTTCTTCAGTTCCTTTAACTAATTATGACAGAAATGAAGACACTTGAAGCTTCTATCTCCAACTCCCATTGCCCCAGTGAGGCCTCATCATCCCTCACCACCGCAATGGATACCTCAACGATCTGCCAGCACTCAGGTCCTCAGGTCCTACTTGTTTTTTTTTTTTTTTTTTTTTCGACAGAGTGTCACTCTGCCACCTGTTACCCAGGCTAAAGGGCAGTGGCACAACCTCTGCTCACTGCAACCTCCAGCTCCAGGTTCAAGCAATTCTCCTGCCTCGGCCTCCTGAGTAGCTGGGACTACAAGTGTGCACCACCACGCCCAGCTAATTTTTTGTATTTTTAGTAGAGATGGCATTTCACCATGTTGGCCAGGCTGGTCTCGAACTCCTGGCCTCAAGTTATCTGCCTACCTCAGCCTCCCAGAGTGCTTGGATTACAGGCCTGAGCCACCACACCTGGCCTAGGTTCTACTTCCTAAAGTTAGAGTTATTGCTCAAAGTAAAAAATGTGACCGTATCACTGCAGTATAATACCCAGGTTCCATATGTTTCCATCCAAGGCCTTCGTAACCCACCTTTTACCTTTGTAGCCTTTGCCCCCATCACACGCACCTACACTGGGATTATAGAAAACCATTTAACCCAAATCCCTTTGCTTTCATTTGCTTATGTGATTTCTTTCAGCAAGAATTTCCTTCAAACACTACAGCCAATCTTCCACTAGTCAAAATCCAACTGATTCTTCAGGACCAAGTCAAAATGTCATTTCCTTAATAAATCTGTCAGAGCCCCTTTTTTCCCCTCTCTCCCCATCATTTACTGATGAATCTGTTTTTAATCCAATAATATTGGATGATGTCCCCCTCCAAAGGACATTCAGCAATGTCTAGGGACCTGTCTGGCTATTACAACTGGGGGTGGGAGCTACTGGCAGCTAGTGAGTGGAGTTCCAGATGCTGCTAAACATCCTACAATGCACAGAACAGCACCCCTTGACCCCCCAACAAAGAACCATCATCCCAAAATGTCAACAGTACCACAGTTGAGAAACTCTGGGTTAAACAAATGCGCTTACTACTGCTCCACCTCCAAGGCCCACTAAACTGAAAGGTATTAAAAAGGATCAAAATTTGAAAAAGACCAAAGTATAGGAGAAGAGACACCAGTGAGCCAGAGATGCACAAATTTTTGCATATGGAAAGTGATGGTGAAATTGATAACTGACTTAGAGTGAAGAAACCATTTAACCTAAATCACTTTGATTCCTATCTGCTCATGCTGTTTCTTTGACCTAGAATTTCCCTCTACATTCTAATATTCCAGCCAATCTTTCAATAATCAAAATCCAAGGGTTTCTTCAAGACCAGTCAAAATGTCAATTCCCTTGTAAATCTTTCAAAGCCCCCTTTTCTCCCTTCTTTCTATCATCCACTGATAAATTTATTTTTCTAGACATCCAATAAAAAATGACGAAGAAAATGAAAGTGAAAAGTTAAAGAAAGTGGGATCTTAGGGCAAGGAGAAAGTGTCAAAAAAGCAAGCCAACTCAGATGGCAGCACCCTGGAAAGGCTCTGAAACTGGAAGCCCCCCTTGGCAATTATGTAGTGAGGGTAGGACTGAATATTAGGATTGGTTCAAATTGTAATGAACAGTAGTCAGATCCTCAGATGCCTACCTTCACCCTAAAGAGTCAGGAAGCTCCCCCACTAGGCTTATTCTCCAGAGTAGCCAAACCAGAGGGTTCTGTGGAGGACAGAAGGGAAGCAGGAGCATCTTGTTGAAGTCAAAAGGGTACCAAGTGCATTCTGAACAATGAGACCCACAACTGCCTTCCCCCACTTTATAGAACTTACCATTTAAAAAAATAAATGTAGAAATACTGGCACTCAGGGTCCCATCTAGCCACCTTTTGGTCCATCCCACAAATCAATAAATCCTGTGCAGATAGATACACAGAGCTTGTTTAGCTTTTTAGTGCCTCACTTTTAACTCTAAAAGGACAACCAAGGATCATCAGACATTTGAGAAGCAAACATGAAAGATAGAGCCCAAAAACCGAGGAAACAAAGAAATGGAAAAGGAACTCAGAAGAAATAGACAATGTAGGTAGAAGGGACAAAAGAAAACTTGAGAATGATTCCAAGTTATATTCTCAAAGAGAATTTGTTTCCATTAAGCAAAAAAAGGTTTATGTTTTTAAAGGAAGGAAAAAAAATGGAGAACAGCCAAAAAGAACTCTTAGAAATTATATACATATATATGAACATTTAAAATGTAAGTGATTGGAAAATAACGTTGAAAAAATCTTCCAAGAAAGTAGAATAAAAAGATATAGACGGAAGAGAGAAAAGCTAAGAGACCCAGAGGATCAAGAAAGGAGGTTCAACACCCAAGTAATATGAGTTCTAGCAAAAAAAGAACAGCAAAAAGGGAGGGAAGAAAATTATTAAGGCAATACTGCAAGAATATTTTGCAGAACTGATATATTTAAAGAGGCTACTCAGTGCCTAACACAATAAATAACAACAACAACAAAAAACCCCTACCAACATACATATCATTGTGAAATTTCAGAGTTCTGTGGGTAGAAAAAAAGATGTTAGAAATTATCAGAAAGGAAAACTTGGTCACATATAAAAGATAAAACATTACTTTAGGGAGTTTCAATTCCTGTTAGAATGTAGTAAGTGGCAAGACATGGTTACTCTTATACTAACAATGAGAAAAAGCCAGGAAAACTACAAGACGATCATTTACTAGACCCACTCTAGAGCTGAGAATGCAAAGAAACCTAACTGAACTAAATTCCAGAAAGCACTAAGTTTTTCATAATTTGCTTACATCCCAGGAGATCTGTCTTAGTCTGTTTGGGCTGCCGTGACAAAATATCTTAGACTGGGTGATTTGTGAACAACAGAATTTTTTTGTTTACAGTTCTGAAGGCTGGAAAGTCCAAGATCAAGACACCAGCAGATATGGTGTCTGGTGAGGGCACCATCTGTTCCTTACATGATGGAAAGGCAAGAAGAGGCTAACATGCTCCTTCCAGTCTCTTTTATAAGGGTGCTAATGCCATTAGTAGAGCTCTGCATTCATTACTTAATCACCTCCCAAAAACCTACCTCTTAATACGTTGCCTTGGGAGTTAGGATTCAATATATGAATTCTGAGGGGTTATGGGCATTCAGACCATCGTGGGATTGGTGGGAGGAGGAAGAATGTGCCATAGGTAGGAATGAGAAGAAGTTAGCTGAATTGTCAACAAAACTTGAACAGCTGCATATGGACTATCAAGACAGCAGCAACCCCAGGATCTCAGCCTTACAGCAGAGCTGCACCTACCTGCCAGCTCCTTCCACATCAAGTGCATGGGGTTAGCACGTCGATGTCTGGGGACAGAGCAGGAGAGCTGAGAGAGATTGTTCCTGTGGAGAAGCAGGGCAGGTGAACTGAGATAGAACTCTCCAAAGCCCTCTGAGCCTTCACCAATCTTTAAGCCTTCACCATCCTGTCTGCAGCAGGCTGAGACGGGACCAAAGAAATCTTTTCAGGGCACTGCTATACTCTCCCAAGTGCACCACAGCAACCCTCAGGGGCTGGGACAAGATGAAAGGTCTGAGAGAGAGAGGTGTTTGAAGGCATGAACATCCAGGGGTAAGACTGACCAGCAAAGAGAATTCCCCAGCAGCCCCAAAAGCTGGCAGTCAGGTTATAAAGCAGAAAGAGATCACTTGCAGTTTAGAAAGCTGACCAGTTAACTACAGAGCATAAAGGGATCCCTGGAGTCTCATTGGCACTTAGAGATCTGCTGAAGGGGAAGTCCTCATATTGTCTTAATGATATCGGAGGCCAGTGGTGACTTATATCTAACTGAAGTTACAAACGAACCCAGACCTAGAACAACTACACATGAGATTGACCTCACCCCAAAACACACACACACACACACACACACACACACACACACACGATCAGCATGACAGAAGGTGGTGCCCCTCATAGGAGAGGTGCTAAATGGAAGTACATGATGGTAAAATCCGTGCATTGTTTGAGAAGTAACAGAATATTTGAATGTAGACCATAACAACTTAAAGATGGATGTCTAAATCCTAGAGCAACCACCAAAAAATAGCACAAAGATATGAGTAAAACAAAAATATAATAAAGGAAAGGAAACGATCAGTTAAAAAATAGTTGGTTCACTCAAAAGAAGGCAGGAAATAAAGACAACAAAGAACAAAGGAGACAAATATTAGGATGACAGACTGAAACCCAAACTATCAATAATTAGGTTAAATGTAAATAGATTAAACAATTCAAGTAAAAGGCAGAAATAGTCAATCTGGATAACACAGCAGAGCCCACCTGTATACTGTTTACAAGATAAATATTTTAAGTATAAAGACTCAGACTTGTGACATATAAAGTAAAAGAGCACATGCAAAAGATAGTTATAAGAAAGCTGGCTTGCTATATTCATATCAAGGTAGACTCCAAGGCAAAGAGTAATACCAGAGATGAAGAGAGACATTTCATAATAATCAAATAATTCATTAACCAAGAAGGTCTAACATCTTGAACATGTATGCAACCTAATCACAAAGCATCAAAATACATGGAGAAAACATTGATGAGTCCCAATCATCCGTAAAGGCAGAAATTGATTAATCACAGTCATAGTTGGAGATTTAACACTTCTAGATAAAACTGGTAGACAATGAAAAATCAGAAAGGCTATAGAAGATTTGAACAGCACTACCAACCAATTTGACCTTATTAACATGCGTGAAATACTAACTACATTAAACATCTGCAGACCACACACATTCTAAGAAAGGGTTCAGAGAGGAGAAGGAACGCTGGAGGAAGGAAGACCAAGCAGGTGATGGCTGAAGAAGAAATTTAACTGGTAGGAAGTGTGGAAAACCAAAGTGTTGAATAGAGAGTGCGATGTAAGCCCTTTTCTCCTTCTCCTCGTTAAATGTCTACATTACTCGATGCACTCTACGAGGTGGACTTTGTTTTGGAGATATGAAAAGGTAGACTCCTATTTTGTGGTTGTTGTGGGGTGAAACTAGAGGCTTCCTGTGAGAAGTCAACCATATCGGGCTATGGTTCTGAGTCCCACCCAGGATGTTTAAGGCAGAGGAGCCACTTTCAGCTCAGACACAAGACAGGTGAATGCCTTCATCATGACTGCCAGAGAGGGAGGAGGCCAACCTGGCACCACCATGGAGGTCCTCAAATCTACCACCCTGGCAGAGGCGAGCTGTGAGATGGCCCTGGCTTTTGTGGGACCACCTTCTGAAGGTCATCTGGAACTGGATGAGAAGTGCTCAAGGATATAAGGTTAGGAGCAGTTTCTCCAAGAAACTCCCTCATAAAACCACAGGAAGATGGTGTTTGAGCTAGTTTTGATGGAGACACTTAAGCTCTTGAGAAACTGGATTATTTCCTGGAAGGGGAAACAGGACCACTGCAGAGAGGCCTGAGTGAATTTCACTCCCTGGCTCCAGCCTCATCTGCTGCTGCAGGTTGACCTGGAGCCTGGAGTCCTTCTGTGGGGCTTACAGTGCAGCCAGCACTGCCCGAAGCTGTAGACACTTAGGGAAGGGGTGAGTACTACCAAGGTGAGGACTACTTAGGCAGCCTTGTGTTGTGAGTAGACTAAGCAGCAGAAATGCTACAGAGTGGGCCAGGCCCAGGGGTGAAGAAGCAACAAATCAGTGGAATGTTTGCAATGTTTTGGTCTTAGGAATTATACCAGGCCTCAAAGTCACAAAGCCTCTCTGTGGTCGAACGCCAGCCAGCCCTCACACAGGCATATGGTGGTGTGGGGAGATGCTGGGATCCATGTGGCAAGCTCCTGACCACACATCAACAGAGGGGTCAAAGACCCTCTGTGTCAGACTTGAGGAACTTGTAGAGAGTCATAAGCTGGGTAAATACAATTTTGAAAATCAGGCCTAGGGGAGTGTTTATAGCAAAATAGCAAGAAGAAAAATTTAGGCTTCACCAGCAACCGGGAAGGCTCCTAGATTCTCCTTGACTGTGGAGGAAAAGGTTGAAAGGAAGACCAAGGTAAGGAGACTCAAAGGGAACGGAAATCTTAAAGGGTTATTGGTTAAGTTGCTCACTGTCTGGTACATGATGGAGCCACCCTGTGCCATCTGCCTCTTACAAGCCTCAGGAAAGTCTAGAAGGTTCCTTTGGCTGGAGGAGAAAATGGGAGGCTGAGCCCTGTGGGCTTCAAGGCTGCCACAGTGGAGCTACACATGGATTACACAAATCACAGGGATCCACTTTGTGGAAGGAAATCCACTTTCTCCATTTTTTAACATTGACAGAATCCTAAAAATTAAATAGATCAATCTATGAAGTATGCAGCTCATTTGGAGCTCATGACAGACAAATGAAAATGCAAGGGCAAAGAAAATACACCAAATGCTGTCAGAAGCTGAGCCAACCATATTCTCTTGTCCTGTGTGTTCGTTTGCTAAGGTTGCCTCGTAACTAAGTACCACAGACTGGGTGGCTCAAACCATAGAAATTTATTCTTCTCACAATTCTGGAGGCTGGAAGTCCAAGATTAAGATGTCAAGAGGGCTGATTTCTTCTGACACCCCTCTCTTTGGCTTGCAGATAGCTGTCTTCTCCCTGTGTCCTCACATGGTCTTCCTTCTGTGTGGAAGGAAGACATGTCTGTGTCTGTGCCCAAATTTCCTCTTCTTATAAGGACACTACCCTAATGATCTCATTTTCATTTAATTACTTCTTTTCTTTTCTTTTTAGATGGAGTCTAGTTCTGTCGCCAGGCTGGAGTGCAGTAGCGCGATCTCAGCTCACTGCAACCTCCACCTCCTGGGTTCAAGTGATTCTCCTGCCTCAGCCTCCCAAATAGCTGGGATTACAGGCACGTGCCACCACACCCAGCTAATTTTTGTATTTTTAGTAGAGATGAGATTTCACCACGTTGGCCGGGATGGTCTCGATCTCCTGATCGTGTGATCTGCTCACCTCAGCCTCCCGAAGTGCTGGGATTACAGGCATGAACCACCGTGCCCGGCTACTCAATTACTTCTTTAAAGGTTCCATCTCCAAATTCCAAGGTACTGGGAGCTAGGGCTTCAGCATTTGAATTTTGGGGAGACACGGTTCAACCCATAACATCCTCCACGCACAGCATCTTCTTTCTGCTAAGTTCCTGGAAAACACCGTTGTCGTTCTCTAGATCATAAACCCTGCATCTGTTTATGCAGATATCTGAGATTTTTCCAGATATTTTCTCCCTTGTATCCTCTGTTTCTATGAAGGTAAAAAACATGTTCTTCTAAATCTTATCTGACCTCTCCAGACTGTCTTTTCAGAGACAGACTTCCTGAGAAATGCATGGCTCCCCTACATGCTACAGGTTGTTTTACTGTGATTTCATTTAGTCCTCTAGAAAAAGCCAAGAAACCTGAAACCTATATCGGCAAAAAAAAAAAAAGGACTGTCTTTTACATCTTTCAGACATTCTAACCTGTCATGACCCTCTTTCAGCCCCCGCCCCACCTCCAATCCAACCCATCCAGTAAGACTTTGGGAACTTATCTGAGAACACCCTGGAAGGGTTAGAACACACAACTGTGTAGCACCATGTACAGCACATGGCATAAAGAAGGATGAAGATGGCAAGGCTTGGTGGCTCATGCCTGTAATCCCAGCACTTTGGGAGGCAGAGGTGGGTGGATCACCTGAGGTCGGGAGTTCAAGACCAGCCTGACCAACATGGAGAAACCCCGTCTCTACTAAAAATACAAAATTAGCCGGGCGTGGTGGCCTATGCCTGTAATCCCAGCTACTTGGGAGGCTGAGGCAGGGGAATCACTTGAACCTGGGAGGCGGAGGTCACAGTGAGCTGAGATTGCACCATTGCACTCCAGCCTGGGTAACAAGAGTGAAACTCTGTCTCAAAAAAAAAAAAAAAAAAAAAAAAAAAGAAGGATGAAGATGACAGAGCAATTCACAGGGCTGAGAAGAAGAGTAGCCCCAGGAAATAGTAAGTTGATGTGAGAGCCCAGAATAGAGAAGACAGCCAGAGCAGCCCCTATGGAGCAAAGGTTGTAGGAAAGCCTTCTAGAAACATCACCTGAGTTGTGAGGATCTTGCTTCTTTTCAGCCATATCTCCACCAACCTCCTTACAAAAAAAACCTACACTCTAACCAATAGTAGTTATCATTCCCCAAACTCACTGTGCTTTCCTCTTTGCCTCAGCTGAAATCCTCACCTCTGTGTGGAATATTTTTTCTGCCCCAACCTCAACCTATTGAAATTCTATCCTTTCATGAAGATCAAGTTCTATTGTTGCACGAAGCCTTTAGTCATCATCACAGTTGGGAAGTCTTCCCCCAGTCAGAGCTCTCAGTGTATTTCACTGATGCCTCTTTCCCTGAAAGATTTGCATAGAAATGGAAGAGACCACCTGCTAAAGGGGAACTACAATGCGTTTTGGTGCGATGACAATGATGAGGAGTATTTGCTGAGCATTTACTACACATCAAGCACTTACTCAATGCATTTCTCATTTATCCTTCATAACCCTCGAAAGTGGCTATTATTATTTGTCCCATTTTACAGAGGAGGAAATAGCAGCTCATGGACACTTGTCACATAACAAGACAGTGGAAGAGTCAGGATTCAAACACAGATTTGCATGACTCCAGAGCCCATGTTCTCAGCCACTACAGACTTGGGTCCTAAGATCAATTATAGCAGTTACTTGCTTTGCAACTTTATATAACTCCATCTCTCTGAATCTCACTTTCGTCATCTGTAAAATGGAATGATAGTACCTTGTTGGGGTTAGCATGAGGATTAAATGAGATTACTTGTCTAAAATACCTTGCAGAGTGTGAGCTGTCTTGATAATTTATGGTGCATATAACTGGTGGTCTCCCTTTCTAGAATGTAAGCTTCTACAGAACAGAAAATGAGTCTTATTCATCTGGTATTTCCCTCAGCCCGTAGCAGAGTGATTGGTGCACAATACTTACCAATGGAACACATTATTTATTTTCTTCCCTAATAGGCTTTAAAAACAGAGTCTTTCTGAAATGGATTTCAGGCCATCCTGGGCTAGGTTGAAGCATGGGACACAAAATCTCTTCTAACCTAAGATTCTTTTTTTTTTTTTTTCTTGAGATGGAGTCTCACTCTGTCACCCAGGCTGGAGTGCAGTGGCACGATCTCGGCTCACTACAACCTTTGCCTCCCAGGTTCAAGTAATTCTCTACCTCAGCCTCCTGAGTAGCTGGGATTACAGGCACCTGCCAACATGCCTGGCTAATTTTTGTATTTTTTGTAGAGACCGGATTTCACCATCTTGGCCAGGCTGGTCTTGAACTCCCGACCACTCACCTCAGCCTCCCAAAGTGGCCTTTGACATTCTAATCCAGAAACTATTCATGGAGAATGTTCTCTCTCCCAATTACTTCCTAAATCCCAAGAGAATTTCATGCAATACTGTTAATATTTTGTCTTTCTCAGAGCTAGAGTCAAATAGGGTAACCAACCACCTTGGTTGGCCTGGGTCTGTCTCAGTTTTAGAACTGAAAATCGTCAGCTGGGCGTGGTTGCTCACGCCTGTAATCCCAGCACTTTGGGAGGCTGAGGCAGGCAGATCACCTGAGGTCAGCAATTCGAGACCAGCCTGGCCAACATGGTGAAACCCTGTCTCTACTAAAAATAGAAAAAAAAAAAAAAATTAGCTGGGCGTGGTGGCACATGCCTTTAATACCAGCTAGTTGGGAGGCTCAGGCAGGAGAATCACTTGAACCCAGGAAGTGGAGGTTGCAGTGAGCCAAGATCTCACCTCTGCACTCCAGCTTGGGCTCTGCCTCAAAAAAAAAAAAAAAAAAAAAAAAAAAAATTCAGCCCAGAAAACCCCTGAGATGGATTTCAGGCTCTGGCAAACTGGGAGACAGTTGGTCACCCTACAGTTGAACAAAAAGATTCATGATCATATAACAATAATTGATTGAATACTTACTGCATATCAAGTATGATGCATATACTTTATAGGTGGACTTTCAACCCAATTCTGCCTGCAACTCTAGAAGCTGATGATTCTGTGGAAGCAGATGTAACAGTTCACAGCACAGACCTTAAGGAAATTCTTAGGAGAGGATTAACCTTCAGAAAGAATTGAAATAGTTTTCCATAGATTCCTCTCACATGTGGCATTGGAGGGGCGCAGGTGTTCATATTTGCTTTCCCCAGAAGTGGCAGAGGGAGGAGCCAAGCTTCCTGTTGTCTGTTTTTAATCTCACTCAACTACAGGTTCTCCTTTATACATCTTCATAAATCCTACATCACCCTTCATATAGGCAGTCCTTGATTTGCACAGCAGCACAGGACCATCAAAATGACTGTGCAAGCTGAAACCATGCTAAGCAGTCTTACTCATCAATGAGAAAAGTTACATTTCTTTTATGATATTTAAACTTTTTTTTTCAGACTGGACATGGTAGTTTATGCCTTTCCTTTGGGAGGCCAAGACAGGAAGATCATTCGAGCCAGGAGTTTGAGGCCAGCCTAGGCAATATAGCGAGACCCTGTCTTTACAAAATAATTTAAAAATTAGCTGGATGTGGTGGCACGCGCCTGTCGTCCGCTGCTTGGGAGGCTGAGGCAGGAGAATCACTTGAGCCCAGGAGTCTGAGGCTGCAGTGAGCCATGATCATGCCACTGCTCTCTAACCTGGGTGACAAAGCAAAACCCAGTCTCTAAAATAATGAAAATTAAGAGTTTTTTTTCAAAATGTTAAAAACTCTCTTACTGTCAATTATAAATATATAGGGAAATGAAAAAAAGAGTAAAACTAATATTTATATAGTAGATGGTAATTTAAAACATTAGAAACATTGAGAATTGAAGTATTTTATTTCCTTGTAAAAAATGCATCATGAGTGGTGTGAATAATGCTTGCTTCTCATCTTACAACTTATGATATAGAGCAAGCATTTTTTCTACATCTTGGCAAATTGTCATGCTCCTTTCTAAGTTTGGATCAGCTTCCAACATTTTCTCCTTTGCATTTTCAATGTTGTAAAATATATCCAAGAATATCTTTGATGTGAAGTTTTTTGCCAGTATTATTTTCTCTAGGGCATCTTCATTCATCTTTTTAATCACAACCACTTTCCTCATTTTTGTCAATAATTTTACCTTCATTAAGTTTCTCTGGCTTCATGGCTGGAAACTCTCACACTTCGGTGTTTCTTCTATTGACATTCAATTAGAAATCACTTCTAGAGCTGGGTACAGTGGCCCATGCCTGTAATCCCAGCACTTTTGGGAAGCTGAGGCTGGAGGATCAATTGAGGCCAGGAGTTCAAGGCCAGCCTTGGCAACATAGTGAGACACCCCTCCCCAACACCCCCCCCCCCCGCCCGCCACACACACACAAAGTGAAAGCCTATAGTCCTAGCTACTCAAGAGACTGAGGTGGAAGAATTGGTAGTTTGAGGCCACAGTGAGGTATGATTGCACCACTGTACTCCAGCCTTGGTTATGGAATGAGACCCTGTCTCTAAAAAACTAAAAATTTTTTTACAGAAAAAAATCACTTTTAACATTCTCCCTTTTTGTTTTCTTGCTTCACTTTTATTTTTATTGGCCAATTCCTTCTTTTGATTTTCTATTTATGTAAAATGTCACATGGATTTATCACCAGGAGACAAGGAAGCAACACAACTACAGGCTTTGCAGTCTGCATATGAACTTAACAACAGATGCACAGGACAGACATTGAAAGAAGTGACGTGATTAGTCATGGTTATGTTGCACATCTATTATTTGTGTAGGGATTTGTGGACTGAAGAGCTAGCAGCAATGTCTGTGATTGGTTGTATTTATCCAATTGCTCACAATTAATATGTCATGATAACCGGAATATAAACTGTGATCCCAATTGTTCCTTAAGGTTTTATCAACATCTCAGAAGGAACCTGTTAAATATTTCCAAAATATCAGAGAAGAGATTACAATTAAAATCTACTGTAGTATTTCCCAGCGTTTCTTTAGATTTGCCTTTAGATTTGAGGTCAAGTGCAATAGAAGTCTAGTGCTAATTAACTAAATTGTGCCAAATAAAAATTTGTACATATCAGAACCAGACGAAAGGAGGACTGATGGTAGTATAAATGTTTCACCTCTACCCGGTCTCCTCTGCTAAGTTCCTCCTTAAAATGTATCCATTTCCTGTCCCATGGATATTTTACCTCTCTTAAAGTTGTGGAATGCAAATAAGGGGAAATCAATATTTAAATTCTGTGTATACGACCCACAGCTGGGTAATGGATTATTTTCCATCTTTGATATGGAAAGATCAGATAGCATTTGCTGAATGCCTACTAGGTGCCAACAACTGTTAGGTGCTTTAAATAAAAATGTCAACAATCAACAGAACATACATATGAGATAGGCAATATTGTACTCATTTCATACTACAGATGAGAAACAGCCTTAAAAAGGTGAAGTAATTTGACCAAGGTATAGGCAAAACAGTGGAGCCAATATTTGAACACGAGTCTGTCTAAAGGTAAGCCCCTGGCTTTCACCCTTCACTCTTTTACCTCCCGTATGTCCTAAAGCATTGCCCCTTTATTTCCTACATGAGCTGAGCACCTGGAATTTCATACCTCAGTGCTACTTTAGCCCCTGGTATTATCACCAACACAGCATCTACAAGATAGTTCTATGGACTTGTCACAGAGTTCTGCAAAACAAATCTCTTTTGGTCAATAAGTTTTAAACATAAAGTTTTAAATTAGAAAAAATAAATGTTTTGAGCCTCCACAGGGATTCCAATTGTTCCCTAAGGTTGTATTGACTGCTCAAAGGAACCTGTTACAATATTTCCAAAATATCACAGAAGAGATTACAATAAAAAGCTACAGTAGTACTTACCAGCTTTTCTTGTTGACAGTGGCCGTATATGAAAAGCAGGTTCCCCTGATCTGCCTGGGCAGTTTCATCCCTGCAGAGCTGGGATGAATGACAAATTCAAAACCTCTCTTTACACGTGGATTTGAACAAGAAATCTCCAGGAAGCAGGTTTGAAGAGATGGGATCCAGACACCTCCTAAGCCTCTTGTTTTCAAATTTGTCTGCATGTTGGAATCACCTGGCCATCTTTTTAAAACTGCTGATGCCTGTATGTGCCCCCTCCTCCCAAGATTCTGATTTCATTGGCTCAGGGTGAAGCCTCAGCATCATAATTTTTTTTTTTTAATAGAGTCTTGCCCTGTTGCCCAGGCTGGAGTGCAGTGGTGCAATCTCGGCTCACTGCAACCTCTGCCTCCCAGGTTCAGGCAATTCTCATGCCCCAGCCTCCTGAGTAGCTGGAAATGCAGGTGCACACCACCACACCCAGCTAATTTTTTGTATTTTTAGTGGAGATAGGGTTTCACCATGTTGACCAGGCTGATCTCGAACTCCTGAGCTCAGGCAATCCACCTGCCTCAGACTCCCAAAGTGCTGAGATTACAGGCGTAGCCACCACACCTGGCCAGCATCATGAGTTTTAAAGGCTTCCCAGGTGAGTCTGATATGTGGCAAAGTCTGAGAACCACCAACCTAGGCAATCTAATCAGAAAAGATTTCCACAGATGTACTGATGATATTAACTATTGGTACTTGGGGTACGTTTTAATTAAGTTATAGCTAGGAATGATAATGGCTAATGTGAATCACTATGAAAGATATTTTTTAAACAAAGACTATAGACTGAAAAATAAAAAGATATGCAAATTATGCAAAAGCAAACACAAAACAATGTTATAGTGTGTGTGTATGTGTGCGTGTGCACATGTGCACCTGACTGTAACTGCACACTATAAGCACTCTGAGATTGGGCTGGTTGTCAATGAAGACTTCAGCATTACATGTAAGAGAATATATTGATGTGTTACTTTGTAATTATAAATAAAGTAGATTTTATAATTCATTGTTTTGGGTTTGTTTCTAAAAGAGATTATTCCTTTTGGGCCATAGCCTCCAGGTGGAGAAAGGAGACTGCACTAAGAATGGGCCGAGTCATCAGACAGCTGAAGATAATATAGGAAAATGGAAATAAACAAGGAGTAACTTAATTTTATCCCAGACTTTGGCATACGCCCAAAACAAGAAGTCATTCTCTCTCCTAAAAGAAGGGGCACTATTTGTACCTTTAGAGACTGTCTTGTTCTGAATAATTTTTCCCATCTGTTTTGTGGGAGAGATACAAGCTGATTTTTCCCCCAACCATCATGGAGATTTTATTTTAATTCAGGCACAATTGAAGTGACTAAACAAAGTGCAGGAAAACTTCTTGAGGTTGCAAGAGTGAGCAAAAATATGGCAAAGGGACCTTAATATATATACAGGTA
Source organism: Homo sapiens (assembly GCF_000001405.40). Taxonomy (NCBI): domain Eukaryota; kingdom Metazoa; phylum Chordata; class Mammalia; order Primates; family Hominidae; genus Homo; species Homo sapiens. Next base: position 38,519,011 of record NC_000004.12, read on the forward strand.
AGATCATAAATTATAAGGAAGTTTTCTAAAATGATTGCACAGAATGATGGGTTCTGGGATATTCGTTATTGCCAAGAAAGAGTACCTTGAAGACATTGTAGACTACAGAACTGGAAGTGGCCCAAAGATGCATAAGAAAAATAATAATAATAACAAAAGTCACTTATTGAGTGGTTATAATATTCCAGCTTACCATTTTAAGCACCTTGCTTTAATTATTTTATTTTATCCTTATAAGGCAATATACTATGATCAGCCTGATTTTACAAATGAATATGAGATTAAATAATTTATCCAAGGTCACATGTCTCATAAGAGACAGTGCGGTGCCCTATCAAGGCACTTAACCTCTGGGCTAACCACTGCTCTTAGCAGTAAGGGTGATGTTTCCCCAAGTAGACACTAGAAACAACAGGCATGATACCAGCAACAATGGCAAAAAGATTCCATGGTCAGATTTACAGGGTAAAACTCTTACTAAGGACATGTCTGTAATATGCTAATGTAAATTAAGAAAATAAAGGAGATGGCGATCACATGATTTGACTTTAGAGTTTTATTTTTACAGATGAAAGTGTGAAGTATGCTGTGGAAAATGCTGTTTCAGGTTGGTTTCCTTATGGAGACGATAAAATGAATTTTCTGGGAGGGGTAATGATTGAGAGGATCTGGTGGTGATGGACCTGCATGACCCTAAAGAGACTCAGCTGGAGGGAGGTCTGAGGCTGAATTTGGGGAGCATGAGTGGCTGACAAAGAAAGACAGCACAGAAATAGGGAACAGAGAGGAGGCCAAACTGGAAAAATCAAAGCAGAACTGTGACCAACACAAGGAAGTGGCTCAGCAGTCAGCAGATGGGATGTAAGTAGATACAAGGAGGGAATTAAGCACTAAGGCAGAACTGAGTTTCTTGAACAATGACAAAAGGTGGGGCAGGGGCATCAGGAACAGGTTCAAAGTTTACACATAAAAATTGGGCTCAGAGTCAGGACTAATAAGAGGCAAGCTTGGCATCTCGGAGTTCCAGAAAGAAAGGAAGTACTAAAAGCAAAAAACAAAAAAACCCTACATTGACAGTGGTATGTCAAAAGGCCACAGGAACCAACTGAAAGAGCTCCCAATGGCCAAAGCTGGAACAATTTGAGCAACAAAACAAAGTAGTACTGAATTATAACCCAAAGTATAAAATAAATATCCATATATCCACACTGATATTAATAAGTGATTAGATAAATTAATAAATGGGGAGGACAGACAAATCTCCCATGCAGAAGAATTCTGAAGAATTTATGTAGATACTCCATGCTCAAGGTAGGAGAACATAAATCCTCACTCCTTTAGTGTAAGTTGCACATAGTAAATTCCCTGCAAAGAGTACAGTAGGGAAAGGGTCAGGGGAGAGTCAATTTACAATCAAGAAACCTGACAAACATTACTTCAGCAGGGTGATTGATATGGTTTTGCTGTTTCCTTACCCAAATGTCATCTTGAATTCCTATGTGTTGTGGGAGGGACCTACCTGGTGGGAAGTAATTAAATCATGGGAGCAGGTCTTTCCCATGCCATCCTCGTGATAGTGAATAAGTTTCATGAGATCTGATGGTTTTAAAAAGGGGAGTTTCCCTGCACACGCTCTCTTCTCTTGTCTGCCAACCTGTGAGACGTGCCTTTCACCTACCGCCATGATTGTGAGGCCTCCCCAGCCACATGGAACTGTGAGTTCATTAAAGCTCTTTCTTTTGTAAATTGCCCAGTCTCGGGTATGTCTTTATTAGCAGCATGAAAACGGACTAATACGGTTATCAAAGCCAATATCAACAGTGATGAATTACGTTGAGAACACAGACCCTCAATACACAGTAACAGGAATGGTACTTTATCACTGTGATTTTCCTTCCAAAAACCCATAACTTCAGTCTAATCATGAGAAAACCATCAGATAAATTCCAGTAGGGGGGTATCCTACAAAATGCTTGATCAGTACTCCTCAAAACTGTCAAAGTCACCAAAAAGTCTGAGAAACAGTCACAGCCAACCAGGAGCCTAAGGAGACACGGCAAATAAGTGCCACATGGAACCTGGATGAGATCCAGAGGGAGAAAAAGGACATTAAATAGAAACTAAGGAAATGTGAGCAAACTATGGACTTTGGTTCGCAATAATGTATCAATACTGGTTTATTTGTCATAACAAACCCACCATAAGGAAGGTGATATTAGCAATGGGGTAAACTGGGTGACAGAGTGTACTGTACACGGGAACTCTATACTATCTTCTCAATTTTCCTGTGAATCTATCACTGTTCTAAAAAGTAAAGTTTATTAAAAAAAAAAAAAAAAGTTTGAGCTCTCACTTTCCCCTCCCCACATCTTATGTTTAGGGCCTGTTATGGGTTGAATTATTTACCCCCAAAATGCATATGTCCAAGTCCTAACACCTAGGACCTCAGTATGACTTTATTTGGAGGTGAGGTCTTTACAGAGGCAATCAAGTGAAAGTGGGGTCATTAGAGTGAGCCCTAATCCATTATGACTAGTGTCCTTATAAAAAAGAGCTATGCACAGAGGGAAGACACAGAGAGAAGATGGGCATCTACAAGGCCAAAGGGAGAGGCCTAGAACAAATCTTTCCTTCACAACCTGCAGAAGGACTCTGACAACATTTTGATCTGGTCTTCCAGACACCAGAACTGGGAGATGATAAATTTCTGTTGTTTAAGCCACCTGGTTCGTGGCATTTTGTTACGGCAGTCTTTGCACGCTAATAAAGGGGCCAAAGAGGAGGGGTTCAACTCATTTGCACCAGAGCAGAAGGATATAGGAGCTGGTGCTTTGAGTTGGAAGGGGCAAAGACCTAAACCATGTAAGCTGATTTCTCAGTGTTATGAAGCGGGGTGGAGGCTTGGAGTTTCTTTGAAATCCTTGCCCCACTTACACAGGGCTTCCCAGACATTGGGGTGTTATCATGGTTACATTCTGCAAGCTGCAGCCTCAAACCCTGGAAGAATGTCTGTGACAAAGCTTGCAGATAGTAAATCAGGCCACCAGGAAAGGAGATCCCCTGGATTTCGGTGTCCCAAAGGCACCAAGAAGGATAATGACCACAAGTGATGGAGAAGGGGCCAGCCGGACACGGTGGCTCACGCCTGTAATCCCAGCACTTTGGGAGGCTGAGGTGGGCAGATCACGAGGTCAGGAGATTGAGACCATCCTGGCTAACACGGTGAAACCCCATCTCTACTAAAAATACAAAAAATTAGCCAGGAGTGGTGGCAGGAACCTGTAGTACCAGCTACTTGGGAGGCTGAGGCAGGAGAATGGCATGAATCTGGGAGGCGGAGCTTGCAGTGAGCTGATATTGCACCACTGCACTCCAGCCTGGGCGACAGGCGAGATTCTGTCTCAAAAAAAAAAAAAAAAAGGGCCTCCTCTCTCATTTTTTAAGCACCACATAAGTCCCAAGGAGCGTGTTATTATAACCTTATGAAAGAGAATGGTTTCCCTAAAATGTAATTGTGATAAGATTTTTCAACCCTTAAAAGCAAAGGCTCAGACCCACAGTTAATTGAGAAATGTGACTTTTTTTTTTTTTTTATAGAGACGGGGACTTGTTATGTTGCCCAAGCTGGTCTTGAACTCCTGGCCTCTAGCAATCTTCCCACCTTGGCCTTTCAAAATGTTGGGATTATAGGAGTGAGCCAACACATCTGGCCAGAAATGTGACATTTTTGATCCAATGGTTGGGGTTCAAATTCAAGCTTGTTAAACAAATTAAGAAAATCAAAATCACCTATAACACGTCGTCTTATACCCATAACTTTCCAGAACACAGGTTGGCTCCTACAGATAATTTTACAATAGGCAGAATGCTAGCAACATTTTATGAGCTGTGGTATGCTTTCTCTAGGCTGTCTGTGATAGGTTGCCTTCATGGAGAGTCCAAAATCAAGACTGGGACAAGGGGGCTGTTGCTTAAGGCTTGAGCCAGATGTTGGATCTCCCCAGCAAGAGCATAGGTCATTTCTGGGACCTTCCCTTTCATCCTCACCAGAGTTCAACATCCACTCTGACAGGGAAAATGCAGAGGACCTACCATGAGCACATGAAATTCTGAAGCGTAACCCATCAGGCTTCTCCTCAGCCTGGCCCTCAAGACAACTAGGTCATCACTGATTCCAGATTCTCCTTATTCCAGACTCCACCCCCTGCAGTGTTCTACGTCTTCTGAAAGGGCCGGTGCAGGGCGCCCATGACTTGTCATTTTTCCTAGGTCAGCACATCCTTGTTCTCACCACTGGAAGTCAAGGCTGAAAAATCTGATTTGGTTCACCTGGCTTACTGGCACTATTTACTGGTGTGCACAGCAGATTTGATTTATGATAAGTCTGTTGAAAATGTCACTTTGGGGCTTTGAGGTGTGGTGGGGGTCGGGGGTGGATGCTGCATTTTGTTTTGGAAAAGAGGGCAGGACTTTTGCCTATGCTTTTCAAATAGGAGGAAAAATTAAGTTCACGGTTTGATTCCTAAAGAATCAAAAAGTGGAGCTAGATAAAAATCATACCAATAGGCAATTGGGAGATCCCAAGCCTTTTTCTTTTCCAGGAGAAACTTGAGTTTGAGTTTTCAAAATGAACGAAATATTTCCAAGGAAGTAAAAGTGGGCCTCCTTTGCCGGCCATCCCTCTTCCCCCATACCCTCTTCCTCTTTTCTCCTCCCTTCCTTCCCCTTTTCTTTTTTCATCTGCCCTTCAGTCACCATCTGTACTACTGTAGGAAATGGGAAAAAGACCTACGCTAAATCAGCATCCTACTCTACCTCTTACAAAGTCAGGAAAATATCTTTTTAAAAAAATGTTTGAAATTAATGCGCACCTATCCAGATCTCTGTTTGAACAAGGGCTGTCATTTCTGATAAAGGCACGGTTTTCCGAGATCGTGGAGAGCCCAAGTGTGGAGCTTTAAGAACCCTGACAACCACCAGTCTTGTTTCGGGTCATGAGTGCACCATTGGTTACCCTGATGTTGAGTCAGCATTCTCCAGACCACATAAAGGTCAGGTCTATCTTCACAAAGTGAAAGTGCTGAATTATATCGAAACCATAGAAAAAAAAATAAGCCAACCCTGCCTCGAGTCTCTAAGTCTCTGCTCCGACAGTTTTGTTTTTATCTGGAATTACAGTAAACTCATTTCGGCATGGTTGCGGCATGTGGTATTCTGAGTAACTGACTCTTCTACCTAATTGCAAGTTGCCACATACTCTCTACAGCCCTTCTTCCTTTCCCTGCGCCAGCTCCTCTGTCAGTTTCACCCGCTTGGCTGGGTCCAGACTTGTCTCCTTTTCTAGGTGGGGCAATAGATCAGTGGCCTGGGATACACCATGGTAGGTGGGACTTCAGAATTCAGGCACAGGCCAGGCGCACTGGCTTACACTTATAATTCCAGCACTTTGGGAGGCCAAGGCTGGCAGATCACTTGAGGTCAGGAGTTCAAGACCAGCCTGGCCAACATGGTGATACCTCACCTTACTAAAAATTCAAAAATTAGCTGGGCGTGGTGGCGGGTGCCTGTAATCCCAGCTACTCAAAAGGCTGAGGCAGGAGAATCGCTTGACTCCAGGAGGCGGTGGTTGCAGTAAGCCAAGATCGTGCCACTGCACTCCAGCCTGGGTGACAGGTCAACTCTGTCTCAAAAAAAAAAAAGAAGAGTTTAGGCACAAAGTCAACCAGAGTTGGACTGTGTGCATCCTGGGAGTCCTGGAGCCCCTTGGGGAACTCCTGCCCACCCTGTGTTGGGGGCAAAGAGTCAGGAAGGTTTGTGCTCAGATTCTGCCTCTGCTATGGCCTCTGATTACTCTGTGACCGCTGGCAAATTGTGACCTTACCTGTAAAGTGGGGACACTAATACCCCCTCACAGGACTGTTGAAAGAACTGGAGATGATGCATGTAAAATCATTTGGCACAGAGTAGGTGATCAGTGAATGTTGGTTCTTTTCTTGTGTCCTCATCCCCCACATCACAGCCTGCTCAATAATCCGGAGCCATGTCCCAATCTCTCTTCCTCCTTCTAGGATGGTCTCTCCCCGCCTTGGTGCCTATCTCCTCTGAAGGAGGGTGAGCTTCTCCTCCCACTGGGCTGTACAGCTCACCTGGCTGCACTGGCTGCTGAGCTTGGGGCCACAGATTAGTATCCTGGCTGGTTCCCAATGGCTGAATTACACTCACTAATGCCAATTGGTGCCGATGCTGGTCTTAACTTTGCCTGAGTATGCACTGTCCTTTGACCACTATGCCTCAGGCCACCGGGCCTCCTTCCCCAGCCTGGCCTCTGCAGCCCGAGCAGAGCCTCAGGTCACTCCCCATGCTCAGAGGAGCCCCGCATCTCATCTCCCTCGCTCCCTGCCCACCCACCTCCCTGCTGCAGTTCCTGCCTTTGTGCCAAGACCTGCTCCCGTTATGTCACGTGCCCTCCATGGATGGCTAATTTGCAAAGAATCAAAACTCAGAAAACGCATTTATAACTTAACCATATTGAGTCTAACTGTCTCTTTGATCATTTCAAAGGCAACTCAGGACCTTAAAAAGCCTCAGAATTGGCTTCCTAAGCACCAAGCCTTCTGGAAAATGGAAAATACAGGAGTAGGTTTAGGAGAATAATCTGAATGGTACTGGTCCCAAGACACCCCTGAAAATTAGGTGACTTTAAGCAAATTGCTTAATGTCTCTAAGCCTCAGTTTTCTTATCTGAAAGGAAGACAATTATACTTGACTCATGAGGTCTAAGGATCATGTAAATAAAAGGACTTGGTTAATTTTAAAATTCCTGATCTCAGCTTGATGTTTCTATTTTCATAAAAGCAGGGATTTGGGCTTCTTTAGCTGTTTAGACCTTGAGGGGGGAAAAAGGGTTACCTAATTATAATTTCACTATAATATTCCGTTCACGGTCCGGCTCTCTGAACAGACTATTAGCTCCTTGAGGCCAGGTATTGTGCTGGCTACTCTATAACCAGTTAGCACCAGCTGAATGTCCAGCTCAAAGCAGGCACTCAATGAACATTCACTGGATACGTGACTTCACCATGTACGTCACTGTCCTGGCCAAGCCTGGTGATCATGTCTCTATCATATTCTATCTGCAGGAAGAATCCTGTCAGCCTGGCAGAAGGTACATCAAGTGAGGAGAATTACTCCCCTCCCCTACTTCCTACTGCCAATCCCACCAAGACATGGTGAGGACATCCCAGCAAATGCACAGGAGGTCAATAAAATACAAGGAGCTCCCTGATGCCTTCTGGTGCTACTGCCCACAGGGCACTGTGAACTGGGCCAGCTGGGCTTAGGCCATGCAGAATGGCCAGCTGAGGGCAGAGACAGCCTTTCTCCCACCAGTCAGGCAGCTTCTACCACTTGACCTTCCCTATTCCTCCAGGAGGCTTTCTAAAAGACAACTGGTGAAAACGAGGCCTTCATTCACTCCTTCCTTGCTTCATTCATTCTACAAACATGAATTGGACACCTATTATGTCCCAGTGACTGTGTTAGATGTTGAAGAGGCAGAGTCCAGGCCCGCAAAGAACCCTGGGACTCCTGAGGGAAACAAACAAGGAAATAGACAATGACAATACAGTGTAATGAGAGCCAGGGCAGAAGCAAGCACGTGATGTGGGAGCACACAGGTGTCTCCATGCTTGATCTTGCAGAACGTGGGGTGGAGGGTGCCGCTCCAGAGAGCTCTGGGTAGGGTGGAATTTAACCTCTTGAAGGATGAGAGGGATTAGGTAGGGAAATCAAGGAAGTGTGGAAAGTGAAGGGAGAGTGTTCAGTAGGACACACAGACAAAGATAACAGCATGTACAAGAAAGAATGGGTTCAGGAGGCCGGGCACAGTGGCTCACACCTGTAATCCCAGCACTTTGGGAGGCCGAGGTGGGCAGATCACGAGGTCAGGAGATCGAGACCATCCTGGCTAACACGGTGAAACCGCATCTCTTCTAAAAAAAATACAAAAAAATTAGCCAGGCATGGTGGTGGGCACCTGTAGTCCCAGCTACTTGGGAGGCTGAGGCAGGAGAATGGCGTGAGCCCGGGAGGCGGAGCTTGCAGTGAGCCAAGATCATGCCACTGCACTGCAGCGTGGGTGACAGAACGAGACTGTGTCTCAAAAATAATAATAATAATAATAATAATGGCTTCAGGAATTGGCAAATGGGGACTTGGTGAGGATAAATCCAGAGGATGAGATCAGGATGTGGGTTTCCACATGCCCAGGAACAAGGAAAGACCTGTCCTTTGGTGGAGACTTGGGTACTCGAAAGACAGGTGGGAGGTGTTATATAAAGCCTTTATCTACCCTGTTTTATGGATGAGAAAGCTGAGAGCTGAAGAGCGGAATCACACAGCAAGTAATCAGCATAGATAGATCATCATAGTTGGAGGAGCTGGTCCTCTTGACCATACGAATGAGAAATAAATCAGCTTCTCAAATGGTATAGAGGCTCCGGGCCCAGTTGTGTTGGAATTTACCTTCCCACCCTCCCCTGTGCAATGAGCTGCCTTCTTCACAATCCATCAAAGAAGGTAAAAACAGCCATTGCTTCCTGCTAGAGATGGTAGTGGTGGCTCAGAGAAACCCTTAAAAAATTATTAGATGACCCCTGCTGTGATCTGAATGTTTGTGTCTCTCCAAAATTCACATGTTGAAATCCTAACCCCACCCACCGCACCCCCCACCCCACAGTGATGGTATTAGAAGGTGAGGTCTTTGGGGGGTGATTAAGTCATGAGGGTGGAACTGTCATGAATAGAGCTAATGCCCTTAGAAAAGAGGCCTGAGGAAGTTCCATATCCCCTTCTACCACATGAGGACACAGTGAGAAGGCACCATCTGTGAGGAGATGGGCCCTCACCAATCACCAAATCTGCTAGTGCCTTGGTCTTGGAATTCCCAGCCTCCAGAACTGTGAGAAGCAAATTTCTACCATTTTAAAGTCTATAGCACTTTGTTACAGCAGCTTGAACTAACTAAGACACTCCTTGGCTGCCTTCACAATGCTTACCAGGAAGTTCTCTGCAAGCCTTAAAAGTTCAAAGCCCAGAAATGGCCTCTCTTGAATGACATCCTTGGGTTTATGAATGAAATAGCCATATCTTGCATCTTTCTCCTTTGAGATTCATTCTTTTCTAATATTGCATTTACTACCCAAACAGATATTTCTGCTGATATTCATTCAATCCTACAGAGATAGACATCTAGGTAACATTATTTGCAAAATTTTTCCTGCTTCTTTTTCTTTCTTAAGAAGTTGTACCTTTCTTTCCAGTTATAATGAATAAGACAAAGCAAGTCATTCTGGACTTCTTTTTTCTCTTTTTTAAATTCATAATGGTTGTAGTTGAATAAAATATAATTTTTAATGGATATACATCTCACAGAACAGACAATACATATCTTTCAGGTAAAGCTTCTCTTTTCTCATATGAACAAATAGTATGTGAAAAATAGCAAAATAGATCATAAAGGCATCTGCATAATACATTGCAACTTTTGCTAAATTATTCTATCTTGTTCAAAATGAGACCTTCAGAAGCTTTAATTTCCTTGGCTCAATATATTGTAAGGATTAATACATATCCATTGATTTATTTATTCATCCATGTAGTATCAGTTTCATAATATGTGAGGCTCAGTGCACAATGAAAATATGGGGCCTCTTGTTCAAAAATTAAGACTTTTCTAGATAGCAGCCAGGCACAGTGGCTCACTCGAGTAATCTGAGCACTTTGGGAGGCCAAGGTGGGCAGATCACTTGAGGTCAGGAGTTTAAGACCAGCCTGGCCAACATAGTGAAACCCCGTCTCTACTAAAAATACAAAAAATTAGCCAGGCCTGGTGGTGGGCACCTGTAATCCCAGCTACTCGAGAGACTGAGGCAAGAGAATCATTTGAACCCGGGAGGCAGATGTTGCAGTGAGCCGAGATGGTGCCACTGCACTCCAGACTGGGCGACAGAGCTAGACCCTGTCTCAAAAAAAAAAAAAAAAAGAAAACGAAAAAAGAACTTTCTAGATGACAGCAGCATTAAGCCAAGCATTAAAGCCACCTGTCTAAGCATGAGTCCCTGTGTAACTCCACAGGTCCCCCACCCAGGAAGCTGGACCTGAATCCACCAAATTATAGGCCGGCCCTGGAAATACAAGGATGAGCCAGTCAGATGTGGTCTGTGCCCTCCCCTGCAGCTTGGAGAAGAAAGGTCACCATGAGGTTTAATGAGGACTCAGATAAGGGAAGTGCTGGGTCATCTAGGAGCTACCTCATCGTAGCGGCCAGCAAAGACCTTCCTGAGGAAATGACATGCACGCTGAGGCCTGAAGCTTGACGAGGCTTCAGCAGGCCAAGAGTAGGAGGGAAATTATTTTCGGGCAAAGGAAGAGCATGTAAAAGAGATTGGAGAAAAGGCTGAAGAGTGTGGCATGTCTGAGGAACCACAAGGAGTGTGGCATGGCTGCAGCACAGAGAACATTATGGGGCCTGGCTGAGGGCAAGATGAAGAGGTGGATGAGACCCAGCCCTGAAGGGAGGTTACATGGTATCCTGAAGGCAGTGGGAAGCTCTTAATGAGTTTCTTGGGCCTCTCTCAGCTGCACAATGGGCCAAAGAAGGGAAGAAATCGATGGTGGTGTCAGTGGAAGAAAACCAAGCTCCCCTGCCTGGTTCCTGATGAAAAAAGAAAAACAGCAAAAACAAAAACAGGAAGTTAGCCTGCAGAATTGCGTTGGCAGGAAGTCCTGGTTTGACAAGTCATTCAGCCTGTGCTCTGGGCCATGGACCTACCACCTTGAAGCTGGTGCTACTCCACACCTGATCAGCAGATCAGAAGAGCAGGACAGGCAGAACCTTCCTCTTCTACTGCGAGAGCTCAGTCAGTGGGAAATGTGCTCCGGGCTTCCTGGTTTGTCGCTTAGCAACACCACGTACTTGGTGCATAGGTGACCAGCACTCTCCATGAAGCCTTCCTGAGTGACTCTGCGCCCACTGTGCCTGCTGGCAGTCATGTGTTTACCGGTTTGCCTCACCTACCAGACTATGTGTTGCTTGCGAGCAGGAGATAGGTCTTACTCACTTTTGGATTCTAGTTTCTCACAAAGTAAACCATAAATGTATTGGTAAACTGAATTAACTTATACTAAATCTAGTTATATCTGAGGTATAGTATACATTCAGTCATTTTGGGAAGACAACTTGTATTAAAGATATAAAATTTTTATAAGAGAAAAGTCCTTTGAGTTCTGTGCCTCTGGCTTTAAGATATGCTTTTGACATCCAATATTTTTCTAATTTGGGACTTTTCAGAAATGATCAAGGCAATGTCCATTTGATATAGTATCCCTAGCAGACAAGGATTATGAGTTTTTAGCATTGAGTTTCCACAGGGCATGGTGTATAGTAAGTGGTTCATTATTTAATGAATGTATAGATCACATACATCCATGTACACCAATTCACACATACACTTTGCATTACTAAAGGGTTTTACAGGTACATATTCAGTAGTTTTTTTAAATGTATAAGAAAAGTATAAATAGGAAAGTGTACCATAGTATATATGATACATATCTAAGATGTGAAGATTATGTTATTATGCATCAAAAATCATAAAGGTGGATGATTATTTTGATTATTCAGCAGAAGCATTTCTCCATGCAACGTTTAATAGAAAAATATATAAGGAAGGCAAAGGCTTAAAATACTATCTATCTTCAAACTTTTAAAAGAAATAGGCCTGGTCCAGTGGCTCACACCTGTAATCTCAGCACTTGGAGAGGCTAAGGCAGGAGGCTCACTTGAGGCCAGGAGTTTGAGTCCAGCCTGGGCAACATAGAGAGGCCCTTCTCTACAAAAAATTTTAAAAAGCAGCTGGGCATGGTGGTGCATGCCTGCAGTCCCAGCTACTTGGGAGGCTGAGGCAGGAGGATCACTTGAGCCCAGGAGTTAGAGGCTGCAGTGAGTATGATTGTGCCACTACACTCCAGCTGTAGCCTGGTTGACAGAGAGAGACCTGTCTCTAAAAAAAGAAGGAAAGAAAGAAATGTAAAATGATTTACATAAAATGCTGTAACTGTAAAATCAATTCAGAGAGGAAATGTTCAAGAATAAGTGATTTTCAAGAAGTATAATTTTATGATCTGACATCTGAGAAATAGTTGAACAAATGGAAGAATTGTCTTACTCCAGAGTATTAGAAACAAGCCAGTGGGAGGGTGTTCAGTGAGCCATTTGTAACTAGAGAGCCCTCCGGAGAAAGAGGGGGTGGAGTTTCTGAGGAACCAGACAGAGCTGGGATTTTCTCAGCTGTGTTTGCAGTTTCACTTAGATACCGTTCAAAGCCATTTCTAGCATCTAATAAAAACAGATGCACTTTTTCTTACAGCCCCCAAGTGTCTGGAATACAAATTTCCCATCTTGTCACTGACCAGCTTCTCTGTCCTTGGAATCCCTCTACCTCTGTTCCTTTGTCCCTGGGATTCATGGTTGTGACCAGACTGCAGACCCTTGCTACCTGATAACCCGCCCCTGTCTCGCCAACTCCTGTGAACAACCTACTCCACTTGAAAACAAACACATCCATCTCTTTTTTTTTTTTTTAATTTATAACTGAAAGAGGTTTAATTGCCTCACAGTTCTGTAGACTATACAGGAAGCATAGCGGCTTCTGGCTTCTGTTTCTGGGAAAGCATCAGGAAGCTTCCAATCATGGCAGAAGGAAAACAGGGAGTGAGGCATCTCCACACGGTGGGAAAAGGAGCATGAGAGAGTGTGAGAGGAGCTACACACCTTTTTTTGTTATTGTTTTACTTTAAGTTCTGGGACACATGTGCAGAACGTGCAGGTTTGTTACATAGGTATACATGTGCCATGGTGGTTTGCTGCACCCATCAACCCATCATCTAGGTTTTAAGTCCCTCATGTATTATATATTTGTCCTAATGCTCTCCCTCCCCTTGCTCCCCACCCCCCGACGGGACCCGGTGTGTGATGTTCCCCTCCCTGTGAGTAAGAACACAGAGAAACATACCCATTTCTTTACATTGAAAGAGACCTTAGAGATCATCTGACAAAAGGGGCCAGGAGAGTTAGTGTGACTTTCACGAGGTCACAGAGCTATTTTAGTCACAAAGCCAGCACAACAAAGCCAGCACAAGAACCTTACTCCATCCCCTGATGCCTCCTCTACCACTTCTCGATGTCCATCCCAGCAGCCTCAGTTACAACTGGCTTCCTGAAGAAAGTTTTCAAAAACGTTATGTATTAGTCATTGAACCCTAGACTACGCTAAAAGGTAACTTGTAAATCCACCTGATGCATTGATCTCCCTGGTGGAAATAATTTGAATGCTTCCTGGCCTCGACTAATCTTTATGTATGCATGTATGTAATTTGTATGTTGGTACATGTGCTGCCTTTCATGCTACTTTTTGCTTCATGTGAACAGCAGCCACATGTAAACACTTCCCCAGCTTTCTAGAGCAGGGCCATCCAATAGAACTTTCTCCGATAATGAAAATGCTCGTTACCTATGACAGTAGTCACATGCTGCTTTTGAGCACTTGAAATAAGGCTAGCGTAACTGAGGAACTGAATCTTTTATTTTATTTCATTGTAATTCATTCAAACACAAATTTCAATGCCACTTGGCCAACACAGTTCTAGAGAGTCATTGTGTTTCTTACAATGGATACGTAAAATTTCAATTGTATTGATATTTTGGTTTATTTATTATTCCTCTGTCCTCATTCAAAATGCTTTTTGCTTTTGCTATTATAGCAAATACAATATTATGTACAGATATATATATACACTCCCATAAAAAAATTGCTTGTGTGGTTTTCTTCTTTTGATTTATTTGTTTAACTTCCTGCAAATGAAACTCCAACTGCGTAGTGTTTTGACTGAAATATTCCTTAAAATCCTCAAAGAGGCTCCATCTGTCTCTCTTCCCCTCTTTTTCTCCCATTATATACCCTCTGGAGCAGGAACTCTGTCGAGAATCCGGGCCTTCTGTTTCTAAGTCCTCCACTGGGGCCGCTCTCAGCCCTTTTTCTGTGCTTCCTCATCCTCCCTGAGTCATGTTTTAGGTCTCCTTTCCCCAAGCCAACTTTATCCTTTTGTATTGTCCTTTGGAAGCAAAGACACAGGTCATTTTGATTTAAGGGATTTGCTACTAATCCAGACAAAATAGAAAGCACAGGGATGTTCCAAAAGTTCAGAATCTGGACATAATCCACAGCTCTGTTCCCAATTCCTCACTCCTGGCCAAAGATGTAGAGGGACTGCAAACACAGTGTTTGAAGCCAGAGAGATCCGGTGTTACTTGTTCCCCTGAGCAACATCAGCTCACTCTGGTGCTTTCCTTATTTCCCTACACCTCAGCCTCACACATCACAGTCATCTCCACGGAGAGGATGCCCAAGAAATGCTGCTGAGGCAATATAAACTCAACCCCGTCCGTCAGAAAAGATAAACAGGCCACTCTCCAGATCACTTGGATGGTGAATGCAGTTTTGAGCAAATCCACTCAAGTTTTCAGGTTAGACAATGTGATGGTTACTACTGTCAACTTGATTGGATTGAAGGATGCAAAGTATTGTTCCGGCGTGTGTCCGTGAGGGCGTTACCAAAGGAGATTAACATTTGAAGTCAGTGGACTGGGAGAGGCAGACCCACCGCAATCTGGGTGGGCACCATCCAAGTAGCTGCCAGTAGCTAGAATAAAGCGGGCAGAAGAAAGTGGAATGAACAGACTCTCTGAGTCTTCCAGCCTCCATCTTTCTCCCGTGCTGGATGCTTCCTGCCCTTGAACATCAGACTCCAACTTCTTCAGCTTTTGGACTCTTGGACTTCAACCAGTGATTTGCCAGGGCTATCAGGCCTTCGGCCACAGACTGAAGGCTGCACTGTTGGCTTCCCTACTTCTGAGATTTTGGGACTCAGACTGGCTTCCTTGCTCCTCAGCTTGCAGATGGCCTATTGTGGGACCTCACCTTGTGATTGTGTGAGTCAGTACTCCTTAATAAACCTCCCCTTCATAAACATACATCTGTCCTATTAGTTTTGTCCCTCTAGGCAACCCTGACTAATACAGACAAGGTCAAAAATTAAGCCAGCACTGAAGGGGCATAACATGGAACTCCAGAATCACACAGCGGTAGGAAGAAACACTTCAGGTTATGGTTCCCCAGAAAAAAGAGATGGGGAAAAATCAGGAAATTTATCACTAGATCACATGAGATAATTCAGTTAGAGAGATACTTTTAAAACTGTGAATAACCACAGGTAAGACAAAGAGAATATTAGGCAGGCAACAAGAACCCATGACAGTTGTCCTTATAAATGAAAACGGCTTGCTGTAGTTATCAGTTCATAGATATGCCAGTCAGAACAAAGGTCAGGATTATTTCAGGATTTCAGGATTCCCATGCTTGTCCCTACAGGCAACTAGGGAAACCGGTATGAGTTAGCCTATAGAAGAGAACAGAGCTTACAGAGTAAGAACCCTGATCAAGCCAAACCTGATGTCCATCTATGTCTGGAATTTTCATTTGTATTATGTCCTTTTTCTCGTGGCTGTGGCTTAAAGCCCTGTGGCATGTCTACTGTGAGGCTCCTGGATGGTGAGCTATTCCAGAGAAATCTAGTCTTACAGAGATGAACATTTGACAGAAACTCCCTCTCTCATTATCTGTAAAAACTGAGCATTCATTGTTAGGTATAATAACAATATAGTGGGAACAGGAAGGGAGGTACTGGGAACTAAGTTGAGTCTGCCACTTAATCATTTGATCATTTGAATTTTGCTGGGTGTCAGCTTCCTTATTTATAAAATAAGGATGTTAGAACAGATACATGGTTTTAAAATTTAATTTTGACTTAACAACAAATTTTGAATTTAATTTGACAACATAAACCTTCCCCATAGTTTTCTCCTGAATTAATTGTTACAAGTGTGTATTAGTCTGTTCTCATGCTGCTAATAAAGACATACTCAAGACTGGGTAATTTATAAAGGAAAGAGGTTTAATGGACTCCCAGTTCCATATGACTGGGGAAGCCTCACAATCATGGTGGAAGGCAAAGGAGAAGCAAAGGCACATCTTACATGCCTGCAGGCAAGAGAGCTTGTGCAGGAGAACTCCTATTTATAAAACCATCAGATCTCATGAGGCTTATTCACTACCATGAGAACAGTACGGGGGAACCACCCCCATGATTCAGTTATCTCCACCTGGCCCCACCCTTGACACCTGGGGATTATTACAATTCAAGGTGAGATTTAGGTGGGGAGGAGGTGTTCTGGTTGAACAGGGGTGGGGCTGGAGCCCATCCACTCAGCTTCCCTGCAGCCCCCTAGGGCAGCCTAGAATCACCTCTAGGGAGGTCCAAGGCACTGAGTAACACAGTCTGAGAACCTCTGAACTAGAAGCTCCCTGAGTTCCTAGCTTGGGTGGTTAGGAATTGTTAGTGCTGGATATACAGGTTTGTCCTTCAAATTGTTCTCAGTCTTCTAGCCCATTGATCCGCCACTTCCATTTGATCTTTAAGCTATATTAATACATGTTTGAGAAAAAGAAAATTAAATAATTTTAACCACAAAAACGTTAATTTGCCTTAGACATCAGAATATGTTGAGCAAAATATTTGTCTCCAAAAGAATATTTCAAAAATTAAGTATAGCACCTGATAATGAAAATGTAATATTCCTAGGTTCCGATACACCACAAGGATCACACCCTTTGGGGATCTTTGGGACACTGGTCCAGGTCCCGTCTGGGCTCTCCATGATATCATCAGGGACAATGTCGTCAGGGATCCAAGTGCTTTCCAGCTCTGCTTCATGTTGTTGGCAGGAGGCCCCTCCTTCTCATCCTTGTATCAGCTGCCTTCTCATCACAAGATGACTATGTCCCTCTGGGCCCCATCCTCCCCTCCCCACCCACCCCGCCTCAGGCTTGAAGAGGAAAGAAGAGCGCAGGGCCAAAAAAACTTTGTCCTTTAGAAAGGATCTACCTTTTAGGCTGAGAATGGCACTCTCCCCAGAAACATCCCCATACATCTCAGTATCCTAGACCAAAAATGCCCACAGCCCCCTCTCAGGGAAAGGCAGTCAGGGAGAACGGTGGTACCAAGATTCTGATAATCTGACTGGACTGCAGGGACAGTCACATGATGATATATGGAAGGCAAAAGAGGGGACTTCAGCCTCAAGGAAGCCTTTGCCTCTACCAGAGGAGCAGGAGGTTGGTGAAGGGAAAAGCTGGAAAAACCAAAAGTTGAGTTTCTCTGCAGATCAAGGGGAGCTTACTCTGATGTTTCTGGTCTGATCTCTTTGGGGGCAGAGACTGGTCGGAGGAGGACACGATGGCTCACTCCTGAGGTCTCCTTCCATCGGAAGGCACAGCCCTCAGTTTAGCCTCAGCTTTCCCCTAGGAAATTTCTCTCACTCCTTCTCTTCTCCCTTTTCAACCACTGCTCGGTTCCTTCATCCCCCAGGTTTTACCGGGGCAGGCCTCGTGTTGACCACCTGCAATGGACTGAATGTTTGTGCCCCCCAAAATTGATATGCTGAAATCTAACCCCCAATGTGATGGTATTAGGAGGTGGAATCTTTGGGGTGTGATTAGATCATGAGGGTGGAACCCTCATGAATGGGATTAGTGCCCTAATAAAAGGGACCCCAGAGAGCTCTCTTGCCTTCTTTCTATCATGTGAGGATACAGCAAGAAGCCTGCAAACCAAAAGACGGCCCTCACCAGACCCCAACCATGCTGCCACCCTAATCTCAGACTTCCAGCCTCCAGAACTGTAAGAAATAAATTTCTGTGGTTTATAAGCCACCCAGTCTATGGCACCTTGTGATAGCAGCCCAAACTGACACCAACCTATGGTCATTAACACTGCCTGAGGCTGAATGAGAGGCTTGCCAAACTCAAGCCTTCAGTATTAGGAAGCCCACTGTGCTCCACACCCAAGTCACGCCTTCACACAACCAGTATCAGAAATAAAGATGCTTTTCCTTTATCATCTGCCCCCCTCCTTTATTTTATCTGTGAATTGATTCTGAACTTGGGCAGTGAAAAGAGAGATGTTGTTTGTTGGATCTCTCCTCTCCACATCTAAACAGTGCCTAAAATAGTGAGAGCTTGATACTTTGTCAAATGAAAAATATACCCGATCCTTCCTCTAGGACTTCTGTGATTATGTAAATGTATATTCCCAGAGATGAGAATCAAAGCAGTTGACAGGCATATGAAACCTTTGACCAGTAAACAAGAACAGTGAATTATCTTAGTATTCGTGTTACTAATGAGACGCCTAGCACAGTACCTGGCATTTGTAATTGAATGATACGCATTCCAGCTCAGATTTTGGCACAGTATAAAGGAGAGAAGTCAGCAGCTAGAAAAGTTTTTCTCTCATGGTTTCTGGTCAAAACAGTGAGGTAGGAAAATAATTACCAAGAACATAAAAGCCTGGCTGTGAGAATATTCCTCAATGGCAGAAGCCCCTTCTTGTGTTCATATTAAAAGGCAGGACTGACCCTTGTGCAGTAGACAAATGATAATGTCAAGCTTTTGTTTTGCATAATGTTTGATTTGGGGCTCCAATTTGTCTCATGAAATGTCTGAATGTACAATAATACACAACATCTTAATGAAGTTCTAAGTTGATTTTATAAAGCAATGATAAGAATATTATTGGATGCAAAAATATAAAATTCTTGTATTCAGACATATATACAAAAGTAGCTGAAAATAGAACATCAGCAGAAACTGCTATTTATACCATTCAGTGCCAGGAGAATGTCATACCAGTTCTGGATGGATTCTCTCCAGGCCCTTGAACACAAAGGAAATGGATAAACTAACCCACTGCAAGTTTGAGGTTCTCTGTTACTTGCATCTGATCCCAATGCATATATAGGCGAGTCTTTATAGTCACATTTAATCTACATGGGCTCTGGACTCCTACAAATCTAGGTTTGAATGCAGGCTGCACATTAATTAATTAATAGTTATAAAAGTGGGCAAATTATTCAGGCTCTCCACATCTCAGGTATCTCATTTGTAAAATAGAATAAAAGTGTATATTTCTTATGGTAGGATTAAATGTAATAATGCAACCAAAGCACTTGGTACAGTGGAATGAGTGAATGTTAAATAAATGTTAGCTATTAGAATTAATGTTGATAAGGATGAATAATAGTAACTACTGTAATTGGCCAAAGTGAAGGCACTTTCAACCTTACCATTGCATTGGGTGATTTTTATATTTGTCCTAAACCATCTTAAATTTAATTTGTGGGTCAACTAAAGTCTCAAGACAAAACAGCTACTCTTTCCACAGCAATAATGCAATTTACATTTCTTTTGTCATATTTAATGGATTTTAAGGTGCTTTGAAAATAGGTAGAGGTTTCAATGATGTTAGGCTGTTCTGACTGACAGCTAAGGCCCATGGAACTCTGTTACAAATTCTCTTAACAATTGCACTTGAATTACCTGAGTAGGAAATTTGCTTGCTTGGTTATAGGGAAATGGTTGAACTTAAACATAAAAGGTTAAATGAAAACCCACATAATAAACTATAATCATTGACTTTCAGATTGATAAGGCCAGGAAATTAAGGTGGTTAGCAAAAGGAGGCATTGTTCCATACGCGAGGAAAATCTGTACCTGCCAAATGAAATGCCACTGTGTCAGCTTCAAGATCTCCTGGGCTTTCTCTGTAAATGACAAAGACAGCTCCCAAAACAGGAGTGCTTGACAATGCTCAAAACCAGATGAAAATAACATTACTCTGGAACAACTAAGAGATGCAAAGACACCAATGGAAGAATGTAGGTTCAGGAACCAAATTTACAGTTACACGTAGATATTTAAAATACATAAAAAGAGGCCGGGCCCGGTGGCTCACGCCTCTAATCCTAGCACTTTGAAAGGCAGAGGCGGGTGGATCATTTGAGGTCAGGAGTTTGAGACCAGCCTGGCCAACATGATGAAACCCCCATGTCTACCAAAAACACAAAAATTAGCCAGGCATGGTGGTGGGAGCCTGTAATCCCAGCTACTTGGGAGGCTGAGGCAGGAGAATTGCATGAACCTGGGAGGTGGAGGTTGCAGTGAGCCAAGATCATGCCACGGCACTCCAGCCTGGGCAACAGAGCGAGACTCTGTCTTAAAATTAATTAATTAATTAATTAATTAATAAAAATATATAAAAAGAAAGCTCAATAATTTCTCATGATTCACATTCATAGCAGTTTTGATAAACTAACCATGCAGTCATCTGCAAGAATCCACAAGGAAGAAATTCCCATAAGATTGCGTTAACGTCCAAGCAAATTGACTCTTCCTGGACAAATGCATCACACTCTTTAGGTATTAATTCCAGAGTGGAAAATGTACAAACAACCTCAAATCAATGACAGTGACTCCCTGAAGCTCTATGTTAAGAAGAACAAGGTTGCAATGGCTTCTCCTGACTCTGGAGGAAAAAACAGTGTGATAGACCAACAATATCTTCTGCAAGTTCAGGATAGGGATGGTTGGTTTATGCTCTGACTGTACTTCATGTTCTCAACCTCCAATACTGCGTTTCTGGTCCTATCAGACCCTATGTCCCAGATATCACAGCTGAACATCTGCTTTCCTTCTCTGGACCTGGTCACACCAGTATTTGAATGAAGACAGCGTATTCATCATTCGCCAGTGATACAAACCCAATTCCAACCAGCCAAAGCAAAAAAATAGGAACTGTTGGTTCACTTAACTATGAAGTCCAGGGGTGCCACTGGTGTCCAGCACAGCAAGATTCAGAAGCTGCATCATGTCGCCAGGGATCCATTTCTCTCTCTTTCTTTCTTAGTCTCTTAGAAAGGCTTTCTGACCGTTTGCGGTGGCTCATGCCTGTAATCCCAGAACTTTAGGAGGCCACGGCGGGCAGATCACTTGAAGTCAGAAGTTTGTGACCAGCCTGGCCAACATCATGAAACTCCGTCTCTACTAAAAAATACAAAAATTAGCTGGGCCTGGTGTCACCCGCCTGTAATCCCAGCTACTGGGGAGGCTGAGGCAGGAGAATCGCTTGAACCCAGGAGGCAGAGGTTTCAGTGAGCCGAGATTGCGCCACTGCACCCCAACCTGGGCAAGAGAATGAGACGCTGTCTCAAAAAAAAAAAAAAAGAAAGAAAGAAAAAAGAAAAAAAAAGAAAGGCTTTCTATAGAGAAGGCAGGATGGCCACCAGCAATGCCAGACTCACATCCCCCCACCTCAGCAATCACAGTGGAAGGTACACATTTTTTTCTAATAGCCCTTGGGAAATAAAAAATCCCAGGTAGGATTCTAATTGTCCCTGACTCCCTTACATGTAAATACTGAAACTGATAACTAAAGCCAGGAGGGCTGTGTACTCTGATTGGCGGTATTTAGTTTTCACGTCCACTCAGGTAGCTAAGAGAGGAAGGCCAGAATAAGCACCCTCTGATAACTGATGCATGTGGAATGCATTCTCCACAGTGAGAGGGGTCTATTTCCAGAAGGAAGGGGGAACCAGGCTCCCCACATCCTGGCCAACTCTAGCCAAATGTTATCATTAGGATCTGGTATCCTGTCCCATATCCCCAAGCAAGTATATGGGGACCTAATGTGCTGATAGATTTCTCTGTTCCTGTCTGCCTGCCTTGATTTCTCAACTCTGTGAATAGAACACCCATAACTTCTTGTAAGATGTACCCCCCCTAACAAAAGTTCAAGTGTTCTGTGTCCTACCTCCTATGCCATATGTTTGATGCTAGGTCCTGCCTGCTGTTATGGCTTCCTCCCAGTTACTACATTTGAATTTTAAGAGGGTGACAGGCCCCACCCCATGCCAGAGAAAGGGATTAAGCATAGTGAAGTGGGGAAAACTTTGACTTAGAGCCAGCTATATCTGGGTTCAAATTCGGATACTTCTACTTTCTAGCCATGTGACCTTGCACAAATTATAGGCATACCTTGGAGTGATTGCATTTTTGGTTCCAGGCCACCTTAATAAGGCAATTTTTTTTTTTTGGTTTCCTAGTGCATAACAAATTAAATTTACACTATATTGTACCCTATTAGGTGCAATGATTATATCAAAAAAAATGTACATATCTTAATTAAAAATGCTTTATTGCTAAAAAATGCTACAAATCATGTGAACCTTCAGCAAATTGTAATCTTTTTGCTGGTGGAGGGTCTTGCTTGTTGATGGCTGCTGACTGATCAGGGTGGTGGCTGCTGAAGGATGAGGTGGCTGTGGCAATTTGTTAAAATAAGACAACAATGAAGTTTGTCACATTGATCAACTCTTCCTTTCACAAATGATTTCTCTGTAGCATGCAATGCTGTTTGATAGCATTTTACTCACAATAGAACCTCTTTCAAAATCGAAGTTAATCCTCTCAAACCCTTCACTGCTTTATCAATTAAGTAATGTTCTAAATCCTTTGTTGTCATTTCAACAATGTTCACAACATCTTCACCAGGTGTAGATTCCATCTCAAGAAAGCAGTTTCTTTGCTCATCCATAAGAAGCAACTTCTCAGCCGTTCAAGTTTTATCATCTGACTATAGCAATTCAGTCTCGTCTTCAGGCTCCACTTCTAATGCTAGTTCTCTTGCTATTTCCACCACATCTGCAGTGACTTCTTCCACTGAAGTCTTGAACCCCTCCAAGGCATCCGTGAGAGTTGAAGTCAACTTATTCCAAACTCCTGTTAAGGGTGATATTTTGACCTCCTCTCATGAATCACAGATGTTCTTAATGGCATTGAGAATGGTGAATCCTTTCCAGAAGATTTTTAATTTACTTTGCCCAGATCCATCAAAGCAGTCACTATTTATGGCAGCTATAGCCTTACAAAATATATTTTTAAAGAATAAGATTTGAAAGTTGAAATTCCTTGATCCATGGGCTGCAGAATAGCTGTTGTTTCCATAAGCATAAAAACAGCATTAATCTCCTAGTATCTCCATCAGAGTTCTTGGGCAACTAGAGGCATTGTCCATGAACAGTAATATTTTGAAGCGAATCTTTTTTTTGAGCAGTATGTCTCAACAGTGGGCTTAAAATATTCAGTAGACTTGTAATCCCAGCACTTTAGGAGGCCAAGGCGGGCAGATCACCTGAGGTCAGGAGTTCGAGACCAGCCTGGCCACATGGCAAAACCCCGTCTCTACTAAAAATACAAAATTAGCCAGGTGTGGTGGCGGGTGCCTGTAATCCCAGCTGCTTGGGAGGCTGAGGCAGGAGAATCGCTTGAACCTGGGAGACAGAGGTGGCAGTGAGCCGGGATCGTGTCATTGCACTCCAGCCTGGGTGACAAGAGCAGAACTCCGTCTCAAAACACAAACCAAACCAAAAGAAAACAGAAATACTCAGTAGACCGTGCTGTAAACAGATGTGCTGTCATCCAGCCTTTGTTTTTTCATGTATGGAGTAAATTTAGCATAATTCTTAAGGGCTCTAGGAATTTCAGAATGGTAAATGAGCACTGGCATCAACTTAAAGCCACCAGCTGCATTAGCCCCTAACAAGAGAGAGAGTCAGCCTCTTCTTAGAAGCTTTCAAGCCAGGCATTGACTTCTCCACTTTAACTATGAAAGTCCTAGATGTCATCTTCTTCCAAGAGAAGGCTGTTTGATCTACATTGGAAATCTGCTGTTTAGCCACCTTTGTCAGTGATCTTAATTAGATCATCTGGATAACTTGCTGCAGCTTCTACATCAGCATTTGCTGCATCTCCTTGCACTTTTATGTTATGGAGGTGGCTTCTTTCCTTAAACCTCCTGAACCAACCTCTACTGTCATCATACTTTTCTTCTGCCACTTCCTCGCTTCTCTCAGCCCTCACAGAATTGAAGAGAGTTAGGGCCTTGCTCTGGATTAGGCTTTGGCTTAAGGACATGTTGTGGCTGGTTTGGTCTTCTATCCAGACCACTAAGACTTTCTCCGTGTCAGCAATAAGGCTGTTTTGCTTTTTTATCATTTGTGTGTTCATTGGAGCGGCACTCTTAATTTCCTTCAAGAACTTTTCCTTTGCATTCACAACTTCACTGTTTGGTACAAGAGGCCTACCTTTCGACCTATCTCAACTTTCAACGTGCCTTCCTCACCAAACATAACCATTTCTAGCTGTTGATTTAAAGTGAGAGACGTGTGACTCCTCCTTTCACTTGAACACTGAGAGGCCATTGTAGAGTTATTAATTGGCCTAATTTCAATATTGTTGTGTCTCAGGGAATAGGGAGGCCTGAGGAGAAGGAGGGAGATGGGGAATAACCAGTCTGTGGAGCAGTCAAAGTATACAACATTCATTCACTAAGTTCACTGTCTTATATGAGCATGGTTGGTGGCACCCCAAAACAATTATAATAATAACATCAAAGACCACAGATCACCACAACAGATATAACAACAATAAAAGAGTTTAAGATATTGCTTGAACTACCAAAATGTGACACAGAAACATGAAGAAAGCACGTACTGTTGGGAAAATGGCGCCTATAGACTTTCTCCACGCAGGATGGCCACAAACCTTCAATCTGCAAAAAACAAACTATGTGCGGAGCATACCAAAGCACAACACAATAAAACAAGGTGTGTCTGTATTTAACATCCCTGAACATATGCATTTCTTCATTCATAAAATGTGATTAAGCAAGTTAAGGTAGGGACACCCCAAGTGTCAGCTCTGCCCCCGTCCCTAAGCCCTTCAGCCTTCTAGGATCATCCTTCCTCTTAATATTAAAGGGAAAAAAACCTGCCAAATATATAATGTCCTCATTTGTTCAAGAAAAAAGATACATTTACTCATGATGTTTTTTCCCTTTCCCTATTCTTCATATTGTCTGAATTTTTTTTTTTTTTATGAGACGGAGTCTCGCTCTGTCGCCCAGGCTGGAGTGCAGTGGCGCAGTCTCGGCTCACTGCAAGCTCCGCCTCCCGGGTTCACGCCATTCTCCTGCCTCAGCCTCCGGAGTAGCTGGGACTACAGGCGCCCGCCACCATGCCCAGCTAATTTTTTTGTATTTTTAGTAGAGACGAGGTTTCACCGTGTTAACCAGGACGGTCTCGATCTCCTGACCTCGGGATCTGCCCGTCTCGGCCTCCCAAAGTGCTGGGATTACAGGCGTGACGTCTCAATTTTTTTTACCTTGTGTGTTACCTTTAAAATAAAAATAAAAGAATAAAAGTTCAATATCATTCTACAGCTGGCTGACCCCTTCATTTCACATATTGCAGCTTAAGGCACGTGGTCACCCTTTATCTTCATGGATTCTCAAGGACATGTGCTTGTTCCGGTGAACGCTTTCGCGGATTTCCCACCTCCACCGAATTCTCAGAACTGCCTTGCGTCTCACCTCCTGTGGCAGTTCTATTCTCCCAACCCCAGGTCACCTGAAACATGCCATGCTGCCAGTTGTTTCTTTAATTCTCTTTCCTCAAAGTACAACTAACATAAGCATGTGTTGCAGAATCCACTGAAGACTGGAGGTAATGGGATATGGGCACATCACAATGCAGCCAACAGTTTTAAATGAATGTGAGGTGCACAGGATGCCAGAGCCACGCAGACACTGCCACTTCAGCACATGCTCACTGGTCATCCTTGCTTATCAGACGCTGGGCTTCCTCCACGTTCGCAGGTTCTTGCCCACATCCCCTCATCTGGCCATCTCCAACCTCTCTGAAAATTGTTCCTATTCATTTTTCAGGGAAAGCCCATCCCACAGGGATAATTTATTTTTTTATTTTTGATTTGTTTGATTTTTAATTTTAATTTTTGTAGGTACATAGTAAGTGTATACATTTATGGTTGCATGAGATGTTTTGATACAGGCATGCAATGCATTGTAATCACATCATGTAAAGTGGGGTATCCATCCCCTCAAGCATTTATCCTTTGTGTCAAAAACAATCCAGTTATACTCTTATTGTTATTTTTAAATGTACAATTAAATTATTACTGACTATAGTCACCCTGTTGTGCTATCAAATATGAAGTCTTATTCATTCTTTCTATTTTTTTAAATACCCATTAACCATCCCCACCTCCCCCTACCCCACTCTCCCACTACCCTTCCAAGCTTCTGGTAACCAACCTTGTATTCTCTATGCTCACTCATGAGTTCAATTTTTTTGATTTTTAGATCTCACAAATAAGTGAGAACATGCAATGTTTGTCCTTCTGTGCCTGGCTTATTTCGCTTAACATAATGATCTTCAGCTCCATCCATGTTGTTGCAAAGGACAGGATCTCGTTCCTTTTACGGCTGAATAGTACTCCATTGTGTATAAATAGCATATTTTCCTTATCCTTTCCTCTGCTGAGGGACACTTAGGTTGCTTCCAAATTTTGGCCATTGTGAACAGTGCTGCAACAAACATGGAGTGCTGATATCTCTTTGATATACTGATATCCTTTCTTAGGGGTGTATACCCAACAGTGGCATTGCTGCATGATACGATAACTTCATTTTTAGTTTTTTGAGGAACCTCCAAACTCTTCTCCATGGTGGTTGCACTAATTTACATTCCCACCAATGTGTATGAGGGTTCCCTTTCCTCCACATCCTGGCCAGCGTTTGTTATTGCCTGTCTTTTGGATAAAATCCATTTTAACTGGAGTGAGATGATATCCTGATATCCCAGGAGTGCATTGTAAGAGAAGGCACCACACCCAGAAGAGGGGAACAAGACCAACTTCTTGCAACCAAGTCAGGGGCTTCAAACGCTTTTTAATTTGCATTTCTCTGACGAGCAATGATGTTGAGCAACTTTTCATATGCCTGCTTGCCATTTGTATGTCTTCAGTTGAGAAGTGTATATTCAAATCTTACCTATTTTTAAATTAGATTATTCGATTTTTTTCCTATAAAATTGTTTGAGCTCCTTATGTACTCTGGTTATTAATCCCATGTTAATGTTAATGTTTGCAATATTTCCTCCCATTCTGTGGATTGTCTGTTCACTTTGTTGATTGCTACCTTTGCTGTGCAGAAGCTTTCTAACTTGATGTGATCCCATTTGTCCATTTTTGCTTTGGTTGCCTGTGTTTGTGTGGTATTACTCAAGAAACTCTTGCCAAGACCAATGCCCTGGAGAGTTTCCCCAATGTTTTCTTGAAGCAGTTGCATAGTTTGAAGTCTTAGATTTAAGTGTTTAATCCATTTTGATTTGATTTTTTATATGGTGAGAGATAAGGGTCTAGTTTCGTTCTTCTGCATACAGATACCCAGTTTTCCCAGCACCATTTATTGAAGATATTGTCTTTTCCCCAATGTAGGTTCTTGGCCTTTGTAGAAGGGGATGGTTCATTGTTGTCCCACTGCCTGGTAACAACTCAAGTGACAGAGCCTGGAAATGGGACCCAGAAGTATACTGTAAGAGAAGACACCACACCCAGAAGAGGGTGGCAACCCCAGCTTCTTGTACTCCAGTTGGGGGATTTGAACTTTTTGCATTCATGCAATGCAAGGAAGCATCTTATTTATCACCCTTGAAATTGCCATTTGGAGAAAGCATCTTAAAAGACCACCTGAGCAGTTTTTTAGAGTCAGTGTATTAGTCCATTCTCACACTGCTAATAAAGACATACCTAAGACTGGGTAATTTATAAAGGCAAGAGGTTTAATTGACTCTTGGTTCCACATTGTTGTGGAGGCCTCGGGAAACTTAAAATCACTGCAGAAGGCACCTCTTCACAAGGTGGCAGGATAGAGAATGAGTGCCCAGTGAAGGAGGAAGACTCTTATAAAACCATCAGATCTTATGAGAACTCACTATCACGAGAAGAGGATGGGGAATACCACCCCCATGATTCCATTATCTCCACCTGGTCCCTCTCATGACACATGGGGATTATGGGAACTACAATTCAAGATGAGATTTGGGTGGGAACACAGCCAAACCATATCAGTCAGATACTTTGGGAAGGAATCCAAATGAATTTGCTGAATGATGACTGGATGAAGCAGTTTAATTATGTGCAACCTTTAATATAGCAGGGTATTTTTTAAAACCTCAATTTCAAGTTACTAAAAATGGATGAGACAAGATTGTAAAGAGTTTAAATAAAAGCAGTGGAGAAGCAGTGTCATCACCACACCTACCTAAATCAAAAGAAAGCCAGGTTCCTAACCAGGTTACTCATTAGCATCCCCAGGGGAGGATTTAAATGTGCAAATTCAGGGGCCCTAACCCAGACCTGCTAGGTTTCAGTCTCCTGGACACTGGTCTTCAATTTCTCTGCCCCTAAACTCCCTAAAACGATTACGTTAAACTATGTCAACCCTCAACACATTTTAAATTTGGCATCTAAACTTTTTCAACATTAGTTAAATTCACTGCAGAAAACATAATTTCTGGTATATTATTAACATTAACACTTTAAAATAAAATTGTTACAGTAGTCTCTTAAATGTGTCTAATGGTTTACAAATGCCTTATCAAGGTTACATCTGCCATCATCCATTGTTAAAAATACATAAAGACATTTTGAACAATGAGAAAATTTACGTTGGTCTTGTTTCTCCTTGAACTTGTATTTCCATTCCATGTCCCTTGCAAAAATTTTATCTAAATGTTATATATATTTATGCTTGTGTATCTTTCTCTTTTCTTTTTTTTTTTTTTTTTTTTTTTTTTTTAGACAGAGTCTTGCTCTGTCTCCAGGCTGAAGTGCAGTGGTATGATCTTGGCTCGCTGCAACCTCAGCCAGCTAATTTTTGTATTCTTTAGTAGAGATGGGGTTTCACCATGTTGGCCAGGCTGGTTTTGAACTCCTGGCCTCAAGTGATCCAACTGCTTTAGCCTCCCAAAGTGCTGGGATTACAGGAGTGAGCCACCATGCCCAGCCACTTGTACATCTTTCATTGATTGCCTTATAATATAATTCTACCACAAAAATTGTATATAAATTGTCATTTTAATGTTTAAATTTTCCTATAAATGGGTATCTAAGTGTTAAAAAAATCTTTTTGATTGAATTACTATCACCATTAGTGCACAGATTACCTAAAAAATAAATATATCACAAGTGTTGCAAAATGCCAAGAATAAAAAGTAAAATACTACCAGAAACCTCTTAGAGAAATGAATAGGGCATATTTTAAAAAAATTAATGTTAGTATTTCTAGTAATAATTAATTGCATCATTAAGTAGATTCAATAAATGATTTATTTAAACAAATAAAATTTAAATAATTTATTTAAACAAATAATTGTGTAGTTAAACATGGCATTAGTAATTACGCTAATTAGTATTTATGGATGAAACAAGGTTCCTCACTGTATTTCTTTTTTTAAGGGTTTAAAAAAATTCATGATTGACACATAATTGTATATATTTATGGGGTACAACATGATGTTTCAATGCATGTATAAATTGCGTAATGAGCAAATTAGAGTAATTATACATGCAAACTCTAAAAAAATTTGTTCTCATATATAAGTACATGGAGAACAATGGAGGTTTTTTTAAGGCAATGTCTCTCCATTCTTTGAATTCCTCATGAGTTAAAAACCAAAGATCACATAGTGTTATTAGCGCTTTCAAAGTGATCAGTTCTTCTGTTTTATTGGAAGAGAATTGGAAACTACCTGACTTGCAAAGAAGTTTTTAACCCTTTCATTAGATCCCTGCTCTACAATAACTATACCAATATTTTAAATCACTCTGTTTGGTGCCCAAGAGGTTTTTGGACCCTGTAAATTTGGTTCCTGAACCTACATTCATCCATTGTACCAGGTAAGAGCCTGTACAGGAGAAAAGTCTGCCTTTCTTACATTAGTAAGAAAAGGGTTGTATGAGACGGGATACCTTCACCACAAGCAGTTTCTTAGAAAAGGGCACTCATAGACATCACGGATCTGGAAATTACCTTCAAACCATTAGTGGTCACAGACTCTTAAAGGGTCTCCTTTTACCAAGGTCCACATATCCCAGGGTTGGGCCATTTGAAAGCTCCCCCAAGTAATTCTGCTAATCAGCCAAGTTGAAGAACCCCTGTTTAAGGTGCAAAGGGAGTCCATATTTCAGAGGAGATTTTATACTTTTTTTTTTTTTTTTTGCAGAAAGTAGTTGTTTTCAGTTTACAGAGAGAGACTTCTAGTTTCAGGGCCAGGATCTGGAAGAAGACATGAATCCAGAGAAAGAAGCTGGCACTAAGGACTGCTTTTGTAGAGGGGACATTTGCCAATCTGGAAAAAATGGCTGAGTGGCTGAGTGTGCTAATGATAACCTCTCAGGGATGACATATTTTTTAAAAATCGAAGACAATGTCAGTCCAGTGCTCTGATAAAATATACTCCCAATCCTACTTTGAGTAGAGATCCTGAGGAACTGCACTCTACGTGTAAAGGTAAACGGAAGTAACTTGGCCCTCACCCAGAATGCAGCCTCGTTTTATATTATCCAGAGGGCTCCAAAGTTTCAATCAATATATACTTTGAAGGTCTGCTTTATTATTTTCTATCATCCAATGTTCCCAGATTGTTAAGTCCACGCATGTGATACAGAAACAAACAAAACTTGTCTCAGGAGAAACATAATATCCTCCCAGGCTTCAAATTATTTCTATAATTTTTAAAAATAAGATGTTTAGGACACAAGAATGACTGGGCACATGAAAAAGATAAAACACCATGAGCAAGAACCAGCAGAAATTAGAGACTACAGAAACAGACCCAGAGAGACTCCAGATTCAAACAGATAAAAGACACAGTCTATAAAGCAGCTATGTTTATTATGTTCAAAGAGATGAAAGAAAAGCTTCAAATTTTTGGCAAAGATCTATAAGCTATAAAAGTGACATCGCAAATTTGAAAAACAACCAAATAGAAATTATAAAACTGAAAATACAATGGCCCAATTAAGAACTCAATGGCCAAGTTTAACAGCAGTTTAGACAAAGCAGCAAAGAATTTGTGAACTAAAAATATGTACAAGAATAAAATGTCCAGAATGCAGCATGGAGAGGCAAAAGGATGAAAATAGAAGAGACAAGATAAGACACACAGGATACAGTGAAAAGTTCTAATAGATACACAATGGCAGTCACACAGAGAAATCAATAAGCCATGAATAGAATAAATAAAGACATATCATAGTGAAACTGGAAATTTTCTTAGGTAGAATAAGAAAATTCCCCAACCTGAAGATAGTCACAATTTGTCAAATTTTAAAAGCCTATCAATTATAATGTTTTAAAAAAATTCTAGAAGTTTCCAAATGTCACGTCATTTTAAGGAGGTGCATACCCAGTCCATTGTTTATCTATTATTGCAACATGTTCCTTCCTTTCTTTTCATTTTCTTTGGTTATTTTGTTTATTCATTTGTTTATTGTCTTGTCTCTCTCAGTTTCAATCCTCAAATTTAACCTCCAAATAGGCAGAGACCATGCCTACCATGTTTTCCATGTGATGTGGTTTGGCTGTGTCCCCACCTAAATCTCACCTTGAATTGTACTCCCATAATTCCCACGTATTGTGGGAGGGACCTGGTGGGAGATAATTGAATCATGGGGTCGGTTTCTCCTGTGCTGTTCTCGCAGTAGTGAAGAAGTCTCACAAGATCTGATGGTTTGTTAAGGGGAAACCTGTTTCGCTTGGTTCTCGTTCTGTCTCTTGCCTGCTGCCGTGTAAAACATGCCTTTCACCTCCTGCCATTATTGTGAGGCCTCCCTAGCCACGTGGAACTGTAAGTCCAATTAAACCCTTTTTCCTGTATAAATTACCCAGTCTCGGGTATGTCTTTATTAGCAGCGTGAAAACAGACTAATACGCCATGGTATTTCTAGAGAATATACAGTGCCTGGCTTCAGGGGGCCTGGGCTGAGCCAGTATCTAGTGACACCTGGGGTGGAGACACAAGAGGGTCCTCACTCTCAGAGTCATGCATTCACACAATAAGAATGAATAAAGCCTAAATAATTACAGAGAGGGGAAAGTCACCTATTTCCTATAAACCTGGGAATTTGATTGGCAAGAATTTTCTAATCAGCAATCTTGGACAACAGAAGATAATAAAGCAAATTTTAAAATTATAAGGTGAAAGAATGTTCAACCTAAAATTCTATACCCAGCCAGCATTTAAATGGGAGGATAAAATACTTTCTTGAACATGAAAGGATTCAGGAAGTTTTTATCATCCTCAGCTCCTTTCCAAAAGAATTACTTGAGAACATATTTCAGCAAAATGAAAGTTTGCTGTAGGGAAGAAAAAACAAACAAACAACAAAAAAGATAGGCACGAAAATCCTTAGGCAGAAAGATGGCTGATTATGTCTAAATGAAATACACTGTAAAAATTCCTGAATCTGGAATTGAAACCCAGATGATTTCCATATGGTAGGAGATAGGAGGAAGGGAGAAATATAAATTTTCTAAGGCTTCTATCTTATTATTTGGGGAGGTATAGCTATAGCTTAACTCTAGACATTGTGAGGAGAATGTGTTCAAATAAGTGTACTATATATTTAGCAGTAACTATTAGAGCAATAAAAATATTATGTATAATTTTTCAAAGCACAAATAGAAAAAAGAAACAGAAAAATTAATCCAACAGAAGTTGTATCTATATGTAATATTAATTCATATGAATTTTCTTAAAACCTAATATGATAGGCACTAAATATTTTACCTTTGGAGAGGAGAAGACAATTGAAAGAGGGGAGGGGAATGTAAGAATGAAAGGAGACTTCAAAATTTTTGCTTCTCCATATACTTCCGATTTGTTTTTCAAGTAATCGTGTATTCATTTATTATATATGTAATTTCTAAGCAATGTAGGATTTTTTAATCCAATAAAAATCCTAATGGAAATTCTTTCATTTTCTTTTTCTTTCCTTCTTCCCTTTTGCTTTCTTTGTATTTAGTAAAATTATTTTGAAGTTCATTTGGAAAAATAATAGGAAAGCATGAGAGGATAAAATATCATGTACTGTTTATCAAATTAGTAAAGATGAAAACAGCTCTAGGCCGGGCACGTTGGCTCATGCCTATAATCCCAGCACTTTGGAAGGCTGAGGCGGGCAGATCACTTGAGGTCAGGAGTTCGAGACCAGCCTGGCCAACATGGCAATACCCCATCTCTACTAAAGAAGCAAAAAAAAAAAAATGAGTCAGGCGTTGTGGCGCATGCCTGTAATCCCAGCTACTTGGGAGGCAGGAGAATCGTTTGAACCCGGGAGGTGGAGGTTTCAGTGAGCCGAGATCATGCCACTGCACTCTAGCCTGGGCAACAGAGTGAGACTCTGTCTCCAAACAAACAAACAAAACAAAAACAAACAGTTCCAATAATGTTCCAAAGGAGAGATTAAATGGAGACTCCTACATTGCTGGGTATGGGGAAGAAAGCCATATGTGGACAGAAATTCTTTGCAAATAATTTTGGCAATATGTATCAGTGGTCATTTTTTAGATCAAGCTCTTTCATTATAATTCCACACTTTACAACCCATCCTAAAGAAACAAAATTAATATTGAGACTAAATATTAAAACAGACACTTATCCCAGTAAATATGCTTAATATCAAGTTACAAATGCTCTAAATGTAAACGTTCAGAAGTTGTAAATTATAGCATACATATAAGATATATCATGTAAGCATTAATAATTTTTACTGCAAGCAGTTTTTAATAAAATTAAAAATATGTAAATTCTAATATAGATTTTTAAAAACTCAGAAGGTGCAAAGTTGGATACATATTGCTTGATTATAATGGACTGAAAAAGCATGAGGGTATTGAGTCAAAATGGCTAAGCACTCATGAATATTTTTTCTGTTCCAACCAATATCTCTAAAAATAACAGGAAACAATTTTTTTTATTGTTGGTATATTAGTCCGTTTTCACACTGCTATAAAGATACTACCAGAGACTAGGTAATTTAGAAGGGAAAGAGGTTTAATTGACTCACAGTTCTGCATGGCTGGGGAGGCCTCAGGAAACTTTTTACGATGAAGTCAAAAGAGAAGCAAGGCATGTCTTCCCACTGCAGCAGGAGAGAGAGAGAGAGACAGAGAGAGAGGGCACACACTGGGCATGGTGGCTCATGCCGGTAATCCCAGCACTTTGGGAAACCAAGACAGGCAGATCACTTAAGGCCAGGAGTTCAAGACAAGCCTGCCCAACATGGTGAAACCCCATCTCTACTAAAAATACAAAAATTAGCTGGGCGTGGTGGCTCATTCCTGTAATCCCCACTACTCTGGAGGCTAAGGCAGGAGCAATTGCTTGAACCAAGTAGTCAGAGGTTGCAGTGAGCTGAGATCACGTCACTGCACTCCAGGTTAGGCAACAGAGTGGGACTCTATTTCAAAAAAAAAAAAAAAAAGGAGAGAGAGAGCACACAAATGAAACTGCTGCTTATAAAACCATCAGATCTTGTGAGAACTCACTCACTATCACAGAACAGCATGGGGGAAACTGCCCCCATAATCCAGTCACCTCCCACCAGGTGCCTCCCTCAACACATGGAGATTATAATTCGAGATGAGATTTGGGTGGGGACCCTGAGCCAAACCATATCAGTTGGTAAGATGGAATTCATAACACAATGAAAAGGGGAGCAAGCTATCATCAGATCAGATATTTTAAGTCATCCTTAAAATAGAGAAAGCAGAGAAGACCACATTGACAAAAGAAATTATATCCTAAAGCATGTTCAGAGATACATTGTGCCAATGTAGAAGTGGCTCCTGGTGTCCCCCAAACACAGAGGTGGCAGATACAAAGAGCAGGAGGGAGTCATGGATAGCCATGGGGCCATTGTAATAATCCATTCCTGGTTGCCAAGCTGGTAGGTTCCTCCCCTCTGCCTAGGTACACCAAGAAGTAGGCCTGTAGGCTTGTTCACCTCAGGCTGGAACAGGAACTGTAGCACTTGGGGGTACACAGAAGGGAAGCGCCTGGGGCTTTGGCAACATCCAGAAGAAACAGGGAGCCCCTAACCTCCAGGTTAAGCTCCTGGCATTCCCTACCCCTTGCCAGGACTCTGACTCACTCACAATTCCAGAGGTTAAAAGCAAAGAACATCCAGAAGCAGGCAAAACCAGCTTTTTCTTTCTTTTTTTCTACATAGGAAAATTTCAAACATATGCAAATTAAACATAATATTATGAAGCAACCAATCTTCATCCAGTAACTTCAACAACTATCAGCATTCTGCCGTTCTTGTTTTATATATATCACCATTACAACCTTTCATTTTCTTCCAGAGTATTTTGTCTGCTTTTTAAAATTTTCATTCATTTTTAAAATTATTTCAATAGGTTTTGGGGGAGCAGGTGGTATTTGGTTACATGAATAAGTTATTTAGTGGTGATTTCTGAGATTTTGGTGAACCCATCACCCAAGCAGTGTACACTGTACCCTATGTGTACTCTTTTATCCCTCACCCCTCTCCCACTCCTCCCTTCAGTCCCCAGAGTCTATTATATCACTCTATGCCTTTGCGTTCTCATAGCTTAGCTCCCACTTATAAGTGAGAACATACAATATTTGATTTTCTATTCCTGAGTTACTTCACTTAGAATAATGGTCTCCAACTCCATTCAGGTTCCTATAAATGCCATTATTTCATTCCTTTTTATGGCTGAGTAGTATTCTATGGTATATCTATATCTATATCTATATCTATATCTATATATATCTCACATATCCTTTATCCATTCGTTTGTTGATGGGCATTTAGGCTGCTTCCATATTTTTGCAATTGTGAATTGTGCTGCTGTAAACATGCATGTGCAAGTGTCTTTTTCATATAATGACTTCTTTTCCTCTGGGTAGATACCCAGCAGTGGGATTGCTGGATCAATTGGTGGTTCTACTTTTGGTTCTTTAAGGAATCTTCAGACTGTTTTCCATAGTGGTTGTACTAGTTTACATTCCCACCAGCAGTGTAAAAGTGTTCCCTTTTCATCACATCCATGCCAACATCTATTATTCTTTGGTTTTTAAATTATGGCCATTCTTGCAAGAGTAAGGTGGTATCACATTGTGGTTTTGATTTGCATTTCCCTGATAATTAGTGATGTTGAGCATTTTTTCATATGTTTGTTGGCCATTTGTATATCTTCTTTTGAAAATCGTCTATTCATGTCTTTAGCCCACTTTTTGATGGGATTATATGTTTTTTTTTTCTTGATGATTTGTTTGAGTTCCTTGTAGATTCTGGATATTAGTCCTTTGTCAGATGTATAGTTTGTGAAGATTTTTCTCCCACTCTGTGGGTTGTCTGTTTACTCTGCTGATTATTTCTTTTGCTGTGCAGAAGTGTTTTAGTTTAGTTAAGCCCCATCTATTTATCTTTGTTCTTGTTGCATTTGCTTTTGGGTTCTTGTTCACAAAATCTTTGCCTAAGCCAATGTCTAGAAGACTTTTTCCTATGTTATCTTCTAGAATATTTATGGTTTCATTTAAGTCTTTGATCCATCTTGAATTGATTTTTGTATAAGGTGAGAAATGCGGACCCAGATTTACTCTTATATATGTGGCTTGTCAATTATCCCAGCACCATTTGTTGAATAGGGTGTCCTTTCCCCACTTTATGTTTTTTGTGCTTTGTCAAAGATCAGTTGGCTGTAAGTATTTGGCTTTATTTCTGGGTTCTCTATTTATTCCATTGGTCTATGTGCCTGTTTTTATACCAGTACCATGCTGTTTTGATAACTATAGCCTTGTAGTATAGTTTGAAGTTGGGTAATGTGATACATCCAGATTTGTTCTTTTTGCTTAGTCTCACTTTGGCTATGTTGGCTTTTTGTTTGTTTGTTTTATATGAATTGTGGGATTGGATTGTTTTTTCTAGTTCTGGGAAGAATGATGATGGTATTTTGAAGGGAATTGCTTTGAATTTATAGATTGCTTTTGGCAGTATGGTCATTTTCACAATATTGATTTTACCCATCCATTAGCATGGGATGTGTCTCCATTTGTTTGTGTTCTTTATGATTTCTTTCAGCAGTATTCTGTAGTTTTCCTTGTAGAGATCTTTCACCTCTTTCGTTAGGTATATTCCTAGGTTTTGTTTTGTTTTGTTTTGTTTTGCAGTTTTTGTAAAAGGGGTTGAGTTCTTGATTTGATTCTCAGTTTGGTTGCTTTTGGTGCATAGCAGTGCTACTGATTTGTGTACATTGATTTTGTATCCTGAAACTTTATTGAATTCATTTATCAGATCTAGGAGCTTTTTGGATGAGTCTTTAGGGTTTTCTAGCTATACAATCATATCATTGGCAAACAGCAGCAATTTGACTTCCTCTTTACCAATTTGGATGTCCTTGATTTCCTTCTCGTCTGATTGCTCTGGCTAGAACCTCCAGTGCTATGTTGAATAGAAGTGGTGAAAGTGGTCATCCTCATCTTCTTCCAGTTCTCAAGGGGAATGCTTTCAACTTTTCCTTGTTCAGTATAGTGTTGGCTGTGGGTTTGTCATAGATGTCTTTTATTACCTTAAAGTATGTCCCTCCTATGCTGATTTTGCTAAGGGTTTTAATCATAAAGGGATGCTGGATTTTATCAAATGTTTTTTCTATATCTATTGAGATTATGATATGATTTTTGTTTTTAATTCTGTTTTTTTGGTGTATCATATTTATTGACTTGCATATGTTAAACCATCCCTGCATCCCTGGTATGAAACTCACTTGATCATGGTGTATTATCTTTTTGATATGCTGTTGGATTCGGCCAGCTAGTATTTTGTGGAAGATTTTTACATCTATGTTCATCAGGGATATTGGTTTGTAGTTTCCTTTTTTTTGTTGTGTCCTTCCTGGTTTTGGTATGAGGGCGAGACTGGCTTCATAGAATGATTTAGGGAGAATTCCCTCTTTCTCTATCTTTTAGAATAGTTTCAGTAGGATTGGGAAATCTCAGATATCATTTCATTTTACTCATACTTAGTGTGACTCTCTAACACAAAAAGAAATTTTAAAAAATGATCTCTCTATCTCTCTCTTTCATACACACACACATGCACACACACTCCAAATTATAACCAAATCCTGTTGCCAAGCTGGTAGGTCGCTCCTCTCCTCTGATCTGTGCCAAAAAGTAGGCCTGTAGGATGTTGAAAATTATCACACAAACTTCCCTCCAATGACAAGTTATCAATATCATCTAATAAGCAGTTGTGGCAGATTGTACCTTCCAAAAATGTTTGCAGCAGCATCTCCTATCTTCTGCAAGTGAACTTGCCACTCTGAGATAAAAAGGTGAGGTCTAACTCCCCTCCTCTTGACTTCTGGTGGGCTTAGTCACTGGCCAGAACAATAGAATGTGAGATTTGAGGTGCTGTCTGATTTCCAAGGGGAGGTCAGGAAGCCACCTAACCTCCACTGGGTCTCTTGGGATGTTTACCCTCCAGAAGTCTCCTCTCAAGATGGTTTCTCTCAGAATCCAGGCGGCATGCTGTGAGAAGCCCAGTCACATGGAGAGGCTGCATGTAGGTGTCCAATCAGCATTCCCAGCAGAGCTGAGCCATTTAAGTCTCCCAGTTGAGGCTCCCAATATTATGGAGCAGGGAAGACATCTCCATGTGGCCTGTCCAAATTCCTGACTCACAGGACCTGTGAGCATAATGGCTGTTATTTTATGCTACTAGGTTGTAATGTGGTTTCATATCCATAAAAATTAGAAACACCAGTTCATATTCAATTTGTTCTCATTGTTTCAAAAATTTGCCTTTGTGGTTGACCTGTTTAAATTAGGATCCAAGCAAAGGTCACACATCGATTTTGGCTGATGTTTCTATTAAATATGTCTTAATCCACATGAATTTCTGCTTTTTTGTTTTTTATTTTGATGCCATACATTCATGAAGAAGCTAAGTCTTTTGTTTTATAGAATATCTCCTATTCTCTTCTAACTGATGTATCAATCAGCCAAGCAGTGCTTACCATCTTCCTCTGTGAGTTGTTTCCTGTAAGAAAATGGTTGGTTAGATCCAGGCAGGTTGGCAAACTTTTTCTGTAAGGGGCGGAGAGTCAATATTTTAGGCTTTATGGTTCATTCAGCTTTGCCATGGTAGCACAATTGGAGACATGGGAATATGTGAATGAGTGTGACTGTGTTCCAAAAAAACTTTATTTTCAAAACAGGCAGCAGCCATGGGCTGCAGTTTGCTGGCCCTGATGCAGATGAAAACAAAATAGTCAATCACAAAAATGAATACAAAATCTAGAACCACCAAATAGTTACAGAAAACCAACATCACGAAAGGAAAATAAAACTAAACAAATCTCAGAACCAACACCTGAAGAAACAGAGTAAATAAAACAAAGAGATGAAAACTTTGAGGGTATACCAAATATTGAACATTCTAGAGAATTAAAAGATGCTATCATATTCCTGAAGCAAGAACAGGCTGTTATGATGACAAGCATTTAGATATCTTAGAAATTAAAAATACAATCATCAAACTAAAAATCTTAATAGATGTGTTGAGTAATAGAATAGACATAACTGAAGAATATAGACTATAACTGCAGAGTGTGCTGAGAAATTGTTCCAGAGCACTATATTAAAGGAAAAAGAAATGGAAATACTATAGCAAAAGTTTGGAGACATAAAAGTTAGACCCAGAAATGCAAACATTCATCTAATAGAAGTCACAGTCAAAGAGACTAGAGAGACAGAGGAGAAGAAATAAGCAAAGAAATAATAATAATAAATATTTTCCCGAGCCAAAAAAAAAAATCCCAAATGTGATATGTATTTTTTTTTTGAAACAGGGTCTCACTTTGTCACTTAGGCTGGAATGCAGTGGTGCCATCACAGCTCACTGTAGCCTCGAACTCCTGAGTTCAAGCAATCCTCTTACTTCAGCCTCCTCAGTAGCTAGCACTACAGTTGCACACCATCACACCTGACTAAATTTTTAAAAATTTTTTTGTAGAGACAGAGTCTCACTATGTTGACCTCTACAATTTTTTTGTAGAGGCTGGTCTCGAACACCTGCCCTCAAGCAATCCACCAGCCTCGGCCTCCCAAAGTGTTCAGATTACAGGTATGAGCCAGTAATCCCTGCCAAAATGTGATTTTTTAAAATAGAAATGGCCCACTGGGTAACAACCAGCATTAATTAGGGGTGAGAGGATGATACTTGGACACATAATGATAGAGTTTCAGAGCTCCTGGTATAAAGATTCTGAAATCCCCTCTACACATATCCAGTCTCATTCAGTTATTCTGGGTTGGAACTTGGAAATCTGACATTCACCTGTTCATTTGGTTTCAAAAACAAATCTAATATGCAGACAAAATTCGCAACTGCTATTCTCTAGAGCAACGATCTGGGACTCAGTACCTAGTCACCCTTTTCTGCAGTCTGATGCTGATTGTAGAGTGCAGTGCTTCTGGGCTTCTCTTATGCTAACTGGTTCCTTCTTCCTTGTGCATGAGCCACTGCCTTGAGGGGCCTCTTGTTAACTTCCGTCCCCTCCCCCACCACCCACCACCATATAGGATCCTCCTTTGACCTTTGACCAGGGTTTTGCTACCACTCCCAGAAGGCACTTGGTTCTCTAACATTTCCTGAACTGCTGCTCTCTGGGCCAGCCAACCCCGGTGCTGGGTCCCCTGGCCCCAGCCTGCTCCCGTCCCTACCAAGGCCTCAAGATACCGGCTCTGCTGTGATTCATTTTCCCACGTAATCAACACAGTAGGACAAATTGGTGTGTGCGGAGCTGTGCTAGGTCCTGGGAAAACAAAGCTGAACACAGCCTGATGCTCACCCTTAAGGAGTTCTAGGTGGAGGCAAATGTGAAAGGAAAAAAGTGGACTACATCGTGATGAGGGGGATCACCCAAAGTTTCTCCAAAGATGGCCCAAAGACCACCTGCACTGACTTTGTCAACGTTCTTAAGAAATTTCAGATTTCCAGCCTTGACATGCTGGATCATACTCTTGTGAGGATGTGGCTGAGGAATCTGCATTTTAAACAAGCTCAAGTCATTTTTATGATCACAAAAATGTCATAACCATCAACCTTACAGAGCTGTGTGCCAGGTCTATGATTTGATTTGGAAGGTACATGGGGAGTATGTGCAGGGATGATGGCAGAGGGGCTGGGTCGGTGGCTAATGAGGGTCAGATCCCACAGGCCTTGTCATGCTAAGGAGTCTGGGCTCTATGGGACGAGCTGTAGGGAACGAGTGAAATGTTTTATGGTAGGGAGAGGGGGCAAGGACAACATGGTGCAATTCTAAGAGACAACCAGTATTAACAGGGTTGAGGGTAAATAGAGGCAAAGTGAGGAGGCTGAGGTTGAAGGCAGAGAGGCTAGCACAGGTGATCTGTGATGGGGACCTGACCTGGCTGAGTGGCAAGACAGAGAAGGAAAGATGGGAAGTCTGCTTGGGAGGTAGAATAACAGTGCTTGGTGGAAAGGATCACCACGCCCCCGGGCCTGCTCCAGCCCCAGTCATCCTCCGTCTGTCCTGATCTGCTGCAGTTAGTAAGCCCACGCGCAGCCTAGTACACTTGGCCTAATATGCACCGATGACTAGAAGAGAAACACATACTGCATACTTCTGCAGTGTTTTTAGACCTTATCTAATCAGGCTGGGTAAATTAATTACTCTTAATAATTTGTTATTATAGTGAGATATTTGTCTTTTTAAAAAGCTAAACATTGTATGCTGTTTTCCTGATGGTGCTTAGTTGTCTACTCTTTGAAAGGTTCATGCCTAAACCACTCTCCCAGGTCACCAAACCACCCCAGGGCAGCAACCTCAAGAAGAGGCAAGGGCAGAACTGACCAGTTGGTCCTTTCTGGACACGCCTGAACTTTCACGATGTGAGAGAAAAGTCACACACTCACTTTCACAGGCTGCTCCAGATGGCAGCGAAAACCACACATTTTACAAGTGAGTTATGAGTGATCACACAAAGGGTTACTCAATCTGTTTCCACTTGACTAAGAGTTTTGAGGTAAAT
Organism: Homo sapiens; assembly: GCF_000001405.40. Classification (NCBI taxonomy): domain Eukaryota; kingdom Metazoa; phylum Chordata; class Mammalia; order Primates; family Hominidae; genus Homo; species Homo sapiens. Next base: position 38,561,033 of record NC_000004.12, read on the forward strand.
CCTTTGAAGCTTGCATAGTCACCTGGGACTTCAAAAGTAAGTTATTTAGAGCTGTACAGAGTGAAATAGTGGTTATTGCTGATTAATCTTGATAAATACGACACAGCAATGAAGTAGGTATTATAGAACTGCATGCTTGATAAAATGAATTATTTCTATATAGGAGAGACATAAAAATGCATTAACAATGGAAATAAGTTATATGTGTAATCCTAAGATTGAAGTTGCTGCTTATAATTTACAAAGCATCATCTCATTTATTACTTCAGTTGATCTTCACAAAATGTTCTAAGGTACATTATCTTACTATTCCCATTTTATAGATGAGGAAACTGAGGATCAGAAAGGCGAAGTGGCTGATGGATATAGTTTGTATATTTGTCCCCACCCACATCTCATGTTGGATGTAATCCCCAATGTTGGAGGTGGAGACTGGTGGGATTTGCATCATGGGGCAGATCCCTCGTGGCTTGGTGCTGTCTTCCCAATTGTAAGTGAGTTCTCACGAGATCTGGTTGTTTAAAAGTGTGTGGCACCTCCCCACCCACACTCTCTCTCTTGCTCCTGCTTTCTTTTTTTTTTAGGCTGATCATCTTGCTGCCACTTTTGCCATGTGAACTGCCTGCTCCTGCTTTGCCTTCCACCAGGATGGAAAGCTTCCTGAGGCCCCTCCAGAAGCTGATGCCAGAGCTATGCTTCCCATACAGCCTGAAGAAGTGTGAGCCAATTAAATCTCTTTTCTTTATAAATTATCCAGTCTCCAGTGTTTCTTTATAACAATGCAAAAACAGACTAACAGGACCCAAGGACACACAGCCAATAAAATGACATCGTTGTATATTTGTTGCAAGTAACAGAAACTCCAAATCAAACCATGTTTTCTAAACAGTAATGGGAATGTATAAACATATGTTACAGAAAAAGTCCAGTGGTATGGTGGGCTTCAGACATAGCTTGATCAGAAATTCAGCTCTGTTTTATTTCAATTGTCTTGGATTTACCCTTCTTTTTGTACCAGCTTTATTCTCATCCTCTCTATTAATAGCAAAATACTGAAGCAGTCTCAGGACCCACCACACTGTCCAGAAGGAGAAAGGATATTTCTTTCTCCAATTATCAAACAAGAGTCATAGACTTCCCTTTTCTTGCACCAGTGGCCAGGGAATGCCAAAACAGGCCTAGGGTATATATCCATGCATGAGCCAATGCCCATGGCAATTAAGGCTACAACCTAGAGGCCTAAAGGTTGGACCAGTAGCATCCAAGCCTTGCAGATGCTATACCAAGTGGGAGGGGTAGAATGGATGCTGGAGAGTAAACCACAATCCACCACAAGCCAGGACCTGAATTCATAGCTTATGGCTCTAAATCCTAGGGGTTTTTTTCCTATACATTACATGTTGTTGTTCTTCACTTGTAGATCTTATGACTCCAAGTAAAGCTGCTATTTTTGCCTATAAATGTGCCTTAAAAGGCCCTCAGGTGACCAGATGTCTTTTCCAGCTGCTGCACACCAACACTGGACATTTCTTTGTGTGTGCTGCCATGATCTGTGAAGTCTTCTGCTTTTTTGGTTATTTCTCTAACTCATGTTCCTCTAGATTCTTTTGCCCCATTCATTTTTGTTTCAAATACATTTTTGTCTCTTTGTGTCAGAGCCCAACCAGGAAGACAGAAATCATTCCGAATATTTAAAACAGAGGAAAGTTAATGCAATGAGATGAAAGAAACTTAAAAGCCAAACAAGGGATGGTGAGGCAATCCAGAGACCAGCAGCAGCAGGAAGTTGCCGCCACTCCTAGGCTGGAGGGACAAAGGGAGGAGGTGATGCTAGCAGAGCCCAGGGACTGGGATTACCCAGAGGAAGCTGGAACCATGACAGACTTCCTGTGCAAACTGGAGTCGTGGAAGAGAGGGAGCAGCTGCCAGAGATACTACCCCAGGACAGAGGGAGAGGGAAAAATACCCTGACGTCTTCCTTCCTCCTGCTCATCAAACTCCCACCAGAGCCTCCCATTAGCCAAACTCAGCTAGAAGCCAGCTAACACAGGGCCCTGAGAACTGCAGCCGGGAGGGGTCAAGCCCCTCCCACAATACAGAACAGGGGAAGGAAGGGTGAGGATCTCACATCACACAGTCCAGAACCAGCTATATTTGCATGACAAATGTCATACATGTTCACTGTGGAAGTTTCAGAAAATACAGATATGCAAAAATAAAAAGGTAAAAATCATGTTCTATTAGTTCTGAAGAGGTAAGATCCAATCAGCCAGTCCCAGGGTACTGCTGAATGCTACCTGTTTCTCATTAATGATTGAGCAAGCCATGTTCTAGTCTTCTCCCTATCAATAGGCCAAGCACTCTAGCAGTTTGACATTTTGTTATACACACTCTGAGAAATTCAATTTCTCCCTTCTATTAAGTCAAAAGTAAAAAAACCAAAACCAAAAAAAAAAAAACCCCAGATTTTAGAAAGGTTGTTAAGAAAAACTTTATTTCTTCTAGGAACCTGTTTTTGCTTTTTTTCCCAGGTAACATGTGCCATATGATTTATCAGGTTTTCTCTTTTTGCCCAGGCTACTAGGAAACTCAGAGATACATCTCATGCTCCAGACCAGCAACTTTAACCCTTTGGGTAGGCGTGTGCTTCTTCCCTCTTCTGCATGTTCCAAATTGTATTTTATCATATCAACTCTATTATGCATGTGTGTGTGTGTGTGAAGAAGACAGGGATGAATATAGCCACAGAAGGGAGAAGACCTTGAGTTATTGCCCCAGAGAGTTGCTGGGCATCACTTGCCCTGTCCAACTTTGTCCACTCTATGCCAGCTGCCCAGCACTGGGAGAGTCATCTGCCACAGTAGAACAGACTTTTCTGTCACCCTCCTCAACAGCAGATGGCCGCTCTGCACTCATCCGTGTCATACATCATTGCTGAGTGAGACACCACCAACCACTGTGCAAATCACTAAGCGTCTTTGCCTCCAACTCTGTGGTAGGCTGGGAATTATGCCTGCGCACTCAAATCCACTCTATTTCAATAATTTTTCAGCTAAGGGGGCTCAACTGAGCATCGTGACAATGGTAAGGGGTGGAGCTAGGGGCTGTCAGTGGGATTATGGTTAGATTTTTAATTAGATGGGGCATTTTAATTAGGTTGGGCAAAAGCTTTTTCAAGGAGGTGAAAGCATTGTCTCCTCCGGCGAGCACGTCTCTGGCTTATTTAGCTTCCTTGATTCACAAGTTAGTCCCTCTTGAAGTGTTTTTCTTGTACTTTGTTTATTTGAGGCTGATAGTCTGGGCATGGGGCCCAGTTTAATATAATTTTTACTGTTGCTACCACATCCCAAATTCTATTGAGATGGTTGTTATCATTGTTGTTAAGACACCTTACAGTGTCAATTACCAAGGCCAGGTGTACTCCCATACTCCCCCCACCCCAGCGCACCCCTTTTCTTTTCTTTTTTTTTTTTTGAGACGGAGTCTCGCTCTGTTGCCCAGGCTGGAGTGCAGTGGCGCGATCTCAGCTCACTGCAAGCTCCGCCTCCCGGGTTCACGCCATTCTCCTGCCTCAGCCTCCCGAGTAGCTGGGACTACAGGAATCCGCCACCACGCCCGGCTCATTTTTTGTATTTTTAGTAGAGACGGGGTTTCACCATGTTAGCCAGGATGGTCTCGATCTCCTGACTTCGTGATCCTCCCGCCTTGGCCTCCCAAAGTGCTGGGATTACAGACATGAGCCCCTCCGCCCGGCCCCCTTTTCTACTTCACCTATTAGAAATGAAGCTGATGCTTACTCCCGTGCCATTGAGACAATGTGCGTTTGTGACTCTGTAGCATAGCAAAGTAGATATTTGGTAATTATCTGGATAATTTGATTGCGATAGGGAAATAGTTCCAATCACTTAGGTCCTAGAGTTTATCTGTGAGTCTAAAGAACATGAAATCTCCCCCCACATTGCTTATAATTTCCTCTGAGTTCTATAAATACATAGGATGCTTTTACAGCAAATTTCCCTCCCTAATTATGTTTTACATAATCTAATACATTCATATTAGTTTGCCTCCTCTAAGCATATAGCAGCCAAAAGATACCTTGGCTGGAAGGCTAGAGAGGGAAACTGACCACAGTGCATCATCAGTGTAGAGTTAACAGCTGACAATAATAATATAGATTCAGCACTGACAAAAGAAAGGAAATAGTGCAACATTTGGTTTGAAAAGTGTGTGTGTGTGTGCGCGCGCGTGCGTGTGTCTGTGTGTGTTCCAGTGTTCCATTTGGGTCAGACCCTTAGCATGACTTTAGAATGCAGGCGTTTAAGGTGAGGGATTGTAATAATAACCCACTTCAGGAGTGTGGACATTAGCCAATAGACATGCACCTCTGGCTTCCCGCCAAGACCTGAGGTGGAGCCCAGGCCTGGGCTTGTCCACAAGGTTCATGTCTTCAGCAGATACAGTCTTGCTGCAAAGTTGTACTGCACTAACAATGAGACTCACTGGAAAAATAAATAAAATGCTTTAAATGTTTAAATGCATTTCCAAGTATTCATCTTCCAAATATTTAGACCCTGAGCCAATTTGGGCCAAGAGCCCAAGCTTCCTGTACATGCAGGATGGTTCCAGCAATCTCCTGAAGATCAGCAAATATGTAACAACTTAAAATATCATCCTCTCAGAGCCAAAAGAATAATTCCCTAGGTATTGCTCCAGGAAATCAACTTGCTGTCTCTGTCCGAAGTCCTCCTTCATAATGTCTGTAGGAACACATTAGTTTTAGTAACTTTAGTAACTTCTTACAAAGGCCTCCATGAGACCATGGTCTGTGTCCGCTGTGAGACTCCAATATAAACAGGAGTGGGAAAGGAGATTTGAGAGTAGAGACGTGTAGGATGAAAAGGGAAAAGGGAAGAGAGAGAGGTGCAGAAAGAACAAACAGCCTATTGAGGATATTGGTAGCCATAGAAGGTTTTGATGCCTGCACCAAGTCTCGAAGGGTAAGTCTGAGTAAACCAAGGTTGTTTGGTTTTGTTTTGTTTTGTTTGCTTTTTTACCAGAGGGGAGGGGTGTTGGAAAACGACTTCCTTTTGCATTTAAATTTCTCTAAATTCAGTAGTCAGGTAATTTATTCTCCTTTTTCCAGCCATATCCATACTAAAACATTTTATTTTCCTTTTTCTTTCTAAGCCACCACAGCAAAAAGAAAAAAAAATCATAGCACTGCCAAGGAATTTATCTACTTCTAAAGTTCAGCAATCATATCTTTATCTAGGAAGCTCCACAAAATAAAATAAATACTTTCCATGTAGATTTTGATTCTAGGGTACCTGTATTAGTGTTTTGTTCAGTCTTCCTCGTGGACTAAGTAGAACAGTGAAGTTGAATCTTACATGCACTCAACTTTTGTAAGTTCAATTATATACGAGACAGAGAGAGAGAGAGAGAGAATGAATGTTGGTCTTAAAAAGCATGTGCCCCAGAGTGAACATGAGAAATGAATCTATTGTGCCTGAACTGACTGCATGCTCATAGATAACTCACCATGCAGTCTCTTGCTTAAAATACACATTTCTCATATACATGACCCCAAAATTCAAGCAAACTGCTTCACTGATACTCAAACAAGAAAACAGCCCTGCTTTCCAATGATGGAGGGAAAACTGGCTGAGAGACAGTGTGCCAGTCTCTGACATGACACCTCCCTAAGAGAGTTGCATGAGTAGTTTTGATAACCTGTGATTTTCATCTTGGGGCTGACTTTAGAACCTGACCCTCTCATCAGCCACATCTCTGCTGAATTAACCCCCCTTGGCAAATGCAAAAGTAAAAAGAAGTGGGATCATTTTTCCAATATCTCTGAATTTGTGCCAAGACTAGAAACTTTGCTTTCTCAAACTCCATGGCCAACCACAAAGCACATTGCAATCTCTTTAGCCTTTTCACCAATTTGGAGTACAAAAATGGTCCACAGACAAAAGCCACAAGAGACAGGGAGCCATTTGTTCTTTTATTCACCAAATATTTGTGGAGTGCTAATGATGTAACAGGCACAGGATTTAGTAGGGAGCTACTGCTGAATGAAAAGAGTCAAAAGCCCTACTTTTGACTTGGCAATTATCAAGCTAGCTTGGTAACCTACTGTTGACTTGGCAATTACCAAGCTTGTTAGCTTGCTGTGTGACATTGGAAGAATTACTCGACCTCCCTGAGTTTCCTTTGCCTACTTCACCAAAAAACGTGAAACAATACGGCACATAAGTCCTAAGGTTTCTCTCAGTTATATATTATGTGAAATTGGCTTAGAAATATTTTTTAAAACTTGAGAGAAATATAACAAACTTCCTTATAGCAACGTTTGTCTATTACTAACAAGCACTTTGCCCCGGTAGCCTTTTTTCTCAGCTTTGCTCCCCAATGTTACGGTCAATTTCACCACCTATCTCTCTTCCACATGCATCGACATTAGCTGCTCCCCGTCTCCCACTCCTGGAGCTTCCAGTAGACACATAAACGAAATGAAGGGGTTTCTTCCTAGGTTTTGTTCCCTGTCATAGTTGCTGTTGTTCAAGCCCTACCAGAGTGATTCAGGCTTCAGTGTTTTGATTAAAAGTAGTGATAGCCATGTTGTGGACAAAAGATATGGAAATAGATCTCTTGTATGATTAATCATACTTTCGGTTGTGTAAATGTTTCATTTTCAATGACTACATCATCGGTAATATGACTTTTGTGTTATATCATCAGGCATGTGGACCTGTTCACACTTAGTTATTGAATTTGGCATAATAATGGCTTAAGCACCAATTGTCTTTATCCCATCTAACTGAAGGAGTAATAATAGCAAACATTTGGTTACTCTGGGGGGAAAAGTTCTATAAAATGCTTAAATGTTTGTGATACTATATCAAGGAATGTTAGCCAAATATTACTTTCTGCAATACCCACTTCTTAGTTGTTCTATTCAATCAATAAATGAATATTGGAAGAAGGCCTACTCAATCAAGAGTTGTGCTTAATTCACCCCACCGAGCATTCAGGAGAAGACCAAGTAGAAGTGTACAATTTCCTGAAATAAGAGGAGATATGGTGGCAAGCCAGGGATGCCTCAATTTGAGTGCCACTTTTGTAGGTAGCTAGATGTTTGATCCCCAAGTAGCTACTCTGTCATTTTGAGCTTTACATTCTCCACAAGGACTTTAATAACCCCTGCTTCATCTTCTTCACAAAAATTTTGTGAGGATAAATTGATGATGTAAAAAAAAGAGGAAGAAGTATCACATGTACATAATGCTTACTTGCCAAGCATTTCATATATATTCACTTATTTAATTCTCATAACAACCCTGTTTTATAAGAGACCAGTCATTGAGAGGTTAAGCGGTTTGTTAATAAAAGGTGGAGTTGGCATTCAAATTGAGAAAGCATTCATACTTTTATCCCCTATATGATAATAAATTATACAGAGGTAGCTACTAAAATATATTTAATGCATAGAAGGGAAGAAACAAACTTTTTTCACCCTCTCCCACTTTTAACGGAAATGTGGAGGTGGGAGAAGATAAATATCTGCAATAGTTTTAATGCACACTACATGATTAAGATGACTTTGCTGGGTTAATAACAATATGTTTCACATTCTGTAGTTTTTCTCACAAAGTTATAATGCTTTTGATCTATCAGGTTTAAAAATATCATGCATTTATGCAACAATTCCTTATTTTCCTCCTGAATTTGCATGCTAATGAATTAAAATATTTTTTTAATATCACGACACTACGAATTGCTGGACTCAAGGGAATCTAGTATCTCTCGCATTCTGCCTGCTTCTATAAAGCAGGCTGAAACTTGAAAATCAAAGACACCAGCAACCTTCCAGCAAACAAAGGCAGTCATTATGTTTTCTGCACTTAGGAGCTTTTACTCTGCCAGGCAGATACAGAGAGCACTCATCTCTTTCCAACTCCCAAATCTCTTGACTTCCTCTTTCTCCTTCTCTCTGGCCAGGGCCTTTTGAGAGAGATGGCCAATAAGCCCCTTGTTTCAAATCTTTGCAGGAACAAGTAGATGCTACTCTCAGTGTCCACTAAACCATAAGTCCTTTGAGGATACAGGAAGACATCCACCAATCTCAAGATCAAAATGTGATAAGAGGAAGTCTGCAAGCAAAGAAGATGTTACCCACCACCACCTCTTACAGAAATGGCAGAATCTCTGGGAATAGTAAGCAGTTTATTCTATTCTTGCATGTTATATATACTAACCAAAGGTTCAGGAAAAATACTCTCCACTTAGTTTTACCTTTTAAAATATTCCTATTGTACAACAAAGTACACTATCAAGAATTGGGTATTGGCCAGGTGCGGTGGCTCACGCCTGTAATCCCAACACTTTGGGAGGCCGAGGTGGGCAGATCACTAGAGGTCAGGAGTTCAAAACCAGCCTGGCCAACATGGTGAAACCCCGTCTCTACTAAATATAAAAAAAAAAAATTAGCCGGGTGTGGTGGTGGGCACCTGTAATCCCAGCTACTTGGGAGGCTAGGGCAGGAGAATCACTTGAACCTGGGAAGTGGAGGTTGCAATGAGCCAAGATCGTGCCATTGCACTCTAGCCTGAGCAACAGAGTGAGACTCTGTCTCAAAAAAAAAAAAAAAAGAATAGGGTATTATAATACATATTCTCTCTGAACCTCATAATAGCCTCATTCTATTCTACACTTGAGAAGGATCCAGTGATAGGATTTGAACCCAGGTTCAACAGATTCCAAAGCTGCCCTTTCCTTAACAACATACTGTCCCTGCATGGATTCCAGGGATCAGAAAATAGTCACGTATGATCATATTTCTTTTTTTATTCTATGTTCTAAAATATGTATAATTGTACATTATCAGGAAAATAACAAAAAGATCTAAAGAGAATAGGAGGAAAGTTATCTGAATTGTTCAGGTTTTAATCACTAAAAGCAACACATCCACACCAAACACATTAAAAAAAAATCTCCTTTGAGTTTACAACTCTTGTGATGTTTCCCCAGCCTTGACTGCTAGGAAGAAGCAATTGCATAAGCCCAGAAAGGGCTACCAATAGACAACCAAATCAACATAGAAGGTAAACTTGCAAATAAAATGGTTTAAGATGGGATTGACTGCCGGAAAATCAGAGCAGCCATCTCTTTTTAACATGTCAGTACATGTCCCAAACAGTGTCCTCCAACCTATAATTTGCTTGTATAGTCCAGTCAAGAAGGACTGACTGCCCAAGGGCGTGGAACTGTGTCTTCTCTCTTGCCAACCCCTTTCTTCCTCCCACTAACAATCCAGCAGATTTCAGTCTCAAAGACAGGAGTTTAGACTTGATAGCTCTACACTGACCCTATCCCATCCCAACAAACCTAATGTTTGTATCTTCACTTCTCTGCAGATGGTTTTCACAAAGAAAGCATTCCTAATCACTCAGGGGGAACTAGGTCACCACCACAAATTGTCCTCCAGTTAAAAGCATGAACTCTTCTGGACACGAATTCTCTTCTGAGTGTGAGGATGCCATGACTGTGATACAGGGTAAAGTGGGATGGAGTGCTTAATCCCCAAGAAAGTCCATCAGGAATAGGAGAAGGCCAGTTTAAGAGCATTTAATGTTGTCCAACAAGTCCAACTGAAATCGGGAGTGGTTAATCCTCATAAATATAATATCTATCATTAGTTATTCAGGAAATATGGGAAGTCAGTACCAAGTCAGATGGTCCAAAACACGCAAGTCAATTAAGCAGCCTGAAAGAGGTGACACGAGGCATGAGTGATGCCCAAAGAAGGTGACACGCCCAGTGTAGCTGGTTACAAAGCAAGCCTCCTGATAGCTGGATGTGTTTTGAAATACTTGTAAAGTCCTTGGTAAGCATCTCCTATTCTTGTGATAAATAAACACTACCAAGGAAAAAGTACTAAACCACTCAACTGAAGTTTGAATTGATAAAGAATGGTAATGTGCACAATACTGAATGACCTTGGAGCCTCTTTGATCTGTGCGTTTCTATATTCAGCTCAAGGTCCCATTGAAACCAAGGAGTTTATGTTTGGGCCAATAAATAGAGCTAATAAAAGTTCACCCTTGGACTGGGACTCTTTGAATGGCTGGAACATGGGTCATTTATGGTGTTTGATGACTGTGAATGCCAACAAAACTACTACTGAGTATATATGGCTTCTTTTACACCCTAGATGAGAAAAGCCTGCCTGTAGCATGTAGGAGAGTAAAAAAGAGAATAAGCAACCTGATGCCACATATTGAAATTTCATTTGACAAATATGCATTGAATATCTACTATGTGGCAGACAGCCTTCAAGCAGGAGGGATACACAGATGAACCAAATGTAGGCCCTGCCTGTGAGACTCCAGACTGGACAGAATGCACTTAAGTCCACATAGCAGTAATACACGTCGGACTGTGAGGATGGCTGAGCAGAAGGAAGAGCAAGGAATTCTCTATGGGAAGACTCTGGAAGGCTTTAACAAGGATGTGCTCTTTAGCTGAACCTTAAAGCATGAGTGAAAAAAAAGAGCAGAAAAAGGTGGTGTTTTGAGCAGAGAACAGACACTGAGCAAGAAGCAGAAGAGCAGAGGAGCCGAGAAAGCTGGACAGAGTTCTAGAAATGTGGCATGGAAGGAATGAAAGGTCTGAGGAGGGAAAGGAGGTCAGGACCAACTACGAATGGTCTGGAATGACTTGCTACACGTGGATTTGACTTTATTTGTAGGCCGGGGGGTTGTAGAGGTTTTATATTTTTATACATTTATTTTTTAATTTTCATATTTCAACAGAGCTTGTTTCAAGTAATTCTTATGTAAAACATGAATGTATACAACAAAAACAAGCGGGTGATGTTTCATTAGTACAAACGTGCTTTTATAATCTTAACTTTATTAAGCTTGCTTATTCTTAAGTTAACCAATGAGAACAATTCTAATCGTCTGCACATGAGTCAAGATTTTGCACTCTGTGCAAGTGACTGAAAACTCAATTCAAACTAACTCAGGAAAAAAAAAAGTGGGGGAAGGGAGGAAGAAGATTTATTACCCATATAAATCCAGGAGGGGTTCTGGGATTCAGGAATCAGTTGATTGTGGGGCTGAAAGAATATTATCAAAGCTTCAGCTGATTTCTCAGCTCCATGTCCCCTCTATAGTAGCTGCTTCATTCTCAACATGAGCATCCTTGGTAGTCCCCAGGAACGCTGGGCTTAGAATCACCTTTACAAGCGGCAATCTTCCTTTCCTACCAAAGCCCACCACAGTCCCAGAACTAAGCCTCAGCGACCTGGCCCGCCTCACATGTCCATCCCTGAACCTGTGGCCAACACAATGGTGTATCCCAAATGAGCATGGTGGGTCCTGCATACATCCAGGTCTCGAAGGAAAATCGAGCTGCTGTCACCGGAAGGAGGATGCACAGGAAAAAAAAAACACAGTTTATTCTATTTTGACCAATGTGAAAATTTTAAATTTAGGATAAGGGATTGCAGGTTTATACCAGTTTTAACACTCACTTTGTTTCTGTATTTTATTTGCACAGTATTGAGAAAATTCTGATTCATTACTGGTAACTGTTTTTTAAATAGCATACCTGTTTAAATTACACCTGGAACATTCAAAATAGTCTTAAATTAAACTTGTGCCAAAGTGTAAGTAGGTTGAAAGTCTGAGCAATGGGAAGTTTTATTTCAAAGTTTAATTCTACAAACAATCTCCTCTGTTAATTTAAGTGTTCACTGGGAAGATGTTTCTCAAATGTATCTATAATATCTAACAAGAAATTCAACAATGTTACTTATTTTTTAAACTTAGTATCTCAGTAACTATTGCTCAAAGCTTGAGTGTGATAAAATTAATGTTTTGCTCTTTGAGTCATAAAGTTAGGTTTCAACTTAATTGCTGGCATGCTATCAGCAAATGTAAGCATGGTGATATTGCAACTTCACATTGCCAAACTGAACTCATTCAGTTTCTTGAAAAACATCAGCAAGTTTATGCAACTCTGTTATATCAGAGAACTATTTGCTAAGTCTCATTTGGGATACAATATTTAGTGATTTCTTGTCTCATTTGAAAGAGTAATAACAACACCTTGCCTCAAGACAGTTGGTAAGTGTACTTTCCCAGGAGAAAGTACACTGTGGAACCCACAACCCAATACATTCCCAAAAACTATAAAAAGGCTGAAATTGGAATCTCCTGTCTCATTAAACTGACAATGTAAAGGAAATCGCTAATCACTGTTTTTGCTTTTGTTTTTTGAGACGGAGTCTCGCTCTGTAGCCCAGGCTGGAGTGCAGTGGCGCAATCTCGCTCACTTGCAAGCTCCGCCTCCCGGGTTCACGCCATTCTCCTGCCTCAGCCTCCCCAGCAGCTGGGACTATAGGCGCACACCACCACGCCCGGCTAATTTTTTGTATTTTTAGTAGAGATGGGGTTTCACCGTGTTAGCCAGGACCGTCTCCATCTCCTGACTTTGTGATCCTCCCGACTCGGCCTCCCAAAGTGTTGGGATTACAGGCGTGAGCCACCGCGCCCAGCCTAATCACTGTTTTAAGAGATGCTCATGTCACCTTAATAGCAAGTGCTTTTCTGTGCAACTTGCCATGTCTTATTCAAAATCACATTTCACCAAGAAAATTCCTCAGCACTTTGCACCACTTCATCCCATTCTGCATAGCCTTATTTTCCTAATTGGGCTAACATGACTCTTTTCTTAGCCTGAGAGCCCTGCAAGGGCTGGAACTCTCTTATTATGTGCTTTCTCTCCATTGAGCTTACTAATGTATACTCAGAGCTTAGACTGTAAATGTTTGGTGAATAAATTATGTATGTATGTATGTATGTATGTATATTTAATGTGTTTTATTTACAAAAAAAATTAAAGGAAAATTTTCACCAAGCCATTGTTTCAAATAAAATTCTTTTTTTTTAATTTTTTTTTTTATTTTGAGACAATCTCACTCTGTCACCCAGGCTGGAGTGCAGTAGCGCAATCTTGGCTCACTGCCACCTCCGCCTCCTGGGTTCAAGCGATTCTCGTGCCTCAGCCACCCAAGTAGCTGGGATCACAGGCATGTGCCACCATGCCCAGCTAATTCTTGTATTTTTAGTAGAGACGGGGTTTCACCATGTTGACTAGGCTGGTCTTGAACTCTTGGCCTCCCAAAGTGCTGAGATTACAGACATGAGCCACCACACCCAGCCTCAAATAAAATTCTTGAGATTAAGAGTTTTTACACCCCTTATAAATAGCACACAAAACAAGAAACCAAAAACTTATCTCCTCTACAGAAATGTTTTGCAATGGCTATTTTGACCCCAGGACCATTTACATTCCTCATTCATTCATCAAACAGTTAGGAAGCACCTACTACATGCTATTAAACTGTCCCCATTGCTGAGGATATCTTCTGAAAGACATTAAATACAGTTTTTGACCTCAAGGAGTCTAGTCAGGGAGAATCATAGAACTCAAATCATCATCATGCCACCTGATGTGTGCCATAAGAGAGATACGAATATTACGTGGTGTTGATTAGGCTCTTTCGGGTTGCCAGGAAAAGAGACGTGCTCTGGTGACTTGCATTAATGTGGTTCATTATGAGGAAGTAGGGAAGAACAGGAAGCAGTTTTAGCAGCTGCCTGGCGGGTCTGGCAGAGCCAGGAATGTCATTCAGGACATAGTATACCTCCAGCCACCTGTTCTTCTTGACATTGCTTCAACGGCAAGCATCTGTTGCTCCTTCTCTAGTGCTCTGCCAGTGTGATGACTCAGCCACGCTCTGCCCTGCTTTCTCTGCTCGTGCTGCTAAATCCTCTCTGCATTCCTTTTCTCTCCTCCATGGCTCCCGCTTAGTTGTGGCTCCTACTGCCGTGTGGATATGGCTTGCAGACTCCTCTCAGGACGTCTGCCTTTTTCGGCCCAACTTTTTGGCTTAGTCCTCTGATAAGTCTCAAATTCAAAATGTGTGAAAGAGGCTTTGTTTGACTGGCCACTCATCATCCAGGGTACAGTGACCTCGCTGGGTGGAGCTCTGGCATCAGCCGCTGGCCACTGGACTCTCCATGGATGGCTGCCTTTGGGTCGGGCATCAGTTCTCAGTTCAGTGCACCATAGCCAGGGAAGCAGGGTCCTGGCAGAAATCACATCCACCCACGCAGAGAGCACTGTCTGCAGCAGCTCTCATCCCAAGAGTGGTGTGGCAGAGGCTGGCACTCATGCCAGCGCTGACTTTCCTCCAGCATGATGTCCCAATGTATTGATTGCCATCCTAACTTTGACTGTGTCAACCATTCAGCTTTGCTACAAATCATGTCAGAGCTATGACAGATATTTGAAAACACATTTTTAGAGCTATTTAAAATAACCAAAAGTTCACTTTGGGAGGCCAAGACAGGCAGATCACCTGAGGTCAGGAGTTGGAGACCAGCCTGGTCAACATGGTGAAATCCCATCTCTACTAAAAATACAAGAATTAGTCGGGCATGTTGGCAGGCACCTGTAATCCCAGCTACTTGGGTGGTTGAGGTACGAGATTCGCATGAACCTGAGAGGCAGAGGTTGCAGTTGGCTGAGATTGCACCACTGCACTCCAGTCTGAGTGACAGAGTGAGTGACTCTGTCTCAAAAAATAAAATAAAATAACCAAAAATTAAAAACAACTTGAATACCAGAGGAAAAGAAAATACTTGAATAAATTTTAATATATTTGTAAGGAATATCATACAACTGTTCAAAAATATGACTTGGAGAACATCGTGACAAGGGAAAATGCCCACTGATATACTGTTCAATAAAAGTCAGTGTATGCAAGTTATATAGTATCATTACTGAATTAATTATACACATTCACATATAGAATATAGAGAGAATAAACTGGAAAGATAAGCTGACAGTGACTGTTGATGGTGGGATGATGTGTGAGTTTTATGTTCTTTCTTATGCATTCATTGTATTTATTAACCTTTCAAAAGCTAAAAAAAAAAAGTAGTTCTCAATTATAAGATATAGAAAGCAGTATATAAGACCACATTATTTCAGTAGGCAAAGCCCATAAATTGGTTTGACAAAAAGTACAAGATATCTCGGATCCCATTTCCAGTAAAGAAGCAACATTTCCTTTCTTATTCATGACTATATTAGCAAAGAAAACAAAGATGACAATGAAATCAAAAGCATGACAGAGTAACAGGATGCACAGTGCCTACTCATGAACCCTGGGCTGTAGCTCTTAGGAGGATGTCTGGGTTGTCAAAGTACAATTCTATTTGGTGGATGGAACATGGGAGATGGCCTTCGGAAAACTATAATCCAACAGGAAAAAATGGAAATAACAGAAGATAATACAAAGGAGTATGGGAGCCCAGAAGACATGGTTAACTCTGCCTGTGAGAGGGAGGGGAAAATTTAGAAGGTTACCAACCTTTGAGCTGAGGCTTAAGTGATATTTATTGAATTTTCAAGGGAGTCCCGCAAAAAGGGGCACTTTTCTTCCATACTTGAATTATCAGCTGATTGAGAAATAAGATCAGAGAATAGAGCAGATGGGAGACCAAACTATCACATTTACTTGATAAAGTTGATATCGAAGAAGACTTTATAGCTTCAGGTAAGGTAAGTGGGTTTCCAATTCTGAACTCAGAAATAGACAGATTTATCCATCCAGTATTGCTAGGCCACAGCAAGCTTTATAATGGAGGGCAAGGCCCTTGGAAAACCTACACAGCAGAATCAGAGGAGAACACGTGTTCTCAACAGGCAGACTTACTCCAAGAAGAAAAGGAGAGGAAGAAGCTGAAATGCACACGCCTAATGTGGTGGGCTGAGTGTGCCCCACACACCCACACATACTATGCGTTTATATAGAGAAAGACATACATACACATATAGAAAGAGTCTGTAAATGTGAGCTCATTTAGAAAAAGGATCTTTGCAGATGTAATTAAGTTAAGGACCTTGAGATGAGATCATCCTGGATTAGAGTGGGCCCTAAATCAAATGGCAGGTGTTCTTAGAAGATAAGAGCAGAAGACAGACAGGAGAAAGCCTTGTGAAGATGAAGGCAGAAATTGGTGTGATGCATCTACAGGTTAAGAAACCTGGATTCAAACCAAAGATTTCAGAAACCCAGCACCCAAAACCAGGAGAGAGGCAGGGAATGAATTCTTCCTTAGAGCCTACAAAAGAAACCAACCCAGTCCACACATTGATTTTGGACTTCTGGCCTCCGGCACTGCAAGAAAATCCATTTCTGTTGCTTTAAGTTACCCAGTTTCTGGTAATTTGTTACAGTAGCCATATACTCAGTTTCTCCTAAACTCAGCAGGCTGTGAGTGGAGAGAGGAGGGGAAGGACAGATTATTCCCCAAGTGGAGCTTCCTCCACCTAGAAAATACTATGAGTGGGGAAGACACATCTCATTCAAAAATAATAATAAAAGCCAGTAACATTTTTCAAGTGCTTGCTAGACCAGCCACAGTTTTGAGTGGTTTTATAAAGACTACACCAGGGACTATGTAGAAGAAGGGAATTCTAGGCCAAGGGGAAAAGCTCTGTGGGGTTTCCCCATCCCACACACTTCCTCATCTATTCCTATGCAACTTCCACCCATTTCATGGACATTTATTTGGTCAAGGACAAAATACTTCCCACACACTTCCTCATCTATTCCTACACAACTTCCACCAAGGACATTTACTTGGACATTTACTGTGATTTACAGCTTTGAATCTTCAGGTATCCTACATCCTCTGATAACAAAAATACAGGCAGTGTTTGTTTAATTATAAAATTTTTATAAATATCATATAAGGCTTATGAAAAACATGGGCGTATTAGTCAGTGTTCTGCAGAGAAACAGAACCAACAGGATGTATATAAATAAATAAACAAACACACATACACACAGAGAAAGAGAGCGATTAAAAGCTTAAAATAAGGAGTGGACTCACCTGATTGTGGGGGCTGGCAAGTTCGAAATCTGCAAGGCAGGCCAGCAGCCTGGAAACCTAGGGAAAAGTTGATGTTGCAATCTTGAGTTCAGAAAAAATCTGGGGGTAGAATTTCTTCTTCCTCAGGGGACCTCAGTCTTTTTTCTTAAGGCCCTCAACTGACTAAAGGAGATTCATTCACATTATGGAGAGGAATCTGGTTTCCTCCAGGTCTATTTATTTAAATATCAGTCGCATGTAAAAAACACTTTCACAGCAACATTTCGGCTAGTGTTTGACCAAACTAATGTTATCATAGCCTAGCCAGGTTGACACATAAAATTAACTATTAAAATGGACTTTTTTATCTTTTATTCATTTTTTACATTGTGGTAAAATACACATGAAATAAAATGTATCATCTTAACCATTTTTAAGTATCCAGTTCTATGGCATTGAGTGCATTCACATGGTGCAACCATCACCGCCATTCATCTCCAGAACTTTTTTCATCTTGCAAACTGAGATTCTGTACCCATTACACAATAGATCCCCATGTTCCTCTCTTCCAGCCCCTGGAAACCACCATTGTCCTTTCTGTCTCTGTGAATTTCACTACTCTAAGTACCTCATATGAGTGGGATCACACAGTGTTTGTCTTTTTGTGACTGGCTTATTATACCTACCGTAATGTCTTCAAGGTTCATCCATGTTGTAGCATATGACAGGATTTCTTTCTTTTTTAAGGCTGAATAATATTCCATTGTATGTATAGACCACATTTTGTTTCTCTGTTCATCTGTCACTGGACATTTTGGTTGCTCCCACCTTTTGGCTATTGTGAACAATGTTGCTATGAGTATTGGTGTATAAGTCTCTGTTCAAATCCCTGTTGTTAATTATTTTTTGTGTGTATGTCCAGAAGTGGAATTGCTGGCTCATATAGTAATTCTATGTTTAATTTTTTACTGTTTTACTATGTTATAGTCAGCATTTTAAAATTTGTATCAGGGCCGGACATGGTGGCTCATGCCTGTAATCCTAGCACTTTGGGAGGCTGAGGAGGGTGAATCACCTGAGGTCTGAGGTTCAAGACCAGCCTGGCCAACATGGTGAAACCCTGTCTCTACTAAAAATACAAAAAATTGGCCAGGCATGGTGGCAGGCATCTGTAACCCCAGCTACTCAGGAGGCTGAGGCAGGAGAATCACTTGAACCCAGGAGGCAGAGGTTGCAGTGAGCCAAGATGGCGCCATTGAACTCCAGCCTGGGCAACAAGAGTGAAACTCCGTCTCAAAACAAAATAAACAAAACAAAACAAAACTTGTATCAGAAGACAGGACAAACAGTTGCCTAAGAAAGCCAATATATACATTAGTACTCAGATTGCAGCCACACATCCAAAGGTGGGCAAAAACACTCAAAGACCAATCAAAATACATTATGGATACTGCAGGTTGACTATCCAGCCTCCACTCTACCCTTCTTCTTTCCTAAGAGAACCCTAGTTTTATTCATATAATCTCCTCTTTCCTACAGAGTCATGTTCCTTGGGGTAAACAAACACTAGCTTTAGGAATGGGTCTGATTGATCTGAGGAGAATTCCATTGCCCTTGTCAGCAGTTAAGACATGCTTAGGCACATAACCTCATTTTGGCCAAGAAAATTAAAGAGAATTCTGGAGTGAGACTCCTGGAAAATTATTCTTCATTCTTAAGAAAGCACCATAGGAAGAGGCCCTCCTATTCTCCCTTTGGCATTGCCATTCCTGCATGTAACTCCTGGAACTGGCATAGCCAGGCTGCCACTAACATGAAGATGAAGCCCACATCAATGGTGGAACAGTGGAGAGATGGAAAGTATCCAGGTTCTTGATGTTAACATCACTGAACTGCCTAATGGACTCAGTTGGGAGCCCGCCCTACACACTTTGATCTACTTGATGACAAAACAAATTGACAACAAGTTTTGGCCTTCCGTGAAAAATCAATCTGCTTATTAATATGAAAAAAATAAAAACAAAGAAAAAGGATAAAGGTGAAAAAAAAGTATAAATTGCTCACAATCCCACTGTGTTAGTGAGAGTTCTTGGTGGCAAGCAACAGAAACCAACTCTGATTCACTTAGGCAGAAACATACTGGATCGGATGGATTATCAAGGAACTGACAAAACCAAAGGCAGGAGAACCAGGAGTCTTTCCCATGAGAACCAGATCTAAGCTTATCCCAGTGTTCACGCTACCATTGGAATCAGCAACACTGCATCCACGGCCACCATTCTCACTGTTTCGGCTGTCACTAGTACTATCACTACTGCATACTGCACTGGCATCATCTCTGCCACCACCACTGTGATGATCTGCTTGCTGACTTTCCAGACTTTCCAAGTATCACACCAAGGCTGTGGGACTAGGAGAGGCAAGCCAGCAGCCTATGGCACACCATTTAAGGAGGCACTCATGGCCGGGCGGGGTGGCTCATGCCTATAATCCCAGCACTTTGGGAGGCCAAGGCGGGTGGATCATAAGGTCAGGAGATCAAGACCATCCTGGCTAACACGGTGAAACCCCGTCTCTACTAAAAAATACAAAAAATTAGCCAGGTGCGGTGGCGGGCACCTGTAGTCCCAGCTACTCGGGAGGTTGAGGCAGGAGAATGACGTGAACCCGGGAGGTGGAGCTTGCAGTGAGCTGAGATCATGCCACTGCATTCCAGCCTGGGCAACAGAATGAGACTCCGTCTCAAAAAAAAAAAAAAAAAAAGAAAGAAAAGGAGGCACTCACTCTCAGGGTCGTACCAATGCAGATCAGCACTCTCATGACTCTAAGAATGAGTGCCTCCTTAAATGTTACCCCCTAGCACCCTAGATGCTTCTTTGCCTCACTTAGTCCCATTCCTGTGCCATCATCCAAGTTTCGGAATTTCAGCGTCAGTGTCCAAGCCTAGTTCATGTGACTACAACCATGTTGCTATGCAGTGAGCATTGAAGGGTCTCCCTCTTCAGCTTCCACATACAACTAAGGCACTCTAGCCAAACTACACACAATGGGAAATTGCCCCCTAATAGGAGCCACATCAGGGATAATGACTCTGAGCTGTTCCTCCAGTCTTTCTTCCATGCATAATACTGGGGTTGGGATGCAAAAATGACTTTATGTTTCTTAGCATAGTTTTTTGGTGCTTAGAAAATACACAACATTCTCAAGTGAAATTCCCCCCCAAATTTCTTCCTAACCAGCCTCATGCCCTGATGTCTGACTGTGTAACCCCCTGCAATACATGACTCGAGAAAATGATATAATTTAAGTCAATCACATGTTAAATTTATACTTTTATTGCCAATATTTGAGCTGTGACCAATTACACACTTTGTTAATTATTTTCTAAAATCATTGTGGTTTGCCTTTGAAAGTCCATGGATATCCAAGTCATTATAGGCAAGAAGATTGACAGTCAAAAACCCGTACACATTCTAATGACAAAATCCTACCAGAGAATCAACACCAATACTATTTTTTAAAAACCCAGAGTGTGGAATGCACTAAACCACTGGCTGATTTCACTTTAAGAGTAATACTTATAGAAAGGGGAAAAGCTTTTGAAGTGTAAGCAGTTTAACAAGGAGAGAAAATAGACATTCAAACGAATCATAAATGGAAGGAAACTGTAGAACAATGCAATGTTCAAACTGGCCATTCAGGGTAACTTCTTCTTTTTTTAAATTTAAACTATGTTTACTTTAAATTTAAATAGTTTCATCTTTCACAAAGCATAGTCAGAAGTCACTTTTTAAAAAATTTCACTTTCTTTAATGGCAAAATAATTACACCTTAGCTGCAGGTTTATTCGTAGTTTGGCTCTGTCTTCATAAAGCTGATTCAGTTGACAGTTGCCAAGGTGATGGCCTTTTTACAAGACACTTTGTTTACGGAGAAGAGTTAAAGGATAAGCACTTTTCACTTGAGACTTTCTAGAAAAATGATACTTGCATTTGCCATACATGCCACCCCAGGTCAAATTTTAAAGACAAGAGAACGAATAGATGTTGTGAGACTTAATTAAATTAAGGACAAATGTACTCTGTAAACAAAAGCTTTAGTTTCCTAGCCGGTGTCTATTTTTCAACCCTGTACTTTTTGACTGTTTAAGCTGTGAAACACAGAGCTCATTGTTGCCTCTAAGATTTGAAGAAATATACTTCTTATTACATGACTCAAGGAGCAGACATAAGTAGTCAAAATAATCACATAAAGAGAAAATTTTGAAAATTATTTGTTTTAATTTATTTGAAATGCATTGATCCACATCACCTCCTACCAGATGAATTAGTGTTATGTTTGCACAGATGTTTACCATCCATTATTGTTGTTATTATTGTTATTAAAGAAATCACTGCAAATGGTAGGAACATCCAGAAGGATAAACTCAAATCTACTATTCTGAG
The DNA here is from genome assembly GCF_000001405.40 of Homo sapiens. NCBI lineage: Eukaryota > Metazoa > Chordata > Mammalia > Primates > Hominidae > Homo > Homo sapiens. The sequence goes on from NC_000004.12 coordinate 38,582,439, forward strand.
TAGAACCAGTTACCCTACTTTCAACCTTCCTAAGCTGCTATATTTCTTGAGGAAAATTCTCACCACCCAATTCCCACCTTCTCACCTCAATAGCTAGTAGTATGACGTCAACAAGCAGAGCTTTTCTGTAGCCAGGCTGCCACTAACATGAAGAGGAAGCCCAGATGAAGATGAATTCCTATGCTCAGGCATAGGAATGTGATGTAATGGGACCCAGTGGGAGTACTGCAAGGGCTTCTGAGTAGATGTTCCTCATTTGTAAAAGAAGACACAAGACAGAGCCATTCCATTCTTCTCCTCTGGATTCTATCATCTGTGAGTACAGCCTGAAACTGTCATGGACATCTTGTTAAAATGTGGACAAAAACCAATATGCTGGATATGACAGAGTGGAAAGTGAAATTTAAAAAAAAAAAACCCTAGGGCCATGATGGCATTGCTAAGCAGCTGAAGTAACCCTGGAATCACTTTTCCTCCAAATGTATTTCAAGAGATACATAATGTGTTTTCATCATTTAAACAACTTGGAGTTATTTTCTGTAACTTAAGGCAAAAGCACCCCAGCTGATTGTGACGTGTTGCAAAAATGGCCACCATTCTTCTTCCCTCCCTGTATCTACAGCCTATGCAATGCAACTCTGCCTCTCCTTTCAAGAGACAATTTATTCATCCCTTGAATCTGGGTGAGGCTTGTGACCTGCCTGTGGCAATAAAATGTAGCAGAAGTAACAGTGAAAAGTTCAGAACCAGGGCTTCAAGAGGCTTTACATACTTCCTTTCTCACTTGTAGACTCCTAATGCCATTATATAAAGAAGACGAGGTTAGACTGTGGAGGAAGAGAGATCCTGTGGAGAGTGACCTAGTTTTTCCAGCTGTCTCCGCTGAGCTGTCAAACCACAAAGCCCCAGTCAACTTATTAGCTGATCATAGATACTTAAGTGAATTCAGTCAAGATCAGCCAAGCCAGCTCAGACCAGAACTGCCCAGGAATCCCAGCCCAATTGCCAAACTACAGAATTAAGAATGAAATAACTGGTTGCTACTTTTAACCATCATATTGTGGGATTACTTGTTACATAGCAAAAGCTAATTGATACATAGATAAAAGCAAAACTCTAGGTTATTGCTAAGAGCAACAACTTCCCTTAAGTGCATGTTGCATTATGTAATCATTGAATATATATTTATCTTGGAATTGGAAATAGATACATATGTGTACTGCCAAAATTAAATCATTAAATATATAGTACAGGTGATACTCTTTCACAGGTGTGGAAATGGAACAATTGAAGGTAATAATGGCATCCTACCACCATTTCCTATTTTTGACCTATTGTAAGGTTGTCCCTGTTAATGGGAGACAGGAGAGAATAGAAAGAAAGAATGGCTAGTATAAAACTGTGCACAATCTGAAACCATTCATATTTGGCATCAGCAAACTGTATTTGTGTGCGTTCATGAACCCAATCTTTTCTTCTTTCCTTGGACTGGCATGAGGGTAAATTGCATTCTCCATGCACTCAGTAATCAAGTAAGGAATACGCAGCTTAGAAATTGTCTCACAGGTAGGGACATGCAACCTGCAATCAAATGAATTATAAAATTTTAGAGCAGAAAGCCTTAGAAAATGCCTAGTTCAACTTCCCCACTCCCTAGTTCAATGCAGTCATCTTCTTTGTAACATTGATTCCATTCAGCAATCATTTATGGGGTATCTCTTATGTGCAAGTGACTATGCAGCAGGGAATTCAGGAAGAGTAATGAACATCCCTGCCTTCAAGGAGATTACCATTTGATAGTGAAGGTAAAAGACTTACATAAATAAGATCCCAGTGCAAACTGTTAAGGAGACCTAAATATTAGACCTAAATACTAGGATTTCAAGGGAAAAGAGATCTCTCCTAGTGTACATAGGAAAGAGGTAGAATGGGAAAAGAGGCATCCATAAAGATGGATATGGGCTGGGCATGGTGGCTCACTCCTGTAATCCTAGCACTTTGGGTGTCCAGGGCAGGTGCTTCACCTGAGGTCAGGAGTTCAAGACCAGTCTGACCAAGATGGTGAAACCCCATCTCTATAAAAATACAAAAATTAGCTGCCCATGGGGGCACACGTCTGTGGCCCCAGCTACTTGAGAGGCTGAGGTGGGAGAATCGCTTAGATCCAGGAGGCAGAGGTTGCAATGAGTTGAGATGGGATAGATATGCATTTATCACATGATAGTGAAGAGGGAGCAGAAAGTTCCAGATTGAGGAATTATGAGCATAGTATGGAGATAGAAAACAATAAACCAGTGTGTCAGGAGTATCAAATGCTGATAATAACGTTCATCATTTATTATATAAGCATTCTGAATTTTAACCTTCACACTTTTCCTCTCCTGTCTTCTTCATGTAAGTAAAAAGCCTGTCCCTGGCTGGGTGAAGTGGCTCACACCTGTAATCCCAGTACTTTGGGAGGCCGAAGCAGGTGGATCATGAGGTCAAGAGATCAAGACCATCCTGGCCAACATGGTAAAACCCCATCTCTACTAAAAATACAAAAATTAGCTGGATGTGGTAGTGCATACCTGTAGTCCCAGCTACTCAGGAGGCTGAGGCAGGAGAATCGCTTGAATCTGGGAGGCAGAAGTTGCAGTGAGCTGAGATGGCGCCGCTGCACTCCAACCTGTCGACAGAGAGAGACTCCATCACACACACACAAAAAAAAGCCTGTCCTTCACCTAGCTGCTCCAGCCCAAACCTAGGAGGCATCCTTGATTTCCTCCCTTCCCTCAAACCCCATATCCAAACCATTATAAAGCCCAGTCAGCTCTAACCACCAAGATATGGCTCACCAACTCTATCCCCACCAGCTGAGTGTAATCCATCTTCTTCCATAGTATCTTCCTGACTTCGCTTTCTTCCTCCACTCTTAACCTCTTCCAGTGTAGTCTTCACACAGCAGCCTAAGTGAGCTTCATAAAATGTAAATCAGGTCCTGTCACCCCTCCATTGGAGGGGAGCCTCTAATGGTTTCCTGTCACACTGGGAGTAAAATCCAAACTCCAAGGGCTTGTAGTATCTAACTTCTGCATCGTCTGGTCTCACTCATTATGACTTTCTCACTTGCCCACTGTGCCTTGGTCACACTGACCTTTAATTCTACTTTAATTCTCCGAGCTCTTCCCCTCTTTAAGGACTTCGTAGCCTCCATCCCCCCGTCTGGAACGCAGACCCATGGCTTGTCCTCTCACTTCATTCAGACATCTTCTCAAATGTCATCTTCCCAGAGATGCCTTCCCTGACCATCTAAGAGATCCGCCGTCTCCATCGTTCCCTGTATCCTGCTTCATCTTTTATTTTTCTAATCTCCCAAGGCTCGGTCATCCATATCCTGCTTCATCTTCTTCATAGCGCTTTTCATTACCTGAAATCATACTTTATATTTGTTTGTTCACTTACTTCTTATCTGCATTAGTATTAGTTTCCTGTTGCGGCTGCAAAAAATTATCACAAACATAGTGGCTTAAACAACACAAATGTATTGTCTTAACACTTCTGGAGATCAGAAGTCTGAAATGGGTCTTAATGGGTCTCACTAAAGCTAAGATTTCAGTAGGACTATGTTCCTTCTTGGGGCTTTAGGGGAAAATTCATTTCCTTCCCTTTTCAGCTTTTTTTTTTTTTTTTTTTTTTGAAATGGAGTCTTGCTCTGTCAGCCAGACTGGAGTGCAGTGGCATGATCTCAGCTGACTGCAACCTCCACCTCCCAGGTTCAAGTAATTCTTCTGTTTCAGCCTCCTGAGTAGCTGGGACTACAGGTGCATGCCACCACATCCAGCTAGTTTTTTTGTGTTTTTGGTAGACACAGGTTTTCACCATATTAGTCAGGCTGGTCTCGAACTCCTGACCTCAGGTGATCCACCGACCTCAGCCTCCCGAAGTACTGGGATTACAGGCACGAGCCACCACGTGCAGCCTCTTTTCCAATCTCATAGGAAAAGATTCTGCATTCCTTGGCTTGGGTCCCCCTTCCATCCTCAAAGTCAGCAGCAGCCGGTTGAGTCCTCCTCACATGGCATCACTCTGACACTCTCCTGCCTCCCTCTTCCTTCTTTTAAGGACCCTTGTGATTCCACTGGGCCCACCTGGATAATCCAGGCTGCTGTCTCTATTGCAAAATCAGCTGATGAGCAACCTTAATTCCATCTGCAACCTTAACTCCCCTTTGCCATGTAACCTACCATGTTCATAGGTTTTGGAGGCTAGAACATGGACATCTTTTTGGGGTGGCATTATTCTACCTCCCACCCCACAAACACTAGAAGGTAAGTTTCATGAGGGGCAGAACTGGGCCTCCTTCATCATTCTCCGATGCCTGGCACATAGCAATGTATATTACTCCATATACGTTAGTTAACTAAATTCTTGAATGCAACCTACTGTTCCAAGAGCTTTACATGTATTATCCCAATTCCATCATCACAACTACTCTAAGAAGTAAGAACAATTTGTATCCTCATTTACATTTGAGGAAATAGAAGCACAGAGAAATTAAGTAACTTGTCTAAGGTCACATAATTAGCAAGTGCCAGAGCCAGGGCACAAACAGAAGCACACAAACTCTAAGGCCTGTGCTCTTGACCACTGTGCTACATCCTCTTCATCAGGGAGTCATGGAAAAGATAAGGTAGGGCCCCAGTAGAACCTTCCTTGAATGAACTTTGGTCTAAATGGTAAGCACCAGCTGGGAGAATGCCATTCTCTCTCACACATGCCTATTCAGTCTGTGTCTAGATACTGTTGATGGAGACCAACTCACTATTTGAGGAGGAAGCTTACTTCAATCTTTCAGCCAGGTCTGCTTTTGGTCCAGCTAACCACAGCCACCCACAGATTCCTGAGGATACTTTCAAGCTAAATGCAAACTCATTTTTCCTGAGCAGGCCTTCTACACAAAATCTTTCTCTGCTTTCCTACCCTGGTAAACTGGGCTGGGCCTTGAAGTAACTGTGGGACCCCACCACCACCTTCACTTCCATACTAGATCAGAGCCAGCCTCAGCAATCAACTTATGTGGGCTTTCTCCTGGATTCCACTCTGCTTTCACTCAAAGACCAAAAACCTCTACTCTACACACAATACCCCTTGCTCCAAAACTCAGCACCCAGAATGCCTCAGAGGAGGGAGAGTAAGTGAGGGACTTTCATAACCATTTCCCTTCATTCCTCCCCCAAATTTCTAGCTCCCAGGCAAGGAGAGGGGGTGGATAAGGCTTTGTTCTAAAAGAACCCCATTGAGTATTTGATGAATATCAGGGCCCCTCCCTCAGGAGGGTGGAAAGGAGAATGGAGAGTGGGTGGCCAACAGACAGTATTTCTCTTTTTCTGGCCAATAATCCAGAAAATGGATAATTCCCGCAAACATAATCAAGTTAGTATTCCATGTGTAATTTGGCAGTAGACTTGCTAGTCAACCAATGACTTAAATTGCATGTGGGATTTTTAAAGGAAAATTTACTTAGTCATTTTAATAAGAATATTCCTTGGAGAAAAATTTTTCAAAGAAAACCAATAAGGCTAAGGTCAAAATATTATCTCCAGGTCTGTGTCATATAAGCTGTCCAGAGTACATTATCTCCCCTTTGATCCAGCTACCTTACCCACACATCCACACATTCTCTCTCTCTCTCTCTCTCTCTCTTTCTCTGTCCCCCCTCTCTTTCTCTCTGTCTGCTATACACACAAATATACACACTCAACCATCTCAACCATACACATGCATCCATTCATATAGACACTCATGCACTTCCTCCTGGTATCTCCCAGTTACCCAGGAATTCTCCTGGCCCTTCTCCTGGATGTTGTCCTGCTCTTCATGTGCAGACACTTGCATAATGGCAGCAATGGAGTTGCTGAGGGCCAACCAAGTAGACTGTGGGTATCAGTCCCTATGCATAAGTTGGTTTCTCAGCTCCACCACTTAATATCTATGTGACTTCAGGCAAATTAACTTCTCTGAGCCTCTGTTTCTGTGTCTGAAATTGGCAAAGTAATACCTATCTCATGCTAAATATTGAGCAACAACTATGCAACCAGCATTGTTCTGGTGCTGGGGGTACAGCAATAAAAAGGATGAAATTCCTGCTCTTGGGAAGCTTATCTTCTAATGGGGAGGAAATGGGTCTCTACCAAAAAAAGATGATTTCAGATAAAAACTATTAAAAATAGAACACAATAATATGATAGAAATTTAAGGGGAAGATGTGGTAGGCAGCTTCAAAGATGGCCACTAATGATCCTCGCCTCCTGATATTCATCCCCTTGTGTGTTCCTCTTCATGTTGAGTGGGCTAACCCAGGTAACCAATAAGATGTAGCCACCATTGGCATCTATATCTACTTTGTGTTTAAAAATCAACTGGTAATTCTGAAACACTGTAGAATGGATAAAAATTATTTTGTGATCATAACTCTTTGTTGAACTAGAGTATTTTTGCAGCATTCCTTGTCATCAGAAACATGGTTAAAATTTAAAACTAGAAGCAGCAGAATAAGGCAATGGGAGGGTGTTATGTCCAAGGACAGGTCATGAAAGACATTGCAGCTACCAAATCACTCTCTTGGGTCACTCATTCTTGGGAAACGAACAGCCACGTTGAGAGAACACTCAAGTAATTTAACAGACAGTCCTAGGGTGAGGTGGTGATGAATGAAGCCTCTTGCCCATAGCCAGCACCAAGCTTGCCAATGGCCAGAGCCAACCTATCATGTTGAAAGTGATCGTCCAACCCTGGTCAAGGCTTCCGAAGACTGTAGCCTGCAGATTCATAAGAGACGTCAAGCCAGAACCACCCAGCCAAGTTGCTTCACAATCCCTGGCCCATAGAAACTATGAGATGATACATTTTATTATTGTTTTAAGCCATGAAGAGTTGAAGTAATTTGTTACACAGCAATAGATAATGTATACAGGGAGCTTTGGATTGGATGAGGGAAGGCTTCAGTAAGCTTCATTAAACTTGGGTTATTGTGAGGATTAACTAAAAAAGTAAAAAAAGTCCTTAGCAAAGGGTCAGGTTTTTAGTCCATGTGTAGTAAACCTCAGCTATTGTAATTTTTATGCTTTGTGGTAAGATTAATCTTCATCCAACACCCTCATATTGCAGATGAGGACCTTGGGACCTAGGAACTTCAGACATTTGCCCATATCCTACAAAGCAAGTATTGGCCAAGCTAAGCTGGAGGCTAGGTCTTCTAGGTTCTCCTAGGCCCTAAGCCACACTTCTTTCTTATTCTACACTCTGTTGCTTCCCTCCTTGCATGAAAAGCTGCTGGAACAAGAATCTGACAAATCTGCACAGAGATTCAGACTCCGCTGAGTCTGCTCCATGCCCGTAGACATGGAGACAGAGCAAGGGACAGAGAGAAGATGGATGTGGTATATGTGGGTCCCGCGACTCCACAGTTGCCCTCAAGGACTTCTTCAGAAGCCAATAGCCATGGCCAGGAGAACATTTCTGGATTTCCATGGAATGCTCTCTTCCTTGCTAATTGCTGTTAGGAGCTCAACAGCTGTTTTTAATATTTTGATGCTAATCTCCTGAAGGGCCATGGAGAGAAGGAAAGAGAGAAAGGCAGATTGTCTGCAAAGCCTAGGATCCCATCGGTACCTCAGCTCCAAAGAGTTTAGCACAGGCTGGTTCCCATGTGCTGCTGTCCTCATTCTTCCCTGGGGTCAAGGATGCAGCCAGCTTTCTTCTCTTGGTGGCCACCACACCCATTTTCTCCCTGGGCGTTCTGTCCTTCCCTCCACCCCTACGACCAGCTGTGGAGTTGTACGTGACCCATGCCCCTCCCTCCTTCCTTACATCCTCTCAAAGATGAGCTCACAGGCTCTGCTTGTTATAAGAGATTCATTGCTAGTCACTATAGAGAAACAGACAACAGACAATGAAAATAACTGAAGTGGGAAAAATTGCAAAACAGTAGAATCTTTTGATGTGACCATGCCACTCCCTTACTTAAAACCTCTGGGTTACTCTGTATCCCTACAGAGCAAATACAGAGATCTTCAAAGAGGCACAGAAAGTTCTTTGAGATCTTGCCTGAGTTCAAATCCTTACTCTGTGCTTGACAGCTGTGTGCCCATGAGCAAGTTATTTAATCTCTTTGTGCCTCATTTGCTTCTAATGTAAAAAGGTAATGATAATATAGGTTTGCTGTTAGAATTATTTAAATGAGTTAACATATAGAAAACCTTAGATCCACATCTGGCATATATCAAGTGTTCAATAAATGGCATCTATCCCAATGATGATGATGATGATGACACCCCTGCAAACTTACCCATTACTTCCTGCTTGAAAAGCCCTCACATATGTATCATGCTATTCATCACCTCCATGTTTTCTTGTTCTGTTTTCCTGTACCCAGACAGCCTTCACTTTCCCTCAAGCCTGGTTCACATCCAGGTCTATAGAGATGTGAAGTTTGCTACTCAAGCCAGCCTTCTTTGGAAAGCATTCAATGCCCATCCCATCATCACCACAGGCTGTCTCTGGGACCCCTCGTCTGTGCTCCTGTAGCATCCTATGTGTATCTCTATCATTATCTAAGAATATGTGTGTGTGTTTGAATGATCTATTAGCTGTGTCACAACCTACCCCAATACCTACTGGGTTCAGATGACAACCATTTTATTTGTTCACAATTCTATGGATCAAGAATTTAGGCAAGGCTTGGCTGGTCAGTTCTTCTGCCCCACAAGGCATTGGCTTAGGTTCATTCACTCAGCTGCATTCAGCTAGAGTCTAGGTCCATGAAGTGTTCACTCACATGCCCAGTGCCTCAGGTTCTTCTCACACTCTCACTCCATGTGGCTAGCTTGGGCTTCCTCACAGCATGGTGGCCTCCTTACAAGTCAGGCTCCTTACAGGGTGACAAATGCTCCTTACAAGTAGCATTTTAGGAGTGACAGAAGCAGAAGCCGTAGATCTCTTAAGTCCCAACCTCAGAAGTTGCACTTTTCTTCCACCACATTCTATTGGTCAAAGCTAGTGAGAGAGAGGGTCAGTCCAAATTCGAGGGAAGGAGTAGAGAGAATGTGTGGCCATCTTGAAGCCACCACCACAGGTTCATCTCTTGTTAAGATTCTGAGCTCCTTGAAGGCAAGGACAGAATTTATTAGTCTTGGTATCCCCAGCACCTAACTTGGACTAGTGCCTGGTATGGAGTAGGTGCTTAACAAGTTGTTGAACTGAACTCCCACACAAACACAGGAAAGCTCTAGAGGAGGATGAGACATTCTAACAAAACGCCCGAGGAAGCTCCTCTGGGAGCTGCCAAAGCCTCCCCGCCCACAACCTCTGCTTCTTGTCAAATTCATCTTCAGTTCATTCCTGGCACAAGGTGTGTGAGCAATGCCAAAGTCACTAATTAAGTACCGGTGTCTCTAACTGGCTTTAACATGGATAAAGGACAGAAGCGAAAGAAATGAGTGTAGTTGGAATGTTCTACAGGCCTATCCAAAGAACAGATAAAATGTGAAGTGCATTTGTATAAACATTTCCAACTCTAGCACTGTGCAGGTCAAGAGCATCCCCAACGAAGAGGACTTTCAGGTCTCCTTATTTGGGAAAACCCTCCCCCAGCCTCATGCAGTAAAAGCCAGTGGCTAGACCGTGAGACTCACTCCTGAATTCCCTAAAGACAGTCCTGTTGTTTTTGCCTATGGCATGGTAGCAGCCCGAGATTGCTGCAAGAATGCAAACCTCCCAAGACCAGGCGCCAAGGGCAGAGCCATGTGAGGTGAGGGCGTGAGGGTGAGTCAGCTCAGACCACCAGCAAGTGTCTGCAGAGAGAATGTCCAGGCCTTGCCTAAGCCAGCATTGGCATAGGCACTTAATTTTTAATGAGCAAACCATTGGGAGAAAAACAAATACAACTTTAAACTGAGTATGCAGGTTTGCTTCTTTGTTCATCTTAGTGTCCACATGTCCTTGGCAATAAGATGGATTGGGTTCATTCCTAACCTAGGATCTCAAACAGCTAGAAGCACCAGGGGCAAACAACTGCAGACAGAGCCCACCTGACACCAACAGGCACGGGGAAGCAGCTGTCCTTCCCTTGCTGTCACTGGGGACAACTTGACAGAGTCAAGCCAGACTGAAGAGAATCACTTACACAAGTTAGAAGTGTTCCAGATGGATGAAAAAGTAACCCATTTAGCAACTTTCTGGAATCCTGAGAGTGAAATGTATTGCCCAAGTCCCCATGTTGTCTTCTTATGGGGCAACCAAGGGCGTAGAAGATTCTGCAGGGAGAGGAAAAGTGCAAACCCCTTTCCTTCACACTGCAAGCTGGCAGAATCCTGGCAGCGGTGACACAGGCGAGGGCATGTGGGGTGCGTCCATATTCCCCAGGCTCCCATGTTCCTTTTTCGGTGTTCTTCATTTCCCTCCAAAACTAGGTTATAAAGTAGAGTCCCATGCCAGACACCCACGTTTGCAACCAACAGATACCTAGTTGAGCACATTCCACATACCAGGCCCCGATCCAGGTGCTGGAGACAGCAAAGAACCTAAGAGATGAGGTGTCTGTTATATTGGAATTTTCCAACAGGCAAATAAAAAGGCAATTTCAGATCACGATAGGTGATGGGAACAGACTAAACTAGGAGAGCAGGAAGCATCATAGAGAATGTCTTCTTCAGGTAGAAAACACCTCACTGGGCCTTCGATGATGACACAGAGAGAGCCATAATCTAAGACAGAAGAGGCTCAGGCAGAAGGAGCAGCAAGTGCACACAATCAGAGATAAGCCTGGTGTCTTTAAGGAGCAGAACAAAGGCCAAATGAATATAAGGAGTGCAGTGTGAGAAAAAGTAGGGCTACAGTGTGCAGGGCCTCGTATATTACAGTAAGGAATTTGGACTGATTTTACTCCACATTTTCCCTAAACATTGCTAGCCTTTTTTTTTTTTTTTTTTTTTTTTTTTTTTTTTTTTTTTTGAGACGGAGTCTCACTCTGTTGCCCAGGCTGAAGTGCAATGGCATGATCTCGGCTCACGGCAACCTCCACCTCCTGGGTTCAAGTGATCTCCTGCCTCAACCTCCTAAGTAGCTGGGATTACAGCCACCTGCCACCATGCCTGGCTAATTTTTTGCATTTTTAGTAGAGACGGGGTTTCTCCATGTTGGCCATGGCTTGTCTCGAACTCCTGACCTCAGGTGATCCACCCGCCTTGGTCTCCCAAAGTGCTGGGATTACAGGCATGAGACACCACACCTGGCCTACTACTCTTAATTCTTTAGCACTATGAGGTTTCATTTGTCAGAGACTATGATGTTCCAAAGCAGTGGTCCTCAAAATGTGGTCTTCAGACCAGCAACATCAGCACCACTTGGGAATTGGTTAAAAACACAAACTCTCAGGTTCCGACATGGACCTGCTGAATCAAACACTCAGGAGGTGGGAGCCTGGCAATCCGCCTGTCATAAGCCCTCCACATGATTCTGATTCATGGTGAAGTTTGAGAACCACTGTTCCAGAGAAAAAGGACTTCCTAGGCTGTGGAAACATCCTTTAACACAAACACATTGTTAAGGAAGACAAAGATATGCGTATTATATGTTTTAGTGTGGTTTCTCTGTAAAAGAATGGAAATAAACAGTACAGTACATAGATTTTGATTGGCCTTTGCTGACTTATGACCCCCCACGTGGCCTGTGATACAATGAGGCTCTTAGTATCGAGGAAAGCCGACAAAGCTAGTTGCCCCTAAACGTAATGGCCCAAGGTAGCTATTCTTTTGGGGTTTAGAGGCTTCCTTTTTATAGCTGCTCTATAGCTCTCTCTGTTCTTAAGCATTCACTTTACTTAATAATAAATATAATAAAAATGAAGGTAGCTATGTATTAAGAAGTTACTAAATATCAGGATGCTGCTTCAAGAGCACTGTAAGTAAATATTATTACCATTTTGAGAAAACAAAACAGGCTCCAAGAGATGAAGTCGTATGTAAAGGGCAATGATGGTATTCAAACCCAAGTGTATTATGTATCTATTGCCAAGTAACAAATGACTCCAAACTAAGTAGTTAAAACAGCAAACATTTATTACATAGTTGTGTAGCATCAGGGATCCAGGAGGGACTTCGCTTTGTGGTTCTGTCTCAGGGTCTCTCATGAGGTTGACGTCAAGCTACAGTCATCTGAAGGGTAGAACTGGATCTTCCAAACTCGTTCATGCAGCTATTGGCAGGAGGCTTCAGATCCTTGACAAACAGGCTTCTTCATAGAGCAGTTCATGACATAGCAACTGGTTTCCTCCAGAGCAAGTGATAGAAGAAAGAGAGATAGCAATCAAATTAGAAGCAACAGTGCCTTTTATAAGCCCATCTTATATGTAACATGCTATCACTTCTGCTGTACTCTTTTGGTAGTGGAGACCAATCCTACTAGTGTGGGAAGGAACTACACAAATGGAAGAATATCAGGAGGTGGAGCCCTTGGGTGCCATCCTGGAGGAAGACTACCACACCATGTCTGTCTCACTTTGAAACATATAATCTGTTGAATTATTCCTTTAGTACATATCAAAGGATCAGTCATTTCCAGATGCTGTCCTAGGCTCTGGGTATTGTTGGCAAAAGAAACAAACATAGGCCTGGCACGGTGGCTCATGCCTGTAATCCCAGCACTTTGGGAGGCCGAGGCAGGCAGAGCATGAGGTCAGGAGATCGAGACCATCCTGGCTAACATGGTGAAACCCCATCTCTACTAAAAAATACAAACAAAATTAGCCAAGCGTGATGGTGGGCGCCTGTAGTCCCAGCTACTCCAGAGGCTGAGGCAGGAGAATGGCATGAACCCGGGAGGCGGAGCTTGCAATGAGCCGAGTTTGCGCCACTGCACTCCAGCCTGGGCGACAGAGCGAGACTCCGTCTCAAAAACAAAAAAAAGAAACAAACATAACCCTTACCATCCTGGAGCTCATAATCTAATAAATAAGTAAACAAACAAATACATATATAATTATAGTTTGTGATAAGTACTATGAACAATATAAACAGAGTTCAGTGGGAGGAAAATGGGGTGAGGGTAGCGGGTAGAGACCACTTATCCAAACTGGTAAAACTTAGAAGGCAACTTTCCAGAGGCAACCCTAAATAATGGTCACCAAATTTTTGGGACTAACCAATAAAAACTTTTGAGTAAGCATTCCTAAAATGTATATATTTTATTCAGTTTTAAATTTTATATATGTATATATAATATAGACATTGTACACTTAACATATAGAAAACACAGTATATATAATATATAGAAAAAGTAAAATGATGAAAGTTGAAATATAAAATATTTCACATTTTTATAATGTTATTAATGATGCAAAAACTATTTTGCGCTTACCTTTGAAATTCTCATTAATAATATTTTGATGAGAGCTGTGTGATTGAATATGCTTCACTATTTAAACCTCTATGAATAAAAGGTCTGATTTTACATTCATTTCTTTTGGTGCTTGGTTTTTTTTGTTTTTGTTTTTTTTGTTTTTTGTTTTTGAGACAGTCTCACTGTCGCCAGGCCGGAATGCAGTGGTGTGATCTTGGCTCACTGCAACCTCCACCTCCCAAGTTCAAGCTATTCTCTTGCCTCAGCCTCCTGCGTAGCTGGGACTGCAGGCACGCACCACCACGCCCAGCTAATTTTTGTATTTTTAGTAGAGACGGGGTTTCACCATGTTGGCCAGGATGGTCTCTACCTCTTGACCTCTTGATCCACCCGCCTCAGCCTCCCAAAGTGCTGGGATTATAGGCGTGAGCCACCATGCCTGGCCTGGTGCTTGGTTTTAATAGTTATCAGACATGGAAAAGATACTTCCAAAATACTTTAATTAAAACAAGAAAAGAACTTTATTGCTTATCTCACTAAAGTATGATACTTGTTTTTCAACCCTATCCATCAATTAAAGTTTCCAATAAAAATTGGATAGTAAATTTTTATCTTCCCTAATGTCAACTACTTGTTAATACAAACTTTAAAAAAGTTGATTCAAAGTCCCCTAGAACTGTTTATTTATCATTTTTAAAAGGTTAAAAATTCCATTTCCAAGTATGTAGATACGAGAGTTTTTAAAGAGGCATATTCACTGCATTTTTGGCAATAAAAATACATAACTATTGGAGATTTCCCAAATATCCATTTTCAAAATGCTCTACTCATAGCATTAAACATGGTTACTTCCTCATTTATTGTTAAAAGATCACATTTATCTGAATAATTTCACAATTTTTTGGCCAAATTATTTTGTTCATGGCTTTCTCTGGTAATGTAACTAAAGAAGTACTTATATAAGGGGCTAGAAAAATGTCAGCCCTGCCCTTTCTTGTTGTTCAATTAAATTTGTATTATTAGGGAAATCTCCAGAATCAACCTCTTTTTAAAAATATTTTCATAATCACTTACTCATTAATGGAGATATTTGGTTAAACCTAGATTATATAAGACTTCCTGTTCTAGGAATGGAGAACTAGGTAATTCATACCATCCCACCTACTGAGGACAATCAGCAAAACAAAATATACTTTAAAAATCTACTCCGGTGTGCTAGAGAGCTAACAAGATAGTGCAGAATTACTGGGTTAGTATCAGGTAAAGGATAGAGACCAAGGGAGTTGAGTCCGGCATGTAGGGCAGTTTTCTCTACAGTATATGCCAATACGGTATATGCCAATTTCTTTTTTCTTTTCTTTTCTTTTTTTTTTTTTTTTGAGACAGGGTCTCACTCTGTTGCCCAGGCTGGAATGCAGTGGCACGATCTCGGCTCACTGTAATCTCTGCCTACCGGGTTCAAGTGACCCTCCTGCCTCAGCCTCCCAAGCAGCTGGGATTATAGGCATGCACTACCGCACCCGGCTAATTTTTTGTATTTTTAGTAGAGACAGCCACCATGTTGGCCAGGCTGGTCTCGAGCTCCTGACCTCAAGTGATCCACCCGCCTCAGCCTCCCAAAGTGCTGAGGTTACAGGTGTGAGTCACTGTGCCTAGAAGCATATGCCAATTTCTAAAAGCAGGACTGAGAGGCCAAGTGGCTGAGCGGGAAGGTGGTTAAAAAGTGTCTCACAGAGCTAAGGCCAATTTTGGGGCCCAGCATCACCAAGCCTGGATAGCTCTGGTGAATCTCTTTGCATTTGGATGGGCCACTGAAGGACAGTACCCTAAAAACAATGATAAACCAAAAGAAGGTTCTAGAAACTCAGTTTCACAGTACCTGGAATTGAATTAACATGATCCCATAATGCTAAGGCCCCAAGTACCTAGCAGAAGTAAATATAAATTCACTTTGGAGAATGACAACATCATTATAGAATTCTAATTATGTCTACAAATAATGTTTTAAGTACAAATATCTGAATACAATAAAAGAAAAACAGAAAAACAAGACAAGACCACACAAATGAAAACCAAGAAATCACAGACATAGATCACAAAGGCTCAGAAATTAGAGTTTTTCAACTTAAAAAAAAAAGTGTATTGACTTCAAATAATACTATATTTAATTTGCTCAGAGAGACAAAAGTCAACCTTGAGACTTTTGGCGGAGAACTGAAAACTAATTTTTTAAAAGAGCCAGTGAAAATGCTAGAATTAAAAAAATAACAATTAAAACACAATAGCTTTCACATTTAATTACAAACAGATGAAGAGAGAATTTGTAGTATGGAAGAAAATATCCATACTACAAAGCTAAAAGACAAAGCTAAAAAAAAATTATAAGAAGGTTAAGGAAGCTGGTAAAGCACTTTCCAAACTTAAAAAAAAATCCAAAATGTCATAAAATGATATCTTTGTAAAATGTAATTTAAATGAATTATTAGAACAATGAAATAATAAAAAGACACTGAATATATGCCCAAATTTTTATTGGATTCAAAGGACATAAAATTACTCTGCCAGTTGGTTTCAGAATATTTATTCTCAATTTTGTACTTCTCTTTTTCCAAATCATGACACTGATATAAAAGATCCATGAAAAGTTCTGATATATATTTAACTGAAATACTAAACGAAGAGAGGTAATGGAACAGAAACATCATTTACGAGTAATCAGCTGAATCATTTCTAAAACTAATTAAATACATCAATTGATGGATTCAGGAAATCAAAAACTAGTTAAATTTAAAAACAAAAAAATGAACGAAGAAATTATCTTCAACACAACCAGAGAAAAAGATTGCCATCAATGGAACAATAATCAGACTCACAGCTTATTCCTCAACAGCAACATTCTGAGCCAAAAGACAATGGAACAATAGCTCCAAAATGCTGAAAAAAAATTACTGCCAACCCTGAATTCTGCTCTCAAGATATAAATATATGTCAAGAATGAAAGTAAAAAGAGACATGTTCAGACAAACCAAAACTGGGAGAGTTCATCCCCAGTAGACTTGAATTTATTTATCTACGTATATATAAATCTGTCTTCAGGCAAAAGGAAAAGGTTTCAGGTAGAAAGTCAGAAATGCAGAAAGGCATGATAACTACAAATGAATATTGACTATATAAAACCAAAAGTAAAATCTTGTGGAGAATTATATAGAAAATTATAATACACTGAAAAAGCATTAAGTCAGGAGAGACAGAGTGATAGTGTTTTACAGTACATGCATTCCCCAGAAGAGAAAAAACAACCAAATGATATTTTATTTTTATGTCAGATATACATATTGCAATATTTGGTGTAATCACCACAAGAATTTATAGGACTCAAATAACTTTTAAAAATTTTCAATCAATGCAAATGAAGGCAAGAAATGAAAAAAATGGAACATAGAACAAGCAGTACAAATTGAAAAGCTGAGCAAAATGGTAGATTTAAACCCCAAAATATCACAAATTACATAACATGTAAATATTTAAATTCAGTGATTAAAAGACAAAGGTTGTTATCTCGAATAACACTGAATTTGATATGCTACTTACAAAACACAAGACTAAAATATCAGAATTCTCAAAGATTTAACAATAATGTCAAACTAGACACTAAGGTTAAAAGCATTCCTAAAGACAAAGAAAGTGACCTCATGATGATGAAAATTAGATTTGTCAAGAACATACAACAATTCTAAATTTACATGTAACTAATAGCATAGATTCAAATTTTATTACTCTCTCTGAGATCTAATAGAATAATAAGACAAAAATCAGTTTACATTTACAGGAGTATACATTTGTAAACTTGACTTAATCGGTCTTCATAGAATACTGCACCCAACATCTGCAGAATACACACTTAGTTCATACACCAAAATTACAAAATGCTGGGCCATTAAGCAAGTCTCAACAAATTTCAAGAACTGAAATCAGAGTATGTTACCTGACCACAGGGGAATTGAGCTAGAAATCAATAACAAAACTATATTCACAAAGTAGCCATATGTTTGGAAGTTTCAAACTAACTTCTAACTTTACTTCTAACTAAACCTATAGATTCAGAGAGGAAATCACAGTGGGAAGTTAGAAAACATTTTGAACAGAATAATCATGAAAATATGACAAATCAAAATTCGTTTGATGTAGCTAAAGCTGTGCTAAAAGAAACTGTATGGCCTTGACCATCTCTAATCTGAGAGACAATGTCTTCAAAAAACCTATGGAAAATATTATACTTATTAAAGTAGTGCTCATTCTCATTAATAATCAGGTAAATGTAATTAATGCCTCAATGATATTTTATTACAAACTCACCAGAATGGCTAAAATTCAAAAGACTGACAATACCAAATGTTGAAGAGGATAATTACTGCCTATGCTGCTGGTGGAAATGTAAACTGGTGCAATCACTTTGGAAAATTGTTTGGTGGTATCTACTAAGCAGAAATATACGTGTGTGTGTATATATATATGTCTGTGTGTGCGCATGCACATACTTTTTCTATCAAAGGTTCTGCCCCTCATGTACCTCTAGGCTCACAAGGCAGAGATGTTAAATGCCTTGTGAGTCTCTAGGTGCACAGGGGGAACAGGACATTTGATAGAAAAAGTGAAGAGATTGTAATACTACAAGGCAGTCTTTGTAGTGCTTTGTCTTTTCTCCCTGGAGACTTTGAATAGAAAAATGTTGTGACTGAGTGTTTTAGAGGTGATTATCTGGGAGCCTTTAAGGTTTTGGTAAATGTCTTAGTCCCTTCAGGTTGCTATTAACAAAATATCTTAGACTCCGTCACTTATAAACAACAGAAATTTATTTATTTCTGACAGTTCTAGAGGCTGAGAAGTCCAAGGTCAAGGTGCCAACAGTGTCTGGTGAGAGCCACTTCCTCATAGACAGGGCTGTCTCACTGTGCCCTCACATGGTGAAAAGGAGCTAGCTAGCTCTCTGCAGTCTCTCCTATTTGACAGGGCACTAATCCCAATCATGCGGGCTGCACACTCATGACCCAGTCGCATCTGAAAAGGTCCCACCTCCTAATAGTATCAACTTGGGGGTTAGGATTTCAACACATGAATCTGGAGGGAACACATTCAGACCATAGCAGTCGGTGCTTTGAATACTGGGTCTAAAATCAGGTACTCTGAATATTGGCTCTACATTCAATGTCCTGCTTTTGTCTTTTCTAGTTGTGTGAATTTGGACAAATTACTTAACTTCCCTGGGGCTCATTTACAAAACGAAACAATGTAAGGCTGAAATTAGACCATCAAGGGGCCTAATTAGTGCATATATTAAGACATTTTCCCCTTCTCTCAAAGCAGGTATAGAGAAAAGGAGGTAGGATTTGCCTAAAAGAGGTTTAGGCAAGAGAGTCTCAAGGGATCTTTGAGGGTGCAAGAGGTATAAAAATAGAAAAGATGTCTAGGGTACAAGAGGAGATGAGTCACAAAAGCGAGTAAGAAACTAGGTATATGTGCTGAGGACAGAAGGGAAGGTTGACTGGGCAGTCCTCAGAGCTGCCAAATGAAGATTCTTTACATTATCCCTGACCAGCTATTACGGTCAAGTGGCTCTAGAAATAAGCAATGGAAATGTGCCAGGACAGGAAACCAGACAAGGCATTGCGTAACTCCTCCTGTGTGTGCACACACACCAGTAAGAGTGGGTTTTTCACTTCATCTGGCCTCCCATGGCATCCCGTATATTCCTCTATTTCAGCACCTGTCAGTGTCAGGCAATCAAGTCAATGGCATTTTGGTCCACCTCCCACTACACTATGAATTTCTGAAAAAAAAGGAAACAGCGTTTTATTCATCTTTGAGCCCTACCACCTAGCACAGTGAGTAGCATAAGAGACTCTCAATAAATGTTGACTTAACAAATAGATGAATAAAAGAATGAATGACATCGTTCTGCTTACAGAAATCAGAGCCCTGGACTGCACAGGCACTATGAAAAACCTGCTAAATGGAGCACCCTGAACCTCCCTCCCACAGTTCTCACCCACCTGACCCATAATGTCTCTTCCATCTGACTTGCTCCCACTTTGCCTCCTCCAAATTTCTTCCCAACCTTGCAGGGAGAAGCCCAGAGCCTGAGGGTACATGCCTTGGCTTCTCTTACTTCATCTAAAATATTCCATCAGTTGACTGATGTTAATTTGAATGTTGCTTCTGTTTTCTTCTTCAGATCTAGGTGAAACAAGATTTTTTTTTTCTCAGACAGGTTCTTGCTGTGTCACTCAGGCTGGAGTGCAGTGGTGTGATCACAGCTCACTGCAGCCTTGACCTCCCAGGCCCAAGCAATCGTCCCATCTCAGCCTCCCGAGTAGCTGAGACCACAGGCATGCACCAACACACTCTGCTAATTTTTGCATTTTTTTGTAGAAATGGGCTTTCACCACGTTGCCCAGGCTGCTCTTGAGCTCCTGGGCTCCAGTGATCCACCCACCTTGGCTCCCAAAGTGCAGGGATTACAGGCGTGAGCCACAGCGCCCAGTCTGCAACTAGATTCTTGATGGCGACTGTGACAAAATGATGTTGCCCTCCTCAAGCTCTGCCCCGGCCTTCATTCGTTGCTTCCAGACCAATAACTGGGGTTAGCTCTCAGGGTAGTCCAGGTAGAGAAATACAGACCTGGATGCAGAAGAAAACACCTTATGTTCAGAAAGAGCTGCAGGGCTTGGCTTGGTATCAGCGTGAACTAGAGGGACACAGTGGGGACTGTTTGGAAGGATGATAAATAGGAGAGGGAGGGAACTACTGACTCAGGAACTGTCTTGGAGGTAGTATCAATTTGTTTCTGAATGGTTCCTTGAGGCTTGGACATGATAATGCCTTACAGTAAGTTACAGGAAGAGGCTGCAGTGCCTTGGCAGAAAATTGAGGAAGGGGTCAGAATGCTCAGGGAGATAGGATTGTTCGAACAAACTTATTATGTGACACCTGGACTTCCTGGGAGGGTTCAGGGACATTGCCTTCAAATATATAAGTGAGGGGCAAGAACATCTATCGGTGTGGGGGTGACAACATCTTTGGGAAGCTTAGCAATGATTGTCCACTGTAGGCCAGCATAAGAATAGGTGATTCTGCCATTTAACTGGGCTCCATTTCAAAATAACAAAGACCAGGTGTCTGCTCTTAACCATCAGAGTCAAGATGAATATAAACCATAACAGCCAGCAAGGCCAGAGTGCTTCAGTCCACGAGTTTTTGGTGATGGCTAATAGAGCATGGTGTTCCTATGAGTGAGATAGACAAGCAGCCAATGAGGGTACTGCATGACTTGTATAACAATTTAAAAAATCAAGAGCTGTCAGGAAGGTTGATGGACCCACAGTTTCCAGATCCGAGCCAGTTCTCAGACCCCACAGGCTGCACCCTCTTGTGAAAGGATCCTGCAATGTCTCCCATACTAGTGAAGTGTTTAGGGGTTCAATGGTCTAAGGCATGTTGGGACATGCCCTGTAAGATAAAGAACAAGTTATTAGCCAGGTGCAGTGGCTCATGCCTGTAATCCCAGCACTTTGGGAGGCCAAGGCAGGTGGATCATGAGGTCAGGAGTTCCAGACCAGCCTGGCCACCATGGTGAAAACCCATGTCTACTAAAAATACAAAAAAAAAAAAAAAAAATTAGCCAGGCATGGTGGCACGTGCCTATAGTCCCAGCTACTCAGGAGCCTGAGGCAGGAGAATCACTTGAACCCGGGAGGCAGAGGTTGCAGTGAGCTGAGATCGCGCCACTGCACTCCCTCCTGGGAGACAGAGTGAGACTCTGTCTCAAAATAAATAAATAAATAAATAAAAATAAAACAAGTTATTACACCCTGTACTTACTAGGGCTGAGAAAGAGATACAGTGCTTAGTGAGCCTCTTTGGATTTTGGAGAACTATAAGCTGTATTGGGGAATACTTCTTCTACCAACGTGTTGAGTGACTTAAGAGGCTGTCAGTTTTGTGTGGGGCCCAGAACAGAGAGCTCTGGAGCAGATCCAAGCTGCCACGCAAGATGCCCTAGCTCATACGATCTGCTGATCCAATGATGCTAGAGGGATTTGTGACAGATAGGGATGCCATGTAGAGTGTTTGGCAAGCCCATCGTAGAGTCATAGGCGAGGCTCCTAGAGTTCTTCGTAGCTACCTGCTTCAAAATAGAACAACCCACTGTTTGAAAACCAGCTCCTGGCATTGCTATTGAGCCATTTTAGAGACTGGTCATTTCTCCCACCAGCAAATGCCTCCATTTATTTCTTCCCTTTATATAAAATTCCTTAAAAGAATTTCCATATTCACTATCTCCACCTATTCTTTTTCCATTCTGTTTTGAAACTACTTCATCTTTCATCCTCACAATTCCACTAATACCACTATTACAAACTCACCAATGACTTCCATGTTGTAAATGCAGTGACCAATTTTAAGTCTTCCTCCTACTTGATCTGTCAGCAGCATCTGACCTAATTGGACACTCCCTCATTGAAACAGCTTCTTCCCATGTTCCCCAAGACACCATTCTCTCTCAGTCCTCTTCCTGTCTCACTGGTTATCCTCATCCCCTTGGCTGGTTTCCTCTCATACCACAAACCACTAAATGTTAGAGGACCCAAGGCCAGTCACTGATTTCTTTTTTGCTTTTTCTTTCTACTTATACTTTCTTGTGAAGTGACCTTGTCCCATCCATAGCTTTAATTTTTGATGGACTGCCCACTTCCAAGTTTGTATCTATGGCCCCATCTTCCCTCCTGAACTCTAGATTCCTGTATCCAGCAGCCCATTAGACAGCTCCACTCTGTGAGGCATCTCAGGCTTAACAATTCCAAAACCAAATTTTGAATCCCCTACCTCCCAACCTGTTCCTCCACCCGCTTTCTCCATCTTAGTAAAGGACAGCTTCATCCCTCCGGCTGCTCAGACTGAAGATGTTGACTCATCTTTACTTCTTTCCTTCCAGTTCCATCCATCAGAAAATCTTGCCAGCTCTTCCTTCAAAATATTTAGAATCTGGTAAACCCTTAGTCTGAGGCACCATCATCTCTTGCTTAGATTATTGTATCCTGTTTCCTTCCACCCTTGCCCTCTTCAATTTGTTTAAAACAGCAGCCAGAATGATCCTGTCTTGCTTCTGAAAACCCTCCACAGGCTTCCCATCTCATAAAGAGAAAAAATTCAAATCCTCAGAGTGACCCATGAGGCCCACAAGGTCTACACGGCCTCTGCCTCTGATTCCCCTCTGACCTCACCTTCTGCCACTTTCCCTCCACCCTTTCCAGAACACCCCCTCTGCTTTGGACAGCTTCCTTCAGCGGGCAGCAGGCTCGCTCCCTCACTTCGGCTCCAATTGCCCTTCCCCAGAGATACCACCCCTCTCTCTTGTATCCTCTTCATTTTTATTTTATTTTTCTGGTAGCAAGTCTTGCCAACTGACATATCATATGTTAATTTCATTGTTTGCCTCCCCCTAGCCCGGGTAGATTAAGTTCTGGAGACAGCAAGAGCTGATTTGTTCTGTACATATCTATGGCCCCAGGACTTAACACAGTGGCTGGAAGAAGATAAATACCCAGTCGATTTTTGCTGAGTGCATGCATGAATGTCAAATCCTTTGCTAAGCCGAAGGTAGGGGAGAGGAAATGCAGATCGAAAATGATCAAGACCTAGCCCCAACCTTTAGGACCTCCCAGCTTAGTACCCTTCCTCAGAGCACAGAGTGTGGTCTTTCATAGGCCACAACACACAGTTACAACCAGAAAAGTGTGATTAAGCATACCAAATAACTGACTGTTTTGCTTTTGCCCCCTCTCAACTTAGGAAATTACTTTACTTCAGAGACTTGCCAGAGATCCGTTTGCTACAGCAAATTCAGATGTTAACACCCAAAACCACATATATTTTCTGCCCTCCTGTCAACGTAAGGATTTCATATGGCTGACCTGGTCTTAAAGATAGACCAGGTCAAGAGTTTCCTAGGTGTCTGAGTGACACCACCCATGCTTCTCCCACCAACCCCCTCAAAAGTCTCCTGACCCTGCATAGGCAGATCCTGAAATTACACAATTTACAATTCACTGACCTCTGAAAGAGCAAGTCACGCTCCAAAGAGGGCTGCAGACAAAAGCGTTCCAAGCCAGATTCCTTGTTGACACTGGTCTCTGGTTACACCCTAGGCATAAAAAGCAAGGAAGTTCTTCAAAGCCAGTGAGTGCTTCCCTACCTTTGTCTGTCCCCAGCAGAACCTCTTCCCCCACTCCACCCTCCACAGAGGGACTCACTATAAGTTCAACAGTGCAAGTGGTGCAAGGGGAGGCATTTTCAGGTTACACACTATATATAGCTAACTTACAGTCTCATGTTATTCGCCTTGGCGAGGGTTGAAAGCCTTAATACCTCCCAAGCATGCCCTGTTGTGAGTCCCCTTTCCTTTCCAAAACCCTTCCTTGGCCCAGACCCTGGGAGTCACCTTTCTTCTTCCGGCCACTCCCCACTCATCCTCTTTCAGCCTCATCACAAAGCAGGGACTTTCCCATGAGTCTAGGTCTGCCCTGGAGTTGCAGGACCACACCACGGCCAAGCAAGGCCTCTCCTTGGACCCTTGGTAGTTTCCTGAACTGTGAGTGTCCTGTTTTTTCGAGGCTGGTGTCAGAGGGAACAAATGCAAGACCCGGATGAAGCATCTCCCCCACCACATGCCAACAGCCAGTTCCGCCCCTCCGCCCGGACACCTGCCCTGTTAGCCTTGCCATTCTTCTCAACACAACTTTCTGAAACAGGAAAAGTTCCCTTGTCCTCCTCAAAGGGTGTGTGAAGAGGGCGTGGCTCACTTCTTCGGTGCCTGCTACTCAGACCCCTAGTGGGAGCAGGCAGATGGGCAGGTCACGGGGAGCGTGGGTTCCAACCCCACAGCAGCATCTAGGGTTGAGTCTTTACAGCTCCTAAGCCCCAGTGGGCGTGTGTTACAGTGCGCTCTTTCAGCTTTGCTATCTGCCGGCAGCTTGTGTTCATCACCTCAGTTAGACCCTCTGCGTTATCACAAGGGCAGAGGGCTTTCTGTATCCCGGGTTCTTGCCCTAGTGCACCAGAAAAATTGTATCATGTGTGGGCTTAGAGAATGAGTGCAAGGTTTTATTGAATGCTGGAGGTGGCTCTCAGCAGATAGATGGGGAGTCAGAAGGGGGATGGAGTGGGAAGGTGGTCTTCCCCTGGAGTCGGGCCGCTCAGCAGCCAGGCTCTCCTCCGACCACCCTCTGCGTCATTCTGCTGTTGATGGTCTGTCAGCGTCTATGTGTTCTTCTGCCAGTGTGTTCCTGTCGATGTCCAGCCACTTGTGTGTGCTTCTGCCAGTGTGTTCCTCTTGATGTCCAGCTATTAGTGTATGTGCCCGCTAAGGTCTTGGGGTTTTTATAGGCACAGGATTGGGGGCGTGACGGGCCAGGGTGGACTTGGAAAATGCAACATTTGGGCAAGGAAACAGGAGTGCCTGTCCTCACCTAGGTCCGTGGGCTCAGGCACAAGGGTGGAGCCCTTGTCAGGGACCCTGCCTTTCTCTACCCATCCCTGTACCCCTCCCATATCACTTCCACACAGCCCTGGACCTGGGCTAAGACATAGCACTATTTGCCATTCCTAGTTGGTGCTGTGGGGTTCATCTAGGCCAACTTTATCATTTTCACAGAGGAGAAGACCAAAGCCCAGAAAGTGGAAGCCATGTGTTCAAGGTCAAAGAACCTGTTCAGGTCAGAGCTGGGGCAGGAATCCCTGACTTAGACACCCCAACCAGGGCTCCTCTGCAGCACCTACCTCTTCACTCATGTTCCTTGGAGTTTTTCCATTCCTGGTTCTTGCTCTTCTTGTCCCACTTTTGAATCTTTCTTGGAGTTACTGCTTCCAGGGTTTCCATCCAGGCCCAACTTACAGAAGCAGCTCAGTAGCTTCCTCCTGTTAGGATTCAGCCCCCAACCCTGTTCCCTCCCAGCATCCTCAGCCCACGTTCTGGGTTCAGCCTCCTCCACTGCTCCCTGCTTGCTTTCCCATGCATCCTATTGTGAAGAACTTTTCGTCCTTACAGCACGTCTATGTACAGTACCTCACTGATGACTACAAAAAATCTCATGAAGTCATCCAGGGAGATGGATTATTTTCTTCATTTTTACAGATGCAGAGATTGAGATGCCAGGTGAGAGCGAATAAGTGGTGGGACCTGCGCTGGGATCTTTAAGCCCATCACGATTTTCAAAGGTCTTCTATTCCCAGTGTCTTCTCCTTCCGTGGAGTGGTCCCCAGGACACCAGCATCACCTGACTTCTTCCTCTACACATTCATTTCCTAAAGTCCATTATCATATGTCAATTTTCAAGTTTCCAAATGTATATGATACTTTTTCCCAGGCATCTCCATGCTCTCCTGGCACCTCAGGCATCTTAAGACCTCTCTGGGTATGCTTGCCTCCCTCACTAGGGCATGTGGTCAGAGTTTAAGGGTTAAGATTCTGAAATAAGGCCAGGCCCAGTGGCTCATGCCTGTAATCCTAGCTATGTAGGGGGTCTGAGGCGGGTGGATCACTTGAGGTCAGGAGTTCGAGACTGGCCTAGCCAACATGGTGAAACTCCATCTCTACTAAAAATACAAAAATTGGCCAGGTGTGGTGGCTCACACCTGTAATCCTAGCTACTCGGGAGGCTGCAGCAGGAGAATCGCTTGAACCTAGGAGGCAGAGGTTGCAGTGAGCCAAGATCGCACCACTACACTCCAGCCTGGGCAACAGAGCAAGACTCAATCTCAAAAAAAAAAAAAAAAAAGATTCTGAAATCATACAGACCCATATCCTGGCTCTGCCTCTTACCAGCAGCGTGACCTTGGACAAGCTATTTCACCTCTGAGAACCTTAGTCTCTTCATTTGAAAGTTGAGAGTATGATTATCTATCTCTTCAGGCCATTGAGAGGATTAAATAAGAACAGAGTATCTCTACTAAAAATACAAAAATTAGCCAGGCGTAGTGGCGGGCGCCTGTAGTCCCAGCTACTTGGGAGGCTGAGGCAGGAGAATGGCGTGAACCCGGGAGGCGGAGCTTGCAGTGAGCCGAGATCCCGCCACTGCACTCCAGCCTGGGCGACAGAGCGAGACTCCGTCTCAAAAAAAAAAAAAAAAAAAAAAAAAAAAGAACAGAGTAGCACATAAGTTCCACTGTACGTAAGTGCTTAATTAAATATTCGCTGTCATCATCAACATCATCGATATCTCTTGCCTTCTAACTTCTAACTGTGCCCCCGCCCCCAAGCATGCCCTCCCACACACATAACTAATTTCCCAGGCCACCTACAAGTTATCTTTCACACATACACATATGCCTAGAAGAAAAATTTAGGAAATTTTAGGAAAAATTTTACTCCCATATAGAGATAAGCAAAAGAATTTTTTAAATCACTAAAGTTTCACTTGTACCCTCCCATCCCTCATTGGCCACCCACTCCAGAAACCCCAGTTGCAAAATTCTGATCAGGCTTGTGATTAGGAAATATATCACTTCCCAGGTAAAAATCCAACAATCTCCCACCTAGGAAGCAGGCTAGGCTCTAAGTTTACCAAGCTCCTTAATAGGGCCCAAACAGAGCAGATCCTTTCTGCAAAAACAGGTTAAGAGACTGGACTCTGAGATTCAAATCCTGCTTCTACCACTTACTAGCTGTGCAACTGAGGGTAAGTAGCATAGCCTTGCTCTGCCTTGATTTTCTCTGGATTAAAATGGGGATGAAATTGGACCCAAAGTTTTTTTGTTGTGAGAATTTAATGAGATCATCTATGTAAAATAGTTAGCAGAGCAGCTGCCTGTAATAAACTCTCAACAAGTGCTAGTCACTCTTATTATTATTAGTTTTCATATGCTTTTTCCCTTTGCCCAAACTAGTTCCACAGGATCCCGTCACCACCACTTCCTCCTCACTTCCTGTTTATCTCGTTATTTGCAAAACACCTCCTCAATGAAGCCTTTCTGGATTGGCTGCCCTAAGTGTGGCAGGTACACACCCCTTCTACTGCCCTTTCCACCCTGGGCTACCTGCATTTGTTTGTTTGGAGTCCTCCTTTACTCTCACACAAGCATCACGAAGAAGACATATCTCAAACCACTGTAAAGGAGAAGAGGGATCAAAAAGAAATTCTGATGCCCGTGCTGAAAACTCCCTAGACCTTAACTCAAGCCTCAGTGTGATCAAGAAGCATCAGACTGACCCATGCCTCCTCAGTACTATCTTTCCAATAATTATTTTAGAATATTTAAGAACCCCTATTGATGTATTACATCTGCCTCCAGCTCCACCCCTCAATCAAGAGTCCGTTTAAGGGTAGGTGCTGTTTTGGCCACATGTTTTTCTGCCATTGTCTTTTGAAATGGTTTTTTAAAGAAATTAAATTGTGGCTGGGTGCAGTGGCTCATGCCTGTAATCCCAGAACTTTGGGAAGCTGAGGCCAGAGGATCACTTGAGCTCAGGAGTTTGAGACCAGCCTGGGCAACATAGGGAGATGTGGATTCTACAAAAAATTTTAAAACTTAGCTAGGTGTGGTGATGCGCACCTGTAGTCCCAACTACTCGGGGGGCTGAGTGTGGGGTCCTGAGGTGTAAGGATTGCTTGAGCCCAGAGGTCAAGGCTGCAGTGAACCGTGCTCATGCCACTGTACTCCCGCCTCCACAACAGAACAAGGCCCCATCTCAAAAAAAAAAAAATTAAAAAAATTAAATTATTGACTCCTATGAATTTGTTTATCTGCTCTATTCTGCTTTAGCCTGGTCTCTCAATGAGCCACAGTTGCCTTGGAAGAGCATACTGTACAGGCGGAAGAACCACAAAAGCTAAAGCTAAAGACAGCCGTAAAAGCATAAGCCTGCATCTAACAGTGACAGGCTTATAAAGCACACTCACACAACACAAATCTTGGCCCCAAAGACCAGGAAATTTTATTTGCCATTAACCGTGCTCTTTCCAGGAATTGGATCCTCATGGCAAAAGAGAGAGTTGTTTTCCCACACCACCTCCTCCTCCCCACCCCCCACCCCCCAACCCCCGTCATTCCCACCAAATTCATACTTTCTCTCTGTCTCCTACAAACAGGGCCATAGTTCACATAAACAACTCAAGGCAAAGATGAAGGAATTGCAGCGTCTCCTGGAATTGATACTTCTGCATTTTACCAAACAATAAATACATGTCATATCCTCTTTTGTTTGTCATGGCACTAAAAAGGGAGGAAAATCTCAATTCTGCTAGTTTCGATCTGGAATACAAACGACAGGCGCCAGGCTTCCCATCTCACAATGAGTGCCTTGGAGAGATGGTGGTGTGCCAGGGGTGGGGGAAGAGCTGTTTTTAAAGAACCCAAACAAAAATTGCAGAAACTGCAAAACCCAAATGTTTGCAGTATCTAAACTGGTGGAGAAACTGTGGGGTAGAAACTTACAGTCTGCACTAACAAGTACCTGAGTGGCCCGGAAGTACAGAGCTCTCCGAGCTGAATCCTGTGAACTGCAGGTGCAGGTTACAGACGGGAGGTTCGGCTGTGGGAATGTGCCAAAGACATAACAACACTCAGTTGACAGGAACCAAGTTTACCATCACAGCCCAGACTTAAATACAGGAGCCGGCAAATTCCATAGGATTTAGGCATAAAAGAAGAATTGCCATGTTTTTCCATATGCGTTCATTCAAATACACATAATACCGTGTATGGAAAGGTGGCATGATGTTTGCTTTTCACTGAGTGCATTTTCATGATAGAGTTAACTCTTCAGAGACAAAATTCTGTGTATAATTTAGTTCTCCAAACATTATATCAGAATCTGTCCGATCTTCTTCAAAATAAAAACAGATCTGTTTTGTTTTAGGAATGTTTACAAAAACTTGTATATTTAAAATACAAGTATAAAATGAAGCAGTCAGAAATAAACCACCACTCAAACAACCCCATCCTAACGTAGATCACAGTTTTGCCTATTTTAATCTCTAGATTGACTTGTAGTGGTGGAATGAATTGAGGAAGTTGAGAAAGGAACTAATATATTCATAAGCCTTTACAATATGTAGGCACCATTGAGATACTTTACAAACACCCACAGCAGCCCCATAAGCTAGGTATTATTATTTATTTATTTATTTATTTACTTTTATTTATTTATTTATTTATTTACCTATTTATTTGAGGCGGAGTCTCACTCTATTGCCCAGGCTGGAGTGCAGTGGCGAGATCTCAGCTGACTGCAACCTCCGCCTCCCGGGTTCAAGCGATTCTCCTGCCTCAGCCTCCTGAGTAGCTGGGATCACAGGTGCCTGCCACCATGCCTGGCTATTTTTTTTTTTTTTTAAGTAGAGACAGGATTTCACCATCTTGGCCAGGCTGGTCTCAAACTCCTGACCTAGTGATCCACCTGCCTTGGCCTCCCAAAGTGCTGGGATTACAGGCGTGAGCCACCACACCCGCCTCTGAGCTAGGTATTATTATTCCTGTTTTACAGATGACACTGAAGCTCAGAGAAACCAGGTAACTTACCCAAGATCACACAGCTAGTGAATGGCAAAGACAAGATTCAAATCTTTATATTTGAAATTTTTCCTCCCCATGTTTAGAGAGAACCCTTGTACATCACTGGGTATCCCAGAGCATATGATGAGAATCTTGGTACTATTTAAACCCTTGTTAAAATGACATGGTTTGTAGTCAGCTTTTACTATTCATTAGATAATAATTTCTGGGGAGATATTTATATATTGTATTTTTTATGTGTCCAATTTTAACCTTAGAATTTATCATTGAATTTGCAATACTTTTAAAATATCTGCTCTAATATAAAGACATTTTTACATTTTCCTTTTTTTTTATGGCATAGTTCTAGAATTGAAAGTGAAAAATTCTGTTTCAGCATGTTCTCTGCACCTCCAAATTTTCTTGGCTATTACCAGTAGTTCCTTATACGCAAACATATGAGAAATCTCTGAAGAGCAAATTCAGTTTCGAAAAACAGCTAATGATATCGAAGAAAAGTAGGCACTGGTGGATACTTTCTAGAAGACAGTATTAATACAGCAATACTTTAGGAATAATGATGAATCTGTTTAAAGGCAAAACATCACTAACCTAATCAGATCACTTAGAGAAATAAGTGATTTTCTCTGTCTTATCCTGAGATCATATAGCCATTTAACCTATCTTCAAACAAACAAAAATTTTTAAACATTTTCTATCCTTTAAGAAAATCTTCTTTGCTTGGCTAAATGACAATGTTCAAGAAATGCCTGCCACAGAAGCATAAAAAATCCTTGGCAACATTCCAGAAGAAATTCACCCTGCATAATGTGTTCCAGCAAACGCTCAATAGCTTTCTGGTGAACCTGCTGGCTCAGTGTACACTTGAACAGGATCTAGAGAGAACAAAAGAAAAACTGATAGACATTTTCCTTTTTGTCAGTCTGGTGAAGTAGCCCTCAGCTCATTTTAGCAAACTTCCCCAGCTTGGAAAAATGAGCATGTGTATGGCTAACTTACGAACCCTGCCCTGGAGTCTGGTGCACACGCTGTTGTACTACTTTTGATTCCCTGAAATTCAAGTATAATTATGTTGTTTGTCTTTTCATCCAATAAAATGTGCATTAGCATTTGGTTCACTTTGGAGTGTATTTGTTGAGATGAATCTATTCTTTCAAATGACAAGTTAGTGCTTTCATAATGAGAACACTTTATATAAAACTCTTAATATTAAAAAGAGGTAGACTGGAGGGACAGACTTCTTTAAAACATCTCAAAAGTGTGTTCGTAATTGGCTGAAGCTATTAATTCTCTACATATTTATGCAAAAATGTCGCCAAGTACAGAAATAAAGACTTTAAAACGAGATCCATTTCCCTTCTATAAAGTGAAATAGATGCATACTTTTAATATTTATGTCCCTTTGCAACTTTTTCTCAGGATGAACATTTCCTGCTCCAAAAATAAAATGGTTGGACATTTTACAGGTCTATTAAACTGTAGTGATACATTTGGCCCAAATTCTCTCCTTGGACATGGTGGGAGGGAGAGTTGGGTGGAGCGGGCACAGTGTGTGTATTAAAAGCCTGTTTGACCTTAAATGCCCTGAATTGAGGGCGGGGAGGATGGTTAGGAAGGTAAAAATTTTTTCCATTCATTGTTGTAGAACAGCACATAGTTCTGAAATAAACCCATTTTGCA
Source organism: Homo sapiens (assembly GCF_000001405.40). NCBI lineage: Eukaryota > Metazoa > Chordata > Mammalia > Primates > Hominidae > Homo > Homo sapiens. The sequence continues at coordinate 38,614,065 of NC_000004.12, forward strand.
GGAGAGAAATTCTAGATCCAACTGTCAGGCCTAGGAGAGAATTTACACCCTGGGGAAAGAGCTGAAGGCACTAGAACATGCCTCTATCACCCTCCCATCACCAGTCAGCCAGCCTGTTTTATACAAGGCCTTTTTCTGATTCCTTGGGGCCAGCAGCAGGGCCACTTGGAGGAGTGAGCGGGCCGACCATTGGCTCAAGGTTTAAAATGTAGTCTTTGGATGGTCTCATACAGACACGCCAACAAGAGTCAAGGGGAAGGATTCATCACACAACTTTAACAGCTAAATATAAACATTAAAAATATACTGTGCCTGTGCTGGCTGTAACATTCTTTTGGCTTTCTTCATTTTTTACTATGCTGGAAACTTCAAAAAATGGAAAGACCCAGCTCTCTGGACCTCTGACTACCAGGAAGTCATGTGGTCTATTAGAAGAAGGCAGGATATTTACAAAATCCTCAACTGCTTTCTGCAGAAGAAAACTGGGCTTCCAGACTCCTAGTCACCAGAGTAAAACACCAAATACAAAACCAACACAAAACATGTCAAACTAAGGATACCTTCGACTGGCTCCTTCATCCTGGTCTCCTCTCTCTCTCCAAAGGTTAACCATGATCATGAATTCAATGTGTTTTCTTCCAGAGCTTTAAAAGGAAACACAGACACACATACTAAAAATAATATTATGTGTGGGTTTATAAAACATATTTTGTATAATGGTGTACATATCCTAAAAGTTGCTTTAGTCACTAAATAATTTTTGAGACCTATCCATGTAACTACACATAGATTTAGTTGATTACTTCTGAATGCTGAATAATATTCCACCATTTGAAACCACCACTTTCATCTAGCCATTCCTCCTATGGATGGACATTGGATATTTGTCTGTTGATGATCTGATGTATTCTTCTGACTTCCCCTTCTCTGATTGTACCGGATTACTCCTTAGTTGTTTCATGTAAGTGAGATCTGTCTCCCAGACCAGAAGGTAAACTTCCAGACCTCCATGTCCAACATGCATTACAGAATAATTTTTTGAATGAATGAACTTTGTGTTTTTGACTGCCTCGTAGACTAATAGTAGCTTTGGATTCAACAGAGGCTCAGCAAATTCTATTTATTTATTTATCTTTTTCCCTTTTTAAAAGAGAAGTTTTGACCGGGCGCGGTGGCTCATGCCTGTAATTCCAACACTTTGGGAGGCCAAGGCAGGCAGATCACCTGAAGTGAGGAGTTCGAGACCAGCCTGACCAACATGGAGAAACCTCGTCACTACTAAAAATATAAAACTAGCTGGGCGTGGTGGCACATGCCTGTAATCCCAGCTGGTTGGGAGGCTGAGGCAGGAGAATTGTTTGAATCCGAGAGGTGGAGGTTGCAGTGAGCCAAGATCGCGCCATTGCACTCCAGCCTGGACAACAAGAGTGAACCTCCGTCTCAAAAAAAAAAAAAAAAAAAAAGGAGAGAAGTTTTGTATTTTTAAATCAGGTTCATCTAAAATCCACTTCCTTTCCCAGTCTAGATTTATGATAGTCAACATCTCCTTAAGATGTTCCACATCCTGACACTAGGGATATAATAAAGGTTGTGCCTTTTATTATTATTATTATTTTTTCATTTGAGACAGCATCTCACTCTGTCACCCAGGCTGGAGTGCAGTGGCCCAATCTCAGCTCACTGCAACCTCCACTTTTGGGTTCAAGCGATTCTCCTGCCTCAGCCTCCCAAGTTGCTGGGACTTCAGGTGCGTGCCACCACACCCAGCTAATTTTTGTATTTTTAGTAGAGACGGGGTTTCACCATGTTGATCAGGCTGGTCTCGAACTCCTGACCTCGAGGGATCCACCTGTCTTGGTCTCCCAAAGTGCTGGGATTACAGGCGTGAGCTATTGCGCCCAGCCCTGGTTGTGCCTTTTAAAGATGAGTGTGTGTGTGTGTGTGTGTGTGCATGAGAGAGAGAGGAGGAGGAGGAGGAAAAAGGAGCAGGAAGAGAGTGAATGGAGCCAAAACCACATTAGGGTGTGGCCCTGGGGCCCCTGCTGGCCTTTAGGCAAAGCCAGACACAAAGGACTTATTCTCTTTGCAAATGAAACCTGGAAAACAAGCACTTTTCCTTCTTTTTTTTTTAATCTCTTCCTGCCACTTTTACTTTACACTTTTAGGTTGTTGGTGTCAAAATCAATTTTCTTTCTTTTTTTTTTTTTTTTCGGGATGGAGTCTCTCTCTGTTATCAGGCTGGAGTGCAGTGGCGCAATCTCGGCTCACTGCAACCTCTGCCTCCCAGGTTCAAGCAATTCTCCTGCCTCAGCCTCCTGAGTAGCTGGGACTACAGGCACATGCCACCATGCCCGGCTAATTTTTGTGTTTTTTTTAGTAGAGACGGAGTTTCACCACGTTGGCCAGGATGGTCTCGAGCTCTTGACCTTGTGATCCACCCATCTTGGCCTCCCAAAGTGCTGGGATTACAGACGTGACCACTGCGCCCGGCCAATCCATTTTCATTTATTTCCCTGGAAACTTTACTCTCTGACACTTTAGGCTTCCTGTAAAACAGCAAAAGTGCCCTTTCTAGGGACAAAGGGAAACACGCAAAGTCTCCACATCCACTCACCAGTGATCCTCCAGACCATTCAACCAGACCCTGGGTTATGTTATAAAGAGCTATCTGAAACCGTGAAAACCTTGCCAAAGAGATTTAACCATTACGTTGTGTGTTAGAGGGAGCAGAATATGTGAAAGTTGTATGAAAGCTGCAGAAGTAGATGGGTACTTAGGGACATCCCTGTGCCTGTGTTATTCCATCTTTCCATCTTGTGACATCATTTTTATTCTTCCCTAGTCTGGGACACTCTCAGCAGCAGTTCTTGGCTTTTTTGTGTGTCGTTGTTGTTGTTGTTTTGAGTCTTATCCCTTTTCTCTGGCCGGCATTCTTCCAAAATACAAATATGCTCATATACAAGCAATTCTGCAAAGAATTTCGAGGACATGAAACATCTCCTAAGAGAGAGCCCAGGTAAAGAAGATCTAAACTAAGGTAGGAGTCCAGATATTTGCAGAAACAATAAACTTGACGGGTGTAATAAACATTGATAGTAGCTGCAAAATAAAGCCAAACTTCATATTTGAGTATTGGAAAAAAGAACTGCTTATCCTGGGTTGGTCTTTTCAGATACATTCGTCTCTATATGGATAACAAAAGTAACCATATGTGATATCGTTTGGACATTTGTTCCCTTCAAATTTCATGTTGAAATCTGATCCCCAGTGTTTGGAGGTGGGGCCTGGTGGGAGGTGTTTGGGTCATGGGGCCCAAACATGAATCTTGGCTTGGTGCCTTTCTCTTGGTAATGAATGACTTCTCCCTCTATTAGTTCCCTCCAGATCTGATTGTTAAAAAACAGTCTGGCAACTCCCTTCTCTCTCTCCTGCTCCTCCTCTTGCCATGTGATCTGCGCACTCCAGCTCCTCTTCACCTTCTTCCATGAGTGGAAGCTTCCTAAAGCCCTCATGAGAGCAGATACAGGTGCCATGCTTCTGATACAGCCTACAGAACCATGAGCCAAATAAACCTCTCTCTTTCTCTCTCTGTCTCTGTCTCTCTGTCTCTCTCTCTCTCTCTCTCTCTATATATATATATATACATTACCCAGCCTCAGATATTGAGTAGCAATGCAAAATGGACTGAGACAATATGTCATCAATATACCATCTTTTTTCAAAAAAAAAAAACACAAAAAAAACAGTCTCACTGTCACCCAGGCTGGAGTGCAGTGGCACAATCATAGCTCATTGCAGCCTCAAACTTCTCGGCTCAAGTGATCCTCTTGCCTCTGCCTCCTGAGGAGCTGAGAGGATACAGGTGCATGCACATCAGCTAATTTTTTTTTTTTTTTGAGACAGGGGTCTCACTATGTTGCCCAACTTGGTCTCCAACTCCTGGGCTCTAGCGGTCCCCCCATCTCAGCCTCCTAAAGTGCTGGGATTACAGGCATGAGCCACCATGCCTGGCCTATCACCATCATTGAATACAAAAAATGACTGTATCCAGGAGATAAATCATGGACAAGGCACAAAACTGATAATGAGATTTTCTCATCAAAATATTGACACTATTACAAGTGTATACATGGGTAATAAATGAATAAATTATCTTGCCCATCAGAGCCCCTCAACTGAATTTTTTTTTTTTTTTTTGGAGACAGAGTCTCAATCTGTCACCCAGGTTGGATTGCAATGGCGCAATCTTGGCTCACTGCAACCTCTGCCTCCCAGGTTCAAGCGATTCTCCTGCCTCAGCCTCCCAAGTAGCTGGGATTACAGGCACCCACCATCATGCCTGGCTAATTTTTGTATTTTTATAGAGATGGGGTTTCACCATGTTGGCCAGGCTGATCTCGAACTCCTGACCTCAGGTGATCCACCCACCTTGGCCTACCAAAGTGCTAGGATTATAGGCGTGAGCCACCGTGCCCAGACCCTCATCTGAATTTTTAAAATCACATCCTTTGCATCATTTATTTCAGTAGCTGCTCTACCCTCAAAGTCATTCTCAGCCTTGCTTTAACTTCAAAGAATTCTGCATATGTCATCTTCCTTAGATCGCATCTATTTCAAACCCTTAGCTAGTCCAAAAACCATGTAGCCACAAGTAATCATAAGATTACTGTCATCCTAGTAACTTTTGCCATTTTCAGAATGACTGCTATGTGCCAGCTAGGCTTGTAGCACCTCAAATGTATTATGAACATGTACTAAATCTTTACAACAGTGCTGCTCTGTAGATAGCAGTATTTCCATTTTAAAGAGAGAATCCCAGCCAAGTGCTGTGTCTCATACCTATAATCCCAGCACTCTGGGAGGCCGAGGAGGACGGACCACTTGAGGTCAGGAGTTCAATACCAGCCTGGCCAACATGGCAAAAACCCATCTCTACTAAAAATACAAAAAAGTAGCCGGGCATGGTGGCGCGTGCCTGAAATCCCAGCTACTGGGGAGGCTGAAACATGAGAGTCACTTCAACCCAGGAGGCAGAGGTTGCAGTGAGCCCAGATCGCACCACTGCACTCCAGCCTGGGCGACAAAGCGAGACTCTGTCTCAAAAATAAATAAATAAATAAGAGACAGAGAATCCCAAGGCTCAGACAGAAGTAATTTTCTAGGGGTTATGGAGCAAGGAACTGGCAGAACTGGGTTCAACCTTAATTTCATTTGACTGCAAACTCTCCCTCTTAGTCCTGATGGTTGGTACCAGGGTGCCATTTTTCCAGATGAATCTTAAAATTACAGAATTCTCAATTTATATGTGTTCTTAACCTTCTTTGGCTCAATGAATATTCGAACAGAAAAGGATCTTGGAGGCAATTTTGCCTGACTCTCACACTTTACAGATGAGGAAACTGAGACTTGGCTGCGGTAGGTTACTGCTCCAGTTATGGCCTTCCCTTTTCTGGTTCTGAGGAGGCAGGACCCACTTCCTTTGGGAGGTGATTTCACGCTTCTGCTAGCATAGCTTTAAGTGCACCAAAAGTCTTTATGCAGACCTTTGAGGACCTTCCAAAAGGAGCATAAAAAGTCCAGAACATGTCAATGACCCAAGCAAAGGAGACCCATACTCAGATGGCATCTACTGCAAAGGGAATAGAGCAAGTTTATTCAATCCACAGCCCTCAGCCTGCATGTGGCCCAGGAAAGCTTTGAATGTGGCCCAATACAACTTCATCAACTTTCTTAAAACATTATGAGATTTTTTTTGCGATTTTTTTTTTTAGCTCATCAGCTATTTTAGTGATAGTGTATTTTATGTGTAGCCCAATACAATTCTTCTTCTTCCAATGTGGCCTAGGGAAGCCAAAATGTTGGACATCCCTGGAATAGAGCAATCCAAGATGTGTCCCACCCCACTCCCCACAGGGCAAGCCAAGGATGTTGGCTGATCCACAAAGCTGGTACAACAACAAAACAAGACATGCAAAATTCCAGCAAAGGAGATCCAAGAAACCAGCACCTGCATCCCAGAGCAACTTCTAAGGACAGCAATGACATGCAGCCCAATTAAGCAGGAAATTTCAAAGCCCTCCACTTTAGGTCCATAGCAGCTGGAATGAGGAAGAAAAGGACAAATCAGTGCTCAATAGCTTGCCCTTAGATTTGTTATCGAGCTAGAATAACAAGCAGTTGTCATATTTCAAGTGTGTTTTAAAAGTCCTGAATCAGATAACTATCATGCCTTGCATTGTTCTTGAAAATGCAAAAATAGAAAAAGGAAGAAATTATCTAAGAGCAATAAACCAAGGAAACAGAGACCAGGCAGGGGTGGGGCTGCAGATCATCACTACTGATGCTTATGAACATTTACTACATGACAATAGTTACTACATGACAGAGTTAGACACAGTTCCAATCTCTCTGTCCAAGAGAAAGAAAGAATAAGAGAATAAAAAATGTAGCTATTTAAAAGAATGTAACGAATTAATAACAATAGAATAAGAGAATAATGTAACTAATGAAAGAATGTCACATTTGTATTTTCTAAAGAAGGCAGTTTAGGGTGACCCTAATGTTTTTCAACATTAATTTTTTTACTTTATTATGTTGTTAGGGAACATCAAAAACACAAAGTACTGTACTAAATATATCACATGTCATAAAGACAGTACACATTGGGTGGGTCAATGACTGAGGCTTGCCTGAATTAGCTTTAATTGATTCACTTAACATCTCCAAGCTTTTCCGGGCTGTTTTGTAAGTAAGTATGATTATATACAAGGTGATACATAAATATTTAACATAAGCATATGTATATATCTATACATACACATGCATATGTATATATCTATATGTATACATGCATATCTATGTACACACACATATGTGTATGTATGTATATGCATGTGTGTGTATGTTTTTATATGTAATATATTGAGACCATTTGACATACCCAGGTACTGAGCCTACCATCCCACTGAATAAGTTAATTTACTGGGCTCTCAGAGTATGAATCCTTAGCCTTCTCAGAGCACATGCACTGTTTGCTCAATCTGAAAACACGTAATTATTTAACTTGCCTTCTAAAGTAACACCACACCCTGGATATGATGCAAGACCCAGCATTACAAGATAAGCTCTGTCTCAAGTTTCTGCTCGTTATAGTGCCTGAAGTATTTACTCATATGCTCAGGGACTGAAGCAGAAGTAAACAGTCAGGCCAGTATTATAGGGACACCTGTGTTACAAAATTGACTTTCTTATATTGTGAAAGCAATGAATGAAGTTCAGCAGGCCTCCTGTAAGGATGCCGATTCAGCCCACATCACCTTGGTCAAACAGGACTTCAGCCTTATTGCCGCCCTCCCTAACGCACCCAGGTCAGTCTACTTTCCTCAGGTATCTGATCCAAGCTACAAGTCATGGGTCTCCGCTGCAGCACCTCACCTCCTGTTTATCTTCTGTTTGCACCCGTCTTCGGGGAAGTTAACCTTGCTTTCTGTCAATGTGTGCTGCCCCTGGATCTCCAAAGAGGTTTCTGCATGGTGTGTTTAACAGGACTGGACTCTATCTTTACAATTCTACAAAATCAGGCCAGGCGCAGTGGCTCATGCCTGTAAACACCTAACACTTTGAGAGGCCAAGTCAGGCGGATCACCTGAGGTCAGAAGTTTGAGACCAGCCTGGCCAACATGGTGAAACCCCGTCTCTACTTAAAAATATAAACATTAGCCAGTTGCAGTGGCGGGCACCTGTAGTCCCAGCTCCTCAGGAGGCTAAGGCAGGAGAATCGCTTGAACCCAGGAAGTGGAGGTTGCAGTGAGCCGAGATCATGCCACTGGACTCCACCCTGGGCGACAGAGCAAGACTCCATCTCAAAAAAAAAAAAAAAATTCTACAAAATCACTTCGTTTATGACTCCCTCTCTAATTAAACAGAACACGGTGTCCTGGAACAGAGACTCAGGTACAAGTTTACATTTCTATTAGGCTTGATGCCTCATATCTTCCCCACAACAGGAGTACTGAGATTTGATATAGCTGAGTGATTAAGAGCAAGAACTTGGAGAACTAGTTAGCCAGGGTTTGAATCCCGGACCACCACACACTAACTGTGCCTCACTTTCCTTACCTTTATTTTTATTTATTTATTTATTTATTGAGACAGAGTCTTACTCTATCACCCAGGCTGGAGCGCAGTGGTGCAATCTTGGCTCACTGCAACCTCCACCTCCTGAGAATTGAGGCAATTCTCCTGCCTCAGCCTCCCAAGTAGCTGGAACCACAGGCACGTGCCACCACACCCGGCTAATTTTTCTATTTTTAGTAGACATAGGGTTTCACCATATTGGTCAGGCTGGTCTCAAACTCCTGACCTCAGGTGATCCATCCAGCTTGGCCTCCCAAAGTGCTGGGATTATAGGCATGAGTCACCACACCCAGCCTATTTATTTTTTCTTTGAAACAAGTTCTTGCTCTGTTGGCCAGGCTGGTGTGCAGTGGCCTCAGCACAGCTCACTGCAGCCTTGATCTCCTAGGCTCAAGTGATCCTCCCACTTCAGCCTCCCAAGTAGCTGGGATTACAGGCATGTACCACCACACCTGGCTAATTTTTTGTGGTTTTTGTAAAGACACAGTTTTGCCATGTTGGCCAGGCTGCTGGAACTCCTGGACTCAAACAATCCACCCACCTGGCTTTCAGAAGTGCTTGGATTAAGGCGTGAGCTACCACACCCAGCCTTCCTTACCTTTAAGATAGATAGATAGGTAGGTAGCTAGGTAGATAGATGGAAGGATGGATGGATGGATGGATAGATAGATAGGTAGATAGACACAGAGATAGATACATACATAGACAGATAGACAGACAGATAGACGGATGGATGATAGTTAACCAAAGTGCTCAGACTAGTGCCTGGTATGCAATAAATGCTACCTAAGTGCAAGCATAACAAATATGATGATAATGGTACTTCCTATCTGCCTTGGTGTTCAGGAGAGGATGAGGAGGGACGGGGCCACCCCCGTGGTAAGCAAGTGAGGGCATCCCTGAAGTGGCTGCAGCTGTGCTGCACTGTTCCGTTGTCTCCATGGAGGGCCTGACTTGGTGTGACCAGCTCTGCACATTTTCAAGAGAAAGCAAAATCCAAATTTCTGGATTTTAAATTGTTGGTTTACATTTTTAAAAATTAGTGTTTGAGCCAAAGAAAGCATGTCTAGAAGCAGATTTTTTCCCTTAAGTCACCATTTTGTGACCTCAGACACATATGAATCTATAATGTGTGGGTTTCCATTTTTCTTTGCTTATCATCCATACTTCTTTCTCAGCTGAACACCCCAGGGGCAAGAGAAAGCACACAGAAGGCACTCAATGAAACCCAGCTGAACAATGACCTGGTTTGTTAATAAACAAACACCAGTGGGCTTTTCTGCAAGAAAACAATGAGTAACAGTGTCAGCTACATTTAGGAACTTTTTTTTTTTTTTTTTTTTTGGTTGGAGTCTGAGTCTCACTGTCACCCAGGCTGGAGTGCAGTGGCTCAATCCCGGCTCACTGCAACCTCCACCTCTTGGGTTCAAGTGATTCTCCTGCCTCAGCCTCCCGAGTAGCTGGGATTACAGGCATGCAACACCACGCCCAGCTAATTTTGTGTATTTAGTAGAGATGGGGTTTCACCATGTTAGCCAGGCTGATCTCAAACTCCCGGCCTCTGGTGATCCGCCTGCCTCGGCCTCTCAAAGTGCTGGGATTACAGGCATGAGCCACTGCGCCCGGCCTAGGACCTTCTCTTAAAGTGCATCTTTAGGTCAAAAAACCAGGCCCTGGGAGCACACATCTGAACAAGATGCAGCCCCTGATTCTGAGGAACTTACAGACTTGTGGGGGACACAAAAGTGCAGACAACTGGCTGGGCGCAGTGGCTCATGCCTGTAATCCCAGTGCTTTGGGAGGCCAAGGAGGGCAGATCACGGGGTCAGGAGTTCGAGACCAGCCTGACCAACATGGTGAAACCCCGTCCCTACTAAAAATACAGAAATTAGCTGGGCGTGGTGGCGCACACCTGTAATCCCAGCTACTCGAGAGGCTGAGGCAGGAGAATCACTTGAACCTGGGAGGCAGAGGTTGCAGTGAGCCGAGATCGTGCCACTGCACTCCAGCCTGGGCAACAAAGCGAGACTCCATCTCAAAAAAAAAAAAAAAAAAAGCGCAGACAATTGCAATGTTTACAAAACACATTGGCATACATTATGTCATTTCACATCATGAGAACCCACTGCAGTAGGTACCGCATGTGATTTTATACCCAATAGAAGAGAAACTGAGGCACAGAGAGGCTAAGTAACTTGTCCAAGGAGGCTAAGTAACTTACCCCACTAGTAAGAGGAGTTGTAACAAGAACCAGTTCTGCATACTCCAAGCCCAGGGCTCTTTCTGTTGCATTCTAATGCTCCAGCATAATGTGCATATTTTCCGGTGCCTGTGATACTAGCAACATCAGACTCATTAACATGGCCGATATCCTGTGAGCTGAAAGAAGGCACTGATAGCATCATGGAATGCAGCCCTTAAACACACCTGAGAATAGTTAGGAAAATTTTTTTCTTCTCATGGATTACAATTTCCCTTCTACCAAAAAGAATTTGAGGCCACTTGCAACAACATGTAATGCTGTTTTTAAACAGTTAAAAGAACAGGTGATGAGGGGAAACGGAGATGAAATCGCTGCTTCAGGAAATCAAAGTTAAGAAGAGGCAGCACGAGTGGGCACAGATCGTAGCTCTGAGCCTCCTGAATGACAAGACAAACTGGGAAGTGACAAAGTTCTTGTTGTCTATAAAAGGAGGCATACTAATTTTAAGTTTAGCATATATTATCACCGTTTGTTCTCTAATTTCTAAAGCACATAGCAAAAATCCCTATTTTGGAAAACATTGATTAAAAAGTAGAGCATTTGGCCAGGCGCAGTGGCTCACGCCTATAATCCCAGCACTTTGGGAGGCTGAGGCAGTGGATCACTTGAGGTCAGGAGTTCAAGACCAGCCTGGCCAACATGGTGAAACTCTTGTCTCTACTAAAAATACAAAATCAGCAGGGCAAGGTGGAGTATGCCTGTAATCCCTGTTACTCTGGAGGCTGAGGCAGGAAAACCGCTTGAATCCAGGAGGTAGAGGTTGCAGTGAGCCGAGATTGTGCCACTGCACTCCAGCCTGGGCAACAGAGTGAGACTCCGTCTAAAAAAAAAAAAAAAAAAAAGCAAATATATATACATATATATATATATATATATATATATATATATATATAGAGAGAGAGAGAGAGAGAGAGAGAGAGTATTTTATTAAAAAATTGATGTTATATTTTTAAAGTCTATAGTTGATCAGAAGATTTTGTAAATTTATCAAGAACATACTCCCTAGCCCATGGTCACCAATATTAATAGTCTGGTACATCCTGCAAAGGAAAATGGGACAACTGTCATCCAATTTAGAAGGATTGTATAGGAAAATTTTAGAACTGTAATTTTGGGGAAAGGATAAGCAAAGTGTCACCTTTGTGCACACACTTCTTCAAATTCTTAACTGGATGAATGATAGCTGCAGGAGCACTTCAAACACAGGATGACACACAGCAGCTCTGAGCACATTTCCTCCACGCACTCATTCAGCCAGTAGATTCTGAGGGCTCACAGAGCAGGCATTCACACACGGTCCTTAAAGGGTGGAAACAGCAGTGAACAAAAACCTGTGCCTTCACCATGCTCTCCCATGATAAAACACAGTACGTTGCACAAATTAAAGATGGTTGTTCTCATCCAAATCAGTTTTCCTAAAAAGGCAACTGTGTTTAGGACAGCCCTGTGTTACTGCAGACGTTGAGACAGATCCTTGGCTTTTGCCACAGCACTACCTAGAGCATAGGAATAGCTAGAGAAAAAGGAGGAGCAAACCTCAATCCATAAACAAGGCTGAGGCCTAGATCCCACCCTTCTGAGATCACTATGGATGGAGGGTGGGCCTACCTTCTGCTGCAGAAGCAGCCAAGTACCTCTTTCAGTCTGATGGTGTAGTTCTCTTCTAGAAATGGCTTTAAGAAGTAGCAAGAAGAAGAAAGCAAGCTACAACAGCCACAGAAGCTGTTAGCCAGATTAAAAAAAAAAAAGGAAGAGGGGAAAGACAGGTTTTTAAAACCCATACAGGCATTCATTCAACAAATATTTATGAAATCTTCACTGTATATACAAAAGGCCCTGGGGAAATAGTGGGAGAGAGGGAAAGACATGGTTCTGCCCTAGTGTCTCTTCCAATCTAGAGAATCAGATGTAGAACAAGTAATCAATTCTTTTTTTTTTTTTTTTGAAACAGAGTCTCACTCTGCCGCCCAGGCCGAAGCACCGTGGTGCAATCTCGGCTTACCGCAACCTTCGCCTCCCGGGTTCAAGTGATTCTCCCACCTCAGTCTCTCAAGCAGCTGGGATTACAGGCACCCGCCACCATGCCTGGCAAATTTTTGTATTCTTAGTAGAGATGGGGTTTTGCCATGTTGGCCAGGCTGGTCTCGAATTCCTGACCTCAGGTGATCCACCCCCCTTGGCCTCCCGAAGTGCTGGGATTACAGGCGTGAGCTACCGTGCCCAGCCTAATTCTTTATTTAAAAGTAGGATAGCTACTAGTGAGAGGTGACAGCGTGCTGGCAGTCCTCAGAGCCCTCACTCGCTCTCGGTGCCTCCTCTGCCTGGGCTCCCACTTTGGCGGCACTTGAGGAGCCCTTCAGCCCACCGCTGCACTGTGGGAGCCCCTTTCTGGGCTTGCCAAGGCCGGAGCCGGCTCCCTCAGCTTGCAGGGAGGTGTGGAGGGAGAGGTGCGAGCAGGAACCGGGGCTGCACGCGACGCTTGCAGGCCAGCTGGAGTTCTGGGTGGGTGTGAGCTTGGCGGCCCGCACTCGGAGCAGCCGGCAGGCCCTGCCGGCCCCAGGCAATGAGGGGCTTAGCACCCGAGCCAGTGGCTGTGGAGGGTGTACTGGGTCCCCCAGCAGTGCTGACCCACCGGCGCTGCGCTCGATTTCTCCCGGGGCCCTAGCTGCCTTCCCAAGGGGCAGGGCTCGGGACCTGCAGCCCGCCATGCCTGAGCCTCCCACCCCCTCCGTGGGCACCTGTGCCGCAGGAGCCTCCCCAGCAAGCGCCGCCTCCTGCTCCACAGCGCCCAGTCCCATCGACCACCCAAGGGCTGAGGAGTGCGGGCGCACCGCGAGGGACTGGCAGGCAGCTCCACCTGCAGGGGCAGTGCGGGATCCACTGGGTGAAGCCAGCTGGGCTCCTGAGTCTGGTGCGGACGTGGAGAACCTTTGTGTCTAGCTCAGGGATTGTAAATACACCAATCGGCACTCTGTCTCTAGCTCAAGGTTTGTAAACACACCAATCAACACCCTGTGTCTAGCTCAGGGTTTGTGAATGCACCAATAGACACTCTGTATCTAGCTAATCTAGTGGGGACCTGGAGAACCTTTGTATCTGGCTCAGTGATTGTAAACGCACCAATCAGCGCCCTGTCAAAACAGACCACTGGGCTCTACCAATCACCAGGATGTGGGTGGGGGCCAAATAAGAGAATAAAAGCAGGCTGCCCAAGCCAGCAGTGGCAATCTGCTGGGGTCTCCTTCCACATCGTGGAAGCTTTGTTCTTTCGCTCTTCGCAATAAATCTTGCTACTTCTCACTCTTTGGGTCCACGCTGCCTTTATGAGCTGTAACACTCACCGCGAAGGTCTGCAGCTTCACTCCTGAAGCCAGTGAGACCACGAGCCCGCTGGGAGGAATGAACAACTCCAGACGCACCACCTTAAGAGCTGTAACACTCACCACGAAGGTCTGCAGCTTCACTCCTGAGCCAGCGAGACCACGAACCCACCAGAAGGAAGATACTCCGAACACATCCACACATCAGTAGGAACAAACTCTGGACACACTGCCTTTAAGAACTGTAACACTCACCGCGAGGGTCCGCAGCTTCATTCTTGAAGTCAGTGAGACCAAGAACCCACCAATTCCGGACACACTAGGAAGAACGATTGGAGATTGTGAGCTATAAAAAAGCAAACTAACCTAGTGCCAAAGATACCAGAAACTCCTTTACCCATTCCAACTCACCTTCCCTCCCTCTCTGGCACACACACAAGTGGGCACATACACAGGCATACACAGTCACAATATAATCAAGCTCCTACTATCTTCCTTTTTCAAGAAGACTACTTTGGGGCTGGAAATACTAAGGATGCTATTCTTTCTAGATGTTAGGCCAACAGGCTGCAAACCTGGAAAATCCCATGGCCAATATTCCTACTCTGAGCTAAGATGCAGTTGGGTCTAGAGAAAAAAAGAAATATTGGCTGGGCATGGTGTCTCACGCCTGTAATCCCAGCACTTTGGGAAGCCGAGACGGGCAGATCACCTGAAGTCGGGAGTTCGAAACCAGCCTGGCCAACACAGTGAAACCCCATCTCTACTAAAAATACAAAAATTAGCTGGGTGTAGTGGCGTGCGCCTGTAATCCCAGCTACTTGGGAGGCTGAGACAGGAGAATCACTTGAACCCACGAGGCGGAAGTTGCAGTGAGCTGAGATCATACCACTGCACTCTAGCCTGGGAGACAGAGTGAGACTCTATCTCAAAAAAAAAAAAAAGAAAGAAATATTTAGACAATTGCTTCTTCAAATGTCTTCTAGATCTTTGAGTTTATGGTGCTTGACCCTATTGATACTTAATTAGAACCTCCAATAAGAACTTGCAGGGGAGCACGATGCTGAAAGTGAAAATGACAGCTTCCCGTTGGACTATGTGCTGATTTACAGCAGTTCAGTCTCAGAAAAGGAAAACTACATAAAAATAGAAGATATAACAGTGAAATCAAAAAATTAAAACTTAGAATCTGCATATACTGAACTTTCATTGGCTGTCAAATTATATTAATCAACAATGTCAAGTTGAAAAAAAGCAAATGAAAAACAAATAAGGAACATTATTTGTACAAAGCATTGAGCTAGTCAAATTTTATCACTTTTTAGTTATATAAGTACAATATAATTGTGGTAAATAAAATTAGAAAATTTAGACAAGAACATAAAAAATAAAAATGCAGTTGACCCTTGAACAGCACAGGGATTCGGGGTACCTATCCCGCACAAATCCCGCAGTCAGAATTCTGTAGATAACTTTCAATTTCCCAAAAACTTAATTACTGCCAGCCTACTGCTGACCAGTAGCCTTACCAATAACATAAACCATCAATTAATACATATTTTGTATGTTATATGTATTACATGCTGTATTCTTACAATAAAGTAAGCTAGAGAAAATGAATTGTTACAAAGAAAATCATAAAGAAGAGAATATATATTTACTATTCATTCAGTGGCAATGGATCAACATAAAAGTCTTCATCTTTGGCCGAGTGTGGTGGCCCGCGCCTGTAATCCCAGCACTTTGGGAGGCCAAGGTGGGTGGATCACGAGGTCAGGAGTTTGAGACCAGCCTGGCCAACATGTCGAAACCCCATCTCTACTAAAAATACAAAAATTAGCTAGGTGTGGTGGCACGTGCCTGTAGTCCCAGCTACTCAGGAGGCTGAGGTTGCAGTGAGCCAAGACCACTTCATTGCACTCCAGCCTAGGAGATAGAGTGAGACTCCGCTCAAAAAATAAAATTAAAAAAACTCGTCATCTTCATAGTCTTGATGTTGAACAGGTTGAGGAAAAGGAAGAAGTGGGGTTGGTCTTGCTGCCTCAAGGGCAACAGAGGAGGAAGA
Source organism: Homo sapiens (assembly GCF_000001405.40). Lineage (NCBI taxonomy): Eukaryota > Metazoa > Chordata > Mammalia > Primates > Hominidae > Homo > Homo sapiens. Next base: position 38,629,849 of record NC_000004.12, read on the forward strand.
AAATCCATGCGTAAGTGGGCCTGCAGAGTTCAAGCCCATGTTGCTCAAGGGTCCACTGTACAGCCATTTTAATAACCAAAGTACTTTTCATTAAGTTACTGTAACAAAATGTATTTAACCAATTTCCTGTTATTGGACATTTATTTCTGATGTTTAACACAAATGCTTTAATGAACAGCTTTATACATACATCTCTGCATAATGTATCTCTCATTATTTTCTTATGATAAGCTCTTAGAAGTGGAATTTCTCAGTTGAACAGTATTCAGATGTTAAAAAGCAGAATTACAGCAATAGCCAAATTCAGTCATTTAAATTCTTTTTTAAGGTGCTTACAGCATCTTCAAACTTAGTAAGCATTCAAAAATTGAAAGAGAACAGTCTTTATTTTCATATCAAAGTCAATAATAACATTACATATATTTAATATATAACTTCAGAACTCTGACATTTCTTAAAACCTCACCAAATACTGACAGACAGTAATACCATATGGTTACAGACGCTTCTGAGAGAGCAAGACTGTTTCCAATTGCAATACAACAAATATGTTAACTGACTGGTTCATTTCTGAATTTAAAATGCTGAACAGAAAACCAATCACACCAAATATAGACAATATTTTTTAAAGTACACAACTGCACTACATACCATAGCAGGAGGACACAGGACTGAAACATGTATTTCTTTGTTTGGTCTATGGGCAAAGTCATCATCTCTCTGGATCTCAGTTCTGAGGGTAAAGACACAAGAGCTAGGGTTTCCAGACTTTTAGAATTAATAGACCAATTAAACTAAAAAAAAAAAAAATCAAGAAGGAACTAACAACTAATGCAGGGTTACCAAGGAAATAAAAACACAACACCACCACATACTAGCATATCATCCATAAATAACCTTAAAATGGGAGGAGGGCAACATACTCTCTGAATAAGAAACCATCATTAAATGTAATGCATTTATCCTGATTTTTATTTTTTTGTCTGCTCCATTGCTCATGTTTTTCTCATTTTGCCCTGGAGTGTGAAAACTGTGCCTCAGACTTGTACTAGTCCCCCAACTCTTGATTGAAAACAACCTCCCTAGATAACTTCTAAATCCTTTCCAGATTATAAAATGCTGTGTTTTGTGATTCCAAATTTTAATTTAGGTTCTATGTAAAGAAGTCATTTGCAAGGCCTTTTTTTTTTTTTTTTTTTGAAATGGAGTCTCACTCTGTCGCCCAGGCTGGAGTGCAGTGGCACGATCTCGGCTCACTGCAACCTCTGCCTCCCAGGTTCAAGCCATTCTCCTGCCTCAGCCTCCCGAGTAGATGGGACTACAGGCGCCTGCAACCACCCTCGGCTAATTTTTTGTATTTTTAGTACAGACGGGGTTTCACCATGTTAGCCAGGATGATCTCGATCTCCTGACCCCGTGATCGGCCCGCCTTGGCCTCCCAAAGTGCTGGGATTACAGGCGTGAGCCACCACACCCAGCCTTTGCAAGGACTTTTAAATTCAGTCTCTCTTACTTCTTTGAGGCTGCCAATGAGTGGATCCCATGAAGTGGGGATCGGGGGTGGATGCTTTCTGAGGGAGGGCCTCCTGGGGCCAGGCAGTGAGCCATGCATGCAATAAGGACACAGAGACACAAAGCACAGCCTCTGCCTTCAGGGGGCTGTCACCTAGGGAGCAACAGGAGACTAATACCCAGGAGGACACAAGTGATAGAACACACAAGGTACGCCTGGGGTACCTGGGAGCATTTAGGAGCAGCATTGTACCCAAACAGGTAGAGAAGGTGAGTGGGCCAGATCTTCTGGATAAGGTGACACTTACACTGAGGCTTGGCAGCTGAGGATGCCACTACAGGCCACGAGCATCCTTTGTAAAAGCGAAAGCGTGTCAGAAGTCATGGAGAATCCTGGCCGGGCGCGGTGGCTCATGCCTGTAATCCCAGCACTTTGGGAGGTCGGGGCAGGCGGATCACTTAAGGCTAGGAGTTCAAGACCAGCCTGACCAACATGGCAATACTCCGTCTCTACTAAAAAACTAGCTGGGTCTGGTGGCGCACACCTGTCCTCCCAGCTACTCGGGAGGCTGAGGCACAAGAATCACTTAAACCCGGGAGGAGGAGGTTGCAGTGAGCCGAGATCGCGCCACTGCACTCCAGCCTGGGCGACAGAGCACCTGGAGAACCCCACAACCTAGTGAGTTCCAGTGAGAACACAGTCTATGGGTTGGAGGGTTGCAGAAGATACTGAAGAGGCAGACACATTGCCAGATCAAGAAAACCTGCAGTGCCACATTCAGGAGTTTGGACTTGATCACCAAAACACTGGGATGTCACTGAACTATTTTAATCAGGGGAGGAGACTGAGGCACATCTCACAGTTTGCCTCTTCCCCCAGCTCAAATTTTAAAATAGAGCTTTATAGCAGAAAAGAATCTCAAGGTCAGAAACTCCTATGTTATCTTTGTTTTTTAAGAAAAAAAGGTTATGCAGTAAACCCTGTTAAAATAAGTTCAAACTGTATAGAAGTGCATAAAATTAAAATAAGAATATTTCGATCCCCTCAACCAAATCCTACTCCCCAGAGTTAATCCTCATTATGAGTTTCAGGGAAATCCACGTATATTTTATCTAAGCATATACAAATATATACAAAAGCATTTATGGGCCGGGTGCGGTAGCTCACGCCTGTAATCCCAGCACTTTGGGAGGCCGAGGCTGGCAGATCACGAGGTCATGAGATCGAGACCATCCCGGCTAACGCGGTGAAACCCCGTCTCTACTAAAAATACAAAAAATTAGCCAGGCATGGTGGCAGGCGCCTGTAGTCCCAGCTACTCGGGAGGCTGAGGCAGGAGAATGGTGTGAACCCAGGAGGCGGAGACTGCAGTGAGCCAAGGTTGTGCCACTGCCCTCCAGCCTGGGCGACAGAGCGAGACTCCGTCTGAAAAATAAATAAATAAATAAAAAGCATTTATGTCCAACACAAATAATGTTTTGTGAGTTCTCTAATACAGAATATATTGTGCCACATATGTTGGTCTGCAACTTGCCTTTTTCACTTAATTATCAGTACAGATAGATCTCATTCTTTTTGGCTACACAGCATTCCACTGTATGGATGGGTATGTTTAAAAATTAATTGAACCATTTCTTTGTTGGTGGTCATTCAAGCAGTTCCTAATTTTCTAGTTGTTGCTGCAATGAACATCCTTGACTATTTGGATATCTATGTTTGTTTTCCTAAAGGATAGTTTCTTAGACTTTGAATTAGTAGGTTAAAGAAACTATGCATTAAAAATTTTGAAAACTACTGCCTAATTGCTCTCTAAAAAGTTGTTTCATTTTATGTTCGCCCAGGGTTATACAAGAGTGCTCATCTCTGCCCACAAAGGCCAAAGGTGGGGATTATCAAGCCTTTGAAACTTTGCCAATCTGAGAGATGAAAAATGCTATCTCATGATTGGTTCTGTTGGCTTTTTGTTGTTGTTGTTGTTAATGCACTTGACCAGCTTTTCACATATTTATTGACTAAATGTATTTTTGTCTATGAATTGCCTTTTTATAAACTCTGCTGTCCCGAGATTCTCAATCTGTGGTCCCAAGGCCCCTGACATGTAATATAAAATGTTCTATGCTTATTGGTTGTGCATTATTCTCAGGATAGAGGACAAGGAACAATAAGAACCACTGATTTTTGACTTCCTGCTGGCAAGGATAAAAATAAATAAAATAATTAATAAATATATAAATAAATAAATAAATAAATAATAAAGAACCACTGATTTTAACGGGTATACGCTGAAAAGTATATGCGGAAAGAAAGAAGCAGGCCTAGAAGAAAGGGCGTAAAAGAGGTGAGGCAGGCTTCTATGATTCCAAACCAGAGTGTGCACACACACACACCCTTTTATTATCTCTCCCTCAATTACACTAGGACTTCCCAATAGTATTTTCTCATTTTCCTTCCCAGAAGGCCCACCAGCCAGAGGCAGGCTCCTAGATCTACTGCAGATTGGGCTTATTTCTTTACCAATATCTTTGACATATCACAGAGAATAAGGACAAACAAGTCAAGATGCTGCTTTATTTACATTTTGGTTTATAGACACATTCAAAACTTTATACGGACAAGCTGTCACCTATTTTTTTTTGGAATCAGGACAGCCATTAACTTCAATTCTAACTCCTAAATATTTCTCTAATCTGCCCATTTCTCTTCATTTCCACTCCAACTATCGCATCTTGCTTTGACCATGGCAGCACTCTCCTACCTGGCTTCCCCATATCCTCTCTGCCATACTCTCCAATCCACTGTCCATGCTTTAACCAAAACTATCCCTTCACTCACCAGCTCTCAACCTGTCCATGGCTGCTCTTTGCTCTCTGGCTAAAAGGCCAACCTCTTGGTGCATGTGTCCAACTGTGCGGTCTGCCTGACCTACCTCCTCTATGATGCTGAGCCCCTCTTCCCTCACCCTGGCTCCCACCACACCTGGGACACTCAGCCATTCTCTCTCCCATACCATGACCTTTGTCATTCTATTTCTTCTGCCTGAATGCTGTCTCTCCCACTCTTTTCTCTCACTGAGTTGACTTCTACTCAGCTTAAAAATAACTTCCCTGACTTCCCAGGCCAAGTCATGTGCTGCTATTTCATGCTTTCATAACAAAAGCATAAAATACTCCACTTGTTTTCTTTAGCAGCTATCCCAAATTTTCAATAATATAGTTCATTAACATCTGCTTCCACTCTGGCAGGAGACGTCCATGAAAATAGGATGGGATCTGTTTTGCTCTTCTTGAAATCCCAGAGCAGGGCTAACCCAGAGCAGATGACCAATAAGTACTGTTGAAGCAGGAAGAGGAAAAGGATGCTTTTAGAAATGATCCTTTGTAGGCCTTTATTTTTCTTTACACTTTCCTTCCAACCTGAGAGGATAGTAACTATGTCCTGGATATGGAAATTTGCTAACCCTTTCAAGGCATTCCCGGCATTTATCAGGAACCTACTATGTACGTACTAGACACCTTTCTAGGAACCGGGAGACATCACAGTAGAAAAAAAAAAAAGCCAGACCAATCTTCTCCTTACATTCTGGAAGAAACAGATAGTCAACATCACAGTTAAGTCAATTATATAGTATACTTAGGAGACGAAAAGTGCTGTGAAGAAAAAGAGAGCTGGATAAGTTGGGTGAAAGAAGAAAGAAGAGGGAACTCACACCCATTCGTTGTATGTTAAAAAACCAGGTTGGGGAGGCCGGGTGCGGTGGCTCATGCCTGTAATCCCAGCACTTTGGGAGGCCGAGGCGGGCGGATCACAAGGTCAGGAGTTCGAGACCAGCGTGGCCAACATAGTGAAACCCCATCTCTACTAAAAATACAAAAATTAGCTGAGCATGGTGATGGGCTCCTGTAATCCCAGCTGCTCGGGAGGCTGAGGCAGGAGAATCATTTGAACCTGGGAGGTGGTTGCAGTAAGCCAAGATCGTGCCATTGCACTCCAGACTGGGCAACAAGAGCGAAACTGTCTCAAAAAAAAAAAAAAAAAAAAACCAACTAGGTTGGGGAGATAGACATAGAGGGGGTGTCATGAAGTGACATAAGCTCATGAAGTTTAAACTAAGTTTGAGAAAAACAACAGAAATAGATACACATACATACTAACTCTAGTAGTAAAATATCGTGTACACCGGCTTGTGAGCTGCCTTGAGCAGCGTGCTGGCCGGTTTGAGTAGCTCCTCTCACTCCCCGAGTCCATCCACATCTTGCTCAAGAACTTCAATTTCAATGTTAACTCTATTCCTCAGAACCCATTCCTTCTCCTTGGCATGGCTGGTGGATCTTTCTTCCATGTTCCTAAGGCCTTCTGTTCACCTTTAAGGTGTCACTCATCTCCCTGTCCTATGATTATTTTTGTGTCAGCCCCACTAGAACACAGGAACTCCTCAAGGGCAGAAACTATGTCCCAGCACCCAGTGTCTGACAGCTCCCAGCATTTGGTAATACAGCATGTGCTCAAAGCATTTGACAAATCAGTGAATGAAAGAATGGGTAGAGAATGAATGAAGGGAGTTAGAATGAGTGTAGCTCTGGCAATTGGAATGCACCTTGTTCTGAGCAGCTGAATTCTCCAGAAATTCTCCGTACGTGTGTGTGCTCATCTTCAGCACTTCTGCATCCAAGAATACTGGTAGTCAGACAAGTTATTCTCTAGAGGTAATCAGAAATGCTTGGTTTAGACTCATTAGTGGGTTACAAAATTAATGTAATAAGTCCTGAAAAGCATTTTTTAAATTAGCTAGAATACAAGAAAACAGAATGTATCCAAATATATAAGGTCAAGTGATTTGGGGACATGTGGCCCAATTTGCCCAGAACACCCTGCTTTATTCTTATTGGCCCAGCATGGTTGCTACCTTCAAAATAATAACTTTCCCAGTGTGTACTGTAAATTGGGTGATCACGTTCATTATACATACATTTGTGTATAATGTATATACTGGTTTATGAAGTAAAGCATATTTCTTACAGTGGACAATGGTCAAAACAACTTTGAAATTATGTAAGATAAGGTGAATATAGAAAACAAAAATTAAAAAATTAAAAGTTTGATAAACACTTTTCTTGAGAGACTCAAACTTCTGAGACTCCGGGGAAGCAGCATCGAGGAGAAAAAGCCAGGGAAAAGCAGAAGAAAGAAAAGAAAATTGAAGTGTGGCTGGATAGCTTTCTAATCCTCACACTATCCTGTGTGGAAGGCAGAACCTTACAAATGGGGAATGAAGCTCACCGGGCTTAAATAACTTGCCCAGGTCTGGTCTATATGCCATCAAGCCACAGTGCCAGCATTGAAATCTAGGTCTACACACACTGAAAAGTAAAAGCATCTTGTTCTACACATAGCAGGGGAAAGGATTTTTTTCCACTTCTTGGACACCACAATATTTGTAACCACATCAAAATTGAGGAGGGGATAATGGAACATATCTCCCAGTGTCCTGTTATGACTTTTGTAATTTAAGAAACATACTTTTATTTTGGAAATATTCTGCATTTGAAAGTAGTTAGCATTTTGATTCAGAGATCAGTTCTTAATTATGGACCAAAAAAGTGGGTAAGTGTTTCAGATTGATGAAATAAGCCTTGCTAGGCAAAAGCAAAGAAAATGAGTAGTTCTGTGCAAAGTGTCACATTAATAAAGAGTGCAGGGTCTGAAGTCAGACAAGCATCGGTCCAAATCTTAACAGCCAGGGGACTGCAGACAGGTTCTCAAATTTCTCTGTGCCTTAGTTTACTCATCTATAAAATGCCCACTACAACAGTACCTACCTCATGGGGTTCTAATAAAGACTAAACAAAAGAATCCACATAAAGCTCTGAACATGTTTCCTGGAATGTGGTAAATGCTTGGTAATGTTGACCACAGTCAAAATAGAAATCAAGACGATTGGAGCCAAAGGTGCTCTCTTCTTACTTTTATTTGTTCTTCCCATCATCATACGCCCCCCACCTTCGATGGTCTTCCTCTAGCTGCTCATACATTCCTGCAATAGCCCCCACTTGGCCATGACGCATTATTTCTTTAAGAGAGTGTTGCACACAATTTGCTAGTATTTTGCTAAGGATTTTTACATCTGTGTTTATGAAGTTTTTTCCCCTTGTAATATCTATCAGATTTCATACCAAGATGACGCTAGCCTCATAAGATGAACTGGGCAGTATTTCATCCTCCTAGTTTCTAAGAGTTTGTGAAACATTGGTATATTTCTTTCTTAAAAGTTTGATAGAATTCACAACCGAAGCCATCTGGGCCTCAAGGTTTTTTTGTGGGAGGTTTTTAAACTACACATTTAATTTCTTTACTAAATATAGGGCTATTCAACTTCTTCAGTCACACACAGTATGTTGTATTTTCTAAGGAACTGTCCATTCATCTAGGTTGTTGAATTTATTGACATGAAGTTATTCATAATATTCATGTATTTTCCTTGTGATGTTTGTAGCATCTGTCCTACTCTCATTTCTAGTATGATATTTTGTGTCTTCTCCCTTTTTTTCTTAACAAATCTGGCTACAAGTTTATAAACTTTGTTGAAATTTTCCAAGAACCAGCTTTAGGTTTCATTGATTTTCTGTATTATTTTTGTTTTATATTTTATTGATTTCTGCTTTTGTCTTTGTTATTTTCTCCCTTCTGTTTTCTTTGGGTTTAATTTGTCTTCCGTGTCTTGATTTTTTCAGGCAGTATCTTAGATTGCTAATTTTAGACCTTTCTTATTTTCTAATATAAACATTTAATATTTTACATTTCCCTTGAGACACTGCTGTAGCTACATCTACATCCCACACTTTTGATATGTTTTCATTTTTATTCAGTTCAAAATATTTTTTAAGTTCTCTTGTGATTTCTTCTCTGACCCATGTGTTGTTTAGTCGTCTATTGCTTAATTCCTAAATATTTGGAGATTTCTCAAATAGCTGTTATTTCTAATTTAATTTCATTATGGGTGGAGGACATACTCTATGATTTCAATACTTTTAAATTTGTTGGAACTTGTTTATGATTAACATTTAGTCTCTTTTTGTTAATGTTCCATGTGAACTTGAAAAGAATGTATTCTGCTGTCATTGGACAGAGTCCAGTTAGGTCCAGTTGACTGGTGCTGTCTTCTACATCCTTGCTGATTTTCTGTCTTACTTCTTTATTGATTGCTAAGTGAAGAGTATTGAAATCTGTAACTGTAACTGTGGGGTTTTGAAAAATTTCCTTTCAGTTCTGTCAAGTTTTGCTACATGTATTTTGAAGCTCTAGTACATTTAGGATTGTCATATCATCCTGATGAATTGACGCCTTTATCATTATGAAAAGTTCCTCCTTATTCCTAGTAATATTCCTTTTTATATTGTCTGCTCTAACATAACCAGTCTAGCTTTCTTGTAATTCATGTTTGCATAGTACATCTTTTTCCATCCTTTTAATTCTAACTTTCTGTTCTACAAAGTGGTTTTCTTGTACACAGCACATAATAGGATCTTACTTTTTGTAACCAGTCTGACAATCTCTGACTTTTAATTCGAGTGTTTAGACCACTTACATTTAACATAATTATCAGTATGGCTGAATTTAAATCTATTATTTGCTATTGGTTTTCTATTAGACTCATCTCTCCTTGCTATTGTTTGTTTCTTTTTTTCTGCTTCTTTTGATTTAATTAGTGCTTTTTAATATTTCATTTTATCTCTATTGCTGGATATATATATGTATATACACAAACACACATATATGTTTTATATATAAAACTTATTTTATTTTTCATAATTTTCCTACTTTTTATAATACACATTTCTAACTCATTATACATGTTCAACTAATATTATGCTACTTAATATGTAATGTAAAACTCTTATAGCTACAGGCTTACCATGGTTTGACTTTATGATGGTAGGAAAGCAATACACATTCAGTAGAAATCATACTTTGGATTTTAAATTTTGATCTTTTCCTTGGCTAGCAATATGCAGTGTGATAGTCTCTTGCAATGCTGGGCAGTGGCAGTAAGCCACAGTTGCCAGCCAGCCATGCAGTCACGAAGGTAAACAACAGATACTCTACAGTGTACTGTGTTGCCAGTGTTTTTTGATACTGTGTTTTATGGTTTTGCATCCCATGGTGTCCCTAAAATGCCAATTTTGACTTACGATATTTTCTACTTACGATGGGTTTATCAGGATGTAACCCCATCATAAATTAAAGGGCATCTATATAGACTTCCACTTCTCCCTATCCTGTCCTTAAAGCTGTGGTCAAATATTTTACTTCTATTAATACATATTTGATATATCTCAAAAATACATTGTTACTATTTTTGCTTCATGCAGTCAATTAGCTTTCCAAGAAATTTAAAAATAAGGACACAAAGTCTTTTCTATTTGTCCACATATTTACTACTTCTGAAATAGTGTCTTTCAAGTTTCCATCTGGTATCATTTTGCTTTGGCCTGAATAATTTCCTTTAAACATTTCTTGTTGCATATATCTGCCGACAACAAATTCCCTCAAGTTATGTCTGATAAACTTTATTTCATCTTTGTTTTTGAAGATGTTTTCATTAAATATAGAATTCAAGGCTGCCTTTTTCTTTGAGCACTCTAAAGATGTTATTTCATTGTCTTCAGGCTTGCAAAGTTGGAGGTGAAATGAAGTCTGTGATCCTTCCATTGTCTGTTTTGTATATAATGTGTATTCTTCTCTGATTGCCTTTAAGATTTTCTGTGCAACACTGGTCTTCAGCAACTTAATTATGTGCCTTTGTTTCTTTATTTCATTTTATTTTTGGAGATGGGGTCTTGTTATGTTGCCCCAGCTGGTCTCAAACCCTAGGCTCAAACAATATTCCCACCTTAGCCTCTCTAGTACCTGGGACTACAAAAGTGCTTGCCACCATACCTAGACCTTAATTTTTTTTGATGAAATTATTTCAGCTCCTGGTTCATTAAGCTTCTTAGATTTATGAAATACAGTTTTCATCAAATTTTGAAATATTTCAGCTATTATTTCTTCAAATACTTTTTCTGTCCCTTATCCTTTTCTCCATGTATGATAGACTGCTTGATATTATCCCACAGATCACTGGGTCTCTGTTCACTATTTTTTTTTCAGTTTTTTATTTCTCTCTGTGATTCATCTTGCATAGGTAACGTTGCTGTATTTGTAGGTTCACTAATCCATTGCCTAATCTATTAATCCCATCTAGTGAAATTTTCATTTCAGATGTTGTATTTTTTTCATCATGGTTCTTTTTTATCTTTCATTGTTTTCTGATTATTATTGTGTTTTTGTTTATTTTTATTTTATTTTATTTTATTTAGAGACAGGGTCTCACTCTGTCACTCGGGCTGGAGCGCAGTGGCACAATCACAGCTCACTACAACCTCAACCTCATGATCCTCCCACCTTAGCCTCCCAAGTAGCTGGGACCACAGGCATGCACCACCACACCCAACTAATTTTTAAATTATCTTTGGTAGAGATGGAGTATCACTTAGTTGCCCAGACTGGTCTTGAACGTCTGAGCTCAAGCAATCCTCCCACTCTAACTTCCCAAATTGCTGGGATCATCCGCGTGAGCCACCATACCCAACTGTTTTTGTGTTTTCCTTTAAATATTGATACACACTAATAAAATTTGTTGTAACATCCTTGTCTGCTAATTCCATTACCTTGTTACTTCCAGTTCTGTTTCTCTTAACTGATTCTTCTTCTTGTTACAGGTATTTTTTTCTGCTTTTTAGCATATCTAGTGATTGTGTTTGATGCTGGCATTGTTATCATTACATTATTAAGTGTCTGCATTATGTTGTCTTCCTTTAAATAGTATTGGACTTTCTTTTGCTAGGCAGTGAAGTTAAGTGCTAATCTTCAAGATCCGTTTTTAAGCTTTACTAGAGAGAGGCTAGGGCTGTGCTGTCCAATAAGGTAGTCACTAGCTACATGTGGCTACTGAAATGCGGCTAATCTGAATTGAGATGTGATAAAGGCATAAAGTACACACTGGATTTGGAAGACCTAGTATGAGAATAAGAACGCAAAGTATCTCATTAATAATTTTATATTGATTACATATTGGTGACACTTTGGATATACTGTGTTAAGTAAAATATATTACTAAAATTAATTTTATCTATTTCTTTTTACTATATATGTGGCATGCATTATATTTCTACTAGACAGCACTGTTCTAGAACAGAGGTCTGCAAACTACAGCCTACAGGATAGCCACCTATTTTTGTTAATAAAGTTTTATGGGAACTCAGCCATACCTACTCACTTATCTATTGTCTATGGCTGCCTTCACACTAAAATGGATTAGTTGTGACAGAGAATATATGACCCACAAGCCTAAAATGTTTGCTCTCTGAAAATTTAACAAAAAATGTCCACCCCCGGTCTAGAGTACCCTTCACTCCAAGGATAGTTCAGCCCTATTTTCTAACTTGTGATGCCTCCAAGGACTCCACTGAATGCTTCAGGGCTGAATGAGGACTCCCCTTTGGCTGGTCAGACAAAAAACACTTTCCCATTTCATGTGTGCTCTGGGTTTATTCAGCTTACAACTAAAAAGTCTTTTCTTGCCCAGACTTGTAGAGCATCATTCTACATACTTGTATCCTAACACTCAGCAAAAATTCAAGAGATTCCTATGCATATTTCTGGAGCTCTTTTTCTGCATAGCTTCCTCCTTCTCAGAACTCTGCCCCAGTACCTCTCACCACCTCAGCCTCCCCAAACTCTGATCTTCATCTCATCAATTCAGCGAGGCTACTAGGATCTGCTCATATCCCTCCTTCCTGGATCCATGGTCTAGAAATTGCTTTCAGACAGAAAACCAGGGCAGTCATTGAATTCACTTTGTTTCTCTTCTCTTAGGGATCACAGTCATATATAGACTGTTGCTCAATGTCTAAAAGCAGTTATTAATTACAATAATTTATAATGGGCAGTTAGGTCAGGCTATTATTATTCCATCATGACTATAAGGTGATGTCCCCTCTACTTATCATTTGATAGGTAGAACTTACTATGTAGTATACTCTGGGTCTTCAGACTTTCCAAAGATTTGGTAAATTTGACTGACTTGTATGTAGCTAGAGAACAAAGTGTAGAACTTTTCCTGCGGTTTGCCTAAATAGTTGATATGCTATATAATCATTGACCACAATTTCTCATGTTCAGGTTACGACAGAGAAGACAAAGAGAACTTGATAGAAGAAGCTGAAAGAAGGGTAGCTTGGAGCTATGCATTTCTGAATCTATTTGTACATTTATATCAGAGGTAGAACAAGCATATTAGCAGGCCTAGAAAAGATGATAGTGCAATGGTGTGATCTTGGCTCACTGCAACCTCTGCCTCCCAGGTTCAAGTGATTCTCCTGCCTCAGCCTCCCGAGTAGCTGGGAATACAGGCATGTGCCACCATGCCCGGCTGATTTTGTATTTTCAGTAAAGACGGGGTTTCTCCATGTTGGTCAGGCTGGTCTCAAACTCCCGACCTCAGGTGATCTGCCCACCTTGGCCTCTCAAAGTGCTGGGATTACAGGCATGAGCCACCGTGCCCGGCCATGATGTACCTCTTTTTAAAGCATGTGAAAAGTTTAGGAAGCAATTATCATTAGCTCCAGATGCTATATTATGTGAAACAAATAGAGCTGTATACCTCCAGGTATTTATAGTGAAAAAAAAGAACTGATCCAAAATACAGATAAATGATAGAGATAGATAGATGGATATCCCCCAAAAAGTTTGTTTTATATTAGTGGCATTTCTTTATTAAGAGATAGAAACTACAATCAGCCGATAAAACCAAAAAGGAAATTAAAAGTAAAAACAAACAAGCATCTATTTTCTCGCACCTGATTAGAAAAATATTTATTTCATAAAAATGTGAAGAACCCATTTGTTGAAAATAGAATGAGTAGTTATACTTTTAGTCAAGGTGGAGGAGATGGAAGAGAACTGGGAAGAGAATAACATCAAAGATGGGTGTCAAAAATAGAAGATTCAAGAATCATATAAAGGGGTAGATAAAAAAAAGAAGTCAAAAAGAAAAAAGGAGAAGAGAGAGGAAAAAATAAAGAACTTGGGGTGCAACAGTGCCAGGCTTATATTAGGTGCTCAAGGAAAGTTTATTAGATAGCTAATGGATGGATGGATGGATGGATGGATGGATGGATGGACAGACAGTAGGAACAATATAATAGAAGAGAATAAACGTGATACCTGAAAGTGAGCATTTGATCTTGTAGAACAGAGAAGAAATCTAATGGAGATAGACAGAATTGTCATGAAGGGTTTTGTAGGATGGTAATTTGTAACTAGTTTAAGTGCAAATAAGTTTTCCCCCAGTTAATTCATGATTGAAACTTCATCTCAAAGGTCAACTTTCTGAAAGAGACCTTGAGCATCAGTCTAGATTAATTCACCTGTTTTATTTGTCTTCTGGTACCATGTATTTTTCCTTTATAACTCTTATTACAGTTTTGAAAAATGTTTTGGTAACTATTTGTTGAATATCTGTTCTCCCACTAGAATGCAGGCTCCATGAGGGAATGAGCTATGCCTTCATTGCTACCCCCTTGTCATCAGGGTCTGGAATAAAGTGTGGCCCAAATTTACCTCCCAATAAATATTTGTTGAGTAAAATGTAAGTAAGTGCATGAATTCAAGAATGAAGGAGGGTGGTACTTGCGGAAATGCAGAGCTGTGAGACCTACCCAGCCCCCATGAGGACTGAGCCTATTCATCCAAGGAGTGGCTTTAGTGCAATAGAAAATGCCCTGGAATTAGAGCCAGGAAGCTTCACATCTGCCTCTGCTATTTACTTACTGTATTAACTAAGACAAGATAATTTATCTCAGCTTCTGTTTTCTGATCTCTTAAATGAGGATTATACACCTCATATGGTTGTTATGAAACTTGGATGAATAGTGTTCAAACTGGGTGTGGTGGCGCATGCCTGTAGTCCCAGCTACTCGAGAGGCTGAGACAGGGGTATCACTTGAGGCCAGGAGGTCAAGGCTGCAGTGAGCTATGATTGCAACATTGCACTCCAGCCTGAACAACAGAGTAAGAAACCATCTCTAAAAAAAAAAAAAAAAAAAAAAAAGTGCTTAGAACTTCTCCAGTGTTTTCTCCCAAGAACCCTTCTGGAAAAAGCGGGCATTCACATCTGTGTTGAACTCAAGGTACACTAAAAACAAAAGCAACTTCTTTGAAACAAATTTTAGCTAAAAAGTTCGTGCAAATGCTTCATTTTATACCATAATATATATCTACATTGTCTCAATGTTGAAATTCTGTTTTAAATTATTCATCAGTTAATTTAGATTTTTATTTCATAAAATAATGGTATAAAATGGATGTTTATAGAACACGCACCATATTATCCTTTGCTTTTCCATATTTTTGAGAAACATGGATTGATGTAAAATGACCTGCTACATGGTGGGCAGGACCTCCATAAGTGTTTGCTGAATCCGAATCTGCCCACCAGAGGAGCTGCAGGGTTGAATCAAAAGCAAAGCTTTTGATTGATGCAAAGAGGATTTCTCCCACAGGAGGAGTGCCCAGGCAGGCTCCTAATCTGGGGATAAATCAAAAGGTACAGGTCAAAAATGACCTATAAACTTATTTGAATCTAGATAATCAAAAGGAAATGATCAGTACTATATAAAATGTAGGCTATATGTAAAATGATTATATATTTACCATAAATTATTAGAATTATCATTATAAATTTGTATAATAATGTTTTATTATATATAAAAATGTTATTATATAATATACTGGACTGTCTACAGAGAAAAAAAACATACTTAATTGTAAAGATTACTCCTGGCCAGATGTGTGGCTCATGCCTGTAATCCCAGCACTTTGGGAGGCCAAGGCGGGCAGATTACTTGAAGTCAGGAGTTGAAGACCAGCCTCGTTAACATGGCGAAACCCCGTCTCTACTAAAAATACAAAAATAAATTAGCCAGACATGGTGGTGTGCACCTGTAATTCCAGCTACTTGGGAGGCTGAGGCAGGAGAATCGCTTGAACCTGGGAGGTGGCGGTTGCAGTGAGCTGAGATTGTGCCACTGCACTCCAGCCTGGACGACACAGCGAGACTCTGTCTCGAAAGAAAAACAAAAACAACAACAACAAAAGCCTCCTATCTTTGGTTTTATTCTTAGAACCTAATGTAAAACAAACAAACCAACCTTCCCCACCCCCAGCTCTATTTTAACATCCAGACTTTGGTCTGCTCTGAATCTGAATTCACCATGAATTCAGCTACACATTTAGCTGTAGCTCAATTTCTATTTCCAAGGCTTTGACCCAATGAAAGCATTAAACATACTATCACAAAAGCAAACCTCCCTATGAACAAACGTGGTCTGCCCTCAGTTTCCTCACTGTAAAGTGGAGATAACAACACCTATCTCACAGGTTGGTTACAAGCATTCAATGAAATGATGCACACGAACATGCCTGGTACAGTGCCTGCCACATTGCAAACGACCACCCAACTTCTAGGGTTTATTCACTGCTTTATCACCAATTTCCACTTGTTACAGGCAGAACTGTGTCCCTAGCCACAATTCATGTTGAAGTCCTAACCCTTCATATCCAAGAATATGACTGCATTTGGGTTGTGTTTGTTTGCTTGTTTTTTGAGACAAGGTCTCACTCCATCACCCAGGCTGGAGTGCAGTGGTGTGATCACGGCTCACTGCAGCCTCGACTGTCCAGTCTCAGATGATCCTTCCACCTCAGCCTCCTGGGCAGCTGGGACTACAGGCACACGCCACCACACCTGGCTAGTTTTTTGTAGAGATGGAGTTTCGCCACATTGTCCAAGCTGGTCTCAACCTCCCAGGGTCAAGCAATCCTCCCACCTCAGCCTCCCAAGAAGCTGGGACTACAGGCACACACCACCATGCTTGGCTAATTTTTGTATTTTTTGTAGAGACAAGGTCTTGCTGTGTTGCCCAGGCTGGTCTCAAACTCCCAGGCTCAAGTGATCCGCCCATCTAAGCCTCCCAAAGTGCTGGGATTACAGGTGTGAGACACCATGCCCAGCCCAATGTGACTGTATTTGGAGATAGGGTCTTTACAGAAGTAATTAAGTTCAAATGAGGTCATTAGAGTAGGACCTAATGTAATATGACCGATGTTCTTTAAGAGAAAATCTGGATGCAGACAGAGGGAAGACAATGTGAAGACAAAGGGAGAAGAGGGCCATCTACAAGTCAACAAGAAGAAGTCTGGAGCAGATCCTTCCCGCACAGCTCCCCTGAAGAAACCAGCCCTGCCAACACCACCTTGATCATGAACTTCCAACCTACAGAACTGCAGGAAAATAAACATCTGTTGTTTAAGCCACCCAGCTATGGCAGCCCTAGCAAACTAACATACCACTAGAATAAAAGCTCCATGAGGGCAAGTGTTTTTCTTTTTGCTCTATACTGTACCCTAAGTGCCTAGGACACAGCCTGGCCCATAGTAAGCACCTAATAAATAATTGTTGACCTATTCCATAAATGTCCAATCCTGAGCCTGGCACAGATATTTAGCAAATATTTGAAGACTGGATAAATGATTCTATTTCCAAATACCAAATTAGAACACAGTCTGAAAAAAAATGTATTACCTGATTTTTAAATATATATATATATAAGCTTTGTTAAATTTTAAATATTGTCACACTTAAATCACCTTAATTGGAAAGGGCAAAATGTCATGAAATCCATGCTGGTCTTGGAAAATCCAATTTTGGTAGAGTACATCCTTAATTGTTTAACATCCAAACTCCTTGGCCTAAATTTAAGCACTGCATAGCTCTCTCTCTTGCCAGTCCAACCTCATTTCCCCAAGTCCCCCACAGGATCCATCTGCTGAAACCACACTGGTCTCTGCATCACTTCCAGAAATACCATCCTGCTAGGCTCAGCTCAAACCCCTCTTCTCACATGAAGCCTTCTTCATCCTCTGAAGCCAAAGTAATAAAGTAATACCACTTTCTTTAGGGACTTTTTTTTTTTTAATGTATCACTTACTTCCTCATACCATTAGTTATATTTGTGTGAGTTTATCTGGTTTCTATTCTAGGTTAAAAACTCCTTGAGGACAGGAACTTTTAAAAGACTTAATTCTACCCTATCTAGGTTGGAGTCCAGCAAATATTATAAAGAGATTTTAATTAAATCACTGGAAAATACACAGTCAGCATTTACACACAACCCCAGCCTTGAAAGCACAGGGAGCCAGAGAAGGCACTGGCAAATCAAAGTCTGTTAACATTAACAACTTGAGCACAAGTTCTACTCAAAGTGGGAAATAGAGAAGAACTACAATAACATAGTTCAAAGTGATGCTGTCACTTCCAAAAGGTATCGCTTTACCGTTAACACCAGTATAATAAATATCCATCATGCCCTACTTTTGAATAATATCTATTTGATTAATGCTGGGCATTTCCTTCCCAAGGCTTCATACTATTCCTCTTGCCACTTGTTCTTTTTCTTGTTTTTGAGACTGGGTCTTACTCTCTTGCCCAGGCTGGAATGCAGTGGCACAATCATGGTTCACTGCAGCCTCAACCTCTCAGGCTCAAGGGATCCTCCCACTTCAGCCTCCTGAGTAGCTGGGACTACAGGCACGCACCACCACACCTGGCTAATTTTTCTATTTTTTGTAGAGACAGGGTTTCACTATGTTGTCCAGGTTGGTCTTGAACACCTGGGATCAAGCGATTCTCCCGCCTCTGCTTCCCAAAGTGCTGGTATTACAGGCGTGAGCCACCTTACCTGGCTCCCCTCTTGCTGTTTTTTTGATTAAGTAGGCATTTGCCTCAGATAACCAGATCAGCAGCAGGACCAAGAAATACACTTCAGCTGTTTTGTGGGCTTTGGCAAACAGTTAATGTGTGTTTGTGCAATCATAGGTAGAAGGAATACCATAAAGAATTAATTACTTTTTTAAAAAATATCTGATTCTTCTGATTCACTTGATATGAAACATGAGCCAATGTCAAACAAATTCTTTTCTCTTGGCCAGGCACAGTGGCTCACGCCTGTAATCCCAGCACTTTGGGAGGCCGAGGCAGCTCAAGAGTTCAGAGACCAGCCTGGGCACCATGGTGAAAATACAAAAAATTAGCCAGTCACGGTGGCGTGTGCCTGTAGTCCCAACGACCTGGAAGGCTGAGGTGAGAGGATCACTTGAGCCTGGACGGTCAAGGCTGCAGTGACCTGAGATTGTGCCACTGCACTCCAGCCTCGGTGACAGAGGGAGACCCTGTCTCCAAAAAAAAAAAAAATTATTTTCTCTAATTTAATGGGAAAAAGCAGTGTAATATTCCTCAAGTGGCTTTCTAGCTGCTTGATCCCATCTTCATATGACCTTTAAAAATTTTGTTGCTATATTTCTTTTCATATAATTGCATCCAAGCAATATGATAAATAAAGGTAGTTAGGATGAGGCAGGAGAGTGGTTCCTAACCTCACACATAAGCACGAATGTCAGTCCTTGGCTATTTCAGTAAGCATTCTTCATTTAACCCCCAGTCTAATATTTTTATGTGACATAACAATGATACTAGAGGAGGGCAGGGAAGTGTAGGGAAGGGAAGGGAAGGGTGTGGTCCCTGGCTAGAGCTCCACCCGTGAGCCTGTGCCCACGGACCTATGTGAGGACAGGCATTTCTGTTTTCCTGCCTAAATGTTGCATTTCCCAAGACCACTCCAGCCTGCCATGCCCCCATCCTGTGCCTATAAAAACCCTGAGACCCTAGCAGGCAGAGACACAAGCGGCTGGACGTTAAGAGGAACGCACCAGCGGAAGAACACAAGAGGAACGCACTGGCATAAGAGTACACCGACAGACACTGGCAGGCCGTCAACCGGGGGAACAACACAGTTTGGCCAGAGTGGTCGGAGGAGGGCCCAGGCTGCTGAGTGGCTGGACTCCAGGGGAAAACCACCTTCACATTCTATCCCCCTTCTGGCTCCCCCACCTGCCGAGAGCTATTTTAACTCAATAAAATCTTGCACTCAGGCCGGGCGTGGTGGCTCACACCTGTAATCTCAGCACTTTGGGAGGCTGAGGCAAGTAGATCACTTGAGATCAGGAGTTCGAGACCAGCCTGGCCAACACGGTAAAACCCATCTCTACCAAAAATACAAAAATGAGCTGGGTGTGGTGGCACATGCCTGTAGTCCCAACTATTTGAGAGGCTGAGGCAGGAGAATCACTTAAACCCAAGAGGCAGAGGTTGCAGTGAGCCAAGATGGTGCCACTGCACTCCAGCCTGGGCAACAGAGTGAGACTCTGTCTCAAAACAAAAAACCAAAAACCTTGCACTCATTCTCCAAGCCCATGTGTGATCCAATTTTTCTAGTACACCAAGGCAAGAAACCCCAAGATGCAGAAAGTCCTCTGTCCTTGCAATAACGCAGGGGGTCTCATTGAGCTGACTGACACAAGCCACCTACGGATGGCTAAACTAAAAGAGCACATGGTAACACACGCCCACTGGGGCTTCAGGAGCGGTAAACATTCACCCCTAGACGCTGCCATGGGGCTGGAGTCCACACTCCCCATGACCTGCCCATCTGCCTGCTCCCCCTAGGGTTTTTTGTTTTTTGTTTTTTTTCTTGAGACAGTCTTGCTTTGTTGCCAAGGCTGGAGTGCAGTGGTGTGATCTCAGCTCACTGCAACCTCCACCTCCCAGGTTCAGGCAATTCTCCTGCATCAGCTTCCTGAGTAGCTGGGATACAGGCGTGTGCCACCACGCCCAGCTAATTCTGGTATTTATAGTAGAGACAGGGTTTCACCATCTTGGCCAGGCTGGTCTCGAGCTCCTGACCTCAAGCGATCTGCCCAGCTCAGCCTCCCAAAGTGCTGGGATTACAGGCATAAGCTACGGAGCCCAGCCACCCCTAGGGGTTTTGAGGAGCAGGGCACCGAAGAAGCGAGTCCAAGCCACACCCCATCGCATGCCCTACAAGGGGGACAAGAGAATTTTTCTCCTTTCAATAGGACATCCATTTTTATGTGATATAAAAGGACGTTTTATATGAAACTCTTAATTATAATACTTTAAATATAATATGTAATTATTAAATATTATAATTAAATTTAATTATATTTAATATTTTCCTTGAGAAATGGCTTTAAATTATACTATTTTGAGTAAAGTTGATACTTTCAAGAATATAACAGAGGTACTAAAGCAAGTGATAAGCCATAAGGTATAAGATATAAAAATACAAATCAATACTAGATAAATAATAGTATAAGCATCCTATTTATGGAGAAATAAATTCAAATTTTAAAAGTCATGTATATGTCCGGGCACAGTGGCTCACGCCTATAATCCCAGCATTTTGGGAGGCCAAGGTGGGTGGATCATGAGGTCAGGAGTTCGAGATCAGCCTGGCCAACATGGTGAAACCTCGTCTCTACTAAAAATACTAAACTTAGCCAGACGCGACGGCAGGCACCTGTAATCCCAGCTACTTGGGAGGCTGAGGCAGGAGAATGGCTTGAACCCAGGCAGCAGAGGTTACAGTGAGCTGAGATTGCGCCACTTCACTCCAGCCTGGGTGACAGTGAGACTCTGTCTCAAAAAAAAAAAAAAAAGAAAAAAGAAAAGAATAAGAAAAGTTATTTTTATGGCCAAGGAAATTAGTTGTTAGAAAAATATAGAACTGTCTGTTAAGTATAAAAATTGTAACAGAAACTATAAAAAAGACAAAGCCCTTGCTCTAAGTAGCTTATAAACAACTACAAGAGTTCAAGCAAACTAGAAATGTATTTGGGTTTGTGTTTGTTTTTGTTTTTGTTTTTGAGACAGTCTTGCTGTCACCTAGGCTGGAGTGCAGTGGCGCGATCTCAGCTCACTGCAACGATTCTCCTGCCTCAGCCTCCTGAGTAGCTTGGGAATACAGGCATGTGTCACTGCACCCAGCTAATTTTTGTATTTTTACTAGAGACAGGGTTTCACCATGTTGGCCAGAGTAGTCTCGAACTGCTGACCTTAAGTGATCCGCCCCCTGCTCGGCCTCCCAAAGTGCTGGGATCACAGGTGTGTGCCACTGCACCCAGCTAATTTTTGTATTTTTAGTAGAGACAGGATTTCACCATGTTGGCCAGGCTGGTCTCCAACTCCTGGCCTCCAATGATCCACCTGCCTCAGCCTCCCAAAGTGCTGGGATTATAGGCATGAGCCACCGTGCCCAGCTGCTAACTAGAAATGTAAAGTGCACAGAGTGGTAGTGCTGGTAATAATTCTAGAGTATAAAAACAATTTAAAATTTTTTGGAGAATTTGTTTTTCAGATTTGAAAAGAAAAGGTGAATGATACACATATCTGTTTAAAACAATGATACAGGAAAGGTTTTCTTTAAAACAGGCTAAAAATTTTTGCCTTCCTTTCCTAATTTCTAAAGATGATGGAATAGAAAGACCATTATCTGGGCCAGGTGCGGTGGGTCACGCCTGTAACCCCAGCACTTTGGGAGGCCGAGGTGGGCAGATCACTTGAGGTCAGGAGTTTGAGACCAGCCTGGCTAACATGGTGAAATCCCCATCTCTACTAAAAATATAAAAATCAGCTGGGCATGGTGGCGTGCACTTATAATCCCAGCTACTTGGGAGGCTTAGGCAGGAGAATAGCTTGAACTCGGGAGGCAGAAGTTGTAGTGAGCCTAGATCACACCACTGTACTCCAGCCTGGGAGACAGAGCAAGACTCCATATGAAAGAAAGAGAGAAAGAGAAAAAAAGAGAGAGAGAGACAGAAATTAAGACTGTTATCTGGAATTGAAATAATAACATAATCAACAGTGTTGGCAGGGTGCAGTGGTTCACACCTGTAATCCCAACACTTTAGGAGGCCGAGGCAGGTGGATCACGAGATGAGGGGTTCGAGACCAGACTGGCCAACATGTGAAACCCCGTCTCTACTAAAAATACAAAAATTAGCCAGGTGTGGTGGTGGACACCTGTAATCCCATCTACTCGGGAGGCTGAGGCAGGAGAATTGCCTGAACCTGGAGGTGGAGGTTGCAGTGAGCCGAGATCTCAGACACAGCAATTGCTGTGTCTGAATTATACAATGCATCTTTGTCAGTCATCTGTACCAAATGGTCTAGATTAACTGGGGTTTTTTTTTTTTTTTGGAGGGGGGGGCGTTGTTGTTTGTTTGTTTGTTTGGATCTAAGGGTACTTCTGCAGGTGCAGAAGAAAGTTAAGGGAAATACATTAATAAATGTGACTAATTTTGTCATTATCCAAACTACACTACTCATTTGATAACTACCACCTAATGAAAATTGAAAAGTCCTGAGGACTGGACTCCAGACAGGTACTTTCAAATGCATCATAACTGGGAACACCTTGAGATATGTGGTTCGAGAAAGTAAGCTGATATCCTACCAAGAGTGTCTCTCCTGGGAGGTGGTGACAAATGCTCCTCAAGACTTCTCCTGTTTCCTCCTAAATCTTGGGAACTCCTTTAAGACGCCCTCATCTTCATAGTACCAAATGAAAGAAAATCAATTGCATTTGAAACAATTTGCCACATAAGAAAATAAACAAACATGGAAAAGGAGACACATTCGTGTGAATCTCAGGGGAAATCTTATTTTTCAGATATTGATGAAATAGCAAAAGAAACAAGATGAGTTTAGAATACCATCATCCATTCCTGCTTCTTTTGAATCCATTTCCCTTATCTTTAGTGCAGAAAAGGAAACTGATTAGATACATTACTGTGTAGCAAAAGTTGTACTCAAATTTTGAAAGTGTTTCCCTCCTTTTTAAAAAACTAAATGTTTCTCTTTTTTAGAAAGTGAATTTTCTCTATTGAGAAGATACCATGACCACTAGGCAGAATTATATATTTAGTTGTGCTAGAGCACTGATGACTTCTTTTATGATGATTTTTTTAAATGTTTAAATATTCCTCATAAACCTGCAAAACTTAAGTGCTAGACTCTATAACGTTTCATAGTTAATAGACCCATTTGCAACAGCAATGAGAAAAATTTAAATTTAAGTCCAGACACGTCACATAAAATTATTGACTGGCTGGGCTGTGCACAGTGGCTCACGCCTGTAATCCCAGCACTTTGGGAGGCCGAGGCAGGCAGATCATGAGGTCAGGAGATTGAGACCATCCTAGCTAACACGGTGAAAACCCATCCCTACTAAAAATACAAAAAATTAGCCAGGCATGATGGCACGCGCCTATAGCCCCAGCTACTAGGGAGGCTGAAGCAGGAGAATCTGTTGAACCCAGGAGGCGGAGGTTGCAGTGAGCCGACATCGCACCACTACACTCAGCCTGGGTGACAGAGCAAGACTCTGTCTCAAAAAACAAACAAAAAAAAACCAACAATTATTGACGGGCTAAAATATTCTGGAAAATCTAATAAACTAAACATATTGATGTGAGCATGAACACAATATATATTGTAGATTTCTTGTTCCTATCACAAGCAAGTAACTTTAAGGGCAAAGCACACCAAAAAAAAAAAGCCTTTTACATAATTCAAAGCTGTCCATACTTTCTTTTATCCTCTTCCATTCTTTTTTATTATTTTTTTTTAATTTTTATTTATTTATTTTTTATTATACTTTAAGTTTCTAGGGTACATGTGCACAACATGCAGGTTTGTTACATATGTATACATGTGCCATGTTGGTGTGCTGCATCCATTAACTCGTCATTTACATTAGGTATATAACAGTATCTTCAAGACAAGGGGAGGAAGGGAAGACACACTGCAATATACATCTGGACATATTTTAAAGATATTCACGATAGAAGAAAGCACAAATTAATGAATAAACAATTGGATAGATGACGTGCCTTGTTTGATGTGAGAACACTTAATAAAAGGTTAAAATTAATGAGCTAAGGGAAGAAAACATGGCTAAAAGGGCTGGTAGCTCTGTAAGGGTGGGGACAGGGCGGGGAACAGAGTCAGGGAGACAAACAGGATGCTGGGAGGTGAGAAATAAGGGTGGGGAGTAGTGGGCAATCTCAAGAGGAACTAACAAGGCCGTTGCTTATAGTTACCCAGAAAACCTACGAACAATAACAGACAAGCAGATGCAGCTCAGAAAGAAACAGCGGAGCAGCTAGAAGCCCCTCCTGCTGAGACAACGCACCAGACACGTTAATGGTGTTTGGGGGCTGCAGGTCATCTCTCACATACTCACATCCACAACTGCTGACACCTCTGTTTCCCGTCGAATCAACAGATCCTGGCAAAAGACCCCCAGAGAGGATGAATGGACCTTGATCCAGGAGTTTTAATATATTCCTATCTCTTCAGAAATAGGAACTTCGGCTCTACTCATTCTAGTTTGCTGGCTTTTCTATTTTTGGTTTTGGTGGGTTTTTTTTGTTTTGTTTTGTTTTTTGTGTTTGTTTTTAGCTTTTCTTCTTTGGAAAGGTTTGTCAAGTAAATACTGTTACGTGTCATTTTGAAGAGGAAATTCCAGTTCCAAGAACCAGCACAGGTCCAACTATCCAAGCAGTCTTTAAAAAGCCAAAGAGTCGGCCGGGTGCAGTGCCTGCAATCCCAGCACTTTGGGAGGCCGAGGCAGGCGGATCACAAGGTCAGGAGTTGGAGACCAGCCTGGTTAACATAGTGAAACCCTGTCTCTACTAAAAACACAAAAACTAGCCGGGTGTGGTGGGACATGCCCATAATCCCAGCTATTCGGGAGGCTGAGGCAGGAGAATCACTTGAAGCTGGGAGGAGGAGGTTGCAGTGAGCTGAGATCATGCCACTGCACTCCAGCCTGGGCGACAGAGCTAGACTTCATCTCAAAAAAAAAAAAAAAAAAAAAAAAAAAACCCACAGTCAATAAAAGACGTTTGCCTTCTCTCACTGCCCTTGATTCCTAGAGCCTCCCTCTTCACCACCTCCTGCCCCGCTAGACTCAGCCCCCTTCAAAATCCCAATCAAAGGACTGCACCTCTGGCTCTGAGGTGCTTTCAAAGGGCCAACTTGCAAAACTGTGCTTCAGATCTGACACTTAATCATACACAACTTGCCCGTTTCTTTCTTTCTTAGCGGTTTTTTTTTTTTTTTTTTTTGAGACAGTCACTCTGTCGCCCAGGCTGGAGTGCAGTGGCACAATCTCGGCTCACTGCAAAGTCGCCTCGCAGGTTCAAGCGATTCTTCTCCCTCAGCCTCCGGAGTAGCTGGGATTATAGACACGTGCCACCACGCCCAGCTAATTTTTGTATTTTTAGTAGAGACAGGGTTTCACCATGTTAGCTAGGCTGGCCTCGAACTCCTGACCTCAAGTGATCCACCACCTCAGCCTCCCAAAATGCTGGGATTACAGGCGTGAGCCACCATGCCTGGCATTTTAGCTATTTTTTAAAACACACTTGTTTCTTATTACAAAAGGAATACATGCTCATTAAAGAAAAAAACTCAGAATATTGAAAGGCAAAGAAAAAATATCCCCCCTACTCCTATCACTTGGATATGAGCATTATTATCATTTTCATGTTTTTGTGTATTAGCAAATCTTTTTTAATTGCCAGGGTGATGAAGAACTCTCCACTGTTCATGTGGGAGAACCATGTGTTTAATTTTTTCTAGGACAGATCAGCAAAACTTCCAAAGCATTTGTGAAGGCAGAATGGCTTGCCAGGTTGGGAGACCAAGGAATAAAAGGCTGAAGTCCTCTTCCCAGCCAAGTACCAGGGGAGCCTGTGCAACTGAGCTTTTACACGGAGGGAAATGCTTCAAACTTCAGGGTTTTGGAAGTGTGGGCATGCAATGCACTTGGAATGAGCAGAAAAGAAAAGGTGGCAAGACCACTTCCCTAGAGCACAGTGTACACCCTGCCTCTTTGCTGGCTTAGTCACTAAGGTAGAAAAATGCTCACACGTGCACATGTACATGTGCATGTGTGTACAGGGTGAGAGAGAGAGAGATGACATATGTATATATACATGAATAGATGTATGCACCCTTTGCTTGCTGCCTTCTGCTCTGCACTGTTGGAGCTTTATACTGACATTAAACTTCATGTCATTTTTATATGCTATCATGCCACTCACCTGCTTAAAAACCTTCTGTGGTTTCCCGATGTCAAATTCCAATTTTCTCCACAACATGGCCTTGACTGACCTCTCCTACCTTATCTCACTCCACTCCTAAGTGACCCAGGTTCCTGTTGGACCCTTTGCCTCCATGCCCTTTCCAGATCCTAAAATGTGATTTCTAGCCCCTTCTGCAGCCATGAAGTTCTAACACAGATATCACCTCCTCCATGAAGATTTTGAGGATTTCCTGACCAGATGTCATTTCTTTTGCAAGACTGTAAGCTCCTTGAAGACAAAAACCAAACCACACATTACTGCTCATATTTTGGACAAATAAATTTACCTTTTTATCCATTTAATTCTCATATCATTGTCCTTTTCTAAATTTTATTCATTATATTCTTGGCCGGGCACAGTGGCTCACACCTGTAATCCCAGCACTTTGGGAGGCCAAGACAGGAGCATCACTTGAGATCAGGAGTTCAAGACCAGCCTGACCAACATGGTGAAACCCCGTCTCTACTAAAAATACAGAAATTAGCCAAGGGTGGCACACACCTATAATCCCAGCTACTTGGGAGGCTGAGGCAGGAGAATCGCTGGAACCCAGGAGGCAGAGGTTGTTGCACTGAGTTGAGATTGTGCCACTGCACTCCAGCCTGGGTAACAGAATGAGATTCTGTCTCAAAAATAAAATAAAATAAAATAAAATAAAATAAAATAAAATAAAATAAATTGTATTCATTATATTATTATTTCTGCATTGTGTAATAATTAAGCAGAATAATACATATATTCTCTCTAATTCCTTGAATGCAGGGATTATGTCATACATATTTCTTGCACTATCACCCCCACCCGAGACCTATGGTAAAAGTTCAAGCAATACTAACTGAAGTAGATTAAATTCAAGATTTAAATGCCAATAATTATTCCTTAACATAGAGGAGAGGGATGGAAACATAAAGAGTCCACCTTACTCCAAAATAGTTGAAAAACAGCCTCATTCCAAAACAAGGGAGGTAGTTTTTCTTACTTTGTGGGTCTCCCATTCTTTACTTACTCTGACTACCAGCACAGGAAAAATCTAGGTAGTCTCCAACTCAGCAAGAAGTTGCAGTCTCTTTGTATGTGTAGGACATTGATTTGGAAATTATAAATAATTTCGCTTTGAAGTCATAGTATAAATAATGTTTTAAGGTCTCTGACAGGTCTCCAAAAGTTGACTGAAACTCTTAATAAAGAAGAAATAATATGTTTTCAATAAAAAGTA
The DNA here is from genome assembly GCF_000001405.40 of Homo sapiens. Taxonomy (NCBI): domain Eukaryota; kingdom Metazoa; phylum Chordata; class Mammalia; order Primates; family Hominidae; genus Homo; species Homo sapiens. The sequence goes on from NC_000004.12 coordinate 38,657,748, forward strand.
GAAAATAAAACTACTGACATATTTTACTTGCAAAATAACCAATAAACAATGAAATACACGTGATTTTTTTTTTTTTTCTTTTGAGATGGAGTCTTGCTCTGTCGCCCCTGCTGGAGTGCAGTGATGCAATCTCGGCTCACTGCAAGCTCCGCCTCCCGGGTTCAAGCAATTCTTCTGCCTCAGCCTCCAGAGTAGCTGGGATTACAGGCGCATGCCACAGCGCCCGGCTAATGCTTATATTTTTAGTAGAGACAGGGTTTCACCATGTTGGCCAGGTTGGTCTCAAACTCCTGACCTCAGATGATCTGTCTGCCTCAGCCTCTCAAAGTGCTGGGATTACAGGTGTGAGCCACCACACCCAGCCCAAGTGATTATTTTTAATTTGAATAATCATGATTCAAGGAAAGCAGATTTAACTATAGAAAAAGGATATCTTCTAACCATTCTCTCCTGGTGGCTATCTTCCATGTTTCTCAGACATTTTTTTTTTTTTTTAATGGAATTAAGACATGACTTGAGGGCCTAAGTCTTACTCTGCCCATAGCTCTGAGTAATTTCAGGATCCACAAGGAACCATGTTTAACACCCCAGTCACTCTTTTCACTCATCTCTTCATCTTCAGGGATCTTCTCCACTCCCTTCTAGTTCTCCCACTTCCGCAGGCACTCCCTGGACCGCACCATCCCCTAGGACTGCTTCACCTCTAAATACTAAACTTACAGGTAGGTCCCCATTCTCTGACAACTCACCTCCTAACCTTCCAGGTCACTCACTCCATTATTCCCAAGACACCCATTCTTCAACCTATTTGGAATGTCCAGTTCACCAATCCCTTGGCTATTTCTCTACAGCCTTATTCTGTTTTACCTCTCTGAGTTAGGTCCCAAGAACCAACATTTCCACTGTGCCACTGTCCTTGGATTGCACTGTCCTGCCAAACACAATCCAAGACAACTGTCCACCTGCACTAGAAATGCTGAGAGCTTCTGGAGGTGGGAGTGGATCATACATCCAGTCTGATCTTCACCAGAACTCATGGTCACCTAACTCAACCTCGGTATTTCCTGGCAATTCTAAATTAGATGGATGGATAGATAATAAAGGTGGAAACTTGCAGAGATGATGCAGAGAATCTCCACACCTTTTGTAATGTTTTAGAGATGGATAATTCTTAGACTAGCATTTCTAATTTTACTTCAAATCATATAGCTTTGTTTTCCTTTAAGGTAAATGTATCTGTGCTGCTCGTAAATTCACAAGCACATGACACTTTTCTGCCTTGGTAGCTTTGTCTGTCATCACACGAGGAGGAGAAATGCCCTGGGAAGAAATAGAAAAGCTCTAAAGTAGATTGGAAAAGAAATAAGAAATCTCAAGAAAATGTATTTGTGTAGCAGGAAGAGACTGCCTGAGATGGGATATACTGTGATGTAAGTCACAAAAGAGAAAGTGGAGGTTTGCAGTGGCTTGTGTCCACTAGCCCCTGAATCCATTTCAACATGGTGTTATTGTCCTGGGGTAGCTTAGCTGTCATACATTAATTAACAAATACTTATGGAACACCTTCTACTTCTATTTGTCAGACACTGTTCTAGAAGCTTGAGAAAAAGTGAATAAAACAATGTCCCTGCTCTCACAGAGCTCACATCCTAATAAGAAAAAAAGGTAGCAAATAAACAAAAAAAGAAAGGGGGTTTTTAGTTAACGATATACAAAAAAAGAAAAGAAAATAGGACAATGACTAAACAATGAATGGGCATATTAGTCCATTTCGTGTTGCTGTAAAGGAAACACCTGAGGCTGGGTAACTTATAAAGAAAACACATTTATTTGGCTCACTGTTCTGCTGGTTGGAAGGCTCCTTCCTTGCATGGCAGAAGGTGAAGGGGAGCCAGTGTGTGCAGAGATCACAGGGCAAGAGAGAAACAAGAGAGCCAGGAGGGAAGTGCCAGGCTCGGTTGTTTTTTTTTTGAGACAGAGTTTTGCCCTTGTTGCCCAGGCAGAAGTGCAACAGTGCAGTCTCAGCTCACTGCAACCTCCGCCTCCCAGGTTCAATCGATTCTTCTGCCTCAGCCTCCCAAGTAGCTGGGATTACAGGCGCCCACCACCACACCTGGCTTCTATCTTTTTTTGTATTTGTAGTAGAGATGGGGTTTCATCACGCTGGCCAGGCTGGTCTCAAACTCCTAACCTCAGGTGATCTGCCCACCTCGGCCTCCCAAAGTGCTGAGATTACAGGCGTGAGCCACCAGGCCTAGCCCAGGCTCTTTTCAAGAATCAGCTTTCTCCGAAACTAACATAGGAAGTGTTCACTTATTCCCCATCCTCAGGGAGAGTGTTCATCTATCCATGAAGGATCCACTCCCATGACCCGAACACCTCCCATCAGGCCCCATCTCCAACGCTGAGGATCAAATTTTGACACGAGATTTGGAAAGGACAAATATCTGAACCATAGCAAAGAGGAAGGGGGGTATGTTTTAAATTGTGTGGTCAAGGAAGTCATTCCTGAGGAGGCAACATTTGAGCTGAAAACAGAATGACTTGAAAAAAAAAAAAACTATCCACATGGAAACGGAAACGTTGGCTTTCTCTCACGAATACAAGATGGCTACTACAGCTTCAAGCATCACATCCTCACCTAACAGCTTCCAAAGCAGGTCTGGGGATTTCCTTGTATCAGGAAAAAAACCCCAGCACACTTCCCTTCATGTCCCACTTGCTAGAACTAGGTTGCATACCTACCCTCCAACCAGTCACTGGCAAAAGACACTGGGATTGGCTGGGAGTAACCAGGGTTCCTCTGCTGGGACCAGGCATGGGTATCCTCCACTGAGGATAGGCTTCCCACACCTAAACCAGACTGGCCTGCTGTCAGCAAGGAAAAAGCGCAAAGCAGCTACCACAAAGATCACACTTGAGATTGTCATGTAGGATTTACTGAACACCTGACCATGTTCCAGGCACTGTGCTAGTGTTAGGAATTTTAAAAAGACCCAGGCATCGCTTTTACTATCTCACTCTGTTGCTTAAAAGCACTCAGGGGGGGTAACTCCCTCTTCCCTCCTCTTCACCATTTCAAAGCCCCTGGACTGATGGAGGTATAGTTCACTGCCACTTGCCTCCCTATAGCCCCCACTCACCTCTTCAGCTCAGAATGACTCCTCCCTCCTCGCAACTCATAAACCACATTTATTCCTTTGACAAATATTCATTGAACATCTGGGCCCTGGGAATACATTTTTGCTGAAAAGACAAGGTCCCTGCCCTCATAGAGTTTCCAGTCTAGTGCCACAGAGAGATCATTAAATAGCCAACTACAAGAACGGAAAGTGTTACAAGAGGGGAAATAGGAGGATCCACTCCCATGACCCAAACATCTCCCATCACGCCCCACTAGATGTTACCAGAGCACCTCAACTTGTCCAAAGGTGCAGTGAGAGAATACATATTTGGAGAAAATGTCATTTAAGTCAAGACTGAAACGATGTATAGAATTTAGGGAAATGGGAGTAGAGGTCAGGTTGAGAAGACAAGGCTTTTCTACCTAGAAAAATGAGCATGTGCAAAGGGCCAGAGGTGGGAAGAGAGAGTTGGAAGAAAGGAACGGAAAGAAGTTCAGCGTTGCTGGAAAAGAGTAGGAAGAGAGAAGAGGAAGAAGTGTCTGTAATGACAGGCAGAGGCCAGGCCAGCAGGGGTGGAAAGCTTAGGACTTCATCCTATGGGAAGCCATTGAAGGGACTGACACGATCAGGCTTGCATTTTGGAAAGGGCACTCTTACTCCCGTGCTCCAATGCCTTTTTCATGCTTCAGCCCATACTACAAACAGGATGACAGGATGACCAACAAGACATGGTGGCAACAGGCTGGGCCAGCATAGTGGCCAGAGAGTGGGTAGTGACCAAGGAGGTCCAGGACTCAGTGAAACATGGGCTATGCCCTGCTAGCGAGAAGAAAGGCTTAGGTGCTTCTGTTGGGGTTTTGTTTTTTTTTTGTTTTGTTTTGGTTTTTTTTTTTTTTTTGACAGAGTCTCACTCTGTTCAGTGGTGACATGATCTCAGCTCACTACAACCTCCACCTCTTGAATTCAAGCAATCACCCTGTCTCAGCCTCCCTACATAGCTAGGATTACAGGCGTGCGCCGCCATGCCTAATTTTTGTAATTTCCGTAGAGACGATGTTTCGCCAACTTGGCCAGACTGGTCTCGAACTCCTGGCCTCAAGTGATCCACCCAACTCGGCCTCCCAAAGTGCTGGGATTACAGGCGTGAGCGACCGCGCCCCACCCTGTTGGGCACTTTGAAGAATGATGGTGTCCTTCACTGAGCTACCCAGCACTAGATAGATTCATTTCCGACAAGTTGCATTTGAGCAGCTTCCCACAGGGCACCGAACACAGTGTTCACTAATTAACTGTTTAAAATGGCTTTTCTTCTCCTTTGCCGCCTGCCCCTTCCATATCAAAACCACTCCCTTCTTATCTTGGGTCACACTTTTCTCCGACAGGCCTATTTCGCTCTTCCCCTTTGCGTCCACACCCACATGAACAAGGTAAAAAACATGGTTTATGTGCTTCAAGTTCTCGTCACTGTGTCCCTGGAGAAAAAAACGTACTTTTTTGAGCACCTACTATGAGCCAGTTTCACCAGCCATTCCTAGCACGGTGTTCCGCTAATGCAAACCTTAAGGCAGCCAATCAGCCATTTAATGATGTCAGTGATCAATAAATGGCAATTAGTAATTGACACGAATCCAACTCTTTTTTTTTCTGGAATGTCTTTTATTCATTATGAAGAAAAAAAAAACTCACACCCTTTACATTTTAAAGATGAAGCTTATGGGACAGCACGACGTCCCATGAGCCGGCGTCGGTTCTGGGTATCCTCCACGTGGCCTTTCCTGGACTTGCGTTATTTAAAATATGCGATTTCACTACTTGAGGTTACCGAGTACTAATTTTACAATACTGTGTAGCTACATGAAGCGGCTCGAAATATACTATTATCACTCCGTTTTAAGCAGCACGATGTCTGGATGAAGCATCAAAGCGAGATGGGTCAACTTAAAGGGCCTTTAAAACATCTTGAAGCAATAATAAGCCATACACTGAAGCAGGGGCGGTTTTAAACATTACACAGAACTTAAAACAATCGAACGAATTCGTCCTTTGTTCTTTTTATTACATTAATTATTACATTAATACTGTTTAAAAAGAAACTCAAAAGGCATTAAACTTAGGTACCAATCTACACAAAGTCCTCGAAGGGGCCTGGCTTGGACCGAACGCGCTTTTGTGCCGCCCCGCTCGCTCGCAGCACCCTGAAGGCCACTGAGCTTAGGGCGCTAGGTCCCTAGAAGCGACTTGAAATGAGGGGGTCGCCAGGCCAGGCCCTCGCTCTGCAGGGGAGGATCCGACCAAAGTTTGCCAAGTTTCCAGGCAAGCCCAACTGCGCAAATGCCGCTTTTTAGCTCCAGCGGCAGGCCTGGCCCGTGGGAGTTTTGCCCCAGGGGTCTCCGGGCCTTCAAAGAAAAGTCCCACGAGGTGGGGGGCGCCGCCTGGGCCGCCGGCCAGGGGGACCCGTCGCCCCAGGGCACAAAGAAAGAGCGCGCCTACAGGGTGTCCCCTGACCCCGGCGACTCGGGGCCAGGGAGGCTCGGCGCGCCCCAGCGGCCGCTCTTCCCCTCCCGAACCCGCCCGGCCCACTCGCTCCTGCACCGCGGCCGCCTCGGCTCGGCTTTTCTCTTGCAGTGAGCTGAGTGCGCTCAGCCGAGGAGGGGCCGCGCCGCGCCGCGCCGGCCGCGGGGCCCAGCCCTTCCCGCCGCGCCCGGGGCCGCCCTTCCCGCTGGAGCCGGCTGATCGATGGCCCTGGCAGCCCGCGCCCCCCGCCTCGGCTCGCCCGCGAGCCCGGCTGTGTGTTTTGGAAGCAGCGCAGCGGGCCGCAGCCGTGTGACGCCCGGAGCGGGCAGCGCCGCCCTTCCTTCCCCCCGGGCTCGGGCGGCGGCGCGGCGGCTGGGCCGGGCGGGAGGGCTGGCGGGGCGCGGACTCCGGGGAGGAGGGCGCGGGGAGGGGACGCGGGCGGGGACGCGGGCGGGGGGCGGAGGCCGCGCCGCGCACGCCCAGCCCCACGGCCGCGCCGCGCCTCGTGGGACAGGTTGGGCCGGCGGGGCGGCGCCCGGCTCCGGGGAATAATGAGTGTCTGTCAGGCCGTCCCCGGGTGACTGGGCGGGGCGGGGCGGAGGCGGCGCGGGAGGCGGGGGTGGCGGGGGAAGGGCGCAGGGCGGGGTGCGTGTTTGCGCGAGTGACTCGGCCGACCCCTCCGGCGGCTGCCTCCACCCAAGTGGGTGGGGACCCGCCCAGCCCGGGCGGCCGCGGCGGCTCCCTCTCCCCTCCCTGACCCTCCCACCCCGGGTCCCAGCCTCTACTTACCCCGCCAGCCCCGGGAGGCTCGCAGAGCGAGCGGCGCCGGCGTCATGTGACTGCCCGGAGTTGGTGCCAGGAGCCAGAGGGGAGCCAGGAGCGGAGCCGCGCGGAGCCGGGGCCCGAGCCGGAGCGCAGCGAGAGCGCCCGCCGCACGCGCGCCCGTCCCCGTCCCCTGCGGCCGCCAACGCCGCCCGGACTGGAGCCCTGACATTGCTGCGCTCGGGGGGCTCCAGGCAGCCCGTATCGGGGCCTTTATTTCTCGTCGGCGGCGCCCTGCACCGCGCCTCGCAAAGTAAGTCCCGTCTCCCTCACCTCTGCTCCGCACCCTGGTCCCTGCCGCCCCCCTCCTCGGCCAGTCTGGTTTCATTTTTTCTCCTGGAGGGGGCCGCGGGGAATGGGTCGGGGGTGCAGCGCTGGTGTTGGGGGGGGCGCCTGCGGGCTTGGGAAAGTGTGGCGGCTACACTTAGCCGGGGTGGGGGCGGAGAGCAAGCAAGGAGGAGGGGGTCACGGGTTCGCGGTGAAAAGTGAGGGGTTGAGGCGAGGCACCGTGCGGACCCCGGGTGCGGGGGAGCGGGGCTGGCAGCGCCCGCCGCCGTCCCGGGCAGGGCGCGGGCGGGGGCTCACCTGTGTGGTCCCCGGCCTCCTCCCGCCCGCTCACGATTCCCTCCAAAGCCCCAGAAATCTCCGTGCTCTCCGCGTGTGGCAACGTTGTTTGGAGAAAGGTAGCGCCGCGGCCGCGCGCTCCTGCTCCTCCCCCTCCCGGTGCCCCCCCACCACCACCACAACCCAGGCTCCCGCGTCCTTCCCCTCCCCTCCCTCCGCCCGCGCCCCCCGCCGCCCCCCTCCCAGGACACGGCGCGCGGCCGCTCGCCCGCCACAGCAAACTTGGAGCAGTCTCCCGGCCCTCTGGAAAGAAACTTAGGGCAATTGGGATTGGAGGCAGCATCCCATTCTCGGTTCTGGAGCCCAGGAGCTGCCAGGGCGTCTGGATCCTCCGGGGCAGGAGAAATGAGCTGGTCGGGTTTGGAGAGTCTTCCTGGGGGCATGGAGAGAACCTGCCGCAGTGCCTGGAGCAAGGATTGCAGCGTGGCTGAAGGCGGAAGACGCCTTAGGCAACTGCCTGCAGCCGAGCCTGATGGGGACCCAGGGACAGATCCCTGGATCAGGACCCATGGGACCTACCTAACATTTCCAAGTGGCTTTCTTAGAGATGGCAGATGAGATCTGGAATTGTCATATTCATTTTTTTGGGCAGATAGCTACTGACAAGGAGAAGCACTTTTCTGGTTTAAATTTTATAGCAGTATACAATAATACTAGAAGAATGTGAATGAGACTTATTTTTAATAAGTCAAGTTAAACGGAAATTGGAAATTGCTCACCTTCTTGTATTTCACTAAAATAAACATTTTACACTTAACCACTGAATTTCTTACTCAGAATTTATGTTTCCATTAATATCACCCAAGACATTTTAAATATATTGATTATATTCTCACAAGAGTCTGGTATATGGGAAAAAGTATGAAGTGGTATTCTGACAAGTACCTGAAATGTGCCAGCAAAATCAAGTGGGGAATAGGCCAGTTGTTCATTATAGGTTTTTCCACACAGCAGTTTTGTGCTATCCTTTTCTGTACGAATTTGAGGAGCATTTTTATAAGAGAAATTCATCTGGATGATCTGCCTCACCCTAGGGAAGAAGACTTGCTTTTAGGGGAAAAAACAATCTGCTAGCATTAATATCTACAAATTTTTTGGAGTTAGTAATAGTGTTTAAGGAAAGTGTCCACGAGTGATTTCTTCTGGTTTGAAAAGAGGTATGTTAGTTGACCTTAGGCTGTTAATAGAAACCTGAAATTAGATGTTCGATTAAATTAAACTCCCTAGAGAAACTGGTATCTTCATTTCTGCAGTCAGTGGGCTTTGCTGCAGAACTATTTATTAGAAGAAAAAAACCTAATGTACTATCGGTAAGTTCAATGATGATACATTGTAAAGAACATTTAGCTTGCATGAAAGGGAATGCAAGTACAAAAATCTCAACATGGGAATAACAAAGAAAAGTAACTGCTTAGACCACAAAACCTTGTCAGGTACAAAACGACAACAGAGTTTTGCAGAAAGCTATTGTTTTATTCACTGCAAAGTTTCTAAATTAAAACCCAATCTTCTTGTTGCTATGGGCACAGTGATGCTCTTTTTTTCCTTTTTTTTTCTTTTTTTTTTTCCTTACCTGTACTTAGTCTGCACACACCACATTCTTAAATCTCTGATAACGTAAGCTTGAGTTAAACAGTCCTGGCTAACAAAGTAAAGAGAAATAATGGGAAAGGAACTGTGAATGGATTTTACTATCTTAAAAATAACCCAAAGGGAAAATAGACATTTTAGAATGACTTCTAGAAATTAGTACTCTGGTGTACAGATTGCATAATAATTTTTAGATAAATGTCAGGAACAGAATCACATTCTTAAAAGGCGAATTTCTATAAACGTGTGTATATGTTGAACAGATGAGCAGCTCTGCAAAGATGTGTATAACTGCATTTGAAAAAGACAGTGAAAATTTTGGGTTACTGTAGATGTCCCACAGTCTGTCTTGGAATTTAGTTCTGTGACTAAAGGAGGCTTACAGTTGCTCCAATTTTGGTTCTGTGGGGTACCCCAATTGTAATCTGAATTCCTAACAGCAGTGCTCTATCTTTTTTCCTCTTGATGCACTGAGGCTGAACCATAATCATTACCCTAACTCGGAATTTGATCTGAGCTAGGGACTAGCCATTGGAATGGGGCAGAAAGGGACAAAAGAAATCAGGAGGGAGGCTAGTGTTCATTAGGAAGGTCTCTGCTGCTTGAATATGATAAAATCACATTTCACTTATGATGTTTACTGTATGTGGCAGCTCTTATTTGTAAATAGGGCAGGTCCCCTGTATAAAGCTGGTGTTATTATTCACACCCGTAGAACAAACACCTCCACCCCCCTGTTGTTGTCTTAAAAAACTCCAGCTGCTCATGAATATAGGGTCAGGGAGGGCCGGCTAAATGTTTCTCTGTGCTTTCTCTCCAGCACAGCCAGCAGAGCTGTTTCCTGTTCTTTGTTTCAAGGCTGGGGTTTGCGTCATACATTCCAAGTGGCATATGTGTGCTCTTTCCTGTTTCAGGCTGTTTTCTGGTAGATCAGTAGCCCAGACCAGGCTGAGGTCCCTGCCCCTAAACTCCGTATCCCCACCCATGGAGTTATCATGTCTCTACACACTTGATATTGCTTAAGACGCCTGTGTTATGTCATAATGAGAAGTCAGTTAACCTTTTTACGTACACCCTTTGCTCCACTGCATTTGTCTGGGTGAATAAATGCTTTTACCTTTTTAAATTTTTTATTGCTAGATTGTGATTTGGGGAAACGTGGGTCCATCCTGGCAAAGAAACCTAAAGGAGTTTTGTTTGTATTTGTTTGTAATTCTTGTGTTGAAGTGGTTAGGGCGTTTGTTTTAAGATAGGCATTTTGCCCTGAAGCTGTCAATTTTGGATCAGGATTAACACCTTACAGTTTAGAAGACCTAGCATTATCTGAAAGATGTGGCCCACCCTCGTTCACGTTTAACCCAGGCTGCTCCAGGTGGCTTCCGTGGATGGAGAATTTAAGCAATGTTGGCAGCCTGGCTTTAGTTTAAGTCTTGCTTATGTTTGGAAGGAGAAATCTTTAGAAAAATCATTGAAGCAAAGCCTAAGACATTGAGAAAATCCCGGGATTATTTCTTTTTAAGGACAAAGATTTAAATATCAGGATAATGTTTTAAGGACAAAGATTTCACTGTGCAATATTCTACACCTCATTTCCAACCCGTTTTTAAGAATTAAAAAGCTCAAAGGAGAACTGGCATTAACAAATTCATTTAATGCTAGATTGTTTGGAAAATTTTAATCTTCTATTTTGAAAACAAGAAGAATGCTCTTCTCATTTTTGTTTTACAATAATATTTTTCATTTTTTAAAAATATTCTATCAGTTGTGGGTTAATGAATTTCTAGGATAACTATTTAAGACCTGCCTTAATATTAGTTTTCTGTTGGTTCTTGAGAAACTAAGATTTAAGGAAATATTTGCTTGAAAAAGAAAAGTTTTGGAAAGTGCTTTTGTAAACTTACTTGGGGATTTTTTTTTTTTAATCAAAAGGAATCATCTACAGCATCTCTGTGGAATTAATTTAAAGAGTTGCTGAAGCAGCAAATCAGGCTCTCTTCTCCCCAAAATTGATGATAATGGTGCGTTTTAAATGTCACATTCCACCACATTCTTTATGTATAAATGGAAAATATAAAATATGATATTAAGAGAGTTATTAGTATCAAATAGTTGGCTACTGATAACCTTCTATGAAAAAAGCTGGGAGTTTTAGAAGTCCCAATAACTTCTTTCTCCTTTGGGAAAAGCAGCTGGAAATACTTAGCTGACCTGTAGGACAAGAGACTTTTAAGCTTAAAATTCATAAGTAACTCCAATCGAAGCAGGTTTTTTTGTTTGTTTTGGTTCCAAAGTTGTTAACAATCTAACTAGGTTTGGTAAACAGAGTCTTTATTTGGCTTTCCCCAAATTCTTTCTTCTCTCTTTTGCAGGGAGATGAAGTGGTTAATAGAGATAATTAGGGTCTAATATATTCTATCAGAAAAAAATTCTGCAAGCTTCTAAATGCTAAGCTGAATAGTTGGGGAAAATTATCCTATCTTATAGTTGCTATGATTACCAGAAAGATGGGAACAAGAGTTTTAATTTCTTAACCATATAAATCATGATTCCTAATTTAATTTCATTGTGTCTCCATCGCCCCTTGAGATACTTGCCTTCTTAATATTTTCAAATCAACATTTTTGCTATAAAACGACAGATTTCTTAGGCAGCATTTCTTGTTCTCTGTTTTCACACCCAGTTGAGTTTAAGAAAAATAAAATACACACAACCTCATTCTTTAAGGTACTAGGAATTACAATTACATTATTCTGGAACTTGGATTCTTTCTGAAGTGCATCATTTATCATTGGTTCTAGCTTTTTAAAAAAGCAAATCCCTAGAATCTTAAAACAATTGATATCTAGTTTGCTAGTATGTGATATTCTAGTCAGAATTCCTCTTGGGAGTGAGTTGGAAGAGGGTTATGGTGGTCGCTAGCATTCTCATTTTCAAGACCACTCTGTTCCTTTCTTAGACCATGTTTCTCATCTTAAGCAGTCATGCCCGAGCTGGAGACAGGAAACCAGACAGCAGTCTGCCCTGATAAGGGACAGCATTGTCTGAAGGCGGGGAATAGCCCTGCTTTTACCCCCAACTCAGCTCTCTTTGCTTGAAATTTAGTAGTCATAGAAGAGGCACAATGCTGTTGACAGTTTCTGAACCAAAACTAGGATTCATTTCTTCCAAAGCAAAAAAATAGTGTCCTCGGCCGGGCGCGGTGGCTCACACCTGTAATTTCAGCACTTTGGGAGGCCGAAGTGGGTGGATCACCTGAGGTCAGGAGTTCGAGACCAGCCTAGCCAACATGGCAAAACCCCATCTTTACTAAAAGTACAAAAATTATCCGGGCGTGGTGGTGGGCGCCTGTAATCCCAGCTACTCAGGAGGCTGAGGCAGGAGAATTGCCTGAACCTGGGAGGTGGAGGTTGCAGTGAGCCGAGATTGTGCCACTGCACTGCAGCCTGGGCAACAAGAGTGAGACTCTGTCTCAAAAAAAAAAAAAAAAAAAAAAAAAAAAAAGATGTCCTCTTAACTGGCCTTGTCCTTATTCTGTAATGAATGTGACCATATTCTCTGGAACAGTAAGAAAATAAAAAAATGATCTGTGCATTTTGTATCCGTTGGCCAGAGAGTTTGTAGTAAAATTGTTTCTTTAGCAAAACAGGCTCCTGGAGGTTTTTGAAACTCACTCCATTGTGTCGGCAGGCTGAATTCATTATCATTTCTCCATCTAATTATTTAGAAGGGCTGGAGACAGAAGAGAGCAAGTTAAGTGGCCCTCTAGCCCATGCATTTCATGTAACCCCTGGGTCTGGCTCTTACCCTGTTTCCTGTAAGGGGGCGCTCCCTGAGGCAGACCCTTTGCAGGAGGACCCAGAATTGCCCTGCTTAGTCTGGGACATCCTCAGGATGGTTGCCAGTCTCTGGAAGGCTTGTGGATCCTGCCAGGGATGGCCCAGAGCTAGTCTCAACCCAAATCAGTGGAGTTTGGCCAAATCTGGACATAAGAGATCAAATGAGTATTGAGGTCAGCGGATTCTGCCCTGGAGAGCGACCTGCAAATCAAGTGTGGGGTTTTTTCTCTGGCCTATATGCTGTTCTTTCTACTACCACTGTTGTTTAAGTGTAATCACTGAAATCCACTCCTTTATCTGTTCCTGTACTTTGCATCCCTGGTACCTTCCAAAGCTTCACACTCCAAAGCCTCTTTCATTTGTAAGATCGAGTTCCTGTTCCGCTGAGTTTCCAAACCAGGGAGTTTTTCTCTCCCAGGCTCCCAAAGTTTTCACATTTACTTTGCATTTTAGAAGATGAGGTTTCAGGCTGGCTTCACCAGCCGCTGGACAGAGTTTCCATGTAGGACACCTGGTGTACCATCATTCCAGGGCCCTTGCCCTTAATTTATCCTAGCATGTGAGAAGTGTAGTTTGACATCCATTCATTTATTCATCTCACAAGTATTTATTGAGTACCTACTTATTAGAGCTAATCTCAAATTATGTGCAATCATTACTCTGAGTTATGCCATAGGATGGAGTAGATCTACAGTGATCTAACCTGAAAAGGCATTTTGAAATCTTAATTGCCTGCTGGAACCTCCCCCTGGCACTGCTTCCCATGGGCCAGTGTGGCTGTGCACACCCACACCCTCCCTACTGGGGAAAGACCCCAGCATTAGGCGATTTTACCTAAAAGTCGGTCCCACAGCACAGGCTCTGAAGCAGAACAGAAAGTGCCCGGGTCTGCAGGCAGACACGCTTCTGTTCCTGGCTGCAGCTCCAACCAGCTCTGTGAAATTGGGCGAGTCATTTCACCTCTGTTCCTCCATTTCCTCATTTCTAAAATGGGGATGAGGACCTGACCCTTCCACCTTTGTGCAGTTATTATGAGGATTTCCGTATTTACTTGGGTCAAGCTGCCAATTTTTCTCAGCAGTTATATCGACAATGCAGGTGCACTGGCTAGGAAGAATAATTGCCTAATTTGGGGCCTTCAGAATGTGTCTTTTGATCTTGCATCCAAGTGTGCGTACTGAGACAGGGTGGGCAGCAGGGGCCAGTTGGAAGGAGTGGAAACTGTCACTAATGTAAACAGACTGTCCCCACGTTCTGTCTTCTCCGGGGACCAACCTGTTCACAGAAATCACTATCATGTACTTACTGTTGGTGGTGTAATGTTGTCCTCTGCCTGGGGAGGTGGAAGAGTGGTGTGCCAAGGCCACCAGTCTTAAGTCAGACTACCTTGGGTTCAAGTCCTGGCTCTACGAGTTAGCAGCTGTGTGATGTTAGGCAGGTTACTTGACCTCTCTGTTTCAGTGTTCTTTTCAGTAAAACGGGAAGGTAGTAACCACCTCATTGACATTAAACAGCGCCTGGGGATTGCCAATCACGAAGGTGGTGGTGATTGGCAGGAAACCTGTGACATCACTTAGCCCCTTGCCTTCCTTGATCCCTTTTCAAAAACCTGTGTTTGTGCACACACCCCTTCCCCTTGCAGTTCCCCCCCACCTGCCTCCTCTCCTCCCTTTCTCGCTTTCTTTTTTCTATTTTAGATTTTAAAGTACAGTAGAGACCTCGACACTAGACTTGTTTAGAAGACCTCACTGAGTGGATAATAATAAATTATTTGAAGATGGTACTAATAAGGTCTCTGGAGTACACATGATGGGCCAGGCTAAGGTTAGGGGCAATAACTTTTCCTTAGGAAGTTTGGTTTACTAGGTCTCCCTTAGAGTTAGGCCCTTCATCCCTATTACTTGTTTAAGGGAGATTTCAAGTGCATTCAGAGGGAAAGGGAGATGATTGTGGAACTCCTACTATAAGCTAAGTGCTCTTATGTTAGCTCCTTAGGCTTGACATAAAAACTTCATTCAGGGAACAAGCCCGATCTCCTGTGGGGAGTGGGGAGGGAGCCCTCTCAGGAAGGCTGAGGCCTGCCTGTCTGTCCTTCCCAGTACTGGTGGCGGTGTGGGACGCACCACTGGGAAAGCTAAGAGGCCTAGACTATCTAGGTAAGAAGAGGCGGCCTTGGATCCCCCAGGGAGCAATCAGCTGGCTGCACAGAGTGGGGAGGGCCTTGAGCTGGTCTTTGAAGAATTAGGGGGATTTAGATAAGCCGGAAGGGGAGGGGGCATTCCATTGCCGGTTGCCCAGCATCAGGGCCAAAAATGAACAAAGGCCTGGGGGTGGGCAGGGCAGCCGGCATGAAGGGCACTTGTTGGAGCAGGGGGCAGCTCGTGGGTAACGGGGTGCCAAGCATGGGTGCCTGAGCCCACTGTCAGACCCGGGGAGTGCACGGGAGGGAAGGTTGTGAGCTGGAGAAGGATGGGATGAGAAGAGATCTGTGAAAAACGTGGGTGGCAAGGGGTGAGGGCTGGACTGGAGAGGCTGAGGGAGACCAGTGGTGGAAAAGCTGCAGCAATGCAGGTGGGAGGCGCTGAGGGCCTGGCCCCCAAGGCAGGAGGGGAGAGCAAAGGAGGTGAGGAAGGCTTCAGAGATGGCCTCTAGGTTTCCATGGTGAAGGACCAGAAAATAAGGCCAATGGGAGGCGGGGAGGGGGCAGCCTTAGAGGCAGGAACAAGGAGGGGTAGGGTTGGTTTGGGCCACGTTGATAGCAGTGGTTCAAAATGCTTTTCTCTTTCTTTTCTGCTTATTTTTAAAGGGAGAGGGTAGGCTTCGCTCATGGTTTTGTATCCAAAGTTTCAGTGGCTCTCTGGGAGGAACTTCAGTGGAGAATCCTCAGGAGCAGAGGAATGATCACAGCCCCATGGTTCCTTCTGGTTATTTTTAAGATTCTAACCATCCCTGTTCAGGCCGGAATTTCCAGGAACTGGCTGCTGCCCAGCGCCAACTGGTCCCTCCCAACCTCCCACTCCCTGCAGGGTGGGGCCCCATGGGTGGAGGCTCCTTAGGGTGGAGTTGGGTGGGTCTCCAGTGATAGGGAGGGCACTGAGCAGAGGCAGATGAGAGGCAGTGTGGCCTCACGCAGCCCTTCTGGATTTGATTATATAACACTTCATAGAGGAGAATTGTGAGGGCTTAGGCGAGGCCTTGTGAGATATGTACACAGCAGGATTAGACATTATGGGTATTTTTCAATTTATCTTGGGTTGCCTGCCCTTAAAACTAAAACACAAAATTGTCAGAGAGCATAAACAAGTGTGTAACCCTAGTAGGGAAAATGATTCGAGTTTGCTGCAGTTTCTCTAAGAAGGGTGTGGAATGCCACTAGCCAGATGGCCTTGAACTTAGAGGGTAGCATAGGTGTGGGTGTCCCCGCCCCCAGCCCTGCTTTGCTAGGCCTCAGTTTGGAAACTTGTCAGGCTTCTGCTTGGTTGTTACCTTTGCACCTGTCCTTATTGACATGCAAAATCAATTGCTTCACTTGGTCTTTCCGAAGTACAGGGTGTGGGCAGAATCTTATCTGAAGCCATGTCCTGTTTGGACAAGTTGGACTTGCCTTGGCAACTCTCCATAGGGTGGAGCAGATGGGTGGAGGCAGGAAAGTAAAATTGGGTGGCTTGTTAGCAGAGAGAGGAGAGAGGGTGGGTTGTTTGCTCACTGGATCATTATATTTCATCTGAAATGAAATAATTAACTTCTTTCCCATTTATAATACACATTAATGCAAAATAACTAATTCATGAGGGGCGAAGATTTAGAAACACCCCATGGAATTTTTCTCCTTTTCAAACCAGTCATAGAAGAGTAGGACAGGTGAAAATCACAGAGTGGCATGAAAATTTCCAAGAATGTCTAGGTAGGAAATTCCAGGTAGGTGCCAGTGCTTAGCTTTGTTTCAGGGAGCCTCCAGCTTAAAAATGCCTGCTGACATCTGTTGCCTGTCCCCTGTATTTCTGGCTAGGGCAACTGTCCTTAAATAATACTTGAGCCATTGGGGGATTTTGAAGAATTTGGGTAAAGAAACGAAGAGAGAAAAGTTTCTCTGGAAAGGAAGTTTAGCTACAGGGATGTTGCTTGCCTGCCCAGTTTTCCTAGCCAAGAATTACACACACACATGCACACACCGCCTTTTTTTTTTTTCTTTTTTTGCCTTAAGTTCCTTTGGGGAGTAAGGGTAGGGGAAGATAACATGTTTTCTCTTTGAAAAATCCAAAAACTTAGAAGAGTTGAAAGGGAGGCTTAGCGATGGTGTGTTAGTGTATTGCTCCGTATGCCTAGCCGAGGTCAGCTGGGAGACGGAAGTTTGCTTGGAGGAAGGCAGGTGATTTGGAGCCTCGGGGTCAGTCCTGGGTTGGGGAAGATAATGCAGGCACCCTTTGAGGATCTGTGGGAAGAAATGAGGGCATGGAGAAAGGAAGAAATAGGGAGATGAGAAGGGAGAACGTCAGAGGCAGGTCTTGCTCTAACCCCAAGAAACAGGAAACTGCTCCTGATACGTACACATTCTCTCTCCACCTTCCTCCTCCCTCAGGAAGGGGCAGGCAGTTGTCTGTAAGGTCGTTTCTGTAATAAATCATGCTCTAGCCTCCAGGCAAGCTGCTTTCAGAGGAGGTTTAGTAACCCCCTAACCTCGTCTTCCATGAAGGACTGTGTGTGTGTTTCTAAGCCCTGCAGCTCACCTGCAGCCCCGCTCCCCACTCCATAAAGCCATTGTGCATAGGTCTCAGACACCACTGGATAGGGCTCCAAAGCAGGACTGCATTACTTCTGAAACTTCATGTCAATGATTCACCAACCCTTTTAATCTATAATCACGCAGTCTTGCATTTTGACAGAAATTTGACCCTTATTTTAACATCTGAAAAGTCAGAAGTGCAGGTGGAAAGAGCATGAAGGGAAATCTGTTTCTCCTTTTTGAGGACCATTCATTTTTATTGGCCTTTCTCTGCAAAATAACACAGCTGGGGAAGATGGCATTTGCTCCAGTTATGGAAAATTATTTTGGCGGTGGTGATGTTCCTGTATATTTTTGCTTTTAAGCACCTCAATAACTTAGAATTTTTCATAAAAACAATTTTGCCCTTCCCCCCCCTTTTGGATGCAGTTTTGTTATCCTGGTATTGCTTAGTTTAGCATTAGAATGTATTTCTAAGACTAGCTAATGTATTTCTAAAGCTAGCTAAGCTAGTTAAATATAATGAAGATGTAAATGTGTTTATGATTGGAAAATAGTCGTCAGAAAAAAATAGAACCACATTTAGAGCCTCCTCTTCTCTGTGATACCCACATAAAATGATTAATAGAATTCCTGAGCCTGGTTAAAACCCACTAGGTTTAAAGACCCCGAGGTTGGCCAACTGGATTGATTTACTGCCGGTGTCCTGGTCTCTAATGCCTGTTTTAGTGCGCCACCTACTGGTTCTGCTTCAGATTGCCGTCAGTACTGTATGATAGATTTTCTAAGCATTTGTGGTTTACTTAGCATTCTTTCAGAATGGTAATAACCCCAGTGCACTGAGCCGCCCATGGGTACCAAAGACTGCCAAGTTTAGGGACCCTAATTCTTCCAGGGCTTAAGTTACTTCTCAGTTATGTGGAAGGCACTTTGAAGACTGTACAGTCACTCTTTTATGATTGTAGATCAGAACCTGTAAACAAATTAGTACCAATGACAAAAGTGGTCCCTGTAGTCAGAGATATGGGTGCAAAGTATAGAAATTTTTTGCAAATACATAAACAGAAGCCTCATTTCTGTTCATGTGTTTGATTCTGTTTCTAAATTTAGTTCCTTCCTAGCTTGGCTTCCCTATCTTGTCTTTGTTAAAAGTTTTGATTATGGAAATAATAAACTTGGCCGGGTGTAGTGGCTTACACCTGTAATCCCAGCACTTTGGGAGGCTGAGGCAGGCAGATCACTTGAGGTCAGGAGTTCGAGACCAGCCTAGCCAACATGGTGAAACCCCGTCTCTACTAAAAGTATAAAACTAAGCCAGGAGTGGTGGTGCATGCCTGTAATCCCAGCTACTCTGGAGGCTGAGGCAGAAGAATCCCTTGAACCCAGGAGGCAGAGGTTGCAGTGAGCCGAGATCGTTCCACTGCACTCCAGCCTGGGTGACAGAGTGGGACTCCATCTCAAAATAAAAATACATATAAATAATAAACTTTAAAAATAGAACACAGATGTGTAGAAAGCTGTCCCACCCACCGCCACTCCCAAGAAGCTCCTGTTAACAGTTTCGGGTGTGTGGTTCCAGACGTTTTCTTTGCATGTCCTTTATCTTCTTGTTTTATATCCTGTGACTATCACTAAAAGCATCATCATTTAAAAGCTATTATCAGAAGCTACCAAATTGGAAACAAAGTGCTTGTAGACATGTGAAATAGTGAGTTTGATTCTATTCTTTGTGATATTTGAATTTTGCACGGACTTTTTTTTTAATGTCCAGGGATGCATTATTTAGTTAGGAATTTCAAAAATAGGTATTCTAATCCTATCATTCCTTCTTTGTTTATTAACTTAAATACTTCTGTAATGAGAACATCCCTTCATCAACATTTGGATTACTTTGAGGTACATTTCTGGGCAAATAAACATACCCTTGTAATTATTTTTTAGTAAAAGCAAATCAGGTTCTGTTAGTGCCAGTGTGTTTTTTTTTTTTTTTTTTTTTGAGACCAGAGTTTCGCTTTTGTTGCCCAAGCTGAGTGCAGTGGTGCTATTTGGGCTCACTGCAACCTCCGCCTGCTGGGTTCAAGCGATTATACTGCCTCAGCCTCCCGAATAGCTGGGATTGCAGGTGTGCGCCACCACACCTGGCTAATTTGTTGTATGTTTAGTAGAAACGGGGTTTCACCACGTCGGCAAGGCTGGTCTCAATCTCCTATCCTCAGTGATCCACCCGCCTCGGCCTCCCAAAGTGCTGGAATTACAGGCATGAGCCACCACGCCCAGTCAGTGCCAGCGTTTTATACTAGACTATGTTTCTCTTAGGATTACAAGTCTTGCATTTCCTTAAACTTAGATAAAACAAAAAATTAAAGAACAATAGTGATTTAAATAATGTCTTAATGATAAAAAGATGTAGCACATTAATGTGTAATTCATTTCTAAAAGGATTCAGTAGTCGTTGCTGTGGGCATTAGACAAAGTCATTGAAAGCTATGTGAGCTAAATGGTAGACTTAGAATTTGAACGAAAAGGAACTCCAGAGCCCATCATCTTAATTTATTCTGCTGTGCTGCAATTAGTGGTCGTAAAGCGTGCAGGATGACATGAAGTGGGGAGATGCTGGCCTCGCTCAGAAGCTGTTGTTGCAGTGGTACAGTTGTGAAGTGACAAGGCCTTATATGAGACCTCATACAGGATGTAGGCAGCTGTTAACTTTGAAACTGAATCTAGTCAGAGTTTTATTTAAGGGTGGGGGATAGACCTCTAAGGCTAGTGTATGTTAGCAAAGAGGCAAACGCCAGACATTTTTGCTCCGGAAGTTGGAACCAACACATTTAGTGTTGTGTGTACAGAATATACATCCAGATTTTATGTGCATATGGATATAAATGAGGGCAAAAGGAGTGTGTGTGTGTGTGTGTGTGTGTGTGTGTGTGTGTGTTTTAATCTCACTTGATAGACCTAAATCCTTGAGAAGCAGATAGGGAGCCATGCTCTGCATTTTACAAATGATCACTCTTGCCCCATGGCTGCGTTAGTTTGCAGCCTGCTTGAGTCTCAAAACCATGGCTCCTTCCTTATACACCTGAGAATGTGAATGCTTTAATTTAGAAGCATTTGCATCAAGATACTCTCTAGTGGGATAGATGAGTCTGGAAGAGTGAATTCAGTGTAAAAAGCTGGGGGTGAGGAGGTGGGAGGCTGCCACAGGGTGACCAGCCGTGAGTCAGGGCTGCTAAATGATCTGACCTCATTGATGTAAGCAGGAGATCTCACATCTTTTGTTTATGGTCCACTGTGAGGCACTGGACAACAATTCTTAGAACCATGTTCATCCGTACAGCTGCTAGTCTGGGAACTGCTTAATAATAGATCCCAAGACACAAAAGCGTTTTCATCCCTCATTACGAAATCATCTATTTTTCACTGGCTGTTGCGGTTAGTTCTTGCTGGAATACATAAGAGGGTAGTAGCACTATTGATTTGAGCAGCTTGGTATCAAATTGTGTTTGCAGATTACAATACACCCTGTGATGGAGGAAAATATAATTTTGAAGTCAAGGCCTTATGTCGAGTTATTGATGAAATTCGTGTGTTGTCATGAGATTCAAAACAGGCTTTCTTCAATGAATCAACGAAGCACAAGAACGACATAGTATCACTTCCATCATTGTATATGAAGATATCTTAGTATAACCCGTAGAGCACCAACACAACAAATTATAGGATTGCTATCATGGAGGTGGGGATGGGGGTTTTTAACACTGAAATACAAGAAGGAATCCAGAACCCGGGATTCCTGCAGCTTCTTCAGCTGGAACTCACTCTAGAACTTGTTCACTTTGCCACTCAAACCAGGGTGATCTATGAAGACCTTACCTCTAACCAAAGCACTGAGCACTTAAACCAAATTTGGCTAATGAGTGCCTGAAGTCGATTTCTGAAAGTGTGTCTAGTAGCAGGACAGTGTTTCTGTAACTGAGGAGACACATTTGAACATTGAGCAGACTGAATATTTTGTCCTGTGAAGAAGCAGTTGGCTTGATGTAGATTAGTGTTAGAAGTGGACTGTACAGAACACAGAAGAAAATAGAAGGGATGGCAAGCAGAGAACAACAGAAGAAAAAGACAGGACAGGATCAAGGTGGACATTTCCTTTACAATAGGCTCATTTCCTAATGAGGAGAAATCTGAGTGAAAACAAGCTAATATTCTTCATATGTGAAAAGTGCTTAGAAAACAATAAGAAGTGGTGGAGGCTGTCAAGCCCTAAGTAGGCATTTCTCAAAAGAAGAAATCCAAATGGTCAATAGAGCTGAAAAAAAATAACTTCAATAACCAAATCAATTTAGAATAAAAATCATTTGCCATCTTGAGACTTAACAAGTTGGCAAGGTGTTTATCTTTTATAACACAAGTGATAACACATGTTGCTGGTGGAGGTTTGGGGAAACAGGTTGTATTTTATTAATGAAAATAATAGTTCGTCTTTGCCAGGTGATGGCATCAGGCGCTTTGGGAAATGTATATACTTCTCACCCAGGAATTCCCCTACAGAAAACTTATCCTAAAAATTAATGGTGTGCAGGAGGATATATTTAAAGAGGCTCATTGCTGTTCGTAATGGCGAAAACTTAGAAGCAACCCTAAGTGCCTAATAAAGAGGAAGAAGTTAAGTAAACTGATGTGTTCACACAGTGGCACGGGGGATTTGATGGTGCAGAACCATACTTGGTGCAGAACCATACTTACTGTAAAAGAAACATTTTCACATAAATTGTTCAGTGAAATGATAGGTACTAAATACCATGTACACTATGAGCCCAGTTTTAAAGAGGGTTTGTTAGAATAAAAATGAAATTTTAATGATGGTTGGTTCTAGGTTTTCTTTTTGCTCGTCTTTTTTTCCCCTAATTTTTCTGCGACCAACATCGGGGAAAAGGGAAGGTGTTTAACGGTCATATGTAATCTGAACCCCTAAAGAGTTGCACGGCAATCCCAAGCAAGCTTTGGCGCTCAGAAGGGGCTGTACATAGTGTTCCAGAAAAGTCAGGGTTTCTGTATTGAGTTAGAAATGCTGGTTGGCTCTCATCTGGTTATGACCATGGAGTCTGGTTTTAATTATGTAAATGGCATCTTTCATAGGTAAGGGAAACAAATTCCAGCCATTCCAGGGGTAGGGGAGAAAAAGGAGTAGAGAAGTGGGGTGAGGTATTATATTTCATTTTATTATTTATTTATTTATGTTTTTTTTTTGAGGTAGTGCCTCGCTCCATCACCCAGGCTGGAGTGCAGCGGTGCCATTTCGGCTCACTGCAACCTCCGCCTCCTGGGTTCAAGCGATTCTCCTGCCTCAGCCTTCCGAGTAGCTGGGATTATAGACGAGTGCCATCACGCCCAGCTAATTTTTGCATTTTTAGTGGAGACGGGGTTTCACCATGTTGGCCAGGCTGGTCTTGAACTCCTGACCTCAGGCGATCCGTCTGCCTCAGCCTCTCAAAGTGCTGGGATTACAGGGGTGAGCCACCTTGCCCAGGCTATATTTTATTTTTACTAGTTTGTATTTAAAGTAACCTTGAGACTTAGATGGATACCTTGTTTTGTTTTCTAGGCCAAACACCAGAGCACCCTAGAAGGTTTAACTAAAAGAATGCTCATGTTTGACCCAGTTCCTGTCAAGCAAGAGGCCATGGACCCTGTCTCAGTGGTAAGTTTTCCAAGATTGAACACCTCGCCTTATTTTTTCCAAGTGATGATAACATTATTGTGTGTTGAATTATTCCTTGAAATCATGGCCGGGCGTGGTGGCTCACGCCTGTAATCCCAGCACTTTGGGAGACCGAGGCGGGAGGATCACCTGAGGTCGGGAGTTTGAGACCAGCCTGACCAACATGAAGAAACCCCGTCTCTACTAAAAATACCAAATTAGCCGGGCGTGGTGGCACATGCCTGTAATCCCAGCTACTCGGGAGGCTGAGGCAGGAGAGTCGCTTGAACCCGGGAGATGTAGGTTACAGTGAGCCGAGATAGCAGAGATCGCACCATTGCACTCCAGCCTGGGCAACAAGAGCGAAAGTCCGTCTCAAAAAAAAAAAAAAAATCACTCATTGCTTGACAGGCATTTCATAGGCAAACTTTTCTCAACGCCACCAGGTATGAGTGAGCTAAATACTGTCCTAGCAGCTGTGGATCCTTTAAATGGGATCTGCGCTTCCTTAAGACCCGTGCCCGGTGTCCCCCTAAGAT
Source organism: Homo sapiens (assembly GCF_000001405.40). Taxonomy (NCBI): domain Eukaryota; kingdom Metazoa; phylum Chordata; class Mammalia; order Primates; family Hominidae; genus Homo; species Homo sapiens. The sequence continues at coordinate 38,681,222 of NC_000004.12, forward strand.
ATGATCAGCATAGAACTTAGGCCACAGGTGAATCCTCTCATGACAGAAGTAAGTTTACAAAAATTCCTCAGCCCTTTTGTGTGTAAAAATATATTAAGAATAGGATGATTTGCTTAAAAACCAATGACAACAGCCATATGGAGCTGTAACTATATGAGATGACTGAGGGAAGCCAGCGAGAGAAAGACTTGGCAGTGAGGACGGAATCTCGTTTACTTGGAAGAGTCTGGCTGGGTAGGAATTACGTTCATTGTCCTTTTCAGCACCTTAGCGCTAAGCCAGCCCCTCATGGGAGCCAGGCCACTGGCTGCTTTTAGGCCGCCAGGGACTAGTGAGGAGTCTGGGGTTTCTGCAGGTACAACACCAGTGCCATGAAGGTGAGACATGGTGACAGAGGAAGGTGTCTGACTTCAGAGCAGGGAGTGGTTTCAACTTGAGGATTCTGGTTGAGTGAATATTGAATAACAAGGCAATGCTCCCACTCTGTCTTGCTCTTTTCTTCCACGGGCTTGGAAAATATTCACAAGGGGGAAAACTTGGCCCGAGGTGTGTATCTGAAGGTTGGTAATGACACGCTTGCAAAATTAGATCATCCTTGTGCATGGGCTCTGGAGGTTCCTGCCAAAAATGTTTATACAAGACACGGGGGTCACGCCGAGGCCCTTGGAGCTGAGTTGCCATGGATATTACTAAGCCAGTAAAGTGTTTACCAGTATCTATAATGCAAGTTAAGTCAGAGGGGCTTTAAGGAAATAACATTTACATTCCAGCATGATAACTGAATAACCAAGTGTCTGAATATGGTAGCAACTGAGCAATAAGGATTTTATTAATCAAAAAACTAAATTACTTTTTGAGATGGAGTCTCACTCTGTCGCCTAGGCGGGAGTGCAGTGGTGTGACCTCAGCTCACTGCAACCTCCGCCTCCCAGGTTCAAGTGATTCTCCTGCCTCAGCCACCATAGTAGCTGGGATTACAGGCGCATGCCACCACGCCCGGCTAATTTTTGTATTTTCAGTATAGGCCAGGTTTCACCATGTTGGCCAGGCTGGTCTTGAACTCCTGACCTCAGATAATCCACCCACCTCAGCCTCCCAAAGTGCTGGGATTACAGGCATGAGCCACCGCTCCTGGCCAAAAAACTAAATTACTTCGAATGTTATTCAGTGCTGTCATTGTATTCATCAAATCCCCCTCCCCGGCATCACTACATGATCACGTTAGAGGAAAATGAAGGTATAAAATTTCCCCATTAGTTATATTCTTGAAATAGGAATAGGTTTTTAGCACTGGAGAATATGATTCATTTTACAATTGGTGCAGAGCCATCAGTGAGGCATTTTACTGTTCAATGTACCTCCAGTGCTTTTAATCAAGCATGAACATAAGGCTCAAGAGTCTAATATAAAGCTAAAATGAAGATCCACATTGCTAAATTGGTGTGATATATATAATTAAGTGCAAGGAAATGCACTTAACCGAAAAAAAAAATGTGGAATAAAATGAATTTGAAGTAACTGTTAAACTTGTATTGTTGTAACGTAGTAATACATGAAGTTAAAATATGTAGAACTGATTTTGCAGTTAATGGTCTTTTTCTCCTTCATGTGCTAGATTTCAACTGCAGCTGACACTTTTAGAATTTAGTTTCACCAAAAGTTACTGTCAGTCCTTTAAAATGAAGGTGTTTTTTTTTCTTTTTCTTTTTTTGGTTTTAACTTTCTTCAGCAGGAAGTATTTTTTTCTTAATTCAGTGCAACCTCAGTTAACAGAAACATTTGAGCAGTGGGGTGTTAAAATGATTTTACTTAAACAAATTAAAAAGCTTTTGTTTCCACTCTTAAGTGTTCAAATTTCGTCTTTCCTGCCTTCATAGGTGAAGTATATTGAACCTAATTTATTATTCCTTTTTCTTTTTAATTCAGTCTTTGATCTGAAGGTAAAAGTCTTTCGCTATTCAAGTCAACGTTGTAAACATTAAGGCACAATAGGACATTTGTAAAAGTATTTTTAATTTCTATAGATGAATAAAAATATTTTATGGTAACTTATTTCTCCCCCTCTTCCCACCCCCTAAAAGGATAGCACAGCAGAAACAATCGCTTGTTTGTGCTTTTGCTATAGGTTAGAGAAAGTGAGGACATGTCATTTCCCTCTTAATCAAATATAAGCCCTCATACTGTTCTCCACTAGCCTTGTGCTTTGAGGCTTGGGGTCACCCTGTTAAAATTTGCTAGAATGAGGAACAGAGGAGACTCTCCCTCCCCAAGTCTGTGCCTTCAGTCTCTGCTACTTACATCCACCCAGTGTTGGCAAAATCACCAGCAGCTCCCCGAGCTTCTGTTTTTTTTTTTTGAAAAAATTATAAAATATGAAACTGTGTGTAAAAAAATGCGCATGTACATAAATTTTTTTTTTTACCATTTCCCAAAAGATTGAAAATTAAAGGATTTAATTCAGGAAGTGAGCAAGGAAACAAATTGTAAAAAAACAAAACAAATCAAAAAACAAACTTTAAAAGTATTCTTCTATTCCTGTGGAAAGATTACTTTTGAAGAAAGGATTAATAATATTCTGTTATCTTCAGTCATCTAACAGACTCCTTATAGATAGGAAAGTATGTCACATCAGTAATTTCCTCTGCTCTTTTCTAACAGAAACTTTTCATGGCTTTTTCAAGCCTGGTGGAAAGAGAGCTTTCTACCTCTGTTTGCATGGGGGTGCATGCCATTTGCTCTTCCCAGAGTGTGTGTTTATACACGCACCATGCCTTCCTGTGCCTGGAACCCTCTCTTGGATGAAGATTCTTTTGACTTGACCTGTAATGGACATTCACTTTTTTTCATGTTGAGGAATAGTGAAATAGAGATTTCATCCATGTTTCCGTCATTCCGTCCACTGAAACTGTCTTATAATGGAAAGCTCGCCAAAACTATTCCTCATAAAATGAGAAACTATTGCAATTATCACCTTAGCATAAAGTGATAGAGCTTTGGGAAATTATCCAAACATGGTACCTCTTTCCCTGTTGCAATTAAAATCATTTTTTCAAAGTTCAAAATAATTAGTATATTATTCTTCACCTTATCAGTAATAAAAACCTGCTAAGAGAGTGTGTCAATTTACTACACATTCATCAAGTATTAATTGAGCACCTATTGCAGGCCCTCATCACCTCACAGTGCAGTGAGAAGCAGCAGTCAATAAGTAAATGCACACTGTGCAGGGGTGTGAACATCTGAGTACATGTTACAGACGGAAATAACTCTTATAGCAGATCAGTGGTTTTGTGGAGGTTTTTTTGTTTTGGTTTTTTGTGTTTTTTTTTTTTTTTTTTTTGGTTTGGTTTTGGTTTTGAGACAAGGTATTGCCCTGTTGCCCAGGCTGGAATGCAGTAGCAAGATCACTGCAACCTCAAACGCCTGGGTTCAAGCAATCCTCCTCCCTCAGCCTCCCCAGTAGCTGGGACTACAAGCAAGCACCACCATGCCCCGCTACATTTTTGTTTTTTTCTGTAGAGACAGGATCTCATTATGTTGCCCAGGCTGGTCTCAAACTCTCGGCCTTAAGATATCCTCCTGCCTCAGCCTCTCCAAGTGCTGGAGTTAAAAGTGTGAGCCACCATGCCTGGCCCAGCCCATTGTTTTAAGCCCTTAAGATCCCTAGTGGGGGCCAGAGGCAGAAGCGGGAAAGACCCATGTCTGTGTCTTGTCTTTGGACTGCTCTGTTCCAGGACACAGGGTCTCTTGGACTAAGCAGCATGCACAGAGGGCACTGGAGGTCCATCCGTGGCCAGAGGCACATTTTTTGCTTCATCAACATTTGTCTCTGATTTGGATATGGGGCCAGTACAGCCGTGCTTGTATGCATTGCTTTGATAGAACATAGGAACTGTCTGGAACAGAGCGGGGAAGACTGTTACCAGGTTGTACCTGCCCAGAGCACACACCCTGCCGTGTCAGTCCCTACACGGCACCAGATTGTTGGAAGCTGATTGCAAAAGCTTGTGTGTGCCACCCAAATAAAGTGAACCAGCTTGAGGGACCACATGTCTTCACCCTTTTGTGAGGCAGTTGGGCTGGAAACAGTTAATTATCTGCCCAGAGTTGGGTGTCTGTGTCCAAATGTGTCTCTCCCCACAGTTAGTCTTGTACCTTACAATAATCGCACATCCAATAGAGGGAATGAGGGCATTCATTTGAGAACAGACTTATCAGCAAACTGCATAATGTTGATAAAGCTTAGCTTTATGTGTGGCTTTTTCTGTCTTAATGGCTTGAGAAACCTGAGAATATTATTAGATTTGCAAATCTGGAGGTTCTAAATTCCTACTCTCCCAAAACTCACCCCATGCATAGAAAAATCCAGCAATGACAGCAATAAAACTGTGTCCTCATTTTGCTTCCCATTTAGCTGCCAATAACTATTGGCATTAAAATCTAGGTCATAGGGAGGTCTTGGAAGAACAGGGCTGAAAATAAGGGAGAAGCTACATTTTCGTCAATAGAAACAATGCTGCCTCCCATTTCCTAAAGTTTTTTCCTAGTACCAGAACCATTGCCCTTTGGAGAATTATATAAAGCACATTAGACTTTAGGACTAGGCGAAATCATTCTCCTTCCTATATTTAATTACTCCCTGAAACCCTCCAGTGTACATGATTTATAATGGATTTATTTTGTTGTGTTGTTAATGAACCTTGTGCCTCTTTTAATAATACCCATCTTAATATTTAAATTTAAATCTATTTAATACTTAATGTTGCTATCTTTTGGATCTCTTGCGTTGGTACTGTGCGTGCCTGGCTTTAAAGAAAGGTAGAGAATCTTTTCTTCATTTGATCCTTGATCTATAACTCAAAGCTGTTTTTATGCATTTTGTGTTTTCTGATTTTATATCCTTCATGTTCTTGTTTTTAAGCAGTATTAGTAGTGAAAACTGGCTGCGCGTGGTGGCTCATGTCTGTAATCCTAGAACTTTGGGAGGTTGAGGCAGGCAGATCACTTGAGCCCAAGAGTACGAGACCAGCCTGGACAACATGACAAAACCCAGTCTCTACAAAAAAATACAAAAATTAGCGAGGCGTGGTGTCATGTGCCTGTAGTTCCACTTCCTCTGGAGGCTGAGTTGGGAGAATCATATGAGCCCAGGAGGTCGAGGCTGCAGTGAGCTATGATCATACCACTGCACTCCAGCCTGAGTAACAGTGAGACCCTATCTCAAAAAAAAAAAAAAAAAAAAGAAAAGAAAATTCTTTTTCCCTCCTTTAAATAGACCTTTAGTATCTTTATTTTTTATCTCTGTCATTTAGAGCATTGCTATTCAAAAGGTAGCCTAAGTTCCCTTGGTCCACTCCCCGGTAATTCAAAATTTGCATTTTAACGAGTGCTCCAGGGAGATGGATGTGCACAGTAAAGTTTGAGAAACTCTGGTTGGGAGCAGTAGAGCCCGTGACAGTGAGCATCTCTTGTATAAGCAGGGACAAGAAGGGATTTCCAGGATGGCATGTGTATAAGCTCGTTGTGTAGGTTATCCCATAACCTTGATCTTAACCATGAGGACCTGACATCCAAACCAGATAAAGATAAACACAGTTATGTGATAAAGTTTCACTGACTGACTCCTCCCTAACAGGCTGCTCTGCAGGCCTGGAGCAGGGACTGGGCATCTGGAATTTTAAAAACAACACAGATGATTCCAATGCATAACCAGCCGAGGATTCGCCCAGACCAAGCCCAGAGAGGAAAGAGGGTGATCTCAGTAGGAATCCCTATCAAAACCACTGCTGCCCCACAGTCATAACTCACAATAGTGGCCACCAGAGGGGCCAAGGAGACCCAGAAATTAATAGTGCATTTACGCTGTTTAATTACAAGGCACCATTGGGTTTTCTTGGTTGCATCCCAAGTTAGTATTGCCTCTAACTCTTAAACACATAGGGTTTTAGAGCTGGAAGAGAAGCACAATATGTTGTTTATCACTGTCACTGTCAGACATTCAAGTACAAAGAATTTTCTGCAGGTAAGCAGGCTTGACATGCAAAATTTCAGTTTCCCTAAAATGCCTAGTAAAGATGATGGTTTATGTTGAGTTTAATTTTTTTAAATTAAAAATTAGGTTGCATTCTACAAAGAAAATTTACAACAAAATGTTAGTTAAGGAATAGAAGTAATTTAGGTGAACTCCATGGTCAAGGATAGTGCCCATTGTGTGAAATTATGATGACTGGTTTGTATTTAAAGCTGGCAGATGAAAGTTAGGTTATCCTGATATTTAAAGAGAGAAAGGTGTTTGAAGATAAATGAGGTCAGTTGTGGACCAGATCTTGGGAAGGAAACAGACTCTTCTGTCTCTTCTGCACTCCCTTGTTTGTGCCCCAGCCTCATTTGATGAGTGGGTAGCAGGGTATAGAGGAGAGAACACAGGGCCTCAGCTTGTGTGAATGACTTTGAGCTCCACATTTCCTTATGTGAGTCATATCACGTTAGCTGTTTCTTATAGTTCCGTGTCATCCACAGACTTGCCATTCAAGTCTACAGCTTCATTCAGATTCTGAATAAGAACACTGAGCAAGTTAGGGCCAGGGACATCATTGCCGCAGTGAGGGTGGCCTTCAGTACAAAGGTGTGTATGGTGACTGACCCCCTCCTGGTTTGCCTGAGACTGTAGAGTTTCATGGGATGTGGGACTTTCAGTGCTGAAACTAGCACAGTTCCACGCTGACTAGGATTGTTGGCCAGTCCTAGGCATGGATTGTACAGCTGCTGAAGCCCATCAAATGAAAGGTACTGCCTATCCTGCAGCCCCATTCTTGCTTATTATACACAAGTATGATGAGAAATCAATGTCCTGCTGAAGTTGAAGACACTACTTATCCTGAGAAAGAGCTGTCCTGCCGAAGTTAGACATCAAAGCTAGAGAGCATTTCCTGCTCATCAAGAAACCCCACCAGAAAAGCAACCAGGTTGGTTTGGCTTGACTGGTTCTTGTGATGCCCACCTCTGACTCCTAATGATAATGGCCCCCAAGCCTGTGCTATCACCTGTCTTAGAATTTTGCCAGGTATCGGCCTTAATGTTTGACACAGGAATCATCTTAGGATTAAATTTCAGATTTTTCATCTGCAGTAGTGACCACATTGATCTTAGTTTTAATATTTTTGAGACCGCCTCTCATAGCATTTTTAATGTTGAGACCACCTCTTTGAGCATTTTTTTAAGGTCACATATATATCGAAATCTAAACTATTTTGTAAAGCCCATGTAATTGTTAAGTGCCTTGTTAGCATATTTTTCTTAATTCATGTTTCAAGTAAATGGACTTATTTGGCTGTTGACACGTTTTCCTTTTCTTTTCTAATAGTCATACCCATCTAATTACATGGAATCCATGAAGCCTAACAAGTATGGGGTCATCTACTCCACACCATTGCCTGAGAAGTTCTTTCAGACCCCAGAAGGTCTGTCGCACGGAATACAGATGGAGCCAGTGGACCTCACGGTGAACAAGCGGAGTTCACCCCCTTCGGCTGGGAATTCGCCCTCCTCTCTGAAGTTCCCGTCCTCACACCGGAGAGCCTCGCCTGGGTTGAGCATGCCTTCTTCCAGCCCACCGATAAAAAAATACTCACCCCCTTCTCCAGGCGTGCAGCCCTTCGGCGTGCCGCTGTCCATGCCACCAGTGATGGCAGCTGCCCTCTCGCGGCATGGAATACGGAGCCCGGGGATCCTGCCCGTCATCCAGCCGGTGGTGGTGCAGCCCGTCCCCTTTATGTACACAAGTCACCTCCAGCAGCCTCTCATGGTCTCCTTATCGGAGGAGATGGAAAATTCCAGTAGTAGCATGCAAGGTAAATTCCGCCACTGCTCCATGCTGCTGCACTTGCTTAGCGTACTGGCGCTTCACCAGATGGGGTGGGTGAGGAAGCATGGGGGCAAGAGCTGTTGAACTCTTCAAAGGAAATACTCATCTGCCTAAGGCATTTCCTTCCCCCGCCCCCCCAAAGTGTTGATACTGGAAGAGATCCCAAGAATCAGGCTGTCTGTTTGATACCATGACATGATTACTTTCACTATGTAATGGTCAACTTGGGGATAGAAAGAATCTTGACTTTATGTTGCTTTCTTGAATACCAACATGGTTCTAGGTACAAAAGGCATTTAATAAATCCTTTTTGATTGTGGTGAAAACTAATGGTGATCAAAAGCTACCTTGTTTATCAGCTGGTCATAGAGGACTAAGGGGTTGAAAGGAAATAATCCAGAATTATAAGAACGAATCATTTCAGGGCTGGTGTCTTATAATCTAGGTCCCTATATTTGCTGCTTACTGGCAAAATAATGGTCAGGAGAGGTGAGAATCTCCCACAGATTTGTTCCTGCTATAGTCTGCCAAAGGCAAATAAACCTGTCATATCTGTGTTGTAGGTAGGAGCTATGCAGTAAGCTTTTAAAAGCTGAAATTGGTAAACTGTACGTGAAGTGACTTTTCTATTTTTATTTTTTAGTACCTGTAATTGAATCATATGAGAAGCCTATATCACAGAAAAAAATTAAAATAGAACCTGGGATCGAACCACAGAGGACAGATTATTATCCTGAAGAAATGTCACCCCCCTTAATGAACTCAGTGTCCCCCCCGCAAGCATTGTTGCAAGAGTAAGTATATTTAGGTCTACCCAGCATTTGCATAGTAGTGTGCATCTTGGAACCTGGAGCAGAAGCACAAGATTTCACACGTGTGATGTGGTGTGGATGACCAGGAACGGCTTGTGATCTGTGGCCGCCACTGGTCCAGTACCACTGGTCAAGATGGGAGAATCTCTCCAAAAACAATATGCTGTTACACTGACAACGTTATGACAAAAGTTACATCAAGTTTTCATGGAATCAGTCATCCATGATTTTGCACCTTACCACATGAATTATTTTTGTTTTTTTTCCATTCTTCCAGGCTATGTATACTTAGTTTTTCCATTATGAGAATCCTTGTATAGATTAAACTTGGTGTTCTGTGGATCATGTAAAGTTTTCATGTGGACACACATAGTCCTTACAGAGTGTATAGTATCCTGTAGAATTGCTATCCAGTAGGAAGGCTGTGCAGTGTTGGTCAGCATCCAAGCACCTGAATGGTGGTTTCTTGTAGGTCTAACATGGTATAATGTGGTAGTTGCCACACACAGCTTCAGTAACCTCATTTGTGGGATCCTGCTGTAGATAACCTTGACCTCCACCAGTGATTACACTGAAGGCTGGGTTTGTAGTTGCTAAGAAGATGGTTTTCGGGTCCAACAAGGATCCCACCTCTGCTCTCTGCCATATGTATGATCTTGGACTAGTCACTTAATCTTGCTGCCCCATTTCTGTTTTCATTATTGATTGTAGTTGTGATTGTCTTGTGTTATGGTGCTTCAGCATTGGATTCAGCAGCCAGCTTCCTAGTACGAAGGCAACGATTACCTCCACAGGGTCCCTTCCATTGTCCTCCTGCATCATTTTCCTCCAACTTGAATAAATGTTCTACCCACCTTTCTCCTTTATTTTCTCTACCCCCTGTACCCCGCTCCCTCTCACAATTAACTCTACAGCAGAATGTGAATTCTCTGATTTTAGAATAACTATTTTATGGTAACTTCAAATATATCCTAGTTGTATCCACATTCAGCTTGGGTAGGTACCTTCATAGTAGCTCATGGATTAATTGTCCACTGCACCCAATCATAGTCATTTTTGGTTTGGGTTGTCATATGCTCCCCAATAGATGAAGAAGAGAATAACTCTTAGCCGACTTCATCAGCAGGTAGGGAGAGAGTCTCTGATGGAGTTATATTTCATTATTCCTCACAATTGCATAGTGCCCTCTTACCTCAAAAAAAACCTTCCCAGGTGTTTTCAAAGGAATTATTTTATTCCTCCACAACAAGCCTGTGGGAGTCGGAGCAAAAGGCAAAGTGATTACCTGAGACATTAGATAACTCGCCAATATTCACCCTGCTAACAACTGAGGGGCCTTGGGCTTGATCTCCTGCTTCCGAATCAGGGCTTTTCCTGCCATCTTGTCATATCCAACCCATTGCATCTGCTCATGCACTCAAGTGAAAGGAAAAAATGACTAGGCAAAATGGACACATCTTAGAGGTGGAATTAACTCTTTTTTTATGTTGAGGGATGTTTCTGGCAAGGTAACTAGCAACGTGGCCTGCACTTATAGTTGTTCCTGCATGGGTGATGAAAGAGATGCTATAAAACTAAATAAAACCAACTGCCTCCAAGGGAGGGATCCGTTGACTGGACAAGTGTTATTCCAAAGTCTGGGTTATTATGAGTTGCAACGTAAAACATTACATAAGAAGATTTGAAGGCAATATTCTGTGCTCTGAATGCTGCTCAAAAGAAAATACTTTTATTTTAAGTAATATTCTTTTGATGATCTCAAGCTCAGTGGCTTTTAATGATTAATGAGTAATATGCTTATTTTAATGCTGACCTAAGAATACATTCTGCTTCTCAAAAAAACGCAACAGATTAGCCACAGCTGGGACATGTACTCTTTAAGTAATGTTCTCACAGATGTGATTAAGTAACGTCTTGGAGTATGCCCAGTAGCAGCCCACGTAGGAAACCAGCTAGCCAGGAAAGAATCACTTGAAACTAGGCACCCAGTACCACTGCAGTGAGGCAGCCCCAATAATATTTGCCTTAAGAAACGCTTCCTTTCCAGAGGCAGACTTAAAAGTACAGCTTTGAAATCCATTTGCTCGATTGTGGTGTGGCAACTTTAGGATTATTTATAAAGGCACTCAAAGGTACATCAAATTCTATTTGTTACAGATTTACAAAAAGATTTCTTTGTTCTAAATATACAAAACTATATTTAGAACAAAAAGCATAAGGATCAGATTTCCCTATTGAGTTGTGTATGCGAATTATAGCAAACTTAAGAGGGGCTGTCTCAGCTCAAAACAGTGGACAAGATATCTTATATGTATTAGCTCTGTAACTTCTTGGTTATAATAATCCCAAACCATCTCTTTGAAAATGGGAGTGGAGACCAAAAAGTGTGAGATCCCAAGACTCTTCATCTAGCCTTGGCCTGAACCAACATCAGCGTCTTCAGAGATGCGGCAGGTTAACTGTGCTCAGAATGTTTGAGGGACACAGCTCAAGCAGAGATATCCTGGTTTGGGGACATCCTCAAAAAACTCATGAAATTAAACAACCATAGGGTACAAAGTTACAAATAGACTATTTTGAACCTGAAAATATTCATGGCTACCATTTATAGCTTTATCTTGGGAACAGACATTGTTCCGAGATATAACCTTCTGAGATAACATTATTATCATCCCCAGTTTACAGAGAGGAAACTAAGACACAGAGAGGGCGAGATCTTGGCCCAGGATCACAGAGACTGTCAGTGACAGAGCTGGATTTGTAACTGGAGCCCACAGCCTTTCGGTGCACCTTTATGTGTAAAATAAACAACTGGAAAGGGCAGTCAGAATTACTGCACAGAAACGATTAGATTCCCAACCCATAAAATCCAATAATTGGGAGAGATTTCTAAAGTTATCTGAAAAAGATAGTCTCCCAGTATCCCAAAGACATATAAAAGTTTTATAGTTAATAATTAAATTTCTACCCCAGCACTTTATTTCCTGAATTTCTTTTAATGGAAATGAAATATTTTCATTAGATGGCATTAAAGCTGAAAGTTAAAAATAAACTGAACTTTTTTCTTTCTATTGAAGGATTTTAAATGAATAATTCAGCCTTATAAAAACTCTGTCTGTAAACCTCTCACTTTGCTGTGTTCTCTGCTGTTTGCACATATATATATATGTATATATATACACATATATATACACGTATATATATATGTACATATATATACATATATATATACGTGTATATATATGTGTATATATATACATATATATAATTGAAGTCATTTTTCTTTTCTCCCTCCTCACTACTTTATGTTCACTTTTCCATGTATCTAAACTTGGCCTATTTTATCCATCTCTACCACCCTTCCAGGTATTAGAGTAGGAAGGTGAGAGTCAAAACTGACAGTTTCCTTTGCTCATAATAAAGCATGAGCAGTAAATAAATAATGTTTTTTTTAAAAAAAAAAAGCATGAGAAGTAAGGTCACTTAAGAAACACACCTTTTATTCTTTTTCTAGTCACTTCTTAGCATGCCTGAAAAAGTGATTGACAAGGGATGTGTATTCAAATATTTACCAAGACAAGTTTTATACCAAGAGACTCCCTTTTGATTTTTATGGATAAATTTCTTTTATTCTTTTTTTAAGCTCACGAGTTAGAGTGTTTACTCTCATCAAATTCTTTTTTTCCTTTTCACACACCTTTTTTCTCCTCAAACACTTAGGCAAAATATTCCTGTATTATATGGAACATTTTAGGAGCTATAGATTCAAATATGAAAGAGAAAGAAGTCTTTCATTACAGTTAGAGGCCAATGACATACACTTGTGATATATCAAGTAATTAGTCATTAGGAAAGTGAATGAGCAGATTAGAACATTATAATTACTTACATTAATCAGCAGGGGAAGCCTGAGGAACTTAACAGACTTTTCCCAGCTCTTCCTCCATCTCCCTTTTCTCTCCACCACCTTCTTGCTGAAAAAAAGCTTAGATTGTAAGATTTTTAACAGGATTTGGTTTCTAATCCACCCAGGGAAGGTGCAAACTCAGGAATGAGAGAGAAATCAGGAAGGTAGGGAGAACGTCAGGCATGCCATGGGGGAGCCGGCACCACGTGAGCCAGCATCATGGGTGACCACAACACTACATTGAAATTCTCCCTCATACAGGAATCACAGTGACAGTGGAGGTTTGAGTTTGTGAAGACAGCAATGCCAACTTTTTTGTTGTTTTTTGGAAGAGCTGGCATTTGAAAATTGCACATGAATTGGCAGTCTCTAAGGGACTCCAATTAAATGCCAATTACATAAAGGATAAAAACGTAGATATACCCTACAATGTGGTTTCCTGAGACTTAGGAGTTTGATCTTTTCCATTTTTCCCTAGCCAACAATAATGAAAATCAGAGCAGCCTGTGAAAAAATATAGTGTTCAGCATTGCCTAGAACCACAAGATTCTATAAGTAGGCAGAAGTTGACTGAGGAAAAGAGCCTCCCCAGCACTTGGTGCCTGCCTCTAGCATAGCACTTAACCCTTCTTACTGTCATTACTTATCTCCATGTCTGTCTCCCCCTAGAGTGTGAGCTCCTCGAGGGCAGGAACCCTGTTTTTATTCATCTTTGTGTCCCGGTGCCAAGCACAGTGCCTGGCTCATGGTAGGTGCTCACTCAATGTTTGTTGAATGAATATAGCAGTGCTTCTTGGGTTGATCAGCTAATTTCTTTTTGTTTATTTTGTTGGGATTTTTTGTTTGTTTGTTTTTGCCCAGTGTTGTTAATGCTTTTAGTAGACTGATGAAAAAGGAAGAGCGTGCTCTCAACATTTGGCCTGTAACCTTGGCTTTCACAGGAATCACCCTTCGGTCATCGTGCAGCCTGGGAAGAGACCTTTACCTGTGGAATCCCCGGATACTCAAAGGAAGCGGAGGATACACAGATGTGATTATGATGGATGCAACAAAGTGTACACTAAAAGCTCCCACTTGAAAGCACACAGAAGAACACACACAGGTAATAGAAACACCAGACCCACTTCATCTTTCTTCTTAAGAAGTATTAGAATGGAATGCAAAGGTTGTTACGATCAAAGTTTTCAGGCATCTTGAAAGTCACCACAGTCATCTCCAGATGTGTCTTCTCCAGATTAGTTGTGCAGAATGAAGATATTGCTAATGATTTGCCTTTGTAATAAGTTAGAATAGATTCAAAGTAATCCCCAAAACAAGGCCACTCACAATCACTTGCAGTTCTGTGCTCTCTAGCAAAGGAGGGAGAAAGGGTTGGAGCCTTCGCCGCTGGAATGGGGGAAGTGCTTTCACAGTCAAGGATGTGGCCTTCCTGTGAGCTATTTCACATACCTGCATTGTAAATTCATGAGAGCGAACAGTCTTTGTGCAGCACAAATTAATGCAACAGTTTAACACAAACAATTCAAATAGAAGACTGTCCTTCAAGGAAAGAAAAGTGAAGAAATGTGGTTAATATTTGTCTTCTAAACTTGAGGGAACTCTTATGCCGTTGCCTACCATATTTGTTCTAGGATTTCTTCCATCTCGCCCAATACTGAATATAGAGCATGAGCAGCCAGATCATATAAAAGTCATTACATGGCCGAGAAAAATGTGAAATTGGTCTCAGTGCCAAACATTTTGGTAGTAAAACATCTTAAGGAAATAATACAAAAATGTTTTAACAGCCAGGTGCAGTGACGTGCACCTGTGGTCCCAGCTCCTTGGGAGGTGGAAGCAGGAGGATTGTTTGAGCCCAGGAGTTCAAGTCCAGCCTGGGCAACATAGGGAGGCCATGTCTCTAAAAAATATTAAAAATGACATCTTTTAACAGCCTGATTGACCATTAGTAGTGGTGATGTATGTACAGTAAGGCTCATCTCACCTCAAACTCTTTGATGTGGAATTCTAGTTTGACAGCAGTTTGCATCTGTGTACATTTTCCTTAGCAGTGTAGGTTGCTTTTCTGAGTCTTGCAAATCATTTTTACTCAGAAAATTTACAAAGAGGAATCTGAGGTTTGGAAGAGAAAAGGGAAGGAAAGTGGCAAAATGGAAGTGAAGTTTTTAAGTGAATCCTGGGAGGAGGCAGAGGAAGCTAACACCCACAGAGAGAGCTGAGGGTGATAGCCTTGTATCTAGAGCAACGCCCAAACAGCAGTGCAAATCGATGATTACTGAGGGCATCCTTGAGGCATTAGTGGGACCGAAGAGGTGGATGTTACCCACTTCCAGCCTAAAATTAAAAGGACATTGAATATTTGGGTGACAGTTTAGATGTAGGAAAAAAAAAAAAAAAAAAAAAACGCCTCTTTGTGTGTGTATTCTGTACCAGGAAGCAGATAATAGAAATCCTGCATATCTCATTCAAATGCCAAGGAATGGTAATCCCTCAAGGCTTCTAGAGAACAAAGGGTGTTAAATGGGAGTTAATTTTGTCATACTCATGACCCTTATGACTAATTTAAAAGGTAAGATTGCCATAACAGCCTTTTTATTTGTGAGGGTCTCCCTTCATCCTGGTTCTCCCCATCATTTTCTCACAAGGAGCTTTTGTTCCTCATCTGTAAATGATCCTTATCCTACAGGAGGGGGTTGTGAAAACCTGGCTCAGGACAGATGGGGAAGAATTCGTATATTTTAGTACCCCTGAATTAAAGCATTATACTTAGGCCTAATTGTTATTGACTAAACAAGAAAATAAGATGTTAATCCCTAACAGATACTTCAGTTGTTAGAGACTTCATATTTTTGGAAAACTATTGAAAAGTTTAAGAAAATCCCACAAACTTTCAATTTGGAGTTCTCATTATCTCATTAAATGAATAGCACTGCATATAATTAAGCTCCCAAGCAGGTTTAAGATTTGGGAGATGTGCAAATACAGATCACCATGTGTTCATTCACTATTTGGTAGTCCCTCAGAATGGATTTCAGTGACTCTGTGTTTTAAGAACTCTTAAAATTCTCCTCCCGTTTTTTTGGCAGAGAGCCAATGAAACATTACGGTATTAGTTCATTTTCTTCTTGCTTGTCTTGCAGTAGTTTATAATGCACTGTGTTATTGAAGAACAAATGTATGAACATATCTTGGAAATAATATTTGTCAAGCATTAACTCAAAGATCTTTACTACCTTTACAGAAAAAAAAAATAGCTCTTTTCTTTTTCCTTTTGCAGGAGAAAAACCCTACAAATGTACATGGGAAGGGTGCACATGGAAGTTTGCTCGGTCTGATGAACTAACAAGACATTTCCGAAAACATACTGGAATCAAACCTTTCCAGTGCCCGGACTGTGACCGCAGCTTCTCCCGTTCTGACCATCTTGCCCTCCATAGGAAACGCCACATGCTAGTCTGATTGCCTCTGTGTCCTGCCTCAGCGTGACTCCCCACTCACCTGGCTCTCTCTCTGTCCTGCCTCCCATTATCTAACACATTTTTTACATGTACATTTTAATTTGATTCAGCTGGTCTGAATCTCTGAATTTATATCATCCAAAACTTCCATATGGTCAGTAGTAGATGTTCTCTAATCCTCCCTCTCCTTACCACGGGTCAGACCTAAAGAATGTGAACACTTTTTTTTTTTTTTCTGGGGATGCTAAGCAAACCCTTCTTACAGATACGTTTAATGTAATAAGAACAAGGGAACATGTAAACTAACATAACCAATTGTCAGTTCTCCATGTATTCCTCAAAAGAATGTCAGAGTAAATGTATTAGAAATACAGTATCCAGACTGCTAGTCCTTGCCAGAGACATTCTTACCTCTGCCCTGTGATAATATTTTATGCTTGACAGTGAAAACAAGTGTGGCCCCTTGCACCGGTTAGCTAGAAGTACAGCCAGATTTCAAGCTAGTGCAGTCACCTCTTCCGTCATTCTTCACAAATCTTGTCAACCTGGATCTTAGACTTCATCTGAATCGAGTTCTTTGCCCTCCTTTGTGCCTGCAGCTCATATGGAGGTCTTTGCCACCAATGGGAGATGAGCCCAAACTTTCGATCTAGGTGGGTGATGTGTAGCAGTTCAAGGGAAGGGTGCTGTGTTTTCATAGCATGGAGTCGGAGGAGAGGGCCATTTAGCAGGGGGAGCAGAAGAGGCAATTCCTCCTGGGCTAGGGGTTGTCAGTGAGGTTTCAACATTTTGTTAGCTGTGTGCAGCATTCCCAGAGCTTCAGTCTCTGTGCATACTCAGCTTTGTAGAACCATGCTGCAAAGCCATATACCGATGGGGTTATCCATGCAACTATCTCCATTCCTACAATGTCCTTAATATGAGATCATCAAACATTGATAGTAGGGACTCCATGGAATATTTGCCCAGTAATGGTAAGAAATCTTTCGGGTAAGAGTATGGATGGTTCTTCTTTTACCCAATCTGCTTATAGCTTTTTTTGTAAACAGGGAAATGTTGAGTGGTACTTGTATTCCCTTATCAAATTAATCACATAGCTTTTATACAGAAACTCTTCCTGTGTGAGCTGTTAAGGTGCCAAATTGGCTGTCATTTGTATTCATGACACATACCATAAAGCATCTGCTAATGCTTTAATGGATTGATTCAATTAAGACCTGAGTGACACTATTTGTAAATATAACTAGTTGTGAAGCACACATACCTTTATTTTGGGAATTTATGAGAAAATATAGAAAACCACAGATCAGGGATTCATATATGTAGCTCAAAAATTCCCAAAAGTTTACTGTTAGAGTTGGCAATTTCCTATCACTATTTCAGTGTCAGAACAAACTGAAAATAATGGCTCGTGTTTATGTTGAAGATAAATAGCACCATTATTGGGGGAAGTTATTCAAAAGCAGGCTTTTGAGCACCATAGTCTAAATGCCAATAAAAATAATTCATACATAGAAATGTCATTGGTCCTGAATTTGAAGAAAGTGAGCAACAGTAGTTAAATGTGGGTGCATATAACCAAATTCCCCTTCATCAAGAATGGAGGAGAAGAGAGAAGAATGAAATCCTGAAGATTCATCCCAGCCGCAACTCAGGATCCAACACAACTTTAACTGGGAGGAATACATTGTTTGATCATTTTTAAAACATCTGTGAATGAGTGATTCCGGAGGCCTGTGAATTGTGTGGGGAGCTTGCTTTGATGGCACTGTGTTAATAAAAGTTGTAGGGACTGTGCACCTAAGAGGCTAAGAGGTCCCACTCATCCGCCCTGTGAACCAGCTGTAAAGAAATGTAGTTAAGAAATGCAAAGAAATGTGTTATCTTGGCACTTGGGTTTGATTTTCCTTTTTTTAAAGCACTGCAAAACTTCTTTAGGATACTAAAACATCCTAATTGGGCTGTTTTTTTGTTTTGTTTTGTTTTTCAGCTAAAGGCAAAGATAATTTTTTTTTCAGCTGAAGTTTTTCTTTTTTGCAACTATGACATGAATTGAGTGATAAAATGGCTCTTTGAAAAGTAGATATTGTCTGTATTGTAAATGCTTAGTCATATTCATGGCAAAGTGTTCATTTCTTGAGATGGTTCTTTCACAACACACAAGAATCAAGATGGAACGCAAGGAAAATCTTTTTGTTTTGACCGAGGTAACCAGTTTATGTGTGTTCCAATCCATAGAGAAGTGGGGGAAAGGGCGAGAAAGGATCAGATTGATCTGGGATCAGCTTTGAGCCTGAGTTCAGTGAATAGCCTCATGGGCATCTCATGGAATTGATGCATTTGCTGTGGCATATTTAAATTTTGTTCAAAAGATTTGAAGCAAGACCTTGCAAAGACTCTTAACATTACTGTTCAGCTTGCTTAGATTGTGTTAACAGTTCATTTAACAAAGATCCGTTTTAACTCTGAACAAAAGCAACCCAGAGCGGCCATTCTCTATTCCCATGCTGGTCAATACGCTTTCATTACCAATTGGCCCTTACCAAACTTTTCTTATATATATATTTGTATTTTACTATGATAGTTGAGAAATTTAGCCTCTTAGTCATTTTTAGCTGTTATTGTGGAAGACCTCAAATACAAGATTAGATGCCCTTGAACATGTTTTAATGATGTGTGTCATGTTACTATCAATGGTGATTTCAATCGCAATATTTTAAATTGATGAGAATGATTTGTAAACATGAAGTTACTATTACGTAAATTCTGTTTGTTATAGAGTTTCTTCAGTTGTTACCCAAGTGTCATCCTAGAGAAGTCAGAAGAATCAGAATCCATCGTATTTTAGAGTTATGTGAATCTACATCATAAATGGGCATTAACATTCTAAATTGCTTGGTTTGGAGAATGTGTTAGCAGCATAGCTATATTCAACTAGGGAGATGCTAAATACACAGAAGTTTCAAGAGCCTTGGAACAGAATTACAGGGGAACTATATATGTATATGTATATTTTATTAAACACCCATCTGCACTATCAGTATTGCACTAATGTGGAATTTGAAAGACTATTTTGCTGATACTGTATATATGCGCATCATTCCTGATTAGATTGTTGTAAAGACAATCTGAAAGATCTAAGGTTTTAAAATAATTTGGTTTGAAAATATACAGTTGTCTTGAAGGAATTGCTGTCATACATGAAGTTGCTCCGAGCTGTCTTTATTCTCTTCTTGGTCAAGGTTAACAATTGCTAAATGATCGCAAATTCACCTAAACAATACATTTACAAAGCCATCTTTACATGCATTAAACGAGGGCTACAACAATATTGTTTTACAAATACTAGCACTTTTTTTTCTGTTATGTACTTAGTGTTAGAGGGTCAAAATAATCTTTCTGCTTAGCATCTCTTAAACCATACCTGCAAATATAGCAGGATTATTACATTTACAGTACTTTAATACTTGTATAAACTATGCAGAAATTTTTAATAAAGTGTAATATATTTTATAAGCTAATAAGACTGAATGGGTAAAGGTTTTTAGCATGCATTAGTATACTTGCAGATACTGAAACATTTTGGTAATCTTTCTTACTAAAGATGTGAATGTTTAATGTACCTTCTCTGTTTCTACTCTGTAGTCCAATGGGAATTCAGTAATGACATTTTGTCATGTCAAACTGTGAACATAAATTTGTACTGTACAGTCCTCATATACTATATACAGTATGCAATATATATTATATACTTGTTAATAAAACCATCAGAATATTAAATGTGATCATGTGATTACTTCATATGCAGTGATCACTAGAGCAAAACTTACAGAGCAATGTAAGAACCCTTGCTTAGAACATTACTTACTCTGATGGGCAGTTATTGTTGATGGAGGGACAGAAAAATAGATCTAACTGGAAGATGAACTACCGGAATTAACTCAGCCCTCAAGCTATGTCCCTGGTTTTCTGAAAACAGCCAACAGGAAGTCTCCTAGGCTGAAATCATAAAACTGCAGACAATCCAGCAAAAATCTACAAACTCACCTAGTTCATTCTTGAAATACTTCTTGTATTTGTTATTTATGAACCCCTGCCTGCTTCCAAAAAGAACTTGCAGCATTTTGTATTAAAAGACGCATGTGTATAATACTTTAAACTTTTAGAGTAAAATATCAAGACTCTCATGTTGGGGAGTGGGGAACGAGGAACAGAACAATAACGCATTAAAGTAAATAACTCTGGATAAAAGTAATTATTTTTCAAGCCTTTAGTAACCATGTTCATGGACACTGCATTCTCCAGCATCACATGAAGAAGAAGTAGTTTCCGATAGGGATTTAGAGTTGAGTTTTGTTTTGTTTTGTTTTTGTTTTTGTTTTTGTTTTTGTTTTTTGAGACAGTCTCGCTGTGTTGCCCAGCCTGGAGTGCAATGTTGTGATCTCACTGCAACCTCTGCCTCTTGGGTTCAAGCGATTCTCCTGCCTCAGCCTCTTGAGTAGGCGGGACTACAGGTGCACGCCACTGTGCCCAGCTAATTTTTGTAATTTTAGTAGAGATGGGTTTTCACCGTGTTGGCCAGGCTGGTCTCAAACTCCCGACCTCAAGTGATCCACCCGCCTTGGCCTCAGAAAGTGCTGGTATTACAGGCATGAGCCACTGCACCCAGCCAAGGATTTAGAGTTCTTTTGTTTAAGGCAAAATGTAATTACCTCTCCTCTTCCCTCTGCATCCCTGCAATGTAATTGAAACTGAGGCTAGCTTGTTAGATCTCAGCAGTTTCCTCCAGCCTGGACTTCATCTTAGCAAAACACAAGATAATGTCTGGCCAGCACTTCCCACATGACTTACTTTCACAGGTTGGAGATGAAAGGAGGTTGGGAGAAGGCTAAATTCAGCCTTTGGGGCACTCTCCAGCCTTCTCTGGGGAACTTCTCTGTTTTTATACCAAGATAGTTGATTGCAAGATCAAAAGCAAGTGTATATGACTATAAATCCTAATGGAATATTGGCTTGAATTAGTCCAGTTGACTGGCTGTAATCCTTCCACTATATTTCTTTTTTGTTTGTTTGTTTGTTTTTGAGACAGAGTCTAGCTCTGTTGCCCAGGCCGGAGTGCAATGGCACGTTCTTGGCTCATTGCAACCTCCACCTCCCAGGTTCAAGCGATCCTCCTGCCTCAGCCCCCGTAGTTGCTGGAATTACAGGCACGTGCCACCATGCCCAGCTAATTTTTGTATTTTTAGTAGAGACGGGGTTTCGCCATGTTGGCCAGGCTGGTCTCAAACTCCTGACCTCAGGTGATCCACCCACCTCAGCCTCCTAAAGTGCTGGGATTACCGGCGTGAGTCACTGTGCCCAACCCTTTCATTATATTTCTTATGCATGACTTGACACTTGCTGAGTTCAAAGTAAGATCCATCCTTCTAGGAAGAATTGTTACAAGCTGGATTCTGCCCGGGTGAATGATGAGGATGGTAACAAATGTGGATTCTATGAGAAACTAAATTCTTTGGGGAAAATGGTTGAACAAATTTAAGATGTTCCAAACAAAAAAATATATATAACCATTTCCCATTACAGTCAGCCCTCTGTGTCCATGGGTTCCGCAATACAGATTCAACCTAGGGCGAATAGAAAATATTCAGGAAAAATTAAAAAAAAAAAAACACTACAATAATAATACAAATAAAAAGAACACGGTATAATAGCTATTTACATTGCATTACATTGTATTAGGTGTAAAATCCAGAGAGAATTTAAAATATACAGGAAGATGTGCATCAGTTGTGCAAATACTATGCCATTTTATGTAAGAGACTTTAGCATTTGAGGATTTTGGTCCCTGGGGGTCCATGCATACCGACGGATGACTATATTTTAAATGCTATCAGGTTAAGAAAGCAGGATTAGGAGGCTTACTGTGGGCCAAGTAAGATTATCAATTCTAATCTGAAAGAGAAGAAATGGCTGTGTTCAGGGACGGATACTGCTAAAAGATAAACTTGGGCACATTAAAATCTTAAAAGAGTTTATTTGAGCAGACAGCAATTCATGAATCTGGCAGTACCAGTTGCAAACAGTTGCCTGATTCCAGGAGACTGAATAAGCTGTTCTCAGAAGCAAAACAAATTATTTGATGGTTGAAGTCGAAAGTTTGTAGTTAGAGGTTAGTTGGCAGTTTCTAATTGGTTAAGATTGTTTCCCTAGGCTATGATCATTCCCTCTCATTTGGGCTTTGGTTTGCTTACACGGAAACCAAGGCATGGGAGCGGTCTCTGCCTAATGATCTCCCAATTCAATTATCAAAACAATGGATTGAGATGGAAGTAAATACATACACATATACATGTAAAAGTTAAACTACTAGAGACCTGACTTACCGGTGTGTATGCATAAAACTCAACAATGAATTTTCCTTCAAGTGTACATTCATTTTAAGAATGTAAACGGAACCTGGTACCATTTCCTATTGTCTGAGCAGATCATAGTCACACTAGTTAGTAATAGTGCAGTATGTAGAGAGAGTGACTCCGAAATTAGAATAACATGTGCTGTAAATTAGAATTATTTTTAAACTTATGGGGAAGTGGGAGGTTGATTCTCACCAAGTCCAGATATGCTTATTGGTTTGAGAGCTTCTGCTCATTATATCTCTGGTTTTGCATTCCCTACAGGCACCCTGAGTGGTGGGGTTAAGAATAGAAAACGGAAGCTGGATCTTCAGGCTCCTGGATCATGGCTGTTTCACACTGCATGCACTTAATGAATTCGATGTTTCTTCCTTTTCTCATGATTCAGGAACTCTAAGAACTTGGTGTTTAAAGAACTCAGAAAGGTGGCTCTTGGGGACTTTCAAGCCTTGCTGATCTGCTCCAGAAGAGGTATCACCTCCTGCTGCAAAGTACAAGAGCTTGCCTGTCAGTTACACATCTCCAAAGCTATGTTCATGTGTTCCCTCAACTAAAATAATATCCCACCCACACATTCACCACCAGAATGAGATCCTCATGGCTGAGCTGGGAATTGCTCGTCTTTATGAAGACATTGTTAGATGGTAGTTTGTTTCCAAACCAAGCTAGAGTCCACTAGTCCAGTGCAGTAAGACCAAACATCCACACCAAGGTTTTGCAGCAGGAGAAAGGAGGGCATTTATTTGCAGGGCACCAAGCAAGGAGAACTGGGCAGCTCATGCTTAAAACCCAACCTTCCCCGTGACTTTTAATTAAGCAAGGGTTTTAAAGGCAAAGGTAAATTTCAGGAAAGCAAAAGTTATAAGCAAAATCTTAAATGTATCCATGGAGTTTATACATTGGGTTGGCCTAAAAAGATGGGATATCTTGCAGTGGGGCTGTACAGGTCATAGGGAGATTCAGAGATTTTCTGATTTGCAATTGATTAAGGAAGGGAAGATTTATCTGAAGACTTGGGGTCAGCAGAAACGAATATTAGGTCTGGCCCATGGGTGTGACTTCCTCCAGGATCCTCAGGAAGAACTTTAGAACAAAGAGCTATGGTCAGAGCTCGGTCCTTAGTTCCCCCTTATCTGAGGTCTACATGCCAGCAGATGGCATTTTCCATTTGGTGGAGTTCTGGGTTTCTGAAAAGCAACTGAGGGACGTGAGTTAAAATGTTATCTTTAGTTTCTACAGGGAACCAAACATCTGGTAACTCTAACCTCCTTGGCTATGGTTTAATGCTACTATTACCTTCTTGCTTATCAGGTTGCTCATTTACTTCTCATGGCTAGCTAGGTGCCTGGAATTCCCCTTAAAGGAACTCCAGAATTTCTTTTATTTCCATTCTTGGGGGCCCAACAGGCCTCTCAGAGAAGTTGGTGATCCATCTCAGTTTAAGGAATAGGTGAGCCTGAGTTCTGCTCCTACCTCTGACCCTAACTTCTCTCTCTCGCCCCTTCACAGCCAGCTAATCGCTTCTGAGGCCACTTCTGGGTCTTTTCTCTTCTGTCCATTGCCATTGAGCTCCTGTGTTTCTCACTGGGGCTAGAACAGAAGTGTCTTCACTCTCCCACTTCAATCATTCTCCACCAGACACCAAAGCCATCTTTCCCAAACTAAGAGCTGACTGTTATGCCCCTCTGCTTAGAATCCTTCCATGGTCCTCACTGTACTGAAGCTGGTTCTTCTTAATTCAGCCCTACCCCCCTTTAAAGCCTCATCGTTTATCATTAAACTTTTGTTTTCATTTTCCTGTTTTTTTCTAAGAACCTTCAAACACCTCCCATACTCAGTGAGATTGATAGGTGCACAAGGCATTCAGGGAGATACAAAACTCTTACTCATTTGTCAAAATCCCACTCAAAAGTTACCTATTCTTTGAGCTTTCCTTGAATGAACTCCACTCACCCTCTCTGCGGAGATACTCTCTCCCTACTTCTTTTTTTTTTTTTTTTCTTTTTGAGACGGAGTCTTGCTCTGTCACCCAGGCTGGAGTGTAGTGCCGTGACCTTGGCTCACTGCAACCTCCACCTCCCAGGTTCAAGCGATTCCTCAGCCTCCTGAGTAGCTGGAATTACAGGTACACACCACCATGCCCGGCTATTTTTTTTTTTTTTTTTTTTTTTTTGTATTTTTAGTAGAGACAGGGTTTCACCATGTTGGTCAGGCTGGTCTTGAACTCCTGACCTCGTGATCCACCTGCCTCAGCCTCTCAAAGTGCTGGGATTACAGGTGTGAGCCACTGCGCCTGGCCCTCTCTCCCTACTTCTTTCTGTAACCACATAATCCTTGAGTTTCCCTCAATTTTCAGCACTTATCACCCTGCATGGTCAGTCTGTCCATCTGTCTCCTTCCCTCCCTAGATCTCAGATCACCCTAATATGATTCTGTTCTGGGTGTCCAGTGTCCAATCCCCAGCACCAGGCACAAAGCATGCCTGGGTGTGTGTTGGAAAGTGTGCTACGGAAGGTGTGTTGAATGAGCGAATGGGTACTAATAGCTAACATTAAGTGAACACTTACTATATATTTTGCACTATTCTAAGCAATTTGCAGCCATTAATTAGTTTAATTCTCAACACTGTAAAGCATGTAACCATTATCATTTTCTTTTTACAGATGGAAATTGGGGCACAGACAGATTAAGTAATTTACCCAAGGTCACAAAGATAGGAAGCGGGAGAACCAGCTTCAAATTCAGGCCTCCTATGTCCAGAACCTGCTGTCTTAACTATTATATGGGTCTCTGGCCTTGGTGGCCCTCAGGCCATTTCGTGCTTCCTCTCAAATTTCAACCCAGGTGTGCTATGGGTTGAATTTTTTTCATACTTTTACTGTACTGAGCCATCTGCTGGGATACCCTCCCCCTCCATCCCAGGCCACACTCATCCACCCCTTCACTAGAAAAATACTGCTAATTCTTCAGTACTTGTAAAGCCAGAAATCCCCAATGGGTAAAGGAAGGGGGAAATTTGCTGGTTTCTATAAATAAGAGGTTTGAGATATACAAATACATATACTTGTATATATGTATACATACATATACTTGTCTATATATGTATCTCTATGTATGCGTACATATATACGTATATATGTACGCGTACATATATATATGGGATTACACCTGTAATATACAAAATATGCAAAAATTAGCTGGGCATCCCATACATATATATATATGCTTATATGTATATGAATATATATCTACATATGTATATGTATATATGTATATGTGTATGTGTATATTCATATATATATATTTAAAAAATTATTTTTTCTGAGACACCGTCTCACTCTGTTGCCCAGGCTGGAGGGCAGTGGTGTCATCTCAGCTCACTGCAACCTCTGCCTCCTGGGCTCAAGTGATCTTCCCACCTTAGCCTCCTGAGTAGCTAGGACTACAGCCACGTGCCACCATGCCCAGCTAATTTTTGTATATTTTGTACAGATGGGGTTTTGCCATGTTGCTCAGGCTGACCTTGAACCCCTGGACTCAAGAAATCCACCCGCCTTGGCCTCCCAAACTGCTGGGATTACAGGTGTGAGCCACTGTGCCTGGTCTCGATTTATTTTTTTTTATGTCAGGTGAAGTGTATCTTTAGATAAAAATCATTCTTTTTAGTGTACATTCAGTCATATCATTACAATGAAGACATAGAACAATTCCATCCCTTCTTAAAATTCCCTCAGGCTCCTTTATACTCACCCATCCTCCAGGCCTATTTTATTTCCCTGTAATTTCACCTCTTACATATGTTTGTGTCACCTTTTTGAGTCTGGTGTCTATTGTTTCACATTATGTATTTGAGATTCAACTATGAGGTTACATGTATCAGTAAGTTTTTCCTTTTAATTATTGAATAAGGATATACAACAATATGCTTATACATTTACCAGTGGAAGAATATCTGGATTATCTTCAATTTGAGGCAATTATGAATAAAGCCACCATAAATATTCATGTGCAGGTATTATTAACTTTTTTGTTCAATTTTTGGGTTTTGTGTTCCTTACTCTTGGGTAAATACTTAACAGTGGGATTGCTAGATTGTGTGCTAAGTAAATATTTAGCTCTTTAACAAATTGCCCTACTCTTTTCCAGAGCAGCTATGCCATTTTGCATTTCCACCAGCAATGTATGAGAATTCCAAGGTATTCTACAACCTCACCCACACTTGGTATTGTCAAGTGTTTTGTTTTGTTTTATCCAACCGAATAGGTGGGGCAGTATCTCATTGTGGTTTTAATTTGCATTTCCTTCATGACTTATGATGAGCATCTTTTCATGTGCCTATTTGCCAGCCTTGTATCTTCTTTAGTGGAGAATCTCTTAAAATCTTTTGCACATTTTGTATTGGGTTGTTTGTTTTCTTATTATTACATTCTGAGAAGTCTCTGCACATTCTAGATATGCGTCATGTTTTGCTAATATTTTCTCCCAGTCTGTGGTTTGTCTTTTCATTTTCTTAACAGTGGTTTTTGAATAGAAGATATTTTTAATTTTGATAAAGTTTAATTTATCAATTTTTTTTCTTTTATGAATCATAATTTTTGTGTTCTAAGAAATCTTTCCCTAACCCAAGGCCACATACATTTTCTCTTATTTTCTCCTTCTAGATTTCTTATGGTTTTAGGCTTTACATGTACATCTATGATCTATTTGGGTTTAATCTTTGCACATAGATATAATTTATGAATTAAGGTTCATATGTATGTCCAATTGTCCCAGCACCATTTATTGAAAAGACTTTCCTTCTCCATTAAATTGATTTTGCATGTTTGTCAAAAAATCAACTAACCATACATGTGTGGGTCAGTTTCTGGATTCTCTGTTGCGTTCCATTAATCTATGTGTCTATCTTTTCACCAAGACCACACTATTTTAATTACAGTAGCTTTACAACAAGTCTTCAAATTAGTATGAATTCGCTAACTTTGTTATTCTTTTTAAAAATTATTTTGGTTGTTCTAGCTCCTTTGGGCTTCCATTTAAATTTTAGGAACAGTTTATCAGTCTTTCAAAACAAAAGACTGCTGGGATTTTGCTTGGGATTACATTGAATTTATAGAACAAATGAATCTTTCCATGTAAAAACATGGTCTATTACTCCATTTATTTAAGTCTTCTTTGATTTCTTTCATCAGTGTTTTATGGGTTTTGCATACAGGTTATGGACATATTTAATTAGATTTATACTTAAGGTTTCTGTTGTTGTTCTGTGCAAGGGATTGAGTTTAGCAGTCATAGAGGGACAGATGACAAGTCCTGGCTTTGAATGAGATGGACAGTTAAAACTAAGACCCTCTACATAAATCTCTGAACATAAGCAAACACAAAACACTGCTGGAAGAACATACTTAACCCATGACACAGAGAGTTTTCACAGAGAAAGCTCTACTTTAAGTTCACAAGCCAAGCTAACAAAACTCATAAAGAAACATATATTATAAGCAAAAGCACAGATGCTGCAAAGACCACAACACCAGAATTTCCTATGGTAGAACTGTCAGAACACTGTAAGTATGTTTAAAGACATAACAGGATTAATCAAAGCCCTAAGAAAATGGGTATCTGGAAAAGGGTTCCAGTCACAATATTAATAAATGGATTCATTCCACACTATTCCTTCTGCTAATTACCTCCCAAAGTGCTGGGATTCTGGGCATGAGCCACTGCACCTGGCTGACTATAACAGTTATATCAAAGGGGTCCAGCCTACAGAGCCATTCTCTTCCTGGTCTTTTGGGCAATGGGTGAGGGGAGTGCTGCACCTCTTACAGTGTTTACCTGGAGTATAAAAGTGGTTTTTTTTGTTTTGTTTTGTTTTTTAGATGGAGTCTCGCCCTGTCCCCCAGACTGGAGTGCAGTGGCGCGATCTCGGCTCACTGCAACTTCCGCCTCCAGGATTCAAGTGATTCTTCTGCTTCAGTCTCCCTAGTAGCTAGGACTACAGGCACCCGCCACCAGGCCCAGGTAATTTTTGTATTTTTAATAGAGACGGGGTTTCACCATATTGGCCAGGCTGGTCTTGAACTCCTGACGTCGTGATCCGCCCACCTCGGCCTCCCAAAGTGCTGGGATTACAGGCCTGAGCCACCGTACCCAGCCAACAGTGTTTTTAAAAATTTTTTTAAATTAGAGATGAAGGGTCTTGCTATGTTGCTCAGGCTGGTCTCGCACTCCTGGACTTAAGCCATCCGCCTGCCTTGGCCTCCCAAAGTGCTGGGATTACTGCACATAAGCCACCACATTGGCTTTCAATTATAGAATGAGGGAGAGGATTATAGAGAGCAGGGAGCAGAAGGAAAAGATATTTTAAACCCACGTCTGAAGTCCCTGGCTCATCTGTGGGTAGCCCAAGCATCAAGCTGACCAGAATCAACACAGAAGAAGCTTTGAGAATTGAACTGCAGCATGGAATATCACCATGTTTCAAAATGACCTCTGTGCACACTGTGGCTGACCAGAATCATACTACAAAGCTTCAAAATTTAAGTTAACATTCAAACCACAGCCCACAAAAGTGGGCCAGGATGTGTGCTCTAAATCTAAATGGGTGGATGGCCAGCTAAAATAGAAGATTTAAACAGGAACCAGAGTCTCATAACAGTACACACAGAGTTTCTAAGACATAATCCAAAATTACTCAGCATAGCCAAGAACCAGGAAAATCTTACCTTGCATGAGAAAAGAAATCGACACTAACACTCAAAGGACAGAAACGTTGGAATTATCTGAAAAGGGTTTTAAAGTAACTATTATAAAAATTCTCCTAAAAGCAATTATGAACACTCCTGGAATAACTGGAAAACTAGAAAATCTGAGCAAGAAATACAAGACACAAAAAAGAATCAAAAGGAGATTTTAGAACCAAAAAGTATAATATTCAAAATAAAAAACCCACTGGATGGGCTTAATGACAGAATGGAGGTTACAGAGGAAAGAGTAATATGAAGATAGATCAATGCAAATTATCCAATCCGAACAACAGAGAGAAAAATAGATTGAAAAATTAATGAACACAGGCTAGGGACCTGTAGCACAATATCAAAAGATCTAACATTCGGAATTCCAAAGAGGGAGAAGAAAGTTCAGGGCTAAAAAAATTTTGAAGAAATAATGTCTGAAAATTCCTCACATTTGTTGAAAGATCAAAAAAAACTACAGGTTCAAGAAGGTCAGCAAACTCCCAAAAGATTAAACCCAAAGAAATCTCTACCCAGATATATCATAATCAAACTGCTGAAAACTAGACAAATAAAAAAATGAGGGGTCAGGCATAACCTGCATGAAGCACGGTATTGAATTTTTGCATCCACAACTAGATAGATACTAAATACTAGAATTGTAAGTGGTTTTATTTGTATTAAAACATTTAATATTTTATTTTTGCCAAAAAATAAATAAAACTTCTTAGCTTCTCCCTCTGCCCAATCCTGTTCCCCTCATTTTCATGCAAGACTTATTTATTGCAGATGTTTCCCCCCCTTTAAACCACCTGCATGCAAATCTCTGTCTCAGAATGTATTTCCAGGGAACCTGACCTAGACATGTGCCAACTGGCACAGAGGTAGAAAGAAACGGCCCCCTGCCTCCTCTTTCAGATGTTGGTATAGTGAGACAAGCAAATGGTTAGCTTGCTGATAGATACTATTATTAAATGTACAAACGTGTCAATAAATTTATAATTTATTTTAAATATCTTTGATTTCAAATTGTAGATATTTAAATACATAATGGTATTTTCCCTTGTATTCTTGCCCCAGGTCCCACAAATATTTAGAGTAAGTCTGCCCTTCCTTCTTGATTTCTATTATATTTTCTAGTTTCTGGTATAGAGGAACATTATTGGTTTTATAATATCATCTTGTATCTGGCAAACAGGCTGAGCTGTCTAATTAATTCTATTACTTTGCCTGATGATGCTATTGGTTTGCTGTTATTGTTTTTAACACCTGTAATAACTACAGTAATAACTATTTAATTTTCCCCCAACCCCCTCCATCTTCATTTCTTTTATGCTTTTCTCATTTCTCATGGTATTGGCTAAATTATGCAACACCATATTAAGCATTAGTAGCTACCATCTGGCATCCTTGTCTTACAGTGATCTTCATGGAAGTGTGTCTAAAATGGCTCCAATAAGCATGATTTCTGTTACAGGATTTTTGTCATATAACATTTACCTGGGTAAAACTGGTTCCTTTCTTTTTCTAGTTTTCTGAGTGTTTTCATGTAAATGGGTATTGAACTTTAACAAATGCTCTTTCTGCATCTATTTAGATATAGGATTTTTCTCCTTTAGACCATTAATATGATAAATGACAGTGATAGATTTTTTTAATGTAGAACCATCCTTGCATTTCTTGTATAAAGCTTGCTTGTTCACAGGATATATAAATATGTAGTTTTAATAAAACGTAAAATTTGGCTAGCTGATGTTTTATTTAGGATTTTATATCCATGGGAATAACTGAAATGAGCTTGTAATTACTTGATCAAGGTTTCATTAGCTTCATAAACCGTGTGCAAATGAAAGAAGACCAACCAAACGAGAACAGACAAAGGCAATTAATTCAGAGCTTGCTAGTAAGGGAGTCGGCCACCAGCATTTGCATTTTGACAGAGATTTAAAGGCAGGGAAAAGAGGGAGAAAGCTTCAGAGCAGAAAAAGGGAAGGCTACAGGTAAGCCCTTATTGGAGGCTGTTAGCCTTCGGAAGCAGGTTAACTCGAAGCAGCGTATCCTATGTGATTGGTTAGGGTGCATGTTTAACTTTCTCTGGTTGGTCGTAGGTTGGAAGCAGAAACAAAAATCAGGGATGTTGGCCAGGCATGGTGACTCACACCTGTAATCCTAGCACTTTGGGAGGCCAAGGCGGGCAGATAACCTGAGGTCAAGAGTTCAAGACCAGCCTGGCCAACATGGTGAAACCCCATCTCTACAAAAATACAAAAATTAGCCAGGCGTGATGGTGGGTGCCTGTACTCTGAGCTACTCAGGATGCTGAGGCAGGAGAATCTCTGGAACCCGGGAGGCGGAGGTTGCAGTGAGCCGAGATCGTGCCATTGCACTCCAGCTTGGGTGACAGAGTGAGACTCTGTCTCAAAAAAAAAAAAAAATTAGGGATGCTGTCAATTATTAATCAAGTCCTGGCTATTTTGGACTGATTGTTACAAGGGTTATTGTTTGGCTTCCTGGACTGTTTGCTAGAGATAGTGGTCTGACTCTTCCAAGTCTAATTTGTAGATTGCAAGCTGGTTTTCTAGGCTAGTTACTGTAGGTAACGGGTTAGCTTCCTGGGCTAGTTGCTGCAGATTGTGGGGCAGAGTTCTATTTTTATATATACCCTGGCCATTGTCTGTTTATATAGACCATTTCAACTGAGTTGGACAACTTTCACTCTTTCAGTTTTCTGGAACATCTTATAAAAGGCAGATATTCTTCCTTGAAAGTTTGGTAAGATTCCTCTGAAAAACTGCCTGGGCCAAATTCTGGGCAGAAGGGGTGCTTGCTTACCCTTTGAGGTTTTAAAATAATCATTACTCTATTGAAATATTCTACTTATTCTTCCACCAATTGTTGCCCTTTATATTTTTCCAGAAATGTATCTGGTTCATCTAAGTTATCATATTTATTATAAAACAGTCATAATAGCATTTTACAATTCTTTTAATCTCTAGGTCTATAGCTGTTTTCCTTTTTATTACATATTTTGTGTACTTATGTCTTCCTTCTTTTCTTGATCAGTTTCGCCAGAAGTCTATCTTCCTAATTTTTTTCAAACAACCACATGTTTTCTTAATTAATATCCTAAAGTGCTTTATGTTTGTTTGTTTGTTGGTATCTAATACATTAATTTATATTTTCTTTCTTCTTGTTTGAGTTTGCATTGTTGTTATATATTTTAATTTCTTGAGATAATTCCTAACTCATTTGTTTTCATACTTCCTTGGATTATTTATTTATTTATTTTTCAGACAACACCCGGTTCATGAGGTTTTTTTAAGAAATGTATTTAGAATTTTTGTGTTTTTTTTATTATACTTTAAGTTTTAGGGTACATGTGCAAATGTGCAGGTTTGTTACATATGTATACATGTGTCATGTTGGTGTGCTGCACCGAATGTATTTAAATTTACTGTATGAGTCTGTTCTCACGTTGCTAATAAGGACATACCCTAGACTGGGTAATCTATAAAGAAAAAGAGGTTTAATGGACTCACAGTTTCACATGGCTGAGGAGGCTTCACAATCATGGCAGAAGATGAATGAGGGGCAAAGTCACTTATTACATGGAAGCAGGCAAGAGAGCTGGTGCAGGGGAACTCCTGTGTATAAAACCATCAGATCTTGTGAGACTTATTCACTATCATGAGAACGGTATGGGGGAAACAGCCCGCATGATTCAATTATCTCCACCTGGCCCCACTCTTGACGCGTGGGGATTATGACAATTCAAGGTGAGATTTGGGTGGGGACACAGAGCCAAACCATATCAAGTTATAAATGTCTTTCTAAGCTCTGCTTTTATTTGGCGCCCTAAATTTTGTCATTCATGCAGGCAGAACAGCCACACAGAGTGAACCATTTTGCTCACTGCATAAGATCTGGATGAGCTGGTGAGAAGAGCTCTCTGTCGAAAGGAAGAAATGCTTTTTTTTTGCAGAAAAGGACCTCTAGCTCTCTCCTTATAGGCCCTCAAGGTTGTGACTGTCCAAAGCAGGTGCCTCTGTCTGATTCAAACAGAGATGCCGTGTAGGATAGTGAGAGTCCTGAGGTGGGTCTGCTACTCAGCCCTAAGTATTTTATTTGTCTTATGATTCTGTTAACCCAGGAGTTACTTAGTAGCATTTTATCCAGTTTCCATGTGTCTGAGATTTTGTTTGAGTAATATACTAGATAGGGGCAAATAGACCAATAGGACTGAGTAGACAACTGAGAAATACTGTGCACCCTTGCACCTCTGGGCTCTTGAGATGTAAGAGAGGTGGTGCCAAACATTAATGGAGAAAAACAGAAGTGCTTTAGGAAATGACGTGAAAAGAACTGGATCACTATTTAGGGAAAAACAAAGCTGGATTTGCTCCCTTATCTCCTATGCAAAGATGGATGTCTGGTGTAAAAGAAATAAACTGAAACTTAGCTGAAGAAAATGTAGGCATTCATCCTTGTGAGCTCCAAGTGGGGAGAGATATCCACAAGGCTGAAAATGTATAAACCACATAGCAAAATGTTGATAGGTTTGACTATATCAAAATTAATTTATTTCAGCAGAAAAAGTTAGCAGGAGCTAACAGAGTAGGAGAAGATGTTTCCAATATCTATTCAAGGACTGTCCTAAGAACACAAGTAAATCAACATCAATGACCTCAAAAACGGCATTGAGTAAGAAAACAGAAAAAAATACAATAGTTTCCCCTTATCCATAGTTTCGTGCTTTCCACAATTCCAGTTACCATGGCCCAAAAATATTTCATGGAAAATTCCAGAAATAAGCAATTCATAAATTTTACATTGCATGCCATGTTGAGTAGCATGATGAAACCTCGTACCACCCTGCTCTGTCCTGCCTGGGACATGAATCATCCCTTTGTTCAGCCTATCCATGCTGTCTACACTACCCACCCGTTATTAATTTAGTAGCCCTTTAGGCTATCAGATCAAAAAAACATAAAAGCAAACAAACAAACAAACAGCATAGTATGTATAGGGTTTGGTGCTATCTGAGGTTTCAGGTATCCATGGGAGGTCTTAGAACATATCCCCCAGAGACAATGGGGGACTATTGTATTAATATCACACATCATTCATATAAATTGGAAACACATGTATGTACAAAGCTACATGCTTTACAAGAACACAGGCATATTTAAGGTCACAGCTTAAACACATTAAAGTTGGTGTGCATGGGGGTAAGAAAAAGGGAATAGAGACTAAGAAAGAAGGGAACAAAGAAAATAAGAGAGACTTACACCTCAGCTCAGAGCGTAAGGTCATCATTCGTCTATCCATGAGTAACTCAGTTCTCAGCAGAAAAAACAATTTAGACCAGAAAACATTTGTAAAATGTCTATCTAGTACCGTCACATGCTAGTCATATAGTTATGTTAGTTGCTTTTCTACACTTCTACACTACTGTGAAAATCCATGTCACATTGTGCAACCCATCCTAGACCTGTTTTTTTGTTTTGTTTTGTTTTGTTTTTTGAGACGGAGTCTCGCTCTGTCGCCCAGGCTGGAGTGCAGTGGCGGGATCTCGGCTCACTGCAAGCTCCGCCTCCCGGGTTCACGCCATTCTCCTGCCTCAGCCTCCCAAGTAGCTGGGACTACAGGTGCCCGTCACCACACCGGGCTAATTTTTTTGTATTTTTAGTAGAGACGGGGTTTCACCGTTTTAGCCGGGATGGTCTCGATCTCCTGACCTCGTGATCCGCCCGCCTCGGCCTCCCAAAGTGCTGGGATTACAGGCGTGAGCCACCGCGCCCAGTCGATCTGTTGTATTTTTTTTAATAAGCAAAAGCTTTCAACCTTACCAGTCAGAACTTCCTTGTTATTAAAAATAAAATGGTTGAGCAAAATGCTGAATTGAGTATTTGAAATGAGACAGGCGTCATCTGGCTAATTTCTTTTAAAGACTTCTCTCCCCTAATAAAGAATGGAGTGAACAATTGCTTGTATTTGAGCTTTTAATTAGACCCAATATAATATGCTTACAAGTATTTTGCCTGCCAGGCATCGCAAAAATCACTCCGCTGATTTTACAAGAATTTAATACATGGGAACACAAGTTGGCTGGGATTCAATAAGAGATTATCTTGCTAAGTGAGAATAATGAAAAAATCAAGGAGAAACACAACTTTATTGGAAGGGGTGGGAGGAAAGGAGATGGGTGGGAAGTCACACTGGAAATGAGTTTCAGAAGTACAGAGTAATTTACTTAGGGACAGGTCCTGGTTTTGTGGGGCCTGACGCCTACATATTTGGTGGAGGCAGGTGAGAGGAGTAAAAGATTTAAGGAAAAGAATATTAAAATATGAATATGAAACCAGTTATGATTATATCAAATGAGAAAAAAGTCTTAATAAACTACAAATTTTAAAAGATGATAGATATGTTAAATATAACAAAATCTAGACAAATCTCATAATGTTTCTTAATGACTTGTCTGATCATCTCTACAATATTTGTTTTCTACATATTTTTTGGCTGTGCAGCCTTTATAGCCTTTTTCTGTGACAACAATTTTATAATGTTTTTTATATGGAGAGAATACAAAGACAAGTTAATCTTTCCCTAGCATGGATTATTAAAATTTATTTTTTATTACTTTTTATTTTTGAGATGGACTCTCATTCTATCGCCCAGGCTGGAGTGCCGTAGTGTGATCTTGGCTCACTGCAGCCTCTACCTCCCCGGTTCAGGCTATTCTCCTGCCTCAGCCTCCCAAGTAGCTGGGATTACACGCACGCCACCATACTCGGCTGATTTTTGTATTTTTAGTAGAGATGGGGTTTCGCCATGTTGGCCAGGCTGGTCTCGAACACCTGACCTCAGGTGATCTGCCCACCTCAGCCTCCCAAAGTGCTGGGATTACAGGTGTGAGCCAGCATGCCCATCCTTGTTACTCTTTCTTTTAATTTTTTTTTGTGTGTGTGTTTTGTAGAAACAGAGTCTTGCTATATTGCCCAGGTTGGTCTCAAACTCCTGGCCTCAAGCAATCCTCCCACCTTGGCCTCCCAAATTTCATGCCAGTGGGATGAACACCAAAGTTTATACCAGGCATGAACACCACATCTGGCGTACACTTTCTTGTTATTAATAATCAGATTCATAAAATACATGATTTCACACATAGATTTACTCACTTTTATAGAACTGCTACAGGTTTGTGCCCTGTAAATATAGAAATGCTGATAAAATCTATTTCATATGATTCATTTCTAATTAT
Organism: Homo sapiens; assembly: GCF_000001405.40. NCBI lineage: Eukaryota > Metazoa > Chordata > Mammalia > Primates > Hominidae > Homo > Homo sapiens. The sequence continues at coordinate 38,717,671 of NC_000004.12, forward strand.
ATGTGTTGCATTATTGAGTAGATTCTTAACAGGAAAGAACTTCTGCATGAATCAGACGCTGATGAGAACTGAGTGCCTTGCTTACCACTGTACGTGCCTAATGCCTGGCAGAGTGTTCTCTGGGTTGGCCTCTGTCCCTGCACGTTTTAATCCTTGTTTCTCTTCCACTGGCACATCTGGGTGAGGTGTCACAGGACACATTCTTATCACCATACCACGTCTGGTCCTCCAGCTTCATGTCTCCAATCAGGTCAGGTCAGGTCAACCCAGTGGGCGATGAAAGTATTCCCTGGACATTATTCCCACACCAGGATGAACTGACAAGAACTCAGCATGGAAGTGACGTGAAACACACGAATATATCCTGCGAAACCCAAACGAAATGAAATTTCCAGGTTAATATTCCCTTAGATGACCTCCCCAAACTGCCCACAGCTGTTCCAGGCCTCTTCACACTTGGGGAAGTCAGAAAGGAAAGAGAGGGCAGTCGTAACCAATGTGCAGTTTCAATATCGAACAGCAGGTCCTCAAATAACACCATTTCATTCAACGTTGTTTCCATATCACTTTGAGAGAAAAAAATGGATTTCTGGCTGGGACCACTGCCTGTGTGGAGGAGTTGCACATCTCCCCGCATCAGCATGGGTTTCCTTCGAACACGCTGCTTCCCCACCACATCCCAAAGCTGTGCACACTGGGTTAACTGGCATCTACATGGTCCCAGATCAAGTGAGTGTCGGAGGTTGTGAGTTGCCCTGCCATGGGATGGCCTCCTGTCCAGCCCCGGTTCCCACCGTGTGTGCCCTACCCTCCCGGGACCAGCTTCAACCACCTGCAACTCAGAGCTGGAATAATAAGGTAAATAATTATTTCAATTGTTTTATTCGTTTTTTGTTTTTTGTGTTTTTTTGAGACGGAGTCTGGCTCTGTCGCCCAGGCTGGAGTGCAGTGGTGCCATCTCGGCTCACTGCAAGCTCCGCCTCCCGGGTTCACGCCATTCTCCTGCCTCAGCCTCCCAAGTAGCTGGGACTACAGGTGCCCGTCACCACACCGGGCTAATTTTTTTGTATTTTTAGTAGAGGCGGGGTTTCACCATGTTAGCCAGGATGATCTCGGTTTCCTGACCTCGTGATCTGCCCGCCTAGGCCTCCCAAAGTGCTGGGATTACAGGCGTGAGCCACCGCGCCCGGCCGGTTTTATTCATATTTCTTAAATGCATGTGTAGCTCACATTTATTTCAGTGTTTAATATTAGAGGTGTTTTGGTCTTTATTTAGAAGTTTGATGATGTTCTTCTAACCAGACATATGCCATGGGAACTTAATTCTTGTTTTTATCTATGAGCCTATGGGAAAATCGGTTTCATTATAAGTCGTTTCGCTTAAGGTCGCAGTTTCCAATAACCTATTGATGACATTAAGTGAGGACTTGCTGTACTTCCTTAGATTTCACAAACCTCAGTGGCAAAGGAACACAGCATGGGAGCTCGTGCCAGGACTTGGAAAGACCCAAAGCTGCAGATGAATTAGCTTCAGGGTAAATCCGCCTCTGACCCAAGAGGCGGGCAAACCTGGCTGATAATCAAACTCATCTGCAGGCCCTATTAGAGAAATACGGACCCAAAGGCCCCACCTCTGGAGATTTTGCTTCAATAGTGAAAAGGGAAGTGGTGCTTTTGGAAGCTAAGAGGGTTGGGTAAGGTGTGCATGGAGGTGGGAGGGAGGAGAGTACAGATGGAACTTACTGAGCCTTCTAAAATCATTCTCTTCATAGCTGGTCCTGGTACCCTGTGAACTGTCCATCATCTTTTTTTTTTTTTTTTTTTTTTTTTGAGACAGAGTCTCGCTCTGTCGCCCAGCTTGGAGTGCAATGGTGCGATCTCAGCTCACTGCAACCTCCACCTCTTGGGTTCCAGCAATTCTCCTGCCTCAGCCTCCCAAGTAGCTGGGACTACAGGTGCATATGCCACCATGCCCGGCTTTTTTGTATTTTTAGTAGAAACAGGCTTTCACCCATGTTGGCCAGGCTGGTCTAGAATTCCTGACCTCAAGTGATCTGCCTGCCTCGGCCTTCCGAAGTGCTGGGATTACAGGCGTGAGCCACCACCCCTGGCCTGTCCATCATCTTTCAAAGCAAGCTTGTTCAACCTGTGGCCCGCCGGCCTAATGCAGCCCAGGATGGCTTGAATGCAGCCCAAAACAAATTTGTAAACTTTCTTAAAACATTATGAGATGTTTTTGGATTTTTTTTTTTCTCATCAGGTTTTGTTAGTGTCAGTGTATTTTATGTGTGGCCCAAGATAATTCTTCTTCCAATGTGGCCAAGGAAAGCCAAAAAATTGAGCACCCCTGTTTTAAAGTCTCCTGGTATTTCAAGAAATGATGGCCAGGGCCAACTTCTCCAAATTGCTATTGCTGCCCTTCCATCACAAGCACACACATCCTCCCTCTCCCTTTGCACTCCTATTCTGACTGTTTTGTTTTTGTTTTTGTTTTTGTTTTAAGACAGAGTCTTGCTCTGTCGCCCAGGCGGGAGCACAATGGCGCGACCTCGGCTCACTGCAACCTCTGCCTCTCAGGTTCAAGCAATTCTCTGCCTCAGCCTCCCGAGTAGCTGGGATTATAGGCGCCCGCCACCATGCCTGGCTAATTTTTGTATTTTTAGTAGAGACGGGGTTTCACCATCTTGGCCAGGCTGGTCTTGAACTCCTGGCCTCGTGATCCACCTGCATCGGTCTCCCAAAGTGCTGAGATTACAGGTGTGAGCCACTGCGCCTGGCCTTAATGAAAAAAAATTTCTTCCCCCCAGACGGAGTATTGCTCTGTCGCTTAGGCTGGAGTGCAGTGGCGCGATCTCGGCTCACTGCAACCTCCGCCTCCTAGGTTCAAGTGATTCTCCTGCCTCAGCCTCCCGAGTAGCTGGGATTATAGGTACATGCCACCACGCCCGACTAATTTTTGCATTCTTAGTAGAGACAGGGTTTCACCATGTTGGCCAGGCTGGTCTCAAACTCTTGACCTCATGATCTGTCCGCCTCAGCGGACGGATCCCAAAGTGCTGGGATTAAAGGCGTGAGCCACCACACCCGGCCCTGACTGTATTTAAATAAGGGACATGAGTATGTGTATGTGTCACACACACACATACACACACACACACACACCTGTGTCTTCCTCTAAATTACTACCATCAGGGCAAATATTAAATCAGGAGCTGAACCTGTTGATTGGAATCTGGAACTGGTCACTTGGAAGCTGGGAATCATTGGTCTTCTCTTTGTGTTCTAGAACGGAGGCAATCATACTTCCACTCATCTCCCATGCAGACAGTTCAGGTGAGAAGTTAAATCAATCCACTCCACCCAGAGTTCACAGGAAGCTCCTTAAATCCTAAGAATAACTTTCCATTTAAAAAATAAGTATTTCTGCACAGCTGGAGGGTAAGACTCTGTAATTATAAGCCTGAGATACCATTTGAACAGTCAAATACTAACTAAATAATATTCTAAAAACAATAGCAGCCCTTGTCATGAAATCTTTTTTTTTTTGAGACAGAGTCGATTTGTCACCCCAGCTGGAGTGCAGTGGCGTGATCTCAGCTCACTGCAACCTCCACCTCAAGTGATTCTCCTGCCTCAGCCTCTCAAGTAGCTGCGATTACAGGAACCCACCACTCCTGGCTAATTTTTTTGTACTTTCAGTCGAGACGGGTTTTCGCCACGTTGGCCAGGCTGTTCTCGAACTCCCAACCTCAGGTCATCCACCCGCCTCAGCCTCCCAAAGTGCTGGGATTACAGCCTGGCCCCTTGTCATTAAATCTGTCTCTCTTTTTGACATCTTTGTGCCTAAGTGTACAGGCTTCAGAACAGACTGCCTTTGTCCACGTTCCTGTTTTATTCCTTACCATTATGCCCCCCGTGCAAGCTATGTAAGCTCTCTGAGCTTCAGTTACCTGGTCTGCAAAACAGGAGCAATTCATAACTAGCTGATAGGGCTGTTAGGATTGGATGAAATTGTGTTTGTAAAATGCCTAGTGTAATATTTGAAATTTGCTCAACAAATCAGTTAATATTTTCACTATGTTACTATTTGTACTTTCAGAATGAATGAGAAGGACATGCAAATGGGAAGAAGAAAGAGAGCCCACGGTTGTTGAGCCTACAGGACATTCTCAAACACTGAGAATAGGAAGACTGACAAAGATCATTTAGGAAGTAAGTTGATAGTGTTTATCCAAAATTTAATCCGTACATATCTAATTTCTAGGAACCTGTTACAGATGGATCTAAACTAATTTGACTGGGCAACGACTGTCAGATTCTCTTGGTAAAATTCAGCTGACTGCAGTGACTACAGGTAGATGATACAACCTTAACACAAAGAGCCACACACCTCAACTGTGGGCTCCTGATTAGGCCACTTCAAATACTAACTGCCCCTACGATGTAGAGATGAAAGATAAACTATCATACATACTACTAATGCTCATGGCGGATATGATGAATTGGGTACCTCTTTCTTTTTTTCTTTTTCTTTTTTTTTTTTTTTTTGAGACATAGTCTCACTCTGCCACCCAGGCTAGAGTGCAGTGGTATGATCTCAGCTCACTACAACCTTTGCCTCCTGGGTTCAAGCGAGTCTCCTGCCTCAGCCTCCCAAGTAGCTGGGATTACAGGTGCGCACCACTGTTCCTGGCTAATTTTTGTATTTTTAGTAGAGATGGGGTTTCACCATGTTGGCCAGGCTGGTCTCGAACTCCTGACTCAAGTGATTCGCCTGCCTCCATCTCCCGAAGTTCTGGGATTACAGGTATGAGCCACTGTGCTCAGCCAAACTACTGTTTCTAAATATACCTTTGTCGAGGAGGAAAAAATCATTTTCCTTCTACCCTTTTACGTTCTCAGCTGAGGCTCTGACAGGTGAACAGGAGAGAAACAACAGAGGTTTATTAACATGTGCATACACATGGGAGAAATTCAGGGATGAGTAACCCAAACAGGTGGCTAGAACTTGGACTTAATAGCACCTTTAAAAAAAAAACAATAAATTTCAAAGGCATAACAAGACAAAGCAGGAAAACTTTGAGTTTCTAGGGCAGCAAATTGTGGACATGTAAATATATGGAAGGTCAGCACCAGTCAGTAAAATTTGTTACATGAATGTTCTGATGCTGTCTTTTCACTGATAAGGTTCTAGGATTGTCAGTGATTAACTGTTGTTCAAATTTATGTCCTGATTTTAGGCAAATAGGGATAAGGATGACAGCTTTTCATGTATCTTCTCCGTTGTCTTTAGCTCAAAAGGATCCTTATGCCCAAGTGGCATATTTTGGGGTGGCAAATCCTGCTATCCTTTACCTTCCTGTACTGCAAAGTCTAGAAAACTAAAAATTACATTCCCTAGCTTCTCTTGAAGCTGAGATTTGGAGGGAGAATTCGGTCCCACCAAAGTCACATCAGATAATTTCCAAAATATTCCCCTTTTTTATTGATAAAGGCTAAGATGAAGGACGTGCTTAGTGTGAGGTCCAGATGGCCTACTGTTAATAACCGAGGCCCAGGATCTAGCCAGGCTACCTGTCCCCAGTCAGGGCAGCGTAGGACTGGCAGTGGCCTTCCCTACTGGGGGTTGGGGAACTGGGGCTGAGCTGGTAACCTTTAGGGAGGGCCCGTAGAGGCTGAGGAACATTTGTGTTTTTTGCAGACAGCTCACTCCCAGGAGGAAGAAAGGGAAACCTTGGGCTGAGCACACCTAGTATTTTTCCCAAATTTGCCAACCAGGTTAAACCACCTTTTTCCTCTCTCAGCCACTGCAGAAAGTCAGAGAGAGAGGCCAGGGTGTCACAACTCCACACTGGGGAGAATCACCAAGGAGGGTGAAAGGGTTTAGTTACCTATATTGGCAGGAAGTCTGGTGAAAAGGGAGAAAAAGGACTGTCACCATTTACTGTATATACTCCTGTTTAAAATTAATTTTTGCAAAAATCCTGTATTCAAGTACAATTTGTATAGTTAAAATAGAAAGAAAAAGAAACCTACCACTTCGGTGTAGGATGGAGTAACCTACAGCAAATGAAAGATCCTGCCAAGAAAAACTGGAAAATCTAGATTACGGTAATTTAAAAAGAAAAAAAATATTTTAAATGCATCAGAGGGCTGGGCGAAGCAAAAAGGATTAGAAAGGGCCCCACTCTGGAGAGAGGAGAACTGCAGAGAGGTGAGTTGCTAACTAGCAGCCACTTATCCCCTGGGGGCCCCTCATCCTGCCACTGGGCAGAGGAAAAGTCACTTCCTGGGATGACCGCATCTAAGGCCAGCTTTCCTCTTTTATTCTTCATCACAACTGTCTCAGGGCTTGCACTGCAATTTGTCATTAAATGTCAGCTTCATTGCATTTTTATTTGTCTCTCTGCGTATGCTATAACCTTCATGTGGGCAGGAAGAGTCTGTCCATCTTGTTCGTTGTTGCATTCCCAGGCCTGGTATACGGTAGATGCTTAGTAAATATGTGTTGGGTTGGATTGGAATGAATGGAATGGAATATGAACAGTGAAAGCTTTCCAGCTCTTTCAGATTTCCTGGATTCTAGAGGCCCCTTTTCTCCCCAGAGGCTCTGTTCCCTTAAGGCTTTGTCAATAGGACCAAACCTAAGCTCCTTGCTGATAGAATGGCATCCTCTGAGTCCTGCTCTAACACCTCCAGGGCTTGGAAGTAGGTGGGGTTGCGAGCCTTATCAGCAACCCTCTAATCTCCCAGGCCACACCCAAACTAGCACCTCCAGGCCCTTCTCTCCCTAACCACAGAATGCCTTGCAGCTCTAACAGAAAAAGTGTAAGAACTCCTGTTTTGAGGGCCTACCTGGCATCCAGTTTCTGTTTAACTCAACCCCATTTCTCAATCTCTCCAAAGCCCTGCAAGTTCCTCAAGTCCACGTGCTCTCAAACCCCTGCCCCAGATTCTAAAACCAGGCCTGTCCACTCTCAGTCTTATTGCCTGGCCTCTGGGCCCACCTTCCCCATTCTCACTAGACCCTGGACCACCCACCCTCTCTGGGGTCCCATCCAGGGGGAGCCCACACCCCATGAGTGAAGACCGTATAGAGAGAAAAAATCTAAATGGAAGTCCGCAGTTGCTGGGTACTTTAAAAATGTCTTTCTAAGGCCGGGCGCGGTGGCTCATGTCTGTAATCCCAGCACTTTGGGAGGCCGAGGCAGGTAGATCATGAGGTCAGGAGTTTGAGATCAGCCTGGCCAATATGGTGAAACCCTGTCTTTAAGGAAAATACAAAAATTAGCCCAGAGTGGTGGCACACGCCTGTTTTCCCAGCAACTCAGGAGGCTGAGGCAGGAGAATCACTTGAACCCGGGAGATGGAGGTTGCAGTGAGCCGAGATCGTGCCACTGCACTCCAGCTTGGCAACAAAGCGAGACTGTTTCAAATAAAATAAAATAAAATAAAATGAGTCTTTCTAAGTGCACCTTGACATTCTCGAAACTTTATTCTTGTGCATTGGAAGTATTTTATTTTCCTTTCCGGGTGTAAAAAGCCCAAGACTGAAGCCAGGAAAAATGAATTCTGGTCCTGGTTCTGCTGCTATGTGATATTGGACCATCCGTTTTCTGATGGAAACCTGGGTCATTTGCTTTGGGGGTTGGTCCTCTGATGTCTTAGCAGGGACTTTGATCTTCTTGTGCGCACACAGAAGCTGTCAGGCTCAGGGAAACCTACATACATGGTCCACGTTGAAATGAGGGTCTAAAGCCTTGATGTAAGCACGAAAGCGTGTGGGCAGCATGCAGCCCTACAAGCAGGCATTGATCCTCAGTGGGTCTATGGGTCAAGGTTTATCCAGCCCCAGCTGGACCAGAGAAACCCCTTTAGGCTTATGTATTAGCCCTTTTTCATACTGCTGATAAAAGCACACCGGAGACTGGGCAATTTACAAAAGAAAGACGTTTAATGGACTTACAGTTCCACATGGCTAGGGAGACCTCACAATCATGGTGGAAGGCCAAAGGCATTTCTTGCAGCAGCGAGAGAGTAGATGAGGAAGAAACGAAAGCGGAAACCCCTTATAAAACCATCAGATCTCATGAGACTTATTCACCACCATGAGAATGGTATGGGGGAGCCGCCCCCATGATTCAATGACTTCCCACCAGGTCCCTCCCACAACACATGGGAATTATAGGAGTACAGTTCAAGATGAGATTTGGGTGGGGACACAACCAAACCATATCAGCTTGTTACACCTCTCCAGAAATGGGAAATTTTTTTTTTTTTATCACTTTGGTGCTTATAGAGGCTTCCTATGTGCCAGGTCTGTTCTAAGCACTTTACACCTGATGGCCCATTTCATCCTCATGACAAATCTATGGAGTAGATGTACTTTACCCCCCGCCGCCCCAAGAGCTCCAAAATGTGAGGCCTTGGGAGGGTAAAGCATTTATTCAAGGTGAGCATTTCCTACAGTAAGAGGCAATCTGGCTGCCGGGTCCGTGTTCTTACCCACAGTGCTAGTGATTTTTCTACAGGCACCAGAAGAGCCTCCTCATTCGTGGTTTGGGTTCCCTGGTCACTAGATCCCAGGTGGACAGTGCTAAATTTGGGCATGCCACTCACTGCAGTTTAGTCACACCTTAGTCTCACGATTTGGTTTTTCTGGAGAACCCTAACTAACACAGTACCTACAGGGTGTTCTGTAAATATACATGTTTCATCAATGCATGGATTTGATTTTGGTATTTTGAGTCTCCTCTGGGCATCAGTCTACAACTCATCTTGGGGATGGTTTATACCTGCAAATAGTCCACCTTATTAACTGCTTTCTTCCTAGTTTCTCAGTGAGTGACATTTTCCTGACCTCTTTTCCAGAATCTAGAAGCAATTTTCCAAAGCCCATTTCCTAAAGGAGGCCCTTACACAGAGCAGTATATACCCAATAAGGGTCTTTCCTTTCCTTTCCTTGAACCCTTATCAAATCTTTCTAGTCTTTTTTTTTTTTTTTTTTTTTTTTTGAGATGGAGTTTTGCTCTTGTTACCCAGGCTGGAGTGCAATAACGCGATCTCGGCTCACCGCAACCTCCGCCTCCCGGCTTCAAACTATTCTCCTGCCTCAGCCCCCTGAGTAGCTGGGATTACAGGCACACACCACCACGCCCAGCTAATTTTGTATTTTTAGTAGAGATGGGGTTAGTCAGGCTGGTCTCAAACTCCCTACCTCAGGTGATCCGCCTGCCTTGGCCTCCTAAAGTGCTGGGATTACAGGTGTGAGCCACTGTGCCCAGCCAAATCTTTCTAGTCTTTCAAGGGTAAACTGATACACAGCTCTCCAGTTTCTTTATTTGTGTCATTTCATTTAATCGTTCATTTTATTTTATTTTATTTTTTGAGATAAGATCTGGCTCTATCACCCAGGCTGGAGTTCAGTGGCACAATCTCAACTCACTGCAACCTCTGCCTCCCGGGCTCAAGCCATCCTCCCACCTCAGCCTTCTGAGCAGCTGGGACTACAGGTGCACACCACCATACCCAGCTAATTTTTGCATTTTTTGTAGAGACAGAGTCTTGCCATGTTACCCACGCTGGTCTCCAACTCGTGAGCTCATAAGATTTGCCTGCCTCAGCCTTCCAAAGTGCTGGGATTAAAGGCGTGAGCCACCATGCCTGGCCTTCACAGTTCTTTTTTTTTTTTTTTTTTTTGAGACTAAGTCTCGCTCTGTCTCCCAGGCTGGAGTGCAGTGGCGCGATCTCAGCTCACTGCAAGCTCCGCCTCCCAGGTTCACGCCATTCTCCTGCCTCAGCCTCCCGAGTAGCTGGGACTACAGGAATCGGCCACCACGCCCGGCTAATTTTTTGTATTTTTAGTAGAGACGGAGTTTCACCATGTTAGCCAGGATGATCTCGATCTCCTGACCTCGTGATCTACCCACCTCAGCCTCCCAAAGTGCTGGGATTACAGGCGTGAGCCACCGCGCCCAGCCCACAGTTCATTTTAAACTTCAATCTAGAAATGGGAATCTCAAGCAAAAGAAGGTGGATGTTTTTATTTAAGGCCCTCAAAGGAGATAAGGAAGTTCAAGAAATTTTCCAAATGGAGTTGCAAGCAGAGAGAATCATGGAGACTTACAAAGGTGCTCGATCTTAACAGGAGCTGTTATTTGTTTGCAGATTTGCCTGGGATCTTCTTGTGGGCCTACATACTCCCCATTGTCACTGCAATAGAGCCAGGATCCAGCCCAGTGCCTGGTCAGAAGAAGCTCCATTAGTGCTTAAGAACTGTATTCAATTGGAACTTTCAACCAATTCAATATGGTCACAACGGGTTGGCTCCTAGTAAGCTGCTCAGTAAGTGTTTCTTCAGGTGACGTTGGCAAATGAAAGGCAGTAAGGCCCAGTGATTTCAGATCCAGACTGTGGTACTCAGAACCATATAATCCTGGGGTCAAATCTCAGCCTTGCTTGCTTCTTTCTGCGTGCCCTGAGCCTCTCCCCTGTAGAGAACCTATTTCACATTGTTGCTATGAAAATGACATGAGATCATGAATGTGAAATTTATCATAGTATTGCTCATACTACTACCTTGGGCTGGGAACTATTCCTGGGCTTTCTCATTTAATCCTCTTGCAATTCAAAGAGGAAGGCGCTCTTAACTGCCCCACTTCTTACAGATTAAGAAGTTGAGGAACAAGGGCTGGAGCGGTGTCTCCAAGGTCACGAAGCTAGTAAGAGTGGGTATAGATCGCAGATGCAGTGGCTGGTCTTAACCGTTAAGGGAGAGCTACGAAGTCCCACGTGTGGACAGTAAGTACTCAGTAAAAGTACACTGTTACTGTTACTGCTGCTGCCATTGTGCTGGACAGCCGGGGAAAGTGAGGGGCAGAGAACTTGAGTCCCCATAGCTACTCCATAACAGAGCCAGAACCACGGGTGGCTCCAACATTCAGATCTGGGGTACCAAGCCTTGTTGCTTGTTTCTTAACTGCTTTCTCCAAGGCCTGCCCTGGGCAGCCACACCCAGAGTTCTCACGACACCCTGGAGCTCTTGCCACCCAGAAGTTCTTGCCACACCCTGCCTGCTCCCGGAAGGTAACAGGGCCACTGAAGAAGGGCTGCATTGTTGTGGCCTTAGCCTTGGCCCTGAAGGCCAGGAGGACAAACACTTTGGCTTGTAAGTACTGCAAATCAATAAACAGTAAAACTCAGAATAAATGCCCTCTTGAACTTCAACTGACCTCAACTCCAAGCTGGCTGGTCCTGAGGACAAATACCCAGGAACGTGATTCCAGGAGAGAATACTTCTGCATGGCATCCAGTTGCTACCTGGCAGGAGGGTGTTTGCCTTTGAGAGAGGTGGGGGCAGGGGTATCAAATTCTCCTGGGGAAGACAGGAAGTTTGCCAGCGCCACCCAGAGCAGAAAAAAAGTGTGGCAGTATCAATAAAGATGACAATAGCAAGAGATCTCCTTTTTTCCTCAGAGTCCTGGCCTGCATGAATAGGTGAAATCACAACAGCTAAGATTCAGTGAGTGCTTCCTGTGTAGGCCACGTGCTGCACTTAGGACCACACGCATGGGTTCGTTGAATGCACTCAACAACCCTATGGCATGGATTTTATTATTTTCATTTTTCAGGTGAGAAAACCATGGTACAGAGAAAAGTAAATCGCTTCCCCAGGGGCTGCTCGGCCCCCAGGAGGCAGAACCAGAGTCTGAACCCAAGCGATCTTTTACGGCCCTCCCCTGCAAGCTGGCAACGGAGTATTTCCCTTTATGGTCCCTCTCATTTAATTTTGAATCAGATGTCTTATGCCAAAGTATATACAGAAAGGACACCACTTTGGAAGGTATCTTTGTCCATTCTGGCTACTATAACAAAATACCATAAACTGGGTGTCTTTTTTTTTTTTTTTTTTTTTTTTTTTTGACGGAGTCTCGCTCTGTCGCCCAGGCTGGAGTGCAGTGGTGCGATCTCGGGCTCACTGCAAGCTCCGCCTCCTGGGTTCACACCATTCTCCTGCCTCAGCCTCCTGAGTAGCTGGGAATACAGGTGCCCGCCACCACGCCCGGCTAATTTTTTGTATTTTTTTTTTTAGTAGAGATGGAGTTTCACAGTGTTAGCCAGGATGGTCTCGATCTCCTGACCTCGTGATCCTCCCACCTCAGCCTCCCAAAGTGCTGGGATTACAGGCGTGAGCCACCAGGCCCGGCCAACTGGATGTCTTATAAACAACAGAAATTCATTTCTGACAGTTCCAGAGGCTGGAACTCCAAAATCAAGGCACAGGCAGAGCTGGCATCTGGCGAGGTTCTGCCCTCTAGTTCATAGATGGTGCCTTCTCACCATGTCCTCCCAAGGTGGAAGGGGTGGGAGGTCTCTCTTGGGCATCTTTGATGAGGGCACTCTTCCCATTCAGGAGGCCTCTGCCTTCATGACCTAATCACCTCCCAAAGACCCAGCTCCCAGTACCATCACCTTAGGGGGTAGGATTTCAACATATGGATTTTAGGGAAACACAAACATTCAGACCATAGCAGAGGGGATGAGAGACCCCTGAAGCCTGCTAAGGCTCCTGAGAGCAGCTGACAAATGTATAGGATTTTGAAGAAACTTTTAAAGTCCCAGGGCAATCAACTTTGTTCCTGCTCTGAGTCTGAGAGGTCCCCATTCAAAGTTAGCCCCCTCATTCAGTCTTTTTTTTTTTTTTCTTAAATTTTGAGACAGGATCTTACCCAGGCTAGAGTGCAGTGGCACAATCACGGCTCACGGCAGCCTCCACCTCCCAGACTCAAGGGATCCTCCCACCTCAGCCTCCTGAGTAGCTGAGACTACAGGTACACGCCACCGTGCTTGGCTAATTTTTGTATTTTTTGTAGTGACAGGGTTTTGCCATGTAGCCCAGGCTGGTGTGGAACTCCTGGGCTCAAGCAGTCCACCCACTTTGACTTCCCAAAATGCTGGGATTACAGGCCTGAGCCCCTAACTCAGTCTTTATTGCACAGCATTAAAAGGGTGGAAGGAGCGCTTCACAGAGCCATTCTCCTCCTCCCACCACCATGAGAGGTACAAATTCTACCAAACCTCGTCTCCTGTCTGCCTCTGGTGCAGGTTGAGGTTTGGCCTTCAGGGATTGCTCCTCTGAGCTAATTTCTTGCAAAGGATGTGACAAAGGTCACTAGAGAGAAAACACCTCAGCACGTGTTCCATAGGCCAATGCGGTGAGTTCAGCACAGCCCCATCAGCACGCAGACCATGTGAGAGGACTCATGCATGGGAGGCCACCCACGAACAGGGCTATTTTAATAGAATGTCTTCGGGTGTGGTGAGAAAAACCCCGGCTTGGAGTGTTTGTGGTTCATCTGGAATCAGGCAGCGCTGTTATAAGCTTGGGGCCTATACAGGCTTCCTGGGTTTCTGCTTATTGATACACATTGTAGGTCCTCCAAGAACGGTCCTGAATCATTCCCTTGGTTATGTCCATGTACCGGATCATTCCTTTGATTAGTACACTGTAAATACTTCAAGAATGCTAGAGAAAGTTTTGAGATCAGAGCCTTTCCCACAAAAGGTCAGGAGTTCCAGTTCTCAATAAGCCGAGGTATCTGTGGTTAGAGGAGTCCAGAAAATGCGGGCTGTGTGCGCCCCCTGCTGGAGAGGGAGGCCCAGGCACGCGGAGCTTCTAGTTCAGGGCCGGGGTCCTCTTGAGGGTTCTCGGAGCACCTTCTCGCGGCTCAGAGGGTTCTTCTTCCTGTCCTTCCAGGGCGGCCTTGCGTGAGAGCAGGACTGCTAAGGGTAATGTGGCAATCTAGAGCCAGATTGCCGGGGTTCGAATCCTGCTTCTGCAACTGCTCTGTAACTTTTGGCAGGTCATTAAACCTCTCTGTGCCTCACCTTCCTCATCTGTAAAGTTGGGATGATCATATTAGAGCCTACCTCAGAGAGTACTTATGAGACATAAACGAGATAACATCTCAAACACTGAGGCACAAACAAAGCAAATGTCAAAACACTTAGAATGGTGCCTGGCACATAGGGAGTGTTATGTGTTAATTATATATTAATTATTGCTATTATTAATATCATCATCATAATTCTCTTGGTTATTAATAAAATCTAAGAGAAAGCTTTTCTCCTCTCTCTCAACCCTAAGGGTCACTTTCACGGGCATCAGAAATTCTAACAATCCCAGAGCCAGGATTACAGGCATGAGCCACCGCACTAGGCTCATTATTCTAGATACTAAGAGGAGGGAAGAAACTGCTAACTCTATTCCAATAAAAACATCTTCTTCAAAGAAAAAAGGTAAGCCAAGCACAGTGGCCATGCCCGTAATCCTGGCACTTTGGGAAGCTAAGGTGGGAGATCACTTGAGGCCAGAAGTTTGAGACCAGCCTAGGCAACCTAGCAAGACTCCCCCTCTACAAAAAAATTTAAAAATTGACACATGCCTGTGGTCCCCGCTACTTGAGAGGCTGAGGTATGAAGATCATTTGAACCCATGAGTTTGCAGCTACAGTGAGCTGTGATTGCACCACTGCACTGCAGCTTGGGCAACAGAGTGAAACACTGTCTCTAATTAATTAATTAATTAATTAATTAATTAATTTTTAATTAAAAAGAAAAAGAAAAAAGAATAACTTTCATATCAGCCAGGCACTTCCAAAGTTGTTGGGCTTGTTGGTTGTCTCTGATAGCAAAATAATCTATAGACTGCCTTTTATTTCTGCTTTTGGGAAAATTTAATAAAGTTTGGTTTCTGAGGTAGTACCCTCAATTTAACAATTTGTTTTCTTGAAAATTTGAAGATTATATATATGTCTCTTCACGTGTATGCATATGCCTTATGTATATACACACATATGTGTATTTGTGCAAACATGTATACATCCATATTCCATTTTAGGCATTAGGCATATGCTTACAAAGATACATAAACATATATATTGTGAGCATGTTTAAGACTATATAGGCCAGATTGGTGGCTCACATCTGTAATCTCAGCACTTTGGGAGGCTGACGCAGGCGGATCACTTGAGATCAGGAGCTTGAGACCAGCCTGGCCAACATGGGGAAACCCCATCTCTACTAAAAACACAAAAAAATTAGCCGTATATGGTGGCGGGCACTTGGAGTCTCAGCTATTTGGGAGGCTGAGGCACAAGAATTGCTTGAACCTGGGAAGCAGAGGTTGCAGTGAGCCAAGATTGCACCACTGCACTCCAGACTGAATGACAGAACAAGACTCTGTCAAAAAAAAAAAAAGACTATATAAACACATACATACAGAATGCCTTATAGATGTTTATGCCCCTTTGAGTGGAACACTGGTGGTTGTGGGGAGGAAGGCACACATGGAAGAAGTAAAAATAGCCATAGGGTTCCCCAGGGGACGATATTCTCAAGAAATTTGGAAGTTCAGCAGGGCACAGCTCAGAAAGGGAGGTGATGGTGGTGGTGGTGGTAGTGGTGTTGATGATGGTGATGGTGGTGGTGATGGTGATGGTGGTGGTGATGATGGTGGTGGTAATGGTGGGATGGTGGTGTTGGTGGTGATGGTGGTGGAGGCTGTGGTGTTAGTGGTGATGGTGGTGGTACTGGTGGTAGTGGTGATGGTGGTGGAGGCAGTGGTGGCGGTGGTGGTGATGGTGGTGGTGGTGATGATCATGGTTGTTGGGGTGGTAGTGGAGGTGGTGATGGTGGTAGTGTTGGTGGTGGTAGTGTTGGTGGTGGTGGTGTTAGTGGTAGTGATGGTGTTGGTGGTGATGGCGATGATGGTGGTGGAGGTGGCGATCATTGTGGTTGTGTTGGTAGCAGAGGTGGTGATGGTGGTGGTGGTGATGGTGGTGGTGGTGGTGTTGGTGTTGGTGTTGGTGTTGGTGATGGTGATGGTGATGGTGTTGGTGGTGATGGTGATGATGGTGGTGGTGGTCATCGTGGTGGTTTTGGTGGTAGTGGAGGTGGTGATGGTGGCAGTGGTGGTGATAGTGATGGTGCTGGTCGTGGTGGTGATGGTGTTGATGGTGGTGGTGGTGATGGTGTTGATGGTGGTAGTGGTGATGGTCCTGGTGGTGATGGTGATGATGGTGGTGGTGGTAGTGGTGATCCTGGTGGTTGTGGTGGTAGCGGTGATGGTGTTGGTGGTGTTGGTGGTGTTGATGATGTTGTTGTTGGTGGCAATGGTGGTGGTAGTGGTGTTGGTGGTGGTGATGGTGTTGGTGGTGATGGTGATAATGATGGTGGTGGTGGTGACCATGGTGGTTGTGGTGGTAATGGAGGTGGTGATGGTGGTAGTGGTGGTGATAGTGATGGTGCTGGTGGTGTTGTTGGTAGTGGTGATGGTATTGGTGGTGGCAGTGGTGATGGTCCTGGTGGTAATGGTGATGATGGTGGTGGTGGTAGTGGTGATCATGGTAGTTGTGGTGGTAGTGGTGATGGTAGTGGTGATGGTGGTGGTGGCAGTGGTAGTGATGGTGATGATGGTAGTGCTGGTGGTGGTGGTGATGGTGGCCTGGTGGTGGTGGTGGAGCTGGTGGTGATGGTGGTGGTGGCAGTGGTGATGGTGGTGGTAGAGGTGGTGGTGATGGTGGTGGAGGTGGTGGTGCTGGTAATCGTGGTGGTGGTGGCGGTGATGGCAGTGGTGGCGGTGGTAGTAGAGGTGGTGGTGGTGGTAGAGGTAGTGGTGATGGTGATGGTGGTAGATGTGGTGGTGGTGGTGGTATATCTACATGATGCAGCAGGCTAGTAGAAGATCCCAAAAAGTTGATTTCAAGAGTAGCTGGTGGTTGTGGTAGAACCAGCTTTGCCATTCTTTTGCCAGGAAAAACTTGTGCTTGGCATCACTACTTGTGGCACGCCTCTTCCGAGCCCTAGACTAAGTGCCCTCTCTGAGCCTCCATAGCACCCTGTAGCACTCACTCCTACCATAGTGTCTGTCGCTCTCTTGTCTGACCTCTCAGTATAAAGGAAGCTCGATGAGAGTGAGTAAAGCTTTTCCTTTTCACTTCTGCATCTCTAGTTCTCAATACATTGCCTGGCACGAAGTTGGCACACTGTAAATACTTGTTGCATGGATGAATGGATAAGCAGACAGGTGGACACATGCATGAATGAATGAAAAAATGAATAAGTGAGTAAATAAATAAAAAAGAGTCAGAGGTCTGCAAGCCTGGAACTGGGAATTATTCCTACCTGAGGAGCTCCAGAGAGCAAGAGCAAGAACTGGGGATTTACCATCTGCTGGGGTTTGCCTCCTGGTAGAATGATGGATCAGCAGCAATGGCACTTTATCATAGCCCAAGGACATAAAGCATTCTGATTCAGGAAGCCTCTTGAGACTGAAGAACCTCCTAGCTGAGAAGATATTTCTCCAAGGCAGCCCTAGCCAGATGGGAAGTTATTTTGGATGAAGTCACCCTGTGGTAGTTGAAAAACACAATACGGTCAACACCTACTCTGTGATGACAGCATGCATCTTCCCTCTAGTGTTCAAAGCTTACTTTGGCCTTATGAAGTAGGCATGATTATTCTATAAAGAAGAAGGCTGCACCCAAAGATGCGGAGTGGCTGGCTAGTAAGTACAGAGTCAGGATTCAAACCAGCTCTGTTGGCTCCAGTATCCCCTGTGGCTACTTGGGAAAGCAGGATTGATGAAAAAGGGAAGAAATTCTGTTGGTTAGAGAAACACTCACTGCTGTAGCAAACTCTGAAATTTGTAATTGCTCCAATAATAGACGTGTATTTCTCATGTAGAGTCTCAAATGGGATTCCTGGTGAGCAGATGGGCCTTCTCCAAGAAGAGATTCAGGAACCTGTGCTCCCTCCATCCTGTGGTACCATCAACTTCACATGTGACTTCAAGCTGCCACACCCATCTGCTTCGAACTGGCAGCAGGGAAGAGCCTGGGGGAATGGGAGGTTTTGTGGATCAGATGTAGAGGTGGCACACGTCACTTCTAATCACCCTTTGGCTGTAACTCAATTACTTGGCCAGTGCTTACCAGCGATGTAACTTCAACAGAGCCTGCAAAATACAGTGCAGCTCTGTGCCAGGAGAAAGGAGGCAATGAGTTTGGTGAAGATAGGCAATCTCCACCACAACCCATACCCAACAACTGGGGACAGCAGTGAGATTCCAGGACAGCAAAAGCCCAGCTCAGCCCTCCACTAGGGTATAATAGCCCTGTAGGTAAGCTTGGAGGAAGTCAAAATTTGAAGCTCTATCTTGGGCTGCACACATGCCTAAAGCCTTGTTTATTGTATCCCCTTCTTTGGGGAACTGTTCCTCTCGAGCTTCAATAATGCCAATCCTAGTATTCTTAGACCCCTAGCTAGAGGTAAGCATATGACTCAGGTTTAAGGGTGGGCATTCAGGGATCAGTTTAGGGAAGGTCACGTGATCCTAGAAGAGCCTATTGGCATGCTTCCCTAACCAATCAAGAACGCTTTGCTCCTAATTGTCTGGTTATAGGGCTGCAAGGATGGAAGTGAGGAGTGGTCTGACATCATGCCTGCACCCTCAATGGAGAAAGCCAGAAGAAAGAAGGCAGCATGTAGAAAAGAGCTGAGAAAGAAAGAGAGAAATGACAGCAATGACAGTGTTCAAGTCCCTGGCTCTTTAAGGCTAGGCTACTCCTCCTTTGCTTTTTTTTTTTTTTTTTTTTGGACAGAGTCTCACTCTGTGCCCAGGCTAGAGTGCAGTGACGCAATCTCGGTTCACTGAAACCTCCACCTCTGGGGTTCAAGCGATTATCCTGCCTCAGCCTCCTGAGTAGCTGGGACTACAAGTATGCACCACCAAGTCCAGCTAATTTTTGTACTTTTAATAGAAATGGGATTTCCCATGTTGGCCAGGCTGGTCTCGAACTCCTGACCTCAAGTGACCCACCCACCTCAGCCTCCCACAGTGCTGGGATTACAGGCAGGAGCCACCGCACCCAGCCACCCCTGCCATTTCTATGGTTTGATTATATAACTCAATATATTCCCTCTTTGCTTAATCTAGTTCAAGTTGAGTCACTTGCAATCCTAAGATTTATGAGTTAACACATCCAACATGCCAGACACCAAGAGATTCTAGCAGGTAAATGGGCTTCAACAACAAATCCATATCAACTCCCACAATGCTTTTGTCCAGTGTTAGCTCTGCTCACGTGTATTCTCTCTCTGTCTCTCTCTTTCTCTCTCTCTCACACACACAAACCCTCTTGCACACTGGGAGTCCCCCCCAATGATACATTGAAATTCTAATTCCCAGTAACTCAGAATGTGACCTTCTTTGGAAATAGGTCCATTACAGAGGTCATCATGTTGAAACGAAGTCATTATGGTAGGCTTAATCTGGTGTGACTTATGAAAGAGAGAAATTCAGACACAAAGACACGCACACACAGAGGGAAGATGATGTGACGAGACATCATCAGGGAAATGGACAATGACACGTGAAGATGAAGGCAGAGACTGGGATGAAAAGCAGTAGGTATTTGTCTTTGTAAGTTCTCTGGAAAGGCCTTGAGAAATTTCATTTCTCTCGTCATACTGTGTATGTACAGGTATGTGTATATGTATGTGTACGTATATAAACATTCTGTGTGGGAAAATGAGTAGAAGAAGATTAAAGCAATCTAGTGTACAGATGGTGTGTGTGTGTGTGTATGTGTGTTTTGGACATGGGGAAGAAGGTTTCCATAACAATGGTAATACTAATTTCCATTTATTATTATCTGCTTTATGACAGATATTATTCTTTGTAAATTTTTTTTTCTTTCTTCTTTTACAAGATCCTACAGCTAGCATGTCAGATATTACTCTTGGGCATAATATAGACATGATTTCATTTAGTTCCAGTAAGGAGGAGTGTGTCTTGATTTGAGGTCAGTTTGGCCGGGCGCGGTGGCTCACGCCTATAATCCCAGCACTTTGGGAGGCTGAGGCGGGCGGATCACAAAGTCAGGAGATCGAGACCATCCTGGCCAACATGGTGAAACCCCGTCTCTACTAAAATACAAAAAAAAAAAAAAAAAAAAATTAGCCAGGCGTGATGGCACGCGCCTATAGTCCCAGCTACTCAGGAGGCTGAGGCAGGGGAATAGCTTGAACCTGGGAGGCGGAGGTTGCAGTGAGCCAAGATCACGCCACTGCACTCCAGCCTAGGCGACAGAGCAAGAATCCATCTCAAAAAAAAAAAAAAAAAAAGAAGTCCGTTCATACCTGAGTTTGAATCTCAGTTCTTCTGTTTATTAGCTATCTGGCCTGAGTGAGATTACTTAACTTCCATGAGCCCTATTTTCTCTATGGAATAATAATGTCTATTCCATGGAATTTCAGTAAAATTAATGCAATAATATATATAAATTGGAACCAACCCAAATGTCTATCAGTGACAGACTGGATTAAGAAAATGTGGCACATATACACCATGGAATACTATGCAGCCATAAAAAAGGATGAGTTCATGTCCTTTATAGGGACATGGATGAAGCTGGAAACCATCATTCTGAGCAAACTATCGCAAGGACAGAAAACCAAACACCATTCCCACTCATAGATGGGAATTGAACAATGAGAACACATGGACAGAGGGTAGGGAACATCACACACCGGGGCCTTCCAGGGGGTGGGGCGAGGGGGGAGGGATAGCATTAGGAGATATACCTAATGTAAATGACAAGTTAACGGGTGCAGCACACCAACATGGCACATGTATACATATGTAACAAACCTGCACGTTGTGCACATGTACCCTGGAACTTAAAGTGAAATAATAAAAAAAAAAATAAAAATATAAATAAAATAAAAATAAATTGGGTGGCCTATAGGAAGGTCCCTAGTAAGTGTTTGATAGTATCATTCATCTTCAGAATCACCCTCTATGTCAGGCATTTATAATTCCCATTTCTCAAATAAGGAAACGAAGTCCCACCCAACTAGTAAGTGACAAAGAACTAAATTAGATGCAGATCTCCCTGGTCAAGCCAAGGTCTCTCTCCTACGCAATCCTCCTTGACAAAGAAAAGATGGAAAGGGCAATAATTTGTCAGTTACAACACAGTCATGTTTTAGGTAAATTTGAGTTACATGTATTTGAAATTGTGTAATACAGAACATTTATAAGGTCTCATTTTGTGCTCAAAATGAGAAATGGTGCAAATCCCCCAAATTAAAATAAAATCAAGAATTGCTCATGTCAAAGCTGCTCAGACAAGTGAATTGTAAACGTGCCACTTCAGTTCTAAAACAGAAATCCTCTCTTCCTTTTGCAGATATCTCATAGACTACGCTGTTGTTCGCATAGCTCAGAACTCCAAGTGATTTTGTTGACAATTGAAATGTTGTTATAATTGAAAATACTTTGTTAACATCCTATGGCCATGTCATGTGAGCATTCATAATGTGATGGCACAGAAAAGCACCAGAAGCAGTGCATTTATTCTGCACTTTAGATGTCATAAAAAGGCTTTGCAGAAGACCGGACAGCCATTATGATATGATATGCTTATAATTCAGCAGATTGATTTCTGCAAAATATCAGAGATCATGCCGAAGAAATGAAAAGCACCATTAAAAAGCAATTATGTACCCAACTGGTGTAGATTTATGTGCATTGGAAATCTACTCTTTCATACTTTAAATGTATTAATGTGGGAAAAATTGCTTTGAGTTACGTAAGTTTTGAATAATGCAGTCTTCAGGAATGTATTCATTGTATAAAATAAACTCATCCTAAAGATATTAGCATTTACTTCTAGGAACTAAAATACCCAATGCATTTGGTAACTAAATTGCTCATGATAATTTATAAATTGAAAGTTTGATTTATACATCAGTCTCTAAGGAGCTTATCATGCGTAACCTCTGGGGACACTGAGGAAAATGAATTTTTCCAGTTTGTAAGCCTAGGGCCTGCCTTTGCACTGTGTCAGCTTAGCATGTACTAGCATGTAGCATATCTGGGTGGACCTCAGTTTTCTCTTTCCATATTGACCAAACTTGGACAAGAGCCAAGGCTTTCTGAGAGGCAAGCAGAAGATGTACAGTGGTATGCACTACATGGTTAGTAAGAGGAGCTACCACTTATTGGGTGGTTTTTTTTTTTTCTATATCAGACATGATTCTAAGTACTTTATGTACATTATTTTATTGACCTAAAAATCTATGTGCATGAACAAATGAATAATCGAAAGCGCAGGAATGTTGACTAACTTGTCCAGATTATTAATTAAGATGTGGCAGAGATGATTGTTCCAATATCTCCAATTTATTTTAAGTATTTCCATATATACTGTGTGACATCATATGTGTTGCTTTCATTAGGCCACAACCCAGGTGGTCAATTCTCTTTTTATTTTTTGTATTTAGAGACAGGGTCTCACTATGTTGTCCAGACTGTCCTAGAGCTCCTGGACTCAAGTGATCCTCCTGCCTCATCCTCCCAAGTAGTGAGATTACAGGCAAACGCCACTGTGCCAGGCCCAGGTTGTCAATTCTAAGCAAGAATTCTAACCCAGGTGGTCATGGGGCAATCGATCCAGGAAGTCTGTGCCCAAGCAGCAGCTGCTATACATGCTTCAGTTATTTGTATCTTGACCAACAGCTACTGTGTTGCCAATCAGCATAGGGAATGTCAGGCACAGGTTTTTATTTCTGATCCTAATGACTTGTCAAATAGCATGATGGATTTTAGAAATAGGCTCTAATTTGGGCGTTAAAGGTGTTTAAAATATGTGGCTTGGCTAAAGTATTTTACAGATACTCGCACAATTCCACAAATAGAATATAATGACCTTTGACCCCTGTAGTCTTCACTGTTGAGCTATAGCTCTGGGCTAAAGCCCTAACTGGTTCCATGTAAAGCCATGACTCAGAGGATCACAGCTCACTCTCCATCCAATGCCAGCTGTCAAGGTAACAGAATCCTGTCTCTAAAGGTTCAGCATGTCTGCTTTGGATGACCTTGTCATGCAATGTGGTAGATGAAGCACCTAAAGTGACAGAGAGTTGGGGCTTCTTTTAGCCTTAAAGAACCAGCTGCAGAAATGGCTCTGGACTTGCTTGCTAATAAATGTTTGCTAAATAAACAAGCAACTACATAAATAAATGTAGCAGAATTATAACCTGGAAGCATAATTGTGAGGAAGGGAGTCGTTTCAAATCTATTCTGAGATTATAGAAGGAACCAAGAGCTGTGTCTGACCAAAGTGACTCAGGTGAGTTTTCAACATGGATATTGAACCCAGAACTGTTTGTCTGTCTCCAGAAGCAGACCTTGCTCTTTAGAGAAACACCTATGCTGGAAAAAAAAAAAAGCATCATGGTTTCAACTACAGGGTCTCACTCTGTTGTGCAGGCTGGAGTGCAGTGGTGCAATCACAGCTCACTGCAGCCTTGACCTCCAGGGCTCAAGCAATCCTCCCATCTCAGCATCTAAGGTGAGATGTTTCCTTTTCCGTTTCCAGCATTGGTGATGTAAGCCTTCTCTGTTTTGTTCATGATCATCCTCATGAAGGCTTTACTTTTCACTTTGCTGAATTGTACAGTGTCATCTAGTTCATTTGGCTTTTTAAAAGAAATCTTTGTTATGTCCTTCCTTCTATTATACTTTCTTTAAGTAAAATTTTCTGTTTGTCTTCTAATTCCTTCAGGCTTATTGATTTTTAGCTTTCCTTTTTTTTATTCTAAATACTTGACACAAATAGAACACTTATGGGAATATACAATCCTATAACAACAACCAAATTTTGCATCCCAAGAAAAATGTAAAGTTAAGACTGTGTCCAGCTAGATTTATTTATTTATCTTAGAAACAGGTTCTTGCTATGCTGTCCAGGCTGAAGTGCAGTAGATATTCACAGCAGTGATCAAGCACATGGCAGCCTTGAATTCCTGGGCTCAAGCAACCCTCCTGCCTCAGCCTTCTAAGTAGCTGGACTACAGGCGTGCGCTCTGTCACCTGGATCTAATTAGAATTAAATTAATGCAGCTCAGTTTATATTTCATCATTACATTATTTGAATTCCATCACTAAAAAGACCCATTAAATTTGGTAAATTAAAAACATCAGGCTGGGCACAGTGGCTCACACCTGTAATCCCAGCAATTTGGGAGGCTGAGGTGGGCAGATCACTTGAGGTCAGGAGTTCAAGACCAGACTGGACAACACAGTGAAACCCTATCTCCACTAAAAATACAAAAATTATCCAGGCATGGTGGTGCATGCCTGTAATCCCAGCTACTGAGGAGCCTGAAGCACAAGAATTGCTTGAACCCGTAGGTGGAGGCTGCAGTGAGCCAAGATGGCACCACTGCACTCCAGCCTGGGTAACAGAGCAAGACTCCGAATGAAAAATAAAATAATAATACTAAATCAAAATAAATAAAAGAATAAAAACATCATTTACAGTTTTGCCCCCAGCTTCACCAGTCCCACCAAAATAACGGAGAGTGGCTTAAAAAAAAAGATATTAACTAACAAGGACAAAGAGAAAAAGAAAGTAGAAAGGAAAAAGAAATATTTTGGAAGCTGGAGAGCATACGGAACAAGTGATTACCAGCTTAGCTGACCAAAGGAAGCTAGAACCAATTGGGGGCAGCCTGAAGCGGGATGATTTGAGACACAGAACCTCAGAAAGTTGTGGCTCAGGAGTTGGTGGCCCAGGGTGCAATTGAGGCTGAGAACAGAAGACTGGTTACAAGCCTGTACAAACAGAGATGCACAGATGCCTCCAGATCTGCCAACCGCTATCTCCCATCTCAGAAGTCCAGAATTGACCCTCCAAAGAGGGTTAGCCAGAGAGACTCCAGCCTCAGTGACATCACGGCAGGGCACCATATAGAAAACTGGGGATCAGCTGGAGTTCTACACCCTGTGGGGCTCATCCCTTTCCCTCCACTCCAGTCTCAGAATGATGGCAGTCAGGTTTATAATTCTCAAATCAAAAAGATTTGAGGAAACTGTCTAGATTAAGAGAAAAGACCAAAAGAAACTACAAAATGGGACTTTCCCAATGAAACAGCCCAGCAAGATCACTGTACAGAAAAGTTCATCCATTGGCGAGCTCCCTCCAGCTCTCAACACCACCATGTATGTGCATGCACACACATACACACATATGCACACACATATACACATGCATGTACACACACACTACACAACTTACAATCAGCTTTTTAGTGCTTCACTTTTAAATATGAGAAAAGAGTCAAGGAAGACCAAACATCTGAGAAATTTTCTAATAGAAAAACTGAGATAAAAACAAATAAGATTTTTATAAGAGCTCAGTAGAAGCAGAAATAATTTTTAAAAAGCAGAAGAAAATTTCAAAAAGCTATAATTGATGTGTCCAGAGGAAAAAAATGAAGGAAATTAGAAAGTTACATGAAGTAGAAATGTCAGAAGATAAAGTTTGGGAAAGTAAAAAAAAATTTCAGAGATGGAAAATACACACACACACACACACACACACACAAAACCCATAAGAAATAACACCAATTTTACACAAACTCTTTCAGAGTTTGAGAAGGTAAAAAAATATTTCGGAGATGGAAAATATAGGAAAAAATTAAAGACCTGATGAAGAACTATAATATTCAAATAAAATGGGAGTTCCAGAAAGAGAGAACAGAGAAAATAGAAGGGTTGCAACTATTCAAAAAATAATTCAAGAAAATTCTTCAGGCCAGGCATGGTGGCTCATGCCTGTAATCCCACACTTTGGGAGGCCAAGGCGGGTAGATCACCTGAAGTCAGGAGTTTGAGACCAGCCTTGCCAACATGGTGAAACCCCGCCTCTACTAAAAATGCAAAAATCAGCTGGGCATGATGTGGCATGCCTATAATTCTAGCTACTCAGAAGGCCGAGACAGGAGAATCACTTGAACCCAAGAGGCGGAGGTTGCAGTGAGCTGAGATCGCACCACTGCACTCCAGCCTGGGTGACAGAGCAAGGCTCTGTGTCCAAAAAAAAAAAAAGGAAATTCTTCAGAGCTGAAGGACATGAGTTTTCATATTGAGAGGCATCACAGGGTCTCCTACATAAGGGGTTTAGAAAGTCCCATACCAAGACACATCATTATAAAACGCTGGAATTCCAA
This sequence comes from Homo sapiens, assembly GCF_000001405.40. Taxonomy (NCBI): domain Eukaryota; kingdom Metazoa; phylum Chordata; class Mammalia; order Primates; family Hominidae; genus Homo; species Homo sapiens. The sequence continues at coordinate 38,743,753 of NC_000004.12, forward strand.
GGACAAAAAGAAGATTCTAAATACATTCAGAAAGGAAATAGTATGCCTCATTAAACAGGTAAAATATCAGACTTCCCAATAGCTGCACTGGAAGCTAGGAGAGCAACATCTTTAAATTTCTAAGGAAAAAATATCTTCAATTTAGAATTCTAAACCTAGTCCAATATCAATCATGTATGAGGTTGAAAGAATTGTATAGATATTCATGATCTGGAAGCTGCAGGAGGATGTGTTCACCCAAAATGAAAGTGTAAAATGAGAAACAGGATGTCATGGGACCAAAAAAAAAAAAGAGGATCCAATACAGAGGAGAACTGAAAGGAATTTTGAGGTTAAGAAAAGGAAATCCCAGGGTGACAGCTGGGTGGCAGATTTTGAGAGCAGCCAGTCCAGACTGCAGCAAGGGGAGAGAGAGCTCCAGGAAGGATATCTTCCAAAAAAGGGTTTACGCTGGCAGAACATATGGAGAGGAGATTTCCATTTCTGAAGCAGGGTTTGGGATGATTTCAGTAGAGGTAAGGAGTCTCCTCCTATCCGTGGGGATATGTTCCAAGACCCCCAGTGGATGCCTGAAGCCACAGATAGTCTGAACCCTACATATACTATGTTTCTTCCTATATGTACAGACCTGTGATAAAATTTAATTAGGCACAGTACTCTTGGGGCCATTATTAAGTAAAATAAGCGTTACTTGAACACAAGCACAGCGATAACTGCAACAGTTGATCTGATAACCAAGATGGCTACTAAGCAACCAATGGGCAGGGAGCACAGACCTTGTGGATAATTCTTTTTTTTTTTTTTTTTTTTTTTGAGACAGAGTCTTGCTCTGTCGCCCAGGTTGGAGTGCAGTGGCGTGATCTTGACTCACTGCAACCTCTGCCTCCTAGGTTCGAGCTATTCTCCTGTCTCAGCCTCCTGGGACTATAGGGATGCGCCACCACGCCTGGCTAATTTTTGTATTTTTAGTTGAAACGGGGTTTCACCAAGTTGATCAGGCTGGTCTCGAACTCCTGACCTCAAGGGATCCACCCGCCTCAGCTTCCCAAAGTGTTGGGATCTCAAGGGTGCGTGAGCCACCACGCCCGGCCTAAACTTTTTATTTCTTAAATTTTCCACTTAATATTTTTGGGGTTGAATATGTAGTAACTGAAGCCACAGAAAGTGAAACCATGGATAAGGGGGATTGTCGTACATAGAAAACTAAGCAAAAAAGAAAAAAATGAGATGATAACCTCCAGTGAAAACAAATAATTGAAAAAGAAAGAAAATATAATAATGTTTTATGTGGCTCAGCTATAGATATTTTTAAAATCATAGTTATGTAAACACTAAATATTAATCTTAATTTATGATAGAGATATATTGTCAGATGACAGGAGGAGGTGTTCAGGGAAAGATGTGTAAATGGTGTAACAAAACTGAATCATAATTATTTTATAATAAAAAGACAAGAGATAATAACAAAAACTGAAAAGTCAATATAACAACAGTAGTGCCAGGCACTGTTAAAAGTGCTTATTTTTAATGCATTAATTCCTTTTGTTTTATTTATTTATTTATTTATTTATTTATTTATTTATTTGAGGCACAGTCTCGCTCTGTCACCCAGGCTGGAGTGAAGTGGTCCAATCTCAGCTCGCTGCAACTTCTGCCTCCCAGGTTCAAGCAATTCTCTGCCTCAGCCTCCTGAGTAGCTGAGATTACAGGTATGCACCACCATGCCCAGTTAATTTTTGTATTTTTAGTAGAGACAGGGATTCACCATGTTGGCCAGGCTGGTCTCAAACTCCTGACCTCAGGTGATCCACCCGCCTCGGCCTCCCAAAGTGCTGGGATTACAGGCATGAGCCACCGCACCCAGACTGAATTAATTCCTTTTAATGCTCACACTAACCTTATGAAGTTTAAAAACCCATTTAATGGATGAGAATATGAAAAATAGTGATATAAGCATATAATTTAGAAATATGGGGGCAAACTCCAGAAGCAACAGCTATAAGAAACAAAAGTAATTGCCTCCATGGAGAGGAAATTGGATGGAAAAGGGCATGTAGAGGTCTGCTGGTTTTCAATAGAAACCTTGGTTAGGCGCAGAGGCTTTCATCTGCAATCCCAGCACTTTGGGAGGCTGAAGTGAATGGAATGCTTGAGCCTAAGAGCTCAAGAGTAGCCTGGGCAATATAATGACCTCATCTCTACAAAAAATACAAAAATTAGCCAGCATGGCGGTGTATACCTATAGTCCTAGCTACTTGGGAGACTGAAGTGGGAGGATCACTTGAGCCTGGGCAATACAGGCTGCAGTGAACCATGATCATACCACTGCACTCCAGCCTGAGTTACGCAGTGAGACTGTCTAAAAAAAAAAAAAAAGACGAAACCTTATGAAACCATTTTTTTGTTTTGTTTTGTTTTGTTTTGAGACAAAGTCTCACTCTGCTGCCCAGGCCAGAGTGCAGTGGCATGTCTCGGCTCACTGCAACCCTGCCTATCAGGTTCAAGCCGTTCTCTTGCCTCAGCTTCCCAAGTAGCTGGGACTACAGGCGCACGCCACCACATCTGGCTAATTTTTGTACTTTTAGTAGAGACAGGGTTTCACTATGTTGTCCAGGCTAGTCTCAAACTCCTGACTCAGATGATCCACCTGCCTTGGCCTCCCAAAGTGCTGGGATTACAGGCTGAGCCACTATGCTTGGCCTGAAACCATTTGACTTGTTAAACTTTGTACATATAAAACTTTGATAAAACTAAAGAATCAATTAAAAGACATCAATTCAATAATTTATTAATCAATCAGTGATAATGGTTTGGCTCTTTGGCCCCACCCAAATCTCATGTTGAATTGTAATCCCTAGTGTTGGAGGTGGGGCCTGGTAGGAGGTGACTGGATTATGGGGGAATTGGTCTCTAATGGCTTAGCACCATCTCCCTAGTGGTTTCTCACGATGGAGTTCTCTCAAGATCTGGTTGTCTAAAAGTGTGTGGCACCTTCCCCTTCTCTCTCTCTCTTTCTCTCTCCTGCCACCATGTGAAGATGTGCTTGCTTCACCTTAGCCCTTCTGCCATGATTGTAAGCTTCCTAAGCCTCCCCAGCAATGCCTCCTCTACAGCCTGTGGAACTGTGAGTCAATTAAACCTCTTCTTTTCATAAATTACCCAGTCTCAGGTAGTTCTTTATAGCAGTGTGAGAACAGACTAATACAGAAAATTGGTTTCAGATAAATGGGGCATTCCCATAAAGATAACTGAAAATGTAGAAGTGACTTTGGAACTGGGTAATGGGCAGAGACTGGAAGAGTTTCGAGGGCTTTGGAAAAAGTCAGGAAGATGAGGGAAAGTTTGAAACTTCCTAGAGACTTGTTGAATGGTTTTGACCAAAATGCTGATAGTGATATGGACAGAGATGGCCAGGTTCATGAGGTCTCACTTAGAGATGAGGAACTTACTGAGAACTGCAGTAAATGTCATTCTGCTATGCTTTAGCAAAAAGACTGGTGGCATTGTGCCCCTGCTCTAGGGAATCTGTTGAATTTTGAACTTGAGAAAGAGGATTTAGGGTATCTGGCAGAAGAAATTCCTAAGCAGCAGCAGAGCATAAAACTTTGGAAAATTTGCAGCCTGGCCATATAGTAAAAAAGAAAAACCCATTTTCTGAGGAGGAATTCAAACCTGCTGCAGTAAAGATAAGCCAAATGTTAATAGCCAAGACAATATAAAAATGCCTCCAAGGTATTTTAGAGACAGAGGGCTGGAGGACTAAGAGGGAAAAATGGTTTCGTGGGCCAGGCCTAGGGCCCCCCACTCTGTTCTGTGCAGCCCCAGGACATGGCACCCTGCATCACAGCTGCTCCAGCTCCACCCTTGGCATAAAGGGCCTCAGATATGCTTCAGGCCTCTGCTTCAGAGGGTGAAAGCCATAAGAAGCTTTGGCACCTTCCACATGATGTTAAGCCTGTGGGTGTGCAGAGTGCAACAGTTGAGGCTTGGGAACCTCCACCTAGATTTCAGAGGATGTATGAAAATGCCTGGATTTCCAGGCAGAAGTCTTCTGCAGGGGTGGAGCCCTCATGGGGAATCTCCACTAGGGCAATGTGGAGGGAAAATGTGGAATTGGAGCCCCCACACAGAGTCTCCACTGGAGCACTGCCTTGTGGAGCTGTGAGAAGAGGGCCACCATCCTTCAGACTCCAGAATGGTAAATCCACCAACAGCTTGCACTGTGTGCCCAGAAAAACTTCAGGCACTCAATGCCAACCCATGAAAGCAGCCACAGGGGCAGTACCCTTCAGAGCCACAGAGGCAGAGCTGCCCAAGGCCTTGAGAGCCTACCTCTTGCATCAGCATGCCCTGGATGCGAGACATGGAATCAAAGGTAACTATTTTGGGGCTTTAAGATTTAATGACTGTCCGCTAGGTTCAGACTTGCATGGGGCCCGTAGCCCCTTTGTTTTGCCCAATTTCTCCCTTTTGGAAAGGGAGCATTTACTAAATGTTTGTACCCTCATTGTACCTTGGAAGTAACTGACTTGTTTTTTATTTTACAGGCTGATAGGCAGAAGTGACGTGCCTTGTGTCAGATGAGACTTTGGACTTGGACTTTTGAGTTAATGCTGGAATGAGTTAAGACTTTGGGGGACCATTGGGAAGGCATGATTGTGTTTTAAAATGTGAGAAGGACATGAGATTTGGGAAGGGGCAGTGGTAGAACGATTTGGTTTGGCTTTGTGTCCCCACCCAAATCTCACGTTGAGTTGTAATCCCTAGTGTTGGAGGTGGGGCGTGGTGGGAAGTGATTGGATCATGGGGTGATTTCTAGTGGTTTAGCATCATTCCCCTAGTGCTGTCTTATGATAGAATTCTCACAAGATCTGGTTGCTTAAAAGTGTATGACACTTTCCCCTTCTCTCTCTCTTTCTCTCTTTCTCTCTCTCCTGCCACCATGTGAAGACATGCTTGCTTCCCCTTTGTCCTTCTGCCATGATTGTGAGTTTCCTGAGGCCTCCCCAACCATGCATCCTGCACAGCTTGTGGAACTGTGAGTCAATTAAACCTCTTTTCTTCATAAATTACCCAGTCTCAGTTAGTTCCTTATAGCAGTGTGAGAACGAACTAATACAATCAATAAATACATATTCACAACAAACCATTTTTAATTAACAAAAAACTATGCTTCTTGTAATCATTTCTATGTGAAAAACTCACAGAAAGCAGGCCTTGAACATTCCTCTAGTCAGCCTAGGCTTCTGGTGATGACTTTCCCTGGCCTGCAGGTTCCCAGTTCAACCAAACTGCCATCAATTTCCGCCCATGGAGGCTGGAGGAGTTCTGTGGCACAACTTGAGCACCACTCTTCCTCCAAGATGTTTAGCAAGTGTGTGCACATAAATCAGATTAAAGACTCAGCCTAAATCAAAAACATGAAGAATCATCCTTACAAATGCTTTAAAAACCATGAAAGCCCTGAACAATCACCTTTCATTCAAACACCCGCTGAGAACTATGTGGTCATTTGCTATATTTTCTGAGAAGAAATCAAATAAACAAATAGATATAATAATATTATAACATCTAGTTTTAATTAAAACACAAAATTAAACATAACATTTACTTTGGTCAGTTTTAAGAATGATAATTCCACTGATACTTTTTGGAAAACACTTGCTTATTAATGCTGGAGAGAGAAAAACCAAGAATAATGAATGCTTAGCTCATTATTCAAACTACCCTGGAGTCCTTGTTTTCATCTCGTCCTAAACCATTCACATTTCAGGCTGACAGTTTTTCCACTGTCACTCAAGGCGAAAACAGACGACTCCTTAAATTATGTTAGAAATAAATTAGCTCCCAGATAACACACACTCCATGTAAGAAAGAAAAGAAAGAAAGAATAAGTCCCGAGGTAAATTAACTCCTGGTGTACATAATGAAACTTTACCCTCAAGCTCCAATGCAGTGATACAAATACCAAAAATTCTGCCAATGACTGCACAATCTGTTTATTTGTGAGAAGGTGGAGGAGAGAAAAAGAAGAGCACCAGGTCCTTAGACAAATAAGACCATATTGAAATGACCCCTCTTAAAAATGGACTTTATTTTTTAAAGCAGTTTTAGGTTCACAGCAAAATTGAGTAGAAAAAAAATTGATGAGAAAGTACAGAGAGTTTCCATATTTCCCCTGTCCCCACCCGCCACACGCACAGCCTGTCCCACTGTCAACATCACCCACCAGAGTGGGACATGTGTTGCAGTTGATGAATCTACATTGACACATCATCGTCACCCAAATATTACAGGTTTTAACAAGTGTATGACAACATGTATTCACTATTACAGTGTCGTATAGAATAGTTTCACTGCCCTAAAAATCCCCTGTGCGCCAACTCTTCCTGTCCTCCCTAGCTAGCACCTGGCAACCACTGACATTTTCGCTGCCTCCATAGTTTTGCTTTTTTCAGAATGTCATATAGTTGGAATCACACAGTGTGCAGCCTTTTCAGATTGGCTTCTTTCACTCAGTAATATGCATTTAAGTTTCCTCCATGTCTTTTCACGGCTTAATAGGACGCTGACTTTTAAAAGAATCATTTCTACTGTAGTATTGGATATTTATAAATATAAATATTTATGCCTTAAAACTTTAGAAAAACACAGTACCCTTCCACTGATATGCTAGGATACCTCTTATCTTTTCTACTCCCGAGGTGGGTTCAGGAATTTGAGAGAGCCCATGGCCAATCGTTCATTAATGCATTCAGTGTCTGTCATCCACCATTGTTGCAGTTATTATGGATTCAAATAACCCCAATGCTTAGTGGTGTACTCCATTTATTATGCTCAGAGACTCAACTGTGTGGGTTAAGACTTGGCCATGGCACACCAAGGATACCCCGTCTCTGCTCTGCAATGTCTGAGGATTCAGCTGGAAGACTTGAGAACTGGAGGATGGGATCAACTGAAGGCTCATTAATTCACTCATCTATCCTGGTGGGTGAAGCTGGCTGTTGGCTGGGGGCATCTTTCACCCTCCACATGAGCTAGTTGAGGCTTCCTCATAACCCAGTGGCTGGTTTCAAGGGTGAACATCCCTAGGGAGAGAGCTGCAGGCAGAAGCCTAATTGCTTTTTATAACATAGCCTTGGAAGTCAAGCAATCTGTAGCATTCCAATTATCAAGACAGTCACGGAGTCAGCCCTTCCCCAATCCTGAGTCTCTGGAGAAGACGAATAGATTCTGCCTCATGATGGGAAATGGAAAGTTTGTGGAAAAACATGTGAAACTGGAAATACTGCTGTTTCTATTTTTGGAAAACAGTCACCTCTGTAGGGCAAGGACTTTGCCAGGTCTGGGGATTCATAGTGAAAAGCCATGGTTTCTGATCTCAAGACAAGAGAGAGGATCCATAGAGTAGGTTAACAAGCAACAACTCTAATGATTTTAACTTCTAGACTAGTGAATAACTGAAGCATTTTAGAAAACAGGAAAAGCCTCATTGATATGGATAGGAGACAGGGAAATACTGGGTAGAAGAGGGTGGTTCCCTGGCAAAGGCCCCACCCTGAAGTCCAGAGACCCTCGGCCCTAAATGGAAACAGGCATTTCTGTTTTTGAATGCAAAATTTGCCTTTTGGCCCGCCATGCCCCCCTATCCTGTACCCATATAAACCCCAAACCCCCAGGTTCCAGAAGCAGATGGGCAGACAAGGAGACAAGCAGAGGAATGTCAAAATGCTGCGGCAGAAAGAGAGAAGAGGAGGAATGTCTCAACACTAAGAGTTTAGCCCGGGGCGGTTCAGCTGCCGGAAGGCCAAACTCCAGGAGAAGCCCATCTTCCTACTCCGTCCTCCCTTCAGGTTCTCCATCCATCCTGCTGAGAGCCACCTCCGCCATTCAGTAAGACCCCCACATTTATCCTTCAAGTGCATGTGTGACCCAGTTCTTCCAGGATGCTGGACAAGAGCTTGGGATACATAAAGCTGTCACACTGGCCCTCTGCCCTTGCTCGCTAACACTCAAGCCATTCGCAGACGGCTAAAAGAGCACATTGTAACACGTGCCCACTTGGACTCCTGCACCTGCCCATCTGCATGCTTTCCATCCTGTAAGGGGTTTGAGTGGTGTCAGCAATCTAACAGACAAGCCACACCCTTGTTTCACGTCCTGTGAGAGGGGTCAGGGAACTCTTCTGTTTCATCATTACCCAACTTTGGAACTCAAGAAAGGACTCACAGGGAAATTCTTGCAGAATCTCGTGGAAAATCTCACATGTATTTGTGAAAATACAATGTGGATCTGTGAGATCCCACTTCAACACAGGCCACGGGGCCACCTTCTGCACCCACATGGGTTGTTTTAAGTCTTCCTTAGTCTCCTTGAGAATAACATGATGCTATGATGTTGGCAGGAATCTTCCACACCTTCCAAAACATGACAATATGGGTCAAGCCCGTGCAGAGACTGTGGCTCCTGCTTTGGGAGTCACCTGGAATTGTTGAGAGATTAGCAAATCCCAGAACCAGGTTTGTTAGAATTAACTGCTCAACCAGATTGTATTGAAAATGGTCTGAAGTCAAAGACGACAGACGCAAACGGGCTAAATTGCTCAGTTAATTCTTCCATTTCTCTTCCTCCTAGTTGTTCTAGCTTCAGGGAGGACTCAGGAGAGTACTGTTTGAAAACCACTGATCTAGTTTACACTTTCATTTTACAGAGAGGAAACTGAGAGCCACAGAGATTCAAGTGACTCATCCAAGATGACCCAAACCCTGGGGTTTGTTATTGTTTTTCACACTATGCAAAGCACTAAAAAACATTCGTTTGAAACAGGTGAACAAAAGTCTAATTTGTAGTGAGGTCTAGGGGAATGACTGTCCAGTCAATTCCTCAATTCATGAAGGAGCATTTGGGACGCCACAGAGGAACATACACAGGTATCCCTCCTCCTACCCGACACCATTCAGGAAGAGCGGTTACCCCTCCAATGCACTGAAGCAGATTCATTTCCCTCAGGACTGTGGGAGGCGACTGAGGCTGAGTGAATGATACAGCCTTTTAATTTGTTTTTAATTGTCGTGTCCTGGTAACCCTTCCAAAGACCCTTCACGGAGAGTAGTTTTATTTTTCCACTTATTAACCGCATTCACTAGACTGGAAAAAGAATTCCCTATCTCCCAAGAACTCTCCCTTTCATTCTTGTAATTCCTTTTTTTTTTTTTTTTTTTTTAGCACCAGGAAAGTAATGTGTGTAAAACTAGAGCCAAGTATATTGTGGTTTCAAATACAAGCCTGTTTGGAGCAGAAGCCCGTGGGATTGCTGCGTTTCAGCCTCAGGGGATGGCCCGCTGATGGCCTCGGCCTGTGAAAGGGAGGGGCTTGAATGGCCCTTTGATTCAGCCCAAATCTGGGGGTGGAGGGTGGGGAAGGGGCAGGCCTGTTATTTGACACTTTCTGTTGGGCTTGGCCCAGGCCTCACTCCTTATGCAGGCCTCCCTGGAGCCTGCAAGCCCTCTCTGAGGACGCACTGACTTAGCAAGCGCTGAAATGCATAACATTCCTTGCTGCTTAGGAAGTAGACCAGCGATCCCCAGGGCTCGCGAATTCCCTGCGCTTTGAGAATGGTGCTCTTTATAACGTTCCCCATCCAAACACACACACAGACACGCTACACACACATACCCCAAACATACACACACACGCGCACACACACTCCACACACACCCAAACATACACGTACACACACACTCCACACACACACACCCCAATATACATACACATGCACACAATAGACACACACCCAAACATGCACACACACTCCACACACACACACCCAAATAAACACACACATGCGCAAACTACACACACATTACACACACACCCATACACACACATCCAAAAATACACACACACAAACTACACACATACTACACACACACACAAACATACACACACGTGCACACACACGCTCCACACACACATCCCAACATACACTCTACACACACGCCACACACACCCCATACACACAGGCACACAATCCACACATACACTCCACATACACAAACCCAAAACATACATACTCTACACACACACCACACACATCGCAAACAACCACACTCTACACACACACAAACATAGACACACCCGCACGCACACTACACACACGAGCCAAACATACATACTCACACACATTCTATACCACGGAACAACCACGCTCTATACACACACTATACACACACTTTATACACATACCCCAAAACACACTCTCCACACACCTACACACACCCCCAAACATACACACACTCCACACACACCTATACACATACTCTACACACATGCACTCCACAGACACAGACTCCCAAATATAAATATACACACACACCCATACACATACATGCACACACACTACACACACCCCAAACATACATACTCCACACACACATTCTACACACACACTCCCCACACACGCTTCATACACACACACTCCACACACACACACCCCATACACACACACTCTACACACACACTCCACACACAAACCTCCCGAAACATACACATATACACACACTCAATATGCACTCACACCTCCCACACACTATACACACACCCCACACACACCCAAACATACATATACACACACTCCATAACACACACACTCACACACACATATCTACACACACACCCCAAACATATACACACACCATGTTACACACTCCACACACTCCGCAAACACACACACACAGAACCTAAACATTCACATCCACACACACACTCCCAAACAACATCCACACACACACTACACACAAAAACACATTCACACATACAAATCACACACACATACACACAATACATGCATACACCCTCCCACACCCCATACATACACCCTCCACACACTCTCTACACACACACACACTCCACATACCTCACACATACACACCCCATACATACACACTCTGCACACACACACACACACATCCTACACACTTTACTATGGCATTAACCATTTGTGTGTTTGCTAGCTGATTTTAAGGTATTTATTATCGTTGTTTGCATGGAAAACCTGAGAATAGACAGGCATATTATCGGAATTAATAACAGGGCTTACCAAGAGTAAGAAGTAAATGCAGTACCACGAGTATAGCCCTGGATGCTGGAGAATGAGTTTGAATCCTGGCTTCACCACTTATGATGGAATCTACTTAAGTTCTCTGCACTTCTTTGGACTTCAGTTTCCTCACTATAAATAATTATAATAATAAGATCTCCCTCACTGGGTCATTGTGAGATTGAATGCATGTCATCCATGTAAAATGCCTAGAACAGTGCCTGACACATAGTAAGTTATATGAATGTCTGCTATTATGATAAGGTAGTATGATATTCTGCTATGGCTTTGAGATCAATATGCAAAAATTGGTAGTATTCTAAACACTGCAACAAATAGCGAAAATATATAATTTGTAAAAGATCACTTTTATATAACTTGTAATAGCATAAAAATAAGGTACCTAGGAATAAATCTAACAAATGAGGTGCATGATCTTTAAAAAGAAAATTATAAAATTTTATCAAATGTAATTAAAGAGACTGAAATAAATGGAGAACTATGTTCTTTATGAAAAATTTATAACCTTGAACACTTTTCTTCCTCTCATATTACTCTTTAATTCAAAGTAGTTCAAAACAAAATATCGATCGGTATTTTTAGTGTACGTTGTGGAATTTGACAAGTTTGATTTTAAATGAAGGCTAAATAGTAAATATTTGAGAAGCATGGGATCAGCACAGAGACTGACAAACAAAACAATGAAATGGAAATAGCATGTCCAGGAAGACTTTCCTGCATTTATAGAAACTTGATAGTTGGCAAAAGTGATATTACAGGTCAGTGGAAATAGGGTGAATTATTCAAAAATAATAATACTGGGGCAATTAATCAGCCATTAGCAAAAACTCAAAATTAGATCCTAGCTTCAGTCATACCCTGGACTAAAGATTTCAGTGTGAAAAACAAAACAGAGCTGAATATCTTCCTGGTGACCCTGGGTCAGAGAAGCATTTCTTAAACAAGATGGGAAAACACAAACCATAAAGGAAAAGACCGATAAATGTCACTATGTTAACATTAATTTTGTTAATGTTTTATTATTTTCCGGTTCACCAGGGTAGGCTATGGTCCCAGTTTTGTACTGTCTCTGCACAGTATCACCACACAGCTATGGCCTTTACATAGTGACTTTGCATCACCTGCCTGTAGGGTGGGCAGCATGCATCTCCACACAATTGAGTTTGAGTCTCACTGGGTGACTTGCTTTGGCCAACAGAATGTAGGACAACATGCATGATGCCCAACCCGATTTTTTTTTTTTTTTGAGACAGTCTCACTCTGTTGGGCAGGCTAGAGGGCAGTGGTGCGATCTCCACTCACTTCAATGTCCACCTCCCAGGTTCAAGCGATTATCATGCCTCAGCCTCCTGAGTAGCTGAGATTACAGGCATGCACCACTACGCCTGGCTAATTTTTGTATTTTTAGTAGAGATGGGGTTTCATCATGTTGGCCAGGCTGGTTTTGAACTCCTGACTTCAAGCGATCCACCCACCTCAGCCTCCCAACGTGCTGGGATTACAGGTGTGAGCCACCGCGCCCAGCCCCAACCTGAGATTTTACATGTGCTTGTGTGGTTTTCCTTGGCCTCTTCCATTTATCATGAGATGAGCATGCCCTGAGTAGCTGCTGTCTTTGAATGTGAAATATAGACAACAGACTTAAACCAGACCTGAAGTCTGAGGCAGAGCCACCCTGGTTGAACAATAGAACTGTGAATTAGAAAAATACAATTTTGTTGCTTAACTACTGAGATTTATCTGCAATACTATCCTAGTAATAACTGACTAGTACATTAACTTATTCAAAATAGGTTTTTTTTTTTTTTTGGAGAGGAAAGGACATCGGGGCTCATAAAATCAATAAGAGGGTAGAGGCTTCGAAATAGGCAGGAGCCAGGATATTTCTCGGGGATGGATTCCAGGACCACCAGCAAGTGTAAAAAGCAGGCTCTCATAAAGCCAGGGCACAACTGCTGGGATGAAATAGAATTATTTTCTGCTCCTTTGATCCTCTGGTCAAGATCCAAGTACTAGGAAGAGAGTATGTAATTGTCCTAGCTTGGACTGCCTCCACCCACGAACTAGACAGTACAGGTATCTGGGTCACTATCTATCAGGCAATATCCCCTGGGAAGAAAGAAGGCCTCGAAGGAAATGATGAGCCGGGCACGGTAGCTCACGCCTGTAATCTTAGCAATTTGGGAGGCCAAGGTGGGTGGATCACTTGAGGTCAGGAGTTCGAGACCAGCCTGGCCAACATGGTGAAATCCGTCTCTACTAAAAATACAAAAATTAGTCAGGTGTAGTGACGCACATCTGTAATCCCAGCACTTTGGAAGGTTGAGGCTGGCGGATCACTTGAGGTCAGGAGTTTGGGACCAGCCTGGCCAACATGGTGAAACCCCATCTCTACTAAAAATACAAAAATTAGCCAGACATGGTGGCACACGCCTGTAATCCCAGCTACTTGGGAGCCTTAGGCAGGAGAATCATTTGAACTCGTGAGACAGAGGCTGCAGTGAGCCGAGATCATGCCACTGCACTCCAGCCTGGGTGACAGAGTGAGACTCCGTCCCCACTGCCAAAAAAAAAAAAAAGGAAGTGGTGTACTTTTCAGAAGAAGAGATTGACATTGGGCAGAGCCAGAAACAAGAAATGGCCAAGACACATGCTGACCAATGTACTTTTACACTGAGGGTTCCCAGCTTGTGGGCTAAGAATACCTTGGAGAGCTTTGGAGCTGTTGCAAGAGACCCTAAGTCTATCTATGCCACAACTATGGTCTGAGGCTTGGTAGATAACATAATTTATATCCCTATACTACCCTTCCCTGAAGATATATAGACGCTATTGGATGTTATTGGCTTAATTCAATGCAAATTCATTTTCAAGAGTTACTAGATTCATAGTAATAGTATCTTCTTAGGGTAGACTTTCCTAACCAAAAAATACTACAAACAAAATGACTGCCACACGGGAATCTGCAAAATAGAGATCACTATTTTGATCTCACTAAATTGTTCTAAGGTTCAAATGACTAAGTACTTGGAGTACTTAGTGCTTGGGACACAGTAAATATGCAGTAAATACCAACCACTAGCCTTCTGATGATGCCATTTTGTCCCATGAGGGCCTGCAGGAGAGAACTCTGCCAGCATGTGCACTGACCTGGTCACCTCAGTAGCTATATTTCTCACAGTGAACTCACGCTCGGTCTTGAGAGAAGGCCCTCCAACTCTGTGGCTCACCGGCACTGTCTTCCTGTGTCTGGGTAGGACCTAAACATGCACTCCTGGTGACTTAACTCAGGTGCTGCTTCCCAAGGAAGGTCACCTTAGCCACTAGGTGGCCTCCCTCCAAGTCTGTTTGTTGGTTAGGAAAATCTACACTAAGAAGAAACTATTGCTATGAGTCTAGTAACTCTTGAAAATGAATTTGCATTGAATTAAATCTAATAACAGCCAATAACATCTATATATATTCAGGGAAGGCTAGTATAGAGATATAAATTATGTTATCTACCAAGCCTCAGACCACGATTGTGGCATAGATAGACTTAGGGCCTCTTGCAACAGCTCCAAAGCTCTCCCTCCAAGTCTTCTCTAAGGCCAGCATTCTTCTTGTCCTATGGGCAACACATAGTCTAGACAGAGGGTAAGGGACATCAACAGAGTAACAACAAGCAGGTTGGTTGGTATTCGATTTTGCTTTGGAGACGAAGATGGCTTTACCTTACAATAAGCAGTCAGGTAGAGCTGGGGGTCATTTTGAGGGGGAAAATAACCCAAACAGAACTGTGTTTTAGGAGAATTAACCTTCCTAGGGTGTATAGGTTGAAGAATGAAAAGGAGATACTGCCCATGGTCTCTTTTTCTCTCTAGTGTAGCTTTTTCAAGCTAGAAGAATAACTATAACAACTTTCTGAAGTCAGTTTCCTCATCTGCAACTTCCCCCACAATCTCCCATCCAAGACCAAGGTAGCCTGATCCCACTAATCATCAGAGACCAGATGAAATCAGGTGTGTTCAGGATTGTACGGTGTGCCATCTATAAAGCACGTGGGGTGTGTTTCTACACTGGGGGTTCCCAGCCTGTGGGCTAAGAATACCGTGGAGAGCTTTGGAGCTGTTGCAAGAGGCCCTAAGTCTATCTATGCCACAACCGTGGTCTGAGGCTTGGTAGATAACATAATTTATATCTCTATACTACTCTTCCCTGAATATATATAGATGTTATTGGCTGTTATTGGATTTAATTCAATGCAAATTCATTTTCAAGAATTACTAGATTCATAGCAATAGTTTCTTCTTAGTGTAGATTTTCCTAACCAACAAATAGTACAAACAAAATGACTGCCACACAGGAGTCTGTAAAATAGAGATCACTATTTTGATCTCACTAAATTGTTCTAAGGTTCAAATGACTAAGTACATGGAGGTGCTTAGAACAGTGCTTGGGACACAGTAAATATGCAGCAAATGCCAACCATTATCATAAAGCAATTCTCATTCCTGAAAGGTGGGGCTCACTCATCTAGATGATCTCTAAAGCCATGCTTTGTGCCTCTGAGCTTTAATGGCTTTCTACATTTTATGAAAAATCTTGTGATGGGGGCAGACATTCTTTGAGATCTGTTGCTGTTGCTGACGCAGAAAGTGCCTTAGCCTATGAGCCATTCTTCTAAGCTTGGATAGAAGGCGTCCTTGGAAGAGGGCCCATATCTCTTCAATTGACAGTGTGGCCCAGAGAGGCCGCAGTCGGAGACCTCTGGGCACTAACACAAGGGCGGTCTGTTTCCTCCAGGGAGGAATGAACTGACTTCTGTTGTGTCCCACGCAGCTCGTCCACTGCAAAGCTCAGCGAAAAATACTAAAGTGACCTCAAGGTGGCACTGCAACCCAAAATTTCACACAAGGGCACACAACCTCAGTTCATTTTGGGGGGTTTTTGTGTTTTTTTGTTAATTTTTGTTTTTTGATCATATCAATTATTTTTATTATCTTTAGAAATAGAAACACAAAACTTAAGAATTTTGTAGAGAATTTGAGTGACTTTAAGAGTGTGTCCTCAGAGTCCAGTTTAAAAAAACAATTCTTCCGACTTTAAAGTCCTGGAGTTGCAGGAAGTATCCTGTCTTCAGGTGAGGGTCTCAGAGGTGATTTATTCCTGAAGTTGGGTATTTGCAAGCTTTTCAAAGCTTTCAGAGCTATCATCATCAGAGGGCCACAAGATGGAGAAGGCACTCCTTGAAATATCCTTTATTTTAGGAAAATAATTTTTCAAAAATTTCAATAGGTTTTGGTGGAACAGATTGTGTTTGGTTACACGCATAAGTTCTTTAGCGGTCGTTTCTGAAATTTTGGTGCCCTCATAACCCAACCAGTGTACGCTGTACCCAATTTGTAGTCTATTATCCCTCACCCCCCCGCTCCCACCCTTTCCCCCGAGGTCCCAAAGTCCATTGTATCATTCTTATGCCTTTGTGGCCTCATAGCTTAGCTCCCATTTATAAGTGAGAACATGCGATGTTTGATTGTCCATTCCTGAGTCACTTCACCTAGAATAATGGTCTCCAATTCCATTCAGGTTGCTGCAAATGCCATTATTTTATTCCTTTTTAAGGCCTTCAGTTTATTTTTTTTAATGATATATGATAGTTTACATATTTATGGAGTACATGTGCTATTTTGTTATATGCATCAAATGTGTAATGATCAAGTCAGGGTATTTGGAGTCTCCATTACCCTGAGTATCATTTCTACGTGCTGGGAACATTTCATGTTCTCTCTTCTAGCTACTTTGAAATATACAATACATTGTTGTTAACTAGAGTCACCCTACTCTGCTATTGAACACCTCCCCCCGTGCAAAAAAAAAAAAAGGATTGTATTGCTCAGTTCATTTTTAAAGCCTTCTTTCTCAAACTTTACTGTGCATAAAATCCAGCCAGGATCTTGCTAAAATGCAGCTTCTGAATCAGTAGGCCTGGGATGGAGCCTGAAATTCTGCATGTCTGACGTCTCTCAGGTGATGCGAACGCTGCAGCCTGGTTTTAGCTGGAATATAGCTTTCAGCAATTCTCTGCTGTTGTTTCTAATTAGGGACAGGAGTGAGAATTAAGAAGACCAGAAAAATGGCCCCTTTCTGTGCCTTTAGGAGGTGATGAAGAGCAAGAAAAAAGAAAAATCAGAAACAACCAAAGAAAACCAAGGCAGCTTTCTCTTTCCATTCCAATCCCATGAGATTTGCGGTTCTGCCCTCGGAGACGACTGATTCAAGGTAGCAGGTGCCCCGGTCAAGATGAGTTGTGGAGAAGACCAGACCTTCCCAGTAGGTTCTTTCCCTGACACAAGGGCTCCTTCCAGATTTTGTTACAGAATTTACAACACATGAAGTGACCCGATGCTTCAGCAAGTGCTTCATGGCTTCCCCCAAAACCAAAGTCAGGGTTCCTGAGAGAGTGCCTAGAAAGTCGGGGTGGAGGTCGGGTGCGGTGACTCACGCCTGTAATCCCAGCACTTTGGGAGGCCGAGGCGGGCGGATTACGAGGTCAGAAGATCAAGACCATCCTGACCAACATGGTGAAACCTGTCTCTACTAAAAATAAAAAATTAGGTGGGTGTGGTGGTGCATGCCTGTAGTCCCAGCTACTTGGGAAGCTGAGGCAGGAGAATCGCTTGAACACGGGAGGCGGAGGTTGCAGTGAGCCGAGATCGTGCCACTGCACTCCAGCCTGGCGACAGAGTGAGACTCCATCTCAAAAAAAAAAAAAAAGTCTGGGTGGAAAGAACCAAGCTTAGAATTGAAGAAGTGTGGAGTCACAGGAAGAGGCGCTCTGCCGGCAGCGTTACTCTTGCATACACAATGAGATTTATTTTAATCCCATGAACTTCTGCTTTCCACAGTGAGAAGGCCCCGTGGGAAGCAACCAATGAAGTGAAACTGCTTCTACCCCAGTGCTGGGCGTCTGTAGGTATGGACAGGCCCTTGCTTTAAGGTAGATGCCCGCCGCAAAACGGGAAGTTGCATTATGGCTGCCTCCCGCTGGGGTTCTTTTTCTCTTGGTATTTTAATTTTTGTTTTTTGGATTTGGTTTGGTTTTTCCTCTTTAAGGATCTTCATATCATTTTTGTCGTTTTTGTTCTTCAGTCTGAAGCTGAGTTTTGAGACAATAAAAAATTCAAAGCCAAATTCGATCTTTTCAGTTTTTAATCTATTGTAATGATTCAGATTAAAGTTTCTCCAGCCACCTGCTTTTAAGGGTGAAGGAGGATGTTGGCTCTATGTTTTCTCCGAGGCTCTGACAATGGAGTTCATTTCCCACCTCTCCCAGGCGGCCTTAGGAGACAAACTTTCCCATTTAATTTGTAGAAAACATGGATCAGGGTGTCCCAGCTGTACCCAAGCCGGGAGTAACAGTTTGGCTTTTATTTGGGTAAATTTTACTCGTCTCCGTCTGTGTGCATGAATTGATATGCATAGGTGGGTGGAAGGAGGATTATTTGGGGGTTGGAAAGGAGAGGTGGGACAGAATAGGGACAGTGGAAAGGACGAGGTGCTGTGTCACCCTTCTTGCCCCCTTGGGCTGGTTTGGAACCCCCGCAGAGGGAGGAGTGAGAGCTGAAGAAATGGATTTCGTGAGCAACTCGGTGAGATGGTGGATCCCAGCATTGCAGCACTGGCATGCTGAGAGGTTGACACACAATTTTGAGGAGAGAAGTACCGAATCTACTGCTAGCTCCGTGGAACTCGGCATGGCTCCTCGTCACAAGGATAGTTGCATTTGGGATTACTGGGAGAAAGCACCCTTAGCATGGTCGTTAGCACCATTGAGAAAGCACCTTCATTCAGCAATGTCAGTAGTGAGAGACTCTTGCAAGGACCTGCAAAGGGCCCAGGGGTAGCTGCCGCGAGCTAGAGGGGAGTAGACTACGGCAGCATGGGGAGAGGAGCTGACAGGAAGCTGTCCGGCACCTGCGAGAATCTCAGGTTCGAATGGAAATATTCGTGTGCACGTTTGCAGGAGGGTGAGAGGCCCCGCTTCAGCAGGTGGGAGCCAGAATAAGAACTGGGGTCACTGATGCTGTTGTGCCTTCTTTGTAGCCTCAGGCTGGTAAGGATTGGTAGCATTTGGATTACACACGTCATGATAAGAATTGCTCTTCCACAACGAGATACCTCCATCCAAGAATAGGGTCTAGCAGGAACAAGTATGTCCATGTTACTACACATAGGAAAGAAACTAATTCTTCCAGTCACCAAGCTCTGGCTCTACCAGTGTAGCAGACCATCTGTGAAAGCAGACTCTGGGCTGGGCACGGTGGCTCAAGCCTGTAATCCCAGTACTTTGGGAGGCCGAGGCAGTTGGATCACCTGAGGTCAGGAGTTCAAGACCAGCCTGGCCAACATGGTGAAAACCCGTCTCTACTAAAAATACAAAAATTAGCCAGGTGTGGTGGTGCACACCTGTAATCCCAGCTACTCGGGAGGCTGAGGCAGGAAATCACTTGAACCCAGGAGGCAGAGGTTGCAGTGAGCAAGACAGCACCACTGCACTCCAGCCTGGGCGACAGAGCGAGACTACGTCTCAAAAAAAGAAAAAAAAAAAACACAGGCTCTGTCATCACAATCTTGCATTTCTGTCACTTACTAGCCATGAAACCTTGACTTCTGGTTGGGGACTTTATCTGTTAATAGGAATAATGATAACATTTAACCCTTGGATCTATGTGATTTAACAAGTATAACATCACGACAGACTTAGAACAGTGGCTGGCACATTTGAAATCTCAAAAAGGGCTGAGCATGGTGGCTCATGTCTGTATTCCCAATGCTTTGGGAAGCTGAGGTGAGAGGATCAATTGAGCCCAGGAGTTCAAGATCAGCCTGGGGAATATAATGAGATCCTGTCTCTACAAAAAAATTAAGATGTGAGCAGAGCATGGTGGCACGTGCCTGTTGTCCCAGCTACGCGGGAGGCTGAAGTGGGAGGAATGCTTTAGCCCAGGAGGTGGAGGCTGAAGTGAGCCATGGTCATGCCACTGCAACCCAACCTGGGCAACAGAGTGAGACCTTGTCTCTAAATAAATAAATAAATAATAAATCCTCAAGAAAGGTTAGTGCCTTGTACTGTTAAGTATACAAGGCCAGGATGTTAATGACAGCATCATGGAAACATTTTTCCTGAAATAAAAGAGCCAGAAAGAGGTTGAGGGCTCAGGGGTAGTGAGTCCAGGAATCAAAGACATCGATCCTAATGGAATATCTGAGCTAACCTTGCACAGATTCTTTCAGCAGCTTTCTCTGGCCTGTTTTTTCCCAGGGCCAAAGGTACTGCTGCCAGGAAAGACACTTAAAGTCCTTAGGTCTAGAAGGTTCCTGGGCATGACCAAAGATCTAACTTTCTTCACAGGGAGAACACAGTCTAATAATGTGGTGCCTTAACCCATCATGGCCTAAAATAATAAAGGCCTCATCTCCTTTCCATTTTTAATAAACACCACAGGAGGAACATCCAATAAACTTAATATGGTGGTATTAGAATGTGCCTGTTCCAATCTGTCAGAGCAACCCATCTTACCACTGAATTTCACCACATCATCCATTAGTACTCAAGATAAAAACTGTCCTGTTGCCAATGACTTCCTCCGAAACAGAAACAAATCATTGTGCAGCTAAAAAATCAGAAGCAATACACATTCTGGCTGCATAAGCCAAGATATTCTTCTTCTCAGGACTGTGTAGCACAGGGCCCCTGTCTATAAAATAATTTGATTAAAAAATATGTTTTGGCAGGGAGCGGTAGCTCACGCCTGTGATCCCAGCACTTTGGGAGGCCGAGGTGGGCAGATCACTGGAGGTCAGGAGTTTGAGACTAACCTGGCCAACATGGAGAAACCCCATCTCTACTAAAAATACAAAAATTGTTCCAGTGTGATGGCGTGCACCTGTAATCCCAGCTACTTGGGAGGCTGAGGCAGGAGAATCGCTTGAACCTGGGAGGCAGAGTTTGCAGTGAGCCAAGATTGTGCCATTGTACTCGAGACTGGGTGATAGAGCAAGACTCCATCTCAAAAAAAAATTGTTTTGTGGCCCGGCGCAGTGGCTCACGCCTGTAATCTCAGCACTTTAGGAGGCCTAGGCAGGCAGATTGCTTGGGCCCAGTTTAAGACCAGCCTGGGTCACATGGCAAAAACCCTGTCTCTACCAAAAAAGATACAAAAATTAGCTAGGAGCAGTGGTACATGCCTGTAGTCCCAGCTACTCAGGAGGCCAAGGTAGGAGGATTACTGAAGCCTTGGAAGTGGAGGTTACAGTGAGCTGTGATTGCACCACTACACTCCTGCACTCCAGGTTAGAATGAAATCCTGTCTCGAAAAAAAAAAAAGATTTTGAAATGGATGGACCCATGTGAGAGGTTCAGTGAGTTATTAACGAGAATTGGTACAGAAGAGTCATTTGCGTATTGTTTATTTTCCAGCTGCTACCTGTGAGGATTCTTTGCAGCATCCAAGCAACACCTCTTCCTGTTCAAACCCAGGAGCCATCTCTTCACGCATTTTATTGTCCAGTGTGCTGTTTTTGGTTAACTGTGTCTCTCACCAAGAAGAAAACAGCAGCAGTGTTGTAATTAATCACAAGGCAGCTCTTCAGAACCTGCTCACATTAAATGATGTAGGTCTTCTTGCCTCTGCAGTTCCCTGACAGTATGTTTGTAATGCTGGTTGAATTATTACTCATGCCGCCACATCATCCATCCACCCTAGCTTCCCATGACTCTCAAAGGTTGTTACTGTGCTTCATGAATGCAAGCCTTCCCCAGATGAGGCAGGGAAATGTGAGCCCATACAGTATTCATTTTCCGATTCTGTTAAGTTTACCATTCAGAATTTTATAGTAGAAACATAGAACTACCCACCATCCAGCTGCGTTTTCTCTTGGCCTCTTGAGGTGGTAACCACGGCATTCCTACCATGGAAGTACTTTTGGTTCTGACTGAACCCCTGCCTTCCACACAAGGGTAGGCAAGGGGTCAATGCAGAAAGAGGGAAGAGCAGTCCCGCTCCTGCAAGAAACATTCCTCCTCCATCAGGCACAGCTTAATACTGACTGGCAGAGCACCATGTAACCATGGGAGGCAAGACAGGACGTTGATTGGAAGGCCCATTGGTGTTCAGTTTTGAAAGTCATCCTTGAAGGACTGCCTGGCACATGGCTCAGAGCATGCAGCAATGGCAGCTATTGCCCTGGGTGCCCGAGGCTGGGAGCACAGGCGGGCGCAGGGTAAAGGACACCTGCCAGCACACCTGCCACCCTCAGGTGTTATAGACAAGAGGTGGCACCACAGTCAAAACACAGATGGGCATAGGTCCACACTGGTGGCTCAAGCCCAAGGGTCAGCGATGAGCTGCCGGTAGCCAATGCCCTGAAGTCATCTTGTGTTCAATGTGAGAGTCGCCCCAATCAACATGTCAGCAGCATTCTGGTGCCCAATCCTGGGTGGGCCTACACTGCTTTCCAGGCCACCCACCTCAAATGGGGATCCAACCACCAGTCTCTGAGAGAGCCCCATAGATGTGAATTACAGAGCTCCCCAGGATATCTGGTTAACTCCATGTTTGCGGTAGAGGGTCAGAGGTCATCTCAAAGGGGAGAAATAAAGACTGGGGTCCATACGGGTCTGCGTCTGGGCTGGGGCATCCTGCTTGGGGAACACTGCCAGTCCCAGCTGTACCAGGCCCTCAGAAGGACTTAGAAAGTTCAAGGGAGACCTTCCAAAGCACTGGGGCAAGGGGAGATCTGAGGCGTGGGCCCACGGCAGGGGCTTCATTGGCCCAGTGCTGCCCCTTCCCCTCTAAAAAGGCTGAGACAGCAAAAGAACAGGGGAAGTGGTTGGGGGTGGGGGAACCAGGTACCCCATTTGCAGTGATTCATATAATCTGCAGACTCCAAAATAGTTAAAGGGCTGCCCACAGCAAGCACCTGAGATCCAGCAGCTTCCAATAGGAGGAGGCAAAGAGAAGATTCATGAAGTGTGGGGTGGTTGGGGGAAGCAATAAGCCAGTGATGGCAGGTCCTAGAAAGTGTCAGCAAAAATACAGATGGTGAGGGATGCCCCCGATATGATTTGGCTGTGTCCCCACCCAAATCTCATCTTGAATTGTAGCTCCTATAATTCCCACATGTTGTGGGAGAGACCCAGTAGGAGATGATTGAATCATGGGGGCAGTTTCTCCCATACTGTTCTCATGGTAGTGAGTAAGTCTCACAAGATCTGATGGTTTTATACGGGGTTTCCCTTTTTGCTTGGCTCTCATTTGCTCTTGTCTGCCACCATGTAAAATGTGCCTTTCACCTTCTGCCATGATTGTGAGCCCTCCCCAGGCACATGGAACAGTGAGTCCATTAAACCTCTTTTTCTTTATAAATTACCCAGTCTTGGGTATGTCTTTATCAGCAACATGAAAATGGACTAATACACCCCCTTACAAGTAAAATCTGTATCCTTGATTTCCAACAATAAGCGCTGACACTGAAGGGGGCAGCCTTGGCAACAGAGGCCCTGCTGGACTTCAGAGGAGCAGAGGAGGCCAATCAACAAAGAAAATAAAATCAACACAGAAAGAAAATCCCTGGGGAGTGGACCTGTGCCAGGCACTGTTCTAGGCAGAGATAGAGACAATATCTGTGAGCAAAACAGAAAAAAATTTCTGCTCTAAAAGAGTTTGCATTCTAGTGGGGGAAGACAGGGAATCAGCAGGATAAAGAGAAAACTTAGAAGTAAACTTAGAAGATGGCAAATGCTATGGAGAAATAAAAAGCAAGGAAGGTGGACAAAGAGTGCTGCCATTTTCTACTAGGTCATCCAGGAAGTCTTCAACGGAAATGGGATTGGAGCAAAGATTTGAAGGGCAAAAAGAATACTGAAATAAACGTCTTGGGGAAAATGTGAATTGATTTAGAGTTCACTCCACTGGCTTTTCATTAAGTATTTCAAAATAATGACTAGAATGTGCATGTGTTGTTAGAGTATTAATAGTTACCCTTGAGGCTGCTTGGACACCACTAACAAGACAGATTCTGAAGACAAGAATCTCATTGTGAAGAGGCAGACATGGGCTGCTGTCGGGAGTTGTGCTAGCCAGGATCCCCCACCCAGCTTCCCTAACCATAATCCTGAACACCCCTACTGTTGGCTGCAACTTTGTCCTTGAACATCCAGAACGCAGTGTTGTCCAGCAGCTCAGAGCCCCCATCTGTGAAGGAGGGCAGTGTCTCAGCAGCTGGCTGTTGAATAGATGTACAGGTGTAGGCCACTTCCAGACCCACAGTCAGGAGTTTTTCATTGTGCTTGTCCCCTGGCAGGACTTCAGGATGCACTACCAGACCCACTCCCTATCTCAAGTGGGTCCTCAAGGAGCCCTGTCCAGGGTTAAAAGGATCAATGGCAGCAGCAAGTCATGGGTCACAGCACACCAGGTGGAAAATTGAGCTCAGGGACCAAGGTATGTATCCCCAGCAGGATGCTGGTGATTAAGTTGCCTTTGAAACCTCCAGGGGAGAACAGGCTCCCCATTATTCCCCATCCTTTACATAGAGAACATTTTCTGGCTCCTAGACCAGGGGTGGCTGATCTGAGGAGCAGCCCCCATTGCAAGTTACCGATGGCAAAAGAATGTTTTTTTCGGGGATAGAATCAGGTGGCAAATACAGGATGCTTTGGCCATGGAGGAAGACTGCAGAGAAAGCCTAGACCTCAAATGACTTTGGGGAATATAGACGGGATAATCAAAGTGCCCCATCCAGGGCTCTGTTCTTGAGAATTGCAATAGAAGGAATGAGAGAATAAAAATCAAATGCAAAAAGTAAAGGCCACTTGGTTGTGGATTGGAAGGAAAAACATTAGGAGTTAAAAGACTATGACCTTGGGCTTGGGTGGGCCATTTAAAATTCTAAAGCCTCAATTTCCCCATTTGAAAGTGAGAGTTATACTTGACAATCTCCAAATTCTCACCCACTTTTAATATGCCTAGTCTATGCTTCTCTTGAATGGTTCATCATAATAGATAAAGGAGTGAACTTTGGGGAACATTTGCCAAAATTTAGATGTAAAATTCCTTCTTCCCACTAATCTGTTGGGAATTCAAGGACTGCAATTCCATTTCAGTACAGCTCTCTTTGCCACATTTGCTGAGAGAATACAGACCATTCTCAACAACTCAACTGTTGACGTCCAGAAAGGATTGCAATTTATCTGTAGAGATGCTAAGAGATTGTGAAAGCCCCCTGAGGAATACACAGACAGACTTCACTTAAGAGTTCAGTTTCCTCGGGGAAAAAAATGAAACAAGCTCCAGGTTGACAAATGGCAAGGAAATAAAAAGGAACTTACAAGCTCCAGAGTCATTTTTAAAACATGATCGGAGTTCATGACACCGGCTGCTGTTACAGCATTCAGCCTGGGTATGCTCACTTCCGCATCAATGTCATGATTCAGAACAGTGGGTCTTTGTTGAAATCTGAAATTTCTTGGGTAAAAGTATATCATCAGGTTTGTATGAGGCTAGGTGTTACTTGTATTTCAAGCCTCAAAAGCAAATAACGTTCAACTCATGTAAAATTTATTTTTTCTGATTGTAATTCATAACAGTCAAAACCAAGCATATTAGGAAATGTTGGATGGTATTTAAGTTTCTGAGACAGGAACAGCAAAATGATTTGATAGGTAAGATTTAAGGATTGTCCAGCTGTGAAGTTGCTGAGAGCTCAGCCTAATGTGTTATTTTTAAACTTGTAATAAAACACATCTGTTTTGTAAATGGTATTGCTAAACTGAGGGTTCTAGCATGAAATAACTAAATCCTGGTGACTTTAGGGCTAATCTTACATTCTTCGTGTGTTCCAAGTTAATTAATTAAATGTGAATTAAAGCTGGATTAATTAATCAAAGGTGAATTCATTAAATAATTAAAGGTGAATTCATTAACTAATTAAAGGTGAAAGTCTCATTCTGAATAATTTACTCAAGATTTACCAACCCTTGTGCAGAATCGGTCTCACTCCTCCAGAAGCCAAGAATCACATTTACATCAGTGTCCTGCCCAGGAAGGCACCTTCCCCATGCTTTGTCTCCATTCCACTGTGGTTTCCTTGGGTTTCCCCTTCTGCCAGACAGACCATGGGCTCACCAGGGAAGAGAAAGAGAGATGCTCAGCCCCCAAGCTGCTAGACTCTAGCTCCTCAACTCCAGCTACTGGCTAAATGGTAGCATGGCCTGGCTTCTAGATTGACACCCAGTGCCCTCCCTGTACTCTCGGGTTGGCCTTCTTGAGTACAATTTTTAAAATAATCACTAGCATGAGGAATTCATAAGATACAAACTATAAGAAAATGAATTAGATGCAGAATCCGGTTTTAACTTGTTTAGGAGATTAGTCTTAGTAGATGGTGTGATGGCTAATATTGAGTGTCAACTTGATTGGATTGAAGGATGCAAAGTATTGTTCCTGGGTGTGTCTGTGAGGATGTTGCCAAGGAGATTAACATTTGAGTCAGTGGAATGGGAAAGGCAGACCCACCCTTAATCTGGGAGGGCACCATCTAATCAGCTGCCAGCATAGCTAGAATAAAAGGAGGCAGAAGAACATGACGAAACTTGACTGGGCTAGCCTCCCAGCCTACATCTTTCACCCATGCTGGATGCTTCCTGCCCTCAAACATTGCACTCCAAGTTCTTCAGCTTTGGGACTTGGACTGGCTTCCTTGCTCCTCAGCTTGCAGATGGTCTACCGTGGGACCTTGTAATTGTGTGTGTCAATACTCCTTAATAAGCTCATATATATATATATCTCCTATTATATATATATATCTCCTATTATATATATATCTCCTATTATATATATCCTATATATATAATATCCTATTATATATATCCTATATATATATAATATCCTATTATATATATCCTATATATATATAATATCCTATTATATATATAAAGTATATATATTTATATATACTTTATATATATTTGTATATATATCCTATATAGCTCCTATATATATCCTATTATATATATATCCTATTTTATATATATATCCTATTTTATATATATATCCTATATGTAATATCCTATTTTATATATATATGTACCTCCTATATATATAGGAGTTTATTAAGGAGTGTTGACCCACACAATTACAAGGTCCCACAATAGACCTTGCAATATATATATATAGATATAGATATAGATATAGATATAGTATTGTGTGATATATATATATATATATATATCCTATTAGTTCTGTCCCTCTAGAGAACCCTAATACAGATGGAATGAGATTTTTAAAAGTAGATGCTTTTCTAGGTCGAGAGCAACCAAATTTTGGCAATTTCACATGACGTGAGCTCTACTTAGGAATCCTACAATTCTGGATTCTCTGTCTTCTTACCTGAGTTTTACCTATTCCTGCTCTTCCTGAGCTTCTCAGAATATGCCTTTAAATTCCACCATCTATCCTTAAGCCAGTTGAGTTCCCACTAAGCTCCTCTAGCCAACCCAACATCCATTCCATAAACATTCTTTGAGCACCAGTTCTGAACCAGGGACTGCTGCAGACACAAGGGCAGATGTAAGTCTGTCTTAGCCTTTGAGGAGTTCATAGTCTAGTGGGAAATTGAAACTTTAAAAATGTACATAATTAGGTTGGTGATAGAAATATGTCCAAAGTGTGGAAGAGAATCAAGAAGCATCATGCTTACGGGAAAGAGTGAGGATGATTTCAAAGAAGAGTCGATATGTGGATTGTGTCCTGAGAGAACTGTAAGATTTCCTGAACAAACCCAAGTAGGGAAGGCATTACAGCAGGCATGATGTGAAATCTGGGCTCTGGAGCCATGAAAGAACACTGAAAGTTCTGGGGAAGGGCCAGTAGCTCCATAGGGCCCAATGATAGGATGCAAGGAGGGGCTGGGTGTGGTGGCTCACACCTGTAATCCCAGCACTTCGGGAGTCCAAGACAGGAGGATCATTTGAGGCCAGGAGCTCAATACTGCAGTGAGCTATGATCGCACCACTGCATTCCAGCCTGGGTGACAGAGCAAGAGCTAGTCTCTAAAAATTAAAAATAAAGAAGATGCAAGGATATAAAAGGAGATTGCTGTCAGATCTTAAAGGAGCATGACATTCTCTCCCTGAATCATGTGTTTAAGCCACAAAATTTTTTTCTAACCAGAGAAGTGACATGATGTTTGTTTTTGAAATATAATTTTGCAAAATTGTCATTTTTGAAATATAATTTTGCAAAAATTATATTTCAGGAGTGCTTTTCTTCCTGTGACCTGTGAGACCAGAAAGAAGAATCAAGCCAAATGAGTAGGATGTGTAGGCTGTAAAAACTATCTTTATTTTTTTTCTACTTATAAAAGAAATACAGATTCATTCTAAACAATTCAAACATTATAGAAATACACAACATAGAAATCAAATGCTCCCTGTAATCCAACCTCCCAGACCCAAACCACTGTTACTACATCTGGTATAGATTTCTTTACACTTTTATTTCAATGCCATTTCAATGGCAAAAACCACAATTAGTTTTGCACCAACCTAATAGTTTATAACATATTAATATGTTTTTTCCATACCAGGAAATATACAGCTACCTTATTCTTTTTAGTGGCATGTAATATTATATTACATTAATGTACTATAATTTATTGAATTAGACCTTATTTTGTGGCCATGAGGATGTTTTCCATTTTTTTCTTTTTTTTTTTTCTTTTTTTTGAGATGGAGTCTCGCTCTGTCACCAGGCTGGAGTGCAGTGGCTCGATCTCAGCTCACTGCAACTGCCACCTCCCGGGTTCAAGCGATTCTCCTGCCTCAGCCTCCCAAGTAGCTGGGACTACAGGCGTGCACCATCACGCCCAGCTAATTTTTGTATTTTTAGTAGAGACAGGGTTTCACCATGTTGGCCAGGATGGTCTCCATCTCTTGACCTCGTGGGTCACCCACCTTGGCCTCCCATAGTGCTGGGATTACAAGAGTGAGCCACTGCACCTGGCCACATTTTTCATGATTATAAACAATCCTGGGATGAACACCTTTTTCCATAAGCCCTTATAAACTTGTGAAGGTGTTTCTATAGGATACATTCTTAGAAATCCTTCTAGAAACTGATATGAAGGGAATAACCATTTTTTATTTTAATAAATATTGTCAAATTGCCATCATAAAGGTTGTATCAATGTACATCCCAACAGTGTATGTGGTCCCCAACTTCCCAAGGACTGTGGGATTTTATAGACAATCTGTTCTCATCAGAGAGATTGTAGAACCTCGAGACTCTTCATTTAACTCTGTGAATGTCTGCAGTTCATACATTTCTCTGGTGGCTAATACATTAACATTAATAGCAGCTCGAAGGTTTGCCCAGAAAAGCCCACATTTACGCCTATCCTTGGGCCATTCCAAGTATGCTTTTTTTTCCAGGAGAGCTTTCAGTTTATGATACCTGGTGGGAATGCAATAGAATGGAATGGGTTCCAGTAAGATAAGAATTATATGATCAGAATTTTCATGGAAGAGATTGTGGTGGGCAAAGTAGAATTCATAATGGCACCACTCATTCTGGACAAAGTTGGGAGACAAAACAAAGATGGACTTATAGCTTTTCTCAATGAAGCTTACAATATTTTCACTAATGCTTTTGCCAGGGTCAAAGTAGCTTTCATAAAGGCAAATCAAGATAGAACCATCTTCCTTCTCTAGATTGGGGATCAATTCATTCTTCACCCACAGAGAATCATGTTCACTGTATGAAATAAATGCGTGGAATCGGACATTTCTCTTGAGTTGTTCTTGGGTTGTTTTCCTAACCCTGTGCCATGTTTGTGTGCATTGACCTAGCATCCTGAGATACCAGGGCAGATCAAAGTGGAGACAGCAGAAGGCCACAGCCAACCCCAGAACTAGCATAATAACCACAATGGTGACAATCAACAGAGCTGTGTTGCAAGATAATTCGTGGAGATGAACGTCTTTTAACCTAGTTCCCCTTAGGTTTAAAGGGTATTCACAGGTGTATGAATCTGACCATCCAACCATCATGACCTCTGAATATGTTTCAAGCTGAATGAAATTTTTTAATTCACAGGTACACCGGAATGGATTTCTTCCCGCATTTAGAGTTTTAACTTCCTGGCAGCTCTGAACAAAATCCAGAGATGGGCTGAGAATGAAGTTCATTTCAATGTTCAGAACTGAAAGTCTACTGAAATGACTGCATCCAGGGAGATCAGTTAGAAAATTAAATGCAATATTTAGTTCTCGTAAGGCCATCAGATGAATAGTCTCTTTAGGTACAGTTTGGATTTGGTTATTATTTAGGTCAAGTATTTGAATACTTTTGGGCAAGCACCTGAAGACAGAATCAGACAATTTATTGTATGACAGATTCATATTGACCACAGTTTCTGGCCATGAGCAATTTTCATCAT
The DNA here is from genome assembly GCF_000001405.40 of Homo sapiens. Classification (NCBI taxonomy): domain Eukaryota; kingdom Metazoa; phylum Chordata; class Mammalia; order Primates; family Hominidae; genus Homo; species Homo sapiens. The sequence goes on from NC_000004.12 coordinate 38,774,354, forward strand.
TTTTATGTTGTAATAGATTTTGACTCAGATCCAAGTGTTCCAAGGGTGTGTTGTTAGCAAAGCAACTTACTAAAGAAAGTGTCTCCAGTTTATTGCCATTCAAAATGAGAGTTTTCAAGTGAGGCAGTTGGATAGTTCTTTTAAACAACTCGTCTGTTAAGATATTATTGGCAAAATTTAAATATTGGAATTTCGTAGGATAATTCGGGAAAAGCATGTGTGGCATTTGTGCATTTGATATTGTCAGGTTTTCTATGTCCATTTTGGTCAAAAGCAAATAGATTTTATCCTGTTGAATGTAAAACACTCTGAAATGTACATGCTCCAATTTTATAGTTCTCATTACAGTATTTGAGTAGTCAAATGAATTGTGGTCAAGATAAGCCTTACCACCAAAAGTCACATTTCGGATCTGAAAGTGTTCCACTGATGTATGCCAAACAAATTGTAAGATAAGGAAAAGGTCGTCCCAGAGTAAATCAACTTTATTAAGCAATAGAACCGATGTCTTAGCATTTTCTAAACTAAGATTTCGTTGCATTTCATAACTTACAAATTGGCTTTTGCCATCTATATTTGTCATTTCTAATATTTTTGAAGTCTTGATTCCATCACGCAAAAGAACCCAGAAATTTGTGTCCATTGGTAAAACAATGTGCAGTTTTGTTGTGTTTAAGATGGGCAGGCTACCTTCTTCATAATGAGGAAGAGTTCTGAATCCTAAGAAGACAGTATTTAGATGCAGATGAGCAATTTTCTGGAAATCTGATTTTTGTATTTTTGCCCCACTCAAACCTAGGATTTCCAGGTGTGACATGTTGCCAGCTTCCTCACAGATAGGCATGGTGTCAAAGTCATTAAAAGAAAGATCTAAATACCTGAGACCTGCCAGTAAATACCAAGTTACACTCTTCAGTCTGTTATTAGACAAATCTAAATATCTTAACTCCTTGTTGAATTCAAAGGTTTTGAGATCCAGCTGTTGAATTCTGTTATGGCATAGAATCAAAACTCTCAGTTTGGAGACAGAATGAAAATCTGAACTCTGGAGTTGAAAAAGGAGGTTATAGGATAAATCCAGTGTCGTTGTGGCTGGGGTCAAGTCTGCGGGAACCTTTCTTAGAGACATGTTGGAGCAGTTGGTCATCAGTTCCCTTTCTTCTGGCAGCTCTGGAGCATCACCCTCTGCTGTCATAACAATACTACAAAATATGTAAATGTTTCTGATGAGTCTCATTGTATTTCCAAGGATTTTACCACTTATTTCCTCATATGAATGATGAAGATGAGCTCAAAACCCTAAAAAAAAGTATATAATATTAGATTTTTATTTGGTTTGTTAAATCCTGTAGGATTTTTATTTGCAAAAAAAATGCCAACATCTGACTACATTCATCAAGAGGTTGGAGTAAGGTTCCAACCTGTATATTGGGTCTTCGACTTGATCTCAGAGCATTGGCTGAGAAGTCTCCAAGCTGGCTACTGTGCCATGTCTCCGTTGTTGAGGTAAGTCAGGATTCTCAGAGAGGAGAAGCATAATGGACCTTTGGTTTAAGAACTGCATTGTCAGGCCAGACTCAATACCCTCTCTCACATCTCCTTTTGATAGCCTGAAGATTTCAAGAAAATTGAAAGTAATTTGTTTTATTACCAGACATTGTGAGCCTTTGACTTGATATCAAGGAGTTACCCCTCAATTTTTGTATTTGTGGATATAGAAAGTCCCTGGAGCCAATATCTGACTTTCAACACTTACCTTACAGATGGAAGTTTCAAAACAGGAAACAAATAGAATTATTCCTGTCCTTCTGCCTCTATATGTCTTCAGGTTGGTGGCAAAAGCAATCTGGATTACTGCCAAATAATAGTATTAATGTTGAAAAACAATTTCCAGGTGTGACATGTTGCCAGCTTCTCCACAGATAGGCATGGTGTTAGTCATTAAAAGAAAGATCTAAATGTCTGAAACCTGCCAGTGAATACCAAGCCACAATCTTCAGTCTGTTGTTAGACAACTATAAATGTCTTAACTTCTTGTTGAATTCAAAGGTCTTGATATTCAGCTGCTGAATTCTGTTATGGCATAGAATCAAAGCTTTCAGGTTAGATTTCAATGTGCCAAGATACATACTAATTGCTTCATGTATATTATCTCATTTATTTATCACCATACTCTGTGAGGGAAGTACTACTACTCCCATTTGATAGATGAGGAAATTGAAGGATATAGAATTCTGAGGACTTTGGGAGATGTGCCAGGCTTCACGTGGTTGGATTAGACGTAGAACAGAGGTAGTTGGAGTACTAAGATTTTACGATATTCATTATTCAAGATATTTATTAAGTACCTATTCTGCCAGAAACTTTTCTAGGCACTGGGGAAGTAGCAGTGAACAGAAGAGATTTCTGTTTCTACATAGCTTATATTCTAGAAAGAAGTTAAGAAAAGAGAGACTGCAAACAAAACAATACGTTTATATGTTATGACTCACAATTCCACATGCCTGGGGAGGCCTCACAATCATGGTGGAAGGCGAATGAGGAGCAAAGTCATGTCTTATGTGGCAGCAGGCAAGAGAGCATGTGCAGGGAACCTCCTCTTTATAAAACCACCAGATCTCATGAGACTTATTCACTATCATGAGAACAGCATGGGAAAGACCCGCCCCCATGATTCAATTACTTCCCACCAGGTCCCTCCCACAACATGTGGGAATTATGGGAGCTACAGTTCAAGATGAGATTTGGGTGGGGACCAATATCAGGCAGTGATATTGTCTTGAAGGAAAAATAACTAAGATAAGGGAAACAGAGAGAGACTGGGGAGTGATTTTCTTTTTTATAGAATGATCAAAAATGGCCTCCCTGATAGTGATCTTCATGCAGAAATCTAAAGGGGCCAAAGAAGCAAGACACTTGTTGTCTGGGGAAAGAGTATTTTGGAGAGAGAGAGAACAGCAAGTACAAATTTAAAGATCCTGATGTGCTTGGAAAATGTGAGGAAGACCTGGAGTGGAGTTAGGGGACGGAATCAGAGAAGAGGTCGGATCTTATAAGAACTTGGCAATTTTCCTCTGACTGAAATAAGAAACCAGCAGAAGATTTAGAGTCCAGGAATGACAGGTTCTGACATACATTTTAAAGATTCCTCTGTTTGAGGCAACCTATAGAATGGGAGAAAATTTTTGCAATCTGTCCATCTGACAAAGGGCTAATACCCAGAATCTATAAAGAACATTAAAAAATTTACAAGAAAAAAACAACCCCATCAAAAAGTGGGTGAAGGATATGAACAGGCACTTCTCAAAAGAAGACATTTATGCAGCCAACAAACATATGAAAAAAAGCTCATGATCACTGGTCATTAGAGAAATGCAAATCAAAACCACAATGAGATACCATCTCATGCCTGTTAGAATGGTGATCATTAAAAAGTCAGGAGACAACAGGTGCTGGAGAGGGTGTAGAGAAATAGGAACGCTTTTACACTGTTGGTGGGGGTGTAAATTAGCTCAACAATTGTGGAAGACAATGTGGCGATTCCTCAAGGATCTAGAACTAGAAATACTATTTGATCCTGCAATGCCATTACTGGGTATCTATCCAAAGGATTATAAATCATTCTACTATAAAGATACATGCACACACGTGTTTATTGCAGCACTATTCACAACAGCAAAGACTTGGAACCAACCCAAATGCCCATCAATGATAGACTGGATAAAGAAAATATGGCACATATACACCATGGAATACTATGCAGCCATAAAAAAGAATGTGTTCATGTCCTTTGCAGGGACATGGATGAATCTGGAAACCATCATTCTCAGCAAACTAATACAAGAACAGAAAACCAAACACCACATGTTCTCACTCATAACTGGGAGTTGAACAATGAGAACACATTGACACACACCGGGGCCTGTCAGGGGGTGGGGGGCTAGGGGAGGAATAGCATTAGGAGAAATACCTAATGTAGATGATGGGCTGATGGGTGCAGCAAACCACCATGGCATGTGTATACCTATGTAACAAACATGCACGTTCCGCACATGTACCCCAGAACTTACAGTATAAAATAAATAAATAAATAAATAAACAAACAAACAAATAAAAAGATTCCTCTGTTTGTTGGGTGGAAATGACTGGGAGCCACAAGGCTGGCAGGGAAGACTCCTTGGGACACTATAGCGTAACTTGTGCCAGAGAGAATGTATCAATGGAAGTGGAGAGAAGTGGTTAGATTCTAATTTCAAATTAGTAAACAATTTAACTCTACGTGTCCCCACACCAGGCTCTCTGAAGGCACCAAGAGCAGGTGATAAGTTAGTGGGGGAGTTTTTCTGCTTCCATTTGTATGTATCTGTTACACATTGACCCTCAACCTCCCTCAGACAGGTCACTCCCATAGACAAGCAGAGGGAGCAAAAGATATGCTCAACAGAAAGAGGATGGGTTAGAGAGAATTCTCTGTGCGTGTCATGTTCCCATCATTCTGAAAGCCTGGATGGGAGGTGAGGGAGGCAGTGGGCACGCCCATCCACAGGAATGCACACAAACATGGCAGGGTAACAAAGGTGGGGCAGAATCAAAACATAAGGCCACTTAGAATGTTACCTCTCTCTCATCTGTATTTCTCTTTCTCTAGAACCTTCCCAAGTCTGGTTTTTTTCTTGAAGTGAAGAAATTCCAGAAAACCTATGGAGAGTAGGGAGTGAGAGGGCCACTCCCAAGTTTTCCATTAGCTGCTGATACTAGTAAAGGAGAGAGAGCATCTTATCTCTTATCTTGGGAACACATATGATCATAGTTTCTTTGTGTGAACTCCCTTACAATGTAAACTTGGAGAATTCCTTTGTAAAAATATTAATTATCCACATTGATCATATAATTTTTATATTTCATAAACTATTGTTTCTGGTAAGTGTTCTCAAATATCTTGGAGAAAAAGCAATCATTTTGGTAAGGTCACCACATTTAGATGATTTCTCAAAACACCAACTTTTAAAAACGTGGTCAAATGACTTAAGATGCCTCCGGCCGTATTTTTCTTTGCTGACATTTCAGTGACTCCCTAGAGTGTAATGTATACTAAAATATTATACTGCATTAATATGTAAATATAACACAGGATAATTATCAGAAAAAACAGGTGAATATTCTATTTAATTAACTTAGTTCCTGCTGGATTTTTGAACTGTTATATATTTAAGAGTAAGTTTTCTACATCTACTTTTAAATATTTCTAATAGAAAATCAGTTTACAACTGTGGCCTGGAAGTGTAATTACTACTCAAATTATTGTGTTCATAGTATCCAATGTATAATGATAAACTTTATATTTTCTTTCAGTTTTCTTAAAACTATACATTAAAATTCAGAATATCTTAATTTCCATGCCACTAGATGCAGAAAATAATTTTCCATGAATTCATGATCTCTTCTGAATGACCTCTTAGTAAATAAACTTTCATTCATTTGCTTGTCACCTGTCCCTTCTCTGTTCATTCCCGTGGTAGCTGTCTGTCTTGTTCACTTCTGTATCCTCAGCATGTAGCATAGTGCTTGACACATGGTGCCTGCTCATTACTGCTTGTTGAATGCACATATGAATGAATGAATCCTTGTATGTATGAATTTCAACGTTTTAATCCTTAGTACAACGTGATGCATAATATGCTCTCATAAATATGTGTTGAATGAATGAATTTATGTTGTGAATTCCTGATACAGTGCAGGGCATGATGGTTGAAGAATGAGTTTGGTAGGCCTGGCGCGGTGGCTCAGGCCTGTAATCCCAGCACTTTGGGAGGCTGAGGCAGGTGGATCACAAAGTAAGGAGATCAAGACCATCCTGGCTAACATGGTGAAACCCTGTCTCTACTAAAAAAATACAAAAAATTAGCTGAGCGTGGTGGCATGTGCCTGTAGTCCCAGCTACTCGGGAGGCTGAGGCAGGATAATCACTTGAACCCAAAAGGTGGAGGTTGCAGTGAGCTGAGATGCCACCACTGCACTCCAGCCTGGGCAACAGAGCAAGACTCAGTTTCAAAAAAAAAAAGAATAAGTTTGGTTTTAGTGATTGATGGATCTGTGTTCAAATCCAATGTTAACCATTCATCCACTCATTAGCTATGTACTCGGACCATTTATTTAATCTCTGAAAGATCTGGTTTTGTCATCTGTAAAATGGAGCTTGTGAAGAGGCATAAGACAATGTATGTAAGTCACTTAGTACCATGCCTAGCATATCACACTTAATAAATGGTGGCAGTTATCAGGTCAAGACTCGGGTGAAGCAAGGAAGGCATAAATGTTAAGGGGGTCCCAAGGAACTCAGTAATCAAGATAATGTTTACATGAAATATTTTTAAAAATGAAAATTAATGCAAAAATCTATGTTGAACAAAATATCGAAATTTTTCATAAAGACAGGATCAGTATTGCTGATTGTTTCTTTTGCCTCAGGCTCTATTATGGCTTGATAGGACCCTGGCAGTTATAATCATTAGGTTGACAAAGGTGCTTTTAATGTTATCCTCTCATAGAGTGCTTAATTTGTAGCAATTGACTTTAAGCTTCTAGGTCTTAGAGCCATGGCCCCTTAAGAATGCAGCAGAATCTAACCCAGTTGCTTTAGCTGGAACTCTGCGCTGAGAAGTCAGAGTTTCTATCTCTTACCCACTTCTTCCCCCTGCCCAATACCACAGTCTTATCTGGGACTACAATGGGAGAGGAACTCTTTTTGAACTTCTCTTAATATAACAATAGTAAAGGTCCTATCTCTCAGGCAATACTTATGCATTATGACATTTTATAAAAACAACTTTTACATAGAGACAGGGTCTCACTATGTTGCCAAGGCTGCTCTTAAACTCCTGGCCTCCAGCAATCTTCCCACCTCAGCCTCCCAAATGGGTGTGATTAGAGGTGTGAGCCACTGTGCTTGGCCTCATTAAAGCAATTTTAAAAGTAGGACATACACTTTTTTTTTTTTTTGAGATGGAGTCTCGCTCTGTTGCCCAGGCTGGAGTAAAGTGGTATGATCTCAGCTCACTGCAAGCTCCACCTCCCAGGTTCAAGCGATTCTCCTGCCGCAGCCTCCTGAGTAGCTGGGATTACAGGCACCTGCCATCACACCCGGCTAATTTTTGTATTTTTAGTAGAGATGGGGTTTCACCATGTTGGTGATGTAGTCTATAAATAGTATATATATGTTAATATCATATCCCTACTACTACGTTAAAAGCAGGTAAAAAACAGAGAATGACCTTCCTTAATACATCTTTAATATCTTATAATTTAAAAGTCCAAGTCAAAAGACATCATCAAATGACAACTAGTGTTTTACCAAAGAATATTTAATCATCTAATTTATCTTTTCCCAATGATATAAAGAAATAGAAAAGAGATTAAGAACCTATTGAATGTTGAATGATCTTTGCAACATAAGAGTAAGAATGACTTCTTTTCAGTATTTCCTACGTGTCTGACATGGAGCTAAGTGTTTTATGTCCATTACCTTGTTTAATCCCTCAATGACTCAACAAAATGGCGGCCATTATTATTCATATTTTACAGATGGAGGAGCTAAAGCCCAGAGGTAAAGTAACTTGCCCAAGATGACCAACTGAAGAAGCAGAGATTTGAACCCAGACCTGTCTGGTTCCTTCTGGATGGTAACTAAACCCAAATGCAAGGCACCTCAAACCTTGAAATGAGGTGGCTTAAGATGTAACGACATCCTAAGGACCGAATCACTGAGGTTGAATCCATTGATCTGACCAGCTGCCATGGCGGCCACTTCCTCCTTTCTCACCCCATGCCCCTGTCTATGAAGCTTCATGCAGCTGCTGTGGGACACTCTGCTAGGTGCCACAAAGTTCAAGAGACTTTGCCTACATGTATAAATATATTCTTAGGAAAGTTATAAGTTCACAAGAATTGAAATAAAACTCGAAGTGCATCCTATTCCTAATTAATAGCTCAGTGTAGGTGGTCTGGGAGAAAGCTTATCAAGAAACCAAATGCTCACAGGTTGTTAACCATCCTCTTCTTTACAGCAACCACATATGGCCCTCTTTGTCCACTTCTGAAGGAAACGGAATAAGAACTGCATTGTACAAGATCCATCAGATCTGCCCCTACTTTTAAACAGGTAACACAAATGCAGAACTTTTCAACGGGGTAAAGGAGCAACAAATATGCCTTAAATAGCCAAAGGTTTCATCCAGCAGAGGTTAACATACGCTGTGGGGAAATAAGAGCTAGAAAAAACTTGCCACAGTGCATAGGACCGTTCAATCTGAATAGAAGAGCTGACCAGGTTTGATCCGCAATCAGTGAAAAGAAACCCACGCTCTCAAGCATCTGCAAGAAATTCCTCAGATCAATAGCCCCAAGGTCACTAATCATTAATCTAGACAAAATAGTAAATACTAAAAATCTAAATAACCCTACTTCCCTCCCCTCAATATTAGCTCAAATTATCTCCTTTTTAGAAAATACCCATGCAGCCCTTATATCTTTTTAATGAGAGTTACAACAAACAAAGCTAAGGTTCTTACCCCACGGCTTGCACTCTCTCAGCAGAGCTGCAGGTGCGTGGATGATTCGTTGACACGGTCAGAATTGGCTGCAGGAGGGAATTGAATCGAGGTTTTCTGTAAAGCTTAAACCCCATCCGCCCTCTTCTGCATGCTACTGGTATTGCATGTTATATATATTCATTATAATCTTAGCACTTTTTTAAATTGTGGTCAAATACACATAACATAGGAGTTATCATGCTCACCATCTTTCTATTTTTATTTTTATTTTTATTTTTTTTGAGGTAGGGTCTCACTTTGTCACCCAGGCTGGAGTGCAGTGGTGTGATCACTGCTCACTGCAGCCTTGACCTCTTGCGCTAAAGCCCGCAAGAGGCTGGGCTTCTCAGTCCCGCAAATGTCTGGGACTACAGGCGCTCACCAACTGGCCTGGCTAAGTTTTTTGTATTTTTTGTAGAGACGGGGTTTCGCCAGTTGCCCAGGCTGGTCTTGAACTCCTGAGCTCAAGTGATCTGCCTGTCTCGGCCTCCCAAAGTGCTAGGATTACGGTGTGAGCCACCGCGCCTGACCTTAAGCATTTTTAAATGTACAATTTAGTGGCATTAATTAAGTACATTCACACTGTTGTGCAACCACCACCACTGCCCATCTCCAAAGATTTTTCGTCATCCCAAACTGAAATTCTATGCCATTAAAAAATAATTTCCCATTTTCCCCTTCCCTCAGACCCTGGAAACTATAATTCTACTTTCTGTCTGTGTGAATTTGACTACTCTAGGTACCTCATGTCCGTGGAGTTATACCATATTTGGTTTTTTGTGACTGGCTTATTTCATTGAGCATAATGTCTTTAAGGTTCATCCATATCATTTCTATTATTATTACATAGAATAATAGAATCTTTCCTTCCTTTTTTAAGGCTGAATACTATTTTGTTGTATGTACGTCCCACATTTTGTTCATTCATTCATCCATCAATGGACATTTGGGTAGTTTTCACCTTTTGGCTCTTGTGAATAATGCTGCTGTGAACGTGGTGCACAAATATCTATTTAAGTTGGTACTTAACATTCTTTTGAGTCTATACCTAGAAGTGGAATTCACGGATCGTATGACCATTCTGTTTAATTTTTTGCAGAACTACCATACTGGTTTTCCACAGCATCTTAGAGCTCTTTGATGATGCTTTTCTTCAAGGTGCAGGTCGGTTATCCCTTTCATCAGTTGGGTGGGGCAGTCATGTGATGATGGGCAGGAGTAGGAATGGTGACTCCATAATTTCAGCAATCAGGCAGGAAGAGGGTGGAAAGGAGTTATCTAGAGCAGTGGTCCCCAACCCCTGGGCCACAGACAGGTACCAGTTCATGGCCTGTTAGGAACCGAGCCACACAGCAGGAGGTGAGTGGTGGGTAAGCAAATGAAGCTTCATCTGTATTTACAGTCGCTCCCCATCGCTTGCATTACCACCTGAGCTCCACACCCTGTCATATCAGTGGCAGCATTAGATTCTCATAGGAGCTTGGACCCTACTGTGAGCTGCATATGGGAGGGATCTAGGTTGCGTGCTCCTTATGAGAATCTAATGTCTGATGATCTGTCACTGCTTCCCATCATGTCAGATGGGACCATCTAGTTGCAGGAAAACAGGCTCAGGGCTTCCACTGATTCTACATTATGGTGAGTTGTATAATTATTTCATTATATATTACAATGTCATAATAATAGAAATAAAGTGCACAATAAATGTAATGTGCTTGAATCATCCCGAAACCATCTCTCCTCCATCTCCAAACCCGGTCTGTGGAAAAACTGTCTTCCATGAAATTGGTCCTGGTGCCAAAAAGATTGGAGACCTCTGACCTAGAGGCCTTTTCTTGAAGTGAAGTGGTAAAATAAGCATGGTATTTTTTAAAATGTAGATCGCAAAGTACGGATCAATTTTTAAAGCAACATTTTTGAGGTTTTTTTCATACTTGACTTAAGATTTAGGTGACTGCTGGAGATCACGAGTAAAGAAGAAAATTTCCAGATGGATTTGTCTACAGGAGGAATGATCAATTTAAACATGAATGATTATAATAGATTTATGTCTTATAAAATTGGGGAGTGGGTGGGTTCTTAAAATACATTTTTTAACTATCATATTGGGGTTTTTAAATTTAAAATGTAGTCCATGTATTTCCACATATATTGTAGGGGGAAATCACACAAAATATAAATAACTGTAAAAAGAAAAACAACAGCAAAACAAAACCAGCTCTGCTCCTCACCTAAACATATACAAACATGTCTATATTACACAAACGTAGGAAGACAGGAACACCCGTCAGGAACGTTGGAGAGGGGATTCCCAGCTTGTTGGATGAACTAAGCTCTAAAATCTTTTTCATTTCAGAAATTCTCAAATTACTATGATCAGCACACTCACACTGTATATTGCCCTCTCAAGGAAAAATAATCACTTGGGGTTTTTGTTGTCCAAAGACATATTCTTCCTTTCCCCAGAGACCAACATGTTTAAATACTTTATTGTCAGAAAACGGAGAAGTTTTCTTTAAGTGTTTTTACATTTGTTTACCAAAAACAAGTTGAGCCAAGTAGAGTTGTTGCTTGTGTCATCTAATCATCATCATTAAGCTTGCATTTACTTCCTAAGTGCAGATAGTATTGCACACAAGATATTGGCTAATCACCACCACAAACTACATAGAACATATACTTTATTCCCATTCGCCAGATGGAAAAACTGGTTGAGAGAGAACAAAAAACTTGCACAAGGTCATCATCCAATAGGGGAGGGAGCCAAGATTCAAAACTAAGTAAGTCTGGTTCCAAAGCCCACAATTTTTTCACGACTCCAGATGCCCAAGAGGTTATGTAATACTCTCTCTGCCTTCACCTGAGATTTCTAAAACGTTTAAATCTTTATTCACAACTAGCAACCAAGAATAGTATGCTCAGAACCATATGTGCTGATAACTTTAAGATGTAATATTTTTATTCCTTTTTAAAAAACTTCCCCCTGCCCCTACACACATGCATGCACGCAGGCACGCGCACACACACGCACGCACACACACAAACACACAAACACACATTTCCCTCCTATGTCTTCCTCTGATACCAGACGTGGGCCAGCTGTGATTCTGCCTTCATATATGTTGCAATGAACAGAGAACCTTGGGTTACCACAAGGGGATGGAGGTTTATTTTAAAGACACTAGAGGCTGTAAGGAAACACAGCAGCACAGCCAGGCCCTCTAGAGACCTGGAGCAGTGGCTTCTGGGGACTCCCAGAGCAGCCGTGGTGGTCAGGCTGTCTGGTTGGGCTGCTCTCCACTTTAGCTATGACTTGACTTCTCTTTGACTCTTCCTCAATCTGCTTCTCTTTCTATTCCCCACTTCTCTTTATTGCTGCCTTTGCTTCTATATGTGTCTTCCTACAGCCTTTTCCCAGGCTCATGGCTTACAGTCAAGGGCTGAGGCCCGCTCTGAGAATACTTCCCCCAAGAAGGGAAATCTGATCAGATCTTTGCCTCACTATGCAAGATGGAGCGTCTCTATTGGGCAGAGGATTCATGACCACCTTACAGGCGGCTAGCTTATTTTATTTTTATTATTATTTTGAGATAGAGTCTTGCTCTGCTGCCCAGGCTGGAGTGCAGTGGCATGATCTCAGCTCACTGCAACCTCCTCCTCCTGGGTTCAAGTGATTCTCCTGCCTCAGCCTCCCAAATAGCTGGGATCACAGGCATGTGCCACCATGCTCGACTAAGTTTTGTATTTTTAGTAGAGATGGGGTTTGCCATCTTGGCCAGGCTGGTCTTGAACTCCTGACCTCAGGTGACCCACTCACCTCGGCCTCCCAAAGTGCTGGGATTACAGGTATGAGCCACCGCACCCAGTCTATTTTTATAGTTCTTGCCTTTAAGAGGGCCTTGGTCCCTGATCCAGGCAGGTAGGAAAGTTACATGACCTAGAGCTGCTCACGGGTAGAAGAAAGGGCCTGGGCTTGCATTCTCCCTAAGAGCACTGCGGGTGGTTCAGGGTCTAGTGTGGAGCACGTGTTAGCTGGGGAAAGCTCCTTTACTTTAATTACTGGTATCAGTAAGTGAAAATAGTAACAACTTTTTTTTTTTCTGAATCCTATTTCTGAAAAATAAATGAAAAGTAATAAAATTCTCACATGGTTAGAAAATTTAAATCATTTGTCATTCATTTACTACATTTGAGTATAAGGAGAACATTTTAGTTCAAACAAATAAAATGATCCTGGCCGGGCACAGCGGCTCATGCCTGTAATCCCAGCACTTTGGGAGGCCGAGGTGGGTGGATCACCTGAGGTCAGGAGTTTGAGACCAGCCTGGCCAACATGGTGAAACCCTGTCTCTACTGAAAATACAAAAAATTAGCCAGGCATGGTGGCATGCACCTGTAATCCCAGCTACTTGGGAAGCTGAGGCAGCAGAATTGCTTGAAGCTGGGAGGCGGAGGTTGCAGTGAACCAAGATCGCGCCACTGCACTCCAGCCTGGGCAACATGAGCAAAGCCCGTCTCAAAAAAAAAAAAAGAAAAAAGAAAAAGAATAAAATAAAATGATCCTAGATACGTGCTAGGAACCTGAAAGACTTTGGAGAGATTTGGTAACCACATTAAAAAGACAAAAAGAGGTGAAATTAATTTTAATAATATATTTTATATAATTCACCACATTAAAATATTATTTCGCAAGTACTCAATATAAAAAATTACTAGCAAGATATTTGACATTCTTTTTTTATATAATGTCTTTGAAATTTGGTGTGTGTTTTACACTTACAGCACATTTCAATTCAGGTTTGTCACTTTTCAAGCATTCCATAGCCACATACGGCTAGTGGCTACCATATTACACAAACAGGACTAGAGCCTTAGGTTAATAAATGACAGTCCTACAATGAGCCAACAAACTTGAACTCTAATGCACCCACGAAACTTTCCCTAATGATACCAAATATTGACATTTCTCATCTCTCATTTTCCCATGTGCTACCCCTGACTCCCGCTCCCACTTCCCCTCTCAACTGACCCTGCTCACTCTGGGAATGGTCCTGTTGTAAGAGCCATCACTTAGAACCCACGTCCTCAGAAATTATCCCAAAGGCTTTAGGGGCAGAGAAGGAATATGTGTATCTATTAGAAGTGACATGGGGAAGAAAAGGAGGACAAATAAATATGAAAGAAAAATTAAAGAGGAAAGAGAGAAATGGAAGAGAAAAGCACTGGGAGGAGAGGATCAAAAGGGAAAAGCAAAAAAGAGAAAGAACAAGGGAAACACAAATAGAGAAAATTAGGATGGAAGGCAAAGAACAAGAGAGAAATGGAGAGAAAAGGAAGGGAGAAAATAAAATACAAGGCTAAACAAGGGAGCGGTAAAGAGAAAAGAGTACAGACAAAAAGAGGAAAGCCTGGATTTCTCATCCTGGTCTAGGTATTATTATAACTTTATTAATTAGTTGCTTAGCATTGCTCTTAGGCAGAATTCCAAGACTTAATCATATAACAAATATCCAAAAAGACATGTCAGCTTGAGGAATTCCCCTGGATTTCCTTGTTTGCATCCAAGCCACATGCCATTGTTGCTTGCACTGAATATGAACAATTATACACTGAATCATGCTTACTAAGATATATTTCAATACGTCCAGGGCTCTGCTAGAGCCAGCTTATACCAGCTCATAAGAGCCAATTTTTAATTTTCAAGAATTTTGTGAGCCAGTTGTTAAAAATAATCATTATTAAAAATGAAATCATATATACCTGCATTTAAATAAACTATATTTAGGGCCAAGTGCAGTGACTCGTGTGTAATCCCAGTACTTTGGGAGGCCAAGGCAGGAGGATCCTTTGAAGCCAGGAGTTCAAGGCCAGCCTGGGCAACATAGCAAGACCCCGTCTCTACAAAAAAATTTTTAAATGAGCCAGGTGTAGTGGCATGCCCATATTCCTAGCTACTCGGGAGGCTGAGGCAAGAGGATCTCTGGAGCTGAGGAGTTTGATGTTACAGTGAGCTATGATTGTGCCACTGCACTCCAGCACAAGTGGCACAGCAAGACTCTATCTCTAAAATAAATAAATAAATAAATAAAGCTATATTTAAAACAAAAGTAGTAAATACTCAGAACTCATCACTTCCTAATTATTTGACTGTATATTTACCATCATTATGTTCTGGGAGTTATTTTTGTCTACTGTATCTGTTATGGTGGAAACACTTTACAATGAATGGTATACTGCACTTTTCTTTCCAACTCCACCTTCAGCGATGTCATGTTGGTACCTTGAAATCAACCATGGTAGGAGTATTTACACCATAAAATTGGCAAACACTATAAATTAGGACTTTAGTTATTGTTTTGTTAATTTTCTAGACTTACAAAAGTAATGAAGAAAATGTTAATAATTTGTCAAAGCATTTTGTTTTTCTGCGAATCTGTTGTTAAACATTTACCAGCACACTACAGCAGCTGGTATCATTTATATCTGATTTAAAAAGAAAGCATTTATCTAACTCAATGGTTTACTTTTTTTTTCTTTTTCTTTTCTTTTTTTTTTGTTGAGCTGGAGTCTAGCTCTGCCGCTCAGGCTAGAGTGCAACGATGTGATCGCCTTCCAGGTTCAAGTGATTCTCATGTTTCAGCCTCCCAAGTAGCTGAGATTACAGGCACGCACAACCATGCCCGGCTAATTTTTGTATTTTTAGTAGAGCCGGGGTTTCACCATGTTACCCAGGTTGGTCTTGAACTCTTGACCTCGGGTGATCCACCTGCCTCGGCCTCCCAAAGTGCTGGGAATACAGGCATGAGCCACTGCATCAGGCCTCAATGGTTTACTTTTTAAAAGAGCAATATTTTGGCAGAGATTTATATATGAACTCTTACTTTTGGTTAAATTGATGTTCAGTGTTTACATTATTATGATCTATGTAATGTTGGGCCTCACTAAAAGCTACATTATACACTATGATTACAGTCTATGATTATGCTTTTTGGTTTTCTTGTAGTTAATAATTGCCTTGTATTTTATTTTGTTAGTTTTCAATGCTTCTATGATAATTTTCCTCACATTCCCAAATAGCTCTCAAGTCAAAAAATGTAATATAATGAAATCTATCAAATAAACAATCACCTCTCTCAAATTACTGTCTGTCATTTTGCTCCAGCATGCATTGGATTTCTGCAGAGCTGACATCCTCTGACTTTGAGTTGTTGCTATCCTGGAAAGCTGTTGCTCCTCTCTGCTGTATTAGATCTCTCGTTTCTTGGGATGCACAGCATCTCCTTTCTTGGTTTTTATCTGTTATAGTGGAATTCATCATCCAGTAGTTTCCCGAAAGAATGCATTGATGGTTAATTTGGAGGGAGAACTTACATGTCATGCCTCATATTTGATTGACTGTTTGGCTGGATATAAAGTTATATGTTGCAAATGATTTTTCTATACAATTTTGAAGGTATTGTTCTGTAAGTTCTAGCTTCTAGCATTGTACTGAGAGATGCATGGTTATTCTGATTTCTGATTCTTTGTATGTAACCTGGTTTCTTTTTTCTTTCTCTCTCTCTGGAAGCTTTTACTATTGTTGTTCCTGATGGTCTAAAATTTCAAGAGAAAGTGCCTTGGTTTGGGTCTTTGAACTGTTCGTTTTGCTGGGTACTTTTAGGAGATTCATGTCCTTCAGTGGGATTTCTCCGTCTTATTATTATTATTTTTTTTGATAATGTCTTCACCTCATCTCTTTTTCTGATTCTGGAACACCTATTAGATGGATGTGGACTTCTCAGAGTTAGGCTTTTACTTATTTTTTCTCTTGCAAAATAAGTCATTTTGTTCTAATTTCATAGAAATTTCTTTAACATATTTTCCAATGCTTCTATTTCTTTGGGTAAGGGGCTATCAAACTTTTTAAGTTCTAAGAAACGTCTGTAACTTCAAGTTGTCTTAGAGGAAAGATGAACATCCTCATAGGTCTGCCTGTGACTATATAATTACCGGTGGCACTTCTGTCCCCTGGCTCTCAATCTTGTTTGGGACCTTGTTGATTAATTTTGACAATTAATTTTTATTATGGCTTGTCATTCACACGGGTGGGTGTTTATCTGGGGAATTCAAGAAGCAACTGTGTCCTAGTAGGATGAAGTCCATCACACAGTTCCAGAACAGCCAAGGAGGGCAGTGCGAGCTTGTCCAAAGTGACAGGGAGCTACCAGAAGAAGCAGTTCAGAAGAAGAGAATGTGAGAGTCAGCCAGGAAGTCCAGCTCTTCTCTGAAATCCTCAGGAGGAACTGTTTTCCTGTAAACACAGGGGTTGGGGACTTGAGTCATTTTACTTAAAATGAAAAGGAAGTGGTAACCCAAAAAATGAGAAATCTTGGGGACACTTGGGCTGCATTAATGAGGTTGAAATTTTTCATAAATTCATTTTCTAACTGGATCCTGTTTTGGGCTGACCATGCTTATTGCCCACATATCAATGGAGATCTTAGTGCTTTTCTATTTTATTCTATTAGTTCTTGATATACATGAATTTTATCTATGATATTTGCTAACAGTTTACTTCCCAATTTCTTATTTCCCCATTTGCCATTTTTAGTTGTTTTGTTTGCCTCATTTGTTCATTCGCTTGTTTAACATGGAGCTGTTCCCAGTTTTTCTGTAACTTTTGTCTCTTTTCTGATTTTATTTCATCTTAGAAAGCCCAGGATAATCTAGATGAAACATGATCAGCACTTCAGCTCCAGTTCCATATTTGTTGGTATAATAAGGACAAGAAGAATGATGATAATGACATAATAATAACTCTAACATTTATTGAGCTTTTGCTTAATGCCAGGAACTGTTCTATAGACATTATATGTATTAACTCACTTAATCCTCGTAACAATAGTATGAGACAGGTATTTCCATTACTCTCATTTTACGTCTCCACAGTAATAAAGCAGAGAAGGAGTACATAACCACCCAAAGTCACTAGAAGAAGGTGGAAGAAGCAAAATTCAGGTGGAGGTCCGAGATGCTTCTCTTCCCCACTGTGTCTGCCACCTCTAGAGTGAATAGCCATGACCCTGAGATAAGTCAGTTACACACATTGTACCACCGATTTCTAAAACAACCATATGAGAGAGGTACCAGTATTATGCCCATTTTATAGATGAGAAAAAGGAGGCTAGGAAGGGTGAAGGAATTCATCTATGGACAGAGGATTTGTGCCCTCTCTTTTCTCTTCTACAGAGAAATTGAGCCAGGATTTAATCCCAGCATGCCGGTTTACAAAGCCCAGCTTTATAACCTTTATTTATTCTCTATTGTTCCACTGGAGAGACCTATTTTTGGTCTCCTAAGCCCCATTTCCTTATTTGTTTGTTGTAAATTTTTCAAGTACAGAAAAGTATAAAAACAAAAACAAACACCAGTTGTAGGCAAGCAGTGATAATTTTTTCATATTTCATCTAGACCATTTTCTATGCATATTTTAACCTAGTTGAAATCATAGTGTACATATACTTTTGTATCCTATGCTTTTTATTTATATTGTAATATAAGCATAGCTCACTGCAGCCTCGAATGCCTGGGCTCAAGCGATCCTCCTGCCTCAGTCTCCTGAGTTGCTGGGATTACAGAAACTGTGCCACCACACCAGGCCCTATACATTTTTTTAAAAATTGTAGTGAAAAAGACATAACATAAAAATTACCATCTTAATCCTATACATTATATTAAATGGTTGTACAATATGTCATTAAACACATTCCCCCATTGTTAGAAATTTGGAATGTCTCCAATTTTCCATGGCTGCTAATAACCTCACAGTTAACATACTTATAAATAAATATTTGTTCACATTTCAACTTATTTCCTTAGGATAAATTCCTAAAAGTGGAACTGACAGATCAAAGAGCATGAGTATTTTCAAATTATATATATATATATATATATATCTCCAAATTACTTTGCCCTCCTATTATTGCCATATGAAATGCCCATCCCACTGCAGTCTCGCTAGTATAGCAGGCTGATAAAATGGAACTAGGTTAGTCTCAATTTTGGTGGAGGTCCCCCGAGTGAGGTGTGAGACTAGATAACTGGTTTTGTGACCTTTGCTAACTACCCATCTCTAGCCAATAAAGGGGATTGGAGAGACTGAGAGGAGTTATACATTAGAAGAGCATTTTGGAGAGAGGTTTTGGTATATTATGAGTTTCATTTACCCTCAAGAAGGATGGGTGGGGTGTGCTCCCTCTGACCTAGGTCCTAGGGAAAGGGCTTCAACAGTACCACTTGGAAAGCTCGCTATGTGAAAACTGTAGTTTGGGAGACATATTTGACCAGTCTTTTAATTTATACTTGGAAATCTAAAGGTCTTGGCTAGCTACTCTAAGACTATATTTTACAAATAATGAAATCTATGCTTAGAAAGTTTAAGTAACTTGTCCAAGATCATCTGCAAATACATGACGGAGCTAGAATTGAAACCCAGACTTGATTAAGGGCTTGCATATTTACCCATTCTGTAATACTTCCTCTCATTTATCTGTGAAATCTCTCTTATTTTCATTGATATTTATCATACTTTGGCCTGAATTCTTCATCTTCCAACTTTGAATTCTTTGGCAGGAGACTCCACCAATACAATTTCAACCTCCCGCCAGCATCCTTAAAACCACTTATGAGATCAGCTATTTATGTATAGGACTGATCTAACGTCTAAAAATTTTGAGTTTATTAAATAAACTCTAAGTGACTTTAGGTTCCTTTCAGGGAATTCTTTTTCGGATTTACAGGGTGTAACAAGTTGAATTGTGTCTCCGAAAATTCATATGTTGAAGTCCTGAACCCCAGAACCTCAGAATTACCCCTTCCTTGGAAATAAGGTTGTTGGGAGATGTACTTAGTTAAAATGAGGTCATTAGAGTGGGCCCTAATCCAATGTAATTGGTGTCCTTATTAAAAAAAAAAAAGAATTTTGGACACAGAGACAGACAGGCATAGAGGGAAGACGATGTGAAGAGACAGAGAAAAGACAGCCATCTATGAGTTAAGAAAAGAGACTGGGTTGTCCACAGTAGAAATGGATCCTTCCCTCTCTCCTCTCAAAAGCAGCCAACCCTGCCAACACCTTGATTTTGGACTTTCAGCCTCCAGAACTATGGGAATAAATTTCAGTTGTTTAGGCCACCCAGCTTGTTAAAATAGACTTTGTTAAAATAGACCTTGAAAACGAATACATAACTGCTTGCTGAGTAGTTGAAACTTGGTTATGAAATCTTGAAGTTCAATACAGAAAGTGCAATCATCCTAGAGAAAATGGGAAAATCCAGTTCTTACAATTTTTGCAATTCCATTACAGAACAATAGTTCTCCTATTTTTAGCATACATTTCATGGTTTGAATTTGCCTCCCACTATTATGCTTCAAAGAAGTTTAAATAATGACTTTCCTCTATTTTCAAGCTCTAACTCCGTGGTTTGACTTTCAAGATCCTTGACAATATAGTCTTAATATAACTTTCCACACTCCTATCCTACTGTTGTTTTTCATGAACCTCACGGTCCAGTCAAACTGGGATACCAGTCCAAGAATAGGCCTGGGTATACCTGCCTTTGCTCTCTTTATCTTTCTGTTTAGAATGGCCTTTCCATTCTTCATCATTACACATTGAAAAATCCAAAGTTAAAGTCTTCCTTCAAGACCTAATGGAAAAAAAAAAAAAAAGACACATCATTTCTAAGATTTTTTTTCACTCAATTTAAGCAACCTCTGAACTTCCATTTTATAGCTTTGTTTCATTGATTTTTATTTTAGTTATTTGGATATGTTTAGTGTTCTCTGATTGACTGTAAGTTCTTTAGGCCAAGAAGCTAATAGATATGTATGTGTTAGTTGGGTTCCTTCCCACTCAAAAAAGTAGAGACTGAGATGAGAGCTTTGTGGGCTGGTCATTTGTAGGCTTTTTGGTTTTTGTTGCTTTTTATTTTATTTATTTTTTCTAGACTCCTTGAGTTAAGGAAAGGTCGCTTGTTTGGAGCAGCGATCTCAGGACTCAAGAGTGACCCGAATGAGAAGAGTGACCAAGGAAGAATGGAAAGTCAATGCAAAACCAAGTTACTGAGCTGGTTACCCTGTGGGTAAGTAAACCTCAGTGCCACTAGGGATTGTCTGAGAAAAGGTATCAATTACACCTCATTTTTTAACCCAAGAATAGAAGAAAGGAGCATGTATATAATGCTTCCCATCCCGTAGTGTTATCCCTTGTGCTTCCAGGTTTGTGCATGTATCAGAATGGTAGAACAGGCTTCTACAAGCATCCCACGCAGTGGTATCAGTGAAGTCATGGGGCATAAAGTGAAAGATACATGGTGTAGTTATGACAAGGTTTTTGTCAAGACTACACCTGCCCAGAGCTGGCTGCTGGAGTAAAAATGTAGACTGACAGGATGTTTGATGGGTATGAAAAGCATCAGATATATCCATTCCTTACACTGCCCCATCTGCTCATGCTCTACTTTAATAGTTCCCCAAAGAGACAGATGCTATATATAGAAGCACCGTATATCAACTATATTCTTCCTTCTAATCAAAAGAGCAAAGGCTCTTGTGCATGTTAGTTCATACAACCAGAATCTCAGCGAGATCTCCAGTCATGGAAAACTAGACTCAGAATTTTCATTTGGACTGAGGTGGAACACTTTCTTGGTCTGGGCTCCCTCATAAGCAGCCCCTGAGACAAATATTCAGTGGCAAGTAGTTTATCACAGAGGTGATCCCATGGAATACACATGGAGGAATAAGTAAGTGAGAAAAAAATGGGAAGGAAGCCAGTCGAGAATACTTAATCAAGCCATTTCTACTGTGGACAACCAGAATTTTATCCTACTGGGGAACTCAGGGAGAGTGTAAAGTATACCCCATTTTTTGATTTATCTCAAAAAATGAGTGAGAAAGTTGGGATATTTATCCACCAGCTCTTTCTGACATTGGTTGAGGGCTGTTTCCAAGGACAATTTCCAGCACTTCTGAACTGCCCTTTGTGTGGGCATGATGGTGGGGGGTTGGGGAGGAACCTTCAGGCATAGTGTCTCCAGCTTTATCAACGAGCAGCCATCAATAAGTTGAGTTGAATGCACCATGGATATGAGGAAAGCATCAAAAGCTGTAGAAATCTGCTATACAAACCCAGCTATATTCACAAAAGTCACGGCATTTTCCAATATTGGCCATGATACACTAGAACACACATCACTGAAGAAAAACAGGTGCTTCCCTTGACTTCATGATAAATTCAGAACTCAGTTATAGCAAAGAAACAAGTGGATCCCTTATGTGTCAGAACTGTTTAAATCAAAGTTATATCATTTCATTAATTTTTAATACCACATATAAATGGTGAACTGCGACCCGAAGGTATATATTTTTACCTACATCATACACTCACAATTGTGTTTACATCTATGCTGATGCAAAATAAAGTCATTGTTGGAACTTCCAAAAGCAGCAATATCAACAGGAGGAATATTTTTCACTTGATGTGTAATCTATTTCTTTGCTTGCTCTGTCAGCTTAATATTAATGGCTGCCCTTAAGTTAGCCCAAAAAAGGCCACGTTTGCTCTTTTCCTTGGGCCATTCCAAATAAGTCCTCCTGGCCATGAGACTTTTGAGCTTGTGATAACTGCTAGGAATGGAGTACTGCGGAATGGGTTCCAGCAAGATCAGGATTAAGCTATTAGATCCTTCATGAAAGAGATTGTGATGGGCAAAGTAGAGTTCATAATGGCACCATTCACTCTGGACAAAGTTGGGAGACAAAACAAAGATGGACTTGTAACTCTTCTCAATGCAGGTGATGATATTTTCCACAATGCTCTTGCCAGGAACAAAGTTTCTCTCATGAAGGCAAATCTGCATACCTTCTTTCTCTAGGTTTGGCAATAATTCATTCTTCACCCAGAAAGAATCGTGCCCACTATATGAAATAAATGCATGAAACTGGAGATTTCTTTGGAGTTCTTCTAAGGGTATGTTCCTGGCCCTGCGCCGGGTCTGGGTCCACTGGCACACCATCCTGAGATACCAGGGCAGATCCAAGTAGCTGCAGAGGGAGGTCACAGTCACAGCCAACACCAGCATGGTGGCAACGATGGTGACGATCAGCAGAGTTATGTTGCAGGATAATTCAGACATGTGAAAGTCCTTTAGTAGGGTTCCTCTATAACTTTCCGGGTAGTCACACTTATAAGAATCAGGCCAGCCCTCTAACACTTCACTTGATACTTGGTCTATATTTTTGACAAATTCTCCTAGCTCACAGGTACATTGGAATGGATTGTCCCCTGCTTTTATTGACCTCATCTTCTGGCAGCTCTGGAAGAAATCAGCCGATGGGTGGGAAACTGAATTGTGATCAATGATCAATACAGAAAGGCTGCTAAAGCTGCCACATCCAGGAAGGTCAGTTAAAGAATTGAAAGCAACATTGAGTTCTTGCAAAGCTTCCAGTTTTACGACTTGTTTAGGAATGCTCTTTATTTTATTGCTGTGAAGATCAAGTACCTTGATCCTGGGAGGTAAACATCTGAAAATAGTGTCAGTAAGTATATTTGAAGACATATTTAAACTTAATAAACTTTTAGTCCAAGAACAGTCTCCTTTCTTTTCATCATAGCTTACAGAATTCTGGCTAATATCCAATTGTTGCAGAGACTTCATCTGTGTAGTCATTTCAGCTATTTTTGAAAGTTCTTTTAATTGATTCATTTGTAAAATAAGTGTCTCCAACTCAGTAAGGTGCCCACAATTTTCAAAAACCGTGTCTGTTAAGAGATTATTGGAAAAATCCAAATGCAGGAACGGGCTAATTTTGGATGGGCAAAGCATGTGGACCATGCGTGTACCAGACACTGTGAAATTTTTGATGTTCATATTCGAAAAGATTTCATAGATATAACTTTGCGGAAAACCGAACACATCGCTGACAACTTGGTGTATAGACAAGGCCTTCAAGGAAGTGCCAGAATAATCAAAATCTCTGAAGTCCAGCTGACCCTGTAGCTTCACGTTTGAAATTGAGAAATACCATACAGTTGTATGCCAAACCAGCTGGAGGATCCTAATGAAAGAATTCCAAGTTGTTTCAATGTTGTTTAAGGTAAGATTTGATAACTTTGGATTTGTTTGAAGTTTCGCCAGAATACTTAGGAAGTAAGAACATTTGTTATCTTCTAGCACACATTTGATATTAGATAGTTCCAGATTTGCTACAGTCTTGACTGACACATCCAAAATAAAATGGAATTCTTTGTTTGTGGGGAACACAATGTGCAGACTCTCAGTGTTAAAGTCTTGAAGGCCCTCAGGGTCTTCTTTTTCCCCATAAGTCTCTCCTAAGACCAGCAAGACCTTGCTGATATTCAAATGAGCAATTGGCAGCACACTAGATTTTTCTAAGTGTGTGGTGCTCAACCCCAGAAATTTTAGTTGAGACATATTGCCAAACTCTTTGCATATAGGCAGGGCATCAAATGCATTAAATGACAGGTCCAAGTGCTTGAGGTTCACAGTAGGGTGGCAAGAAATCTTCACCAACTTGTTGTGGGACAAATCCAAGTATTCCAATTCCTGGTTGAATTTGAAAACACTGATATCAAGATACTGGATTCTATTATGAGAAATTATCAAAATCCTCAGTTTTGACAGTGATAAGATGTCAGAAGTCCAAAGCTCAGATATATAATTTTGCGATATATTTAAGATTGTTGTTTTCTGGGATAGGTCTTTAGGAACGTGGATGAGACCGTTTTTTGACCTATCAACTAAAAATTCACTTTCTTCAGATAATTGTATTCTGATCTGAAGTATTAACATGAAGATAATGGCAAAATGGAAGATGCTAGTCATTTTGGAACACTAGACATTCCTAAAGGTAGAAGCTGTTCTTCAGATCATCTTGATACAGATACAGATTCTAGAAAAAAAATAATGAAATGATGAAATACATTACATACATTTTTAAAATACACGAAATTAGTCATGGCTGACATTAAACTTTTTTTTGTTACAGACTTATAAAGTGGAGGCTACATTCTTTTGGGTTACATGGCCTAAAACTAGAGAAGTATATATATTGGTAAATAATGATGCCAGCTCTAATCAAATAAGTTTTAATATGGATGGTGTAATAGGTTGAATGGTGGCTCACCAAAAGATATGTCTACATCTTAACCATGTCCTAATCCCCAGAAACCATGAATGTTACCTTCCTTAGAAAAGGGGTCTTTGCAGAGATAATAAAGTTAAGGATCTTGAGATGAGGAGATCATCCCAAATTATCCAGGTGGTCCATAAATCCAATGACAAGTGCTTTTTTAAGAGAAAGGCAGAGGGATATTTGACAAAGAGACAAGAGAAGAGGCAATTGAGACACAGAGGAGAAGGCCTTGTGACAGTGGAGGCAGAGACTGGAGTGCAGCAGCTACAAGGCAAGGAACATCAACAGGCGCCAGAAGCTAGAGGAGGCTCTGGAGTGATGGTGGCCCTGCTGACACCTTGAGTTTCGACTTCTGCTCTCCAGAACGTTGAGGGCAAAGCCACCACGTTTATGATCATCTGTTACAGCAGCCTCAGGAAACTAATACAGGTGGGTTCATAGAAAGTTTTCTGGCCCCAAGCTTCCCAAAATTATTTAGAACTCCAGCTAAGACTCAACTGGTGTACTTTCACTCTTTGACGTACATCTCCCCATGACTTTCTCAAGAGGTGTTCCTAATGGTGGTATTGGGACTGCTCTTCTATTACCCTTTATGACCTATACACGGTTTGGGTCTAACTTTGGTCTTACTCAAAAGGTAATTAGATCCTGATAAAAGGCCTCTCAGAAGATCCATTTATTCATCCATTTATTTATTCAACCAGTATTTATTGATCACCTACTGGCCATGTTTTAAGAACTGGAGATAGAGCAGTGAACAAGATAAAGTCCGAATTCTCAAGGAGTTTTTATCTAGTGGGGAGACAGAAAATAAATGAATGACTAAACTCAAGTTCCTGTAGTGATAAGTTCTGTAGAGAAAAATAAAGCAGGGTAAATTGTAGGTATGAGACAGTGCTTGGGGGTGGCTATTTTTGAGTGATTAGTTAGAGAAGGCCTTTTTGAGATGATGACACTAGAGTAGAAATCAAAATGAAGTGAATGAGTAACCTATGGGAAGATCTGGGTAACCTACAGCATTTCTGGCAAAAGAAAAGGCAAGTATAAAGGACCTGAGATGGAATTGAGCTTGGCTTGTCTGAGAAGGAACGGGAAGGTCAATGTTAGTAAGGAGTTAGGGAAGATGAGAGGAGTTAGGGCCAAGATCACTCAGGCTTTGTTGATCATTGCAAGGAGTTGGGATTCTATTCCAAAAATGATGAGAGGGTGGAGAACACTGGGAGGTTTTGAGAAAGGGAGTTGTTTCCTCCTCTCTCTTATTCAGAATACTTTTTTCATTCATTCATCAAATATGTATTTATTCTCCATGCAGTGGTAGGCACTGTTCTAGGTTATGCCTATTGTACCAGTATTCAAACTGCTCTAGCTAAGACACCATTTTGTGGTCAGCATTCCAGTGGCGTATGAGAACAGAGGGAGCTGTGTTGGGATGAACTCTAGAGTGTGCAGTCCTCACCTCCAGAGACCCTTTCAGCCGTGATTACACAGCTACCCAGTTCTCACAAGGAACTTATTCAAAATCCCCTAGAACCATTAGACAAGCAGGGCATTAGTATCAGCAAAGCACCAAATTCCTCTTCACATATCCCCTCCCATATCTCAATGAGCACAGAGAACCTAAATAATTTAGCTGCTACAAACAACCCTCGGTTACAAAAGTTCCCCAATTTAGATGTGCAAACTTATCTGGGTTTTGGAGCCTTCCTTGGACTTACCCTTTTGTAGGGGTGCCCAATATGCCTTTGTTATCCTGATTTCTTCTAACGAGGAAGAGGGCCTGGTACCCCTATTAGTGTTCATGAAGACCCTGAGCAAGGAAGATGATGCAGACATTAATGTTCATGTTAAAAGTCAAGGTGGTGTTTTTATGACATTAACTGTATTTGGCTGAAAGACCCGGAAATTTCCCAATTCTTCCTCTCCAGCTTCCTTAAAGAGCTACTCACACAAGGAGCAATATTTCAATGGATGTTATAGCTTGAATGTTTGTGCCCTGTGAAATTCTTATGTTGAAATCCTAACCCCCAAGGTGATGGTATTAGCAGGAGAAAATTGTGAAGTAATTAGGTCATAAGAATAGAGCCTTTATGAGTCAGATTAGTACCTTTATAAAAAAGACCCCAGAGAGCCTCAGGCTGTCATTCTGCCATATGAAAATACAAGAAGGAGGCATCCGCAAACCAGAAGAGGGCCTTCGCCAGAACCCAACACTACCACCCTGATCTTAGACTTCTACCTTCCAGAACTGTGAAAAGTAAGTGTCTGTTGTTTATAAGTCACCCATTCTGGTACTTTGTTACAGCAATTTAAACAGACTAAAATAATGGGAATAAAAATAATACCCTGGGGCAGTGCCAAGCTAGGTCGAAGCAAAAGTGGCCTGGTCTTAAGGCCTAAGTGGGGTTCCCTGCTTATTCCTATGCCTGAATCCAGATCAAGGCTCTTTCCACCTCCTAGCCAACTCCAGAGTTCATGGAAGCAGTGATCAGCACAGTCAGGCGTGGTATTCAAAAGTGATCAGAGGCACACAGGACCCCGTGCATGAGTGCGAGAGCTTGGCTCGCAGAACCTACCACACGCAAGATGAAAGTTGTCCTTTTTCCCTTAACAACAGCTATCATCACAAAAATATATAAATTTATATAACTGCCTGCCCCCAAGTGTTAGAGTAGGTACTTAGGCAGACATGAGCAGGACAGGAGAGGGGCCCCCCAACCAGGAATATCAGGTGACCATCAGGTGATGATCAGGCAGTTGTTAAACAGTCTCTCTAAGCCGGGGGCCATGGCTCACGCCTGTAATTCCAGCACTTCGGGAGGCTGAGATAGGTGGATCACTTGAGGTCGGGAGTTTGAGACTAGTCTGGCCAGCATGGTGAAACCCTGTCTCTACTAAAAATACAAAAATTAGCCGGGCGTGATGGCAGGTGCCTGTAATCCCAGCTACTGGGGAAGCTGAGGCAGGAGAATTGCTTGAACCCAGGAGGCAGAGGTTGCAGTGAGCCAAGATCATGCCATTGCACTCCAGCCTGGGCAACAGGGCTAGACTCTGTCTCAAAAACAAACAAACAAAAACAAAAAAACAGTCTCTCTAGAATAATAATTGTTTGCAGCCAGCATCAGGGAAAGTCAGTCTCCTAATAGATAGAAAACACACCTGAAGCTGGTGGTTAGCAGACTCCTGACAAACTCTCAGGAGCTGGGCAAGCAGGCTTGAGCATGCATACCAAGAGGCAAAATGGCGGACTTCAACGGGTATGTGACCTTCCTCTAGGAAGACTTGTCTGGCAAGGGAAAAATGTCTCCAATGAGCATGTACACAACTTCAGTAAACACAGTGTGTGTGCAGCCCATCCCAAGGGCTGGCAGGCCACTGCACATGCAGACAGCCCACCCCAAGGGAAGAATCAGGGGAGAAGAGACGCAAGACTCCAGAAGCCTGCCAACAAATAAGCCCCAAGTAATAGGTTAAACTGGGCACTTGGATCTCTCAAGTTGCCCACTTGGCCCTCCTCCAAGTGTACTTTATTTCCTTTCGTTCCTGATCTAAAACTTCTTAATAAACTCTCTGTAAGGAATATGGCTGTGCTTTGGTCAAGGATAGGCCAAGGTAAACATCCAGAGTGACTCAGCGAGTTTAGAGCGCAGGCGTATAACTCACTTTTTATCATAGCCATGTAGACATAACATAGAGAAGCTTACCATAGCCATAACATAGGGAAGGTTCATCCCTTGGCTCTAAGCCACTATTGTCCGTAAATGGTATAATTGCCCTGCTGACGCTGTACAGGTGCATTGGCAGCCAGAGAAAGAGAGAGAGAGAGAGCCAAAGCTGTCCATCTTTGCAGATGGACTGAGGGGAGCCAGGACACAGCTCGGCTTGCTTGTACCCAGAGAGAGAAAGAGTTAAGCTGCTGACCCTGAGGGCAAGGGAGAGCCGGACGCACAGTTGTGTGTGGAAGCTGCCGAACTAAGCAGCCAGGACAAGGCGGACAGTCTGAGAGAACTACTGTAAGTAAGCTGCTAATGAGAGCTGTTGCTGAATAAAATCACCTTTCACCTGCCTACGGCCCCCTGAGTGTTCTTTCAGCTATCTGCTCATCCACCCCCTCCCCTCAGACCTCAGTATGGGCTGGAACCTGGCCCTGGGCGTGACACTCTCTCTCTTACTCTAAAACTTGCCTCGGTCTCTCACTCTGCCTTATGCCCCTCACACAAATTCTTTCCACTGAGGAGGCAAGAATTAAGTTTCTACGACCCATATGGATTCACCACTGCTAACGCAAGCATTTAATGAAAGCATAGCTTCAGTTTTATGTCGAGCTAAATTAATTGACTCAAATATCTTCTATTTGCCTAACCTCCATCTTGCCCTTTCATTTAAAGTCATTAATTTTAAGTACTCAGTTTATGAAACCATTCTTATTTCTATAATTAAGAAATCAAAATGTTATACACAGGAATAACTGATTTTTAATACTTCCAGGATCTTTGAATTTTATATACCAAACTTGCTAAATCCATGAAAATCAATGTCTCAGTTTCCTAGACCAAAGAATTTTTTGATCAACGTCTTAATGACCATGACTGAGCCTCATCTATTTTAGAACCTTTAAACTCTTTTACTATCCAAAAAATAAGCTGAGCAGAAAAGGATGCTTTAATTTGAAAGTGTAAAATGCCTCTAGGTGAGCTTCTGTGAATTTTCATTATTATGATAGGTTTAGCCTCACATTATATGATACAATGAATCAATACATTTAATTTGTCTTCTTTTGGAGACTTTGGAGGCATCAAATCAAGGCTTTGACTGGTCTTAATGGACAATACCCATACAATCTATCTGGCCCATTAAGTTTAGTCCTGTAAATATTTACTAAGGGCCTTCTCTGCACAAGACCAAATAGCTATTAACCAAAGGTTAAAAGAATCTGAGACAGTTCAAGAACTGTTCTGCTTTGCTTTCTATGCGGTTTTGTGAACTCTTGCTTTGTTATAAAACAAATTCACTTTCAAGTCTTTTGACCAAATTGGATGTAGCCTGGGAAACATTTTCAAAACCTGCAATTCTACCTCACGTCTAGCTCCCCAGAACAGTGTTAGTGGCCTGAGAAACAGAAGGACTAGCTAGTGGGAAGGCCCCAGAGAGAAAAACTGAAACAAACCTGGCCACAAAAACAGAAGAGCTGAACAGCAGCATTGCCTCCGGGAGTAACTGACTTATATCTCATTTTCTTTAACACTGAGAAGAGAATACAAATGGCGGGATTAGGTGAAGAGAAATGCTGTCAAAATCAACAACTAGCAGCTGCTCTGGAAGAAAACCAGAAGACGTGTGTGACCCAAATATTCATTTCCCAACTCAAAAATATTTCCTATAAGCAAATCACACACGAGGTGTTATTCCCAGAGGAGTGTGGGGACTTTCTCTGATTTAGGACTCAGAACTGATACACAAATGCCAGTACAAACTACACAGTAACTATATACATATCAGAAATATAACCCACTTAGAAAAACACCCAGGACTTACACAGATTTTTGAGACTTCTGTACTTAATAACTAGCTATACAATTATTTTCTTTTACAAAAGAAAAGAATGTGTTGCTTACCAAGACAACCTGCTTGTCTGTTCCATTTGGCAGTCTGTAAGAAATTCAAGCACTTCCTTGAATTTATTTCACTGTTAACCACATTTGGTGTTGAAAACAAAACAAAACAAAAAGGCTGTTTTATGCCACCTACCGAATTCCACTGGAATTACATTACATAGTTAAGAATAAACTTATTTTCTCTTATTCATATGTAGCATAGTCTGTGGGTTACCTGATAGGCCTGTATTAAAATAGAATCACGTTTCTATGGTTCCAAATTTCACTACAGTCAGTTTACTATTGTCTACACTGATGAAGTAAATGAGGTAATGTTAATAATCCACAGATCATAATTGGCTGAATTCAAAATGCTTACCGTGGTGGCTATGCTTGGCAGAAGTGTGCGTCTGGGTGTGTTTCGGCTGCTTTGTTTTTCCTCTTGCCTTTTCATCCATCCACTATTAAAAGTGGAAAGAGGGAGGGGTCGAGATTAAAGTTTTGCTGAAGCACACTCGTAAAGAGGGAAGATCATTCATGTGCTGGTTACAGGATGGATGTTAATCACGTCTTTTTTGACAAGTTGATTTTCAGAGAAAATTTGGTGCTGAATTTTTTTCCACTGATCTTTTCAAGCTTTCTTCAAAACATATTTTTGTAAACCCTAAGTGAAAAATATGCTAAGAAGAAAAGAGATTCTTAGCGTGTTTTTCACATAGGGTTTATAAAAATCCTGGGGTTTGTTGACAGCATGTTCAAGGAAGACATTCTGATAGCTCTACTCTTGCCTTTTCCAGTAATGACAACAACAAAATAACAACACAATAAATGGGCAAATAAAGCTATGGGATTCCAGCTGACTGCCTCTGAAGTTGATCTCAGCCTGCATGGTGTCCAGTCAAAACCGGATGTGGGGATGACAAAACTGCCTCCCTTCCTTCCCTCCACGGTTCTCTCCCGTAATCAGCTTTTCTACCACACAGCGAGCAAGGCCAACTTCCCTAAACTAAGAATGCTGAGATTCTTTTCGACTTATAATGTTCTGACTGTCTCTCTCTGTTTCCCCTTACCTCAGAATTTGTTTAATAGAGGAAATATGTTATGTCTACAGATATTTTCTGAAACTGAAAGAATGAAACCACCCACCTGCCATTTCCTCCCTGAGACCCATAACTGGACAGGAGGGAGGTGTCTTTGACTAAGAATTTAGTTCCTGGCTCCCAAAGGCATTGACTTTGTGAATCCAGGCTGAGGGAGCAATGCCCAGGGGAGGGAAGTGGGCAGGGCAGTAAGGGAAGCTTCTCAGCACTCTGAATTCCTGTTTTTCCCCACAGACTCATCCCCACTACTCCCAGTTGTGTACATGATTACAAGTGTGTGTGTCTCTGCCCACCCCTAGCCCATACCTGGGCATTTCTTTTTGGATTCAGGGCAGTAAAAATATGCTGTCAATTAGATGTAATCTGTAGTTAGTTGTGTTTTTTTTTAACAAAACCTTATTGATATATAATTCACAAACCATAAAAAATTTCACCTTCCATAAAAAATTTCACAAACGATAAAAAATACACCCGTTTAAAGTGTATAATTCAGGCCGGGCATGGTAGCTCATGCCTACAATCCCAACACTTTGGGAGGCTGAGGCAGGCAGATCACCTGAGGTCAGGAGTTTGAGACCAGCCTAGTAGAGAAGGCGAAACCCCGTCTCTACTAAAAATAAAAAAAATTAGCCGGACGTGGTGGCACATGCCTGTGATCTCAGCTACTTAGGAGGCTGAGGCAGGAGAATCGCCTGAACCCAAGAGGCGGAGGTTGCAGTGAGCCAAGATCACACCACTGCACTCTAGCCTGGGTGACAGAGCAAGACTCTATCTCAAAAAATAAATAAATAAATAAATAAATAAATAAATAAATAAATAAATAAAATAAAGTGTCTAATTCGGAGGCACCTACCTGCCTCTTTTTCCCCCTGCTGTCCAGTGGGTCACCACAGAACAAACACACACTTGTAATCATGTACACCCATCAATCAACAAACACACACTTCCCCTCTACCTCTACACCTCTACCTCTACCTACCTCTACCCCTACCCCTACCCCTACCCCTACCCCTACCCCTACCTCTACCTCTACCTCCACGGTCTCCCTCTGATGCCGAGCCGAAGCTGGACTGTACTGCTGCCATCTCGGCTCACTGCAACCTCCCTGCCTGATTCTCTGCCTCAGCCTGCGGAGTGCCTGCCATTGCAGGCGCACGCCGCCACGCCTGACTGGTTTTTGTATTTTTTTGGTGGAGACGGGGTTTCGCTGTGTTGGCTGGGCTGGTTTCCAGCTCCTAACCGCGAGTGATCCGCCAGCCTCGGCCTCCTGAGGTGCCGGGATTGCAGACGGAGTCTGGTTCACTCAGTGCTCAATGTTGCCCAGGCTGGAGTGCAGTGGCGTGATCTCGGCTCGCTGCAACCTCCACCTCCCAGCTGCCTGCCTTGGCCTCCCAAAGTGCCGAGATTGCAGCCTCTGCCCGGCCGCCACCCCGTCTGGGAAGTGAGGAGCGTCTCTGCCTGGCCGCCCATCGTCTGGGACGTGAGGAGCCCCTCTGCCTGGCTGCCCAGTCTGGAAAGTGAGGAGCATCTCTGCCTGGCCGCCATCCCATCTAGGAAGTGAGGAGCGCCTCTTCCCGGCCGCCATCCCATCTAGGAAGTGAGGAGCGTCTCTGCCCGGCCGCCCATCGTCTGAGATGTGGGGAGCACCTCTGCCCCGCCGCCCCGTCTGGGATGTGAGGAGCGCCTCTGCCCGGCCGCCCATCGTCTGAGATGTGGGGAGCGCCTCTGCCCTGCCACCCCATCTGGGATGTGAGGAGCGCCTCTACCCGGCCGCGACCCCGTCTGGGAGGTGAGGAGCGTCTCTGCCCGGCCGCGCCGTCTGAGAAGTGAGGAGACCCTCTGCCTGGCAACTGCCCTGTCTGAGAAGTGAGGAGCCCCTCCGCCAGGCAGCCACCCCGTCTGGGAAGTGAGGAGTGTCTCCGCCCGGCAGCCACCCCGTCCGGGAGGGAGGTGGGGGACAGCCCCCGCCAGGCCAGCCACCCCATCCGGGAGGGAGGTGGGGGGGTCAGTCCCCCGCCCGGCCAGCCGCCCCGTCCAGGAGGGAGGTGGGGGAGTCAGCCCCCGACCTGGCCAGCCACCCGGTCCGGGAGGTGAGGGGCGCCTCTGCCCAGCCGCCCCTACTGGGAAGTGAGGAGCCCCTCTGCCCGGCCAGCCGCCCCGTCCGGGAGGGAGATGGGGGGGTCAGCCCCCCACCCGGCCAGCCGCCCCGTCCAGGAGGGAGGTGGGGGAGTCAGCCCCCCACCCGGCCAGCCGCCCGGTCCGGGAGGTGAGGGGCGCCTCTGCCCGGCTGCTCCTACTGGGAAGTGAGGAGCCCCTCTGCCTGGCCACCTCCTCGTCTGGGAGGTGTACCCAACAGCTCATTGAGAACGGGCCATGATGACAATGGCGGTTTTGTGGAATAGAAAGGGAGGAAAGGTGGGGAAAAGATTGAGAAATCGGATGGTTGCCATGTGTGTGCAGAAAGAGGTAGGCATGGGAGACTTTTCATTTTGTTCTGTACTAAGAAAAATTCTTCTGCCTTGGGATCCTGTTGATCTGTGACCTTACCCCCAACCCAACCCTGTGCTCTCTGCAACATGTGCTGTGTCCACTCAGGGTTAAATGGATTAAGGGCGGTGCAAGATGTGCTTTGTTAAACAGATGCTTGAAGGCAGCATGCTCATTAAGAGTCATCACCAATCCCTAATCTCAAGTACCCAGGGACACAAACACTGCAGAAGGCTGCAGGGTCCTCTGCCTAGGAAAACCAGAGACCTTTGTTCACTTGTTTATCTGCTGACCTTCCCTCCACTATTGTCCTATGACCCTGCCAAATCCCCCTCTGCGAGAAACACCCAAGAATGATCAATAAAAATAAATAAATTAATTAATTTAAAAAAATGCATTCAGGGAATAACATGACAAGAATGTCAGCAGAAAACTAGAAACTATAAAAAAGGATCATATGGAAATTCCAGAACTGAAAAATAGGATACTGAAATTAAGATTTGCAGTTATTAAAATCACAGACTGTGAGCCACACTGCCCAGGTTTAAGTCCGGGCTCCAGTCTCTGCCATGTACAATGCCAAAAAAAAAAAAAAAAACACACACACTTGTAATCATGTATACCATGCGTTGACACAGCCTCATTTCCCAGGGAAAACTTCCATTCTCAGAGAATACAGCTTCTTTTTAAATTTTTAAAAATATTTTATTTAGCCTAATACATCCAAACATGCAATGAATATAAAACATTATTAATGAGGTATTTTATATTTTTTCATTCTAAGTCTTCAAAATCCACTGTGTGTTCTACACTTACAGAATATCTCAACTGGGTTATACCATTTTAGGCACTCAATCACGTTTGGCCAGAGACTACCATATTGGACAATGCAGGTTTAGAATAGCATTATCACAGCCATGCAAAGAAGTACAAGCCTAAGTCCAGTTAACAGCAGCCCACAGAGTTAATTCAAAATAAAGACTTCATACTTTATACTCTAAGCAACCCCATACATCTCTTCATAGCAGTTTCTCCGCCCACCCCTATCCCATACCTGGGCACTTCTTTTTGGATTCAGGGCAGTAAAAATATGCTGTCAATTAGATGTGATCTGTAATTAGTTGTTGCTTGTTTTTTTTAACAAAGCTCTATTGAGTTATAATTCACAAACCATAAAAAAATTTCACCCATTTAAAATGTGTAATTCAATGACTAGGCATATTCACAGAGTGGTGCAACCATCACCAAATCAATTTAGAACATTTTCATTACACTAAAAAGAAACACTATACCCCTTAGCTATCACCTCCACTTCTCCACGTATCCAAGCCCTAGGCAACCACCAATCTACTCTATAGATCATACTGGTCTCTATAGATTTGTCTATTCTGGATATTTCACATAAATGCAATCATATAAAAAGTGGCCCTTTGTGACTGGCTTCTTTCACTTAGTATAGTGTTTCCATGGTTCGTCCACTCAATATTTCATTTTTAATTTTTTTATTGCCAAATGATTTTCAAGTGTATGTGTGTACCATATTTTATTTATCCATTTATCAGTTGATGGATATTATGGCTCTTATGAATAATGCTGCCATTGACATTCGCGTAAAAGTTTTTGTGTAGACATATTTTCTCTTGGGTATATACCTAGGAGTGGAATTGCTGCATCATATGGTAACTCTGCATTTGGCCTTTTGAGGAACTGCCAGACTGAAAGCAGCTGTACCATTTGTTCTATGAAACAGCCATATAGGAAAAGCAGCCCCCAAATGCCCTAGGAGCTGAGAAACCAAAGAACGAAGCAGACAAATCCAGTTTGTCAGTAAAGGGTGATTTATTTGGGGAACTTACCCACAGAAGCATGGTCAAAACAGGAGCAATACAGGTAGATCTCTGCAGGATTACTATCCAGACCCAGGACTTATAGACACCTTATATAGGGAAAGGAAGTACATGCTCTATAGAGACAGCTAAAGGCCACCTTCCAGAACAGGCGAGACTGCTATGTGCACCATAGCCTATAATATGTGTGATAACATCAATGTTGCTTTGATCTAAAATCAGGATCTGTAGTGAGTTCATGTTCTTACACTAAGGACAGGAAATAAAGTAGGAATCAGGAGGCATTCAGGATACTGGAGCTAATCAGAAGTCAGCATGGTGGATTAGCTTCCAAGATAGAGCCCCTTTTGTCTCCACACTCCACCCCTCTAATCCGGCTCTTACAACCTCAAGCGCCCACCTCTTCCATGATGGGTCCTGAGCCAGGGGGCTGCTGCAGTCATTTTGGGGATGTGGGTGACACATTGCATCAGTTTCTTTTCTACTTGTAAGCAGAGGCTGCAGCAACAATACAAACAACAGGCAATGATACCTGTGTCAAGTATGAGACACAGAATTAATCATGCCTTTGCCACCATATTTTCCAGAATCCAAACCAAGAGGCATTTTGCAGGGCAGAGCAGCAGCAGGAACAGAAGACTATGGGAGGAAATACAAGTCTCGAGTAGGTACTTGGCAGGGCAGTTCTTCCCCATCAAGCAAAATGGCTGTGGTAGCTTCATCTCTGTTAGTTATGACGCAAGCAGCCCAAGGATTATGGGCTGAGGGTGCACACCAAACGGGTTGCCTGAGGGGCGAGGGTAAGGTCACAGGGGCAGCAAAGGACCATACCAAGCAGCCACCAGAGTGCCTTTTAAAAAGGGCCATGTTCAGTGTATGGGTATGTGGAGCGTCTTGGTCCAGACTCCAGCAGGATCAATGAAGACCTCTTTAGTTGCCAAGGAATTCCCTATTCTGTAGCAAAAAAAAAAATACCTTATCCAACCTGGGGGAGATTGCCAGTCAAACTTCCATTCAAGTGTTCCCTCCTCTGCCTCAAGGTCTTGGGGAGTCCCAAATAATATTTGCTGTTGGCCTTTTATCAGCTCTGGTAGAAATTTGTCTGGCTGGACTTTCTTTGCCACTGTGGTTAATGGACCATCCTCTACGGTGGTCCTGAGTTGTTGGTGTGGTGCCAGCCGTATATTTATCTCAACTGAATTAAAGTTTCTAAGGCCTTTGAGGTAGGAGGCAGGACTCGACTCCAGGGGCGGGGCTCAGACACTGGACCAGATTGAGGACTCACTAAAACAGGGCTGGGGTGAAAGCAGCTTTCAATCAGACACACCCACCAGCGTGCCACGTCAATTTACCATTGCCATGGCAACAGCCAGACATTACCACCCCTTTTCATGGCAATGACCCAATGATTACTACCCCTTCCCTAGAAATTTCTGCATAAACTGCCCCATAATCTGCATGCAATTAAAAGTGGGTATAAATATGACTGCAAAACTGCCCTGAGTTGCTACTCTGTCTATGGGGTAGCCCTGCTCTGCAGGAGCAGTCAGGGAACTATAATACCACCAGAGATATAACACTGCCTGTTCAATAAAACTGTTTTCTTCTACCTCTGGCTTGAATTCTTTCCTGGGCAAAGGGAGAAGCCAATTCTGCTGAACTTAAAAAGGGATACCTAAAAGGCCCGGTTAGAATTATCAGGAAACAAATGTGGTATGATCTGATCTCAGCTGGAGTAGGCAAAGAAAAAATAGATCAGCAACCCAATGCCAGAATAGTGGGCCTTTGAAAAACCTGATTCTTGATCAACAGCTTAGACCCCTTCCTACTGTCTATAGTGAGTACACTAAGGATAGTAAATAAAGTAGGAATCAGGAGGCATTCATGGGACTGAGGCTAATCAGAAGTCAACATGGTGGATTTGCACCCAAGATAGAGCCACTTTTGTCTTGATATCATTTTACATTCCCATCAGCAATAGTTAAGAGTTCTAATTTCTCTACATCCTTGCTAACTTGTGAGGCTGAGGCAGGAGAACTGCTTGAACCCGGGAGGTGGAGGTTGCAGTGAGCTGAGATTGCACCATTGCACTCCAGCCTGGGCAACAGAACAAGACTCTGTCTCAAAAAAAAAAAAAAAAAAAAAAGTCTTCTGATTCATGGGCATGGGATGTCTTTTATTGATTTTGGTCTTTAATTTTTTCAATGGTCTTATATAGTTTCAGAGTATATGTTTTGTATTTCTTTTGTTCAGTTTATTTCTAAGTATCTTTTGATGCATTGTTTTTCAAATTTTTGATTTGTTCATTGTTGCTGTATAGAAATATCATAGATTTTTATATAGTGATGTGTATCTTGCAATCTTGCTGAACTTGTTTATTAGTTCTAATGGTTTTTTAGTGGTGTTACAGACTAAATGTGTGTGCTCCTCCAAAATTTATATGTTGAAGTCCCAACCCTCAATGTGATAATATCAGTTGGGAGGTAATCGAGTCTTGAGAGTGGAGCCCTCATGAATCGTATTAGTGCCCTTATAAAAAGACCCAAAGAGCTCACTAGTCCTTTTTCTGCCATGTGAGAGTATAAGAAAAGACAGAAGTCTACAACCCAGAGAAGGGCCCTCACCAGAAGACAACCATGCTGACACTCTGACCTCAGACTTCCAGGCTCTAGAACAATGAGAAATACATTTATGTTGTTTATAAGCCACTCAGTTTCTAGCACTTTTTATAGCAGCCCAAATTGACTAAGACAAGCAGATTTCTAAGTATTTTCTATAAAGAAAATAATGTCATCTGCAAATAGAGGCAGTTTTACTTCTTCCTTTCCAATATGGATTCTTAACTCCTAATTGCCCTGGCTAGTACCTCCAGTAAAATGTTAAATAGGAGTGGTGAGAGCAGGGCCAGGCACAGTCGGTCACACCTGTAATCCCAGAACTGTGGGAGGCTGTGGCAGAAGGATCACTTGAGGCCAGGGGTTCAAGATCAGCATATGCAACATAGGGAGACTCTGTCTCTACAAAAATAAAAAAAAAAAATACCAAAATTAGCCAGGCATGGTGATGTGTGCCTAAAGTCCCAGCTACCCGGGAGGCTGAGGTCGGGGCATGGCTTGAGCCTGGAGGTCAAGGCTGCAGTGAGTTATAATCACACTACTGCTCTCCAGCCTGGGTAACAGAATGAGATCTAGTTTCAAAAAAATGTAGTGGGAGCAGACATCCTTATCTTGTAGCTGATGTTAGGGCAAAAGCTTTAAGTATATGTTTTACCATTAAGTACAATGTTAACTGTGAGTTTTTCCATAGATGCTTTTTATCAGTTGAGAAAGTCCTCTTTTATTCCTAGCTTGTTGGGTGTTTTTATCATGAAGGAGTAGATAGTATGGTTTCTTAATCAATAAGGAAGGAAACAAATGCTGTGGGCACAGTGTCATAATTTGTGAGGTGCTTCTTGCAGTGAGGTTAGCACTCACATCAATTGTGCAGAATAGTGATCTTCCTTTCCCTCTTTTCCTCCCTACTGCCCCTACACAATCCTATAGTTTCTCTTACCCACCTGATCCTAGAACTTCAAAACTGCACCCTGTAAACGTGTTGGGAATGAGAAATGTCATCACATTTACATTTACCTTTTAATAAATTCTCCCTTAATGATCTAAAGTTTTCCAGTCAAATTTTTGAAATTGCCACTGATATATCAGTACCTGAGTAAATATTAGGTCATGACCAGCCACCCTCAGCTCTGTCTGAGCAGAGATTTGCCCTTTGCATTTCACAAAATGTTATAAGCACCTTTGTACACAGTCGTGGTCTGAATCTTTTACTATTGCTTTAGGATAAATTTCTGGGAAAGAATGACTAGGTTGAAGGACATGAGCATTGTCATGTTACATAGCACCAAGTGCTCTCCATAAAGTTTGTTCCACTTTACCTGCGCTCCAAGAGTGTGCTGGGGTAGACATTCTACACATCCTCCACAAAAATAACATTATAGAGAGCTGTCAATTTTATAGATGTAGAGTGACATCTCATTATTGTTTTATTTTTTTTTTATTATTGGCAATATGTATCTCTTTAGTGAATTACCTGTTCATGTCATTTACCTATTTTTCTTTCAGGGTTCTGTTTTTTACTATTTAATTGTGTAATAGTCCATTCTTGCACTGATGAAAAAAATACCTGAGACTAGGTAATTTATAAAGGAATGAGGTTTAATTGGCTCACAGTTCTGCAAGCTGTACAGGAAACACAGTGGCTTCTGATTCTGGCGAGGTCTCAGGAAACTTACAATCGTGGTGAAAAGTGAACAAGAGAGCAGGAACATGGCTGGAGCAGGAACAAGAGAGAGAGAGAGAGGAAGGGCTACATGCGTTCAAACAACCAGATCTCATAATATGATAACTCACTTACTCACTAACATGAGAACATCACCAAGAAGATGATGCTAACCCACTCATGAGAACTCTACCCCCATCCAATCACCTCCCACTTGGTCCCACCTCCAACATGGGGGATTATAACTGGACATGAGATTTAGTGGGGACAGAGATACAAATTATATCATTCCACCCCCAGCCCCTCCAAATTTCATGTCCTTCTCATATTGCAAAATACAATCATCCCTTCTCAACAGTCCCCCAAAGTCTTATCTCATTCCAGCATTAATTCAAAAGAAGTCCAAAGTCTCAGCTGAGACAAGGCAAGTCCCTTCCACCTATGAGCCTGTAAAACCATAAGCAAGTTAGTTACTCTTAAACAGCAAGGGTACAGGCACTAGGTAAATACAACTGTTCCAAAAGGGAGAAATCAGCCAAAAGAAAGGGGCTACAGGCCCCATGCTAGTCTGAAACCCAGCAGGGCAGTCATTAAATCTTAAAGCTCCAAAATAATCTCCCTTGACTCCATGCCTCACATCCAAGGTACACTGGTGCAAGAGGTGGGCTCCCAAAGCATTGGGCAGCTCCTCCTCTGTGGCTTTGCAGGGTTCAGTCCCCACAGTTGCTCTCAAGAGCTGGTGTTGACTGCCTGCAGCTTTTCCAGGCACAAGGTGCAAGTTGCCAGTGGGTCTACTATTCTGGGGTCTTGAGGACAGTGGCCCTCTTCTGACAGCTCATCTAGGCAGTGCCACAGTGGGGACTCTGTGTGGTGGCTCCAACCCCACATTTCCCCTCCACACTGCCCTAGTAGAGGTTCTCCATGAGGGCTCTGGCCCTGCAGCAGGCTTCTGCCTGGACATCCAGGCTTTTACATACTTCTTCTGAAATCTAGGTGGAGGTTTCCAAGCCTCAACTCTTGCACTCTGCACACCTGAAGGCTTAACACCACGTGGAAGCTGCCAAGGCTTATAGCTTACACTCTCCGAAGCAGTGGCCTGAGCTGTACCTGGGCCACTTTGAGCCATTGTTGGAGCTAGAGTGGCTGGGATGTGAGGAGCAGTGTCCCTGGGTCTGGTCCAGGAAACCATTCTTCCTTCCTAAGCCTCCTTAGGCTTGTGATGGAAGTGGCTGCCTCTAAGGTCTCTGAAATGCCTTTGAAGCCACCTCCCCATTTCTTGGCTATCAGCATTTGCCTTTCTTTTAGTTATGAAAATTTCTGCAGCCTGCTTAATTCCTCTCCTGAAAATGGGCTTTTCTTTTCTACCATATGGCCAGGATGCAAATTTTCCAAACCTTTACACTCTGCTTTCCTTTTAAATATAAGTTCAAGTTTCAGGTCATTTCTTTGCTCACACATAGGAGTATAGGTTGTTAGAAGCTGCCAGGCCACAAGTTGAACGCTTTGCTGCTTAGAAATTCATTCTGCCAGATACCCTAAATGGTCTCTCTCAAGTTCAAAGTTCCACAGATTCCTAGGGTAGGGACTCAATGTTTCCAAGTTCTTTGCTAACACTTAACAAAAGTGACCTTTGCTCCAGTTCCTAGTAAGTTCCTCATTTCTATATGAGACCTCCTCAGCCTGGACTTCATTGTCCCTGTCACTATCAGCATTTTGGTCAAAACAATTTAACAAGTCTCCAGGAATTTCCAAATTTTTCTTCATCTTCCTGTCTATTTCTGAGCCCTCCACACTCTTCTAACCCCTGCCTGTTACCCAATTCCGAAGCTGCTTCCACATTTTCAGGCATTTTTATAGCAATGCCCCCTTCCTCAGTACCAATTTTCTGTATTAGTTCATTCTTGCACTGCTATAAAGAAATACCTGAGACTAACTAATTTATAAAGAAAAGGGATTTAATTGGCTCACAGTTCCACAGGCTGTACAGAAAGCATAGTGGCTTCTGTTTCTGGAGAGTCCTCACAGAGCTTTCAATCATGATGGAAGGCAAAGGGGGAGCAAGGTGTCTTCCACAGCAGGAACAGAAGCAAGAGAGAGTGTGGGGAGGTGCTACATACTTTTAAACAACCAGATCTTACAATAACTCATTCACTCACTATCACGAGAACAGCACTAAGGCAATGATGTCAACCCATTCATGAGAACTCCTCCCCCATGATCTAATTACTTCTCACCAGGCCCCACATTCATTTTTATATAAACAAGTAAGTTCCCCTTTTCTTTGCTATTACTGTCTTTCAGATGTGTGCTGGTAAAGCAGTTTCAAAAGAAAAGTCTGATTTGTAGCATTTGCTGATATCTGCAGTGTCAGTATTCCCGCTATTGCTGAGGGCTAGCTACCAACTAATTTTTTGGCAAAGCTCTTGAATATTTTATTTTTATTTATGTATTTATTTATATTTAATTTTATTTTTTGAAATGGAGTTTCGCTCTTGTTGCCCAGGCTGGAGTGCAATGTCATGATCACAGTTCACTACAACCTTTGCCTCCCAGGTTCAAGTGATTTTCCTGCCTCAACCTCCCTAGTAGCTGGGATTGCAGGCATGTGCCACCATGCCTGGCTAATTTTGTATTTTTAGTAGAGATGGGGTTTCACCATGTTGGTCAGGCTAGTCTCAAACTCTTGACCTCAAGTGATCCACCCGCCTTCGCCTCCCAAAGTGGTGGGATTACAAGTGTAAGCCACCGTGCCTGGCCCTGAATACTTTAGAATCAGATTTAACAAATCTGTGCAAGCAAGCTCCAGCACACCATGGCTACCCTGGTTTTAGATTTAGAAAGTTTTTCTCCATAACAAGATAAGATAGATATACGTGTATCTGTTCTTCGCAAATGTATTTTTTTAGTTTTTTTAATTTTCAATTATCCAAGTAATAAATGTTTACTGTAGGAAAATCAGGAAATATAAATAAATTTTAAAATATTTGAATAAGCAGTAATCTCACCAAATAGAATCACACCAATATCATTTTTAGAGCAACCATGCAGTCATTTTTCTCTATATGTTAACATTCTTTAGATTCTTGGCTCCTACTGCAAATTGTGGTTCAGAAAATTTATAACAATTTATCTACTTACACATGCCCAAGTGCATGCACACACACATAGCATCATACTACGTATACTGTTTGTAATATGCTTTTCTTAACCTATAATCGATCATAAATATCTTTTCATGTCAGTAATTATCCATTTACAATTTCATGATTATTGGCTGGATAATATTCCTTTTTATTTATAATGCAATTTTTAATATTTTAGTTTATAATGCATTTTACCAATCTTCTGTTGTTGGACATTTAAATTGCTTCCAATTTTCACAATTAGAAACAATTCTGCAATAAGCAGCAATGTTTCCTTGGGATGTGTATGAACAATTACTTTTATTTTTATTTATTTATTTTTTTTGAGATGGAGTTTCGCTCTTGCTCCCCAAGCTGGAGTGCAATGGCATGATCTCGGCTCACCACAACCTCCACCTCCCAGGTTCAAGAGATTCTCCTGCCTCAGCTTCCTGAATAGCTAGGATTACAGGCACGCACCACCACGCCCGGCTAATTTTGTATTTTTAGTAGAGACAGGTTTTCTCCATGTTGGTCGGGCTGGTCTCGAACTCCCGACCTCAGGTGATCCACCCACCTCGACCTCCCAAAGTGCTGGGAATACAGGCATGAGCCACTGTGCCTGGCTGAACAATTATTTTTTTAATATATATTCTATAAAGTGGACTTTTTGAACCAATAGACATAAACCCATACCACTATTCTTTGCCTTTTTTTCTATTACTATAGATGAAATGTCTTTTTTATTAATTATTTAACCCAAATT
Source organism: Homo sapiens (assembly GCF_000001405.40). NCBI lineage: Eukaryota > Metazoa > Chordata > Mammalia > Primates > Hominidae > Homo > Homo sapiens. Next base: position 38,818,330 of record NC_000004.12, read on the forward strand.
TAGGATACTTTTTTTAGATTGCTCATCTGCCATATAATTCAATAGCCTATCAACAATGTGGTTTCTCTTCTCATCTGTTGGTTGTACTGATTACATAATAAGGTGTTGACTGGAACTTGTCCTATGACTTGGGTCCAAAACTGAAGACAAAGAAGTATTATGTACCACATTCTATACAAAGCTGCTAGCAACTGAAGCATGTCCCCCGGGGCATTCTAAGAAGCAGTAGAACCAGATAGCACTGTCCACAGCATCGCCTCACCCTACCTTCCCCCATTCACCTGAGAATGCTGGGGAGGGTGACAAGAGAGTCAGCAGCACCAGGAGATGAGTGTTAATGATGTAAGCCTGCAAGCTCTTCTCCCTATGCAAGAGATGACATCTCTTTCTCAAGCCAAGTGAAGGGGAAATAACAGTAAAATTACTCTTAGACACGGGACAGGCAGATCAGGCATTTCTTTCCTCAAGAGGATTCTTGTTTTGATGCAGCAATGTGTAGGATCACCCTCTGAGGTTGATCCCCCTGCCCATCTGAGCAGTATTAGAGAACATTACACGTGCCCCCTGGGGGTTCAGGAGTGTAAATTAGTAGAGCGACTGGTGTCTACTCTGTTGGAGATTTCCATTGGACCAACCCTTGCCAACTGGCAATTAGAGACTGTGGTATCAGGTACCTGGGAAAGGGGGTGTATCTCCACCTCAGCATCCCATGGGCCACACACACACAAAAAGGCACAGGAGGGCTTCATCAGCTCCTGTGGCTCCATGCAAGGGAGAATGGAGGCCATAGGATAAGACCAGAGCTATAGGAAACAGAGACATCTGGTCATCCTGAGCCCTTGAATGATTTTGTGGAATAGAGACAGCTTACCTATTCTAGACCTCTTAGCTATACTTTTTTCTATTATATGAGAAAGAAATAAACCTCAATCTTATTTAAGCCTCTGTATTTGAGGTCTCCCAGTCCTGCAGCTTAGACTGTACCTTAATCGACACAATTATAGAAAAGGATATCTGCCTTCTTACCACTCATCCTTGATCTCCACTTCAGGGAGCTAGATCTGGGAGAGGGAGGGGCAAGAAGAGTGTATCTCAGATAAACCATGCCTACCTCCAAAATATATGCCAAGGTTGAGCTACAGACCTAGCCTGTGACATGCAGAAAGAAGATGAGTTTTAGATGAAGATGGAGATTTAGAATTTTAAACTAGATTGGAGTATCAGTATCTCAAAAGGACTGCAGAAGTATTAAATCTGCTCAAGATATCACTAAGGAGTGACAAGAGGGGAATTTCAGAATCCAGTTGATGGAATGACTGAGAAAAATAAACACTACTTCACATTTGGACTAGATGATGTTGAGATTCCTCATAAACTAACCGTAATTGAAACTCTCAGAAAGTCCCTGTGGTTTTAGAAATCCCCTCAGGTCTTTTACTCCCTGTAGTTTAGTCTCATTCCTTTCTAATCAAACCAGTCCCCAGAAACCTAGACAGAAATACCTCCTCCTTTCCCCATATTTGTGGTCTCATTCTCTTTAAAACTCCCACACTCTCACCGTTTATATCCCGGGTCTCCATCCACTGTCTCTTTCCTGTGCTCTTACACCCATCCACTCTATTCTCTTTGCCTATTACTCCTTTCTTTGTACCTCTGACTTTCCAAGCAGCTTCTTTTAGAGTCTTCACTCTTTCCAGGATAACATTTCTTTTCTGCTGCCACACTCAACTGAGTCTCCAGGGCATCAGAGCTGGTCATGCCAACTCCAGAGGACTGGGTTGAATAGTGTCCTCCACCCAACCTCCAAACATTTATGTCCATTTATTTCAGATTTATTCTGAAATCTCAGAATGTGACCTCATTGAAAAAAGAGTCTTTGTAGATCTAATTAAGTTAAGGACCAAGATGTGATGGCATCAGATTAAGGAGGCTCCTAAATCCAACTAGAGTGTCCTTGTAAGAGACAGGAAAAAAAAGACAGAGACTTGGAGGAGAACACCATGTGAAGACACAGGCACAGATTATTGATTATTTAACCCAAATTTGGGATACATTTTTTTAGATTGCGCATCTGCCATGTATGTCAATAGCCTACCAATAATTTTGGTTTCTCTTCTCATCTGTTGGTTCTACTGATTACGTAATAGGGTGTTGACTGGAACTTTTCTTATGACTTGGGTCCAAAACTAAAGACAAAGAAGTATTATGTACCACATTCTATAGAAAGCTGCTAACTACTGGGGCATGTCCTCCAGGGCATTCTAAGAAGCAGCTGATGCATCTGCAAACCAAGGGACGCCAAGGTTTGCCAGCAACTACCAGAAGCTAGGAGAGAGGAAAGGGATGATTTCTCCCTGACAGCCTCTGGAAGGAACAACCCTGCCAACCTTGATTTCTGACTTCTGCCTTCCTGAACTGGGAGAAATATATTTCTGTTGTTTTAAGCCACCCAGTTTGTGGTAATTTGTTTTGGTAGCCACAGGAAACTAACACATCCAGCAACACTGCCAATTTGATGCTTTCTTCGCTCATGGTATTCTTTCACTTCCAACTTTGCACCCACTGTGCCCTCCCCTTTGAAGGGTCTTCCCAGCCACATGCCCAGGACCCTTCCCAGCCACATGCCCAGGATCCTCCTGATGAAAGATCTTTCATCAAGGCTCATCCTAGCAGCCCTCCCTGGTCACTAACCTAGGTTTCTTATCTCTTTTGCTATGGTCTGGATGTTTGTGTGCCCCTCAAAATTCCTATGGTGAAATCCTAACCCCCAAGGGGATAATACAATCAGCCCTTCATATCCATGGGTTCCACATCCATAGATTCAAACAACCATGGATTGAAAATATTCAATAAATGAATAAATAAATAATAACAATATAATAATACAAAATAATAAAAATAAAAGACCATACAGTTTAACAACTACATAACATTTACATAACATTTACATTGTATTAGGTATTGTAAGAAATCTAGAGATGATTTAAGTATATGAGAGGATGTACATAGGTTATATGTAAATAGTACACTTTTTTTTTCAGAGTCAGTGTCTTGCTCTGTTGCCCAGGCTATAGTGCAACGGCATGATCATAGCTCACTGCAGCCTGGAATTCCTGGGCTCAAACAATCCTCCCACCTCAGCCTCCTGAGTAGTTGGGACTACAGGCATGTGCCGCCAGGCATGTATTTTTTTTGAGGAGGTGGGGTCTCACTATGATGCTCAGGTTGGAAGTATGCCATTTTACATAAGGGACTTGAGCATTCACAGACTTTGGAATCTACAGGGCTCCTGGAACCAATCCCCTGTGGATACGGAGAAAGAGCTGTATTAAGAGTTGGAGATGTTGGGAGACAATTAGGTCATGAATGTGGAGCCTTCATGAATGGCATTAGTGCCCTCCCCCAGGTGAGGATACAGTGAAAAGACAAGCCATCTATGAACCAGAAAGTGGGCCCTCGCCAGGCACCAAATCTGTCAGCAGCCTGACCCTGGACATTACAGCCTCCAGAACTATAAGCCATAAATTTCCATTGTTTATAAGCTACTCAATTTGTGGTACAGTCATGCAGTGCATAACAATATTTCACTCAACAGTCATGGCCCTATAAGATAATAATGGAGATGAAAAATTCCTATGGCCTAGTAACATTGCAGTGCAATGTATTACTCACATGTTTGTGGTGATGCTGCTGTAAACAAACATACGACACTGACAGTCATATAAAAGCACAGCACATACAATTATGTACAGTTCATAATACTTGATAATGATAATAAGCAACTATGTTACCGGTTTCTGTATCTAGTAGACTATAATTTTAATCATTATTTTAGAGTGTGCTCCTACTTATTTTTTTAAAAGCTAACTATAAAAATCCTCAAGCAGGTCCTTCAGGAGGTTTTCCAGAAGAAGGCATTGTTGTTACAGGAGATGATGGCTTCATGCATGTTATTGCCCCTAAAGACCTTCCAATGGAACAAGAGGTAGAAGTAGAAGACAGTGATATTGATAATGACCCTATGAGTAGGCCTAGGCTAGTGTGTGTGTGTCTGTGTGTGTGTCTCAGTTTTTAACAGAAAAGTTTAAAAAGTGAAAAATAAAAATAAAATATTTTAAAAATAGAAAAAACAAAATAAAGATGTAAAGAAGGAAAATATTTTTATATAGCTGTAGAATGTGTGTTTTAAGCTAAGTGTTATTGCTAAAGAGCCAAAAAAAAATTTAAGGCAAAAAGTTGATAAAGTAAAAACATTACAATAAGCTAAGGTTGACTTCTTACTAAAGAAAGAAAACAATTTTAATAATTTTTCTTACTAAAGAAAGAAAACAAATTTAATAATTTTTGTGTGGCCTATATGTACAATGGGACTTATAAAGTCCACAGTGGGACATGGTAAAGTCCACAGTAGGATATGGTAATGTCCTAGGCCTTCACATTCACTCACCCCTCACTCACTCACTGACTCACCCAGAGCAACTTCCAATCCTGCAAGCTCCATTTATGGTAAGTGCCTGTATTCGTTCATTTTCATGCTGCTGATAAAGACGTATCTGAGACTGTGCAATTCACAAAAGAAAGAGGTTTATTGGACCTACAGTTCCACAGAGCTGGGGAAGCCTCACAATCATGGCAGAAGGCAAGGAGGAGCAAGTCACATCTTACATGTCAGCAGGGAAGAGAGAGAACTTGTGCAGGGAAACTCCCCCTTAAAGAACCATCAGATTTCATGAGACCCATTCGCTAACAGGAGAACAGCACAGGAAAAGACCCGCCCCCATGATGCAATCACCTCCCACTGGGTCCCTCCCACAACACGTGGGAATTCAAGATGAGATTTGGGTGGGGACACAGCCAACCCACATCAGTGCCCTATACAGGTGTACCATTTTTTATCTTCTTTACCATATTTTTACCATACCCTTGCTATGTTTAGATATGTTTGGATACACAAATACTAAGCATTGTGTTACAATCACCTAGAAGCAACAGGCTATACCATAAGCCTAGGTGTGTAGTAAGCTATGTCATCTATGTCTGTGTGAGTGCACTCTATGATGTTCAACCAAAGTCAAAATTACCTAACACACATCTCAGAACTTAGTTAGAGCAGCCCAAACGGACTGACACCTTTCCTCATCCAAACTCATCTCTGCCATGCCCCATTCCTTTTAACAGGTCATCTTACTACGGGATCTATTGTTTATTCTTATCACAGTGTTAAGAACTGAAAACGTGTTGAGGCAAACTTACCAAATTGTGGCATTGGACGGGGGAATGAGAAGGAATAGTGCAAACATGGATGGAGGAGATACTTTATTTGTATGGATTTTTGTTTTGTTTTGCCTCCTTTTCGCTTTTTTGTTTTTCTTTGTTTTTTGTTTTAGGTCTTTCTGGATCAATTTTTCAACCTCCCAGAAACGACGGCAGGGAAGATGCCTGACCCTCAAAACAAAAGCGCGCATCCTACCGGGGCAATGGGCCCCGTGGGACGAGGTGCAGGGCCGCTGTGGGGCGGGCAGGTGAGGCACAGAGAAGGGCTCACCCAGCCTCCGAAAGGCAGCCATTCCCTTTTCTCAGTGTCCTGCTAAACCTGGAGCCGGGTCGCCCCAGCATCTTCCAGTGGCAGATGGGGAGGAGCAGCACCCACCGCGAAGGTGTCCACGGCCAAGGTCGGGCGCCCGGGCCGCCCAGGCACTGCGGCGGGGACGAGCGGCCAGGAGGCAGCTCAGCGTGGAACTGTAGCCCCGCCGCCCCCGCCCCCCCCTGCCTGGGCTTTTTAGATAAAATCCAGGACTTCATGGACATTTCCCGCATGGGACCGTTTCAGAGTCATTTGCTCATCCCACGAGTTTTTACTGCGCATCTACAATGGGGTGCACAGTGTCCCCTCGGCACTGGGGAGAGGCAGGGAACAGGTGGAGAAGTCTCCCTTTTTCCTGGAGCTTAGACTTCAGAGGAGAGAAGAAGAAGATGAGTAAGCAACTAAGCAAACAAGATAATTTTAGACAGTGATGTGTTCTGTGAAGAAAAGAAATGGGAAGAATGTGACGGAGAGGACTGTGAGGAACCTACTTTCCACTGGGATGCAGGGAGGCCCCTCTGCCGAGGGGATGTAGGTTTAACAAAATTAATGCTAAAATTCTATATTTTCAATGTCAACAATATTTTGTGGGAAACATTGATACCATTTAAAAAGATCTGATTATTTAGAATCTGTGGCAGTTTTTTTTGTCGTTGTTGTTACTGTGGTTGTTTGTTGTTTTTATTGTTTTTAGATTAGGCAACAGTTTAAAAAATCTGTTCAACAGGGGTTGTGGAAGAATGTGCCGTTTGGGATAGAGCCTAGGGAGGAAAACAAATGTTGTTCTCCTGAAGAGCAAGGAAGGGCTAATGCAGACAGAAGATGATGCTAATAAAATATCATTAAGGCTTATTTCGTTACAGCTATTATGAAACCAGATTTTTTTTCTTTTAACTTTTTTGAGATGGAGTCTCACTCTGTTGCCCAGCGGGGAGTACAGTAGCGCTGTCTCAGCTCACTACAGCCTCTGTCTCCCAGGTTCAAGTGATTTTCCTGCCTCAGCCTCCCGAGTAGCTGGGACTACAGGTGCACACCACCACACCCGGCTAATTTTTGTATTTTTAGTACAGACAGGGTTTCACCATGTTGGCCAGGCTGGTCTCGAACTCCTGACCTCAAGTGATCCACCTGCCTCAGCCTCCCACAGTACTGGGATTATAGATGTGAGCCAACGTGCCTGGCCGAAACTGGTTTATTGAATGAACTAAGTCCAGAAAGCGAGGGCTTCATTTTTCTCTAACCATTGCCTTACAACAAAGTTCTGTTGGATCTCCTCCCATCATCACTCCTGAATCTTGGGCAGATACCATAAATTTTAGTGACAAATCTCACTTTAGTCATTGCACCTCTATTTAAGGGATTAAAATGTCCAGGCCAGTCCAATTTAACAGCAATCTCACACCTCATTCAAAAATCTGCTTGGCCTTCCTTGCAGTGAAATGACGAAGGCATATAGTCAGTTTCTTTACTCTTCCTCCATTGTCTCTGTCTTCTCTATATTCTAGATGTCCCTATGCCATTGCAAGGGAAGAGGGTATTACACAAAGAGGAGCAGATCTTCCTGTAGTTAACTATTGAATAAGGCAGACAGGCCAGCATGATCCTGCCAGCTGCTATGGCAGAGTCCAAATGCTGGCTTTTTCATAGGGCACATCTGTGAGTTATTGGAGGGCCTTGAGTGTACCCCACATTGCACAGTTCCATGATGCAGGGCCACATTATCTGGCTGACCTCTTGCAGCAACCTCCACCCCAAACCCCTCTTCTGCCTAACCCCGTGTCCTCTTACTGCTATAGTTTCTTTGCACAACAGGCTACCCTGTTGGCTGATATCCCGTCATGACAATGCAAGCCCAGCTACTCTTCCATAGTCAAAGCCATGTGAAGAAATTCACATCCTTTTACCATGTCAATAATGGGAGGGCAGGTTGCTATCAGTGCTTCTCTTCTCTCATCCTGCCATTTTGGGTGCTCAAGCCAACCTTTCACCTCCTGAATTCCCCAGGGGGGAAGAACTCATCTATTCATTCAACAAATATTCATCAAGCACTTGTATTTGCCAAACACTATTTACCAGTCTCTGTGTTCCCAGTGCCCACCCTCGGACTCCAGCAAACACTCATCAAGCTCTTCCAAGAATTCTCAAGCCACACCACATCTGCTGCACTGAACCTGTGTGCTCCTGTTACTCTGCAAGCTTTCAGTCTTGGAGTGGGATGCCAGGCTACCTTCTACCATGCTGAGTCCCTCACACTTGTCTGCAAGAAATTCAAAGCAATCTCCCTATGGCCTAGAACCTCCGCTTAATGACTCTTTAATCACGCTTTTGACTCTAGTCTTCTAGAGATGGATAATACGGACTGGGAGTCATTGGTCTCTTTCTGCTCTTTTGATAAGTCCAGACTGGCTGTGTCTAGTATCATGTTGGTGCAGTTACTGTCTTTCGTCAGCTTTGAGCCTTTAGCCAGAATTCTAAGACAACCAGAAAAGTCCCATTCAATATCCAGCTGCAAATAAATTTGGCCGAGTTTTCTTGGAAAGCAGGTGGATCCACGTCTTTCACCTCAACAGCTTATGATTAAGTCCATATATCCCTTTACATACATACACTATCAAGTCATGAGTCCTCATTGGTTAATTACATATTTGTGTAGCAGGATAAAAAATTAAATAAGCTATTACACATATGTGAAACAAAAGACTTTTTTATATGCCGTAGCTGATCTAATTTTTTCCCCAAGCCCCAGACTTGAAGAGAATGATGACACTGACCCAAAGACCAATATGATTCACAGGGCACTCCGAGGACTGGTGCATATGATGCTGAAGTTGACTGTTCCCTTGCTGCCATGAAGCCATATAAACTCTTGCTCACAACAGAATCCATTTGGGAAAGCAGAGTGGAGAGGAGCTGAAAAACTGAGCATTTACTCAAAAGAGACTGTTTCAATTTGAAACATAATGATTAAACCAGAAGAGACTGGGCTGTCTCTAACTGGCAGGCTAACCTCACCGCCTAGCTCAGTTCCCCAGATGAAACATTGTTTTTGTTAAGTCTTTCCTGAAGGCATGAGGATAATGGAGGCACCTCCAGACAGTTACTTACGACTGTACTATTCACCATCATCCAAGTAAATAATGGTTTCTTAAGTTGAATTTCCTAAATTTTTTTAAGATTTCACATCATTGTTTTCAGTGACTAGTGTTAATTTCATATTAAAAGCGGCTCTAATGTTAGCCCAAAAGAGCCCACGTTTGCTTTTCTCCTTGGGCCACTGCAAATAAGTCCGCTGCGTCATGAGAGCCTTCAGCTTGTGGTACTTGTTGGGAATGCTGTTCTGTGGAATGGGTTCCAGTAAGATGAGGATTAAGTTATTAGATCCTTCATGAAAGAGATTGTGATGGGCAAAATAGAGTTCGTAATGGCACCACTCACTCTGGACAAAGTTGGGAGACAAAACAAAGATGGACTTGTAACTCTTCTCAATGCAGTTGATGATATTTTCCACAATGCTCTTGCCAGGGACAAAGTTTCTCTCATGAAGACAAATCTGTATATCTTCTTTTTCTAGGTAAGGTACCAATTCACTTTTCACCCAGGCAGAATCATGTTCACTATATGAAATAAAAGCATGAAACTGGAGGTTTCTTTGGAGTTCTTCTAAGGGTATGTTCCTGGCCCTGCGCCGAGTCTGGGTCCACTGGCACACCATCCTGAGATACCAGGGCAGATCCAAGTAGATGCAGAGGGAGGTCACAGTCACAGCCAACACCAGCATGGTGGCACCGATGGTGACGATCAGCAGAGTTATGTTGCAGGATAATTCAGACATGTGAAAGTCCTTTAGTGGGCTTCCTCTATAACTTTCTGGGTAGTCACACTTATAAGAATCAGGCCAGCCCTCTAACACTTCACTTGATACTTGGTCTATATTTTTGACAAATTCTCTTAGCTCACAGGTACATTGGAATGGATTGTCCCCTGCTTTTATTGACCTCATCTTCTGGCAGCTCTGGAAGAAATCAGCCGATGGGTGGGAAACTGAATTGTGATCAATGATCAATACAGAAAGGCTGCTAAAGCTGCCACATCCAGGAAGGTCAGTTAAAGAATTGAAAGCAACATTGAGTTCTTGCAAAGCTTCCAGTTTTACGACTTGTTTAGGAACGCTCTTTATTTTATTGCTGTGAAGATCAAGTACCTTGATCCTGGGAGGTAAACATCTGAAAACAGAGTCAGTAAGCATATTTGAAGACAAATTTAACACCACTATACTCTCAACCCAAGTGCAGTTTTCTTTATGTCTACCAGATTCCAAAGAATTCCAGCTAACATCCAGTATTTCCAAAGAAGGCATATCCTTCGTCATGAGACCTACTTTGAAAAGGTCTTTTAATCCATTCTTTTGTAAGATAAGTGTCTCCAATTTAACTAACGTGGAACATTTTTCAAAAATACTATCTGTGAAAACGTTCTGGGTAAAGTTCAAAAACTTGAATGTGCTTGGTGCATGAGGACACAGCATGTGTATAAAAGGTGTATCTGAAATGGTTAACATCATAATGTTCATCTCAGAAAACACGGTGTACAAAGCTGTCTGTGAAAACAGAAAAACTTGGTTCGTGATATGTTCTATTGTCAATGCTTTCAATGTCGTTTTAGAATAAGTAAAATCTTCTTCACGAATGCTTTCAATTATTGTTAAATTGTAAATATTGAGATATTCCACAGGTTTGGGCCAAAGAAATTGAAAGACTCTGACCAGGCATTTCCAAGTCGTTTCTATGTGGTTGAGGGTAAAATTCAGTAAGGTTGAACCTCTGGTGAGTTCTGATAAAAATTTAATGAAAACTTGACAGTTGTCATCATTCAATTTAATATTAGTCAGTTGTAAGCACCCTAAAGTATTAACTGATATGTTCACTTGGATAGCGAATAAACTAGTTGGGTGAAAAACAAGGTGAAGGGTTTTTGCATTCAGAATTTGTAGACTTTCTGTCTCATTTTCTTTTATATAATAATTTCTTAAATCCAGAAGGATATAACTTAGATGCAAGTGAGCAATTGGCAGCAAATCTAATTTTTGCAGCTTCATAGCACTCAATCCCAAGAAATTCAGTTGTGATAAGTTGCCAAATTCCTTACAGATGGGCAGGGCCTTGAAATCATTGAATGAGAGATCTAAATGCCTGAAACTCACAATAGGATGGCAGGATATCTTTTGCAACTGATTATGAGATAAATCCAAATATTCTAAATCCTGGTTGAACTTGAAAACACTTAAATCAAGTAGCTGGATTCTGTTATGGGAAAGTCTCAAAACTGTCAACTCTGATAGAAAGCTCATGTCAGAGACCTGAAGCTCAGCGATGTAGTTCTGAGACATATCTAAGACTTTGGTTTTCAGCGGTAGGTCTTTTGGAACATGAATAAGACCTCTTTTTGACTTGTCTACTGCAAATTCATTTCCGTCGGAGAACTGGATTCTGGTTCCAACTATTATGATCATAAGGCAAACAAAATGGAAGCTTTTAACAATAGGTTCTTTGTCTTTGGTCATGATGTTGCAGTGGCTATCCTAAAGGGTTGTTCTTCTTCAGAGCATCTTGATATGAGTCCAAATTCTAGAAATATAATATACACTAAGATTAATAAAGATCGGATGGTTACTCTCAAACCTCCACTTACTAACCATAAAATCTAAATGATTTCTTCATTCACTAGTAGAGTCATTTCTGTCCCCATAATTTAATGTAATACTTTTTATAACCAGTTATATAGCTTGCTCATGCCAGAAGGGGCAATATAGGCCTTGTTATCAAAGAATTGTGGTTGTGTGTTTTGACCTGTCTGGTTGCTGCCTGAGGGATTCACACTCAGGGGCTTGCCTTTGTTTTGTACACCTTAGAACTTTCTCAGGGCTGGAACAGCCTTCTGGCTGGTGTTTGCTGTAAACAATTAAAGGCAAACATACTAGCTGCAGCCACCTGAGCAAGGGCTAACAGAGGGGGCAAGCAGCAGACACATCAAAAAGTCTGGGAAATATGCAAAGATATATGGAGAAAGATATGTGGGAGAAAAAAGGCTGAGGAAATCTCTGTATATACCAGGGAGTCCAGAAGTCCACTCACGTGCCCAAGGCTGGACGCATGTTCAGAGGAGACCTGAGAAAATCCTAAACTTCACCTCTGGCTCATCTTTAGCTTCCATGCATGCAGAAAGTGAAGGCTAAAGCAGAGCTGTGAATAGACTGGCTAAGCATTGAGAAAGTGATCCAACACAGCCAACCTGCAAAGATCAGGGGTGTTTTTGTTTTTGCTTTTGCTAGTTTATTTGGTTTTTGTTTTTGCTCCAGATGTTTAAAGAAATCTCAAGTTACTGGCTGACCACTAAGCTAACTGGACAGAAAATGTAATAGCCACACATGACAAAGAATAATCTTTATAAAAATTATTTAGAAAAGTCATTAAACAAGCAACTATAAGCCACAAGAAGCAACAATACACCCTGGGAAAGGGAGGCCCGGCACAGTGGCTTAAGCCTATAGTCCCAGAACTTGGGGAGGGCAAGGCAGGTGGATTGCTTGAGTCCAGGAGTTCAAAGCCAGCCTGCGCAACATAGTGAAACTCCATCTCTACAAAAAATACAAAACTTAGCTGGGCATGGTGGCGTGTGCCTATAGTCCCAGCTACTTGGGAGGCTGAGTGGGAGGATTGTTTGGGGCCGAGGAAGTCGAGGCTCCAATGAGCTGTGATTACACCACTGCACTCCAGCCTGGGTGACAGAATGAGACCCTGTCAAAAAATAAATAAATAAATAAATAAAACACCTCTGGGAAAGGGGGACAGAATTTGATTTCTAGAGTTACCTCATTGTAGTGTTTAAAATGTCTGATTTAAAAAAATAAAAATCAAAACAAAATAATCACTAGCCCCCAGATTTGCCAGTGGACTTGCTCTACGTTTTGCCCTGAAATAACACAAACCTTGCAAAAAGCAAATGGAAAGAGATTGTTATCTTTTTGATTGTGTAACTTGGCATTAAAGGAATCTCTAATTTATTTGTTTAAAAAAATTAGCCATGCAAAGAAACAGAAAGTATTGTTCATTCACAGGAAAAAAAAAAAAAAGAAATTAAAAGAACAAAGCCAGATAACTGACACCACCTAACATTGAGACTTGCTACAAAGCTACAGCAATCAAGGCAGTGTGGTTTTGGTGAAAGAATAGACAAATAGGTCAAATGACCAGAATACAGAGCTTAGAAATAGACCCACAAAAAAATAATCAACTGCTGTTTGACAAACGAGCAAAGGCAACTCAGTGGAGAATGGATAGTCTTTTCAACAAATGGTGCTGGAACAATTAGACCTCCACATGCAAAAAAAAAAAAAGAAGAAGAAGAGAAAGAATTTAGACGCAGACCTTACAGTTTTCACAAAAATCAGCTCAAAATTAACCATAGACCTAAATGTATAATGCAAAACTATAAAATTTCCAGAAGATAACATAGGAGAAAATCTAGGTGACTTTGGATTTGGTGATGACTTTTGAGATACGCATCAAAAACATAATCCAAGAAAGAAAACACTGTTAAGTTGGACTTCATTAAAATTAAAATTTTTGCTTTGCAAAAGACACTGCAAGAGAGTGAAAAAGACAAACCACAGACTCAGAGAAGATATTTGCAAAACCCATATATGATAGGGACTTGTATCCAAACTATGCAAAGAACTCTTAAGCTCCACAATAAGAAAACAAACAACCTAGTTTTTAAATGGGCACAAAAATCTAAACAGACACCTCACCAAAGAAGATATGTAAAGAGCAAATACACATATACATAGCTATTTGACATCATATTTCATCATGGTTTTGCAGATTAATACAGCAATGAAATTACATTACACTTATGAGAATGGGTAAAATCCAAAAACAACATCAAATGTTGGTGAGGATGTGGAGCAACAAGAACTCTCTTTCACTGTTTGTGGGAATGCAAAATGGTGCAGCCACTATGGAATGCAGTTTCTTATAAAACTAAGCATAGTCTTATCACACAATCCAGCAAATCACATTCCTGGGTATTTAACCAAAAGAACTGAAAATTTATGTCCACATAAAAGCCTCCATGTGGATGTTTATAGAAGCTTTATTCATAACTGTCAAACATTGGAAGCAACAAGATATCCCTCAATAGATAAAAATATTAACAAACTGGTACATTCACACAATAAAATACTATTGAACAATTAAAAAATGAGCCGGAGAAGCATTAAAATGGCTGAATAGAGGCACCTAGCCCTCACCCCCTCTGCAAAGAAGGACCAAAACAGTGAGCAGATAATCACACATTGAATGAGCATCTAAGAGAGAACACTGGAATTCAGCGGAGAAGTGACAGTGCACCTCTGAGGCATGGGAGAAGAGGGAAGTGAAGCAGCCAGCCCAGCTGGGACTAGCTCAGAACCAGGAGGAACTTCCCATTCCAGGGAAAGTTTAACTGAGAGATCTTCAGAGGTCAATGTTTCCACTATGGACTCCTGTAATCCTAGCCATGAGCTAGCTCCTTGGCCTTCACATGCCCTGGGGCTGTCTGGAATATATGCAATCACATTGTTCCACAATGGGACTTCACATTGGGTCCCACATACCCCATACCCTGAGACCCAAACAGCTTCAGCATAAGGCTCTTTTAAGAGCCCAGCCCTCACCATACACATCCTGTTCTGGGGCCCAACAACCCTGAATCTCCACACCCCTGAAGCCCCACTGATATTCTCCTACGTCCACCTAGAGGGCTACAGCATTGTAATGCCAGCTAAGATCAGCAGTGCAGCTAGGTCCCCAGCACTCTAGCCCATGCAATGCCCCGCATCCCAGGAAACAGGAAGCACAGTGCACCTAGTGGCTTTCCCTGGGACAAAGGGAGTCAAAGTGTGCATTCCCCAGAGCCTCAGAGTTACCTGCCCAGGGCCACCGCCACTTACAGCAACCCCATCTTCCCTAGCAGCAGGACTACGACACATCTACACATGCCTCCAAGGGGCCTGAGGACAGGTCCACCATGCCCTTTGCTGCTAGTGCCTGCCTGCCACTGCCATGGCAGGGCAGTGCCACACAGGGTGTGGCACATGCATGCCACACGGGGTCCTGAGGACTGGCTTGCCCAGCCTGCTGCTGCCTGTGTCTACCACTTGGGGGCCAGAGGGTTGGTCCACTTTTCCTACTGCTACAGTTAATGCCACACAAATTGTGCAGGGGCCCAAGAACCTGCCCTCCCACTTGGTCCATTACTGCCACTGCAAGCATCCAACTAAATCTCCTGGAGGCTCAAGGACCCATCACCACGAGTGCCCACATATTTCACACAGGGGCCTGAGAACCGGCAAGCCTAGGCCACTGCTGCCACCACTGTTGCCTGAGAACAGGCCTGCCTGGTGTCCCCATCCCCAGCAAAGCCTTGCCATAGTGTCTGCTGACAACTGTAACCTAAGCCACTGAGGAACCCAAATGCCACTGACACTGATGACAGGTGAAGAAATCATACAGAAACTACACTGCTGTGCCCACTCAGAATCAAAGCCAAAGCACCCTATACTCAACTAACACTATAAAAACACCTAGAGGCAAAAGTCTTTCCCTATCAAAGCCAATCCATAAAATTGGAAGCAGCAGCTATTACATCAGATCCATAGATATCAACATAAGGACACAAGAAATACAAAAGTGCAAGGAAACATGAAGCCTCCAAAGGAACACAATAATTCTCTAATAACAGATCTCAACAAAAAGAAAATCTATAAAATGCCTGAAAAGTAATTCAAAATAATGATACTAAAGAAACTCAGTGAGTTACAAGAGAGCATAGATAAATAATAAAAGAAATCAGAAAAATAATTTATGATCTGAGTCAGAAATTCAACAAAGAAATAGATATTAAAAATAGAACAAAACAGAAATTTTGGAACTACAGAGGTCAATAAATGAAGTAAAAAAATATAATCAAGAGCTTGTACAAACAATAGACTAGGCCAGGTGCAGTGGCTCACAACTGTAATCCCAGCACTTTGGGAGGCTGAGGTGGGTGGATCTCCTGAGGTCAGGAGTTCGAGACCAGCCTGGCCAAAATGGTGAAACCATATCTGTACTAAAAAAAAAAAAAAATTACAAAAATTAGTTGGGCGTGGTGGCAGGCACCTGTAATCCCAGCTACTTGCGAGGCTGAGGCATGAGAATTGCTTGAACCCAGGAGGCAGAGGTTGCAGCGAGCTGAGATTGCACCACTATGCTCCAGCCTGGGTGACAAGAGCAAAACTCCAGCTCAAAAAAAAAATATATATATAAAATTAAAAATTAAAAAACAGTAGACTAGATTGAGCAAAATAAAGAATTTCTGAACTGGAAGACAGGTCTTTTGAAATAACCCAGTGAGGCGAAAAAAAAAAAAAAGGAATAAAAAAGAATAAAGAAAGCCTATGGAACACCATTAAGCAAACAAAATTCACATTTTGGGAGTTCCAGAAGCAGAAGAGATGAGCAAAGGGATAGAAAACATGTTTAATGAAATAATAGCTAAAAACTTTCCAGGTCTTACAAGAGGTATAGACATCCAGATACAAGAAGCTTAAAAATTCCCAAGTAGATTTAATTCAAAAATGTTCTCTCTGAGGAAGATCACAGTCAAACTCTCAAAAGTTGAAGACTAAGACAGAATCCTAAAAACAGCAAGAAATAAAAAAAGTCAAGTCATATAGAAGAGACTCCCCATCAGACTAACAGATTTTTCAGCAGAAACTATAGGCCAGGAGAGAATGGGATAATATACTCAAAGTGCTGAAAGAAGAAACTGTCAACCAAGAAGACTATACCCATCAAAGCTGTCCTTCCATAATGAAGAAGAAATATTCTTTCCCAGACAAGCGACAACTGAGGGAATTCATCACCACTAGACGAGCCCTACAAGAAATGCTTAAGAGAGTAGAACGTCTGGACGTGAAAAGATTATATCTACCATTATGAAAACACATGAAAGTATAAAACTCACTAGTAGAGCAAATACATAAATGAAAGAGAAAAGAGTTGAAGTTACTACTACAGAAAACCACCAAAGTTCAATGATAAACAATGAGAGGAAGAAAGGAACAAAGGATATACAAAACAACCAGAAAACAATAAGCCAAATGACAGAAATAAGTCGTTACCTATCAGTGATAACCTTGAATGTAAAAAGATTAACTTCCTCACTTAAAAGATACAAACTAGCTGAATAGATTTTTTTTACTTACCCAACTATATGCTGCCTACAAGACATTCACCCCACCTTCAAAGACACATATAGACTGAAATTGAAGGAAAGGAAAAAGATATTCCTTGCTAATGGAAACCAAAAGCAAGCAAGAATAGCTATACTTATCAGATAAAACAGACTTTAAGTATAAAACTATTAAAAAAGACAAAAAAAGCCATTATATAATGTTAAAGGGATCAATTCATCAAAAGGATATAACAATTCTAAGTATATATGTGCCCCACACAGGAACATCCAGATATATAAAGCAAATATTATTAGATCAAAAGAGAGAGATAGACTCCAATACAATAATGGTTGGGAACTTCAACATCCCACTCTCAGCATTGAACAGATCATTTAGACAGAATATCAGCAAAGAAACATTGGATTTAAACTGCACTTTAGACAAAATGGACCTAACAGATATTTACAGAACATTTCATCTGATAGCTGCAGAGTACACATTCTTCTCATCAGTGCATGGAACATTGTTCAGAATAGACCATATCTTAGGCCACAAAACAAGTTTCAACAAAAGTTTTAAAAATTGAAATCATATCAAGTATTTTCTCAGATCACAATGGAATAAAACTACAAATCAATAACAAGATGAACTTTTGAAACTGTATAAATACATGGAAATTAAACAACATGCTCCTGAACAACCACTGGGTGAATGAAGAAATTAAATAGGAGGTAAAAAAGTTTCTTGAAAAAAATTAAAATGCAAATACAGCACACCAAAGCCTAGGAGACACAGCAAAAACAATGCTAAGATGGAAATTTATAGCAATAAATGCCTACATCAAAAAAGTAGAAAGATTTGAAATAAACAACCTAACAACGAACCTCAAGGAAGCAAGAACAAATAGAAAAGCAAGAACAAACACTTTCAAATGTTAGGAGAAAGAAAGAAATACTAAAGCTCAGAGAACTAAACAAAAGAGATATTTAAAAATAGAAAAGATCAATAAAACAAAAAAATTATTTTTTGAAAAGATAAACAAAACCAATAAACTTTTAGCTAGACTAACCAAGACAAGAAAAGAAAGAAGACCAAAATAAATAAAATCAGAAATAAAAAAGGAGACATTACAACTGATACCACAGAAATATAAAAGATCATTGGAGGCAATTATGAACACCTATATGTTAACAAATTGGAAACCCTACAGGAAATGTATAAATTTCTGGATATATACAACCTACCAAATTTGAGCCTGGAAGAAATAGAAAAATCTGAACAGACCAATAACAAGTAATAAGTTTGAATCAGTAATAAAACATTTCCCAACAAAGAAAATCTCAGGACTGGATGGCTTTACTGCTGAATTTTTAACAAACAATTAACACAAAGTTTTCTCAAACTATTCAAAAAAATTAAAGATGAAGGTATTCCTCCTAACTCATTCTACAAAGCCAGCATTTTCCTGATACCAAAACCAGACAAGGACTGGGTGTGGTGACTCACACCTGTAATCCCAGAACTTTGGGAGGCTGAGGTGGGCAGATCACCTGAGGTCAGGAGTTCAAGACAAGCCTGGCCAACATGGTGAAACCTTATCTCTACTAAAAATACAAAAAATTAGCCAGGTGTGTTGGCAGACACCTGGAATCCCAGCTACTCAGGAGGCCGAGGCATGAGAATCACTTGAACCTGGGAGGCAGAGGTTGTAGTGAGCTGAGATTGTGCCACTGCACTCCAGACTGGGTGACAGAGTGAGACTCAGTCTCAAAAAAAAAAAAAAAGAAAAAAGAAATCAAGAAAGCAATCTTATTTGCATAGCTACAAGACAATTACAATACCTAGGAATAAACTTAATCAAGAAGGCAAAAGGCCCCTACAACAAAAACTACAAAATACTGATGAAAGAAATTGAGAACACAAAAAAATGGAAAGACATCCCATGTTCATGGACTGGAAGAATTAACATTGTTAAAATGACCACACTACTCAAAGCAATCTACAGATCCAATGCAATCCCTATCAAAATACCAATGATATTATTTACAGAAATATAAAAAATAATCTCAAAATTCATATGGAACCAGAAAACACCCCAAATAGCCAAATCAGTACTGAGGAAAAGGGGCAAAGCTGAAGGGATCACACTACTTGACTTCAAACGATACTGCAAAGCAAAAGTAGCATGGTATTGGTACAAAAACAGATACATAGACCAATAGAACAGAATACAGAACCCAGAAATTAATCCACATATTTACAGCCAATCAATTTTCAACAAAGATGCCAACAACATACACTGGGGAAAGACCACTCTCTTCAATAAATGGTGCTGGCTTCATATTCACTCATATGTATAAGAATGAAACTAGACCCCTGTAAGAATGAAACTAGACCCCTATCTCTCACCATATACAAAAATCAATTCAAAATGGATTACAGACTTAAATGTAAGACTTGAAAGTATAAAACTACTAAGAGAAAACAGAAGAAATGCTTGAGGACACTGGTCTAGGTAAAGATCTTATGGCTAAAATTTCAAAAGTACAGGCAATGAAAATATGAATAGACAAATGGGACTACATTAAACTAAAAACTTCTACACAGCACAGGAAACAATCAACAGGGTGAATAGATAACAGGGTTAAATGGGCGAAAATATTTGCAAACTATTCATCCAATAAAGACTAATAGCCACAATATACAAAGAACTCAAACAACTCAACAGCAAAAATAATAATAATCCTATGAAAAAGTAGGCATAGGATTTGAATAGACATTTCTCAAAAGAAGACGTACAAATGGCCAAGAGTTATATGAAAAAAATGCTCACCATGAATCATCAAGGAAGTGCAAATCAAAACCACAACGAGATATCATCTCATTCTAGTTTAAATGGCTGTCATCAAAAAGACAATAAATAGCAAATGCTGGTGAGAATGCAGAGAAAAGGGAACTCTTATACACTGTTGGTGGGAATGTAAATTAGTACAGCCATTATGGAGAACAGTACAGAGTTGTCTCAAAAAACTAAAAATAGAACTAACATACAATCCAGCAACCCCACTTCTGGATGTTTATCTAAAAGAACAGAAATCAGTGTATCAAAGGGATACCTGCACCTCCATGTTCATTGCAGCACTATCCACAATAGCCAAAATATGGAATCAACTTAACAGTCCATCAACAGATGAATGGATAAATAAAATGTGATATATATACCCGATGGAATACCATTCAGCCATTTAAAATAATTAAATCCTGTCATTTGCAGCAATATGGATGGACCTGGAGGTCATTACATTAGCAAAATAAGCCAGGCACAGAAAGGCAAATATTGTGTTCTCACTCATCTGTGGGAGCTAAAATACGCATCTCAGGAGGGTAGAGAGTAGAACAATAGTTACCAGAGACTAAGAGGTGAGTGAGGGAATGAAGAGAGGTTGGTTAATGGATAAAAACATACAGTTAGATAAAAAGAAAAAGTTCTAGTGTTCAATAACACAGTAGGGTGACTATAGCTAACAATAATTTATTGTATATTTCAAAACAGCTAGAAGAGAAGATCTGAAATGCTCCCCCACCCACACACAAAATGATGTATGTTTGAGATGGTGGATATCCTAAATACCCTGATTTGACACACGGTATGTATGTGTCAAATATTGTAGTTACCCCATAAATATGTATAATTATTTTGTGGGGAAGGAAAGAAGAAAGAAAGAGAAAAAGAGAAGGAAGGAAGGGAGGGAGGGAGGGAAGGAAGGAAGGAAGGGAGGAAGGAAGGAAGGAAGGGGAGGAAGGAAAGAAAGGAGGGAGAGAGGGGGAGAGAGAGAAGGAGAGAGAGAAAGAAAGTTAAGAAAGAGAGAGAAAGAAAGAAAAAGAGAGAAAGAAATAGAAAGAGAGAAAGAGGAAGGAAGGAAGGGAGGGAGGGGAGGCAAAGGGAGGGGAGGAAGGGAGGGAAGGGAGGGAGGGGAGGGAAGGGGGGGAAGATCCTTAAATCCATTTTGCTAGGTGAAAGAAGTCAGTCTGAAAAAGCTAAATACTATTTTATTTCAACTATATGATATTCCAGGAAAGGCAAAACTAAATAGACAAAAAAAAACTGCTCTAAAAAATAAAGTCTATTGATTTTTTTTTAAAAAAAATTAATAGAAATGGAAAAAGCATAGACATTGGACTTACTAGGCAAAGGCTTTAAATCAACTGTATTGAAAGTTAACTACGTGCTGTACTCAAAAAATAGTTATTCTCTTTTAAAGAAGAAGTTCTTTTATCCTTCCCCACCACCAAATATTAGACCAGCCGGTTTGATAATTTAAAAAAGCAGGCAAGAAGCCAGTCCCAAAAACTCCAAGACATACTCAGTAGTTTATACCAGTATCCAGTTTGGCACCAACTCAGCCATCTGCTGCAACCAGTGACCCTTCACGGCTGAAGGGTTAACAAATCCATTTCTCTCTTTCTCCATGGACTGATCTGACCTCAAGTTAACTTCCTAGCCCTATTCTGAAAACCTGAAACATGTAGAAAGTCAGCTGTGTACCAGCCAACATTACTTATTGTAACAATGATCCCTGACTGGTAAATTGCATCCAGGATGAAAGGACTGTGTATGAACTATAAGTACCAGGTAGAAAATTGAGCTTCTGAGTGTGGCCTATTGGGGCATTTGGGTATGAATGTTTAGTTGAGCCTGAGAAACCTCCGATGGGCACTCGACAGTGGTGCCAGTGCTGAGCTAGACTTTCAGCAGTGCTGATTATAATCCCGAAAGACACAATCCTGAAGGCTGAAATCCTAAAAGATCAAAGTCCCCAAAGTCTAAAATCCCTAATGTCCAACTGAATCCTCAAATCATAATGACCTATCACTTGATTTGGAATTAGGTGTGATCAAGGCTTCTAAAAGGGAATTTCAAGGTGTTACCAATAAAGTTTGTTTTCTTCCATTCAGCCCAATGCATTTGTCAGAAAATTCAGTTGAGAGGATTGGCCACATAATGTGGCAATGATGAAAAATTTAGTTTAAAAATACATTATTTGTCTGCACTGGCATTCCTTCTGGCTGATGAAATACCAGGAGTTCTCAATGAATTAAAGTTGCATTTGCCTAAAGCACCCAGTGAAGTTACTGACTGATTTGAAAATAATAATGCATATGGTAGGATAAGAAGACACAGGACTGGCGTGGTGGCTCACACCTGTAATTCCAGCACTTTGGGAGGCTGAGGCCCATGGATCACGAGGTCAGGAGTTCGAGACCTGCCTGGCCAATATGGTGAAACCCCGTCTCTACTAAAAAAATACAAGAATTAGCTGGGCGTGGTGGTGGGTTCCTGTAATCCCAGCTACTTGGGAGGCTGAGGCAGGAGAATTGCTTAAACCCGGGAGGTGGAGGTTGCAATGAGCCGAGATCGCGCCATTACACTCCAGCCTGGGTGACAGGGCAAGACTCCCTCTCAAAAAAAAAAAAAAAAGAAGACACACAATGCTGTTGTTGATTGATCACCAGTATTGTTTCTGCCAAATGTGTGGTCTGTATATGAGTGCATGCAGAATAGATTTTCATGTACCCAAATCAACACAGAAGCACGGCACTGAAGATGAGAACATTTAACAGGAATGCTCATGTTGGTGTAAATATGTAAATAGAAGCAGAGAAGCATTTCCAAACAAGCAGTGCCACATCGAAAATAAATGTGAATGTATTCTCTGAGGAGAACAGTGCCCTGAAAGAAATAAATCAGCTATTTGTTGTGATGCAAGACTTTAAAATATTAATAATGGTGAAAGTTGGCCAGCTCTTATGGACTACCTCCATGCAATTGCCCATAATCTGTCCCTGTGATATACTTTTTCTTCTTAATTTTTTTTGGGGGGTGGGGTGGATGGTTAATTTTTTTGCTTTTCTTTTCCTTTGTCCCATTATTTTAAATCATCAACACTATTTTTTACAATTTGCTATGCTATGTATTTCATCTTCACATCATTTCCAATACTGGAGGTATAAATTTTGTAAAGACTATTTAGAGAGTTCTGATTTATTTTATGCAACGTTGACTCCATAAAAGTACATTATCACAACATTGACTTTGTGTGCAAGCATTGTGTGTGTATGTGAAAACACTGAAACTTCTGCCGGGAGCAGAGGCTCATCTCTGTAATCCCAGCACTTTGGGAGGCCACAGCGGGCAGATGGCTTGAGCTCTGGGGTTTGAGACCAACCCGGGCAACACAGTGAAACCCTGTCTCTACAAAAAATACAAAAATTATCCAGGCATAGTGGTGCCTGCCTGTAGTCCCAGCTACTAGGGAGGCTGAAGTGGAGGATGGCTTGAGCCCAGGAGACAGAGGTAGTTGCAGTGAGCAGAGATTAAAAGGAGAGAGAGAGAGAAAGAGAGAAGAAAAAAGGGAAACTTTCTCAATAAATGAACAGAAGTCCTTTTTGCCCATCTGCATTTGTGAAAGATAAAATTTCTCAAGCTCTCAGCTCTCTGGGCAACTATATATATGCGGTGGTGACCCATCACAGTTTTTGATCAATCGCATCAAAGGACTTAGGTTGCCCATCATGGTTTGACAGTGTGGATGGCAGCAGTTACGTAAGCCATTTATTTGTGAGTACGGTTCATCTGTTCCTGAGTGTTTACGCATGCAACTGTCCTTAGCATATCTGAGTGTTCATGCTTGCAAAAATATGTACGTCATTATTGTTTATTTTATTTGTAAAGTGATTTATAAAATATTGTCATGTTTTCATATGTTTCTCAAATAAATCGCCTTTCAAAAATGTAAATGAATGTCTTTTAAAGAATGTTTAAAAATTTTTTTTTCAGAATTATATTTTCAGGATTTTGATCTTCCAGGATTTCAACATTCAGGATTATGGCACTTGGGATTGCATCTTTCAGGATTCTGACCCAAACCCGACTTTCTGATCCCCAACCCAATTTGGGCAAGGTGACATCAAAAGAAAGGGAAGGGGAGGAAGGTGGTTGGCAGGACATTGAGGCCTGGCCAGGAGGTGGATCTGCCTGCAATGTGATGACCAAAGCCCTGTGGAATATGAGAGGGATCAATCCTTTTGGGAGGGCAGATGAGGACTGGAATGAGGCTATATTTATATCTTAAGGAGGAACTACCTACTCCCTCCACCTTCATGAATTGGACCTGACCAAAACTAGCCATAAGTGGCCTGGCAGAAATGATATCACCATTCATGGAGCCAGTGAGAAAATGCAATTAACCCAGGCCAAAGTGGTCATTTGTGCCTTGCTGGGGGCTGGTAGCAGGCACACAAGCCCACAGATCCCATGTTTGTGACTGGGAAAGAGGGGTGGGACTAAAATTATTCTACAGGGAAAGCAAGGAGCCAGTCTCAGAAACTCAGACATATGCTTAGGAGTCTACTCTCCTTAGGCTCTGATCCGCACAGAAAAGCATCTGTGAGCCCCCATGGGGGGCAAAGCCAGAATGCCTCTGTGTGCCAGCACACAAGGCCAGACAAGTCTCCATGGCCACCCAGCTCCGACAGGGGCATCCTGGCCGCCTGTCCTCATGACCTAATCACCTTCCAGAGGCTCACACATCTAATACCATCACGTTGGTAATTAGGTTTCAACACATGAATTTCGAAGAGACACAAACATTCGGGCCATAGCAATGACACATATACTGTGCTTTTTTTTTTTAATCCCAGGAGTGTTTTAGTTATAGAATCTCATTGTTGACACAATTCCCATTACAATGGGTATTTTTCCAACCAACATTAGACTGCAAGCCACAAATTTAGAGAGACAGGATTCAGCACATGATAATCTGAAAACATCAAGTTCTAACAGCTAACACACTGACAAAATGAAAAAGTTTGCCAGGCTAAAGCTGCCGTATGGAAGAGATAACTACTTTCTCAGGGCCCAGAAAGCCTCGTTGCATTACAACACATTATAGACATTGACGTTCATGACAATGATGCTGAGCAAACAAGAAAAGAATACTTGACTGAGGCAGGGCGGCAGGTGCATGAGCCCACAAACCCCATGTTCATGACTGAGACAAAGGACTGGAACTGCCAGGCTGGCTCAGAACCTTTTCAGGCTCTGTTCTGCACAAGAAAGCATCTATGAGCTCCTGGGGGACAAAAGCAGCCACCAACATTTTTAAAGTAGGTCTCTGTGTTGCAGGGATAATTGAGAGCAGATTACCAAAATGAGCACTGCACATTGCTCAGTTTTATTTAAAAAGGACCCACTTTTCACCATCAGGGGATATACTGGAAATAGTAAAACAGTCAAGAGATGAATCCTTTATTTACAAAGGGTCCACTTTTCACCATCAGGGTATATATTGGAAATAGTAAAACAGGAAAGAGATGAGTCCTTTATTTACAAAGGATCCACTTTTCGTCATCAGAGGATATATTGGAAATAGTAAAACAGGCAAGAGATGAGTAGAGTTTCAACCAACCTTTCTTTGGAAGAGTGAAAACTCTGAGTTGGGGAACTTTTATTACTGAATGGCGTATGGTTAAAAGCTCTTCACTGATCCATATAACTTCTCCCAACTGCCCATCAGAACACCCACAGAGACACACATACATTTGAAAAATCCACTTGGCCACTGAAAACAAAGAAGCACAGAAATGTAATGGCAGGATCCAGGAGCATCTTCACTCACAAAAATGTAACTGGAACTGTGTTAGGGCAAACCTGCCACACTCAAGCTTTGTCTCAGGAAAATAGACTCCCTGATGAAAGGCAGAAAGAAATTTGTCCTCTCTCTGTCTCTGATTCAAACAGTGAGGATGAGTTCCAACTAGTACTTAATGAGTAGCTAGGCAGTGTCCCTTTTACCCCAATGGTACTGACATGAGTGGATCAGCATGCTGAGTTTTCCTTCTACGGACTGCCACACTCCATTCTCCCCAAACTTTACACTTAGTGATGGACACTACCAGGTAAGAGCTGGACATGGGGCAGGGAACCACTTTAGGGAGCACACCGCATTCTGAGATGTGTAACTCAGACAATACTTACCGATATGGACAGCGACTGGAATACTGGTAGCGGTGTTCATCAGGAATTGCAGTTTTTATACACAATATATACAAAGTATATATCGGTCAAAGTACTAGAGAGTTGGGCAACGATAGGAGAAGCTACTACTTTATACTGGTTATATGGTCAAAACAAATAGTTCACAATGAAGATGTAACAGATAAGAACAGTTATGCAGCAAGTAATATTGCATCAAAATTTACAAAGTAAAAAATGTTACAAAACACATGGAGACATTGTGAGTAAAAGTATTTAGCATATTTCTCTGGGTCACTGTTAGATCAAGTAGCAAAAAATAAAAACATATATGGAAATTTGAATGAGAAATTAATAAAGGATTTAATAGAGACATAAGCTGTACCCTACAAAAAGAGAACATCATATGTCTAAGTCTCTAGAGTTCATAGAGCATTTACTAAAATCAATTGTTTTTTAGGTCAAATACATACATCTTAAATTAAGTATCCCAAAACAGAAATTATAAAAGTCATATTTCTGACTATAAAAGGAACTTTTAAAATCACATTTAAAAATGTTCTAAGAGACCTGGCCTGGTGGCTCATACCTGTAATCCCAGCACTTTGGGAGGCCAAGGTGGGTGGATCTCCTGAGGTAAGGAGTTCGAGACCAGCCTTGCCAACATGGTGAAACCCTGTCTCTACTAAACAAACAAAAAAAAAATTAGCCAGGCGTGGTGGTACACACCTGTATTCCCAGCTACTTTGGGGGCTGAGGCAAGAGAATCGTTCGAACCTGGGAGGCGGAGGTTGCAGTGAGCTAAGATTGTGCCACTGCACTCCAGCCTGGGTGACAAAACCACATTTTCAAATACAAACATTACAAATTATGATAGTCAAAAGGGTGGCTTGTATGTGTTCCAGCTTCCTCTTCTTGCCTTAAATTCCTGAAATGACCAAATATTTTGAAAAATATTAAGTTATATCTCTATCTATCTATTAAAGTTTTATCTATATTGATCGATTGATAGATCCATAACACACTAAAAGGCAAGGGGACCTTTAGGGGACTGAAACCGAGAAGCCTCTGAAATCCAGAAAGGGACTCACCTATGACAGAATACTGGCCTCCCAAAGATGTCTACTTCTAATCCCCCAACTTGGTGAATATGCTATGTTACATGGCAAAGGAAAATTAATGTTGTGGATGAAATTATAGTTGCTAATCAACTGATCTTAAAATAGGAAGATTATCCTGAATTACTTGGGTGGCCCCAGTATAATCACAAGCACCCTTAAAAGTGGAAGAGGAAGGCAGAGAGGATGTCAGGGTGATGTGATATGAGAAGAACTTGGCCCATCCTTGCTGGCCCTGAAGATAAAGGAAGGGGACTATGAGTCAAGAAATGTGAGCAGCCTCTAGAAGTTTGAAAAGGCAAGTACCTGGATTCCCTCCTAGAGCCTCCAGAAAGAATGCAGCCTTGCCAGTCCCTTGATTTTAGCCAACAAGACCTGTGTCAGATTCCTACCCTACAGAACTGTAAGATAATAAATGTATATTGTTTTAAGCCACAACGTTTGTGGTAATTTGTTACAGCATCAACAGAAAATTAGTAGAGACTGGGGCCAGGCATGGTGGCTTACCTCTGTAATCCTAGCACTTTGGGAGGCCGAGGTGGATGGATTGCCTCAGGTCAGAAGTTCGAGACCAGCCTGGCCAACATGGTGAAACCCTGTCTCCATTAAAAATACAAAAATTAGCCGGGTGTGGCAGTGGGTGCCTGCAGTCCCAGCTATTCAGGAGGCTGAGGCAGGAGAATCACTTGAACCCGGGAGGTGGAGGTTGCAGTGAGCTGAGATTGTGCCGCTGTACTCCAGGCTGGGCCACAGAGCGAGACATCTCAAAAAAAAAAAAAAAAAAAGAAAAGAAAAGAAAATTAGTAGAGACTGGTTTGATCCAGCATCCCAACAAGCAGGCTATGAAAATAGATCAACAAGCACTCTCACAAGAAGGCTTAAACACAGTTGCACAATCAAGAAGCATGATACTGCAGAAAGCAAGTACCATAATAGAAAGGAGCCAAACTCAAGATATGAAAGAAGTTAATACTCAACTAAACAGAAATAAAAGAGCAGAATAGGCATTTATAATAGATATCTTCAGAAAGAGGAGAGATTCTTTTAAAAATAGAGTAAGAATCATGGAAATTATAGACAATTATTGAAAAGAAAAATTCACTGGATGACTTGAGTTGCAAATAGCACCACTAATGAGAAAATTAATGATAGAGAAGACCAAGGAGAATTTTCCCAAACTCACCAGGGGAGGCCAAAGAGACAGAAAACATACTAAAATGCTAAAAGACATGGAAGACAGATCCATATCTGAATTCCCAGAGGATGGAGAGTTTAAAAAGAAATTAACTCTAAAATAATAAAATACAAGAAGGATTATTTAGCAAAGAAAAGTAGTAAAATTTAGTGCTAAGTACCAAAAAGTATTGATGACAAAAATCTTAATAGAAATCTCGAGCTAAAAACTGCCAATGATAAGAAGGGAGAAGGGAGTTGGCTGAAGGTGGGGTAGGGAGGGAGAGAGTGCACTAAAACCATGTAAGATAGTTGTCTAATTGAAAGGAAGCTATAGATGCCAATTAACTCCTGATGTTGTTAGAAAAATATTTGTAAGTATATATATTATAAAATTAAGAGTAATTATGAGAAAATACAAATAAAAGGGATAAATTTCAGTCATTTATGGGGAAGGGATAGAGCTCAGAATAAAGAAACCCCAATCAATCTAGCTGTGTCCTGAAGAAAAAATATAATGAGTAATTAGGATGTTTCTGAGATTGTAGAAATGGTCTATCATTAACAAGTCTATAACAATAATTCAATTGAGTAAGTCAAACAAGAAAAATAGATGAGCATCTCTATAAAGGTGAAAAATTCACTTGATAAAATTCAGTCCTCATCTTTGATTAAATACAACTATAGGTATTTAAAAAATACTTTGAAAACTTTATAAAGAATACCTCAAATATCTAACTTTAATCAATATTCCACCCCAAGGCATTCCTGTTAAAGTCAACATCAAGAATGCACACATTAGGGGGGGTGGTTCCAAGATGGCCAAATAGGAACAGCTCCAGTCTATAGCTCTCAGCATAAGTGATGCAGAAGATGGGTGATTTCTGCATTTCCAGCTGAGGTACCGGGTTCATCTCACTGGGGCCCGTCGGACAGTGGGGGCAGGACAGTGGGTGCAGCTCAATGAGTGTGAGCCGAAGCACGGTGAGGCATTGCCTCACCCGGGAAGCACAAGGGGTCAGGAATTCCCTTTCCTAGCCAAAGGAAGGGGTGACAGATGGCACCTGGAAAATTGGGTCACTCCCACCCTAATACCGTGCTTTTCCAACGGTCTTAGCAAACGGCATACCAGGAGATTATATCCCGCACCTGGCTTGGAGGGTCCCACACCCACGGAGCCTCGCTCATTGCTAGCACAGCAGTCTGAGCTCAAACTGCAAGGTGGCAGTGAGGCTGGGGGAGGGGCGCCAGCCATTGCTGAGGCTTGAGTAGGTAAACAAAGCAGCCAGGAAGCTCAAACTGGGTGGAGCCCACCACAGCTCAAGGAGGCCTGCCTGCCTCTGTAGACTCCACCTCTGGGGGCAGGGCATAGCCCAACAAAAGGCAGCAGAAACCTCTGCAGACTTAAATGTCCCTGTCTGACAGCTTTGAAGAGAGTAGTGGTTCTCCCAGCACAGAGTTTGAGATCTGGGAATGGACAGACTGCCTCCTCAAGTGGGTCCCTGACCCCCATGTAGCCTAACTGGGAGGCACCCCCCAGTAGGGGCAGACTGATACCTCACATGGCCAGGTACCCCTCTGAGACAAAGCTTCCAGAGGAACGATCAGGCAGCAACATTTGCTGTTCAGCAATATTCGCTGTTCTGCAGCCTCCGCTGCTGATACCCAGTCAAACAGGGTCTGGAGTGGACCTCCAGCAAACTCCAACAGACCTGCAGCTGAGGGTCCTGACTGTTACAAGGAAAACTAACAAACAGAAAGGACATCCACACCAAAAACCCATCTGTACGTCACCATCATCAAAGACCAAAGGTGGATAAAACCACAAAGATGGGGAAAAAACAGAGCAGAAAAGCTGAAAATTCTAAAAATCAGAGCACCTCTCCCACTCCAAAGGAACGCAGCTCCTCGCCAGCAACGGAACAAAGCTGGAGAGAGAATGACTTTGACATGTTGAGAGATGGCTTCAGACGATCAAACTTCTCCAACTAAAGGAGGAAGTTCGAACCCATTGCAAAGAAGCTAAAAACCTTGACAAAAGATTAGACGAATGGCTAGCTAGAATAAGCAGTGTAGAGAAGTCCTTAAAGGACCTGATGGAGCTGAAAACCATGGCACTAGAACTATGTGACGAATGCACAAGTTTCAGTAGCTGATTTGATCAACTGGAAGAAAGAGTATCAGTGATTGATGATCAAATGAATGAAATGAAGTGAGAAGAGAAGTTTAGAGGAAAAAGAGTAAAAAGAAACAAACAAAGCCTCCAAGAAATATGGGACTATGTGAAAAGGCCAAATCTATGTCTGATTGGTGTGCCTGAAATTGACGGGGAGAATGGAACCATGTTGGAAAACATTCTGCAGGATGTTATCCAGGAGAAATTCACCAACCTAGCAAGGCAGGCCAACACTCAAATTCAGGAAATACAGAGAACACCACAAAGATACTCCTCCAGAAGAGCAACTCCAAGACACATAATTGTCAGATTCGCCAAAGTTGAATGAAGGAAAAAATGTTAAGGGCAGCCAGAGAGAAAGGTTGGGTTACCCACAAAGGGAAGCCCATCAGACTAACAGCTGATCTCTCGGCAGAAACTCTACAAGCCAGAAGAGAGTGGGGGCCAATATTCAACGTTCTTAAAGAAAAGAATTTTCAACCCAGAATTTCATATCCAGCCAAACTAAGCTTCATAAGTGAAGGAGAAATAAAATCCTTTACAGACAAGCAAATGCTGAGAGATTTTGTCACCACCAGGCCTGCCCTAAAAGAGCTCCTGAAGGAAGCACTAAACATGGAAAGGAAGAACCGGTACCAGCCACTGCAACAACATGCCAAAATGTAAAGACCATTGATGCTAGGAAGAAACTGCATCAACTAACGAGCAGAATAACCAGCTAACATCATAATGACAGATCAAATTCACACATAATAATATTAACCTTAAATGTAAATGGGCTAAATGCTCCAATTAAAAGACACAGACTGGCAAATTGGATAAAGAGTCAAGACCCACCAGTGTGCTGTATTCAGGAGACCCATCTCACGTGCAGAGACACACATAGGCTCAAAATAAAGGGATGGAGGAAGATCTACCAAGCAAATGGAAAACAAAAAAAGGCAGGGGTTGCAATCCTAGTCTCTGATAAAACAAACTATAAACTAACAAAAATCAAAAGAGACAAAGAAGGCCATTGCATAATGGTAAAGGGATCAATTCAACAAGAAGAGCTAACTATCCTAAATATATATGCACCCAATACAAAGAGACTTAGACTCCCACACAATAATAATGGGAGACTTTAACACCCCACTGTCAACATTAGACAGATCAACGAGACAGAAAGTTAACAAGGATATCCAGGAATTGAACTCAGCTCTGCACCAAGCGAACCTAATAGACATCTACAGAACTCTCCACCCCAAATCAACAGAATATATATTTTTCTCAGCACCACACTGCACTTATTGATAACATAGTTAGAAGTAAAGCACTCCACAGCAAATGTAAAAGAACAGAAATTATAACAAACTGTCTCTCAGACCATGGTGCAATCAAACTAGAACTCAGGATTAAGAAACTCACTCAAAACCACTCAACTACATGGAAACTGAACAACCTGCTCCTGAATGACTACTGGGTTCATAAAGAAATGAAGGCAGAAATAAAGATGTTCCTTGAAACCAGCGAGGACAAAGACACAACATACCACAATCTCAGGGACACAGTTAAAGCAGTGTGTAGAGGGAAATTTATAGCACTAAATGCCCACAAGAGAAAGCAGGAAAGATCTAAAATTGACACCCTAACATCACAATTAAAAGAACTAGAGAAGCAAGAGCAAACATATTGAAAAGCTAGCAGAAGGCAAGAAATAACTAAGATCAGAGCAGAACTGAAGGAGATAGAGACACAAAACACCCTTCAAAAAATCAATGAATCCAGGAGGTGGGTTTTTGAAAAGATCAACAAAATTGATAGACCTCTAGCAAGACTAATAAAGAAGAAAAGAGAGAAATATCAAATCAACGCAATAAAAAATGATAAAGGGGATATCACCACTGATCCCACAGAAATACAAACTACCATCAGATAATACTATAAACACCTCTATGCAAATAAACTAGAAAATCTAGAAGAAGTGAATAAATTCCTCGACACCTACACTCTCCCAAGACTAAACCAGGAAGAAGTTGAATCCCTGAATAGGCCAATAACAGGCTCTGAAATTGAGGCAATAATTAATAGCCTACCAACCAAAAAAAGTCCAGGACCAGACGGATTCACAGCTGAATTCTACCAGAGGTACAACTAGGAGCTGGTACCATTCCTTCTGAAACTATTCCAATCAATAGAAAAAGAGGGAATCCTCCTTAACTCATTTTATGAGGCCAGCATCATCCTGATACCAAAGCCTGGCAGAGACACAACAAAAAAAGAGAATTTTAGACCAATATCCCTGATGAACATTAATACAAAAATCCTCAATAAAATACTGGCAAACTGAATCCAGCAGCACATCAAAAAGCTTATCCACCATGATCAAGTGGGCTTCATCCCTGGGATGCAAGGCTGTTTCAACATACGCAAATCAATAAATGTAATCCAGCATATAAACAGAACCAAAGACAAAAACCACATGATTATCTCAATAGATGCAGAAAAGGCCTTTGACAAAATTCAACAGCTCTTCATGCTAAAAATTCTCAATAAATTAGGTATTGATGGGACGTATCTCAAAATAATAAGAGCTATTTATGACAAACCCACAGCCAATAGCATACTGAATGGGCAAAAACTGGAAGCATTCCCTTT
The DNA here is from genome assembly GCF_000001405.40 of Homo sapiens. Lineage (NCBI taxonomy): Eukaryota > Metazoa > Chordata > Mammalia > Primates > Hominidae > Homo > Homo sapiens. The sequence goes on from NC_000004.12 coordinate 38,851,309, forward strand.
GAAAACTGGCACATGACAGAGATGCCCCCTCTCACCACTCCTATTCATATTCAACATAGTGTTGGAAGTTCTGGCCAGGGCAATCAGGCAAAAGAAAGAAATAAAGGGTATTCAATTAGGAAAAGAGGAAGTCAAATTGTCCCTCTTTGCAGATGACATGATAGTATATTTAGAAAACCCCATCGTCTCAGCCCAAAATCTCCTTAAGCTGATAAGCAACTTCAGCAAAGTCTCAGGATACAAAATCAATGTACAAAAATCACAAGCATTCTTATACATCAATAACAGACAAACAGAGAGCCAAATCATGAGTGGACTCCCATTCACAATTGCTTCAAAGAGAATAAAATACCTAGGAATCCAACTTACAAGGGATGTGAAGGACCTCTTCAAGGAGAACTACAAACCACTGCTCAATGAAATAAAAGAGGACACAAACAAACATTCCATGCTCATGGATAGGAAGAATCAATATCATGAAAATGGCCATACTGCCCAAAGTAATTTATAGATTCAATGCCATCCCCATCAAGCTACCAATGACTTTCTTCACAGAACTGGAAAAAACTACTTTAAAGTTCATATGGGGTCAAAAAAGAGCCCATATTGCCAAGTCAATCCTAAGCCAAAAGAACAAAGCTGGAGGCATCATGCTACCTAATTTCAAACTATACTACAAGGCTACAGTAACCAAAACAGCATGGTACTGGTACCAAAACAGAGATATAGATCAATGGAACAGAACAGAGCTCTCAGAAGTAATACCACACATCTACAACCATCTGATCTTTGACAAGCCTGACAAAAACAAGAAATAGGGAAAGGATTCCCTATTTAATAAATGGTGCTGGGAAAACTGGCTAGCCATATGGAGAAAGCTGAAACTGGATCCCTTCCTTACACCTTATACAAACATTAATTCAAGATGGATTAAAGACTTAAATGTTAGACTTAAAACCATAAAAACTCTAGAAGAAAACCTAGGCAATACCATTCAGGACATAGGCATGGGCAAGGACTTCAAGTCTAAAACACCAAAAGCAATGGCAACAAAAGACAAAATTGACAAATGGGATCTAATTAAACTAAAGAGCTTCTGCACAGCAAAAGAAACTACCATCAGAATGAATAGGCAACCTACAGAATGGGAGAAAATTTTTGCAATCTACTCATCCAACAAAGGGCTAATATCCAGAATCTACAATGAACTCAAACAAATTTACAAGAAAAAAATAAACAACCCCATCAAAAAGTGGGCGAAGGATATGAACAGACACTTCTCAAAAGAAGACATTTATGCAGCCAAAAGACACATGAAAAAATGCTCATCATCACTGGCCATCAGAGAAATGCAAATCAAAACCACAATGAGATACCGTCTCACACCAGTTAGAATGGCGATCATTAAAAAGTCAGGAAACAACAGGTGCTGGAGAGGACGTGGAGAAATAGGAACACTTTTACACTGTTGGTGGGACTGTAAACTAGTTCAACCATTGTGGAAGACAGTGTGGTGATTCCTCAGGGATCTAGAACTAGAAATACGATTTGACCCAGCTATCCCATTACTGGGTATATACCCAAAGGATTATAAATCATGCTGCTATAAAGATACATGCACACACATGTTTATTGTGGCACTATTCACAATAGCAAAGACTTGGAACCAACCCAAATGTCCATCAATGATAGACTGGATTAAGAAAATGTGGCACATATACACCATGGAATACTATGCAGCCATAAAAAAGGATGAGTTCATGTCCTTTGTAGGGACATGGATGAAGCTGGAAACCATCATTCTCGTAAACTATCGCAAGGACAAAAAACCAAACACCGCATGTTCTCACTCATAGGTGGGAAATGAACAATGAGAACTCTTGGACACAGGAAAGGGAACATAACACACTGGGGCCTGTCGTGGGGTGGGGGGAGGGGGGAGGGAAAGCATTAGGAGATATACGTAATGTAAATGACGAGTTAATGGGTGCAGCACACCAACATGGCACATGTATACATATATAACAAACCTGCATGTTGTGCACATGTACCCTAGAACTTAAAGTATAATAATAAAAAAAAAAGAATGCACACATTGTTCTTTCCGGAAGTTTTAACCACTGTAATAAAGAAAAAAAATGACAGGAAGAAATACTGAAATGAAGAAAGAAAATCATTATTATTTTTAGATTATAAGACTGTCAATGTGGAAAGCCAAAGAGAAGTCATTGAAAAAATGTTAGCACCAATAAAAGACTACAATAAAGTGGCCGTCACAAAATAAATTATTATCATTACTATTTTCTTAAACACTTTCTTTTTAAGAGACAGGGTTTTGTCCCACTGCCCAGGCTGGAGTGCAGTGGCACAATCATAGCTTAAGGTCCTGGGCTCATGCCATCCTCTCACCTCAGCCTCCCACGGAGCTGGGGTTACAGGTACAAGCCACTGCTCCTGGCAAAAATAAATTCTATTTTGAAAACAAATCCCTCAATTATCCAAAAATAGCAGGTTATCAAATAAATTTTAGTATCTCTGTATAATTAAATAGTACTATGTAGCCTTTAAAAATAATAAAAATCGAATTGCATGAAAATATTTTCACTATATGTGACAAAAAGCAGTTTATTTAAAAAGTACCAAAGTAAATATGTACCTATGCAAGTAGAAAAATTAATAAGATACATACCAAGATATGAACAGTAATTATCTTTGCACAGTAAGATTATAATGGAACTTTATTTTCCTCTTAGTTTTTATCTATATTTTTCAAACTTTTAACATTCAAAATTAAGTTTACTGTACTATTTACTGAATAATTTGCCAAAAATCAATTGCCAATAATATGAATAATGTGCAATCTCACAAAAAATAAAACAGCACGTTAAATCAAAAAAGCACATAACATCTAGATGAAACTCATGATCTTGGATTAGATCTCAGTTAAGACAGACTTGCTATAAAACATATTCAGTAACAGAAGGAGGGGCAGATTCTATGATGGACCAGCCATTAGATGCTATTAAGAAATAAATTGTAATTTTTTATAATGTTATTTGGCTATTTTAGGAAAATGTAATTTTTTTAGAGATAGAGAATAAAGCTTTTAGAAATAGGTTTCCAGAATGCCTGTTATTTTTACTATAAGATATTTAAGCATAAAAAGAGGAAGGGGGTCAAAGGAGGACTCTTGTTTCTTAAAAGATTTTTTAAAAGGCAAGATTTTTTTTTCACCTATCAAATAGGGAAAATTAAAAAATATAATATCCAGGTTGGTAGGTGGAAACTAAAATAAGAACCCTCATTTACTACTTAGGCAGGAATGAAAAATTAGTACAAGCTTTCTAAAGGGTAATTTGGTAATTTACATAAATTTCTTAAAAATATACCTTCCTTTATTTTAGCAATTCCACTACAAGGAATTTTCTAAAGAAATAGTCAAAAATAACACACAGAAGATATGACTATAAGGATACTCATGACATAATGAAATATTGAAAAAATCAGAATGTCTAGTGTAGAAAATGATTAAATCAGTTATGTATAATTAAATAATAGCCTCAAATACTGTACTTTGAAAAAATGATAATGTTAAATGAATACAGTAATAGAAAATTATGGCCGGGCGCAGTGGCTCACGCCTCTCATCCCAGCACTTTGGGAGGCCAAGGCGGGTGGATCACGAGGTCAGGAGATCGAGACCATCCTGGCTAACGGTGAAACCCCGTCTCTACTAAAAAAAAATACAAAAAAATTAGCCGGGCGTGGTGGCGGGCGCCTGTAGTCCCAGCTACTCGGGAGGCTGAGGCAGGAGAATGGCGTGAACCCGGGAGGCGGAGCTTGCAGTGAGCCGAGATCGTGCCGCTGCACTCCAGCCTGGGCGACAGAGCAAGACTCCGTCTCAAAAAAAAAAAAAAAAAATTATATATGTAGTAAGACTCTAATTTTGCAAAATATGATTAAAACCTGACATATACGTAAAAGCTAGAGGACAAACAATGTGATGAAATATACCAAATACTAATAATAGTGGTTCTCTGAATCTCTGAATTATAGATGAATTTAATTTTCTTTCTTATACTTTCAGATATCCCTAAAATGTCTCATTTTGAATGTCCTTTATAATCCAAAAAAGTTATCGTAAGGCAATTTAAGAGTTGTCTTTATAGCTGTGTGAAAATATTTTATATTTAAAGAAACGTGCTTGTTTTATTTGGAATATTAAAATATAAAGATGGAGAACTTTCAGATAATAGTAGATAACTGGCATTCACAGATGAGGACCTACCCTACAGGTCCCCGGCAACCAGACCCACGGTGTCTGGGTTCATGGGACTGAAAATCAGTCACCAGGTGGAAAAGCTGGTCAGCTGTCCTTATGGTATCCTGCCACAAAAACGCAATATTCCTCCAGAGGCGTTCATACCCTGAGGCAGTTCCTAGGGAATACACTAAATGAACAAGATAGTAACTTTTCTATTTATTGGGAAAAAAGGAGGGAAAAATGGGAAGATGAGAGTGGAAGATTAGAGAGTTCACAGTTTTTTAAAGAAAGTAAAAATAAACAGGTAAATGCTCTTGATTTTTTAAATGCATCAAATAAAAAGGGTGAGGAAATAGATGAAATAAGCTACATTTCAGAAAAAAAGGGTAGACAAGACCTATGAAAATTAAAACTACAAGGAAGAAGAGAGCAGAAAAAAAATTAAGTGAAATAAGTGGAGGAAAGATCACATAATCAAGTTAACAAATAGGCAAGAAAAACATTGTTTCATTTGTCAAACTGAAGGTGGAAGGACCTGGAGGAAGGCAATTGCTACACTGTGCCAGATTCAAGCTTGTGAAGGGGCTTGGTCCCGGCCACTTCCTCCATTTAATAAATGTTTATTCAGAGTCTATTTTTCTGCCAGTGCCATGCTACGCACTAGGCACCAGGGATATAAATATGAATAGGACTGACATAATTCCTGCTTTCAAAAAGCTTATGAATTAGGGACAGACACAGACCAGCAAACTGTTACAGTGACAAACGACAAGGGAGATCAAACACACGTCTGCTGTAAAAACATATAATAAATAGGTGCCATATCAGTGGTATATAAAAATTACTGTTAAATGTTACTGAAAACAATAAACTAGAGAAAGACGAAAAGAGAAAATTCGCTGGGCCAAATCAGAAGAAATAAATAACATTAGTTTTGTTCCTTAATTATCACCACAAGCGCTAGTTGTTTTCTATCTTTTCAAGACAGCTGTAAAGACGCTGCTCTTCATCCTGCTCGTGAAATTCAAAGGACATTTGCAACATCTACAAAAAAAACCACTTCAAATCATTTTGCAAAAATTTCAAGGAAACATTACCTATTTCCTATATAATGAATGGTTAGCAAACTTGCTTACTTGAAGCACCTGTGCCATAATGTGAAAAAGCCACAGAAGTCTTTCTACTTACCAAGATCTCTTTTTCAGAAGAAGAGAAAATAACTTGTAAATGAACGGAAATACAATTGAAAATGCTTGACAAACACAAGTTCTTAAAGTTGAGTAAAGCGGTACCTTAGAAACAGATTGGTGCCATCTGTTGGCCCACACTGGAATTACTCCTACGTATATTTTTACCTTTCAAAGGTCCGGAGGTGAGTTAGCAGTTTTTTCTGGGCTACAGACAAAACCAGTAATCCAATTTTCTAATTCGTGTGAGGAAGCAACTTACAAACAATTCAATGTGAAGAAAAATATTTTTCTAAGGTAATATTTCTCTGTAAGAGTTTGCAGCCTGGTTATTACATTTGTCACCTGAGTGGAAAGTTATTTTAAACAGCCTGTTTTCTATTATCACCATATTTAACATTTCAAGAATAATTGCAGTTTCCCTTATCAAGCAATTTTGAGCATTATTTTAGCTGGATGAGATAGTTTAAAATAAAATAAGTATAGTTCCACAATTTGGGTTTTTTTTTAAAAATCAACTTCTAAGGAAAGTTTACTGGTTGATACATATTTATGACTACATATTTAGCCATATGTACGAGCAATCATACCCACATTCTGATCAACATTTGGTGTTATTAAATGGTTTAGATTTTAATTTAGGAATAATAAATAACACTGAAATCCTGCAAGACTAATTTAAAAATCAATTTTCTAAAGACCATTTAGAAGAATTTCAGAATGACATCAACAAAGGCTGATTACCAGAAGTCTCTGGTTAAACAGAGACTTCTGGTGGACAGTAAACCCTTTTCCCCAGACTTCTTGCTTAACTGAGTTCTGCAAAGGACAGAAGGCATGAGTGAAACAATCATTCTATAATTTATCTCACTGTCTGGCACAATCTCATCTTTATTAAAAAAAAAACAACAACAAGTTAAGACCTTACAATTTGGCTAATGACAAAGTTGGACATCTCCGTAAGAATCACTTCTGCTTTCAGGAGGAAGAGAAAGGCTGGCTTCTTGTGATTCATCCTTACTCATCAAACATAACAGGAAGTCTCCTCAGGCCTGGGGAGGCTCAGTAAGGAGTGGATGGATCTCTGCTCCACTGGCAAAAGGAGACAGCCAGAAAGCAGCAGGTATCTGTGACCCTGGAAAACCAGATTTGTGAAACAAGCCAAGGGAAAGGGCTGGCTGTGGCTCTGAGGGAATTTCAAGTAACCGTGGACTAAAGTCTTAAGAAAACAGACAACTATCACTGCAGATCTGGGCACATTGACATGTCTCATTAGGAGATTGCATCACAACACCAATGTTCAGAAACAAGGAGACTATTCTTGTCGAGGCTGTCATAACTCAGAAACGTCTGTAAGGGGATGACAAAAACACAAAAATCAAGTAATAGCGAAGATGGCAATGACAGTTAAGCAAACAAAGAAACAGACAGTACTGGGCCGAACCTCCACTTGGCCACTTACTGTGAGGCTTGGGACAAGTCCCTTAACCTCCATTTATTCATCCACAAAATGGGAGTACTTTTAGGAAAGATAATGAATTTAAAGTGGCTGGAATAGTGACTGACACAGAAGAGAAGTCATAATAGTAAGGAGTTTGGTGCAAATCATATAGTTTTTTTGTATGCTGAGGGGTAAAGATTTCAGGATATACTATGAAGTGAAGAAAATCAAGGTGCAGGCTGGGCACGATGTCTCATGCCTGTAATCCCAGCACTTCGGGAGGCCGAGGTGGGTAGATCACCAGAGGTCAGGAGTTCGAGACCGGCTTGGCTAACATGGCGAAACCCTGTCTCTACTAAAAATACAAACATTAGCTGGGTATGGTGGCAGGCAACTGTACTCCCAGCTACTCGGGAGGCTGAAGCAGGAGAATCATTGGAACCCAGGAGGCAGAGGTAGCAGAGAGCTGAGATTGTGCCACTGCACTTCAGCCTGGGCAACAGAGTGAGACTCTGGCTCAAAAGAAAAAAGAAAGAAAGAAAGAGAGAGAGAGAGAGGGAGAGAGAGAGAGAGAGGGAGAGAGAGAGAGAGGGAGAGAGAGAGAGAGAGAGAGGGAGAGAGAGAGAGAGAGGAAGAAAGAAAGAAAGAAAGAAAGAAAGAAAGAAAGAAAGAAAGAAAGAAAGAAAGAGAGAAAGAAAGAAAGAAAAGAAAGAAAGAAAATTAAGGTGCAGAACTGTAAGAAGAGTATGACATCAATTGTATAAAATCTAGCCATTTACACAGGTTATCTTCTTGCCAGGCATTGCTGTGACTACTTTCCAAGTATTAACTCATTAAGGTGCTGTGAGATAAGTACTGTCACGTCATCTCCACTTAGCGCAGCTGGGTAATCGTTCCAGCTTGCACTGCTGGTCAGTGGTGGGGGTGGGATTCGAACCCAGGCAGTTTGGCCCCAGTGCCTATGCACTTAAGCATCATACTATGCTGCCTTAGAAGACACCCTGTGTCCTCATAAGACACACAGAGAAGAGAGATACAGAGAAGCAGAGCATTTGCAAACAGAGGCAGAGACTGGGGTATTGCAGTCACAATGCAAGGGATGTCTGGAGCCACCAGAGGCTGGAGAGAGCATCACCCTATGAACAGCTTGATTTTGAACTTCTAGCCTCCAGAACTCTGAGAGAATGAATTTTTGTTGTTTTAAGCCACACAGTCTGTGGTGATTTGTCATGGTAGCCACAGGAAACTTAATACAAGGGTCTACATACATATGTTGATAGAGGCATATGAATCTTTTTTTCTCAAAAGATACATAAGAAATGTTCACCTTTGAGCAGAAGAACTAAGAGAAATAGATTATTGGCCTTTTTTTTTTTTTTTTTGAGACAGGGTCTCGCTCTGTTGCCCAGGGTGGAGTGCAGTGGCGTGATCACAGCTCACTGCAGCCTTGACTTTCCCCACTCAGGCGATTCTCCCACCTCAGCCTCCCAAGGATCTGAGACCACAGGCATCCACCACCATGCATGGCTAATTTTTATATTTTTTTGCAGAGACAGGGTTTTGCCATGTCGCTCAGGCTGGTCTGGAATTCCTGGGCTCAAACAATCCGCCCACCTCAGCCTCCCAAAGTGCTGGAATTACAGGATTGAGCCACCCCGCCCGGCCTCTTCACCATTTTATGCTTTTTGTCCTATTTGAATTCTTCACTATATATAGATATGTATATATGTCTTAATTTTTAAAAAATAGTGTCACACTGGGTTAAGTATTATAAACATAATCTGAGGCCACCCAATACACTGTCCCAATACAGACACAGGCAAAACATTATTTTGATGACTTTTACTTGTTAAAAAATGTTGTCTTTCTCCAGATAATAAATAAATAAATAAATAAATATTAGTGTCTACCAACAGCTTTAAAGTAAGTTTTGTGACAATTATCAATATCATAAGATACACATACGACAGAGATAAGATTGATAATTTTGGCTGGGCGCAGTGGCTCACACTTGTAATCTCAGCACTTTGGGAGGCTGAGGCAGGCAGATCACCTGAGGTCAGGAGTTCAAAACCAGCCTGGGCAACATGGTGAAACCCTGTCTCTACTAAAAATACAAAAATTAGCTGGATGTGGTGGCTGGCGCCTGTAGTCCCAGCTACTCAGGAGCCTGAGGCACGAGAATCACTTGAACCCAGGAGGCGGAGGTTGCTGTGAGCTGAGATCGTGCCACTGCACTCAAGCCTGGGCAACAGAGCGAGACTCTGTCTCAAAAAAAAAAATGCTAATTTATATATTAAGTATTGATAGTAAACCTAAACTTCTCTGCTGAATTAAAAAAAAAAAAAAAAGACAAGCCGCAGACTGGGAGAAGGTATCTGCAACTTGTATAATCACAAAAGTGTTAATATACAAAATATATAAAGATTTCCTACAAATCAATTTTAAAATGACTAACAACCCCAATGCGGGGAAATGAGCAAAGGAGATCAACAGATGGATAACAGAAAAGGAAACAGAAATAGCTCAAACACATGGAAAGGTATGCATCCTCATTAGAACATGGGAAAATACAAATTAACACAACCAGGAGACACTATTGTACACCCCTAAGGTGGACAAAATTTAAAACATCTAGTAATACAAATGGTGGCCAGAACATGAAGAAACAGGAGCTCACATACATGTCCAGAGATGCTGATGTAAGTGGTCTGGGAGGGGCCGGGCATACGTTTTATTTTGAAAGCTCTTCAGGTGAGTCCATTTCATTGTAACCCCATGAAAATCAGGGGACTGAGACCTACACGCTGGCCTGAGCACAGCGCCCTCTAGTGGTCTATATCTTCTTGGGTGCACCCTTCACACACCAGAGCCTGGGAGGTGGTGCAGGTGTTCTTGACTCTCACTGCTACTTCCAGATCACTTTCCTTCCTCCAAACCCACCCCTTCTCATTGCAGTCATCTAGTGAGCCCCATCACTTCATCAAGTATTCTAGCAGTACTCACTATTTCAATCCGATACCACCCCTTTCATAATTCTAGTGATTTCCATAGCTACATAGAGACTCTTCCATTCACCTGGCCTCTGAGTTCTTGGACATTCTCTCTTCTAATAATCTTGTCCTGCACCCTACCTCAGTCATGCATTCCCTTATTATATCCTAGATATCATTATTAGCAATGGCTGCACCCCCTCCATAATCTCAGTTGCCTGAATCCCACTTTCCTTCTCTCACCTCCAACTCTTCCTCCAGTGCCAACGATTCCCCAGCCCCACTGCACTGGACTGAAAGATCATGCTCCATCCTCTTCATTATTCTTCTGCAGCTACTTACTCCTCTTTCCTCAACCCAGTTTAAATCCAGCTCTCCACTGGACTACACTGAGCTTGAGTGGCTGAATATAGTTGGAGAAAATACACACCCATGCTGACTGGCTTACTTGAAATGTATGACTAGATCCCAGCCTCAAGAGAGCAGCCATCCTCCTACCCTCCTTACTACCCTTCCCTAGCCCCTTCACTCTCCTGTTCTCCTCTTTCACACCTCCTCTTGTCTCTTTCACTTCCAAAATCTCCTTCTCGTGTCTAGGTCCTCTTTATCTCTCTGGCATGGATTACCCAAGGCTCAGATTTGGACCACTTCTTTTCTAAATCCATGCATTGTCATCTGGGTCCGTGGCTTCAAAACTATCTGCTTGCTGATGTCTCCTCAATTACCAGCTCCAGGCCAGACTTCCCTGAACTCCAGACTCTCACATTCAACAGCCTACTAAATAGTTGCTAAAACATTCTTGTTGAAAACCAACATTCTCACGCGATGATGCTTCATTTTCACAATGAAAATAGATGCTACCAGAGGAGCATTTCCACATCTTCCCCTGAAATTCTATAAGCCTCCCCTGCATGAGTTCTACCTGAACTCTTGCTGTCCTTCGGAATGAACTCTCTGTGCCAAGAGCCAGCCCCTTCCCACTGAGCACTGGGTCCCCTTCCTGCTCATCTACTCAAGGAAGTCACTCTTGCAATGATCTTCTCTCTACTGTATCAACATTTTTCTGCTCTGATGTATTATTCCAATCACATTTTTTTTTATTTTAGATAAGGTTTCACTCCCATCACCCTGGCTGGAGTGCAGTGGCATGATCTTTGGCTCACTGCAACCTTCACCTCCCAGGTTCAAGGGATTTTCTTGCCTCAGCCTTCTGAGTAGCCTGGATTACAGGTGTGTGCCATCACTCTCCGCTAATTTTTGTATTTTTAGTACAGACGGGGTTTTGCCATGTTGGCCAGGCTGGTTTTGAATTCCTGGCCTCAAGTGATCTGCCCGCCTCAGCCTCCCAAAGTGCTGGGATTACAGGCGTGTGCCACCACACCTGGCCCCAATCACCATTTTTTTTTTTTTTTTTTTTTTTGAGATGGAGTTTTGCTCTGTCACCCAGGCTGGAGTGCAGTGGTGCAATCTCAGCTCACTGCAACCTCCGCCTCCCAGGTTCAAGCAATTCTCCTGCCTCAGCCTCCCGAGTAGCTGGGACTACAGGCACGTGCCACCACGCCCAGTTAATTTTTTGTATTTTTAGTAGAGACAGGGTTTCACCCTGTTAACCAGGATGGTCTCGATCTCCTGACCTCATGATCCGCCCGTCTTGGCCTCCCAAAGTGCTAGGATTACGGGCATGAACCACTACACCCGGCCCCCAATCACATTTTAAAGCAATAATTTCTCCCATCTAAAAAAAAAAAAAAAAAAAAAAAACTCCCTTTGAATCCACAACCTTCCCCTCCTTGCTCCTCTATATACCAGAACTCCTTGCAAGAGCTTTTACTGACTATCTCTAATTGTTCTCCTCTCATTCTCTTAAATGTACTTCAGTCAGGTTTCCTTCCCCACCGGTCAGAAGAAATAGCTCTTTTCAAGGTCACCAATGATCACCACATTGCCAAATCCACGGTCAATTCTCAATTTTTAGCTTCTTTGAACTATTAGCAGCGTTTAACACAGTTGAAAGATCCTGAAATGTTTTCTTGCCTGACTTCCTAGACCCCATATCCCACTCCCCACTCTCCCTTCCCTGAATTTCCTGCTAACTCATTGGCATTCCTTCCCAGTCTCCTTCTGGGTCCTCTTTATATCTCTGGCATGGAATACCCAAGACTTAGTCTTGGACCACATCTCTAACTCCATGCACTCTCATCCTGGTCCTTCAAACCAGGATGAAGTCCCAGACTTCCCTGAACTTCAGACTCACATTCAATAGCCTGCTAAATGCTTGCTAAACCATTACTGTTGCAAGCCAAATGCCTGAATCTTTACTACCTCTAACTCCAAACCTGCCCCCTCTTGCATCCTTCCTCATATCAATAAATGATATTTCTACTCTTCCAGTAGTGCAGACTAAAATCCTTGGAGTGATTAATGATTAATTTCTCTTTTGCTCAAACTCTACATTCAATCTATAGGCAAATTTTGTTGGATTTTTCTTTGAAATATGTCCATAAGCAAACACCTCTCATGTCCCCCACTACTCCCATGGTGGTCAAAAGCATCATCATCTTTCACCTGGATAACTGCAATGGCATCCTAACAGGTATGCCAGCCTCCATCCTTCTCTCCCCTCCCACCTTCACCCAATTCCAATATGACTAGAGTCAGATACTAGAATCATACTCAAAAGCCATAAGGGTGCCAGTCTCACTCAAAGTATAAACCAAAATCCCTCTGCCCATCTCTCAGCCTCCACTACCTCTATGGCCTCATTTTCTTCTACTCTTCCCCATCCTCCCTCTGCTCCAGCCACACTGGCCACCTTACCTTTCTGTGAATGCATCATCCATGCTCCCAAACTGCCTGAGACTGTCTACAGATATGGCCACTGTTCATTTCCCTACTTCCTTAAAGTCTACATTGCAATGCCACTTTATCAGTAAGGACTTCCTTGACCACAGTTGGTCCTACCCATCATTCCCTAAACCCTGTAGATTCTATAGCCTGCTTTACTCCACCACCTCATATAGACCCTCTAGTTAGGGTCTATCTCCCTTTCTGTGGAGTGTAAGTTCTTGAATACCAGGAGTTTGCTTTGCTTCTTTTGTACTCCAAGCACCTACAGCCGTATTTGGTACACAGTGCATGCTTTCAGAAAGGTTATGTTGAATAAATGGTTGACCCATAATGAAGGGCGACTCAGCAATGTCTAGTAAAGGGGAACCAGCTATTCCATTTTTTTCCTAGATACTAAAAAATATATTCAAAGGTGGCAATTGTAGCATTATATGTAATTGAGTGAAATATGAAGCACAATAAAGTAGATCAATCGGGAAATAAATTGTGGCATATTCATGCCCTCCTATGAAGACTTTGAAATGAATGTGCTAGAGCTACATGTGTGAATATGAATGATTCTCAAAAATATAATGCAAGTTAACAAGTGTACAGGATGTCCTTAATATTCTAAAACATTGAAAAACAATTATACGTGCATTTGTGGGTGAGGACATATGCAGCAAACATTTAGAAATATGAGTGAGGGGGGCTGTGCATGGTGGCTCACACCTGTAGTCCCAGTACTTTAGGAGGCTGAGGCGGGAGGATTGCTTAAAGCCAGGAGTTTGAGACCAGCCTGGGCAACACAGCAAGACCACGACTCTACAAAAAAATTTAAAAATTTGCTGGGTGCAGTGGCACCCTGTGATCCTAGCTCCTTGTGAGGCTGAGGCAGGAGGATTGCTGGAGCCCAGGAGTCTGAGGCCGCACTGAGCCGTCATCACACCACTGCACTCCAGCCTAGGTGACAGAGTAAGACCTCATTCCTAAATAAGAAAGAAAGAAATATGGGTGGGAGGGATATACAACCACCTCAAGAAAATGGCTACCTGCAGAGATGGTGGACAATGGAAGGGATAGGGTTTCAAACATATCCGTAACATTTTTTTCTTTGCAAAGAAAATTCTAAAATAAATACTGCAAAAAATTTTGTTAAATCTAGATATCATCATAGTATTTCCTATATTTTTTACACAAATAAGTATTTGTCATATTATTCTTTACTTTTCTATATATTTTAAATACTCCAGAAAATTTTTAAATGAACTTAAAATGTTTTACATTGCAAATAAATAAAATATCTGAAATAAAATCTGGTAGTCCTGGAAGCAGCTACATGAGTAAAAGGGACAAATTTGCAGTGGGCAAAACAAAAAACAAACTTGTTGCCAGGATAGTTTGCTTTATTTTCTTTATTGGATAGGTGTGGTTTGGGTCAAAGGAGAAGAGGAACTCAGCCCTTTAAAAAGAGAACATCTGATTGGGCTGTTACGGCACAGCAGGGAAGGGAAGGCAGGTTAGCAAAGGTGCTTGCTGTCTCTGGGCAGGAGCAGAAGTCCCAGGCACAGACGTCTGTGTATATGCTACACCAAAACACACCTGTTGCAACTGGAACATAATTTGATAACACTCGCAAAGCCAGAACTGGAAGGGACTGTGCCGAGCAATGCTCTTTATTTTAGAGGTGGAAAAACTGAGTTACAGAAGCCACGTGTTAGTTAAGGTTCAAAGTCTCGCTCAATTCAAAAAGGCTATTGATCTCAATTTAAAGCAGTTTCCACCCACTCTCACATTAAGATAACTTTCTGGTTTTTCTATGAATTTAAAAATGACAGGCTGGGTGTGGTGGCTCACGCCTGTAATCCCAACACTTTGGGAGGCCGAGGTGGGCAGATCACTTGAGGTCAGGAGTTCGAGACCAGCCTTGCCACCATGGCAAAACCCTGTCTCTACTGAAAACACAAAAATTAGCCGGGTGTGGTGGCACGCACCTGTAATCCCAGCTACTCAAGAGGCTGAGGCAGAAGAATCGCTTGAACCCAGGAGATGGAGATGGTGCCACTGCACTGCAGCCTAGGCCACAGATCAAGACTCTGTCCTCCTAAAAAATAAAATAAAATAAATATTCAGTAGCTTAAAAAATTATTAATATAAAAATATTTAATAAAAATATTAAATAAGAAATATAGCCAGGCACGGTGGCTCATGCCTGTAATCCCAGCACTTTGGGAGGCCGAGGTGGGTGGATCACCTGAGGTCAGGAGTTCGAGACCAGCCTGGCCAACATGGTGAAACCCCGTCTCTACTAAAAAATACAAAAATTAGCCGGGTGTGGTGGCACGCACCTGTAATCCCAGCTACTCAAGAGGCTGAGGCAGGAGAATTGCTTGAACCCAGTAAGCAGAGGCTGCAGTGAGCTGAGATCACGCCACTGCTTTCCAGCCTGGACGACAGAGCAAGACTCCATCTCAAAAAAATGAATTAATAAATTAATTAATATATATATGGAAGAAACTGGAATATAAGGAGCAAACTAATTGTCAATAGGAGAATGATTGAATGAAATATAATTACAAACATATTGCAATATATAAGACAAGTCTTAGAAGAGTGGTTTTGGTTGATATGTATTGACCAAGAAAGATGATTATAATATATAATAAATAGGGGGAAATTTACAAAATACGTCAACATCTCGCCATTTTTATAAAAAAGCAAACAAAAAGCTGTTTATGCATACATGTATTTATATAAGCTTAGAAAAACTATGGTAGGATCCACACACTATAAAAAATGGTAGTGATATTGAAAGGGAGAGACTAGGGCTATTTTTTCTTTAACTTTGAATTTATAATTCTTCAAAAAGAAGAAGGGATGGAGTGAGAGAGGAGAAAATCTGCCTTAAACACATCGCTCAGAAAGAATCACTATTTTTAAATTGTATTTCCTCCGACTTTTATAGAAAATACAAAATTGTTTACAAAACTAGTTAATACTATAAACACTGCGCTTCCTCCGCATCTGAGTTCATATTAAGCCATATTTGAGGAAGGCCTTCATATGTGGCCTTCCCTCCATGTCAACGAATCCTCATTTTTAAGGGCTACAACATATTCGATGTCTGAAGTTACTGTAGCTTACTTCACCAATCTTACTGGGGGACATTGAGATTGTCTCCGGCTTCCCCCCGCAGAAACAACTACAACAAACATCCTTGTACATACATATTTGCCCATTTGACTGCCTACTTAGGACAAATTCACAAATGTGGAATTCCTAGGCCAAAGCTAATACATCGGAGTTTTAACCCACAGCTCCAAACTGGCCTTCTGGAAAGTGGGTTTTCGTTGTTTGTTTGGGGTTTGTTTGTTTTAAATCTATCACACTCCCACCGACAGGGCAAGGGAGTGCTGCTTAACGCAGAATCAGGAGATCAAACTTTAGCTGAATTTGAGCGACCTCTTCCCAGTGACACGGCGGGGGGTTTTCCAAGCCCTTTTAAGGAAAGGAAAGGGATCTGGCGAACCCCGAGACCCACCCGCCCTGGGCTGGAGAGGCGGCGCGCTCTGGCTTTCCGCGCTGGCACAGGGGTGGGACAAGCCAAGTTTCCAGGAGACTCGCCCAGCGCGGGCCCGGCCCTCGCAGCGTGGGGGTGGCCGGGCGTCCCCGCGGCGCTCCTCGTGGGGCGGGGCGCAGGCGGGGCGGGGCCCCCTCTCCAGCCGCCCGCCCTCCGGCCGCGTCCCCGCCGGCCCTGCAGACGTGGCGGGGCGGGACCCGCTGGGCACTCCCGCGCGTACTCGGCCGCCTGAGCGGTAAGAGCCCCGGGCACTCGGTCCCCATCCCCTTCCCCGGGGGGCGGGCGAGCGCGGGGGCGGCTGCCCGGGGGTGGTGGGAACACCATACCTTGGCGCCTCGTCCGGGACCCACGAATCCTGCCCTCTGCGTTAGTGAGAAGCAGTGGTCAGGGAGGACCCGGCTCTGGGGTGAGGGTCTGGGGCGGCGCGGCCGAGGGACCTGCGTGGGTGCGGGCGTGTGAGTGTGTGTGTGTGAGTGTGTGTCGCTCCGGGTCCACGCTCATGCACACACCCACACGCCCACACTCAGGGTCTGCCCCCTCGGCCTGCGTGAACCTCCGCGGAGCCTGCCTGGATCTCCCAAAGTATCCAGTCCTGGCACCAAGCAAGTCTGGAAAAGTGCCCCCAATGGCTCGGGGCCAAGTCAGAGGTGGGCTGCAGGGTCCCCCAGCCCGGGCACGAAGGGAGCAGGTCCCTGTAAGACAGAGGCCTCGTCCCAGGGTGCGCCTGCCCTCGGCCTTGGCACAGGGAGCTCAGGCCTTGACCTCCCCGCTCCCCTCGCCTTACTCCTCCCCCAACAGCCGACCCACGCCCTGCCTGCTCTTCCAGTCCAGCCAACACTCTAAGCAGGCACCGCCTCCACTCGCAGCCCCCGGGATGGGTCCCACTCCCTACCGCAGATCCCCAGGCCCCCTCCACCCAGTCGGCTAGCCCTCGCCTCTGCCATCCGGTGAGTATTTCCAGGCACCTCAGACCAGGCGCCTGAACGTCACTGCCTTTTCTTAAGTAGGAAGACATCTCTCTATGGGCTGTGAGAGCATTACCTATGCCCTACTGATCCCATCATTTCCCATCCTAAACATCTTGAAGGACACAGGCAGGTGGCTTCTTAAATCAGTGTGCTCTGAACTCCCTGTGACCTCAGCCAACCTGTGACAACTGAGAATGAGACAGGCTCTATCCTCAGAGCCTCTTTTTGCCCTCTCTGCAGCCTAGTGGCTCCTTCCCTACCCCACCCATAGGCCTGCGTCCCCGCCCTCCTTTCTTCCATCAAGCCTGAGCTTGGGAAAGAATCTGATAAACTTCTTACATTGTAACCTTTAAGTGAAGGAATGAGACGTTAGGGATGGATTTGAGGCACAAGTGAGACAGTGCAGAAGGAATTTGAGGGTTGGAGGGGGCTTTCTTGAATCTGAGCGATTCAGACCATAAAAGTAAACTTGTCTTTGTTTATTTGACCAGGCTTACATCAAACATGGTTTCTCTTTTATTAATATCAAACACAATGTATTTCAATTCAGTAAATATCTGAGGGACAGAAACCAACCTAGGTGCTGTTGGTCACAGTCTTGGAGGACAGAATGGCAGAAGTAAATACTCCATAAATACATGGAATAGAAATCTGTGCAAAGTGCCAAAAACATAGAAGAGGTAGCAGTTATTTCATTGGAAGCAGTGGGGCAGATTAAGGAAAAATTCAGAATGAAAGGTAACATTAGACACTGGGTGTCTAGAGGAATAGGAGTTTGCCAGGCAGCTGGAGGAAGGGCAGCACCGGGGCAGAGGAACCAGCGTAAGCAAAGGCAGGGAGATGTGAAGAGTTATGGGGAATGGAGAAAAGACTGGTGAGGCAGGAGTGGAGGATACTGAGAGTTGCAAGAGGTGGAGAGAGATTGGAGCTGGATTATGATGGGAAGTGTGAAGATATTTACACCTAATGGTTTTTGAACAGGAGAGCAAATAGGTCCAAAAATGCCTGGCAGCCTCACAGAGAATAGGCTGGAGCCTGGGTACGTAGACTTGTCAAGCTTTATACAAACTCATACAAACTGCTACAACCTGATTAAGAGCCTCTCATCCAGAGTTTTTATTCCTGGTCCTTCGCTGACTGGCACTGTTTTTGTTTTTTTTTTTTAACTGGGGGAGATGACCTCACACAGGATATCATGCTAACCAAATTTTTATGCTGCCAAGTCAGGCCATTTTTTTTAAAAAAATCCATCCACTGTCACTATTTCATAAAATGAAAGACATTTTAATACCAAGAAAAAGCACAAAGGCTAAACTTGAAAGATGAAGGCAGTCCTTTACATTTAATAAATTTAGATTTATGAAAAACTTGCAATCTTGTCCTCATTTTTCTCTATCATCACAGACTTGCCCCAGTCCTGCAGGTGGAGTTTGGAAAAAAAAGCATCCAGATCAGTTTGTCCATCCTAGCTTTACAGAGGAGCAGGTGTAAGCACAGTGAGGATCAAGTTGTGTGCCCACAAAGGGATACTGGGACCAGAGGCCACATCCCTTGACGCCTGCAGGACACAACTCTTTCCACCTCAGAATACCATCGCTCCCACCTCTCATCATTCCTCCATGCAGCCTCATGTCCTGGCCTCTCAGACACCTGTCCTGAATCACTACAGTCCATCGCTGATGCTTGGACATTTGCACATGCTCTCATCCCACCAGGCCTGAATCACCACATCAAAGACACTTTCAAGATTCTCCCTTGCACAGGGTCAGTCTAGTTCAGGCACATCTGTCCTTGATTTGCTGTGCTGTTTTGCATCACTTTTTAACTGTTTTGTGTTAGCTCCTCAAACAGATGATTGATTTCTGAAGGATAGTGACCATGTCTTCTGTTTTATACTTATTTTTGGAGCTGTGATGTTGCTGCTTAAATACCTTGCATAGTTCTGGGAGCATTTTAGGTGATGAATGAATTTACTCACGAAAAACTAACTTATTCCCAGCCCACAAAGGCTTCTTTATATGCCACCCTTCCTCTCCTTAGAGTTTCCTGAAGCAGCCTCCTTGTTTCTGTGGGTTGAGTCTCCCTAGCCTCCAGTCCACGAGACATGGCTACAGTGATCAGTGTTCCTAACCATAAATCAGGAAAGGTTTCTAAGTCTGGCTTATGGAACACCCAGACGGAGATGGAAACCGTCCCAGGAAACACAGTGCTTGTCATGACTGTAATCCTGGTGGACTCCAGCAGCCCCTGCTCAGAAACAGTTCTGTATTTCAAACACACAGTTTCTAGTGGTTTCATACAAAAGGGTATAGTC
Organism: Homo sapiens; assembly: GCF_000001405.40. NCBI lineage: Eukaryota > Metazoa > Chordata > Mammalia > Primates > Hominidae > Homo > Homo sapiens. The sequence continues at coordinate 38,870,882 of NC_000004.12, forward strand.
TGAAAAATGATTACATTTCCCCCATCATGATAGCATCCACAGTCGATAAAGTTCTACCAGAACAACCAAACAAAAAATAATTTTTTTTCGTTTTGATTTGGGGAAAATTAGACCTGTAACAAGTAGAGATAAATATGGATTAGAGATACACACAATTAGAAATTGAATTAGAGCTGATCTTGCATGGCTTTCTTTTTTTTCTTTCTTTTTTTTTTTTTTTTTTTTTGCGACAGGGTCTCACACTGTCACCCAGGCTGGAGTGCAGTGGCATGATCCTGGCTCACTGTAGCCTCTGCCTTCCAGGTTCAAGCAATTCTCATGCCTCAGCCTCCAGAGTAGCTGGGATTACAGGCACATGCCACCATGCCCAGCTAATTTTTTTGTATTTTTAGTAGAGACAGGATTTCACTCTGCTGGGCAGGCTGGTCTGGAACTCCTGGCCTCAAGTGATCTGTCTGCCTTGGCCTCCCAAAGTGCTGGGATGTGAGCCACTATGCCTGACCGATGACCATTTTTAAATTTAACAGATGTAAAGATCTAGTATTAATAAAATTTATAAATTATCCATAAATATTTTAAACAATAATCTATAAATATTTTAAATAATAATCCATAAATATTTTTTGACAATAGTCCATAAATATGTTTTAACAATGCCTGTTTAACATCTTACAGCTGAGTTTCTGGGGTATTTCTGAAGGGATGGTTTGTGTTGGTTGAATGCAGAACAGCCACAGAGAGGAGTTTTACTGCAGTACTTTTTCTACATTTGGGATAAACTGACCTAAGGTAATTTGGCCATCAGAGATAGGTAAGGGCTCTAGGTTTCCTCCTCTGCAACTTCCCTACCAAGAGTTAAATTACCATGAATCCAAGTTCACTGATGGAATTCTGCCATAAACCCACACATGTATTAGCAAACAGGCTTAGTTAACCAGTCTGTTCTTATAAGCTCAAGGAAGTCCTAGCTCACTGTCCTTTTAGGCCTGTGTTCTAGAGGCAGGACTCAACTAAGCTTCTAGTCACCTTCAGGCTTTGGAGTCCTGCATTCAGCTAGAGAACCTAGAAGAACGCTACTCCAAAGGGTAAGTCAGCTGCTGGATTCAGTGCAATCTCATGTCTTGGGTATAGAAGCAGAGAAGGCACCTGTACGTTATTTCTTGTCGATCCACATACCTGAGGCATCTTTCATGTCACCAGTGAAAAATTATTTCTCATATCCCTTATGCTAATTAGCATACCCTGGAGTGCCCATCAGAGAAGACGGTAGATGAACCCTCTAAAAAGAGGTGGTCACCTCATTACGGATTTTTAAGTGCTTACTAAAGACCCCTGGATAGTATATTCCTGAATAAGGCACTTCAAATGTCATCCAGCCACCCTTAGGGCACAAATTAAAACTAAGTAACATGCACGTGTCACATAGTATATGCTGAACTATTTTAGGATACTTCATGAACAAGATAACAACACATGAGGGCAAGGCTTGTACATTTAGGCATCCATAATGGTTTTTATTTACCCATAAGTGTTTATCACAGCCAGATTTACTCTGATGTTCCTGCTTATAGAAAACTGAAATATTTTGGGACTTCCTAATAATCCAGATTAATAATAAGGATTTTCAAATTACCTTACAAAGAAATAAAAATATCAGACAATGTCTACCATCTACCGATTTAAAAAAATGAGAATAAAAGTGATGGCAAGGTATCATTTATTCATGAACCCATTCTCCTCATTGTTGTGTCCATACGACTCATGTGAGGATAATAAATTAAGACAGGGAAATCTTTAGGCCATGGCAATCAAGCAAAGTCCTAGGCCATGGGTAAGCAGACATTTTCGGAAACCGGCCAGATAGTAAATATTTTAGGCTTTGTGACTTTGCAGCCCATATGGCCTGTGTTGCAATGACTCAGCTCCGCTATTGTAGTGCCAGAGAAACCATGACGGTCCCATATGTAAACAAAGGGTGTATCTCTGGTCCAATAAAACTGTGTTTACCAAAACAGGCAGAGGACAAGAGTTGGCCAGCAGACTGGTTTGCCAACACCCTGTCCTAGGCTAGTCCTGATTCAGAGAGAGGTTTTCACAAAGATTTTGTAAACTTCCAAATGACAACAGCCTTTTTAGCAGCCCCCATCAATTCTACTCACCTCCCATAAACCACCCACAATACTACCCCTTCTCTATACAGTGGGTTTCTATCGTTCTTTACTATTTCAGCTAGGCTTGAACCTGGCTCCTTGACAGCCCACGGCCAACCTTGAATATCCTAAACTTTGTATACCAGCTCAAGGGAAGTCTGCATTCGTTGCCATTCTTACATGTAGACTTGTTTACAGGAATATTATCACTGAATTCAAGGTCTGGCAGATATTTTTGCTTACACAAATACATTCTAACTCAATTAACTGGGAGGTGAAGGAAAAAAGAAAGACAATACGGAAATGTCAAGTCATTTGGAACCATCTGCTGTAAGAGAGCTCCTGAGTGTCTGTACACAAATATTAATCTAACTCAACAGGCATATTTGTTGAGCTTCCTACTATGCACAGGAAGCCATGCCAAGTACTATGTAGAATATGAATACAAAACAAGGAAGGTCTTTGTCTTTATAGAATTTACAAATCATAGGAAAAACTGAAGCAACTCTAATCAAAGAGGACTTTAACTGTCTAAAGTAAGATAAACACAAAATGCCCTCAGAAGGGTTCAGAAGGAAAATGTTCAACCTGGAGGAACAAAGAATGGAGGAGGCGGTTATTTTAACTGGGTCTTCAATGTGCAAAAGAACAACATATGGAACTAACAGCCCCCGAGGGTCTCTTGTGGATGTGCCAGGCATTGCACAGATATTTACACTGTCTCATTTAAGGTTTTATAGGAAATCGTGGGAGGTAAGCCTGGTGGGATCAGAGCACAGAGGTCCCTGGATACTAGCTGAAGCATGTGGCCTCATCTCAGGAGGGAGAGGAAGGGGAAGCTCCTGAGGATGTGTGAGCAGGAGAGCCATGTAATTAGAGCCGTGAGGTGAAGGATGGGAAGTAAGGGGAAGAGCTGCAGTGAACAGGGGAACCCAATACTGAAATAGTCATCATGAACCATAATGAGGACCTTGCCATGAGAATAGGAGTAAAAGAATGTAGATAGATTCTCAATAAAGAGCCTCTAGGATTTGGCCACTGACTGAATGTAAGAAAAGAGGCAGATGGCATTGCTGATAGGGCTCTGATGTGGTTCAGTCTCAAAGTCAGACACGGGTTCAAATTTCAAATGTAGAATTTACTAAAAGTGTGACTTCTGAGCTTCAGTTTCCTCGTCTGTAAAATGGAGCTGATAACATTCAACTCACAGGAGATAATACATTTAAAGAGCATGGATACAGTAAGCACTCAATAAATGATAGCTGTTGATACTATATATTCTTGAGAGGGTGAAAGCGTGGTAAATGACAGCTCTGAGTTATTGGGAAAATCTATGTGTGAGATGGTGTCTCATTATGGTTTTTATTTGCATTTCTCTAATGATTAGTGGTGGTGTGCATTTTTTCATATGCTTGTTGGCCACCTATATGTTTTCTTTTGAGAAGTACCTATTTATGTCATTTGCCCATTTTTTAATGGTTTTTGTTTTGTTTTTTGCTTGTTGATTTAAGTTCCTTACAGATTCTGGATATTAGACCTTTGTCACATGCATAGTTGCAAATATTTTCTGCCATTATGTAAGTTGTCTATTTATTCTGTTGGTAGTTTCTTTTGCTGTGTAGAAGCTCTTTTGTTTAATTAGCTCCCACTTGTCAATTTTTGTTTTTGCTGCAATTGCTTTTGGAGTCTTTGTCATGAAATCTTTGCCAGGGCCGATATCCAGGATAGTGTTTCCTATGTTCCTAGGTTTTCTTCTAGAGTTTTTATAGTTTTGGGTTTTACATTTAAGTCTTTAGTCCATCTTGAGTTTATTTTTGTATATGGTATAAGGAAGGGGAACAGTTTCAATCTTCTGCATATGGCTGGCCAGTTATCCCAGCACAATTTATTGAATAGGGAGTCCGTTCCCCATTGTTTGTCATTGTTGGCTTTGTCAAAGATCAGATGGTTTAGGTGTGTGGCTTTATTTCAGAGTTCTCTATTCTGTTCTGTTGGCTTATGTGTTTTATTTTTGTGCCAGTACCATGGTGTTTTGGTTACTATAACCTTGTAGTATAGTTTGAAGTTGGGTAGTGTGATGTCTCCAGCTTTGTTCTTTTTGCTTAGGAATGCTTTGTCTATTTGGGCCCTTTTTTGGTTCCACATGAATTTTAGAATATTTTTTTCTAATTCTATGAAAAACATCATTGGTAGTTTGATAAGAATAGCATTGAATCTGTACATTGCTTTGGGTAGTATGGCCATTTTAACAATAATGATTCTTCCTATCCATGAGCATGGAAAATTTTTCCATTTGTGTCATCTCTGATTTCTTTGAGCATTGTTTTGTAATTCTCATTGTGGAGCTCTTTCATCTCCCTGATTAGCTGTATTCCTACGTATTTTGTTCTTTTTGTGGCTATTGTGAATGGAATTGCATTCTTGATTTCACCGTCAGCTTGGACATTATTGGTGTATAGAAATGCTACTGATTTTTGTACATTGATTTTGTATCTTGAAACTTTGCTGAAGTTGTTTATCAGATCTAGGAGCCTTTGGGCAGAGACTATGGGATTTTCTAGGTGTAGAATCATATCATCTGCAAAGATAGTTTGTCTTCCTCTCTTCCTATTTTATTTCGTTCTCTTGTCTGATTGCTCTGGCTAGGACTTCCACTATTGTGTTGAATAGAAGTAGTAAGAGTGGGTATCCTCGTCTTGTTCTGGTTCCTAAGGGGAATGCTTCCAGTTTTTGCCCCTTCGGTATGATGTTAGCTGTGGGTTTGTCATAAAAGGCTCTTATTACTTTGAGATATGTTCCTTCAATGCTTAGTTTGTTGAGACAGAACATTTTTATCACCACCGAAAGTTCCATTGAATAGTGCTGTTCTACATGATATCAATAATTTGTAAGCTTTAAAAGAGTTTTCTGCTTTAATGGCTACATTCCTTATTTGGTTTCTACCTCACTTCTTACCCTTTAAGTTTATCCTTGACTAAACCATGGTCTAGACCTTCATCAGCTGGTCCCCAACAAGGAATACTGTGTGTGTATAGGTCTCTTTCTCACTGTGAATTTCTGACAAAGATGTTACAAAGCTAAATGGCAAGTATTTTTTTTGATAAGTGCTCAGGTATTTTCTAGACTTATTCTTTTTTCTTTTTTTTTTTTTTTTTTTTGAGACGGTCTCGCTTTGTCGCCCAGGCTGGAGTGCAGTGACACGATCTCAGCTCACTGCAACCTCCACCCCCCAGGTTCAAGCAATTATTGTGCCTCAGCCTCCTAAGTAGCTGGGACTACAGGTGCATGCCACCATGCCCAGCTAATTTTTGTATTTTTAGTAGAGACAGGGTTTCACCATGTTGGCCTTGGCTGGTCTTGAACTCCTGGCCTCATGTGATTCACCCACCTCAGCCTACCAAAGTGCTGGGATTACAGGTGTGAGCCATTGCACCCTGCCTTCCTATGCTTATTCTCATTATTGCTACAAATATAATTAATAAAGCCAGAGTCAATAATTTTAAAGATACAGGTATTACTCTTAGTTCCCATAGGCGTAGTCTTTCATGCCAAGTAAGAGCTCCAGGAAAGTTTAAAGATAGCCCTGTAGGTTTCTGTTAGCTTCCTATCAGTGCTGTGACAAATTACAACTAACTTCACGGCTTTTGCCAACACAGACTTATTCTCTTGGAGTTCTGGAGGTCAGAAGTCTGAAATCAGTGTCCATGGGCTAAAGTCAAGTTGCTGGCAGCCTGATTCCTTCTAGAGTCTTTGAGGGGAGAGTGGTTTCTTTTCCCTTTTCAGCTTCTGGTGGCCACCCATATTCCTTGGCTTTGGGCCCCTTCCTTTATCTTTGAAGTGCGTCACTCCAGCCTCTGCTTCTGTCATCACATCACCTTTTCCTCTTTGTAATCAAATCTCCCTCTGCCTCCATATGATAAGGACACTTGTGATTACATTTAAGGCCAACTCAGATGATCTAAAATAATCCCCTCATCTCAAGATCCTTATCTTACTCACATCTGCAAGGTCCCTTTTGTTATGTAAGGTAACACTCACAGGTTCCAGGAATTGGGATGTGGTTATCTTGGGGGCCATTCATTATTCCAGCAGTCCCCAACCTTTTTGGCACCAGGAACTAGTTTTGTGGAAGACAATTTTCCCACAGATCAGCAGAAAGGGGTGCGGGGGAGATGCTTTTGGGATGATTCAAGCACATTACTATTGTGCACTTTATTTCTATTATTATTACGTTGTAATTTATAATGAAATAATTATACAACTCACCACAAGGTAGAATCAGTGGGAGCCCTGAGCTTGTTTCCCTGCAACTAGATGCTCCCACCTGGGGATGATGGGAGACAGATCATCAGGCATTAGATTCTCATAAGGAGTGCACAGCCTAGATCCCTCACACGTGCAGTTCACAATAGGGTTCATGCTCCTATGAGAATCTAATGCCACCACTGATCTGATAGGAGGCGGAGTTCAGGTGGTAATGCGAGCGATGGGGAGCAGCTGTAAATACAGAGGAAGCTGTGCTCACTCACCTGCCACTCACCCACTGCTGTGCAGCTTGGTTCCTAACAGGCCATGGACTGGTACAAGGAATAATGCAGGGTTGGGGACCCACAAGGTTACATAGAGTATTGGTTAAAAAAAAGTTTGCCCTGGCCGGGCGCGGTGGCTCACGCCTGTAATCCCAGCACTTCGGGAGGCCAAGGTGGGTGGATCACCTGAGGTCGGGAGTTCGAGACCAGCCTGACCAACATGGAAAAACCCCGTTTCTACTAAAAACACAAAATAAGCCAGGCGTCGTGGCACATGCCTGTAATCCCAGCTACTCGGGAGGCTGAGGCAGGAGAATCGCTTGAACCTGGGAGGCGGAGGTTGCAGTGAGCTGAGATCATGCCATTGCACTCCAGCCTAGGCAACAAGAGCGAAACTCCGTCTCAAAAAAAAAAAAAAAGTTTTCCCCTACCAGATTTATTTATCCAGGGCTTTGAATTGAAGCTTAACAATTCGATGAAAGCATGAGGTGTTTATAATTGTGTTGACAGATACTAAAATGTCTGATGATGCTGGTGACACCTTAGCCACTGGAGACAAAGCAGAAGTTACTGAGATGCCTAATAGTGATTCTTTACCTGAGGATGCAGAAGTGCATTGTGATTCAGCTGCAGTTTCACATGAGCCAACACCAGCTGACCCCAGAGGGGAGGGGCATGAAAATGCAGCTGTGCAGGGTGCAGGGGCTGCCGCCATTGGGCCCCCTGTGCAGCCTCAGGATGCCAACGCCCTGGAGCCCCCTCTCAATGGAGACGTGACTGAGGATACACTTGCTGAATGTATTGATTCCGTCAGCCTTGAGGCAGAACCCAGATCCGAAATACCCCTGCAAGAACAGAATTATCTGGTAAGAATGGGTCATTCAATTCACTTCGGCCTAAGTTCTTGCTTATATCTACCGTGTGCAGAGCTAGCACCAAGCTCTGTGGGTGGGAATTGGGAGTTCAAAATGTACTGTGACATCCCCTCTGTCATCAGAAATGTGTAGTGAGATTAGACATATATAAAAATAATTTGTCATAATATTTGCATTTTGATAAGTGTATTATTAACAGTAACAGCCACCAATTATCAGACACAAGCCGTGTGCCAGGCACTCTGCTAGCCACTTTCTATGTTATGTAATTCACTCCATCAACAGTTCAAACCTGGGTATTACTAACTCCAGCTTATACCTGTGGCAACCAGGCTCAGAGGTGGTAGCTTGTCCTGGGCTACTTGGTTGTAAATGGAAAACATTGTAATATCACACATCATGACTCCAGATAATTAACAAGCCTGATTCCACCCTAAACAAGTCAATGTTTCTTTAAGATCACTTAAAATCTGATGTATATTTACAAGTCCATAGTGGAGATCTTCAGCCTTCAGATCACTGTTTTATCATCACACATCACCTTCCAGGGGAACAGAGGCAGAATGCACTCATCACCCCTCCCCTTTCAGTGCCTGCACCTATCTCTCAGGGTATGAGATAAGCCAGATCTCCCTGTTGGCACCTGGGCCACCAAGAAGACTATCCCAGCAGGGTTTTCCTGGAGCTTTCACCTCCAGCCATGTGGGGCCGGGCAGGGGTGGGAGACGCCCCGCATTAAAGAAGGAGACAGGCTGCTCTCCTCATCCTGTCTGGAATGGACTGCCTTCTAGAAGGGTGGTGCAGGAGGGAGGAATTGGGGTCTTCCCTCAGCCAGGCCCAGCCCTGTTCATCCTGAAGTGTGCCACCACAGATCACCCCCTTGAGGTGACTCTGCAGCATGATGTGAGGGACAGGAACTAAACAGGGAACTAGGGGCCCTGGGCATTCACCCTCCAATCTATCATTAACTCCATGAGCTTGGGCCAGACAAACTAATGTCTCTGCGCTTCAGGTTTTTCCTCTATGAAGTGAAGAATTCTCACATGAAGACTTTGATGCATCCTTCTGACTAATGTTTTATGACTCCTGTATTCAAGATTGGGCTACCCTCCCACCCACTTTTCTCAAGGGGTTTGACCCTCAGAACTGTCTGCGATGGGCTTCCTCAGGGGCAAGGTGTTTCCCTTCACTGGAAGTGTTTAAACAAAAGCTGAACAGTCATTTTGTAGGGATGTTATGGAAGCAATTTGAGGACCAGCTGGGAGTTTGAATCAGATAGGGTAAACATAACACAAAATTTTGTTTATGAGTTTCAAGAGGTCGCTGACCCTTTGAAGCCATCCATAGATGCCCTAAATAATTAAGGGCCCCTAGACCAGAAGTTCTCAACTTCAGCTGAATGTTACCAACCACTGGGGGAGATTTAAAATGTATTGAAGCCTGGGCAATGTGGCGAACCCTGTCTCTACGAAAAATACAAAAAATTAGCCAGGCATGGTAGTATGCACCTGTAGTCCCTGCTACTTAGGAAGAGGCAGGAGGATCACCTGAACCCAGGTGGTCAAGGCTGCAGTGAGCCGAGATTGCACCATTGCACTCCAGCCTGGGCAATGACAGTGAAACTCTGTCTCAAAAAAATAAATAAAATAAAATAAAATAAAATAAAATAGAGTAGAATAGAATAGAATAGAATAGAATAGAATAGAATAGAATAGAATAGAATAGAATAGAATAGAATAGAAAATATTGATGCTAGGGTCCCAAGCCCAAGGATTCTGATTCAGGAATGGGGCTTGGACATCAGCAATTTTTAAAAGTACCCCAAGTGGTTGTAATGTTTGGCCAGGATTGAGAATAATTAGTTTAGGCTAAAGAATTTTCAAAGTCCTTTTTATGATTCTTTGAGTAAGTGGTCTTCAGTATCATTCCAGCTCTAAAATGCTGTGGTGCTACAATAACACTTCAAAAGTATCTGGAGACAAGCCCTTTCATTCTTTTGGCTACTAGGACACTTTTTCATCCATTGATCTTAGAACAACAACAATAGCAATAACAGCCACAAAACACATAGGAAGTAAAAGTGGGACATTAATAAGCCGCAGGTTTGGCAGTTTGCATGGTATTGGTGAAGAGATGGACCACTAGATTATGTCAAGAATCAGCCCAAATAGGAAATGGCAGAGTGAGGATTTGAACAGAGTCTTCCTGACTCCAGAGCCTGCTTTGCCTCCACACTGTCTGTCTCATGTAGGGAGCTATGGTTCCCAATTTTCATCCTAAGTGCTACTGTTAACAAATATCTTGGTACAGTAAGAAAAATATAACTTAGCCACACCATTATCACCTAAGATGACTTAAACTATACAAGCTCTACTAATTCAAAATCCATACTAATTCAAAATCCATATACATTCCAATTTCAGACATAATAATTATAACAGGACTGTTCATGAAGATAGCATAGTAAGGCCGGGCACGGTGGCTCATGCCTGTAATCCCAGCACTTGGGGAGGACGAGGCAGGTGGATCACTTGAGGTCAGGAGTTCGAGACCAGCCTGGCCAACATGGTGAAACCCCGTCTCTACTAAAAACACAAAAATTAGCCAGGTGTGGTGGTGCATGCCTGTAGTCCCAGCTGCTTGGGAGGCTGAGGCAGGAGAATCTCTTGAACCTGGGAGGTGAAGGTTGCAGTGAGCTGAGATTGAGGCAGTGAGCTGAGATTGAGCCACTGCACTCCAGCCTGGGTGACAGCGAGACTCTGTCTCAAAAAAAAAAAAAATCAGTATGCTTCTACCACATTTGCCTTAAATGTTTTGGTCAAATGGAATGAATCTTGCTTTGAAAACACCTTATAAACCTCCTGAATGCTACAGAAATTGAGCTGGTTGGTAACAGGTACTCCACCTTCCCCACCCCCTACAACACTGACAGCATTTCAAGGACCTTGGAAAGGGGAGAAATTCCTAATAATAGAGCACCACGGAATTACCTGGATGGAAGTGCAAACACTGGCCACAGAGTCGGGCCCGTGGCTCTGGATGTATTGTGTTGGGTCAGAAGCTCAGAGGGAACAAAGGAGTGGGGACAGTACCTGTGAGTTTGTTTTAAGAAGGGCAGGAAAGCCGATAGGTTGGCTGAAAGGGCCTGGAAGAGAGGATATCACTTTCACCCAGGTCTTATTTAAACCATTCTACGTAGGTGCAAATTTAGTCTCTTTTTAAAGATTACCAGGAAAGGGGATTCTACTGTCTCTCTTAGTAGCTTATCCTTTTATTAGAAGTCAATTTTATGCCTAGTCTTTGATTATTGTTCATTTTTTTCTATTTTATTTGCCTCTTGTTGCATACTCATAAGAAATCATTTTGCACTGATGAAAACAACTCTTTCCCTGTTGCTCCAGAGCAGAGTGAATTGTACAAAACAAATTCTTGAATCTAAAGTTCATTACAAGGTGGTTGTTTGGATTGAACACAGGCTGCCCCTGAGGAATGGCAGGTTCTGCAGGAAAATAGCCAAGTGCAAAAGCCTATTTGACCCCATGTACATCTACACCTGATAAATTCTCATCAGCCCTTTAAAAAAGTTTCTGACCAGGGCCGGGCGCGGTGGCTCACGCCTGTAATCCCAGCACTTTGGGAGGCCGAGGCGGGTGGATCATGAGGTCAGGAGATCGAGACCATCCTGGCTAACAAGGTGAAACCCCGTCTCTACTAAAAATACAAAAAATTAGCCGGGCGCGGTGGTGGGCGCCTGTAGTCCCAGCTACTCGGGAGGCTGAGGCAGGAGAATGGCGTGAACCCGGGAAGCGGAGCTTGCAGTGAGCCGAGATTGCACCACTGCAGTCCGCAGTCCGGCCTGGGCGACAGAGCGAGACTCCGTCTCAAAAAAAAAAAAAAAAAAAAAAAGTTTCTGACCAGGTGCAGTGGCTCACACCTGTAATCCCAGCACTTTGGGAGGCCGAGGGGACCGGATCACCTGAGGTCAGGAGTTCGAGACCAGCCTGACCAATATGGAGAAACCCCGTCTCTGCTAAAAATACAAAATTAGCTGGGCATGGTAGTGCATGCCTGTAATCCCAGCTACTCGAGAGGCTGAGGCAGGAGAATCACTTGAACCCGGGAGGCGGAGGTTGCGGTGAGCCGAGATTGCACCATTGCACTCCAGCCTGGGCAACAAGAGTGAAACTCCATCTCAAAAAAAAAAGTTTCTGTGAGGAATGCTTGCTTTACTAAAAAAAGAAAACGGGCAGAATAGACTTTGAGGACGTACTTCTAAGGCACATTAGATTTTGTGATAATGCGCATAAATGTGTGTGTGGTGTGTATGTGTATGCATATATATTTGTAAGTACCTGGATCTGGATCCCCTTAAAATCCACATCATTAGGCTCACATTTGCCTCAGGCAGCAAGGCCACCATAACTTGGCAGATGGGGTGTTGCGACTAGCAGGTGGCCAGAGTCAAGGAGGAGGCCACCTTTCTGGCTGGCACCTCTGTTTTTAAGGACCACACCATTTATGCACTCGGATAAACTATCTCTATCTTTAGGGCTTCTTTGCTTTCTTGTCCTTTCTGACATACAGACTCAGAAGCCATTGAATTGAGCCTTCTCCTGTAGGAACCCACTCTACAACCTCCGTGAGAAATGGTCCTCAGCATTGGAGGTTGGACCGGATTCTCTAAGGCCTCTGCCAGCATCATGACACAATGCATTATGCCCAGAAATCTGGGTGGTGTAACTATCTTCAGGATGCCTACAGTCTAGTTGGGGGAAACATTGTTGTATGAGAGCAATGATTACATGTCCTCTAGTACTAGATAGGACAGGCACAAGGGAGGCTTTAGACAGAGCATTTAAATTCGTCTTAAAGAATCAGAGAAGTCTTCAGCCTCAATTCAAAGATGTTTGTCTTGAGTACTGGTTGGGAGTAACATTTGTTCCCAGAGCTCTTATGGGACCTTATTATATACTAGCCAGTCAACCCTTAAAAGACCCAATCTAGATTAAATTTCTCTGAATTCTTAACACCAAGAAAGGTTACCCAGAATTTTTAAAATGTCATCCCTACTGCTCAACACCAACGCATAAGGCCGATTATGGAGAAGGTCAAGAATCCCAATGTTAACACTGTTGAGTACTCTCATGGGAAAACATGGGAGTGTGGACCACCATGGATAGTTCTCTCCCTAAAAAAGGAGAAGCAGAATGTTTAAATGCCATAAAGTTATGGTCAAGAGAGACAAGGAGTAGGGGACACAGGCTGAGACATGACAGCATTTAGCCTCCTAAACCGGATGAGCAGAGTTTTCTCCGGTTCTGTTTGAGTATTTTCCCTTTTTGGCCTGCTCTAAAAGGACAGAGTTCCCTACTGCCTACGTTCCTTATTCTGTGTTCCCTGAACGGTGACACCCAGTTTTGGCTTGGACAACCAGGTGGATGGAGGTGCCATTCTGCCATAGAGAGCAGTGCTTCCCAGATCTGGAGGTGTATTGGAATCATGTGGGGAGCCTGTTAAAAATTCAGATTCCTGGGCTCTACCCTAAGAGATTCTTAGGCACAAGATCATAGTGGAAGCTGAGACTCTATTTTTAATGAATTCCCCCAGGTGACACTCTTACAGTCAGTCTGTGGACTAGAGTTTGGGAACCACTAACACTAGGACACAGCAAGAGCTAGTTGGGGTACGGGGAATAATTGAGAAGATGGTGAGTTCAGTTGGTTTTTGGTTTTTGGTAGAGACGGGGTCTCCCTGTGTTGCCCAGGCAGGTCTGAAACTCCTAGACTCAAGCTCTTCTCTCACCTCAGCCTCCCAAAGTGCTGGGATTATAGGCGCAAGCCACCGCACCGGCCTGAGTTCAGTATTAAATATGCCATGCAACATCCAAGTGAAGATACTTTGTGGACAGTTGGTTAAAATGGTCTGGAGAGATAGGTGATTCAGAGGCTATCAGCACCTATGTGGTTATTTCAGTAATGGAAGTGGGTAAGATGGCTCAGGTGTTAACATATAAATAACAACAGAGGCCAAGCCCTCAGCCCTGGAAGGTTTCTGTCTCTAAGCCAGTTTGGTTGGGCACAGCTCTTAGGGTTTTGTTTTGCTTTTTAAATAGATTATGGTAGCTAGCAAAGAATTTATAGTACAATCTCACCACTACCACATTCTATAAGCGAAATCAAGTTTCAGATCACATTGTACCACACTGACATTTTTAAATGAAACGGTAATTAACAAGAGAGTTGAAAATGGTGTATGAGAACTCTTTCTCATGTAGGCTTGAGAACATCCCATTGTTTAGGTGCTTTGATCACCATCTTGAATGAAAGGTTTACTCAAGGCAACTGTCTGGATTTCAGAGCTAAGGTTTCTTCCCTGATAGCTGGCATCAAGTCACCAGAATTCCCCAGAGTTGAAAGATGGATGGAAGACCATTTACACAGGGCAAAATCCTTTGTAACACCCTATTCATATAAAACTGGGAGGAGCAGAAAATATACTTAACTATTTACACATCTTGAATACTTTTAAAAATTTTTATTTATATTTATTTATTTATTTGAGATAGGGTCTCCCTCTATCGCCAGGCTGGAGTGCAGTGGCATGATCTCGGCTCACTGCAACCTCTGCCTCCCAGATTCAAGTGATTCTCTTGCCTCAGCCTCCAGAGTAGCTGGGACTACCGGCATCTGCCACCATGCCAAGCTAATTTTTGTATTTTAAGTAGAGACCAGGTTTCACCATGTTAGCCAGGCTGGTCTTGAACTCCTGACCTCAGGTGATCCACCCATCACGACCTCCCAAAGTGCTGGAATTACAGACATGAGCCACAAAGCCCGGCCCCGTCCTGTTTTAAAAAAATAGTCTCTCTCTCTCTCTGTTGCCCAGGCTGGAGTGAAGTAGCAAGATCATAGCTCACTGCAGTCTTGAACTCTTGCATTCAAGTGATCCTCTTGCTTCACCTTACCAAATAGATAGGACTACATGTGCATGCCACCACGCCTGGCTAATTTTTTAATTTTTCTGTAGAGACCAGATCTTGCCATGTTGCCCAGGCTGGTCTTGAACTCCTGGCCTCAAGTGATCCTCCTGCCTCGGCCTCCCAAAGTGCTGAGATTATAGGAGTGTGCCACCGAAGCCAGCTCCTTGAATACCTTTATTTTTACCATCTAGAACCCCTTTCAGATATTGAGAATGCTAGTAAATAGTCCACCATGTGTACCAATTAAAACCCATTTTTGCAGTTAGGTGTGGTAATTGGTAAAGCATCAGATGTTACCAGATACAGATAATAGAACCTCTATAAATAGCTGCCTCCAGAGTATGGCTTTCCTGATTAGAATGCTGGCTGACCACCCTGGACTGTGCATATTTTATTGGAATGCTGACAGCACTTGGATTGTAGGTTAATTTGAGAAGCACCCATAATGTCACAATATGCATGTAGAAGCATTCTAATGTAAATAACTGAAATCATACTAAAAGATGGTAAAAAGGAAAAAAAGTGAGAGTCAGAAGATAGGCCATCAGAATAGAACACTCTAAGGCAGATGTAAAAGTGGGTGAGCTTTGGATGCTACCGAGAGGTCAAGTAAGTAATAAAAAGACTAAAATGAGTCCGTGGCTTTGACAACAGGAAGCCACTTGACCTTGATGAGAACGATTTCATGAAGTAGTGGCACAGGAGTCTTGCTGTGGAGGGAGGATGGACAAGGGAGGTGAATACAGAAGATAAGCACCTTTTTTTTTTTTTTTTTGAGACAGAGTCTCACTCTGCCTCCCAGGCTGGAGTGCAGTGGCACGATCTCAGCTCACTGCAACCTCCGCCTCCTGGGTTTAAGCGATTCTCCTGCCTCAGCCTCCCGAGTAGCCGGGATTACAGCATGCGCCACCACACCCGGCTAATTTTTGTATTTTTAGTAGAGACGGGGTTTCACCTTTTTGGCCAGGCTGGTCTCAAACTCCTGACCTCAGGTGATTTGCCCACCTTGGCCTCCCAAAGTGCTGGGTTTACAGGTGTGAGCTATGGTGCCCGGCCACTATAAGCACCTTTTTTAAGAGACAAAGAAGAAAGATGTGGAGCAGACACCAGATAAGTTTGAAAGACACATTTTGTTCATGTCGTGATTTTCATTTGTTGGCTTTAAGATAGAGGAATCATGTGCATGATTAAATGTAACCTATATAGAAAGCATGTATAGAAATGTAGCCTGGGCCGGGCACAGTGGCTCACACCTGTAATTCCAGCACTTTGGGAGGCCGAGGCGGGCAGATCACCTGAGGTCAGGAGTTCAAGACCAGCCTGGCCAACAAGGTGAAACCCTGTCTCCACTAAAAATACAAAAATTAGCCGGGCATGGTGGTGGGTGCCTGTAATCCCAGCTACTCAGAAGGCTGAGGCAGGAGAATCGCTTGAGCCCAGGAGGTGGAGGCTGCAGTGAACCAAAATCACACCACTGCACTCCAGCCTGGGAGACAGAGCGAGACTCCGTCTCAAAAAAAAAAAAAAAAAAGGAATGTAGCCTGTACAGGGAAGCAGCTTGCATAGAAAAAGGCCGAAAAGCTAGGAGAGAGTAAAACCAACCTAACCAGATCGGGAGATGTGTAGGTGGAGGTGCTATGGTACCTAAGAGGAAGGTGCATTTCCATAATAATGAGAGGGAGGAAGTAATTGTGAATCGCAGGGTAGTGTACTTAATTTGTGTTTAGATGGGTTTTTGGTGTAGGCCTGTGTATATTTTGTGCATAAAAAGAACTACTCAAATGTTTAATTGGGTTTAAACAATTCGTGTTCCATCTATGAAGATGACAAACTGAAAAACCCAATCCTTAGGCTTCACGTGAATCTCACAAATCTCACTGTTTAGAAGTCCAGCAAAATCAAACAGTCACTTTCAAGGTACTTTTGGTTAATGTTTGATTTGGTCCTTTTTACCAAGTTACACACGTTTAAATACTTTAAACTGCATTTATAATATATTCTACTTCCTTTTAAAGTACCTGAATTATCTACTTATACAAAACCTTGCTAAGTACTTAATAATTGTTATAAAGCTACTAAAATAAATTTACAGAGTTGACTTAAAGACTCTTAATAATGTGCGGAAACTTGGGATGATTTCAGCTTAAAATCAGAAGTCTAATAATTCAATTATTCATTTTTGATTGATTTTCAAAAACTGTCACTCTAATAGGTCAGATTCCTTCAACATTAGTAGTACAGAAAAGAACAAATATGCCCAAAAATATGAATAGCGTATCTTCCATGCTTTCAACCTTTCTATGTTTAATTTTTAAATCTTCCCAAAGTTGAATGATGCATACTTACCAAGGAAGAAAATTAGCTGGAAATAACTGAGGCCATTTTCAATCAGATATTTTGACAAGAGTTTCAGACTCCAGAGCAATTTTCATCCTCCCAGCTGTCATACTGACCCCCTTTTTAGCGTAGCTATGTCATGAGTTACAAAAATTAAAAAGTGTTGATCACCCTATGAGTTACAAAACTCACAGGTTTCATTGCCCACATCCCTGGATACAAGTTATACGCAGCACCTGATTCTTGATCTGCTCAAGGAAATAGAAGAACCAAGTTGCTCCTTCAGCTTTAAGATAAGTACATATGTTTTCCATCTAAATGATAAAGGCCTTTGAATTTGATGGAGTTCTGGGATTTTACTTTTTTCTATCTAATAATACCTTTAAACTTGATAGCTTAAAATAAATGCATTTTCTATTTAATGATAAAGACCTTTAAATGGGATACTAGATATGAAAATGTCTTTCCTATTTAAAGAACGTTGAACTTGGGCCAGGTGCAGTCACCCGTAATCCTAGCACTTCGAGAGACCAAGATAGAAGGATCACTTGAGGCCATGAGATCAAGACCAGCCTGGGCAACATAGTGAGATCCTGTCTCTACAAAAAATAATTTTTAAAAATTACCTAAGTGTGGTGGTGCATGCCTGTAATCTCAGCTACTTGGGAGGCTGAGGCAGGAAGATCACTTAAGCCCAGGAGTTGGAGGATGTAGTGAGCTATTATCATACCACACACTCCAGCTTGGGCAACAGAGCGAGACTCTGTCTCCTAAAAAGAAAAAAGAACTGTGAACTTGATGGAATCCTACATTCTTTCTTAGTACCACACAAAGGTTTAGATGTTTAAATGATTTCCAGTTGAGTTTTGAATATCCCTTTTGATTAAGCCAAATCTAATTTGCTGTTATAAGAGTTATGGGGAGCAGGCAGGAAGCTGAGAGAGTTCTCATCTGATGGCTTTTTTTCCTCTATGTATTAGGATGTGAAGTTGTCTATGGAAGGAGGTGGGAGTTATGGGGGAAGGGTGAGAAAAACGTCTTTAAATCCCTCTATTGGTAATAGGCAATCTGAGCAGCTCCATGCTGCCTGTTGTAGCATCTCCTAATTGTGTGACATTAAGTCCATTTAAAGTGGAGACCATATTCATGATGAGATATATTTATAATTCATGCTTAACATTTTTTATATTAAATATGTGTATTTAATCATTTGAATATTTACCATTTGATAACATATTTATAGCTGATCAAGAAGTCACAGCTCAATGTCAAAGGACTTTATTAATAAAGCAATTGAAGTAGTCACTTATTATACAGCAAAAAGTTCTAGACTCATTTAACATTTATTTCCATTTGCTAGTCAATTACCAGCTGTCAGAACATAATAAATATTATAAATTTGAGTCAGAAGCTGTCACCTCTAATTGTATTAACTCTTCCTAATCATAGGTAGTGATTTGTCCTGTGAAAGAATGATATTAATCACTGATTTCCATCTGTCTTCATAATGGTGTAAAATTGCTACTGGATTCCATTGCTGAAGTGAAGTAAATCAATGTAGACACCAAAAATGAAAGCAGGCAGTGATGAGTCATGAATATTTCCATTCATGTTAACAAGCTTCTCATTGTTTCCAGACAGAAAGAAAAAAAAAATGACAGCTAACTTTCAAAGCTTTTTGCTTCTTAGTCTTAAAAGCATAGTTTCTTCTTATTATTTCTAGCTCACACTTTTGGAGTACTTCTTATATGCCAGGCACTATGCTCGCAACATTATATGAATTATTTCTTTTGATCTTCACGAACCGGTGAGGTTATTGGTTCCTATACTTATGGCTCTTATGCCACTATTGTTTGCATTTTATAATGAGGAAATGAAGGCTTAAAACAATTTGAGTAACTTGTTGTCCAAAACAGTAGAGCCTGGAGTCAAACCCAAGCAATTTAACTTCCATAACTCAGTCTCAACCAGTACTCTACACTGATGGGTGGCATTTGAATCAGTTAGGAATGCTTTTGAGTCAAAGTAACTAAAATCCAACATATAGTAGTTCACAAAATAGTGATTTTTTTTCTCTCACTTAATACAAAGAATGGAGATAGGCAGCTACTTATGTTGGTTTAGTAGCTCAGCGGAGCCAGGACCAGTGACTGAGACTCCTTGGCCTTTCCCTTGAGGCAGCAAAAATGACTGCTTCAATTTGAAGCTTCAGGTCCACATTCAGGGCAGAAAAAAGAGAAGGGGAAAGAGTGGGCACTCGCTGTAACTATAATGTATCATGAAAGCAAAAACTTTTCCATTTATATATCTCATTGGTTGAAAACTGTTTCATATGGCCATCCTTATCTGCAAGGGTAGAAAATAACAAGGGAGGCTGGGCATGGTGGCTCACACCTGTATTCCTAGCACTTTGGGAGGCCAAGGGGGCGGATCATGAGGTCAAGAGATCAAGACCATCCTGGCCAAAATGGTGAAACCTCGTCTCTACTAAAATAGAAAAAATCAGCCAGGCGTGGTGGTGCGCAACTGTAGTCTCAGCTACTTGGGAGGCTGAGGCAGGAGAATGGCGTGAACCCGGGAGGTGGAGCTTGCAGTGAGCTGAGATCGCACCACTGCACTCCAGCCTGGTGACAGAGCAAGACTCCGTCTCAAAAAAAAAAACAAAAAAAAACAGCAAGGGAGTTGGGAGTTGGGGATGACTAATGGACCAGCTGTGAGTCAAAAGTTATGGAATCTACAAACTCTGTAGGAATTTTCCACTGCCTCCTTACTTTCTTTCTGCCCGCCCTTCCTTCTTTCCTTCCTTCCTTCTTCTCTTTTGAGTAAAAAAGAGCTATGATTCTCCATACAGGTAACTCATAGAATATTTATTCTTGCCTTGTTTTCTAGAATGTGTTCCCAGATAGAAAGAGAAAGCTGTGGTTCCCTACTTGAGTTAGGACTCATTGGTTGCAAGTAACAGAAACACGCATACCTGAGAAAATGGATGAGTTTCAGCCATTTATTCAACAAATATTTATTAAGCATTCATTATATTCCAAGCACTCTTCTAAGCTCTGAGAGTATATCAGTGAATAAAACATTTAAAAAAATGAACAAGAATATGAGAGAATCTCATAGAACCCAAAGATCAGAAAGCAGCAGGGCCTTCAGAGGGACAGAAACCAGGGACTGAGAAGCTGTCAGGAATCCAAACAGCAGCTCTAAGCCAGTCTCCATTCTGCTCACTCTGCCTTCTCTTAATTCTTAGTCTGCGTGGTGGATATAACAGGGTCATCCACATAGCCTGAGTTTTCAACTTCTGTTCATGCACACAGTTCACACTGAACCACAGTCTCTCAGTTCCAATTCCAAAAACCTAGGCAAACGAATTGGAATCCACTGAGGTCAGGGACAGTCTTATCCCTGTGTTATAGGAGTCACTATGAGTGAAGCAGGGCACCTTGAATCAAAGGTTTCTACCTTGCAAGCCTTCCTGTCACTACTGCCCATCCATCGCCAGGTGTATTGACGCTTTTTAGACACTTTGCCCATCATCCATGCCAAAGCACCTGCCTACTGCCCCAGAGTTTAAAAGTTAACTCTACCTTGAAGAGCACATTTTTTAAGCCCTGTAAGAATTGCCTGGGTCCAGATCATTTTGAACTTTTTCAAATCCCTCTTGTGCCCTCATGCGTATCTTTTTCCCATGCAGCCTTTTCCCTGTCTTCTAAATAATAAGAGAGAATCGAGGCTCAGTTAACATCAAACTCCCTTCTCACTTCAAACCAAGCCTTCAGAAGCCAACATCAGCACTAATCAATTTGGTTCCAAAGTACACATTGCAGTGTGGTTTGGGATATTCTTTTATGACCCTTATAAACTATAAGCCAATTAGATACGGTTGTTGGTGATTCTTTTCCAAACCTCCTCTTTGTTTCAAACCAATAGGTGTTTTTCCATTCAGAGATATACTGAATTTCTGACCTGTGGCTAATTTGTTTTTCTCCAGGCTGTGGATTCCCCTCCAAGTGGAGGAGGATGGGCAGGCTGGGGATCCTGGGGCAAATCTCTGCTGTCGTCAGCATCTGCCACAGTAGGTAAGCATTGTATGTTGCATTGGAATAGACAAAGTACCAAAGCCTAATAGGATAGGACGTTTTGATCGTACTGTATACTAATAGAGTTTAACATTAGCCCGTGAGCAAACCATGTTTAGTGCTTACTATTCTAAGTGCTTCATTTATTCCTCCAATACATTTGTTCCTCAAAATAACCCTATATGGAGGAACTGTTGTTTGCTGCACTTTACAGGTAAGGAAGCTAATCAGAGAGAGACTAAGACCTTGACCAAAGTCAGGAATGTCTGGGTTGCAATTTAAAAGCCAAGTAGTATGGCTTTTAGCCACTATATTATATGGTCTTTTAAAGTATAATATATTCTTAAAGCTTCGTGTTTATCGTCCCACTTGAATTTTTTTAGTGCACAACGCATCTACTCCCAAAAAGGATTTGAGATATCTTGATAAAAGGCATTTCATTAGCAGGATATTACAATATAAGGAGAAAACAATGTGCTGGTAGGGAGGATACATATTTTATACATCCCATGGCTAATAGAGTTTTTGTAATTGAGTATTGACCTCAACTCTGAGCTTCTTGGCTGCCAGTACATTATTTATTTCTCTTTGAAAACAAAATTTTAATTTAAATAAATATATTTTTCTGGTTTTAAATTTTTAAAGAAATTTCCTGTATTTGTTCTTATACAAAGAGAAAATATGATGGACAGTGTAGTGTCTTCCTGAGTGCAAATTTGTCATGATATTCTTCATGTTACCATTTCTTATATTCTCTCTTCATGAGAACTGAAGGTATAACATCAATATGTCTAAGATAATTTAGCAAAGGCATTTCATCTTGAAGGTGGAAGATAAGAAGATAGGGGAAGCCACAGGTAACAGAGTTTTCACATCATCCACTTCAGGTATTCTAAGGTGCAGTCCATGGCCATGAGGACCTTGCGATAGGCCATGAATTGGTCCACTTCACTGTTACTCCTAAAACCAGGAAGGTCTTCAGGCCTTTTGCCCCACCCCAGTGGACCATGACCACAGTGTTAAGGGCCAGATATCTAACTTGACAGAGCTTAGGCTGCCTGGAAGAATGGATAGATTGCATTCCTCTAATTCCATCTCTGTCAAATATCAGTTTGCTCAGGAAGGCTCTGGGAAGAAGTAGCAATGGCCAAATAAATGTTGACCTCTCTGGTAAGCCTGGAGAGCAGATTTTCTCTATTGCTTATTAAGGGGATGGCTATGCCTTGAGTACCACATATGCAGATGACAAATTTAACTAAATTCAAGTAGAGGCGCCTGTTTTGTTTTCTGAACAGGATGCTATCTCTTCACAAGGGTGAGGACAAGCACCTGCAGGCATCCTCTGTCCTTGGAAAAATGTTTGAACTTAGTGGCTATCAAAAGGATCTTGCCACTGGTGGCACTTAGAAGTGACATGCTTTCTAAGCCAAAAACTAAAAAGGAGGTTCTAAAAGATTGTTTTAATTGGAATAAGTCATGAAAAAGTAAATAATATGGTCACTAAAATTATACAGCTCTTCTCGTGGTTTATATCATAAAACAGTCATGTGTCCTGGATGTTTCCAGTTTTAACCGCATCCAAACCACTCTGGTTTATAATGAATTGGTGGTTCGAGGGTTCTAGTATAGATGGAGGACTTACTCTTTCATTAAACTTTTAAATATAAGTTCCTGCCACAGTAAACACAGAAATCATCTGCTCTGTGGTAGCAGCTATAGGTGCTCTCTGTGCACACTTAAAGGTGCATCTCCCTGTAACTGCTCTAGCCCTGGTTGGTCAGACCATTTGCTGTTGTTTCTCATTCAGTGTCTGTACCTCATTTGACTTTGGGCTTTGTTGGACCCTCCCAAGGTTTTCTGTCCATGAACTGACAGCTCTCCCATTGAATTTACTATCCAGCACCTTCTTAGGTGTCTTGCTATAATCTGACCTTTGCACACATGCAGCTTTGGTTCCAGTGGATGGTGCTCCAAGGCCTCCGGGTTTTGTCACCTGGTTCACATGTAACCAGTAGATGGCGCTGACTTTACTGCTTAAAAAGTGGGATGTGGCCAGGCATGGTGGCTCACGCCTGTAATCCCGGCACTTTGGGAGGCCGAGGTGGATGGATCATTTGAGGTCAGGAGTTCAAGACCAGCCTGGCCAACATGGTGAAAACCCATCTCTACTAAAAATACAAAAATTAGCTGGACGTGGTGGTGGGTGCCTGTAGTCCCAGCTACATGGGAGGCTGAGACAGGAGAATTGCTTGAACCCAGGAGGTGGAGGTTGCAGTGAACAGAGATTACGCCCCTGCACTCCAGCCTGGGCAATAGAATGAGAGTATGTCTCAAAAAAAAAAAAAAAAAAAAAAAAAAGCAGGGTGTGATTTTTCACAGCAGGTCCCTTTTGACTTGATCCGACGTCATTGTCTTAATCTGCGGCCTGTGCTTGTGTTTGGGGTTGCTCTTAAAGTTTCTCTGTGTCTGAGCCACCATGCAGATAATAAATACTGCATCTTGTTACTCTCACAACAATTTATAAATTGTGATGGTTCGCATCTGGCTCTGAGTAATCATTGATCCAGAAGAGCCTAGAGAGGTAAATTCCTGTAGGCCATCATGAGCATTGTGCCAGTCACATGGTCACTGTGCCATGAAAAATAATATCCCGCTTTTTAAGTAGTAATGTCAGCACCATCTACTGGTTATATTTGAACCAAGTAACAAAACCTAGAGGCCTTGGAGCACAGTCCACTGGAACCAAATCTGCACGTATGCAAAGATCAGATTACAAAAGGACACCTAAGAAGATGCTGGATAGTAAATTCAATGGGCGAGCTGTCAGTCCGTGGATGGAAAAACTTGCCACTTTTCTTCTAGGGTGAGTAAACACGTGGTTTCTCTGAGAGTGTATGACATTTGCACATTCCTCATGCAATATCAGAATGAAGTTCAGTATACCCTCTTGTATTAGTTTCTGTTGCTATGTAAGGAATTACCACAGTTAAAGAGGCTGAAAACAACATGCATTCATTATTTTACAGTTTCCGTGGGTCAAGAGTTCAGGTATGGGACAGCTGCTCATGTAAAATAATGTGAGCTTAACAGGCTAAAATCAGGGTGGCAGCCAGCTGTATTCTCATCTGAGGCTCACTTTTACCTGAGGCAGCATGGCCCTGGGGTTGACACTATGCTTGTACATAATGGAAGTTGTTCCTCGCTTGCCTCTCTCAATCCCAAGATAATGGCTCAACATAGACCACAGATCAGGAAGGCACCCATAACTTTAAAGTCTCTGGAGGATAGGGTGGTGCAGCTAGAAGGGGGCCCAGAGTCGAAGATGAGGCCAGTGGCTCTGCCAGCTGCTCAGCTGGCACCTCTGCTTTGAAGACGTCATCTTTCAGGGTCATTCACGTTGTTGGCAGAATTCAGATTTTGAAGTTGTAGGACTGAGGTCCCTGTTTTCCTGCTGATTATTGACCAGGGCTCACTTTCAGCTCTTAGAGGCTGCCCTCAGGTCCTCCTTCAAAGCCAGCAGGAAAATCTCTCTCATGCTTCAAATCGCTACCTTCAGGAAGGGCCCCTTTGTTTTAAAGACGCTCCTGATTAGTTCAGGCGCACTAAGGATGATCTCTCTTTTGAGTCACTGAAATTCAACTGATCAAGGACCTTAATTACATGTGAAAATTCTCCCCATCATTGCTGGATAGAGTAACCTAATCACAGGGGTGAAATCCCATCCTGTTTACACTCCGGCTCACACTCCAAAGGGAAGGGATCACATAGGGTGTATACATCTGGGGACAAGAATCTTGGGGCCGTCTCTCAATACGGTCATGCTTCACTTAACAATGGGAATACCTTCTGAGAAATGGGTCGTTGGGTGATTTAATCATTGTGCAAACCTCCAAAGTATACACAGACCTACACAGCTAGGCTATGTGGTAAAGCCTATTGCGCCGAGGCTGCAAACATAGGACAGCTTATTACTGTACTGAATACTGTAGGCAATTGTAACACAATAATAAGTATTTGTGTATTTCACACATCTAAACATAGAAAAGGCACAGGAAAAATACAGTATTATGATCTTATGGGACCACTGTCATAGATGTGGCCCGTCGTTGACCGTAAGTTTGTCATGTGGTGCATCCCGCCTACCTTAATTCTCTTCTCGTCTCTGTTTGAGATCTTTGTCAGTTACACCACCAATTACAGAACCTTAGTATTTTCTATGGTTCTGGCTACATGCTGGAATTTTGAAAAGCAAGGAAATCTTGGCATTTTTCTCTTGTTTGCATACAAAATGGCAAAGGGTACATGAGGAAAGTCATTAAAATTTTGAAATATTGATGCTCATTCTAAAAGTCCCTTTGGAGAAATTTTAGAGCTGTCTTTAGAAAAGCAGGTACTAAAATTGTTCATCACCACTGATCATCACTACCCACCTCCTCCCCCCAAAATGAATGCAATAGAAGTATAACTGAAAACCCTGCCTAAATTGCTCTTACTGCATATTTTGGAGATTTCTGATGAGGACATGCTGTGACTTTATGTAGTAATAGTAGTTAAAACAAAAGCAATGTATATTTCAAAATTGGACAAGTGTCTTTGTAGACCTGTACAGAACTAAAGCATGTAGCCTAACAGGAGGCTGAAGTCATGGGTTCCCAGGCTGGAAACAAGCACTGGTGGTTGGGAGTTTGACTGCTGAAAGGTAAGAGGGATCATAAGTTGCCCACACATGGAGCCAGGCTCACAGCCTGAAACAGGTTGGAATGGGGCTCAAAGATCTGTGAACAGAGAATTTAAAGTTATGTGTGCCTTCCTGATCTGTGGTCTATGTTGAGCCACTATCTTGGGATTGAGAGAGGCAAGCGAGGCACAATTTCTGCTATGTACAGGCATAGTGTCAACCCCAGGGCTTTACAGCATTAGCAGTTTATTATCATCAGGCAAAGAAACTTATTGGAAAACAGATCATTCACAGTAGTAGACAAGCTTTGAAGATTTATAAATTGCCTGTGGAAAGTAAGGAAAGAAAATAACCACATGTTCAATTGCAATTGATGTCTACTCAGAAACCTCATGTATACCCCCAGGGTAATTCCAGCTGCAGACAGGGGTGCAAAACATATAGACATTAACAAAACACAGAGCTGTCAATTGAGCACTAGAAATGGAAACCATTACCTCTAACAGTTGTTGAAAAACTGCAGTTAGAATAGTTAGAACTGTTGAGAGTTGGCAGGAGAATAACAGGAGAATAGAAACAATTGAAAAATGGTAATCTCTTGGAATGAGCACTGTACCATGAGTCATAAGACCTGAGACCTGGTCCTGAATGCTGCTAACTTGTGATCACAAGGCACTGTTACTAACTAGCTACACTGTGCCCTTAACCTAAGACTCAGGTTCTTTGTATGGAAAAACGTGGGTGAAAAAACTGGAGAAATTCTAAGGTCTCTTCCAACTTCCAGAATATGTTGATACCATATCCTGTGTCTATGCATAGAAGGAGAAAGATATTTGTGCCCACTGTGCTAAGTGGAAAAATACAGAAAATTAATTGAAATTATGTCTACTCTATTTTTATATTTTATCTTTTGCCTCAATACTCTTTCACTCTGAGGTTAAGGGAAAATGAGAAAAAGTGACCTTCCTAATGCTTATACAAAATCAAACATTTTTCAGCCAACAATTATTTTGGAGAGGACTTAACTCTTGCATTAGGCTCAACTACAGCTACACTGTCATCACATTCTTAGAAGATTTGATCACCTGTCACCCATGCCTTTGGACAAGTTTGTGAAATGAAGTAAGCTTGGTTATTATTTCCAGGCAGACACAAGAATAGAAAACATTTTAGAAAAGAGGGTTTTTGGGGAGGCTGAGGCAGGTAAATCAACTTGAGGTCAGGAGTTCAAGACCAGCCTGGCCAACATGGCAAAACCCCATCTCTACTAAAAAAAAAAAATACAAAAATTAGCTGAGTGTGGTGACATGCCCCTGTAGTACCAGCTGCTTGGAGGCTGCGACAGAAGAATCGCTTGAGCCTGGGAGATGGAGGTTGCAGTGAGCCAAGATTGCACCACTGCACTCCAGCCTGGGCAACAGAACAAGACTCTGTTTCAAAAAAAAAAAAAGAAAGAAAAAAGAAAAGAGGGTTTTGATAGTAGTTCCAAATCCCACAGGATCTTATAGACCTGACTTGCTTCCAAAATGTATTACTAGGCTAAGAGTGATAGACCAGTAGTCAAAATGAAAGTCAACAATGCTAAAACATGTATAAGTATACAAAAGGAAGAGCTCTATAGTAGAATACAGTAATTTATTTCTAGATACCACCAAAGGCTTAAATGTTTATTTGAAATTCTAGTTTTGACAGTTTTATGAGTTTAAACATCTTATGCAAGAGTACCTGAGGTTGGGGGTTGGTGTGTACGGAATGTACCTGATATGTATATTTACTTTTTCCAAAATTATCATTGTTCCCCTTACTCATCCTCTCCCAAGGTACATAGTTTTTTCCTTCTGCACATTTTAATGAAACTCTTCTAGCAGCCCGGTCAGAAATGACAGTGTTTATTACAGAGAATGGCAAACTTGTCAAAATGATACTACGATGAGAAATCATCACCGTATAAATCACTGTCGATAGCGCATGGATTCATTTTTGAAGGTGACATTGCTGATGATATGAAATTTCTCAAGGAACATTGAGACAAAGAGAATAGGAATAATGCTTAGAGTTTGTCCATCGTCCTTTAGATTCTATGAATAAAACACAGGGGTTAATGAGTTTCTGTTGGACTTCTGGGCAAATATCATCAGTTCAGTAACACTTCTTGTCTATTTTGAGCCTAAAGGGAAGTAAGCATCTGATTACAGAGTGGACATCAACCATCATATGGAGAGGAAAGACTATTCCAAAGGAAGGTTGATTGGCTCCCTTTTTGCTGCACTATAGTTCGCTTTGGTTGAGCATGGCAGTATCAACTTGTGCTTTTCTGAACAATTGCTCTTCACAACTTTTTATAATATCTTGAACTCATCTATAGAAGAGTCTGAAACACAGTCAGTACTTTATATATATGAGTAATATATATGTTATATATATGTTATATATTTATATGTTATATATTATATATGTAATATATATGTTATATATGTAATATATGTTATATATGTAGTATAAGTTTCATATATATGTTATATATATATATATAGACAGATATATCTATCTCCATTCAGTGGAATACTATGCAGCCATTAAAAAGACCAAGGTAGATCAGTTTTCTAGGTTGGATGCCCAGCAGAGGGATGAGTCAGAAATTGTGTGCTGGAGTTTTACTGTGAAGTGCTTTCTGGAACAAGCTTTGCAAGAGAGCAAAGGATTGGGAAGCAAAACTAAGCCAAGGGAGAAGCTGAACTGCAGTGTCGTTACAGCAGAGGTCTTAACCTATCCCATTGGGAGCTTGGGGTTTGGGATGACTCTTAGGAGATGTCTTCCATTAATCCACAGCACCGGGCCTTTATATCAACAGCTCCCTCATTGACCAGTCACTATAGTATAGTCTTGGTGGAACCAACTCCCTTTGGTCAAGGGCAATTCAAAGGGAGGCATTTATTTAGTTGAGCGCTGTCAGTAGACAACACTCCCAGAATCAAGGAGAATGAGCACTGTGATTCCAGGCAGCACATAGCACACAGCACTATCTGTGTGTGCTGAGACTTCAACTGTGAACTGCCAAATGGGAAAAGCCAGGTCCAGAAGACTTATATTTAGGTAAATATGCTTTTATATTCTTGAAAGGAATCACAAGAAATAATTAGAACTGTTATCTTTAGAAGGAAGTCTTTCAAAAGCTCCAAGCATTGCTTTTTTTAGAAGTCACTCCTATATCAGAGCAAATACATTAGAATGTACCCACATTTTTCATTAAATTTCCTACACACACACACATATGTAACTATGTAGGAGTTGAATTTCTTTGAATGATAATAGACCAGCTGATCCAATATTACATTTTGAATACATTTAAGTAAATATTAATTACTATCTAATTTGCAATTTTTTTTTCTTTTAAAGCCATCAGTTTTTGCAGGCCTTACTTATTTCCACAGGACCTTATAAGCTCATACACTCTATTGCTTATTACGTTACTGGAATCTATCTAAGCAGAAAGAGGCTGGCCCACCTTCTGTTATCTATGTTTCTATACTCTTTGGACTTGCTAATATTATGAAATTTTTATTTTTTAAATCTGCACATGAAAACATGCTCAACACCACTAATCATTAGGGAAATGCTAATCAAAACTATGATGAGATAATACCTCACACCCATTAGAATGACGTTTTGAAAATTTTTTTACCACTAATATTTCAGTATAAGAATGACGATTATTTTAAAAAAAAAAAACAGAAAATAAGCGTTGGTGAGGATGCGGAGAAACTGGAACCCTTGTGTGCTCTTGGTGGGGTTATAAAATGGTACAGCTGCTGTGGAAGACAGTACAACAGTTCCTCAAAAAACTAAAAACAGAATTACCATATGATCCACCAATTCCACTTCTGATTATATTTCCAAAAGAATTAAAGGCAGGGTCCCAGGGAGATATTTGTACACCCATGATCATAGCAGCATTATTCACAATAGCTAAAACACAGAAGCAACCACAGTGTCTGTCGACAGACGAATGGAAAAGCAAAATGTGGTCTTTACATACAAGGGAATATTATTCAGATTTTAAAAAGAAGGAAATTCTGACATATGTTACAACATGGATGAACCTTGAGGACATTATGCTAAGTGAAATGAGCCAGTCACAAAAAGACAAATACCGTGTGATTCCACTTCTGTGGGGCACTTAGAAATAGTCAAAATCATAGAGATTTGAGAACGTTCTGACTACTGGAATGTAGAATGATGGTTGCCAGGGGCTGGTAAAAGAGGAGAGTGGGGAGTTATTGTTTAAATGGGTATAGAGTTTCTATTTTATACAAGGGAAAAAGTTCTGGAGATGGATGGTGGTGATGGTTGCATAATATTGTGAAGGTATTTGGTATCTCTGAACTATTCAGGTAGGAAAAGTTAAGGTGGTAAAATGCATGTCATGTGCATTTTACCACAAAAAAAAAATGGAGTAAAAATTCAACCAGATATATCAGAGATATGATATTATGGGATTTTTAAAAGTCTCTTTTTAATACATTCATTTTTTGAAAAAGAAGGAAAAAGAGAAAGTTAAAATAAGAAAAAGAAGGAAATATTGTCTTAAAAAATAAAACAAGCTAAAAGGGAGAAACTTTCCTGATGAGTTAGCGTGGGCCCTTCTCGTGATCCTTTAGCATATGGGACCAATAGGAAGTAGCCATTGAGCTATCCAGTCATCCAGGGTGCTGCAGAGAACTGCTGTTGCTTCCCTGAGTTACCACTTGGTCAGAGAGAACTTCCCAGCATATTCTCTTGTTTTTTTTTTGAGCTGGAGTCCTAGTCTGGCTCTGTCGTCACCCAGGCTGGAGTGCGATGGTGCAAACTCAGCTCGCTGCACCCATGCCTCCTGGGTTCAAGCGATTCTCCTGCCTCAGCCTCCCAAGTAGCTGGGATTACAGGCGCCTGCCGCCACACCCGGCAAATTTTGTATTGTATTTTTGGTAGAGGTGGGGTTTCACCATGTTGGCCAGGATGGTCTCGAACTCCTGATCTCAGGTGATCCGCCTACCTCGGCCTCCCAAAGTGCTGGGATTACAGGCATGAGCCACCATGCCCGGTCCATCATATTCTTTTTGCAAATTATTTCATCTTGATTATTTCAAATAGCCAGCAGTTATTTCATCTTTCCAGAAAGAGGAGAGACTTCCCTTCAATGGCTTTTTGATCCTGGTGGAATTCACAAGAAGAGAGCTTCATAAGATCACAGTGCTTTGCGGGAAGAAAAAGATCAAAGTGGATGTGTAAGATAGCCCTACACAGTGTCTTGAGAATACAGCCTGCACAGCACAGGGATGATCCTAAAAACACTAAGCTATGCCATCACTAGACACAGTTGACAGGGAGAGGGTTAGTGTCAGGTTTCACCCTGGAGGTGATCTTCACCTTGTTCTTTGGTCAAGGTAAGGTAAGTCAAGTGCATTTTAGAATAAAACAATGTTTTAAAAAGTAGGAAGCTCCAAACCAAGGATCTGATTTCCAAGGAGTTACAGAAATGGGATTAAAATGACATTTAATCAACTATAAATGACACATAAAACTTTCTTAACATAACATAGTGATTACACATGTGGGTTCTAGAGTCAGAAGGACTGAGTTGGAATCCTGCCTTTGTCACTGATTGGCTTTAGGACCTTGGGAAAGTGATTTCACCTCACCAGGTCTCAGTTTTCTCAGTTGTGAAATGAGTATACTAATATCCCTTACCTCATAAGATCATTGAGAAGATTAAATGAGATAATGTACTGTACTAAAAGTATTTAGTACAGTGTTAGGACATAGTAAGTGCTCAATAAATGTCGGCCATAGCAGAGATTTCACATGTTTCTTCTCAATAATCTCGCAAAACTCTGAGAGGTAATCCTCCTTTCAGAGAATGCACAGCCGCAGAGACTCAGAGAGGTTAAGCAGCTCACCAGCATTACACAGCTCATAAATGATGGGAGCAGAAATCCTCCACAAGACTCCTGACTCCTAAGTTTAAGGTATTTTCCATTTGAGTATAGATGGTAAATTAAATACCAGCCAATCATTCAGCATTTATTTTAAAATGATACATTATCGAAGCATTTGTACGACATTCTCATCTTCTTTGCAGCACTCACCTTCTATTGCAGTGAGCCAAAGAGTAGAGGATATTCCATCTTTAGAACCATGGAGTTTAGAGGGGTTTCAGATTTTGGGGATACTTGGGGTTTGGGATGACACATGAAGAAATTAATCCATGAACTGTACCCTATAGTATTATTCATATTTGTTGTTTTTCTCTTATTAGTAGGTCCCAGTCAGTACCTCTGGAGATGAAATCACTCCCAATCAAAAGGCAACAGTGACTTCATATTATTATTTTCTTGTTCTGGACACTAGATGTCACACTAAGTAAAGTTTTAGAGGTTACTCTTTAGAGTAAGGTGTGGCACAGTGTCTAAAATCTTAGCTATGAAAAATTATAGCTCATACATAAATATAAAGCTGAACTTTATATTTATTTTTTGTTTCTTTTTTTTTGTAAAGCTGAACTTTATATTTCTGGTAGAATGCAGTAAAAGGGTACTTTCCCTAACAAAAAATTCAGAAAAAGAATTGTTAATAAGAAAATGTAGTTGGAACAGCAGCCTATTTTGATGTCTGTTAAATAGATAGATCCCATTTACATGCACATAAAATCGTATTTCCTTCTAGTAACAAAGTGATTTTTCTAGAGGCAGCTCGTGTATACATATCTGTGATCGTTTATGTTCTGAGATGGCGAGAAGCCATTCTTCCTGCAAAAGGAACCAGACATTATCCTAACCTGCAAGGGACGGAGAAGGTGAAAGAAGAGATACTGAATATGAGTTTCATTATCTCCTGAAACAGTCTCAGGGAAGGATGTGTGATCATCTTTCTTGAGTGGCTTAAGCAAAGAAGACAGAGAAGATGGTGCCTCCCAGCCTCCTTGACCTCATTTTTTTCCTTGATTTTGGCTCTCAGAAATCTAGACGAGAATCATAGGTTGAGATTTGGAGGCACATTATTTCCTTTTGGAAAATGCATATATATATATTTAATGGCAGGGAAGTTGGACTCAGTATGTAAAAGAGTAAGATATTCTATCCTCTAACTTAAATGTGTTATTGAAACTTCAATAAGTTTCCATTGAAATGCTTGAAATTCATTGGACGCTAGAGATAATTAATTCAAGCCTTAACAGTCGCAATACACCTTTATTTTTTCAAGTAACTCAGTAATTAATTTGAACTGTGTCTAATGATCTGCACATGACTATAAACACGTATTTCTATATGTGATTACAGTTGTAAATAATGTTTACATTTCAGGGTTTTCTAGGTAGTGTATAAGGACAGGTGATTTCCATTGGACATAATTCCTTCTACATTTGTCAAATATCAGTGCCTTGTTAATGCTAAGATCACTAGGATAAATAAGGTTACAACTGCTAAAATGCTACTCTTTAGGTTTGGGAGTCATCCATGTGTTCCCCTTTCTTATTCAGGAAATGGGCAATTGGTTATTTTAACAGTGCCTTCTAAGACTAGGTGGTTCTAGTTAGCTCTCAAATTCTGTTGGGACTTGGGACGTTTTTCCTCATATTACTGCCTTGTGTTTTAGCAACCTGAGGTCACCCAGGTCCCGAGAGAAATCTTTCATTTTCTCCGTGAGTGCTCGGGGGATGGGGAGTTCTGTGATGATGGCAGCCTGTGCTGTTTCTCCTTCAAGAAGTCAGACAGCCACTTTGGACCATCCGTAGGCTATTCATTCCTTCAACAGTTTGACAACTCAGAAAAGCTATAGCTCATCGTGAAGGCCTCAAAGGGAGGAAAATCTCTCCAGAATAAAATGTAGACAAGACTATGTCCGTATCAGGTCAAAGGTTGGGGTTTTTCCCTGTGGGTAGGAAGGTCAGCTCTGTATTTACCAAATAGTTATTGAATAACCGCTCTGCCTGGCTCAGGGAACAAGGGTATTATCCCTGCTTAGATGGAGTAAAACCTGTGCTCTTCGCCTGCCTGACTGCTGTTAAGGTTGATTTATATCATTATTAAGACAACTGTCGGGGCTGTTGGGTGGCCTTCCTGGTTTCTCCACTGACTTGCCTTTTGATTTTTGGATGTCAGCTCCAGGACCTTCACTCTCCATGCCTAAAGGAAGGCCTAATGCTTTAAAGAAACATTCTGAGGCTCAGGTGATTTCAATCCAACCAATATTAATTGATCATCTGCAATGTGCTAAGCCTGCAAGGAATCAAAAAAATGAATGAAGAATATCTTCCATAAGGAGCTTACAAAAGAGTAAAGAGGATGAGACAGGTACACTATACAAAGACTGTGTTGAGCTTAGAATTCCAGGTTGATAGCTAGGTGGTGTGAGAAGCAAAAGCAAACAGTGAAGCATCCGGGAGCACTTTACCTACGTGTATCTCATTTGCACGTCACAATAACTCAATGAGGAAACTGAGTCACAGAGAGGCTAGGTAACTTCTCCAAGGTCATTCAACCAGGCAGGGGTGAAACTGAGCTCATATTGGAACCCACATCTCAGGGAGCAGGGATTCCTCTTTCTTTCAATCAGGATGTACTTCTACAGGCCAGGTGCGATGGCTCACACCTGTAATCCCAGCACTTTGGGAGGCAGAGGTGAGCCAATCACCTGAGGTCAGGAGTTCAAGACAAGCCTGGCCAACACTTAGTGAAACCTAGTCTCCACTAAAGGCACAAAAATTAGCCGGGCGTGGTGGTGTGCATCTGTAATCCCAGCTGCTAGGGAGGCTGAGGCAGGAGAATCACTTGAACTCGGGAGGCGGAGGTTGCAGTGAGCCAAGATTGCACCACTGCACTCCAGCCTGGGTGACAGAGCAAGACTCCATCTTTTAAAAAAAAAAAAAAAGAAAGATGTACTTCTGCAACTTGAAACAGCTTTGTAAGATTTGGTGGAGGATTTGCAGACCGTGGATTTCTAATGTATCCATGAACCATATTTTTATTTCCAACAGGTCATGGATTGACGGCAGTCAAGGAAAAAGCAGGAGCCACTCTACGGATTCATGGTGTAAATTCTGGATCTTCTGAAGGAGCCCAACCAAATACTGAAAACGGAGTCCCTGAAAGTGAGTGATGTGTCTCCTCTGGGTGTTCTTGGACTTTATTACACCATGTGCATAATCAGAGGTTTTCCAAGTTCAGATCAGCGACGTGAACTCTTAAAGGATTTCTTTTTTCTCTTTAGTAACAGATGCAGCCACAGATCAGGGCCCTGCAGAAAGCCCACCCACTTCCCCTTCATCAGCCTCTCGGGGTATGCTGTCTGCCATCACCAATGTGGTTCAAAACACAGTGAGTCGCTGGCTGCTTCCTCTCTTTCCCCTGTATTTCCCAGGGCCTTCTTTTGATATTTCCATTTACCAGTGACCTAGATACATCAGAGAAACGATGGCCTTGCTCAGAACTTTGGATTATGGTTTTTTTTTTAATGTTTTCTGCTACAAAGTAGACGTAACCTTGGATTCAAAATAATAAGGGCAAAATGAAATATATTTTATGTTTAAAAGAAGGGAGCTGTTTGGAAGGAACATTTTTCAGTCTGATTTAACAGTGTCCTTTCCAGCTGCGGCAAGGACAGCCTCTGGTTGAGGGGAGAGAGAACTCTTTATCAGAGCTGGGACAGCTGTTTTTCCTAAATGCTCTGCTTATCTTATCCCTGAGTTTGAAAAAGCATTAAACCGTTTAAATAAAAAGTACCCGTTACAAGACAGGAAAAACAGCCCAAATATGTTTCTGAAGTGTTTCCAGAGACCAGCGTTCTTCCCCCATCCCTACCTCTTCATTCCCACCCTTCCTCCTCCTTACACCACCCTAAGTGTATCCCCCTAGATCCCTGCCTACCTCTTAGAAGAAGCTCCATATTAGCAGCAAAACATTGGTGAATAATGAAAAAAGGGGAGGCACCTCAACTGAGATAAGGCAGGTAGCTGGTCATCAGGGTCAGGGAGCAAAGATTTATTTTGTTTTTTCTTTTGTTTTTTTGAGATGGAGTCTCACTCTTGTCACCTAGGCTGGCGTGCAGTGGTGCAATCTCGGCTCACTGCAACCTCCGCATCCCTGATTCAAGTGATTCTCCCACCTCAGCCTCCCAAGTAGCTGGGATTACAGGTGCCCACCACCACACCCAGCTAATTTTTGTGTTTTTAGTAGAGATGGGGTTTCACCACGTTGGCCAGGCTTGTCTTGAACTCTTGACCTCAGGTGATCCTCCTGCCTCGGCCTCCCAAAGTGCTGAGATTACAGGTGTGAAGGTGTATTTCTTACTATGTAAACTAACTAGTTTTTCTAAAAATATGGCTCGTGTCTCATTTAGTCATTCATTCATTCATTCATTCATTAAAAGAAAAACAACAACACAAACATGATTAGCCCTCACTATGTTCCAGTATCTATGCTAGATCTTGGATATATGCTGGCAAACAAGAGGGCACAATATCCCAGAGGACTGAGGCGACTGAACAAATAAACACAATGTAATTCGGGAAGAGGTGAGGGCTGCGGTCAAACATGAGAGGATCTCACCCAGACCTTGGGGTCAGGACATGCCAGAAATATAGAAAATGACTGGTCTTCTCCTTGCTATTTGAGGACCTCTAGACTGGGGTGGGGGAAGTAAGGAGGAGCAGCAAATCTGTCTTAGGAGTCAAGTAGCAATACAAGTCAACCACCCCCGTGGGGGGTTTGTAGGATGGGAGATGGATGGAGCTCTGTCAGTACCTCTGGTATAAGAAATGAATTCACGGCCTATCTGAGCTACCAAGAGGGCACTATGAGTTTGTCTTCAGCAGCCTCACATTCCTTTCTGTGTTCTCTCCAACCTTCTTGACCCCTTTTTCCCAAGTTCCAGACACTACCCCTCCAAGTCTATCCTTAACACAAATCCCTGTGTCCTTTCTTCCACCATTTTATTCTCAATAAAATAATTTTTCATAGGATGTTAGCAGGCACTAAGTCAAATTACACAGAAGTGTGAATTGCTGCTGTCCCATCATCCCCCCGAAGTGTGCGCACTGAAAACTGATTTACAGCATGATTACTGGTTGGCTCCCAAATCTAAAAACAAAGTCTAAATACCCAAGATGAAAATAAAGTATATTAATTCTATGAAATTAAATACTTCTATTTAAATGATAATTATGAAGATTGGAAAATGCATATCAGTAATAATATCATAATAAAATACAATTTATATCATTTTTATATATGGTGGGGAAAAACACAGATGTATGCATATTATAATTGCAGTTATACAGTTGGAGTGTAAGTATGAAAGAGTTGCAAAGACATGTATGCAGTTCTGTTCACTTGAATAGTTTATGTGTGAGTAAGTCTGGGTTATTTTAATTTTTTAAAAAAAGCAACAATGACTGACAAAGGGATTTGCAGGAGGATAGCTATATAATACACCAGTTTCTAAAGCCAGAAGTACAAGGAAATCAACCTGTCTCATTTCATGGATATACTAATTATAGGCAGTTATTGCTAGTTTCTGAGAGTATGCAAGAACCATCTGAAACAGCCTGAGGGTCTTACCCTCCAGGGCCCTAGATTAAAGAATTCCCTAAATTAGCAGGACTGTTTGACATTTTAATAGACTGCTCCAAGCAACTCTGTTACTTGGGTTAAAAAAATTTTTAAACAGAAACAGCAATTTATTTTATGTTAATTTTATGTCTTAGCAATTTATTTTATGTTAATTTTATGTCTTAGATACACATCCATTCATACACAGAGAGCCAGTAAAATTAATCCCTTTGTGGGATTAATTTTATTTTATGTGCTTTGGTTTTTTTCTAAGCATCAGTCTTTAATAACATTGTATGTCCTACAAATTATATAACATATGCTTTTCCAAGGAAACGAGAATAGGATTAAATGGATGATAAATCTCCTGATGAGAAAAAATTGTGACTTTATATTGATTTTAATATTTGAAGATAGTGCCAGTTACCTAGGAGTTGCTGACTGCTGCGAAACAGCAAAACCTAAACATCTAATCTCATGCAGTTATCTCATCTGCAGGGTAAAAGTGTCTTAACTGGAGGCCTTGATGCGTTGGAATTCATCGGCAAGAAAACCATGAATGTCCTTGCAGAAAGTGACCCGGGCTTTAAGCGGACCAAGACGCTCATGGAGAGAACTGTTTCCTTGTCTCAGGTTGGATTATATACGTTTGCAATTTTTTCTTTCAGTCAATAAAGTAAATAAATTTTTTATTTATCTTTTTGAATAGCTCATTTAAAGCATGTGATTCAAATCAAATGACACCAAAGAGCAGAGAGAGAAAACTGAGCTTCTAATACCCCCATTTCCCCAGTCACTTAATTCCTCAGAGGAGACAACCAGTTAACAGTTCCTTAAGGATTCTATCAGAGACCGCAGAGAGATATGGATATAGATCTATAGATGCAGCTATACATAAATATACAGATGTAAAAGTACATATGTATGCATGTGGATAGACATGCACATAAATACACACATATTTTTTCAACCCAGTGGTAACATACTAAACACACTCTTGTTCCTTGCTTAATTCACTTAATATTATTTCTTGAAGATGATCCATTTATGTCATGGTATGCATCCCATCTCTACCACTTAGTAGCTGAGTGACCTTGGGCAAGTTACTTAGCCCCTCTGTGCCTCAGCTTACTCATCTGTACACTGGGGATAATTTAAATACCTACCAATAACTTTGTTGTGAGGATACGCTGAGTTAGAATAGAACCCAGCTCTTAGTAAGCATTCAGAAATGTTAGTTGTTGTCATTGCCGTTATTATGTGTCGGTATAATAGGTGGAAATGGTATCTCATTGGAATTTTAAATTCTGTTTCTCTTGATATGTGCAAGGATGGTCTTCTCCTCTCACACTTCCAGCACTAAAGTTTTCCAGCCCTTCTTGCAAAACATAAAACAAAGAATTCAATCTGTCTTTGCTTACTTACAATAGTTAAGAAAATTGGAAATAATATTAGTCTTGTTTTCCAAATATGACTCTAATATTAAACTTACTTTTCCAGATGGAACATGCCTAGCTTACCCCACAATCCAGGCATGCCCCAGTCCACCTCCTCCACGAGAGACTGATACACCAGGTCTCTGTGCTTTCCTGAAATCAGAAGCAGCTGATGCAGCAGTGGATTTTGTAAACGTCACAGGCAGGACTTGGTACTAGGAACCCATGAAGGTTGCCTTCATGAACAGCTATCACTGAGAATATGTTCATGGCAACCCCTAGAAGCTTTTGTTTTAGGCTATTTCTTCTTGTCTCTTCTGGAATAACCCAAGTATGAGCACTCCGATGTTATAGTCCAGGGAGGGACTTTGCAGGATCATCTAGACCATCACCCTGCTGCTCCTTGAAAAAGAAAATAGATGGCTGGGCACAGTGGCTCATGCCGGTAATCCCAGCACTTTGAGAGGCCGAGGCGGGCAGATCACCTGAGGTCAGGAGTTCGAGACCAGCCTGGCCAAGATGGTGAAACCCTGTCTTTACTAAAAATACAAAAAAAAAAATTAGCCGGATGTGGTGGCGAGCACCTGTAATCCCAGCTACTCGGGAGGCTGAGGCAGGGGAATTGCTTGAACCAGGGAGGTGGTGATTACAGTGAGCCGAGATTGTGCCACTGCACTCTAGCCTGGGCAATAAAGCAGGACTGCATCTCAAAAAAAAAAAAGAAGAGAAAGGAAAATAGATTAGTATTAGTTAGGTAATTAGCACTAGATGTCATGAAAGAACAACCACCCCTAAGTATCAGTGTGGCTTAGAACAAAAAGGTTTACCTTTCGCTCTCACAAAGTGCAGCATGAATATTCCTGCTCACACAGGAGCTCGTCCCAGGGGGCTCTCATGGCTAGCACACTTCTGAGCCCACATCTTCTGGCCTCATCATCTTGAAATGCCTTACTTCCAGCCTCACAGAGAGGGGATGTGGAAGGCAATATCTGGTATTTCAGAAAGTGACGAGCGAGTGCCATGGGGAAAAAGACAAAGTAGAACAGGAAGAGGTGATGAGGAATCAGAAATGTGGGTGTGAGGGGCAGGCTGAGTGTTAAGTAGGATAGTGAGGGGGCCTTGGGCAGATGATGACATGTGAGCAAATCCTTGAAGGAGATGAGAGCATTGGCCATGCAGGAACCTGAGTAAAGCTCATTCCAGGCCAAGGGAGAACTCACGCAAAGGCCCTGAGTCAGGAGTGTCTGGCATGAACACAGAACAGCAGGATGCCCGTGATGGAGAGGAGTGGGCTCCGGGCGAGAGCTGTTGAGGAGGACATCAGAGTGGTGATAGGGAGTAGGTGATAGCAGATCATGGCAGACATTCGTAAGGACCTTGGGTTTGACTGTTAGTGAAATGGGGAAACCATTGCAGCATTTTGAGAAAAGAAGTGACAGAATCTGATTTGTGCTTTAACAGGACCACTCTGGTTCCTGGGTAGAAAATTGGCTGGGAGGACCAAGGGCAGGGAGACTGGTTAGAGTGACTATCAGTCTGTGCCCTCCCAGAAACAGACACCAAGATGGGCTTAAACATGCAAGGATTTCATTAGGGGAAGTGCTTGTGTGAGAGAAAATGGGGAGGGAGCCCAGGAAGGCTGGGAGAACCATTAGACCAGGATGCCGGTCCCACCCCAGTGAAGAGAAGAGGGTGAGAAAAATGGGTGAAAGTGTCCCAGACTGCAGTGCGGCATGGGAAAGGCTGGGCGAAGCCATGGGAAAGCCCTTCAGCCAAAGGCTGCTGACAAAGGAGACCTCATCTTCCAGGAACAGGTCTGCCTTAGTGCCCTGCTGCACCAGTGATTGACAGGGAAGAGCTGTGGGAGGCTGAAGGCTGGATTTCGAAGTCCAGCATTTATGCTCCCAGGAGTAGGAGGGAGGTCTGCAGGTTGCACTGTCACACCCTCCACTGGAGGCAATTGCACTTTCAATTGCTGTTATCTAAACAAGAGATAATGGTGGCCCTGTGCAGCATGGAGGCCTTGTAGGTAGTGAGGAATGGCTGATTCTGGCTATAATTTGAAGATAGATCCAGATCGCTTGTTGGAATGAATGTGAGCTGTGAGATAAAAGCAGTTGTCAGGGATGGCTCCAAGGTCTTTCGGACAACTGGAAGGATGAAGCTCACATATTTTTCCTTTACACACTAAAGAAATATATAACTATGGAAACTAGAAGCGTGCACGCGTGCACTACCTACATTTCTCACGTATTTTTATCCTAGTGGCACAGGGAATACTCTTTCTTTTTCTTTCTTTCTTCTTTTTTTTTTTCTTTTTTTTTCTTTTTTCTTTTTTTTTTTTTTTTTGAGACAGAGCCCTCACTCTGTCGCCCAGGATGGAGTGCAGTGGCGCGATCTTGACTCACTGCAACCTCCGCCTCCTGGGTTCAAGCAATTCCCCTGCCTCAGCCTCCTGAGTAGCTGGGATTACAGTGTGCACCACCACGCCCGGCTAATTTTTGTATTTTTAGTAGAGACGGGGTTTCACCATGTTGGCCAGGCTGGTCCCGAACTCCTGACCTCAAGTGATCCACCCTATTTGGCCTTGAAAAGTGCTGAGAGTACAGGCATGAGCCACCGCACCCAGCCAAGCGCAGGGAATACTCTTTAAATAACACGGGGACAGGGGGTCCTTGGATTCCACACATGGAAGTCTCCATAGCTTCTCTGTGTCAGGAATTCTTCCAGGCCAGGATCATTCCCTGCTATTGAAACCCACTTCCCTTTCTTCTCTAGTGGGAAAATAGAACCAGCCTCCGTTGTCAAGCTGGTTATCCCTCAGGCAGCTTTAATTTCACTCCCCAGTTGTGTTTTGTTTGTTTGTTTGTTTTGAGATGGAGTCTCACTCTGTCACCCAGGCTGGAGTGCAATGGCGCAATCTTGGCTCACTGCAACCTCCTCCTCTTGGCTTCAAGTGATTCTCCTGCCTCCCTCCTGAATAGCTGGGATTACAGGTGCCCGCCACCATGCCCAGCTAATTTTTTGAATTTTTAGTAGAGACAGGGTTTCATCATATTGGCCAGGCTGGTCTTGAACTCCTGACCTAGTGATCGGCCCACCTTGGCCTCCCAAAGTGCTGGGATTACAGGCGTGAGCCACCGCGCCTGGCCTACTCCCCAGTTTTGAGTGAGTCCACATCTTTCCAGAGTGACCCTTTCCCTTTCTCTTCAATTTCATCCCTTCTTTTTTCTCTCCCGAAGCCCACATTCGGAGGTGGAAGCTGGTGTAGAGAAAGGAAGTGATTTCAGTGTCACTTTGTTATTTTATTTTACCACCACCAAGTCCTGAGATCAGTGCGGGTAATTAGTTTTTATTGCCAGTGTTAAAATTTTCCAGTGATGGTTTCATTGGGTTGTTTGAAAAACTTTAAGATTCAGAGTCTGTGCTAATTTAGTCTTAAAGACAGACAGGAGAGAGAATTCTCTTTGCGGCCCTGTGGGTTCTTGGCAGATAACCTCGAGAACCCAGAAGGAAATAAGGCTGATTGTTTTTCTGGCACACAATAAAAACCAAAGTCTATTCTTCAGTTGTCTTCCCCTGTGACCTTGTGGTGGTGGCCAGTGTCTTTACAGTGCTTTCCACAGAAATTAAAGAACCCCATACACGTAATGCCTCAGTAAACTTAATGAGGAATCACATAAAAGATGCTTAGAATCAAAAACGCAAGTGCAGAAAATTGAGAGTGACTGATGGACTTGTGTTTATTTGTTGTCTTTTTGCTTAACCAACAAAAAATAACTGGAGAAAAGTTATTAATGGGGAGAGGAAACTTGGTTCACAGTCATATTTCTGGAAACCAGACTTAAGAATCTATAAGCTAATGTTCTTTTTTGTTTTTTTGTTTTGAGACCAAGTCTCACTCTGTTGCCCAGGCTGGAGTGCAACGGCGCAGTCTCGGCTCACTGCGCCTCCGGGTTCAACCTCCGCCTCTCCTGCCTCAGCCTCCTGAGTAGCTGGGATTACAGGCATGCACCACCATGCCCGGCTAATTTTTGTATTTTTAGTAGATACGTGGTTCCACCATGCCAGGCTGGTCTCGAACTCCTGACCTCAAGTGATCTGCCCATCTCAGCCTCCCGAAGTACTAGAATTACAGGTGTGAGCCACCGTGCCTGGCCCTAAGTTAATATTCTTAATTGCAGTAAGTATATGATGACAAATACATTATGAGATTATGTTTATTAATTTTTAAATTGAGGAAATTTAATAACCACGTACACAAAATTTTTAAAATATTAAAACTCGGCCAGGTGCAGTGGCTCACGCCTGTGATCCCAGCGCTTTTGGAGGCCAAGCTGGGTAGATCACCTGAGGTCAGGAGTTCGAGACCAGCCTGGCCAACATGGTGAAACCCCATCTCTACTAAAAATACAAAAAAATTAGCTGGCTGTGGTGGCGGGTGCCTGTAATCCCAGCTACTCGGGAGGCTGAGGCAGGAGAATCACTTGAACCTGGGATGGGGAGGTTGCAATGAGCTGAGATCGTACCCTTGCACTCCAGCCTGGGCAACAAGAGCTAAACTCCATCTCAAAAAAATAAAATAAAATAAAAAATTATAACTTAGAAAAAATCAGGCCAGCTTATTTCTGCTTTGACGTCTGTGTAGGTGCAGGACTTAAAGTTAATCCTGTCATAAGAGATTCAACTTTTCAAGCATACATAAAACTCGCTCATTATAGAAAATTTGGGGACTTTAGAAAATAAGAAATTTGGCCGGGTGCAGTGGCTCACACCTGCAATCCCAGCATGTTGAGAGGCTGAGGGAGGAGGATCACTTGAGGTCAGGAGTTTGAGACCAGTCTGGGCAACATGGTGAAACCCTGTCTCTACCAAAAAATACAAAAATTAGCTGGGCATGGTGGCAAGGGTCTGTAGTCCCAGCTCCTCAGGAGGCTGAGGCAGGAGAATCGCTTGAACCCGTGGGGCGGAGGTTGCAGGGAGCCGAGACTGTGCCACTGCACTCCAGCCTGAGCAACAGAGTGAGACTCCATCTCAAAATAAATAAATAAAATAATAAGAAAATAAGAAAGTTAATCACTCATGTGGGAAACGCCTCAGTGGAAACCACTGTTAAAGCTTTTGGTGTGTTTCTTAACAGTTTATTCCCAGGCATTGAATTTTTGCTTTGTTTTGCCTTTCACATAATGAACATGTAAAATGTGAAGTAGGATATGATGTAAAAGTTATCAATAGGATCAATCAAAAAAATCATTTTTTAGAAATTCTAAAGTGACCAGAATCTCCCCCTCTCCAACACAAAATCAGTCCTCCCAACCTCCCCCATGTCTTACACAGGAAACGGTGCTTTTAAATGTACATCCAGAGTACAAACATTGTGTATTTCTGCAGATGTTAAGGGAAGCTAAGGAGAAGGAGAAGCAGAGACTGGCACAGCAGCTCACGATGGAGAGAACCGCGCACTACGGGATGCTGTTTGATGAATATCAAGGCTTGTCACACCTGGAAGCCCTGGAAATTCTGTCCAATGAAAGCGAAAGCAAGGTACTTCTGCACTACTCGTTTGAAATGGCATGCTTAGTCATGTGTTGCTTAAACATGAAAGAAACTGGAAAATCTGCCATTAAAAGATCTCATTTTTAGAGCCTCATTATTATTGTGCTGAGGTCAGAAATACTGTACAATGGGATGACCCTCGAGCTCCATATCATCTCTTCTCTGTCCTATGCTAAGCTATTACCCCACCCCAGCTCCAAAAAGGCCTGCACAGTAAGAGCCACCACTATCCCCCCACCTCATGGTGCAAAAGGCTGCTCAGAAATGTGGCTGTCCAGCTGCTGGCCCTCTGCCTCCCTTTGGTAACGAAGTACCCAGGTCAGAGATGCCCTGCCAGCCCACATCTTCATTCCTACCCAATGCAAACAAAGCACTTGATGTTCCTTTTAGACTTCAGGGTTTTAATATATTTTGTCTTATGGGTTATATAGTTATTTATTCAGCCATCTTGTTAGGACTCCTGGGCCACAAAGGGCAGGATTATCTTACTGAAGGTTAAGGTTCTATTAGGGAATGCTCCCGTACACACACCTGGGAAACCCAGCCTACCCAATGGCCCTGCACATTCATACTCCTCCACTTGGTCCCAGGAAAACAAAAGATGAATAGCAAAAGTCAGCAGGGTTTGGTGATTTTTTTCCCTTAAAGCATCTATAGTGGTGTGTGTGTGTGTGTGTGTGTGTGTGTGTGTGTGTGTGTGTGTGTGTGTTTATTTAGCAAGCACTTAATGGCACTTACATA
Source organism: Homo sapiens (assembly GCF_000001405.40). Lineage (NCBI taxonomy): Eukaryota > Metazoa > Chordata > Mammalia > Primates > Hominidae > Homo > Homo sapiens. The sequence goes on from NC_000004.12 coordinate 38,915,827, forward strand.
GCCACTATTCTAAATACCATAAAACTGTTAACTTATTTAACTGTATATATGTGGCTGTTTTGTGGATGTCAGGCTGACTGTGCTCCGGAGTGGTTTTCTAGTGGAGGCCACCAGGCAGTACCCTCTGGGCCTCCAGAGAGGGAGGGGCCGTGGTGACATTCATTGAGGAGAGGCAGGTCCCTAGACAAGAAGCTCAATTTGGCAGTGAGCCTTAGAATGGAGAAGTAGTTTTTGACTCTCCCTAGACCTTATCCTGTTATGTTTGGACTTTGAGCCATTCTTGATGCCTGTCTAATCAGAGAAAGACAACATCTGCCACATAACAGGCAACCAAGAACCAAATAGGATGGAGACATTGTCCCCTGCCCCAGATGATGGAGCTACATGTTACTCTGTTTATTTCCTTCTTTGTTATCCATGAGCCTTCAGGGAAAGTCTTGTGGTTAAAACTGTTCAAGAATAATTTTCAAAAAGGGCAAAATTGGGACTCTCATACAGATACAACATGACCTATGTTAAAGGATTTATTTAGCTCATTAATTAATTCAGGGAACCAAGCAGATGTTATAAATGATTCAAAGGAAAAGCCAAAGAAGCACAAATGTGTGTGGAGTAATATGTATGTGGCTATACACCGTGGAATACTATGCAGCCATAAAAAAGAATGAGTTCATGTCCTTTGCAGGGACATGGATGAAGCTGGAAACCATCATTCTCAGCAAACCAACACAAGAACGGAAAACCAAAACTGCGTGTTCTTACTCATAAGTGAAGTTGAACAATGAGAACATATGGACACAGGGAGGGGAACATCACACACCGAGGCCTGTCGGGGGTAGGGGGCAAGGGGAGGGATAGCATTAGGAGAAATCCCTAATGTAAATGACAGGTTGATGAGTGCAGCAAACCACCATGGCACGTGTATACCTATGTTAACAAACCTTCACGTTCTGCACATGTATCCCAGAACTTAAGTATAATAATTAAAAAATATATGAAGGTGCCAATAGACACAAACCTGCTTTTCCACATAGGGGAGGTTGTCCTCCCACTGCACAGAATTCATTCACATGACTATTGACAACAATGGCTTTGCATTGTTGTCAGCCCTTTACAATTTACAGAGTCATAAAATTGCTCCGATAAATTCAGAATCCAATAGTCCAGTAAGATGTGCTCTAGAAAATGCAGTTCTTAGCCAGGCGCAGTGGCTCATGCCTTAATCCCAGCACTTTGGGAGGCCGAGGTGGGCAGATCACCTGATGTCAGGAGTTCAAGACCAGCCTGGCCAACATGGTGAAGCCCCATCTCTACTAAAAATACAAATAAATAAATAAATAAATAAATAAATAAATAAATAAAAAAGCTGGGCATGGTGGCAGGTGCCTGTAATACCAGCTACTCAGGAGGCTAAGGCAGGAGAATCGCCTGAACCTGGGAGGCAGAGGTTGCAGTAAGCCGAGATCGTGCCACTGCGTTCTGGCCTGGGCGACAGAGCAAGACTCTGTCTCAAAAAAAAAAAGGCAAGGTCTGGAGTCAGACATTATTTAATTAAACACCATGCAGAAGCTGTATGATTTTGGACCCCCTTACCTCAATCTCCTTATCTGTGAAATGGGAATAATAAAATCTACCTCACAGAATTATTAACAGAATTAAATGAGATAATCCATGGAAAGCTAGTAGCAGCATGACTAACACAGAAGTAAGCACTGAATAATGTACACATGTTGATGACAGTTGATTTTTATATGCGTTCTTATGTCATAGACATTTGTTGTTATTAAAAATATCACAGGGGAGCGTGGCCCTGCTGTAAAAAAAACATTACAAGATATCATGGTGGTGGAGAATGATTCCATTGTGGTGACTTCCATCACAGCTCTCAGCTGTGAAACAGCCCCAGGGCCCTGGAAAAGAGCCCCCAAGGACTTAGTTTCTAGGAAGAAGGTTCGGCCTTTGGAGGGGAACAGTTTGCCCATTGCCTCCACAAGCTCTGCTTTCTTTCCCTAGCCTGGAGATTTTTGTGATATTCATAGTAAGGAAAATAAATTTTTGTCTTGACTTAGTAATGATAGTTAATGGGTACTATAATAAACAGTCCTACAGGCCAGGCGCGGTGACTCACGCCTGTAATCCCAACACTTTGGGAAGCTGAGACAGGCGGATCACCTGAGGTCAGGAGTTCGAGATCAGCCTGACCAACATGATGAAACCCCGTCTCTACTAAAAAAAAAAAAATACAAAATTAGCCGGGCATGGTGACGCATGCCTTTAATCCCAGCTATTCGGGAGGCTGAGGCAGGAGAAACACTTGAACCCAGGATGTGGAGGTTGTGGTGAGCCGAGATCGCGCCATTGCACTCCAGCCTGGGCAGCAAGAGCGAAACTCCGTCTCAAAAAACATAATAAATAAATAAACAGTCCTACAAATGTATGGGTCAAAAACAGTAAGAGTTATTCTTCACTCCTGTAATAGTCCAAGATAGGAGTGCCTGGTCAGCAGGCAGCATTCCTGCATTTAGGGCTTCAGGAACCAGACTGTGTCCGTCTTGTGGCTCCGCTAGGCCCGTTCCAAGGTACACAGGCCTCCAGCAAGAAAACAAATGGAGGCTTAGACTGAGGTTGACACACGTAGCGAATAAAAATACGGGATGACTAGTTACATTTTAACTTTAGATGAACAATGAATACTTTTTCAGTATAAATGTGTCCCATGCAATATTTGGGACACATACTTATATGTAGAAAATATTCACTGTTTATCTGAAATTCAAGCTTAGCTAGGCATCCTGTATTTTATCTGGCAACCCTACACATACCAAGTATTTAAAAGTTAAATAATTTTGGGGCCAGGCACGGTGGCTCACACCTGTAATCCCAACACTTTGGGAGGCTGAGGCGGGCAGATCACTTGAGGCCAGGAGTTCGAGACTAGCCTGACCAACATGGCAAAACCCTGTCTCAAATAAAAATACAAAAATTAGAGCCAGGCATGGTGGCACTGCCTATGGTCTAAGGTAGATGTAAAACCGGGTGAGCTGGCTGGGCACAGTGGCTCACGCCTGTAATCCCAGCACTTCAGGAGGCCGAGGCAGGTGGATCACCTGAAGGCCAGGAGTTCAAGACCAGCCAGGCCAACAAGGCAAAACCCCATCTCTACTAAAAATACAAAAATTAGCAGGGTGTGATGGCACATCCCTGTAATCTCAGCTACTCGGGAGGCTGAGGCACGAGAGTCACTTGAACCTGGGGGGCGGAGGTTGTAGTGAGCCGAGATCACACCACTGCACTGCAGCCTAGGTGACAGAATGAGACTCTGTCTCAAAAATAATAAAAATTAAAACGGTAAAGAACTTTAGAAACAAATTGTTAAAGAAAATGTATTCCATCCTCTTAACTTGACAAACATACTTGTATAATGACCTGGAAGGCCAAGTTCCCATTTGAATTCCCAGACTCCTCAAATTTGAATTCCCAGACTCTGCTTCAGCCTGCCTGCCTCCTATCTGCAGCTCTATCTCTCACCCCAGGGAACGTTATGTGGCTGTGGGAGGATGCCCTAGTTCAAGCTCCAGCCATACCCCCTGTAAGCAGCACCTCTTAGCTATCCCGTGGGCTGAGGGATACACAGCCAGTGGCACCATCCCACTGTCAGGAGCACAGCCTAGGGAAGAGTTCCATGCAGGCTGTGAGAGGGACCCTTTGGTGACCTGGAGAGTATTCTAGAATGGAGATGTGGGCTCTGGTGGGACCATTTCTTGGGCCTGGGGACTCCCCTGTGTTGAAGCCTAAAGGCAGTGTTGGATTTCCCTGCCCTCTGAGGGCTTATTGTCTTCTGAGTCACATCAGCATAAGGAGAGAGAGTGTAGAGAGGACACTCCCATGTTTTAAAAGCCTTGCCTAGAAATGATGCACATCATCCCTGCTGACAGTCATGATGCACATCTTCTCTGCTGACAGTCCATTGGCTGAAACTCAGACCCCATCATGGAAATATAAGGAATTACTATCGTTACTATTTTACTAGATTGATTCTAGGATGGCAACAGGCATGGCGATGCGGTGTTTGATAAAGGTTAAAGAGAAACTAATCATTTTCGGCTGGGCGCGATGGCACACCTGTAATCCCAGCACTTTGGGAGGCCAAGGTAGGCAGATCACTTGAGGTCAGGAGTTTGAGACCAGCCTGGCCAACATGGCGAAACCCTGTCTCTACAAAAAATACAAAAATTAGCAGGGAGTGGTGGCGTGTACCTATAGTCCCAGCTACTCAGGAGACAGGCAGGAGAATCGCTTGAACCCGGGAGGCGGAGGTTCCAGTGAGCCAAGATTGCACCACTGCACTCCAGCCTGGGCAGCAGAATGAGACCCGTCTCAAAAAAAAAAAAGAACAGAAAAACTAATCATTTTCATCACCATTATACTCCACAGTTAGGAATAGTAAACAAAAATCTTCACAATGGCAGCACACACCTCCTTTCAAGGAAAAGATTTATAAGACAGCCTCTCTACCCTGTGTCCTGAACAACACTCAGCACTGTGCCAAGCATATAGTCAGCATTCCATAAATACTTATGGAGAAGTGTGTGATTATGTCATATTTATTATTGGATTGAACTAAAGATTCAATGCACATGGCCTTGGCATAATGCAATGAGCTAGGAGAAAGCAGGAGAGATGCTATAGTGGAAAGATGCTGACAAAAGAGTGCTTCGCTAAAGAAAACCCTTCCCAGGGGTGCCCCAAATGGAAAACCCCAATGCTCTCCCTTCCAGATGATTGCCATCCGCCAGAAGACATAGGCAAACACAAATGTTCCACAGGTCTGCATACCTTTTCACTAAGCATGGTATTCAAACACATTTATTCAATAATTAATGTTAGAAAACTGCAGTTTAGAAAATAGATCTGAAGCCTAAGAATACGTTGATGCACATCTGGGACCCTGACCCCTAAACATGAGTGTGCGAGCTGAAATGAAGAGTCTGAGAAGGTCAGGGCAGAACGGAGTGGCGTGCAGCCATGAGTCTGGGCACATTTACTTCCACCTGCTGAACTCCACGCTAATGGGTTTTGTGTTGATGACTTCCTGCAGAGCTTCCTCCCAGAGCCTCAGTGCTGGCTGCATTATGCCCTGGCAATGAGCTTTAGCAACTTTTAGGAAAATGGTGTCCTGGTATCCCAGATGCCCTCTCTACCTCTCTCAGTTATCCCGATGTGCTCATCTATTACCACAATGAATATTAAAACCTATTCCAAAGAGGACTACGGCTCCACCGCTGTCTCTCTCGCCAGAGCAAGAGTTTGACCTGCAGAATGAAAAAATAAAACTTTACTACTTTATACTTATACTTAATATTTTATAAGGTGCCTTCCCTGTGCCCTTTTACCATTTTGGAAATTCAAATCAATCTTCAGAGAATGAGCGGCCATCTGTACAAATAATGTTCTGTTTTTTTTGAAACAGGATCTTGCTGGAGTGCAGTGGCACAATCATAGTTCACTGCAGCCTCAAACTCCTGGGCTCAAGCAGTCCTCTTACCTCAGCCTCTTGAGCAACTGAGACCACAGGCGTGCACCAGCATTCCTGGCTAATTTTCTTAAAATTTTTTATAGAGATGGGGTCTCACTATGTTGATTGCTTGAGCCCTCAAACTCCTGGGCTCAAGTGATCCTCCCGCCTCAGCCTCCCAAAATGCTGGGATTACAGGGGTGAACCACCATGCCTGGCCTGTACAAATAATTGTTAACTGTATACAGAGGATAGTTTCAAAAGAGGGGCTCTAAAGACAGTGAGCAGGGAAGACGTCAGTCCCAGCATCACCTCCTCTGTGAAGCCCTCCCTGTGTGTACCCTCTCAGTTCCCCAAGGGGGAAGGACAGTGCCCTTCCTAGTGCTTCCCTCCACTGTACCCTCCTCTCATGCCTGTCATAGTTGTTCTTGGTTGACACAGCCTCACTCCTTTAGCCTGCAAGATGTTGGAGAAGAAAAATGTGTCTTGTGCATTTTTGTAAACCCAGTGTGATAACTGACATCTAGCAAGTATATATGTGCATCTATAGATGCGTATTTATTTATGTTTATATATGGATGCATGTTTGTTTATTTATTTATTCATTCATTTATTTTTTGAGATGGAGTCTCGCTCTGTCACCAGGTTGGAGTGCAGTGGCGCGATCTCGGCTCACTGCAAACTCCGACTCCCTGGCTCAAGGGATTCTCCTGCCTCAGCCTCCTGAGTAGCTGGGATTACAGGCATGCACCACCACACTCAGCTAATTTTTGTATTTGTAATAGAGACGGGGTTTCACCCTGTCGGCCAGGATGGTCTTGATGTCCTGACCTCGTGATCCGCCTGCCTCGGCCTCCCAAAGTGCTGGGATTACAGGCGTGAGCCACCGCGTCTGGCCGTATGCATGTATATTTATAAGTATTGAGCATCACTCTAAGTATTTTAAGTAGATTACTTCATTTAACCCTCAAAACAACCTTATAAGGAGGTGCAATTAGTTTCCATTTTATGGATAAAGAAGCTGAGGCATTAAAAGGTTAAATAAGTTACCGAAGGTCATAGTAAGTGAGGAGCTGACATTTGACTGCAGGGTTGATGTCAAACTGCGTTTTTAACCACTGTGATAGAAGAGCTACCACCACCATTTATGCAGCACATACTGTGTGCAGTTGTGCAAAGTATTTCACATTTTGTATCTCATTTACTCCACAAAGAATCTCCCTTTAAAAATGAGAAAACTGAGACCCAGAGAGCTTATCTAACTTGCACAAAGTTGCACAGTTAACATGCATCAAGCCAACATTCAACCCAGCGATACCTCCCACACCATGAATCACTTTTGTCCTGGGAAAACTGGGGACCGCTGTGTGTAAACGTTATTAACGAGAAGAAAAGATGACAGTCGTGCTGACCTATTTCTTTTTTCAGGTTCAGTCATTTTTAGCATCACTTGATGGAGAGAAGCTGGAACTCTTAAAAAATGACCTAATTTCCATTAAAGACATCTTTGCAGCCAAAGAATTAGAGAATGAAGAAAATCAAGAAGAACAAGGTAAAGGAAAATAACTTAAATAGCAAGACAAACTGTTGGCATAATCCTTACGAAACTGCTGTTAATGAACACAGCCCTTTGAATTACTTAATTCAAGTGCTCCTCCTCCATGCTTCCAAAAGACACTGTGCATCTGCTCTTGTTACAGGAGCTGGTCACATTGATTTATAAGACTCTCTTTCACTGGTCGGGAACTCCTATTGGTCCTCTGGTGTTCGGCACAATCCCTGGCACATCACAGGCATGCAGTAAATGTGAATGCATATAGTCAGATAAACAAAGACTGCAATGTGCTAAGCAGAGCCCTGATGACTAGAGTTTATGCTGCCACTTTTTTTTTTTTTTTTTTGAGATGGAGTCTCGCTCTGTTGCCAGGCTGGAGTGCAGTGGCGTGATATCGGCTCACTGCAACCTCCACCTCCCGGGTTCAAGTGATTCTCCTGCCTCAGTCTCCTGAGTAGCTGGGATACAGGCGCTTGCCACCACGCCCAGCTAATTTTTGTATTTTTAGTAGAGACGGGGTTTCACTATGTTGGCCAGGATGGTCTCGATCTCTTGACCTCATGATCTGCCTGCCTCGGCCTCCCAAAGTGCTGGGATTACAGGCATGAGCCGCCTTGCCTGGCCTATGCTGCCACTTATAATTTTTATCTGCATGTGAAAGTTATTTAGTGTGATTAATGTTGATGGTGGGCAAATCTTTCCCTGAATTTTTTTGTATATTTTTCTTATTCCTTTTAATTTATAGGTGTAAGAGTTCGGGTATATTTGCAGGTGTCCTACGCTCTACCTAAAAAGTTCAGTTCTGACAAAGTCTGTACCATTTTCTGACAGTGCACCAGGGCATGCTACATCAGGTTGGCAACCACACTTCCCAATAATCTTCCACCCAGATGATAACTTGACCTCAAGGAGATTAGAACTTATTTTATGAGAAGCAAGGCTTCCTTAAGAGGGGAAAACTTATTCTCTGGGTTGGGCATGGTTAATGATTCCTTTAGGTTGTCCATTTGGGAGCAGAAGAGAGTAAAACATTTGCTATGTACTTGAAGAGAGATTTCTTACTGATGTCATAACCACCGACCCACAGTTGTTTTGTGTAGGTTATGCTGAAAGGTCAGACAACCTCAGAGACAGGTCTGGCTTCTCCTAGGACCTTTGGAAGGGTCCCATTTGAAACATTTTCACCATTTTCTTGCTATATGGCGTTAAACAAGTTATATACCCTTTCTGAAATGCAGTATCTTCACTTGTAAAATGGAGACAATGATATATATATCAGGTTCAAGAGCTGTTGTAGGGGGTCATGTTAGATAATATATCTAAAAACATATATTACAGTGCCTGGCACACAGAACTGCTCGAAAATGTTAGCTGTGCTTATTACTTAAAGTGCGAACACAATGCCAGGAAAAAGTAAAGGTGCAATAAAGTATAACTTTCATGTATTATTATGCTCGTTGTTATTACCCGGCATGCAAAGTAATGAGAATGTGCATTCTTAAATCGCTGGCAGTGTTTTGTGCCTGATGTGTTACATTCTTTTAATCAAAGCTCTGACACAAGAGCTCAAATGCTTGAGCCTTGATGTTCAGGGCGAAATTATTCTAGGCATTCAGAAACTGTCATTTAGACACCCTTTCCCTCTTTAGCTCCACACACTGACCTTACATGCCTTCAGCTTAATGAGATTTATGCTCATTGCATCAAAATAAAAGAATCAATTATACTGAAGCATAGAAAGAGGCCGTATCAGAGACAGTTGGGAATCATGTTTTTGAGCATTAGTATGTTCCTCCCGGAGTCACAAAGGATGACAGCCTTGTCTTTGTTTTTCTAATGAAGAAACTAAAACACTAGCTGTCAAAGGTCATGTAGCTCGCCTTGTGGACCCAGGATGAACTAATAGATGCCCCTTTCCCAGACTAGCAATCACCAAAAAGAATCAAGCTATTTCTCTTCAAGAGTCATGGTGTCTGAGGTAGACCTTGGTCCTATTAAGGGTGTCATTTAGAAAGGACAAAAAGAGAATCCCAGATTCCCCCCAACATCAAGGAGATATTGTTGCCAATGCAACTAAAGAAATATTGCATCCCCAACTGGTGCTATTCCTTGGAGGGGAAACTTAATTTCAACTTAAATAGAAAATGTTGCTGTAAGTGATGTGTTCTAGTCTTAGTGTAGACCTTCAGTAAATTCAGTTTCTTTAAATACACATTCACATATACACATAGAAAAACCTGAAGTGCGAACAGCATGCTTTAGCAATGGTAGGTTTGCCTCGCCTTAATTTGACAAAACCCTGTTATCTCCCATAATATATCAATTTTCCCAAGAGGGCATCTCCAGATTTTCAAAACACTGTTAATGTTAATTAACTTAATTTAATAAATAAATGTCCTTCAGAAACTTAATGAAGAACTGGGAGAAAAGAATAGACGTTGTCATTAAATCAATCCAATTATCGAGTGTCACAACCCCAGAAAGGTTCAGGGATTATGCAAAAGCTGTCGTAAGGAATCTTTGCAGTGGGGGAAATCCAGGAGCAATCCAGCAGAAAATCTAGGAGCAAAATTCTGGAAGAAAACTGAGCATTTTCATCCATTTTTTTCCTTGTAAGCATTATGTTCCTAAAAGCCCCCTAACAACTAAATAATTTATTTGGTACTCTCAGAAAATGTAATAAACTATCATTTTTTAGATGAATTTAATATCAGTCTCCTCTGCATTTAATAATGTTAGCTAATGATTTGCATGTTTGTTTTTCCAGCAGAGTGTAATTTTATCACACTGCCATAGATCCCTTAATGTGATTTACCATGGCTGAGAAGAGATTTTAAAAGGCCATTTTCTATTTTTATTGCTTCGGTGAAGATCTTCTTGGCCATGTGTACAGACCAAGAGTTGTAGTAATAGGTATTGTTTGTTGCAATATTTATTATCATCTGTTTTTATCAACCTCCATTTTTCTCTATGATTTTTTTTTTCCAAAATAGTTTCTAAAACTTGCTTTGTATGTTTTACAGAATTAATACACCTTTAAAAGCTGGAGCTCTACAAAGTGCTTGTATCTTAATTTAGTGTTGATTCCTCCCAAATACTTTTAATCTCCCTATGTTTGTATCAGTGTAGCACATAATTTGTTTACATAAAACTTTGTGTTTACAAAACACTTTCACGTTTGTTGCAGTATTTGGTCCTTACAACAGCTGTAAAGAGGATATGAGTGGGTTTTATTGTCCTCAATTTTCAGAGGAGGCAGTGGAAGCTGAGGAAGCTCTGTGACTGGCCCCAGGCCACAGAACTACCAGATGCAGGAGCTGGGTAGAATCCATGCCTTCCAAGTCCCAGCCCAGAACTCTCTGTGCTCTGCAACACTGCCTCATACAGAGTGAGGGGCAGGCAGTTTGGGAAGAGACCTTGTCGATGCTGCCCAGGTGTGCCCAGCCCCTCTCACTGTCCCTCCCTGGGGAAGACTAGACCAAGACCTCTGCCCAGCAGAGAGAATCTCAGCTTCTGATGGAATCAATCTAGCTCTCTAGCTCTGTCTCTCTCTCTCTCCCCTTTTTTTTTTTTTTCCAGATAGAGTCTCATTCTGTTGGCCAGGCTGGAGTACAGTGGTGCAATCTCAGCTCACTTCAACCTCCGCCCTCCCGGGTTCAAGTGATTCTCCTGCCTCAGCCTCCCAAGTAGCTGGGATTACAGGCACATGCCACCACACCTGGCAAATTTTTGTACCTTTAGTAGAGATGGGGTTTCACCACGTTGGCCAGGCTGGTCTCCATCTCCTGACCTCAAGTGATCCAACCACGTTGGCCTCCTAAAGTGCTAGGATTACAGGCGTGAGCCACTGTGCCAGGCCCTCTCTATCTATCTCTGAGACTGTCTCTCTATCTCTGAGACTGTCTAGCCCTCCAGCTCTCCCTTTGTGTGATTAATGCATTCTCTTTCTTGAAGGCTCTGTTCAGGCATCACCTCCTCCAGGAACCCTGCTTCACACCCCTCTGAGAACTGGATTATATGCTGCAAAAGCCCCCTTAGAGCACTTACCTCTTTGGGTTAAAACGATTTGCTTGTTGTGGCTTCGTCATGAGCAAAGACAGCCGTCTCTGCCTCCTCCCTGCGCACACCTGCCTCACTCTGCTGCAGCCACGCTGACGTCCTTGCTGCTCCCATGGATGAACCAGGCATACTCCCTCCTGGACTCTACTCTTGCTACACTGCAGCTGGAAGGCTCTTCCCCCCTGACATCTTGTAGCTGGCTCATTGCTCTCCTCCTCTAGCACATTACTCAATTGTCACCTTCTTAGTTAGCTTCCCTCCTGTCTTAGTCCCTTCAGGCTGCTATATCAAAATACCATAGACTATGTGGCTTATAAACAACAGAAATCTATTTCTCACAGCTTTGGAGACCGTAAAGTCGAAGCTCAAAGTGCTGGCAGATTCTGTGTCTAATGAGGTCTCCTGATCTCTGGTTCACAGCTGGTGTCTTCTAGCTGTGTCCTTACATGGTGGAAGGGACCAGCTAGCTCCCTGGGGCCTCTTTTTTTAGGGCACTAATCCGGTTCATGGGGGGCTCCCCACTTCATGATCTAATCACACCCCCAAAGCCTCACCTCCTATTGTCATCACATTGGTATTAGGTTTCAAAATATTAATTTGGAGAGGACAGGGGCATTCAGACCACAGCACCTCCTGTTTAAAACTCCTAAACCCCAGCTAGCCCTGTTTATACTTCTCCATAAAACGTATCCCTTGACGTTGATGTTATTTACTTATCTGTTTTGTTTTATTTTGTTTTGTTTTTTGAGACAGAGTCTTGCTCTGTCACCCAGGCTAGAGTGCAGTGGCATGATCTCCGCTCACTGCAACCTCTGCCTCCCAGGTTCAAGTGATTCTCCTGCCTCAGCCTCCCAAGTAGCTGGGATTACAGGCGCCCGCCTCCGCGCCCGGTTAATTTTTGTATTTTTAGTAGAGACGGGGTTTCACCATCTTGGCCAGGCTGGTCTCAAACTCCTGACCTCATGATCCACCCATCTCGGCCTCCCAAAGTGCTGGGATTACAGGCGTGAGCCACCGTGCCTGGACTACTTATCTGTTTTGATTATTGATCTGTTTCCCTCATGAGAATAGATGAGTTATAGGTAATAATAAGCGGATCTAAGCTAAATGTTTTGAATAAATACCTACAAGCTATGCCAGGCTATCTTCGTGGGCTGCAGATCAACCATTTTGTCCATAAAACAGAAAATAGCATCTCCAGACAAGGGCTGGATGCAGTGTTTCTCACATGGCTTAGTCCCCTCTTCAAGGCTCTGCCTTCCCCCACTGGCATAAGCCACAGTATTTTCTTCTTAGAGAGTTCTGAGATCATGTAGTCAGGTGAGATAAATGATGCCTTTATTCTCCCCCAAACTGGTAATAAATCCATGTGGAATCCATTCTTTGGCACCTTTCAGAACTGTTAAAAATGGCATGGCCTTGCAGATACTTTAAAAGAGAAAAATAAGATTGTAATCTTTAACAATCTCTTTATTGCCCACAATGATCCTAATTTTTTTATTTTATGATATTTGATATTTTAATACGTATACTGTCTGTTATATATATTAATATATCATATTATATATTAGGCAATGTATTAATAAATCATTCTGTAAATATTCATTTTAGCACCTATGATATGTGAGGTATTGTGTTAGATACTCTAGGATTCAAGAGTGAGCAGAAGAAATACTGTCTCTGTCCCTCAGTAGCTTCCAGGGTGAAAGGAAGACAGATCATTAAGAAATATTGTAGGACCAGCCAGGTATCCTAGGGAACCTTGGGAAATTTCTCCAGAGAGATGGTTGAGACTAATTCGGTTTATTCAGCACTGTGGCTCTGTGGACATAAAAGGGCACCTGGGTACCATTAGGGTTGCAATGCTAAGCATAACAATATCGAAGTCATAAATATGATGTTGTCCCAGGTCTCTTAGGCCTGAGAAAGGTCATGCCTTTGTTCATCCCAGTCCTTCTTTCAGCAAATAGCTGCTGACCACCTACAGCTGTGAACAAGACAAGCGAGGTCCCTCCCTGACCTCTTGTTGCCTTTGGGTTGTCCTGGGGGTGTCCCTGCTGGAGCTGCCAAACAGCAAGACTTCAGCGGCCCTGCACCCGGATGCATCTGCTGCCTCACTGCCATGCTCACGAATGGAAGACATTCATCTTTGCCCAGCGGCTGGCGGGCAGGCTGCTACAACCTCCACTTAGTCTACCCCAGCTGCAGGCTGTAATGTTGGGGGAGCTGCCACATCCTGAAGGATGAAAAATAAATCACGCTTCTTCTGTCGTGTTCTATTTCTAGGCTTAGAAGAAAAGGGAGAAGAATTTGCTCGCATGCTTACAGAGCTTCTCTTTGAATTACATGTGGCGGCCACACCTGACAAACTCAATAAGGTCAGCACTGTCTGATTTATAGTTTCTGGTTAAAAAAAAACAGTGCAGGGGAGAGTCTCTGTTGTAAAGTTCCAGAGATGCACCTGAAATGGAAAACCCCCAAATCTTATGTGGCATAGTGCCGGGAGAGGAGTTTGAGGTCAGTAATTAAGATTTGAGGAGGGGCTGGGCACGTGGCTCACGCCTATAATCCCAGCACTTTGGGAGGCCAAGGCGGGTGGATCACCTGAGGTCAGGAGTTTGAGACCAGCCTGGCCAACATGGTGAAATTCCATCTCTACTAAAATACAAAAATTAGCCAAGTGCGGTGGCGCATGCCTGTAATCCCAGCTACTCGGGAGACTGAGGCAAGAGAATCGCTTGAACCCAGGAGGCCAAGGTTGCAGGGAGCTGAGATTGTGCCACAGCACTCCAGCCTAGGTGACAGAGTGAGACTCTCTCTCAAATTTTAAAAAAAGGAAAAAACGAAAAGATTTGAGGAGGCAACATAATGGAATGTGGTGGTGGAGAACATGCTAGACTGTGTCATGAGATCTGCATTTTAGTTGTAATTTTACTAGTAATTACCTTGTAACCTTGAATAAGTCACTTACCTTTTCATGGCAAAATAGAATGTTATGTCGGAGCAGTAGTTATCATCAGGTTAGGGCAGGGAAAAAGGGTGCAGAATCACCAAGAGGCTTTTTTCAAATTTCACCCCGCCCCCCTTCTAAAGAAACATGCCAGAATTAGGTAGAGAGAGGCACGTCAGCCAGGTAAACCCCACAGTTCCTCCCACCTGGAGCACAGGGGCTGCATCATGTCTAAGACCATTCCAGCTTTAACAATCTGGGTTCCTCTAATAATACCACAGTGTGTTTTGCAAGTTAGTACAAGGTCTTGCTGTGAAGTTTCTTTAGAGGCCATGATCATTAATTACTTAAAACTGCATGATGTTTTTCCATTCTCTCTCTCTCTCTTTCTTTCTTCTTTTTAGCAAGCAGTGGTTTACATAGGTACTCACTTATCCAGGTGGGTGAGGAAAAGGGCAGAATGAGGAGGTGAGATGAGTAATTTCTTTATCTCTGATGGGGGTCACTGATTCTGGCAGGTCAGTGACTTGAACACAGTGGGAAGTTGCCTCATTCATCTCCGTGCAGCATCTGCCACTGCTCAGAGGGGGCATGTGGTGGCTCTGAGATTCCACTGGCTTATTTGCTTAGGGTTAAATCTTTGTCTGTAATAGAGGACACACTGAGGACAGTTTTGCTGGGTTTTCTCTCCCCAGATCTTCTTGCTGTTAACTTACCATTCAACACTCTGATATTTTTAACTTTGGCGTGTAAGATTTAACGTGGGAAGTAAGTTTAGTGTAAGCCCCAAAACAACTTTTACTTAAGCAAACAGCTTAAACTATAATGATAAAATTGGAGTGAGTCTGCCCCTTCGTTCTAAATTCAGGGAATAACAGGCAGGGGAGGAGGTTTCTGATTGTTTAATTTAGCCATGATTTTGCAGGGCACAGAGTGCGTAAACTGCACTCATGTGAAATTAAACTAGACACAGAGCAGCACCAGACCTTTCCAGCAGCGCTTCTCTTCTCCCCCTTGAGGGTGGAAGACCTGTCATGAATCAAGAAACGCAGAGCCCTTCTTCACCTTCCCAGCATGATACATTGTTAGGTTCATGAAACATGAAGAGCTTCCTGAAATATATCAGATGAGGACATTTGCTGTAGCCGCGGCCCCATGGCTCAATTTCTAACACATATTTTTAAAAATACTATTATTCTTTTATAGATGGTCATGAAAAGTGAAAAATATACCATAGATTTTTCAATGTGACTGTCATTTTTATTCTTATCTGAATATCATTTTTAAATGCTTTTTGAAGAGTCCTCAGGCTTGCATTGTTCTTTCCATACCTTCTGTTCTGTCCCTCTTTTCTACTTTATATTTACCAGAAAGCAACAACAAGGTTATCTTTTTCGGGGGTTGAAAAATTGCCCCGTCATCCTCCAAACATACAGAGATCCATTCTTGAAGGCTTAGAGACACTTGATTCTAGTCTTGGGGTTGGAATGACTTAGTTTCCATATTTGCGCCATAAAAGGATTGTTTGGTTGGGGACCTCTGCAGGCCATGAAGAGGGCTCATGACTGGGTGGAAGAGGATCAAACCGTGGTGTCAGTAGATGTGGCAAAAGTGTCCGAAGAAGAAACAAAGAAGGAAGAAAAGGAAGAGAAATCTCAAGACCCTCAAGAAGACAAAAAGGAGGAAAAGAAAACTAAGACCATAGAGGTAAATTCATTCTAGATTGTCTGCCTACAAGGTAATAAGAGTGTGTTCATTTTATTAGCAGCTTAATTTTAATTGAGGAGAGGCCATTTCTTTTTCATTTGTTCCGTGTTATAGAAATATAAGTTTGAGACCAGCCTGGCCAACATGGTGAAACCCTGTCTCTAGTAAAAATACAAAATAATAATAATAATAATTAGCAGGGCGTGGTGGCGTGTGCCTGTACTCTCAGCTACTTGGGAGGCTGAGGTATGAGAATTGCTTAAACCTGGGCGGTGGAGGTTGCAGTGATTAGATCACTGTAAGGAAAAATATCCATTGAGCTCTGTTCATTCAGCCGGCCTTCCACACACCTTCTTTAGCACCTGCCTGTTTTGTACCCAGCATTGCTGTAAGCACTGGGGATGCAGCTGTGAACAGACCTGCCACATCCGTGGGGGCTTTACAGCCCTTCCTGGCAACATTACACTTAAAGTCTTAGATATGCTTGTAATCATCAGGTTAACTATTTCGGGTTATATTTGGGGTATTTTTGAAAGAATTATATCACTTCTAATGTCACAGCATTTTTTTAAAAAAGCATCTGCTCAGTAAAAAATTTCTTGCTTGTGTCTATTCATTTCAGGAAGTATACATGTCGTCCATTGAAAGTCTGGCGGAGGTAACAGCGCGCTGTATTGAGCAGCTTCATAAAGTAGCAGAATTAATTCTTCATGGACAAGAAGAGGAAAAACCAGCTCAGGACCAAGCAAAAGTTCTAATAAAGTAAGTAAATGTTACTTTAAATTCTTATTTTCCCAGTTTTATATATAGGTACCATTCAGATACACACATACACACCCACACCCTCTAAGCCACTAGAAGATTCAGGTTTCTTTTTGTTTGTTTTTGTTTTTTGTTTTGTTGAGACGGGATCTCACTCTGTCACCCAGACTGGAGTGCAATGGCATGATCATGACTCACTGCAGCCCCAAACTCCTGGGCTCACGTGACCCTCCTGCCTCAGTCTCCCCTGGAGTTGGGACCACAGGTGCGTGCCACCACATCCAGCTAATTTTTTAATTAATTGCAGAGACCAGGCCTGGCCACGTTGCCCAGGCTGGTCTCAAACTCCTGAGCTCAAGCAGTCCTCCTGCCTCAGCCTCCTAAAGTGCTACGATTACAGGCATGAGCCACCATACCTGGCCAAAGATTCAAATTTCAAGTCAACCAATTCCATTGTTCTACGGTCATCTTAAGAAATAAGGATTTTTTTTTTTTTTTGAGACAGAGTCTCGCTCTGTCACCAGGTTGGAGTACAGTGTCACGATCTCAACTCACTGCAACCTCCGCCTCCCAGGTTCAAGCGATTCTCCTGCCTCAGCCTCCCGAGTAGCTGGGATTACAGGTGCGCACCACCACATCCAGCTAATTTTTGTATTTTTAGTAGAGACGGGTTTTCACCATGTTGGCCAGGATGGTCTCCATCTCTTGACCTTGTGATCTGCCTGCCTCGGCCTCCCAAAGTGCTGGGATTACAGTCGTGAGCCACCACGCCTAGCCAGAAATAAGGATTTCTTTAGCAAGTGCATTATGTTAGCAAGAAGAAGACTTAACTAGCCATTCTAGGAATTATTTATGAAGAGATTTAAGGGAAAACACACTAAATCATTGCATGAGGCGTGAAAGTACTTATTTAATAGATCAAAGTCTTAGAAGTAAAACCTTTTGAGGGTAATTACATTTTCAACATATACATGAATAGAGAAAGGACACTTTAATGTAACTTCTAGCTAGATTCACAAAATAGGCAAATACACTCCACTGCTCCTGGGGACTTATACCAGGTCTCCACGTTCCAAACTCCAGTGATGACGGTCACTAATATTAACCAGTTCACTGTGGGTTGTATGTGTGCATGTATGTGTTGTCCTATATCATGTTCTTCAATAAATAATAGCTATTATCATTAGTTTATTAAGTAAAATTAAAATATATGTGTAACATATATGAATATGCAATCTAGTGAATATACATGAAAATAGTTGATATGGAGCATTCATGAAAATAGTTGGTATGGAGCTGAAAAATAAGCCTTTAACTTTTATGCACATGACTGTATACTGTGATGTGGAAAATTAACATAGGCCTAAGTACCCTCGTATTATTAGACAGACACAGGAGCCAAAATAGAGCCCCTGAAAATATCCAGGGATGGACACACACAGGTCTCAGCACACTCAATTTGCTAGCTAACTAGTCTTTGCTTATTACTGCTTTGACATTGTCGGTTGGGGAGTAAGTTTTTAGTGGAAAGATCTTCCAAAAAGTCAGCATTAGTGTCTTTGTACTGGCGGCATTTTTCCTCACTTGTAAAGATCCGTCATCTAGTCTAGATTTCCATATCTAAGGATATAAAAATCAAAGTTATTATAAGAACCACAGAATCCCCACCTTAATATTCCTAGAAAGAATAGGCACTTGCCTAAACATTTAGAAGGAAGAGGAAAGGACAAAGTCAGGGAAGTTGAAAATGCTGAGGACAATCTCTAGGTACTGGTTTATCTTTGCAGTACTAATTGGAAAGAAGAGGGCCAAAGTTCAGAAGCCCCTAGGTATGGATAGTGACCTTACTCTTTGCTCCTTTCTGATTCCTAGCCCTGATTGTCCTGACCTTACCAAGCTGCACCCAGTCCCTGATTTGCCTGTACAATAAGTGCCTCCCCACCCACCTGCCCAAGAACATAGACTGAATGGCTCTGGGATATCTCCTGGCTTTACTCTTGGCCCTTTCTGCAGACAATTTTTGGATGGATGGGTGGGTGGGTGGATGGATGGGTGGATATAGCTCATAAAACCTATATATATTAGATAAGGCCTCTTTTATCAAAGCAAAACTTACCTCTACTGACTTTACTAGATATTTTAACATATAAGATTCTTAACTTGGGGTTATCATTCCCATAGCATTTTAATCACTATTCATGAGTGCTGTATGCACTAACTGATAGAAAAATATCAGACATTACCTACATTACTAGGTAATCAGATTGTTTTCAGTTTTTGTCATCATCCATAGTGTTAGGATAAATGTTGTTTTTGTTAAATATTTGTGTGTATCTTGCATTGTTTTCTTGGGATAAAGTTCTAGAAGTGGAATGCCAGCATAAACTTGGAATTTTGATATCAGTATTAAAAACACATTCTACATATTCTACAGGATCTTTATTTTGAATCATATAATAAAAACATAATCAAACTATCCAGAGACACCTGAGTTTGAATCCCTCCTCTCCTGCAGGTCCTAAACAGGTTACCTAACTTTCTTACTTTTTTTTTTTTTGAGATGGAGTTTTGCTCTTGTTGCCCAGGCTGGAATGCAATGGCATGATCTCGGCTCACTGCAACCTCCACCTCCTGGCTTCAAGTGATTCTCCTGCCTCAGCCTCCCAAGTAGCTGAGATTACAGGCGCCTGCCACCACGCCCAGCTAATTTTTTGGTATTTTTGGTAGAGACAGGGTTTCACTATGTTGGTCAGGCTGGTCTTGAACTCCTGACCTCCGGTGATCCACCCACCTCGGCCTCCCACAGCTGAGATTACAGGCGTGAGCCACTGTTCCCCGGCCACCTAACTTTCTTAAATGTCCGATTTTCCATCTATATAAAATGGAAATAATAATATAACCCATAAGGTCACCCTGAGGATTAAATATGATTAGGCACACAAAAGTGCTTAACATAGTGCCTCAGTGAATGCTCATGATTATTTTGAAATGACCAAAAAGCTGGAAACCAGCCGTCTGGCCAGAGTGTATAAGCTCTACACATGTGGAGCTCAAGCCTGATATTTTCCTGCACATGATTTTGATTCTAAAAGAGGTCAAGTGAGTTGGATGATTATTCTTTAATTAAGCATGGAAAGAAAACCAGGATTAGATTAAACTGTGATTGCGAATCATGGAAGATGATTAAGGAAAACCGCCTGACTGCACATTTCTGTAGAGCATCTTCAAGCATGTGTGGCATTCTTTTAAATGTCATACTGAATTAGTATCAGAAATGGTCGTGACAGTTAAATTATTTTACCTTATTGAAAACATCCAAGCTTTTTTTTTTTTCTTCTTTCAGATTAACTACTGCAATGTGCAATGAAGTGGCCTCTTTATCAAAGAAGTTTACGAATTCTTTAACCACTGTTGGGGTAAGATTACAGTCTTGAATTTTTTTCACCTTTTTTAAGGGAAGTATGTCTGTGAGGAAATGTGGAGATGCAGCGCCTTCTTTAGTAGCTCCATAAAACTGAAGCTATGCCATGATGTAAGCTGAAGTCAGGCCAAGAGTAACTTCTCTAAGGACAGGCAGCTTAGGACTCTCCTGACTGGGTTCTAGCCTTGAATCTGCCATCTCAGTCTTACAAGATGTTGGGTGAGTGAGTTTTCAAACCTCTGTGGCCCTTATTTTCTTTGTTTTTGTTTGTTTGTTTGTTTGATTTTTGTTTTGTTTTTTTTGTTTTTTTTTTTTGAGACGGAGTTTTGCTCTGGTGCCCAGGCTGGGGTGCAGTGGCGCGATCTCGGCTCACTGCAAGCTCTGCCTCCCAGGCTCACGCCGTTCTCCTGCCTCAGCCTCCCAAGTAGCTGGGACTACAGGCGCCCGCCACCACACCCGGCTAATTTTTTTTATATTTTTAGTAGAGACAGGGTTTCACCGTGTTAGCCAGGATGGTTTCGATCTCCTGACCTCGTGATCCGCCCACCTCGGCCCTGCAAAGTGCTGGGATTACAGGCGTGAGCCACCGCGCCTGGCCTGTTTGTTTTTTTTAAAGTGTCAGATGAAGGTTCCTTTTATTACTTAATATCTGTGATGTATGTACTTCAGAATCTCTGGTAAAATTATTAATTTTGAATATTCACTGTTGCCCTCAGAGCCTACTTTATAAGCCATGCAAGATAAGAGTTTTCATTTTTTTTTTTTTTTTTTTTTTGAGACTGAGTCTCGCCCTGTCGCCCAGCCTGGAGTGCAGTGGCACAATATCGGCTCACCGCAGCCTCCACCTCCTGGGTTGAAGCGATTCTCCTGCCTCAGCCTCCAAAGTAGCTGGGATTACAGGCACACGCCACCACGCCCAGCTAACTTATGTATTTTTAGTAGAGACGGGGTTTCACCATGTTGGCCAGGCTGGTCTTAAACTCCTGACCTAGTGATCCACCGGCCTCGGCCTCCCAAACTGCTGGATTACAGGCATGAGCCACCGCGCCTGGCAGAGATAAGAGTTTTCTTTGCTTCATTGTGGCACTTGACTTTAACCAAAAGAAAAAAATGTTACTGATTGGCTCAAGTGTTTCTATTAACAGGGTAACAAGTCTGAAAGGCTCAGCATTTACTTGGAGGTATGGCCTCTGGTTATTTTCTTTGGAAATCAGTCATGTTATTTAGCTTCACCTTAGTAGGCGCAGAGAAAAGTGGAAAATATTCCCTTTCACCTTCCTGTTTTTTCTCTTTAAAACACTGGATGCAAAGTCTAATGATGTTCTCCATGAGAAACAGCAGGTTTACTTCTTATTCTAATTAGGTTGTTTTCTTGGTTTCAAGTATATTAGTTTCCTAGGGCTGCTCTAACAAAGTACCATAAACTGGGTTATTTTCTCGTGGTTCTGGAGGCTAGACATCTGAAAGCATGGTGGTATCAGGGCCTTGATCTCTCCAAAGCCTCTAGGATTCTTTCTTGCTTCTTCCAGCTTCTGGTAGCCCCAAGTGTTCCTTGCCTTGTGGCTGCAAAACTCCAGTCTCTCTCTGTGTCTTGACATGGCTGCTTTCTCCCTGTGTCTCCACATCACCTTCCCTCCATGCATGTCTGTGTCCAGATTTCCCTCTGCTTATAAGGACACCAGGCCTATTTGGTTAGCGCGTGACCAATATGACCTCATCCTAACTTATCACACCAGCAACAACCCTATCTCCAAATAAGGTCACAGTCTGAGGTGCTGGGGGTTAGGACTTCAATATGTCTTTTTGCAGGGTACACAATTCAAACCATACCAGGAAGCAATAGAAACACATTCTAAAAAATTTAGACAGAAAGGAGGCTTTATGAAAGGCACTGGGGGAAATGAACCGCTGTGGGGACCCAGCACCAGAGCTCAGGCACACTCTTTTTTTATTTTTTGAAACCGTGTCTTGCTCTGTCGCCCAGGCTGGAGTGCAGTGGCGCGATCTTGGCTCACTGCAGCCTCTGCCTCCCAAGTTCAAGTGATTCTCATGCCTCAGCCTCCTGAGTAGCTGGGATTACAGGTGCGGGCCACCACTCCCAGCTAATTTTTTTGTATTTTTAGTACAGACAGGGTTTCACCATGTTGGCCAGGCTGGTCTCAAACTCCTGACCTCAGGTGCTCCACCTGCCTCGGCCTCCCAAAATGCTGGGATTACAGGTGTGAGCCACGGCGCCCGACCTACACATACTTTCTCTAATGTGCTGCTATTAATGTGACTCAGTGACAGCAGTTCCTAACCCTGTGTCTTTCCATTCAAATTCCTGGTTCCTGGGTAAAAAGGTTTGAATAGCTCATCAGCATGGGTCACATGTCCACCTTGGCTTCACTCAGCAGCAATTGGGGACAGTGTCTCATTGTGCAAACCTGCAGACCTACCTGGCTTCTGGGGCATGCCCCCTCCTCCTCCTCAGGCCAAGAGCATTTCTAAAAAGATGAGAAATGACCATGGTACTGGCTGTCACCCAAAAAGACACCTGTCCCCCACACTTCTGTCAGTGACTCTGTGAATAAGGGGTGAGCTACGCACCGCCTATTCATTCTGCTGTCAAGAAATCTGACCTGCTTCTCCTATTTTGTAAAACAACACCTTTTATGTTTGTCTAATTTCAGGCCTTCAGCAATAGAGCTTCACTGTATACAAGCAGAATGACAAGGGAGGTGGAAGCTCATTGATATGATAGGCTGGACAAAATGCATTTGCACCCTCGTGTGGTCCAAGTTACCTGATATCCATGGACTTTGATATAAACACTAGGCTTGCAGAGAGGTGCGAGGTCTTAATCAAGATGGAATAGCCTTAGTGACACCGGTTCCTAAGGCTCTATTGCACCCTCTTGTTACCCTTTTCACAGTTTACTAGGTGAGGAAACTGAGGCCTAGAGGGGTGAATTGATTCACTCAAGCCTCTCAGTAGATCTCCTAATTCCCAGTTGGTTATCCACCAGATACATCAGATAGACACCAACTCTTTGGTTCTCTGTGTTTGTTTAGGCTTGAGAGTGTGAATGTCTGTGTGCATGTTTGTATTATATTTTGCATAATATGTGTTAAATCTTAATTTACCTACTAGTATTCATGGTATTGCTTTCCATTCCTTCTGCATATTGTATTCCAGCACAGTGCTTCTCAAACTTAAGGTGCACATGGATCAATTGGAGATGTTGTTAAAATGAAGATTCTTATTCAGTAGGTCTGGGATGAGGCTGAGATTCTGTATTTCTAGTAAGCAGTCAGGTGATGACAATGTTCCTAATCCATGGCCCATATTTTATGTAGCAAGGCTGTGGCAGATGGCTGTGCACTTGAACTTTCATATATATTTATATGTACACACATACACATACAAGTGTTTGCATGAACAAAATCGGGACCACACAGGTTATCATTATGGGGAAGAAAAACCTGAATCTAAAATAGAATTTAGAAAGGCCATCTCA
This sequence comes from Homo sapiens, assembly GCF_000001405.40. Taxonomy (NCBI): domain Eukaryota; kingdom Metazoa; phylum Chordata; class Mammalia; order Primates; family Hominidae; genus Homo; species Homo sapiens. The sequence continues at coordinate 38,939,295 of NC_000004.12, forward strand.
CCACAACAATACCTCTGATCTTGTGCTGTGATGAATCATTTACATCAAGTCAGTGTTTCTGTTCTCTAAAGCAGCCATTATTCATAACTTGAAGTTAATGAGTGTGTATTGCTCTCTAGACTCTATTTAAATTGCTTGCATACCTCATTGATTCTGAAAACCAATGTCATCTTATTGCCCTCATTTGATTATATTTTAGAGGTTTATTGATAATCAAATAAACATGAAAGCAAATACCATAATGGATTTTCTGGTTACTTACTAAAATGACTGGGTTTTTAAAGAGGTTTCTCCCAAGGCTCCATCATGATTTCCCCAGGAAGACATTACTTCACCCTCAGTAGAGTAACGTCAATGAAAGTGGGCTGCTCTGGGAAGATATATTTAATTTATGTATTTTTGTTTACTCTGAACTCTTCCAGGTACTATAAGAGAAGCTGACTTATTAAGATTGCATCCTCTCTCTCTCCAATCCCTTTAATGGTTTATGGTCTAAGAGTAGATTGAACTCTTAGACAGAGAAGACTATTGATTGATAGACCGATAGCATAAGCAAAGATAATGATACCAACTCTGCCTTTCACTTTCTTTCTTTTTTTTTTTTTTTTTTGTTAGACGGAGTCTTACTCTGTCACCCAGGTTGGAGTGCAATGGTGCCATCTCGGCTCACTGCAACCACTGCCTCCTAGGTTTAAGCAATTCTCCTGCCTTAGCCTCCTGAGTAGCTGGGATTACAGGCACCTACCACCATGCCCAGCTAATTTTTTTGTATTTTTAGTGGACACAGGGTTTCGCCATGTTGGCCGGGCTGGTCTCAAACTCCTGACCTCAGGTGATCCACTCACCTCGGCCTCTGAAAGTGCTGGGACTGCAGGCTTGAGCCACCACACCTGGCCTGCCTTTCATTTTTTGAGCCCCTGCTTTATACCAGGCACTGTACTCTCTGCTTTATGTATATTTGCATTTTTCAAATGTGGATCTGCAGACCTGTTTTCAAGTTATATTTAAGAATGTCTTAATTTTGCTGCTCTTCTAGAAGATGCCCTATAACCAAGTTTCTATGTTTGCATTTAAAAGAAGAAAGAAAGAAAAAAAAAGGGGTAGACCAGGGCTTAGACTAGGTTAGGTGAGTGAGGGACTTAACTCACCTGCAAAATGGAAGGAGGCCCAAAAAAGAAACAGAAAAAAACCTCAGGAATCTAGATAGATATTTTAATGAAATATATTTTAAAATAAAAGTGCCAAAATATTATGATCATCAAAATATCAAAATTTTAAGTAAAGACAGCATCCACTCTGCCTACACAACTCAACCTGCCTCACTTCACTCTTATCCCAGACCTGCTACAAAATTTACATAGTGAAAAAGGTCTCGGTTTCAATTTCTAGCTATGTGACCTTAAGCAAGTTACTCAACCTTTCTGATCCCTATTCTCTCCTCTTTAAATTGGGGTTATCATGATACCTGCCTACCTCCTAGGATTTCCGTTGCAATTAAATGAGACTAAAAAGGTGCAGCAGCGGGTATGAAGCCTGGTCTGTAGGAAGCATTCTGCTTCCCCTCCTCTTCCTCTGCAAGAGATCCCTCAACAAAGCTAGTGTATTACATTTTACGTGGCAAGCCTTGTAGTATGAGCACCTAATCTGTCAATTTCATACTTCTGATTCCACAGAGCAACAAGAAGGCCGAGGTCCTTAACCCCATGATCAGTAGTGTATTGTTAGAGGTAAGTGGCCTCTGGAGAGAAAGTGCTTCTGAATCAAAGTAAATGTTAGAACTACTTTTTTTTTTTTTTGCCTTTCTTCCCCCACAGCAAATGTTATTGCAATTCTGAATCTCATCATCAGGTCTTTTTTGAGTAAATTTGTGTAGCTCAACCAGCTGTAAACCCTCTGATGAAGCAACAATACCTAATTTTCAAGAATTCCTGATTATAAAAAGAAATGCTAAGCTTGCACGTTATTTCTGTCACTGTTTCCTCCAGCAGAAGCAGATTTCTGCTGCCAAATTTGACACTAGATTTAACACTATGATTATTGGCTGCAATGAGGGATTATTGCTCATCGGTGATTTTCATAAAAATGGGCATTTCCTTCTATTTAGAATAACCTTTGGTTTAGCTGGGTCTAATGTCCAAGCTGGCAACAATGACAAGGAGAATGTTTAGCCTATGCCCAGTCAATGACAAGGGACACCATCCTCTGTGACTTCTCACTCTGTGGCCTGCCCACTCACTAGGACTTTGCAGCATCAGTTGTGTTGATATAAAGCTGCCCCAACCAACACTGCTGTGTCTTTGCCAGAAATGGTAGCCTAAGAGAGAAGAGGTCCAGGAAGATTTCTCATTCTTGAATCATAGGCACTGTGTTCCACCTGTAGAGGAAAGGTAGAAGATTGGTAGAGGAAAATCTTCTGTTAGGGGCTAAACTATAAGTAACAGCCGCGGGGCACCCAGCTGAAGGCACAAGGTGTTAACAAGCTAAGTTTGAACATGGGCAATGCATATATCATAGGATTTTGCTTTCTGAAGTGGCTGTCCATTGCAAAATTTGGAAATTACAAAAGTTCAAGAGGGCTACTGTATTAGTCCAATTTCACACTGCTGATAAAGACATACCTGAGACTGGGCAATTTACAAAAGAAAGAAATTTAATGGACTCACAATTCCACGTGGCTGGGGAGGCCTCACAGTCATGGTGGTAGGTGAAAGGCACATCTCACATGGCTGCAGACAAGACAAGAGAGCTTGTGCAGAGAAACTCCCTGTTATAAAACCATCAGATCTCATGAGACTTACTCACTATTACAAGAATAGCACGGGAAAGACCTGCCCCCATGATTCAATTACTTCCCATCAGGTCCCTCCCACAACATGTGGAAATTGTGGGACTTAAAATTCAAGATGAGATTTGGGTGGTGACACAGCCAAACCATATCAGCTACCTATATATTTATATCATTGTTTTGGGGACTTGTACCTTACTGTTAAGGAAAACGACAAAGGTACAGAAATAACTAAGTGATGGCACTGAATATTATTGTTTAGGATGCGGCCGCACAGTGGGATGGCATCAGCCAGAAGGAATAGGAGCTGTAGGGGCAGGTCTTGGAGGAACAGACATAGCTAAGAGAAAACCCTGGCAGTCAGAGGCAGAATGTGGTACAAGAAAAATCTCTCCCCTGGCCACCCAGAAGGCATAAAATTAACTTACCATGTCAGGTATGAGAAATATGAGGTCAAATGTTTTTTCCGTTTCCCCAATAGATGTTTTCACATGTTTTAGTTACCCTAACCTTTAAATGGCCTCTCCATCCAATACTGTGTGTTAGTGCACCACAAAACAGGAATAATAATTTCAGCTATCCCAACCAAACATAAAGTACCATGCATAGGAGGATAACAGTGTTCAAGTTTGCCATGAATAACTGCCCAATAGTATCTCCAGTTAGCTTTATGTTGACCATTCTTGCTTATCTATCTGTAGGGTGGGGCAAACTGAGCTCCTTCATACAGTGTTTTTGTGTTATTTCAGGGCAGTAGGGTTGATCTGGGAAAGAGATAGATAAGACAGGACATACCCTGGGCCAAGAAAGTACACACACTGATGGATCTTAAAAGTCCATAGAAGTGGCTCATGCCTGTAATCCCAGCACTTTGGGAGGCCGAGGTGGGCAGATACGAAGTCAGAAGATCAAGACCATCCTGGCCAACATGGTGAAACCCTGTCTCTACTAAAATACAAACAAATTAGCTGGGCGTGGTGGTGCACGCCCGTAGTCCCAGCTACTCGAGAGGCTGAAGCAGGGGAATTGCTTGAACCTGGGAGGCGGAAGTTGCAGTGAGCCAAGATCGTGCCTCTGCACTCCAGCCTGACGTCAGAGCAAGACTCTGTCTCAAAAAAAAAAAAAAAAAAAAATTCCATGAAAATGATTTGCCTCATTTTGAGTGAATTATTCTCTCTGTTAGTATAGATAATTGAGAGCTGGACATGCCCCATCCAAAAGCATGTGTTTACACTTGCTTTAAGCACCAATATTGCAAGATAAATATAATCCAATATGGGGGGTGGGTTGAAGAGTGGGAACATTATCCAATTGGAAGTATTGTCAAGGTTGAACTATGAAAATAACCCTTCAACCTCATTTTTCTCCTCTCACAGGGCTGCAACAGTACAACGTACATACAGGATGCCTTCCAGCTGCTGCTGCCTGTTCTGCAGGTCTCACATATCCAGACCAGTTGTTTGAAAGCACAGCCGTGACCTGGCCAGACTCCATCTAGTTAAAGGAGACAGCTGGCCGCCTTGCCTCAATATGTACCATTTAAGGGGATGTTCTCTGTGCGCCTGGCCACAGACATCCATTTGAGGACACTACAAGCAATTTTGCACAGACAATATTGAGAATGCAAATTTAGAGAGAGTTATCATTTCTCTCAATGTGTATAATTGTTTTTACAAACAATTGTGTTTTCTTTATGTTAATTTAAACTTACACAGCTTATATTGAAAATTTCCTTTCATCTGAAATTTATTTACAAATATTCGTGTTCATTTTCCTGGTTAAGCATGCTATATTTAGAAACTCATGGGGAGACCTTAGACTTTTGTTTAATCCTTTATGTTTCAACCTTTAAATGTTCCATTCTTATAGTATTACTTTAAATCAATTCTAAAACTGAACTTTGTTTTGTTACATAAATGTCGCAGGCAAAAATAACACTACTTATAGATTTTACCTATTATGGTAAAAAATAGGAACATATTGTCATTCTTTTTTTTTTTTTTTTTTTGAGACAGAGTCTCACTCTGTCGCCAGGCTGGAGTGCGTTGGCACAATCTCGGCTCACTGCAACCTCCGCCTCCTGGGTTCAATCGATTCTCCTGCCTCAGCCTCCTGAGTAGCTGGGACTACAGGTGTGTGCCACCACGCCCAGCCAATTTTTTTTGTATTTTTAGTAGAGACAGGGTTTCACCATGTTGGCCAGGATGGTCTCGATCTCCTGACCTCGTGATCTGCCCGCCTCAGCCTCCCAAAGTGCTGGGATTACAGGCTTGAGCCACCGCGCCCGGCCGGTCATTCATTCTTGCAACAAGCATTTATTGAGCACCTACTGTGTGCTCACAGTAAAGAAACGTGATCTTATCCCAGTAGAGGTAGATATTCTGAAAAAGAATAATTCTTAAACTGCTTAAAACAGGGGTCCCCACCCCCAGGCCACAGACCAGTACCAGTCCGTGGCACTGGTTAGGAACCAGGCCACACAGCAGGGGGTGAGCGGTGGGTGAGTGAGCACAGCTTCATCTGTATTTACAGCTGCTCCCCAGAGCTTGCATTACTGCCTGAGCTCTGCCTCCCGTCAGGTCAGCAGCAGCATTAGAGTCTCATGGGAGTGCGAACCCTGTTGTGAACTGCACATGCGAGGGATCTAGGTTGTGCACTCCTTATGAGAATCTAATGCCTGATGAATCTAATGCCTCATGATCTGAGGTTGAATAGCTTCGTGCCGAAACCATCCCCCACCCCCATCCCGCTACCCCGAGTCCGTGAAAAAATTGTCTTCCATGAAACCGGTCCCTGGTACCAGAAAGGTTGGGGACCACTGGCTTAAAATACCAATAAATTTTTGAACCTTAAAAACTTTGAAGAACAAGGTAAATTGGTGTTTTATTTAATGTCCTACCCTTTAATTTGTTGCATTTTCCTATACTCTTTACACTATTTTATCCCAAACTATGTATATGAGGTGAAAATATATATGAAAAGGGATACTGAAGAATATTTAGTTTAAAATTAATTTCTTACGATCACGAGCACATGGTGGCATAATTACAAAGCTTGGAAGTATTCAAATAGAAAATCAAAGGTGTTTCAATACAGTAGAATCCCAGGACTGCATTTTAAAATCGCCTCACAGATCACACTCGCTGGTGGCAAATATCATCATCGTTGCTAAAGGACAGAAAATACTGATGTGTGTTTTAACTAACTGGTATATTGATCCATGGGAGGCTGCACAGAAGACCCTGCGGCCAGGAGGGGCATTGTCAGTGGCTGCTTCTCCTGAGCTCCACGCCTTCATTGCAGCTGCATGTTCGATACAATACACCTGCTTCACAGCCCCATGGACATCCCTACAGGTACTGTCATGTGAAGCCTTGCCTAGTAGTTCTCTCCAGGGCAAATGAAGCTCACAGTTTTGCAAGGTGGAAACCTCTTATTCACATTTGCTTTGATTCCCCGATGGAGTAGACTGCCTTTGTTCCATACAGGCAAAGTAAGGATATTTTAATATCATCCTACTTCTTATTAGCATTTCATTTGTCTATGTACTGTATTTCATTTGTATGTCTCCTGAAACATCCAAATAGAGAACATAAGAACACTTTATGTACAATCTGGAAAAAAATTACCTGAGAAATCAATTAAAGATTTTTCCCCTTTTCTGATTGCCAGAAATGTTTTTATTAAGTCTAGAGAATGATTAACTGATGAAAATGTTGCATTTACCTCTTCATCAATTTTAGACTTTTTATGTGTAGGGCAGAGGAAATGATATAGATTTACAATTTCTTCACATCAGTTTTTTGTTGTTTTTTGTTGTTTTGTTTTTTGCATCAGATGGGTTTAGATATTAAGTGGAAATGTAAAAGAGAAACAAGTGGCAGGGCTCAGTGGCTCACACCTGTAATCCCAGCACTTTGGGAGGCTGAGGTGGGCGGATTACCTGAGGTCAGGAGTTCGAGAGCAGCCTGGCAGACATGGTAAAACCCTGTCTCCACTAAAAATACAAAAAAATTAGCCGGATGTGGTGGGTCGCGCCTGTAGTCCCAGCTACTCGGGAGGCTGAGGCAGGAGAATCGTTTGAGCCTGGCTGGCAGAGGTTGCAGTGAGCCAAGATACACCACTGCACTCCAGTCTGGGCGGCAGAGGGAGATCCCGTCTCAATTAAAAAAATAAAAAGAGAGAAAAAAAGAGAAACAAGTATTTCTCAAGGAGCTAGAATCCTAGACTTAGACTTTAAGCCTAACTGCACCTGTGTAGTGCGTGCATAGCAAAAACTTTAATGATAAAATGAAATATAAATGTTTAAAAGAATAAGAGATAATCATTCAAAAAGAAGTGGTTGGTGTCATTGGCATTGCACTTATCTTCTAATGCTGGAATGCCTAAGGTTGCCAGGTGAAGACAGGCTGAGAGATGATTCCCTGGGCCTAGTTCCATAGTCTGTGAATTACATTATTTAAGAGAGAATAATCACTTAAAATAGATCCACCTTCCAGGATTTCTTACAATACTGTTTTTCACCACCACTTTTAGGTAATTGTTTCTTTGCTTTGCTTTAAAATCTGGCAAAGCGCAGGATCCAGATCTGTGCAAATGTCAGTCAGTTACTAAATGAATGATTTAACAGGCTTACCTTGGAAGTTTTTTATTCCTTCAATAATGCTTTACATAAATTGCATTCATTTCATTCTATGCAATTACCCTGAACAAGCGTGCCAGTTTTTTCTCTTAACATCAAGTGCAAAATCAGTTCTAGTCTAAATAATGAATGTAGGCCTGTGCCTGTGCCTTATTAAATAAGAAGCATCAAAAGCGGATCTCAAAATCAAAGTAAAATGAGTTCAAGAAAAACTGCTTTCAGGTATTGATATAGACAGATCGAAAGGGCAAAATTGAGTCCCAAATCTTAAAGCATAGGCCTTAGCTTAAATATTATACCCAACCAAGAAGAGAAGGCTCTGTTTTCTCTGAGTGTCACCCTGGGCTGCACATCAAGCTCATAGCTAAATGAGCAGTGTGATGAGCTGAGGCCCTGGCAGGGGTGAGTGAGGATGTGCTACAGCCTCAGCAATACCAGCTAAGGAACTATGGACCTCAGATGAGGGCTCAAAGGGGTTGAAGGAAGTTCAGCCTTCGGCAGGCTGAAGTAAAGTGCTGAATACAAGGTAGGGGCCTGAATAGGGAAATAAGAGAGTTCCTTTGCGGTTTGTAGAAATTAGCTTCCCCAAGGTGCTCAGATACCTGGGAAGTCACCTTCTGCACAGGCGGGCCATGGTGTTTTCATGTTAGAAATAAAGGCAGACAGATTCCAATCATAGCCATCCCGGAGGTCCAGGATATAACATCTCAGGAAAGCAATTTAGCAACAATTTGAAATGAACATTTAATTTCTCATCTTTCCTAAAAACGTGTGTGTGTGTGTGTGTGTGTGTGTTGAACAGATGGGGTTGATCATAATACATGACTTCAAATGATTTAATTTTTTATAAAAGCAATTATTTTTCAGGGTTAAGCTAGTTTTTTCTATAATGTAAAAACTGCCCTTTGATCTTCCTCCTAAGTAAGCGTGCCCTACATTTTGATATGCAGATCCAGGCTTCAACTTGGTGTCTTAAATTACTGTGTTTGCAAAGGCTCATCAGAAGAGATCATACTGAAAATCCATTTTAGAACTTCAGTTTCGCTCTGGTTTTGTAGTTGATTAGAATTCATAACACCATAGGAGTCTATTCAGACCAGCCATTCTTCCCATAAAAGAAAAAAAGGATATAGTTAACCATGTGTTGTATTTTTCTAGATTATCTCATCACTTATGCAAGTTTATGTTCATTTTCTGTATGTCCATCTGTGCTGGATGGTGCACTAGAATATCTACTATTATCCAATTCTGAGGAAAGATATTCTATTTTTTTTCTTTCTTTCTTTCTTTCTTTCTTTCTTTTTCTTTCTTCTCTTTCTTTCTTCTTTCTTTCTTCTTTTTTTCATTTTTTTTTCTTTTGAGACACACTGTCACTCTGTCCCCCAGGCTGGAGTGCAGTAGTGCAATCTCGGCTTGCTGCAACCTCTGCCTCCCAGGTTCAAGCAATTCTGCCTCAGCCTCCCGAGTAGCTGGGATTACAGGTGCACACCACCACACCCGGCTAATTTTGTATTTGTTTAGTAGAGACGGGGTTTCACCATGTTGGCCGGGCTGCTCTCGATCTCCTGAGCTCATGTGATCTCCCCACTTCAGCCTCCCAAAATGCTGGGATTACAGGCGTGAGCCACCACACCTGGCCTATTTTTTTTTCTTAGACCCTGAAAATAATCTGAATTATTCTACCCTTTGAACATTTTACCTTTACCAATGATTAAATTATTATACCCCAAACAGTAGGAAATGTATTAATGGTATTTCTGCTATTTCTGGTGTCTGGGGTCATCATAGACTGGGAATAGAAGCTGATTAGGGAGGATCAGAATTTTGTGTTGAGATTTAAACTACATTTACCTTTGCATCAGAGTGAATTTTTCTCTGCCTGAGCTGTCAGCCAAAAAGCAATTGGATTATATCAGCCTGTGGTCACTGCTGACTCACTTGACAGGCTTGTCTCTTGTATTAGTCTCAAAGGAATTCTATATTGCAAAAGAAGAATATGTTTATTTCTTAAATGCCTTCACTGAGTGCAGAAGTTTAGGGTGATCCAGAGATGTTCTATTTCCCGGCCCTGGGTTTCACCGTCAGGCTTGGAAGCTGCCACTTGGAAGGAAAAGCAAGCACAGAAGCCAAGGCCAGATGGATGAAAGCTTGGCAAAAAACAAGGCTGAGCTTCTGCCTCTGAGTCTCTGCCATCTTTATCCTTTTTCTCTCTCAGGATTTTATTTTTTTTTTGGCAATCACCAAGTACCTGTCTCCAGGATCAGCTTTTAACATCCTGCCCCTCTTTTCCATATCTCTTATTTCCCTTCTCTTCCTCTACATTTTTTTGTCTTATTTCCCCATTAACCAGAAAACAATTCATACAAAAGATTCGGTCATAATCACCAACATGCATTTATTGTGTGCTGGGCACTGTGCTGAGTATTTTATTTGCATTATCCCGCTTCATCTCCGTAATCACCCTATTAGGTAGATATTATCATGTCCCTGCACAAATGAGAACATTGAGACCCAGAGACATTATCTACCTTGTCCAGAATTACACAACTAGTAAAAAAAAAAAAAAAAAAAGAGCCAGGATTCAAACTCAGGTCAGTTCAGCCTGACTAGCTAGCGAGCATTTTTAACTATTAGACAGAGCCTCCCAACAAAACGAATGTAACATGGTTATTTTTAGAGACACCTGCACGCTCAGATTAGCTCTAAGGTAGATTTGAGCTGTGAGGTAGATTTGTAGCTGAAAGATTTGGTTGTCAACTTTGGTTGTTTCCATGCAACTGAGAACAAACTGAGACTAAAGAGACACAGAATGCAGCCACATGAGGTTATTTGGCCTCTGGGTGGTTCTCACCACAGGCCTCTTCATCATTTCACAGACGTTTACATCAAGCAGTTTCCTGGTCATCATCGACTCAGCATCCTGTCTCACAGGTGACTTTGATATCACAAAAACGTCTCCATTTCCTTCTCCCTTCCCCTTCTCTGGTGCCAAGGAAGCCCATTTGTACATAACCACCTTCCTGAAAATCCTTAACCCTCTCCTACCTTCCCAAAGCGTGGGGTTTGTTTACTTATCTAGACAGCCTTTAAGCTGAATCTTCAGTACCAAGCTCTGTGAGACACTGATTGATGTTTAAAGAAGTACTGAATAATGCCTTTCTACCCCTGAACTTGTTTCCTGTTAAGCTCAGGAACTAATGATCATGGTGGTGGTGATAGTGATGTGATGATGATGGCATACTTACTGATCAGTCGCTATGTTTGAGACACAAAGTACACAGTCTCTACCTCTACAATCTCATTTAATCCTCCATATCAACCTTAGGAGATAGCTACTATTATTATCATTTCCATTTTACAGATGGAAAATGAAGCTCAGAGAGATTGAGTGATCTGCCTATGATTATCCGACTAAGAATTAGAAAAGCTGGGATTTATATCCAAGCAGTATGTAGAATGCTAAACATAGCCATGGAGAAGCAGATACCCAGTCATAAAGAAGAAAATTTGCTCATTTTTTCCTGGGTCTGAGTTCCCTTCTTTCAGCTAATATTTGGCCTCCCCCTCCCTGCTCTCTGTCCTGTGGCCTCAAGCAGAGACAAATTGCTCCACAAATCTTTCTGTCAGAGAGCCAACCACATTTCTCCTGCCAGCACCCCTGATCCCAGGAGAAAATGAGTGCCCTATGTGCCCTGGTCTCCCTCATGTTATAAACCTTGTATGTTGAGTGATTCATTTCTCATTGAAAAATATGATCGCCTTTCGACATTTCTGCAGGAGAGCTCTAGTCAACTCTCCTTGGGAAAAAAATTCCACTGGTAGGAAGTGATAAAGGACAAGAACCCAAATGATGAACTGCAGGACAGAAAGACCCCGGCCATTTCTCTGTCAGAAAAAATCATTTGTTCCCACAGGGTATCTTGATCAGGAAGGCTTCTCCCCCAGACATCCGCGCGGCTTCCTCCCTCGCTTCTTGAAGGTGTTTATTCAAAAACCACCTTCTAAATAAACCACCTTTCCCACCTTCGTATTTTTTTCTCTTCAGGACATACCACTGTCTAACATCCTTTATATCCTACCGATTTTTCTGTTATCTGCCTTGCACGAGGATGTAGATTCCAGGAAAGGAGGGATTTTTCTGTGTTCTGTTTGTTACCATATTCCTAACACCCACAGCAGTGCTTGGCAAATAGTCGGTGCTCAATAATGATTTGTTGAATTAACAAATAGGTCAAAGTCTTCTGTGTATAATCTGTAAACGCTGAATGAGAGAACGGAAATAGCTGTACTATAGGGTAATTTGTGGGAAAATATCTGGTTGAGTTACATTAGGAAATGTTAACTGTGAAGTAATGGTGCTCATTTTAATGGTATTTGGTGGTATAGCATTAATGATTATGATTGGGGAGCTTAGAAATGAGTAAGCTTTTTCCCAGTAAAATTAATACGATGTACTCTTTTTTTACTTTGAAGAATTTGCTGTTTGAGGGGTCTTTCAAGATTCTTCAGGGTAAGGTAGACTGCAGTGAAAATTCAGAAGCCCTGAAGAAGTTAATGGTGGTGCACAAATACTCTGGAATATTATGCAACAGTAAAAACAAATGAAAAGAATGGAATAGATCCCTGTAGTGACAGCTCCAAGATGTGTAATTGAGTGAAAAAAAAAAGAAGCTGTAGTATGATATTTGTCTACAATAACATCTTTGTACACACACACACACACACACACACACACCCCTAGAAGATCCGGAAGGATACACATGAAACTGTTAACATTGCTTATAACCAGAAGTGAAAGGGGGTGCCATAGGTGGGGGAAAACATCAGAATTTCACAATAATCAAAAGGGACTGCAATGTTATTTGCAATAATTATGTTTGTATAATGAAATATATTAATGGAATACTTATGTAACTAAATTTTTAGAAATCAAAACAGGAAGCAAAAGAAATTGCTTCTGATCAGGGAGGTAAGAGGATAGGGCCCTGCCAGAGACAGAAAGTGTAAAAACACACAGATTGTTTTTCACTAGAAGAGCCAGAAGTGTCCATGAGAGTGTCTAAATGATTTGAATTTATTTGTCATCGATGTGCCTGTAAGTTTCTAACACAAAGTTGATGACTCTACACATCTCTCCTTGCTTTCCTCAGAAAAGCCCAAACCAAGTACTTCAAATGCATAATTTGTAAAGATTGTGATGATGTACACAGAAAAATTTGTCATTTCCATCTCATTGAAAAAGGCCTCTCACTTCCTTAGCCAGATCGTCTCTCTAATCCTCAGACTAAAACTGAACAGCTCTGGGATACATAATGACTACAGAAGCAATTTCAGAAACTTCTGGAGGGAAGCATCACACAAATGAATGATTCTGTGGTTCAGAATTATTAGCTTGATGCCCAGATGCATATCGTATTTGCAAGAGGCAGTTTACAATCTGCTCAGCTTAACAAATGCAGCACAAGGGGATTTAAATCCCTGCATTTGCAATTTCTGTCTCTCCCTCTCCAAATTTATGGTGAAATTATAGACACCAGTAATGTGTCAGGGCTGAGTGAACTGAGGTCTCTGCTCTGCTCTCACAGCTCCATTTCACTCAAAGGAGAGTAATAAATGGAAAGCAACAAAAAAGTCTCAGCAGATAATGAATCTGTGTCCTAATGACCTTCCCAAACTACAAAATGGATTCATAATTTACCTGATATTGCCCAAACCATTCGGTGCCTGTTGTGAGGTGTTAAGATATTTTGGACATTTTAGACCACAAATGTGCATTTTAAGCAGTTCCTCAATGATTCAAGAAGGCTCCGAACTACCTTTCCCTGTCAAGGTACAATTTTCCATCAATGACAGCGGAAGGCATGTTTCCACCCTTCCCTGTTTGCTGCCTTGATAGTGATGTGATCGATTACTAAGGAGTCTTGGTCTGTTCTGCAGACCCTGGGACTACAGTGTGGCCATTTGTATAAGATACGGGTGTTACAAGCCAATGCGTGGTATCACACATCTGTCTCTATTTTAAAACCACTTGGTCTCCGGCAAGGATTGCAGAGTGGAGGCTCACATTTATTCAAGGGAAGTCATGTGCAAAATAATATGTTTGCTTGCTGAACAGGTCTGTCACTTGCTGGTCATCTCCATCTGAGTTTGCTGCAAAGGAAGCAGTTGATCGGCCACTACTAGGGCATCAATACCAAATAGGAATAACACATATGAAATGGTCTGAAATTAGTAGGCTTTAGAAATGAAAAGCAGCTAGGCACAGTGGCTCACGCCTATAGCCCCAATACTGTGGGAGGCTGAGACGAGAGGATCGCTGGAGCCCAGCAGTTCGAGGCTGCAGTAAGCTATGATCGTACCACTGAATTCCAGCCTGGGGAACAGAGGGAAACCCTATTTCTAAAATTAAAAAAAAAAGGCTCACAGATTTTTAAAGATCTTTGTGTATTGCATCCAAATGTTGCCTTTTTTTCCATGCCAGAGCTAAAATGGAAATAAGTCATGAGATAAAGTAAAAGAGAACATCTACTGATTTTCATGAACTCATACTTTTTATTCATTTAATCACCTCTCTATCCTTATGTTCATCCAGTCAGTCCACAAACATTTATTACAATTGTTGTACACTTTCCCAAGTAAAATAAGGTTCAATTTGAAATTTACTTTGTGCTTCTTTCATCCAAAATTATATATGAGCTTGAGCAAAGCAATCCACTGGATATATCTATGGCTTCGGCAACCACCCACTATGCACTGGTGACATTCAAATTTCTACATGGAGCTCAGACATCACTCTTGAATTCCAGCTTTATCATCAACTTCCCACCAGACCCCCGTTCATCAGTATTTAAGTGTCCCACTAAACTTAATCGAAACACATCCAAATTGAATTCATCCTCTTTCCCCCTCCTCTTATTCTCTATCTGAGCTGGATGTGTAGTGTGGCCTCTGCCAGAAGCCCAGCTATGGCCATAGATTGTTGCCTTTCCTCACCCTCAACACACAGTCAGTTTCCAAGTGCTATTAACTACTCCTTTGTGTACCTTCCTCCATCCCATTGCCTTGGTCTTGCTTCACTTTCTTCTCATCCTTCCTGCAAACTAGCATGATAGACCAGCCTGGTCTCAGCACAGGTCTCAGTTCCCTTCCAAGCCACCCATGACATTAGTGTCAGCATAGTCTCTCAGAAGGTGCAAATCTGGTTATTCTTCTGTTTCAAACCTTCACTGGCTCACCCCAGCATTCAGGAAAATGCCCAAACAAGGCCCTTTTATGGTCCGGCCCCTGCCTATCTTTTCAGGCACCTCCCACAAGACTCAAGTGTAAAATCCTCCAAAATCCCCACGAGTTATCCCTTGCACCATGAGCCTTCTTACCTCTATATAGTGGCAATTTAACTCATGCAGCTACTACTACGCATTGATTAGAGACCATGAGGGACTCATATGAATTGAAAGATTCACTAATATTGATGTCACAGACCAATGTGTTTGTAAAATCAGCATAGCATCATTAGCACAAATGAAACTGGGCTTTAATGGAATTTATCTTTGGCTAGATTGTTTTTTTAATCTGGCTGTGGCACCACCCCAGAAGAGTAAATGAAATTCCACATGTCAGCCAGGCATGGTGGCTCACTCCTGTAATCCCAGCACTTTGGGAGGCCAGGCAGGTGGATCACAAGTTCAGGAGTTTAAGAGCAGCCTGGCTAACATGATGAAACCCCATCTCTACCAAAAATACAAAAAATTAGCCAGGTGTGGTGGCACGCACCTGTAATCCCAGCTACTCTGAGGCTGAGGCAGGTGAATTGCTTGAATTTGGTTTGTGGAGGTTGCAGTGAGCCACGCAGCTGCACTCCAGCCTGGGCAACAGAGACTCCATCTCAAAACAAAACAAACAAACAAACAACAAAAACAAAAAAATTCCACATGTCCTCCTATGTCTCAGTATTCTTACTGTGGTGATTCAAGAACTGGTTTTTAGGGAAAACTGGAGAGAAAACACAAAGGATTTTTCTAGAAAATGTGTTTGCTCAGCCATTAATAAACTTGTTTTCCTTAACCATCAGGACTTTGTTATTATGCATTGGAACTCTCCAAGAGAGGGATTTAAGGAGCAGCTTTTCTTCAGGTTGAACAGGGAAGCCTGGTTTCAGAGCACTGATTAACAGCTACCCATAGTGATTTTCTTTGAATGCAATCTGGCTTCCCTGTATTCCAATGTAATAAATCATTCTTTCAGCTGTGCAGTAGTATTTAAGGACTACCTGCTTAATCTTTAATTGGCTAAGTAGTTACAAGCTCAAATTATATAGTGTAAAAATATTGCAATAGATCACAGTGTTGTCAATTTTCTCCTACAGAACTCTGACATTCTCAAACATAACAAAGCTCACCTCTCTCACATTAATGACTGAAATGTCCTTGGAATAGAGAATGGCATAGTTATTATTTGCAAAAAAAGTATACTTCTGTCTCCTGAATGTCAGGAGCCCACATGTCATGTGCATGTGAGTGTGTGTGTGTGTGAGTGTTGGAGGACGTGTAGACCTCGAATTAGGGCTTCATTTTCTGTACATCACTGATGAAGTAGCTTTATATGTGTTCCCTTCACCACAGCCAACTTATCTTTTAACTAATCCTACTGTAAGGATCATTTAACTTATCCCTATCAAATGTGTCTCCTCCTCCAGGAAGTCTTCCCTTACTTCCATCTTCCACCTAGATTCAGGTGCCCCTTTTCTGGGCTGCCACAGTGCTCCATTCATTGAGTCAACACTTACTGGGTAATTTTTATGTCAGGTACATGGCTTGGTACTAGGAACTTAGAGATGGATAAAACTAGTCCCTCAAGGAGTTAAGACCCAGCCTACCCCTGTCCAAACTACATTGTAATTGTTTGGGTCACCTGTCTCTGGTATCGGACTGTGCCTGGTATATGCTAGGTGTCATATTAACAAATGGATGGATAAATAAAAGACCTTTGCTTCAGCAACATGTTAATATCAAAAGGGAGACCATCCCGGGCTTTAATATGTAATAAATTTCCATTAAATTTCACTGGAAAAACTGCTAATAAACGAGGTCTGGGTGCTGAGGTGATGGAGGAGTCTCCACGCTGCTCAACTATTGTGTTGGGGTTAAACAGGTAAAAAACTAGCTTGTTTGGGGTACAGGTGGGCCAACCTGGGTCCCCAGGGAAGGGAGACCTACATATTCAGGGCTCATACAACTGGGTCCCAAGAGAAGTCACATAATCTACTGTTAATTATACTAGAGTCACCATTAAATCACATTCCTTTCCTTAAGAAGAAAACTAGCTCTTTAGCTCACCGCAGACCACCTCTTCCCCCTTTCCCCTCTCTCCCTTACAAACCCACCTTATCTAAGAAAAAGTTCAAATGTTTAGCCAATCAAGTCTAGCTTAGATTGTGCAATCTGACCCCAGCCAATAAAAAAAGAGCACAAGGGCAAAATTTACATCAAGAATAAAAACTTTCACTCTCCTTTGTTCTGTGTGCTCTCATAGCGACTAGCCAAACAAGAAGGTCCCCTCTGCACAGAAGGAAATTTGCTTTGTTAAGAAATCCTTTTGTCTAAGTACTCATTTTCCTTACGACTCCGAGCTTTTTTTCAAATATCTAATCTTCTCTTCTGTCACCTCCTGATATGGTTTGTACCCGTGTCCCTACCCAAATCTCATGTTGAATTGTAATCCCCAGTGTTGGAGGTGAGGCCTGCTGGGAGGTGATTGGATCATGGGGCAGAGTTCTCATGAATGGTTTTGCATCATCCTCTTGGTGTTGTTCTCATGATAGCGAGTGAGTTCTCCCGAGATCTGGTTGTTTAACCGCCCCCCATCTCTTGCTCCTGCTTTTGCCGTGTAAGACACCCACTTCCCCTTCACCTTCTGTCGTGATTGTAAGTTTCCTGAGGCCTCCCCAGAAGCAGAAGCCACTGTACTTCCCATACAGCCTGCAGAACCATGAGCTAATTAAACCTCTTTTCTTTATAAATTACCCAGTCTCAGATATATCTTTATAGTAATACGAGAATAGGTTAACACACCTCCCTACTGCGCCTGCTTCCCCATCCATCCCATCCCAACCAGCAGAGTCTCTAGAAGACATCCTGTGTGATTTCTGTCTCTGATGAAACTGCCGGCACTAAAACATGTCATTGAAAGAGGTCTTTTTTGCGTACGTTGATCTAATTCTTCTGTAAAGAAGCAACAATTACTAAATCTGGAGAACTTTTCTTCTAGCATGAGTCTAATTGTCAGAATAAAGTTAGTAGAAATAAAGTAGACAATTTTTGTTTTGTTTTGCTTTGTTTTGTTTTGAGATGGAGTCTTGCTCTGTCACCCAGGCTGGAGTACAGTGGCACAATCTCGGCTCACTGCAACCTCCGCTTCCTGGGTTCAAATGATCCTCCTGCCTCAGACTCCTGAGTAGCTAGGATTACAGGCGCCTGCTACCACGCTTGGCTGATTTTTGTATTTTTAATAGAGATGGGGTTTCGCCATGTCGGCCAGGCTGGTCTCAAACTCCTGACCTCAGGTGATCACCCGCCTCAGCCTCTCAAAGTGCTGGGATTACAGGCATGAGCCACTGTGCCCGGCTGACAATTTTTTAAGTATCCTTTTTTTCCTACTGAATTGTCTACACTGAATAAAGACTAACACAAGAAAAATATCTCACTGTGATGTAATCGTTAAGCACTGTTGTTTTGTTTGACATACTGGAACTTTGTAATGCTAAATTGCTTAAAAAGAAGCCCTACATTGTTTGCCAAAATAAAAATGGAACAGAGATGATTTCCTTTCTCTCTGTAGACAAGAAATTTCAAGTAGAAAAACGTGTTTTGAACCCAGCAAGGGGAAAGGGGACTTTCCAGAGACTCAGTCCATGACTTTTTCTTATCATTGCTTGGGTGTTTTTGTATTGTAACTAATTTTTTTTTTTTTTTTAACCACAGAGGATCTCGACATGGCTTAAAAGAATTTCTCTTAAAAAATCAATTAACACATTGCTTATTGATCCTATTTTATGAGCATCCAAAGCAAAAAGCTTAATTCTGTGCAATTCTTCTCACAACTACCAAATAATTGAGTTCTTTGAGGTACTTTGTTACATGGGTACAGATGAGAGCATGTTTGTTGTGTAGCGAACTTGTGGTAGAGTACGGTTTATAAGTAGACCTTCCAAGCATTGTTGAGATCAAGAGATTCGCAATACAGAACTCTCTACTAGAAGTGTTTATGAAAAGGTATTTGTCTGTATTGAACAATCTTTTTTTCCTAAGAAAAAGATCATAGCCAAGCAAGGTAGCTCACACTTATTATCTCAGCACTTTGGGAGGCTGAGGCAGGAGAATCACTTGAGGTTGGGAGTTCAACAGAAATGATTCACTTTTACCTCCATGATTCAGCGATTAAGATGCAACAGAGCAGTGGGTTAAGAGCACAGACTTTAAAACTAGACTGCCTGGGTTTGAATTTCAATCCTGCCACTTAAAAGCTGTGTGACCTTGAACAAGTTTCTTAACCTCTCTTTGACTTAATTCTTCACTTATAAAAAGGGGTAATAATAATGGTACTTACCTCCTAACCTTGTGAGGAGAATATTAATTCATTAATTAATACATGCTAGGTGCTTCATATGGTACCTGGCACATAGTCAATACTGTTCTAAATTCCCTTCCAAACTCCTATCCCAACCTTGGGCTATTTTTTACAGTGGTTGCATGAGCTATGGCTACCCTAAAGCAGCTGAAAATGTAGAGCAGCTATATATCCTTTAGTGTGAGTGAAGGGAGATCCTTTCCCAATATACACAGCTTACAAGGGGCAGACTTAGAAATGGTAGATAATCACTTTCAGAACTCTAGCCCATATGTTTCCCTAGAGCAAACCACTTTCTTTCCAAACATGAATTTCATGTAAGAGAATAAACATTTACAGATAGCTGGAAAGAAGCAAGGCTCCATATAGGGACATAAACTAATGCCTGTCTTTGCCAGATACCAAGTCCCTGAGAGGTCTATCTCTGAAACAAGCCTTTAAACTATACAAAGCAAACTGTCAGTCTGGGGGGGAAATGAGGATTTTAAAGTCACTATCTCCTATTAAATATTGCAGATAAACACACACAGAGAGAAAAAGAAGAGAAGTTGTGCTTTACACTAAAAAGAGACTTAGGGGAAAAAAGCAGCCTGCACTACCCTAGGGAAAGGAGACCTTGTCTTCTTTCCAAGTTCCATCATTGACAACCTCTGTGATGTGATCTTGGGTGAAACCCTCAACCGCTGGGGGCATCAGCTTCCTCAGCTGTAAAATGAGGGAGATGAACTAGATCTATAAGATTTCTTACAGCTCTGACATCCTATGACTTTATAAAATAAAATAGATGTTAAATGTATCCAGCAGGCAACAGAAACTAACTCTGGAAACGTACGCGGGAAAAGGATATTTTTGCAAGAATATCACTGGTAGCCCACAGAATCAAAGGGAAGCCTGGAGAACCAGGTTCAGAACTGATGTGGTTTGGCTGTGTACCCACTCAACTCTCATCTTGAATTGTAGCTCCCATAATTCCTACATGTCATGGGAGGGACCCAGTGGGAGATAATTGAATCATGGGAGCAGGTCTTTTCCATGCTGTTCTTGTGATAGTGAATAAGTCTCACGAATCTGATAGTTTTAGTAAGGGGATTTCCCCTGCACACACTTTCTTGCCTGCCGCCATGTAAGACGTGACTTTGCTCCTCCTTCACTTTCTGCCATGATTGTTAGGCCCCCCCCAGCCACGGAAAACTGTGAGTCCATTAAACCTCTTTCCTTTATAAATTGCCCAGTCTCGGGTATGTCTTCATTAGCAGCATGAGAACAGACTAGTACTAGAACCAAGGCAGTTTGGTGAGGATAGGGGATGTGTTTGGGGTTTAGAGGCAGGAATAACTGAACTATGTTACTGAAGTGAATGAGCTTCATTTTTTCCACCCTTACCTCACTGAATCCAAAACTCAAAGTCCTAAGATAGAGGGTCAAATTAGTCTAGCTCAAGTCACATGCCACTCATTGGCTGGTGGGCAAGAACCCTTGATTAATAGTCCCACCAAGACATTGTTCAACCTGTGAGAGGTGATTCCCTAAGAGGACATTGGGGTATGATTATGAGAAGTGCACTGACTACTGGGCAGCTCTTCACTACAAATGTTGTGTCTGTCTTTGTGATACCACACATTAATAGAACTTTTCTAAGTCAAAATCGATGGACTATTTTCACAGCCCATCTGAAAACAGATGTAACTTTGGATAGAGATATTGGCCCCATGACAACACTGTATCCATACACAGATGTGACCACCCATCACAAAATGTTAGACAATGACACATGCTTGCAGAACAGCCTTCGCATGCCTCAAGAGATTGTTCTGGGGGGAAAAAACACAAGTCTGTGTTTTGTTCTAAATGTTTCTCTCGGCTGGGCACAGTGGCTCACACCTGTAATCCCAGCACTTTGGGAGGCCAAGCCGGGCAGATCACAAGGGCAGGAGTTTGAGACCAGCCTGGCCAACATGGTGAAACCCCGTCTCTACTAAAAATACAAAAACTAGCTGGGCATGGTGGCGCTCACCTGTAATCCCAGCTACTTGGGAGGCTGAGGCAGGAGAATAGCTTGAACCCAGGACGGGGAGGTTGCAGTGAGCCAAGACCATGCCACTGCACTCCAGCTCTGGGCGACGGAGCATGACTCCATTTCAAAAAAAAAAAAAATTGTTTCTGTCTTTGCACATCTCCTTGGATGTGAGAAGGAACATTCACAGAGGCACCCAAGAGTCATTTTCCTCTTCTTCCGTGTTTACAGAGCCCTGTTTTTATTCTGATGGTCAATTCTCCTCCCCAACTTGAGAATCAGGTTAATCCTGATTGGTTGTAATTAGTCATGATGGTCCCATACCCCCTGCCATTGGGTGGTTTAAGGGTAGCTCTGTGACCTTGCTCTAGATGCTCTGACATGAGAATAAATCTGCTGGGGATGGAGGAGACTCCTTGTAAAGGTTTCTTCACTTGGATAGAGGACATTGTGGCTATAGGTGTGGTGGCTCATGCCTGTAATCCAAGCTACTCAAGAGGCTGAGGCAGGAGTATAGTTTGAGCCCACGAGTCCGAGACCAGCCTAGGTAACTAAAAAAGAAAAATCAAGGTGTAAAGATACGATGATTGGGCTGGGTGCGGTGGCTCATGCCTATAATCCCAGCACTTTGGGAGGCCAAGGCGGGTGGATCACGAGGTCAGGAGTTCAAGACCAGCCTGGCCAACATGGCGAAACCCCGTCTCTACTAAAAATACAAAAATTAGCCAGGAGTGGTGGTGGGTGCCTGTAATCCCAACTACTTGAGAGGCTGAGGCAGGAGAATTGCTTGAACCCCAGAGGCGGAGGTGACAGTGAGCTGAGGTCGCGCCACTGTACTCCAGCCTGGGCGACAGAGCAAGACTCCATCTCAAAAAAAAAAAAAAAGATGTGATGATTGTTGCTGCTATGGCCCCACCATTTAATATAATCTTTCCTTGAAACCATGAGAAGGGAAGCATGAACACAAACACCAACAATCTGAAGATGGCAAAGAGGAAAGAGAAGAAAGAACTTGAGTGCTTGATGATGAGTCTTGAATTAAGCAACTCTGGAAGCACCCTATTTAGAATTTCCCATTAGATAACATAATAAATCTCCTCATCATTTAAATCACTTTCACTTGGACCTTCTACTATTTGCAGAAGAATTATCTTTTTTTAGTTGACATGTAATAATTGCACATATTTGTGGGATATAGAGTAATATTTTGATACATGTGTAATGATTAAATCAGAGTAATTAGCATGTCCATCACCTCAAACATTTATCATTTATTTGTGTTGGGAACCCTCACAATCCTCTTTTCTACCTATTTTGAAATATGCAATACTGTTTTGTTAACTATAGCCATCCTGTAGTGACTATACAGTGACTTCCTCTCTGTAATTTTTTAACCATTAACCAATCTCTCCCTATCCTTCCCTCTCTCTACCCTTCCCAACCTCTAATAACTACAATTCTACTCTCTACTTCTACAAGCTAGTTTTTTTTTAGCTTTTGCATGAGTGAGAACATTTGGTATTTATCTTTCTACATCTGGCTTGTTTCCCTTAACATGATGTCCTCCAGGCTCATCCATGTTGCTGTGAATGACAGAATTTTATTTGTGTGTGTGTGTGTGGCTGAATGGTATTCCATTGTTTATACTGATATGGTTTGGCTGTGTCCCCACCCAAATCTCATCTTGAATTGTAGCTCCCATGGTGGGGAGGGACCCAGTGGAAGATCATTGAATCAGGAGGGCGATTTCCCCCATACTATTGTCATGGTAGTAAGTCAGTCTCATGAGATCTGATGGTTTTATAAGGGGAAACTCATTTTGCTTGGCTCTTATTCTCTCTTGCCTGCCGCCATGTAAGACATGGCTTTCACCTTCTGCCATGATTGTGAGGCCTCCCCAGCCATGTGGAACTATGAGTCCATTAAACCTCTTTTTCTTTATAAACTACCCAGTCTTGGGTATGTCTTTATTAGCAGTGTGAAAACAGACTAATACATATATGTACCACATTCTCTTTATTCATTCATCCATTGATGGATCTGTAGGTTGGTTTCATATTTGGGCTACTTTGAATAGGGCTGTAATAAACACTGAGGTGCAGGTAGTTCTTGGATATATTGATTTCCTTTCCTTTGGATAAATACCCAGTAATAGCACTGCTGGATCGTGTGGTAGTTCTATTTTTAGTTTTTTAAGAAACTTTCGTACTATTTTTCATAATGGCTGTACTAATTTACATTCTCACCAACAGTGCACAGGAGTTTCCTCTTCTCTGCATCCTCTCCAGCATTTATGTTATTTTTTGTCTTTTTGAGGATGGCCATTTGACTTGGAGTGAGATGATACCCCAGCATGGTTTTGATTTATATTTCCCTGATGATTAGTGATGTTGAACATTTTTTCATATACTTATGTCTTCTTTTAAAAAAAAGAAGTCTATTCAGAACCTTTACCAAAGTACATAATTCCCAGTTCACAGAAGATTTTTTAAATGTATATTTTAGTTTTCATGGCTCTAGGTTAATCTGGTAATACACCTTACTTAAATTTTCAAAACTTAAGAACTCCTTTCCACTCATTATCCTAAGATTGCCATCCATCATAATAGTACAAATAGTTGGAGATGGTGAAGAAACATGTAGACAGAAAAAGAAGTAAAATAGACAAGGAGACAGAGAAGGAAGTAAATGGAGTCAAATTATGAGAATAAACTGTGTCAGAAAATTGAGTCCAAGTCTTTATTCCACAATGTTTGACAGAAAGGGAAAGGAAGATAGTTCAGAGAGAGAGAAACAGACAGGAGTTCTCTACTGACAGAAGGAGAAGGTAAGGATGGATGCAATTCAGTACAATATTTGTCTATTTTTGAATTTTATTTTACTAAATATTAAGTAGGTACTAAAGTTCATTTTACAATATATATAAGCTATATAGAATTGTGACCCAATGAACTCTCATACACCTGCCCCCAAGTTTATAAAAGAACATTATCCTTGGGCTAGAAGGCCCTGATGTGTGGGCCTCCAATTCCATCCCCTTACAGATAACCTGAATCTACAGCCAACATCTGGCTAACTCCATTAACCCAGATGACTATTGCTTGGGAGAAGCAGGTTGGAGAGAAGTGAGTACCTATCATCAGAGACTCAGAAGCTGGAGATGATATGGTTCCCTCTCTCACTCACAGTCTGGTAGGGAAAGAGAAATGAATACAACTAGCTGTGGTACAAGGCAAGATGTGAGAAGTACCATGATAAGAGGACTAAATCCTAGAAAAACACAGAAACAACAGACATTGTTCCATCTGGGGTGAGCAGGGGAAACTTCATGGACAAGGTGGCCTATCTGCCTTTCGTGTAAAGGATTTATAAAGATGAAAGGAAAGGGCAAATGTAACAATCATTAAAAAGGCAGGGAAAAGAAGGTGGTCTGAATGACTATTTCATCCAGGGATGACTAAGTATAGGAGAGGGAAGAGTCCAACTTCAGGCTAGGATGAAAGTACAGAGTTTGGTAGAAATCCCCTGGAAAATAAAAATTCTTCTAGAAACTAAAAACTAGCTATAAGTTTGGGCAATATTTATTTTCTGCACACGGGAGTCTGGAAGGTTGTCATGTGTGTCTCATCTCTCCTCCTTTCTCTGCCTACCCTATCACCCCTGCATCAAATCACTTACCAAGCACCACCAATTCTCCATCCATATCCTCTCTTCTATCTCTTCTTTTTGTCACTCTAATTCCACTGTGTGCTTAATGACTGAAAGACTCCTGCATGGTGCCATGTTTCCTCTCTCCCTCTTCAATCTACACCTGAATCCTTTGAAAGGCAGGCTAGGGACCTGGCTGCTTAGCAGGACACAGAGGTCAAGGAGGTGAGTGTGGCTTACAGCTGGGGAGGAAAGCCTGCAGTGAGAGCCACGAACACAGGACTAAGCCACAGGTCATAGGGAGGGGGTATGGGTGGGTCAAGGTCAAGTTTGGAACCAACTGGAAAGCAGGGTACACGAAAAGCTAGTGGTGTCAATGGGAAGCCTTCAATCATACCAGGCACCAAGGACCACTGGTTGGTTTTTACTGGGGCCAGTTGTATGGGGAGGGGGACAGAACTACCAGGCTAGGGGAGGCACACAGAACCAGTGACCACATAACAACTCCAGTGAGATGTCTTCTTCCAGGGCCCAGTTCACCCAGCCTCCTTGCGCTCCTTGAAGACATCTTTGACAGTGCTCTCAGCCGCAGCCACTTCTCTCAGGCACGCCCTCCATCCATTTTGCTCCCTTTGCCCTGTCTCTACCCCACAAGGCAGATTGTAGAAGCTGCACAGGTTTTGCAGCCTGACCAACCTAAGACTGAAGAATATCAATCAATAGGATTGGTGAGCTTCACTTGGCCTCAGCTTCCTCAGAGAGAATGACACCTGTTTCAAGGCATCATTGTGAGGAATAAATGAGAGTACACGGGGCCCATGCCAGGTGTAGAGTGAAGGCTCGATAAATAGGTCTTCTTAATTTTTCAGAGACAGGGTCTCACTCTGTTGCCTAGGTTGGAGTGCGGTGGTACAACCATAGCTCACTGCAGCCTCACACTCCTGGCCTCAAGCAATCCTCCTGCCTTTGCCTCTCACAGTGCTGGGATTACAGGTGTGAGCCACTGCACCCGGCCTAGTGCTTTACCCAACAAATATTTACAAAGAACCTACTGTGAGCCAAACACCTTACCAGCTGCTGGGGATTTTATGGTGAGCAGAACCAGACATGTTCCCTGTCCTCATGCAGCTTCCAGTCTAGAGGGGAAGACAGACATTAATTCGTAACCACAAAAATAATGACAAAGTAACAGGTATGAAAAGGGCTATGGGGGCTGAGAACGTGTTTATTTGAGAGGTTTGGTGATTCTGAGAATCAGGAAAAGCCATCTTCAAAACCCTGCTCAAAAGCCTGCCCTAATTCCTCCCAACTGGAAGTGATCCTATTGGCTTGTAAATTCTCAGCAGGAAGCATGCATCCTGCAATTGACACTTAGCTTACCGTATTGTGTCCAGTATTTTCACCAGTGGTGTACACATCCTGTCTCCTCTGCCAGAGTGTAAATTCTCTGTAGGCAGAGTAGGCCATCTACATCTTTGCGTGCGTCACAGTATCTGTTAAAAGTCGATTATTTTAATGAATCGGCGAAATTAGCTTCCTGAAAGCTGCCACAATTTAACTGGACTCGAAGCTTTATGTTTGCTTTTTGCAAGCCAAGTTCTCATTGATTTCTAAGTCATTGGTCAGAACATAAGAGGTGGTGTGTAGGGAAACAATAATTTGGCTTCTGAGAAATTGCATAATATCCATACCTCACAGGGTGTAATGCCCCTTCACTACCGCTGAAAAATCCCAGACCTGAGTTTGACTCACCTATTATTTAGGGATACACAGACCAGAAAAAGTGAGACTACTGTAATTCCGTTTGCGAAATCTTCAATCTCTAAATTTTACAATTAGAATCTCAATTTGTGATCTAGAGAAAAAATAATCGAATACCAGAAAAAAAAACCTCTGTGTGCTGGAATATTCATGCCTGTTAGATTGCTTATGTAGGAAGGGAAAAATATCTTTTCCTCCTACCCTTTTAAATTCAGAGCTGAATCCTTTATAATAAAAGATTAACCAGAGAAAAACATAGTGGTTTATTTAAACAAGTTCTACGTAACACAAGGGCCATCCTCAGGAAGTGAAGATCAGAGGAAACAGTTACACTTGAGTGTTTTTAGTAGTAGGTTTGATGAAGAATGGAGAGACACTTGCAGAAATATGATCAGGCAAAAAGAGTACTAGATCTAATAGGAATAAATGGAGGGAAACTTAGCAGAGCCCGTTTGTTCAGATTCTCCTCTGGGTCCCTGTGTCTTGGGAGATAGGGAACTGCCTTTCCTCTGTGGATACAGGAAGAGCACCTCTCACATGAGGGTCCTATGATGTGTTTTAGAGGAAGGTCAGCAAAGGTTTTATTACCTGCTTCCGGGGAGAAAGGTGGCAAAGGAAGGTCAGAGTAATATTTCCACTTAAAATTTGCCATTTTCTCAAATCCTTCAGCTTAAAAAATTCAGTTTGCCAAGGTGCCATATTTTGGGGCAGCGTGTCCTCAACCCCATCACTGATTATTAAATCTGACCCTGCAGTTAATCCTGTAAATCAACTCAGATAAGCAACTGTAGCCATATAATGATGGCCAGGAGATTAAGTTCCACCTTAACTCTGGAAAAGCATGTTTATATTTTAATGTCAAGAGCTGCCCTCTTGTCTATATGTGCTTTTTTATTGTTATTAGTAACTATAATTATGCTTGACATTAACAATGGCTATAACAAATATGAAAGCCAAAAGAATCAAAGGAAACGTTTTGCTATTAAAGTACTTAAGTATTTTATTTAAATTCGTTTTATTGGTATCTTTGATTTTTTTTTTTTTTTTTTTTTGAGACAGAGTCTTGCTCTGCACCAGGCTGTAATGCAGTGGCGTGATCTTGGTTCACTGCAAACTCTGCCTGCCAGGTTCAAGTGATTCTCCTGCCTCAGCCTCCTGAGGAGCTGGGACTACAGGCGCGCACCACCACACCCAGCTAATTTTTGTGTTTTTAGTAGAGACAGGGTTTCACCATGTTGGCCAGGATGGTCTCGATCCCTTGACCTCATGATCCTCCCACCTCAGAATCCCAAAGTGCTGGGATTACAGGCATGAGCCACTGCGCCTGGCCTCTTTGAATTTTTTTAAAAACATCCTGGTGCTAAAAGGCAGCAAGATTCATAAATGCAAACAAACATATAAATAAACAACCAGGCCCTCTTCCCTTTTAAATAATCTGTGAAATAAAAATAATCTATCTGCATAGGAAACAATTATCAAATCAGCATCTACAATGTGGCCCAATAAAAGAAAGGGTTTTCATATTTGATCCTGTTTTTGGTTCCTCAAAATTAAAAACTTGGCTCCACTCTGTGCTGTATAATGATAGATTTTTTTTAAGAAGAGAGAGAGTGGGAATTCTCTTGCTGTTTCCATGGGTTTCATCATCTTTTTTTCCATGACTCATAATGGCTTCTTGCAAACACTCTTGTTCCCTTGATCTCATGGAGCGAATGAATGCTCTTAAGCTAGTTTTCATCAACCAGTCAGCATTCCTCCTGCTTTCCAACTGTGCATCCTCAGCTGGACACAAACATTTTCCAGTCTACTCATTCACAAAATAAACTTCTGAGTATTCTTCAAAGGGCTCGGTCCAAC
Source organism: Homo sapiens (assembly GCF_000001405.40). Lineage (NCBI taxonomy): Eukaryota > Metazoa > Chordata > Mammalia > Primates > Hominidae > Homo > Homo sapiens. The sequence goes on from NC_000004.12 coordinate 38,967,627, forward strand.
TTGCCCGGGGATATTCTGAAGATTTAAATAAAAGCAAGAAAATATTATTCACACAAAAATTTTGTTAAGTGTTACTTGAATTAGAATGGGCAGAAAACAATTTTAAAACCGTTTGTTAAAACTATGGCTTATAAGACCACCAAAAAATGTTCTCAAGTCTCTGATTCAGGGCTCTTTCAGGGCAACCTGACCGCCTCAGCCTCCCAAAGTACTGGGATTACAGGCGTGAGCCACCACACCCTTCCATGACTTCTTTTCCTTTGGGTAGATACCCAGTAGTGGGATTGCTAAATGGAACAGTAGTTCTATTTTTAGTTTTTTGAGAAATCTCCATACTGTTTTCTGTAGTGGCTATACTAGTTTACATTCCTACCAGCAGTGTATAAGAGTTCCCAAAGTTGGGACAGTTATTCTCCCTTTTCAGGGTGACCCCAGGACTGATTCTGTGTTACGCCATGACACCCCCCATTATATCCCTAAGAAGACATTGTGCTCAGTGATAACAAACTTCTCAGCCTAGGACCAAGGAAACCTAGAGTCTCCACTAACCTCTGCTGCTACAGCATGTTTGGTTTATTTTCTATATCTATCAAATGAAAGTGTAAGTGTTCATGCCAGTTTCTTTCAATTATAACATTCCATGATTCTAACACAGAGACATAGAAATTGGGATTTATTCATTTACTCAACAAATCCTTATTGAACATCTAAACGCTAGGCATCATGTCCTCTGAAGGAGGAGTCTCTCTATCGTGCTCCCCAAGTCCCTCTCTTCACATGTGAACACCTTTATCATGTTACTTGAGTCTTTATTGGAATTAGGGCTTCTCTAATCTGACTCCTCCATTGACTACATTGTTGTTTTTGCCAATGAGTAGGATTCTCAACATACAGTAGGTGGTCAAAAATCATTTGGTGAATGAACAAAGAAAGAGGAACTCTTCAGATGCAAAGATAAGCATCCCAGAATGAACAACCAGAATGAGAGGTCTCGAGCATAATAATATCCAGTAATATTTCATTGACACAATCATATGACTACACTATATGCTACTTAGGAATTTCTGAGCCAACAGCAGACCCTGGTTGCACTGAGACCCAAAGTACTAAGACCTGCCTCTCTTTAACCTTGAACACAGACAGATTCTTGGCACTAAGTTTCAATTTGGCGTATTGAGCCATCGACGCTGGATCCCTTTGGCTGCCTCTCCCAATCTGCCCTCCACTCGTTTCCACCCTACTTGGTGCCCTGGGAGGCCAACTTACATAACTGCCTCCGCTGGGCTCCAGTGCCCTCTGGCTCTGGCTGGGTTTGGTCAATGGGGGAGTACTAGCACATTAGAGGAAGAGATGATGGCAAAGTTGGGGTTTGTTTGTACAAATTTATGGGGTACCTGTTAACTTTTGTTCTATGTATATAATGCATAGTGATTAGTGATCAAGTCAGAATACTTAGGATATCTGTCGCCCAAGTACAATACATTTTTGTGTAATTATAGTCACGCTACTGTGCTTTCACACATTCAATGTATTCCTTCTATCTGACTGTACATTTGTACCCTTTAACCCATTTCCCTTCACTTTAATCCATTTCCCTTCATCCTCTCCCCACAACTTACCTTTCCCAGTCTCTGTTCTCTATCTTTCCACTCTACTTCCATGTGATCAACTTTTTTAGCTCTCACCTACAAGTGGAGAACATGTGATATTTGCCTTTTTGTCCGTGGCTTACTTCACTTGAGATAATGACCTCCAGTCCCATCCAAGTTGCTGCATATGGCACGATTTCATTTTTTATGGCAAATATTTCATTGTATATATGCACCACATTTGTTTATCCATTCACCTGTTGATGGGCACTTAGGTCCATTCCATATCTTTGCTATTGTGAATAGTGCTACAATAAACATGTGAGTATAGGTATCCCTTTGCTATAGTGATTTATTTTCTTTTTCCGTTTCTTTCTTTTTTTGTTTTTTAAGACATGGTCTCATTTTGTCTCCCAAGCTAGAGCGCAGTGGCATGGCATGAACACAGCTCACTGCAGCCTCAACTTCCCAGGCTCAAGTGATCTTCCTGCCTCAGCCTCCCCAGTAGCTGGGATTTCAGACACGTGTCACCACGCCTGGCTAATTTTTGTATTTTTTGTAGAGACAGGGTTTCACCATGTTGCTCAGGCTGGTCTCGAACCCCTGAGCTCCAGCAACCTGCCCACCTCAGCCTCCCAAAGTGCTGGGATTACAGATGTGAGCCACCACACCCTGAGGTGATTTATTTTCCTTTGGGTAGATACCCAGTAGCGGGATTGCTGAATGGAAGAGTAGTTCTATTTTAAGTTTTTTGAGAAATATCCTACTGTTTTCTGTAGTGGCTATACTCTTCCTACCAACAGTGTAAAAGAGTTCCCAAAGTTAGGATAGTTATTCTCTCTTTTCAGGGTGACCCCAGGCTATAGTGTCCCTTGACCAAATGTCACAGCTCCTGTAGGACAGCCCTCCTCACACACTGTGTGTGTGTGTTTGTGTGTGTGTGTGTGTGTGTATACATGCATGCATGTCTGTCTCTGTCTCTGTCTCTCTGGGTTTCTTTCCCCTTTAGTCTTAAAGACAGTAGCAGGGCCCCACTCTTCCTAGTCTCAGGGTGCTGCATTCTCCCTTTTAGTTTTCCCACACCCTAGTTTAATATGCCCTTCATTAAACTAATCTCAAATTATTCAATTTGAGTGCAATATCAATTTCCTGATAGGACCTTGACTGAAAAACCACCCACGTATTCTGAAGAGTAAATGATATAACCAATTACCACAAAGCACAATAAGTGGGATGCTTATAAATGCTAGTTTCCCTCCCCTTCCCTGTTATAATTTTTATACCCCCTACAATGGCTATTCCTAGTGCCTTTAACATAATTGCTACTTAAGAAAGATTTGATGAATGAATAAAAAAAAATTTCAACACTTTTGACCATACTTTTAGACTTAAATTCATGGAAATCAATATGCATTAATTTAGATTATCAGATGTTACATTTAGAGAAGTTTTTATTTCAATAATTGTGGAGGAGGCAGTTTGCTTTACACATCTCATTCTCTATTTTCTCATAGTCTAACTAAGTTATGGCTCAACTCCGGAAAAACAGGGCCAAGGGATAAGCTATCATCTCAGGAGCAGTTTAAAAGACTAACAGATTAGTTTAACAGACTAAGAGATCCATCTACTGATCCTTCCTAGATCTTAGAGAAAATAGTCATTTTATTTCATGTCATCTAATTCATATGAACTGACTTTGCAAATTCATCATTTTCTACCTCCTACCAGATAGAAATGGAGTTTGGGATCAACTGTGCATCCTTGAATTTATCTGTGTTTATAATGAAGAAGTCGATAAAGCCGAATCATCACTCACCGTGTATATTGATCTCACTGATGCACTGTGGAAGTAACTTATAGTTCTGGAATTGGGGGAAGCACTTCCTGGACTTGATCCAAAGGCAGCCTCTGCGTGGTCTCTGCTATTTAAGAAGGAGAACTGTTTTAGTCTATATGTAGTAAATAGCAAAAAGAGACAGGCTTATTCTAATGTAGTAAGAGTAGCAAGAGAAGCATGCTCTACCTCTAGAAAGGATTTTGGGACTTTCTACCCTCACTAATTTTCCTGCCTACCTCTCTAACACCTTTCACCCATTTCTCTCAACTCCTCACCCCACGTCCTGGGCACAAATACCTGAAGCATAGTTAAGGAAGACAACGTAGAGAACAAATTTAAAGTCCAGTGTCAAGTAGCAAGCAAAGAATCTTAGTTTGGAAACTGACTGCAAACATTTTATTCTATCACATTTTGTTGAAATATGTCCCTAAGGAGAATATTAATGATGTCTTTGATCTCAGGGACAATTTTACCAAGAAGCAAAGTCACAAATTAGATGAATTCTAATCTGTCTTCCTGCTCATGACTGTATGACTTTTTAAAATTCTTCTAATATTATCCTCAGCTGACTTCGAGGTGGAAGATGAAACTTTATTTCCTACATCATGACATCTCGTTCATTCTCCTAAGATCCACGGTCTTGTTTTTCTAGCTTTTATATTGAGAATTGAGTTTTTGTTTCATAGACATCTCTACTTTTGATACAAAGCCCTGAACACAGGTGAAATTGAGGTGACCTATAATTTTTTTTTTTAAGACAGAGTTTCGCTCTTGTTGCCCAGCCTAGAGTGCAATGGTGCCATCTTGGCTCACCACAACCTCTGCCTCCCGGGTTCAAGTGATTCTCCTGCCTCAGCCTCCCGAGTAGCTGGGATTACAGGCATGCACCACCATGCCCGGCTAATTTTGTATTTTTACTAGAGACGGGGTTTCTCCATGTTGATCAGGCTGGTCTGGAACTCCCAACCTCAGGTGATCCACCCACCTCAGCCTCCCAAAGTGCTGGGATTACAGGTGTGAGTGACCGCGCCCAGCCGAGGTGACCTACAATTTAAAGAGAAGTTTGGGTGGTTGCTACTTAAGAAGAGAAATCAGAAAGGGAGATTTAGTGTATTCAAGAAAATTATGCTTCTTGTCCATGAAGATGATCAAACACTGGTACAGAAATACTGTAGAACCTTCTCTGGGAATTTTTTTTTTTTTTTTTTTTTTTTTTTTTGAGACAGAGTCTCACTCTGTCGCCCAGGCTAGAGTGCAATGGTGCGATCTCAGCTCACTGCAACCTCCGCCTCCTGGGTTCAAGCAATTCTGTCTCAGCCTCCTGAGTAGCTGGGATCACAGATGTGTGCCACCACACCTGGCTAAGTTCTGTATTTTTAGTAGAGACGGGGTTTCACCATGTTGGCCAGGCTGGTCTTAAACTCCTGACCTCAAGTGATCCACCTGCCTCGGCCTCCCAAAGTGCTGGGATTACAGGCATGAGCCACCATTCCCTGCCTCTTTCTTTCTTTTTTTTTTTTTCTGGGGAGTAGTGGGGAGGGATTCACTGCCTTCTATACCCAGAAGGTCAATATTCTTGGCACATAGTAGGCTCACACCAAAAAACTGTTTTTGGAAGAATTTATTCTGAATGAGCCTGAGCAACCTTTCACGTGTGTAAGCGCCAGCCGTTTGTATTTCCTTTTCTGTAGGCAGTCCAGTCTTATCCTTCACCATTTGCCTCCTGCATTGTGGTCTTTTCTTCAATTATTAGAAGCTCCTTATTTACTAGAGATTTAGTTGCTTACTCGATAAACTGCAAATAATTTTGCCCATTAATTGTTGGTCTTTTTTCTTAGCTTGTGATAGTTTTTTTGCTGTGTACATTTTTTTCCACATAGTCAATTTGATGAGTCTCTTCTCTGAGTTTTGTGTCATGATTAGAAAGACCAATTTTGCAGTTATAAATGAGTCGTAGCATTGATTCTTCTATTACTTTTATAGTTTAATGTTTAAATTAAAATCATTGATCCATTTAAAAGTCACCCTAATGTGAGTGTGAGATCTTGATTAAGTTAACTTGTTGTCCTAAACGATTATTCAGTCATCCCAATACCAGTCAGTTTGTAATCCAGTACCTTGATGGAATGAATACCTCTCCTCTATTCTTCTATTTCAATTTTTTCCTGGCTATTACTCACAGTTTACTTTTCATAGGGATATTGAAATGAACTTGTTTATTTCAAAAGATATTATTTTTATTTATTTAGGAAGAATTAGCATCTTTATATATTCGTCTTCCTCTTCAAGAACATGATACATTTTTCCTTTATTCAAGTCATTTTTATGTCACTCAGTAGCATTTTACTGAAGTTTTCTTCAGAAAGATCTTGCAAATTTCTTACTAAGTTTATTCCTAGTTACTTTATTTATAATTGTTTTAAATACAGTGTATCCTCTAACTGGTTATTGTTTAAGTAGGTGGATCCCATTAATTTTTTAAATATTTTTGTACCCTGTCCCTTACTAAATTTTTCTTTTTTCATGATTTCTTTAAGGGAATTGTCTTAGGTTTTCCAGGTACACAATTGTATCATCTGCAGAATACGTGATCATTTTACCTATTCTTTCCAGTTTTGAAACTTCGTATTTCTGATCACTTAACTAACTGTGTTGACTAGTACTTCCAATACAATGGTAGATAAAATGGCAGTAGTGGACACCCTGGAAAATTTCTGGCTCGGCAGGGCACGCTTTTAGTGTTTCCCTATAAAACATATTTCTGGGGTTTTTTGTTTGTTTGAGAGAAATATATTTTATCATTTTATCACATTAAGGAAGTATGTATTTGTCTTATTTTTATTAGAAGTTTTAATGAAAAATGCATTGTATTTTGTCAAATGCATTTTTAGTATAACCAACCATTTATCTCTTTACATCTATAAATATGATGATGAGTAACAGGTTTTCTAATGCTAAACTGTCCTATAATTCCTGGAATAGGCCCCCTTGATCAGGAAGGAGTGCGTGTGTGTGTGTGTGTGTGTGTGTGTATGTGTGTGTGTGTTATTTTTAAACTGTGCTACTGGATTGCTAATGTTTTATTTAGGATTTTTGCATGGATATACACAAGTAAGATTTCTCAATGATTTATTTATTTTTTCTTTCTTTCTCTCTTTTTTTTTTTTTTTTAGACAAGCTCTTGCACTGTCACCCAGGTTGGAGTATAGTGGTGCCATCATGGCTCACTGCAGCCTCAAACTCCTGGGCTCAAGCAGTCCTCCTGCCTCAGCCTTGCAAAGCCCTGAGATTACAGGCATGAGCCACTGCATCCAGGCTGATTTCATTTTAGACTCAATCTTTCTTGGATTTGAATATTATTAATAATGTTTATTTCAAAAATAGAATTAGGAAATATCTTTGGTCTTGCAACAGTTTAAATACATTGGAAATACCTATGTCTTAGAGATTGGTAGCATTCTCCTGCGAACTGCTCTTCCTGTTACTTTTTGAAGGACAATTAACACATTTTCTATTTCTTCCATGACAATTTAGATTTTCTAATTCTTCTGGTGTTGGGTTTTATACATTTTTCCCAGAAAATTATATATTTTAACTGAAGATTTTTTTTAATTAAAAGTAATTTTTTTTTTTTTTGAGATGGAGTTTCATTCTTGTCGCCCAGGCTAGAGTGCAATGGCATGATCTTGGCTCACTGCAACCTCTGCCTCCCGGGTTCAAGAGACTTCCTGTCTCAGCCTCCCAAGTAGCTGGGATTACAGGCACACACCACCACACCCAGCAAATTTTTTTGTATTTTTAGTAAAGACAGGGTTTCACCATGTTGGCCAGGCTAGTCTCAAACTCCTGACCTCAGGTGAACCGCCCACCTCGGCCTCCCAAAGTCCTGGGATTGCAGGCATGAGCCACCGCGCCTGATCTGAAGATTTTTAAAATTAAGATAGTAACTACTGTTTAAGGGGCAGGAATAAATAGGCCATTTCCAGCAGATATTGAGGGCCCTTAGATGTCTACGGAAAAACTAAAATCACCACTAAAGTTAGAATTTCTTCTTACCCTTTAGACTTCTAAAGGGTAAATGACAAAACTTCCTTTGACTTATTAGGACAAAGAGGGGAAAATGAGACCCGAGGCCATCTTTACCTGGCCCACAGCACTCATCTCCTGCTCTCCTCCACACACATCCATTGCATTTGAGCCCCTTGGCATCCTTAACTTTTATTTTATTGTCATTAAGTACCAACCACATCTATGGGGCTATGTCTGTCAGCCCAGTCTCACACTAGAAGTTCCTAGCAGTCTGTGATTTTTTTTCTTTTCTTTTTTCTTTTCTTTTTTTTTTTTTTTTGAGACAGAGTCTCGCTTTTTCACCCAAGCTGGAGTGCAGTGGTGCAATCTCGGCTCACCGCAACCTCCACCTCCAGAGTTCAAGTGATTCTCATACCTCAGACTCCCGAGTAGCTGGAATCACAGGCATGTGCCACCATGCCCAGCTAATTTTTATATTTTTAGTAGAGATGGGGTTTCATCATGTTGGCTAGGCTGGCCTCGAACTTCTGATCTCGAGGCCTACCTTGGCCTCCCAAAGTGCTGGGATTACAGGCATGAGCCACTGCGCCTGGCCTGTGATTTTTGTCTTTCTAAAAGAATGGCTGTGGATCATTCTAAGATAGTCCCCAGGAGTCCCACCCCCCTGATGTGCAATACTCATTATAATCTCCTCTCCTTGAGCGTGGGCAAGACCATGAACCAGATGGGATTTCACTCCTGTGATTAGGTCATATTATAAGGCATAGATGAAGGGATTTTACAGGTATGACTAATATCCCAAATCAATAAAAGGGGAGGCCATCTTGGATGGGCCTGAATTAAAGAGGTAAAATCCCTTAAAAGAGAAACGGCCCTTCCTGAGGTCAGAAAGACTCTCACTAGCCTTAAAGAAGCAAACTGCAGGCTGGGCGCAGTGGCTCACGACTGTAATCCCAGCACTTCGGGAGGCCAAGGCGGGAGGATCACCCGAGGTCAGGAGATCGAGACCATCCTGGCCAACATGGTGAAACCCCATCTCTACTAAAAACACAAAAATTAGCTGGGCATGGTGGTGCGTGCCTGTAATCTCAGTTATTTGGGAGGCTGAGGCAGGAGAATCCCTTCAACTCACTCGGGAGGCGGAAGTTGCAGTGAGCCAAGATCATGCCACTGTTCTCCAGCCTGGTGACAGAGCTAGACTCCGTCTCAAAAAAAAAAAAAAAAAAAAAAGCAAACTGCCATGCTGTGAAATGCCTATGGACAGGGACTCCTGGTGGTGACTGCCAAGTGGCCTCTGGGACCTGAGGACAGCCTCCAGTGGACAGCCGGGAAGATGCCAAGGCCCTCCGTACACAGCCGTAAGTGAATTCTTCCCATAACCCGAGTGAGCGTAGATGCATAGCATCCAGATGGGAATGCAGTCCAGCTGACATCTTGATTTCAGCCTGTGAGACCCTAAGCAGAAGATCCGGTTAAGCCACGCACAGATATCTGACCAACAGAAACTGTGAGATAATAAGTGTGTGCTGTTTTAAGCCACTAAGTGTGTGGTAATTGGTTACACAACAACAGAAAGCTAATAAGTACAGTGACTGACAGACCCTTGGCCTGAAAATCAACAGAGGTAGTTATTTAAAATGCATGTTGCAGATCTATTGAATTAAGAATCTATCTTCATAGAAGCCTAGGAGCCTGGATTTTTATAGACATCCAAGTTGATTCTGACGCACATTAAAGCTTCAGAATGAATTTACCATGCAAATAACAAAGCATCTTATAACCCACAATTTAACATTTGACATTGTTCTTTTGTTGTTGTTGTTGTTGTTGTTGTTCTTGTTTGAGACAGAGTCTGGCTCTGTTGCCCAGGCTGGAGTGCAGTGGCACAATCTTGGCTCACTACAGCCTCCACCTCCCAAGTTCAAGCAATTCTCCTGCTTCAGCCTCCTGAGAAGCCGGGACTGCAAGCGTGCACCACCACACCGGCTAATTTTTGTATTTTTAGTAGAGATGGGGTTTCACCATGTTGGCCAGGCTGGTCTCAAACTCCTGGCCTCAAGTGATCCGCCCACCTCGGCCTTCCAAAATGCTAGGATTACAGGCTTGAGCCACTGGGCCCAGCTGAGATCATTCTTTATAAAGGTTAAGATATCAAAAGAGCCTATTCATGAAACTAAATAATTATCCAAGGAAATTAACAGAGTTCTTTTCGTTGAAAAGCCAAACCGCTGGTTTGGCTGGTGTTTGCTGGTGTTTATAGCATAAAATATAACTGTAATTTACAACAGAAAGCGATTGCCTGTCAAAATGATGGCTAGTCTAAAGTAATTCTCTAGTGGGGCATTATCTTCAGTTTCTTTCAGTATCCAAAGTCATGTAACTTATATGGTAATAGCAAATCTTCTAAAAATTGATTAAAAGGCAAAAAGGTAGGATATATGTCATTTTAATGCCTTCTTCAGAATAGCTAAAACGGGTGGAAATTTTTTCTGGTTCTACATAAGAAATACAATTTCTTTCAAATAATATTAATTCACCAACACTAGTTAAGGCAGTAGAAACAGTCAGAAATATTTTAAAGCTTCACAGCAGTCTTTTCATGAATTTATCAAATCTCTGAAACAAACATTTCTATGACTTCTTTTCAGAAACTTCAAACAGCCTTAAAAAAATTTTTTTAAATCCCAGTCTGAATTTTGACCTGGCTGAATCTAGTGAACAAAATGGATTTTCAGGAGTAGAAACTGATTAAAAATAAAATTCCATGCCTTATGCTCTCAAATAAAGCCCCTATCACACTATCCCTGACCATGCCCAGGCAGCCCTCGGATGCTTCTTCTTTTTCTTCTTTTAGATAAAGATTTCTATCGCTTTTCAAAGGTGCTTTATATCCATGACATCTGGTATCTAACCTCAACTCATCTTTCCCAAGTAACTTTTGATTCCCACTGAGTACTGGAAACTTGCAAGGTGTTTTCGTTACTTTGGTCCTGATGATTTTCATGTCAAAGACAAGGTCCATCTCCCACCATGAAAGCTCATCTAAAACTTCTTCATCCTAGCCAGCCTCTCTTGACTGCTAAGGGAATTTGCCCCAGCCATTTTTTTTTATTCTCTTATCTCCAAAACTACTTGTTCAGCTACATTTTATATGGTTATTAAATTGGAAAGCCAAAAGTAACTTTTAAAAAAATACCAAGAAGGAGTAAATAGGGTTAGGAGATCACACAGTATCTGTCCCTCTGTGCCCTCCACGTCCCAAATAGAGAACTTACCCAACTTTGTTGTAATTACTCATTTGTCTGCCTCCTTGAGCACAAAGCTGGTATTCTGGGCACTGTTTTATTCCCCAGAACCTACCTTAGACACATAATAGGTACTCAACAAATATGGGCTGAATGATCAAAAGAATATCATTTAACGCCTCTGTGCCTCATTTCGCTCAGCAACAGGGTATGGGTTCAGGCAGTTCAAGGAGCAATTCCAGAGGGCCACCCATGATTTGGGGGTAACAAAAATAAAATGGTCCTCTGATTTTAATCTATAAAATCAGCACACGATCAGCACACAGACACACAAATTCATCTTCAAAAAATTATTCCCAATCCAAAGCTTGTTAAATGTTAAAACCTCTCTGTTAAATGAGCTTGTCAGGCTACCCCTAAAATGGGGAGAAAGTCTCAAGCTATCTGCCAAGGAATGCATTTTTTTTTTCTTTTGAGACAGGGTCTCGCTCTGTCACCTAGGCCGGAGTGCAGAGGCACAATCACATCTCATTGCAGCCTTCACCTCCCAGGCTCAAGGGATCCTCCCACCTGAGGCTCCCGAAATGTTGGATTACAGGTGTGAGCCACCACACCTGGACTGGCAAGGGAATGCATTTTAAGACCTAACCAACATCTGTTTCCTGTGATTTGACTTCCCACACGGATCTGTCTTGGGAGAGAAAATGCACATTTGCTGTCAGAAGTGTTTGATCTGTATTTCTCTCAATTGTATCATTCTTTATGGATTAATGCACTGGCCTTGAGGTTTTATAAACCTGTTGGTGTGAACTGCATTATACAATGGATCCTTCTTGATGTGCTGCCATTGCAGGAGGCTAAGTCCCCAGGCATAAAGGGAAGCACTGGACCAGATAGATTCACCGACATGAGGCACCTGTGCAGCCTTGTGGGCAGCAGCAGCCAAGCAGCCAGTCCTGGCAGGGTCCTGGCCTTGCCCCACACGTTCCATTCAAAGTTTTGGCAGTGGGGACCGACACCTGCACAACCAAGATCACTTCCCTGTGGCTTTCGCAAAGCTAGTGTGGCTGCCTTGAGGCTAAAAGGAGGAAAATAAAGGTAAGGATAAAATGAGATGAGAACTGTGAATTTTGATATATTATACTTGGGAAAATAGAAAGCACTATGAAGCACAAAAAATATTTTCACCAGCATCTTTTTAAGCCCTCCCAGGGGGCATGCACAGAATTTAGTAGGAGCCATATATATTCAGCAGGGGAGGCCTATGGGTAGCTGACCTTGGAAATGATGTCCCTAGCTCCTTCTTTTCTCCATCACACTTTGGGAGATGCAGCCATCATGACTCTTCATGGAAACTATGGCAATAAATGTCTAAACAGTTATCCATGAAGTATTTGGGTTTCCTCACAAGAGCTTCTCCAAAAATGAAGGAATTCAAGTTAGTCTTCATAGATTACTCAGGTCAAGACAGCTGTGAAAATTTTCTGATGGTTTAGTGATTCTTATTCAGTTCAGTGATCTGGCTTCAAAAAACCTTCCAGTCTTAATTATGTCTCCTTATTACCAGAGAAATGCAGAACTTCAATATTGCTATACATCATTCTGACCTTTTCATCACATAAAAACGTTGGCAGTTTTCTGTAAGCCCAAGATAGCGAGTAGCCTTTTAGGGCTAACAGAACCAATTATGGCCGCTTAAAATAGATTTCTGTTATTCAAGGTGCCAACTTCTTCCCATGTTCAAAGCTCCATCTGTTATTAACAATGATCCTAAAACTAGTCATCTGCTCCAAATCTAGTCAATGTGAAAATAAAATGAGGATGGAAAATAAATGACTGCAAAATTTTCCAGATTAACTAAAAAAAAAAAAAAAAAAAATCTTGAACTGACAGCTGCCAATATTCTGAGACACTGATTCAGTTTCTGGTTAATTCACACTGCAGGTATCTTTAATACTCCAAAGGATAAAACTGATGAAGTGTTTAACCATTTTCTTTTTATTATTTTGGATAGGCATAATCAAAAGTTATAAGTTAGAGGTGAAAGTATTTGAAAGGCTTTTGTAAGACAGCAGCAGCCATTCTTTCAACGCAGTCAATGTAGAGTTGTATTTATTTGGCAAATATTTATTGGGTACCTATGACATGCCCATATATATGCATTATGCTATGAGCTGGGGATGCAGTGATGAGTATCATCAGATAGTGTCCTTGACCTCAAAGAGCCAACTGGCTCATGGGAGAAACACTAATCAAATAATAACACAAAGCACAATAACACAAAAATGTAAAATAGCAACAGTGATTGTTGCTGCAAAGAAAGATGTACGGTGTTATGAGGGTGTGTAATAAGGAGAATCGACCTAGTCCAGGAGGTCTGAAACAACTTCGTTAGTTAAGCCAAGATCAGATGGGAAAGGAAAGATGGGAGCTAACGAGACAACATCAGGGTGGGAGGGGAGCAGGTTTGTAGAGGGTGGCAGGAGAGGCGGGATGGTTCAGGCAGGGACAATCTATATTAAGATGAAGGAGATGTTTATGTGCACATGTTTTACCATCAATTCTTCCAGGCCTGACATATATGCCTGTCACGTAAAGGCATTCAATGAATGACTGGAATAAATCGTCCTATTCCGCCTATAGATTCTTCACATTTGTGAATTTCTTCCTGCAAAAAGAATCATCCTCTTCACTTTGATCCATTCTGTAACCAAGCAGATGGCTGTAACCTTTCCTGTTTTATGAACCCAAATCTGTATTTTAAGAGTCATAAATAAGATAGTTAAGCAAGTAAAAATTAAATTTTCACGTTATCTTTCTTGGTTGCAGGACATCTGGCACCAGTAATTTATCTTCTCATCTGCAGGAAGTTGAAACCTGCTTAGTATTTATTATAGCGGCCATAAACATGTTCCAAATTATAATTTTACATTGCCATTAGTTTTATTTTGGTGTAATATAAATTATTGGGTCATCCACTTCCTTTTGACATTTAGTAATTCTCTTTCACAATAAAACTCCATTTTCTTTTGCTTCGTGTTCCCTCAGAACCCACTCACATTAATTGCAAGAAAATTTCAGCCAGTGCCACAATGAGGATGACTCACATTGTTATACACAAGCTCTTAGGACCTTATATAGACAAAATGTTTTGTCTCAGTTTCCAATGAGAAACTGAAAATGCAAAAGAGCAGGAAGGCTTTTGATCTGTGGCTTAAACCCCCAGTCCCCCAGTTCACTATTGACATTACATGGCGTGCTAGAAAGTGCATCAGTTGGACAGAACTGAGTTTGAACCCTGGCTCTGTTAGAAACCAGCTATGAACCAGTTACTTAAACTCCCTTATCTTCAGTTTTCTCATCAGGAAAAAAAACGGAGTTTTGAAATCAAATGAAATGATGTGCATGAAAGTACAGAACATACGGAAGGTGCTTAATGAGATATTAGTTTCCCTTCTCCTATGTCAACCACAGGTAGAATCTCCTTAACTATGTTGGAAGCTCTATAAAGGCAAGGACTGTGCCTATGGTATGTGCCCATTATATCACCAATGCTTAGTATAATGGCTGACCCGTAGTCAGTATTCAGTAAATATTGGTTAAATACTTAATGGTCGTAATGGTTAATATTGAGTGTCAACTTGACTGCATTGAAGGATGCGAAGTATTGTTCCTGGATGTGTCTGTGAGGGTGTAGCCAAAGGAGATTAACATTTGAGTCAGTGAGTTGGGAAAGGCAGACCTGCCCTCAATCTGAGTGGGCACCATCTAATCAGCAGCGATGGAGGCCAGAATAAAAGCAGGCAGAAGAACCTGGAAAGATTAGACTGACTGAGTCTTCTGGACTCCATCTTTCTCCATGCTGGATGCTTCCTGCCTTGGAACATCGGATTCCAGTGTTCTTCAGCTTTGGGACTCGGACTGGCTTCCTTACTCCTCAGCTTGCAGATGGCCTATTGTAGGACCCCACCTTGTGATTACGTGAGTCAATACTCCTTAATAAACTTCCCTTTATAAAGACTCAGCCTAGAGTTACTTTTGCATAGTTTTCAAAATCCCTTCTTCAAGACAGTCAATGTTATTTATGATTCTTTGATATCCATAGCCCTTCTACAAAGCGTACTATGCCTTCTTTAATAAAGTGGAATTCTATGCCCTGTAATTACTCTGTCTCTTTATCTGTTGTCATATTTCCCAATCTCTCAGACTCATTTCTTGCTCATCCGCTCTTTTTACTCTATACTCATTTCCCTTGAGGGTTTGCGAGATTTAATAAGCTGTTATAGTGCCAGATATTATGCTAGCAACAACAATCCACAGATAAAAAAGACAGAGATCACCTGTGTGAAGATGATAGTTAAATGAATAACTATCATTTAACTATCCTATTAGTTCTGTCCCTCTAGAGAACCCTGACTAATCCAATGTGAAGAATTTCAAGTTTTAAGGATTTCACTCTTTTTGATGGACATATAGGGGAGATATGAAATGAACTTTTCACTGACCCACACAGCAGGAGTGGATGGAAACTCTGATCCCGGAAACCTGATGTCGATATTTATTTGGCAGTCCAGCATGTGGACATGTCAGGGGTGATGACAAGTATGCAGAAAGCCAGAAGAGCAGATATTATCCCCTCTCCCTGCTTCCTGGCACCTGGAGTACCACTGTATGGCCTCCCCTCATACTCCTCCTTGGAGCTTGCAATCCTGAGGAGAGATGCAAAGCTGCAGGGTAGTCATAGGAGTGGCCCCAGCAGTTCAGAGGGGGGTGACACCAGCGGGAGCATTCTCACCAGACCATTCCTGACATGCAACTTGGACTGTATTTTTGGTTTCCTGCCCTCCCTCACCTTAATACCTGTTTATTTTCCACGCTTAGTTTCCCTAGCCTCCTGTTGTTTCTGTGGGCTACCTACTGGTTTTCCAACAAATGTCCTCTCTGCAGTCAGTCAAGTGGGCTTCTATCATTTGCATCCAACGATTCAGATTCTAATCCACTCCTCCTGCCCCTGGCTTTGGTTTCCCAACATGGTCAACTCATTAAGCACTCACTGTTTCTAGGGGTACGTTTTAAAGTTACTTTTTTTTGAGACACAGTCTTGCTCTGTTATCCAGTCTAGAGTACAGTGGTGTGACCTCGGCTCACTGCAGCCTCGACTTTCCAGGCTTAAGCAATCCTCCCACCTCATCCTCCTGAGTAGCAGGGACTATAAGCATGTGCCACCACATCTGACTAATTTTGTTTATTTTTTATAGAGATGGGGTTTCACTATATTGCCCAGGCTGGTCTTGAACTCCTGGACTCAAGTGATCCTCCCACCTCGGCCTCCTAAAGTGCTGGGATTACAGGCGTGGGCCACCACACTCGGCCTAGAGTTACTTTTGCATGTTTTTCAAAATCCCTTCTTCAAGACAGTCAATGTTTTTTATGATTCTTTGATATCCATAGCCCTTCTACAAAGCGTGCTATGCCTTCTTTAATAAAGTGGAATTCTATGCCCTGTAATTACTCTGTCTCTTTATTTGCTGTCATATTTCCCAATCCCTCAGACTCATTTCTTGCTCATCCGCTCTTTTTACTCTATACTTATTTCCCTTGAGGGTTTGCGAGATTTAATAAGCTTTTATAGTGCCAGATATTATGCTAGCAACAACACTCCACAGATAAATAAGACAGAGATCACGTGTGTGAAGACGATAGTTAAATGAATAAGATGGAAAGTAGATTAATGCCCAGCCAGGACACATAAGCTGTCACGCTTCTCAAAGCAAGGAGGAAAATATTAGAGACACATAAAAGATGGGGATTTGATTCAGTTTGACATCTCTTTCTACAGCAGCAGGATGCATTTATTCCATCAGTGTCCACCGTGCCCCTAGAATCTGCCAGGCACAATGTGGTGCCTGCGTCCTGGTAATCTCTCCTTATTTCTCTCTTGTAGGATGAATAAGCTTCTTTTGGAGGTACGAGCCCATTTATCTCTCTCTCTCTCTCTTTCTCTCTGTCTCTCTCTCTCTCTCTGTGTGTGTGTGTGTGTGTGTGTGTGTGTGTGTGTTGAACAATACTCACTTTTAAATGCATGAACAAATGGAGAGACATCCTGGAATGTGTGGCTAGTGTTGACAACAAGCTGCTTCTGCTGAATGTGACACAGTCACCACCGCTTTGAACTACATTTTTTTTTTCTACCCGTGTTACTGCATCTCCAGAGAACCATGCTGACACATTTTTCCCGTACATTCTCACTGCTGCCTATAATCCATCACTACAAAGAGAGGCCTTAAAAACTGCACTCAAGGGAGACATGATTTCCTTTCCCTTTCTCTGTCAGAAAAGCAACTCATAATAGGGAAGGAAAAGATTGCATTTAGGTTAAAGGAATATAAATAAGAAAGAGTCTGCCTCTTTCTCTCTTTAAGACGCTAAGCCTCAAAAGGGTTCTTGGTTTTAAAAAGGCCATCACCCCTTGACCTACACTAAACATTAATATTATATACCTGGTAATAAAGCCAGAGGATTTTTAGTGAGAGCTATGAAAGGGAAAGGATGGCTAAGACAGGTTTCTTTGGTGGATGAAAGTCACAGGCTCATAAATACAACTTTGCGAGGTTAGTCTTGTGGTTAGCTAGTACTTAAAATTTGTGATTCCCTCGACTATATGGGTTGACGGGGGAACTATAGACTTTTTCTCAGACAAGACAGCAGTGCTCAAAATTACGACTTGAAAACAGAAACGACCAGAATTCCTAAGGTGACCAAAAAGCCCCACAGAACTGTGTTAAAACTGTCCTCATATTTGGACACATGTACTGAGTAAGAGGGGAGCCCAGGGAAAAATGCCATTTTTGCCTTTTAAAAATTAATTTTGCCATTGAAAACAACGTTATAGCTTTTAATTTATTAATCAAATAAGATTTTCATTGACTGGACAAAATTTCCACCAACTTACCCCACATTTAACTGGTGTCAAATGATTATTTAGCTAATGCTTATTATCAGTCATAGCTTAATACTTTCACTGCTAATGCTGGGTAGAAAGCCTAAATTTTTAAAATATTTGAGCTCCTTAGGTGCACTCAAGCTAGGGTTCCGTGTATCTGCTAATTTAAATGGCTAACAAAAGCCCCCAGTGAACAAAGTCCCCAGTGAAATGCGGTGCAAATCTCTATGTCGCTACTGATGCAGCTGTAGGGTGGGGGACTGGAGGTTTGCTCGGCATCCTCCCATTTTTGAAAACTGTTTACATGCCAGACTTGAAGCTTCCTTTTTTTTCTAACTTCTCACAAAGTACGAAGGCACCTACTCGCTGGCTGTGTACAAGGAGCTTTGGTAACAGCACTCATAATTCTGTGGTTTTCACGGTCAAGGATATTATTTCTCTCTGCTAAAGAAGAGGGCTTCGTCCATGTCACATTCTCTCTCTTTCTCTTTTTAACGTGATTTGACAGCTTGAATCCAAAAGGAGGCTTCACAATTAGAAGAAAGGGATTGAACCACAACATCTGTGCTAACAGCCCCCATCACTGCTCTAATTAGAATTCCCTTATTCCATTTCTGTTTCTCAGGAGAGGACAGGGGGCTTTTTAATTGGGGCTATTAGAAGTTCTCTTTACACAATGACACCCTCTGCTAAGGGAAGGCTCCAGCGAAAGCCATGCCCACTCTGCAATTACTTCTTGCAATTCTGGGGAATAATGGTATCTTGTCTCATTTAAAAATAAATCTAAGTCTTATCCCTATTGCTTTCTCTCCTCTGCCTACTCACATGAATTTCTTCTTGCCAATTAAGCAAACTTTCCATTATTTAAGGAGATAGTTTAGATTGCTACTGTCCCCTGATAATAAGACATATTAAACTGGATTTCATTTGCCCACAGCTCTGTTATTCCAGATACAAGGCTAATTTACATAAGCTCAGATCTCAGATCTTGAGTTTACTGTGTAGTGAAACCATGCAGCTTTGGAATTTCCTGAGTGCTGTTTTGTTTACATGCCACAGAACTTACCTGAAAGAACCTGCACATTCAATGCTCTCAGTTTCTCCGAATCACTTCCTCTTAAGAGAACAGATGTAGGTTTGTCTCTATGACCTATTCCCAGAAAAGAAATGAAGTATTTAGATGATAAACAAGCGCATTGTTAACATATATTCCCCATGTTGGTTCAAAGGATTACCAAAAAGAATGGAGCCATTCATGGCCAGGCACGGTGGTTCACGCCTGTAATCCCAGCACTTTGGGAGGCTGAGGCAGGGAGATCACGAAGTCAGGAGTTCGAACCCAGCCTGGCCAATATGGTGAAACCCCATCTCTACTAAAAAATACAAAAATTAGCTGGGCGTGGTGGTGCATGCCTGTAGTCCCAGCTACTCAGGAGGCTGAGGCAAAAGAATCGCTTGAACCCAGGAGGTGGAGGTTGCAGTGAGCCGAGATCATGCCACTGCACTCCAGCCTGGACGAAAGAGTGAGACTCCATCTCAAAAAAAAAAAAAAAAAAAAAAAAAAAAAAAAAAAAAAAAAAAAGGAAAGCGACAGCTCTTATACACAGAAAAGTATATTTTTATCTTATTATATACATAGATATGATGTGAAGAATATTCAATGTATGTTTAATATTCAATAACATTTAATGTGCTAAGTAGTGTGACATTTTTTATTACTTTGTATGCTTGGATTTGCAAGCCTTTGAAAATCACTAAGTCTGTCATTTGGGCAGATATTTGTAAGAATTTAATTTGACTCCCCACTACTGGTCTCCTTCTAGACATTTTTTCTAGCTCACTTCTATCTCTCTTTGCTTATAGCTTTTCATATGGGAAAATGGGTCAAGAAACTCAGAACTATACACTATTTATAAATAACACACATTTACTTTAAATAATAGAATTTTCAAAACTAAATACCCTACATCTTAGTTCTGACATTTTACTAGCTGTGCAGCTTTGGATAAACACTTAACCTCTCTAAGTCTCAGGGGATTTTTATCTACAAAATAAAAATAGCATATATCCTGTTTACACAGTTTAAGAATCTAGTGAAAATGCTCTGAAAATGGTTATTCTACAAATAAACAGTATTGATTATGTTATTAACCACTGCACAAAGGGCTTTATTACTAAGGTATCAATGATAACACTTGATATGAAACTGCTCTCAAAAATATCTGCAACAAATACCTAGTCAAAAGAATGAATTGCAACTTTACTGAAACCTGGAGGCAACCACTTGTTCTGCCTACTGAAATGGCTAACACAGCCTTGCCTGGTAAAGAAGGAAAGAGTCTTGGGAAATCATACAACCACCACAATACTACTGTCCTTTAATGAAAACTAATTATGCACTAGACACTGTGGTAAACTTTGTAAGTAATCTCTGTATTTCCTTACCTCAACCCTGTGTGGTAGTGGTGATTATGCTTGTTTTACAGAGGATGTAAGGGATGCTCACATAATTTAAATAACTTGCTTAATGTCACATAGCTAGTAAGTGGTAGTACTAGGACTCTAACATAAATCTATTTATTTTTAGTGCCTATTCTTATAGTAATACATCTTGCACTGTCTTTAAGAGACTAGCTACTCATATTATGAATTGTCCATTGGGCCTGATAGTCATCCATTTTATGCACTGGGGACATGCCAGTAGAGCCAGTATTTGCATGGGTACACACCGGTAGCATCATACCAGTAATTTACAATCAATGTCCATCCTGATAGGTGGGTGCCTAGGTCATACGAGTTATTAAATATTTTTAACGTTGCTCCTACTGTCCTGATTCCTAATTTCTAATTTCCTTTAGCTCAGCCCTGCCAAAAATCTGATACCCCCATGCTTATTAAAGATCGACTCTGCCTCACACCCGTCACCTACAGCCACTCTGCTCAAGATCTCCAACTCTGAAATTCTTGTTTTTGTGACTGAGTCTTGCTCCATTGCCCAGGCTGGAGTGCAGTGGCGCGATCTCAGCTCACTGCAACCTCCACATCCTGGGCTCAAGTGATTCTTGTGCCTCAGCCTCCCAAGTAGCTGAGATTATAGGCTTGCGCCACCATGCCTGGCTAATTTTTGTATTTTTAGTAGAGACGGGCTTTCACCATGTTGGCCAGGCTGGTCTGCTGGTCTCAATCTCCTGACCTCAGGTGATCCGCCTGCCTCAGCCTCCCAAGGTGCTGGGATTACAGGCATGAGTCACCGCGCTCGGCCTGAAATTCTTTATCCCCACTTCCTGTTCTTCTCTCTCTCTCTGCCCTCACTTCCGCTAAGCCCTGCTCAATGTCCAGCTCATCAGCTTCTTCCTATTCACCCAGTCTTTCTTCTTCTCTTACTTGCCCGAGTAGAAGAAAGATGAATGAAGCTCCTTGCATGCTGGAACTGTGTTTTATCTACGTTTTTATTCCTTGAGTTACCAAGAATCACCACTTATTCACAGTAGGTGCACAAGAAATGCTAAATTGTACTAAAAAGGAAATGAAATCCATAGAAGAGATCAGGAGTTCCTCGGCACTACAGGGATTATACTTACTCTGCCACTTTTGCACTCTTCTCTGGCCTTCAAGTATTTTGCGGATAGTGAGGATGATCAAAAATATAAAAACTAATAGAACTAAAATATACCAAGTGATCTTCATGGAACAAGTGATATCTGTAAAGAAAACAAATACTGTAAAAACCCAGTAAAATTATTCAACAGATAAAAGGCAATGTGGCAGTGTAGCTGAGTTCTACAACATATTCTGCCCTGAATTGAAAAGCTGAAATTATGACCATCACTGTTACAGGGTCACTAGCTCTCCTGAATTCTTTCTTGATATATGAAATGAAGGTATTATACGGGTAAACTTGAGTAGGTAGCTTCCAGCTATCCATGTAGTTCCAAAATTCTAGGATTCCTTTCACTTACAGGTTATGCTGATATTAGTTTCACTATCCTCGCTGTAACTAAGGTAAGACCACAACATAGCAATCCCAGAATCAGAACCACTTACAATTCATAATTTTGACCCTGGGCCAGGCAGCCCAAAAATATGTCCTCAAATCAGCAAAGATGCAGTGAGTACAAGGAAGATGGGGAAGAAAGAGAAAGGCAGGCAGTCAAAGGACTGGTCTGAGGCATATAAGTGGCCAGGACAATGAATAATCAGACCCTCTTTCCACAGGGTAATAGGCGGTAAGTACAGTGCTTTGCACGCCAATGATCAGATCAAGTGCATGCACTAATTAAACGTAGTTGCCCTGGCCTAAATTTAATAAGGATACAGGTATAAACTCATTCATTCAGATGACAATGAGGCAACATGGGAAGGATGTTCACCATGCAGCAGTAGCTTAGCACGGTCTCCCATGGTCTCATAAAGACACACTGGCCAGCAGAACCAGGAATCAGTGACTCACACAAGGGTGGCATCATCATAGCTAACACACAACTGTCTACTGACTCATTTTTTATTTTATTTTATTTTATCTTATTTTATTTTATTTTATTTTATTTGAGACAGAGTTTCACTCTTGTTGCCCAGGCTGGAGTGCAATGGCGCGATCTCAGCTCACCACAACCTCCACTTCCCGGGTTCAAGCGATTCTCCTGCCTCAGCCTCCGAGGGGATTACAGGTGCTCACCACCACGCCCGGCTAATTTTTTGTATTTTTAGTAGAGATGGGGTTTCACCATGTTGGCCAGGCTAGTCTTGAACTCCTGGCCTCGGGCAATCCACCCGCCTCGGCCTCCCAAAGTGCTGGGATTACAGGCGTGAGCCACTGCACCTGGCCTGTCTACTGACTTTCTAAGCCCACCCTGTGTACACTCTTCTTTGCATACAAAAGACAGCTAGTACTTATGCACCTTAGCAGAATGTATACCATGTTTATACTCTTGGTATGAACTGCCTTTGTGGGGTTCATAACCTGGGTGTCCCCTTTACAGGAACCCAGATGTACACTAAATAGGCATTAAGCATTCATTTAGAGAGGTGGCTAAGTAGAAAAAGGGCAGAGGTGGATTAGGATGGCGGCGCTCAGCCTCCCCAAGACTATTCCACGCTCTTCAGCTGCCAGGCTTGCATTCCTCACGCAGCAAAATAAAAGCATGAAGTTAAATAGCAGAGAACACTGGCAGTGCCAGCAACGATCAGGATGGGTCCAAAGACCAAGGTGTCATTGGGCACTGATAAAGCTATGGAAACAGAACCAACTTCATATTGCAATAACACAAGACACATGATGGGGACCAGACCAGCCAGTGCAGCCACCAGCATGATCTCAGAAGAGTGTATCTCCTAGGGTCCTGTGCTGCCCACCCATCCCTGCAGCCTTCTTAGAGAGGAGCAAGGGGAAACAGACAGAAATCTGGGGGGAACATCGAGGAACAGTTTAAATTATTATCTCAGAGTAAATTTGCCAGACTGGATCACATTTAGTTTGACCCCCTGATGGAGAAGGCTTTTACTCCCACCAAAGTACAAAGTTGGTTGTTGCTGTTGCTTTGTTTTTTTGGTTTGTTTTCTGGTTTTTTTTTTTTTTTTTTTTTTTGAGAGGGAGTCTCACTGTCACCCAGGCTGGAGTGCGGTGGTGCGATCTCGGCTCACTGCAACCTCCACCTCCCGGGTTCAAGCGAGTCTCCTGCCTCAGCCTCCCGAGTAGCTGGGTTTACAGGCGCATGACACCATGCCCGGCTAATTTTTTGTATTTTTAGTAGAGACAGGGTTTCACCATGTTAGTCAGGCTGGTCTCGAACTCTTGACCCCAAGTGATCCACCCACCTTGGCCTCCCAAAGTGCTAGGATTACAGGCATGACCCACCTCGCCCAGTTAAGAAGGCTTTTAAGCAAGATCAAATTAGTTTTTGCACAGCAGAGTAAACTATGAATAAAGTTTTAACTGTCTTTTTCTTTTCTTTTCTTTTCTTTTTTTTTTTTTTGAGACAGTGTTTCACTCTGTTACCCAGGCTGGAGTGCAGTGGCCTAATCACAGCTCACTGCAGCCTTGTCTTCCCTATCTCAAGCAGTCCTCCTGCCTCAGTCTCTGAAGTAGCTGGGACTAAAGGTGTGCACCACACCTAGCTTATTTTCATCCTTTTTGTAGAGTCAGGGTTTCACCATGTTGTCCAAGCTAGTCTCGAACTCCTGTGCTCAAGCAATACACCCACCTCAGCCTCCCAAAGTGCTAGGATTACAGGCATGAGCCTCCACCGTGCCCAGCCACCTTTAACTTTCTACCCATGGCAAAATGAATATACTTTTCGCAGAATACAAGAGTACATATTTGTGCACCACTGCTATCTTTGTGGACACCCAAAAGCTGTTAACTATTATTTCACTTTGATTCTAGAATTTATGGATTTTTTTCCATGAACACACACACAAAAATCTTAAAATTATTATTATGGAAGTGCTTATTTTTTCTTTATTTTAGAAAAAATATAAAATACAGTTAGGTGGATATACAAATGTACATTGAAAAAAATATGTTTTTGATGTCTATAATCTAAACTTCTTTACCCTTCAGATTTCACTACAGTCACCTTCTCTAGGCAATCTTTCCAGAGTCCATCTTCCAATTCATTCACTCCTCAATCAGAGGGAACTGATCCTTCTGTTCAGATCTACTCAGATCCTCTTCCATAGCCCCCACTCATGCACACACCTTGAAATGACCCCTAATTGCAGAGGTTATAGGGCCGTGGGAAAACTTAGTCACAGGAGAAATTTCTTTGAAGTCTCACATTTTATCTTAAAAATGCGTGCACATTATATATTTCTGTTTGCTTTAAAGTGAATGTAATATTTTGAAAATCATTACCTTTACAATAATTAAAGCTTTAGAAAAGCAATCTGAAAGGCTTCCGTATGTCTGGAATATCAAAAAGGACAGCAAATTACTCTCCCATAGCACCTGTGGCACTGGAAGGCACTTGCTGGTGTAGGTGAGGGGTCGCCCTCTTTCAGATTGTTTCATATCATCTAACTTCATGACCCCAACACCTGACACACTGCCTAGCATACAGCAGGCACTCATTAAATGCATGTATCAAAAGATGCTCTCCAGGAATAGATTTTTTGGGTGAAGTAGGGCATACTGCTTAGTAGAAAGGAATAATTGTGGTATTTCAGAATAGGGTAACTAGGAAGTTAACCAACCTTAAACAGAATTAAGTTATGCAAGTATGTAAGATTTGTCTTTTAATCTCCTATTTTTTCCTCTAGGTGCCTAATCTGTACCTCACCCTATCTTCACAGCATTACAGCAAACTCCCATTTCATCCAGGCCTGGTTCTCAGCTCCAAGAGAGAACATGTTAAATCAACTCAAAACAAAAATTTAATAGCATATCACAATGTGCTACATATATATATAATATATTATATAATATATTATATAATATATATATATTATATATATATAATATATATATAATATATAATATATTATATATATATATATTTTTTTTTGTCTTTTCAAGACAGAGTCTCACTCTGTTGCCCAGGCTGGAGTGCAGCAGCGCGATCTCGGCTCACTGTAACCTCCGCCTCCCGGATTCAAGCGATTCTCCTGCCTCAGCCTCACAAGTACCTGGGACTACAGGCAAATGCCACCACACCCAGCTAATTTTTTATATTTTTAGTAGAGACGGGGTTTCACTGTGTTAGCCAGGATGGTCTCGAACTCCTGACCTCATGATCCTCCCACCTCAGCCTCCCAAAGTGCTGGGATTACAGGTGTGAGCCACCGCACCCAGCCAATATTCATATTTTAAAAGAAATGCCTCCCTTTAGTACACAAATATGGTGGTATTATTTCACTCACAGAAAATAGGCATGTTTCAAAGTTATTCTGTGGTGGCTCATACCTGTAATACCAGCACTTTGGGAGGCCAAGGCAGGTGGATTGCTTAAGCCTAGGAGTTCAAGACCAGCCTGGGCAACATGACAAGACCCCGTCTCTACTAAAAATACAAAAAATTAACCAGGTGTGGTGGTGCACACCTGTAGTCCCAGCTACTCAGGAGGCTGAGGTGGGAGGATCACCTGAGCCCGGGGAAGTCAAGGCTGCAGTGAGCAGTGATCGTGTCACTGCACTCCAGCCTGGGCAACAGAGTGAGACCCTGTCTCAAACAACCACCACCACCCCACTGCAACAATAAAAAAAAATTATTCTGAGGCAGAAGGTCTTTCCAGTGCTCCTCAAATCGTGACCCATAAATGCCTCCTCTTTCTCAGGTTACAGGTAGGCCCCATAAAAAGCATATTTTGAAAGAAAAATAAACAGATAAATAGACTAACATTCTTTCAGGCTATATTATTTCATCAGTAAAATTCTTCAGCTATTTGGCTTTCAGTTAATGTGATAGCCCTTACTTAATTTTACATATCTATATCGGATAACTCCTTTTCCCTTTAGTTTCCTTAAAAACTTACTTTTTATATCCATCTCTAGGTGCAAAGAAATGTGTATACAATCATTCGGGTATTCCATGATTCTACAAGTGTAGTTTATCGATTTCTCCTTGCTTGGCTCATCCTCCATGATTGTTGATCTTCCAGTGTGGTTTTTTAGATGACAGGTAGTGTTATATTCCTCCAAGTGGTCAACCAGAGGAGCTACACTGAAGTTAAAGTGCTGACAAGGTGAATGAAAATCATTTGCTTTCACTTCCATTGATCCTCTCCTGATAAGAACTAGAAAGTGATTAAGAAAATGTTATTTGCAAAATATTAATACATAGCAAGAAAACACATACAATTCAAAACTAAATCTCTTCCTTTCTATACAAGAAAGTAGAAACAAGAAGTTTCCTACACTAAAAATATATACATATTTTTGAGACAGGGTCTCACTCCGTCTCCCAGGCTGGAGTGCAGTGGCGTAATCATGGCTCACTGCAGCCTCACCCTCCCGGGCTCAAGCAATCCTCCCACCTTAGCCTCCTGAGTAGCTGGGACTACAGGTGTATGCCACTATGCTCAGCTAATTTTTTTAATTTTTTGTAGAGATTGGGTCTTGCTATGTTGTCCAGGCTGGTCTCCAACTTTTGGACTCAAGGGATCCTCCCTCCTCAGACTCCTGAATTGCTGGGATTACAGGCGTGAGCCACTGCAGCCAACCTAAAAATAATCAGTAAGGTGGTTATATTTTTTAAGATCATGAAAACCAGGTTGTGGTAGTGTTGGAATAGGATTGGAGCATCTAAAAGAAAATACACACATTTCCCCAGTGACTTGTGGGACAGACTGTATTGTGTGACCAATATGGTCACAACAATATTTCCCATTCCACACTGTACTAGTTTTTTAGGGCTGCTGTAACAAAGTACCATAAACTGGGGGGTTTAAAGAACAGAAGTTTGGGCCAAGCACGGCGATCCTGCCTGTAATCCTAGCCCTTTAGGAGGCCGAGGCAGGCAGATCACCTGAGGTCAGGGGTTCGAGACCAGCCTGGCCAACATGGCAAAATCCTATCTCTACTAAAAATACAAAAATTAGCCAGGCGTGGTGATGTGTGCCTGCAGGTGTAGCTACTTGGCAGGAGACTCGTTTGAACCTGGGAGGCAGACGTTGCAGTGGGTCAAGATTGCACCACTGCACTCCAGCCTGGGTAACAGAAGGAGACTCAGTCTCAAAAAAAAAAAGAAAAGAACAGAAGTTTGTCTCACAGTTCTAAAGCTAGAAGTGTGAGATCAAGGTGTTGGCACGGTTGATTTGTTCTGAGGGCTGAGCCCCTCTCCTAGCTAATGGTGGTTTGCTGATAACCTTTGGCATTCATTGACTTGGAGATGCATCATCCTGCTCTCTGCCTTCATCTTCACATGTCAGTCTCCCTGTGTCCATGTCTCTGTGTCCAAACTTCTCCTTTTTTGTAAGAATATCAGTCATATTGGATTAGGGCCCATCCTAATGACCTCATCTTAACTACATCTACAATGACCGTATTTCCAAATAATGTCATATTCTGAGGTATCGAGGGTTAGGACTTCAACATGTGAATTTGAGAGGACCCAATTCAATCCATAACACACATGTTACCCTAAAAACTTCACCATTTGCTCATTAAGGAATCTAATTCCTTTCCCCTTGAATCTGGTAGCATTCGTGATTTGCTTTTAATTCCTTTTCCTGGCTGGGCTCAGTGGCTCACGCCTGTAATCCCAGCACTTTGGGAGGCCAAGGCGGGTGGATCACGAGGTCAAGAGACTGAGATCATCCTGAGCAACATGATGAAACCCCGTCTCTACTAAAATACAAAAAATTAACTGGGCGTGGTGGCGCACGCCTATAATCCCAGCTACTCCGGAGGCTGAAGCAGGAAAATCACTTGAATCTGGGAGGCAGAGGTTGTAGTGAGCCAAGATCACGCCACTGCACTCCAGCCTGGTGAGAGAGAAAGACTCCATCTCAAAAAAATAAATACATAAATAAATAATTTCTTTTCCCTTGAATCTGGGAAGGTTTGTGATTTGCTTATAACCAATCAAAGGCAGAGGAAGTGACACTGCATGACTAAGTCAGAAAAGGCAAAGAAATTCCTGTCTTGCTTTTCAGAACACTCATACTGGAGCCTTGAACCACTACGTAAAAGTCCAAAACCTTAAGGCCACCATGATGTGAAGACACCCAGACTAGCCCAGGTAGAAAGACCACATAAAGGAAACAATCAGCAGAGTGAAAAGGCAACCTACAGAATGAGAGAAAATATTTTCAAACTGTTTATCTGATAAAAGGTTAATATCCAAAACACATCAGGAACTCCTATAACTCAATTGCAAAAAATATATATATCAAATATTTTTAAATGGGCAGAGGACTTTCATAGACATTTCTCCAACAAAGATATATGGCCTATTGATATATGTGAAAAGGTGCTCAATATTACTAATCATTAGGAAAATGAAAGTCAAAACTACAATCAGAAACACCTCGCACCTGTCAGGATGACCATTACTAAGAAAAAAAAAAAAAAGAACAGGTGCAGTGGCTCACACCTGTAATCCCAATACTTCCGGAGGCCGAGGCGGGTGGATCACATGAGGTCAGGAGTTTGAGACCAGCCTGGCCAACACATGGTGAAACCCCGTCTCTACTAAAAATACAAAAAAAAAAAAAAAATTAGCTGGGCATGGTAGCAGGCGTCTGTAATCCCAGCTACTCAGGAGGCTGAGGCAGGAGAATCGCTTGAAACTAGGAGGCAGAGGTTGCAGTGAGCTGAGATCGTGCCACTGCATTTCAGCTTTGACAGCAGAGTGAAACTCCATCTCAAAAAGAAAAGAAAAGAAAAAAAAACATAAGCGTTGGCAAAAATGTGAAGAAATTTAAGCTCTTGCACAGTGTTGGTGGGATTGTAAAATGGTCCGGCTACTATGGAAAACTGTCTGGCGGTTCCTCAAAAAATTAAAAACAGAACCACCATATGATCCAGCAATTCTACCTCTTGGTATGTAGCCAAAAGAACTGAAATCAGCATCCCGAAGACACAATCTGCATTCTCTTGTTCATTGCAGCATCATTCACAACAGCCAAGAATAGAAACAACGTCAATGTCCATTGATAAATGAGTAGATAAAGAAAAAGTAAACTAGATAGATAGGTATCTGGAGAGATGGATAGATAGATAGACAGATAGATCAATGTCCATTGATAGATGAGTGGATAAAGAAAATGTAATAGACATAGCTAGGACCCACACAAAAAAAGAAAATTTATTTAATAAAATTATTGCTGTTTAAAACCATTGAGTTTTGGGGGTACTTTATTACAGAGCCACAGCAACTGGGACAATGTGTCAATGTGCTGTTTTCACCTTTCAAGGAGGCAGAGAAGATCTGTGAGCTACCAACCCTTAAAACACTTCCTAGTTCTCTGTCATCATAGAGGCATTTTCACAATTTGCTTTCTGTTGCATTCAGCCCAGAACCTGGAGGAGTTACGGCACTACTTGAGTAAGAACTTCATCCAAAGTCAATGACAAGGGGCAGAGGGGTGAGGGTTGGAACATTACCTACTGGGTACAATGTTCACTATTTGGGTGATGGGCGCACTAGAAGCCCAAGCCTCACAATTATACAAAATATATTCATGTAACAAACTTGCACATGTACACCCTGAATCTATAATGATATATTTTTTAAAAGAAGAGATACATAAATGCCCAATAAGTACATGAAAACAACAGAAAAACAAGGTAAATGCCAAGAAATTATGTTCCCATTCTCAAAGAATGCCAAAAAAATAAATTTCAGTATCTAGTGATAAGGAGGCAACCTCTCTCACTGAATAAATACAAGTAATAAATTTGATGTTTGGGCTTGAGGCCATCAGCATATTTTATGATTGTAAAGGAATTATTTAATTTCTCAATGATCCATTTTTATTTGATTTAATTAAATAATATAGATTGGTCTCATGATAACTGCAAGGTTCAGTTAGGCACTGCAGATAATAAGCAGTTATTCTTTATTTATTCAGTTGTTCATTCCACAAAAATTTACTGAGTGTCTACTAGGTATTATGTCAGACATTGTGCACAAAGCTTGAAATTTAGTAGTAAGCAAAGACAAAGGCCCTGCCCTCAAGAAGCTTACTGGAGAGTCAGAGAAGTAAAAAGACTTCACATACAATGACTAAATGTTAAGCAGGAGTAGGTATAAATGCAAGGGCTCAATGATTCCTTAGAGAATCAAAGTTTGATTTTACTATAAGAAACTACAGATTCACTTAAAATTGTTTTTTAAAGATTTACTACTTTTGAAGAGAGTATATGCCAAATAATCCTCTACCCATCATGTGTATATGAATTACAGTGGCATTTTGATGTATTTTAAGAATTCTTTGTTTTCAATAAGTCAAAGTAAACCAAAACCGAGTAACATCCCAAAGCCCAGCAAGTCACTCATCAAGAGCCACATCATTGAATGTTCCAGTGCCACTGGATCTAAAAATGGAATATATTGGCCAGGCGCTGTGGCTAATACACCTGTAATCCCAGCACTTTGGGAGGCTGAGGTGAGTGGATCACAAGGTCAGGAGTTCGAGACCAGCTTGGCCAAGATGGTGAAACCCTGTCTCTACTAAAAACAAAAAATTAGCCGGGTGTGGTGGCAGGCGCCTGTGGTCCCAGCTACTCGGGAGGCTGAGGCAGGAGAATTCCTTGAACCTGGGAGGTGGAGGTTGCAGTGAGCTGAGATTGCACCACTGCACTCTAGCCTGGGCAACAGAGCGAGACTCCATCTCAAAAAAAAAAAAAGAATATATTATTAATACGTTTTTAACAGAATAAATTAATTTATACCTGATACCATTTTATTCTCACCTTCACTTTGTGTTTACCTTTTGATGTTTGTTCCTGAGAAATAAAATCCATGTTTCCTTTAGACTCACAAACCAAACACGAGGAGCACATTTTAAATTCACCTGTGATGTCTTGGCAAGTCCTGGTGAAGTTACGAAAATTGGAGGGATTTAGAAAGATTCTCATGATAATCTGAGTTTCCCTTACTGGTTGCAGAAAAGTCACAAAAGAAAAATTTAAGGAGGAGAGTGAATAGGTAAAATTAGATTGCAAACACACTTCCAGACATGATAGCTCCAATGTTCTTTCTGTAAAGAAAAAAGAAAAACACTTTCTTTACTGTAAAGCTTTGAGTTTTTGGCATTCAAATAAATACACAGTATGCTCCCAGTTTTTCTTAGGTGGATTCAGTACATTTCAGCTTATCAGAGACAAGACTGTTTTTTAAACTTGAATTAACAATAACTATTCCATTTAAATATTTCTATTTCATTATTTTTATTTATTTATTTTTTTTTTTTTTTTTTTTTTTTGAGACTGGATCTTGCTCTGTCGCCCAGGCTAGAGTGCAGTGGTGTAATCATAGCTTACTGCAGCCTTGGCCTCCCAGGCTCAGGCAATTCTCCCAACTCAGCCTCCAGAGTAGCTGTGACTGCAGGGGCATGCCACCATGCCCAGCCAATTTTTAAAAAATTATTTGTAGAGACAGGGAGCCATGGTGCCCAGCAACATTTCTCTTTTAAACCTGTGAACATTCCCTATTAACTTTCAGAGAAGAGGTGTCTTTATAAAGAAGCGCTTGGAATCTCAGCATTTTAACCATTCTCTATTCTGGGGAATTTTTTATGGACAAACCTTAGATTCTTCTGAATCCATCTGTTCCAAAATAAAGACTCAAGTCAATTGCATGGAGTTGAACAGGGTATGAAAACTTTGAACAGTATCTCTGTATCAGTTTCCTAGGGCTGCTGTAACAAATTTCCACAACCTTGGTAATTTAAAACAAGAAAAATTCATTCTCTCACAGTTTTGGAGGCCAGAAGTCCAACATCGTTTCAGTAGTCAGAAGTTGAGAGGTCTACATGATTGTACTACCTCTGGAGGTTCTAGGGAAGAATCTGTTCCTTGGCCCTCTGGTGGCTGCTGGCATTCCTTGGCTTGTGGCCACATCACTCTAATCTCTGTCTCCATAGTCATATTGCTTTCTCCTCTGTGTCTCTGTTTCTACTAGCCAAAAAGGCTAATCCAGAATAATCTTCACATCTCAAGACCTTCAACTTAGTCACATCTGTAAAGACCCTTTTTCCTTATAAGGTGACATTGACAGGTTTCCAGAATTAGCACCAGATATCTTTAGACGGCCATTATTCAGCCTACCACAACTTCTAAAGATGAAATTTAACAAGATGACAGCCTAATTTTTACTTTTGTCTGAAGACAAACATAAGATATGGAAATTATGGTATAATAGAAATAATACTGAGTTCAGAAACAAAAGACAAACACTCTAGGCTGGGTGTGGTGGCTCACACCTGTAATCCCAGTCCTTTTGGAGGCAGAGGTGGGCAGATTGCTTGAGCTCAGGAGTTTGAGATCAGCCTGGACAACATGGCCACCCCATCTCTACAAAAAATACAAAAATTAGCCAGGCGGGGTGGTGCACTCCTGTAGTCCTTACTACTCAGGATGCTGAGGTAGAAGGATCACTTAAGCCTGGGAGGTTGAAGCTGCAGTGAACCATGATCACACCACTGCACTTCAGCTTGGGCAACAAAGGGAGACCATGTCTCAAAAGGAGAAAAAAGATTCCAGTGCTATATCTGTCAGTCATTAGTCAAGATACTTAGACAATTTACTTAATCTCCACGAGTCTAATTTTCTTACTAGCAAAATAGAGATAAGCCTGCTAATCTCATGGGGTTATAGTAACATCAAATTGTATAGTACATATGAAAACACTTTTGAAATTTGTACAAATATATGTCATTTAAAATGCAAATCCAGGCCAGGCGCAGTGGCTCATGCCTGTAATCCCAGCACTTTGGGAGGCTGAGGCAGTTGGATCACTTGAGGTCAGGAGTTCGAGACCAGCCTGGCCAACATAGTGAAACCTCATCTCTACTAAAAATACAAAACTTAGCCAGGCATGGTGGTGGGCACCTGTAGTCCCAGCTACTCAGGAGGCCGAGGCAGGAGAATTGCTTGAACCTGGGAGGTGGAGGTTGCAGTGAGCCAAGATCGCACCACTGCACTCCAGACTGGGCAACAGAGTGAGACTCCATCTCAAATAAATTAATTTAATTAAATTAAATGCAAACCTATATTCCAAAGTAAAAATTTTAAATTCATCTTTCCTTTAGGACAGAATTATCTATGATTTAATTCATAAAAATAATCAAAGCTTACTGTGTAAAAATTGGGAATTCCTATTTAGCAGTAATGATCAACTAAGGAATAGGCAACCTATCTTTCAGAAATTCCCAGTCTGATAGTCTTTTGTTAGCATAAGAAAACAACCGACCACTTCGGGAGGCTGAGGCGGGTGGATCACGAGGTCAGGAGATGGAGACCATCCTGGCTAACACAGTGAAACCCCATCTCTACTAAAAATACAAAAAAAAAAAAAAAAGAAAAAATTAGCTGGGCATGGTGGCGGGCACCTGTAGTCCCAGCTACTCAGGAGGCTGAGGCAGGAGAATGGCGTGAACCCAGGAGGCAGATCTTGCAGTGAACCGAGATCGTGCCACTGCACTCCAGCCTGGGTGACAGAATGAGACTCCATCTAAAAAAAAAAGAAAAAAAAAAAAGAAAGAAAACAACTGACATGGTTAATTCCACCTTTATGTAGCATCTTCACCATTTCTCATATAATCATTTGGGGCAAAATATATTTTTAAGATTTCTAAATAATATGGAGCACAATGAAAGAATTACTTCTTCTTTTTTTTTTTTAATAATTACCCCTACTCTCAAGTCAATCCTAAGCCAAAAGAACAAAGCTGGAGGCATCACACTACCTGACTTCAAACTATACTACAAGGCTACAGTAACCAAAACAGCATGGTACTGGTACCAAAACAGAGATATAGATCAATGGAACAGAACAGAGCTCTCAGAAATAACGCCGCATATCTACAACTATCTGATCTTTGACAAACCTGAGAAAAACAAGCAATGGGGAAAGGATTCCCTATTTAATAAATGGTGCTGGGAAAACTGGCTAACCATATGTAGAAAGCTGAAACTGGATCCCTTCCTTACACCTTATACAAAAATCTATTCAAGATGGATTAAAGATTTAAACGTTAGACCTAAAACCATAAAAACCCTAGAAGAAAACCTAGGCTTTACCATTCAGGAAATAGGCATGGGCAAGGACTTCATGTCTAAAACACCAAAAGCAATGGCAACAAAAGACAAAATTGACAAATGGGATCTAATTAAACTAAAGAGCTTCTGCACAGCAAAAGAAACTACCATCAGAGTGAACAGGCAACCTACAAAATGGGAGAAAATTTTCGCAACCTACTCATCTGACAAAGGGCTAATATCCAGAATCTACAATGAACTCAAACAAATTTACAAGAAAAAAACAAACAACCCCATCAAAAAGTGGGCGAAGGACATGAACAGACACTTCTCAAAAGAAGACATTTATGCAGCCAAAAAACACACGAAAAAATGTTCACCATCAATGGCCATCAGAGAAATGCAAATCAAAACCACAATGAGATACCATCTCACACCAGTTAGAAAGGCAATCATTAAAAAGTCAGGAAACGACAGGTGCTGGAGAGGATGTGGAGAAATAGGAACACTTTTACACTGTTGGTGGGACTGTAAACTAGTTCAACCATTGTGGAAGTCAGTGCGGCGATTCCTCAGGGATCTAGAACTAGAAATACCATTTGACCCAGCCATCCCATTACTGGGTATATACCCAAAGGACTATAAATCATGCTGCTATAAAGACACATGCACACGTATGTTTATTGAGGCATTATTCACAATAGCAAAGACTTGGAACCAACCCAAATGCCCAACAATGATAGACTGGATTAAGAAAATGTGGCACATATACGCCATGGAATACTATGCAGCCATAAAAAATGATGAGTTCATGTCTTTTGTAGGGACATGGATGAAATTGGAAATCATCATTCTCAGTAAACTATTGCAAGAACAAAAAACCAAACACCGCATATTCTCACTCATAGGTGGGAATTGAACAATGAGAACACATGGACACAGGAAGGGGAACATCACACTCTGGGGCCTGTTGTGGGGGGGTGGACGGGGGAGGGATAGCATTGGGAGATATACCTAATGCTAGATGACGAGTTAGTGGGTGCAGCGCACCAGCATGGCACATGTATACATATGTAACTAACCTGCACAATGTGCACATGTACCCTAAAACTTAAAGTATAATAATAAAAAAATTTAAAAAATGAAATAAAATAATTACCCCTACTCATATACCTTGCTTCAAACTTGAAAAAAATCAAGCTCATGATTGATATTAAAGCATTTTTAAAATGTGTATAATTTGTATTTTGATAGTAATTCCATAAGTGTTGAATCACTGGTGATTTTTGTTTTTATTTAATAAATTAAGAGCTAATTTACTAGCCTTCTATATTTGAAATTTCTTCTGTAATAATTCACATTTAATTTCCAGCTATACAAAATTTACTCAAATACACAATTTCATTATGTCTTAATATATTTATTTATTTTATTTTATTTTAAGATGGAGTTTTGCTCTTGTTGCCTAGGCTGGAGTGCAGTGGCATGATCTCGGCTCACTGCAACCTCTTCCTCCTGGGTTCAAGTGATTTTTCTGCCTCACCCTCCTGAATAGCTAGGATTACAGGCATGCACCACCACGCCCGGCTGATTTTGTATTTTTAGTGGAGACGGGGTTTCTTCATGTTTGTCAGGCTGGTCTTGAACTCCCGACCTCAGGTGATCCGCCCACCTCGGCCTCCCAAAGTGCTGGGATCTTAATATATTTATAATCAAAGTTGTAATCAGATTGTAACTACAATAAAAAAAAATTGCCTTCACTAATAATGCCCCAGGAAGGATATGGAGATGCACCATCTGATGGAACTCCATAATCTGTATCTTTTTTAATATCACTAAAATACATGAAAAACTGATTTCTTGCCATCTTTCCATTTTCCTCACTGGCACTTTTCATTTTATGAAACTTTCAACTTCTTCAATTTATATTGCTATGATATGACCTAAAAGAGAGATAGAGAAATGTTTACTGTCAATAGTGTAGTCTTCTTATTCAATAAGTGACCAACTGAGCTTTCTAGAATTGATGACAGATCCTTTATATTCGGCTATGGGGTAATTTCGTGATGACTTTTAAACCTCAGCTTTAAATAATTGAATTGGAAAAGAAATAAATAGAAGACACATCCTTCCCCAGTATAATTTTAAGAAATAAATAAATTCTACTCAATCATTTTTGCTATCAGGTGGACTATATTCTCATCTCCATAAGCAAGGATTTATGAATTTAACTGCTGCCATTAATACTGCTGAGAGTCAACATCTAAATGTTCACTCTCAGAGATGGAAATGCATTCCAGAATTACTCCAGTACTAAGACTGCAACCTCTCAGAGGAAGTACATAGAATACTGAACAGAATTGGGAAAATACATGGCACTATAGGACAAATGCTCAAGTCAAATATTTTCTCTTTTTAAAGAAAAGCAACAGTAAGATTAAAGAAACATCAACTACCTTTCTTTTTAAACTTTTATTATAAAAATATATTATACACACATATATAAAATGTATTGTGCCAGTTAAATAATAATAACTAAGACCCATGTACCTATCACCCAGATTAAGAAACAGAATATTACCAATGCATTTGAAGCACCCCTATCTCTTCTCACCCCTACACTATAGCATAGTTTAGAAATATATACATATATATGGAATATACCATATGTATTCTGTGATTTGCTTTTACTTTGCTTAACATGTTTTAGTCATGTTGATACATAGAGCTGTAGTTAATTATATATGGTATTTTTATGAATGAATATACTATAATTTATTTATTCATTCTTCTGACAGTGAACATTTGTGTTGTTCCATTTTTTGCTGTTATGAATAATGTTGCTGTGAACTGAAACTCTCATACATTGCTGGTAGGAATGTAAAATAGTATAATCATTCTGGAAAACAGATTTTCTTATGAGTTAAACATATACTTACCATATGACCCAAAAATTCCACTCCTAGAAATTTACACAAGAGAAATAAAAACATATGTCCACATGAAGACCTGTACGTGAATTTTTATAGCAGCTTTCTTACTTATAATAGCCAAGAACTGGAAACAATTCAAATGTCTAAAAACTAGTGAATATATAAACAACTCTTGCTGTATTCATGTAATGGGATACCACTCAGCCACAAAAAGGAACAAACTACAAGCAACAGCGTGGATGAATCTCAAAAGCATTATAAAGAGGACAAAATCAAGTGACTATATATTGTATGATTCCACTCATATGACATTCAAGAAAATGGAAAAGTGCATTGGCAGTAGGAGAAGGGCTCTTCTGTAATGGAGCTTTGTAATGTACGATTCGGCTTTGTGTCCCTACCTAAATCTCATCTTGAATTATAATCCCCAGATGTTGAGGGAGGGACCTGGTGGGAGATGACTGGATCATGGGTTAGTTTCCCCCAGGCTATTCTTGGGATAGTGAGTGAGTTCTCACAAGATCTGATGGTTTTATAAGAGCCTCTTCCCTCTTTGCTCTCCCTTCTGTCTCCTGCTGCCTTGTGAAGAGCTGCCTTCTTCCCCTTCACCTTCCACCATGACTGTAAGTTTCCTGAGGCCTCCCCAGCCATGCAGAACTGGGAGTCAATTAAACTTCTTTCCTTTATAAATTACCCAGTCTCGGATAGTATCTTTATAGCAGTGTGAAAACAGACTAATACAAGCAAGAAGAAACTTTTAGGAGTGATAGAAAGTGTTATATCCTAATTGTGGTGGTAGGTACACTGGTGTGTACATTTGTCAAAACTCATCAAACTATACACTTAAAGTAGGAGCATTTTGCTGTACGTAAATTATATGTCTGTGAAGTTGATGTTAAAATAATGCTACTCTGAAAATTGATGAACATGTCTTTAGTGTACACTAAGGGTTTAATTACTGGGTATTTAGTGTTTCTTCAGTTTTACTAGAAATGCCATATCATTATACAAAAATGGTTTGTATCAATTTATATTCCCACCCGCAGTGTATAAAAATTCTTTTTCTTTTTTGAGTCAGACTCTCACTCTGTTGCCAGGCTGGAGTGCAGTGGTACGATCTCGGCTCACTGCAACCTCTGCCTCCCGGGTTCAAGCGATTCTCCTGCCTCAGCCTCCTGAGTAGCTGGGATTACAGGCATCTGCCGCCATGCCTGGCTAATTTTTGTATTTTTAATAGAGATGAAGTTTCACAATATTGGCCAGGCTGGTCTCAAACTCCTGACCCCAAGTTATCTGCCCACCTTGACCTCCAAAAGTGCTGGGATTACAGGCATGAACCACTGCCTGGCAGTTCTTTCTTTTTGACACACATTCTGACCAGTGCTTTTCAGATTTTGCCAATTTGGTGAGTGTTAAATAGAATCTCATCATGGTTTTAATGTATATTTTCCTAATTTTCTCGATTTTTTCTAAGTTTTGATTTTTTGTTAGGTTGTCTTTTATTTAATTAATGTTTAGAAGTTATTTACGTTTTCTGCTTAAAATTTCAATGAATTCTCTACATTTTTTATCAGGATATCTTCTCACAGTACCTTATCTATTTATTTTTTTTGATCTTTCAGTTAAAGGGAGCTCTTAATGTAGTGAATTTATCAACCACTTTCTTTCTAATTTGAGCTTTGTGTCTGAAGTCCTTCTTCCTTAAGGTTAAAAAGATCTTTACCTATATTTTCTTCTAAAAGTTGTTTTTAAAGTTTCGCCTTTCACATTTCATTTCTTAATATACGGACTGCCTGGGCACAGTGGCTCATGCCTGTAATCCCAGCCCTTTGGGAGGCCAAGGTGGGTGGGTCACTTGAGTCCAGGAGCTTGAAACCAGCCTGGCCAACGTGGCAAAACCCCATCTCTACAAAAAATACAAAATAATAATAATAATAATGATAATAATAATTAGCCAGGCGTGGTAGTGCGTGTCTGTGGTCCCAGCTACTACAGAGGGTGAAGTAGGAGGGTTGCTTGAGCCCAGGAGGTTGAGGCCGTGGTGAGCCATGATCATACCACTGCAGTCCAGACTGGGTGACAGAGCAAGAACCTGTCTAAAACAAACAAACAAACAAAAAAACAAAAACATGGAATTGTATACAGTACGATGTGTGGAACTAAATTTGTTTTTTCTTTATGTATAACCAATTACACTAGCATTTATTGAGTAGTCTATCTTTCCTTATCTGTAATGACACCTCTGTCATATAAAGTTTCCAGGTACATATAAGCGTGTTTCCGGGTTCTCAATTTTGTTCCTTTAGTCCATTTTTCCATCTTTGCAAAGGTATCATGCTGGCAAACTACTTTTCCTGTATACAAGCTCTTATATCTGAGAGGAAAAAGTCCCGTCGCCTTGTTATTTTTCTTCAGAAGTATCTTAGCAATCCTTCGCTCATTTCAATAAATTTTAAAATCAGCTTGTTAAGTGGTGAAGTACCCGGTGGTACTTTTGACTTGATTCTAGAAATCAGTTGGAGAAGAAAGATATGAAACTGAATCCCTCCTATCATTCATTTCTTCCTTTCTTTTTATTTATTTATGTATTTATTTATCTATTTTTTATTTTTTTATTTTTATGTTTTGAAACAGAGTCTTGCTCTGTCACCAGGCTGGAGTGCAGTGATCTTGGCTAACTGCATAACTGCAACTTCTGCCTCCCGAGTTCAAACGATTCTCCTGCCTCCGCCTCCCAAGTAGCTGGGACTACAGGCACGTGCCACCACACCCAGCTCATTTTTTTGGTATTTTTTGGTAGAGATGGGGTTTCACCATGTTGGCCAGGATGGTCTTAATCTCCTGACCTTGTGATCTGCCTGCCTCGGCCTCCCAAAGTGCTGAGATTACAGGCATGAGCCACTGCACCCAGCCCTTTCTGTCTATTTATGTAGAGTTCTTTGGTTTCTTTGATATCTTTCAATAAGTTTTCTAAATTTTCTCCATTATGATCTTATATATTATTAGATTAATAATTAGTTAGATTTCCTCCTAGGCGCCTTGCTTTTTGTTGCTATTGTCAATAGCATCTTTTAGGAAATATGTTTTCTGTCTGTTGGTAGTATATGGAAATACAATTGACCTTTAAATATCAATCTTATTTTTTGCCACTTTATTAAACTTTTTTATTAACTTTAATTTTTATAGCTTTTGGGCTTTCTATGCAAATATGCATATTGACTGCAAATAATTATAACTTTATTTCTTACTTTCCAATCTTCATACTTTTTATTTCTTATACTTGTCTTACTGCAATGTCAAGGACGTTCAGTACCATGTTGAATAGAAATTATGAGAGTGGGCATTCTTGCTTGCTCCTGATTTTAAGAACACTTACAATGTATCATCATTGATAATATTTCTTATAATTATTTTAGATGCCCTTTAGCAATTTAAGCAAATTCTCTTTTAGTCCTAGTTTGCTGGGAATTTTTAATTATAAGGGCTATTGAATATAATTGAATGCTCTTTCAACAATTATTAAGATGATTATATAGTATTTCTTCTTTGATCTGTTAATGTAGTGAATTACATTATTAGATTTTTCTAATGCTAACTTAATCTTGCACTCCAGTAATAAATCTAATTTGATCATTCTTCTACATTGCTGCTTGTGTATTCTTAATGTTTTGTTTCAAAGTTCTATGTCTATATTTATAACTGAGATTGGCTTGTAAATTTTTCTTTTTGTCTCATTTTTGTTGAGTATGAGTAACAAGGTATACTAGCCTTAAAAAATAAGTTGAATACCAAGAGGCACTCTTAAAACCAGACAAATACATGGAAACTCAACAACTTGCTCCTGAATGAAATCAAAAAATTCTTTGAAACAAATGAAAATAGAGAAACAATCTACTACAACATCTAGGTTACAACAAAAGCAGTGTTAAAAGAAAAGTTTATAGTGCCAATTCCTATATCAAGAAGATAAATCTTAAATTAACAACCTAAGCATACACCTAGAGGAACTAAAACATAAGAACAAATTAAACCCAAAGCTATCAGAAACAAAGAAATAACTAAAATCAGTGTAGATGAAATGAAATTGAGGCCCCAAAAAACCATACAGAGGTTCAATGAAACAAAAGTTGTTTTTTCAAAGGATAAACAAGATTAATAAACTGCTACCTAGATTAAAAAAGAAAAAGAGAAGAGCTAAATAACCATGATCAGAAATGACAAAGGTAACATTACAACTGATCACACAGAAATACAAAAGACCCTCAGAGACTACTATCTCTGCATACAAACCAGAAAATCTAGAGGAAAATGGATAAATTTCTGGAAACACACAACCTCCCAAGACTGAACCAGGAAGGAACAGAAATTTCAAACAGACCAATAATGAATAAGGAAATTGAATCAGTAATAAAAAACCTACCAGCCCAGAACAGCCCTGGACCAAATTAATTCACAGCCAATTTCTACCAGACATAAAAGAAAGAGCTGCTACCAATCCTACTGAAATAATTCCAAAAAATTGAGGAGAAAGGATTCTTCCCTAATTTATTCTATGAAACCAGTATCATCCTGACACCAAGATCTAGCAAAGACACAACAAAAAAAGGAAACTATAGGCTAATTTCCTTGATGAACATAGATGCAAAAATTCTCAGCAAAATATTAGCAAACCAAATCCAACAGCATATCAAGCAATTAATTCACCACAATCAAGTGGGCTTTATTCCTGGGATGCAAGGATATTTCAACATATGCAACTCAATACATGTGATTCACCACATAAACAGAAATAAAAACAAAAACCGTATGATCATCTCAATAGACGCAGAAAAAGCATTCAATAAAATCCAACATTTTTTCATGATAAAAGCCCTCAACAAACTAGACATTGAAGGAACACACCTCAAAATAATAAGAGCCATCTATGGCAAGCTTACAGCCAACATTGTACTGACCAGGCAAAAGTTGGAAGTGCTCTTCCTAAGAATGAGAACAAGACAAAGATGTCAACTCTCACCATTCTTATTCAACAAAGTACTGGAAGTCCTAGCCAGGGCAATCAAGCAAGAGAGAAATAAAAGGAATCCAAATAGGAAAAGAGAAGTCAAGTTATCTCTCTTCATTGATGATATGATTATATACCTAGAAAACCCTAAAAATTCCGTGAAAAGACTCCTAGATCTAATGACTTGAGCAAAGTCTCAGGATACAAAATCAATGTACAAAAATCAGTAGCATTTCTATACACCAATAACATTCAAGCTGAGAATCAAATGAAGAATGCAATCCCATTTAAAATAACCACAAAAAAACATGAAATAAAACACCTAGGAATACATCTAACCAAGGAGATGAAAGATCTCTGCAAGGAGAACTACAAAACACTGATGAAAGAAATCATAGATAACACAAACAAATAAAAAAGCATTTCATGCTCATGGATCAGAATAATCAATATCATTAAAGCATCCATACTGCCCAAAGCAATCTACAGATTCAACGCTATTCTTACCAAATTACCAATGTCACTTTTCAGAATTAGAGAAAACTATTCTAAAATTCATATGAACCACCCACCCACCACACACACAAAATAGCCAAAATAGCCAAAGCAATCCTAAGCAAAAAGAACAAAGCCAGAGGCATCATATCTTCCAACTTCAAACTATACTACAAGGCTAGAGTAACAAAAACAGCATGGTAATGGTACAAAAACATTAATAGACACATAGACTAATGCAACAGAATAGAGACCCCTGAAATAAAGCTGCACACCTACAACCAACTGATCTTTGATGAAGCTGACAAAAGTAAACACTGGGGAAAGGATACTCTATTCAATAAATGCTGCGGAGAAAACTGGCTAACCATAGGCAAAGAATGAAACTGGACCCCTTTCACTATATACAAAAATTAACTAAAGGTAGATTAAAGATCTAAATGTAAGACCTCAAACTATAAAAATCCTAAAAGAAAACCTAGGAAATACTTTTCTAGACATGAACTTAGGCAAAGAAATTATGAATAAGTCCTCAAAAGCAAACGCAACACAAACAAAAATTGACAATTGGAACATTATTAAACTAAAGGGTTTCTTCACTGCAAAATAAACTATCAACAGAGTAAAGAGACAACCTACAAAATGGAAGAAAATATTTGTAAACTATGGATCTTACTAAGGGCTAATATACAAAATCTATAAGGAACTGAAACAAACCAACAAGAAAAAAACCAACCCCATTAAAAAGTGGGCAAAGTACATGAACAGACACTTCTCAAGATATCCAAGCAGCCAACAAATATATTAAAAAATGCTCAACATCACTAATTGTTACAGAGATATAAATCAAAACCACAATGTGATACCATTTCACACTAGTCAGAATGACTATTATTTAAAAAATCACAGACATTCACAAGGTTGCAAAGAAAAGGAAGTTTATATGCTGTTAGTGGAAATACAAATTAGTTCAGGCCCTGTGGAAAGCAGTTTGGAGATTTCTGAAAGAACTGAAAATAGAATTGTCATTTGACCGAGTAATCTTATTATTGGGAATATACCTAAAAGAAGATAAATCGTTCTACCAAAAAGACACCTGCACTCATACGTTTATCACAGCACTATTCACAGTAGCAAAGACATGGAATCAATCCATCAGTGGTGGCTCATGCCTGTAATCCCAGCACTTTGGGAAGCCAAGGCAGGTGAATCACGAGGTCAGGAGTTCAAGACCAGTCTGGCCAAGATGGTGAAACCCCATCTCTACTAAAAATACAAAAATTAGCCAGGCATGGTGGCAAGGACCTGTAATCCCAGCTACCCGGGAGGCTGAGGCAGAGAATTGCTTAAACCCGGGAGGCGGAGGTTGCAGTGAGCCGACATCACATAATTGCACTCCAGCCTGGACAACAGAGTGAGACTCCATCTCAAAAATAATAATAATAATAAAAGAAAATATGGTACGTATACACCATGGAATACTATTCAGCCATAAAAAAGATTGAAATCATGTCCTTTGCAGCAACATGGTTGCAGCTGAAGGCCATTATCCCAAGCAAATTAATGCAGAAACAGAAAAACAAATACCACATGTTCTCATTTATAAGTGGTAGCTAAACATTGGGTACACACAGACACAAAGACGGGCTCAACAGACACTGGGTATTCCCAAAGTGGGAAGGGAGGGAAGGAAGCAAGGGCTTAAAAACTACCTATTGGGTAATATGTTCACCACTTGGGCAATGGGATCATTAGAAGCCCAAACCTCAGCATCACATAATATATCCATGTAACAAACCTGCACATGTACCCTCTGAATCTAAAATTTAAAAATGATATAGTACTTAAAAATATATTAATGAAATACATTACATCAGTGGGTCTAAAAGAATATGAACTACATCTAGATGCTTCAAAATCACGTAATAAATATCACATTTATTTGCAAATTACTATATTCTCTTTGTAAAAGAGAAATATTCTTACATTATAAAGTCTATCTGTCTCAGACCAAAATATCAATAGCACTAAGGATACTGATGTAAATATATTTTAGTGATAAACACTATAAATATTTATGTCAAAGTTATGAAAAAGCAAGAAATTTTCCCTATAAATATT
Source organism: Homo sapiens (assembly GCF_000001405.40). NCBI lineage: Eukaryota > Metazoa > Chordata > Mammalia > Primates > Hominidae > Homo > Homo sapiens. The sequence goes on from NC_000004.12 coordinate 39,012,465, forward strand.
TGCCAGGAAAATCTGCCAAAGCAATTAGGAGAAAACATTGATTAGAAATAGGTGGAGAAGGTCGGGTGCGGTGGCTCACACCTGTAATCCCAGCACTTTGGGAGGTCGAGGCAGGCGGATCACCTGAGGTCAGGAGTTCGAGACCAGCCTGGCCAACATGGTGAAACCTGGTCTCTAGTAAAAATACAAAAATAGACCGGGCATGGTGGCTCACGCCTGCAATCCCAGCACTTGGGAGGCTGAGGCGGGCAGATCACTTGAGGTCAGGAGTTTGAGACCAGCCTGGCTGACATGGTGAAACCCCATCTCTGCTAAAAATACAAAAATTAGCCTGCCGTGGGGCAGGTGCCTGTAATCCCAGCTACTTGGGAGGCTGAGTCAGGAAGAATTGCTTGAACCAGGGAGGCAGACGTTGCAGTGAGCCGAGATCACGCCACTGCACTCCAGCCTGGGCAACAGATTGAGACTGTGTCTCAGAAAAAAAAAAAGGAAAGAAAAAAAGAAAGAAGTGAAGGAAACAATGCTTGGAAGTGTTGGAAAAGAGTAGTATGAGGCTGGACATGGTGGCTTACGCCTGTAATCCTAGCACTCTGGGAGGCTACTGTGGGTGGGTCTCTTGAACTCAGGAGTTCGCGGCCAGTCTGGGTAACAAAGTGAGACCTCGTCTCTATAAAAAAAATACAAAAATCAGCCGGGCATGGTGGCACATGCCTGTAGTCCCAGCTACTCGGGAAACTGAGGTGGGAGGATGGTTTGAGCCTGCGAGGCAGAGGCTGCAGTGAGCAGAGATCTTACCACTGCACTCGGCACTCCAGCCTAGGCGACAGAGCCAGAACCTGTCTCAAAAAAAAAAAAAGAAAGAAAGAAAAAGAAAACAAAGAAAAAAAAAGAGTAGTATGACATAATTGGTTTATTTATTTATTTATTTATTTATTTATTTATTTATTTATTTATTAAGACGGAGTCTTGCTCTGTCGCTAGGCTGGAGTGCAGTGGCACGATTTCGGCTCACTGCAACTCTGCCTCCTGGATTCAAGCGATTTCCCCTGCCTCAGCCTCCCGAGTAGCTGGGACTACAGGCACACCTCACCACGCCCAGCTAATTTTTTGTATTTTAATAGAGACGGGGGTTTCACCATGTTGGCCAGGATGGTCTCAATCTCCTGACCTCATGATCCACCCGCCTCGGCCTCCCAAAGTGCCGGGATTACAGTCATGAGCCATCGCGCCCGGCCAATTGTTATAATTATTTACAGACAAAAGTGTGTATTTAAAAAAGCTAAAACAGTCAACTGAAAAATGGTAAAAATTAAGAGGATATATCTGTAATGTAGATATACCTATACATTTCACTATGTAAGATCATTCATCCAAAGGTTTAAATACTGTCAAATACTTATATTTTATAATTGTAGTGTAATGTAAATATATAGGCCATGGTCTGCAACTTAGTTTCTATAAGGGGTCATTTAGTAAATGTTTTAGCCTTTGTGGGTCATATGGTCTCTGTTGCAACTACACAATTCTCACCTTATAGGATGAAAACAGCCACAGAAAATGCATATAAAAATGAGTATGGCTGCATTCCAATAAAACTTTATTTATGGATACTAAACTTCAAGTTTAATATAATTTTTATGTCATAAAATATTCTTTATTTCCCAACCATTTTAAACAAAAGAGGCTGTAAAAGACCATAGTTTACTGACCCCTGAATAAGCTATAAGTGATATTATCACGAGTCAATCTGCCATGTATTACGACATCAAAAACAGCACTGTCAAAGTCCATATCATGTCATGAAGAATTTCATAAACTTAATGGAAGAAAGATGATTGACTAACAGATATATAGGCAGGAAGATAATTTTGAATGTAAAGGTTAGGAAGGGCAGGTAGAAGACATTGAGGGGTTTAATGAACCAATGAAATCATCTTCTCCAGTTTCTGTAGATAGAATCACAATAAATTCTGATGTTGCTTTTGTCACATCCCTATGCAAAAATCAGCAAGAGCCAGGTGTGGTAGTTCACACCTGTAATCCCAGCACTTTGGGAGGCGGAGGTGGGCAGATCACTTGAGGTCAGGAGTTTGAGGCCAGCCTGGCCAACATGGTGAAACCCTGTCTCTAATAAAAATACAAAAATTAGCTGGGCATGGTGGTGTGTACCTGTAATCCAGCTACTCGGGAGGCTGAGGCAGGAGACTCTCTTGAACCCAGGAGGCTGAGGTTGCAGTGAGCGGAGATTGTACCATTGCACTACAGCCTGGGCAGCAAAGTGAGACTCCATCTCAAAAAAAAAAAAAAAAAATCAGCAAGAATTTCCCAGTAAATAAAATTTTCATCTTTTTTTAAAAAAGAAATAAATAAATGTCTCCTCTTTTTTATGCTTTGAAAAAAATTACATAAAATTACATTTATCTGTTTGGTCTGTTTCTTGAAAGTTTGGCAGGAATTGCCTGGAAAATCATCTGAAACTAGTGTGAAAATCATCTGAAACAGAGAAGATTAAAAACCATGGACTGAGTTTCTTTAATTGTTGTAAAACTCTTGAGCTTTCCATTGCTTCCTAAGTAAGTTTCCTAGATATGTGTCTTTGTGTTTCAAATTTATTGACATAAATTATTCACAATATCCTCTTATTACATCTTTAATTTTGCTATGTCTGTAGTTATATCCCTTTTTAATTTCTAACATTAGTTACTTGTACCTTCTCTCATTTTTTTTATTATTCAGTTTTGGCAGGCAGAATAAGTGTCCCTATCTTAATTCCTGGAACCTGTAAATATATTACATAACATGGCAAAGTGGAATTAAGGCAGAAGATGGAATTCAGGTTGTTAATCAGCTGATCTTAAAATGAAGAAATTATCCTGGATTATCTGGGTGGATCCAGTGTAATCATGAATGTGGAATTGGGTAGCAGAAGAGTCAATGTCAGAGTGATACAATATGAGAAAGACTCAGCAGGCCATTGCTGGCTTTGAAGATGGAAGGAGGCCACAAGCCAAGGAATTCAGACAGCTTCCAGAAGCTGGAAACAGCCAGAAAATGGATTCTAGTCTAGAGCCTCCAAAAGGAACACAGTCTTACTGATACCTTGATTTTAGCCCGGGGATACCTCTGTTGAATGTCTAACCTATACTGTGAGACAATACATTTGTGTCATTTTAAGCCACTAAGTTTATGATCATTTGTTACAGCAGCCCTAAGAAATTAACTGATACGGTTTGGCTGTGTCCCCACCCAAATCTCATCTTGAATTGTAGCTCTCATAACTCCCTCATGTTGTGGGAGGGACCCAGTGGGAGATAATTGAATCACGGGGGCTGTTTCTCCCATACTGTTCTCATGAACAGTCTCATGAGATCTGATGGTTTTATAAGGGGAAACCCCCTTTTGCTTGGCACTCATTCCCTCTTTGCCTGCCACCAAGTACAAAGTCCTTCCGCCTTCCACCATGATTATGAGGCCTCCCCAGCCACGTGGAACTGTGAGTCCATTAAACCTCTTTTTTGTTTATAAATGATGTATGTCTTTGTCAGCAGCATGAAAATGGACTAATACATTAACATATGAATCTTTCCAGTGGTTTATCCATACAAATAGTCCTTTAAAATAACCAGCTTGGCTGGGTGTGGTGGCTCACGCCTGTAATCCAGCACTTTGGGAGGCCAAGGCAGGCAGATCACGAGGTCAGGAGATTAAGATCAGCCTAGCCAACATGGTGAAACCCCATCTCTACTAAAATACAAAAAATTAGCCGGGCATAGTGGTGTGAGTCTGTAGTCCCAGCTACTCAGGAGGATGAGGCAGGAGAATTGCTTGAACCCGGGAGGCAGAGGTTGCAGTGAGCTGAGATCACATCACTGTACTCCAGGCTGGGCAACACAGCAAGACTCTGCCTAAAAAAAAAAAAAAGAAGAAGAAAGAAAGAACCAACTTGTGATTTTATTGATCCTTTCTGTATCTATTCTTTTAAGTTCATTGACTTTTGCTCCTGTGTTTATTATTTCCTGCCATTACTTTCTGGGTTTATCTTATTGTTCTTTTTCTGATGTTTTAGGTATAAGCATTTAAAGTTATATGTTTTGGTAATATTGCATAAGTTTAAACAGATAGTATTTTTTAATCATTCAGTTACAGTATTTTCTATTCTCCATTATAGTTTCTTCTCAACTATAGGTTATTTAGAAGTGAATTTTCTAAATTTCCAAATATATTACCTATTTTTAGCTTTCTTTTTGTTACTAGAATCTAATTTAATTTCATTTAGTCAGAGAAGTATATTAAAGATTGTTTGAAATGTATTGAGGCTTGTTTTTATAGTCTGGTATTGTATTAGTCTATTCTCACGCTGCTAATAAAGACATACCCGAGACTGGGTAAATTATAAAGGAAAAAGGTGTAATGGACTTAAGTTCCACATGGCTGGGGAGGCCTCACAATCATGGCAGAAGATGAAGGAAGAGCAAAGAGATGTCTTACATGGTGGCAGGCAAGCGAACTTGTGCAGGGGAACTCCCATTTATAAAACCATCAGATCTCATGATATTTATTCACTATCACAAGACACAGTATGGGGGAAACCACCCTATGATTCAATTACCTCCACCTGGTCCCACCCTTGACAAGTGGGAATTATTACAATTGAAGGTGAGATTTGGGTGGGGACACTGCCAAACCATATCAAGTATGTATTTCTTCTTTTTTTTTTTTTTTTTTTTTGAGACAGAGTCTCGCTCTGTCTCCCAGGCTGGAGTTCAGTGGCACCATATCAGCTCACTTCAAGCTCCGCCTCCCAGGTTCACACCATTCTCCTGCCTCAGCCTCCCGAGTAGCTGGGACTACAGGTGCCCGCCACCACGCCTGGCTAATTTTTTTTGTATTTTTTTTAGTAGAGACGGGGTTTCATCGTGTTGGCCAGGATGGTCTTGATTTCCTGACCCCGTGATCCACCTGTCTCAGCCTCCCAAAGTGCTGGGATTACAGGTGTGAGCCACCGCACCCAGCCCAAGTATGTATTTTTATTCCCTGAAAAGAATATGTGTTCCAGATGTTGAGTTCAATATTCTAAATACATCCATTAGATAAAACTAGCTATTTGAATTGTTTGAATTGTCTATATTCCTATTCTTCACATGGTTGTATTTTATGACTGGGAAGTATGTTTAAAATCTCCCACTAAATAATGGATTTATAATTGTCTTTTTAAAGCTATCTTTGTTGGGGCATATAAATTTAGAATTGATGCATATTCTTGTGAATTGAAACTTCTATCCATATATCCTGACCTTCTTTATTGCTAGTAATGATGTTAATCTTAAAATCTTACATTAATACCATGGCATGTGCTTTCTTCAGTTACTATTTGTTCCGTATATTTTTCTCATCTTTTCACTTTTATCTTAATGCTTTAGATAGGTCTGTTTTAAATGGCATATTTCCGGAAATTGCTTTTTTAATCTAGTCTGATAATTTTTTGTCTTTTTACCTGGATAGATTTGCCCATTTACATTTACTGGGATCATTGGTATATTTAGATTTAATTATATCATATTATTAATGCTTCCTATTTGTACCATGCTTTCTATTGTTTCTTGCCTTTCTGGCTGTTAAATTGATTCAGTGATTTTTTTTTCTCATTCCATTATTTTTCCCTTTAGTTATGTGAGGTTAGATACTATATTTCTATTATTTTAGTAGTTACCATAGTAATTTTTAACATGCATTCTTAAAGCCTAAAGTCAATCAACAGTTAACCTCTCTCAAACAATACAAGGGTCTTAGGATACTTTAACTCGGATCATCTCCTTCCTGACTTAAAGGTTACTTTTATACAGCATTTTGGTTCTATCTTGTTTTTTCACTGACATACAAATTAGTTGAGTTTTTAAATTTTATGCATCTAATATTTTCAGGATTTGTTTAGATTTACTCACATGTTTATAATTGTTGTTGAGGTTTTTTTCCCTGCCATTTCTTCTTGCATCTCTGCCCTTCCTTCTGGGATTACATTCCTTCTCCTAAAGCTAATTATTTAGAAGTTCTTTCACTGAGGGTCTGATGATTGTAAACTCTCTGTGTTGTTTACCTGAAAATATACATCTCACCAATTCTAGGTCAACAAAAATTTTGCCTCAGCACTTTGCAGGCATTTTTCACTGCCTTCTGATTTTCATTGTTGTTTTCAAGAGATGAGCTATCAGACTATTGTTCCTTTAAACTTTTTAAAGACAATCTGCATTTATCCCTGGTTATTTAAAGATCTCTTGGCCGGGCACGATGGCTCACACCTGTAATCCCAGCACTTTGGGAGGCCAAGGTGGGCAGATCACCTTAGGTCAAGAGTTCGAGACCAGCCTGGCCAACATGGTGAAACCCCGTCTCTACTAAAAATACAAAAATTAGCTGGGTGTGGTGGTGGGCTCCTATAATCCCAGCTACTCAGGAGGCTGAGGCAGAAGAATCACTTGAATTTGGGAGGCAAATGTTGCAGTGAGCCAAGATCACGCCACTGCACTCCAGCCTGGGCGACAGAGCGAGACTCCATCTTAAAAAAACAAAACAAAAAAAAAAAAAAAACCTCTTCAGTTTTCATGCTCTGCAGAATTTCTCATCACTTATTTTGCTTGGGATTTGTGGGTTTCCTGAATTTGAGGATTTACGTCTTTCAATGATTCTGTAAATTTCTTAGCCATTGTCTCTTCAAATATTGCCTTTACCCTATTCTATTTCTTCTATCCTTTGCAGCTTTGATTAGAAATAGCTCCCTTTGCTTTCCATGTCTCTTAACTTCTGTGCTATGTTCTAGGTAATTTCTTTAGATCTCTATTCCAGTTCACTAATTCATTATTTAGTTGCATCTAATCTGTTCATTTCATTCCTTGCATTTCTAATTTATTATATTTTTCACAATTAGAACTTCCAGTTGGTTCTTTTTCAAATCTGCCTGGTAACTTTTAATAGTCTTTGTTCCTTGCTCATATTGTTTTTTAGAATCACAAAATGTGGCAGAGCATTGGATCTCCCCACATATTTGTTTTATATTATTTTTAGGCTGGGGGAATAAACGACTCTGTTTGTCCTCCCTATTAACTTTGTGTGTACGAATTGTTGCTATTTTTGCTATTTTCCCAATCACAGTACCTTACATTTTGCTTTAAACTTCATATATTTTCAGGTGCCTTTCCCCAAGTTTTATTAAGGTATACTTAACTAACAAAAATTATATATATATTTATGGTATACAATGTGATGTTTTGAGATATATATATTGTTAGGTGATTAAATCAAACCTAATAACATATCCATCACTCACATACCATTTTCGTTTGTGTGTGGCGAGAACATTTACTCTCTTAGCAATTTTCAAGTATATAATCCATTATTATTAGCTATAGTCAATATGCCATACAATAGATCTCCAGAACTTATTCATCTGTCTAAATGAAATTTTGTATCCTTTGACCAACAACTCTCCATTCCCCTCACCCCACCCTGTCGTCCACGGTAAACATCATTCTATTCTATTCTCTGCCACTGTGAGTTCAACTCTTTACGACTCCATATATAGTGAGATCATGTGGCATTTTTCTTTCTGTGCCTGGTTTATTTCACTTAGCATAGTATCCCCCAGATTCATTCATACTGTTGCAAAAGACAGAATTTTCTTCTTTGTTAAGGTGGAATAGTATTATCTTGTGTATATGTACCACGTTTTCTTTATCCATTCATTCACTGATGGACACTTACATTGATTCCATATCTGGACTATTGTGAGTAATGCTGCAATGGATATGGGAGTTCAGAGTGATTCCACATCCGGACTATTGTGAGTAATGCTGCAGTGGATATGGGAGTTCAGAGATCCTTTGACACACTGATTTCCTTTCCTTCAAATATAACCAGGAGTGGGATTGCTGGGCGATATGGTAGTTCTACTTTTTTTTAAAGAGACAGGATCCTACTATGTTGCCCAGGCTGCTCTCAAACTCCTGGCTTCCAGCGATCCTCCCAACTCAGCCTCCCAAGTAACTGGGACTACAGGTGCATGTCATTGTGCCTTATTAGTAGTTCTTATTTTGAATTTTTTTTATTTTTTTTGAGATGGAGTCTCACTCTGTCACCAGGCTGGAGTGAAGTGGCATGATCTCGGCTCACTGCAACCTCCACCTCCCGTTCGAGCAATTCTCCTGCTTCAGCCTCCCGAGTAGCTGTGACAACAGGCACATGCCACCATGTCCAGCTAATTTTTGTATTTTTAGTAGAGATGGGGCTTCACCATGTTGGCCAGGATGGTCTCGATCTCTTGACCTCATGATCTGCCCACCTCAGCCTCCCAAAGTGCTGGGATTTCAGGTGTGAGCCACCGCACCCAGCCTAATTTTGAATTTTTTGAGGAGCCTTTATGCTGTCTGTCATAATGGCTGTACTATTTTACATTCCCACAACAGTATACAAGGGTTCCCTTTTCTCCACATCTTCACCAGCACTTGCTATATTTTGTCTTTTTGATAATAGCCATCTTGGGTGTGAGATAATATTTCACTGTATTTTCATAAAATTTCAATTTGTATTTCCCTGATGATTAGCGATGTTGAGAATTTTTTCATATATGTATTGGCCATTTGTATGTCTTCTTTCAAGAAATGTCAGCCTGATGCAGTGGTTGATGCCAATAATCCTAGCACTTTGGGAAGCCAAGACAGGAGGATCGCTTGAGCCCAGGAGTTTGGGACCAGCCTGGGCAACATAGTGAGACCCCGTCTCTACAAAAAAAATTTAAAAATTAGCCAGTGTGGTGACCCACACTTGCAGTCTTAGCTATTCAGGGGGCTGAGGTGGGTGGACCGCTTGAGCCCTGGAGGTCAAGAATGCAGTGAGCCATACTACATTCCAGCCTGGGCAACATAGTGAGACCTTGTCTCAAAAAAAAATAAATAAATAAAAAGAAAAGAAAAGAAAAAAATGAAAAAAGAAAAAAGTAAAAAAGAAATAACTCTTCACTATCCTTTGCCCATTTTTAAATCAGGTTATTTTCTTGCTGTTGCATTGTCTGAATTCCTTATATATTTTGGATATTAAACCCTTATATATATGGTTTGCAACTATTTTCTCTCATTCCGTAAGTTTCTTTTCACTCATTTCCTTTGCTATGCAGAAGATTTTTAGTTTGATACAATCTCATTTGTATATGTCTGCTTTTGTTGCCTGTTTTATGGGTCATAACCAAAAAAATAATTGCCTAGAACAATGTCATTGATATTTTTCCCTATGTTTCCTTCTAGTAGTTTTACAGTTTAGGTCTTCAAGTCTTTAATCCATTTTGAATTGGTTTTTGTACATGGTGTGAAATGAGTCTGATTACATTCTTCTGTGCTTACTCATACTTTTTGATGTAATATTTTCTGTACTGAAACAAGCTAAATATTTTCTATTTTATATCTCATAATTCCAATATCGGAATTCTTTGAAGATCCGATTCTGCTGTTTGTTGTTTCTGTTGATTCTTGTCCATTGAGTCTTCACGTGTTTTATCATTTTTGATAATAGCTATTGTTCCTTGGAATTTTACTTTGGGAAATTATTTGAGGAATGGTGTAAAGATGTTTTCCTCCAGAGAGGATTGGTGTTTTCCTCTGGTGAGTGTCTAATGGCACCATTAACCCAAAGTGACTTTAACTACATTCCTGGATTGGACTTTTCACACGTCACAGGTAATGATTCTCAACATCCAAGTTATGGCCAACTGTGTTTATAAACTCTCAAAGGACTCTTTTTCCTTTCTCCACCCATAGCCAAAGTGAAGACAGACAAATTTCCTCAAAACCAGACATAATTTGTGCTAGATTACTGTTTTATGGAGCATATCACTTTTTAGTATCTCAGTCATATCTCAGTCTTACACTTTGCCTTCTGTCTCCTGACGTATGACCCAGTGAAACTGAAATTCCAGGCCACCAGAGATTTGCAAATGCTCCTGAGGCACAAATTTGTTCACTCTTGCTTAGCCATACGTATTTATAATTCCTACTCATTTTCTGCCTCCAAGGAGTCTTATTGTCTTATCAGTTTAACTCTACATTTCTAAAGTTTTAAATACATTTTATTTCACATTTTTAGATATTTTGTCCCAGGAGTATTTTTCAGAGTATGACTGCAAGAAAAGAAATCTCAACTATCCGTTGACCTCTACCAATAAGTGAAAACTTATTTGTAGAATATCTTTCCATAAAATTTTAATGTAAATTAAAATCTTCATTATTTGACAGATAGTAGGCACACCAGAGGCTACTCTAGGTCAACTCACATTTTCCCAAGACCTCATTAACTAGTTGTCAGGGAACTTTGGAAGAAATGTAGATTATTTCTTTGACTATACATATTCTAAGTGTTATTAATTCAGTATATTAAATATAAACTAGAGAAAATGAGAATTTTTTGCTACTAGAAATATTGCTAGTACAACCACTTTAGAGAAACATCTGTCAGCTTCTTGTAAAATTAAACGTACCCAGTGAAATGGACTAACCGTTTGTGTACCCCTAAAATTCCAATATGATGGTATTTGAAGGTGGGGTCTGTGGGAGGTAATTAGGTCATGAGAGTGGAGAGCTAATGGATGGGATTAGTGTCCTTATAAGAAGAGACCAGAGAGGTAACTAGTCCATCCTGTAAGAATACAAAGAAAAGTCAGCATTCTGCAACCCAGAAGAGGACCCTCATCAGAATCAACCATGCTGGCATACTGGTCTTGGATTTCCAAACTCCAGAACTGTGAAGGCTGTTGTTTACAAGTTACTCCGTCTACAGCACTTTGTTACAGCAGCCCAAGCTGACTAAGACACCCAGGTATTCCACAACTAGAGCATTATTGAATAGAAATAAAAACATATACTGACACAAACATTTGTACAATAATGTTCATAGCAGCATATTTATAATAGCCCAAACTTGAAATAACCCAATAGATAAAGGGACAAATGTTGTGTATTTATATGATGGAGTACTTTGCAACAAAAAGATAGGAGCTACTAAATCACTCAGTAGCATGGATGAATCTCAAAAACATGCTAAGTAAAGAACCCAGACCAGGCCAGGCATGGTGGCTCACGCCTGTAATCCCAGCACAGTGGGAGGCCAAGGTGGGCGAATCACTTGAGGTCAGGAGTTCAAGACTAGCCTGGCCAACTTGGTGAAACCCATCTCTACTAAAAATACAAAAAATAAAAATAAAAAAATCCAGGCATGGTGGTGGGCACCTGTAGTCCCAGCTACGCAGGAGGCTGAGGCAGGAGAATCACTTGAACCCAGGACGCAGAGGTTGCAGTGAGCCAAGATAGCACCACTGCACTCCAGCCTGGGTGACAGAGTGAGACTCCGTTTAAAAAATAAAAAATAAAAATAAAAAAAGAAGCCAGACCAAAAATATTTACTGTGTGATGAGTCCATTTACACAAAATAAAAGAAGAGACAAAACCAATTTATGGTGACACAGGTCAGATGTTGCCTTGGGGATGCTGGAGGAGATTTGAAAGGAAAGAGCCAGAGGAATCTTTTGTTTGTTTATTTATTTGTTTGTTTTTTGAGATGGAGTCTCGCTGTTCCGCCCAGGCTGCCATGAAGTGGCGCCATCTTGGCTCACTGCAACCTCCGCCCCCTGGGTTCAAGTGATTTTCCTGCCTCAGCCTCCTGAGTAGCTGGGGATATAGACGCGTGCCACCACACCCAGCTAATTTTTGTATTTTTAGTAGAGATGTGGTTTCACCATGTTGGCAGGCTGGTCTCTAATTCCTGACATCCTGTGATCTGCCTACCTTGGCCTCCCAAAGTGCTGGGATTACAGGCATGAGCCACCATGCCCAGCCGAGCCAGAGGAATCTTTACTGGGGAGATGTAAATCTGTATCTGGTATGTGATAGTAGTTACACAGGTGCACACGAATGTCAAAATTCATGAAACTGAACACTTAAGATCTTTCCATAAAGAAAATGTGGTATTATATACACCATGGAATACTATGCAGCCATAAAAAAGAAAGAGATCATGTCCTTTGCAGAAACATAGATGGAGCTGGAGGCCATTATCCTTAGCAAAATAACACAGGAACAGAAAACCAAGTATCACATGTTCTCAATTATAAGTGGGAGCTAAATGATGAGAACACATAGAGGGGAAAAACAGACACTGGGGCCTACCAGAGGGTAGAGGGTGGAAGGAGAGAGAAGATCAGGAAAAATAACTAATGGGTACTAGGCTCAATACCTAGATGATGAAATCATCTGTACAACAAACCCCAGTGACATGCATTTACCTATATAACAAACCTGCACATGTAGGCCTGAGCTTAAAATAAAAGTTTTTTAAAAAACATCTTTCCATTTTATCGTATGTAAATTATGCCTGTTAAAAACATAGTCGATTATTTCTAAAAATCTTTCACATTATTAGTTATTCTATAGCATAATTCAGCAATTTAAAAATATTAGCTGTCAGGATAGGAGAAACCTTATGGTTTAGCTGCCTAATTTACAGAGACATTCATTAACATATGATGTTTTCCTTTGGTCACAGGTCTGCCTTCTTTAACAGTTGGAATAGGCCGGGTGCGGTGGCTCATGCCTGTAATCCCAGCACTTTGGGAGGCTGAGGTGGGCAGATTGCCTAAACTCGGGAGTTTGAAACCAGCCTGGATAACATGGCAAAACCCTGTCTCTACTAAAAATACAAAAATTAGCCAGGCGTGGTGGGGGCGCCTGTAATCCCAGCTACTTGGCAGGCTGCGGCAGAAGAATCGCTTGAACATGGGAGGCGGAGGCTGCAGTGAGCTGAGATCGCACCACTGCACTCCAGCCTGGGTGACAGAGCAAGACTGTCTCAAAAAAAAAAAAAAAAAAAAAAAGATTGGAATAAACTCAAAAAGATTATCCACTTCAATAGCAAAAACTAGATTATATTTCAATTTGGAGGCCAATCATTGAAGGCTCTCTGGTAATATTGAGCAGAAAAGAGGGAAAAACATATCATATTGTGTATGGGTGATATATCTGTAGTGTCAGCCAGATCAGGAGCAAGGGACTACGGATTTATTCATAGGATATTTGGGAAAGACCATTTGAAATGTTTGCTGGAGGCAGGGAGCAAAGTTTGGGATAACTTTCGACATACCATAGCAATATTTGAAAGGCAGGTTTGAGACATAGGAGACTGCTCATTTTACTTGTCAAAATAAGAGAAGCAAATGAATATTATGAAATTCCCTGTAGATAAAGAAAATGGCAGGAAAATGACTCAGGGTAAAAAGACACATACCTTTCAAGTAAAATATTCTGCAAAATAAATTTCACACGCTAGCACAACTTAAAATCTCTAGGTTTGTGATGAAATTTAATCTTTCAAAAATATGAGGATAACACTTGGCCTGCCTAAATCACAAGATGTTTGTGAACGTCAGATGAGAAATGCCTCCTTCAAGGTTTTCTTTTGATTTCCTTAACAGTATGATTCAGCAAGTTTGCTCCCTCAACAGATATTCATTGAGTGCCCTTAATATGACAGACACTCTCTTAATTGCTTGAAACACATCAGTGAACAAAGCAGACAAAACCTCGGTTTCATGGAGCTTACATTCTATTTGGAGAAATCAGATAATTTTAAAAAATGCATAATAAATAAATCATATAGGTGATAAAATATAAGTGATAGGAGAAAAGAAACAGAACAGTGTAAGGGGAAGATATATCACCATATGAATGTTTTAGAGAAAGTCTTTTTTTTCTATTAAAGCAAAAAAGATATGCTACTCAGGAGGCTGAGGTGGGAGGATCACTTGAACCCAGGAATTGGAGTCCAGCCTGGGCCATAAAGCAAGACCCTGTCTCTCTTAAAAAATTTTTTTAAAAAATTAAAAAAAAAAGAGATATACTAAGGGAGCATTTATCCACCAAAACAATGAGACAAGCAGTTAGAAAGCACCCTAAGCAAGGATTGTTGGTAGGTATTGCAACCTAACAGATTAGAGAATAAAGCCAGTTCTGTCAAAGTGATGAAAAGCGTTATATTTAACACATTTTTTTGCCAACACCTAGTGCCTAAAATATATATATGAAAATATTGTGTCCATTAGTGGCCATTTTAAAATTGTAATGATTCAGAAAATTCAATAAGAAACAAAATCTGGCTGGGTGTGGTGGCTCACACCTGTAATCCCAACACTCTGGGAGGCTGAGGCGGGTGGGTCACTTGAGATCAGGAGTTCAAGACCAGCCTGGCCAACATAGCAAAGCCCCATCCCTACTAAAAATACAAAAATTAGCTGGACATGGTGGTGCGTGCCTGTAGTCCCAGCTACTCGGGAGGCTGAGGCAGGAAAATGGCTTGAACCCTGGGGTTGGAGGTTGCAGTGAGCCGAGATCACGCCACTGCACTCCAGCCTGGGTGACAAAGTAAGCTGTTGTCTCAAAAATAAATAAATAAATAAAAATTTTTAAAAAGAAGCAAAATCTTACCACAAAGTACATTTATCCATCTAGTTTTATTCCTTCTTTCTAAAGATTTTCAGAACATTCTCTCTTGAGAATGATGCTGCGCCATGAATGAGTAGAAATATTTGACACATTACTGTGAATTATTATTTTGTAAAATATATGTCAAAGTACTTGGCATATTACTGGCACATGTAAATGTATTTGTTAAAATAAAAAAATTGTTTAAATAGTCATAAGGCCTTATTGGGGATTACTGATTAAATATTTATGAATAAGAAAAAGAGCATTCATTTTTGAGAACTAGAATAACACTTTCAGGAAATTAATTGCAATTACCCTTGATGTGGTGGTCATTATAATATAGACTTAAACACTGTGAACATATGCTCATATTATGTCAGTTTATCCTATAGTTGCTTTATCCTTTGTTTTCTTCAATTTCACTGTTCATTATACCACCATTTCCTTCACAAAGCGTGAAAGAGAAGGGGAAATGAAAGCTGGTAAACAGAGTTTATGTCAGTTTGGCTCTTAAAAGAAAGTGAGGAAGTCAAAACAGATAAAATTAGGTCTGAGGTGTTTTCATCTATACTATTCCTTTTTTTTTTTTTTTTTTTTTTGAGACGGAGTCTTGCTCTGTCACTCAGGCTGAAGTGCAATGGGGTGATCTCAGCTCACTGCAACCTCTGCCTCCCAGGCTCAAGCGATTCTCCTGCCTCAGCCTCCAGAGTAGCTGGGATTACAGGCACATGCCACCACCATGCCCAGCTAATTTTCCTTTTTCTTTCTGTCTTTTTTCTTTTTCTTTTTTTTTTTTTTTTGAGAAGAAGTCTCGCTTTGTCCACAAGGCTGGAGTGCAGTGGTGTAATCTCGGCTCACTGCAACCTCCGCCTCCTGGATTCAAGTGATTCTCCTGTCTCAGCCTCCAGAGTAGCTAGGATGACAGGTGTGCACTGCCATGCCCGGCTAATTTTTAATTTTTTAGTAGAGACAGGGTTTCACCATTTTGGCCAGGCCGGTCTTAAACTCCTGACCTCAATTGACCCACCCAGCTTGGCCTCCCAAAGTACTGGGATTACACCGCGCCTGGCCCCAGCTAGTTTTTTGTATTTTTAATAGAGACGGGGTTTCACCATGTTGGTCAGGCTGGTCTCAAACTCCTGACCTCAGGTGATCCACCCGCCTCGGCCTCCCAAAGTTCTGGGATTACAGGCGTGAGCCACTGCACCCAGCCTCATCTGTGCTATTCTTATCCTGTATTGCCACAAATCACTGGGAGTACACTTGTGTGACTCACTGCAATTGCCACTTTCAGGAACTATTGATATACTGATATGAGAATATTTTATTTAATAATCGTCATCATTTCTTCTCTTGAAAAGTGCTTTTGCAAGCAGGTAAGAAGGAATACTAGGTGATCATTTGAACTCTGACAATTATTTATTTCTCTTTGCAAATGGAAATACAAGGAACGTCCTCCCAAAGACTGACGTGGAAGCAATACTTATGTTTCCATTGCATCTTGTTTACATCCCTGTTTCAGTTAATTCCTGTATTTTATTTAGTTGTTTGCCAGTCAGTTGTCCTCCCGACTGAAAACTCCTTGATCAAAGAGTTGTCTTTCCTTTTTGTAGCCCCAGGTTTCTAGCACAGGTGAAAGAATAAATAAATAAAAGATCACTGGGATTTACATGAGGGTTAGCCAAGTTCTGTCTTAAACACTGTAAGTCCAACAAAAACAGGTTGGAAAGTTTCTTATTTGGGAGTAAGCTAGCTCCCTTAATTGCAAGAAGCTCTGAATCAAAATATATCCACCACTCCCTTTTGTATCTCCATTATCTACATGTAATATAAATGCATCAAACCATTATATTAACTACTATATCTTAGCTGCCTTTCAAATAAATGGAAAGGTTAAAAAACACTGCTGTAAAATAGGTTATCTTGCTAATAGTGCATACCCAATGCAAACCCATTAAAAGTCTCACACAGTGTTGAAGTAGCTCCCTTTTTTGGTAAAGTTAGACTAAATAGCTTATACTGTGTAATTGTGATAATGGAATATTCCTACTAATAATTACTCAGAGACTCAGATACATTCTTGATGAAAAATTATCAAACAAGTTGCTTTATTTTTAACTTAGGACTTCAGAGGGCTTATTATTTCGAAATCAAATCTATTAAACATCATGAGTATATTATTTCTCATTAAGATTCCTTTTGAATTCATTTCACATGTTAAAGACAGGGTATCAGTGAATAATTTATAAGTAAAAATTATTTTATAATATTTATCTTAGAAATTAAAGTGAATAGAACATGAGAAAAAATGAAAAAAAAGGACAAGAAACGAATGGAGTAAGACTAGGCAGGGGAATTTCACAAGGTTAATTGCAGCACTTCTAGAGCACTCTTAGCTTACCATCAAATAATTTTACTAGCTATTTTATTTAGCATTAGTTGTCAATTTAACTCATTTCATAGGTCAACTATTATTGTGATTAAGAACTAATTTTTTTGGGAGGCCGAGGCGGGCGGATCACGAGGTCAGGAGATCGAGACCATCCTGGCTAACACGGTGAAACCCCGTCTCTACTAAAAATACAAAAAATTAGCCGGGCGTGGTAGCGGGCGCCTGTAGTCCCAGCTACTCGGGAGGCTGAGGCAGGAGAATGGCGTGAACCCGGGAGGCGGAGCTTGCAGTGAGCCGAGATCGCGCCACTGCACTCCAGCCTGGGCGACAGAGCGAGACTCCGTCTCAAAAAAAAAAAAAAAAAAAAAAAAAAAGAACTAATTTTTAAAAACCAAGACAATTATGTCCAAGTTTTCTTCATTTAATCAATATGGGACTATATTAAATGAGGCTATAAAAAGATGTTACTGGTGATCCATAAACCATTAGAAAAAAATAATGGTTTTTATTATTATTATTTTATTATTATTACACAATTGCATGTGTATAACATTTTGCCTAGTAATCAACTTTTTGTTTATGGCAGCTCTGTGCAAAATTCCTTCTACCACTAAATAATGTAAAAGAAGACAGTGGTTTTTGAACATTTTTGTTTGTTGGCCCCAAGTAGGGTTCCTTTGAAACAAAATTCCCCAATAAATCCACCTGAGTGTGGTGGTATGTGCCTGTAGTCCCAGCTGCTTGGGGACTGAGGCAGGAGGATTGCTTGAGCCCAGGAGTCAGCCTAGGCAACACAGCAAGACCCTGTCTCTTAAAAAAAAAAAAACAACCCATCAACCCAGAAAGAGTTTGGAGCATTATCTATGCTGTTCTTGGACCAGGAGAAGAGAAACAGCCATTTTAAGTTTGGGAAGGCAGTAAAGGTAGTATTGGGAGCTGATATAACCAGTTTTGAAAGCAAGAGAACAAACATCATTATAAATGATGGTTGACTATTGACAAGATGAAGAAGAACTGACACATTACTATTAGGCCAAGGAAGTTTGGCTAAGATGGATTTTATAAGAGCTCTTTCTTCTACCTACCAATAGAAGGGGCTCCCATCTGTCCCCCACTAAGAATTTCTCTGTGCTTCATCTATCTTCTTTCTGCTCACCACTGCCCCAGAAGGCCATGCTTCTCACTTTGAGAAACAAAAACTAAAAGAACTACATGTCTGCCCCAAAATGAAAACCTTTAACATGCTCCTGTAGTCACCAGTTCTCATAAAATACTAACCAATAGTTAATTAAGTCATTTTTGGGATGATTACCTGGTTTTTATTAGATCCAACCTGATTTTTAAGAGGTGCTAGGTGTAGATCGATAGCTAGCTAGCTAGCTAGATAGATATATAGATAGAACCTACTCCGGATAACTATTAAATGAGCTTACTCTCAGCCCACAATATCTTAAAAATAGATTATCTTTATTCTAACTATTCTCTTTATAACACATTTTCACCCAGTGGAATCAAGCACTGAAAATATGTGCTATGATTGCTTCATCTAAGTAACATAATGCCAGAAAACCAAATTGTAGTCATAGTGTTTATTTAGCAAAAATATTTTTAACTCGCTACTTAGCATCATGTAAATGCAACATCAAATAATCACTGAAATATGTCATCAAATATAATTAGCAAAAATATTTTTATCTGGCTATTTAGCATTACATATATGCAACAATAAATATTCATTGCAGCAAATAATCAAATATGAGTTTTTCTCTGATTTTAATCAAATTCATATAAAGACTATTTAATGATAGAATACAGCCTTTTCTTTTCACCTTTTCTTCTTATTAAATGCTAGGGAGCACAATTACCATTTGAACCTCACATTAATAAATTTTCAAGTCCTTTGCTAACATCAAAATAGTTTAAATTTATACCTATTTATTTTCCTAATCTAGGTTTCAGCAATTATATCACAATTTTCTGAAACGTTCACAAAGTTAATTTTGTTCCATTTTTCTCCAGTTACAAATACATACACATACATCTGTTTAAATTTCCACTCACCTTATTTTGATTGTATTTTCAAAATATATAAACGCTTTTTCTTGTCAAAAGGTGACGGTAAGTTATCTGTGTGAAATAGTTGTAGTAAAGGGAATTCTAGCATTTTTAACACAATAAATATCACTTTCTTCATTAAAGAATTCCAAAATGTAAAAAGCATACTTAAAGCTGCTTTGGGCCAGGCACAGTGGCACAAGCCTGTAATCTCAGCATTTTGGGAGGCCGAGGTGGGTGGATCACAAGGTCAGGAGTTCAAGACCAGTTTGGCCAACATGGTGAAACCGTGTCTCTACTAAAAATACAAAAATTAGCCAGGCATGGTGGTGGGCGCCTGTAATCCCAGCTACTCGGAGGCTGAGGCAGGAGAATTGCTTGAATCCGGCAGGCAGAGGTTGCAGTGAGCCAAGATTAGGCCATTGCACTCCAGCCTGAGCGACAGAGACTCCATCTCAAAAAAAAAAAATAAAAAATAAAAAAATAAAAAAAAACTGCTTTGAAGAAAGTGTTTCAAAGAGCAAAATCATGATGCAATTATTGTAATCTCAATGTCTGAAATCTAGACTACAGATTTTAAATATTTTCATTTTTAGGTATGCTATGATAATTAAGTACTATGAATTAGGTTACTGTACTATATAACAGTCAACTAAAATTGCAATCTTGTTTTATTAGTTTTTCAGATCTAGAACTTCAGCCTATGCAGCATGTGTCCAAAAAGAGGATCTTTTCTGTAACCACTAGCTGACACTAATTTTTTTAAATTAAGAAAGGAAAGCTAGATTACAATTATATACTCACCTTTCGGTGTCTTGAAATATTCCGGCAAAATTAAAATGAATGTGATCACTATTGCCACAAATAATTTAAGGAGGGCTGTTTTTGTCATGTCTCTTCACATGACACAAATGTGTTCCCTTGCAGTACATTCATGGTATGTTGCTTCCTGCTTTAAGTTTATCTCTGCAGCACTTTAGGTTAATGCAGTTCACCTCATACTCACTTCCTTTTGAGTAAGACTTAAAAAAAAAAAAAGGTCTTGAACTGAGACTTCACTTTTGAGTCACTTCCCATTAAAAAAAAAAACTACCCCCCAAATAAGCACTTTCAGACCATTTATTTGTCTTTCTAAGCAAGAAAGGTAAATAAATGATCTCAAGAAGCAAGGGGATCTTCTCCCCACCCAATTTATAAATATAAACCCACAGTATACTCACAAAAATAAAACGGTGGGCTGGGCGAAGTGGCTCACATCTGTAATCCCAGCACTTTGGGAGGCCAAGGCAGAAGGATCACTTGAGTTCAGGAGTTTGAGTCCAGACTGGTCAATAGAGCAAGCCCTCCTCTCTACAAAAATAATTTTAATATAGCTAGGTGTGGTGGTGCACTCCTGTAGTCCCAGCTACTCAGGAAGCTGAGGATCACTTGAACCCAGAAATTTGAGACTGCAGTGAGCCATGACAGGCCACTGCACTCCAGCCTGGGTGACAGAGTGAGATCCCTTCTCAAGAGAGAAAGAAATAAAAGGGTGAATGTCAGTCATGTCTAGGTTGCATGCACATGACTCATTCATTTACTTATTAAATGATTGTCGATCCTGTTTGGTGCCAGGTGCTGTGCTGAATTCTGGTGTTCAGAAAATAGTACATCTAGAAGATAGAAACATTTTAACCATTGCCAATTTAAAAGGAAAAAAAAGTATTGTTTAATTTGCATTTGTTTGGTTGACAGTAATTCTAAAGATTTTTAATATTTGCTGGCAATTTGAATTTCTTTTGTTAATTGCATGTTCATGTCTTTTATTGCAGCATTTATATCCTTCCTGTTGATCTATAAGACTTTTTTCTCTATTGGGAATATGAAATCTTTGCATATGTTTTGCAAACATTTTTCCCAGGTTGTCATTTGCCTTTTCATTTTGTATATGGTGGGAGTTTTTCCACCCAACTATTTTGTAACAGAGTATAAAACACGTACCTAAAAGTTTTATGCAGAGAAACACAGTTCTTCATTGTATTTCTAATATTACACGAAATAATGTATAGTTTATCAATTTAATCATTTATTCTTTTGTTTTTGTTTTTTGTTTTTTGAAACGGAGTCTCAATCTGTCTCCAGGCTGGAGTGCAGTGGTGCAATCTTGGCTCACTGCAACCTCTGCCTCCCAGATCCAAGTGATCCTCCTGCCTCAGCCTCCTGAGTAGCTGAGACTACAGGCATGCACCACCACGCCCAGCTAATGTTTTGTATTTTTAGTAGAGACGGGGTTTCACCATGTTAGCCAGGATGGTCTCGATCTATTGACCTCGTGATCTGCCCACCTCAGCCTCCCAAAGTGCTGCAGTTACAGGCGTGAGCCACCAAGCCCGGTCTCATTTATTCTTAAATACAAAGTTTACTTGCAGCCTGATTTTGGCTTCCTGAAATGCACCAAAACTCGGTCATCTCCCTTGAAGTGGCAACATCTGACTCTCTAACATCCTGTTAGGGTTGATGATAATACTAATGGCCCACATCTCCATAGTTTTGTTTTACAATTTCCAAAGCACTTTTACAAATATTAGATTATTTTTTAAAAACACAAATATTAGATTATAAAGGGGATTCTAGGAACTGCTAGAAATGGCTACAAATCTGCAATTACTTACCCACTGCAAGCTTCTCCTTCCTATTTCAATGAAGGAATAAGAGATTAACGAATCTCAAACACAAGAGGTTGTTGCTACTACGCTAGTGTTTAACTTTCCTAAGTCTTATATTTCATATCTGAGATCCAGGTTCTCAAAAATACTTTAATGTGTTTCTATTTCTAATCAAGACCAAACGTCTTAATTAAATAATTATGCATTCTGTGTTAGATACAAATGTTTAAAATTGAGAGGATCTTTTATATCAAGGAGGTGCTCTACCCTAGGAAAGCAAAAGCAATATACTTTTTAGAAAATTATAAATAGCAGCCTTAAAAAGGATAGTTTAAATTTAACTTCTACATATTTATTAATATACGAAATATACGCTTTTATATACTTTATATGAGTAATTTTTTTTCCTAGTTGAAACTGTCCTCTATCCCTTCACTATATTCTGTGGAAAGGTCTTTATTGGATCAACAGCAGCAGCAACAATCGATGGCATTTACTGAACATTTACTATGTGCTACTGCAGTGTTGAATGTTTTGTATGAATTATTTTATCCAATTCCCCAGCAACTCTCTCAGGGAGTTGCTGTTATTCCAATTGGATAGACAAAGAATATGGGGTATAGCGAAGTCAAGTAAGGGCTCAAAAGTCACATAGTTAATAAAGGGTGAAGCTAGGTGTCAAACCTAACTCTCAACCCAACACTCCATTATACCTCCACTGTCAGACTGTGTGGGAACATTTGTCAAGAAGGGCCACTTATAAAATAATAATCATAGCAAACACCAATACAGTTTTTACTATGTGCCTGATGCTGCACTAACCCAGGGTTTCTCACTGGTGGCACTATTGATATTTTGGGACAGGTCATTCTGTGTTGTGCGGGATATCCTGTACATTGTAGGATGTTCAACAGCTGGTTCCAGTAGCAGCCCTCTCCACCCCAGTTTTTATTTTTTTAATTAAAAAAAACAAAATTAAAAGACAGGGTCTCTATCACTTATGCTGGAGTGCACTGGCATGATCACGGCTCACTGTAGCCTCGAACTCCCAGGCCCAAGCAATCCTCCCACCTCAGCCTCCTGAATAGTTGGGACGATAAGCATGTGCCACCGGGCTTGGCTAATTTTAAATTTTTGTAGAGATGGGGCCTCACTATATTACCCAGGCTGGTCTCAAACCCCTGGCCTCAAGCAATCATCCCACCTCAACCTCCCAAAGCGCTGAGATTATAGGCATGAACACCACACCTGGCCTCCCCGCCCCAGTTTTGACAAACAAAAGAAAAAAAATGTTTCCAGATATTGTCAGATGTCCCTGGGGTGACAAAACAGCTCCCAGCTGAGAACCACTGCATGAAACGCTTCACTTATATTAGATCATTTAAAAAATTTTTTTTTATTTCCATAGATTTTTGGGGAACAGGTTATATGAGTAAGTTCTTTAGTGGTGATTTGTGAAATTTTGGTGCACCCATCATCTGAGCAGTAAACACTGAACCTAATTTGTAACATTTAATTGTTGTAACCACCTTATGAAATAGTTACTATCATTATTTCCATGTTAGTCACTTCAGGCCAGTTCTATTCTAGGTAACCTAATCAGCCAGAAAGTAAACTTAAAAGACAATCCATAACCTGGATCAGCCTAACTACTTATCTTTCTTTTCTTTTTTTTATTTTTGAGACAGGGTCTCGCTCTTTTGCCCAGGCTGGAGTGCAGTGGCACAAGCAAGGCTCACTGCAGCCTCAACCTCCTGGGCTCAAGCAATCCTCCCAACTCGGCTTCCTGAGTAGCTGAGACTACAGGCACACATCACCAGGCCCAGCTAATTTTTGTATTTTTTATTTTGTATTTATTTTGTATTTGTATTTGTATTTTAGAGAAGGGGTTTCGCCATGTTGGCCAGGCTGGTCTCAAGCTCCTAGGCGCAAGTGATCCACTCAGCCTCCCAAAATGCTGGGATTACAGGCGTGAGCCACCGCTCTTGGCCCCTAATTACCCCTAATTGTGTTACTGGCAGATAATCATCTACTTTGGCAACACAGCAATTCTTAGATTAACACATTTTTGTGGGGAAAAATAATCTCTTTTTAACAAGGTCTACCTGAGTATGGAGAGGGTCCCCGGAAATTCCAGTATCCTCATTCATTTTGTGGTCCATTCAAAAAATATTTACCCAACACTAACAAGACACTAGGCAGCGTCCTGAACGCTGGAGATCTAGCAGCAAGCACGCAAGGTTCTCACGCTCACATTCTAGTGAGAGCGTACATTCCAATGAGAGAGAGTAATTAAGTAAATAATAATTTATTTTCAGTTATTGTGGGTGTCCTGAAAAAAAAATCGGGCAAAGTATGAGGGTGAGATGTGCCAGCAGAAAGTTGGGCAGGGCACATGTTGGTTTAAATAAGGATGTTAATGAAGGCCTTGTCATTAATACAACACTTGGGAAAAGGCAAAACCACAGAGACAGAAAATAGATCAGTGGTTGCCAGAGGCTGGAGACAGAGGGAGGGGTTAATGACAAAGGGACATAAGGGAATTTTTAGGGTGATGGAAATGTTCTATATCTTGATTATGGTGGTGATTATACAACTGTGTGTTAGTCAAAATTCTAGACCTGTACCCTGAAAAAGATGTACATCATTTACTGTATATAAATTATAATTTAATAAACATAATTCTGTCTCTCTCCACTCACACAGCCTGTTTGCTATTTTAGAAACAGATAATTAAGAAAGGGGCTGTGGTGTCTCTGAGGCTGGCGGCTCTCCC
Source organism: Homo sapiens (assembly GCF_000001405.40). Classification (NCBI taxonomy): domain Eukaryota; kingdom Metazoa; phylum Chordata; class Mammalia; order Primates; family Hominidae; genus Homo; species Homo sapiens. The sequence goes on from NC_000004.12 coordinate 39,036,843, forward strand.
CTGGGCTGGAGCTTGAACTTAATAGAGCAGAAATCTAGAGAGAACCTCTGAGCAGGCCAACAGGAGACAGCAGTGGTACCTTCAGTGGCTGTGGCAAGGTTGCGGCAAAGAACTCCATGACATGAGTGCACACAGGAGGTCACCCCTTCAACAGCCAGGTTGAGTCAGCCCCTCAGAGAACCGGAAAAGGTGCTCAGCACTGCTCAGACCCCAGGCTGCGGGTCACTGAGCTGCCTTATCTTTGTTCACTCAGTGCATTTCTTTTTTATCATTATTATTTTGTTTTTTTTGAGATGGAGTTTCGCTCTTGTTGCAGTGAGCGTGATCTCAGCTCCCTGCAACCTCCGCCTTCCAGGTTCAGGTGATTCTCCTGCCTCAGCCTCCGGAGTAGCTGGGATTACAGGCGTGCGCCACCACGCCTGGCTAATTTTTGTATTTTTAGTAGAGACGGGGTTTCATCATGTGGGCCAGGCTGGTCTTAAACTCCTGACCTCAGGTGATCCACCTGCCTCGGCCTCCCAAAGTGCTGGGATTACAGGCATGAGCCACTGCGCCTGGCCCACTCAGTGCATTTCTCCTGTAAGTGGGGAAATATGGTTTGACCTGCCACCACCGGGTTTAGAATCCTCAGTGGGCAGAGTTTGCCCCAGGCCCTCACACTCAGGCCTCCTGAGACGTGGCTGGTCTTCTCATGCGCAGCCCACACAGGGCTGCTTGGCCCATTGTGTCCTGACCCCAATCACCTGTGGCTGGAAAGGCAGTTTGTTTTCACTAACAAAACCCCCTGCACTGAGACTGCAGCTTAGACAGGAAAGAACCTGTTGGAGCCTCTTTCCTCAAAAGAACTATGAGTCAGGCTTGTCTGCCCAGCTGTATACTCACAGAGTTGCGGGGACAAGGAGGGAAAACCACCCTGGAATGGATTCTGGAACCACTGTGGTATATTTCAGCCTCTGGAAACAAAGTCTGGCAACCGAACCACAGAATTCATTATATTGTTAATTACATGCATAAACAGGCAGGAAAGCATAACCAAAACATTCTTCATGATGGTAAATATAACAACCATTGAATATGTACGAGATAAAGTAAAATAAATTGCTCAGAGTCTGAAAGTATCAGGCCTAATAGATCCAGTCTCAGATAAAAAGAACTGGCTGCAACAAGAGAGCCCGTCCGACTCTAAGTAATACCATTTCTTGGTTTTCTTGGGGATAGAGCAGAGGAGAATGAAATGCTTGGTTTTGTTTTTTTTTGTCTGTTTGTTTTTTTCTTCCTTCTTTGTATTGCTTAGCCCGTTGACTCTGAATGTCTTCAAATGTGTACAGAGAGTGCCACCCTCTATTCACTCACTGTTTGTGTATTTCAGGTCAGCTGCTTGTTACTTAGCTAGAATCTTTCCCCAAGAATTCTGTGCTAAGTATAGTCACTGAATATAGAATGCAGGTGTGAATACAGGAATATGTGCTTTTACAAAGATGAACAAGATGGAGCTAGAAGAAGCTTAATAGTTGATAAGAACTTTGCAGTTTACATATCTGATTCATCTTTATTCATTCTCTCCCTCATAACAAGTAGCAGTGTTTTCTATGCTGTAGCCCTCTTTATAATATTTGGTAAATATTTTGTGATTTCTGTACACAAACTGTCAGCACAGTAACAAACCTAAATGCTTAAACTTGTATAGCGGTTATGAACTTATTCTCTCACAACATGAAAACAGAAGTCAGATTGAGTAGTTCCATTCTGTTAGTGAATCAGGAAGTAATATATCAAATACAAAGATTCATCCTGGAACTTTTTTTTTTTTTTTAGACGGAGTCTCCCTGTGTCGCCCAGGCTGGAGTGCAGTGGCACGATCTCGGCTCACTGCAAGCTCCTCCTCCTGGGTTCACACCATTCTCCTCCCTCCACACCATTCTCCTGCCTCAGCCTCCCGAGCAGCTGGGACTACAGGCACCCGCCACCATGCCTGGCTAATTTTTTTTTTTTGTATTTTTAGTACAGAAGGGGTTTCACTGTGTTAGTCAGGATGGTCTCGATCTCCTGACCTCATGATCCACCCACCTTGGCCTCCCAAAGTGCTGGGATTACAGGCATGAGCCACCGCGCCCGGCCCATCCTGGAACATTTTTAACTCATGAGACATCAACATCAATTAGTAGTCTTGCAACTGTTATTTTCAAAATGTAAAATAATTATATAGAGATGCTGAAATAATTTTTTAATACATGAAAGTATGAAATAATTTTTTCAATGCATGGAAATAAATACAAGAACTTTGTGTTCATAACCTTGTCCTTGTAAGTTTCTGAAATCCTAAGTTAATGACCTTCTAAAGTTTAATGAAACTCGTAGTAAAACACTATAGAGGAAAGGTCCTGTCTGTATATGTTATAACACTCAGTGGAAAAATGGCCATACTCAAGTAAGTTTTTGTTTGTAAAGGCTTCATATGCAGGGGGAGGGTGGATTTCATTCATTCATTCATTCATTCACTCATTCATTCAGAAATATTTCTGAGTGCCTGCCATCAAAGACCTCTCAGCTAGTCAAGGAGATAGACAACTAAGCCAATATTCACAGCCCATTGAGTAACTGCTACAATGAAAGGGGCATCCAGTGTACTTTGGGGGTACGAAGAAGGAACTCGTTCAGCTTGGAAAGTTCAGGATAAAGATCACCAGAGGAGGTGACCCTGGAGCTGAGTCTTGAGGGCTAGCAGATATTGGAAAGCAGGGTATTTCAGAAGGAGGAAACTTATTTAAAAGCACAGCTGTGGGATAAATGATATGTTCTCGATGCTGCAAATAGTTCAGAATGGACATAGGGCTAAATAGGTAGATAGGGGTTAGATTACAAAGGACCTTACAACAATGCTAAGGTGTTTGAACTTTACTTTTAAAGCAATAGTCACTAAAGCATGTTAAACACGGTCCTGAGGGATGAACAGAATTAAATTTGTATTTGAGAAAGGTTAAGGAGACTGACAGGAAGTACGGAAAGTCTTTTTGCAAAGACCTTTTTATTCAGTCAGTAACTATGGCCTGGTTACAGGAGACCTACTTGTAAATGGGTGAATGGAAATACTTGCATGAGAGAATGCACATTCCTTCCCCATGTCCCCAACGCTGTGTTGGGCAGTTCTTTCGGGAATGCTCTGGGGACTGCAAGGAGTGGCCTGACAGTGGGCCGGTGATGACCTTCCCAACACGTGTAAAGAGTGAGTCTCACCTGAAGAAGCAGCTCATATATTAGGACAGTCACCATAGTCCCGCAGTTTGACCCGGACTATGCCATATCCCTCTAACCAGAAGAATGGGGACAGAGGACAAGTGGGGCTTTTAGTCTTGGCTGTGACTGGGACAGGCTTGTGGCGGCCATGTGAAAGACAGAAAAGTGGGCCAGGCATGATGGCCCATGCCTGTAATCTCAACACTTCGGGAGGCTGAGGAGGATCACTTGAGCCTGGGAGTTTGAGACCAGCCTAGGCAGCATAGTAAGACTCCATCTCTACAAAATAAATAAATAAAATTAGCCGGCATGGTGGCTTGTAGTCCCAGCTACTCGGGAGGCTGAGGTGGGAGGATCGTGCCACCGCACTCCAGCCTGGGTGACACAGCAGGACCCTGTCTAAAAAGAAAAAAAATAATAAGACAGAAAAATGACCTTACTGTGCAGAGAAAGAAAGAGAGCCTAGAGGGAAGGAAACTAGGCAGGTTGCCTGCAAATTTATATCTCCCCTTGGGGATGGAAGTTTGTTCCTGGAAGAATGTAAATGGAGAAGAGAAGCTGAGCAAATGAATAAAGTTATCGGTGTTGCTTATATTTTCCATAATATAGTAATAATTTCATTTTTATTCTCCTTTAGATTTTAGCAAAGTTCACTTAGAAATTCTAGATTGGTTTAGCTGTGGTGAAGAGAGCTGAGGCTGGGCGTGGTGGCCCATGCCTGTAATCCCAGCACTTTGGGAGGCCGAGGCGGGCAGATCACGAGGTCAGAAGATAGAGACCATTCTGACCAACATGGTGAAAACCCGCCTCTACTAAAATACAAAAAGTTAGCTGGACATGGTTGTGCAGGCCTGTAGTCCCAGCTACTCAGGAGGCTGAGGCAGGGGAATCACTTGATCCCAGGAGGTGGAGGTTGCAGTGAGCCGAGATCATGCCACTGCACTCCAGTCTAGCAACAAAGCAAGACTCCATCTCAAAAAAAAAAAAAAAAAAAAAAAAGCTAAGGAAATTCTCTTTCTTGTCTTTTCTTTTTTTCTTTTTTTGTATTTGGGCCAAATTGACAGGTGAACCAAGAGAAACCAGAGTGAGAATATAAGGTAAACTTCAAGGGACACACTTTTAGTTGGATTTACTTGGCCACCTTTCTCTCCTGATTTGGAGATTTGCTTCCCAGGGGTACGATCTGGTCATATTTATATAGCTCTCTATTTTAATGAGACTGATTCCACAGGAGGCTGTTCATGTCAGAACTTGGAGAGCAGAAATACTACTAAAAGAACTCCTAAGTCCTCTAAAAAAGATCACATTCCTGGGATCCAGATTTTGAACATATATACTGTATATAATCATAGTTTAATCTTTTAATCCTCCCCACCCACACACCCAGTAGGCAGAGTACAAAATGAAAAATCAAACCGTTTCTTTATTAAGCGCATTTACATACTAGGGTTAAGTTCTCTTTACTATGTATTGGTATTACACTTTAACCAGACTAAAACATTGTTAACCTCATCATCATAATTATCAATTAAAATTATTTAAGCATTCACAAAAGACATCCTACTGACATCATGTATCAAATTATCAGTAGAGTTGTCAAATTTTCTGATTATGGCTGTGTTTCCTCTCATGGAAAATTATTAAGACTTTCACAGCATGTATTGATCCATCATACCCCTCTGATTCTATGGATCCATTTATGGGCAAAGTTATAAGATCTCAGCGTAAATTCTTAGCTGTGAATGCTTCTTCAAATCCTGTTCCTTAGTATTGCCAGAATGAGAGATAAAATGCCTTTTCAAATTCTACGTTTTTTTTCTTTTGAGATGGAATCTTGCTCTGTCTCCCAGGCTGGAGTGCAGTGGCTCAACCTCAGTTCACTGCAACCTCTCCCACCCAGGTTCAAGCAATCCTCCTGCCTCAGCCTCCCAAGTAGCTGAGATTACAGGCATCCATCACCACGCCCAGCTAATTTTTGTACTTTTGGTAGAGGTGGGGTTTCACCGTGTTGCCCAGGCTGGTCTCAAGCTCCTGACCTCAAGTGATCCACCCACCTGGGCCTCCCAAAATGCTGGGATTACCCGCATGAGCCACCGCTTCCGGCCAAATTCTACTTTTAAATAAGGTAAATGTGGGCTGTGTTTTAGACCTTATTAATACATCTAAGTCACATGATTCAGTTATAAGATAAATTGCACGAAAGCTGTTTGGCCACTACAAAAGGAATACGAGCTATCTCTCCTATTTGGATTCATTAATTCATTCAAAAAATATTTGTTGATTATCTACTATATGACAGATGTGGTGAATAATAGGCACTGGAGATTTAAAAGTAACAAAACAAAGCTCTGCTCTCATGAAGTTTACATTCCAGTGGGAGCATAGAGATAAATAAACAGATGTATATGTCAGGTGGTGCTCAGTGCTGAGAAGTGAGGAGTTGGGGGGCGGGTTACAGGTTTACATGGATAGTCAGGAAAAGTGACATGATGGAGGAGGGAGTTAGCTGTGAGAACAGCTAAGAGCCTGCTAGACAGAGGAACATGTGAAGGCTGCATGGGCAAGCACTTGGCCTGTTGGCAGAAGAGGAAGGAATCCAGTGTCTGGGAGTAGCATGAGAGCCCATGGAGGCAGCCAGATCACAGGGGATGTTTTATTTAATTGTTTTTACTGGGCTGATGGAGCAAATGAGCTGAAAATACAGATCAGTAAATAAAATAAGTTTCAGGATAGAACAAACAATATATTTCACCAGGAAAAATAAAAGATCATGTATGGGAATGCCTATTTCTTTCTTTCTTTATTATTATTATTATTATTATTTAGATGGAGTCTCACTCTGTCACCAGGCTGGAGTGCAATGGCACAATCTTGGCTCACCGCAGTCTCCACCTCCCTGGTTCAAGTGATTCCCCTGCCTCAGCCTCCCGAGTAGCTGGGATTACAGGCACGTGCCACCATAACCAGCTAATTTTTATATTTTTAGTAGAGACGGGGTTTCACCATGTTGGCCAGAATGGTCTCGGATCTCCTGACCTCGTGATCCACCTGCCTTGGCCTCCCAAAGTGCTGGGATTACAGGCATTAGTCACCACGCCTGGCCGGGAATGCCTATTTCTTAAATCAGGAATTTTTACTGCAATTGTTATCTGATTAGATTGCAATGCTTTTCTAGTCTTTCTCATTATAAACCTGAAAGAAAAATGCTGAACTAAAAATCCAAGACTGAACAAGTAACTATGAGCAGGGAAGAAAAAAAAAACAACTATGAGAAGAATGTCATTGCGGTTAATGTACACAAAGGTAAACACTGAAAAATCCAATAAGGGCTGAAACGTAGTACCAAATTCCAAAAATTCAAGCAGTGGGTTTGTTTACACAATTGTCTTTTGTGTTTAAAAACAAAGTTACTGAGGTCATTTTTATCTATGGGCGTAGGTGTCATGGCACAGGAGGTGGAGGGTGTCTCTTCCACATAGCTCCGATAAAAAATGTATCCTGTACTTTGTGGTTGGAACCCTCCTTGGGAGAGTTTGTGATGTATCTTCTTCCTGACTGTAACAATCTTAAATTGTCCCATCCGCTTCCCTTTGAACTAGCTGTCCATGTGAGTACTTCATTCTTTTACATCATATTGTTTTTTCCTAACCACTTCCCCAAGTGGAAGTGCACAAAACATCCCTAAATAGATCTCCCAGCCACCCCAGGCTACCACAATTTGGTTATGTTATTTGATTATCAGTCTTCTGGACCACTTGCTTTGCTTGCATTGGGTTTTTATTACGGAGACAAACTGAAGAGCTCCTGAACAAATGTCATCTGGGGGGGAATGACCACATTCAACCATCACGGACGGAGAGCATACAGCTAACTCAGAGTAGCAAACACTAATCTACGAATAATGAACATAGGCATTATTTTAAGAACCAAAAGAAAGCACGTGGGCATTTGGTTTACACATCACTCAGAGACAAAGTAAGGAAATCCCTCCCTTCCTAATGCATCATGAGCTACGGGGGGCAGGGACCATAGCTGTTTTGCTCAAACCTGATGATGAATTAATATGTAAAGTACTTTAGTGTTTTCATAAGGCGCCAAATAAATTAGTTGTTATTCTCACGACCTAGCATATAGGAGTTCAATGTTGGGTAGAGGAATGAATAAAGAACCTACTTTTTCTGATTCTTATTATTCCACCACTGGAAAACAATGATTATGGTCACAGTGCTGAGGATCATAATTTCGATGCCACAAACCCACCACCTAGAGCACACTAATTATCAGATTATTGCAAGGGGAATGGTTACTGAGGCTGGAGAAGGGAGGCGAGTCTTAGTGAGTTCCCTTTAAGCTCTGAGACAACAGAGGCCGCCTCTCTCACGGCCTTCCAGCCCTGCAGAGGGACCTCTTCCTAACTTCCACCCCCAGGAATTCCCCTAACCCCAGTTTCAAGGGGCGGGGAACAACCAGAATCTTTGTCAGGTCCTCTACGCCACGCCCCCTCCTCGCCAGAGCCCCGCCCAGCCTGACGTCCCCTTCCCCCACTAGCTCCTCTTGCCACAGACGCTCCCGTTCCCCCACCCCCTTCCCCGGCTCGGGCCGTCCCCACGCCGCGCAGGAGAGCAAAGAAACCCCCGGCGGGGCAGTGGCGGCCGCGGCCTCTCCGGGCGCGCGACCCGGCGAGGGGGCGGGGCCTGGCGGGAGGGGGCGGGGCGGGCAGCCGACTGCGCCGCGCCGGGACTGACGGGCTAACCGGTCCCCTACCCCCACCTACTCGCCCGCCCCCTCCGGGGCCACCCGGGGACTCTGACCCCCCGGCCTGGCGCCGCCTGACGGAGCGGGAGTGGCTCGCTCCGGGCCGGCCGGCGCCGGGGATGAGGCTGCCCGGACAGGGTCTAGGGGCGCGCGAGGGGCCGAGCATCCCACTCAGCTCGCCGGCCCCGGCCCCCGCCTCCCCCGCTCCTCCCGCCTGGCCGCCCCGGCCCGCCGTGACCCACGGCCGCCTCCGGAGCCCGACGCGGTAAGTGCGACTTCCTTCTCGGCATCGGGGAGGGGGCCGCCTCGGGCAGGGCCCGCTTCCCGCCCCCACGCGACTCTCACGCCCCGCTGCGGCCTCCCGGAGCGCGCGGGGCGCGAAGACGCTGCCCCTCCCGGAGGCGGCTGCGAGGCCCTCGGGTCCGGAGGGGCTGGGCCGGGCGGGGGCCTCCGCACACCGCGCCCGGGGCTCGAACCCCGGCCCGGCCTCCCCGCTGCGCACCCCCGAGCGCCGGAGCCGGCGCCCGGGCCGCCCTGGAGTTGTGGAAAGTTGTGGACGCGGTGCTGGTGGCCGGCAGTGAGGAGCGGACTGCGGTGCACCCGTTGCTGCTTTCCCGGACTGTCCCTGCCAATAAAACAAACTGGAAACCATTTCGGATTTTTTTTTTCCTCTCCTTATTACTTGCAGGCAATTTTGACCTAAGTTTTTAAGCTTTTCTTTTAAATAATACCCTCGCCCCCGGAGTGTGGAGAATAAGACGGGGACTTCATTTTCCCGAGACCCGGCGTGCCTGGTGAAACTTTTGCATTTAGGCATTTATTTCAGTGCATGCTCTGGGATCAGAAGCTGGCGGTAAAAGTTTGCTATGTCAGAGAGTAAAGCGTTACTGTCGTTTTTTATCGCTTCATTTCATTTTCAAAAATATTCTTCAGTAGTCGACAAGTTCACAGAATTCAAAAGGTACAAAAGGGGCAGACAGGCTCACCCCACCCACCCCTGCACCCTCCCAATATTCTGTTTCTGGTGTCTTCTTCCAGAGGTTAGATGTGCGGATGCCCCTCCTGCTTGCTTTGAAAAATGAGCTGCTGTTATGTGCCTGGCATCTGCTGGTGCTAAATAAATGTTGATTCTCCTTCCTGTTAGGAAACAGTTTAATAACTCTTTTTGGTTATTAGACCTCTGGCGGCAAAAAACCAATCATGACTTTTTTTTTTTTTTCTGGTTTTCAGCATTTACAGATTTGACTGCATTGTGAATGTGTATGTCCTATTGGCTTGTTATGACTTATGTGAATACTTTTACACAAAGATGAATACACTGACGTTGTTGGGTAATTGGGCAGGGAGGGCAGAATCAACATGAAATTGTAAGAAGATGCAATATGTACAATATATAGTTCCAGAAACTATATATTTGAAGCAATCTAGCGACCATGTAGTACCATAGGATAAAACAAACTAAATGGGAAAATTGAGGTAGAGCAGGAAAAGAAGAACACAAAGTCAAGAAAAAAGATAATACCAAGTTCCTATTTAAAAGATCCTGTACTAGAGATGAGTCACAGTTTGGGCCTTGGGCTTCCTGGGAGCTAGGTAAAAAGAGAAAAAGGAACAACATAAGTTTCAGCCTGTTTTGTCTGGGCGCGGTGACTAACGCTTGTGATTCCAGCCCTTTGGGAGGCCGTGGCGAGCGGATCGCTTGAGCTCAGGGGTTCAAGACCAGCCTGGGCAACATAGTGAGACCCCTGCTTGAAAAGATAAAATAAAATAACAAAGTTTCATTTTGTTTCTAATTCCAAGATTAGAAACAAACCAGTTCTGCCCTAACCAAGGCGTTTTCCAGTAATGAGGCCTGAGAGGCGTATTTTCCTCCTGGGCCCTAATGAAAAAAGGAGATATGGGATGCAGTTGACAATATCTTTAAAACGCCCCTAAGGAAAATAGTGAATTTTGCACGACAGTGTTTTTCAATATAGGAGAGTGATAAAACTGTTAATAAGTTTTCTGAAGGAGTGGAGTCACTTGATCCATTTATAACATTTAGAATGATCTAGAACAGTATTTCCCAAACTGTGTTCTAAGGAATGAGAAAATATTTCCTTTCTTGCAACAAGATTCTGAGCTCAAGTAAGTTTGAGATAACTAGATTAGAAAATTGGTTTTACTACAGAATTTCTTGGAGATTTACTATACTAATGTTCAAGTTGCTGTTTTAAAGCGGGATGTATTTTGTAATATTTTCCAAATCTATATGACTATGTAACACAAATTGAGGACCACTGAACCTAGAAAAATAGATGAATTAGCTGGGCACGGTGGCTCACGCCTGTAATTCCAGCACTTTGGGAGGCCAAGGTAGGTGGATCACTTGAGGTCAGGAGTTCAAGACCACCCTGGCCAACACAGTTAAACCCCGTCTCTACTAAAAATACAAAAATTAGCCGGGAGTGGTGCCACGTACCTGTAGTCCCAGCTACTAAGGAGGCTGAAGGAGGAGAATCGCTTGAACCTGAGAGGTGGAGGTTGCAGTGAGCTGAGATGGTGCCACTGCACTCCAGCCTGGGCAACAGAGTGAGACTCCATCTCAAAAAATAAAAAAAGATGAGTTATCTATTCTTCAGGCAGTTCTTCATTAGTATTTCTTACAACTGAGGTTTAATGAGAATTGGAAAGCAAAGAGTTGAAGTTAGCCAATTTGTTAAGGACCAAAGTGAAGATAATCTAAAAGTCGGCATTTTAACATACTGTATAGCAAAGGAGAACACTACTTTCCCCCGAATTCTTTCACATTTCTTCATTGTTCTGCAAGTTGCCTGTTGAAGGACCTCTAGGGCACCTTCTTCTGTGCTTCAGGGTACTTAGTGTCTATGAATTAGACTAGGCATAGGCAAGTTGAAGTCCTTGAGGAATGACTTTATTCTTGGATGTAAATATGGGATTGACATTTTTTATCACAAACACTATTTGTACTGTTAATTTACTGTCAAATCATAAGCATTCCATAGCTATGAGAAACCTAAGAGAACACAGTACAGAGTGGAAAGAGCGAAGATTTGAAGCCAGAAAGTCTGGGATTGTGTCACTGCTGTATGTGCAGGGTTGTTTCCAGCCGGTTGATGAACCTCCCTGAATCTATTTCCTTATTTGTAAAATTAGAATGATGAGAGCACATAAATTCATTTATGGAATAAATGTTGAGAATCTACTGGGTACTGGGTAGTAGAAAAACAGCTTTAAGAGAACAAATGAAATAATGTATCAAGAATCCTTCACTGTCTAAATTTATTCCATTCCTGAGTGCAGGTGGCAAGAGTATGGAAGGCAAGGAATTGCACCTATCCAAATGTATTTGGTTCCAGAGTTCGAGATGGCAAGTACAGAGAGTTGAGAGAATGAGGTGTTGGTCCAAAAATTTATCAGAATCCATTCGGTTCTTGTGTTCGGATGATGAGTTTGGATAATGAGGGGCACTTCCATTCCAAAGTATTCTCCAAATGATAGTGCTATACAAAATGATACCATTCTGAAAATAGAGGGCCAGAGCTGTTCATTGCTTCACTCCATTTATGAGAAAGGGGTTTGCTGAGTATACCAGGCAGGATAGATTATGCTGTGGTAACAAAAGAACTCTCACATCCTGTTGATTTTAAACAGCAAAGATTTTTTTCTGTTATACTACATGCTGAAGCAGGTCAGCAAGAGAACTCCATTACAAATGGTCAGTCTCAGGCTGTTGGAGGCTGTATCTCAACACATGCTTCCGCAGTTGTTAGGACAGGGAAAAGGATGTGGTGATTTTACATTGGCTTTTTTTTTTTTTTTTTTTTTGGAGATGAAGTTTCACTCTTGTTGCCCAGGCTGGAGTTCAATGGCATGATCTCAGCTCACTGCAACTTCTGCCTTCCAGTTTCAAGTGATTCTCCTGCCTCAGCCTCCCGAGTAGGTGGGATTACAGGCGCCCACCACCATGCCTGGCTAATTTTTGTATTTGTAGTAGAGACGGGGTTTCATCATGTTGACCAGCCTGATCTCCAACTCCTGACCTCATGATCCACCTGCCTCAGCCTCCCAAAGTGCTGGGATTACAGGTGTGAACCACCGCGCCTGGTGTACATTGGCTCTTCAGGGCTTCTGTCTGGAAGTGACACTTAACTTCCACTGCTATTTCATTGGCCAAAAGTCACTTGACTACACCCAACTTCAAGGAGATGGGGAAATGCATTTCTACCATGTGCCCAGAAAGAGGAGAACTGGAATAGTCTGTGAACGGTCTTAATGACTACTAAAGAGGCTTCAGAGTCCCATGAGCTAACACAGAATCTAAATAAATCAAAAGCCAAATATGTCAGTACAGTATTCTATTTAGAAAATAGAAAACAGCATTTCTTTGTGTATGTGAGTGTGTTTAAACAGAATTATGCTAATGAGAATTATGAAGAATGTCTTTTATTAGTTTGAAATGAAATGCTTTTGAGAACTTCACAATTAAGTTTGTTATTTTGGCCAAATGAATTTCATTCTTTTTAAATTGTATGTCCATTCAATAAACATTTGTTGAATGTGTATAAGGGGCCAGGTGTAGTGGCTCAAGACTGTGCAGTCCCAGCACTTTGGGAGGCCAAGGTGGGAGGATTCTTCAGTCCAGGAGTTTTGAGACCAATCTGGACAACGTAGTGAGACCCTATGCCTACAAAAAATAAATAAAATTAGCTGGGTGTAGTGGCATGTGTCTCCAGTCCGAGCTTCCTTGGGGGCGGGGGTAGGGAGGTGAGATGATTGATCATTTGTGCTTGGCAGGTCAAGGCTGCAGTGAGCCATGATCAGGCCACTGCCCTCCAACCTACGGGACAGCAAGACCTTGTCTCAAAAATAAATAAATAAAAAATAAATAAATAAATAAATAAATGAAAGTGTATAAGGCACTGTGTTAGGCCTGTGAGGATAAAAAGATAAATGAGGGTCGGGCATAGTGGCTCACGCTTTTAATCCCAGCACTTTGGTAGGCTCAGGTGGGCAGATCACCTGAGGTCAGGAGTTCGAGACCAGCCTGGCCAACATGGTGAAACCACATCTCTACTAAAATTACAAAAAATATTAGCTGGGCATCATGGTGCACGCCTGTAATCCCAGCTACTCCAGAGGCTGAGGCAGGAGAATCGCTTGAACCCGGGAAGCAGAGGTTGCGGTAAGCTGACATCACGCCACTGCACTTCATCCTGGGCGACAGAGTGAGACTCCATCCCAAAAATAAATAAATAAATAAGTGGGGAGTTTACAATCACAATAGAAAATAGCTATACTTGAGTTTTCTCTCCCTTTCTCTTTAAGGCATCATTTACAGTATGTAAATGATGTGTATACACACATATATAAAATAGTGAAAAATACTAAATATATAAACTGTTACACTTTGTTCCTCTCTGCCTTTTTGGACTTAAGGAGTATTTCATGACAAATTAAACAATGTTACTTAAATTAGCATAAGCAAAAGAAATGTTATGTTAGAAAAGGAATATAGTTTGTATCAGAGTCCAAGGGCAAGAAGTACAGCTGGGCCTCAAAGCAACTGGCACCAATAACAGAAAGCTAGGAGCTAGGGCTACTTTCTCTCTCTCCAAGTCTATATGATTTCTTGCTAGTGTCTCTCTCTGCACATGTATTTCTTTCTTCTTTTTCTCTATTGATTAATTTTTCTCTATTTTGCTGTTACATGGATGTTTTAATCTAAGAGTTTATGAACTTGAAACTAGAGGCTTTAACAATTTCAGACAATCTAAAAATGTTTAAGTGCATTGTCTTTGTAAGCTCTTAACCACCAGACTTAGGAAATAATGCAGTTGACTCTAAGGTATAACAAATTAGTGTAATTGACAACTTTATAGTAGAGAAAGAGGCAGTTATAATAGCTTTCAATCAAAGAAACCGAGGTGCCATGGAAAGTTCTACACAATTAACATGAGCTTGCAAATTCTAGTGAGACAGGCTGATTATGATAATCAGGATAAGAAGGTATAACTGGATCTGACTTAAGTAACTACGATATTCCCTCCCTGAACACTGGCAAATGCCATCTCCATTGTAATCCTTTCATCCATCCCTTCTTCCTCTCCCAGGGTAAGGATTGACTGAATTGTCTAACTCTTATAAGTCATCTGCTTTGATCCTGATACAGAGCTTCCTGGCTTCTCCTCATGGGTAATAATGCAGGAAGAACGGCACATGTAATATACTACCTAGCTCTGCTCTTTTCTTCCATCCAAACTGGTCTCCTAGACACTCTTTATCTGGACATTTTACATTTTAACATGCTATTATCATATCTCTTCACCAATTTAATCTAATTTTATTCTCAATAAATTTCTATCATTTTCTGTTAGACTCGTGTATGTAGCTTCACTAGCAGAATTCCCTTGCATTTTCAAACTACGCGATAATCTCCTTTCTTCCTGTTTGAAAAATATCCATAGCTTCACCTCATCAGTGGCCGAAGAGATTAACTATGGGGAGATGGTATATGTTACCTGAAGAGGATTTCCCAGAAAAAAAAAAAAAACAAGAATATGAGTAAAAGCTGTGTATGAGATTAGATTCAGGTTGTAGAATATCTGGAATGTCATATTAAGACTCTTAGACACTTGTTTCTGTGCAAATGAAGGGGTTTTCTTGGGTTTAACTAAACTTCAAATTCAGAAAGCTTGTTTACTCAGAAGGCTATCAGACAGGAATCATAGTTTGCCAGCAGGGCAGCATCAAATGTTCCTCCTCAGTGGGAGTGATTTTCACAGCAGTCCACGCAGGCAGCTCATAGCCATCTGGGCAGCACCTCAGAGGAAGCTCACACTAGGTGGTGCAGGAGCTGCCTTGGCTTAAAAAAAGAAAAAACAAACAAACAAACAAACAAACCAGGTCCCACAGGAGCCAGTGTCTCTTACACAACTCCATAGACTGAGTTTCCAGGGTTCTGTAAAAGCTATGCTAATTAAAAGAGCCATCACAGGGAAGTCAAAGCTATAGCTTCCTTATGAGGTATTTATGGTTCATTTATAGTTCTTGAGTCTTGATGCAAATTTACTAATCACAGGGATCATTTTTACTACAAGTAGTGTTACCTAATAACAGTTGAGGTACCTAGTTTTACAGATGGCCAGGGAACAGAGCCAAAAGAGTTAACTGAAGCTTAACTCTACTCATACTTGTATTATCTGCAGTGCCTTTCATTAAGAAGTATTCCATAATATTTCTTTTGCTTATTTTGATGTAGTGTTTTTACTCTTTTTAAATTTATTATTATTGTTATTATTATTTTTGAGACAGAGACTCGCTCTGTCACCTGGGCTGGAGTGTGGTGGTGTGATCTTGGCTCACTGCAACCTCCGCCTCTCAGGTTCAAGTGATACTCCTGCCTCAGCCTCCCGAGTAGCAGAGATTACAGGTGCCTGCTACCACGCCCAGCTAATTTTTTGTATTTTTACTAGAGATGGGGTTTCACTATTGGCCAGGCTGGTCTTGAACTCCTGACCTCATGATCTGCTCCCCTCAGCCTCCCCAGAGGGCTGCGGATCACAGGTATGAGCCACCACACCTGGCCCATTTACTCTTTTTTATAATGGAGAAAGTGAAATAAGTTGAGAGGAAGGTGAGCCTGGAAAGGCAGGCAAAGACTACTAGATCATTAAAAATCCTGAATTCCATGCTAAAGATCTTAGCTTTTATTTATCTTGTAGCTGATCAAAAACAAACAAAAGTAAATGTTTTAAGTAGAGTGATGTAGTCAAGAATTGCACTTTAGAAGGCTACTTTGGCGATAGCATGGAGAATAAGAGAGGATTTAGACTTGAAGTTGGTTGGTTCATTTCTACTTAATATTTGCCTTTCTTTGGGGAGCTATTTCTCTGATAAGCAGAAAGAAGGAATACTCAAGTCCGTGCTCCGCAGGAGTTTAGAATTGATGGCCTGGTTTCTGCATGGTTCTTTGGAGAGGCCTGAATCAGTTTGTCCTAAATTTATTTGTCATCTCCTTCCCCCCATTGGAGTTTGGGAGGACTACTCTGAAGTGCCTCCTAAGAACATTGGATTTAATCTAATGCATGATTAACACTAAGAAATTCTAGCCTCGACTGATCTCCACTAATCTCCATTTGACCACTAACATCCTCATTTTGCTTTTTGCTGAAGTTAAATTATTGAACAGGTTATTGGTGGCTTTTCTTTGGGTCTAGTTTTAGGGCAAGCTAGGCAGTTTCTTTAATGGTTAACTGGTTTAATTAACATTTGTAGTGATTAACCATTTCTAATTATGAGCAGTTGAGAAATAGTGCTTCACATTTTCTCCTCTTTATTGCTTTCACTGCCCATTACTACCCTTTCCCTACCTGACTTATGCTGTTCTAACAAAAATAGATAATTTACAAAATCTGGATTGGTCCTACAGCAGAATCAAGTTGATCTGTGATTGGCTCATTATGTGATCAGAGAGCCCAGGCAACTTTAATTGATTATACTTGTGTCTGGAGAGTACTGATTCATTATTTTTCAGAAAAAATTTTTTTTAATCTCCATCACCATAAAGCTACGTGAAAGACAGAAACACTTCTGGATTTGGTTGAAGTCAGTAAAAGACAAATTTGTGGTTATCCAGATTGTTACTTTTTATGGCACATAAGATAATTGGGTGTCTCAGCACATGCCAACTGTAATGGATCAGGCAAGAATTTAGCAGTGGTTTTCCATCATTTTTTTAATGATATTACAGTTTTCTTCCTTGTGCACAGCAAATATGTGCTTAACACTGACAAAAATCTAAGGAGTGGATAGCAAGGGAACCTTGTGTTTTACCAGTCATCAAGCTGAAGGAATGTTTTCAAAAGTAACGATTTTGTTATATCATAGTAGTATCAGCTGTAATAACTTTTACAGGTGAGCTTAAAATAAAGGCTATATAATATTAATTTAGCTGAGTTTTAAAATGTCCCTTGCTTTACTACCAGGTATCAGTACTGATAGGTAGTTGTGGAATAAAACGATTCTTTTGATGTTACTGTGGGCCAGTACTTTGTAAGAAACAGCAGCAGCAATTGGGAGGGAGCTAAGTAGGGAGAAATCTGTGAGGCACTTGTACTTGGTGAATAAATGTCATTTTGGCATTTAACTGCAGTTACGATGAACTTAATTTAAGTTTCTTCTTATTTAAGAAATCATGTGTTCCTTAAGTATTCTGTTCCCCCTCCCCGCTGCCTTTTGTGCCTTACTTGCTTTTAGTTTGGTCAGATATTATCGGCAAAGAATTTGTCTGTTCTGCTACTCTCTACTAGACATCTAACCTTGTCCAAGTCAACTATACTCTCAATCTACTTCCTCATTTGCACAACTACTCTACCTGCCTCACAAGGTATTTTTGAGTAGTGAATGAGAATACTTCTTGCTTTGAAAGCAAGAAGCACTGTGGTGTATTCGAAAGTATATGGTTTTTAGGGTCCATCCTGGACCCTGCCACTCACCAGATATAGGTATTAAGTCAGGTTAATTAATCTCACTTCAGTATCTTCATCTATAAGGAGTGGTGGGCTGGGGGCAGGAATGACCCCTGTTGGACAGAGTTTTTCTGACAACAAAATGCCCCAGTCAGTGTAAAGTATTTTATATATTATTGTGCTCATTTGGGCACTTAAGAGATAGTAGCTGCTGCTATAAATCCTGACCGTTACTCAATACTTAGATGTGCCACTTACTTAATCCTATTACTGAAGAGAGAACTGAAGACAAAGGAGGTGAAGTGATTTGCCCAAATTATACAGCTAGCTGGTGAGTGGCTTAGCTGTTGACTCAGGCTCTTTCTGCTGTGTCACTTAGGCTACCATTAATAAGTGATAATGTGGGAAAATAACAGCAGAAGCGCTCTCCACCAACTGCTTCTGAACTGACTTACAGCTCTAACTTGAGGCACACTCTTCTGCTGTAAAATGTACTTACTGATAGCATGGGCCAACTGAACACTCATGGGTAAGCAGGCAGCTCCATAGCTGACCTGTACATCTCTGCTTACTCGTTGAATTGAGTACTTACCAGAAGTTGGTTCTGTTTATTCACAAACCTGTTTTTAACAGTTATACTTGTTATAGTAATTATAAAACATTAGTAAACATGTAAATTGATGAAAGTGTAAAGAAAAGATAATTCTTCCTATGAAAATTAAGTTGAATGCTTTGGGATGCCTCTATATAAATGAGTTATTTTAAAAATTCTATCAAGTTGGATAAAGGCTGGATAATTCTAAGAGACTAGGGAAAAAGTCATCAAAGTCTAAAGCAGGGCCTGTCAAAGGCCATCAACCAGCTACCTGGTCTTCAGACTACTAGGGGTCCTCAAGAATATAAGGAGTGCACATTAGAATATTAATTAACTACATTAGGCAAACTAATGCACACTGGTTCAGCAAATGTTTTGTTTTCATGGTGAGACTTTCTCCTTGAAGAAAGCGATGCATTAATTTACAATCTGGCACAAGTTTTTCCTGTGGTGGACAGACCACTGGTCTAATGGATTCTGTATTCATATTATTTCAGAAGTGCTTTTAAGTTCTGTTTCCATTTATAGAAACCATAAGTGGAAATCATAGATGATGGATCATTGTGGGTACAGCTTATGCAAGACAAAGGACCCAAACTCAGTAGGAGACCCCTATCAAATATATGGCATTAACCCTATATGAAAAGATTTACAAATGAATGTGCATGTATATGTTCAAGTTAAAATAACATCTTTAAAGGAATGTATTTATTATTTTTATGATTATTGACTTTTTTCTTTAGTGGACCATCTACAGGTTTCATCTGAAAAGGGGGCTTTCACTGTACTCAGAGTTCCAGGTTGACTGGAAATAAATCTTTGACCTCTGCAGCTGTCTAAGCTTGCCTTGCTATATCTTAGCTTATCATATGCATTCTGTGTGTATCTTCGTCATGCTGTATTATAATTTTTAAATTTAATGTCAGTTCCTGCATTGTACGTGATATGGTAAAGGGACATAGTTTAGTTTAAAGGTTAAAGTTTACTCCATTTACTTTTTTTGCCTTGATTTTTTTCCTCTTGATCTTCCCTCGTATACTTATAGGTATATATTACAGTGATTTATTTAGGATACACAAAGAAATAAAATCCCTATATTACATGGCTTTTACCATGAAGTCATCTTCAGTTTTCAGCATATATCAAAGTCCTTGACTGCTTAGTTTTCAGTCTACCATGTGGTTTGTAGAGCCAGATGTCTTGGTATAATACAACTGAATTTAAATTGTGTGTGTGTATGTGTATTGTGTCAATCTTGCCCTGTTGCCCGAGCAGCCGTGCAATGGCACAGTCTTGGTTCACTGCAGCCTCCACTTCCCAGGTTCAAGTGATCCTCCTGCCTCAGCCTCCTGAATAGCTGGAACTACACTGCATCCGACTAATTTTTGTATTTTTGTAGAGATGGGGTTTCACCATGTTGGCCAGGCTGGTCTCGAATTCCTGACCTCAAGTGATCCACCCTCAGGGGTGCTGGGATTATAGGCATGAGCCACTGCACCCGGCCTGAATTTAAATTTGACATTTTAAAATTTTCATTTACCAATTAAATTAGAAGTATTTCCCAGTTGTTTTTAACAAAGTGAAAGATTTAACATGGTGCTAGAAATCTTAGTTTTGAATTTCAAACTATAAGTTTTTTTAATTACAGAAGAAATTTTGGTGCCATGTGTTTGTGGTATCGAGTGAATAGAATACAAACATAACCAAAGATAACCAGTGTTAACCCAGGGCTCACTTGTTCACACTTTAAATTTCCGGTTTCTTAAATAGATTAATTTTTGGCTCTAGAGTCCTATCCTAGCTGTTTGATTGCTTGATATATAATTAAAACCAAACATGTCTAAAGCCTCACTCAATCCTCCTGAAACAATATCCTTACCTCCTTACTTATGTTAATTTTAGTGTTCTTCTTCCAGTCACTCAAATTTGAAAATGCTGTCATCTTTGACTTTTTCCTCTCCATTTGCCACAGCCATCCTATAAGGTCTCTGTAAAATCTTCAACTTCAACCGCCCTTTCAGATCTTGTTGCTTCCAGTCAAGTTTGAGCTGTGCCTCTCACATGGTAGAGTTTTCTAATTTGTTTCCTTATGAGGTATCTTCCCTTGTAAATCCATTTTTCACCATTGCCAAATTAATCTTAAGATATTATCTGTAAATCCTCACCTCAAAAACCTCAACTTCAACCAAATAAAGGACATACTTACCTCTTCTTAATTCAGTAAGAGTTTCATTCAAGACCCTCTGTTGCTGGATTTTAAAATCTTTCAAGTCAAGAGCTGTGCCATTAATTTATTCATTTTTTAAAATTTAAAGTCAGAAATTATTTAAATACCATGCACTGTACAGGTTGTTAGGGATATAGTGGTCCCTGTCCTAATTGATTTTTGTGGTCTATTTCCTTATCTTTGCATTCTGTTCTGCTTACAGAACAAAAGATTTGTTGCATTTACAGAAATACAGGATATTTTTTACATTTTTAATGTTTGCTTTTTATGAGAATGGAGAAGCAGTACAGAATATCTGGTATATTTCTAGAATTAAAGTCAAGGTTAGTAAAAATAGATCTCAAATCTTTTAGGGTAAATAACTGAAATTTTCCACCATCATACATTTTTAAGTGTTAGGGAATTTACATGTTGGTAGAATTATACTAATATTCAAATATTTTAAATCAAATTCTGATAGACCTAATTTGACAAAGTTTAAAAAGTATCCCTGAATTATTAAACTTTGGAGGGTGCTTCAAAATCATGCAATGCAACTTACTCTTTTTATAACTGAGGAAAAACAGAGAGGTGAGAGCTGCTGGGTTAGTATGGTAAAATTCTTGATTTTTTTAATGCAGTGCATATCACACACTTAAAACTTTAGAAATAGATTTATTAAAATTGATGAGCCATAAATACTGTTATCTAAAAAACTCTATGTGAAGAGAGATTGATGTAATTATGATTACTAATATAAACTAGTTACCAAATAGCCATGATTTAAGTTGAGTGAAGACATAGCTTTAAAAGCCACACTGTTGAAGTGAGCTCACCTTCAGTCTATCTTAATGACATTTCAGTGTTTCTATTGTAATACTGAATAGTGTCATCTTTTAAATTCACAGACAAGATTTGAGCGGTTTTGAAACAGAAGTTGCACATGGGTCCTTTAATTACATTTTGAAAAATGTATTCATAATTGACACATATTATCTATTTTAAATAATACGTGAGCTTTTGTATCTCAAGTTTAACCTGAAATAAAGCAAGGTTATAAAATTAGAGGTATAGAATATAATTTTGTAATTAGTTTGAAGAAAGTGTGTCCATTTGAAAAGACATCTGTTTAGCCATTGGATTTCAAGTGATAGAATTTTATGCCTTAAGAATGAATAGAAAAAAGAAATTCTTAGAATAACATTGTGATTTTTCTCCTAAGTTGAAAAAATACCGTACGATTTTGTCAGCCAGGCAGCGTGGCTGTAATCCTTGGACTTTAGGGGGCCATGGCGGGTGGATCACTTGAGCTCAGGAATTCGAGACCAGCCTGGGCAACATGGCAAAACCCTGGCTCTACAAAAATTAGCCAGATGTGATGGTGCGTGCCTGTAGTCCCAGTTACCTGGGAGGCTGAGATGGAAGGACCCCCTGAGCTCGGGAGGTTGTGGATGCAGTGAGCTGAGATCGAGCTACTGCACTCTAGCCTGTGTGACAGAGTGATACCCTGTCTCAAAAAATATATATATATTTTGTCACCAAGGTAAATGTGTCTGTAATTTTAAAATTAGATTCTTTATTTTATAATTTAAAAAATAGTATAAGTATATACTTTTATTATTGCTCTTATAATTGTTGGATTTTATTATAGCTCTTATAATTGTTGAATAATTTATGTATTCATTAGAGAAATATTTATTGAGCACCTACTGTCTCCTAGGTACTATTCTAAGTGCTGGGATTACAGTGATAACCAAAACAAAGCCCCACTTAAGCTTACTTTGTAGTGAGGATAAAGACAATAAGCAAATAAACATCTAATATGCCAAGTGGTGGTAACTGCTATGAAAAAAATTAGGAGGGTCAGCGGGCTTGTGAATGATGAGTCTAATTTACAGAGAGTAGTCAGTGAAGACCATTTTGATAATTTAATAATGTAATGATTTTTAATACGTATTGATCGTTTATAAATAATTTTCCTGGGAAATACTTGGCATCAGAGCTGGACAAATTTTGGGGCAAAACAATTTTATATTGTTGGTGAAAGTTGTCGGAACAGAAAAAAAAGTGTTATTTAAGTGAATGCTGAATTTCATGCCATAAAGGCATTAATGTTTAAGCTTACTTCATATTTTTATAAAGAAAATATCAGAAATATAAGAACTACAGATCAAGAAGATAAAGACTGATAACTTAATAGAAAAAAAAAGGGGCCTAAATAGCCACTTCATGGAGGATATCCAAATAACCAATAAACATGAAGAGTTATTCAGCCACATTAATAATGAAGAAAATGTAAAGGAAAACCAAATGGGATACCATTACACACCTGTCAGAATGACCAAAATTAAAAAGAGAATATGGCCAAGCACGGTGGCTCACGCCTGTAATCTCAGCATTTTGGGAGGCCGAGGTGGGCCGCTCACTTGAGATCAGGAGTTTGAGACTAGCCTGGCCAATATGGTGAAACCCCATCTCTACTAAAAAAAACAAAAATTAGCCAGGCTTGGTGGTGCACGCATGTAATCCCAGCTACTCAGGAGGCTCAGGCAGGAGAATTGCTTGAACCTGGGAGACGGAGGTTGCAGTGAGCCGGGATCACGCCACTGCACTCCAGAAACCCTGTCTCTAGTAAAAACATAAAAAATTAGCTGGACATGGTGGTGTGTGCCTGTAGTCCCAACTACTCAGGAGGCTGAGGCATAAGAATTGCGTGAACCCAGGAGATGGAGCCTGTAGTGAGCCAAGATCACACCACTGTACTCTTGCCTGGGTGACAGAGTTAGATTCTGTCTTAAAATAAAACAAAATAAAATGCACATACCTTCAACCCAGCAAGTCCACTCCTGGCAATAAATTCTGTAGATATAAAAGCCTCACAAGGATGTTTCTTTCAACATTATTTTAATGGCAAAAACCCAAAAACCTGAAATCAACCTGAATGCCCATTAGCAGGGAGATAGTTTAATAAATTGGTTTTTTTACAGTAATGAAATATCATGTAACTCTTAAAAAGATTATTAATTTATATTTCCATGTATATATAAAATTAGGTGAGAAGAGCAAAATGCTAAAAGATGAATACAATATGATCTCTTGTATAACAATAGCAAATCTCTTATATATGTGTATATAAGTTTGTCCATGATTTATAAACATGGAGAGAGGTGTGAAAGGCTATATGTACCAAGCTTGGCGTCAGCAATGATTACCATGGGAATGAGTGGAGGAGGATTGGCAAAATAAAGGTATCATTTTTCATTGCCAGATGTTTGCTGTCTCTGGCCCCTGCACACTCAATGCCTATAGCACTCTGGTCATTCCAACAACTAAAAATCTACCACCACCACCACCACCACCACCTATTTTCCAGAAGCCTTTAGGAGCAGGTTGATGCTTCCCTTGTTGAGAACCAGCTACTTAGAGTAACTGAAGTGTTTACAAAGATGATAGTGCCTGAGCTAAATCTTGAAGGATGAAGTGTGTTTTTTAAACCAGAGTTTCTCTGGGAGGCAAACAGTGTTATAAAAGAGGGAACACCATAATGTAGACTGCCTTGACCAATGAAGTGGTGTGTCTATGTTGGAAAATGGTTAGAAATAAAGTTGGATAGCTAGAGTGAAGTTAGAAGGATGTTGATCAGAAGGAGTCTGACAAAGGTGAGAGGAGAGGGGAAAGTGTCATTTCACTCTCTAATGCGTCCTGCACAGTACTGCCAAGTTAATTTCCTAAAACATTGTCCTGTTCAACAGTCCATTCAATAATGTCTTTGCTGCTTGCTCAAGGCATTTTATCTCATCGTATTCATCTAACTTTATCTCTTACTACACCTTAAAATTAATTTGGTATGGCTGGCTGATCAAACTGATTATTTCCCACTTCTTCCTTGTAGATATGCCCACTTCATGCTTTTATTAGAATCTTTTTCTGTAGAAATCTATCATTCTACCTAAACAATGTTTTACTATTCTTAGCAGCCTTCTCCCTAATGAAACTGGCCCATACCACTCCATTGCCATCCTGATATCTCCTTTCTTTCTTACAGTTTGTATGGTTTTTCCCGTATTATTTAGCATGAAATCATACTTGGCTTTTTATGCTTCTCATTCTTGTTTCTCTGAATAATTTGTATTAAGATAGACACCTCACAATATTTTTGTAAGCCTCCAAAGTAGTTTTTGTTTTTGTTTTTTGGTCAGCTTAGATAGGCATTGCCTTTTGTATGGAATTAGTTGATAAAGGAGTAAATACTGAGCACCCTGAAAACTCAAATTCTGCATTGATAGATCACACTTTAATATTGCAGCATTTTAATGTTTCTTATTTTACCTTATCAAATATTTTGTATTTGGTTCAATAGCTAGATTTAATTATTTTGGGGGTTAGGAACCAAGATATATATATCTCTGTGTCCCTGACAATGCCTAGTAGATTGCATTGTTCACAATAACTACTCAGTATTTTTGAGTTTATTTGTATTTGCTTTATCAATTTGCCTTAACTGTAACCATGTTCAAACCATTGTTTGTTTTGCTAACAACAGAGGGCACCATTAGGGCACTTGTACACCCAATAGTCCTATCCCAGTCCCTGGTAGCTTTTTTGAGCCGCACTTTTCCTTTTCCTAAGTAATGTCATAGAAATTTGGATGTTACACTAACTGGCAGTGGCCCATTTCTACTTATAGAGAAATCCTGGCCTCAGTTTATTTGAAAAAGAGTATTTGTTACATTTTGATCCTTTGTAGTTTTCAAACTTTTTATTCTCCTCATTATTCTTTATCCAAGTGAAATCTTACCCAGGATCTTACTGTATTAATTAGATCCATTTGTTTTCTGAAGGGAGAAGATAGAGGTGAAGGCAATAGTCTGGAGCCCCACCTTTGTACTCCGCTTTCCTCCTCATTCCCCATCCAAAGAGCACACCTGGAAAATCACCATAACTCATCTAATTTTACAAATGCTTTTTTAAAAACTTGTTTTGTGGTATTTCACTTAGGGACTTAGTTTAGAAATAGAAACATTTTAGTTTTAAAGTGATTATTTTTAAGTACAAAGGGAAATGCTATAGAATACATTTATTGTTTCAGCAATGAAAGAGTTAATATACTAAGCAGCAGAGACTGAGATACTGCAACGGGGATAGTGTTTTCTGTCTCTGTCATTTGTGGTTTAAGAAAAAGGGGGTGGTGTTCTGCATTTGAAAGGACTTTAATGAATGCTGTCAGTGTTTGTGAGACCTAATGGTCAGTATGGGAAAGGAGAGCCGGGAAAGTGGTCTAGCTGCTTCAGGATAGGTGGATGAGAGTTTGCTCTGATTGAACGGAATGTTCCACCGTGTTTCATCTTTATTCATTATCCTTTGTTCTTTAAAATCTGATATATTGGCATAAAAGTAATTGTAGATATATATATGAATGTGATTTATTTTCCTTTACATATTTTTGTTGTGTACAGCAGGGCATATACTTCTCTTGTCTTGGTTGGATGCACAAATCTGTGTGCAGTGCTTTTTGCCCGTTGCCTAGACGATCACTTGGTTTCTCTGAGGATGTCTGGTTCTCGTAAAGAGTTTGATGTGAAACAGATTTTGAAAATCAGATGGAGGTGGTTTGGTCATCAAGCATCATCTCCTAATTCTACAGTTGACAGCCAGCAGGGAGAATTTTGGAACCGAGGACAGACTGGAGCAAACGGTGGGAGAAAGTTTTTAGATCCATGTAGCCTACAATTGCCTTTGGCTTCAATTGGTTACCGAAGGTCCAGCCAACTGGATTTTCAGAATTCACCTTCTTGGCCAATGGCATCCACCTCTGAAGTCCCTGCATTTGAGTTTACAGCAGAAGATTGTGGCGGTGCACATTGGCTGGATAGACCAGAAGTGGATGATGGCACTAGTGAAGAAGAAAATGAATCTGATTCCAGTTCATGCAGGTTGATTATTTTCTTACTGTTAGAAAAGGGGTGTGGGGGTATGGCTCTATAATGTTTTTAAATAATTTAGTATTTATTATTTAAAATCTGATTATATATGTACATCTGCATACATATATATAATATCTTGGTATGAACATGTGATACTTCTGCTAGGGTTTTTTTAATGTTCTAATAGTCTGTAAAATTACAAAGACAACAAATAGCATTCATTTTGAAATATCTTGTGTTCTATATATAGATCTGGCTCAGCTTTGAAAATAATATATAGTAGCAATTTCATGTATCATTGCCTGTGGTTTGCTTCATTCATTAACCTTCTATATTCATATCAAAACTATAGAAGATATTTCTATAGTATGAAATTTTATGTGACATTTTAGTTTATAACAGATGATAGAGTCATTTTTTAATTTAATGAAAAGGAAAGGTTTTGCAAAGAGATGCACATTATAGTCACCAATTTTTTGACACAATTGTAGTTGTCAATAATATTTTTCTTATGGTTATTTCTCTTTGTCCTGTCTGTGTTACAGCTCTCCAGACTAATATAGAGAATACTAAGTAACATGTCTCTAAGATGACAGCTACTAATTCCTGTTACCTTCACTTTCACTGAAATGTGTGCTATTTAGGGAAATGAAGGACATTCCTCCAGGAGAGTTTAAGGGAATGTAGAGGGGCTAGATGTGATTATCTGGTGAAAAGGGGACAGGAAGAAGGGGAAATCAGTTAGAAGAAAGAAAATAAGGAAAAAAATAGGTAATTTCATAGTGACTTTATCTACCTTTATCTTGGAATCTGCCTTTATCTTTGAAATGGATTTTCTTATTCATCAGTTTAAACTACAATAAGATTATATAACAACTTAGAGCATGAAAGTCATCTTTCTGATTAATCTTCATTCGAAAATATTTCTAAATATTTAAAGGCACAAATAGCTTATCATTTGTCTAATTTGATTATTATATTTTTCTCTTAAAATTTCTGTGCAGCTTTTGATAACACTTGTAATTTGTAAGTTGGTTATTAATGATGTAGGTGTCATATGGATTGAGACAAAATGAATTTATATATTTAAGTGTCTCTTACTTGAGGATATTTACCACCTTTTCCTCTTCTAACCTTAAGAATGTGGACTTGGAAGGATAAAAAATGTTTACTCTAGTCATCTGTCATCTTCTGTGTAATGGAGAGAGGGGAATATCTGTATGTAGGTAAATAGTGTATTTAATTTAAATTTTTTTTAATTAGTTCATGACTTGGCATTATCTTAAGGGAATAGAAGCCACTAATTTAATTTGGAGATCAATTGAGCTAATGTGGTTCATTGTTTGTATTTTCTTTGGAGACTTGTTGCCATAAAGAGAACAATTTATATAGTAAAAGATTCATCATTTTTGTGGAGAACCAAAGAGTAAATGTTTCATTTGAAAATCAATATATCAAGAATATTTTAACAAAATTAGAAAAAATAAAACATTCATTTACCAACATAAGTAAATTCACATATAAAACTCTTAACATGTTATCTACTACTGGAGAAATTATAATGTGAATATAAAATTTTTATACATGTGTAATCTTGGAAAAATTATACACACATTGGTTGCTATAATTCCTTACAACAAAGGTAGTTTGCATGGCTAATGATTACTGAAATAAAATTAAGCTATTCTTTAGTATGCATACAGAAATATCTTGGTGGGCTATTCATTATGAAATAAAAAGATTATCCTTTTTTGACTGAGAGATTGCTATGTGCATTCTTCAAGAATTTTAAATTGACGTTTTTCATTTATAGGAGATATAAAAATAAAATGGCATTTTTAAAAATCTAAAATAAATGAAGTTGTTTAAAAAATGCTACTCAAGAAGACTCATCAAAGTAAGACGGGTGTGGACAGTTTACATCTTCAGTGACCAAACTATTCCAAAAATAAAATTTCAAAAATAAAATGTACTGTGAGAAAATGTTTTTGATTTTTAGATATGAGGGGAAATATGTCAAAGGAATTTAATATTTTGGATGGTTTGAAATTTCAATCTTCTTATTGCAAATAAGAAAAAAACATTCAAGATTTTAGAAAAGTCCTTTGTGTGTATATTCTTTTTCTCTATTTTTTTCTAGATTAAATAGATCTAATTTTTACATCTTCCTTCAACACCCTGGCTGAGTCTTTGACCTTTGTCATAAAGATACATTTATTTGCCCTCAGCTTTTTGATTAAGTGAGCAGTCAGACTTCTCTAAGTAGTTGTTCACCTACTGTAAACAAATCAAAGCCTGTCACTGTTAATGTCACACTGACATTCATCAATTTTTTTTTTTTTTTTTTGAGACAGAGTCTCGCTCTGTTACCCAGGCTGGAGTGCAGTGGCGTGATCTCGGCTTACTGCAACCTCTGCCTCCCGTTCAAGCCATTCTCCTGCCTCAGCCTCCCAAGTATCTGGGACTACAGACATGTGCCACCACTCCCGGCTAATTTTTGTATTTTTAGTAGAGATGCTGTTTCACCATGTTGGCCAGGCTGGTCTTGAACTCCTGACCTCAAGTGATCCGCCCACGTCCGCCTCCCAAAGTGCTGGGATTACAGGCGTGAGCCACCACACCTGGCCTCATCAATTTTTTAAATATAACTTTGGAACAATTCTTTTTCTTATATAATATTTTGCAAATAATATATAGTAAATATATAGTAAACATTCTGAGCATACTACAGATTGATATCTTAAAATGTTAGACATAATGAAGAAATGCATATGATATACTAATTACTCGTTTTAACCGTCATAATATTTACATGGATTTCAGAACTTAAACTGAAATTTTGAGTTATTAGAAAAAGGGGAAGACAGCTAAGTGGTCTTACATACTCAGAATCTCATTAACCATGGTGGATCTGGACAGTTTAAAGCAGGAATTAAGGGACAGCGTATGTTGGTCATGTTTTATCAATTGTATTCTAACAAGGAAAAATGTCTGTCTGAGTCTTAGACTTCTGGTAATTTCTACTGCCATCCACCTAAGTGATTTAAAAGTTTCTTGTCTTTTAACTTTGACTTTGCCTCTGTAGCCTAGCTACCTTTTCTCCATGACAGTCATCTAAGTCATTACTTTGCTATTAAAATACAAACTTAGTCTTCTTATAACATGAGGAATTTTAGACCTTAAGTAACAGAGCTGTCACCTTTTATGTGAGCAATAGGATCCTAAGTCCTTAATTGAGGAGGAATTCATACCAGGGCTAGCAAAATCTATATGGCGGCCCACCATGTAACCATAGTATAAACATGATTTATACTTCCCTTGATTTACTGACCTTGAAATTATGTAATTTTTGACATATTTTCAATTGGAGGAATTTTATTTCAAATTTCATTTATAAAGTTAGAGTTTAATATCAGGCTGTTTTTTACTCCTTTTGCATACAATTTTACTGCACTTTACAAGTACAGATGCCTCCTGACATAAAATTTTTCAACTTTACGATGATGGAAAAGCAACATGCATTCAGTACATTCCTCAACTTACAATGGGGTATGTCCCAATAAACCCACAATATGTTGAAAAAATATCCTAAGTTGAAAGCGCATTTTCTATTTTTGATGGGTTTATCCAGACACAACACCATCATAAGTTAAGGAGCATCTGTGTTAAAAAATAATCATTGCTGATACTAAGCAGTGCTTCCTAACTGTGAGGCACTGTTCTAAGCACTTTACTATATTAACTCATTTAGTCTTCACAACAAATTCTTGAGTTAGGTTGCTGCTATTATCAACCTAATTCTAATTTTATAGATGAGTCAAGTGAGACACAGAAAAGCTAACTTGCTCAAGGTTAGTAAGTAAAATAGCTGCATTTTTTAAAAAGAAACTTTATTTTTTTAGAACCATTTTACATTTACAGGAAAATTACAAAGATGATACACTAAGTTCCTATATACCCCATACCCAGGTTCCCCTGTTATTTATATCTCACATTAATATGGTGCATGGGTTATAGTAATGAACCAGTGGTGATACATTATTATTAACTAAAGTCCATACTTTATTCACATTTCTTTAGTTTCTTACCTAATGCCCTTTTTCTGTTCGAGGATCCTATCCAAGATATCGCATTACATTAAATCATTATGTCTCCTTAGCCTCCTCTTGGCTGTGACAGTTTCCTAGATTTTACTTGCTTTTGATGACCTTGGCAGTTTTGGGAGTACTAATCAGGTGTTTTGTAGAATGCCTTACTCAGTTGAGATTTGTTTTCCCATAATTAGACTGAGGTTATGGGCTTTGGGGAGGAATATCACAGAGATAAAGTGCCATTTTTTTCACATCATATCAAAGATACACACCATTAATCTGTCTTACCACTGTTGGTAGTGACCTTGATCACTTGGAAATGGTTGCATTTTTGAACTCAAATTAAGTTGTAGATTTCATGCTCTTAACAAACACTGTACTATTAATATATTGCCTATATACTTGTGACTAATCACAGAGTTCAGCTGTAGCATATAGCTAATTATTCATTCTAACTAGTTTCACCTTCTTTCTTCAGTTAATTCTCTTCTCTTAGTTCTTGAGAATGCCAAGCTTGGCTACATTACAAGTATAATCTCTTGACTCACCCATAACTCTTTTTTTTTTTTTTTTAGTGAGACAAAGTCTCACTCTGTCACCCAGGCTAGACTGGAATGCAGTGGCGGGATCTTGGGTCACTGCAGTCTTTGCCTCCTGGGTTCAAGCGATTCTCCTGCCTCAGCCCCCAGAGTAGCTGGGATTACAAGCACGTACCACCATGCCTAGCTAATTTTTCTGTATTTTTAGTAGAGATGGGGTTTCACCGCGTTGGCCAGGCTGGTCTCAAACTCCTGAGCTCAAGTGATCTGTCCACCTCGGCCTCCCAAAGTGCTAGGATTACAAGCATGAGCCACCACACCTGGCCCCATAACTCCTTATCCACAGTCTTCTACCCCATCTTACTGGTTGCTTGCCTCTCTGTCTTTCCACTGCAGATAGCCCAAACTCTTATTTTTTGGTCAGTTGATTTGCTACTCTTCAACTCATCCTGAAGGCATAGGTCCTCCTCCCCTCCCAACAAGAGGTTATCTGCATAATATCACCACTCCTCATGGGCATTCTCCTTTTTCTTGACCTTCTTTATGTTGTCTCTGCATCTTATTATTTGATCTAGTCTATTAATTCTGGTTCAGTTTTAAATTAAATTCCTCTAATGAAAAAAAAAATGTGTTTCCAGGGATAGCAGAAGAAGTTTATAATGAACTTGTATCTGGAAAGGATAATATTGCATTGTCTCCCCTCTCACATATATGCCCACATCTTATCATGGACTCCATTGAGAATGTGACATAAGCTATGTAACCTCTCCCCAGAAAACACTGTGTGTGTGTGTGTGTGTGTGTGTGTGAAATATTTCATATAGGGTTCAAGGAGTTCATGAACCCTCTGAAGGCTATCTGTATGCTGCATCCATCAAAGTTCTTAGTTTTAAGCAACTGAAGTTGACTGGATGATTTAAACAGAAATAGGAAGTTATTGAATCATAATAGTTCCCAGAACTGCTGGGAAGGCTGAAGAATTGGCATACGAAAAGGATAGGTCCTACAGTTACACAGTTGACCTTTTAAACTCCAAATTGTTTAAGCAGAAAACCTGTCTTTATGCCATTTATTGCTCACATTTTATTTTACCTGTGTTTCACTTGGAACTAGAGAGTGAAGTTTTAAGTGTTTAGAATCAGATATATTAGGCATGAAAACAATGGTATGTACATACACACACCTCATAGTTAACTACGTAACTACATAACTTGCTCATTTAACTTTAGGAAGTATATTAGTAAGGCATAGGCTAAAATGATATAACAAAGAGATTCAGAAACACAGTGGCTTAAATTAGATGGAAGTTTGTTTTTCTATCACCTCATAGGTGGGCAAGTGGCCCAGGGCGGATAGGTAGCTCTGCTTCACAAGTTCATTCAGAGACCCAGGTTCCTGTTATATTGTTTCTCCTTCCTGTAGGATATTATCTTTTCTCCATGATTGAAGCTTACTCAGCTGTCCCTCAGCATGCCAACCTGTAGGAAGGACCGAAGAGAGGAAGAGAAAACATTAAGCAAGCGACACAAGTTGCACATATCAGTTCTGCACATATTCATTGGTCACATGGCCACAACTGGTTACAAAGGAGGCTCAGAAATACAGTCTTACCCTAGGTAGCCATGTCTCCAGCTAAAAGTCATTTACTGTGGTAGATATAAAGAATGGATCTTGGGTTATAATCAACAGAGTGCAGGAAGTGAAGATGGCTGAATAGAACTCTTCAGAGTTCTTTGGATCTAATTTTTAAGTGAATTTTTCCCTATTAACATTTTATATATATATATATATATATATATATATATATATATATATATACACACACACACACACACACACACACACATACATATTTATACTATTTTTATACTTTTTTACCATATATATATATATATATATATATATATATATAAACCATAGAGCCATCAGAAAATAGAGATAAGTAAAAATGAAAAAAGTAAAAATCATCAACTACCTAGCCACCTCAAAATACCAACTGTTAATTTGGGGAAGTGTCCTTCTGGTATATTTTCTATACGTGTATAATGTGTTTTTAAAATAAAAATCTCAATCTTATTGTACATATTGTTTTGTAGCCTGCTTTTTTTTGCCCTAATGTAAGTTTTTAAATTAGGACTCGTGGTTGAAAATGACAGAAGCCCAAATCAAACTGACTTAAACAAAAACTAGAAATTTTCGGTTCACATAAATAAAAAGTCCAAGGATAGAGTCTAGCTTTAGACATAGCTGGATCCAAATGATCAAATAACACCAATAATCTGTTTTTCTCCATTTCTAAATTCTGTTTTCCTTTGTGATGGCATTATCTCAGGTAGTCTCTCAGTGCAGTAGCGGAAAGGCCATTAACAGCTCCAAGTTTACTTTTTGTCAGCTTAGCAAGCTCAATGGAAAGAAAGTGACACTTTTCCAAGAGTGTGATCAAACATCATGAAATTGACTCTGATTGGTCTTGTTTGGGTCCTGTGCCCACGTGAACCAACTGTTATTGCCAGGAGCTACAATACTCTTATTGGCCAGGCCTCATTGGCTTCTACACCTCTGACCATTCCCTGTAGACTAAGGCAGGGAATGTGTGGTTTCCCAAAAAGTAGAGGTGGGTTTTATTACCGTAAGAAGGAATGCTGGATAGGAAAAAACAATGTCCACTACACAGTTCTCCAGGCCATTAAATATTCTATATCTTTTCAAATGGCTCCATCATTCTTCCATGTATGGATTGTCTTTTTGTTTATTTGACCAGTATTCTATTTTTTTGAATGTAGATTGTTTCCGGTATTTCTCTATTAGAAACAACCTGTGATAAACCCTGTAGCTAGATCTCTGTACCTATTGATGATTCTTTCCTTTGGACAAAATCCCAAGGGGTTTTCACATTTGAGGGGTTTTGATTTGTATTTTCAAAGTCATTTCAGGAACATTTCTATTTTAATTCTCACCAGCATTGTATAAAAATGTCCATTTGCCCTTCCCCTTCATACTGGTTATTATTTAAGAAAATTGGATTCTTATAAACAGCATTTAACTCTCTTCACCACAGATATTCTGGCACTATCCCAGGGGAAAAACGCCCTATAAATTTCCAAATCAAAATATATTTCTCTTGAGGAGGGAAAGGGTGAAGACATCCATTTTCCTTAGCTCTTATTATTTCTCTTTACACAATTGCCTTGTCTCCTCTTCTTCCTCACCCATATAAATGTCAAGACATTTCAATTCTCACCTACTGCTTGTTGACTTTTTAAACACTAGCCCATACTGATCTTCCCCTTTTCTGTATTCCAGTAGCAATTATACTCCAATTAAAGATGCACAAGGTGATCAATTGGAGTAATGGTTAAAAATATATATAAAAGCTTCTATTTATATTTTATCTTTTAAATTTCTGTTTTTGTCTGTATATTATATAGAAATTGTACAATGGTGTCTATATCTTTTATAAATTAGTAAATTTGGGCACATGCTTAAAAGTATACTGAAAAGGATATGTATCAAATTTAGAGACTGCTAGCCTATACCTAGCAACTTGTAGTTTTGAATATTTGTAGAAGATGACAAAAGATTCATAATATAGTAAGCACACTTCTGCAAAAACATGAATTCTGAATGCCACAAACTAGGAGTAAATCACTTACCTAGAGAGTGAGCCAGACTATTTAGAGTTTCGGAAGAGCTTTTTTTCCTACTCATAGACAGTATAACTTTTATAAATTAATTTGTAAAACTTCTTTTGAAAAATTACTCCATTAAGAAATTCTAGTGTAAATTCTGGCGATAAAAGTAAAGGGATCTAAATAGTTTACAATAAAAAGGTGTATTGGCCATGGTGTGTATTGTGTGAGCACATGTACATGTAAGCACATTTAAAATCTGGGGAATTACAAGGGTTAGAGTTGCTATTTCACTTTTTCCAGATATGGAGCTTGACTCTTCAAATTCCAAATCCCTTCACTAGGGAATAATATATTTCTTAGCATTTCCCCAGTTTCTAACTGGTGCAGTGCTGCAACATTAATAGTTGCTCTGTGAATAGTTGGTGACTTGTTTCTATTTGATACTTGCCTCTTTTCTATGTTTAGGCATTTTTCTGACTTTAAAATTCATTGCCTACTGCAGAGAGAGACATAAGCTACAAATTAAATGTTTCCCTGTAGACTAGAAATATTCAGCAATGTATTCATTACAGTGAAAGTCTAATATAAAAGATTTGAATGATCTTATGTAATTTTCTGAAATATGATTTAGTGGTATCATATAAGCAAAACTAAGCAGAGATGTTAGATGTATTTCCTCTGTTGTTATGTAAAAGATCAAGTAGAAATCAGAGAGAAATATATTTTAAATGCTTCAGGAATGGCCTATTCCCAGATATTTGTGTTGTGGGTTAGGATGTCTACTGAGTTTACTAAAAGCCATTTTAAATAAGAAGTATGAAATTTAGTTATAAAAAATGATGATGCCAGGGATCATTTTTTAAAAAAGACAACCATCCAAACAACATTATATAAAGACAAAAGACTGTAATTACAGGCCTTCCCATTGGCCACTGAAAAGCAGGGTTCTACTAACAATAGCTTTCCTTGATTGTGTACTAATCTGCACTAGGGCTGTGCATGCATTAGATCGTTTAATAATCTTCTCTTGAGGGATCCCCTAAAAGACAGCACTATGTATTATTTCTGTTTTGCTGTTAAAGAAAGTAAGCCTTAGAGAAGTTAAATAACTTGTCCAGAATTATACATAGTGAGTGACAGAGTGAGAGTTGAACCGAGGTCTATAGGACTCTAGACCAGCACTGCACAATGGAACTTTCAGCATTGATGGAAATGTTCCATATCTGTACTGTCCAATTTGGTAGCCACTAGCCCCAAGAGAATACTGAACACTTGAAATACGACTAGTGCAACTAAAGAACTGAATTTAAAATTTTTATTTAAATTAAAATAGCCTCATGGGGCTAGTGGCTACTGTATTGGACAGCACAGCTCTAGAAACTTCCTAAAATGTGCTTCATCGCTCACCAATACCTCCTTAATTCTCTTTTCCTATTATATGCTAAACAAAAGATATAATAGGAACAAAAAGAGTAAGGAAGTCTTACCAGAGGTGCTTACCAGAGGCTGAGGATGGGGAGTGCCAAAGAGAGACTTGGGTCAGTGTGCACAAAGTTACAATTAGGAGGAACAAGTTCTCGTGTGCCATTGCACAGGAAGGTGACTATGGTTAATAGCTAAAAGAGAGGGCTTTAAATAGCTAAAAGAGAGGGCTCTAAATGTTTTTCACCACAAAGAATTGATAAATATTAGAGTTAATGAATTTGTTAATTAGCCTGATTTGAGCAGTTCACTACATATACATGTATCAAAACATCACATTATACCCTATAAATATATATAATTGTTATTTGTCAATAATATTTAAAAAATTATTTTTAAAATATGGTGTTCAAATCTCGCCTCCGACCTATTGAATCAGTCTCAGGGTATGAGGCCTTGAACACTGCGACTGAAATGCTCCCTGGGTTGTCCTGACTTGTTTCAGCATCTGAACCAAAATACCCTGAAAGTTCTTGACAAGAAAATTATTAACTGGGCATATGCCAACATCAGAAGTAGCCTATAATAACAGTGATGATAGTATTACAAAGTTCTGTTGTTCTTTCAGAACTTAACATTGATTAGCATCTGTGTTAGATGATGGCAGTTCATCACTCAAACATTCAACTAATTTATTTGTTTAATCATCACTTGTAGTTTGATATGAAGTACAAGAAATGTGATACAAAATATAGGAGTCTTAAGAAAGACGTACTTGATTTATTTACTTGTTCTTGAATTTATGGCTTATAAAAATTAGATATTATAATTTTTCCCCTCAGGTCACTAATGCTCTTATAATCATTTGTCAATATTTTAACAGTATAAAACTTTATCAAAAAATATTTTAAATCTTCAAGTTATTATTATTTTTATTTATTTATTTATTTTTGAGATGGAGTCTCACTCTGTCGCCCAGGCTGGAGTACAGTGGTGTGATCTCAGCTCACCGTAACCTCTGCCTCCTTGGTTCAAACGATTCTCCTGCCTCAGCCTCCCAAGTAGCTGGGACTACAGGCGTGTGCCACCACGCCCAGCTAATTTTTTTTTTATTTTTATTTTTTTTTTTGTATTTTTAGTAGAGACGGGGTTTCACCATATTAGCCAGGATGGACTCAATCTCCTGACCTCATGATCTACCCTCCTCGGCCTCCCGAAGTGCTGGGATTATAGTACCTGCGAAATCTTCAAATTATTATTCATCAAAACCACCATTATTTTTTTGCTTATGTTATCCTGTCTCCTAAATTTTAAAATAGTTTCTAATTCTCATTTATTTGTATAAGCATATATAATTACATACTATTCAACCCATTTTTATAATAATGATCTTAAATGTGAAGTTGAGTATTACTTGACTTGGATTTTCCAAGTCATTACACCAGTAATATTCATAGTGTACAACACATCCTTTCTAGATAATATACATTTGACTTCTGTTGTCATTATTGACAATTATCCTCCAAGGGCATTTATCTGATGCCCATGTTTGTATGGTACTGAAAATACATTGGACTAGGAGGATTTAGGAAGGAATATTTATCAGTTAAGGCACTGTTAACTTCTAAAACAGATAAATCTTAGTTCAATGTGAGTGTTCTTGCTTGAGTTATCTTTTATGTATTTTACTTCTTCCTTTTTCTAAGTCTTCAATCCTCTCCCTTCAACCCGTGTATAGAGAAAGAAAATATGGAAAAGCCATACCTGTTCTTAGCCACTTTAAGGTGAACTGTGTGATGTAATAGTTCATTTCCATAAGAACACATCTATTTGCAAGAGAGGCTGGGAAATATAGTCTAGCTATATTCTCAGGCGGAAAAAAGAATATTTTGGTGAACACATAGCAGTTTCTGTGATAGCCCTATCTCTGCCATGAATGAACTCTGACTCTTGGCAAGGCACTTAATCTCCTTAGCTTAAGTTCCTTTACTTTAAAAGTAAGAAATATGGTGACTTTTTTCTTTTTTGATAAGGTTATTATATTAACAAGATTCTCTTAAGATATAGTGGGGCTTGATTCAACAAAGCATATGTCACAACCATCATATCCTTAAAAGAAGATCTGATGAGAAATGAGAACTAAGTTATGGCACAGTCACTGGTTTTATAGTTAATTGCATAACCAACCGACTTTGATTACTTGATTTAAGTGATCCTGGAGAGGAGAACTGGGTGTGAGGGTGAGGAGGAAAGAACTGGACTCAGGACTTCATTCTTAGTCCTAACCTTTTCACTTTTTCACAGTTTTTATCAGTAAATCATATGAAAACAGAACATACAGGTGGGTGCGGTGGCTCACACCTGTAACCCTAGCACTTTGGGAGGCTGAGGTGGGCAGATCTCCTGAGGTCAGGAGTTCGAGACCAGCCTGACCAACATAGAGAAACCCCATCTCTACTAAAAATACAAAAGTAGCTGGGCGTGGTGGTGCAAGCCTGTAATCTCAGCTACTTAGGAGGCTGAGGCAGGACAATTGTTTGAACTCAGTAGGCGGAGGTTGTGGTGAGACGAGATCGCGCCATTGCACTCCAGCCTGGGCAACAAGAGCGAAATTCCGTCTCAAACAAAAAAAAA
The DNA here is from genome assembly GCF_000001405.40 of Homo sapiens. Taxonomy (NCBI): domain Eukaryota; kingdom Metazoa; phylum Chordata; class Mammalia; order Primates; family Hominidae; genus Homo; species Homo sapiens. The sequence goes on from NC_000004.12 coordinate 39,075,345, forward strand.
AAAAAGAAAGAAATCAGAATGCCTACTCTTCAAATTATAATTTAGAAATTTCAAATAATTTTTTAGACAGCTGTATTAGGCTATCAAATTCCTTTAACCTGTAATATAAGTTATAGATTACCTGGGCTTTTGAGGACTGGACAGAGAACCAAAATAATTATTTATAACACTGTTTTTATGACAATATATTTTTTAATGAACTTGACTTGAATTTGTATTTCCAAAATAATTTAATTGCCTTTCTGCCTTCAAAGATGAATGATCTCTTATATCCTTAAATATAACGTTAGGAGATGTGGTTATCAATATGAATATAGCTTAGCTCTTTTTCAGCAGAGACATTGGCTTTAACAGAGAAAAGACCTCACAAAAAGATACTACAAAGAATATATGTAGCAATTAATTAACAGTTTATATTCACTTACAGTGTTTACAAGAATCATATGACTTAAGGCATCATTGATTTTTAAGAGACTAAAATGATGAATGATTATACATTAATATTGATAGGTAGCATTGATTTCTTCTATTACATTTGAAGGCTTTCAAAAGACTTAATAGGAAAGATCTTTTTAATGTGATAGTGATATTTCAAAATGTGTGTTTTTTTTTCTTTTCAGGACTTCCAATAGTAGTCAGACATTATCATCCTGTCATACTATGGAGCCATGTACATCAGATGAATTTTTCCAAGCCCTTAATCATGCCGAGCAAACATTTAAAAAAATGGAAAACTATTTGAGACATAAACAGTTGTGTGATGTAATTTTAGTCGCTGGTGATCGCAGAATTCCAGCTCACAGGTAGTTGTTTTCTATATTTCTGTATGTGTGAAATATTTCCTCGGTAATTTAGATATGTATATTGAGGTAACCTACTTCAATTGACTATTATGTTTTTGGGAAGGGGTGTAGTTCATGGAATTTCCATCAAGAAAACGGTGCATATGAAATTATTACACATTTGGTGATCCTAAAAGGGTCATTTTCCTGCTGTAGAAGCACAATAACAAAACATACTAGCCTCATATAAGTTGGTATTGTTCGGTGTAGATTGCAGCTACTATAAGAAGCTTTTATGCCATATTCTACCTATTAAATACTTTAAGTAAACTCAGTGGCAATTAAAGTTTGTGGATATTTAGAAGAAGAAAAGCTGGTGAAGTGGACTAGCAAAAACTCTTAAGAGTTTTTAAAATAGCCATATCTATCCCAACTTCTGTTTGCTGATTTCCAAGAAGTATGAAAAGCAGTGCTAGGGAAAAAAAGCCTTTCCTACAAATTACATATTATTTCTTGAAGTAAGAAAAGGAAAAGAGCCATTTAATAAAGAATAATTCATTTTTTTATAATTCTGTATTCAGTTGTTCATTGTTAATCACCACTATGATTCTCAAAGGTTTTTTTTTTTTTTTTTGGATGCCCATCAAAACTAATTGACACTGTGTCCCAAAGGTTTTTTTTAAAAACCTTCCAAAGAGAGATAACATCGGAAAAAGCCTTCTAGACATTGGCTTAGGCAAAGACTTCATGACCAATAACCCAAAAGCAAATGCAACAAAAACAAAGATAAATAGATGGGACTTAATTAAACTAAAAAGCTTCTGCACAGCAAAAGAAAGAATGTCTGTAAGTTAACAGACAACCCACAGAGAGGGAGAAAATATTCACAATCTGTACATCCGACAAAGGACTAATATCCAGAATCTACCAAAAAACTCAAATAAATCAGAAAAAAAAAAACAGTCCCATCAAAAAGTGGGCTAAGGACATGAATAGATAGTTCTCAAAAGAAGATCTACAAATGGCCAACAAGCATATGAAAACATATTTGGCCGGGCGCGGTGGCTCATGCCTGTAATCCCAGCACTTTAGGAGGCTGAGGCAGGCAGATCACGAGGTCAGGAGATTGAGACCATCCTGGCTAACACAGTGAAACCCCGTCTCTACTAAAAATAACAAAAAAAAATTAGCCGGGCATGGTGGCAGGCACTTGTAGTCCCAGCTACTCGGGAGGCTGAGGCAGGAGAATGGTGTGAACCCAGGAGGCAGAGCTTGCAGTGAGCCAAGATCGCGCCACTGCACTCCAGCCTGGGTGACAGAGCAAGACTCCGTCTCAAAAAAAAAAGAAAACATGTTTAACATCACTAATGATCAGGGAGATGCAAGTCAGAACCACAAGGCAATACCACCTTACTCTTGCAAGAATGGCCACAATCATAAAATCGAAAAATAATCAATGTTGGCATAGATATTGGTGAAAAGGGGACACTTTTACACTGTTGGCAGGAATGCAAACTAGTGCAAACACTACAGAAAACAGTGTGGATATTCCTTAAAGAACTAAAGGTAAAAAAAAAAAAAAACAAAAAACAAACAAACAAAAAAACTAAAAGTAGATCTACCATTTGATCCAGCAATCCCACTACTAACTATCAATTCAGAGGAAAAGAAGTCATTATATGAAAAAGATGTTTGCACACAAGTTTATAGCACCACAATTTTCAATTGCAAAATTATAGAACCAGCCCAAATGCCCATCAATCAACAGGTGGATAAAGAAAATGTGGTGTATACATATATCATGGAATACTACTCACCTATAAAAAGGAATGAAATAATGGGATTCTCAGCAACCTGGATGGAACTGGAGACTTACTCTAAGTGAAGTAACTCAAGAATGGAAAACCAAACATCATATGTTCTCTCTCATAAGTGGGAGCTAAGCTATGAGGATGCAAAGGCATAAGAATGATACAATGAGGCCAGGCGCGATGGCTCACACCTGTAATCCAGCACTTTGGGAGGCTGAGGCAGGTGGATCACGAGGTCAGAAGTTCAAGACCAGCCTGACCAAGATGGTGAAACACCATCTTTACTAAAAATACAAAAATTAGCCCGGTGTGGTGGCAGGTACCTGTAATCCCAGCTCCTCGGGAGGCTGAAGCAGGAGAATTGCTTGAACCCAGGCAGCAGAGGTTGCAGTGAACCGAGATCACGCCACTGCACTCCAGCCTGGGTGACAGAGTAAGACCCTGTCTCAAAAAAAAAAAAGAATGATACAATAGGCCAGGCTTGGTAGGCTCAGGACCTGTAATCCTAGCGCTTTGGAAGGCCGAGGTGGGTGGATCACTTGAGGCCAGGAGTTCCAGACCAGCCTGGCCAACATGGCAAAGCCCCATCTCTACTAAAAATACAAAAACTAGCCAGGCGTGGTGGCGTGAACCTGTAGTCCCAGCCACTTGGGAGGCTGAATCATGAGTATTGCTTGATCCTGGGAGGCAGAGGTTGCAATGAGCCAAGATCATGCCACTGCACTCCAGCCTGGGCGTGGAGACAGAGTGAGACTCTGTCTTCACCCCCAGCAAAAAAGAATGATACAATGGACTTTGGGGACTTGGGGGAAAGGGTGGGAAGGGAGTAAGGGATAAAAGACTACACATTGGGTACAGTGTACTCTGCTTGGAGGATGGGTGCACCAAAATCTCAGAAATTACCACTAAAGAACTTATTCATGTAACAAAACACCACCCATTGCCCCAAAACCTACTGAAATAAAAAATAAAAAATAAAAAAACCTTCCAAAGTGGAAATAAAATCATTAGGAGGAATTGGCTTGGTATTAAAATTTTCAGTGACTCAATTAGCATACATTTATTGAGATACTACTATGTACTGTGACAGAAAGTCCAGGTTATGAACGTGGGTTTGTTAGAAAAGCTATTTCAACCCGAATTTCATAGAGGCACCTCAAATTCTGTATTTCCAAAACTGAACTCATTCATTACCTTACCTGCCATGCTTGTGTGAGCCATCAACATCTCACTTAGATGACTGATGCAAAAGCCTCCCAACTGGTCTCCCTGCCTCCACTCTTTGCCCCTACATTCTGTTTTAACGTAGCTACCTGAGTGATCCTTTAAAGTGGAACTCAGATTCAGTCATTTCTTTGATCAAATCTTTCATTGACTCCTCATGTCACTGAGTGTGAAAGGGAAAGTACATGCAATGGCGTACACGATCCAGCCTGCCGTATCTCTCTAGTATTGTCCTATTGGTCTCTGTCTTGTTCAGTCAGCATCAGCCACTCAGAACCTCTTGTAGTTCCTTGCATGTGCCAGGCATGCTGCTCCTACCTTTGGAATTTTGCACTATTTCTTCTGCCTGAAGGCTATTTCCAGATACCTGCATGACCAAATCCTAAACCTCCTTCACATCTTTGCCCGTGTCACTTTCCGGTGAGACCACCTATTTAAACTTACCACCCTTTCCCCATTTGCCTTTGCCCAACTTTTTTTCCCCTTAGCACTTATCACCTCTTAATGTACTACAGAATTTACTTCTACTGATCATTGTCTCCCTACCCTCTAAATGTAAGACTCCATAAGAGAAGGGATCTTTTGTCTTATTTTGTACCCAATGTATCTCAAGTATCTAGAACAGTACCCAGTATTTACTGGACACACATCAGTATTTGTTCATTAAATGAATGAATGAATGAATGAATGGGCAGTTTTCTGAAGAAGCAACCAATGGCCAATAAACATTTGAAAAACCTCACTAGCAATCAGATAAATGAAAATTGAAACAACAATGAGATATCATTTAACACTTTATGGCCAAAAATTTTAACATCTGATAATATTATGGGGAAAATGTTAGTCTTATACAATGCTGGTGGGGTCTAAATTGGTACCTTACTTTGGCAAATCTAATGGCTCAGCAGTGCCACTCCTGGGGAGGTAAGAAAATGGAATTAGAGAGGGAGCCAATGATTATCTGTATCATAATTTTTATTACTTTTAAAAATGAAAATGTTTATTTAAAATCTATTTAAGTGTGTTGACATGGAAATATCTTCAAGACATTATCCAGTGAAAAAATGCCTGTTTCAAAAATACGGCCAGGTGCTGTGACTCACTCCTGTAATCCTAGCTCTTTGGGAGGCTCAGGTGGGCTGATTACTTAAGGCCAGGAGTTCAAGACCAACCTGGCCATCATGGCGAAACTCCATCTCTACTAAAAATAAAAAAATTAGCTGGACATGGTAGTCACGTCTGTAATCCCAGCTACTCAGGAGGCTGAGGCAGGAGAATTGCTTGAACCTGGGAAGCAGAGGTTGCAGTGAGCCGAGATCATAGCATGGCACGCCAGCCTAGGAAACAGAATGAGACTGTCTCAAAAAAAAAAAAATTATAATTTAAATGTATTATATATGACCATTAAAAACTTAGAGACATAGCTAATATATTTTATAATTATAAAAAATATAGTTTTATAGTGTTATTACAACATAATTTTAAAACAAAATGCAGACTAAGATAATAATAGAATATTATAAAAGTTTAAAACTTGCTAGCAAAAACCATTTTCAAATGTCTCCCATATATTCACTACTTCTATAATTAAATTTTTTTAAAAATGGCTTAGTTTATTTTCAAAAATGATAAACAATAACTTTTAAATTTTTTCCTTTATATAGTTGATTTGATGCTATGGGCTTATAGCTTGTTTTCTGGATGTCATATAGCATTATTTGAGTAGTGAAGTGGTAAAGCATTCACCTCAGCAGAAAATTTGGTAATGGTAATTTATTATTCAAAGGAAGGAACTAGAGCATAAAGCAATTTGTCAAGCTTAAAATGCATTTCCTAGTACCATGCACTGTGAGTAACAAATAAAAAAGAAGCAGCAGCATTTATTAATGAACATCAACTCGAATGTGGTCATTGATTTTTTTTTTCCTAATGTGTTCACAGATTGGTGCTCTCCTCTGTCTCAGACTATTTTGCTGCCATGTTTACTAATGATGTCAGAGAGGCAAGACAAGAAGAAATAAAAATGGAAGGTGTAGAACCAAATTCGTTGTGGTCCTTGATCCAGTATGCTTATACAGGTAACGAGTCTGAAAATGTAAATTAAAACCTCTTAGATTTATGTTGTATTATTAGATTTCAGATTTCTGTTTTTAGAAAGCATGCCATAGCTAACAGTTAGTTCTGCTATTGTCATTACTACCCTTTGTATTTAACCTGGTGATGAATTAAAATTTCCATACTAAAACCTTTAAAATGGTTATCATAATTAAGTTTTTGAATGGCCCTTTAAAATGTTAATATAAAAATTAAATGAATTACATAGTGTCAAATTTTTGCATTTAAAATTTGAGAGTTGGCCAGGTGCAGTGGCTTATGCCTGTAAATCCCAGCACTTCGGGAAGCCAAGGCAGGACGGATGATCGCTTGAGCCCAGGAGTTCGATGCTGCAGTGAGCCATTGGTTACACCACTGCACTCCAGCCTGGGCAATAGAACAAGACCGTGTCTCAAAAAAAAAAAAAAATTGAGAGTTATACAGGTATATAGTAGACATAAGTTACTAACGTATCATTTTAAAATTCTGAAAATAAGCCATTAGTTTTTATTTTAGTAGATGTCTCAAGGAGCTAATAATTTTTTCCCCATTTAGTCCTTCTTTTCTTTTTGGGATGTCTTAAACCATGTAGGTCTGTAATGCATGTAATGAGCTCTTATATGGAACCACTACTGTTAACATCAATTATTTTATAAAATAAGGTTAATGTAGTTCCATGGCTAATGGAATTTCTTTTTATCATTAAGGCCGCCTTGAATTAAAAGAAGATAATATTGAGTGCCTGTTATCTACAGCTTGCCTTCTTCAGCTTTCACAGGTTGTAGAAGCATGCTGTAAGTTTTTAATGAAACAGCTTCATCCATCCAACTGTCTTGGAATTCGTTCTTTTGCTGATGCCCAAGGTTGTACAGATTTGCATAAAGTGGCTCACAATTATACTATGGTATGTATTTTTTGAAGGTGAGAAAGTCGATCCTCCATATGCATATTTCTTATTGTTGCAGGCTTATCTGCATGTTACTGTTTTCCCATGGCTCTGCCACGTGTCTTGCGATTGAGCTTCATTGCCTAGTGTGTCATATTTTCATTGAGTTATAATGGGAAAGCACCAAGTAATACTTCTCGTGGGTATCTGAATCAAGCCCTAAGTTACTGCAGTCACTGGGAAGCAGAACAGTGGCCTAGGACTGTTCCATTAAGATTTTCAGATTTGCTGCTTTTTAAAATAGGACTCTCCCCAAACATTTTACTTTGCTGCACATGGATGAATTTCAGGATTGTTCACATATTCACTGATAGAAATTGGTGACAGAGGTTGCAGCATATTGGTAGAGGACAAATGGGAGGCTTTTTGTTAAGGATAAATCTGACTATGTATAAACTATTTACAGCCATGTAGAATGATGTTTTTATTCATTATAGCAAATTATGTGCTCAATAAATCATAGAAGAGGTTCTGATTCAGTAGCCTGAAGGATGATAAAACGAAATAATCTGTACAACAAACCCCCATGATACAAGTGTACCTGTATGACAAACCTTCACATGTACCCCTGAACTTAAAAGTTAAAAAATGGATTGACCTAGGATAGTAAGAAAATAAGGGCATGTTGAGAGCATAGTGTTAGGACCACCCTCTGTGGTCTTAACAGTAGAGGGGTGCAGGCAAGGGAGGGTGTTATGGGTTTTTGAGGAATGTTGCCACACTGTAGCAGTTAGTTCTTCACACCTGGGCAATGACTGAAGAGTGTTGCTTTAAATGCTTCAGTTTAGGGCAATACAGTTTCTAAGAGAAGAAAAAATGTGAATATTCACATACATATGTACAGTTATGGATATTACCAATTTTATCAACATTTAAGAAATGTTATTTTGCCTACCCTCTCCTCCGTCGTTCCACTGAGTTGGGATATGAAGAGATTGAGAGTGCTTTAGGAATCTTTCATTAGAGAAATAGAGATTTGGAAAAATTGTAAGAATAGGTATTTACAAACTATTGGCAAGATCAATTCTGTCTACTTCATGAGCTTGGTGTGAGGATTAGATGAGTTAATGGAATTTTAACACTCAGAACATTGATTGGCATGTCATATATCCAGTCAGTGAGTCTCATTCCATTGTTGTCATCATCATTATATAGATTTCCTCTATCCAAAACAATAGAAAATTATGGGAGGGAACAAAAGCACTCACAAAACCACAGCCTTTAATGACTGGTTTTCCTCCCTGTGGTGTAATCATTTCTCAGGAATTTTTTATGATAGTCACAGAGTCTCAACTGAAAAAATAAAGAGATTGTACAACAGGATGATAATATATAGCCCTAGCATGCTATTATGTTGACATTTTAAAAATTAAGTCCATTGAAATGTTTTTTTCCCTCGGTCTTTATCACTCTTTATAGATTCTCATTTTAACCATACACCTGCAGTTTCAACTACTTTTTTGAATGAGATGAATATAAATAAAGTTGGATTTTTTTCTTCAAAATCAGTTTAGAATTTGAATAATCATCTTTTTTCTAGGAAGGTGTTTTATTCAGGTGAAAACATTTGTATGCATTTAGGTCACTCCTGTTGTTTACAGTAGAGGCATGATTGCTGCTTTAAGGCTTACACAGAAATTAAATTTAAATTAGCTGGATGTTTTTAAAGCTATTTTCATAGCCAATTAGTTGTGTTAGATTTTTTTTCTCAAGGCCATTATTTAACATTATTCAGTTTTAACAGAGACATGAAATTGAATTCTAATAACAATAAGTAATTTAGAGGCAGCTTGTCTGATTTGAATTGTTGCTATGGGAACCAAATGAAAATGTATAGCAAAATTCAATCTTCAATTTAAATAAATCCCTCCGTAATTTCAGTTGCCTAAAAACTATTCCAAAGGGGGAAAGGTCACAATGCTAGCAAGCGTTTGGTAACATGATAGTTGTGTATATTATAATATGGATTTAAAATGTAAAGCATAATGCCACGCCAGTGAGTTCAATCAGTGAATGGTGCGTGGACTGGGGATGTTCACTGATCCTGCACGAATACAAGTGGTAAAAAATGAGGAGTCCTCTCCAGGATCCATGAATCTGGAAACCTGTTTTCTCATTCTGCCTGCCACTGAACATGACCTGGAGCAAGTCATGTAACCTCTAAAAAAGTCTTAAGACTGGTTGTATGATTACAACTATTTAATGTCATTTTGAATTTATGACACAAATAAAAACATTTAATTTTAAAACTTAAAATTGTCTTTCTCAATCTAGAAGACTTATAAAAAACATTGAGATCTGCTAAAGTAGCTGCTTCAAAACCAAATTAATACTTTTGAAAAATACTTTGTATTCAACCTTGAGTTCAGTAGTATTTCATAAGTTGTTGAAAAACTCAGTTTTCACTTAATGTAAGTTATACTAGAATGGAATGGGCATTATTCTGAAATAGATATATCAACAAATAATTCGTCAAGTGCATATTTACGTGATAGTCCTTTTGTTACTGATGAAATCCAATTAATGCCATTTGAAAGTATGGCATAGTTATACCAATGTATAAATCTGTCAATTATACTTTATATGTTTAAGGAATTGGAAATATATATTATTATTTCAGTTTCTTCACAATCTCACATAACATTTTATCATAAGTACCTTTCCATGTACCTACGTGATCTTTGTCTTTGAAATTTTTAATGCTTATTTAATATACAGCTCCCTATAACTGAACATATAGGCTATTTCCCATTTTTTACCATTGTAAATAATAATACAGAGAAGTATTGTTAGGTAGTCAGCTTTGCTTTTTGCTTACAAATTATTATTAAGGTTTAAATTACAAGTGGGATAACTGGGTTGAGAGTTTCAACATTTTTGTAGATCTTGCTATGTGTTACCAAAATAATGTCAGTATGCAATTCAATAGAACCTTTTGCTTGAAGCCATTCTAGCACTGAAGTTTTATTAAAATATGTTTCTGAAAATGATAATCCATCATTTAAAATAGACTCATTTAGACATCCTTGAACAAATCATGATAAATTGAAGCAATTGAAATTCATTAATTATTCATGAATGGTTTTCCCCTTTAGAACTTCTACTGATAGGAATGTCAAGCTAATATATATTTTAGATTAGTACCTCACTCAGGTTACCACAGGCTATATGGAAAATATAATTCTCATTTTAATATAGAAGATAGTTATTGATAGTCCTTATTTCTAGCTCTAATTTAAACAGCTTTAGCTTCTTTAGTAAACCTCTGCATGCTGAGACAGCGATAATACATCAGGAAATATGAGAAAAACATTAAGGGACAATATGTGTCTAGTATTTGCATTTATAACCGTGTCAACTATCCATTCATTAAGACTTAAAACCTTTCAAATCAGATGGTATGTTTTCCTTCTCTCCAGATTATTTAGCATAATAGCCTATCAAGGTCATCTCACACCTAAGGGCATTTTTATTTCCCATTTCAAATTATAGAGGATTTGATTCTAACGTGAGGCCAGGACTGAGTCATCTTCAGTCTAATGTCCTGATCCCAGGGCATTATAGGTCACTACTTTTTTTTCCACCTTTGGTCCTTTTTCCTGTGAGACCAAAAGAGCTTTGTAAATAAATTATATTAGAAGAGATTAAAAATTTAAAAACAGACCCTTAAAAGAGATTAAAAATTCGAAAACAGACCCAAAATCCTAGATGATCTTATAAATATCATTAAAACGATCTTGAAGACCGATTTGACTGTCGTATAACTCTAAGAACAAATACTCATTCCAGGGAGGATCTGAGAAGACATCTGTGGTCTAGAATGATTCTGGGAAATGTAGCCACTCTGGAGGCCATTTCTTAGTAAGAGAAGTAACCAAGCTCTCTAGGTATTTGGCTCCACTGCTGGCCGAATTCTTCAGCACCCACAAATCCAAACCGCAAATCCACCCACTTCTGGTGTTAGAGTATCATACATCTCAGTGTCTAATTCATTATTTCTCTCTTCCTTCAAAAGAATTGCCAAAAGTATTTCCTAACTTGAGTGAAGTAACACTTAAATGTCCTAGGTCCATTTTTTAAATGTAATAAGTGATACAACACTTTAATTCTACTTGCATATGTTTAACAACATAATTGCAGTTTAATTTTTTTTTCTCTGCTGTGTTTCTTTCCTAACAAGTAAGTATTACATTGTAAGGTCTAAAATATAAATTGTGTGTTGGTAGCTAATATAAAAAGCTTTTACTTTCTTCTAAGTAAATTGTGAAGGTCAGAAGGAACAATATTGTTTATCTGCTATTTCTTCCCTCTAGGAGCATTTCATGGAAGTAATCAGAAACCAGGAATTTGTATTATTACCAGCCAGCGAAATTGCAAAGCTCTTGGCTAGTGATGACATGAACATTCCTAATGAGGAGACAATATTGAATGCACTTCTTACTTGGGTCCGTCATGATTTGGAACAGAGACGGAAAGATCTAAGTAAACTTTTGGCTTATATTAGGCTACCTCTTCTTGCACCACAGGTAATTAATAGGCACTTGTTTATAGGAATTTTTCTTTGCCTATTCTATCAAAGAAAATAATTGTACATGTATTCCTATGAAACGTGTAGGTGAAAAGATAGTGAGCTAACAAAATTCTGCTTATGCTTTCAGTCCAGAAGATCTGGCTACTTAAATTGCTTCAATTAAGTAACATTCTTTTTTTTTTTTTTTTTTTTTTTTGAGATGGAGTCTCACTTTGTTGCCCAGGCTGGAGTGCAGTGGCATGATCTCAGGTCACTGCAACCTCCGCCTCCCCAGTTCAAGTTATTCTCCTGCCTCAGCCTCTCAAGTAGCTGGGACTACAGGTGCATGCCACCATGCCTGGCTAATTGTTGTATTTTTAGTAGCGATAGGGTTTCACCATATTGGCCAGGCTGGTCTCAAACTCCTGACTTCAAGTGATCTGCCTGCCTTGGCGTCCCAAAGTGCTGGGATTACAGGCATGAGCCGCTGTGCCCGGCCTCAATTAAGTAACATTCTTGATTTTGGGTTAGTAACTTAATTGACTCAGCTACAAACCTATCCTACCAATTGGAGGAGAATTACCAAAACTGCTAATAAAAGGAGCACTGGACTCTTGAAACCAGAAAATTTAGATTAATTTCTTTGCCACATGTTTATTAAGTATCCACTAAATATTGGATTCTGGTGATATATAGATTAACAAGGTATATTAATAGTCAAAGCTCTGACATTTTAAAACTCTGTGACTTGGCATATTCACACAGCTGAGTTTCTTCATCTGTCAAGTAGAGATAACATCTTCCCTGACTACCTCACAGGATTATTATAAGGATCAGAAACATGCTCTATGATATAAAATGTGCTATGAATAAAAATATTATTTCAGAATTAAGAGATATCTAGTTGGTGTGTTCAAGGCAATCAGTCATAACATTTACATGCATAGTTTTCCCCTTTTTACAATTTTCACTGGAATATATAAAAATTTTCCCTGCATACTTTGCTGCCTATCTCAAGGCCTTGAATGCTGAAAGAGGTCTTGAAAGCAGAAAAAGAATGAGCTGTTACTGTTCAAGTTCAGACTTTCTTTTTCTTTTTTTAATTTAAAGTGTCACAAATGTTCTCATATTTGCAGTTATCTTGAGCATAATGTATTATTTCCTGCTGTTGTGAGCAAAAGTTACTGTTTGTTTTTTACAGAGACAGTAATCAATATGGATGCTTTCTAAGACCTTCCTCTTCAGAAATAGAATATTGTATGAATACATAGAACTGAAACTGCATGTGTTGATGATAATTCAGGAAAAGTAACATAATAAAATGTTTCTCTTGAAATCAGATTTTTAAAAGGGAGTTACATTTTTACTGCTACTTAGCAGATTTTTAAAAATTCTTTCTAGATGAAATCAAACCGAATTTGAAAAATCCGATTCGACTTTGAGAAGAATCTGTGTAATTAAGTAACCTGACAATTGACTTCACTTCTGTAGTTTCAGATATTTATGATACTATATTTGCATGACTCTCATAGACCTTTAAAATATCTCTTATCCAGGATACTGCTGATAATCCTAGCCATAAGTTCTTAGGGTTGAAAGGCATTTTGGAGATCATTTGTTCGAACACCTGTTGTACAAATGAAGTGACAGACCAAAAAAGTAAATCCATATGTTCAAAATTACAATGTGATTGCATAAATTCCTCTCTTTCTGCATTGTAGTTTTATTTAGTTTTTGCTATTTGGCTAACATCATAGGGCTAATAAGAGGCAGAGGTGGGACTTGAACCCAAGTACAGTTCTGTGCCTTGTCCACTAAACCATTCTGCCTCTTGAGTGTACTGTGTGTAAAATTGCTGGGGGTGGCAGGGAGATGGTATCAGATGGTGGAAGAAATAGATTAAAAAAATAAATCAGTGATTATAATGAGATGAAGACTGTGACAGATACATGAATGTGGCATTCTGAAAATAATAGAAGTAGCCCACCAAAAAGAGGGGGTTTTGACGAGAAGGCAGGGAGAATTTCTTACAGTGTTATTTGATCCACATTATGAATTAGCCACCCAAAAGAGGGGGCATGATAACCAGGAGAAATAGGAGCTTGTACTTCATCATGAAGTCATGAGCAAATATATTGTGTTTTGGAATTTGAAGGTAGTTTGCATGGCTGGACTGCAGAAATAAAAGGGGATAAAGTAAAGAGATGAGGCTGAAGAGGGGAATGGACCAGAACATGGAGAACCTCTAGTTATGCCAAGGAGTTTGAATTTTATCCTGAAAGCAATGAGGAAGCACTAAAGGATATTTTAATAGGAATTTTATTTCAGAAATTTTATTTTATTTCAGAAAGATTACTATAACTGCATTGTGGAGAATGGATCTGAGGGGTCAAAGCCAAAAACCAATTAGGAAGGCTTTTGGAATTCAGACAAGTGAATTAGGCACACTGTGGCAGTGGATATAGATAGAAATTACCAGACTCAAGAGCTATTTATGAGGTCAAATTGACAAAACTTCATGACTGAATGGTGAAGGTATACAAAAAGAGGAATCAAGAATGACTCTGATTTGTGCAATTAGGTTAATTAAAAGGTGCCGGCAATTGAAACAAGGAATATAGAATGAAGAGCTAATTCAGGGAATGGGGAAGGAAGTTGAAGAATCATGTTCCCAAAGCTTCTTGGCACCTTTAATTCTTTTAGAGTCTAAGGACTCTGAAGTCCTTAGACTTTTTTGAAAACTACTTCCTTAGATTGTTGAATCCAAAGGCAAGAGAATGACACTGGCCAAGGAGTACACAAGAGTGCTTGGGATGGAACCCTAGGAAACACAGTATATAGTGGTTGTTCCCAAACCTGGCTAATTAACTGAGTGTTATTAAAAATTGATGTCACACTTGAAAAAGGACGAAGTTTTATCATCATCCTTTGCTACAGAGAAGACAAGGAAGAAAAATCCAGTGGATTAGCCCAGTGGTTCTTAAAGTGTGATCCCTAACAGGAAGATCAGCACTACTGGGGAACTTCTTGGAAATACAGATTAGGCCTCACCCCACACCTACTGAATATGAAACTGTGGGGCTGGGGCCTGGCAAATGGTGTTTTAATAAGTCTTCCAGTGGCTTTGATGCATCCTCAAGTTTGAGAACCATTATCCACCACAAGTAGTGGTGATGGAAGCCACATTGCCTTGTATAATTTAAACAAGTTACTTTACCTCTCAGAACATTTTTCTTTCCTACAGTGATAATACTGTGCTGCAGTATTGTGACATTTAGAGATATTGTCAGGGTTGATTTTTTTTCATTGCCAAAAGTGAATGGCAAGATTGCAGAATTAGAGTTATCAAGTAATAAAGTTTTGAAGTAGACACTAAAATAATGAAGAAAATGTTGGATTGTATTCGGTATGTTTTATTTTAAAAGGTAGGAAAATATAACAATCATTAAATTGCCATATGCCAATCAAATAATAAATGACTAATATTTTAAAAATTGGGATTAGGTCTGTTTACCAAGAGAATTTATTTTTGTGAAATAGTTCCTTTTCCAATGATACCAACTAAATGAGATTTTATTCTACTCTGTTAATATGAAACATTCCACTTACCCTAGCTAGAAGGGATTCAACTTACATACAGTAATTTTATCATCGTGTCTCCAACAGTAGACTCTTAAAATAATATAGGAAATAATGCCTGTGATTGTAATCCTCTACCAAATGATCCTTTTTGTATGGTTTTTTTTTTTTTTTTTAGACTGAGTTTTGCTCTTTTTGCCCAGGCTGGAGTGCGGTGGCACAATCTCATCTCACTGCAACCTCTGCCTCCTGGGTTCAAGAGATTCTCCTGCCTCAGCCTCCCGAGTAGCTGGGATTAACAGGCACATGCCACCACCCCCAACTAATTTTGTATTTTTAGTAGAGATGGGGTTTCACCATGTTGGCCAGGCTGGTCTTGAACTCCTGACCTCAGGTGATCCACCCACCTCGGCCTCCCAAAATGCTGGGATTACAAACTTGAGCCACCATGCCCAACCTTTGTATGGCTTTTTAAAAAACTCTGAATAATCCAGAAGAGAAGTATTTATGGTCATTTTATTTTATATTTTGAGGCAGGGTCTCACTCTATTTCCCAGGCTGGACTGCTGTGGTATGATCATGGCTCACTGCAGCCTCAACCTCCTAGGCCCAAGAGATCCTCCCACCTCAGCCTCCTGAGTAGCTGGAACTACAGACACACACCACCAACACCACCATGCCCAGTCAGTTTTTAATTTTTTTTTTTTTTTTTTTTAAGACAGAGTCTCACTCTGTTGCACAGGCTGGAGTGCAGTGACACGATCTCTGCTCACTGCAACCTCCCATCTCCCGGGTTCAAGCAATTCTCGTACCTCAGCCTTCTCAGTAGCTGGGATTACAGGCGCATGCCACTACGCCTGGCTAATTTTTGTATTTTTAGTAGAGACAGGGTTTTACCATGTTGGCCAGGCTAGTCTTGAACTCCTGACCTCAAGAGATCCACCCACTTCGGTCTCCCAAAGTGCTGGAATTACAGGTGTGAGCCACCATGCCCAGCCGGTTTTTTAAATTTTTTTGTGGAGAAAGGGTCTCACCATGTTGCCCTGAGTGGTCTTCAACTACTGGACTCAAGTGATCCTCCCACCTCGGCTTCTCAAAGTACTGTGATTGATTTTATTTTACTTTTGAAAGCATTCCAAACATTTCAATTTGATCAAATTTTAAACCATGTGAATAGAAATACAGACATATATACATTATTTAAAAGATTTTGACACCTAAATTATGAACGTTTTCAATGTTTAGCCTGAATTTATAAGTATCTGAGTCTCCACTATTCTGCTCTCAGTTTAGTATTGTTTTCTACAGAAAGTCAGAAATATAAAATGAGTCAGTATTTACCTTTAGCATTCTTTTAGTTTACAAGGTCTTGATACTAAAACAACTTTTTTTTTTTTTTGGACAGGGTCTCACTCTGTCACCCAGGCTTGAGTGTAGTGGCACAATCATAGCTCACTGCAGCCTCAAACTCCTGGGCTCAAGTGATCCTCCCACCTCAGCCTCTCGAGTAGCTGAGACTACAGTCACTGTGCCCCATCACACATCTGACTAGTTTTTTTTTTTTTTTTTTTTTTTTGTAGAGACAGCGTCTCACTTTGTTGCCCAAGCTCTCTCAAACTCCTGGCCTCAAGCAATCCTCCCGCCTAAGCCTCCCAATATGCTGGGATTATAGGCATGAGCCACCTCGCCCAGCCTCCAAAACATTTTTTTAACATCTATAGAGTTAATAAATTATTCACATTCTATTTGTGTTTGAGGGGACAGTTTTAGAGCAATAGTCATAAGGTGAACAAATACGAAAGTGAGGATAAAAATTTACAAAATGAAAATTTATTCCTGTATTATGAATGCTTTCAGTTTAATAATTTGCTCTTCTTTTGTAGCAGAGAAGGCATTTAGTATTCACCAAAAATGCAGAGTTCATGAAAGTATATATTTTGTAGTTTTTCTCTCAGTGTCTTCTGAATAATTTTCTAAATGATACCTGGTTCCTCCCATTTGATTAATCTGATACTTAGATTAATGGCTTTTCTTACTCAAATAAAATTAATCCTACTTATTCATAATTTATAGATACTATCTGTATATTAGGAAATATACTTTGCTTCAAATTGCAGTTACTATTAAGTCTCCCAAGAGTTTACTTTCTACATTTTTTTCACATTTATTTTTATTTAGAAAGGACTAAAGTAATTGTATATAATAGAATTAACATAAACATTAAAATTAACCTTAATGAGCCAACTTTATGCATATTCACTAATGGTTTCTGTGACAAGTATAACTAGGTTTTGCGTGCATAGAAAAAAATGTGGAGTAATTAATACCAAAATGTATATTCTGGTGTAGGTCGGGGACTTAGGTCTTAATTTGGCTTTTTTGCCTTTCGTATGCAGTGCTAGTTTCCAAATACCACCAACTTTTTTATAGTGACTCTTTTTAGAGACTGTTTCTCTCTTCGTCTATAAAAACATGAACATATCATCAACATCATTAGTCACTAGGAAAATGCAAAATAAAACCACATTTTCCACCTTCCCGAATGGCTAAAATAGAGACAAACTAACAATTGGCGAGGATGTGCAAAAACAGGAACCCTCGTACAGTGCTGGTGGGAATGTAAGACGGGGCTGCCACTTTAGAAAACAGTTAGGTTGTTTCTTAAAAAGTTAAACATAAATTTGCCATATGCCCCAGCAGTTCTACTCCTAGGTAATAATTACCCAAGAGAAATATATCCACACAAAGACTTGGACATAAACGTTCTTGGCAGCTTTATTCATAATAGCTTGAAACTGGAAGCAACCTAAGAAGCATCCATCAACTGGTGAATGGATAGATAAAATGAGGAGTACCCCGATGGTGGAATATTACTCAACAGTAAAAAGAAATGAAGCACTGATACGAGGAGCTACAGCAGGGACAAGTCTCAAAAGTGTGCTAAGGGAAAGAAGCAAGACACCAGAGTCTCCATATTGTATGATTCTCTGTATATGAAATGTCCAGCAAAAGCAAATCTGTAGAGACAGATTAGTGCTTGGGAGAGAAGATGGGAATGAGGATCAACAGTAAATGGGCATGTGGGATCTAATTGAGGTGATGAAAATGTTTCAAAACTGTTTTATGGTAATGGTTCCACAACTTGGTAATTTACTACAAATCATTGAATTGTGTACTTTGAATGGATAAATTAGGACACGTAAAATATGCCCCAATAAAATTGTAAAGAAATATATTGTCAAATACAACCCACAGTGTATCAAAAGGATACACTCTGACCAGAAAGGTCTTTTTCCAGGAATACTAAAATGATTATTAAGAAATCTATGAAGGGGCAAGGCATGGTGGCTCATGCCTGTGATCCCAGCACTGTGGGAGGCCAAGGTGGGAGGATCACTTGAGGTCAGGAGCTCAAGACCAGCCTAGCCAACATGGTGAAACCCTGTCTCTACTAAAAATACAAAAATTAGCTGGATGTGGTGGTGCATGCCTGTAATCCCAGCTACTGAGGAGGCTGAGGCAGGAGAATTGCCTGAACCTGGGAGGCAGAGGTTGCAGTGAGCTGAGATTGCGCCACCACACTCCAGCCTGGGTGACACAGAGACTTCCCGTCTCAAAAAAAAAAAATCTATGGAAGTCTATATTATCTTTATTGAATATAATAAAAATAGATGACTAAATGTTACAGCAACTATTATCCTAAATAATGAAACACTAAAACCATATCAATTCAAACCAGAAACAAGATACTCTGTATCGGCCTAATTATTTAACATTTTTTAGAAGGCTTTAGCAATTGCAATAATAAAATAATTGGCATACACATTAGAAAAAGATACTCAACTATCCCTATTTGGTGACAGTTATGATTATTTGCATAACACGTAGAGTTTAATAAGGGAATTTGGTAAAGTAATAGGTTAATACAAGTGTAATCAGTAGATTTTCTCTCCTGCAAAACATATATGAAATAAACTTTTAAAACCCATTCCCAATAGCAATGAAAATAATAAAATATATAGGAAATATATAATCAAGAAAGGTATAATATGTAGAAACCTATAGAATAAATGGAAAGGCTTCTTGAACAGAAAGACTTAATATAAAAATATCAGTTCTCCAAAAATTAATAAAATTAATAAATTTAATTAATAAATAAATTTAAGTTCTTATTAGAATTCCAAGAGAATCAGGATAAAAAGAACTGAATAAATTTGTCTTAAGTTTACATGAAAAATAAAGGCACAAAAATACCGAAGGAAGCTATGAAAGTTAACAGCGAGGGAAAACTTAAAAATACTGGGTATCAGAATATGCTATAAAGACACTGTAATATACTATTTAGAAATAGGAATAGACAAATAGATCGATAGAACAGAATAAAGAATAAAAAAAAACAAATCTCATATACTTTGAGATCTATTTATGAGAATGTAGTATGGCCAAGATTCAATTCAGCTGGAAATGGAGGGGGTTATTTAATAAGTGGTACAGAACTGGCTACTGATCTTAAAGAAAATAAAAATGCTCCTCCACTCATACTCTATTTAAACATTAATTTCAAAAAAATGAATTTCACATGGATCAATGGCCTAAATGAAAGAAAGCAATAAAATCTTGCCAGATAATCCAGAAGACTACATCTACAAACTGAAGCAAAAAGACAAGACTTTGTAACCAGGACTATGAAAAGAAAGACACATATTTGATGACCTAAATATGAAAAATTATTTGAATGGCAAAAGTATTATGAAACAACCTTAATAGACAAATGATTAAAAATCTAGAAAAATACAATTGAAAAATAAAGGATTAGTGTGTGTATTACAAGGAACTCTTAAAATTTTTAATCAAAAGATAGTAGAAAAGAGGCAGATAAAGGAAGAAAAAAGTACAAATGGTCAAAATATTTTAAAATGCTTATATTCACTTATCAGGAAAATTCAAATTAAAGGGAAAATGTGATATCATTAACAAAAAGAGCTAAAACACTTATTCCTGGCAGGAATGTTGTGCTCTTGTGCTCTTATACATGGCTGTAATGGAATGTGAGCCACTTTGCTATACATGGCTATAATGGAATGTGAGCCACTTTGGAAAATCTGACAACATTGATCATACACATAGACACACACAGATACACATATATGTGCACACACATGCATACATAACATACATACATATATACTTTGACCCACCTGGAGTCAATTCAATTCTTACAAATCTATCCTATAAAGGTAAAAATTAATACATAAGGACTTCTGTACTGGACTTGTTTTTAGTAGCAGAAAAAAGTATGTTTACATATACACGTATATATATACATATATATACATATGTATATATGTATGTACATACTGAAACAAAATTGATGTCTGTAATAAGGAAATGGCTAAAAAATTAGCATATCTATATACTATGGAGTATTATTCAGTTATTAAAAAGAATAAATCAGAACTATACCTTTTCAGAAGACCTGGAGGAATTTTCTTGAGATAATGTTGAGTAAAGATGGTAAGATGCAGCAAAGTATATAATAAAACAATTAGTAAAAGAAAAAACTGTAAAAATTATTACATATATTTATATATGTTATACATATAAATGTATGAGAATTATGTCAGCAGAGGTTTGCATAAATATGAAGAAAATATGAAAGGCTGCACACCAGGTTGTTTATAAGGCAGGGAAGAATTGCAGGATGGGGAGGGGCAATGGAGAACCAAGCACAAAAGGAAAAGATTTTTAATTTTTTTTGTTTTATTTAATTTCCAATGTGATCATATTTTCATTTTATTTTTTAAAAGACAAGGTGTAATCATATTTGTGCTAAACATATAAAAATTGTATTTGTGTTATATAAATATATAAAGCTGGATTCAGTGACACAAAAGGGATTTTAATGTTTTTAGACCAATCACTGTTTGGAGTTCTTTTCCCCTTGAGAAACTGGTAACTTTTGTTTTTGCAGTTGTGAGCTGAACATCATTTAGCAAAGTTAAGTGAACGCAGCATAATTAGTCAACTCCTACTTATAATTATTCTTCCATTAGAATTATTTCTGATTTTAATAGTAAAATTATTTATTTTAGAAAATCTGGAAATTATAGAAAAGTAGTAAAAAAAACTTTATTTAAAAAGCACCAGTATTCCTACTACCCAGAGATAAGCACTACAGTACTAAGATTTTAGAGTATACCATTTATGCTACTTGTGTTTTGTTTTTCAATGAAATTTAAAATGTAAATCTTGTAAATGTTGCATATTTTAGTTAAAAATATGTGCCTATGCTTGAATTTTTTAAAAATATGTAAAATCCATTTGAGAACTATGTCATTTTTTTCTGTAAACCCTACCATTTTCTTAGTCATTCAGTATACATACCTACTATTCTTTTCTAGTTCCTGGCAGACATGGAAAATAATGTACTTTTTCGGGATGATATAGAATGTCAGAAACTCATTATGGAAGCAATGAAGTACCATTTATTACCAGAGAGACGACCCATGTTACAAAGTCCTCGGACAAAACCTAGGAAGTCAACTGTTGGTACATTATTTGCAGTTGGGGGAATGGATTCAACAAAAGGTATCAAATAATCTTTTATTTGGGGAGGGAGGACCAGAGAAAAAGATATTTTAATAAGTGTATATATGGCCAAAGAACTCTTTGGA
Organism: Homo sapiens; assembly: GCF_000001405.40. Lineage (NCBI taxonomy): Eukaryota > Metazoa > Chordata > Mammalia > Primates > Hominidae > Homo > Homo sapiens. The sequence goes on from NC_000004.12 coordinate 39,096,965, forward strand.
GAAATGGCTGGCTGCAGGACAGGGGCAGAAAAAGTACCAGATAATTGTGTAACATCCTCTAGGCCAGAAAATAAGGAAGTGCTCAAAGAATGATGGAGATAGGTCAAAAGACACAGGAAACAGCTTGCAGGGGCTACTACTGTACAAATCTGGGATAATTTGAGCATCAAAATAAATAATAGTAAAATATTATAACCTATGAAATCAGTAAGTTTCCACGGTTCCACACCTATACAAATAAACAAGGGAGAAAGGAAAGCTCTTCCTTACAGAAGAATGCCAACGAATGAATATAGAAGGAAAGATGAGATTACAAAAGTTACCATTTAGTAACCACCAATAACCAATTCAGTCAAGAATTATCAGCGGATGCTGAGACTAGTGGGAAAAGTTTGAGAACAAGATAGTCTAAAAGTGTCTCTCAGCCACATGTTTACTAGTTACAAAGAGTAAAATAGTGTATTTACAGTAGAAAAACCTGGCACACAGCACTTAAGCAAACGATCAAAGATAATGTTGACAGAAATCAGACTAAGCAGCAGCATTGTGCAAGATAGGTTGCACGGAGAACTTAGCCGCCCATCTATGCCGTCCTTGCCAGGAGCATATAACCTGAATCTAATCATGAGGAGGAAACAAATCTAAGTTGAGAGACAGTCTACAAAATAACTTATCTGTCTATAGTATTCAAAAATGTCAGTGTCATGAAATATAAAAAAGATTCAGAAATTGTTCCAGATTATAGGAGACTAAAGAGACATGACAGCTATTATAATGCATCATCTTGGATTTTCTTTTGCTGTAAAGGACGTAACTGAGACAAATGATAAAATCCAAACAAGGTCTGTAGATTAGATAATAACATTGTATAAATGTTAATTTCAGGCCAGCTACTGTGGCTCACGCCTGTAATCTTAGCACTTTGGGAGGCCGAGGTGGGTGGATTGCTTAAGGTCAGGAGTTTAAGACCAGCATGGGCAATATGGTGAAACCCCATCTCTATCAAAAATACAAAAAAATTAGCCCAACAATGGTGGTGCATGCCTGTAGTCCCAGCTACACGTGGGAGGCTGAGGCAGGAGGATCACCTGAGGCCAGGAAACAGAGGTTGCAGTGAGCCGAGATTGCACCACTGCACTCCAGCCTGGGTGACAGAGCAAGAATCCATCTCAAAAAAAAAAAAAAAAAGTTAATTTCCAGATTTTGATTATTGTATTTTGGTCTTATAATTTCTCATTTTGAGGAAGATACACTGAGTATTAGGGGTATAATGCCATCATTTCTGCAAGTTACTGTTTTTTTGTTTTTTTTGTTTTGAGATAGAGTCTTGTTCTGTCACCCAGGCTGAAGTGCAGTGATGCTATCTCAGCTCACTGCAACCTCTGCCTCCCAGGTTCAAACAATTCTCCTGCCTCAGCCTCCTGAGTAGCTGGGACTACAGGCACATGCCACCACACATGCCTGACTAATTTTTGTATTTTTAGTAGAGATGGGGTTTCACCATATTGGCCAGGCTGGTCTCAAACTCCTGACCTCAAGTGATCTGTCCGCCTCAACCTCCCAAAATGCTGGGATTACAGCTATGAACCAGCGCACCGGGCCACAACTTTTTTTTTTGAGATGGAGTCTCGCTCTATCACCCAGGCTGGAGTGCAGTGGCATGATCTCGGCTCACTGCAAGCTCCGCCTCCTGGGTTCACACCATTCTCCTGCCTCAGCCTCCCGAGTAGCTGGGACTACAGGCACCTGCCACCATGCCCCGCTAATTTTTTTGTACTTTTAGTAGAGATGGGGTTTCACCACGTCAGCCAGGATGGTCTTGATCTCCTGACCTCGTGATCTGCCCTCCTCGGCCTTCCAAAGTGCTGGCATTACAGGCATGAGCCACAGTGCCCGGCCACAACTTACTCTTAAAACAGTTCAGGAAAAAAAAAATACCTACATAGCAAATACAGTAAAAAGTAAACATTTGGGAAAACTGGGTCAAAGGAATCTTAAGAATTCTTTGTACCACTCTCACAAGTTATTATTAATATTAAAAATAGGCCAGGATTATGCCTGTAATCCCTGCACTTTGGGAGGCCAAGGCGGGTGGATCACTTGAGGTCGGGAGGTTGAGACCAGCCTGGCCAACATGGCGAAACCCCATCTCTACTAAAAAATACCAAAAAAAATTAGCCAGGCATGGTGGCAGGTGCCTGTAATCCCAGCTACTCAGGTGGCTGAGGCAGGAGAACCACTTGAACCCGGGAGGTGGAGGTTGCAGTGAGCTGAAATCATACCACTGTACCCCAGCCTGGGCAACAGAGCAAGAGTCTGTCTCAAAAAAATAATAATAGCTAAAAATAATAGCAATAAACACTATGCACAGTGCCTACAGGGTGTCAGTATTATGCTAGAAGCTTTCTGTGTGTTATCCCTCAATATGCATTGATCTCCCCTTTCTTTGAACTCCTAGTACTAGCAGGCTTCAATCTCCTGACAATCTCTCTGACTTCTGGCTACCTCTCTGATGTCAGCTCATTCTATTAATACTTCTTCCCTCACTGATGCTTTTATTTCAACCCCATTGGCCTTTTCATTCATCTAACAGGCCAAACATTTTATCCATATCCAGGATATTGCTTTAGCTGATGCTCTCACTGGCATGCTCTGCCCCCGGATATTGAAGTACCTAGCAGAAATTATTCACTCAAATCTCTCAAATGTCAGCTTACCAAGGAGCCCTTCCATGACCATTCAATAGCAACCCCCGACTACCACTTTCTAACCTGAATAACATATAACATAGCGCTATTTATTTGTAGATGCTTAAGTTTTAGATATAGGCCTGATGACTGCATGGTACAGAAATAAATAACTTAAGATAACTGATTAGGGTTACAGTATAAATATTTCAACATTGGAAAAGATTTTCCATTGTTCAGATAATCTGCAAATACTTATTAAGTATCATCTGTGTACCTGGAACTGGTGCTAGCTTTTGTAGTCATTACTAGCACTCTTCTTCTCCCTCTTTTTCTCTCCTTTTCAAGGCTTTAACTGTTATCTCTATATTTATGTATAATACCCTCACTTTGATTTTATTCTCATATTTCCAACTTGTATAAAATATCTATTTGATGCTCAGCTTTTAACTCAAACTTGGTACATGGAAAGGGAAGGAAACTTGCCTTGGTACATGGCAAGGAAAATGCGTATCTGTCTTTTCAGCTTTCTGGGAGATGAGTTCCTGCTTCCCATCAAGGCTCATACATACAGTGGAAAACTCCCCAAGCTTGGGAAGGGGACTAGATACTAAGCACCCAAAGTAAACAATTCTCATTCTCTCTCTGTCTCTCTGGAACCTTAAATTCTGACAGTCATCAGGTCTTTTTTCAAATGGGCCTTATATCTAATTCTTCCAAATTTCTGCTGCCATCCTTCTAATTCCAGTTAGCCTTCTGTCAGCCTACATATTTTGGTCATGTTAATTTAGAGGGAATAGCATTCATTATGTTGTTAATATATGGAAGGCATTATGCTAAGCACTTAGCCTATATTATTTCATTTCATCTTCTTAACAGTTCTCTTTTATAGATAGGGAAGCTAAGACTTGGAGAACTTAAGCAACTTTCCAAAGATTAGACAACTAATTAGTGATAAGATCAAGATTCAAACAGGCATTTTGGCTTTGGAGATGATACTCTACTCCATTAACTCTTCAGTGAACATGCCATTATTCTGCTCAAAAACTCCAGCAGTCTATTTCTTACCACATAAGATGCAAATGCCTCATTTAAGACTTTCTCTAATCTGGCCCTTCTGTTTGACCAACTTTATTTCTGAGTTTTTTTAGTGATTAAATATTCTGACCTATCCTGTTCAAGCTATCTGCCTGGCCCTAATTTATCTTATTTCCCATCTTTGTAATGAAGAGCAGTTTGCCTTAGTCGGTTGGTAGTCTGACCATTGGACTCTTGGTCCCTTCATATATCTGTTTAGTATAGGGCCAAACAAATCAGCTAATACGGGCTCCAAATAGCCACTGTGAAAATGTTAGAGTATATTTGTGCTTACTTTTATAAAAGGTTAATTATTTGGTATAAATTAGGGAAGTCCCAAGCATTTACATAAAATTTTATAATTATTAGGATTTTGTTAATTTTGGATATTTGGATTTTATATATATATATATATATATCTACCTGAGACTGTGTTTTAATATCTTTATGTTTGAAATTAGCAAAATAACTTTTAGTTACCAATTCATATGAATATGATACTGCTTAGTAAACTAGATCTAAAAGAAATAACTTAAAATTCAAAAGAAAAGTATTCCCTAAATGTATTCATGAAGAAAGATGATTAGCTTTTTATTTGTTGGAGGGAATTTTCTAATTTGATTTGATTTATTTAATGGAAGGGATAATATTTTAAGATCAAATTTAGAGTAATTAAATATACTATTACTATGTATGTTACTATTATAATGTAAGCATATGAGTAAAAAACCTCACTATAGCTAGAAACTATAAAGAAAAAGTATTCAAACATATTTTTCAACAGCTGTACTAAGTATAAGGGACTCTGTTTGGTGCTGTGAAAAATACAGAGGTAAAGGCCGGGCAAAATGGCTCATGCCTGTAATCCCAGCACTTTGGGAGGCCAAGGCGGGAGGATCACTTGAGGCCAGGAGTTCGAGACCAGCCTGGCCAATACAGCAAAACCCTGTTTCTACTAAAAATACAAAATATTAGTTGGGAGTGGTGGTACATACCTGTAATCCCGGTTTGGGAGGCTGAGGCACAAGAATTGCTTGAACTTGGGAGGTGGAGGTTGTGGTGAGCCGAGATCATACCACTGCACTCCAGCCTGGGTGATAAAGCAACAGTCTGTCTCAAAAAAAAAAAAAAATATATATATATATATATACACACACACACACACACATATACACACACACACATATATATATACATATATACACACATATATACACACATATATATACACACACATATATATGTATACATATATATATATATATGCATGCAGAGGTAGAAAAAGACTTGTCTATCCCAAATAATTTAGAATTCTGTAGGGTAAATAAAAAATAATAAAAACTATAACACGAGAAAATCTATATGTATAACACAACTATTTCTAAATTTTAGGAAGTTATCAATAATACTAGTGCTCTGATGACCAAATTATAACAAATACTTTAGAATAAGTGTTAGTCAAGATTATAATTCTATAAGGCTAGCGCGGCTTACATGATGTATTAGAAGCTTAGAAGAGAGAAGTGGGTTCTAGTTGAACTCTTCACAATTGGGGGTTAGGTTTTTTTAGAGGGTTTTGTTTTTTTTGTTTTTTTAAACATCTGCTCATCTTAACTCATAAAGAGAACAAAGGAGTCCTGGAATCTTCCAATTCTTAAAAAAAAAAAAAAAGAAAAGAAAAACATAGATGCCTTCAGGCAGCAACTTCCTGAACTCCCTACCGTCATAGTTCCCAAAGTACCCGATCCGTACTTACCCCGCCCTTGCTTATTGCAGTAGAATATGTTCCCTCCTCCCGTGAAAGACAGCTCTTCTGCCTATGCCCTGGATACTGTGCTTTCCTGCCTCCCCACGAACCATAATGAACATGGTTCATTATGTTCGTTATGATCCCTTTCATCTCCTGTATTTTTAGCTGCTTTCCTCTCAACCAGATCCTTTTCATTCACATTTAAGCAAACTCTGAGTTTTCAAATTTTCAAAGCAAAACAAAACAAAACCTTCCTCAACTCTTCTAGTAATTTCTATCTCTCCTTACTTTGATAGCCAGACTTCTCAGAAGAATCTTCTATGCTCACTGTGTTTCTTCATCTCCCAGTCACGTCTCAACCACTCAATAAGGAACCTCCCCCTGAAGTCATCAGTGACCTCTGTGTGGCTAAATCCAATAATACTTCTGAGTCTTCATCTTATTTGATCCTTTCAGTAGGATACTGTTAGCAGACCTACTGCTATAAACTTTCTTCCTTTGGCTTCCATGACACTTAACGCCTCTGCTTTTTTCTCCCCCGCTTCTGGGTGTTGTTTCTCACCCTCCTTTGACAGTTAATCCTTGTCCATTTGACCTTTTCTTACTGGGGCCTGTGTATGCCCTGGAGAATAGTAGGAGATGAGGACACAGAGGTAGGCAGAGGCTAGATCATGCAGGACCTTCATGAAATATAATAAAATTATTATTCTCAATGCTAATAAGATTATATTTTTGTATCTGTAATTTCATAAAATTACCAATCATGGTATAATTTCTATTTACATAACTTCTATATATTACTATGAAGGAGCAACAAGCATTGAAAAGTATGATCTCCGTACAAATATGTGGACTCCAGTAGCAAATATGAATGGGAGGAGGCTACAGTTCGGTGTTGCAGTGCTAGATGACAAACTGTATGTGGTTGGAGGAAGAGATGGACTGAAGACTTTGAATACTGTAGAGTGCTACAACCCCAAAACAAAAACTTGGAGTGTGATGCCACCTATGTCCACACATAGACATGGCCTTGGTAAGTACAACTATGCAGATTCACTCAAAATATCACATAGCTCCCACGGCACATTTACATTCTGAACCAGGCAGAGGACCCGTGTGGCAGCCACTGCGTCAGCAGCAGTCACCAAGCATTCCTCACATGCTGCAATAAAGAATTTGGTAGGTCATCATAAAAGATGAGGCCGGATGCAGTGGCTCATGCCTATAATCCCAGCAATTTGGGAGGCCAAAGCAGGAGGATTGCTTGAGCCTAGGAGTTCAAGACCATCCTGGGCAACATAGGAAAAAAGTCTCTACAAAAAATTTAAAAATTAGCTGGGAAATTTTTTTTTTTTAATTAAAAAATTTGGTGGCTTGGCCTATAGTCCCAGCTACTCAGGAGGCTGAGGAGGGAGAATCATTTGAGCCTGGGAGGTCAAGGCTGCAGTGAGCTGTGATTGTGCCACTGTACTCCAGCCTGGCAAAACATCTATCTCAAAAAAAAAAAAAAAAAAAAGGATCAATACCAGTGAAGGTATGGTTGAGTTTAGATAGTATGGTTTATACAATACTCAATTTATTAATACCACCAGAGTAGAGGCTTCCCCCAAATAACAATAGAGAGTAATGAAAACTCTCTAGGGATGAAGATTGAAATGGGAATGGTGGTGGGTACAGTAAAAGATCAAAGAGACATAGATTTCCACTAGTTGTAATTAGTTCTCAGTGAAAGATGATTTTAAGTTTGATAAGGAAATAAAACCAGAGGGTTAAGGCAAAGACACAGAGAAGGAGCTTAAAATTAACTATATGAAATTTAACACAGTAAACTTGTAAAACATTACTCCTGAGTCCATAAAATCAACTATTATATAGGCACAGACTGGGAAAATGTGAGTTAAGCATGAATGAGACTTAGAAATTTGGGTTGACCATAAAATCCAGGGTAAATAGAGTGAGTCAACTGCGTGCTTCCCCTCCCCTACCATGGGGAAGAAAATATAATTCTAACACAGGCTAAATCCTTATGGATATAGTACATAGAATGTGATTGCTCATAGTCCAGCTGTTTCGTGCAGATGACATTGTGCATTGAATACTGTCATTAGTTCTAGGTGCCATACAAAAGACTTTATTGAACTGCAGCAAGTTGAAAGGAAAATGATCACATAGCTCAAAACTGTCTTCTTTAAGCCCTAATTTAAAATTTTTGTGTCATTCAAAGCAGCAATGTTCTTATTAAGTTACCTTATAATTAAATAACTGTTACAAATTTGAACTTAAGAAATAAACTTTTTTTTTTTTTTGAGACGGAGTCTCGTTCTGTTGCCAGGCTGAAGTGCAGTGGCACAATCTCGGCTCACTGCAACTTCCGCCTCCCGGGTTCAAGTGATTCCCCTGCCTCAGCCTCCCTAGTAGCTGGGACTACAGGCATGTGCCACCACGCCCAGCTAATTTTTGTATTTCCAGTAGAGACACGTTTCACCATGTTGTCCAGGATGGTCTCGATCTCTTGACCTCGTAATCTACCCAACTCAGCCTCCCAAAGTGCTGGGATTACAGGCATGAGCCACCACGCCTGGCCTAAAATAAACTTTTAAGAAACATTCCTTTTATCTCTTCATATGTGGTAATTATATGAAAATTTCATTTAAAAAAGGAGTTCTGCTAAATTTTTTTTTTTTTTGAGACAGGTTCTTGCTCTGTCACCTAGGCTGGAATGCAGTGGTATGTTTTTGGCTCACTGCAACCTCTTCCTCCTGGGCTAAAGCAGTCCTCCCACCTCAGCCTCTCTAGTAGCTAGGACTATAGGCATGCACCATCACACCTGGCTAATTTTTTAATTTTTGGTGGAGACAGGGTTTCACTATGTTACCCAGGCTGATCTCAAACTCCTGGGCTCAAGCAACCTGCCTGCCTCAGCCTCTCAAAGTGCTAGGATTATACTTGCGAGCCACTGCACCAGGCTTAAAATTTATTTTCAAAGTCATTTTTTAATGGGTTGAATTAGGTGAACCCCTTAAGTTTTCTGCCCCCTTTGACATATTATGCATTACATATATATGTATATATGTAAAATTAGAGATATACATATATCATAAACATGTATATACAGTATGTGTATATATTATATATGTATATTTTAATGTGTATTTATATGTTTATATATATACACATATAAAATGTGTATATGCACATATATACATATAAATAACATGCATGCATATTTATATACACATATATGTGTGTATATATGTATACACACACACACACACACACACACACACACACACACATAAAATCTCCAAAAGCTAGTACTGGTGGGGCACAATATATAACATATGAGTGGAACAATCTGTTGATTTGGATCATGCATGAATGATGAGTATTTTTCTTATCTGGCTGTGATTTCACAAATTAAAATATATCTGTAATACAGGGGTTCTTTTGGCCCCCAAGTGACATATTTTATCTCACCTGGCCATGATCATGTCGCACCTCTTCTCAAATCCCTCTACCTCAAAGCCATCTCAAAGCCATCATGGAGACCGTTCTCCATCTCATTCAGAATAAGATCCGAAGTCCTTACAAGAGATAAGATCAGAGTCCTTATCTGCAGTCTCTGACTGTCCTGCATGATCTGGCTCCACACTCTCCCCCATCTCTTACATTTCCCCCTCACTCACCCTGCCTAGCCAGACTGGCCACCTTGTTGTCCCTTAGACACAGTGAGCATACCTCAGGACCTTTGCACGTGCCGTTTCCTCTGCCTCACCTTCTCTTTCCCCAGCTATCTCCAAATCTGGTTTCCCAACTTCATTCACATTCCTGCTTAAATGTTACCTTATCAGAAAGGTCTCCCCTGACCCTCTCTATCCTTTTACTCTGCACCACTTTTTAAATTAGCACTTGTTATTACCTAAAATATATTTTATGTCTATTTCCTGACTATAAGATTTATGAGGGCACAGCCCTTACCCGTTATATTCTATTGAGTGCCCGGTACTTAGTAGACATGCAGTAGGTATTTGTTGAATAAATTAACAAATGAGTCTAGCTCAGCTCCGTGCTGATGAATCATACCAATAGATTATGGTATCAAATCTAACTATAGTAAAATCTCATGAATTTGAATTAACAGGGGGGAAGGTATAAAAATACTTTTCCAAATATATCTTAAATCCAAATTGTTGAAAAATGTTTTAAATAGTAGCAATGTATGCATCTGGTGCAGTTTTAAAATAATTTTCCACTGTTGTACCTAAAAATATTGCCTCTAAAACTTTTAATTTTTTTTAGAGACAGCGTCTCACTCTGTCATCCGGGCTGGAGGTGTGATCATAGCTCAATGCAACCTGAAACTCCTGAGTTCAGGGGATCTTTCACCTTGGCTAAGACTATAGGTGATGCCATCACGCCTGGCTAATTAAAAAAAAAAAAAATTTGTAGAGATGGCACTCTTGCTGTGTTGCCCAGGCTGACCTCAGAAGAGATCCTTCCACCTTGGCCTCTCAGAGCTCTGGGATTACAGGCTTGAGCCACCGTTCCCAGCCTCTAGAACTTTTTTTTTTCTTTTTTTTTTTTTTTGAGACGGAGTCTCACTCTGTTGCCCAGGCTGAAGTGCAGCAGCATGATCTTGGCTCACTGCTACCTCTGCCCCCAAGGCTCAAGCGATCCTCCTGCCTCAGCCTCCCAAGTAGCTGGGATTACAGGTGCCCGCCACCATGCCTGGCTAATTTTTGTATTTTTAGTAGAGAAGAGGTTTTGCCATATTGGCCAGGCTGGTCTCAAACTCCTGACCTCAAGTGATCCTCCCACCTGGGACTCCCAAACCGCTGAGATTACAGGCATAAGTCACCGTGCCTGGGCAGTCTCTAGAACTTTTAAACCAGAACTACCGTGCTATTTCAACCCACCCACCCACCCACCGACCTACTAAGAATAGTGAGGAGGACACTTGTCTGCATCATAAATGTTTACTCAGTTCTATTTGTATGTTTAAGGCTTATTGTACTTATACTTCAATTAAAATGTGATTTTTAAGACAGCAGCCAATCTGAAGTCGTTAATTGTTTCCTGTCTCCTCATAGGTGTGGCTGTACTGGAAGGTCCCATGTATGCCGTAGGAGGACATGATGGCTGGAGCTATCTGAACACAGTGGAAAGATGGGACCCTCAGGCTCGCCAGTGGAATTTTGTTGCCACTATGTCTACCCCTAGGAGTACAGTAGGTGTGGCAGTACTAAGTGGAAAGTAAGGAAATATTTAAAGTTCCATTTAAAATGCAATACACCAAATTTATTAAGCTATATCATTTCTAATTTAAAGATATACATAAATACTTACAGTGATTTGAAGAAACTTTTAAAACAATGTCTCTTTCTATAATAGTTGTAAATATATTGTTTTAATAGTTGTTAAGCTAGGCTTTCATTTTAATGTGCAGATACTATACATTTTTAGTTATCATTTTGAGTGAAGACATTTTATATTAATGTTCAATATTAATAAGTTGTACTATAAAAATCTGGTATATCTATATTAAAATAATATAATTTAAAAGTATATTATCTATATTATGTTTAAAAGTATATATGGTCTTTTAAAAGTAGTGTAGTCTTTCTCAGTGTTTCTCTAAAAATTCCTTCCATCTTTTCTACTGATTTATCTTGACTTTTACCTCTTTTCTTTCTTATCTTGGAAAACTGGTGAAAACTAGAATGGATTTATAAAGAGGTACTCTCTTACCTCTTGTCTGCTCTGAATAAACAAATATAGGTAGAGCCATCACTAATAGCTCTCAGTTACTCAGAGAGTAAATATTTTTTCAGTCCTTTCTTCTTCCATAAAATGAAGCTGTCTGTGGTTGTTAAAGAAAGTTATTTGTGGGGTACCTTTTGCTCATTTAGAATGCTTTATCATTGTTTCCAGAAAAAGAAATGAATCAAGGTTAAAATAGAATTAAAATTATGTATAGAATTGTGTTATTGATTATTATAAGAAAAATGAAAAAAATAGTGAAATTTTTTATATTTTAGGACCTAAGATCTTGTTTCTTCAGGACCTGTCAGTTATGTTCTATTTTTTGATACTTTTTGTAAGCACTATTACATGTGATAAGATGGATAAATGGAAATCACTTTTTAGATGTTTTTTATCTCCATGCCCCTCCCCTCATTTATTTTAGCTAAAGAAATCACTTCAAAGTTCATCACTAGGTATCTTTCTAAACTCTTTGGTAAGAGTCAGCCATTAAAGAATCTAGTAAATGAGAAAAAAAGAAAATGAAACAGTATCTTCTTGGTTTTGACCCTTTGGTTTAAACCTTTGGGATTGATTCATTGGATTAATTTTTGTTCAGCAACATATTTCTTAGCCCTTATTTCTAATAGAGGACAAAAGAATAACTGCCTTCTCTAAAACCTGATTTCCGGACCTACCGTAGCTTAGATTTCTAGGCATAGAAACATCTTACTTACTTACCTTTTCTTGCCCTCTAATGAGAAATATTTCAATCCTTAACCCACCTAAAGTACAGTTAATTGAATATAATTCAGAGACAACCTAATTAATCATATCAGAAGCTAAGGATCTCTAATCTACTAACTATTAAGAAATTTGATTTTGAATGTATAGTATAACTAAAGAATCTGGAGTAAGTAGAAAGTATGCGGTTGGTTGAAAAAAACCAACGATGCATCTTTTCTTATCATTGCTTTGTGATTTAGAACAAATCATTTCTCTGTGCCTCAATTTTTTTATTCTGTAAAATGAAGAGCTTTGATTTTTGTGGTTTTTGTTACTTTAACTTATTACTTATTTATTTCTTTATTTTGAGAGAGAGTCTCACTCTGTCGCCCAGGCTGGAGTGCAGTGGCATGATCTCGGCACACTGCAGCCTCCTCTGCCTCCCAGGTTCAAGCGGTTCTCCTGCTTCAGCCTCCCAAGTAGCTGGGACTACAGGTGTGCACTACCATGTCCAGCTAATTTTTGTATATTTTGTAGAGACGGGGTTTCACCATGTTGGCCAGGCTGGTCTCGAACTCCTGACCTCAGGTGATCCACCCACCTTGGCCTCCCTAAGTGCTGGGATTACAGGCATGAGCCACTGCACCTGGCCTATTTTAACTTATTTATAATTTCTTTTTCTTTTTTTTTCTTTTTTTTTTTTTTGGAGGGGGTGGTGGGGAAGTGGACAGACTCTTGCTCTATCTCCCAGGCTAGAGGGCAGTGGGCAATCTCAGCTCACTGCACCCTCCACCTCCTGGGTTCAAGTGATTCTCCTGCCTCAGCCTCCTGAGTTCCAGTGATTCTCCTGCCTCAGCCTCCCAAGTATCTGGGATTATAGGCACCTGCCACCATGCCCAGATAATTTTTGTATTCTTAATAGAGACAGGGTTATTTACCATGTCGGCCAGGCTGGTCTCAAACTCCTGACCTCAAGTGATCAGCCCACCTTGGCCTCCCAAATCTTAAAATTTTTAAGGTGTTAAAATTTTTCTTCCTACCATGTTTGACAGAAAGAAACCTTATTTAGACTTCCAATTGCTCAGGCTACCTTTAAGCCACTGGCTGGCAAATATTTTTAGCAGTTGAATCTCTCTTTCAAATGAAATCTTAAAAATACCTCAACATTTAAAAGGCAAATGGAAGTTCAAGTTTATTTTAAACTTATTTAAAATGTATTACAAGTTCAAGCATATCATATTTACTTATTATAAAAATCTGTGAAGAAGAGTAAGTGCTGAAGAACAGAAGAATAAACTTTAAAGAACACAGCTTATTTCTGTGTTTTGTCTTGATTGTCTAATATGAGGAAAATCTTGATCCACAGATAAGAGGCTGAAATGGTAACAGTTATTTTAACTACTAGAGTAATTTAATTGGAATTTCAGGAAATTCTTCAGTTAAATTGCCCAGTTTGAAAGTAGTAATAATTTTTTTTCTAAGTTGAATCTCAAACAGTATCTGCCAATTACTTGCATTCCTTTTACTTTTGAGACAGGGTCTAGCTCTGTCGCCCAGGCTGGAGTGCAGTGACACAATTACAGCTCACTGCAGCCTCAACCTCCCTCCCAGGCTCAAGCTATCCTCACACCTCAGCCTCCTGAGTAGCTGGGACTACAGGCATACACCACCATGCCTGGCTAATTTTAAAAAAAATTTTTTTGTAGAGATGGGATCTCACTGTGCTGCCCAGGTTGGTCTCAAATACCTGGGCCTAAGTAATTCTCCCATCTTGGCCTCCCAATGTGCTGGGATTACAGGTGTGAGCCACCGTGCCCAGCCTACTTGCATTCTTGATCATAATTTTAAAAGTCAGGCAAGACCTAAATCTTATTATTAAGTATATATAGGTAGTACAATACTTTCACAACTTGACATAATATTTCTCTTTTTATTGTAATAGACACTATCGTGGTGAAGAGAGATGAGTTCTGAGTCTTACATGGCATTTAATTGAGCCAGGTGATATTTTTGAAAATTAAAAATAATTTTTAAAATTTGAAATTCAAATGAACCATTTTTTAGACTCCCTCAATTTCTTCATAGAGTCCTATTCTTAGAACACAGCTTGAAAATCATTGCTTGAGATAATGATTATTTAGGAAGTGTTACCAATTGGTTTTAACCCTTAATATTAGCTGAATATAAACATTGTTTGTACACTTAAGATCTCCTGTAAGTGCTATTTTCTACAAGAACACAGAGACGTAATTAATTTTTCTCTGTAAATGTTTATGCCATGATTATCATGTACTAGGCAGTGTTCAAAGTACTTTAAATTTAATTATTAAGCATCCTGTGAGGCAGGATTTATAGATGATGAAATTCAGTTGGAGGTTAAATAACTTGTCCATAGTCACACTAGTAAGTGGTAGAACCAGAATGCAAACCCACAGATTCTGGTTCCAGAGTTCATGCTCTTAATCATTGTACTATGCCATTCTTTACAATAAAGTCCCACGAATCCACTGTTCAAGAGGGTAAGATGCTTTAAAGCCTATTGTGTGTGGGTATGTGTGGGTGTGCACACGTGTGCACACACATATGCATGTGTGAATTATTTTAAATCATTGATATTCCTTAATTGTTAAAGGCTTCTCATGTTCTGTGATCCATACTTAGATAACTCTTCTACCAAGTATTAGTTGATGATAAGAATAATATTAAGAACTAGAACATAAACAAGTTACTAATAGATAAAAGTTTTTAACAGATAAAAAGTTTTATGATAAATTTTAATAGATAAGTTTCAAATAAATTTCAATTTCCATACTATTAATATAGTTTAAGTTTAGAACAAGATATTGCTATAACCATATGTTGCTGTTTAAGATATGGTCATCTTATTATTTAAGAAACAGTTTCAGTGACATAGTGGCATACCTTAATTAGGAAATCTGTGGTTAAGTATGTAGATTTACCCAAATATAAATAACTAGAGTTTTAATTGGCAGAAATTTGGGATACTTAAAATATTATTTCTTGAGAAATGATAAAAACAGTTAAGTATTAACTAACATTTGTAAATTCAAAATGTATAATCTTTTCTATGAGCAACAACGTAAATTTACTCTTTTAAAAAACTAGTAGAAAAAATATTTATGGAAAGCTTCCCAAATGAATAGTAAGTACAAGAAGATTTTTGCTTAACAAGAAATATTGTGTTCAAATATTTAAAATATTTTACAAACTTTTAGGTTCAGAGTAAAAGACTTTCAAATTAGTGCAGTGTATTGATTGATAATGAATTTAAATTGATCTACTAGGTAACATTTAGGTTGCTCACATGATAACCTATATCCTTTTCTGCAGTAATTTAAATTAATGAAGGATCATTGTTCATACATAACAAATGTTACTTTTTATGCCATTGTTTCAAGCTATATTTTTATTCTCCTATTTCACTATTACAAGTACATTCTACATGACTGTGTTGACTGTCCAACTGTTCATTAATGAAACTATGTGTCCCAATTCTGCTGCTTACTGGGTGACCCTGTGCAAGTCTCTTACTCTCTGTGAACCCTTGTTTCTTTACACTGTGAAACAGGGATTCAAACAGTTTCTCATATCACTGTGATGATTAAATCGGTACATGTGAAGTGCCTAACCTATGGTAGGTGCTCAGAGAAGGTTAGCTTCTTTCCTTGATAATAAAGTCTTAACTATTAAAAAAAAAGCCATGGTATATTTATACACCATATTTTGTCTATTCTAAGACATATTTTAACACCTCTGAATTTCCATGCATATTACAACCAATGGTGACTTGTCAAAGAGATGGCAGTGATGAAACAGTTGTCACTGCCTTCATGTGCAGTTTGTTTTCCTTTTCATGTATATACAGAGTGATATATGATACTTACATGTGTCATTTCAAACATAGCATACTTTTTTAATGACACACACATTGACAGTGTGTTTTATAACTGATGGCACCTTAAATTCAATGAGATAACAACATAAGAAGAGCCTCTTTGTTCTAAGCATAATGGCACATGTCTTATTTATCATTTCATATATTCTTTTTGCAGACTTTATGCAGTTGGTGGTCGTGATGGAAGTTCTTGTCTCAAATCAGTAGAATGTTTTGATCCTCATACTAATAAGTGGACACTGTGTGCACAGATGTCAAAAAGGAGAGGTGGCGTAGGAGTGACGACCTGGAATGGACTGCTGTATGCTATAGGGGGGCACGATGCTCCCGCATCCAACTTGACTTCCAGACTCTCAGACTGTGTGGAAAGGTAATTTCCTGGGAAGAAAAACTAGGAACAAAAAAGATATATATAAGTCTCTGATACTTACATATATTTGGAGAACGTGTTGGAGAATTGGAAGGGAAAGTCGGCATTCAAAAATGCAAAGCAACTTCACTTTATAACAGCCTGCTCTCACAGGAAGTGATACTTCCAGAAAAATAAGTTTGTATTGAGCATGCACTACATGCAAGGCAATTTTATTTTATATGGGATATTGGACCTAATAAGAAGAGGAGCTTGATGAATTTTAGGCAGAATGACTTAAGGGCTGTAGACTAAATAAAAAGCAAAAAGGATAGGGACATTTCTATGTGTTTTGATATGAAATAAAAAACTAATAATAAGGCTTACAAACGTAAGTCATCCCAACTGGCCTCACAAAACTCAAGTGTGGTGCCAGGTAGAGAGCCAAATAGCAGTGGAAGATTTGGATGGTAGGTCAGGTTCCCATTTATTATGTTTAGTCTAGTACAAGGAATAGAGAGAATTGAATGGATTTAGGTGGTACAATCAATAGGAGCTTGTCTGAACACTCCAAAGCAGAAAGAAATACTGAAAGGCAGCCATTGTGGCTGAAGAGCAAAGAGTGATGGGGAGGGAAAGGCAGGAAAGGAGGCGGAGTGGGCAGGGTGGTGCAGATCATCTAGACTCCTTGAGACATTGTTAAGGGTTTTGGACTATAAAGAAAAATAGGAAGTTAATGAGTGCCCATGTGTGACAGAGAGTGTGTGTGTGTGTTTGTGTCTGTTGGATGTGATCAGATTTTTTTAAAGATTAGTTTGATGTATTTAAGTTGTAAGTGACCAAGTGACCATAAGAAGGATAAAAAGTAAAATCAAAGTTTGTTGATGATAATGAGCACTATCTTAGTCTGTTTCCCATTGCTATAACAGAATATCCAGGACTGATTAATTTATAAAGAAAAGAGGTTTATTTAGCCCACAGTTCTCCAGGCTGGGAAGTTCAAGATTGGGAGGCTGCATCTGGCAGGTTCTGGTGAGGGCCTTGTGCTGTGTGATAACATGTTGGAGAATTGGAAGGGAAAGTCGGCATTCAAAAATGCAAAGCAACTTCACTTTATAACAGTCTGCTCTCACAGGAACTAATGCATTCACACAAGAACTAACCAAGGAGAAAAACACTAATCCATCTTATCAACCTGATCACCTCTTAAAGGCCCCACCTCCCAACACTATTACATTGGCAATTAAATTTCAACGTTGAGTTTTGGTGGGGATGAACCACATCCAAACCATAACAAGTGCTTTCTGTATTGGTGTTGTTTGAGAAAGCAGGAAAGTTACAACTGCATTTCACTATATTGGGGGGAAAACAATTGAGACCTATGCTCGTTGCATGTTGTAATCCAGGAAAGGAATGTGGAAGTGTTTATATACTTGGCCCCATGAATTATGGGCTTGCTGTTGTACTACACTCAGTGGAAAGCTGTTCATTGATACAACAGATTTTAGGGGCAGTATCAGTCATCTTAGCATGATGTATCTGCTCTTAGCTATACAACTTTGGGCAATTCTAGTTAAGACACCTCATGAAAAGAGCAAGACAGCCCAAAAATGGACAGCTACAATGATTGAGGGTGTAAGTCATCTTACACAGAGCTTAATGCATTGCTTTCCCCAAATTTTCGGTAGGTAATCTAAGGTCTGAAAGCAGTCTTCAGTATTGACACTAGCTCCTTTTAAGTGTTATACATCTGTTAAGTGGATCTATTAATATAATACTGTAAGTTAAAGTTTTCAGAGAAATACTGATATTTTTCTCTAAAATATGTTCAAATGTATTTGATTACATAGTAGATAATGAGTCAGAAGATAGACTTGAAGAACAAAACTGTTTTTACATAAATATTTTAAGAATAATGTCAGCTCCGGTTCTAAAATTTTCTTACAGATATGATCCCAAAACAGACATGTGGACTGCAGTAGCATCCATGAGCATCAGCAGAGATGCAGTGGGGGTCTGTTTACTTGGTGATAAGTTATATGCTGTTGGGGGGTATGATGGACAGGCATACCTTAATACTGTGGAGGCTTATGATCCCCAGACAAATGAGTGGACCCAGGTATGGCATTCATGTTTCATTATTACACTGACTCTCTTTTTATTAAAACAATTCTTATGGTAAAACAGATCCCCTCAATCTTGTCCAATACTGAAATATATGGCATAAATATGACAATCACGTTTTGATTAGCGATGAGAAAAAGAGGCAATGTTTAATTTTATAACATAATTAAAATCCAGAATTACCTTTGAGATGTAAGTTAATACTCAGAGAAATTATTAATTATCTGCTACCACTTGCATGATGAAGTGTTCTAGCCTGATTAAAGCTGATAGGACTACTGGAGGGCTGCAACAATGGGAGGGGAGACTGGAAAATAAAAACAAGGATAGTAGTCAGAAAACTTTGAACAACTTGCCCATGTGTGAGCAGTCGGATTTTTAAATACTCAACCCATTGATATCTGGGAGCAGATTAAAGTCCTGATAACCTAATGAAGATGGCAACCCTAAATTACACTG
The DNA here is from genome assembly GCF_000001405.40 of Homo sapiens. NCBI lineage: Eukaryota > Metazoa > Chordata > Mammalia > Primates > Hominidae > Homo > Homo sapiens. The sequence continues at coordinate 39,115,795 of NC_000004.12, forward strand.
AGTAAGAAACCTGATCTGGCAGTCTTACTAACAGAAAGAATTTCACCCTTGTGTATTTCTGGGAGGGTCTAGCACTTCTAAAAATGATCTTTTGAGATCTTTGCTTCCATCATCACCAAGAACAGAATCAGGAATTTGTGCTTGTGTCACCCAGTTCAGTACTTGGTACATAAAAGACAATAAATGTTTAACTGAGCCAAGATTTTCTTGTATACAAGGAGCCATGATAAGTATGGTCAAGAAAACAAAGCTTCTAGGCCAGGCATGGTGGCTTATGCCTATAATCCCAGCACTTTGGGAGGCTGAGGCGGGCAGATCACGAGGTCAGGAGTTCAAGACCAGCCTGACCAATATGGTGAGACCCCATCTCTACTAAAAATACAAAAAAATTAGCCGGGCATGGTGGCACGTGCCTGTAATCCCAGCTACTCGGGGGGCTGAGGCAGGAGAATCGCTTGAACCCAGGAGGCAGAGGTTGCAGTGAGCAGAGATCATGCCACTGCACTTCAGCCTGGGTGACAGAGTGAGACTCCATCTTAAAAAAAAGAAAAGAAAAGAAAGCTTCTGAGAAGACCCATGGTCATGTAACCTGAGGTCTTGGGTAGGTAAGATCTACATGTGCAAGAGGAGAATGCACCACACAAGGCAGTGGGTATTTAGTGTCCCATGGTACAGGCGCCAAGTGATACGGGAGATAAGAGAGAAAAAAGAAAGTGGTTATGGGGAAAGCTTTAGTGAGAATGAAGGGGGATTTAAACCAAGCCTTAGTGAATTGATCCAATTCAAAAAGATTGGAAAGAAGAAATTGTGAGAAAATGTGAAAGAAATGTCACCAAAGCAGAATTGTGTAATACGTATTGAAGTATGACTGGTTATAGGATCTGTGCTTGAGAGGAGAAGGAGTGCTTACTGGAGAGGAAGATTGGGGTCAGAATGGAGATCTGTGAGACCAAAGTGGGAGGATCGCTTGAGGCCAGGAATTCCAGACCAGCATGGGTGACAAAGTGAGGCGCCATCTCTGCAAAAATTTGTGGGTTTTTTTGTTTTGGTTTTGTTTTTCAGACAGAGTCTTGCTCTCGTCACCTAGGCTGGAGTGCAATGGCACGATCTCAGCTCACTGCAACCTTCACCTCCCGCATTCAAGAGATTCCCCTGCCTCAGCCTCCCCAGTAGCTGGGATTACAGGTGCCCGCCACCACACCCAGCTAATTTTTCTATTTTTAGTAGAGACGGGGTTTTGTCATGTTGGCCAGGCTGGTCTCAAACTCCTGACCTCGTGATCCACCCACCTTGGCCTCTCAAAGTGCTGGGATTACAGGCATGAGCCACCATGCCCAGCCCCCAAAATTTTGAAAAATTAGCAAGGTGTGGTGGCACGCACCTGTAGTCCTATCTACTTGGGAGGCTGAGGCGGAAGATCGCTTGAGCCCAGGAGTTGAGGCTGAAGTGAACCATGATCATGACACTGCACTCCAGCCTGGACAACAGAGCAAGACTCTGTCTCTTAAAAATAATCATATAATAATGATTTTTTAAAAGAATGGGGATGTGTGAAGGCCAAGCTAAAGAGTTTGGTAACAAGAAGCCAGCAGAAACTTTCAACCAAGAGAATGATGCAGTTGGGGTCGCATAGGTTGGGTTAGGGGCAGGGGAAGTGAGGGCTGGATAAAAGGAAAAGTATTTAGAGGATTGCTTCAGTTGCAAGGCTTGAAGCATTCAATGTAGATGGATTCAAGAGATATTGCCAGGTCTTGTTGATCTTTCTTTATATACACACACTTACTGGGTTGAATTGGGAGGTGTGGTCTCTGAAGAAAACAGGAAAGGAATGATGAGAGAAGTTCTCAGAAGACAATGGAATAGAGCATCTAAAGGGAGGAGTAAGGAGTTTCAACAGTGTAAGAAAGAATGAAGATTTGTCATTTTTAAAGTTGTGGGACCCTCTGAAAATCTGATAGAAGCAGAAGCCAGCACACAGTTTCAAAAGTAAACAGAAGAGGCCAGGTACGGTGGCTCACACCTGTAATCCCAACACTTTGGGAGGCCAAGGTCGGCGGATCTTTTGGGGCCAGGAGTTCGAGACCAGCATGGCCGACATGGTGAAACCCTGTCTCTACTAAAAATACAAAAATTAATGCTCCTGTAGTCCCAGCTGAGGCACAAGGCTGAGGCAAAAGAATCGCTTGAACTCAGGAGGTGGAGATTGCAGTGAGCCAAGATCGTGCCACTGCACTCTAGCCTGGGTGACAGAGCGAGACTCCATCTAAAAAAAAAAAAAAAAAGTAAACAGAAGAATAGAGTGTAGGAGCTAGAGAGGCATGCAGTTTTTAAATGATGATGATAGAAAGTTAGTATTTATTGAGCATATCTTACAGGCCAGGCTCTGTTCTAAGCACTGTAAAGAATTTAATCTTCAACAACCCTATAAGGTTGAGTTCTGGTATTTTCGCACTGTACAGGATGAGGAATCTGACACAGAAGTTAAACAGCTAACCCAAGGCCACATAGCAAATAAATGGTGGAGTTAGAATTAGAGCCAAGGATTTTTTTTTTTTGCTCCACAATAGAGATGACAAGAAGAGGGTAGAGAGAGATTCCAGATACTAGAAAGAAAAAGTGAAACTGAAGGGCACCTTTCTGAGAAAAGGGCAGGAAACAGAATTAAGAGCAAAGACTGGGGGCAGGGCGCAGTGGCTTATGCCTGTAATCCCAGGACTTTGGGAGGCCAAGGCGGGTGGGTCACCTGAGGTCAGGAGTTCATGGCCAGCTTGGCCAACATGGTGAAACCCCATCTCTACTAAAAATACAAAAGTTAGCTGGGCGTGGTGGCGTGCACCTATAATCCCAGCTACTTGGGAGGCTGAGGCAGGAGAATCGCTTGAACCTGGGAGGCAGAGGTTGCAGTAAGCCAAGATCACGCCATTGCACTCCAACCTGGGTGACAAGAGCAAAACTCCCTCTCAAAAAAAAAAAGCAGACTGGTCACCCTCAGACTAGAAGAAAGATCTTACCCTCCAAGGCTTGGGAAAAGATGAGAATTTGAGTGTAGAAAGGTACAGGGAGTTTTTAAGTGAAGAGAAAGAGAAGAAAAGGACTTAGATTGTGTGGGCTTTATCCTGTTTCTTAAGTGAGATCACTTGATGGAGGGAGGAAGGGATAAGATTGAGAGCTACAAGATTTCATTGGAAATTAGATGATTACCTAATATCAGCTTCCCACTATGGCAAAAATAGTTGTGAATGACACCCAAGGAGCTCAGAAAGATAAGAATCTCTTTTTCTGACATGTATTTAAGCCCTAAGTCCAGTTATATATATGATTTAAGACCTATCAGCCAGTTATTTGAGACTTGTTATTATTTATAATTAATGCTTTATGCTAAATCACCCCATATCAAAATTGATCATCAGTGTCCACATAGCTATTTTGCTTGCAAGCCACCTCTCTATGTTAAAGCACCTAAAAATGTGAACTCGTTATCATAGTGTCTGAAAAATAAAAGTTTTCCTGGGCCAGGCATGGTGGCTCACCCCTGTAATCCCGGCACTTTGGGAGGCCGAAGCAGGTGGTTTGCCTGAGCTCAGGAGTTCGAGACAGCCTGGGCAACATGGTAAAGCCCTGTCTCTACTAAAATACAAAAAATTAGCCAGGTATGGTGGTGTGTGCCAGTAGTCCCAGCTACTCAGGAGGCTGCGGCATGAGAATTGCTTGAACCCAGGAGGTGGAGGTTGCAGTGAGCCGAGATGTGCCATTGCACTCCAGCCTGGGTGACAGTGCAAGACTCCATCTCAAAAACAAGCCAAACAAACAAAAAAATTTTGAAGTTTTCCTTTCAGTGTTCTGACAGATGGACATTTGTATAGGCACTAAAATGAGATGACAAAGTCCTAAGCCACTACCCACCTCACTACCAGCCTTACCTCAAAGCAAGAGGTGATTGCATTGTATTTAACAAATTCTCTAAGCTACACTTTCTAGCTAGTTGTCATGACAGTGTCAGCTATTCACAATGTAGAGACTAAGTGTCTTGGATGATTTGAGAAGAGCTACTAATTATAAACTGACATTTTGATATAAATGATTTTTGAGGTCAGTTCGATAATGCTATCAATAAGTATGGTTTTAAAATAGGTTGATTGTTCCAAGAGACTTACAGTGATCAAAACAACTGATTCAGATGGAGAACTACTGAGAATTCTCTTATAACTGAAGTCTGACCTGTTCTTAAAATCTACTCATTGGTCTAGGGGGTCGAACTGATTAGGAAGTCATTTTGGCATTTGACAAAAATACTTTAGTACATACCCTAACATATATAAGTACAAAGCAAACTTTCTTAGTACTTTGCATTACTCACCCGCTGAATCCATGTTAACATTTTAACTCTCCTGGGTCAAATGCATAGATTCTTACTGTGTTCAGAGTAATTCTTCAGAACTATTTTTGTCCACACTTTTATTTCCACTATGAATTACCCAGTGTCTAGAGTTCCTATTGTTCAAAAAAGAGGTGAAAGATTTAAGAATTGTTCTTTATCCATAAATTTAGATTGCATTCCTTCCCCTAGCAACCCTCCCCTGACTTCTATCTCACTGTAATAGAGCTCATTCACTGAGTTTGTTTCCACTCCCAGGGGAGTTGGATGGGTAGCATTTATTATTTATTTAGTCTGCTAAAAAGTAGTAGAATGGGTTTAGACTTTTCAGCCATGCACGTAGAAGGTAGTCAAAAAATGTGAGGTTATGAGTTCTTCTAGAATAAGCAGATCCCCAGGCATTCAGAGTATTTTGTGTGCTACCTCTGAGATAGCATGGCTGTTAGAGGACCTCTCTAGATAACACTTGATCTTTCCTCCATATTGGTCACAGAGTTACTGTAAGTGTTCAGCATTTCTTCATATCCATACTGTGTATCATTTTGGCTAAAATAGAGTGTTTCATGTAGATTAATTCTTGAGCTGTTTTAAAAATCACCTTTAAAGAAGAATGAATGCTACACAATCATGATGTACCCAAAACAACTTAGTCTATGAAACTTTGCCATGGAAGGTGGCTCTTGGGAAGGGGACCAGGCCAGAAACAGCGCTGATACAGCAGGGGCCAGGGCAACAACCCTTTGCCAACAAGTACAGGCTGTTTCAATATTTCACCAACTGGCATAGTAGTGTTGACATTTTAACCTACAGATCCAATACATATCTCTTTTTCCTTTTTAGGTTGCTCCACTGTGCCTAGGAAGAGCTGGAGCTTGTGTTGTGACTGTAAAATTATAATTTAGTGCCCCGTTTTCTACATGAAGACACCGTCTTCCTTTATTAATTTAGTATAATTATTCTATCAATGGATACATTTTTAGTAAATGTGCATTGTCACAATCCTGGGCACAAAGTGCCTGATGTCAAAATGAAGATAGTAAAACAAGGGAGGAAGCAGTGGATGGACCAGGATTAATTCCTTTCATTTCTTAGTAAATTAAAACCTGCAGCTGGTGGATTGTGATCACACATTCCCGAAGTAATAAGTGAGGACGAATGCACTGCTCTGGAACATAACCCAGTGCTAACTGGGGGTTTCATTTATTCAGTCAAGCACATCTTACTCACATCCAGATTTATTTTCCTACAGTGCAAACACACCAGATGAAACTTTAAAATGTTACTTTTTGTAAGCTTATCATAAATGAGTTGCAGTAATTTGTTTGCTTGTTTGTTTAACCACAACCACTATTTTAATGATATACTAAAGATAACACTATTTAGTTTTTTCAGAAACATCTGCATTATATGTGTGTTGGTTGTGGATTTTGTTTCTAAAATTGGCTTAGTCCAATAAATAAAGAAAAGCATTAAGGACTTAAAGCAACAATAACCAAATAAAAACTTGATAGGATCTTTGAAGTCTATTTAAATATTCATTCCATTACATCTAGACTCACCAAGAACTACATGTTATGATGTTAAGTTGAAGTTGAAACATGATGTTTTGCATTAAATTTAAGATATGCAAATTTATGTAGAGAAAATAAATGTTATATACCCTATAATCTTTCACCTAATTAGTATTTAATTATATGGATTTGTTTTATATTATAAAAGATGTTTTGATTTTGTCTTTTGATATTGACAAAATTGTTTGGATATCCTTATGTTCTCAAGTCTGTATCTGCCTCCCCTGCCTTATTTCTTATGTTTTGCCACAGTTAACCCATTGTGCTTCTTTGTAATCAAACAGTTTGTGGGAGAATGGGCTTATTGAATGTCTAAAAAATAAGTTTAAAGTGTTTGTTACCCTAAGTTTTTTACATTTTTAAACTCTAATTACATATGTGAATGTTATTACTCTCAGTGAATTGTTATTGTTTGCAAAAATGCACTGGGCAGTAACATTTTGTGATAAATCCTATAAGATATAAGTCATTGAGATGTCTAAGATGCTTTTTATTTTAACCCCAGTTAATAACCACCTTACGGAAAATAATATTTGCTAATATTGTTTATTGTGAACTAGGAATCAAAGTTTTTGTATGCATCAATGCACTTAATCCTTATAACAACCTTATGAGGTAGTTCTATTCCCTTTTTATAGCTAAGGAAATTGGGGTACAGAGAAGTTAGCCCCAAGGTTATATATTGCAAGTAAGTGGCAGAGCAGGGATTCATACAAAGACCTTCTCACTCAGCAGTCTTCACTCTTACTATTCCTGCCACTAGGTAGAAAAAGAAAGATTTCGGCCGGGCACAGTGGCTCACGCCTATAATTCCCAGCACTTTGGGAGGCTGAGGTGGGCGGATCACGAGGTCAGGAGATGGAGACCATCCTGGCTAACACAGTGAAACCCCGTCTCTACTAAAAATAAAAAATAAAAAAAAATTAGCCAGGCGTGGTGGCGGGTGCCTGTACGCCCAGCTACTCGGGAGGCTGAGGCGGGAGAATGGCGTGAACCCAGGAGGAGGAGCTTGCAGTGTGCCAAGATCGCACCACTGCACTCCAGCCTGGGTGACAGAGCGAGACTCCATCAAAAAAAAATAAATAAAAAAAAAATAAAAGATTTCATTTTATGTGAGGAATTATTTTAATAAAAAAAAGAGGGTTTATGCTCTATAGTAATAAAATTTACCAGTAACACCCAATCAGAAAATTTTGGTTCCTTAGTATTTAGGGAAGACTTTTGTTTAAATCTCTTATGGAATTTTACATGTTTTGATTTAGAAAAGTAGATGCAATATAATATATTTCAAGTTTTATACATATTAGATGAATTGCATGGTATTTTAGGCAACTTAACTATAAACAAATTTATTCATAGAAGCATTGTTGCCAACAATTTAGATGACCTCGATGAAAAAACACACCAATTGACAAAACTGGCTCAAAAGGAAATAAAAAATCCAAACAGACCTGTAACAAGTAAAGAGATTGAACCAGTAATCAAAAATCTCCCAACAAAGAAAGTCCAGGACTAAATGAGTTTACTGGCAAACTATGCCAAACATATAAAGAAGAATTAACACTAATCCTTCTCGAACTCTCCCAAAAAATGGAAGAGAAAGGAGCACCCTGTGACATTCTATAAGGCGGACATTACCTTAACACCAAAGCCAGACAAAGACCTCACAGGGAAGCTACAGACCAATATCCCTTATGAATATAGATGCAAAAAAACTTCAAAATACTAGCAGGCCAAATCCAGCAGCTTATTAAAATGATCACACAGCATGACCAAGTGAGATTTATCAAAGAAATGCAGGGATGGTTCTACATACAAATGTCAATCGATGTAATAATATACCATATTAATAGAATGAAGGGGAAAAAACAGCATGATCACCTCAATTGATAAGAAAAAGCATTTGACAAAAATCCAACACCCTTTCATGGTAAAAACACTCTGCAAACTAGGAAGAAAAGGGAACTTTCTTAACCTGATAAAGACATCCATAAAAACCCACAGCTAACAACATAATAGCAAAACATTGAAAATTTTTCCCCTAATATCATGAAAATTCCTGATTTCCCCACTGCTATTCAACATTATACTAGAAGGTCTAGCCAGAGCAATTAGGCAAGAAAAAGAAATAAAATGAATCCCAAATAGGAAGAAGTAAAACTACATTTGCAGAAAACATGGTCCTATATATTAAAAATCCTAAAGAATCCACAAAATGATTCCGGCTGATTTTAAAAATTCAGCAATGTTGCAGGTTGCAAGATCAACACACAAAAGTCTAAGAAAAACCTGAGGGGAAATTAAAACAATTTCATTTACAATAACATGAAAAAGAATAAAATACTTAGAAATAAATTTGACCAAGAAAGTGCAAGACTTGGACACTGAAAAGTACAAAACGTTGCTGAAAGAAATTAAAGAAGACCTAAATAAATGGAAGACATCCTGTGCTGGCAGGTTGGAAGACTTAACATTGTTAAGATGGCATTACTCCCAAAATTAGTCTATAGATTTAATACAATCCCCATTAAAATTCCAGTGACCCTTTTACAGAAACTGAAAAGCTGACCCTAGAATTTATATGGGATTGCAAGTTACTGAAGGTACTCAAGTCTGTTCAAAACAATCTTGAACAAGAATAAAGTTGAAGGACTCACATTTTCCAATTTCAAAATTTACTGCAAAGCTACTTCAATCAAAACAGTGTTGTGCTGGTATAAAAATATATAAAGCAATAGAGTAGAATGGAAAGTCCAGAAACAAATTACGCCAATACACTATGGTCAATTGATTTTTGACAAGGGTTCCAGGACCATTCAATGAAGAAAGAACAGTGTCTTCAACTAATAGTGCTAAGACAAGTGAATATTCACATGCAAAAGAATGAATTTGTACCTGTACTTCATACCATATATAAAAATTAATTCAAAATAGATCAAAGACCTAAATGTAAGAGCTAAAACCATAAAACTTTGAGAAGAAAATACAGGAATAAATCTTCATGACCTTGGATTTGGCAATGGTTTCTTAGATATGGCACCAAAAGCACAAGCAACAACAGCAAAAAAAAAAAAAAAAAAAAAAAATCAAAATTAAAAGCTTCTACATATCAAGGGACACTATGAAGAAAGTGAAAAGACAACCCACAGAATGGGAGAAAATATTTGTAAATCTTACATATCTGGTAAGGAACTAATACCTAGAATATATAAGGAACTCCGATGCTCGACAACAAAAAGACAAACCAATTTTAAAATGGGCAAAGGACTTAAATAGACATTTCTCTAATGAAGATATACAAATGGCCGACAAGCACATGGAAAGCACTCAACCTCATCAGTCATTATGCAAATCAGCGCCACAAGAAGATACCACTTCACACCTATTAGAATGACGAAATAGACCTAGGATCTAAACCTACAGGAAAAAAAATGAATAATAGAGAAAATAAATGTTAGAGAGGATGTGGAGAAATTGAAAACCTTCATTCGTTGTTGGTGGGAATGTTAAATGGTGTAGCCACTGTGGAAAACAGTTTGGCAGTTCCTCAATAAGTTAAAAAAAAGAATTACCATATGACCCAGCAAGTCCACTCCTGGGCATATACTGAAAAGAACTGAAAACAGGTGTTCAAGCAAAAACTTTCACGCAAATATTCATTGCAGCACTAGTCACAGTAGCCAAAAAAGAGGAAACAACCCAAATGGCCATCAGCTGATGAATGAATAAACAAATTGTGGTATCTCCACACGGCACAATAGAATATTCAGCCATAAAGAGAAATGAGGGACTGATACATGCTAAAGCATGGATGAGCCTTGAGCGCATTTTTGCCAAGTGAAAGAAGGCAGACACAAAAGGCAACGTATTGCATGAGTGCATTTATATGAAATATCCAAAATAGGCAAATCCATGGAGACAGAAAGCAGATAAATGGTTGTAAGAAGCTGAGAGAAAGGAGTGGGGAGAGATTGCTAAAAAGGAGTTTCCTTCTAGGGTGATGAAAATGTTCTGGAACTACTTATTGGGGATGATTGCACAACATGGTGAAGGTACTCAATGTCACTAATGGTAAATTTCACATACACTTTACCATAATTTTTAAAAAGCTTTATTAGCTACATTATGTTATGATACTTAAATGTCATAACAATAGCATTCTGTACGCTTCACTAGGATAAAAACTTCGGATTTATATGCATCTGGAAGAGAAATTTTTCACTGTAATTTGCAAATAAATGAATTTCTAAAAATCTAACAGAAAGGCTCTTAAATCTTAATTTCAACCTAAGAAGGGAGTGAGAAACAACGAGAACCATGAGGGGAGAGTTAACGGGGAACTTCCCCACCGTCCGGTACATGGCAGGCATTCCACAAATGTTTTCTGAAAGTTGAAATAGACATCTTTTCATGAACTCTGTAATATTTGAAATTATTGATAACTCTTACACAAAAACAAATATTCAATAAAATGATATTTAATTTCACTGTGACTAGATAATACTCATGTAATATTTTTTATTTTTTAACTGGAGTAAAAAAAATCAAATGCCATGAAAAATTACAGGCTACTTATGGCATTTTCATCATTCTGAGTCTTAAAGAACTTATATGAACGCACCACCTCTTCCATCACAGCCTCTGTCCTCATTCCTGAGATGTAGGAGAGTACCGTGTTTTTTTGTATCTTCTCCTGGGGCTGAACAACTTGCAAGCCTCTTGAAGAAATGCCGTATTGACAGATGTGGGTATTGGCATCATCGCTAGACTTCACTGCCACCCTCATTTCCCCCTAGTCCTGGGTAATTATTTGGGCTAACGAGGTATAATCTAGAAAGCAAACCCAGGGAAGCTCGGGAAGCAAATCTAGTGCCCTGGATCTTTGCCCAGGTTCAAGCTGGTTCCATTTGACCATATTTCTTTGTGGATAATAAACAATTATATTTAATTCAGGTATTTTCACATACTTTTGAGGACAGCAAAGATCACCTGGTGGCCATCAAGCAGACCATCTGGAGGCAAAACTCCTTATCTGAGGAATTCAGAAGTCATTAGACTGCCCTATTATCTAAAGCCGGCATCTTGTACTAGGCTTCTTTACCAAAAATGTATTTAATGTAAGTAACTAGAATTTTTATACATCTCCGGAATGAATGTGTGTCAGAAGTTACTGGGCAACCCTTGCTGACGTCAAGGCACCAAAATGTGTACAAATGTAATCGTTTACCATGACCTGTGTAACGAATGTGGTCAAAATTACCCTTACACTCCTGCTTTAAGGTCCATAAATACCTTGTTATTACTCCATTTTCACACTGCTATAAAGAACTCACACCTGCAATCCCAGCACTTTGGGAGGCTGAGGCTGGGGGATTGCTTGAGCTCAGGAGTTCGAGACCAGCCTGGGCAACATCTTGAGACCCCTGTCTGTACTAAAAATACTAAAATTAGCCAGGAATAGTCCCAGCCACTTGGGAGGCTGAAGTGGGAGGATCACTTCAGCCCAGGAGACGGAGGTTGCAGTGAGCTGACATTGCACCACTGCACTCCAGCCTTGGTGACAGGTGACCTTGTGTCAAAAAAAAAAAAAGTTACAAATAATACAACTTAAATGAGTACTGATTTTCAGGGAGGCGTTCACCTTCGGGGGAAGAAAAGGAAAAACAAAAAGGACGTAGAGTAAATTTGGGGGTTTTTTGTTTGTTTGATTGGTTGATTTTGTTTTGAGACAGGGTCTTGCTCTGTCGCCCAGGCTGGAGTGTAATGGCCTGATTATAGCTCACTACGTCCACAACTTCCTGGGCTTAAGCAGCCACCTCAGCCTCAGCCTCAGCCTCTCAGTAGCTGGGACTACAGGCATGCACCACCATGTTTGGCTAATTTTTTTTTTCTGTTTTTATTTTTTGTAGAGACAGGATCTCACGTTGTTACCCAGGCTGGTTTCAGACTCCTGTGCTCAAGCGATCTTCCCGCCTCCTCTTCCCAAAGTGCTGGGATTGTAGGCCTGGGTCACCACACCGACCTGGCGCAAATTTTGTGGAAGGAAAGAGGTCCCTGCTTAGTGGTAGCTGGAGTGATGAGGTTAGGGAGAAGCTGTCATTCAGAGCCATCTCTGCAGTGACAAGAATAGCTGTGCTGTGTGAGAACCTCAGAGAAGAAAAATGTTGGGTAATAAGTTTGGCAAAAGCTGACCTACCTATTGTCTGATTCTGTATCAGAAACTCAGTAGCAAAGCAGCAGAGACGGACTGGCAGAGTGAGTTAATCCAATAGAGAATCCCTTGACCTCAGAAACTTTCTGATCAATAAGGCATTGAGCAAAACAGTAGGGAGACTAAGATCCTATACAGTAATAGATGATAAAACAAAGGAGGGGAGAGAATGGTAGTTCCTTAAGGCCACATATGGCGGTATATTTTTGTATTCCCTGCAGCACTTAGCACTTTATCTATTGTTATACCTTCACATAATTAGCTTCCACTAATTATTCATTGAATATAAATATGAAGTAGATTTGATCTTTTGAGGTAAACCATCTCCGAGGTATTGGAGTGTGAGTTTATAGTATCACAGATTCTGAAACACAGAACAGAAAGAATCCTTGCAGCTTCCTTGTTCACATGTTGGTGGGGGTGGACTAGGAGAGGGGTGGAAAGCCTGGGCATGGAAGAGAGAAAGCCAGGATACCTTCAGAAAGTAGTGAGTGGCCCAGGCTGGCTGCAGTGTGGAACATGTGCAGAAGGATGGAGGGAACTATCTGCCAATTTATTGTTTTTAAAATTAATTTTATCATTACAGTTTGTAATTCATTGTTTCAAATTAAAAATGCCAGCCATTCAGTGCTGGGATAAAGACTGCCAGCAGAATAAATAAAGTAATAACAAAACTAATTTTTAAAATGCCAATCATGCCTTCTGTCTGTACATGACTAATATTATGGATGCTAGACGCAGTGGCTCACACCTGTAATCCCAGCACTTTGGGAGGCCAAGGCAGGAGGATCACTTGAGGCCAGGAGTTCGAGACCAGCCTGGGAACACAGGGAGACCTCGTCTCTACAAATATGTTTTTTAAAAATTAGCCAGGCGTGATGGTGTGCACCTCTGGTCCCAGCTACTCAGGAGGCAGAGACAGGAGGATTGCCTGAGCCTGGGAGGCCAAGGCTGCAGTGAGCTACGATCAGCCTGGGTGACAGAGTGAGACCTTGCCTCAAAAAATAAAAAATAAAATAAAATATATGGAGACACAGCAGCTGGTCATAAAATTGCCAAAGATGCAATCAGCAAGCGGGCCCCCATACACTCAGTCCAGCTGCTCCTCCCTCCCAACCTTGTTTAAGTAGCCATACGGACTGCTTCCAGCTGAAATACATTAACTAAGCGGTCTATTTTCTCTTCTCCCAGCAATATTACAACATATTTTCTTAAAAAAAAAAAACAATTACAACTTTTTTTTTTTTTTGAGACGGAGTCTTGCTCTGTTGCCCAGGCTGGAGTGCAGTGGCATTGCCCAGGCTGGAGTGCAGTGGCACAATCTCGGCTCACTGCAACCTCCGCCTCCTGGGTTCAAGTGGTTCTCCTGCCTCAGCCTCCTGAATAGCTGGGATTACAGGCATGTGCCACTACATCTGGCTGATTTTTTTGTATTTTCAGTAGAGACAGGGTTTCACCATGTTGGTCAGGCTGGTCTCAAACTCCTGACCTCGTGATCCGCCCGCCTTGGCCTCCCAAAGTGCTGGGATTACAGGCATGAGTCACTGTGCCTGGCTTCAACTTTTATTTCAGAGTTAGGGGGATACAAGTGTAGGTTTGTTACATAGGTATATTGTGTGATGCTGAGGTTTGGGGTACGGATGATCCTGTCACTTCGGTGGTGAACACAGCACCCAACAGATAGTTTTTCAGCCCACAGCCCCTACCTCCCTTCCCTCTGTAGGAGTCTCCAGTGTCTATTGTTCCATCTTTATGTCCTTTATAACAGATTTTCAAATGTTATTGTATTTTACTCAATATTTGGGTTGTGGAGAAATTTTATAATTTATTTGCATTACATAAATCCTTCACAATGAGAAACAGTCATTGCAAAGATTGTACCAGATGATTGGTCAGATCCCTTCCAGCTCCAGTATTCACTAAGGTAGACTGAATATCACATGACTGTCTCCTGGGAACCCACCCAGCAACTATAACATCTTTGAATATGAATCCCAGCCAGAACCTGGAATGCCACAGGAGTTGTTACCCCATTGCTTGAACTACAATCCAGTGATTCTCAACTACAGTGTCATGGTAGGATTACCTGTGCTGAGACTAGCTCGGTCGGGGAGACCCTAATCCAGCGGCGCTAGAGGAATTAAAGACATATACGCAGAAATATAGAGGTGTGAAGTGGGAAATCAGGGGTCTCACAGCCTTCAGAGCAGAGAGCCCCGAACAGAGATTTACCCACATACTTATTAACAGCAAGCCAGTCATTAGCATTGTTTCTGTAGATATTAAATTAACAAAGTATCCCTTATGGGAAACGAAGGGATGGGCCGAATTAAAGGAATAGGTTGGGCTAGTTAACTGCAGCAGGAGCAAGTTCTTAAGGCACAGATCGCTCATGCTATTGTTTGTGGCTTAAGAATGTCTTTAAGCAGTATTCTGCCCTAGGTGGGCCAGGTGTTCCTTACCCTCATTCCCGTAAACCCACAACCTTCCAGTGTGGGCGTTATGGCCATCATGAACATGTCACAGTGCTGCAGAGATTTTATTTATGGCCAGTTTTGGGGTCAGTTTATGGCCAGATTTTGGGGGGCTTGTTCCCAACAACTCAAAGAATTTTAAAATACATAGATGCCTGCACTTCACTCCAGGTGTGACATCTTGGGATGCCAATCCCAGCCAGAACCCAGGTGATTCTAATGTGCAGCCACCTTTAGGAGGATGACCAGGCCCCATTCCACACAATGGTGCCGTAGGCTCCTCTCACACTGCGTCCCTGACTCACCAACTTCTTCAAATCCGGGCCCTTTGTGTTATTCCACGAGCAAACTTTTCAAGCACCCTCAAGCACGTTTACAAGAGCCAGTTATTTACATAATTATGAGATTACAAATAATTCTTTTTTTTTTTCTTTTGAGACAAGGTCTCACTCTGTCTCCCAGGCTGCAGCTTAATGGTGTGATCTCGGCTCACGGCAACCTCCACATCATAGGCTCAAGCAATCCTCCTGCCTCAGCCTCCCAAGTACCTGGGACTACAGGCATGCACTACCATGCCTGGCAAATTTTTGTATTTTTTTTTTTTTTTTGTAGAGATAGCATATCACCATGTTGGCCAGGCTGGTCAAGAACTCCTGGACTCAAGAGATCTGCCTGCCTTGGCCTCCCAAAGTGCTAGGATTACAGGTGTGAGCCACCGTGCCCAGCCTGACATTACAAATCCTTTTTATCTGCTAAAGTTCCCTGAAGACAACTACTAGGTACTTTACTAGTTGTATCAAGCCAGTGCAAGATATACAATTTAATTTATTTTAAAACATCATACCATGTGGAGGTTTCTACTAATTTAGTTGAGCTTTCCCAAATTATACCAAATCAGTGAGGCTGACAAATATCATATTTTTGTAAAAGAAATGGAATATTTTAATTAAAGTTACTTAAAGAGATATTTGTGAGAGTCTAAAATGGATCAGAGCTTTTAAAGCCATGAACAACTCAGCAGACATTGGTTTCTGGGTACCATGTTTGAGTAGATTATTCAGAAGAATCATCCTGCTTAAAACCACCACAAATTCAGAATGAAACATAAAATATGTTATCTTTAAAGCATTAAAGCACAGACAAAATTTTCAGGATTAAGAGGACAAAAATCTAAGTGAAAGCCAACCAGGTGCAGTGGTTCATGCCTGTAATCCTAGCACTTTGGGAGGCCCAGGCAGGATTGCTTGAGCCCAGGAGTTTGAGACCAGCCTGGGGCAACATAGTGACATCTGTCTCTACAAAAAATACAAAAATTAGCCGGGTGTGGTGGTGCATGCTTGTAGTCCCAGCTAGTTAGGAGGCTGAGGTGAGAAGATTGCTTGAGCCTGGGAAGTTGAGGCTCCAGTGAGCCAAGATCACACCACTGCAGTGCAGCCTGGGTGATAGAGCGAGACCCTGTCTCAAAAAAAAAAAAAAAAGAAAAAAATCCAAGTGAAAGGAGAGAAGACTTGGAAAAATAAGCAGAGAACTGAAGCTCTTTTGCCCCAAGGGCATTTGCCAAACTCTCAAAAATTCCCCTTCGGTTCTGTCGACCTCCCAGGGGATGGGATAGAGAACTCAAAACCTAGGATCTGTCCAAGGTGGGAAGATCCTATTTCTATATAGCTGGGACCTCTAAGTACTACAGCTTCGAAGGTAAGGACAAACCAGAAGAACACCTACCTCACTCCCCATTATCAGGAGACTACAAAAAAAGGAAAGGAAATGCATTGGAATGTCCAGGAAGAGGTGACCACAAACCAGTCTCCCCGGAAAGCTGCAGCCCAGATTCACGTTACTTGAAAAAGGAATCTGAATAATCCTATTTATTTAAAGAAAATCTTCCCACAAAGAAAACTCTAAACTGGGCGTGTTGGCTCACTCTTGTAATCCCAGCACTTTGGAAAGCTGAGGCGGGTGAATCACTTGAGCTCACAAGTTCGAGACCAGTCTGGGCAAAATGGCAAAACTCTGTCTCTACTAAAAATAAAAAAAGTGGCCAGGTGCCATGGTGCGCACCTGTAGTCCCAGCTACTTAGGAGGCTGAGTTGGGAGGCTCACTTGAGCCCAGGAGCAGAGGTTGCAGTAAGCCGAGATCACCGCACTGCACTCCAGCCTGGGCGACAGAGTGAGACCTCATCTCAAAGAAAAAAAAAAAAGAAAGGAAAAGAAAACTCTAGGCCTTGATATTTTCATTGTCATTTTCTACCAGTCAAGGAAGACTATCTTTCTGAAAGGTATTTAAGCAGAAAAATAAATGCCCACAGAAAATAGCACAAGGGAAACGCCCTAGCTACACAATTTTAGTACATTTCTCATTCATATTCCCTTCAACAATGCTAAAACGTGTTCATTTCATTACACTAAGCAATTCTATAATTACTCAAAATATGGTGAAAGACTTTCTTCTCTAATTCTATCTAGTCTTTCATATTGCTCACTATATTGACTGCCATTACTATAATCTGTTAAATAATGAGCATTTCAGAAAGTATTGTAATACCTAAAAATGTTAAATGATAGTCTAGTCGCAGGAATCAAAACCACAGTCCATCCACATCTGCACACTGGTGACAAGTCGTCTGACCATAATAAAATAATAACTTAATATTATATATTTTAATAGTCATAATTTTAAAATTATTCTCTCTTGTTAGTAATAAAAATTATTCAGGTCAATTTTTCTTTGGCTTATCCAGCAGATGTTTTAGATTAAATCAAAGTGTTAAAAATTATGCTAATTTATGATTCTTGGTTGTTTGCTGATACTGCATAGTTAATGGTATTTAGCACATTGTCATTTTTTCAACTAATTACATTGTGCTTTAAGATTTGAGCTAAAGATTTTTTTGCACTGAATTATGTACATTCATATAATAACCTGTGAGTATAGACTCCCAGGGAGCCAGGTAGAACTATTCAATTAAAGTTCATGATAAAAATGTGATAAGTATTATTGGCATAAGGAATATACTTAAAATTAAGGGTTTCATCTGTATGACTCACACCTGTAACCCAAGTGCTTTGGGAGGCTGAGGCAGGAGGATTGCTTGAGGCCAGGAGTTCAAAACCAGCCTGGACAACATAGCAAGACCCCATTTCCTAAAAAAAAAAAAAAAAGTTTTTAATTAAAAAAAAATTTTTTATCTGTAGTAAGGCAAAGTTCCCAAACAAATACATATTTAAATGAGCACCTTTCTGAAGGACAAAGATAGAGAAAAATGCCCAATATAATATTATACCTCAGCATTCTAGGTCAAAAGACCTAGAAACTATAGCTCTATAGTCAGCAAACTACAGCCCACAGGTCAACTCTGTCTGCTATTTGTTTTTATAAATAAAGTTTTATTGGAACACAGACATGCTCATTTGTTGATGTCTGTAGCAGCTTTTGTGTTATGACAACAAAGTTGAATAGCTGTGACAGCGACTATATCTTTTTCTTGACATTTACAGAAAACATTTCCAACCTGTGCATGGGGGATCATTCTTCCGTCACCTAGAATATGAGGCCTCCGAGAGGATGAGAATGAGGGAAAAAACTACAAAGAAAATGGTAGCAAATACTAGCAAAGAAAATGGTAAGCCAAGGTAAAGCTTCCAATGATAAGAAAGTAATTGAAAGAAGAGAGCATGGGGTGAAAGACCGAGGAATGAGGGCCTGAGCTCCACATGTCAGGGCCACCCTGAGAAAGTCTCTAAGAGCCTCTGAGAAAGTTTTCTCTGGGTCTGAAAACAATTAGGGACTATCTTAGCTGTGGAGGCACCTAAGTGAAATTGAGTTAAAAATTCATATTTTATTAAATTGCTTTAGACTTGTTCATTTGATTATTTTAACATAGGGAGGTTGAGTCAACTTGATATGTGACAGACACTGTACTAAGTAAGCATTTCATATGTATGTTAACTCATTTAATTTTTACAACAGCTGTATGAAGTAGATATGACTATTCCCAGTTAATGATACGCAAACTAGCTAGTAAATGTCAGAGCCAAATTTCAAAACCAACCAGATCTGTATGACCTTAGAGCCTTTTAAAAAATCTTTGCAAGATTGCTACATGGAGGTGAGTTTAAGCTGTCTACATTACACAGGATGATACATACTTGATGCCAAGATACATCCTCACCACATCTGTGCTACATTTTAAGTTTTTACTTTTAGTGAGTAGAAACAGGCTATATAATTCTGCCTATGGTGTGCCTGAATGGATACACACACAGAGAGGTTTCATAAGTGCCTTTCTATTTTCTTTTTAAATATGTTCTGTGAAAGGACAAAAGAAGGGCATTTTAGAAAGGATGGCATAGTTAATGACTTGGGTGCAGAGGGCTGTTGCTGTCAATAAAGCAGAGAGCAGGGATGCTGAGTGGAGCAGTCATGAATGGAAATGAGAGCATGAGCCATTAGCAGGAAGTCATAAACCCATTATTAGAAGTTTCATGTCATTGAAGGGAGCCAAATGCTTTACAATTCTAAGGACTATGAATAGCCACCTAAGGAGGATGCGTCTGCTGCTGTGATGTATCAGACAGAGTCCAGTTGGGAGACAGAAATCACAGGGTAATCTGAACAGGGAAGATTTTAAATAAATAATCATGTCCCATAACAGAGGATTGGACTCAGAAAGGATTGGCTGGTTATCAGGATCTGAGATTTGCTTTTGCCCTACTGGAGCTAATAAGCTGACCTGTTATGGTTTCATGGATGCTGGCAGAAGACATCCATGGGTTGAAGGAAAAGGATTTTATTACTGAAGGCACAGAAAGCAGTAGGAATATCGTGTTGGGGTCACTTCCCTGTGCCCTTCAATTCCCACAGGAACAAGACAGAGGATCCCAGGTGGAAATCCACGGAGCTTGGGAAATCCACTGCTTTTATAGTAAGTGGTAGGCTATCCTGCTCTTTGTCCTGGAGATTTCTCGCTGCAAACACAACCCTGAGAAATGGCCCAGCTAATCAGTAGTGGGCGGGGACGCTCAGAACCCGCAGCAGAGTGCCTCTCCCCTTCCTTCTGCAATGTCTCCAGCACCCTCTACCGACAAAATTAGCACTGTGCAGACTGGCGAAGGAGAAAAAGGCTCATGTCCACGTTGACTGAGCAGGTAATGAAGACTGGATTTGTAGATGAGAAGCACTAATTAAAAACTGGTGTGGGCCGGGCGCGGTGGCTCATGCCTGTAATCCTAGCACTTTGGGAGGCCATGGCGGGTGGATCACCTGAAGTCAGGAGTTCGAGACCAGCCTGGCCAAGGTGGTGAAACCCTGTCTCTACTAAAAATACAAAAATTAGCCGGACGTGTTGGTGCGCTCCTGTAATCCCAGCTACTTGGGAGGCTGAGGCAGGAGAATCACTTGAACCTGGGGGGCAGAGGTTGCAGTAAGCCGAAATCACACCATTGCACTCCAGCCTGGGCAACAAGAGCAAAACTCCATCTCAAAAAACAAACAAACTGGCGTATATGTTTATCAGCAGTACCAGACACGGCCGAATTATGATATGGTCCAAAAAGGGACAGTGATTCAATTCATTCTAACACGTGTGTGTGTGTGTGTGTGTGTGTGTGTGTGTGTGAGATCGCCACTATGTTCTCAGAGCTAAGGTAGCTCAAAGACATGAAAAAAAATCTACTCAAAACATAGATAGTACTTAAATAATTTAAAGTTTATTTTTAAAAATCATTTCCCTTCCTTAATAATAATAATTTTTTTTTTAACTGAGTCTTTCTCTGTCACCCAGGCTGGAGTCAGTGACATGATCTCTGCTCACTGCAACCTCCACCTGCCGGGTTCAAGAGATTCTCCTGTCTCAGCCTCCCGAGTAGCTGGGATTACAGGTGCCCACCACCAAGTCTGGCTAATTTTTGTATTTTTAGTAGAGACGCGGTTTCACCATGTTGGCCAGGCTGGTCTCCAACTCCTGACCTCAGGTGATCTGCCTGCCTCAGCCTCCCAAAGTGCTGCGATTATAGGCGTGAGCCACCATACCCAGCCCCTTCCTTAATAATTCAGGCCTAAAGCCATTAGGTAGTGTATAGGAAGGATGGCATCCACAGTGGTGTCGAGAGGACTCATGGTGACCCAATGTGGGGTATTGGAGTCCAAGCAGGGTGAAGAGGGTGGGCTACAGGGTGGGTGACCTGGCACAGGGTCTCAGACCCCCATCAGAGTAAGGACAGCGTCCACACAGCACGGCAGCCTGGCCCGGACTGTCAGAGCCTGAGTAGGATGAGGGAGATATCCACACCTGAGAACAGCCCAGCACCTGGGGGATTAGAGCCTGGGCACGATGGGGAAGGTGCCTGTCCAGGGGACAGCCTGCAGTGGCTAGTTAGCCAGGGCCCAGGGAGGGAGAGGACAGCACCCCTGTGCATGGTGTGGGCTTTCAGAGCCCAAGCGTTGCAAGGAGGCCATCCACGACGGAGAACTGCCTGGAAAGGAGAGTGAGAGCCAAGCAGGAAAACATGGGCATCTGGGCCGGAGTGGGTGTGGTAGCAGAAATTGGAGATTGTTTCCATAGAAGATTGATCAAACTAGTAATTATCTTAAGGAAAATGAAAGACAAGGTTTTCACTGTTGGAGAAGGAAGTTACAAATACAGCAGAGGAAAAAACAAGGATGACCCCCGTGGTGTTGAATTGGAATTCGGCATATTGTTGTAAACTCACGGTTTTCAAGATAGAGATAATAGATTAATAAATACATATGCAAATATGTGCGTGTGTGTGTATAGAAAGATAAGTAGACAGATATAGACCAACAGATATTCCTTAGGTAGACAGATACAGACCAACAGATATTCCTTAACTCTGAACTGAGCCAGCCTGAGAATAGCAATAAACACACCTCATGTCCAGGTCTTGGCTTCTAAATACCAATTTTTACAAAAAAAAAAAGAATGATCTTCACTTTGGGAGGCCAAAGTGGGGAGGATCACTTGAGCCCAGGAGTTTGAGACCATCCTGGGCAATATAGTGAGTCCCTGTCTCTACAAAAAATAAATAAAAAATTATCTGAGCATGGTGGTGCACACCTGTAGTCCCAGCTACTTGGGAGGCTGAGGTGGGAAGATTGAGCCCAGGAGGTCGAGGCTGCAGTGAACCCTGATCACGTTGCTGCACCCCAGCCTGGGTGATGGAATGAGACCCTGTCTCAAACAAAAACAAACAAACAAAGAATAAAATATCTTGGAGAAATGGCTGATTCCAGAGCTGGGGCATGGAAAATACAAGGTGAACCGGGAACATCTTACCATCTAACCAAAAAACGAGGTTGTGCTCAAAGACTGATGAAGACATTGTGGCCCAGTTGGATGGGCTTCCACTGGCCAAATAGGAGACAATTTAAGCATAAAAATAAATAAGATCTAATAGCCAGCATCTATATGGAACTTAAACAAATTTACAAGAAAAAAACAACTCCATTAAAAAGTGGGCAAAGGACAAGAACGGACACTTTTCAAGAGAAGACATACATGCACCAAGAATCCATGAAAAAAAGCTCAGCATCACTGATCATTACAGAAAAGCAAATCAAAACCACAATGAGATACCATCTCACACCACACTATTATTACAAAGTCAAAGAATAACAGATGCTGGCAAGGAAAAAGGAGCACTTATACACTGAAGTGCTCCTTTTACACACAAGTTACACACAAGTGAAAAAGCACTTATGCACTGTTGGTGGGAGTGTAAATTAGTTCAGCCATTGTGGAAGATGGTGTGGTGATTCCTCAAAGACCTAAAAACAGAAATACCATTTGACCCAGCAATACCATTACTGGGTATATACTCGAAGGAACAGAAATCATTCTATTATAAAGACATATGCACATGTATGTTCATCGCAGCACTATTCACAATAGCAAAGACATGGAATCACCCTAAATGCCCATCAATGATAGACTGAATAAAGAAAATGTAATACATGCACACCATGGAATACTATGCAGCCATAAAAAATAATGAGACCATGTCCTTTGCAGGGACACGGATGGAGCTGGAGGCCATTATCCTTAGCAAACTAACACAGGAACAGAAAACCAAATACTGGATGTTCTCACTTATAAGTAGGAGCTAAATGATGAGAACTCATGGACACATAGAGGGGAACAACATACACTGGGGCCTAATGGAGGGTGGAGGGTGGGAGGAGGGAGAGGATCAGGAAAAATAGCTAATGGGTACTAGGCTTAATACCTGAGTGATTAATTAATCTGTACAAGAAACCTCCATGACACAAGTATACCTATGTCACAAACCTGCACATGTACCCCTGAACTTAAAATAAGTTAAAAAAATTAAATTAAAAAATGAGAACCATGAACTATAACCATTTGAATAAAATAGGAACGCATATAAATATAAATAAAATAAATACATAAATTGAAAGTTTGATGAGGAACAAGATGTTTACATCGTTTTAAAGTAGCTCCCCCCAAATATTTATTTTTTTCAAAGGTCAGAGAGTAACTTTCAGTTGAGAAGCCTTGCAGACATCACCTTAATTAAGTCATCAAACTGCACACCATCAGCTGGGCGTGGTGGCTCACGCCTGTAATCCCAGCACTTTGGGAGGCCAAGGCAGGTGGATCACCTGAGGTCAGGAGTTGGAGACCGGCCTGTCCAACATGGTGAAACCCCCTCTCTACTAAAAATACAAAAATTAGCTGAGCATGTTGGCAGACGCCTGTAATCCCAGCTACTCGGGAGGCTGAGGCAGGAGAATTGCTTGAATCCAGGAGACGGAGGTTGCAGTGAGCCGAGATCACACCACTGCACTCCAGCCTGGGCATCAAGAATGAAACTCCATCTCAAAAAAAAAAAAAAAAAGAAAAGCCCATCATCAATACTGGGACAAATGATAATCTTGCCTAAACTATGGAGACAGTAAAAAGATCGGTGGGCACTAGGGGTTAGGGGAGAGGGAAGGATGAGCAGACAGAGCACAGGGTTTTTTCAGGGCAGTGAAACTATTCTGTATGACACTATAATTATGGGTGCATGTCATTATGCGTTTGTCCAAACTCACAGAATGTACCACACCAAGACTGGACCCTAATATAAACTGTGGACTTTAGGTGATGATGCATCAATGTGGGCCTCAGTTGTAACAAATGTAGCACTCTGGCGGGGGAGGTTGATAACGGGGGAAGGCTATGCATGTGTAAGGCAGGGGATATATGTGAACTCTGTACCTTCCGCTCAATTTTGCTGTGAACCTAAAAAACAAAATCTATTTCTTTAAAAAATCTTACTTCACATGATAGGATGCAATGAGAGGACGCAATAGTATCACTTCTGTGATGTTCCTGCCAAAGATGCATAATCTGGATCTAATCATGATAAAACACCAGACAAACTAAAATGGCAGGTCATCCTACAGAATAGCTAGCTTGGAACTTTCAAATGTGCTAAGGGATGAGATCTGAGGAAAGACTGAGTAACTGTACTAGATCAAAGACAAAAGAGACATGAGGCTGGGCGCGGTGGCTCACACCTGCAATCCCAGCACTTTGGGAGGCCGAAGCAGGCGGATCACTTAAGCTCAGGAGTTCGAGACCAGCCTGGGCAACATGGCAAAACCCCATCTCTAAAAAATAAACAAAAATTAGCAGGGTGTGGTGGTGCATGCCTGTATTCCCAGCTACTTGGGGGGGGCTGGGGCAGGAGGATTGCTTGAACCCAGGAGGTCGAGGCTGCCATGAGCCAAGATCACCCCACTGCACTCCAGCCTCAGTGACAAAGTGAGACCCTGTCTCAAACGAAACAAAAAAGAAACATGACAGCTACAAGCAGTGCATAATCCTGGATTGAATCCTTTCGCTATAAAGGACATTATTGAAACAACTGTCAACTTGAATGGCTCTGTGAATTAGATGATAGTAATGTATCAGTGTTTACTGCCTAACTTTTATGATTGTATTATGGTTTTATAGATAAGTGTCTTTGTAGGAAATACAAACTATTTCAGGGTGATGGACCCGCATGCTGGCAACTTATTCTCAAACAGTTCAGGGGAAAAGGTTTATTTAAACTATACTTTCAATTTTTCTGTAATTTTCTGATTGGTTCAAATTTTGGTTAAATAGTAAAAAAACAAAAATAGGCCCATTTTCAGGCTTGATACATGTTCTCCACATCCTAGGCTTCCTCCTTCCAGCTTCCACACAGCAAATATTTTTGTCTTCCTCAGATGCATAAGAAACATTAGTAGAGTTGAAAATAATCTACAAATAATTGATTATTGAAAACTGCACATCTGATCTCAGAATTGCCAATGAAGGTTCTCTGCACATTACCTCATCAACTCTTTCATCCCAGGGGTATGAGATGAATTTTATGAAAATGATCCATACTTGTGACATTGCAAATGAAGCAGATAAAATTCTATTTTCCATTTGTTCCTTTTGGGGAATTCTTAGAAGTAAATTGATACCCTTCCCTGTGGAAGAGATAAGAGAAAGTGAATGAAGGTTTGAAAAGAAGCATGGAGACCTTCAAAATTATCAAATTTTTGAGTTTAAGGTGATATTTACATTAAAATAGCTTGCCAGTGATGAGCCAATGAAGGGAAAAGCTTACTTTTCAGTTAGTTATGATTTCCAGGGCAGAGGAAAAGTAACAAGGAGACAGGGTCAAAGGAAGTGAGAAGCTGAACAGAACTTTTAAAGTTTAAACTTAAAGAATAAAAACACAAGAGAACCAGAAACAGGTTCAATTATGCTGAATACTCTATTTCCCAAACCTATCCTCTACTTGTCTCATTAATGTCTATATTTCTGAGCTATATTAAACATTCCACTTCCTTCATTCCCGCCTTCATTATTTTTTAGTCTTTTTTTTTTTTTTTTTTTTTTGAGATGGAGTCTCGCTTTGTTGCCCAGGCTGGAGTGCAGTGGCGCAATCTCGGCTCACTGCAAGCTCCACCTGCCGGGTTCACGCCATTCTCCTGCCTCAGCCTCTCGAGTAGCTGGGACTACAGGCGCCCGCCACCACGCCAGGCTAATAATTTTTTGTATTTTTAGTAGAGACGGAATTTCACCGTGTTAGCCAGGATGGTCTCGATCTCCTGACCTCGTGATCCGCCCACCTCGGCCTCCCAAAGTGCTGGGATTACAGGCATGAGCCACCGAGCCCGGCCTATTTTTTAGTCTTGAGACAGGGTTGAAGGTGGGTGTGGTGGCTCACACTTATAATTGTGCCCAGCAAATTGTGCCCAGCAATTTGAGAGGCTGAGGCAGGAGGAACACTTGAGCCCAGGAGTTCGAGACCAGCCTGGGCAACATAGCAAGACACTGTATCTATTTAAAAAAAGAAAAGAAAAAGAAAGAAAAAAGAAAAAGAGGGTGTTGAGGCTAGCAGCAGCCACAATTCGACTATGTGAAGGTGTTGTGCTACTGAATCATGAGAGAACATGAGCAAATCATTTAGAATTCAGTGGGCAAAAAGAGACAATTATGTTGTCTTCTAAATCTTTGAAAATATTGTTTTCATGATTCTTTTAACCAAAGTACCCTATAAACAATTATTTTTATCTCTGAGCCATTATCACTCACGACCACCTCCACCATTCTGTTATGTTTAGCATGCCGTGAAATCACAAACTACACAGGATCAACTGCTTTTTGACAACATCTGAATCATGACAGAGATATTAGAAAAATAAAATGTCTGAGTTCCAAATAAAATTTAAAATACAGTATATTCAAACTCAACATTTTAAGAAAATAATTGTATTTCCCTTTTCTTTTAAAAATTGATTTATTTATACAAAAATTAGCTGGGCGTGGTGGCGGGCGCCTGTAATCCTAGCTACTCCGGAGGCTGAGGCAAGAGAATTGCTTGAACCTGGGAAGCGGAGGTTGCAGTGAGCTGAGATCGCGCCATTGCACTCCAGCTGAGCGACAAGAGCAAAACTCTGTCTCAAAAAAAAAAAAAAAGATTTATTTAGAGAAATGTGGGAGACTTCTTCGGTAAAGTCAGTACTTCTGAAAGAGTATTTTCTCTCTTAAAAGACTGCATCCACTCTGGAGAAGCACCCAGCTGTTCCTTTTGAAACTAAGCATGGACTCATCCTATGATCCAGCAAGGGCACTCGTGGTGTCACTCATGGTGTACCAGAGAAAATGAAGACTGACTCCCAGCACCTTCATTCATAACAGCCCAACACTAGGAACTACCCAAATGTCCTGTAATGGTGAATGGTTAAAGAACCTATGGGACATCCATACCATGGAATACGATCCAGCCATAAAATGGAACAAACCTTTCACACAGGCAACAACTTGGAAGAACCTCAAGGAAATTATGCTGAGTGAAAAAAAAAAAAAAGCCAGTCTCAAAAATGGTGCATACGACATAGTTCTATTTATGTAACATCCAAAAAAATAACATAATTACAGAGATGAAGAACAGATTAGGGATTGTCAGAGGTTAGAGATATGGAGAGAGGATGAATGTGGCTGTAGAGGGATAGCTCTAGGGAGTCTTGTGGTGATGGTAGTATAGTCTCTTGATTGTGGTGGTGGTTATGCAAGGCTATGGATGTGGTAAAAGTGTATAAAGTTACACACACACACACACACAAGTGCATATGTAACTGGTGAAATCTGATTAAACTGTATGGATTGGACCAGTGTCAATTTCTTGGTTTTGATATTATTTTACAGTTGTGTATGATGCTAATATTTAGGAGGCTGAGAAAAAGGTACATGAGAATTTCCTGGACATTTCTTTGCAACCTCCTATAAATCTATCATTATTTCATAAGAAAAGAAAAAAAGCCCACGTACACACATTAAATCTTTATATTTAAGGTGACTTGTTTGAAGATACAAAGACGAGCAGGGGAGCAGGGGAGGGAATTGCTAGCTGTTTGGCATGTATGGTGGCCACTCCCTATGTATTGCCATAGCAATATGGCAGTATTTCCTATGAACAGCGTATTTTTAATATATTAACCAGGAAGATAAAAATGTGTTCTGCATTCAGTGCTAGCCACAGAGTTTCAAAGACCTGATGGAACCAAAGTGTGTTAAGGCCTTAGCTCTGTGTTATACTTGCCAACCTTCTAAGGGTATGGGTATCACATAGAAGAAATCTAAGGACAGGTTTCAGGGCCCTTGATCATTCCTCAACCTGTCAGATCCTGAGTGTTTATCACAGAATGTTTCAGTAAATCAGTTATATTACTTGCCCACCATTTTCACTCCTCCAGAAGATTATTTCTCAAACAATAACAACTTTTTCTAGGTTCCAAATATTATATCCATTGTTTGGCCTTAGTTTTTGTGTGTGTGTGTGGTTTTTTTGTTTGTTTGTTTGTTTGTTTAGAGATGGAGTCTCGCTGTGTCGCCCATGCTGGAGTGCAGTGGTGCGATCTCAGCTCACTGCAAGCTCTGCCTCCCAGGTTCACGCCATTCTCCTGCCTCAGCCACCCAAGTAGCTGGGACTACAGGCACCCACCACCATGCCCGGCTAATTTTTTGTATTTTTAGTAGAGACGGGGTTTCACCATTTTAACCAGGATGGTCTCGATCTCCTGACCTCGTGATCTGCCCGCCTCGGCCTCCCAAAGTGCTGGGATTACAGGCGTGAGCCACCGTGTCCGGCCTTGTTTGGCATTTTTAAATACCACTAGAGTATCCTTATATCTTTTTGTGAAGAAAAATCTAGATTTCTGGTATGTTTTCAAAACCTGAAGTCTCTAGCTACTTGTAACATTTTCACATCTCTTATGCTGATTTTTCTTATTCTCTTAATTTTTAAAAAACTTTTTTTATTTCATTAGCTTTAGGGGTAGGAATGGTTATGGGTTCCATGGATGATGAGTGGTGAATTCTGGGCTTTTAGTGCACCAGTCGCCCCAATAGTGTACATTGTACCCAATAGGTAGTTTTTCACCCCTCATCCCCCTTCCACCCTCCTCCCCCTTTCTTATTTATTTATTTATTTTTGAGACAGAGTCTCGCTCTGTCACCCAGGCTGGAGTGCTGTGGCATGATCCTGGCTCACTGCAACCTCCATCTCCCAGGTTCAAGCGATTCTCCTGCCTCAACCTCCCGAGTAGCCGAGATTACAGGCACGCGCCACCATGCCCAGCTAATTTTTTTGTACTTTTAGTAGAGACAGGATTTCACCATGTTGGCCAGGCTGGTTTTGAACCCCTGATCTCAAGTGAGACACCTGCCTCAGCCTCCCGAAGTGTTAGGATTACAGGTGTGAGCCACCGCGCCCGGCCCATCCTCCCCATTTCTGAGTCTCCAGTGTCCATTATAGCACTCTGTATACCTTTGCTTACCCATAGCTTAGTTCCCACTTGTGAAAACATGCGGTATTTGGTTTTTTGTCCCTGTGTTACTTCACTTAGGATAATGGCCTCCAGTTCCATCCAAATAGCTGAAAATACATTATTTGGTTCTTTTTATGGCTTAGTAGTATTCCATGGTATATATACACCACTTAAAAAAAATAGAGACAGGGTCTCACTTTGTTGTCCAGGCTGGTCTCAAACTCCTGGCTTCAAGGGATCCTTCTGCCTCAGCCTCCCAAAGTGCTGGACTACAGGCATGAGCCACTGTGCTTGGCCTATATACATCACACTTTCCTTTATCCACAAGCTGATGGGCACCTTGGTTGACTCCATATCTGCAATTGTGAATTGTGCTGCAACACACATATGTGTGCAGGTATCTTTTTGATATGGTAACTTCCTTTCCTCCTTTTGGCATGCTTCTCCTCTGTCCTTTTGGGGAAGGCAGTATCTTCAATATTTTTAGCCTCAGAAGACATGGCCAGAAGTTTTGAAATCACCAGCATGAATTATTGAGACAAGGGATATCCCTTGGTCCCTGAGTGCTCCCCAGTGAAGACCTAAACACAGACTTAAAAAAAAATTAAAATTTCCAGATACAGTATCTTCTTAGATGTATTCAGAATGTGGGCAAGTCACAGCTTCTATCTAAGGCTGGTTATGAGACAAACAAAAAGCCTGGATCACAGAATTAAGTTAATTCAACAGGTGTTTTATGACAAGTTTTAATCTGATTTCCAGAAAAGCTAGTTTTTTGAGGTTTTTTGTTTGTTTGTTTTGCTTTGTTTTTGTTTTTGTTTTTGTTTGAGACAGAGTCTTACTCTGTCACCCAGGCTAGAGTACAGTGGTGCAATCTTGGCTCACTGCAACCTCTGCCTCCCGGGTTCAAGTGATACTCTGCCTCAGCCTCCCGAGTAGCTGGGATTACAGGCGCCTGCCACCACGCACCACTAATTTTTTTGTATTTTTGGAAGAGACAGGGTTTCACCGTGTTGGCCAGGCTGGTCTCGAACTCCTGACCTCGTGATCCACCTGCCTTGGCCTCCCAAAGTTCTGGGATTACAGGTGTGAGCCACCGCACCCAGCCGAAAAGCTAGTTTTCTTTAATCAAGAAAAATTAAAAGTAAAGATTTAATGTTTGTAGATAGGTTTTTTTTTAATTAAGGCAAAATTCACATCTCATAAAATTAACCATTTTAAAGTGAACAATTCAGTAGCATCCAGTACATTCATACTGTTGTGCAAGCAATACATCTAGTTCCAAAAGGTTTTCATCATCCCAAAAGAAATACCCATACCCATTTAGCACTTACTCCCCATTCTTCCTTCCTCTCAGCCCCAGCAACCACCAATATGGTTTCTATTTCTAGAAATCTACCTATTCTGAATATGTCATATAAATGGAATCATACAGTGTGACCCTTTGTGTCAGGCTTTTTTCATTTAGCATGTTTTCAAGATTCATCTATGATGTAGCATGAATCATTACTTCATTTCTTCTTGTGGCTGAACAATATTCCATCGTATATACCACAGAGCATTATTCAAGGACATTTGGATGATTTCCTCCTCTTAGCTATTGTGAATAGTGCTGCTATGAACATACATGTACAAGTATTTAAGCATCTGTTTTCAATTCTTTGAAGGTATATCACCTATGAATGGAATTGATGGGTTATATGGTAATTTTATGGTGTTTAATTTTTTTGAGAAACTGCCAAACCAGTTTCCACAGCAACAGAGCCATTTTACATTCCTGTGCATTGATTTTTAAAAACAGAAGCTATGAATCTTCAGAAATGAAGTAGGCTTTCCATCTGCTTCCTTGGATTTGGCATACTCTAGAATAAATCGGTGGTTCTCAACTCTGGCTTGACAACATAGGGAGCTCAAAAAGAAGAAGGTAACAGCCTCCATCTCTAGAAATTCTGTTTATTTCTAATAAATCTGGGTTGAGCCCATGCCACTCCAAGTGACCCTCAAGTAACTCTAATGGCTGCCAGGATTGAGAACTACTACTCTACATGAACTCAGGGGAAGTAGTGCAAGAATTTTTTCCCTACAGAATAGGAATCATTAAATTGTCATGGAAACAGAACTCATTTCCATTTCTTAATTCCCTTGGCTGTTTGATTCACAGCCGTGTATCTGCACCTAGAATCATTATTGGCACAGAATTGAACAAATATATTGGCTTAATGTTGAATATCCAGTTTTATTTTAAGCTTAAATGGATCATATAAAACAGCAGTTAATAATTTTAAATGACATCAGTATTTTTAGCTACCAATAGTTAGAAAACCAGAAGGAAACCTGAAATTCTCTGGTTAGATATTATTTTTAAATACACTATCTTTCTCTAGTTATTAACTATGTTTTTTAGACTTTCTATGTAATATTGGTAGAAAATGATTTATTTCCTCAAATAACCTTTATTTTATTTTATTTTTTATATTTTTTTTGAGATGGAGTCTCACTCTGTTGCCCAGGCTGGAGTGTAGTGGTGTGACCTCAGCTCACTGCAGCCTCCACCTCCCAGGTTCAAGCGATTCTCCTGCCTCAGCCTCCCAAGTAGCTGGGATTACAGGCATGCACCACCACACCCGGCCAATTTTGTATTTTTAGTAGA
Source organism: Homo sapiens (assembly GCF_000001405.40). Taxonomy (NCBI): domain Eukaryota; kingdom Metazoa; phylum Chordata; class Mammalia; order Primates; family Hominidae; genus Homo; species Homo sapiens. Next base: position 39,147,411 of record NC_000004.12, read on the forward strand.
CATGGGGTTTCACCATGTTGGCCAGGCTGGTCTCGAACTCCTGACCTCAAGTGATCTGCTCACCTTGGCCTCCCAAAGTGCGGATTACAGGCATAAGCCACTGCGCCCAGCCTAAAATAGCCTTTATTTTAAAGTATGCAAGGCTAAATGATAAATTGGAAGCAAAAATATAAGATGATCAAACAATCCTGACATTTTCTAGAATTGTAGTATGCAATTAAAAATCCCTATATTTATATTTATTTATTTTTATAATGTGAATTCTATCTAAATGTCCCAGTTCTGTACTTAGTATTAAATGTGATTTTTCTCCATCCCCAATGTCACAGCTATCCCCCTTTCCCTTACCTTGGAAACTCTTCCTCCCCCACTGCAATCCCTGTGAATATATTTTTCTGATTTGCAGCAAACCATGCTATTAATTTTTCGCGTATCTTTCTGTTGAGCTTCACATAATCTTAACGAGTTTTTATAGCAGAGTCTGACAAATACTACTTTCTTATAATGCCATCCTTTCCCAAATAAATTAGAGGTTTCTGAAAATTACTATAACAGGTATTTATTTATACTTAAATAATCAATTTTAAATTGCATAGCTATTAAAAAGCTCTGTGCTCTTTAGAATCACCCTTCCCGCCCCCCCTCCACACACACACACACACACACACACACACACACACACAGGTTGTATAATGGCTTCACTAACTCTTGAATGAATATCTCCGAAACAAGTGGATGCCAGATTCTTTCCCAGAGGCCAGGTTTCATCATGTTCCTGGTTCTTACATTTTAGAATAGGAAGCTGAATTTCCCTTTTTATCCAGAAATTATATTTACAAAAGATTATTCAGATAAGGATACGACTATTTGCAAAGGACACAAATATTTTCAAAAGAATAGCACAAATAAAAATATCTTTAAGTTTCAAATAAATTATATTTCAAATGACTTTAAAATAAGTGTTTTGTAAGTTGGCCAAATCTGAAGATATTTCTCCAATTAAAAACAGAAACTAGGCCTGGCACGGTGGCTCACACCTGTAATCCCAGCACTTTGGGAGGCCGAGGCAGGAGGATCACTTGAGCCCAGGAGCTCGAGACCAGCTTAGGCAACATGACAAAACCCTGTCTCTACAAAAGAAATACAAAAATTAGCCAGGCATGGTGGTGTGTGCCTGTGGTCTGAGCTACTTGGGAGGCTGAGGTGGGAGGATCACCTGAGCCTGGGAGGCCAAGGCTGCAATGAGCTGTGATCGCGCCACTACATTCCAGCCTATGTGATAGAGTGAGACCCTGTCAAAAAATAAATAAATAAAATTTAAAAATAAATAAAGAAAAACGAAAGCTCTATACTTATTTGTTGGAGAACCTAAAACACATACATCAACAAGGACATCTTCCTCCAGTGGATCATCATCATCTGGAAAATACTGACTTCGGATATCTTACTACAGGGAGAGTGTGAGAGAGAAATGCAAAGAGATAATGCTAGACCCAGATAAACACAATCTTTAGCAAATCTGGCCACATTTGCTGAAATAAGAGTTCTGTCCGTTGAACTTCAGTGGCCTCCTGCCATTTTCTTCCTTCTGATAAAAGGTTAACATATCTAAAGCATTCTAGCAAATAGATCTTGATGACCTCATCAAGGGTAACTGTATCTTGATCCCTTGGCTATATTAAATAAGAGGTACTAACTGCAGAAGGAATGAGAAAATGAATGAATGAACAAATGGACCCAATTGTTTCGTCCTAGGACTGCCCAAAGAAGGTGAAGCAAGTAGAGTCCCTGGTGACGTGTAATGTAAGCGTAAGTAGCAGATGCTAACCAGATGTCTCAAACTAAGCCTTGGTGATCAGATGGAAGACCCCAAGGGAGAGTAGTGACAATGACAGATACGGGGAATCCCCAGATCAGGGGTTGGGGTACAAGTGGGGGTTACAAGTGGGCTGACCTTGACAGTGTAGTCACAGGCTACCGATGCATCAGGTGTGGTGCGCTCAGGTACATAGATGAAGCTGGAAACCATCATTCTCAGCAAACTAACACAGGAACAGAAAACCAAACACCGCCTGTTCTCACTTATAAGTGGGAGCTGAACAATGGACACAGGGAGGGGAACATCACACACCAGGGCCTGTTAGGGGGTGGGGAGCAAGGGGAGGGAGGGAGAGCATTAGGACAAATACCTAATGCATGCAGGTCTTAAAACCTAGATGATGGGTTGATAGGTGCACCATGGCACATGTATACCTATGTAACAAACCTGCACGTTCTGCACATGTATCCCGGAACTTCAAGTAAAATTTAAAAAAAAAAGAAGTATAGACTCTCTGAGCATCAGTCTGGACTTCAAAACTAGGATACTGAGGTTAGAAACTAAGTTATTTCATGCTCTTAGCAAAAATGGGCAGGACCAAGATACTGATCATCAGAGCCCACTGACTGTCAGAAGGTAGGGAGAAAATTCAGCCACTCAAGCTGCATCACCCAGTCTCTGAATGCTAACCAACTCAGGGCTTCAAGCATGTAGTTCAAAGAAGATCACTTTGAAGGATATGTGGACAGATAGGAAGGAAATGTGGACAGTTAGCATAGCACCAGGCATAGAACTGACCCTCAAAAAATATTTAAGCTCATATGTCAGAACTAGAAAGGAACCAAAAGTCATTTAATCCAATTCCATCAGTATCAGTTAGAATTCGTGTAGGCTGCTTGTAATTGAAAGTAACATGGCTTAAACAAGACAATGGTTAACTTTATCTGTGTAAAATAAGCCCATATAAGTGGCTTTTGAAAATTGTTATAACAACAATGAATGTATATAATTACAAAATATAGGTGCAGCACCAGACAGGGTCAAATTCTCAGCACTGAAACAACCAAGGGAAACTCTCTACCTAGTCAGGGACAAACCAGTTCAAACTTCTGAGATCTTAAATTTTTTTTTATCCTAATCCTAAGGAGTCTTGCTCTGAAGATTAGGGTTCAGTCCAAGTGGGGGCAGGGGATGGAGAGGGAGGAAGGGAACAACAGCTCCCATCTCCAATCCCTCCTATTCAGTTATTATGTCAGATCTGCCCAGAGGAACTCTACTGTCAATCTTCAAGTACGGATACCTTGGACAGAAGTCAACTTTCACAACTTCTCACTTCAGATACAAGAACCACAGGTAAAGGCCGGGTGCGGTGGCTCACGCCTGTAATCCCAGCACTTTGGGAGGCCGAGGAGGGTGGATCACTTGAGGTCAGGAGTTTGAGACCAGCCTGGCCAACACAGTGAAACCTAGTCTCTACTAAAAATCCAAAATTAGCCGGGCGTGGTGGTGCTCGCCTATAATCCCAGCTACCCGGAAAGCTGAGGCAGGAGAATTGCTTGAACCCGGGAGGCAGAGGTTGCATTGAGCCAAGATTACGCCACTGCACTCCAGCCCGGGTGACAGAGCGAGACTCTGTCTCGTTTAAAAAAAAAAAAATCAAAAGGCTATTTCTAATAAGAGAGACAACTTTAGCCACTGGAGAACATAAAGGAGGGGAAAAACACCTCAGTTTACCAAATTATGCTTTAAAATTACAAATTAAACATCAAAGAAGTTTCCAATGATGGTTGTTCCTCTTCTCAAATGTGCTATTGGAATTGATTTTTTTTTTTAATTAGCCTAGGGCAAAGAAGAGCTCTACTTAAATGGGCCAAGCACATAGAAACATGCCAAATGGGCACTCTACCCCACCAAACTGTGAATTTAAAACAGCACTAGGTCCCAAGGACAGTAAATAAAATCATTAGTATATACACCTATTAACTTCTCCCTTTTCATACATTAGGTAGGCTGCTCAAAAAGACAGATGAATCCAGGAACATTAACTATAAATTACAGGAAGTAAAATGGGGATCTGGCAACTATGGTTAGTGTTGCATCAGACATAGTTTCTGTATTAGATCTTTGTAAAATGCTCCTTGAGTAGTATGCCATGATTGGTCTTACTTAGTAAGTTATTTACTAACTTTAATTTATTGGTATTAAAATACCAATAAATTTCAGCTTCAAACAATAATCAGAATAGAGACTGACTGCACTTTACTTTCATTGTCCTGCCATAAAGATATTTAAATTCTCTAATGTGTGTTATAATCTGATAAACAGTGTTTAAATAGGTTGCAGTTTCTCATTTTATTGATGACAGGCTCATTAAGGATGATTCAGAAACCATAATATTAGAAGTTCTGTCTTCCTTCATTGCTTTCATGACTGAAGGGAACAGGGCACTAAAGAGAAGTACAGAGAAGTAATTTGCCCATAGAGACACAGCTCAAATACAGATAATGTGGCTCTAGCACCCTGGCTCCTAACCACTCCTCTATGCAGCATTAGAAATAAGAATGTTGGCCAGGCACGGTGGCTCACGCCTGTAATCCCAGCACTTTGGGAAGCCGAGGCAGGCAGATCACAAGGTCAGGAGATCGAGACCATCCTGGCCAACACGGTGAAACCCTGTCTCCCCTAAAAATACAAAAATTAGCCGGGCGTGGTGGCACGTGCCTGTAATCTCAGCTACTCGGGAGGCTGAGGCAGGAGAATCGCCTGAACCCAGGAGTTGGAAGTTGCAGTGAACCAAGATCGCCACCGCACTCCAGCCTGGCGACAGAACGAGACCCCATCTCAAAAAAAAAGAAAAAAGAAAAAAGAAATAAAAGAAAGAATGTTTGGCTGAGAGCGGTGGCTCACGCCTGTAATCCTAGCACTTTGGGAGGCCAAGGCAGGTGGATTGCCGAGCTCAGGAATTCGAGACCAGCCCGGGCAACACGGTGAGACCCTGTCTCTACTAAAATACAAAATAATTAGCCAGGCATTGTGTTGTGCGCCTGTAATCCCAGCTACTTGGGAGGCTGAGGCAGGAGAATCACTTGAACCTGGGAGGCGGAGGTTGCAGTGAGCCTCGGCTCCACTGCACTCCAGCCTGGATGACAGAGTGAGGATCCGTCTCAAAAAAAATAAAAATATAAAAAAGAATGTTCATTGTTGCATTTTCTAATTTAAAAAACCTTGCTGGAAACTAAATGTCCATCAGAAAAAGAATGTATAAGTATATTGTGATGTAGCCATACAATGGAATACTGTTTAGCAGTTACAAAGGTATGCGTCAACATAATGAGTCCCAGAAACACAGGGTTGCATTTTGTTTTAAAGGCATGTGGCTAGGCACAGTGTCTCATGCCTGTAATCCCAGCACTTTGGGAGGCTCAGGCAGGAAGATCACTTGAGCCTAGGAGTTCCAGGCTGCAGTGAGCTATGATCATGCCACTGCACTCCAGCATGGGCAACAGAGTGGGACTCTGTGTCTAAAAAATAAGTAAATAAATACATAATTTAAAAGCATGCAAAACATGATTCAATATAAAACCATGTATATATAAAAATTTGTCAAAAAATTCTATACAGTCTATATATTCCTTCCATATATTCTATGTAGTGTTTCCAGATACATATATATATAGCAAAAGTATGAAAATATTCATAGCAATAATAAACCAAATTTGGGATAGTGGCTGCCTTTGAGAAATAGAATCAGGAAAAACAGGCATGCAGCCTTAAACTTATCTATAAGGTTTTGTTTTTAAAAATGTATTAGGCTGGGCATGGTGGCTCACGCCTGTAATCCCAGCACTTTGGGAGGCCGAGGTGGGCGGATCACCTGAGGTCAGGAGTTCGAGACCAGCCTGGCCAAGATGGTGAAACCCCATCTCTACTAAAAAAAATACAAAATTATCCAGGCATGGTGGCGCATGACTGTAATCCCAGCTACTCGGGAGGCTGAGGCAGGAGAATCGCTTGAACCTGGGAGGCGGAGGTTGCAATGAGCAGAGATTGCGCCATTGCACTCCAGCCTGGGCAACAAGAGCAAAACTCCATCTCCAGAAAAAAAGTATTAAAGTCCTCATCAAATAAGGCACAATGCTAAGACTATTCCGAATCTGGGTGATGGGCATAAGAGCATTTATGATATTTATTTTCTTTATTGTTCTGTGTCCCTGAAATTTTACATGATAAAAGTCCAGCATTTGTTCACATTAAAATGGTTAATTTTATGTTATATGCATTTTACCTCAATAAATATTTTCTCTTTTTTTTTTTTTTTGAGACGGAGTCTTACTCTGTTGCCCAGGCTGGAGTGCAGTGGCATGACCTCAGTTCACTGTAGCCTCTGCCTCCCAGGTTCAGGCGATTCTCTGCCTCAGCCTCCTGAGTAGCTGGGATTACAGGCATCACCTGTACAGTGTACAGTGCCACCACACCAAGCTAATTTTTGTATTTTTATTAGAGATGAGGTTTCACCATGTTGACCAGGCTGGTCTCGAACTCCTGGCCTCAAGTGACCTGCCCACCACAGTCTCCCAAAGTGTTGGGATTACAGGCGTGAGCCACTATACATGGCCTCAATAAATATTTTCTTAATATTTAAAAAATGAGTTCAGGTGGAACTTAAAGCTCTCACAAACGTTAATGACATTTTCTTTGACCATATCTACATAATGCAAAAAAAAACAATAAAAAGATGTAACTTTATTTTGTATTAATTATACCAGTGTGGGCCAGACAAGGTGGCTCATACCTGTTAATATAGTTGGGATTTGTGTTCCTACCCAAATCTCATGTGGAATTAGAGGAGGGACCTGAATGGAGGTGACTGGCTTATGGGGTGGATTTCCCTCTTACTCTTCTCATGATAGTGAGTGAGTTCTCAAGAGATCTGATGGTTTAAAAGTGTGTGGCACTTCCCCCTTCACTCTCTCTCCCTCTTCTGCCACCATGTGAAGAAGGTGCTTGCTTCCCCTTTGCTTCCGCTATGATTGTAACTTTCATGAGGCCTCCCAGTCTTGCAGAACTGTGAGTCAATTAAATCTCTTCTTCATAAATTACCCAGTCTCAGGTAGTTCTTTATAGTAGTGTGAAACAGACTAATACACCTGTAATCCCAACGCTTTCGGGCGCCAAGGCAGGAGGCTCTCTTGAGCTCAGGAGTTCAAGACTAGCCCGGGCCACATAGTGAGACCTCATCTCCACAAAAAAATTTAAAAATTAGTCAGACATGGTGCTGCATGCCTGTAGTCCCAGCTACTTGGGGGCTGAGATGGGAGGATCACTTGAGCCCACCATTGCACCATCACACTCCAGCCCGGGCAACAGAGTAAGACCCTGTCTCAAAAACAAATAAAAAATTGTATCATTGTGGTCCTCATAAGTGTGATTTTTAATAGGTGTACGGTTCCATATTCAAATCATTCTAGAAAAAGAATAATTAGGACCCTTTAAATAAAATATTCTTCATTCAGTGTACTACAAATAATAACTTGTCATTATCTACCTTCCTTACTCACTGGGTGACTTCATGTCATCTGAACCCTGGCTGAGACAATTAACTAGATGTAAGGGATTAACACAAATTGTTCACAATTTTTCTAAGCAGTCAAATATCCTCCAACTGAAAAAAAATGTTCCTAATAAGAATGGTTTTTAATTTAGCTATTGACTCATTTCCCACCAATGTAGTATCACATTTATAATTTAGATTTTATTATTCTAAATGGCTATTTGAGGGCATATTAAGAAAGAAGCTACAATATAAAGAACAAGTATTAGAGTTAAAAAGAAAACTAATAATTACATAGCCTCTTTGAACCTTTAAGGCCCTTATTTACAAAATGTACAACAATGCTTAGAGAAAAGGATAACTGAGATAATTATTCAAGAAGCATAAATAAAAGCTTTTTATAAATTCCAAATGACTCCACAGAAGTGGGTAATTTAAATTTAAAAACCAAACGATTGAATCAAAATATCAGTTGGCTTCTTTGCAGAAATCAACAAGCTGAATCCAAAAATTAGTATGAAAATTTAAGGGACCCAGAATAGCCAAAACAATGTTGAAGAAAAAGAAAAAAGTTGGAGGATTCACACTTTTTCATTTCAAAATTTATCACAAAGCTATAGATATTGAGACAGTGCTGTACTGTCATAAAGATAGACATGTTGATCAATGGAATGGAATTGAGAGTCCAGAAATAATCCTTAACATTTATGATCATTTTTGACAAGAGTGCTAAGATGATGGGGAAAGAATAGTCTTTGCAACAAGTGATGCCATACACATGCAAAAGAATGGACTTGGACCCTATTAAACACCATATACAAAAATTAACTCCAAATGGATCAAAGATCTAAATGTAAGAATGAAAACTATAAAACTCTCAGAAAAAAACAGAGGCATAATTCTGAATGAACTTGGATCAGGCAATCATTTTTTTTTTTTTGAAACGGAGTTTCACTCTTATTGCCCAGGCTGGAGTGCAATGGCGCGATCTCGGCTCACTGCAACCTCCGCCTCCTGGGTTCAAGCAATTCTCCTGCCTCAGACTCCAGAGTAGCTGAGACTATAGGCACACACCACCATACTTGGCTAATTTTTTTGTATTTTTAGTAGAGACGGGGTTTCACCACGTTAGCCTAGCTGGTATCGAACTCCTGACTTCAGGTGATCTGCCCACCTCAGCCTCCCAAAGTGCTGGCATTACAGACGTGAGCCACCTCACCCAGCCAAAAATTTTAAAACTTCTGTGCTGCAAAACACATCAAAAAGTTGAAAAGATAACTCACATAATGGGATAAAATATTTGCAAATCGTCTATCTGATAAAGAAAGGATTTGTATCCAGAATATATAAAGAACATGTACAACTCAACAATAAAAACTTAAATAACCCAATTTTGAAAATGGACAAAGGATATGAAAAGTCAGTTCTCTGGAGAATATACACAAATGGTCAATAAGCGCATGAAAAGATACTCGACATCATTAGTCATAAGAAAATGCAAGTCAAAACCACAATGAAAAATCACTTCACACTCACTAAGATGGCTATAATAAAAGGAACTGATAAGTGTTAGCAAAGATGTGGAGACGTGGACCCCTCATACAGTGCTGATGTGATTGTACAATGGTGCAGCTGCTTTGGAAAACAGTATGGCGGTTCCTTAAAATATTAAACATAGAGTTAACACATGACCCAGCAATTTCACTCCTAGGTATCTACCCAAGAGAAATAAAAACATATGTCCACAAAAAAAAATGTGTACACCAATGTTAATTGCAGTAATATTCAAAATAGCCCCAAAATGGAAACAACCCAAATAGCCATCAACTGATAAATGGAAAAAGAAAATGTGGTGTATCAATTCAATGAGATATCATTTGGCAATTAAAAGGACTGCAGTACTGATACATGCTATGACATGGATGAGCCTAGAAGACATTACACTAAGGGAAAGGGGCCAGGTGTGGTGGTGCACACCTGTAGTCCCAGCTACTCGGGAGGCTGAGGTGAGAGCCTGGGAGCTAGAGGCTGCAATGAGCCGAGATCACGCCACCGCACTCCAGCCTGGGCAACAGAGAAAGACTGCCTCAAAAAGAAAAAATATATATATATGCAATCTGAATATTAAATCACCTCCAAGAACCAAGTGTTTTTTCAGGAAAACATGGAGCATCTTTCTTTCATTCAGTTGCCAACAACTGTCCATCATTTACCATCCACACAGTAAAATATTAATGTTTACAAAAGAAAATACTTACTTTTATTGTACCATAGAACTTGATTTTTAAAATACAGGGCCATAAATTCCTTACCACAAAATGATCTTAGCCAGGTAGTTATAAACCTTCTGTTTTTAAACCAAAAAAATCAAATAGCACTTACATATTGGTAGAAATATATGTCTGTGAGTGACCTACTACCTATTGATTTGTATTATACATCATATTAGACATTGCCAATGTCTTGTAGTCAGGAACAGACCTGTGGTTGAACAAGTTGTGTTTATTATTCACACACACCATGAGGCTGTGATCCCAGCTATGTGGGAAGCTGAGGCACAAGAATCACTTGAACCTGAGAGGCACACCATGAGGCTTGGCACACCTCTTTAAGAGGCTGTTAGAATATGTCATGTCTGGTTGTGATTTGAGGGAGAGTTCAAGGAAGCAGGGGTTCACCGTATACTGAGTGTTGGCAGAATATGAGGACAATTCTGTGACTGGCTACCTCAATAAATCTTATCTATAGGGAGGGCACTAGAGCATAGCTCAAGCTATAATTGGTAGAGAAGCAACTGTCACTAATATTAGCCAGGAAGGGGGATGTTTGGTATTTTGGGGATGACACGGTAGCCTTATTTTTTTGCACATTTAGAAAAAAATGTGTGTTTATCTTGTATTGCATCACTTTAGCATGGTCTCAGATTGGCCTTGTCTAATGCTGATGTTTTGTGAAACTATGTCCAACAGGAGAGCGCCAAAGCCTACCAGTGAGTGCCAGGCTGGCCCCACAGGTCAAGGGCTGCCCTTCTCTTTCTCAGCATCCCTAATATGGTACATATGATTTTAATTGCCAGCACTTAAAATGAACTTGTGATAAAATAGCTGTTTGGAAGGTAATTGTGAATAACTGTCATCAGAAAATGTTTAATAATAAATAATATGTTTAATACACATCTTTTATTAAGAAATTTATAAAAGTCAACACACCAATTTGAAATAAAAACTTAGGACAATAATAAAACATTCTCAAAAATAATGATTTTTTTCTAAGATATTTTTGTAGAGGTTACTTTCTGACAAAATATCAAGAATAGCACAAAAAAATCACATCTACCTTTTACTTGGATTTACCAACTGTTTACATAAAGTGTCGCTTTGGCCCTAAATACTTCAATATGCATTTTCCTAAGAACTAGGACATTTTATTATATAACCACAGCACAGTCACTGAAATAAAGAAATCTAATACTGATACAAAACGATTTTGAGACTTGAGTCTCCCTCTGTTGATCAGACTGGAGTGCAGTGGTGCCATCTCAGCTCACTGCAACCTCCGCCTCTCAGGTTCAAGTGATTCTTGTGCCTCAGCTTCCCACACAGCTGGGATCACAGGCGTGTGTCACCATGCCCATCAAATTTTTGTATTTTTAGTAGAGATGGGATTTCGCCATGTTGACCAGGCTGGTCTCCAACTCCTGGCCTCAAGTGATCCACCCACCTTGGCCTCCCAAAGTGCTGGGATTACAGGTGTGAGCCACTGCACCAGGCCCTATTTTCTAACTTATGGTCCGTCCATATCCAAATTTCATCACTTGTCCCAATAATGTTCTTTTTTTTTTTTTTTTTTTTGAGACGGAGCCTTGCTCTGTTGCCCAGGCTGGAGTGCAGTGGCACAATCTCGGCTCACTGCAACCTCTGCCTCCCAGGTTCAAGTGATTCTCCTGCCTCAGCCTCCCAAGTAGCTGGGATTACAGGTGCCCACCACTACGCCTGGCTAATTTTTGTATTTTTAATAAAGACGGGGTTTCACCATGTTGGCCAGGCTGGTCCCGAACTCCTGACCTCGTGATCCACTCACCTCAGGCTCCCAAAGTGCTGGGATTACAGGCATGAGCCACCGCGCCTGGCCCCAGTAATGTTCTTATAGATGTCATCTTCACCTGGAGCAGGATCCAATCCAGGTTTATGCACTGCATTTAGTTATCACATCTCCTTTGTTTTTTAAAAAACTTGCAAGTCTCTCAGCCTTTGTGTTGCTTAGCCTTGACATGTTTAAGGAATCCAAGCCAGTTATTTTGTAGAATGTCCCTCACTTTGGGTCTGTCTTATGTTTCCTTATGATTAGATATAGGTTACACACTTTAGGCAGGAATGCATTTTTATGTTATATCTGATTCTTGCCAACAAAGACAACTCAAGTATAGTTGCATAAATATACAGAGAAAATACAGTCCCAAGAGTGATTCATTTATTTCTTTCAATTGCTAATTGTTTATAATTTAAAAGTCTAGATCTAGAATATGATGTGGTGTATGTCTGTGGTAGCAAGTAGAGTAAGAATCTTTCTTCATTACATGATTATTTCAATGCGGTATTTCCTTACAAAATAAACACTCTCATCAAGTTGATTTAGCAGTGCTGAGAGAGAGGAACTTTTACCAATTTCTAATGTAGGCCCATGGTTTACTTTATGGCAAAGCTGCACTCCAGGTAAACTCCAACTAGGAAGCCCAACAAAGGTACCTGATGTGAAGCAAGACTGGGTTTAAGGGATCTAAGCCAATTCAACATATTATTCATGATTTCTGCCATGTAGCAGCTTCTCTAACTTATTTTGTTAATAGAGGCCTCCTGAAATCAATGTCTTGGTTATTGTGCTGGTATTTCTACCCATTTATTTTCTCCTTATAGACATATTCTAGTTGTAATGTACCAAGAAGATCTAGAAATTTGATATGTGCTTTTTTCTAAAACAAAGCATAACTTATGGTCTTCTAGTGTTGTGGGGGGTGGGAAGAGAGAAAAAAAAACAGAGAAACTCCACCTATAAAAATACTACCTACACAGATTCTATGATTTAAAAAAAAAAAACAGTTTCTGGGTACAGTGGCTCATGCCTGTAATCCCAGCACTTTGGGAGGCCGAGGCAGGCAGATCATCTGAAGTCAGGAGTTCAAGACCAGCATGGCCAACATGGTGAAACCCCATCTCTACTAAAAATACAAAAATTAGCTGGGTGTGATGGCACACACCTGTAATCCCAGCTACTTGGGAGGCTGAGGTGGGAGAATTGCTTGATTCCGGGAGACAGAGGCTGCAGTGAGCCAAGATCATGCCACTGCACTCCAGCCTGGGTGACAGAGCGAGACTCTGTCTCAAAAAAAAAAAAAAGTTTCTACATGTCAGCAATACGTACTACCCCCCAAAATCTAATAATGCAAAATATTTGGGGAAATAGGTTTTAAGCTTCACATGTATGAAATTGTCTTAAATGTTAAGCCCAAAAGATAATGATGATTTTATATCCACGAGTTAAGTCATAAGAAAGTAAATTATTTTTTGTTCAAAAGAAAGGAGTGTGTGTGGATGGACACACACACAAAAGGAAGAAAGGAGAAAGGTGAGGGGGAATGAATGGATCAATAAAAAAAAAACAGCCCCAGAAAGCACAATACTAGTCTTTATAAAGCTGAACCATGAACTTGAAGAAAAGATGCACAGGTGAGAAAAATCATTCTTTAAATGCTTTCAGTAGAAGCGGAAAAAAAAATTCGAGTTATTGCTATTTTATATGACTCATAGCAACTTAGTTTACACTGTGGAGGACAGTATAGCTCCCTACTTCAATCTTAGGTCAAATTTCTACCCAGAAAATGTCTTGAACTTGTCTTCACCCTTCCATTTCTACTGCCAATACTCATAAAGTCCTTAAATTAGTTCTTATTTCAATAGGTTCTAAGTGTCGTAACTAGTCTGTCTCTAGCGTCTTATTCTTCCGATCTTTTCTCAAACTCGTAATCAAAGTTATCTTTCTTATGTCTATTACCTTGATTGTGTTGATAGTTTTACAGGTATGTGCATATGTCCAAACTCAGCAATTGTATGTGTAGTTTATTATATATCAACTATACCTCAATAAAGTTGTTTTCTTAAAAAGCAAAGTTATCTTTCTACAACACATATCCAATCACATCCCTCTCCTCGAAAACCTTCAGTTGAAGACATGTAGTCCAGACTTCTCAGCATGACATACAAGGTCCTTCCAGCCTCAGCTCCCACAGGCCTGCATATTAGAAAAGGCATCAATCATGGAAAATGCCAGGACTTTCATATCGCCATGCCTTTGTTTAGATTGTTCTCTCTCTGGAATACCCATTCTAATCTCTTTTCCATCCAACCAAACCCTACTCGTTCTTCAAAGCCCATATCTTCAACATTATAAGCTTTTCCTGATTCTTTCCACATACCCTCAATCCATTGATATTAAACCCGTCCTATGCTCCACACTTCCTTCACACCTCAGTAACAGCAATAGGATTGAAGTACAGTTCGATGTAGAGCAAGGCACTTGATAAATGCTCAGAAAATGTTTGTTAAATGAGAGCATTGATTTTAAAATAATTTTGTGGGGTTTTTTTGTTTTTATGAGACAAGGTCTCACTGCAGTCACCCAGGCTGGAGTGCAGTGGCATGATCTTGGCTCACTGCAACCTCCACCTCCTGGGTTCAAGCGATTCTCCCACCTCAGCCTCCCAAGTAGTTGGGACTACAGGCGTGACCCACCACATCCAGTTAATTTTTTCTTTTCCTTCCTTCCTTCCTTCTTTCTTCTTTTTTTTTTTTTTTTTGGTATTTTTTGTAGAAATGGGGTTTCGTCATGTTGCCTAGGCTGGTCTTGAACTTGTGAGCTCAAGTGATCCACCAGCTTCGGTCTTCCAATGTGCTGGGACTACAGGCATGAGCCGCCACACCCAGCCCACCCAGCTAATTTTTAAATTTTTTTGTAGAGGCAGGGTCTCACTATGCTGCCCAGGCTGGTTTTAAATTCCTGGGCTCAAGCAATCCTCCTGCCTTGGACTCTCAAAGGGCTGGAATTACAGGCGTGAGCCACTGCGCCCAGCCTGAAACTTTTTATTATGAAAACGTTCAGGCATACATAAGAATAGACACAATAGTATAATAAATTCCCATGTGATTATCCCCCAGCTTTAACAATTATGAACATTTTACTCCGATCTTGTGTAATCTCTATTGCTTCCTGTCATCACTGTCTGGATATTCTCCTCCATACATTTTCTTTTTTGAAGAAATTGCATCTGTCATTTTTCAACCTAGAAAATGTTTTTTATTAGTTTGATGGGTATTATACCTTTATTTTTATCAAGATTTATTGCGATATACATGAATTATAATGTTGAAATAAAAAACAATTTCAACCTTGAACTTCTCGTTGCTTAATAACAGTAACAACATTACCTCACCTATTACTTATTGAGTGCCTACTATAGACCACGCATGGCTAGCAACCATCATATATGTTATCTCATCTTTTTAACAACCCTCTAAAGTGGATATTATTAGCTGTATTATAGACAAGAAAAGTGAAGCTGAGAAAGTTATTTCCAAGTTATTAAAGGATTATTACTGAGTTCAGATCAGTTTGTCTGTGTTTTCCACTCTACCTCATTACCTCTAAATATCCCTTCCCTTATATCTACCTACTGAAATCTTCTTATCTATTCTGTCAGCCTAACGAGAAAAAACAGAATACATAATAAAAATCAGAAAATGAGGCAGTAATCAGGGTCCCTAATTTTAAAATTATAAAATGATATAAGACAATAAAATTATATAAAATATCAAATGCATCTTGCAGCTTAAAAATAATAAACTGAAAAGTGACTTTCAGAAGGCATATAATAGGAAAAGATTTGTTGCTTCATAAACAATCAATATTAAAAAATACATGCTGTTTTTCATATAACTCATATGACAAAAAGTGAATGGGATTTTGGAAACAATTATCTAGGGATCAGTGACCTCAAAGTGTGCTCCCTGGACCAGCAAAATCAGCATCAGCCAGGAACTGCAATTTGAAATGCAAATAAGTTGACTTATTTGTTATGAGAAAACTAAAAATCTATTTAAGATTATATGCTTTTTTATTGCTCGATACTGAACAGCATAATAAATGTGTTAAATTTTTTATTTGACCTAAATAAACGTGTTAAATATACACATATACCATATTCATAAATACATAGTAAAATAGATATACATAGGGGCAAAAACCAGAAGGAAATATGCAAAAAAAGTAATATACATTGATAATTGGATTTTGTTTTCTTTTCTCTTTCTTTTTAACTGATTAAATTGTCTCTAAAACTAAATTCCATAAACATTTTTATTCCTATTTTATACATGGGAGCACAGGTTCAGAGGAGATAATTTTCCCAAGGTCAAAGAATCAGTAAGTTCCATGAACTGGGTTTAAAGTAGAGGTTCATGACCAAGTTCAATTTGCTATTACACCATGTGGTCCTTAAGCAAGTCTTATCATTTTACAATAGAAACACTTAAAATATAAATATGTATTGTAAGGCAATGCACAAAAATAAATTTTTTAAGAACCCAAATGTGATGTTTAATATCATGTTTAAAGATCAAATGTGCAATGGTCATTATCTACCAGCTTCGTTTAGTTACTAGGTTTTTGCAATGTTGAAAAAATTATGTTCACAAGCTTGAAAAATGTCTCAGCCAATTTCTTGAAAATATGTTAAATTGACCATATTATTATGGTCAATTTATTATTATGTAATTTTTATTTATTATGTAATATTTATCAAACTTGAGGTAAAAGTGAATAGTAAAAATGAAAAACTAAGATAGTAGAATTTTATAATATAATAAAAAAGATAACAATGGGTATAGTATATCAGTAAGTTCTAGCATTCCTAAAAGACTTCCAAAAAAAGTCCTTTGGTAGGACTAAGGATTGTTGAGTGGGCAATATTAATCATAAGGAAAATGATTAAGAAGAGGGAGAAATGTAAGGTTAGTTAATAAAAATAGAATAAAGTCAGTGAAAGTAGGGGAATTATGTAAGTTACTAAGACCTTATAGAAAACAAAAAAACAAAATCTAACCAAAAAAAAAAAAAAAAAGACAGAATAAAGAGGAGACTAATGTGGAATGTTTACATTCTTGCCTCTACCAGAATTCTAGGCCAAAAGTAGAGCATCAGTTTGACTTTCTGGAAAGATTTCTTCTGAGACTGAATTAATTGATATGGTTTGGCTGTGTCCTCACCCAAATCTCATCTTGAATTGTTACTCCCACAATTCCTACGTGTCGTGGGAGGGACCCAGTGCCAGTGAAAGGTAATTGAATCATGGGGGCGGGTCTTTCTGGTGCTGTTTTCATGATAGTGAATAAGTCTCACGCGATCTGATGGTTTTATAAAGAGGGGTTCCCCTGCACAAGCTCTCTCTCTGCCTGCCGCCATCCACTGAAGATGCGACTTGCTCCTCCTTGCCTTCTGCCATGATTGTGGGGCCTCCCCAGCCCTGTGGGACTGTAAGTCCATTAAACCTCTTCTTCTTCCCAGTCTCGGGTATGTCTATATCAGCAGCATGAAAACGGATTGATACACTAAATAAATATAAGGTGTCCTGGCCATAGGACCCCCTCCTGAGTATAATAAAAATATATGTGGTATTTTAACACAATTAGGAGGTAGCAAGCTCTCTACCCCGGGTGAAGGTCTGGAGAGGAGTTTGGGCTGAGTTTAGTATAAAAGAAGATCTGCATCTTATACCATATGTAAAAACTAATTCTATATTAAAGACTTAAGTGTAAAAAAATTAAAATCATTCAATAAAGTCTCCTATAAACAGATAAAAACTTCAAAGCCAAGACTAGAAACCAAGTAGCTATTTTTAAAATAGACATGTTTAACTACACAAGAATATGAAAAAGAGCTCTTACAAATTGACAATAAAAAAAGAAAAACAACTCCATAAAGTTAGATAGCAGAAGAACAAATTGAAATAGCCAACAAACATATGAAAAGTGTTCAAATTCATTAGCTCTCAGGGA
Source organism: Homo sapiens (assembly GCF_000001405.40). Lineage (NCBI taxonomy): Eukaryota > Metazoa > Chordata > Mammalia > Primates > Hominidae > Homo > Homo sapiens. The sequence continues at coordinate 39,164,884 of NC_000004.12, forward strand.
AATGCAAGTTAAAGTAAGAATGAAACTTTATTCCTATCAGACTAGCAAAAATTAAGAGAACCTATGAAAATTGTTGATCGTTTCTGGTGAGAAAGTGAAGGAAAAGTACTTTCATAAGTTGCTAGTGGGAGCATTAAGCATTATAATCTTTTTGAAAATCACTCTGATAAATCTATTAAAATTAAAAATACATATACTCCTCAGCCCAACAATTCTACTCATGGGAATTTATTCCAAAGAAATAAAAGTATGATTATGTTAAAAATATCTATAAGGACCTCAATGTTCTAGTAGCAAAACCCTGAGCATAAAGTGGATGCCACAGGGGAAAGATGAAATGGGATTTGGAGGAATATCCAGAAGATATTATTGAATGAGAAAGGTAAGATACAGAAAAAAAAAAATGTGTATACATTACCATTTGTTCAACAGTGCCACAAAAACACCATTACATATATGGATACACACACACAAACACATATACATGTGTGTGCCACATTTATGGTTTATGACCATAGAGGAAAAGTATGGCAGAATTCATATTAAGTTGCTAACATGTATTGTCTTCTTGTGGGGAGGGGGAAAGGGTTTATGAGGAGGAAGAAGGGAAGGGAAGAAATGGTGAAAAAAAGGAAGGAAACAGCCACACTAAAAATTATTACACTCTTTTTAGTGGATCTTACTGCTACCCCTATTTTCCCTTCTGCTGACCAAGGTGGTCCACCACATTCCTAAGAAACACGAAACACATTACACTAAAAATGAGTGCTGCAAAAGCACTAAGCAACTGGAAAAAATTATACAGGTTAAAGAATAGGTAATTCTTATATGAAAAGAGCAAAATTATATCCATTCTTTCATTTTTTAGCTAGCTAATACAAGGAGTTTCTTTTATCAATAAGTATCTTGATGGCCAATTCCTAGCTAATAAATGCCATCAATTCATATTAAAATATAAACTGAGTGTTTATTCTGTGCAAGGCACTACTCAAGGCACTGTAGAAAACACAAAACAACAAAGGTCCCCCACTTTCCTTTCTGTTTTAACATGTGGAAGACTGGAAGACTTCCATCCTCACATCTTCTAGTCTGCTCAAAGCACTGTAGAAAATCCTAAATGCAAAAAGTAGCATCCTCTTCTTCACAAGAATGGGAAATGTCATTCAGTGTAGAGCTCCCATTAGTTACGACTAGTTCTAAAAGTATTCAGCATTTTTCATATTGTAGCACTGCCTGTATTCTTCCAGTCAGGCTAAACTGTCCTCAGCTCCTTAGGTGTCTCTCCGTGAAAAGATTTTCCTGTGTGCTCCTTGAAGGAAGCTACCACATGAAACTTAACCACCCAGCTTCCACTGGCTAAGGGTCTTTTCTCATTCAAAAATCTCCTATACTCTATCCGAGCTTCAGTGAATTCAGTCTCACTTCCTCATGCTATTCAGTTCTATTACAAGCCTTCCATCAAACATTTAAGAAGAGGAAAAAATAAAGACAAAAACCAACCCCCTAACCCCCAAATCAAACCAAGTGAAACACATTTTACTTCTTTTTATTTCCCTCTGGGGAAAAACATTATTCACCCTCGTGGCTTTAACTGCCAATGACTATATGCCAATGACAACATGTCTAGCTGTGACCCCTCGTAAGGCCCACTTCCAAGTTAGACATTAGACATCTCCAACTTGATATCCCATGAGTCCCTCATGATTTAATATACTCCAAACCAAACTGATACTCCCCAAATCTCATCTATCTGTATATCTTAGCTACTTATTCGGCTGCAGAAGCCAGAACCCTGAGTCCTGCTTGATTTATAATTTTGTTTTGTTTTATTGCTTATTATCTGTACAACGATGTAGCTTCTCGAAGACTGATTGAGTCTTTGATCTCTGTAACTGGCATGATGCAGTATCTGGCAGATAAAAGTTGAACAGGTCAGGCATGGTGGCTCACACCTGCAATCTCAGCACAAGGGCAACAAAGCGAGAACTCCACCTCCATAAATAAATACCTAAGTCAGCCAGATGCAGTGGCATGTGCCTGTAGTCCTAGTTACTCAGGAGGCGAAGGCAGGAGGATTGCTCGAACCCAGGAGTTTGAGAGCAGCCTGGACAACATAGCGAGGCCTTGTCTCCGCTAAAAATCAAATAAATTAGCCAGGCATGGTGGTGCATACTTGTTGTCCCAGCTACTCAGGAGGCTGAAGCTGGAGGACTGCTCGAGCCCAGGAGATCAGGGCTGCAGGGAGCTATGATTGTACCAGTGCACACCAGCCTGGGCAACAGAGCAGAGGCCCTGTCTCAAAAACAAAAAAAAGTGCACTATGAAAAATGTGTATATGGATTTTAAGATTATTTTGCACCAAAATAAACTTGTACCAGCTTGTTACAACATGTCTGAACAAGATCTAGTTTGAGGTAGTAAAAAGAATAAGACATCAGTTTTAAAAAGATCCCTATCAGAGCAACATGCTACTGAAATTGAAACGAAACAAACATCGACTTTATGGTGGGGCATGGGTGGGAGAATGGTGAAATCACTGATGCTTTACGGGAAGTTTATGGGGACAATGCCCCAAGGAAATCAGCAGTTTACAAATGGATCAGTCCTTTTAGAAAGGAACAAGACAAGCTGAAGATGAAACTCACGGCGGCAGACCACCCACATCAATTTTTTAGAAAAAAATGATAAAAATGTTTGCAGTGGTTCACACCTATAATCCCAGCACTTTGGGAGTCCAAAGTGGGTAGATCACAAGGTCAGGAGATCGAGATCAGCATGGACAACATGGTGAAACCCCATCTCTACTAAAAATACAAAAATTATCCAGGCATGGTGGCGTATGCTTATAGTTCCAGCTACTCAGGAGGCTGAGGCATGAGAATTGCCTGAACCCAGGAAGCAGAGCTTGCAGTGAGCCAAGATTGTGCTGCTGCTGCTGCACTTCAGTTTGGGCAACAGAGTGAGACTCTGTCTCAAAAAAAAAAAAAAAAAGGATGTGGCTGAAGATCCTGAAGTATTGCTTTGAAGAATTGTAATGGGAAATGAAATACGGCTTTACCAGTACAATCCAAAAGGCAAAGCACAATCAAAGCAATGGCTACTAAGAGATGGAAGTAGTCCAGTCAAAGCAAAAGCAGACCAGTTAAGCGCAAAGGTCATGGCAAAAATTTTCAGGGATGCCCAAGGCATTTTGCTTGTTGACTGTCTGAAGGGCCAAAGAACAATTAGATCTGCTTATTATGAGTGTTTTAAGAAAGTTAGCCAAGGCTTTAGTTTAAAAAAAAATGCCTGGAAAAGCTTCAGCAGAGTCCTCTACCATGACAATGTTCATGCTCATTCCTCTCATCAAACGGAAAATTTTGCAAAAGTTTCAATGGGAAATCACTAGGTTTTTGCCTTACAGTCCTGATTTTGCCCCTTCTGACTTCCTTTTGTTTTCAAATCCTAAAAAATCTTGAAAAGGCACCTATTTTTCTTCAGTTAATTATGTAAAAAAGACTGCATTGACTTGGTTAAATTTCCAGGATTCTCAGTTCTTTAGGGGTGGACTAAGTGGCTATCATTGCTTACAAAACTGTCTTGAGCATGATGGAGTTATTTTGAGAAATATGTTTACATTTTTAATTTTTATCTTTTAATTTCATCTTTCAAAAACTGTTTGAAGTCCCCTTGTATAGTACACTGGATTCTTGACATTAGTGATCTCAGAGACTTTTTTTTTTTTTCTGAGACAGAGTCTTGCTCTGTCACCCAGGTTGGAGCGCAGTGGCGTGATCTCACCTCACTGCATCCTCCACCTCCCAGATTCAAGCAATTCTCCTGCCTCAGCCTCCCAAGTAGCTGGGATTACAGGTGCATGCCACCACGCCCAACTAATTTTTGTATTTTTAGTAGAGACAGGGTTTCACCATGTTGAACCACTCATATTCATGAGTATGTCAACCTTTGTACAGGCTTCTGGCTTTCTACTGTCAGTTTGGCTCTGTAACATATTTTTTTCCTCTTGAGAATTATTTACCACAAAGAAACAAATTTAATCACTTATTAATACAAATGATAACATGTAGAATAAAACAAATTCCAAAAAGTTGCAAATGCCAGATAGAAAACTAAGCTCACTCACAAGATAAGTGATCTGATGGCACTACACATCAGCCTCAAAGCTTGTAATTCAAATGCTCCATGACTTTCAGAGCCATTTGCAAGCAGCTGAAACTGCAAATGCTAGATCTGTAATTGTTAATGGAGTCTGTTTTTACATGTTAAAAGAAAACAAATGTACTATGCACAATAATGTCATTGATTTTTAAAAATTCTTTGTTGAAAGAAAACCAATATTTTATACTGTTTATGTTTAAATATAATACTTCTCAGGTCTTTCTACATAGTAATTTTATGATTTGTTTTTAATGAAGCTTTCAAAGAAAAACTTTGGTCTCAAACTTTAAAATGGGTGAATTGCATAGTTTTGAATCTTCGCAGCTTGAGAAAAATTACTGGTAATTATGTTTAAAATTTGAACTGGTTGCATTGTGCTTTGCTTCTGATTTCTGTTGGCACTTGTGATAGTTTTTAAATGACCATAAAATCTTTGTGATTATTTGCACTGAGCAGTGGAATATTTTTCCCCTCCTCTTATCTCTGGGTTGAATCTGTGAATCGGTTAACCAAAAGAATGTGGCAGAAGTGGGCATCATGCCAGTTGACAGCTTCCAATTTTACCTCTTCGAGCTCACTCTTGGGATGCTCTCTCTCAGAATCCAGCTACCATGTTCTGAGAAGCCCAAGCCACGTGGAGAGGCCACATATAAAGTAGCCACCATGTAAGTAAGCTTTGGCTAATAGCTCCAGGTGGGCTCCCAGCCAATAGCCAGCAGCCAGTAGCAAACATCAAATGTCAGCCATCTGAGTGAGCCATCTTGGACATTCCAAACTAATCAAGCCCACAAATGACAGGAGCCTATGCCAACATCACATAGAGGAGAAAAACCATTGTGGAGAGCCCAGTCAACCATAGAATTGTGAAATAATAAAGTGGTTATTACTTTAGACCATTAAATTTTGCTGTTGTGCAACAACAGATTGATTGATTGATTGATTGATTGATTGATTGATTTTGAGACAGAGACTCACACTGTCGCCCGGGCTAGAGAGCAGTGATGCAATCTCAGCTCACTGCAACCTCTGCCTCCCGGGTTCAAGTGATTCTCCTGCCTCAGCCTCCCAAGTAGCGAGAATTACAGGTGCCCGCCACCATGCCCAGCTAATTTTTTGTATTTTTAGTAAAGACGGGGTTTCACTGCGTTGGCCAGGCTGGTCTCAAGCTCCTGACCTTGTGATCTGCCCACCTCGGCCTCCCAAGTGCTGGGATTACAGTTGTGAGCCACCACGCCCGGTCAGATTTTTTTAAAATGCTATTGCATGCTTTCATATCAGTTGGCCCTATCGAACACTACCATTGGGGGATGAAAGTTTATTGTTCGTATGGTCCACAAATAAAGGCTTAAAACTTGCTTCTTAAATGTGCTATTTTAATTCTTCTGATAGTACACACACCATCTCAGACTGTACTGTTACCGACTTCTTTCACAATAACTGATGTGGATATGATATTTGCATGACCTTGTGAAATGAAACCACATTCTTTCATACTTAAAAAAACTTTCTTGTTATGTAAGCACTCAGTTTCCCCATTCTAGAACCTCTCTGATTGTACGTAATTCTCATACCCTCTCTGATCGTACGCGCTTCACACACCCTCTCTGATCGTACGCGCTTCTCACACCCTCTCTGATCGTACACGCTTCTCACACCCTCTGATCGTACGCGCTTCTCACACCCTCTCTGATCGTACACGCTTCTCACACCCTCTGATCGAACGCGCTTCTCACACCCTCTCTGATAGTACGCACTTCTCATACCCTCTCTGATCGTACGCGCTTCTCACACCCTCTGATCGTACGCGCTTCTCACACCCTCTGATCGTACGCGCTTCTCACACCCTCTCTGATCGTATGCGCTTCTCACACCCTCTCTGATCACAGGTGCTTCTCATACCCTCTCTGATCATATGCGTTTCTCATACCCTCTCTGATCATACACTTTTCATACCCTCTGATCACATGCACCTTTTCGTGCCACATTGCTGGCATACTTACTAGCAAATTAGTAACATTTGACACTTGGTAGGGATAAATTTGTCAAAAAATTTTGACACTTTGTTTTTTGTTTGTTTGTTTGTTTTTCTTTTTTTTCCGAGACGGAGTCTCACACCGTCGCCCAGACTGGAGTGCAGTGGCGCGATCTCAGCTCACTGCAACCTCCGCCTCCCGGGTTCAAGCGATTCCCCTGCCTCAGCCTCCCGAGTAGCTGGGACTACAGGCGCGCACCACCAGGGTCAACTAATTTTTGTATTTTTAGTAGAGACGGGGTTTCACAATGTTGGCCAGGATGGTCTCGATCTCCTGACCTCGTGATCCGCCCGCCTCGGCCTCCCAAAGTGCTGGGATTACAGGCGTGAGCCACCGGCGCCCCACCAAAATTTGACACTTTGAAACTGCTTGTCATGAATCTTTTTTAAAGTCACATGAGTCAGGAACTGTATCTATCACAATATCATATCTATAATAATGATGATCTTGCTACACAGAAGTGCTATAAAATTTAACCAGTTTATTTTTGCATATAAAAACCAAAGTTTGCTTCTCAGATTTTAGAAAATACTATTTCCCTTATTGATCATAATACCTATGTTTTATGAAGTGTTATCTGCCAGTTTTTTACAGCTTAATTGATATGTAATTTACAAGCCACAAAATCCACCATTTAAAAGTGTGCAATTCAATGGCTTCAATATATTCACAGAATTATGCAATTATCACCACCATGTAATTTTAGAAAAATTTTCATCACTCCCCAGAATAAAAACATCCACACACCACTAAACTACTTTCTGTCTCTACAGATTTATATATTTGGGATATACAGTATAAATGGAATCATACAATATGTGGCCTCTTGTGACTAGCTTCTTTCACTTAGCATAATCCTTTCAAAGCTCATCTCATAGTACATGTTGTAGCATGTACTTAATTCCTTTTTATTGATTAATAATACTTTGTTATATGGATTTGCCACATTTTGTTTATCTATTCATCAGTTGATGCACATTTGTGTTGTTCTCACTTTGGGGCTATTATGAATAATGCTATTATGAATGCTGCCATATCCTTCATTTTTGGCCATATGCTTTCATTTCTGTTGGGTAGATACTTAGAAGTGAAACTGCTAAGTTAAATGTTCATTCTATGTTTAACATTTTAAGGAACTACCAGACCGTTTTCCAAAATGGTCACACCATTTCAAATTTCTGCCAGCAATGTATGAAGGTTTCAATAGCTCAACATACTCACCAACAATTGTTATTGTCTTTTTTATTTTAATCATCTTAGTGGGCATGAAGTGCATCTGTGGTTTTGATTTGCATTTCCCTAATGACTAATAATGTTGAATAACTTTGTATAAGCTTATCAGCCATTTATACGTTCCTTGGAGAAATGTCTATTCAAATCATTTTCCCATTTTCAATGGGTTATTTGTCTTGTTTTAGGGTTGTAAGATTTCTTTATCTATTTTGGATATAAATATTTTATCAGATATATGATTTGCAATTATTTTCTTTCAATCTATGGGTTATCTTTTTACTTTCATGATGTCTTTAGAAGCATAAAACTTTTTAATTTTGATGAAGTACAAGTTGTCTATTTTTTTCTTTTGTCACTTGCAATTTTGTTGTCAGGTCCAATAAATAATTGTCTAAACCAAGGTCAGGAATTCTTAGGCTTTTTCTAAAAATTTTATAGTTTAACTCACATTTAGGACTTTGATCCATTTGAGTTAATTTTTGTATATTCTGTGAGGTAGGGGTGCAATTTCATTTTTTGCATGTCCCAACACCAATTGTTGAAAAAATCTATTGTTTCACCCATTGAATTGTCTTGACAACCATTGAAAATCAGTTGGCCTCAGATGTATGGTTTTATTTCTGGACTCTCAATTCTGTTCTGTTGATCTATATATAGTATCCTATGCCAATACCACACTATTTTAGTTGCTGCAGCTTTGTAGTAAGTTTTGAAAATGTGAGTTCTCCAACTTTATTCTTTTGTTTTGGGTATTCTGGTCCCTTAAAATTCCAGTTTAACCATAGTGGCACATTGGTTGAACTAAGTACAGTTGATGAACTAAGGCTGATATATTTTTGTCATCCAAAGTCCACAGTTTACATTGGGGTTCACTTTTGGTGTTGTGCAGTCTATGGGTTTTCACAAATGTATAATGATATGTATTCACCATAGTAATACAGTATTGTATAGAATAGTGACACTGCCCTAAAAATCCTCTGTGCTCTGCCTATTTCTCCTGCTATATCCATAGTTTTGTTATAGTTATATCCATAGTTTTGCCTTTTCCAAAATGTCATGTAGTTAGAATCATACAGTATGTGGCCTTTTCTGAATGGCTTCTTTCACTCAGCAATTTGCTGCTAAGGTTCCTACATATATTTTCATGGCTTGATAGTTCACTTCCTTTTAGTGCTGAGTAATATTCCATAGTCTGGATATACCATGGCTTATTTATCCATTCACTTACTAACAAACATCTTGATAATCTTGATTGCCTCCAAGTTTTAGCAATTATGAATAAAGCTGCTATAAACATCTTTTGTACAGATTTTTGTGTGGACATAGTTTTCAATTCATTTAAATAAATACCAAGGAATATGACTGCTGGGCTGTATGTTTGCAGTATGTTTAGTGTTGTAAGAAACTGCCAAACAATCTTCCAAAGTAGCTGTACCATTTTGGATTCTCACCAGCAATGAATGAGAGTTCCTGTTGTGCCACATCCTCACTTGCATTTGGTGTTGTCAGTGTTCCGGATTTTGGTCATTCTAATGGGTGTGTAATAGTAGTTGTTTTAATTTACAATTCCCTAATGATATATGATTTTGAACATTTCTTTATCTTGCCATCTGTATACCTTCTTTGGTGAGGTGTCTGTTCGGGTCTTTTACACATTTTAAAATCAGGTTGTTTGTTTTCTATTGCTGGGTTTTAAGAATTCTTTGTATATTTTGGGTAACAATCCTTTATCAAATGTGGTTTTTGCAAATATTTTCTCCCAGTTTGTGGCTTGTCTTATTCTCTTTACAGGTGTCTTTTGCAAAGCAGAAATTTTAAATTTTAATGAAGTCCAGCTTATCAATTATTTCTTTTTTTTTAAATTTTATTATTATTATACTTTAAGTTTTAGGGTACATGTGCACAACATGCAGGTTTATCAATTATTTCTTTCAGGGACCATGCTCTTAGTGTGATATCTAAAAAGTCATCACCATACCCAAGTTCATCTTAGATTTTCTCCTATACTCTAGAAGCTTTATAGTTCCACATTTTACATTTAGGTTTATGATCCACTTTGAGTTAATTTTTGTAAAGGCTCTGTGTCTAGATTCATTTCTTGCATGTGGATGTCCAGTTGTTCCACCACAACTTGTTGGAAAAGACTACTTTTGCTCCACTGTATTGCCTTTACTCATTTGTCAAAGATTAGGCAGGGCACCATGGCTCACGCCTGTAATCCCAGCACTTTGGGAGGCTGAGATGGGTGGATCACCTGAGGTCAGGAATTTGAGACAAGCCTGACCAACATGGTGAAACCCCATCTCTACTAAAAATACAAAAATTGGCTGGCCGTGGTGGTGTGCAACTGTAGTCCCAGCTACTCGGGAGACTGAGACAGGAGAATCACTTGAAGCCGGGAGGCGGAGGTTGCAGTGAGCCGAGATTGTGCCACTGTACTCCAGCCTGGGTGACAGAGTGAGACTCCATCTCAAAAAAACAAAAAGAATCAGTTGACTAAATTTATGTGGGTCTTTTCTATGCTTTCTATTCTGTTTTATTGATCTATTCATCTATTCTTTCATCAGTATCATGTTCTCTGATCACTGTGGCATAAGTCTTAAAGTCAGGTAGCGTCAGTCTTCCAATTTTGTTCGTCTCCTTCAAAACTGAGTTGGTTCTTTTGCCTCTCCACATAAACTTTAGAATCAGTTTGTCAATAGCCACAAAATAATTTGCTGGGATTTTGATTGCATTCAATCTGTAGATTAAGTTGGGAAAAACTGACATCTTAACGATTCTGAGTTTTCCCATCCATGAACCTGGACTATTTCTCCAACAAAGTTTTATAGTTTTCTTCATATAGATCTTGTACATATTTTGTTAGATTTATAGCTATGTATTTCATTTTGGCGATGCTGGTGTAAATGATATTGGTTTTTAAATTCAAGTTCTACTTGTTTGTTGCTGGTATAGGGGAAAGTGATTGACTTTTGTGCATTAACACTGTATCTTGCAAACTTACTATAATCACTTATTAGTTCCAGGAGGGCTTTTTTGTCCATTCCTTCAGATTTTCTACATAGACAATCACATCATGTGCAAACAAAGACAGTTTTTTCCCGCTCCCTTCCCAATTAATATACCCTTCATTTTCTTTCTGGTCTAATTGCATTAGCTACAACTCTCAGTATGATGCTCAAAAGGAGTGGTAAGAAGGGGACATCCTTGCTTTGTTCTTGATCTTAGTGGGAAAATCCTCAAGTTTCTCACCAGCAAGTATGATGTTAGCTGTAGGTTTTTTTGTAGACAGTCTTTATCAAGTTGGGAAGTTTTCCTCTATTCCTCATTTGTTGAGAGTTTTTATCATGAATTAATGTTAGATTTTGTCAAATGCTTTTTTCTGCATCTATTGGTCTACAAACATAGCTTTTCTTCTTTAGCCTGTTGATGTGATGAATTATATTCATTGTTTTTCCAATGTGGAACCAGCCTTGTATGCCTAGAATAAATCCCACTTGGTTATGGTGTATAATTCTTTCTATATGTTGCTGGATTTGATTTGCTAACATTTTGTTGAGAATTTTTGCATCTATGGTCATGAGAGATATTGGTCTATAGTTTTCTTTTCTTGTAATGTCTTTGTTTTGGTTTGGCATTAGTGTAATTCTGGCCTTATAGAATGAGTGATGAAGTATTCACTCAGGTTCTATTTTCTGAAAGAGACTATAGAGAATTGGTATAATTTCTTCCTTAAATGTTTGGTAGAATTCACGAGTGAACCTGTCAGAACCTGGTGCTTTCTCTTTCAGAAAATTATTATTATTATTATTTTATTTATTTATTTATTTTGAGACCAAATCTTGCTCTTGTCACCCAGGCTGGAGTGCAGTGGTGCAATCTTGGCTCACTGCAACCTCCACCTCCCAGGTTCAAGTGATTCTCCTGCCTCAGCCTCCCGAGTAGCTGCGATTACAGGCGCCTACCACCATGCACGGCTAATTTTTGTACTTTTAGTAGAGGCGGGGTTTCACCATGTTGGCCAGGCTGGTCTCTAACTCCTGACCTCAGGTGACCCGCCCGCCTCAGCCTCCCAAAGTCCTGGGATTACAAGCATGAGCCACTGCACCCAGCCTAGAAAATTATTAATTATTGATCTGATTTTTTAAATAGATACAGGCTATTCATTAGTAATTCATTAGTACAGCTGACATTAGTAATTTTTGAGCTTCTCTCTTTTCTTCTTAGCCTAGCTAGAGGCTAGTCAATTTTGCTCTTTTCAAATAACCAACTTTTGGTCTCCTTTCTCTATTGATTTCCTATTTTCAATTTTATTGATTTCTGCTCTAATTCTTATTATATCTTTTATTTTTCTTACTTTAAATTTAAATTTTCTTTTTCTAGTTTCCTAAAGTGGAAACTTAGATTATTGATTTTTAGAGCTTTCTTCTTTTCTAAAATATGCATTTGATGCTATAAATTTCTATCTTCCCCAGGCATGGTGGCTTATGGCTGTAATCCCAGCATGTTGGGAGACCAAGGTGGGAGTATAGCATGAAGCCAGCAGTTTGAGGCTGCAGTGAGGTATAATTATGCCACTGCATTCCCACTCCAGCCTGGGCTTCAGAGCAAGACCACAACGCAAAAAAAAAAAAAAAAAAAAAAACAACTAAACAAAAACAAACAAACAAAAAAATCCCCTCTAAGCACTGCTTTCACCACATCCCACAAATTTTAACAAGTGTATTTTCACTTTATTTAGTTCAAAATATTTTAAATTTCCCTTGAGATTTCTTCTTTGATCCATGTGTTATCTAGAAGTGTATTGTTTAATCTCCAAGTATTTGGGGATTTTCCAGCAATTTTTCTGTTATTGATTTCTAGTTTAAATACATAAGGATTGAGATCAGACATTGTATGGTTTCATTTCTATTTGCTCTTCGTTCTTATTTTTGTCTTCTACACTTTTTTAACCTGCCTTTTGTGGTTTTAACTGAGCATTTTATATTATTCTATTTTCTCTCCTTTCTTAGCATATCAATTATACTTTTCTAAAATCTTTTTTAAGTAGTTGCCCTATATTTAGCAATATACATTTACCAAGTCCACTGTCAAATAACACTTTACCACTTCACAGGTAATGTAAGTACCCTATAATAAAATATTTCTATTTCTTCCCTCCCATTCCTTAAATCATTGTTATCATTAATTTCTCTTACATATAAGCATATATTTATATATAAGCATGTCATTGAATATATTGTTGCTATTCTTATTCAGAACTGTTACCTGTTAAATCAATTAAATATTAGAAAAAATACTTAATGATACCTTCATTTATTCTTTTCCCAATGCTTTCTTTCTTTACGGATATCTGAGTTTCTGACATATATCATTTTCTTTCTCTCTAAAAGAAAAACAAAACTTCTTTTAATATTTCTTGTTCAAGGCAGGTCTACTAGCAACAAATTCCCTCAAAATTTTTTTTTTTTTGTCTAAGAAAGTCTTTACTTCTTCACTTTTTAAAATCTTTGATTTTAATTTAAAAATTAGCTTAATGATAAGTATAATTTAATGTCTATATGTAATACCATGTGTACATCTACATGAACACTGTATGTTTTACCTTGGTTTTATATCAAAGTTTTTACTTAAATCTTTACCAAGAGAAGAATCACCATCTGTTAGTGACATATTGCAATTAAACTATGAAACGATTCTGAATTTTTTTTTTCTATTTTGAAGATACTTTTATTTTTAAGGAGGAATTAGTTTCTCTTCAGATGTTCATTTTTGACTCTGAAAATTTTAATTTTTTTTGGTCTAGACTGGTTTGAAACAGTGACATTATTTTGTGTACTAGGATGTCCTCTTGTTTGGACAGATTTATATACTAATTAGAAAGCTGCTAACACCCTTATTTCAACTCACTGAGATAATTTAGATTCTTAAAACATAAGGAGAGATAACTTGTTGGAAACATTTTTATAACTTTAGTTAAAAACAGTATAAAAAACATAAAACACTTTTTTTTTTTTGAGACAGGGTTTCACTCTGTCACCCAGGCTGGAGCACAGTGGCGTGATCATAACTCAGTGCAGCCTTGAATGCCATGTGATACCCTCAAAGGATTCTCCTGGCTTAGCCTCCCAAGTAGCTGGCACTGTAGGCACATGCCACCATGCCTGGCTAATTTTTATTTATTTATTTTTTTTTGTAGCAAAGGGGTCTTGCTTTGTTGCCCAGGCCATTCTCAAATTCCTGGGCCCAAGTGAACCTCCCACCTCTGGCCTCCCAAAGTGCTGGGATTACGGGCTTGAGCTGCTACTCCTGGCCATGAAACACATTAAAACATTTTTAAGTCTACATGAAACAACTGTACCTCCTTCATAGTACAGGATCAACTTCCTCATCCTTACACAAAAATATTTCTCAATCCCATTTACTGATATTCAGGGATTTGAATCCTCATATAGTGTTTCTGTAAAAATGTGTGTGTGTGTTTTACATTAAATCATAAATCACTAGTATTGTTTGAGTAACCCCCAAATAATGTTTACATGAAATACTCTTTTTTTCAAGTCTTGATCTGATTACTGACCACTACATCCTTGTGGTATCAAAACACTTAGAACTAAAGTAGCTTTACTGTTGAGTCAGGAGGAAAATGCATGGCAAGAACAGTTCCAGTTTGAAAAAAGGCAGGTCAAGATCCTTTCACCAAAGTTAGCCATTTTGAGTTTGGCATCTAATCAATGAGGAGTGGACTCCTTCACTTGTGAAGGATAATTTTACAGGATACAGAATTCTAGATTTGTGGGTTTAAAAAAAATTCTCAACACTTTAAATATTTTATTCCGCTCTCTTCTTCCTTTCATGGTTTCTGAGAATTCAATGTAATTCTTATCTTACCTCCTCTATACATAATGCCCCCCTCCCCTCAGCTTCTTTCACGATTTTTGAAAAATATTTTATTTTTCAAAGTTTAAATATGATATGCCTAGGTGTGGTTTATTGAGCACTTATCCTGTTTGGAGTTCTCTGAGCTTCCAGGAGGTGTGATTTGTTGTCAGACATGAACTTGGGGGAAATTAATCATGAGCATTCTTCATTTCTGTTAGTGTTTTTGATCTCTAGCATTTCTTTTTGAGTCTTTATTAGAATTTCTATCTCTCTGCTTGTGTTTTCCATCTGCTCTTGCATGTTGTCTACTTTTTCCATTACCTCCAGTAGCACATTCATCTTATTTTTTTTTTAAAGTCCTGGTCTAATAATTTCAACACTCCTGCTATATATGACTCTAGTTCTCCTGCTTGTTCAGTCTCTTCAAGCAGTGTTTTTTGCCTTTTAGTATGCCTTGTAATTTTTTGTTGAAATCTGGATGCTATGGTTTGAATGTCCCCTCCAAAGCTCATGTTGAAACTTAATCACCAATGTGGCAATATTGAAAGTTGGGGCCTTTAAGAGGCAAATGGTTCCTGTGTGCCCTGCTTTCATGAATGGATTAATTCATTCAAAGATTCAGGGATTAATGGGTTAATGAATTAGTGGGTTATCATGGGAGTGAAATTGGTGGCTTTATAAGGAGACCTTAGCTAGAACGTTAGCACACTCAGCCTCCTTGCCATGTGATATCCTGTGCTGCCTCAGGACTCTTCAGAGAGTCCGCACCAGCAAGAAGGATCTCACCAGATGCACTCCCTTGACCTTGGACTTCTCAGTCTCCCTAACTATGACAAATGAGTTCCTTTTCTTTATAAATTACCCGGTTTTATGTATTCTGTCATAAACAACAGAAAACAACTAAGACACCAGACAGGATATACTGGATAAAAGGAATACTTGTAAGTAGTCTTTTAGTGGTATGTGGTAAGGTACAGGATAGGGCAAGTGTTCTATAGTCCTATGATTAGGCCTCAGCCTTTAGTGAGCCGGTGTGGATGGTAAAAGTCACCAGTACTTCCTTTTTTTTTTGAGACGAAGTCTAGCTCCGTCACCAGGCTGGAGTGCAGTGGCACAATCTCGGCTCATTGCAACCTCTGCCTCCCAGGTTCAAGCGAGTCTCATGCCTCGGCCTCCCGAGTAGCTGGGATTACAGGCATGTGCCACCACGCCAGGCTAATTTTTTTTTTTTTTTTTTTTTTTTGAGCAGAGTCTTGCCTTGCTCTGTCGCCAGGCTGGAGTGCAGTGGCACGATCTAGGCTCACTGCAACCTCCCCCTCCCGGGTTCAAGCGATTCCCCTGCCTCAGCCTCCCGAGCAGCTGGGACTACAGGTGCCCACCACCATGCACAGCTAATTTTTTGTATTTTAGTAAAGACGGGGTTTCACCATGTTGGCCAGGCTGGTCCTGAACTCCTGACCTCAAGTGAGCCCCCCACCTCGAACTCCCCAAGTGCTGAGATTACAGGCGTGAGCCACTGAGCCTGGCCACCAATACTTCTTTTTGCTGTTTTTTTTGACGGAGTCTCGCTCTATCGCCCAGGCTGGAGTGCAGTGGCGCGATCTCCGCTCACTGCAAGCTCCGCCTCCCGGGTTCACGCCGTTCTCCGGCCTCAGCCTCCCGCGTAGCTGGGACTACAGGCGCCCGCCAATACTTCTTAATCTCCCACACTTAAGTGGAACAGGATGGTTTATGGAGGCTGAAGTTGAGTATTTCCCTTCTCCCAGGTAGTTTAGGCTCTGATAAAACCCCAGCAGACTAGGCTTTGGTAAAAATACTTTCTCCTGAGGGCAGGTCTTGTTAAGAACTGATTGCTCTGGCTATTTTTAAATGGTTACCCTTTCAGCAGAGGAATCTTTCAGTAAAAATTTAAGTAATTAACCTAACTGTCAGAGGCGTTTGAACCAGAGCGATTCCATTTTGAGTGAGGGCTAGGAAAATGAGGCTGAGACTTGCTGGGCTGAATTCTCAGAATTTGGGCATTCCTCGCCTCTAGATGTTTACGATTAAGGGAATAAATTAATAATGTTTACTAAAACAGACCCAGATATCGGGATATCTGGAGAACAAAGGCATTCCTAATTTTGCTTTAAAGATAATAATATCAATTCCTGCAAAATAATTAAGAAAATTAATCTTTGATCACAAACCCTTGTAGCAGAGCACATCTCCCCATATATACAAGCATTGTACCTAGGGTGGATGCGTCCCTTCTCTTGCTTTCAGGAATGTCCTACTCTGTCTATGGAGTAGCTGTCCTTTCACCACTTTACGTGTTTTAATAAACTTGCTTTTCTCAGCACTGAGAACTCGCCCTGAATTCTTTCTTGCGCGCGATCCAAGAACCCTCTCTTGGGGTCTGGATCCGGACCCCTGTCGTAACGTAACTGAAAACCCCAGTGCAAAGGCATAGCACCCTACTTAAGAATTTGCAAACATTCATTATTAGTTATTTCAAATCATTGATTAACTTTCTCTAAGCCAATCAGATTCCTACCTGATGTCGAAAAGAAAAGCAAAAGGTAGACTGTTTCAACACTTTCAGACGCTTGGGTAAAAGATGCACTTTCATGCTATAAATAATGCAGCACAAATACTGTACAACAGGGCTTTATACTTGGGGAAAAGCTGCCAGATCCAAACTCTAAAGGAAAACTATTGGAGCTCATTTTTCCTGCCCACGTTAGCTAGCACATTTTGTTGACATTGAAAAAAAAAAAAGATTTTGGTGAAACTGAAAAAAAAAAAGCACCAACAACCCTACCTTGAAATAAACTATTGTACCTCTTATGCCTCCTCCCTTCTACCCCAGAAACCTGGAAGAAAAAAAGATATACCCGAGCTCGTCCAACCCCTCTTTGCGTGGACTGTATAGGAGTATTTAGCCCATCCTGCCTCCTTTAATCTAACATTCTGCGTCTTCTTTCCTTCAGCTTCTCGGCGCCCCCTTTGGCCAGCACTGACATCTTAGTCATCGCGGTCCAAAATTTACGCACGCGCCTTTGAGGGCTCACAGAGCCCGTCTCTCCCGGACGAATCTCATCCAATCAGAGCCAGCCAGGAAGCCGAGGCTCAGCAAGGCCTCGCGACGCCCAACTTCCCAGGGTTAGCGTCTCTGATGTCATGTGATTCCACCCTCCGCCTCTCACCCACCCTCGCAGAGGGCGGTGCGCTTGGCCCGGCCCCTCGAGGCACCGCCTTTCAATTAGCACTCGCTGATTGGTCGCTGCTCGCGCGGTCTCCTGGGTGACGGGAACGCGGTAGCCTGCTTGGTGGAGACCGGGTGCGCCTGCGTACTTCATAGTTCGCGTAGCGGCTCGAGCGTGGAGATGAAGGTAAATAACTTACAAATTCCCGGGGTGGGGCGGGAAAACGCGACTACTGGCCCTTGGTCGCTTTTAAAAGAGGATATCTGTCCCTCTCCCTTCTGAGTTCGTTGGAAATGAGGAAGAGAGAGAGAGAGAGAGGTGGCCAGAGAGAGCGGGGGCGAAGCTGAAGGGACGAGAGAAAGGAAAGAAAATAGGAGGAGAGGAGAGGGCGGAGAGAGAGGCCTCTCGTTTTGGGGACTGCAGACGCCGTAGAAGCGGTGCAGAAAGTGGGAACCCCTCCCTGGCCGAAATGAGCGGACTGGATCTAAAGATACCCCAGCTTCGCACGCGGAAAGAACTGGTCGAGTTAACGCGTTTGGAGGGTCGCTGTGAAGTTGACTGGGTCCGATGTCACGAGCTACCTCATTTCTTGGGGCTAAGCCTCTGGCAAGCCGCGCAGCTGCCCAGCGCCTTAAAAAGAATGAAAAGCCTCCTAAAGAATAACTTCAAAATGTATTACCTGTGACCAGTCCAATCACCTGCTAGCGAGTGTACATTATTGACGGGAAATCTGCACCCGAAAACTCAGGTCTCACGCTCATGTGCCTCATCCTCTGCACGCACGGTTTCTAGGCTTGGGCTTCTTGTTCACCCCACTTTCTGATTTATCAGAGCAGTCCCCCCTTGCTCTGCTCTGGCAAAGAAATGGAAGGCTTTTTTTTTTTTTTTTTTTTACTGAGTCTCGCTCTGTTACCCAGGCTGGAGTGCAGTGGCGCAATCTCTGCTCCCTGCAACCTCCACCTCCTGGGTTCAAGCGATTCTCCTGCCTCAGCCCCCCGAGTAGCTGGGACTACAGGCGCGTGCCACCACACCCAGCTAATTTTTTGTATTTTTAGTAGAGATGGGGTTTCACCGTGTTAGCCAGGATGCTGTCACTCTCCTGACCTCATGATCCCCCGACCTCGGGCTCCCAAAGTGCTGAGATTACAGGCGTGAGCCACCGCGCCCGGCTGGAAGGCTCAATTTTAAAATTATTTTAGATGTCCTCATGCTTCTTCGTGGCTATTAGTGTGGAAATTGGAATTGACGGACCAGTAATCATAACTCCCATTTTTATTTCTAAAGCTCTTTACAATTTATGAAATATTAGAAGTGAAGAGTTATTATTCATGATTTACAGTTGAGAATTTTTTGCTGGAGGCAATTTAAACGACTTACTTAAAGCCCTACAGCTAATAAGCTACAAACAAAATTTAAGTCTTGGTTTTTTGGTTGTGAAACTAGCAGTTTTTCCTCTGCACGGTATGTGGAGCATCTATAGAGCTCCACTGAAAAAAAATAATATGAAATCACAGCTAGAGGCAAGTCAGCCATTGAAGGTAATGAAATTCAAGTTTAAGGACTTCTCACTTGCATGAAGGAGTTCCAGGGTGAAATGGTCACAAAATTGCAAAAGTAAGATGCTTTTAAATATTCTTTCTTCATGAGTTTCTTTATGCTCTATAAAACTTTTATGTCCCATGATCATAGCCCACCTCTACTTTCAATAGAGGGGAATTTCTTCTTTAGCATGTAAAATGCTCATTGGGACAGGGTGCGGTGGCTCACGCCTGTAATCCCAGCACTTTGGGACGCCGAGGCAGGTGGATCACTTGAGGTCAGGAGTTCGACACCAGCCTGGCCAACATGGTGAAACCCTGTCTCTACCAAAAATATTTTTAAAATTAGCCGGGCGTGGTAGCGTGTGCCTGTAATCCCAGCTATTCGGGAGGCTGAGGCAGGAGAATCGCTTGAACCCAGGAGGCGGAGGTTGCAGTGAGCCAAGATCGCCCCACTGCACTCCAGAGCCTGGGCGACAGAGCAAGACGCTGTCTAAAAAAAAATAAAAATAAAAATAAACAACCTCACTGCTTTGTGTTTGGTTGTTGGTTGTTAATTTATTTATTTTGAGACGAAGTCTTGCTCTGTCACCCAGGCTGGAGTGCAGTGGCACCATCTCGGCTCACTGCAACCTCCACCTCCCGGGTTCAAGGGATTCTCGTGCCTCAGCCTCCCAAGTAGATGGGATTACAGCAAGCGCCACCATGCCCAGCTCATTTTTTGGTAATTTTAGTAGAGACGAGGTTTCGCCATGTTGGCCAGGCGGTGTTTAATTTTGAGCATTGTAAGAGTTTTGTGTTGCCGCACAGACTAAGTCCCGTGTAACAGTATCTAAATTTCATATGCCTAGAAATGGGCATCATTGTTTAATCTATAATTTAACCTAATATTGAAATCTAAATTTTTTCACTGAAACTCATATTCCTAAATGTTCTAGATCAACACTGTCTGATATAAATGTACTGTGAGCTAATGTAATTTCATATTTTTATTGACCATTAAAATTTTTTAAGAAAACAGGTAAAATTTATTTTAATAATATATTTTATCTTACCCAGTATATCAAAAATGTTATTTCAACATGTAATCAATATAAAAATTAACAACGAGATAGTTTACATTCTTTTTCCAGTTGTTGAAATCTGATATACATTTTATATTTACAGCACAGCTAGGTTGGGATTACTTATATTCCAAGTCCTCAATAGCTACATGTGGTTTGTAGCCTCCATATTGGACATCACGTTTCTTGATTGTTTCAAGGAAAAGAAAGAGTTTTCAGTTGATAACACTATTCACCCAGTAGCCAAGTTAAACACTTAATGATGATGTAAATATAACTAATGGAACTAATAGAAGAAAATAATGTTGAAAGGAGTAAAGACATTTTGTGTTTTTATCATGTTTAAGATAGCAATTTTTGTTCAGTTTAATCACCAGGAATCCGTGCCACA
Source organism: Homo sapiens (assembly GCF_000001405.40). Classification (NCBI taxonomy): domain Eukaryota; kingdom Metazoa; phylum Chordata; class Mammalia; order Primates; family Hominidae; genus Homo; species Homo sapiens. The sequence continues at coordinate 39,185,371 of NC_000004.12, forward strand.
GATAATTAACTGAATTCAGGCTTCAATTATTTTAGTCTTTAACATCTACAAAACACTAAAATTACATATTTTTGTAAAATTAACATTCAGAAACATTAAAAAGCCAAAAAAAATTTAAAATAAAAGCCCTCCTATATCTTGAGATCTGTAATTTACCAAGTAGTTGTGTATGTTTAGTTGGTTGGTTGATTTTGTTTTATTTCTTTTGTTGTTAACTTCTAGATAAGCTCTAACATAATCCTCACTATCCTGAATCCTATGAAAACATGGTTTTCATGACCATGTTTTGATACCTTTTCTGATCAACACTTGATTGTATGTTTTGAAAATATTAAAAATTGTGTTTATTTTTTAGCGTATTTTCTCACTGCTAGAAAAGACTTGGCTTGGCGCACCAATACAGTTTGCCTGGCAAAAAACATCAGGAAACTACCTTGCAGTAACAGGGTAAGAAACCAATGAATGTTTTAAGCAGTGGTTGCATGCCCATGTAATCACACCATCTACTCAGTAGAAGTTTTTTTTGTTGTTGTTTTTTTTTTTTAAATGGAGTCTAGCTTTGTTGCCCAGGATGGAGTGCAGTGGCACGATCTCAGCTTGCTGCAACCTCCGCCTCCCAGGTTCAAGTGAACCTGGCCTCAGTAAAAGTTTTTGTCTAACAGTTATATGACAGGAAAAGGAATATATTCATCTCCATTAACATGAAAGTTCATAGAACCTTTTCCCTGGTAATAACTTTTTATGCAAATTCTGAAACTATCAGGAGAAAACACTGAAATCATTTGGATGGCAGCTTTATATACATAGATAAATGAAAGAAACATTTAGGCCAGGTGCAGTGGCTCATGCCAATAATCCCAACACTTTGGGAGGCCAAGGCAGGCAGATCACTTGAGGCCAGGAGTTTGAGACCAGCCTGGCCAACATGGTGAAACGCCATCTCTACAAAAATACAAAAATTAGCCAGGTATGGTGGCAGGCATCTGTAATCCCAGCTACTTAGGAGACTGAGGCAGGGGAATCGCTTGAACCTGGGAGGTGGAGGTTGCAGTGAGCCAAGATCACACCACTGCACTCCAGCCTGGGCAACAGAGGGAGACTCTGTCTCAAAAAAAAAAAAAAAAAAAAAAAAAAGTAAATCATATCTTTATGTTCTGATTGCTTTCAGAGCTGATTATATTGTGAAAATCTTTGATCGCCATGGTCAAAAAAGAAGTGAAATTAACTTACCTGGGTAAGTACAGAAGTAGATTTAAAAAAACCTGTCAAGTTTTGTTGCCTAAAAGATTAAAAAAATACTGCCTTAAAATTATAATCAGATGGAATCTTTTGCTTCTTCCATTTGCAAAGGGATTTGTTTTTTTAGCCATAAGTAGTTATGAAATATGTAGAGATATAGCATGAATTAGAGTTTCTATCTATAAACACCCATATACTCACAGAGAAGCCTTACGGCAGGATTATAAATCAGACCGTGTGAAAGAATTAGAGTCCACACGAAACAATTCTTTTAAATTATAAACAAGTCTTAGTGTTTGTATAGGCAGATAAGATAAACCTGTATCTACTTTAGTTTTCCATCTCTAATAAATTGTTGGAAAATAGTGACTTTCCACATAACTTTGTAAAGGGTGAAGGCTTTATCCATTTTCAGGAAATCATTCTACATTATACTAAGCATAATTGAAGCATTTTTAATGATTCAGTGTAATCACTACCTATATTAGTTATTCTACTGATGGTCTCAGTGGTTATTAAGATGTATAAAGGCTGTGTGTGGTGGCTCATGCCTGTAATCCCAGCACTTTGGGAGGCCGAGGCAGGTGGATCATGAGGTCAGGAGATGGAGACCATCCTGGCTAACACGGTCAAACCTCGTCTCCACTAAAAATACAAAAAAGTAGCTGGGCGTGGTGGCATGCGCCTGTAGTCCCAGCTACTTGGGAGGCTGAGGCAGGAGAATCACTTGAACCCGGAAGGTGGAGGTTGCAGTGAGCCGAGATTGCGCTACTGTACTCCAGCCTGGGTGACAGAACGAGACTCCATCTCAAAAAAAAAAAAAAAAAAAGATGTATAGAGTCCCTCACCTAAACTGACTTATGCTGCTGTGCTTTTAAAATTCATGTTTCTTTCTGTAGTTTATTGACCATTTTTGAAAATTAGGTTTTACTTCTCTTGGTCTCTAACAGCCTTTCCTACCTCCTGCCCTGCCCCACCCACCTAATGCTATCATTTTGGCATTTTCCATTAACTCTCTTAATTGTGGCTTCTGGTTTCTGTATTCCTGGAAACAGATCAAAGAAGCTATAATTATATGTGAAGTGAAAGAAGGCACTCAGTAAAAATTGTCTTGGAGTAAATTGCGTGAGCTTTATTGTGTGATCTCTGTGACATCTATTTCTGTTACATAATGGTCTCATTTCTTCTGTATTGTTTTGCTGTATTCATAATAGTGGAATTTGACTGACAGAGGATCTCCAGATAAGGAAAATGCTGTTAAATACACAATCTTTAATTAGCAGATGATTTTGTCAATAATTTGAAAGCTTCCCTCTTCCATACTCCCCAAATCTCTGAATATACTTTAGAAAATGAAGATCCTAAAACATATTTCAACATTTTGAAAAATAAAATAATTGAAGTAATTCCCAACTGTCTTAAATATAAATCAAAGTATGGGTTATTTAATACCCAAGAATGAAAAATAACATCAGAGAAGAAAAGGTAAATATTTTTATTAAGAGTTTAAGAAATTGTAAAGTTTTTTATAATACACATTTGGTTATTTAATACCAAGATGAAAAATATATGTAATACCAAGATGAAAAATATTTAATACCAAGATGAAAAATATATTTAATACCAAGATGAAAAATAACATCAGAAAAGAAAAGGTAAATATTTTTATTAAGGATTTAAGAAATTGTAAAGTTTTTTATAATATACATTTTGGAATAATAGCAAGAATCATGTTAAATAGACCATTTCCTGTTTATAACTATGTTGTTACCTTAATCAAATTACTCTCGTTATTTTCCATCAAGATATAAAATGAAAATAATGACCAGGCACAGGGGCTCACACCTGTAATCCCAGTACTTTAGGAGACTGAGGCAGAGGATCGCTTAAGCCCTGGAATTCGAGGTTATAGTGAACTATAATCATTTGAGCCCAGGAGTGTGAGGTTATAGCCAAGTATAATCGCACCACCGCACTCCAGCCTGGGCGGCAGAGCCAGACCTTGTCTCAAAAAAAAAAAAAAAAAGAAAAGAAAGAAAGAAAAGAAAATAACATTTCTTATTCACCACTTTAGAATTCTATCTTTCCCTTTTTTACAATCCTATATCTACCCAATCACTCAATTTATCTAGCTATAACTTTGCTGCTTTTCTTTTTTTGAAACAGGGTCTCTCTGTGTTTCCCAAGCTGGAGTACAGTGACACAAACATGGCTCACTGCAGCCTTTACCTCCCGGGCTCAAGTAATCTTCCCACTTCAGCCTCCTGAGTAGCTGAGTAGCATGTGCATGCCACCACGCCCAGCTCATTTTTTTTTCTTTTTTTTTTGGTAGAGATGGGACCTTGCCATGTTGCTCAGGCTGGAGTGCAGTGGCGCGATCTTGGCTTACTGCAACCTCTGCCTCCCAGGTTCAAGCGATTCTCCTGCCTCAGCCTCCCAAGTAGCTGGGATTACAGGCATGCACCACCATGCCCAGCTAATTTTTGTATTTTTTAGTAGAGACGGGGTTTCTCCATGTTGGTCAAGCTGGTCCCGAACTCCTGACCTCAGGTGATCCGCTTGCCTCGGCCTCCCAAAGTGCTGGGATTACAGGTGTAAGCCACTGCGCCCAGCCACTTTGTTTCTTATCAATACCTTCTTGTCCTCTCTGTCAATCTAAAATAATCTTTCAAAAGTTGATCATACAAATTATGTCTCGATTCCAGATGTGATTCATTTGTAAAGGTGCGTGGCGAGTTTGTTTTATCAAAAGGCAGGGTTCTTTATAGGACTGAAGAAAATCTGCTAACTTAAGTATGATTATATTTAATGTAGTATATGAAAATGGTATTAAAAGTAAAATTTTAAATTTTACCGTCCCCTCAACCACAGCAAAAAAATTGAAGTTAACATTACCCATGCAGTGAATAATGAGTTGTATTTCTCACTTTAGAGAGTTTATTATCTGTTCAAAATAGATTGAATAATCTTGTTATAGACAAAAATCACAAATAGTAATTTTACTTTAAAAAACTGTATAGTGGTATTTTGCTCTCTTTTTTAAAAGTAACTGTGTTGCCATGGATTGGGATAAAGATGGAGATGTCCTAGCAGTGATTGCTGAGAAATCTAGCTGCATTTATCTTTGGGATGCCAACACAAATAAGACCAGCCAGTTAGACAATGGCATGAGGTAAGATAACTTTTTAATTTTTTAAAGCTTCACTTAGAAACATGAATATTTGTAGGTTTGGTGCTAACAATTCTTTACTACTTTCATTTTAAAGATTCCTCAATGAGTTATTTTCATAGAAAAGGATTATTTTTATTATTGTTACCCAATTAGAATGAAATTGTTATAACTGTGAATTATAAATAGCTTCTTAAAAAGTTGCTTTCAGTGGAACAGACTAAGAAGTGCAGAGATGAGACAAAATATATATGGGAAAATCCAGAGATGGGCTTGACCATAGGCATGGCTAGATCTAGGAGTTATAATGGTGCAATCAAGACTTTTTCTCCATCTCTCAGCTCCTCTTTTCTCTATATTGACTTTATTCTAAATCAGATTCTCACCCACGACTACTGGTAGCTATCAGTATGTATCATTCTTCACAGCAAGTCATGCCAGAGAAAAGAGCATGTGCCTTGACATCACCAGAGCCCATTCAGTTCCTCAGCAGGTCTCTGAGTGGAGTAGGCAGGGCCATGGATTGGTACTCCCACCAAGTGAAAGGAAGAGCAAAGGGCAGGGCAGTTCCCAAATGGAAAAAAATCTTGGGCAGACAGAATAAATGACAGATATCTGCTAAAAGAGAAACCAGTTTCCAATATGGAAAAGAAAAACTTGTCAGCATTTCCAACTAAAACTTTGCCATTTTGACCTTGGACAAATTGCTTAACCCCTCTCCAAGCCTCAATTTCTTCATCTGTATGACATGGGTATAACATGCTTCATGGCTTCATGTACCCCTCATGTGGGGAGGAAGAGATCATATACACGCTATGAGACCAGACTATAAGTTTTCAAGTTATTTACTAAGGAATAACTGAACCCAGAGAAAGCAAGGCAGTCATGTAGCGCAGGATCAGATACAACCTAGTGAGTGTAGTGCCTTTGACCCTCCAAAGTGACCGTTGAGGCAAGTAGCTGCAGAAGATACTGTCTACCAATGTAAAGTCTTCCTGAGTCTAAGAACCTTCATTTCTTGCTCTGTCCTCTTACACTTTGGGTTTACATCACTTTTCAGAAAGATTTTATATACTCTCTGTGCTTCCATTCAAGGGAAAGTTTAATAAACTTCAAGTACTGGTTCTTGAGCCAAATTCAGCAACAGTAAGGCCATGTTCTCACTCAGAGCAAAGTGCATAATTAATCCCCTGGTGTTTCTAACTGGTCTATCTCTGCCTCCAGCTCTCTGTCTTCCCACAGTGTCTGTTTCTCCACATCATCTCAGGATTGTTGTGATGTTTAAATATATGTCATGGCCAGGCATAAAATTAAGACCCAAGTAAATGGTAGATGTTATCGTAATTGTCATTAAAATAAAATTAAGGTTGCTTTACTGTTGATGTTTATATTTAATGTCTAAAGGACTTTTGTATATACAAAAGCATACCCACTGTTTGTTCTTTATTCAAAGGTCAATCTGTTACACTAGCTAGTTATTAAACAAAACTTGGAATATCAATTTTTCTTAAGTATTTTTATTTAAGAAGGTCCTGTTGTACATGACCACCTTGCTTCCTCTGGGTTGTTATTCCTTAGTAAATAAATGCTTTTAAGCAATTTAGGTTTTATAAAATTTATCTGAAGTGAGTCTTTTGAGCACTTCAAACACCTGAAATAGTACCCAAAACCTATCCAAATGTAATTATCACAAAACTTACTGTGGTGCCACTTAACTAAAAATATATTAATTCAATGAGCTGAATTCATTTATTTTTGCTATGTATGCATTTATACTCTTTTAGAATTATAGCGGTATTTACTCTGCTCCTGCCTAGGCCTAACAGAAGTAGTCATTTAATTATGTAACTGGGATATAGCCATTTCTTTCCAGAGAAAACCCTATACATAACATCTGCTTCATCAACCAGTTCATTCTTGGATGGATCACAGAACATGGTTGCTTCTCCCAAGGCAATTTGGACCTGAGTACTAGGTATCCTACTCAGTGTCTTTTTAAATTGACCTTGAGTTGTCGTATTAGTAAAATTCTTTTAAGCCCATGCCTTATACATAGGTTGCAATTTTTTGTAACCTGTACATTTCCCTAGCATGATATATTCTTTAAATTTTGCTTGGCCAGAGATACATGTAATTGTTATATGTTGTCCTGATCCAATGGCATTATTGGAAATTTACATATGCTTTAGTATCATATTGTAATTTGCAAGGGTTTCTACGGGCCTTATATCCTAAGAGAATAGGGATGGAGTCTGTTCAGTTAGCTCTTCTTTTGAGAACATTTGATTACTTGATCTTCTTAGAACACATTATTTAACACTTTCTTTCTAGTTGGTTGTTGAGTAACTGTCAGTGCTGATAAACTATTGAATGGACTAATGTTATATTTATCTTATTATATATGATCACTGTTGCTGATCAGATCTTGTTCTTGTTATACAGTTTTCTCTGATACTATTTTTAGCTCATGCAAAATTATTTTTATTCATATTTTCTTTGAAGGAGTCTCCAAGACAGGATTAACTGTGTAAGAGATTTCTTACAGGAAATGCCTATGAGGGAACATAGAGAGGTTAGAAGAGATTGGAAGAGCTGTTAGACCTCAGTGCATGTCTGACCCTTATAAATGAGAGAGGGAAAGAAGTAAGGTTGGGAAGAAGTGTCTTAAATTGTAGCACAGTTGTTTTTTGTTTGTTTGTTTGTTTGTTTGGAACGGAGGCTCCCTCTTTTGCCCAGGCTGGAGTGCAGTGGCTTGATCTTGGCTCACTGCAACCTCTACCTCCCGGGTCAAAGCGATTCTCCTGCCTCAGCCTCCCAAGTAGCTCGGTGCCCACCACCACGCCCAGCTAAATTTTGTATTTTTAGTAGAGATGGGGTTCCACCATCTTGGCCAGGCTGGTCTCGAACTCCTGACCTCAGATGATCTGCCCACCTGAGCCTCCCAAAGTGCTAGGATTATAGGCGTGAGCCACCGTGCCCAGCCCATTAAATTGTAGCACAGTTCTAATTAAGAAAGTTCAGCTAGGTCTGTGGGGAGTCTTTGGGCAAAAGTTACCTGTCAAAGGAGTTCTGCCCAGGAATGGGCCCAGCAGTTATCCCTCCCTCACTCAGTCATTGTCTGGGAACAGCCCATGAGAAAGCACAGCCCAGCTCATTGAGGTGATGGATTCCAAAGCCTAGCAGCTGGGGCTCATGGGCAGTTACACTTTCTGCAAACGGAGGGAAATCTGAGAGGCACATTATTGCGGCTACAGCATTTATTTTAAAAAAGGAAAAAAAGATTAAAATGCGTATTTATCTTTTGTAAAATAGATACTTAATAGAAGAACCTAGCAGCCTGGTATGTTACTACTCCCTTACTTGCTAAATTTAATTTTTTTTCTTTTCTTTTTTTTTTTTTTGAGACAGAGTCTCACTGTGTCGCCCAGGTTGGAGTGCAGTGGCGCAATCTTGGCTCACTGCAACCTCCGCCTCCCGGGTTCAAGCGATTCTTCTGCCTAAGCCTCCTGAGTAGCTGGGACTACAGGTGCATGCCACCTCACCCAGCTAATTTTTGTATTTTTAGTAGAGACGGGTTCACCATAATGGCCAGGCTGGTCTCGAACTCCTGATCTTGTGATCTGTCCACCTCGGCCTCCCAAAGTGCTGGGGTTACAGGCGTGAGTCACCATGCCCAGCCTAAAATTAATTTTTTAACTAAGCATTTTATTATATGCTTCTATTATTACAACTAATTTTTCCACATACTTTAAATTATTTTTTCTCTTCCAAGTAACATCATGATTTTACGACCTTTCACAAACTCAACTTGTATCAAATAAGTATGTAATTTTTAATCCTCAAATTCTCCTAATTTAGCCAGAGGAAACCTCTTTAAACTTACTCTTTTGTCCTTTTATCACTGCCCTCAACATTCTTGGAAGCAGTGCTGCTTTCTGAAAACCATACCATGGTCTGTCAGCGGTGCTGAAAGTTTAGCTGCATCAGAATCCCCTGGAGGGCTTATGAAAACACAGGTAGCTGGGTGCCACTTTCAGAGTTGCTCGGTCAGTATGTCTGGGCTGGGATCTGAGAACTGGCATTTCTCACAAGTTCCCAGATGATGCTGCTGGTTCTGATTTCAAATTTTGAGAACCACTGTTCTTGACTCATTGTGATTTCTTTTCTCAATATATGGAAAGAGGTACTCTCCAAGAAGTTCTGCTTCCCCTTAGTAGGGAATTGTATAACACTTCAACCTCATGAATCGTAGAATGCATGTCAGAACTGGTGGTGGGCAAAAGTGTTTTCTACCTGCTTTTGAGCTACTCTTAATGGTGACGGAGCTGGAAAAGATATATCATTTTTAAAGTCATGAATTCCCAATGATTTTTACCATTTAATATGTTATTGGGTGCCACTTTTTTAAAGTATGAGGTTTCACCATCCATTAATATTTTTGTAATCACATTTAGAGCTAAAACTATCATTAATAGACAAATTAATAAATATCTCATCATAGGTCATCTCATGAATTTTGAGGTTCCATCATAACTGAAGTCTACATTCATTATACTTTTGTATTTTGAGTCTAACTGACCCTAAGATCATTCTGTAGCATCTCCAAAATATCTTTAGCATTTAGTCTTTGTCCTAAAGCATTAAGTTGTATTTTGTACTTTGGCTTCTAAGTAGATGTTAAAATTATCCAAGGAGTACTTTTTTAAAGGACTGTTTAGAGGTTATGATCGTGAATTGTTTAGTAATTTATATCTTAATGTTACAGGGATCAAATGTCTTTCCTTCTTTGGTCAAAAGTTGGAAGTTTCCTGGCTGTTGGAACTGTTAAAGGAAATTTGCTTATTTATAATCATCAGACATCTCGAAAGATTCCTGTCCTTGGTAGGTGATAGCTGGAAACACTGCTAAATATTTGAGATGCTCTACCTCAATGTAAATTCTGCCGCCTCAGGTTTCCCTGATCTTGCAATGGAAATTTTGCAGTACAAACCCCCTCCCCATGTCCCTCCGCAAGTCTTACATTTAGCTAAACATGAAGATCCCTGTTCACTGCTTACTAAGAACTTGCCAGGGTACATAGAATAGATTGAGTTAAAGTCAGGCTGTGCCTTTCGCATCAGGACATTAACAGCATGGCTTCCATTTGTCCTTTCCCACCCAGACTGTACCTCTGGACGAGGAATAGCTCATACACATATGAACACATTTTGATAATATGTGCTATTTTTGTTATTAATTTTAGTTAATTTAGTTGCATTATAATATGTGGTAATTTTAGTCCACATGGTAGATTAAAACATTTACTGCTTGAGTCCGTGGTGGCTCACGCCTGTAATCCCAGCACTTTGGGAGGCCAAGATGGGTGGATCACGAGGTCAGGAGTTCAAGACCAGCCTGGCCAAGATAGTGAAACCCCATCTCTACTAAAAATACAAAAAATTAGCCGGGCACAGTGGCAGCCGCCTGTAATCCCAGCTACTCGGGAGGCTGAGGCAGGAGAATCACTTGAACTCGGAGGGTGGATGTTGCAGTGAGCAGAGATCGCGCCACTGCACTGCAGCCTGGGTGACAGAGTGAGACTTCATCTCAAAAAAAAAAAACAAAAAAACAAACAAACAAAAAAAAACATTTACTGCTTGGATAGAAGCAAGATTTCTAATTCTGACCCCTCACCTTCTCCAAATCCTAGTTAAATCTAGATGTGGACTATGAGTTCCATTTGCCTCAGGATATGCAGCCAGAGGGTGTTTTTATGTCCCTCCTTGTTTGACCTTCTTGTTTTGGCTCTTTGATTCCCCCAACCTCTGGTCACTTGGCATCTGCCCTCTGAATAGCCAAGAAGAAACATCTATTCTTGTCAATTATTGTAACATCATTGTGATGAATGGTAGAACCTAGTGGGCTTAATTGCATCCAGGTGGCCAGGAAAAGTATAACTTACTGCTAATAAAGGAATTACACTCTGGAGATCATGGCACCCACAGATACTTGAGAAAGTGCCCTTCCATTCAAGACGATCATTTCAAATTAGTTTTACATATATGTATCTCTTTAATGTTAACATTAATTTTGGGTGCTATAGCTAAACATTAATGTCATTGAACTATTTGAAAAGTTAAACTAAATTTTTTTAAGTTACAAATATCAACTTTAAATTAGTTTGTCTATTAACTGTTATTATTGGTGTTAAGACTAACTTGATTTCTGAGCACTGGAAGCAAAAGGGCTTTGAGGTATATAAGGAGGAGGAGGAAGAAGAGATTTTCTTCTCCCTTTCTTGGGTATAGAAAGATGTCTTTGGCATCTTCCTACTTGTCATTGTATAGTCTTTTCCCCTTCCTAATGCCTGTTTCTTTGGACACCCAGTTCCATTTAACACCCAAGTCCCTTAATCTATGATCAGCAAAATCTCTGTAGCCCCAGTCTCTTCTCTGAATATTTCCTTCACTTTTGTGTTCTGGTCTCCTGATATGAAATACTGTCTATATCCTGAAAACTCCCAAATTTATATCTTTTCCACACTGTAGACTCATACCTCCAACGCTTACTCAACATCTTCAGTGAGGTGTCTAGTATACACTTCAAATTTAGTATCTCCAAAACCTTCTTGACTCACAGCTTTGCCTTCCACCATTGTTGGCATTCCATTCTTCCAAATTGTTAGGCCAATGTTTAGGGCCATCCTTGACTCTTTTCTTTCTCATACTCTCCATAACTAATTTGTCAGAAAATCTTACAGACTCAACCTCCAAATATCTCCAGAATCCAGCCGGTCTCACCATCTCTACTGCTGCCACCATGGTGTGGTCTCAGACATTTTCTACCTTAATTTCTGCAGTCTCCTCTTTACTGGCCTCTCCATTTCAACTCTTGCCCCACTCTAGAATCTTCTCAACCCAGAGGCCAGAATGAGCCCTCTGCTCAGAACTCTTCAATGGTTTCTGTCTCACCCAGGATAAAAGCAAAAGGCCTTAAAATGGCCAGAACAAATTTTCCATAATCTGGCCTTCGCAACCTCTCTGACCTCATCTCATGTTCTTCCCTCCTCATTTGTCTGCTCCAACCACATTGTCCTTGCTGAGCCTCTAACACACTAGGCAAACTCCTGCCTTGGGGTCTACTCACTTAAAGCATTCATTTAATACCTGCTTTCTGCATAGGTACTGTATTAGATTCTTTGAGGGTACGAAGAATAAAATGAATGTGGTCTCTGCTCTCAGTAACAGCTAAAATAGCTGACACTGTGATAGCATTTCATATGTACCTTGCACTTTGGTCAGTGCTTTAATTCAATTGATCCTCAACCCTATGAGAGGTCCTACTATTATTCCCAATTTATGGATGAAGTGAGTAAGGAATAGAAAGGTTGGCTGGGCATGGTGGCTCATCCCTGTAATTCCAGCATTTTGGAAGGCCGAGGCAGGCGGGTCACTTGAGGTCAGGAGTTCGAAACCAGCCAACATGGTGAAACCCCGTCTCTACAAAAAATACAAAAAAATTAACCAGGTGTGGTAGTGGGCTCCTGTAATCCCAGCTACTTGGGAGGCTGAGGCAGGAGAATTGCTTGAACCCAGGAGGCAGAAGCTGCAGTGAGCTGAGATTACACCACTGCACTCCAGCCTGGGAAACAGAGCAAGACTCTATCTCAAAAAAAAAAAAAAAAAAAAGAAAGAAAAAGAAAAGAAAAGGTTAAGTAACTTACGCAAGGTTTTTTCAGTAGGTAGTGGAGCTAAGATTCAAAGCTAGGCAGTCTGGCTCCAGAATCTATACACTTAACTATTCTTCTCATTAGTAGAATTACCCTTGGGACTCTTGAGGATTTATCTATCCCAAGACCTTCAGAAATACCCATAGTGTCAAGCATGTGATTTCCCTGAAAAAAAAAATATATAGTTTTTGCACTGACTGGAAAGCTCAATGAAAAAGCTTCCCAATAGTTAGTGGCTATCTGATGTTACTCATTAGCATAGTTACACAGTTCTTAACACAAGTCTTACTGAGGTGCATTCAAACAGGTACATCAGTATTATCATAAATTATTATATATCTTTTAGTTGTTACTGTTTTTGTTTTTCTGAGAGATAAGGTCTTGCTCTGTCACCCAGGCCAGAGTGCAGTGGTGGGATTACGGCGCACTGCAGCCTCAATCTCCCAGGCTCAAGGGATCCTCCCACCTCAGCTTCCCGAGTAGCTGGGACTACAGGTGTGTGCACCAGACTTGGCTAATTTTTTTTCTTTAATTTTTGTAGAGATGAAGTCTCACTATGTTGCCTAGGCTGGTCTTGAACTCCTGGGCTCATGCAATCCTCCCACCTCAGCTTCCCAAAGTGCTGGGATTATAGGCATGAGCCACTGTGCCTGGCCTCTTTTAGTTATACCTGAACAGTTAAACAGTGAATGTTAAATCTGCTTATGTCAAAGGTATACCACACCATGAAGCTGAATATAAGTAAAGTTAACTTCACTGCTCTGGAATTTACTTCTCTTAAGACATTAACGGCCGGGAGTGGTGGCTCACGCCTGTAATCCCAGCACTTTGGGAGGCCGAGGCGGGCGGATAACAAGGTCAGGAGATTGAGACTATCCTGGCTAACATGGTGAAACCCCATCTCTACTAAAAATACAAAAAAAAATTAGCCAGGCATGGTGGCGGACGCCTGTAGTCCCTGCTACTGGGGAGGCTGAGGCAGGAGAATGGCATGAACCCGGGAGGTGGAGCTTGCAGTGAGCCAAGATCGCGCCGCTGCACTCCAGCCTGGGCGACAGAGCGAGACTCCGTCTCAAAAAAAAAGACATTAACTTTGGAGCCAGGCACGGTGACTCGCGCCTGTAATCCCAGCACTCTGGGAGGCCAAGACAGGTGCATCGCTTGAGCTCAGGAGTTGGAGACCAACTTGAGCAACAAAGTGAAACCACATCTCTACAAAAAATACAAAAATGGCCAGGTGCGGTGGCTCACGCCTGTAATCCCACCACTTTGGGAGGCCAAGGCAGGTGGATCACCTGAGGTCAGGAGTTCAAGACCAGCCTGGCCAACATGGTGAAACCCTGTCTCTACTAAAAATATAAAAATTAGTTGGGTGTGGTGGCTCGCCTGTAGTCCCAGCTACTTGGGAGGCTGAGGCGGAAGAATTGCTTGAACCTGGGAGGCAAAGGTTGCAATGAGCCAAGATCACGCCACTGTACTCCAGCCTGGGCAAGAGAGTGAGACTCTGTCTCAAAAAAAAAAAAAAAAAGAATTAGCTGGGTGTGGTGGCATGTGCCTATAGTCCCAGCTACTTGGGACCTGAGTTGGGAGGATGGCTTGAGCCTGGGAAGCAGAGGTTGCAGTGAGCTGAGATCACACCACTGCACTCTAGCCTGGATGACAGAGCCAGAATCTGTCTCAAAAAAGAAAAAAAGACATTATCTTTGCAGGTTTGGTTATATGATAAACGAAGAAATCTTGTCAAGGAGCAGAATATCTTTTTACATTAGGGCTTATATCCAGATAAAAATTTGGAAAACAGTAATGCCTTTATATGCCATTATTTTATACCTTGGTAATAAACTGTTTTAAATAAGGTTGCGTAGACATTAACTGCTTTGATGAAATTCTAAATTCTTGTCTGTTTAATTTCTTGCTATATTCAGATTGGCATCACAGATTTTTTTCTTTGAGAAATCCACATGTCTGTATAAAAATAATCTCTTTTTCAGGAAAACATACTAAGAGAATCACTTGTGGATGTTGGAATGCAGAAAATCTGCTTGCTTTAGGTGGTGAAGATAAAATGATTACAGTTAGTAATCAGGAAGGTGACACGATAAGACAGGTAATACAGTAACGTCTCTTTGGTCTGATATATTCAAGCTTTCCCCCCAAATAAATAGTTTGTCTGTCAAACTAATCTATACAATTTTTAAAAATCTATATGTGAGGTATATATGTGTGTGTGTGTATACACAATAACTTCAAAAACCTTTCTATTTATTGTCAGAACATTTTTCTTTGATATGAATATGTTATCCAAATATCCTCCTTTGTATATTTCCCTTCCGTATTAACATGGATTATCAGCTCTGTGGTTCTAGTCAGACAGTGTATTTGTGAAATAACTCTTATTTTATATATGTGTATTTATAATACAAATGTTAATAACTGGTAGATCTTGAACTCAGAGTCAAATCTGCCTAATTCTAAAGCTCATACCTTTAACTGATAAATTGCTTCTAAACTAATCCTAATGGAATTTAATTTTAAGATTAAATGTTTCTACTATTCACATTTCTCAAGATTGATTAGCTCTTTCAGAGGCTCCCTCCTTATGGGAATTTGTATCGCCAGTAGCTACATAATGTGGCCAATGGGAAAATTTCACTTTGGACTACTGCTTATGATTTAGTATTGCTAGAGCAATATTGACTAACACATTCTTTGAATACCTGCTAGGCACATGGCACTGTGCTATATACTATAGAAAGAATATGAAATATGGCTCTGTATTAGCCAATCTATTGCTGCATAACAAATTAACCATTAATCAAAATGTAGAAGCTTAAAACAACACTTACTATTTCATGGTTTTGTGGATGAGGAATTTAGATGCAGCTTATCTGGGTGTCTCTGCCTTAAAGTCTCTACAAGCCTGCAATCGTGTTGTCAGACAGGGCTGCAGTTTCATGTGAAGGCTCAATAGGGAGAAAAATCTGCCTCCAAGCTCACTTACATGGGTGTTGACAGGGTTCAGTTCCTTACAGATTGTTATATTCAGGGCTTCAGTTTCTCTCTAGCTATTCACTGGAAGCCTTCCTCACTTCCTTGCCACATGGATCTCTCCATAGAGTGCCTCACAACACAGCAGCTGGTGAGAGAGTGAGAGCAGCCATTCAAGACTGAAGCTGCATCTCTTTATAACCTAATCACAGAATCACTTTTGCCATATTTTGTTCTTTAGAAGTGAACTACAAGGTATAGCCCACAAAAAGTAGGGCAGGGATGGGGACCACACAGGCATAAAACCAGAAAGTGGGGATCATTGTGGGCCATCTTACAGGCTGCTGATCGTAGGGCCCCACTCTTAAGAAGACATTAGTAATATTATAAAACACACATGGCCTTATTGATTAATTGCCATATTTTGTGGTACAAATTACCTGTCCTATAACATTTGGGAGATAGAGGAGATCAATGAAAGTTTGATTGTGAGTCTCTCAAAGATAGAAGGCTATCTGAATCAGTCAGGGTATAGACTAAACTGTTGGGTCAGAGAGTCCTAAAACTTCAGGGGCCGGAAGAATATGATAGTATGGGTTGGGGTCGGGGGTTTCCTCTCTCTTTTTCTCATGTAACAGAGAGACAAAGTCACCTACGTACCTCTGCTTCACTAAATTGTACCGAGTCTCAGGTTCCTTCCATCTTATTGCTCTGCCATTTTCTAGAGTATTGTACCCTCATCTGCATGATTGAAGCTAGTGTACCAGGATCACATCTGCATTTCAGCTCCAGGGAAAGGACAAAGAGAAGAAATAGAGTGTAAGAAATTTGTAAAGGACTTGATCTGCAAGATGCATTTATTATTTCCCTTCATATCATATGACTAGAACCTAGTCATGTGGCCAAATCTACCTGCTCCCAGGAAAGCTGCAATTTTAGTCCAGCTAGATGACTATGTACCTTGCTAAAACTTATTTTAGTAGATAGTGCAAAACATTTACTCATTCAGTACAAGCAGAACAGCAAGGAAAAACTACAGCTTGTTCCTGAGTTGTTCAAGCCTGGACTAACTGAAGATAGAGGTTTTGATTGGGCATTTTTAGAAAATAGGGCTGAAGAAGAAAGTCGATTCCTGTATCTGTTTTAATCATTCTATTTTCAATGCCCTTTAGAAATAGAATGGTAAATATGGTATAAATGCTACAGCTCCCCTCTCTTGTGTCCATATCAGACATTACCAATAGATAGTGGATTTTTTTTCCCTCCACTGAATAAAAATATGGCCTTAGAATATTTTTTCCGTATAGCATTCCAGGAAGTCACTACAATTCAGCCATTATTTACATATAAGATAACTGTTTTTCATTTCTAATCCTTAAGAAGTCTGCTTCCAAAATTAGACATACTACTTAAGCTGTCATGTAGTAAGCAAAATATACATTATAAGTGTTGCTTTGTTTTGTGTTTTTTCTTAATTGTTTTAACTTTGGCATTCTGAAGATCACTATGGTGTTACTTGTATGGATTTATTTTTATTTATCCTGCTCAGGATTTGTCTTGCTTCCTGAATCTGAAGATTGTTATCCTTTGTCAATTCAGGAAAATTCATAGTCATTATCTCTTTGAATATTACTTCTTGCCCTTTCTATTCTGTTTTTCAGGAGCGTCTGTTAGATAGCTGTTGGACCTTCTTATGTCTCTTAATCTCTCCTCTTCATAGTTTTATCTTTTTATCACTCTGCAACCTTTTGGATGATTTCCTCATATTAGTTCACATATTCTTTCTTCAAATTTGTCTAATCATCTGTGTATACATTGAGTTTTTTTATTTTAATGACGCCTCGTTTTTAGAAAGTACTTTGTAGTTCTTTTAAAAATCCACTTGAAATACATGAATAGACAGTTCACACAAAAATGTATAAAAAATGGCTCTCATACATATGAAAAAAATTTCAAAGTTACTCATAATTAAATAACTACAAATTAAAGCCACACTGAAATACCATTTTTCACCTATCAGGGTGGCAAAATTATATAAAATATGACAACATATTCTGTTGGTGAAACTGTAGATAAAATTAGTATGTCCCTTCTGGAGGAAAATTTGGAAATAGCTAACAAAACTACATCTGTATGTACTTTTTGACCTAACAATACCATTTCTAGGGTTCTACCCTTCAGATACACCTCCTATAATACAAAAGTACATATGCACTTAAAAAAAAAACTGCCTGAACTTAAAAAATTCTTTTCTCATATTTATGAGTTCTTTTACAGCTTTAGTCATTTTTAAAATATTTATTTTATAATTTCTCTCTCTGATAATTCTATTATTTTTATATCTGCTAACTCCTTCTCTTGATGCATTGTTTCTTTACGAGTTTTGTAATTTTGAATTATGAGCTCATCTTTAGCAAAGTTTATGTGTGGAAATTTTTTAAAACCTTGGTAGAGGTTCTGGGTTAGTTTTTTCCAAAACTGCAGGGATAGTATGAGCCTGGATCCTTCCATATTTTATGTTAATTTCTCATCTTGGGAGCTACCAAATGACCTAACATACACATTTGAACCTCAGACTATAATGAGAATAGGAAGGGAGGTCTTTAATTAAATCCTTTTTCCTTTTTCTTTTTCTTTCTTTTTTTTTTTTTTTTTGAGACAGGGTCTTGCTCTGAAGTGCAGTGGCATGATCATAGCTCACTGCAGCCTCAAGCTCCTGGGCTCAAGCGATCCTCCCACCTCAGCCTCCCAAAGTACTGAGATTACAGATATGAGCCACCGCACCCATCCTTTAATTAAATTATTGAAATGAACTTTGTTTTGTCTGACTCAACACTCAAGCCAAAACAAATGGATTTCCTTATTGTCTCCCATAGCTAGCTGCTCTGGATAGCTGCAGCATCAGTTTCTGCACACACTCTGGTTTTAGTGTGATCTTTGCTGATGGTCCCTGTAAATTTCCCTTTTCTTCTTTCAAGCTTATTTATCTATTTAATAAGATATATTTTCTGTTTCATCTAGAATTTCTAGATATTTGTGACAGTAGGATTTTCAGGTTCTTAGTCCAACATTAGTCAGGAATGAAAACAAGTTATCCATTCTATTAATATTCAGAATGAATTTAAATATTGGGTTTGTTCATAGTGATGATGTTTTTACTCCTTTAGACACAAGTGAGATCAGAGCCTAGCAACATGCAGTTTTTCTTGATGAAGATGGATGACCGAACCTCTGCTGCTGAAAGCATGGTAAGAATTCTAATCAAATCCACGTGCAAATCATTTGGGTAATTTTGTGGAATGTATAATTTACTTTTCTTGGATGACTAAAATAGTGATAAATAAATTAGGTCCATTGACTGTATTTTAAGCCAAGGTAGAGCTAGGTCTTTTAGTCCCTAAAAGTTGTTGTAATTGCTACTGACTACCTGGCATTACAGCAAATGAGGACAGCTTTCTGTTACAATTGGTATTGCTCTTTTCATTCTTGTGATAGCAAAAACATTAGGGGTACCTTGCAGAACAGAAGTATTAATTCATATATTATTTTTAAAATTTTTACTCTATGAGATGTGGTTAGCAGACCTCTTGAAGTTGTAGGCTTGTTTTTTTTTGTTTGTTTTTTTTTTGAGACAGAGTTTTGCTCTTTTTATCCAGGCTGGAGTGCAGTGGTGCAATCTCAGCTCACCGCAACCTCCACCTCCTAGGTTCAAGCGATTCTCCTGCCTCAGCCTCCCTAGTAGCTGTGATTACAGGCATGCGCCACGACACCCAGCTAATTTTGTATTTTTAGTAGAGATGGGGTTTCTCCATGTTGGTCAGGCTGGTCTCAAACTCCCGATCTCAGGTGATCCACCTCCCTCGGCCTCCCAAAGTGCTGGGATTACAGGCGTGAGCCACCGCACCCGGCCAAAGTTGTAGCTTTTGGTTAATACTTAGATGCATCTTCCCTGCCACATCTTAACATTCTGAAATCAGTATGATTTTCACAATCAATATGAATATATTTAATAAAGTAGTAGTTCTTTGTTTCCTAAAAACCTATTAAATTGATAGTGACTTACAATTGAGAGCATCTTATAATTAAGGAAATACATGATAATGAGCCCAAATAAGTAATGTACTTTTTTCTCCCCAACATAATTACATCCTCCACTGGGAATTACACTTAAGAATTTACTTGCATGAGTAGCAAAGAGACACTAGTTTAGCCAACACTGACCTGCAGGTGATGGAACCAATGATGATATAAAAGCCAAGCTGGAGTATCCACAGGAGTGTGGACCTATAATCCCAAATGGCTCAAGAGCAGAACAGCCTCTTAGAGTGGAAGAGTCTTTATAATCTAAATATGAATTCATTTGCAGTGGAACTGTCAGACTTACAATCCTGTAGTGTGCAGTACTCTAATGAAAGGTATAGAAAATTTAAATGGACACTCCACAAAGGAATTGTAGTATATTTCAAAGGGTATATTGAAGATGTGTAAAACCAAGGACGCTTACCAGTTTATATATTAGTAAATACATTTTTAGTCATATTGTACTAGTTACAGCATTTAGCACATCTAAATTGGGCTTATTATTTTCACAAATTAGGTTCAGCTGTTGGATTTGCTTAATGGTCTTTTCATGAAGTACTAAGTAACTCATTTCACAATCTCCTAATCTTTTCTGGCAGATAAGTGTGGTGCTTGGCAAGAAAACTTTGTTTTTTTTAAATCTGAATGAACCAGATAACCCAGCTGATCTTGAATTTCAGCAGGACTTTGGCAACATTGTCTGCTATAATTGGTATGTCTGCTATAACTGGTATGTACAAAAAGCTCATTACAGAAGGACATCTGTAGGTTTTTCCTTACTAATTGTATTCAATTTTTGTTTGTAACATTCAATTCTATACGTCACATTTTCTGATTCATGGTCTGTGATTTAGTATGCAAAACTACCTAGTATATTATCTGACACAAAGTAGGCCCTTGATAAATTATATTCTATAATTCCTTAATTTTAAGGTACTTGCTAATTTACCATGTTGCCACTGATAGCTAATCTCCTTGTTTACCATATTGTTGCCTTCTTTGCTATAGGTATGGTGATGGCCGCATCATGATTGGTTTTTCATGTGGACATTTTGTGGTCATTTCTACTCATACTGGAGAGCTTGGTCAAGAGATATTTCAGGCTCGTAACCATAAAGATAATCTAACCAGCATTGCAGTATCACAGACTCTTAACAAAGTTGCTACATGTGGAGATAACTGGTAAGTTATTTTCACATATTTTTAGGAAAGCTTATATAGTAAATACTTAAGTGAATCAGCCAAACTTTGTTAGCTAATATGAATCTGGCAATCATGTTTACAATTTAAAACGTCTAAGACTACTTTGCTCCTGATTTTAATATTCAGGGCAAAAATATAAAACAAAGTATAGTTGAAAATCAATCTTAAAAATAAAATAGGTAGTTCTGGGTAACATGGAGTAAGCACACTCCACCCCATGTCTCCCACTGAGTACAGCTATAAAACGTGAACAGAATGCATGGAGCAGATATTTAAGGACTCTGAAAAGTAAATGGTAGCAGGCAGATTGGAAAAGAAGACGGAATTTGAAGTGCCAACTAACCAGTGGGGAGTCTCCCACTTGTCCTCTGCTGTCTCACAGCCAGGACTCAAGGAAGTCTGAAACCTAGAAGTAGGCACCAAAGCACAGAGAGAGCTTTAAGGAAACTCTCTGGTTCTGGCTTAAGTTGCAGGAAAGAGAACTTATAATGCTCAAAGGCAGTTGGGGAAATCCCCTGGTTTTCTTTTTCTTTTTTTGTTCTTTGTTCTCTAATGCTCCAGCCACCAAGCAGTCTCCCCATGGCAGTGGCAACAAGAACAGTGGCACCAAGGACCCACAGGCACCTAAAACTCTGATGGAGGATAATCTTCTCTCCAATTAGAGGCTGTGGCTTCAAGAAGATAGGGCAAACCACTATTGCCTATTTTTCTCTCTGTCCTCCCTTGGTCACAAGTGCTCATACAGTGTGGGAATTATGTGGTAGAACAGAGTAACTAGAGATCAAGCATTAATAGAGGACCAAAATTAGGAGACCTAGGGATTGGAAAGTACTAGATTGATCATAGGGAGGAAGGAACTCAGGAAAGCAACCCTGTAAAGATATTTATGAACTCCTGGGTTCATCCTTAAGCGCATATGTATAGACTTATCCTAAACATATACCAAAGACCCTGTGAACTGAACTGAGACATAGATCATAGCCAAGGTCTTATACTAGCCACTGAGTGGGCCATAGAGGGACATATCTGAATACCACTGCAAAGGCGTTGAAAATAGAACTGACATTGAAACCGTCAGCTACAGAAGGCTCCTTGAAACTTGTGGCCTGAACCCAGCCAGGTTGATGGCCTGCTGAAACAAAAATATTAACCTTCTCCATGGGATTTAGATTAGACACAATCTCATAATTTCACAAGGTCCAGAATAGAACCCCAAATTACTTGACATATGAAGAATTAGGAGAATTTTAACTCGCTCAGGAAATAACAATAAAAAAACACCAATGCCAAGATTATGCAGATAGCAGATATAGAAATGCTCCAAGAGGTAAGGGCTAATGCTCTTGAAACAAATGGAAAACTAGAAAGTCTCAGAAAAGAAATAGAACCAATAAAGAAGAACCAAATGGAAATTTTAGAACTATAAAATGCAATAAATTTGATAGACTTAGTAGCAAATGGAGAAAATAAAGAGTCAGTGAACTTGAAGAGAGATCATTAGAAAATATCCAATCTGAACATGGAAGAAAAAAATGAAACAAAATTATTTGTCCCAGAGACCTATTAGACAGTAACAAAAGGTCTAGTATTTGTGTCTTCGGAATCCCAAAAATAATGGCTGGAAACTTTATGGCAAAAGACATAAACGTGCATATTGTAGAAGCTCAGCAAGTCCCCAAAAGGATAAACCAGAAGAAATCTAGAGCTATTCACATCATAATCAAACTGTTGAAAAATAAAGACAAAGAAAAAATCTTGAAAGCAGCCAGAGAGCAACATTTTGAATGACAGTGGATTTTCTCACCGTAAAGCATTGAGGCTAGAAGGAAATGCCACAATATTCTTAAAGTGCTAAAATAAAAGCATTGTCAACTGAAATTCTTTATCCGGTGACAATGTATGTCAGTAAATGAAAGTGAAATAAAAGCATTTTTAGATGAAGGAAAATGAAGAGACTATCTTGCTCTCTAAAAGAACTGCTGAAGGAAGTTCTTCAGATAGAAGAGAACTGAGAACAGAAGGAAATTTGGGACATTAAGAATGAAGGAAGAGCAACAGAAATGGTAAATATCCGGGTAAATATAATAGACATTTTTCTTTTGAGATCTTTAACGTATATGTGATGGTTTAAAAAAAAAATTATAATATTGCTCAGTAGGGTGTTTAATGCATGAAAATGCAATATATAAGACAACTATACTATAAAGGGGAGAGAGGGTAAAAGTTTTTGTATGCGATAAGACTTCTACATTCCACTTGAAATGGCAAAATATTGATTCTAAGTAGACTATGAAAACTTAAATATGTATATTATAATCTAGAGCAACCTCTAAGAAAACTATTCAAAGAAATATACAAAAGCACAATAGATAAATTAAAATGGAATACTAAAAAATGTTCAAATCTAAACAAAGGAAAGAAACAGGAATAAAAACAAATAAAAGAGAGAACAAATAGAAAGCAAATAATAAAGCAGTAGACTTCAATTCAAACATGTCAGCCCATTAAATGTAAGTGAAAAACTTATTAGACATAGACTGAGTGGATTTTTTTTTTTTTTTTTTTTTGAGACAGAGTCTCACTCTGTTGCCCAGGCTGGAGTGCAGTGGCATG
Organism: Homo sapiens; assembly: GCF_000001405.40. NCBI lineage: Eukaryota > Metazoa > Chordata > Mammalia > Primates > Hominidae > Homo > Homo sapiens. Next base: position 39,208,371 of record NC_000004.12, read on the forward strand.
ATCTTGGCTCACTGCAACCTCCGCCTCCCAAGTTCAAGTGATTCTCCTACCTCAGCCTCCCAAGTAGCTGGGATTACAGGTGTGCACCACCATGCCTGGCTAATTTTTGTATTTTTAGTAGAGACGGGGTTGTACCATGTTGGCAGGCTGGTTTCGAACTGACCTCAAGTGATCCACCCGCCTTAGCCTCCCAAAATGGTGGGATTACAGGTGTGAGCCACCACGCCCAGCCTAGAATGTATTTTTAATGACCCTATTAAAAGGGTCATTGTAAGAAATTCACTTCAAATATAATGATATAACCATGTAAAAGGATAGAAAAAGACCATACAAATGCTAACCAGAAGATAGCTACTCTAGCCATCATTTACATTGATATGTTTGAACTTGGCACAGCATTTAACCTTGTATTAGGTACTGTAAGTGACCTAAAGATGACTGAAAGTATATGGGAGGATGTGTATAGGTTATATGCAAATACAACATCATTTATATAATGGACTTGAGCATCTGTGGATTTTGGTATCCACAGAGGGATCCTGGAACCCAATCCTCTTGGGATACTGAGGGACAACTGTAATGTATAGAACCAACTACGCAGAAGGTCAACAAGGATATAAAAGACTAGGTCAGCACTATAAACCAACTAAACCTAATAGAACACTGCACCCAGCAGCAACAAAATTCACATTTTTTTCAAGTGCCTGTGGAACATTCACCACAATAGACTACCCTGGCTCATGAAACAAACTTCAGCAAATTTAAATTGAATCATATAAAATATGTTCTCTGACCATAATGGAATCAAACTAGAAGTCAGTAACAGCAGGAAAACCTGCAAACACTTGGAAATTAAACAACATATTTCTAAATAATTCATGGGTCCTAGAGCCCCAAAGCAATTAAAAAATACATAGAACTGAATGAAAATGAAAATATATCAAAATACGTGGGAGGCAGCTAAAGCAGCCTAGAAGAAAATTTATAGCACTAAATGTTTACATTAGGGGGAAAAAGGGCCTCAAATCAGTAATCTAAGTTTCTACCTCAAGACACTGAAAAAAGGAGCAAGATAAACATAAAGCAAAAGGAAGAATATAATAAAAAGAAAATTGTGAAATGGAAAATGAGAAAATTTTAAATATCAGCCTGACCAACATGGAGAAACCCTGTCTCTACTAAAAATACAAAACTAGCCGGGCATGGTGGTGCATGCCTATAATCCCAGCTACTCGGGAGGCTGAGGCAGGAGAATCGCTTGAACCCAGGAGGCAGAGGTTGCTGTGAGCCAAGTTCGCACCATTGCACTCCAGCCTCAGTGACAGAGCGAGACTCTGTCTCAAAAAAAAAAAAAAAAAATCAATTAAACAAGAAGCTGGTTCTTTGAAGAAAATAAAATTGATACGCTTCTAACAAGCCTGACAAAAATAAGAGAATAGACACAACAAATCACCAATATCAAGAATGAAACAGGAGTATCCATCTGAAAGCCATTATGAGAATAATAAAGGAATACTACAAACAATTTTACACTCAAAATTTGACAACCTAGAAGAAATGGGACAATTCTTTGAAAACTGCAAACTACCAAAACTCAACCCAAATGAAAACAGATCATCTGGATTAGCCCTATAACTACAATAAAATGGAATTAGTGATTTAAATGCTCCCAAAAAATAAATCTCAAGGCCTGTATGGTTTCATTGAAGAATTCTGCCAAACACTTGAGAAAGGATTAATACCAATTTTTTAAAAATCTCTTCTAGAAAATAAAGAGTAGAGAACACTTCAACTTATTTTATAAGGCTAGTATTACCTTTATACCAAGACCAAACAAAGACAGTGTATTAAAAAAGAAAAAGTACAGGTCAATATCTCTCATAAACTTGAGCATGAAAATTCTCAACAAAATTTAACAAACTGAATGTAGCAATGTATAAAAAGAATTATACTTCATGACCAAGTGTGATTTATTTCAGATACTGAAAATATCAAATGGTTCAATATTTAAAAATCAGTGTAATCTATGTCAGGTGCAGTGGCACATGGCTGCTGTAATCCCAGCGCTTTGGGAGGCTGAGCCAGGAGGATCACCTGAAGCTAGGAGTTCGAGACCAGCCTGGGCAATATAGCGAGACCCCATCTCTAAAACAAAATAGCCAGGCATGGCGGCATGTGCCTGTATTCCTAGCTACTCAGGAAGCTGAGGTGGGAGGATTGCTGAGCCAAGGAGTTTGAGGTTGCAGTGAGCTGCAGTTGCATCACTGCACCCTAGCCTGAGCAACAGAGCAAGACCCTGTCTCAAAAAGAAAACAAAAAAAATGTAATCATTCTATCAGAAGCTAAAAAAGACAAACCGTATATATAATCACATCAATTGACACAGAAAAAGCATTGCACAAAGTCCAGCACACCTTCATGATAAAAACTCTCAGCAAGTTAGGAATAGCAGGTAATTACCTCAATTTGATAAAGAACAATATAGGCCAGGCACAGTGGCTCACACCTGTAATCCCAGCACCTTGGGAGGCCAAGGCGGGAGAATCACTTGAGCCCAAGAGTTCAAGACCAGCCTGGGCAATATGGCGAGACCCCATCTCTACAAGTTACCTGTAGTCCAAGCAACTTGGGAGGCTGAGGTGGGAGAATCACTTGAGCCTGGGAGGTTGAGGCTGCAGTGAGCTGTGGTCATTTCCTGTAGTCCCAGCAACTTGGGAGGCTGAGGTGGGAGGATCACTTGAGCCTGGGAGGTTGAGGCTGCAGTGAGCTGTGATCGTGCCACTGCACCCCAGCCTGGGCAAAAGAGTGAAACCCTGTCTCAAAAAAAAAAGAACAACTACAAAAAACCTACATCTAATATCATGCTTAATGGTGAAAGACGGAATGCTCGTCCCTTAAGATTAGGAACAAGACAAGAATATCTGCTCTCATTACTCTTACTCAACCTAGCATTAGAAGTTCCAGCCACTGCAATAGGCAAGAAAAAGAAATACACGGCACTCAGATTAGAAAGGAAGAAGGAAAACTATCTCTATTTGCAGATGTCATGATCATCTTGGGATTTTCTACATAAAAATCTTGGAATTTTCTGCATAAAAGCAACTCCTGGAACTAAAACTAATAAATGAGTTTTAGTTTATTTTTCTGCAAAAAAGCAACTCCTAGAACTAAAACTAATAAATGAGTTGAGCAAGATTGTAGGATATAAGATCAACACACAAAAATTAATCACATTTCTATATACTAACAATGAACATTAACAATGAAAACAAAAATGAAAACCAATACCATTTTCAGTCACTCCAAAGAAACTGAACTGCTTAAGTATACCTCTAACAAAACCTGTACAGTGTCTTTGCTGAAAATTATAAAATGCTGATGAAAGAGATCAAATTAGACCCAAATAAATAGAGAGATATACTGTGTTCATAGATTGAAAAGCTCAACAAAGTGAAGATATCAGTTCCCCCAGGTTGATCTATTGTTTAATGAAATTTATATCAAAATCCCAGCATGCTTCTTTGTAGGCATAGGCATGCTTGTTCTAATATAGACAGACAGAGAGAGAGAGAGAGAGAGAGAGAGAGAGAGAGAGAGAGAGAGAGAGAGAGAGAGATAGATAGATGTAGATAGGCACAGATCCTAAAATAGCCAACAGCAATCTTAAAAAAGAACAATAAAATGGGAGAAATCATTCTTCCCAATATAAAAACTTGTTTAGCTACAATCATCAAGACTATGTATCATTGGCAGAGGAAAAGACATATCAATCAATGGAACAGAATAGAGAAGACAGAAATAAACCCATACAAATATGCACAGTTGGTTTTTGACAAAGGTGAAAAATAATTCAATAAAAGCAAGATACCCTTTTCAACAAATGGTACTGGGGCAATTAGACATCCACAAATGAAAAAAAAATTTTCGACACAAACCTTACACCTTAATAAAAAATTCACTCATGGACTTAAATATAAAATATAAAACATAGGAGGATATCTTTTGGATCTAGGGTTAGGCAAAGAATTCTTAGACTTGAAACCAAAAGTACGATCTATAAAAGGAAAAATTGATAAAGTAGATTTCATCAAAATTTAAAACTTTTGCTTTGTGAAGTACTCTGTTAAAGATGAAAAGATGGCCGGACGCGGTGCCTCACATCTGTAATTCCGGCACTTTGGGAGGCCAAGGGAGGCACATCACCTGAGGTCAGGAGTTTGAGACCAACCTGGCCAATGTGGTGAAACCTTGACTCTGAAAATAAATAAACAAATAAATAAGATGAAAAGATAAGCTGCAAAATGAGAAAATATTTGCAAACCACGTATCCAACAAAGGGCTAGTATCTAGAATATGTAAAGGACTCTCAAGACCCAACAGTATGTCATATGTTTAACATCTGTATATGTTATCAACCCAACACTATGTTGATACTTTTTTTGTTTAAATGTCAATTATCTATTTACATATCAATTTATACAACACGAAAATAATACATTTACTTATATAGTTACCATTAAACAAAAACCCAACAGTAAAAAAAGCAAACAACCCTATTAGAAAATAGGCAAAAGACATAGATTTCACCAAATAATAACAAATACATGAAAAGATACTCAACATGATTAGCCATTAGGGAAGTGCTAATTAAAACCACTATTAGCTATTACTACCCATCTATTAGAATGACTAAAATGAAAAATAGTGATAACACCAAATGTGGGTAAGGATGAGGAGAAACTGGATTACTCATACATTGCTGGTGGGAATGCATCATGGTACAGCTACTCTGGAAAACAGTTTGGCAGTTTCTTAAAAAACTGGACATGCAATTACCATATGATCCAGCAGTTACACATCTGGCCATTTATTCCAGAGAAATGAACACCTACATTCAGATAAAAACCTGTATATGAATGTTTATAGCAACTTTATTTGTAATAGCCAAATACTGGAAACAATCCAGATGTCCTTCAGTGGGTGAATGGTTCATCCATGCCATAGAACACTACTCAACAATAAAAAGGAACAACCTATTGATACACCCAACAACTTGAATGAATTTCCAAAGGATTGCACTGAATGGAAAAAAGCCAGTCTCAACAGGTTGCATATTATATGATTTCATTTATATAATGTTCTTGAAGAGATAGAATTATAAAAACAAAGAACAGATTAGTGATTCCCAGAGGTTAGAGATGGAGCTGGGGTCAGAAGGAAGGAGGTGAGTGTTTATAAAAAGGCAACATGAGAGATCCTTGTGGTCATGGAACTATCTATATCCTGACTATGGTTGTGAGTCTCATGAATCTCATGTGTGAGAAAGTTACTAAACACACACACTGAGTACAAGTAAACACACACACTAAGTACAAGTAAAACTAGGGACGTCGGAATAAGATTTGTGGTTTCTATCAATGTCAGTATCCTGATTGTGGTATTATACTATAGTGTTTCAAGATGTTACTATTGGGAGAAAAGGGGACATGGAATCTCTCTATCTCTCTATATTGCCTCTTACAACTACCTGTGAATCTGAAATTATCTTAAAAGTTTAATTAAATGAAAATAATGAGGGAAAAAAGGTAAGAGGAAAACACTGGAAGAGAAGAGAAGGAGAAAAGGAGGTTAGGAGGAAAGAAATGTTACAACTATTAGTTCCCAACATTGTACTACACAACTTTCATTTACATCAACTTACTTATTCTTACTACAACCTTATGAAATAATGTTATGCCCGCATTTTTCAGAGCTTTCAACCTGATCCTTCTGATCCAAATTTAATGTTCTTTCTATACTATAATTCACTTCCTTTTGTATGAAAGAACTCTGGGCAGGGGAGAAAGGGAACACATTGTAAAGAGAAACCTGTATCATCTTACAATAATTAATACTACTCAGGAGAATATTTTCGTACCCAAATTTCTTCAGGACAATTTTAACCTCCTTATTCCTGAAGCTATAGATCAGAGATTAAGCCAGGCACAACCCTACCCGCCCCCCATCTCTGCACACAGTAAGCAAACAAACAACAACAACAAACCCAAAAGTTTAAAGATAAAATATAATGAAGTACAGAAATTCTAATATTTTCTTAACCCAGTAGATCATTCTGTACATCACATTTTGGAGACCAGTAACCTATTCCATGGTTTGTAATTTTTTGTGAATTAAAACAGTTTTATATAAAGATCATATATATTTTTTAATAATGCATTTTTGTTTTTCAGCATTAAAATCCAAGACTTGGTTGACTTAAAAGACATGTATGTTATACTCAACCTGGATGAGGAAAATAAAGGTATTGATTTTTCTGAAGCAGATTGACATTTTATCATTCCAGTTACAGAGAGTAAGGTTGTGTTTGTTATCGTGTGATTTGCATTCGTTGTAGGAGGAATAATTTTTTTTTTTTTTTTTGAGATGGATTCTTGTTTTGTAGCCCTGGATGGAATGCAATGGCATGATCTCTGCTCACTGCAACCTCCACCTCCCAGGCTCAAGCTATTCTCCTGCCTCAGCCTCCCAAGTAGCTGGGATTACAGGCACGTGCCACCACGCCCAGCTAATTTTTGTATTTTTAGTAGAGATGGGGTTTCACCATGTTGGCCAGGCTGGTCTCGAACTGCTGACCTCAGGTGATCCGCCTGCCTTGGCCTCCCAAAGTACTGGGATTATAGGCGTGAGCCACTGTGCCTGGCCAGAAATAAATTTTAATACTCTTCACTAGAGTTCCCTAAAATAGTCTCCTTATTTTAGTAATTATGTTGTCATACTGCTTGACTAGAAAGATATGTCTACTTTGATCCAGAGATTTATAGTGAATTTTATCCTAATTCTAATGTAAAGTATAAATTCTTATATACAGTCATGACCCACATAATGACGTTTCAGTCCACATACATGGTCCATATTTACTACCTTTTCTTTGTTTCTTTCTTTCTTTCTTTCTTTCTTTTTTTTTGAGACAGCGTCTTGTTTTGTTGCTCAGGCTTACTGTACATTTTCTATATTTAGATATGATTCAATGTGCAAGTACTTACTGCTGTGTTACATTTGCCTGCAGTGTTCAGTACAGTAACATGCCATACAGGCTTATAGCCTAGGAGCAATAGGCTATACCATATAGCCTAGGTACGTAGTAGGCTATTTGATCTAGGTTTGTGTAAGTACACTCTATGATGTTCACACAACAACAAAGTCACCTAATGACAGATTTCTCAGAACATAGCCCTGTTGTTAAGTGACACATAACTGTACTTTCCCTTTGAGCCACAGGGAATGAGCCAGTGCTCATATTCTTATGCCAATCCATGGCAAATTTCCTAGTCTAAAAAAAAAACTACTTAAACTAGTAAGGAAAATATTTGAAAATTGTTATGTCTCTGGTAGCTTAAATGAAAATATTTGTTTGCTGCCTGCAACTATATATTGTTTTTGAATAATCATTTATTTTGTCGATTATTTCAGGATTGGGTACCTTGTCCTGGACTGATGATGGCCAGTTGCTAGCACTCTCTACCCAAAGGGGCTCACTTCATGTTTTCCTGACCAAGCTTCCCATACTTGGGGATGCCTGCAGCACAAGGATTGCCTATCTCACCTCCCTCCTTGAAGTCACCGTAGCCAACCCTGTTGAAGGAGTATGAAAATGGTGTTATTTTTCTTTTATTTATTAATAAAATAAGTTTAGCCGTTGATTTATTACTATTTTCTTTATTATAGGAGCTACCAATCACAGTTTCTGTTGATGTGGAACCCAACTTTGTGGCAGTAGGTCTTTATCATCTGGCTGTAGGAATGAATAATCGAGCTTGGTTTTATGTCCTTGGAGAAAATGGCAAGTCTAAATCCAGTTGTTTATTCTTATCTAGCACATAATTTCTGTTCTTATTTGGGAAGCACTGCAAGTTTCTTTTAGGACCAAGTCTTTCACTCTTTTTTATTCACATATCTCATTCTTAGCTTAAATGGTTTTGTAAGTCTTCTAAAAATTTGCATAATTTTTAGAAAGCTTTTATTCTTTACCTTTGTAGTGAAGGCAGCATAGCATAGTGGGTAGAATGTGAGCTTCAGAATTAGAGAGGCCCTGGATTTAATTTCCCCTTCTGCCTCTGTTAGCTAAGTGACTATAGACAAATCATTTTACACTTGTGAGCCTTACTCATCTGGAAAATGAGGATACTTCTACTTTTAATGGATCATGAGGAAGATTAAATAAAATGCGTGGTCTCACTTGGCACAGTGACTTTTTTTAAGCACTCTTAAACCTAGTGGGTACTTAATAAATGTTAGTTCTGTCTCCCCTTTTATTCTTTGAATAATAGCTATTAGCATGTGAGGAAAACCTTGTTTTGTTTTTTCTTCCCCTGCCTCCTCCCCATCACCTTTCCCCAATTCTAGGTCAGATAACCCTCAGGAATAGAACAAACCTGAAAATTAACCTGTTAAACAGGAAATACCATTAAGTTTCTTGCAACTTAAGGTTTAATTCTTTAATTGTTTTGCATATAATTTTATTTTCTATTACTTTGTTTCAGGTAAACCATAATGGAATGCCTGAAGGCAAATTTATATGGCAACTAAGATTAAAATGAAATTTAATCTTTAAGATTCAATTTAATTATTTAATCATTTAAGATTAAAATGAAATTTTAAGTTCAGAATATTTTTGCAAAAGCACACCTTTTAAAATTATTTGCAAGTAGGTATGAGATAGTTTTACCAACATTTTAATGTGTTGGTTTTTAAAAATTGCTACAGCTGTGAAAAAATTGAAAGATATGGAGTATCTGGGAACAGTAGCCAGTATTTGCCTTCATTCTGACTATGCTGCTGCACTTTTTGAAGGCAAAGTCCAGTTACATTTGGTAAGTATAATTTTGATGTCCTGGAGACGCGCTAAGTTATAATGAACAGCCTAATGTCTGATTATCAAGAATATTGGTCAGGAAGCAAGGATGTACAGACTAACTAGAAAGCCAAGTGTGAGTAAAGGATTAACAAAACCCTTCCCCTTCTATATTAGAAGTTCTGTTGACTTTCTAACCCTGTTCCCCAAAAACCTGATAAATACCAACAGTGCTACTCACAACATAGCCTTTAGTAAAACAGTAATAATAATAATAATTACCCTGTTGGTAAATTGGAGCTAGAAGGAACTATACATGAACTATAAAAACCTGATGGGAATGCCATACCTTTGGGCTTCCTGGAAGGTGTTGACTCATAATCGGGCATTTTGTGTGGGGGGGTCTTTGAAACCATGCCTGCTGAGTTGTTCAAGAGATGTTGGCACCTGTGAAGAGGGGGCTTCTAAGTCAGGGCATCTCTCACATCTGTTTCATGGCTCTTTACATCTAGGAAGACAAAGAGATTAACAATTAAATAGCTGCAGAGCCTGCAGTAAAGACTGTTCACACTAAGAGGGACATCTGTGCTACCTTGCTGGCAAGCCGTGGTTCCTGTGTGATAGCTTTCCAACTAAACTGACCTCTCGTAGTCTTGGGAGCCTGAATGTTTAGGTGAACTTGAGAAAAAGACACCCCTAGATGTTGTATAGATGGTTTACTCAAATAAATCTGTGAGCCATTATTATTCTTTACGTTTTAGATAGAAAGCGAAATCTTGGATGCTCAAGAAGAACGTGAGACTCGGCTTTTCCCAGCAGTGGATGATAAGTGCCGTATCTTATGCCATGCCTTAACTAGTGATTTCCTCATCTATGGTACAGATGTATGTATTGCCTTCTTTTTTAGAGAACACTGGGAATTTTTAATTTTTATTTTGTGATCTCAGTCATTCTCTTTTCCTACCAGTCTTTTTTCTATATTGAATCCAATACAATTAATGAAGTTATCTGTGATTAATTATATACATTCATGTGTCTCTTTGCAGTGGGGATACATTCTGAGAAACGTGTCATTGGGCAATTTCATCATTGTGTGGATGTCATAGAGTGTGCTTACAGGAACCTAGATGGTACAGCCCACTGCACACCTAGCCTGTGTGGTAGAGCCTATTGCTCCTAGGCTACAAACCAGTACAGCATGTGACTGTACTGAATACTATAGGTAATTGTAACACAATGCTATCTAGACATAGACAAGGTACAGTATATGTGTGATATAAAATATTTAAAATGGCATGCCTGTATAGGGCACTTACCATGACAGGAGCTTGCAGGACTGGAAATGGCTCTGGGTGAGTGAGTGAGTGAGTGGTGAGTGAACGTGAAGGCCTGCAGCATTACTGTACACTACCATAGATTTTTATCAACACTGTACACTTAGGGACACTAAACTTATTTAAACATTTTTTCTTCAAAAATAAATTAACCTTAGCTCACTGTAACTTTATAAGCTTTATATTTAAAAAAACTTTTTGACTCTTTTGTAGTAACACTTAGCTTAAAACACAAACACATTGTACAGTTACACAAAATATTTTCTTAAAAAATATTTTATTATATCCTATTCTATAAGCTTTTCCTTGTTTTTCACTTTTTTTAACTTTTAAACTTTTTATAAAAACTAAGACACAAACACACACATTAGTGCAGGCCTGCATAGCATCAGGATCATCAGTATCACTGTCTCCCACCTCCGCATCTTGTCCCACTGAAAGGTCTTCAGCGGGAATAACATGCATGGAGCTGTCATCTCCTGTGATAACAATGCCTTCTTCTGGATACCTCCTGAAGGACCTGGTTGAGCCTGTTTTACAGTTAACTTTTTTTTAATAAATAGAAGTGCACTCCAAAATAAAAATAAAAAGTATAGTATGATAAATACATAAACCAGTAACAGTCATTTATTATCATCATCAAGTATTATGTACTACACATAATTATATGTGCTATACTTTTATATAACTGGCAGCACACGAGGTTTGTTTACACCAGCATCAATACAAACTTCAGGGTAATGCCTTATGCTCTGACATTATGACATCCATGATGTCACTAGGCAATAGGAATTTTTCAGCTCCATCCTGATCTTATGGGACTACCATCATGTACATAGTCCATCGCCAACCGAAACATTATGTGGCGAATGACTGGTACATATATAGAACACACAGGTGGCATGATTTGTTAATATCAGTGGTTTTGTGATTTTTAAGCAATTTTGATGGCCTAGTGAAAAGTTCAGACTTTGGAGACTGGCAAATCTGGGTTCAAACACCAGTTCTATTACTTGCTAGCTGGTGCTTAACCCCTCCAAGCCTTGTTTTCCTTATCTGGGTGCTTTAAGGATTTAATTTGGTGATGAACATAGACAATTCAACTTCAGATCTCTAATGCGTGCATTTAGTAGGCATTCAGCAAATATTAAAATTAATTGAATATTAAGAATCTGACTTCAATTTCTTGGTCCTTTGAACCATGGGTACCCTAAATCTCCAAATATTACATTAGCCACATGCACATAAACTAGTTATAGCATCTTATATTTGTAAACAGTTTTCACAGATTTTTCAAAGCATATCATGCCTGTTACCTTGTTCAGTCTGTAAAAGAATTAAGTTGTTAGAAAATGCTTTGTTTTCCACTTTAGCAAAATAGTGGCCGGTGCAGTAGCTCCCACCTAAAATCCCAGCATTTTGGGAGGCCGAGGCGGGTGGATTGCTTGAGCTTAGGAGTTCAAGACCATCTTGGGCAACATGGCGACACCCCCATCTCTAATAAAAATACAAAAAAATAGCCGGGCGTGGTCATGTGTGCCTGTGGTCCCAGCTACTCAGGAGGCTGAGGTGGGAAGATCACTTGAGCCCCAGGGGTGGGTTGCCAGTGAGCTGAGATCACGCCACTACACTCCAGCCTGGGTGACAGAGCAAGACCCCGTCTGAAAAGCAAACAAACAAACAAAAAAACAAAAAACAATAACAACAAACAAAAAGTTATTTACTACTTTAAAAGTTTCCACTTTCTCACATGAAATTATGATTATCATTATTGTTTTTTAGAGACAGGATGTCACTCTGTCACCCAGGCTGGAGTGCAGTGGCACAATCATAGCTTACTACAATCACAACCTCCTGGGCTCAAGCAATCGTCCTGCCTTATCCTTCTGAGTAGCTAGGACAGATGCATGCCACCATGTCGTGCTAATTTTTAGTTTTTTAAATTATTTTTCTTTTTTCTCTTCTTCTTCTTCTTTTTTTTTTTTTTAGAAACAGACCTCCTTGATTTTTTTTTTTTTTTTTTTTTTTTGAGACAGAGTCTCTCTCTGTCGCCCATGCAATTCTCTGCCTCAGCCTCCCTAGTAGCTGGGATTACAGGTACCCGCCACCACACTCAGCTAATTTTTGTATTTTTAGTAGAGACGGGGTTTCATCATCTTGGCCAGGCTGGTCTTGAACTCCTGACCTCGTGATCCACCCGCCTCAGCCTCCCAAAGTGCTGGGATTACAGGCGCAAGGCACCGTGCCCAGCTGAAACATTTTTTATATTTTCTTTTTATTTATTTATTTATTTATTTTAGAAACCTGCTAATTAATTTTTTTTTTTTTTTTTTTTTTTTTGATGGGGGTAGAAACTGGGTCTCCCTTTGTTGCTTGGGCTGGTCTTGAACTCCTAGTCTCAAGTGATCCTCCTACTTTGGCCTCTCAAAGTGCTGGAATTACAGGCATGGGACACAGGAGCCTGGCCTAAATTATTTTTTTTAAAAGAACATGTTTTAAAGCATGCTTGTTGCCATCTGAGAGACTTTTTAAAATTTATGTTTGACCTAAACTAGTAAGTCTCTGAGATAATATACATCAGTAAGGTAGGTCTCATATATCAGGTAATTTGGTGATATGGAAAAATATGGAATAGGAAATTTGTATGACACTAATAGTTTATAGAGCCCTGATCTCACTTATTTTATCTCATTATCTATAAAATACACAGGGAAATTTTCAGGAGGAAGATACTGAAGATTGAGAGGCTAGCAAGTCTGTAGCAAAGTGGAACTTAAACTAAGATTTCCTGATGGAAAATCTACTCTTTCCACTATGCCACAGTGCTTTTGGAATAAGTGTAGTAGTCTGTTCATAAAGCAGCAACTATCCTGGTTTCATTCTTGAGTGATTCAGAAAATATCATGTTTTTTGGCAGCTTTATTGAAGTTTAATTGATATGCAAAAAAATGCACTATTAAAGTTATACAATTTGGACAGGCGTGGTGGCACATGCCTGTAATCCCAGCACTTTGGGAGGCCAAGGCAGGCTGATTGCCTGAGCTCAGGAGTTTGAGGCTCAGAAATAGTGAACATACTCATCACCCCCAAAAGTTTTCTCCTGCTCCTTTATGATTCCTCCCTCTCATCTGTCCCCACCCCATGCTTTTTCTGTAACTGTAAATGTAATAAATGTTTGTATATTCTAGAGTTTCATATAAATGGAAACATAAAGTATGCACTACTTTTTGTTTGTCTTTTATTCAACATTAATTTTTTTGAGATGCATTATGCTGTTGTGTGTGTCAGTAATTCATTTCTTTTTATTGCTGAGTAGTAGTAGTCTATAGTATGTATATATCATAATTTGCTTATCCAAGAATTATAGGTGAACATTTGAGTTATTTCCAGTTTGGGGTATTTACAAATAAAGCCTCTATCAACATTCATGTTCAAGAAACTGGTAAACTGTTCTCTAAATCGGTTGTACCATTTTACATTCCCATCAACAGTGTGTGAGTGTTCCAGTTCCTCTCTGTCCTCACCAAGATGTGACATAATCAGTCTTTTTCATTTTAGCCACTCTAATAGATGTGTAGTGGTATCATTGTTATTTTAATTTGGATTCCTAATGAACTAATGATGTGGCACTTAGCATATGTTTATTTGCTTTCTGTATATCTTTGGTGAAGCGTCTGTTCAAATTTTTTGACCAATTTTTGATTGAGTTGTTTTCTTATTGATTTATGAGAGTTCTTTATATATATTTGGATTCAACTCCTTTATCAGATGTATGCTTTGCAAATATTTTCTTCCAGCGCACAGATTGTATTTTTATTCTCTTAATAGTGTCTTTCAAAGAGAAGATTTTTTTTAATGTTTACAAAGTCCAGTTTATCAATTTATTTTTTCATGGATCATGCTTTTGGTGTCATAGCTAAGAAATCTTTGCCTAACCCAGCGTCACAAAATTTTTTCCTATGTTTTCTTCTAGAAATTTTATAGTTTTATGTTTTGCATTTAGGTCCATTGAGTTAAATTTTGTTTATGCCATGAGGTATAGATCACTTTTTGCAAATGATATCCAGTTGTTCCAGCACCATTTTTTGAAAAGATTATCCTTCTCTATCTTGCCCTGAATAGAAGTCCAAAATGTTACCTTTTTTTAAATTTTAATTAAACTTTCTGTTTTGAGATCCTTGTAAAATTCACATGCAGTTGTAAGAAACAACGCAGAGAGAAGTCCTAGGTACCCCTTTACCTAGTTTCCCGCAGTGGTAACATTATAGTAATCACAACCAGGATATTGACATTGGTACAGTCAACATACAGAACAATTCTGCTGCCACCCCATTCTTAACCCCTGGTAACAACTTGTTCTCCATTTCCATAATTTTGCCATTTCAATAATGTGTAAATGGAATCAAACAGTATGCAATATTTTGAGATTGGCTTTTTTTTCACTCAGCAGACTTCTCTGGAGATTCATCTAAGTTGTGTGTATCCATAGTTTGTTCCATTTTGTTATTGAGTCGTATTCCATGGTATGGATGTACTTAGTTTGTTTAACATTTGCCCATTGAAGGGCATACGGACTGACAGCCAAGTGGAGTTTCTTTTTGAGGTTATGAAATGTTTTAATATTGATTGTGATGAAGTATTGCACAACTCTATGAATATACAAAAAACCATGGAGTTGTATCCTTTAAGAGGGTGAATTTTATAGTGTGTAAATTATATCAATAAAGCTATTAAAAATAAGAATAAAAGTACAGTCCTCTTTGTTTTTCATTTTTTGTTTTTGTTTTTGTTTTGAGATGGAGTCTCGCTCTGTCGCCCAGGCTGGAGTGCAGTGGCGCGATCTCAGCACACTGCAACCTCCACTTCCTGGGTTCAAGAGGTTCTTCTGCCTCAGCCTCCTGAGTAGCTGGGATTACAGGCACACGCCACCACGCCCAGCAAATTTTTGTATTTTTAGTAGAGACGGGGTTTCACCATGTTTTAGTAGAGATGGGGTCAGGCTGGTCTGGAACTCCTGACCTCGTGATCCACCCACTTCGGCCTCCCAATGTGCTGGGATTCCAGGCATGAGCCACCACGCCTGGCCAAATACAGGCATCTTTAAAACAGGAAAAAGAATCAGTTGAACATATCTGTCTCTATTTCAGGCTTCCATTGATCTGTGTATCTGTTCTTCCACCAATACTACGCAGTCTTGATTACTATAGCTATAAAAAGAAAGCCTTAAAATTGGGTAGACTAATTTCCCACTTTATTTTCTAAATTGTTTTAGCTCTTCTAGTTTATCAGTCTGTATAAATTTTAGAATAATTGTGTGTCTATCTACAAAAAAATCTTGTTGAAATTTCTTTTATTAGAATGATATTAAACCTTTATATCAGATGGGAATAATTAACATGTTAATTTCCCATCCATGAACACAGTATACCTCTCCATTTAGTTAAATATTTTGTGTCTTTCATTAGTGTTTTATAATTTTCAGCATACAAGTCCTGGGCATGTTATGTTTAAGTTTATACCCAAGTATCTCATTTTTTGAGTAATTGTAAATGGTATTGCATTTTTAATTTGGTATGTACATGTTCATTGCTAATATACATTCAGTTGATTCTATCAGGTGGATTTTTTTGTCTTAAAATTAATTTTCTAATTTATTAATAGCAAAAAATTGAAATAATGTATTTAAAAGTTACTCCTATATAATAGGGGTATTTCTAGCAAGTAGGAAATCTAAAAATCAATTATGCTTTAATATCACTAAGAATGTTAGAATTAATAGACTGTTTAATCACAGGTACAGTCCCATTTTATTTTTATTTTTATTTTTTATTTTTTATTTTTTTGAGTCAGAGTCTCGCTGTATTGCCCAGGCTAGAGTGCAATGGTGCAATCTCGGCTCACTGCAACCTCTGCCTCCTGGGTTCAAGCAATTCTCCTGCCTCAGCCTCCCAAGTAGCTGGGATTACAGGCGCCCGCCACCATGCCCAGCTAATTTTTGTATTTTTAGTAGAGATGGAGTTTCACCATATTGGCCAGGCTGGTCTCTTGGCCAGGCTGGTCTCGAATTCCTTACCTTGTGATCCGCCCGTCGTGGGCTCCCAAAGTGCTGGGATTACAGGCAAGAGCCACTGCGCCCAGCTTTTCCCATTTTATTTATTTTCTTGAGTCTGTACCTTTCACATATACTAAATATTATTCTTAGATACTTCATCAAAAACATGACATTTTTCTCTTAAAATTAGAACATATGTTTAATTTAAATGTTGAAAGTTAGGATTTCCTTGACTACCTTTTATATTTTCATGGCTGGATTTTTTTTTTTTTTTAGACTGGTGTCGTTCAGTATTTCTACATTGAAGACTGGCAATTCGTTAATGATTATCGACATCCTGTCAGTGTGAAAAAGATTTTTCCCGACCCAAATGGGACCAGATTAGTTTTCATTGATGAAAAAAGTGATGGATTTGTTTACTGTCCAGTAAGTCTGGAACATTTTTAAATGTTTATTTTTTGAAATGCAATATAGGGAAAAAAAGTGTTTAAAGCCTATCTCATGTAAAATTTTCTATTAATTAGTGCCAAGGATTGTAGTTCTTTGCTGTCATCTTCATAATATCATGTTTATGATAGATTTCTCATATCAAGAAAACTTTTTCCATTATTCTGTAATTTTTCATAGTGGCCATCCCAGAAAGATTTTTAATGGGAAAAATAGTTATTATATCCTAAACCACTTTCAAACTTATCATATACTTACTGCACAATACAATAATTATAGTGTATCTGCCTGTACATGACTTTTCTCTCCCAATAGGCAGTGAGCTTATCTGTGCCTTCTGCCCACCTCAGTTGATTTTCCTCTTTCCTTGAAGATCCTGAGCACAAGGAACAGGTATTTCTGTATTAGATGAGTAAAAATGGATGAACCCATTTTAAAAATCAGTCACTCATATTTTTAAACATCCTTAACTTTTTTGAAAATAGATTTAGAAAAAAGGAGATGTGCCTTTACATTAGTTAACTACAATTGGATTTTTCATTTACTTTTTATATCCTGTTAATGGTTTACTGTGTTTTTGGTCAAATTCACATAAGCTACAGCTGCTTGTGGACCCATCCTTAATACTGTTTCCAGGTGCCTAGGTCTCACTGTGTTGTCTCCCCAATGTAAACAGCCTGCTCCTCACTGCTACACTTCACTTGATACAAAGACTTACTTCCTCCCCATGCCCGCCCCTTCTTCCTTTCCTTTCCTTCCCTTCCCTTTCTCTTCCCTTTCCCTTCCCTTCCTTTCCTTCTCTTCTCTTTTTCTTTTCTTTCTTTATTTGACAAGTATAACAAATTTCCACAGATGTACCTGGATTATATATGCCAAATTCCTAATCTGCTAGTTCTTAGTCAATGCATTCCTCTCCCAATTGCAAAGCAAATGAGGATGACATAAATGAAGATAAACCTCGAGTTTCCTCTACTTAATACAGAAATTCCACCTTGTATAGGTTTCCTTTCTATAACAGGGAACTAATTAGAGCTGCCTTGAATTTCCCCTGTGTGCGTTCACCACAGTTAGAAACTGTGGCTTAGACAGAATATACAAGAGAGTAGGAGGGTAAATCAGGTATCTGTCAGGAGTTAAATTCAGAAATAGGGTGTAGCTGCTAGGAAAAGGGTAAGGAGTAAGGTCAGCCTTAAACAAGGTGATTTCAATCATTTTTACTTTCTCCATTTACAGTTCTCTTTTTCTTGATAATTTCTGTTAAAGAGCTCTCACTTTGATTGGATTTCCAGTTTTTCTGTCTGTCTAAGATGGAGACAGTTCTAGTACCTACTTTGTAGGGTTGTTAAATGAAAAGTAAATAGGATGATGCATGTAAGCTTTTAGTATAGTGTTAGCCACATAATAAGCACTAAATCTTTTTTGAAAACAGTTCGGCCACTAGTCCAGTGGCACTGATGTGCTCATCTATACAAAGTGAGAATCAGTATAGCATAGTGGTTAGAAGCAGAGACTCAGGAGCCAGACTGCCTGGGTTCAAATACTGGCTCGTCAGCCTACTAGCTGTGTGACTTTGGGCAGATTTCTCTGTACTTTAGTTTCTTCATCTGTAAAACGGGAATAATAATAGTATCTGTCTTCTAGAGTATAAGGTTAGAATTAAATGAAGTAATTAGTACAATATCTTGTAAGTAGCACTGTCCAATACAAATATAATGTGAACCAAATATGTAATTAAAAATTTTCTATTAGCTACATTTTTAAAAGATAAAAAACGAACAGATGAAATTAATTTTAATATATTTAATTTAACCCTTGAGGAATCGCCACACTGTCTTCCACAATGGTCGAACAAATTTACATTCCCATTAACAGTGTAAAAGCGTTCCTCTTTCTCCTCAGCCTTGCCAGCATCTATTGTTTCTTGACTTAATAATCGCGATTCTGACTGGTGTGCAATGGTATCTCAATATTATCATTTCAATGTGTAATTGAATATAAAAAAAGTAATGAGATATTTTACAATCTTTTTTTCATGCGAACTCTCTGTGTAGTTTACACTTAAACATATCTCAATTCGGACTTGGCACATTTCAGTGCTTAATAGGTACATCTGGCTACATGTAGATGTTATAATAGCAACTACTATGTTAAATAACACAGCTTTGTAGTATGAATTATTATTTGCAAGAATTTTATATTTCATTCTCATTTTGAGAGTAGGATGAGGCAGATATTTTTCAGTTCCCTATTCAGGATATATACAAGCCTACCTGCCTGAGTTCACAGGACTTATATGGACTGATTTTTGTAAACAGCTTATTTAGTATAATATTACAGTCAGCCCACCCTATCTGTGGGTTCCTCATCCATGGATTCAGCCAACTGTAGATCAAAAATATTCAGGGGAAAAATGGATGGTTTTGTCTGTGCTAAACCTGTGCAGAAAACTTTTGTTGTCTATATTCCCCATACAGTATGACAACTATTTACATAGCATTTATATTGTATTAGGTATTATAAGTAATCTAGAGATGATTTAAAGTATAAGGGAGGGTGTACATAGTTTATACACATATTACACCATTTTATTCAGGGATTTGGCCATCTGTGGGTTTTGCTATCCGTGGGAGATCCTGGAACCAATCCCTCATGGATGTTGAGGGATGATTGTATATTTATATTTGTTGACATGCATTTTAGAGAAGCTTTTGAAATAAAGTATCCCTAGTGTAATTTACTTCAATCATGTGAGTTAATTTGTTTCTTAATACCCACTATTATCAAATACTCAGTATTATTGAAAAATTTCTAAACACAAGTACAAGTGTGTTCGTAGTTTAAATTTCTGTCATCCTGAGCAGCTTTAATTTTTTTTCCTTAACCTGAAGCTTTGTGTCTAGACTTGTGGGTTCTCCTACAAATTTGCCAGATTTTAGATCAAACCTTGGCTTTTCCAAATAACTATAGTTTTTTCAAGCCAGACCTAGGATAGGAATGGAAAAAGAAACTTTCTTTCCTGTTGTTGTTGGAGTGATGTTAGGTTGAATATGACTCAGTAAGCTAAGCCAGCTAAGGCTGCAAACAGGCTTCTACCACGGCAAATGATAATGATTCAAGTACAGACTTGGGGCAAATCTGTAAATTTTATTTTGTAGGTCAATGACGCTACCTATGAGATTCCAGATTTTTCACCAACCATTAAAGGTGTTCTTTGGGAAAACTGGCCAATGGATAAAGGTGTATTTATTGCTTATGATGATGATAAGGTGTACACTTATGTCTTTCACAAGGACACTATACAAGGTACTAAACCCCTTTTGTGTATATTCGCTGACAGATGAATTTCCCATTGCAGTAAAATTAAAACATTCTTTCTGATGTTTGTGCTGAGTATTAGCTTTCAGCATTGCGATGTCTGTTTTATAATGTAGGAGCCAAGGTTATTTTGGCTGGTAGCACCAAAGTTCCTTTTGCTCATAAACCTTTGCTGCTATATAATGGAGAGCTGACCTGCCAAACACAGAGTGGAAAAGTAAACAACATCTACCTTAGCACCCATGGCTTTCTCAGCAACTTAAAAGATACGGGGCCTGACGAACTGAGACCAATGCTGGCACAGAATTTAATGCTAAAGAGGTAGGCTTTCACACACTTCTTTTGGAACTTCTCATTTGCTTTTGTGATTTTAAAGGTCAAATCCTATAATTATTCTATCTTATTTTATTGCTTTATTCTTTATCCTTGCAAGAATTTTTTTTTTTTTTGTAAATGTAGAAGTACAAGTGCAGTTGTGCTACATGGATATAGTGCATATGGTGAAGTCTGGGCTTTTAATGTACCCATCACCAGAATAGTGAACACTGTACCCAGTGGGTAGTATTTTATCCCTCAACCCTGTCTCACCATCCCGCCTTTTGGAGTTGCCAGTATCTATTATTCCACCTGTATGTCCATGTGTACCCATTGTTTACCTCCCACTTCTAAGTGAGAACATGCAGTTTTTGACTTTGGGGCATTTCACTTAGGATAATGACCTCGAATTCCATCCATATTGCTGCAAAAGACATGATTTCATTTTTTTAATGGCTGAGTAGTATTCCATAGTGTGTATATCTATATATACACACCACTTTTTAAAATCCAGTCATCTGTTGATGGACACTTAAGTTGATTCCATGACTTTGCTATTGTGAATAGTGCTGCAGTAAACATATGAGTGCAGGTGTCTTTTTGATAAAATGTCAAATCCTATTCAATAGATGGAGATAACAGCACTTACCTTGTTCATTTCACAGGGATATTGTGAGGCTCAGATAAGATAGTCAGCTGTTTTTATTATGAGTACTTTATTACAAGAAAAGCCCTTAAGAACAAAACGGTTTCTAAGCTTCCAGAGAGCCTAGTTATTGGGAAATCCTAATAAAATAAACCTAATTATTTCAACAATATCTTGACTTCATCATAGTGAGGTTTGATTTTGCTTTGCTTATAATTTCCTTTTACTGTTTTTTTCTCTTATCTCCTAGAGCCACCGTGAATTCCTTTGACGTTCTAATTCTTCCGAGCCTCTCTTAAATGCTGCTGTTTATTGGGGTCTCATGAGTTTCCTTCTCTTCTTACTCTAATTATTCTTCCTGAGTGAATCTCCTCTGCTTA
Organism: Homo sapiens; assembly: GCF_000001405.40. NCBI lineage: Eukaryota > Metazoa > Chordata > Mammalia > Primates > Hominidae > Homo > Homo sapiens. The sequence continues at coordinate 39,229,711 of NC_000004.12, forward strand.
ACATGGCTCAACATACCACCCATATGAAGCTGACTCTAAAATCTGTGTCTTTATCTTAAACCTGTACTTACAACTACCTTCCAGTCATGTGTCCTTGGAAGTCCATGAGCTCTTCAAACTTGCCCTTTCTAAAACTGAACTCATCAATTTCCACAGGCCCCTATTTTCCCTCACTGTAATCACACATGCACATGCCTTAACACACATATACACCAGCTCCTTTCCTCCTCCCGTGTTCCCTCATCTTTACCCAGGCCCTCACCTGGAATAATGTGTAATGTAACTAACCACTTCCTAACTGCTCTGTCTGCCAATAGCCTTGTAACGATCTCATCTGTTCTCCACACACTTTTGAAGATGTGATTTGATCCTCTTATTTCCCTGCTCAGGATCCTTCAGTGACTTTCTATTGCCTTTACAAACAAATCCATTCCTGGGGGACCTCTATGACCTACTAGGCACTTCATGATTTAACACCAGCTCAACTGTCTCCACTCAAGTCCCTCTCTGTTCCACTGGCTGCTGAAATTGCATATATTTCATGATTCTTCCTGGAATGCCCTTTCCCTGCTCTGAATGTAGTAACCCCTCTTTCTTTACCCATCAGCGATAAGTGGAGCCATCTCCTGCTCCAGGAAGCCTTCCCCGACTTCCCCACCACCACAGGCAGTCCTGCTTGGGGTCTTTCTGATGTGTTGCCTCAGAGCCAGGATGCAGTATACACAGTGGTGAAGAGCATGACACCACTTACCTCTGTGTGCCTTGGGCTAGTCTTTTGACGTCTCTAAGCCTCATTTTCCTAATCTATAAAGGAGACATAATAATAATACTTAGTGGGTAGGGTTATTAGGGTAAGAGAATTTATGCAAAAGACTTAGCACAAAGAGTTACCTATTGTAAGTACTCAGTTACCTCTGTCAAACTATGCTATAGTCATTTGTTTCCTTATCTGTCTCTTCCACCTTCCCCAATTGTGACTGCCTTAAGGACAGCAACTGTGGTTGATTTTTGTATCATGTTTCCAAGCATGTAACGAGTTCAGTAAATGTGTGTTGGATGAAAAAATGGATAGGTGAATAGATAAATGGATGAATGAATAGATAGATGGATGTAATATATTCACTCATGTAGAGGTTCCACAAAAAGTTTAATTGGCATTTATGTTCATGTTTTAAACCAGAGGTCGGAAAACCTTTTGTGTTAAGGTCCAAATGGCAAATATTTCAAGCTTTACGGGCCATAGGGTCTCTATCGCAGCTACTCAGTCTGGCTGTTGTAGCAGGAAAGTGGCCACAGACAATCCATTAAAGAGTGGGCTGGGCCGGGGACGGTGGCTCACACCTGTAATCCCAGCACTCTGGGAGGCCGAGGCGGGCGGATCATGAGGTCAGCAGATCAAGACCATCCTGGCTAACACGATGAAACCCTGTCTCTACTAAAAATACAAAAAATTAGCCGGGTGTCATGGCATGCGCCTGTAGTCCCAGCTATTCGGGAGGCTGAAGCAGGAGAATAACTTGAACCCAGGAGGCCGAGGTTGCAGTTAGGTGAGATCACGCCATTGCACTCCACCCACCCTGGGCAACAGAGTGAGACTCCGTCTTCAAAAAAAAAAAAAAAAAAAAAAGAGTGGGCTGATCAGTGACTTTGTTCCACTCAAGCTGTATTTTCAAAACAGCACCTGACTAGATTTGGCCCATAAGCCATAGTTTGCTGACCCCTGTTTTAAACTTCTAAATTTATAGGAATAGAATACTAATTTTATTAGACTTATATGAGAACAAAAATAATATTCATCTATGTGTGAAATAAAAAGAAATAAATGAATAGGATTAGCTTAGTTAATTGAGTAGGCTTATTACAGAGTAGATTCAGATTAATAAAAGAAATTTAGGGAAAAACATTTATCTGTAAAAAAAGGAAGAAAGCTTAAGTGTTTTTTCATTACTTGTAAATGACAATTACAGGTTAAGAAATGTTTTAGACAGTTTATCTGGGGCACGCTATTAGATGACATGTAGTCTGAAAATTGCCTAACATGTGGCAAGTGGAACATTCTGATTAAGCTTATGTTCTTACATCCCAGGTTTTCTGATGCTTGGGAAATGTGCAGGATTCTGAATGATGAGGCTGCCTGGAATGAGTTGGCCAGAGCTTGTCTACATCACATGGAAGTGGAGTTTGCAATCCGTGTTTATCGGAGAATTGGAAATGTTGGCATAGTGATGTCCTTGGAACAAATAAAGGTAAACAGCATGTTATAGAATTATCAAGTTAAAATTTAAATGCTATTTTAAGTTAAATGCAGTCTAAATTTTTTGCATTTAATCTTACCTCTTAAACAAGTGAATCGATAGAACGTTACCACTTCCTACTGATCAAAGTCCTTAAAAAAAAAAAAAAGTTAAACTCTTGCATTTTTTTTCTCATCAGAATTGCTTTTATTTGTAGGGAATAGAGGACTACAATCTTTTGGCAGGACACCTTGCCATGTTTACCAACGATTATAACCTGGCTCAGGACTTGTACCTTGCATCCAGCTGTCCTATTGCTGCCCTGGAGGTATGGCAGCAAGTAAGAATGGAAATTGTGTAAGAGGTATCCAGTGGGGAAATGGGGGAAAAAAAAATGGGGCCGGGTGCAGCCGCTCACGCCTCTAATTCCAGCACTTTGGGAGGCCAAGGTGGATGGATCGCCTGAGGTCAGAAGTCCTAGACCAGCCTGACCAATATGATGAAACCTCATCTCAGCTAAAAATACAAAAATTAGCCGGACGTGGTGGCATGTGCCTGTAATCCCAGCTACTCAGGAGGCTGAGACAGGAGAACTGCTTGAACCTGGGAGGTGGAGGTTGCAGTGAGCCTGTAATCCCAGCTACTGTAATCTCCTGCCCCAGCAGGAGAATTGCTTGAACCTAGGAGGCAGAGATTGCAGTGAGCCAAGATTGTACCACTGCACTCCAGCCTGGGTGACAGAGCGAGACTCCGTCTCAAAAAAAAAAAAAAGGAAAGAACATAAGAATATCAAAGGAGGATCACCCCTTCTATATAATTAAAATTTCTCAGCACAGACACTATATGCCTTCCCCCTCCTAAAATTCAAACATGTCAGTTTAAGAACCCCTGAGTACTCATTAATTATAATGTTAATCATTAAAATTATAATTCAAAAATGTTTATTCTGCATTTTGTGGAGGTATAAAATGCATGGTATTATAACATTACTAATTGAAATCTAAATGTGTCCAAAGAGAACAGATTGTGTAAATTACAAAAACATATACAAGGAAAAATATCACCATATATTGAGTGCTCATGTGGGCCAGGCATTTTTCTAAGCACTTATCATGTATTAATTCATTTAACCCTCCCAACAATCCTATGAGATAGGATTGGTTTTTTCTCTATTTTCCAGATGGGAAAACCGAGGCACATTTATCCTTATTGTGTGAAATTCTGTTGTGTATTAAAAGGTGAGCTAAGGACTAGTGTACCATCACTGGTTTCCCAGAGGTGAGCATTGCAGGAGAGGGCCTAGAGCAGGATGAAGGGCCTGGTTAGTTCAAGGGCAGGGAAGAAGGGAAACCTGGCAATATAGACTAGCAATGAGGGGCATAGACTTCACAGTCAGACATGTCTGGGTTCAAATTCCAGCTCTGTGTAAGCTTGGACATGTTATTTAACCTTTCTGAACCCTAGATCCTATTTCTTTAAAGTAGGAAGAATAATATCTAACCCACGGGATATTTGTAAGGATTTAAAAATGAGAATGAGGTCTTTTAGCACAGTGCCTGATCAATAGTAAAGACACATAATTAGCTATTGTAATCATTAATATTATTTCACCTAAAACTGGCATTTCTACAACTATGTAAAAGAGCTTGTTTTGGGAGCGTTTGTTATTAATTTTACAACTTTCCTTTTACAAATCATTCTATAGCAAATTTTCATTTTTAAATTTTAAGTGAACTAAATTAACTTTGTTATAAGAAAAATTTAGGTAATTTTACAGTATTATTTAAGATAATTGGGACACCCTGAGAAGTTTTCAAAACTTGGATTAGTACTCACTGAAATAGGAATATGGCTGCGATGACTGAGGGGAAATATATCATCTCAACTCTTTTGCATTTAACTGTGGGCACTTGTCATGTGCTGCTAGACTTGGAAAGGATTTGAGGTAATGGATTGATAATGGAGAGGGGTGATTACTCTTTAACCTCACTTTGAAAGCTGATGAGTTAACCAGGTGAAGAGTTCAGAGGCAGAGCCCTACTGCCCAGCTCTGTCATGTACCAGCTGTGTAACCTTATATACAGAGGAGCCTCTGTTTGCCTCAGTTTCTGGATCTCTAAAATGGATACAAGAAAGTATTAATAAATTGCAAAAGGGTAGTTGTGAAAGATAAATAAGCTAATCCCCTAGAACAGTATCTGGCAGATAATAACACTTGAAAAATGTTAGCTATTATTGTTTAGGAAGTATGAATAAAGTGAGGAATGAACTTTAAAAGATTAATGATGAGTTTATATTTAGAATTATGTACCAGGCAGAGAAAAAAGACCACAGGAACATATATTTACATTTTAGTTACATTTGCTATTACTCTTGTGATAGAGCTTCAGATTTTCTAAGAAAAACACACCAATTCCTATAGCAAAGTGTTCTCAACTTTTTAGAATCACTACCTTCTAAAAATAAAAATTAACTTTAATTTAATTGATTACATTAATTTAATTTGATTACTCCTTGCTGAGAAAAATTAAATACTAAGGACTAAGATTTTGTTAGATACGACTGAGTTTTGGAGGGCCACAAACCATTATAATAGCTAAGATTTTTTTGCCCCTCCAAGAATCAATTTTTGCCTCCTTCAGGGCTCTATCAAGACCCTATTGAGAATACATACTATAGTAATATATTATCATTGTAAAGATCAAGTTTCATTATTTAAACAAAAAGGTTTTGTAATTAGTTTTATTAAAACTAGCTCTTTGTGGTAACTTTGCAAAATAATTTTGCTCATTTGAAATTAAGGTCTTTCTCTTCTTAACAGATGAGAAGGGATTTACAGCATTGGGACAGTGCTCTACAACTGGCAAAGCATTTGGCCCCAGACCAGATACCTTTTATATCAAAAGAATATGCTATTCAGCTTGAATTCGCGTAAGTCTTTGTTTTTATACATTTCAGTCAGTAGCTAATGACTGCAAATATCTTCAGTTCGAAACTTCCATTAATGATAAGGCCCTCCATTGATTTAATAATTTTTTTAGAGAAAAAATACTGTATTAATTATATATCTGAAAAATGTTTTTTCTAACAATGTCTTATCCATGCATTATCCACTTTAAGTTTTCAGCATCAAAATCTAAGTCTGGATCTAAGCTGTTTCTGCATTTAGAATCTAAATGTTATTATTATTTTTTTTAATAGAGACAGGATCTCTCTCTGTTACCCAGGCTGGAGTGCTGTGGTATGATCATAGCTCACTGTAGCCTTGAACTCCTGTGCTCACGTGATCCTCCCTTCTCAGCTTCCTGAGTAGCTGGGACTATAGGCATGCACCACAAGGCCTGGCTAATTTTTAAATTTTTTTTAATTTTTAGAGAGACAGGGTCTCACCATCTTGACCAGGCTGGTCTCCTGGGCTCAAGTGATCCTCCCAGCTCAGCCTCCCAAAGTGCTAGGATTATAAGCGTGAGCCACTACGCCCAGCCTAATTATTATTTTTAATCACATGTGGCCATCAACAACTATGCATAGCATCACACTGCTTTTCCTAACTTATGTTCATGGTTCTGACCTCCTTTAACACTTTGAGGATTTGCTCTGTAATTTCAAACCATAGTGAAAAACACCAAGGTTTCATCTACATTTTCTATTTGCTTAGAATTATAGTTTTTTCTAACAAAAGTAGACAAATGGGACTTAATTAAACTAAAAAGCTTCTGCACAGCAAAAGAAACAATCAACAGAGCAAACACAACCAACAGAATGGCAAAAAATATTTGCAAACTATGCATCCAGCAACAAGCAAATATCCAGAATCTGCAAGGAACTCAAACAACTCAACAAGAAAAAAAAAATAACCTATTAAAAACTGGGCAAAGGACATAAATAGACATTTTTCAAAAGAAGACATATAAGCAGCCAACAAAAATATGAAAAAATGCTCAATATCATTAATCATCAGAAAAATGCAAATTAAAACCACAATGAAATACCGTCTTATACCAGTCAGAATAGCTATTATTAAAAAGTCTAAAAATAATAGATGTTGGTAACGATGTAGAGAAAAGGGAATGCTTATATACTGTTGATAGGAATGTAAATTAGTAGAACCTTTATGGAAAACAGTATGGAGATTTCTCAAAGAACTAAAACTAGAACTATCATTCGACCCAGTAATACCACTACTGAGTGTATACCCAAAGGGAAAGAAATCATTATATCAAAAAGATACCTGCATTCGTATGTTTATTGCAACACTATTCATAATAGCAAAGGTAAAGAATCAACCTAAGTGTCCCATCAGTGGAGCACTGGAGAAAGAAAATGTGGTATACACACACACACACACACAGACACACACACCATAGAATACTACTCAGCCATAAAACAAGAATAAATTGTGTCTTTTGCAGCAACATGGGTGGAACTGGAGGCCAAAAAGAAGTAACTCAGAAAGTCAAATACTGCATGTTCTCACTCATAAGTGGGAGCTCAGCCATGGGTACACAAGGACATACAGAGAGGAATAACAGACACTGGAGACTCCAAAAGGTGGGAGGGTGGATGAGGGTTGAAAAATTACCTGGGTACACTTAAAGTCCAGACTTCACCACTACCCAATATATGCATGCAAAGACCTCCACTTGCACCTCACAAATACATATATTTTTTTAACTAAATGATTTTTTTATTACAGTTTTTCTTTCTTGAGTTGCACATGTATGAAAATTAGACAATTGCTGTTGCAATTCAAGCCAAAAACTCTTCCCAGGAGGATATTGAGTGCTTGAGTAATAGTCCTTTATGATGCATGAATAGGAGTCACAAATCTCTCTTGCCTTTGGAAATTCCATAATCTATTCTGAGAAATTTAGAATTTTCTAGTGATCTTAATTGCTAGACCCTCTTAATTGTCAATAGTCTTAATTGACAGACTATACATTTTTATTGCAGTGTTGCATCGAAGTGTAATTTTAGAGGCATTTAGGATCCAGTTTTAAGTTAACATTCAGCCATGGTTGGTGCTACCAATGCAAATATCTGCAGAGAAAATAAATGAATAATTTATTTGCAAATATAATTTTGTACATGTATGTGTAATGACAACCAATTTCTTTTGACATTTATTATGATATATTCCAACATTCAAAAATATTAAAATATGGAAAAAGATTAGTCTTTAAACAAAGAAAGTATAGTTCTAACATTTGATTTTTTCTATAAAACATTTTTACATAATTCTACTTTACTGTCATAGAGACTTTGGATTCATTGAGAATACTGACACATAAATTCGTGTTGTAGGAGTTATTCTGTCAAAAAGTACTCTTTGGACCAGGTACGGTGACTCATGCCTGTAATCTTAGCACTTTGAGAGGCCCAAGGGAGGAAGACTGCTTGAGCTCAGGAGTTTGAGACCAGCCTTGGCAACATAATGAGAACTTGTCTCTACAAAGAAAAAAAAAAGAAAAGCTAGCCAGGCCTGGGGTCACATGACTGTAGTCCCAGCTGCTAGAGAGGTTGAGGTGGGAGGATCACTTGAGCCCAGAAGGTTGAGGCTGCTGTGAGCTGTGATCACGCCACTACCCACCAGCCTAGGCAGTGGAGCAAGACCCTGTCTCAAAAAAAGAAGTACTCTTTCATTTCTAACCATGATATCTTATTTCAAATTTTCTATTCTACAGATTAAAAACATTATAGAGATTTTATTTCTTCTTAACCAATCTTGATTTCAGTTTGCCACATTTCTGTTCCTTATAAATGCCTATACCAAAAAGTGACGTTGGAATCTTAGTACATAACACAAGAGACAGAGCCCCATTGCCCTGGCCCTCCACCTGCATCCTGAGGATGACTGAGTCTTAGAATATAAAACTTCTGTGCTAAGAAGGAAAGATGATCCACCAAGTCCTGTCAGAGTACAGACACCCCAGTAAGCCCTCGGACCATCCAGAACTCTTCGATTTTCACTTCCTTCAGGAAAATTGAAGTTTTGTAACAAATTCTCAAACTTGTCTCATTATGGTCAGATGAATTGAGTTCAATTGAAAGCCTCTGTGTTGTTGTTTCTAACCCTTTCTGCTCATCACTTGACCATGAAGCCACCGATTCTCAAAGCTTTCACTGATATTTGTATGCAGATCTTCGGACCCTAATGTACACACACCCTAGCCCCCAATAGTCTGAAGGAATTTCCTTGTGATAATAGGAACTAACCTAGGTATAGTTCATTGTCATCAAATACCTGAGTAGCCACCAGCTATGACTTTGACACCTAAGACCCTAGGCCTGTGTTCAATTTCAACAGTCTTGTTTCATTATGCATCCAAGACAGTGATTAGGTCAAAGCAGGGCCAGTCTATCAGGTCTGGGTGAGATTTAACTTACTAAAGTCTGGGATTAAACTAATGAGTTAGTTCCATATGAGAGCTTCAAAATAAAATAATAAATAATCCAGTGAGCTAAAAACAACATAAAAATAAAGTGAGAGTTCCAAAGTATTAATTTAGCTTGCCCAAGGAAAATCTCAGGCTCCTGTGGAAGGAACTGTCAACTCAATTGATTATATCAGCTGAGCTAGGGATATCTCCTGAGAATGTCTCCTCCCTATTCTCAGGAAAAATCCCTAGCTTGGTTGATGTCATCAGGTCCATACTGGTAATTTCCACTTAGGAACATTGCTGACTATGGAGTCCTAGGCTGACCAAAAGAAATTTCTCAACTGCAGAACAGCTTCTTTTCCAAAAATGTCCTTGTACATTAATAGATGAGGAAAGTGAATGAGGCTTAGAGAGGTTTAGTAACTTGCCTAAGCTGATAAAGTAGTGATGAGGTAGATCTCAAATCATGCCATTTCAGAGCTGATTAATTTATCCTGGAGAAGATGGTTTCTTAGAGGAAGATAGATCCCAAAAAGTATCTCAGGCAAATCACTGATTCATTCTATCCCAAACAATGAAAATAAATTGAAATAATAAAAGTCTTCTGTATATGGAGATCCATGTTAGCATCAGTCATGGGAAGAGAATATTATTATTATTATTATTATTTGAGATGGAGTCTCACTCTGTCACCCAGGCTGGAGTACAGTGGCGCAATTTCAGCTCACTGCAAACTCTGCCTCCCGGGTTCAAGCAATTCTCCTGCCCTTAGCCTCCCGAGTAGCTGGGATTACAGGCGCATGCCACCACACCCGGCTAATTTTTGTATTTTTAGTAGAGAGAGGGTTTCACCATGTTGGTCAGGCTGGTCTTGAACTCCTGACCTTATGATCCGTGTGCCTCGGCCTCCCAAAGTGCTGGGATTACAGGTGTGAGCCACCGTGCCTGGCCCGGGAATATTATTTATATCATGTATATTAATACTTTTTCTCAGTGTAAGAACCAGAGCCCTCAGTACTGTAATCACCAATGTATTCTTCCACTTCTACCCTTTAATAAATTGACAGCCCTCCAGATTCCCTCAATATATATTCTTGTAAATATTGGGCCTTTGGTTTAAAAAAAAAAAATGTGTTTTATGGTCACATGATTGTCATTTAGTGCCCCAAAGGAAATAATTAACCAAAAGTAGCCAATAAAATTAATGTAGCTTCTTATCAGAAAAAATAGCTAATACATGCTAGGCTTAATACTTAGGTGATGGGTTGATAGGTACAGCAAACCACCATGGCACATGTTTACCTATGTAACAAAGCTGCACATCCTGCACGTGTACCCCCGAATTTAAAAAAAAATTAATGTAGCTCTTCAAAATGCCTAGCATACCACACAGTAAGTACCTTATAGTATAGCATAACCCGGCTTAATAATTACTTTTAAAATAGCAACATAATGACAGACTGCACTTTGAAAGAATGCATCTGTAGTGTTCCACATCTTTTGTGAGCTTAAGCAACTCAGTGACAAAGATTATCTTTTAAATCTTGTATTTGTAAATTGGTCTACTACTCCCCAGTGGTGGCTCATGCCTGTAATCCCAGCACTTTGGGAGGCCGAGGTGGTGGATCATTTGAGTCCAAGAGTTCAAGACCAGCCTTGGCAACATAGTGAGACCTTGTCTCTACAAAACATTCTTTTAAAAATTTGCAAGGCATGGTGGCGCATGCCTATAGTCTCAACTACTCAGGAGGCTGAGGCTGGAAGATCACTTGAGCCAGTGAGGTCGTGGCTACAGTGAGTTGTAATTGTGCCACTGCACTCCGGCCTGGGCAACAGAGTGAGACCCTGTCTCTAAAAAAAAAAAAAAAAAAAAAAAAAGGAAAAAGTACATGTAAATAAAATTCTAAAATATATATTAAAATTATTAAAATTCACTCTTATTTTTTTTTCAGGGGTGATTATGTAAATGCTTTGGCTCATTATGAGAAAGGAATAACAGGTGATAATAAGGTAACCTTGGATAAAGATAAGATATGCCTAATTATGTCTGGGTTTGTTTTCAGTTTCATTTTTAAAAATCATGGTCTTATTTGTATTGTATTTAATATCTAGCAGGTGAGTGTTTTCTTTGGTTTACTAACAACCTTGCAAGGAAATAGTTAAATCCTTTTAAAACACTTCAAGCTCTTAAAATCTGATGATGACAATATTTTTATCAGTCTGATAAGTTTTACATCCTTAATATAAGTCTAATTAAAGTTGGAAATAAGATTTTTATCCTTTCTTACTTATAGGCTATGATTTTCATAAGGTTTTTCCTTTTGCTCTTTTTAAAAGTTTCAGTAGGCTGGACGCGGTGGCTCACACCTGTAATCCTAGCACTTTGGGAGGCCAAGGTGGGCGGATCACAAGGTCAGGAGTTCAAGACCAGCCTGGCCAATATGGTGAAACCCCATCTCTACTAAAAAAAAAAATACAAAAATTAGCCAGGCGTGGTGGTGCACGCCTGTAGTCCCAGCTACTCAGGAGGCTGAGGCAGAAGAATAGCTTGAATCTGGAAGGATGAGGTTGCAGTGAGCCAAGATCATGCCACTGCACTCCAGCCTGGACGACAGAGCGAGACTCCATCTCAAAAAAAAAAAAAAAAAGTTTCAGTAACCATTTTGAAAGTGAATTTCCAATCCGTAAAACTTCATTCTGCCGTTTCTTTCTCATACTGTATCTTTTAAGATGACCCTGGAGAGCATGACCCACTGTGCCACCTCTTTTTCCCATCCCAGAATTCTAGCTTAAAAAGCTAAGATTTATAATAATAATTGCTGTTTTTAAGTTAGGTAATGTCTTGTGAAGCTTGAAAATCTTTTGACTTTCTGTTTTATATATAGCATTTTTATTACAAAAGTAATGCAACCTCATGATAGCTAATTTGAAAAATCATCAAAATATGTTAACATGAAAAGTGAGTCCAGGCCAGCCTGGCCAATGTGGCAAAACCCCATCTCTACTAGAAATACAAAAATTAGCCAGCCGTGATGACGGGTGCCTATAATCCCAGCTACTTGGGAGGCTGAGGTGGGGAGAATCGCTTGAACCCAGAAGGCGGAGGTTGCAGTGAGCTGAGATTGCGCCATTGCACCCCAGCCTGGGCAACAGAGTGAGACTATATCTCAAAAAAAAAAAAAAAAAGTGGGTCCGGGGCCGGGCACAGTGGCTCACGCTGGTAACCCCAGCACTTTGGGAGGCTGAGGCCGGTGGATCACTTTAGGTCAGGAGACCAGTCTGGCCAACATGGTTAAACCCTGTCTCTAATAAAAATACAAAATTAGCCAGGTGTGGTGGCACACGCCTGTAATCCCAGCTACTCGGGTAGCTGAGGCAGGAGAATCACTTGAATTGGGAAGCGGAGGTTGTAGTGAGCTGAGATCACACCGTTGCACTCCAGCCTGGGCGACAAGAGGGAAACTCTGTCTCAAAAAAAAAAAAAAGAAAGAAAGAAAGAAAAGTGAGTCCAATATTCTCTCCTCCATCCACACCCCTTAATGGTAACTACTGTTAATGATTTTATATATTTTCTTCCAGAAGCTCTTCTAAGCATACTTGTAATATGGATTTTTTTTTTTTTTTACCAAAAATGAAATCATTCATTTCCATTCACTCAGCAAAGATCATTGAGTATTCACTCAGTGCAAAGCAGCATTTTGCTTTCTTCATGGCCTTTCCAAGTCAATACATATGAATCTGTCTTAATCTTTTTATTTTTGAGACAGGGTCTCATTCTGTTGCCCACACTGGGGTGCAGTGGAAGAATCAGCTCACTGCAGCCTCAAACTCCTGGGCTCAAGTGATCCTCCTGCTCCAGCCTCCTTATTAGCTGGGACTACTGGTACATGCTACCACACCCAGATAATTTTTTATTTTTATAATAAAATTAAAAATTTTTATTTTTATGTTTATTTTTGTCTCACTTTCTTTCCCAGGCTGGAATGTAGTGGCATAATCGTAGTTTACTGAAGCTTCAAACTCCTGACCTCAAGCCATCCTCCCGCCTTAGCCTCCCTAAGCACTGCGATTACAGGCATGAGCCACCATACCCAGCCAGTCTTAATCTTTTAAGAGCTTCTAATATTCCATTATTTGGATGTACTATAATTTTTTGTATCCACTACCTTACTGAAGTATAGTTGTGGGGTTTTTTCTATCATCAAAAATACTGCAGGCTAGACACAATGGCTCATGCTAGTGATAACCAGCACTTTGGGAGGCCAAGGTGGGAGGAATGCTTGACACCAGGAGTTCAAGACCAGCTGGACAACAAAGCAAGACCCCCATCTCTACAAATTTATTTGTTTATTTTTCTTTTGGAGATAGTCTTTCACTGTGTCGCCCAGGCTGGAGTGCAGTGGTGCGATCCTGGCTCACTGCAACCTTTACCTCTTGGGTTCAAGTGATTCTCGTACCTCTCAGCCTCCTGAATAGCTGGGATTACAGGCATGGGCCACCACGATTGGCTAATTTTTGTATTTGGTAGAGACAGGGTTTTGCCATGTTAGCCAGGCTGGTCTTGAACTCCTGGCCTCAAGTGATCCGCCCACCTCAGCCTCCCAAAGTGCTGGGATAATAGGCTTGAGCCACCGCGCCCGGCCCATCTCTACAAATTTAAAAATAAAAAATTAGCTGGGTATGGTAGCATTGCATCACTGCACTCCAGCCTAGGCAATAGAATGAGACCCAGTCTCTTTAAAAAAACAGCAACTTTTTAAAATTAAAAAGTAAAAATTAAAAAATTAAATTCATTTTTTAAAATCACTGCAATGAATATTCTACCTAGTACATGTATCTTTAGCTACCTATGATAGTATTTCTGAAGAATATTTTCTTATAAGTCACAAAGTGTACTTTTCATTTTTGACATGGCTAAATTGCTGTTCAAAAGAAATTGTAGTAATTCACACACACTCCATGTATGATAGTGTCCCCTTCATTCTCAGCAAAACTGAATGTTATCAGTTGTTTTATCTCTACCAATTTTATAAGCAAAAAAATATATTTTATTTTATGTATATTTGATTATTGGTGAAGTTGAGCGTGTTTTTATTTATTTATTGGCCAATTGTATTTTGTTTCCACTTGTATTTTTTAATGAATTGTCTGGTCATGTCCTTTGCTCATTTATCTCTTAGGTTTTTGACATTTTCTTTGTCTGGCTACATCAATTTTAGTTCATTCTTTATCTACACCGTCAAATACAGTAAGCACTAGCCACATGTGTCTACTTAAATTATTTAAAGTTAGATAAAATTTAAAATTCAATTCCTCTGTTGCACCAGCCATATTTCAAATGCCCAGTAGCTACCATATCGGACAGGGCAGATACAGATCATTTCTGTCATCACAGAAAGTTTTACTAGACATGCTGATTTAGATAAAATATAATCTGACATTACATCTTACTAGTAGAGATTAGTTATTTGATAAGTTTCTTTAGCTGTCTTTGGTACCTTTAATGAATTTAACAATTACTAACGAAATGAAGTTTTTATGTTTCATCATGCCTCATAGAGCAATCTTCAATTTGATAAATGGTTTTCTTCTTAATTTTATTCATAGCATTTATGCTATATAGCCAGTATATTACTTTTTATATTAAATTTTATACCAAAAAGACATATGAGGGATAGTAAAAATTTGGTCTTAAGCATAAAGTTGATCTAGGCTTTCGCAGAACAAAATATAATTTTGTAATAGCTGGGTTTTTTTAAAAAAAAAAGTCTCAAGTGTTATTTTAAAATCATGAGGCTTCCCTGAAAAGATAAAAGTAAACCATAACCTTTGGACTCATTTTAGAGTTAAATTCATTGTTCTGTCTTAAACACATCGTGTTAAGCTAGAATCTGATTTGTTAGTGTTTGCCTTGTGATTGCAGGAACATGATGAAGCTTGTCTGGCTGGAGTGGCCCAGATGTCCATAAGAATGGGAGACATACGTCGAGGGGTTAACCAAGCCCTCAAGCATCCCAGCAGGGTCCTTAAAAGAGACTGTGGAGCCATATTGGAGAATATGAAGGTCCTCTTTTCTCTGCATCAATATACATGTGGTCTTTTATACATAATAACTTAGTATTTTAATAATCCTGTCTTATTTTAGCAATTTTCAGAAGCGGCCCAACTGTATGAAAAAGGTCTCTACTACGATAAAGCAGCATCTGTTTACATCCGCTCTAAGAATTGGTAAGAGCTGCCTGCGGTTTGTTTCTGAACAGGATTGGAAATGAATGTGCCTCTGGGGTCTCCCCACTTGCCTCCTTGCCATGCTTTCTCTCTGTCCATTCTGTTCCCCTATCTAGACCTACCCTTCATCTCTTTTGTTCTCCTTAGATAAGTTCATATTAATAGTTCTTTTTCCAAAGAATAGCACATTCTCCTGGTTTGGTGTGGAGAAATCCTTAATCAGATAAATTAGTAGGAAAAAACAAAAACCCTGTTGTCCTAAAAGAGTTAATGGACTAACCATTTTCCTACCTTTAGGGGAGGGAGTGAAGTGGGTGTTAGGAGTAAAAGCAATTAAATCAGCTTTTACCTATAGGAGCCAAGATTTTCTTTCTTTTTTTTTTTTCTTTTTTTTTTTTTTTGAGACAGAAGCTCTCTCTGTTGCTCAGGCTGAAGTGCAGCTGGCACGATCTCAGCTCACTGCAACCTCCACCTCCTGGGTTCTAGCAATTCTCCTGCCTCAGCCTCCTGAGTAGCTGGGATTACAGGCATGCTGCCACAATGCCTGGCTAATTTTTGTATTTTTTTTTTTTCTAGTAGAGGTGGGGTTTCACCATGTTGGCCAGGCTGGTCTTGAACTCCTGACCTCAGGTGATCTGCCCGCCTCAGCCTTCCAAAGTTCTGGGATTACAGGCCACTGCACCCCGCCAGGAGCCAAGATTTTTGAAAGATAGTAATAACTGGTTTTTGAATCCTAAAACCTAACATTTGGTTATAGCAGGCTACTTTTGGAGTGAACACAGTACTCATACTGTTCTCCTGGACCTACCTTTCCAGGGCAAAAGTTGGTGATCTTCTGCCCCACGTTTCTTCTCCTAAGATCCATTTGCAGTATGCCAAAGCCAAGGAAGCAGATGGAAGGTTTGTACACTTTCTCAAATTTATACCAATTTAAAGTAATGTAAGCTTTACAAATTAACCATTGATATTTGCAACCCTGTAAGAAAGGCAAACCAGAGAAAGACAGAAAACACCTTTAATTACCCCTTGTTGGCCTGAAGTGCCAGACTATTAAAATCCTCCTGTACCTCATATACTTCAAGTGTTTCCTTTACATACTCAAATATAGACTATTATCTCTTTTTATTTGAGGGTTTTATAATGGAAGTTGAAATTTTGATATGGCATGAAAATAAAGTGATTGTTATTTTATTAAGAAGGATTATTATTTTATAAATCACAGATGCAGGGGAAAAGAAAAGTGAAGAAACATGAATTCCACACATACAGCTGCTTGCTTAAGCCACATATGGCTGCTTGTTTAAGCTTGCTTAAGCTGCTTAACTATCCATTGCTATATTTTAACCGTATTTAAAAATGTATAACTCTATTGTAATACAGTTAAAATATAGCAATGGATAGTTAATATCCTAAACATACAAAGATCTCCCACTACTTAATACAAGAAACTCAAAGACACTAATAGGAAAATGGGCTAAAGACAAGAACACAAGCGCCAGAGGAGGAAACACAATTATGAAATTGTATTTGATGTAAACATGAAAAGGTTCTACCTCACTAATAGTAATTAAATTAAGGCAACTTGTCATATTTGGAAATATTTATTTTAAACTAATAACCATGTTGTCAAAATGTGCTTATATTACACAACTGATAGAAATGTATCTTTTGGGCTGGGCGTGGTGGCTCACACCTGCAATCCCTGCACTTTGGGAGGCCAAGGCAAGAGGATCACTTGAGGCCAGGAGTTTGAGGACAGCCTGGGCAACATAGAGAGAGCCTCTCTCTATAACAAGTTTAAAAATAAAAAATTTGGGGGGTGGAGCTAAGATGGCCGAATAGGAACAGCTCCAGTCTATAGCGCCCAGCATGAGCGACGCAGAAGACAGGTGATTTCTGCATTTCCAACTGAGGTACCGGGTTCATCTCACTGGGGAGTGCTGGACAGTGGGTGCAGGACAGTGGGTGCAGCGCACCGTGTGTAAGCCGAAGCAGTGCAAGGCATCGCCTCACCCGGGAAGCACAAGGGGTCAGAGAATTCCCTTTCCTAGTCAAAGAAAGGGGTGACAGACGGCACCCGTAAAATCGGGTCACTCCCACCCTAATACTGTGCTTTTCCAATGGGCTTATCAAACGGCACACCAGGAGATTATATCCTGCACCTGACTCAGAGGGTCCTACACCCACGGAGCCTCACTCATTGCTAGCACAGCAGTCTGAGATCAAACTGCAAGGCAGCAGAAAGGCTGGTGGACGGGCGCCCGCCATTGCTGAGGCTTGAGTAGGTAAACAAAGCGGCCAGGAAGCTCCAACTGGGTGGAGCCCACCACAGCTCAAGGAGGCCTGCCTGCCTCTGTAGGCTCCACCTCTGAGGGCAGGGCACAGACAAACAAAAGACAGCAATAACCTCTGCAGACTTAAATGTCCCTGTCTGACAGCTTTGAAGAGAGGAGTGGTTCTCCCAGCACGCAGCTTGAGATCTGAGAATGGGCAGACTGCCTCCTCAAGTGGGTCCCTGACCCCTGAGTAGCCTAACTGGGAGGCACCCCCCAGTAGGGGCGGACTGACACCTCACACGGGGCTGGGTACTCCTCTGAGACAAAACTTCCAGAGGAACAATCAGGCAGCAGCATTTGCGGTTCACCAATATCCACTGTTCTGCAGCCACCACTGCTGATACCCAGGCAAACAGGGTCTGGAGTGGACCTTCAGTAAACTCCAACAGACCTGCAGCTGAGGGTCCTGACTGTTAGAAGGAAAACTAACAAACAGAAAGGACATCCACACCAAAAACCCATCTGTAAGTCACCATCATCAAAGACCAAAGGTGGATAAAACCACAAAGATGGGGAAAAAACAGAGCAGAAAAACCGGAAACTCTAAAAATCAGAGCGCCTCTCCTCCTCCAAAGGAACGCAGCTCCTCACCAGCAACTGAACAAAGCTGGACAGAGAATGACTTTGACGAGTTGAGAGAGGAAGGCTTCAGAAGATCAAACTACTCCAAGCTAAAGGAGGAAGTTCGAACCAATGGCAAAGAAGTTAAAAACTTTGAAAAAAAATTAAATGAATGGATAACTAGAATAACCAATGCAGAGAAGTCCTTAAAGGACCCGATGGAGTGAAAACCATGGCACAAGAATTACGCGACGAATCCACAAGCCTCAGTAACCGATGTGATCAACTGGAAGAAAGGGTATCAGCGATGGAAGACGAAATGAATGAAATGAAGTGTGAAGAGAAGTTTAGAGAAAAAAGAATAAAAAGAAACGAACAAAGCCTCCAAGAAATATGGGACTATGTGAAAAGACCAAATCTACGTCTAATTGGTATACCTGAAAGTGACGGGGAGAATGGAACCAAGTTGGAAAACACTCTGCAGGATATTATCCAGGAGAACTTCCCCAATCTAGCAAGGCAGGCCAACATTCAAATTCAGGAAATACAGAGAATGCCACAAAGATACTCCTCGAGAAGAGCAACTCCAAGACACATAATTGTCAGATTCACCAGTTGAAATGAAGGAAAAAATGTTAAGTGCAGCCAGAGAGAAAGGTTGGGTTACCCACAAAGGGAAGCCCTTCAGACTAACAGCTGATCTCTTGGCAGGAACTCTACAAGCCAGAAGAGAGTGGGGGCCAATATTCAACATTCTTAAAGAAAAGAATTTTCAACCCAGAATTTCATATCCAGCCAAACTAAGCTTCATAAGTGAAGGAGAAATAAAATACTTTACAGACAAGCAAATGCTGAGAGATGTTGTCACCACCAGGCCTTCCCTACAAGAGCTCCTGAAGGAAGCACTAAACATGGAAAGGAAGAACCGGTACCAGCCACTGCAAAAACATGCCAAATTGTAAAGACCATCAAGGCTAGGAAGAAACTGCATCAACTAATGGGCAAAATAACCAGCTAACATCATAATGACAGGATCAAATTCACACATAACAATACTAATCTTAAATATAAATGGGCTAAATGTTCCAATTAAAAGGCACAGACTGGCAAATTGGATAAAGAGTCAAGACCCATCAGTGTGCTATATTCAGGAGACCCATCTCACGTGCAGAGACACACATAGGCTCAAAATAAAGGGATGGAGGAAGATCTACCAAGAAAATGGAAAACAAAAAAAAGGCAGGGGTTGCAATCCTAGTCTCGGATAAAACAGACTTCAAACCAACAAAGATCAAAAGAGACAAAGAAGGCCATTACATAATGGTAAAGGGATCAATTCAACAAGAAGAACTAACTATCCTAAATATATATGCAGCCAATACAGGAGCACCCAGATTCATAAAGCAAGTCCTTACTGACCTACAAAGAGACTTAGACTCCCACACAATAATAATGGGAGACTTTAACACCCCACTGTCAACATTAGACAGATCAACGAGACAGAAAGTTAACAAGGATATCCAGGAATTGAACTCAGCTCTGCACCAAGCAGACCTAATAGACATCTACAGAACTCTCCACCCCAAATCAACAGAATATACGTTCTTTTCAGCAACTATTCCAAAATTGACCACATAGTTGGAAGTAAAGCACTCCTCAGCAAATGTAAAAGAACAGAAATTATAACAAACTGTCTCTCAGACCACAGTGCAATCAAACTAGAACTCAGGATTAAGAAACTCACTCAAAACCGCTCAACTACATGGAAACTGAACAACCTGCTCCTGAATGACTACTGGGTACATAAGGAAATGAAGGCAGAAATAAAGATGTTCTTTGAAACCAACGAGAACAAAGACACAACATACCAGAATCTCTGGGACACATTCAAAGCAGTGTGTAGAGGGAAATTTATAGCACTAAATGCCCACAAGAGAAAGCAGGAAAGATCTAAAACTGACACCCTAACATCACAATTAAAAGAACTAGAGAAGCAAGAGCAAACACATTCAAAAGCTAGCAGAAGGCAAGAAATAACTAAGATCAGAGCAGAACTGAAGGAGATAGAGACACAAAAAACCCTTCAAAAAATCAATGAATCCAGGAGCTCGTTTTTTGAAAAGATCAACAAAATTGATAGACCACTAGCAAGGCTAATAAAGAACAAAAGAGAGAAGAATCAAATAGACGCAATAAAAAATGACAAAGGGGATATCACCACCGATCCCACAGACATACAAACTGCCATCAGAGAATACTATAAACACCTTTACACAAATAAACTAGAAAATCTAGAAGAAATGGATAAATTCCTCGACACATACACTCCCCCAAGACTAAATCAGGAAGAAGTTGAATCTCTGAATAGACCAATAACAGGCTCTGAAATTGAGGCAATAATTAATAGCTTACCAACCAAAAAAAGTCCAGGACCAGATGGATTCACAGCCAAATTCTACCAGAGGTACAAGGAGGAGCTGGTACCATTCCTTCTGAAACTATTCCAATCAATAGAAAAAGAGAGAATCCTCCCTAACTCATTTTATGAGGCCAGCATCATCCTGATACCAAAGCCTGGCAGAGACACAACGAAAAAAGAGAATTTTAGACCAATATCCTTGATGAACATCGATGCAAAAATCCTCAATAAAATACTGGCAAACCGAATCCAGCAACACATCAAAAAGCTTATCCCCCATGATCAAGTGGGCTTCAAGTGGGCTTCATCCCTGGGATGCAAGGCTGGTTCAACATACGAAAATCAATAAATGTAATCCAGCATATAAACAGAACCAAAGACAAAAACCACATGACTATCTCAACAGATGCAGAAAAGGCCTTTGACAAAATTCAACAACGCTTCATGCTAAAAGCTCTCAATAATTTAGGTATTGATGAGACGTATCTCAAAATAATAAGAGCTATCTATGACCAACCCACAGCCAATATCATACTGAACGGACAAAAACTGGAAGCATTCCCTTTGAAAACCGTCAAAAGACAGGGATGCCCTCTCTCACCACTCCTATTCAACATAGTGTTGGAAGTTCTGGCCAGGGCAATTAGGCAGGAGAAGGAAATAAAGGGCATTCAATTAGGAAAAGAGGAAGTCAAATTGTCCCTGTTTGCAGATCACATGATTGTATATCTAGAAAACCCCATCGTCTCAGCCCGAAATCTCCTTAAGCTGATAAGCAACTTGAGCAAAGTCTCAGGATACAAAATCAATGTGCCAAAATCACAAGCATTCTTATACACCAATAACAGACAAACAGAGAGCCAAATCATGAGTGAACTCCCATTCACAGTTGCTTCAAAGAGAATAAAATACCTAGGAATGCAACTTACAAGGGATGTGAAGGACCTCTTCAAGGAGAACTACAAACCACTGCTCAGTGAAATAAAAGAGGATACAAAGAAATGAAAGAACATTCCATGCTCATGGGTAGGAAGAATCAATATCGTGAAAAATGGCCATACTGCCGAAGGTAATTTATAGATTCAATGCCATCCCCATCAAGCTACCAATGACTTTCTTCACAGACTTGGAAAAAACTACTTTAAAGTTCATATGGAACCAAAAAAGAGCTTGCATCGCCAAGTCAATCCTAAGCCAAAAGAACAAAGCTGGAGGCATCACACTACCTGACTTCAAACTATACTACAAGGCTACAGTAACCAAAACAGCGTGGTACTGGTACCAAAACAGAGATATAGATCAATGGAACAGAACAGAGCCCTCAGAAATAATGCTGCATATCTACAACTATCTGATCTTTGACAAACCTGACAAAAACAAGCAATGGGGAAAGGATTCCCTATTTAATAAATGGTGCTGGGAAAACTGGCTAGCCATATGGAGAAAGCTGAAACTGGATCCCTTCCCCTTACACCTTATACAAAAATTAATTCAAGATGAATTAAAGACTTACATGTTAGACCTAAAACCATAAAAACCCTAGAAGAAAACCTAGGCAATACCATTCAGGACATAGGCATGGGCAAGGACTTCATGTCTAAAACACCAAAAGCAATGGCAACAAAAGCCAAAATTGACAAATGGGATCTAATTAAACTAAAGAGCTTCTGCACAGCAAAAGAAACCAACATCAGAGTGAACAGGCAACCTACAGAATGGGAGAAAATTTTTGCAACCTACTCATCTGACAAAGGGCTAATATCCAGAATCTACAAAGAACTCAAACAAATTTACAAGAAAAAAACAACCCCATCAAAAAGTGGGTGAAGGATATAAACAGACACTTCTCAAAAGAAGACATTTATGCAGCCAAAAAACACATGAAAAAATGCTCATCATCACTGGCCATCAGAGAAATGCAAATCAAAACCACAATGAGATACCATCTCACACCAGTTAGAATGGCGATCATTAAAAAGTCAGGAAACAACAGGTGCTGGAGACGATGTGGAGAAATAGGAACACCTTTACACTGTTGGTGGGACTGTAAACTAGTTCAATCATTGTGGAAGTCGGTGTGGTGATTCCTCAGGGATCTAGAACTAGAAACACCATTTGACCCAGCCATCCCATTACTAGGTATATACGCAAAGGATTATAAATCATGCTGCTATGAAGACACATGCACACGTATGTTTATTGTGGCACTATTCACAATAGCAAAGACTTGGAACCAACCCAAATGTCCAACAATGATAGACTGGATTAAGAAAATGTGGCACATATACATCATGGAATACTATGCAGCCATAAAAAATGATGAGTTCATGTCCTTTGTAGGGACATGGATGAAGCTGGAAACCATCATTCTCAGCAAACTATTGCAAGGACAAAAAACCAAATACCTCATGTTCTCACTCATAGGTGGGAGTTGAACAATGAGAACACATAGACACAGGAAGGGGAACATCACACACCAGGGCCTGTTGTGGGGTGGGGGGAGGGGGGAGGGATAGCATTAGGTGATATACCTAATGCTAAATGACGAGTTAATGGGTGCAGCACACCAACATGGCACATGTATACATAGATAACAAACCTGCACGTTGTGCACATGTACCCTAAAACTTAAAGTATAATAATAAAAAATAATAAAAAAAAATTAAAAAATTTTTTAAAGAAGTGTAACTTTCTATAGCCTCTGGAAATTAACTTAGAAATATCTATTAAGGAACTTTTAAAGGAGATTTAATACCCTTTTAAATACTTTTAGAAAAGTAACCTTAGGAAATAGAGATATACACTGAATGTCTTGTTGAAATGGAGCTGAGAGCTGGTCAGGAACTGAAGAGGGGTCCTGAGCTCTATCTAGAGGTCAACACTAAAGTTTGAGCTTTGTGACTAAGGATATATAAAGGTTTTATATATCAACATTAAGCTGTATCTATAATTGTGAAAAAAATCTACATTTTCTATATTACTATTATAATCTTCCTACTTAAAAGGAAAAAAACAGTAAAATGTTTAAAAATATATAGCTTTGATTCAGATGGGAAAATACAATTTAATATTGATATTTTACTGTTCATTTATCAAATTCCTAAACAGAACATTTTAGTGGGATGGTTCCTGGTATTTTTCTGATAAAGGAAAAAGAAGTTCAGGAAAAATAAGCAGTCACCATCAATAAAATTTAAAAGTGTCCTAAACATTTATCAACATTTTCTCCCCAAATTGACAGTGTTAAAAAAAGTTTATCTGAGCTATTTTTTTACAGATACAAAGAAGCTGTTGTAGCTTATGAAAATGCAAAACAGTGGCAAAGTGTAATCCGCATCTATCTGGATCACCTCAATAATCCTGAAAAAGCTGTCAATATTGTTAGAGAGACCCAGTCTCTGGATGGAGCCAAAATGGTAGCCAGGTAACATAATACATTAATATTTTTGGACTTTCAAAAACTAACCATAAAAGTAAGCCTCTGCCTTCTATCATCAAATATATTAATTCAAAAGGAATATTTAGTCTTTATTTTTTTATCAGGTCTAAGCGTTTAAATTCAAAGGCTGTCGTGGTCAGCAGACAAGAGTATGTCTTTCAAGTGTAAGCATATAATATAGAACTGCATGCTGGGCATGGTGGCTCACACCTGTAATCCCAGCACTTTGGGAGGCTGAGGCAGGTGGATCACCTGAGGTCAGGAGTTTGAGACCAGCCTGGCCAACATGGTGAAACCCCATCTCTACTGAAAATACAAAAGATTAGCTGGGTGTGGTGGTGCATGCCTGTAGTTCCAGCTACTTGGGAGGCTGAGGCAGGAAAGTCGCTTGAACCCAGGAGGCGGAGGCTGCAGTGAGCTGAGATTGCACCACTGCACTCCTGCCTGGGTGACAGAGTGTGACTCCATCTCAAAAAAAAAAAAAAGAACTGCAATTTATCTAAAAATTTTGATTTTTAAATGGTTTCTCCTGGTTGAAAAATTTTGTAAATCACAAATTTATATTAAGAGTCTAGCTAATTAAAGTACTTTGCTTTAGGTTTTTTCTACAGCTTGGTGACTATGGGTCTGCCATCCAGTTTCTTGTCATGTCCAAATGCAACAATGAAGCTTTCACACTGGCTCAGCAACACAACAAAATGGAAATCTATGCAGATATTATTGGTAAATATCATTTT
The DNA here is from genome assembly GCF_000001405.40 of Homo sapiens. Classification (NCBI taxonomy): domain Eukaryota; kingdom Metazoa; phylum Chordata; class Mammalia; order Primates; family Hominidae; genus Homo; species Homo sapiens. The sequence continues at coordinate 39,254,045 of NC_000004.12, forward strand.
TTCCCTGGTTCTCTTCAAGATGTTTATCATAAAAACACTTTGTCTCTTATGATCTAATTATCAGATTGGTATACATACAAGAATGCGCCTGGTGTAAATGTTTACCATTTATACATAGACACACATGTATCTATGTTATGTGTTGGATTTGAAGATCCCTGCTACTTCAAGGTGAGATGGTATTATTAAAAAGGACTATTTTCAAAAATTAAGGGTTTTTCTGTGTGAATTCCAAGAGAGGCTAGATTTCCCAAATCCTGCTATTTATCAGCCAGTAGTAAATCAAAGATTTCAAAATGAAGGTGATAGGAAATGCAAGATGATTTTTGAAAATGTAAATATTTTCATTAAAAAATTGAGTTACAAATTAAGAAAAATGCTTACTTTGGTGAACAGTGATATACACAAGATGTGTTTTTCAAAGATTTGGACAGTCCAAAGGATAATTTGATATTCTGAGAATGCCTGTTTAGAGGTTTTCTTCTCATGTTTGCAATTATTTTTAGAAACTACTGAAATAATTTTCAGATTTTCATTTCATGGACCATACATAATGTTATTTGTGTTTTGTTTTGTTTTCTTATTGTGCTAAAATATATATAATATAAAATTTCCATTTAAAAGTGTATAATTTGGTACATTCATTCACGTTGTTATGCGGCCATCACCACTGTCCATCTCTAGAACTTTTTCATCATCCCAGACTGTCCCTGTACCCGTTAAATAATAATTCCCCATTGCCCTCTTTCCCCCAGACCCTGGTAACCATGATTTTACTTTCTGTATCTGTGAATTTGACTATTCATGGTACCTCGTATAAGTGGAATCATAAAATATTTGTTCTTTTTGTGTTATTCTGTTTTTTAAAATCCACGAAATGACCATAAGAATTGATGTTAGGATTCACAAGAAAATATTTATTTCAGTCTTCAAGGAAACAAATTAATTAGGTAAAAGCTTCTTGGGATGCTTTGGCTTCCCAAATGACTTCTTGCAAAGTTATTAAGATAATTAGAGAAAACAGAGTTAAAAAAAAGAAAAGGAGTACAGATAGGCAACTTTAGAATTGCCAATGTTTAACTTGACAGATGACATTTCTGTCCTAACATTACTACCACCATTTCACTAAAGCAGTTTTTCTAAGTTTGTAAGAATATGGTTTGTCTTATATAAGATGTGTATATTGGTGGGGGGTGTGTGGGCCTCCTCCCACCTTCAAAACACACACATACTTTTCCCCACTTTGCTTTATGCCTTTCTCTTATAAACTCCCTCTTCCTCCAGCTGGAGGCGCAGCATGGTTGTTATACTTTAGTATTCTATTGGGCCCCAACTCCCACGGGTAAATGTAAACAATGAGTTGGAATTCCAGTAGCTTTTGGGGTCCTTCTTCCTCTATGCTTAATATATTTAAGCCCCAAGCCAAAGGAAAGACAGTCATATCTTTAACCAGCATCTACTGGCTACTTGAATGTCATCTTCCCTACTTGTCTGACAAATATACAGACTATTGTTTAAACCAGGCATTGCTGAGAGGTATGCATTCCATTTGTATTACTAACAAAAACCTTGTAATTTCCTCTCCTGGTTCACATTTAGAGTTAAAAAAAAAAGATGGAACAGAGTTACTATTTGGAGTAATTGTGATAAGTATGTTTTGTGATGAAAACAGACATTAATAATTACATTGATGTTTGCTGTTAAGAGTTTTTAATCACCTATTTTTAGATTTTATTTTCAGGTTAGCAATAAAAGGTAAACAAATTTTGCTCAGATATTTTACTCAGTAAACTTCTGTTACAGGTTCTGAAGACACTACTAATGAAGACTATCAAAGCATTGCCTTATACTTTGAAGGAGAAAAGAGATATCTTCAGGCTGGAAAATTCTTCTTGCTGTGTGGCCAATATTCACGAGTTAGTATTTGCCAAGAAAATATACACTGACTCCGCAGGAATAATTGTAGGAAATATACGTAAATGCCAGGAATAATTGTAGGAAATATATGTAAATGCCAGTAACTCCCACTCAGATTTGAAATCTCAGAGCTAACTCTGAAATATTCCTCTCCCTCCCACACCCAGTCACAACCTTCCTTCGTAATACCTCTCACATCTGTCACTTTCATTCTAACTACTGTCAGCTCAATCCAGGCCCAGATGACCTTGCTTCTGATTATTGCAGTAGTTTCTTATTTTTCCTGTTTTTAGTTTGTCCGCCTTTAGAGTTTGTCATCCTTCACTTTGTTCCCCAAATAATAGTTGCTTTCACTGTTACAGAGCCCCTTGGCCTAAGGCAGGGGTTACAGTGTCCAAAGAAGGGACATCATAAGTGAAGCTATGGGGTAAAGCTGCGCTTTGTTCATGTGACAGGGTAGGGACTACTGAATGGCACATGTCTTAAGAAGCCAGCTGTTTCTCACCTCCATAAAGTTGTTGTCATTTAGGAATCCAGGCCCTGTAGTGCCAGATCATACGATTTTTTCAAGAGAAACGGAAGCTTGGGGCTGCCAGTTTTGAAATATGTGCCCCAATATTTATAGAATACCTCACTGGCCAAAAAAAACATGTCTGTGTGTGAATTCAGCCTACAGGCCACCACCAACTTGTTGTTGCTGGCCTCTTAGATAAAGTCCAAACTCCTTAGCTGGCACTTAAGAGAAATTTCCATAGTTTGACCAACCAGCCAGAACTCCCTAATCTGGCACCCAGCTGTTTCCATGGAAGAGTCCCACACTCCTCTAACAGCCAGGCCTTCATCCATCCTGTTCTCCATCTGGGTTCCTCTCTGCTCTCTACACCACCTACCACAAACCTATTTGTCCTTCAAGTGACACCTTCAGGATCATCTCCATGCAAAACCATCTTTTCTTCCTCAGAGCACCTATTAAAAAAAAACACTAACAATCCAGTCCATTTGTCTTTTTATAGTTGTAAATTTCTTCCTAAGTGTGGTGTTACGGTGTTCAGGAATTAGACAATTATAACTTAAAATAATCGGTCTCATATTATCATCATATCACACAGATCTTCTTAGCAAGACTGTACATAACACAGAAAATAGGGGCCGTGCCATACCATTCCTGGTATTCTCCATGGGATCTAGCGAAGTCCCACACACATAGTAGCAGGTTGTCAGTAACTATTTGTTGAAAGAATAAATGAATGAAAATAATTAAATCTTCCTACTGAAAAGGGCACATTTTGCCTTTTCATTTCATCAGGACTAGATTCTTCAGAGGGTTAACTGGGTCCTTCCATTTTTTAAACTATATCCAGCTTTTAAGGACATATTTAAGATCCAACACCATGCAAGCCCCTGGTTGAGATGAAGATACTTTCACAGACTGTAATTACTTTGTGTTAAAGCTGTGTGAAAGCTTTGTTTTCCCTAATGTGAAAACATTCTGAAAATTTTTAATTGCTGTAATTCGCTTTTCAGGCACTTAAACACTTCCTGAAATGCCCAAGCTCGGAAGATAATGTGGCAATAGAAATGGCAATTGAAACTGTAAGTACGCTTTCAATGAAACTTTCAATAATGCCAATTTTTTAAAAAACTTCTTGAAAAAAATTTTAAATATATGCAGAAGTAGACCAAACAGTATTACAAACCCCTACATACCTATCGTGTAACTTCAACAGCTGTCAATACATAGACAGCCTCATTTTTTTCATACCCTCACCCTCTTTCCCCGGTTTTTTTTTTAAGTAAATCACAGTCACCATATCATTTCACTTGTGGATACAATATCAGTGTCTAAAAGATAAGAACCTTTGGATTTTCTTTTAGGTGTAACTTGCATACAGTAAAGTTCACAAATCCTAAGTGTACAACTCGATTAGTTTTTTCCTCTATGCATACCTGTGTACCCCCCACCCAGATCAAGATATAGAACATTTCCAGCTCCCAAAAGTCTCCACATGTCACCCCCCAGTCAATATCCCCCACCAAAGGTAACCACAATTCTGACTTATATTCTTATAGATTTGTTTTGCCTGTGTATAAACTTCATAGAAACAGAATCACACATGTGTCCTCTTATGTCCAGTTTCAGTCAGCATTATGTATGCAAATGTGTCCGTTTGTGTTATTGCACATAGCAGTAAGTCATTCTTTTTTTTTTGAGACAGAGTTTCGCTCTTTTGCCCAGGCTGGAGTGCAGTGGTGCAATCTCGGCTCACTGCAACCTCCGCCTTCCAGTTTCAAGCGATTCTTCTGTCTCAGCCTCCCAAGTAGCTGGGATTACCTGTGCCTGCCACCTTGCCCAGCTAATTTTTGTATTTTTAGTAGAGACGGGGTTTCACCATGTTGGCCAGGCTGGTCTCGAACTCCTGACCTCGTGATCTGCCCACGTCAGCCTCCCAAAGTGCTGGGATTACAGGTGTGAGCCACTGCACCCAGCCCAGCAATAGGTCATTCTTCTTCATTGCTGTGTAGTATTCTACTATATGACTGTACTACAATTTATTTACCCCTTACTCCGTTAATGGACTTTTGAGTTGTCTCCAGTTTGGGCATATTAGGAATAAAGCTGCACTAAAGCTGTTCATGTCTTTTGGTGAACAAAAACCCTCAGTTTTATTGGGTATATATCCAGGAGTAGAATTATTAGGTCATAGTATTCTAAATACAGGTCTTTTTGTCAGATATATGTTGCAAAAATCTTCAAAGGCATGGCTTGCCTTTTTATTCTCTTGACGAACATAAATTCTTAACTTTTAATAAAGTCCAACTCATGAATCTTTTATAGTTAGTGCTTTTTGGTCCCATTAAGAAATTTTAAGCTGGGTGCAGTGGATCACTTGAGGTCAGGACTTCAAGACCAGCCTGGCCAACATGGTGAAACCCCATCTCTACTAAAAATACAAAAATTAGCTGGACATAGTGGCGGGCACCTGTAATCCCAGGTACTTCAGAGGCTGAGGCAGGAGAATCACTTGAACCCAGGTGGCAGAGGTTGTAGTGGGCCGAGACTGTGCCATTGCACTCCAGCCTGGGCAACAAGAATGAAACTCCATCTCAAAAAAGAAAAAAAACAGAAAAGAAATCTCTGCCTATCCCATGATCATGAAAATATTTCCCTTACGTTTTCTTCTAGTAGTTTGTTCTATCTGTCTCATTTAGGCTTATGCCCATCCCGAGTTAATTAGGTATATGGTGTAAGGTAGGGGTCAAGGATATTTCTTCTCAGTGTGGATATCCTGTTGACCTAGCACCATTTATCAAAATACTATCCTTTCCACCACAGAATTGCCACAGAGCATTTGTCATAAATGAAATTACCATGTGGTATGAATCTGGTTTGGGATCCTCTAGTCTTTTCCATTGCTTTAGTCGTCTGTCCTTGTACCAATACGCCATTGTCTTGATTACTATATGTATTATATATTATAATCTTTCTGTTTCTGTGGATTTGCCTATCCTAGACATTTTATATAAATGGAACCATATAATATGTGGCCTTTTGTGCCTGCTTCTCTCATTTAGCGTCATGTTTTCAAGGCTCTTCCATGTTGTAGCATGTGTCAAGAATTCATGCCTTCTTATGGCTGAATAATATTCCATCGTATGAATATACCACACATTGTTTATTCATCAGTTGGTGGGCATTTGTTGTTTCTTCTTTTTGGCTATTATGAGTAATACTGCTATTAACATTTGTGTGTGAGTTTTCATTTCTCTTAAGTGTATTACTCAGGAGTGGAATTTCTAGGCCATATGTAAACTCTGTGTTTAACATTCTGAGAAACTGTCCAACTGTTTCCTGAAGCAGCTGACCACTTACATTCCAACAGGCACTGTGTGAGGGTTCCAGTTTTTCTAACAACAATTCCTTGATATTGTCAGCTATCTAGTTAGGGTTTGAATTTCTTCAACTCTTGCATAAATGCTTTCATACAGTTTTTAGTTCACCTCAGTATCAAGACAAGGCTCATGTATTACATTTAGTTTATATGGGCCTTAAGTCTCTTTTCATCTCCCTTCCCCTCCCTTATTCTCTCCTTCTCTCTCTCTCTCTCTTCAACTCTATATCTCCTAAACACCGCCCCCACACGCATACTTGCTATTTATTTGTTAAGAAAATGGGTCATTTATCCTGAGGAATTTCTGACATTTTGATTTAGCTAATTACATCCTTGTGGTATAATTTCCCTGTATTTCCCACTAACTAGTAGTTAAATCTAGATACTTGATCAGATATGGATGATATTTCTGTAAAAACAACTTCATAGATGGTACCGTGTACTTCCTATTCTCATCACAGCAGTAGGGCCACATCTTTTTTTTTTTTCTTTTTTTTTTTTTTTGAGACAGAGTCTCACTTTGTCACCCAGGCTGGAGTTCAGTGGTGCGATCTCAGCTCACTGCAACCTCTGCCTCCTGGGTTCAAGTGATTCTCCTGCCTCGGCCTCCAGCAGTAGCTGAGATTACAGGTGTGTGCTACCATACCCAGCTAATTTTTTTGTACTTTTAGTAGAGACAGGGTTTCACCATGTTGGTCAGGCTGGTCTCCAACTCCTTACATCAAATGATCTGCCTGCCTTGGCCTCCCAAAGTGCTGGGATTAAAGGCATGAGCCACCACACCCAGCCTAGTAGGGCCATATCTTAAATCAACTTGGGCTGCCATAACAAAATACCATAGTCTGGTTGACTTCTGGAGTTTGGGAAGTCCAAGATCAAGGTGCCAGTAATTTGGTTCCTGATGAGGGCTCTCTTCCTGACTTGCAGACAGCAGCCTTCTCACTGTGTCCACACGTGGCCTTTCCTGTACATGTATGCAAGGAGAGAGATTTCTCTCCCTTCCTCTTAAGGCTACAATCTAACCCTAATTACCTCCCAGATGCTCCATTTCCAAGTATCATTACATGAAGATTGGGGCTTTAACAGATGAATTTGGGGGATGTAGGGGGACACAAACAGTTCATAATAGCCCATATTTTTTTGGTCTCTTTTTTGTTGTTTCGTTGTTGTTGTTTTTTGTCGCACAGGCTGGAGTGCAGTGGCACGATCTTGGCTCACTGCAAACTCCACCTCCTGGGTTCAAGTGATTCTCCTGCCTCAGCCCCTTGAGTTGCCCACCACCACACGCGGCTATTTTTTTTTTTTTTTTTCTATTTTTTAGTAGAGACGGATGTTTTAGCATGTTGGCCAGGCTGTTCTCAAACTCCTGACCTCCGGTGATCCACCCACCTTGGCCTCCCAAAGTGTTGGGATTACAGGCGTGAGCCACCGCGCCCGGCCTGGTCTCTCTTTTTATGGTGTTAAGATTGATTATTGGGTGTAGGTGTGGTCAGCCTGATCAATCTATGATAAGCTTTCCCATCAACTTTTCACCTAATGATCTCAGCAACCATTGATGATTATTACTTAGATTGGGGTGTCCAATCTTTTGACTTCCCTAGGCCACATTGGAAGAAGAAGAAGACGACTTGCCTTTAATTAATAAGTCCAGAAGGGCTCTGATTTGGGTAGTTCAAGTGTCCATTGCAGGTTTAATCAACTGGTGGCCACAGGGATGGAATATCATGCCTGGGCAAATTGGGTCAAATTCCCACCACTAGACAAAGTTCAGTAGCCATGGAGATGGGGTCTGTTAAGACATGGAATTTCCACTAGAACTCCATGGTTGAAGTGAAGTAGAAGCATCTCTCAGAAGAGCTGAAGGAATGAATATTAGACAAAATTATGGATGTCCCTTGCAGCTGTCAAATTTCTCTCCTTTCATTAGTATTCTGTAATCCCACAGTACTTTCTCATTGTTGTGTTTCTAATGGACTTTGTTAAATTTTATTAAGGCCAAGGACATGTAGTGAGTGAAACCAACATATTTGTACTTATTGCTGGGATTACTTCATTCAGACAAGTCCATTCTGAATTTTACTACTGGATTTTTTTTCAAGTGCAGCTGCAAGTCATTTTATTCTCAAGCTGCAAAACCTATAGTGGCTCCCCATTGCCTCCACAATTCATTCCCAAATTATCCTTCATGGATCATAAAATATTAGAAATACCTGGAAGTGAACCAGTCTAACCTTCTTCACTTTACTGATGGGGAAACTGAGGTGCCAGAAGATGATATGACTAACCTACAGACACCCAGATAGAAAGTAATTGATCTGGGACTAAAACCAAAGCTTCCTTTCCTTCCCACTTACCTCTTACACTCCTCTTAGGTCAGCAGCCTGTGCTACAACTAAATTGGCCACTTTTTTCCCCCCGTTTTGAGACAGGGTCTCTCTCTGTTGCCCAGGTGGCACAATCAGAGCTCACTGCAGCCTCGACCTCCTGGGTTCAAGCAATTCTCCCACCTTAGCCTCCCAAGTAGCTGGGACTACAGACATGCCACCGCACCCGGCCAATTTTTTATTTTTGTAGAGATGGGTTTTTGCTATGTTGCCTTGGCTGGTCTTGAACTCCTAAGCTCAAGTGATCCTTCCACCTTAGCCTCCCAAAGTGCTGTGATTACATGTGTGAGCACAGTGCCCAGCCTTAAACTGCCCTCTTTTATTTGAATAGTTCAGGGCTCCGCTTCCTTCGTTCCTTCACTCTTGCTCCTTACACCTAAAACACCCCTCCCGCTGCACCTCTGCATCTCATACCCCTACCCAATAAGCCTTTCCTAAACTGTCCTCGGGATGAAATTTCACCCTCCCTAGAATGGTCTAAGCACTTTGAATGTCACTTATTGCTATAGTAAGTCCCTTCAGATTTACAAGTTCCTCAAGGTCCGGAACCCATCTCTTCAAGAGAGTGTTTAGCACATGGCAGTCACTCAGTATTTGTTGAATTGAGCACATGTTGGTCCCCAGCTCAGTGAAAACAGATGATACAAGTTTCCTTCCCAATCCTCCATTTCTTTCTTTCTTGGGGACCTTCCCCTGGGGAAAAAAAAAATCACTTTTACTCGTGACTTGCATTTTCTCACAATCTGTGTGCTCTTTCACCTGGTGATTCGCAGCCAGAAGCCACACCCCTGAGTTACTGGGTACATCGTCAAAATGCTTGTGCTTCACCCACGCCCACCCACCCCCAATCCTCAACACCTCAAGGCTCTGAAATGCCTCCTTGGTTTATGGAGGGGGAAGGGAAGTACGAGGCCCCTCACTGGGAGATGATGGGGAAGGTGGGGCTCACTGGTGTCCCTCAGGTGAGTTGGGAGAGTCCTCCTTACCTCCTTGCACTCAGCTTCTGCCTTCCCCACTCCATGAACTTGCTTGAAAAGGTCCCCACAGATCTCTCACTTGCTAAATATAGAAGTCTCGTCTCAGTCTTCACCCTACTCCATGTTACGGTCACATTTTACCCTATTATACTACGTCTTTCTGGACATTTTTCCCCTCAGAACACTGCATCTTCTGTTCTCCACTTCCTTCTCAGATGGTCCCTTCTCAGCCTCCTTCCCTGGCCCCTCTGCCCCTTCAATGCCAGTGCCCCTCAGCATTCCATCCGCACCCTGCCGTGAGTTGCCTTTGCCTGGCCACATCTATTCCCTGCTGGCTCTCCTGTCTGCCTGTCTGTCCTGACACTTCAAGTGTGCTCCACTCTCCCTGGGGGCAGCTGCCATTATTGCTGGTGATAAAAGCAATAGGGACAGCCGGGCATGGTGGCTCACACCTGTAATCCCAGCACTTTGGGAGGCTGAGGTGGGCGGATCACCTGAGGTCAGAAGTTCGAGACCAGCCTTACCAATATGGAGAAACCCCATCTCTACTAAAAATGTAAAATTAGCCGGGAGTGGTGGCATATGCCTGTAATCCCAGCTACTCGGGAGGCTGAGGCAGGAGAATCACTTGAACCCGGGAGGTGGAGGTTGCGGTGAGCCAAGATCATGCCATTGCACTCCAGCCTGGGCAACAAGAGCGAAACTCCATCTAAAAAAAAAAAAAAAATAGGGACACCTACTGAGTGCTGACCCTAGCAGTGGAGTAGCCACATTTTGCATATGTAATAGTGAAAATTACTTATTGCTTCTCTGAAATTTAAATTTAACTGGGAATCCTGTATTTTTATTGTCTGTATTTGACAGTCCTGTCTACTTGGCACCTGTCCAAGCCCTGTACATGTATTGACTTATTTAATCCTCACAACAGTTCTGTGAGTTAGGTGCTATTATTGCCCATATTGAGGCCCCAAGAGTAATCTGCCCACGATCACATGGGTCTCAAGTAGTGTCACTAAATTGACCTCCAGCAGGCTGGCTCCAGAGCCTTTGCTTTAACCATTTCTCTGTCCTGGCTTATTCACCCAAAGCCATCCACAGAAGCCATCAAGAGAACAAGCTCTCATTTATGTACCAACGTCCCTGCTTTACCGAAGTGGCAAGAGCAGAGGTGACACAGATTGGTGAAAGCCTAGCTTTTTCCCCTGACGATGACCACAGGCAGGGCAGTGTGCAGAAATCCTGCAGCCTGAGAGCCTCTGCACCTGCAGGTTCAGGGTCATCTCTTTATTACTCAAGTCTACTGATTGCATCCTTCCTCTGCCAGACAGATAACTTGCAGACTTGTCCTCATACCTCCCCTGAGGTGTAGCAAGCAAGGCCATGTGTGGCTGAGTCCCCAGTGATCATCTCCTCCATTTTCCAGTGGCTTTTCTCATTGTAATGTCATTACCATGACAAGACTGTTCAGTGTTCCTTCCCCTAAGCTGAGCTCCAGGTGTGTTTTTGGCTCACCCCTTTTTAATAGACACACAATTCTGAAGCCTCCTAATTTTGTCAGTAATTCCCTAGTGCCTCCCCTAAATTCCTGACCTCACACATTCTGTTCCTATTAAACTCATACATGCCCATCCTGCAATGTGGTACATTATTTTTCCTGCTCAACACCACCCAATACTTCAGTGATTTAACTCGCCTTTATGGAGATGACGTTTTTTTTTTTTTTGAGACAAAGTCTCACGCTGTCGCCCAGGCCGGAGTGCAGGGACGGGATGTCGGCTCACTGCAACCTTTGCCTCCCAGGTTCAAGCCGATTCTCATGCCTCAGCCTCCCGAGTAGCTGAGATTACAGGCACGCACTACCACACCCAGCTAATTTTTGTATTTTTAGGAGAGATAGGATCTCGTCATGTTGGCCAGGCTGGTCTTGAACTCCTGGCCTCAAGTGATCCACCCACCTCAGCCTCCCAAAGTGCTGGGATTACAGGCATGAGCCACCGTGCCTGGCCTGGAGATGACTTTTAAGTAAAGATTTCTAAGCCAGCCTTCCCTCCAGAACCCCACCCATGTTTCAGCTGCTTGCTCTTGTCCAGGCTCCCCTGGCTGGGACCCTCACTTCTTTACACTTTCAATGACATGTAGTCATGCGCAAGTACATTTCCTCAGGGAGCCGCTGCAGAGGAGGGCCCCTGGAATGATACCGTTGTGTCAGTGCTTGTGCTTAAGATGCTGTCCTCAAGGTGTCATAGTCATTTAAGAAAGTTTTTATTAAAACATCCAAGGGCCAGGCACAGTGGCTCATGCCTGTAATCTCAGCACTTTGGGAGGCTGAGGCGAGCAGATCACAAGGTCAGGAGATCGAGACCATCGTGGCCAACATGGTGAAACCCCGTCTCTACTAAAACTACAAAAATTAGCTGGGTGTGGTGGTGCATGCCTATAGTCCCAGCTACTCGAGAGGCTGAGGCAGGAGAATCACTTGAACCGGGGAGGCGGAGATTGCAGTGAGCCAAGATCATGCCACTGCACTCCAGCCTGGTGACAGAGCAAGACTCTGTCTCAAAAAAAAAAAAAAAAAAAAAATCCAAGAAGTACATTCTCTGTGCATGTGAAAGAAAATATGGTATTTTGATACAGCAGCTAAGAAAAAGCTTCTAAGGATGGATTTTTATTAATGGAGACTCTAGCAACAAATGAAGAAAGGCCCTGATCCTATGTCATATTTCAGGCACTTTACTATAGATACTATTAATGTTTTTTATTCCATCTCCCTAAGCAGAAGATTGTCTTTTTCTCCACTCTTGCTCGGTTTAAGATGCTGAATTTGCTGGGTTTTTCTCTCTTATTAAACAGGTTGGTCAGGCCAAAGATGAACTGCTGACCAATCAGCTGATAGACCATCTCCTGGGGGAGAACGATGGCATGCCTAAGGTACTGAACACGTGGGCTTCGTGTGCATCCTCAGGTCTCAGTTACAGTTTGATTCTGCCTGTTTTTACCCATCATGCTTTTACAACATAGACATGAAAAATTTTCTCTCTGCCAGTAGTGTAGATCATCTAGACCAGGAGCGTCCAATCTTTTTGCTTCCCTGGGTCACATTGGAAGAAGAAGAATTGTCTTGGGCCACACATAAAATACACTAACACTAACAATAGCTGATGAGTTTAAAAAAAAAATCGCAAAAAAAACTCATAATGTTTTAAGAAAGTTTACAAATTTGTGTTGGACTGCATTCAATGCTGTCCAGGGCCACATGTGGCCTGCAGGCTGTGGGTTGGACAAGTTGATCTAGACAGACCCTGCGTTTTGGAGGATAACGTATATTCACTCTTTAAAATTGGCTTTGCCACCTATGAGATAGCCATGCCCCTCTAGATAACAATCCTCACCACATACAATTTTTCTCAAATGTTATAATTTTGTTTATTCTAGGAACTATGAAAAAAGATCACTGATGTTGCAACTATGACCTAGCATTCATCTCTAAAACTCAGAGGGTGCTTTGTTTACATTTCAAAAATTATGGAAGTTAACAAAAATCAGATTAAGCATAAAGGTAGTTCTCTATAACATAAAATAGAAATAAATTGGCCAGGCGCGGTGTCTCATGCCTGTAATCCCAGCACTTTGGGAGGCCAAGGCGGGTGGATCACTTGAGGTCAGGAGTTGGAGACTAGCCTGGCCAACATGGCGAAACCCCGTCTCTACAAAAAATATAAAATTAGCCAGGCATGGTGGCATGCGCCTATAGTCCTAGCTACTCAGGAGGCTGAGGCAGGAGAATTGCTTGAAGCCAGGAGGCAGAGGTTGCAGTGAACCGAGATTGTGCCACTGCACTCCAGCCTGGGCGACAGAGTGAGACTCCATCTCAAAAAGAAAAAGTAAGAAAGAAATCATTACAAGCATATTTTCAAAATATGCGACTCACTGTGGCTTCCTACAGAACGTCCATCTTCTCCCAGTCCTGGTGAGGAGAGACCCACACACCTTTGAGAATGCCCCAGACCTCCTTCCCCTTTGCTTTATGTTCAAGGAGATTTGCTGGTGAAGAACTCAAGTCACTGATTGGAAACGAGGGCAATAGAATGTCACAGCTGGAGAGGACCGTAGTGGTCCCTGAGTCCATTTTCTGCATCTTACAGATAAAGCCACAGAGACCCAGAGCAGCTCAGTTAACTTGCCAAAGGATACAGGCCCTTCAACTGCTCCAGCCACCTCCCATGGTGTCCACTTATTCCAATAATTTGAAAACCAGCGTCAGATGCTCGCAGCTGTCTAGAGTTGGAATAGGAATGGAAAATGGCCAAAGGCCAAAGAAAATGTTATAGGTCAGAGAAAATTGATATGCATATAAAAATTATGGAAAGTTTGCAAAGTTCATATATCATGTAAGAATATATTTTGTTTCCAAGTACATGAGAAATACTCTGTGGAGTAGGGTCAGGAATAGACTCAGATCCTGTGGTTCAAATCCTGACTGGCCCCCTCCTGTTGTTTCAGCTTCTTATCTGTGAAATCGGGATAACAATAGTGCCTTCTTCCTAGGGTGGGTATGAGGATTTAAATGCATTAGTATTTCTCAAGTACTTAGAATACCACCTGGCCATATTGAGCTCTGAATAAATGTTTAATAAATAAACGAATTCTTTATTCATTGAGTTTTTAAAGCAATATCAATTCTCAGTTACTGGCAGATGAATGTGATTCTAACTGCAATACAAAAATGTAATCTCCCCTTAGCTAATGAAGAAAGTAATGTTTCTATAATGGTTTATGTGTCAGGATGCCAAGTACCTGTTCCGCTTGTACATGGCTCTGAAGCAATACCGAGAAGCTGCCCAGACTGCCATCATCATTGCCAGAGAAGAGCAGTCTGCAGGTAGGTCCGTGATACGTATGTGTTACTTCCCAAGCAGGCAGCAGAATCAAGCCCCAGCCCCTTTTCTGTGTAGGAAAGAGTAGCCCCTACGTTTGTAACATAGGCTTGCTTTGAACCCAAAAGACTAAAGAGATGACCATTTCTAGGTTTCAGAGGGGTTAAACAATGTACTATCCCAGGAGACTGTATAAATGTAAGAGACTAAGACCATCTCTTGTCAAGTGCTATTTCCTCTCCCCCACAACCTCAGAGGTTCTGTCTCATGAATGATGTCTCCTCTCACCCCTCCAGCCCACAACCCCCTTCCTACAGTCTCACGGCATTTTCTTTCCATTCCCTGTGTTTGGCCTTAACAATATGAGACATTAGGCGATGGAGGGTAATGATGCGGTGCTGTTACAGACCTAGTTCTTTATAATATGCAGAGGCTTGATAGACTCTTCAGGATGGTTCTGCTCACATGTGCTCTGTCAATACTTATTGAGTGAGTAAGAGGATTAGTCTGATATCTTCATTAATTTTTATGAGCTGATCTTCTTAAATCTTTATAAATGTGGACACAATTTTGGAAAATATGCAGTCAAATAAGTCATTACTTTATTCAGCTTACGTTGATCTAACAACACCTTCTTCCTGTCAGATGCGTGCTAGGAGCTCAGGATACAGAGAGAACTGAGCCACAGTTCAACCCTCAAGGTCATGATTTGATGGGAGAGACAGAAAGTAAATTCAGAGTTGGACGGGATGACAAGTGCCAGACTAGAAAGAGAAATAGGCTGAAAAGGCACAATTAAAATAAGAGCGACTGCTGGGTTACCCACAGCATCCTGAAGGTTGGGGTAGGGAGAGTTGGAGGATGGAGACGAGAGAAGGCAATGAAAGCTTTACCTGAGTTTTGAAAGGATGGGGGAGCAGGTGACGAGGGGAGTGGAGGTTGCTGGGAGCCAGAGTGCTGGGATTTGGGGAAATGGGGAGGTGGGGAAGTGCTGGGATGAGGAAAAGTGCTGGCAAGGCTGCAGCATTTACACACCTGGAGAAGAAAGGGAGGGAAAATCAGGCCAGAAAGGAGCGCAGAGGCCGATCCTGAAGGGCACAAGTCCTCTGCTCAGGAATTTGCACTTCCAGGCGTGAGTGGCGCCATTGGAGGGTTTTATGCAGGGGTGTGACCTTGAGTTGTTTGGGTGTGGATCAAGGCTTGAGGGTTTTGAAGGCATACTCTGACATCAGATGTGGGCCCAGAGCAATCCTGATGAGCACTACAGCAGAAGGAAATGATGAGAAGCATTCACAGTAGGCATGGGAAGGGAGGCTGGAATTGGGAGACTGAGAGTTATACTCAGAACTCCATGGCCTGGTGGACTTCAGGGCCAGGGGGGTGCCCTGAGGAAGAGTAAGACATCAAGGAGGACACCACCATTTTTCACCAGAGCAACTGGCTAGATGTTCATAACATCAATTAAAATAGGAAATCTGGCCGGTCACAATGGCTCATGCCTGTAATCCCAGCACTTTGGGAGGCCGAGGAGGGTGGATTTCTTGAGCCAAGGTGTTTGAGACCAGCCTGGGCAACATGGTGAAAACCTTGTCTCTACAAAAAACACAAAAATTACCCAGGCATGGGAGGATCACTTGAGCTTGAGAGGCAGAGGTTGCAGTGAACAGAGATTGTGCCCTTGCACTCCAGCCTTGGTGACAGAGCGAGACCCTATCTCTGACAGACAGACAGACAGATAAATAGGAAATCTGCTGAGTTGCTTTGAATAAGACATTATTAAGAGATTACTAATAACAAGATTAACAAAATCCACTAGTAAGATGGGGGTCCATAGAATGTCCTCAGATGTCACCCTTTGCAGTAATGTCGTTTTACCACCTTTTTTCAAGGCAACTACCGGAATGCACACGATGTTCTCTTCAGTATGTATGCAGAACTGAAATCCCAGAAGATCAAAATTCCCTCCGAGATGGCCACCAACCTCATGATTCTGCACAGCTATATACTAGTAAAGGTGAGGCCCATGGAGTGACTTGGGACATAACCTGCCAGGTGTTTGTCCCCCATTGAGATTTTCTCCAGGCCCTTCTCCATTGGATTCGAGTGATTGTCTAGATGTCTGTATTGTTAAGTAACAAAACAAGATACAGAACATATCTACAATACGCTGCTTTGTGTGGAATGAGGCACGGGGCAGGAGGCACAGTACCAAACTCCAGTGTGGGGACAGGGAGACGGGGAGATGAGGGGGACCAGGCTTCATCATGTGCATCTTATTATAGTGTGTGGGTTGTTTTGTTTTGTTTTTGAGACGACGTCTTGCTCTTTACCCAGGCTGGAGTGCAGTGGCACGTCCTCGGCTCACTGCAACCTCTGCCTCCCAGGTTCAAGCAATTCTTCTGCCTCAGCCTTCCAAGTAGCTGGGATTACAGGCACACACCACCACACCCAGTTAATTTTTTTGTATTTTTAGTAGATATGGGGTTTCACCATGTTGGCCAGGCTGATTTCAAACTTCTGACCTCAAGTGATCCGCCCGCCTTGGCCTCCCAAAGTGCTGGGATTACAGGCATGAGCCACCACGCTCAGCTTTCTTATATTGTTTTGATTTTGAAACATGTAAATGTATTGCCTGTGCCAGAAAAATAGATTTACTTAAAACATCTTTCTTTATGCAAAACTTGTTAGTTTATTTATTCTGTTAGTGGATTTCATAAAATTCCACTGTTTTGTAAATATTGTTTAGTTTTCATCCAAATATAAAAATAATACATATTCCCTAAGAAAGTTTAAAAAATATAGAAAAGAATTTTTTTTTTTTTTTTTGAGATGGAATCTCACTCTGTCACCCAGGTTGGAGTGCAGTGGCCCGATCTTGGCTCACTGCATCCTCCACCTCCCTGCTTCAAGCAATTCCCCTGCCTCAGCCTCCTGAGTAGCTGGGATTACAGGCAAATGCCACCACACCCGGCTAATTTTTTTGTATTTTTAATAGAGATGGGGTTTCACCACGTTGGCCAGGCTGGTCTCGAACTCCTGTCCTCAGGCAATCCACCTGCCTCGGCCTCCCAAAGTGCTGGGATTACAGGCGTGAGCCACTGTGCCCGGCCAGAAAAGAATTTTTTAAAAATTCGTCCTTTAAGTCCATCACCCAGATATAACAATTGTTAATAGTGTTGTATATATTCTTTGTACTTCTATAAATGCATGTTTTTTACCAAATTGGGATTATGTTTAGTTGTGTATATTCTGTTTTTTAAATCAGTAATTATCAATACAAACAAAAATAGATCCTGCAAACATCAAGTACTTGTATGTATAATTTACATAAATGAGGCTGGGCATGGTGGCTCACACGTGTAATCCCAGTACTTTGGGAGGACAAGGCAGGAGGATCACTTAAGCCCAGGAGTTTGAGGCTGCAGTGAGCTATAATCACACCATGGCACTCCAGCCTGGGCAACAGAGCGAGACCTCAACTCTAAAAAAAGACACAATACAACTTACATAAATGTCATGTATATTCATGTGTACATTTATATATATACATATCTCTGTAAAGATACAGGCAGACTCCAACTTACATATTTTTTCAAATATTCATTTATGTCGCAGTACATCTTTCCGTATTAATGCTAAATTGGTTCTCTGACCTGTCCACAAGAGCAGTCATGTTATGAATGATTTACATCCTAATTATTGTCTATATCAGCACTGTCCAGTAGAATGTTCTACAGTGATAGAACTATTCTATACTGTACTGCCCAATATGGTAGCCACTAACCTGGCTATGGAGCACTTGAAATGCAGCTAGTACAGCTGATAAACTACATTTTTAATTGTATATGATTTTAACTTTTAAATTTAAGTAGCCATACGTGATTAATGCCTACCACAGGAGACTGCACAGGTCTATAATGCTGATTCTAAGGGAAATGCATCTGGAGTTATAACTTGCAACCTCCAGGAGTACACTTCCCTTCAGAGAGGCAGGAGGATCCTTCTTCCATAAAGAAGGGGGTTTGAAGGAGAGAAGTCTTTCTCAGCTGCAGACATGAGTGGTGATTCAATGTCCTGGAAGCACAGAATCTAACAAAATGGAGTCTTTAGGAGTGCAGGGGGCACAGAAACACATTGGTGAAAGATGCGGGGCAAAAATAGGAATTCCTATAAGAGGCCCTCTTGCAACAGAGCTTTCTAGCACCATAAGCCACAGGGGTGCTTCTTGAGTCCTTTTCTTTTTCTCTGGCCCCAAGGGTTGGCATCATTCCACACTCTCACCAAGTATCCTCAGCCCTGACCCCACATCTGTCTGCTTCTCTCCATCCCCACTGCCCCACCTTTTTGGCCTCCTTGTCTCACCCCTGGATGACTGCAGTGGCTTCATGTCCTGGCCCCTGCTGACTCTCGAGGCTCACCCCATCCTAAACGCACCCCTCGATGTGTCACTGACCCTCCTGGTCCTTGCCCAGTCTCAGGCCTTCTGCCCGTCATTGCCCTCTTAGCACAGACACGGCGCCTTTCCTTTAGCAGATCATTCTCTCTCTCTCTACCTGATTCCTGACTCACACAGCTTTTGGGTCTTACCAGAACTTGGTGAAGTTGGTCCCCCAAGAATGGCCAGTAAGAGATAGACTGGGGATTTGAACCCATACCAAGTGGTCTAGGGCAAAGTGAAAAGCAGAGCATAGAGTAGGTGAGGCCATGGGGCCAGGCAGTAGCTGTTGAAGAGAAAAAAGTGGAGGGATCTCTAATGGCATCAGCCAGGAAAGTCTACAAGGATCCCACAGTGACCCTGGGCCATCATCAAGGAGTTGTTTATTTGGGGGAACAAAGCATGAATTGGGGCTAATCAATGACTATAAGAAGAGTAAAATATGTCATTTGTTTCAGATTCATGTTAAAAATGGAGATCACATGAAAGGGGCTCGCATGCTCATTCGGGTGGCCAACAACATCAGCAAATTTCCATCACGTAAGTACCACTGACCAGAGCTCTCACCCATGCCCCATGCCCCATGCCGCATGCTAGCCCAGCGCCCCTTTTGCAGGCTCCCCTCATACACTAACTCGTTTAATTCTCACAGCAGCTCCATGAAGTGGTATGTCAGGGCCCCAAGACCACTCCCAGGTTTGATGACTCTTCACTGGGAGGATTTACAAGAGTCAACACACAGTAGTACCAAAGCCGAGATTTATCACAGCAAAAGGATCTGAGGCAAAATGAGCAGAAGGATTCACGCAAAGGCGAGCAGGTGCAGGCACGGACCTCCAAGAGTCCCTTCCCAGTGGAGCACACAGGACGCAAGTTCCGTAACTCCTCCACGACTGACTTGTACAACATGGTGAAACGTAGAGTGCCAAGAAGCTCATTAGAGACTCAGCAGCCAGGAGTTTTATTGGGGTGTGGTCACATAGGTGCCCCCTGCGTGGCATGTGCCCAGTTTTCCAGGCTCCCAGAGAGCAGGTGTTCGGCATAAACCACGTTGTTTGTACAAAGATTTTAGGCACGGTGAGCCACTCATCAGTTCTGGAAACGGTGGGAACCGTCTCCAAATCTATGTTCCAGATGCGAGCCGAGGGTTAGCTGTTCAAGCCTTTCCAAGGATGACAGTCTCAGGCCTGCACACACAAGTACTTTTCTGAACAAACTGGGACAAAAGAAATAACATTTGCCCAAGATCACATTGTCAGCTAATAATAGCCTGACTCTGTGTTCACAAGCACGGTAGGACGTTGCCTCTGAAAAGGCCTCACTATTCCAAAAGACATGTCATGATAACATTCTTAAGTGATTAAATACTGTCACATTACATGACAGGGATCAGCAAACTTTTTCTGTAAAGGACCAGATGTTAAATATTTTAGACTTCGTGAGACATGTGGCCTCTGTCACAACTGCTCAACTCTGCCATCTTCTCATGAATAATACGTAAACGAATGGGCATGACTGTGTTTCAATAGAGCTTTATGTTTGGACACAAATGTTAACCACATACACTTTTAACATGTCACAAAAATATTTTTCTTTTGATGTTTTTTCAACCATTTAAAAATGTAAAAATCATCCTTAGCTCATGGACCATACAAAAAGTCAGAGGGCTAGATTTGGTCCATGGGTCATAATTGGCCAACCCACATTCTCTAAGTGTATTTTTGTTGTTGTTACATCAAAGTCTACCATGCGGGCAAGGTATGGGATAGGACAGGCACTCTCATGACTGCTGGTGGGGATGGAAATTGGTATGGCCTTTGCAGAAAGCAGTTTGGCAATTTGTGGTAAGAGTATTTTTTAAAAGGTCCTGTTTTTGAGCCGGTAATTCTGGGTGTCTGTCCTGAAGAAAGAATTTGATGCCTGCAGAGAGATTAGTGTATAAAGTCATTAATCCCCCTAATGCTTTTATCAGCAGTCCTGTCAGATGCAAAAAATATCTAAGAGGCATGAAAGGAAACTCATGGAAGTGTTGCCTCAAGGGGTGCAGGTCCTAGTGTTACAAGGCAGAACATGGTGTCATCAAAGGAAAAGCACTTGATGGGCAGTTAGCCTGACCCCACAGCTACGTACTTTCCTCATTAAACAGATCATATCTGGTTCTTTGCAGAAAAAGCAAAGTTCAGAGACCATGACCCTGTTTTCCTACAGAACCAGGGTGGAATCCCGCCTGTATCACTGAGGACAGCAGACACTGTGCTGTTGCTGCTCTCCCCTTTTCTCTTGCAGACATTGTACCCATCCTGACGTCAACTGTGATTGAGTGTCACAGGGCAGGCCTGAAGAACTCTGCTTTCAGCTTCGCAGCTATGTTGATGAGGCCTGAATACCGCAGCAAAATAGATGCCAAATACAAAAAGAAGATCGAGGGAATGGTCAGGTAGGCAGAGATGGCTATTTCTGCTATCTAATCGTATTTCTCAAAGTATTTCCAAAAATGTAGCTGCCAGTGTGCAAGCTCAATAAGAAAACGGTGGGGGGCCAGGTGCAGTGGCTCACACCTATAATCCCAACACTTTGGAAGGCTGAGGTGGACAAATCACTTGAGGTCAGTAGTTCAAGACCAGCCTGGCCAATATGATGAAACCCTATCTCTACTAAAAATACAAAAATTGGCTGGGCGTGGTGGTGCACACCTGTAGTCCCAGCTACTCAGGAGGCTGGGGCAGGAGAATTGCTTGAACCCGGGAGGCAGAGGTTGCAGTGAGCCGAGATCGTGCCATTGCACTCCAGCCTGGGCAACAGAGTGAGACCCCATCTCAAAAAAAAAAAAAAAAAGATGGGCATATCAATTAGGATTGTATTTAGCTCTAAGCATCAGAAAACCTAACAGCAGCTTAATCAAGTCAGTATTTATTTGACTCATACACAAGGCATCACAGTCCAGAGCTGGTGTCACCGTGCCTTGATGCCACCAGACCAGATCCCCGTCTTCCAGCTTTGACATCCATAGCATAGAGGTTTCCTCTTCATGGTGGCAAGACATCTGCCACACCCCCAGACATCATGTCCTCGTTCCAGGCAGGAAGAAGTAGGGAAATGAGAGGTCAAAGGGATCTTCGCCTTTTTGTTCAGAAAGGTACCATCCTCAGGACCTTCAATTTTCACCTCCATGGCCAGTACTCTGCCTCACAGGACTTAAGGCTGCTAAGTGGAAACAAAGTTCTGTTGGCAAGGAGATGGAGAGAAGCAGCGAACTATGTCTGCCAAAGAGGGATGAAGAAAATAGTGGACGTTCAGTGGAAGTTCCTCTCAGTGTGAGGAACTTCATATTCACAGGGCCCACTGCCAGCAGAGAGCTCATTTCCAAATCCTGTGCAGCCCCAAAAGCCCTTAGGCACGTCCTTGCTTCAGAAAGCAGTCAGTAGCCTGGTTTTTCTAGGTTTTTCTAAAGAAAAACTAGGAAAAAGTAGCCCTTGCATTTGGAAAAGAAAAAAGTCATTGCAGTCATAGAGTAATTCTAAACAACCACTTTTTCAGAAGTGATGACATGTGGGGTTCCTGTTCATTACATTATGACGAGACCCAGGTACCTGAATCTTGGATCCAGACCTTAGCCCAGGGAGATGACTGGATTGGTAATGACAAATGGAAGCAAATGACACTTCACTGGTAGCTGGGCTTGGGAGCTACCCTCATGGCAGAGAGCTCTAAGCTGGATGGGAGTACATAGAATACTCCTTTTTTTAAGTCTAAGTAGCTTCAGACCAAATCGGTCTGACCCAGAATACCTGCTAGTATGGAGAGTGGGATGGGGAGAAGGTAACTAGAAAATGCAAGATCATGTTTACCCCAACAGCATAGAACCACGCTAGCTGGGGCTCTGGCTGGGAGGAGATGCTAGTCATTCTCTCCCCATGCACAAATGGTTTATAGCTATGTGGTCCAATATGGTACCTGCTAGCCACATGTGGCTATTTAAATTTAGTTAAAATGGAATAAAAGTTAAACTTAGTTCTTCGCACTACCCGTATTTCAAGTGTTCAAATGTGGCTCATGGCTACCATATTGGATAGCACAGAATCCAAACATTTCCATTGTCACAGACAGTTCTATTGGACGGTGCTGGTATAACTTGTACCACTTCTGTTACACAAAAGGGAGAGACAGAGGGAAAATACCAAGCTCACCACTCCAGTAGCACAGGAAGAGAGAAGACCGCAAGACCTACCCATGCTTTCTGCCGTTGAATGTGCTATGAACTCCAGTTCCCAAAGGTGGCCCATGTAACACCCTAGAACCTAACCAATCCTAGGTACTCTTCCTCCTCCCTGGAGTGGATCAAGGGCTGGTGTGAGCTTGTAAGTATCTCTCTAAGCCCAGAGTCTGACTATGAAGTAGGTGTGTCATATGTCCCTGGTTTTCCAAATATGCTTTCTCTTTGCCATCCCCGGTACATGAATAAAACGGCATTTTTAAATGACATGATTCTTCCTCACAGGAGACCCGATATATCTGAGATAGAAGAGGCCACGACTCCATGTCCATTCTGCAAATTTCTTCTCCCAGAGTGTGAACTCCTCTGTCCTGGATGTAAAAACAGTATCCCATATTGCATTGCAACAGTGAGTTCCTTTATAGTAATTTCCCTTTCTTTGCATATATATTTGTAACCCATTTGAATACTTGATGTATGTCAATATTTTCTTCACTTTTAAAATAATCTTATCCCTCAAATTTCCTGCAACATCTAGCATTTTATTTCATAGTCAATACAGTTAAAGGTGATATTCAAAGCAAATAATAATAGTGGAGGCACTATCACTGCAGGACCAAATAGCACAGACTCGGGGATCAGACTATCCCGGGCTCAGTCCTCTGTAGTAACACCTGCCTACTGAATCAACCACAGATTGACGAGCTACACAATTCCTTGGTGCCATCCTGGCAGGCTGCAGCACTTAATAAGCAGTAGTTTTTATTATAATATTGAGACCTAGTATCAGAGAACTTTAACATATCAGGTTATTTATAATTCACTGGATTAATTTAAGCTTTATTTTAAAGAAAACTAAATTCAGGTAATATCACAAAACTGAATATTATTCCTTTAAACATGAATCTGATAAGTAAAACCTAGCTTTAATCCTTTTAATGCTGTCTCTCTGTTACCCACACATGTGAAATAGCAATGATTTTATAATTTAGAGGTCTGACTTATAACTGGAATTCAATTATTATAATTGAATAACAGGCAGGGTACAGTGGCTCATGCCTGTAATCCTAGCACTTTGGGAGGCCGAGGCAGGCGGATCATTTGAGGTCAGGAGTTGAAGACCAGCCTGGCCAACATGGTGAAATGCTGTCTCTACTTAAAACACAAAAATTAGCCAAGCATGGTGGCGCACGCCTGTAGTCCCAGGTGCTCAGGAGTCTGAGGCAGAAGAATCGCTTGAACCCAGGAGGTGGAGGTTGCAGACAGCCAACAATGTGCCACTGCACTCCAGCCTGGGTGACTGGGCAAGATTCCGTCAAAAAAAAAAAAAAAATTGACTAACAGTGGGAGTTTTTAAAATAAAGATGAATTTAACTCTTAAACATCCTGTTTCCAGGGTCGACACATGTTGAAAGATGACTGGACGGTGTGTCCACATTGTGACTTCCCTGCTCTATACTCAGAATTGAAGATGTAAGTGTGCATCACGTCACTCAGTCTCACTGATTTCTCCCGACACAGGCCTTTCATTCTACCTCTTTTCTTCCGAAGCATTCTTCTATTTGTGTTCCTAAGGATCTCTAAAGACTCAAATTGTCTTCTGGGAAGAACCTCCTGTGACCTTTGAGAATATTATCTTTAAAGAGGATCTTGCATGAGACTGAATAGTTCTGATTCTCAAATTGCATGGTGGACATGTGTTAAGAGGTGTAGACAGAAAGTTGTTGTCTTTCTCATTAGAGTAACCCAAAGCTAAAGGAATGTTATATATTTAATTTACTCTGCCTTTCCCTCCCCTAAACAGCATGCTAAACACTGAAAGCACATGTCCTATGTGTTCAGAAAGATTAAACGCTGCTCAGCTGAAAAAGATTTCAGACTGTACCCAGTACCTGCGAACGGAGGAGGAACTGTGATTGGCACGTGCAGGTGAGTGGCAGAGCGCCCACGCACCTTCTGGGCGCAAGGGCCCACAGCGTGCACGCAGCTTTTCACTGTGTATCAGCATCAACTCCTTTCAGTGCACCATGGAACTTGCCAGATTTGAACAATCTGACAACCACCTTTTGATGTATTTTTTTTAATGCTAAAATGCAGGTATTATCATCTCCATAATGACAAAGGTTGTTTAGCCAAGCAGTATGATTCTGACTAGACCAGATTTTGTCAAATCTCACAGGGGTCTTTTTAATCACTCCATTAAAACTAGAGCCAGCTAATAAAAGTATTTTTTTTTAGGGTCTGTGATATAATTCAGGAGAATATATTGTAAAAATGTTGGCTTCCAGAGATTTGGAAATAATCTCCATTTCTTTTTCTTTCCAAGTCCCATTTTTGTCACGTGGAAGCTACACATATTCCTTCTACTTCATTCCATTGGAAGCACTTACTCGTGGCCACACATACTGCGGAGGAAGGCAGGGAAATGTAGTCTTTAATTGAGAAGCCAAAAGCCGTGCCAAAACTCAGGATATTCTTTTACCAAAGGGAAAGGTGAAAGTAATTCATCTCTGACACAGCATCTCACACTTAGCCTGGTTAGATAGGAGTCGAGATGTCCCTCCACAACCTCTCTCTGTTTTCCCTTCCTCAGGAAGCGGCAGCTCCAGCCAACCAGTTGGACAGGACAGAAACCTACATATTATCTAGATACCTCTCACCCTCAGCCCCCATGAGCAAGGGCTCTCAGGCTATCTCCAGTATATCTGGTTCGTGGTTCTCTTGGCTTTTTATTGCACCTGCAAAAACAAAGAGCCTCCAAGTCTGTCCATGAACAGGCCCAGCCTCCTCCTCCTGCCTCAGGTCTGATTACTCACCATGTTGCAGCCCCACTGGCCTTCTTGCCCTTCCCTGGCCACTCCAAAATGTTTTCCACAGAAGTTGCACCCTCTTACATTCCCACCATCAGCACACAAGCGTTCGTCTCTCCATTCCACATCCCTGCCAACAGCTGCTGTCTGCCTTACTTTTTTTTTTTTTTTTTTTTTGAGACAGTCTTGCTCTATTGCCCAGGCTAGAGTACAGTGGCATGATCTCGGCTTACTGCAACCTCTGCCTCCCAGATTCTAGTGATTCTCGTGCCTCAGGCTCCCTGAGTAGCTAGGACTACAGGCGTGTGCCACCACGCTCGGCTAACTTTTGTATTTTTAGTGGAGACGGGGTTTCACCATGTTGGCCAGGCTGGTTTCCAACTCCTGACTTCATGCGATTCGCCGGCCTCAGCCTCCCAAAGTGCTGGGATTACAGGCATGAGCCGCCACACCCAGCCGGGTGTTTGTCTTTTTATTGTTCAGTTCTAAGAGTTCTTTATATGTTCTAGATACAAGTTCTATATCATGTATATGATTTGGAAGTATTTTTTTGTGGGTTTTTTTCCCTTTTCTTGTTTTTTTTTTTTTTTTTTTTTTAATAGAGGCAGGGTCTCGCCACATTGCGCAGATTGGTCTCGAACTCCTAGGCTCAAACAATCCTCCTACCTTGGCCTCCCAAAGTGCTGGGACTACAGGCATGAGCCACCATGCTCAGCCTTGGTAGCATCTTTGATGCACAAGTATTTTATTTTGATGAAGTCCAATTTATCTGTTTGATTTTCACCCCCTTTGGTTGCTTATGCTTTTGGTATTGTATCAAAAACCATTGCCAGGCTGGGCACAATGGTGCATGCTTATAATCCCAGTGCTTTGGGAGGCCAAAGTGGTAGGATCACTTGAGCTCAGAAGTTTGAGACCAGCCTGGGCAACATAGTAAGACCATGTCCCTACAAAAAAATAATTAGCCAGGTATGGTGGCATACACCTGTAGTCCCCGCTGCTTGGGAGGCTGAGGCAGGAGGATCACTTGAGTCTGGGAGGCTGAGGCTGAAGTGAGCTGTGATCAAGCCACTGTACTCCAGCCTGGGCAACAGGCTCAAAAAACCAACCAACCAATCAACCATTGTGTAAAGTAGACACAGTGGCATGCAGCTGTTATCCCAGCTACTCAGGAGGCTGAGGCAGGATTGCTTGAGTCCAGGAGTTCAAGACCAGCCTGGGCAACATAGCGAGATCCCATCTCTAAATAAAAACAGTGCCTACTCCAAGGTCATGAAGATTTACACCTGTTTCCTTCTAGGAGTTTTATAGTCATTACTCTTATATTTAGGTCTTTGATCCACTTAGTTTTTGTGTCTGGTGTGAGATAGGGATGCAGCTTCCTTCTTTTGCATGTAGATATCCAGCTGACCCGGCAGAATTTGCTGAAAAGACAAATTTTCCTCATTGACACTGGATTATTGTCTATTTGAGATGTAAGTTTTTTATGTATGTATTCTAGATACAAGTTCTTTGTCAGATATATTTTGCAAATATCACACTCTGTGGCTTCCCATTTCTTTTTCTGAATGGTATCTTTTGATGAGGTTTTGATTTTGATGAATTATAATTTGTTAAATTTTAAATTTTTTGGTTATTGCCTTCTTTGTCCTAAATATATATGTGTGTGTGTATATATATATATATATATATAGAGAGAGAGAGAGAGAGAGAGAGAGAAAGCCTACTAACAAGTCAGGAACATATTTTTCTGTTTTCTTCTAGAAGCTCTAGATCTGCAATTTATCTTGAAATGATTTTTGTTTCCAGTGTGAGGAGGGGTTGGGTTTTCTTCCCCTCAACTGGATATAAAATGTGGGCCTATTTCTGGACCCTCTCTTCTTTGCCGTTGACGTGTTTTTCCCTTGTTTTAATACTACACTATCTTCATTACTGTGGCTTTATAGACTCTCTTAAAGTCAGGTACTGTGGATCCTCCAATGTGTTATTTTTTTTTCCAAGATTGTTTTGGCTGTTATTCTTTTTATCTTTGTAGACAATTTTAGAATCAGTTTCTCAAATTCTGTTTTAGAAACCTGCTCAAATTATGATTGGGGCTTGTATTAATTTTGTTGCTGTATAACAAATTATCACAAATTTAGCATCTTAAAACAACACACATTTATTATCTCACAATTTCTATGGTTATGGGTCAGTAGTCTAGGTATGGCTTAGCTGGGTCTTCTCAGGGTCTCTCAAGGCGATAATCATCGTGTTGACTGGAGCTGAAATCTTATCCGAAGTCTTTTTCTAGTCTATTTGTTAGGTTTTGTTTTCTTTGGCGGGGGGAGGATTCTGATCTTTATGGTCAGAGGACTGAAGCCCTTAGCTCCTACAGGCAGTTTCCTGACACGTGACCCTCCCCACAACATGAAACTGCTTCAAGTCCAGTGTAAGAGCATCTCTCATATTTACAATCTCTCCCTTCAGGTAAAGTCTGGACCCTATTATAAAGGGCTCACCTGATGAAGCCCACAACAAACTCTCTTTTGATTTGGAGTCCATTGATTGGGACCTTAACTACATCTGCAAAATTCCTTCATCTCTATCATATAATTAAATCTAATATGGTTATTATCACATCATATCACAAGCCCTGCCCACACTCAAGAGGAAGGTATTACATAGGATAAGTATCACTGGTGTGGGAAATTTAGGGACCATCCTAGAATTCTGCCTATCACAACAGTTAACATTGATTCTGTAGATCATTTTGAGAACTGACATCTTTAACAGCAGTCTGCCAATCTATGAATATGGTATATCTCTACATTTATTTAGATCTTTTTCAATTCCTCATCACTGTTTTGCAGGGTTTTTTGTTTGTTTTTGAGATGGAGTTTCACTCTTGTCGCCCAGGCCAGAGTGCAATGATGCAATCTCAGCTCGCTGCAACCTCTGCCTCCCGGGTTCAAGTGATTCTCCTGCCTCAGCCCCCCAAGAAGCTGAGATTACAGGCGCCCGCCACCACGTCCAGCTAATTTTTGTATTTTTATTAGAGATGGGGTTTCACCATGTTGGCCAGGCTGGTCTTGAACTCCTGACCTCAGGTAATCCACCCACCTCGGCCTCCCAAAGTGCTGGGATTACAGGTGTGAGCCACCGTGCCCGGCCTATTTTGCAGTTTTGAATAAAGAAGTCTTTCGTGTCTTTTGTTAAATTTATTTCTAAATAATTTGGGGAGATTTTAATACTCAATGAAATTTAGTTTTTCATTTTCTAATTGATTACGTAGGAAAGTGCAATTAATTTTTATATATTGACCTTGCATCCTATAACCTTTCTAAATTGACTTATGTCTAGTAGTTGTACTGTAGAATCCTTAAGATTTTCTGCGTAAAGTCATCTACAAATACACAAAAAATTTACTTATCTTTCCAATCTTTATAACTTTTATTTTTCTTCTCATACACACTGGCTAGGACCTCCTCTGCAATGTTGTATAATAGTAGAGTCAACATCCTTGTCTTGTTCTCAGTGTTGGAAGAAGGCATTTAGTATTTCACTATTGTGATGTAAGATTTTTCAGAGAGGTCTCCTAACAAATTGTGGAAGTTTCCTTCTAGTTTACTATGTGACAAATTTTGTCAAATGCTTTTTCTCTATCAATTGAGATGATATGGTTTTTTCTCTTTAATCCATTTATATGGTAAGGTATATTGATTTTCAATGTTAAAGCCAACTTTTACTCTGGAGATAAACTCACTTGATCATGATGTATTATCCTATTGCTGGATTATTTTGCTAATATTGAGAATATTGTGTCTGTGTTCATGGGGGATACTGGTCTACAATTTTCCTCTGTTGTGTTTTTTTTTCAAGTGTTATTATCAGGCTGAATTTAGGTCTACAATTTTGTTACTTGTTTTTTATTTGTCCTATCCACTTTTTGTTCAGTTCCTCTTGTCTTGCCTTCTATTTGACTAAATATTTTTTCGTATTTCATTTGATTCTTCTATTGACTTTTTACCTATGTTTTTACAAAATTTTGTACTTGATTAATATCCTATTATATATATACACACACACACAAATATACATATGTACACATTATAAATCCTGTAATACAATGATATAATTTTTCTTTAGTTGTGTCTTTTTAAAGGAAATTATAAAGAAAAAAATACAATGTAGCTTTACATTTACCCACATTTATAATTTCCATGTTATTCTTGCCTGAATCCAAGTTTCCATATGGTATTATTTCCTTTCAGCCTGAAGTACTTCCTTTGACATTTCTTACATGTGCAGGTTTGCTGGTGACTTCTTCTCTGTCTTTATTTTCCTTCATTTTTGAGGATATTTTCGCTTGATATGGAATTCTGAGGTTTTCTTAAAGCACTTTCACGATTGTCTCCAGTATCAAACTTCATTGTTCCCCTGCATTTACTGGTTTCTTTCTGGCTACATTCAAGGAATTCTCTATTTTTGGTTTCCAGAATTTTGACTATACTTGCCTGGGTGTGGTTTTTAAATTTTTTTAACTTGGGATTTTCTAGAATTCTCGAATCTGTATGTTTATATTTTTCCCTCAATTGGGACATTTTGAGACATTATTTCTTCAATCACTTTTTCTATCCCTTTCTGTCTTCTCATTCTGGAACTCCAGTAATATCTGTGTTTGACTACTTGATGTCAAGGTCACTAAAGTTCTTTCCTCTGTCATCTTTTTTTTCTGTTCATATTGGATAATTAGTTTTGATCTATATTCTAGTTCACTGACCTTTCTTCTAAGTAAGTAAAAAAAATTTTTTTTTTTTTTTTTTTTTTTTTGAGACAGGATCTCACTCTGCTGCCTGGGCTGGGGTGCAGTGCCACAATCATCGTTCACTGCAGCCTCAAACTCCTGGGCTCAAATGATCTTCCTGCCTCAGCCTTGCAAGTAGCTATGACTACAGGCATGTGCCACCATACCCAGCTTTTTTTTTTCTTTTTTTTAGACATGGGGTCTCACTATGTTGCCCAGGCTGGTCTTGAACTCCTGGACTCAAGTGATCCTCCCACCTCAGCCTCCCAAAGAAGTGTTGGGATTACAGCTGTGAACCACCATTCCTGGCTTTCTAAAAAAAAAAAAAAAAAAAAAATTCAGATTTTGTCCCAAGTTTATAACTGTTATCTATGGGAAAATTAAACTGCAAGTGGAACCTTGTATTTTTAAAAAACATCCACAGAATCTCTCCAAACACTATCAATCAATCATGGCATTAGATTATGCTTTATACAAAACTTCAAGTAACCAGACCATGGTACATCATAGCTCCTTGCAGATATGTCTTCATTGAGTTATGATTATGCACTATCCTTCAGAAACGTCACTATAGCCAGGCGCAGAACCTGTGGCCATAGTCGCAGCTACTCAGGAGGCTGAGGCATGAGGATCACTTGAGCCCAGGAGCTCAGGGCTCTAGGAGACTATAATCATGCCTATGAACAGCCACTGTACTCCAGCCTGGGCAATGTAACAAGACCCCATCATCTCCTAGGAAAAAAAAAAAGACACACACAAAGTCACTGTAAGCATCCTTATACAGTGAATACTGGTTGAAGCTGTTGTTCACTGGCGTTTAGACAAATATAACTGTTTAATTTCAGGAAAATTTTTTCTCTACAAATTGCTGAGCACTTTGCATTTGTTCTTCCCAGTGAGATGGCTGTTATCATCAGCATCCTTACTTCATTACAAAGGCTCAAGAGCTTACCCACACAATTTTAGTCAGTTGGCAAGGCTAATACTGAAACTTGATGCGGATTACAGTCTAGAGATTTCTAACTTGAATGTTTCCTGTTCCACATTCTAGAAACAGGCAAAAAAAAATTCTTTTTAGTATGTTTGGCTTTATTACTAAATGCCAGCCATTACTTGAAACCCTTCTAGAGGCATGTGTTCTGTTTGTCCTTTCTAGATACAATGCTCCTGAGAAGACAGCATTTTCCACAGGAGGCTGTTTCCTCCCCTGGTGGATTTAAGAGACGGTCCTTTCTGGATACAGAGAAATGAAACAACGGTGACCTCTCCAGGTCGGCACTTTCCACTTCTGTACGGTGGCAAAACGATGACATGTAACCTTGCTGTTTATTGTACTTTGTATATTATTTCCTCTTCAAAGTCTTTCTTACACACTCTATCCTCTGCACTGTTAATAGTAACCTATGACATAATTGTAAATATTCAGCTTTTTGCTAACTTTTGTATTTTGAAAAACTTTAAAATAAAATTGTTGACTAGATATCTGTGACGTTTTTCTGGATTTGGAGACAGAAAAAGAGATAAAGGTAGTTCTGAAGGACATTGTCAAGTTTGAACACAGATGTGAATGGTGTAAAAAGCTTGAAATGAAAAGCTGTTGTTTATACAAATCACAGCTATTAAGCAGAATCAATCAGCCCAGAAGCAAAACATCAAAAATTAGGAAAACCAATCTTGTAAAGAATGAATGAAACTATCAGCTTATATCTATCTGCCGAGTCATTCTACTGCATACTACAGAATTCCCGTCACAAAATTAAGTCATTTGACTTCCCCTGAAAACATACATTGTTTGTTTGGAATCATCTTCTCTGAGGCTGTGTGAAGGTTCTTTTTCCCCATATCACACATACAACACACACCATCTGTACACACACACACACTCTCTCTTGCTCCAAGGGAGTACATACTTCTTCTTCTTTTCCCACATCAGTATATGCTTCCTTGCCATCCAAGGCCAGTCACCAAAGTCTGAGCAGCTGACAGAAATGAGTCAGGGAGTCAACTGTGAATGAATCCGATGATATTATTTTACAGTATGGCCCCAGCAACCTGAGCATTACAGTGGTACCCAGGGGCCTAAGCTAGGGCCCAAGGTGCCAGTAATGTTGTATAGCATCCAAGTATCCCAACTGCATGATGCCTCCAGCTTCAGGACCTGTCCTTCCCTCCCAGTGGCCGGCCAGAGAACAGGCCAGAGGCCTTGGCCTTACTAAGTGGTACAAAGTTATTATCATCATAAAACCTACCCACAGTCCCCTGCTTCCTCTAATATGCCTGGAGGTATACTGTAAGGCTGTAGGAATAAGAACCACAGGCACCTGGGACTGTGAGAGTGGGCAAATAATTCTTAGGAGTTACAGGCCTTAGACCTTCACCATGAGCATACTCATACTGGAGCTTGTTTAGGAAGCTACTCATCCTAGTACAAATAATCTACCCCATCAGTAACTTTAAGAGATCAAATCATGGTGGTGCTACAAACTGCCAACATTTAACAAGATGAAGGCTAAAGCTGAATGGTGTGTAAGTAACAAAATGGCCGTGACTCAATGGATCTCGAAAAGAGTAAGTATACAGTTTTATGCTGCAAAGATGGCATGTGCCATCAAGTGGCTCCAAAAGGCCACATCATCGGTGGCTCCAATGAAGACTCAACCCCAATACAGACCATTCAGATTCACATCCAAACTGCTGCAGAACCACCAACTGCCTCCTACCATGAATCTCACTCATTCACCTCATGGTCACGAGGGCTTCAAAGAGGAATCAGACCTATGCCATCCTCATAAAGGGCATATTTACAATTTCTAATTCTAAAAGAAATGCTATTAATTTTACACACATATTATCCCAATCTTGGGTTTAAAACATTTAAAATTACAAACAAAATCATAATGAACAAGTGAAGGACACTATGCCGCATCCTGGCTGCATGGAGATTCAAGTCTCTCTCCTGGGGGCTGCAGAAGACCTAGGGAGACGTGACTTGCATATCCAAAAGGCATAGAAATGGAAGAACATGAATAGGAAAGCCAGCCTCACCCTACTGGTGAGAAAACCTTTCCTGAAGCATAAGAATTTCAAGATGGACTTTAACAAAGACAGGGTCGTGACTCAGCAGGCAAGGGCTTAGGCAATGTTTTATTTCCATAATGAATTAATCTCCATAAATGACATTTTTCACACTGGTAAATACAGTTTAAATGTCTCAAGAACTTTGTCTCATCACCCAAACAAGACTACCAGTTCCTTAAAGCAGGGAATACGATCCTTATTTTACATTCATTTTAGTATATACCTCACAGAGGTAGCACAGACCTCTGAGCATTTACCAACAAGATTAAAAAATAGCTAGACATCTAAATTCCAGGCTAGGTCCATAGCCTCACGGCCACTCAACACATACAGTTATAGGAATAACCCAAACTTCCAACAGGGTTTGTGGAAGCCATCACAGGACAGGACTAGATCTCTCAGGGGCAAAGTGAACAAAAGCCAGTGTTCATTTTGTCCCCCACCATAGTGAAATTAAGAGCCTGACCCAGCCTGGTTCCTACTGGTCTGAACCTGATGGGTTGAGACTCCAGAAGGATAAGAATGTCTGAGAATCTTCTGCAGCCCCCCACGCTGCAAAGCCCCATAACAGACCACTGCATGAAATCCTATTCACAGCAGAGACGTGGTCAACACACACAGAGGGAGTGAGGCTGGGAATCCGAGTTCTGACTCCTCGACTGCCAATGTTATGTTTCACACAACAGGTTAGTAAGGAATACAGTGAGCTTTTTTAATCCAATCATTTGCAAATTAATAAGGAAGTAATATACCAACATAATATTTTGCTGTACAAGATGACAATCTTAAAAAGAATTTGTACACATATCATGTGGAACATTTTTATTCCTAATTTATACTTTGAAAGATATCTGACAATGTACAAAGAATACCCAGTTCTAGGTGGTGACTGTTTTGTATAATCATTTATTTACAAAATTTCACCACATAATAGGAACTGCCTTTAAAAAAAATCAGCATTGGTCCTATAAAGGCCATTAGGATAAATTCTTAAGCCTACAAAAGACGCCTTAGTACTACTGCTCCCAGGCTCATTATTGTTAACTAAAATCTGACTCCAAAGCCCAGGTGTAGTTTCTAGTTCCAATTCTACAGTCATTCAGAAGCACGTCTAACTAGATTGACAGAGGACAGTGGAGGACCCAAGCAGTCCTATCAACCTCTATAAGAGGTGTACATAAGCCTACTGCTCATACCCTTCTAGCCATACCACCCTTTATTTATAATGGGACACCAGGTCATCCCATTATGCTAAAACATGGTTGCTCTGGGAAAAAACAAGGCTTTCTCTAGACCAGCTGGACTGGTCAGGAGGGAGAGTAAAAAGTGGCTGTCGCTAGTGAAAAATGGTTTCATTTCTTCGAACTTTTTCCTTTTCCTTTTCTGGGCTCCTTATCTTTTTCTGGTTTTGAAGGCTTTGAAGATTTTGTCTTTTTCTGTTAGGGGGAAGATAACAAAATAGTTAATAGCTGTGTTTATGAGTAAATGAAATAAGTTCATCTCTATAACAAATCTAATCTTTACCTGCAACTTAATTAAAAAAGAAGAGAGGCTGCAAACATCGAGATCTTGAACTACTGCAACCCATGAAGCGCTTACAGCAACAACTGCGCCACTTACAGCCTTTAAAAGCTGGCAGTAAAAACTTTTAGTTTAGAATTTAGAACTAGGATCCGTTCCCCATGTAAGACAGTTTCTTGGATTTAGAACAGAGGTATACTTAGGAAAGACAAAATAAGCAAGAGGTAATTGACAAATAGGGTAATGTTTAGATGAAGAATTTCCTCTTCTTTCAGTTTCAGATTAGAGGTGTAAACAGTCATTTTGTGAAAGCAGAAGAGAGGGAGAGAGGAAGACCACCTGTTAGGGTCGACATGGGAGCCACAGTGAAGAAGGCCACTATTCCTACTCCTGCATACAGAAAACAGAAATGAAGGGCAAGAAGCACCCACACCCAGCGAAGGACAGAGGAGGATCAGATGAGGTTCCTTGGCTCAGCCAGCTGTACACAGCAGGCTGATACCACAATTGGTTTTCATATTTCCCATCAAAAGACAAGAATGTTTTGCTCTAAGAAACTTCTACAAAGCAGTTTAGTGGCTATAGCAAAACATAAGCAACAGAAGAAACTGTTTTGTTACAAACATTTTTCTTGAAAGCATACACCAATGGCTAGATAAATAAAAATGGTACTTTTTCTAACAGAACATATGGCCGTCAATATCATGGCCTGTTTTCTTGCTGTTTGGCTCTTCGACTACCATAAGAAACTTTATAAAAATGAAATCTCTACCTTCTCCACCCTCAACCATGATGAACAAAAAAACTTAAGAAGTATTTTCAAGTTATTCTGCTATGTGCTGAAAAGGCCCTATTATTCACCAGGCAAGGAAAGATCATCTATTTTGAGGTTCTCCTGTCTGTGGCTTAAAATACTACCTTGATCATGGCATCAGTTTCTATAGCATCTTGGTCTTTCTCATCAGATTGAGAGTCATCTTCATTTAATTCTTCATTGTATTCCGAATCCAGGGATGGGCTTGTGCTGTGTCTAGATGCCTTTATAGCTTGAAGTGAGTATGGAGTAAGGTGGGCTTCCTTATTGTAAGCTCTTGTGAAGGCTGCTTTCACCTATATGAAAGGAGTAGATGGAGTTTTTAAAAATCTAAGTCCCAAACAATTCTTTTAAACTCTGTAAGCCTAAAGAGACCCTGGGAGCCCCCTGCAACTGTTTGCAAAGTATTTATGTATATACATGTAAATCTAAGTACGTGCATTTTTCTGTGGATAAGTTCCATATTTTTCATAACATTCTTAATAGAGCCCATGACAAAAAAGACTGAAGGTGGGGCACAGTGGCTCATGCTTCTCCATGAGAATCTTGAACCCAGGAGGTGGAGGTTGCAGTGAGCTGAGATTGCGCCACTGCACTCCAGGCTGGGTAACAGAGTGAGATTCTGTCTAAAAAAAAAAAAAATACGTATATATATATTTGGGAACTTTAGGCAAACAAACAAACAAAAGGTCACTTCAAGTCATCATGTTTACCTATTCAGCATTCTCCACATTTCTACAAAGTAGTAAGCAAAGTTAATCAGTGAATCAGTAAATCAAAAAGGGGCTCGGCTGGGTGTGGTGGCTCACGCCTGTAATCCCAGCACTTTGGGAGGCCAAAGCAGGCAGTTCACATGAGGCCAGGAGTTTGAGACCAGCCTGGCCAACATAGGGAAACCCCATTTCTACTAAAAATACAAAACTTAGCCAGGCGTGATGGAGTGCACCTGTAATCCCAGCTACTTGGGAGGCTGAGGCATGAGAATGGCTTGAACCCGGGAGGCAGAGGTTGCAGTGAGCCGAGATCGCACCACTGCCCTTCAGCCTGGGCAACAGAGCTAGACTGTCTCAAAAAAAAAAAAAAAGGTTGGGGGAGCTCATCACAAGATATAAGTTGGCCTTTAATTTCCACAAAACACTAGATACCTTTTCCATAATAAGAGTAGTTACTTCAAAATACTAAGTAACTTGAAAGTCTTACCTTCAAGCTTCTAAACATAATTCCTGAATTAGTCCATGAATTCTAACAATGGATGTCTGCTGTGAGAATTTACTGATAACCATAAAGTCGGGTCAAAATTCTGGGGAGGGCAAACTACAGAGAATATGTCTTCTAAAACGCATTCATTACACAGGTGCAAGAGTTGGGTATTGGATGTTACATATTCATGATGTATCACTTTAGTTTTTTTCGTCTCATTATAAGAAAAGTGGGGATACATTATTACAGAGAAGATTATCCAACTGGAATAAATACTGAATCCACAGATTAGGTAGACTAAGAAAAAGAAAATTTGTACAAATCCTCAGCCAATAAACATATTTTATTTTTACAACCCATTACCACCAGAGCTCACCGCTCAACTTTTAATTCCCTAGACTCATCCACTCATCCTTTATAAAGAATATATTTATATTTGCTCCTCAAATTTCACTTCTTGCTTTTCCACTGAGCATAAAGCAAAGATAAAAATACAAATTGTAAAGTCAAGCCCAGAAGTCTACTCTTAATACTGCATTCAAATAGTATCTTTGGAAAATATAGGCCATAAGAAGCAACAAGCATTTGAGGGGAAAAAGAAGTAAATCTTAAAGCATCTAAAACACCTCCGAAGTATTGTCAGTACAAACCTGGTAATAGAAAGTGACGAAGAACCAGTGAGTGACATGATTTACCTTGGGATCCA
Source organism: Homo sapiens (assembly GCF_000001405.40). Classification (NCBI taxonomy): domain Eukaryota; kingdom Metazoa; phylum Chordata; class Mammalia; order Primates; family Hominidae; genus Homo; species Homo sapiens. Next base: position 39,291,650 of record NC_000004.12, read on the forward strand.
GCTTTGAAAAGGGACTAGGTTTGCCACCCCAGCTGCTGATTTCCATGATATTCTCAAAGTCTTCTTTCATCAAATAATATGTGTCCATAAGTGCAACAACATCCTGTACTCCGTCTACTCCTTGTGAGGTCAAGGGCTGTACAAGTGCATCCCTTAGAAGCGACAGATAATCCATGTTTACAGTCCTTTTGCTGGAGTAAGTTCTGAAACCACAACAAAAGAGACATAGTCAACAGCAAAGTATCAACTCAAGTCATACTGTGCATAACAGCACTGAGTTAATCAGGCAGAGTTCAATCCAATTTCAATAATGCTGAATGGAATGCCTACTATTTGACAGCCAGCTGGTGTAGTTTAGAAAGCCCAGCACCACAGCATGAGGGTAATGGGTACACATCAATGTGCCCAAAGGAAATTTTCTACTTACCTACATCAGTGACTGAAAAACATACGTGGATTCTACTTCCACCCTACTCTTAAGGCCCAGGCAACAGAATGTTTCTTTGTGTTCATAAATATGACTCGTTCCAAGTTCCAAAATATTAAAAGCATCAGTATAAGGCAATGAAATTCCCTATCTCAAGTGTGTGAATGTGTATAACACCTTTTGGTCCCTGATTATAACACACAAAATCATATATGAATGCTTCCCTCACATTTCCTAATACTGTTACTCTGAAATCGTCAGTTCTAGAGCCGGCTTTTCTCCAAATCTAAGAAAATTACAGAGTGTTCCCACAAAATCAAAAAGTGATCCACAGTGGCCAGAGGAAGGTTTAGGGAAACAGTCTCTGGTCTGCTGAGAACTCGAATGTTATCATAAAATGACTCTTTCTTTCTCTCTTAAATGTTGTCACTTCTTAAAGACAGAAAGCAACTGAACAAAACAATATTTCAAATGCCACCATCCTAAATCTTTCCAACCCAGCTGCCTCTATCTTCAAACCAGGCATTTATATGTATACATTATTTATTTATTTATTTATTTATTTATTTATTTATTTATTTAAAGACGAAGCCTCACTCTTGTTGCCCAGGCTGGTGTGCAGTGGTGCAGTCTTGGCTCACTGCAACCTCCACCTCCCGGGTTCAGGAGGTTCTCCTGACTTAGCCTCCCAAGTAGCTGGGATTACAGGCACCCGCCACCACACCCGGCTAATTTTTTTTTTTGTATTTTTAGTAGAGACAGGGTTTCACCATCTTGCCCAGGCTGGTCTCAAACTCCTAACAGGTGATCCACCCGCCTTGGCCTCCCAAAGTGGTGGGATTACAGACGTGAGCCACCGCACCCAGCCTGTATACGTAAAACTTCAAAAGTTGTTGTTATCAGAACCAGCATCAGAAGCAAAAAGAAATGATTCTTTACAAATTGTCTATGGGTCCTGCTCCTGCCTTCAAGGAACTGAATGTGTGAACCATAAGAAGCCACAGCTTTTTTCCTGATCAGAAATCTAGACTCACCCTCGCAACTATTACCTAGACAAAGAGTTTTTAAAACTCTCCTAGTTTAATTTCATCCATTTCCTCTAGATTGTCTTCCATAATTAAGCACGCTAGTACTTAAAGGAAGCAGTGTGAGTCCCTAAGCCACAGTACCCCCAGAAATCATGAAACCATTTCCAAAACTGTTCTACAATGTTTTACAGTATCATCATCTTCTAATAGACTCATAGAAAAGTCAAAGATGCCATTTAGTGCACCTAAACCAAGGGTTCTTAACCTCAGGAATCTGTAATTCCCCTAAAAGTGTTTTCTTTGTGGATCTGTGCATTGTCAGGGGAATAAAAATCAAAGCATTCAGATTCTCAAAAGCATCTATGACTCCCAAAAAGGTTACAAACCAATAAGATCACTCTTCCATTTTTTAAAGAAGAGAAACGGACCTACAAAAAGTTCAGTGACTTGATCAGGGTTAAAAAGTAGGGAGGTCTTAATTTACTTTAAAAATTATGAATTCACTATAAATGTCTTTGCTGATAATAATGGCCTAAATATGACCCAACTACTAGATGAGGAGGCCGCAGTTCCCACCCCCAAAAATGTTTGGTCTAATGAGGGAAGAGGACAGTGAAGAATAGCCATAAAACAACCCGGAAGTCCAGGGCTCAAAATCTACATGGAGTCTAGCGGGAGCATCTGAGAGGGCTACCCTAGGGCAGAGCAACCCATGACCTTTAAAAACGCCAGGTAAGGAGCAGGAAAACAGCAAGAGGCAGCCGCAGCCTTGCCAATGAGAAGAGCCATGGGGAAAGCAGACTTTCCAGCTTCTGGAGGCCACCTGCATGTCTTGGCTGATGGTCCCTGTCTCTCTTCTCAAGGCCTGGCGTAGCATCCTCAGACCTTTCTGACTCTGACACTACTGACTCCCTTTATGAAGACCCTTGTGATAACTGCACAGATAATCCAGGAAAATCTTCCCAGCTCAAGATCAGGACTGAGGGTTGATGCCTTCTAAGATCTTGATAAATTTGTGTTGTTTTAAGCCATTATGTGTGTTGTAATTTCTTACAACAGCAACAGAAAACTAATACATGGGTAGCACAAAAGACTCATGCCATAGGTTAGAAAGAGAACAAGATAATAAAATAGAATTTTACAGGAACAGAAAAAAGGAACTAGCTCAGGTCAGCTCTAACCAAAACTTAAAAGTGGAATGGGGGATCAAATATTAATATTCCTTCCAGGGACCAGATGGCAAATTAAGATCACTCAAGTAGTTCATGGTTAAAAATGAATCCAGGGGCCGGGCGTGTGGCTCACGCCTGTAATCCCAGCACTTTCGGAGGCCAAGGAGGGTGGACCACCTGAGGTCAGGAGTTCGAGACCAGCCTGACCAATATGGTGAAACCGTCTCTACTAAAAAATACAAAAATTAGCCAGGTGTGGTGGCATGCACCTTAGTCCCAACTACTCAAGAGGCTGAGGCAGAAGAATTGCTTGAACCTCAGAGGTGGAGCTTGCAGTGAGCCAAGATCACACCACTGCACTCCAGCCTGGGCGACGCAGTGACACTCTGTCTCAATAAAAAAAAAAAAAGAAAAGAAAAGAAAAAAAAGAAAAATGAATCCATAGGCCAGGCATGGCGGCTCACGCCTGTAATCTCAACACTTTGGGAGGCCAAGGCAGGCAGATTACTTGAGGACAGGAGTTCAAGACCAGCTTGGGCAACACGATGAAACCCCATATCTACCAAAAAATACAAAAATTAGCCGGACACGGTGGCGTGCGCCTATAATCCCAGCTACTCAGGAGGCTGAGGTGGGAGAATCACTTAAACCCGGAGGTGGAGGATGCAGTGAGCAGAGATCGCATCACTGCATTCCAGCCTGGGTGACAGAGTGTGACCTTGTCTTAAAAAAGAATAAAAAGAAGAATCCATAAAGTGTACTTAATATTTATGCACATTTTCCAAGTTTCTAAAGTTCAACAAAACTGTACCAAATGCAAGTATTTTTGAACTTCCTTAAACTTTTCCAAGCACATTCATTTTCAATGATCTGAGCAGCCTCCTCCTGTTACATGCTAAACTGTTATTTCCTATCCCAAATGACTAGGTCAGTTTACTACTAGAGTAAATTGGTAAAAAATAGTTCATTTCTTTAAATAGTTCAATTATTTTCCTATTAATTATTCTGAAGCTGCGAAGCTATTCCCACTAATAGGCATAATAACAATAACAGTAACAGTGCCACCTCAGACTTACGCAGTCTTTAAAATTTTAAATTATGACATCTACCATTTTATTGTCCAAAGTATCCTTTTAAGTGGCAAAACAAGTGTTATACTGATTACAGATGATAAAACTCAGGCCCATAAAATATAAGGAACTTATCCAGGATCATTCATCTAGTTACCAATAAAATAAAAACTAAAACACAAATCTTTTGACTCACATGATCATTACTGGATAAAGGCCAAATACACCAAATCGATAAAATACCCGAAACAGAGTAATCCCACCTACCTGAGACTCATATGCAAGGCCAGGTCCTGAACAATACGATCATGTTTGCCTGTAGACGAGTGCTTCCCCAGCCAGCTTGGGAAGGTGGGAAACTGGGTCATGTACCCCCTCATCAACTCTCCAGGAAGAACACTGGCATAAATGGCCTGAAAAAAAATCAATTGCAGTCCAGAATTTATGTTCCGTACAAAGTTACTTCCTTAATAGTCATTGGCTTCCAAACAGTCTACGGAAGATAAAGCAACACTGTACCAAATACCTACCTACAGGGCAGTCAGACCCTTTCTATAACTCTGATCTGCTGGTACAGGAAACTTCTCCCAGAGAAAACAACAGATTGCGGTACACACCTTGATCCAACATGTTATGGCCCTCAGGGAGATCATGTCGCCAACTCAGCCTCCTCAAGCAACTAATCTCAACATACCGGTTACCTCACCGATGCCAACGTCACAGCAAATAATTACTTAAGAGGGATATGATGGTCTTTAACATAAATGACTGACAACATAGGTAGATTAAAGCATAGAAAGACTAATGATTACGGTCAATTAAACTGGCATTTGAGAAAAGTTTTTTAAAAATGTAACCTTAGATGTCTTCTATGTCCAGGGTTTTCACTTTCTTTTTTTTTTTCTTTTTTTTTTTTTTATTATACTTTAAGTTTTAGGGTACATGTGCACATTGTGCAGGTTAGTTACATATGTATACATGTGCCATGCTGGTGCGCTGCACCCACTAACTCGTCATCTAGCATTAGGTATATCTCCCAATGCTATCCCTCCCCCCTCCCCCCACCCCACCACAGTCCCCAGAGTGTGATATTCCCCTTCCTGTGTCCATGTGATCTCATTGTTCAATTCCCACCTATGAGTGAGAATATGTGGTGTTTGGTTTTTTGTTCTTGCAATAGTTTACTGAGAATGATGATTTCCAATTTCATCCATGTCCCTACAAAGGACATGAACTCATCATTTTTGATGGCTGCATAGTATTCCATGGTATATATGTGCCACATTTTCTTAATCCAGTCTATCATTGTTGGACATTTGGGTTGGTTCCAAGTCTTTGCTATTGTGAATAATGCTGCAATAAACATACATGTGCATGTGTCTTTATAGCAGCATGATTTATAGTCATTTGGGTATATACCCAGTAATGGGATGGCTGGGTCAAATGGTATTTCTAGTTCTAGATCCCTGAGGAATCGCCACACTGACTTCCACAATGGTTGAACTAGTTTACAGTCCCACCAACAATGTAAAAGTGTTCCTATTTCTCCACATCCTCTCCAGCACCTGTCGTTTCCTGACTTTTTAATGATTGCCATTCTAACTGGTGTGAGATGGTATCTCATTGTGGTTTTGATTTGCATTTCTCTGATGGCCAGTGATGATTAGCATTTTTTCATGTGTTTTTTGGCTGCATAAATGTCTTCTTTTGAGAAGTGTCTGTTCATGTCCTTCGCCCACTTTTTGATGGGGTTGTTTGTTTTTTTCTTGTAAATTTGGTTGAGTTCATTGTAGATTCTGGATATTAGCCCTTTGTCAGATGAGTAGGTTGCGAAAATTTTCTCCCATTTTGTAGGTTGCCTGTTCACTCTGATGGTAGTTTCTTTTGCTGTGCAGAAGCTCTTTAGTTTAATTAGATCCCATTTGTCAATTTTGGCTTTTGTTGCCATTGCTTTTGGTGTTTTGGACATGAAGTCCTTGCCCATGCCTATGTCCTGAATGGTAATGCCTAGGTTTTCTTCTAGGGTTTTTATGGTTTTAGGTCTAACGTTTAAATCTTTAATCCATCTTGAATTGATTTTTGTATAAGGTGTAAGGAAGGGATCCAGTTTCAGCTTTCTACATATGGCTAGCCAGTTTTCCCAGCACCATTTATTAAATAGGGAATCCTTTCCCCATTTCTTGTTTTTCTCAGGTTTGTCAAAGATCAGACAGTTGTAGGTATGCGGCGTTATTTCTGAGGGCTCTGTTCTGTTCCATAAAAATATGGAACGCTTCACGAATTTGCGTGTCATCCTTGCACAGGGGCCATGCTAATCTTCTCTGTATCGTTCCAATTTTAGTATATGTGCTGCCGAAGCGAGCACTTCACTTTCTTAAAGGCTGGAATTATAGTTTACATAAATTTTGTATGCTGCTTTACTCTAGTAATTCCCTCACAAGCACTTTTTCATATTAGATAATCTTTGCAAATAGTTTTAAAGGCTATAAATACTTCTTCAAGAGGATTCATCATAATTATTCTCCTACTGCTAGACATGGAGATTTTCTCCAACTTTTTGTTATCAGAACACTTTAGGAAGTATTTTTGTACATTAAGCTTTTCCTGTGTTAAAACATTATGCCTTTAAGCTACAATTATTAAGTAAACAAAACAAAACACATAAAATGTAAAAGAAAAGATTCTGGGCCAGGTGCAGTGGCTCATGCCAGTAACCCCAGCACTTTGGGAGATGGGCAGACAGCTTGCACCCAGGAGTTCAAGACCAGCCTGGCCAACATGGCGAAACCCCGTCTCTACAACGAATACAAAAATTAGCTGGCATGATGGCGCACACCTATGGTCCCAGCTACTTGCAGGGCTGAGGCGGGAGGATCACTTGAGCCCAGGAGGGCAAGGCTGCAGTGAGCCATGATCACACCATTGCATTCCAGACTGCCTGACAGAGTGAGACCTTGTCTCAAAAAAAAAAAAAAAAAAAAAAAAAATTCTGTATCTCCAGAATGAAATTTTGTTTCTTGTTTTCAAGCAATGTGTGAGTGGAATCAAGAGAAGCATTAGGCTTTCTGGAAGCGTCTTACTTATTTTATTACTCAGGCCAATAATCCTGTATAACTATACAAAAGTCAAAAAGAACGAATAACTCTCTTAATTACAAATGTCTATCAAATTCTGTTTCGAGTTAAAGATCTCAACCTAAATACAGTACCCAATATAAAACTGCCTTTTTAGCAAGGAAGAAAATCCGAATGAATGCATCAGAGACATGGCTGCTGGCCTGCCCTAGCTGCACTGCTTCTAGAAGCCGCTACTCAGTGACCACCTGGGAGAGCCAAGAATGACCAAAAATAAAAAAACAAGGATTCTTAAGGTAAAACACAGCAAATGAAACTTTTGATTCACATCTTACAACCAAAATCTAACATTCCTATTTCTATGTGTCCATTTACATTAAAAATTTTTTGAAATATAGAAAAATAAGGCCAGATTGGGCCGGGCGCAGTGGCTCATGCCTGTAATCCCAGCACTTTGGAAGGCCAAGGCGGGCGGATCACGAGGTCAGGAGATTAAGACCATCCTGGCCAACACTGTTGGGAACAGGCCCCCCAAAATCTGGCCATAAACAAAATCTCTGCAGCACTGTGACATGTTCATGATGGCCCTAACGCCCACACTGGAAGGTTGTGGGTTTACGGGAATGAGGGCAAGGAACACCTGGCCCGCCCAGGGCAGAAAACCGCTTAAAGGCATTCTTAAACCACAAACAATAGCATGAGCGATCTGTGCCTTAAGAACATGCTCCTGCTACAGTTAACTAGCCCAACCTATTCCTTTAATTCGGCCCATCCCTTCATTTCCCATAAGGGATACTTTCAGTTAATTTAATATCTATAGAAACAATGCTAATGACTGGCTTGCTGTTAATAAATACACGGGTAAATCTCTGTTCGAGGCTCTCAGCTCTGAAGGCTGTGAGACCCCTGATTTCCCACTTCACACCTCTGTATTTCCGTGTGTGTGTCTTTAATTCCTCTAGTGCCGCTGGGTTAGGGTCTCCCCGACTGAGCTGGTCTCGGCAAACACAGTGAAACCCTGTCGCTACTAAAAATACAAAAAATTAGCTGGGCGTGGTGACGGGCGCCTGTAGTCCCAGCTACCCAGGAATCTGAGGCAGGAGAATGGCATGAACCCAGGAGGCGGAGCTTGCAGTGAGCCAAGATCACGCCACGGCACTCCAGCCTGGGCAACACAGCAACACTGTCTCAAAAAAAAAAAAAAAAAAAGAAAGAAAGAAAAAAGAAAAATAAGGCCAGATTAGGAAACAGACGATAGTTACCACAGAGTATTATAATCTGTAACAGACTATATTTTTGCCACAAGAGCCATAACATTTATCTGGTATTTAAAATAACTACAGGATTAGCTGGGTATGGTGGCGGGCACCTGTAGTCCCAGCTACTCAGGAGGCTGAGGCAGGAGAATCTCTTGAACCCGGGAGGCAGAGGCTCCAGTGAGCCGAGATCATACCACTACACTCCAGCCCGGGCAACAGAGCGAGACTCGATCTCAAAAATAAAGTAAACAAAATAAAATAAAATAAGTACAGCAGCTAAAAGCTATTTAGTTCTCTTAGTAAAAGCAGAGCCTGCATGTTAGGGAGAGCCCTCTGCTCACCTGCGCAGGCAGAAGACTCCAGTTTTGCTTACTCCGGATCTGGCTGTCCACTAGGTCACCATCGCATATGCTGTCTGCTGCTCTGCTTAAAAGCATCAGGTGCTTTTTCATGTCACCCCTGCAGGAAAGAACCAGTCTGGATTATCCCACTCTCCACACCCCAGGTCCCTTCTTCACGGGTATTTAGCCTTCGCAGTGCTGGATACTAAGCACACCTCTCACCAGCTCTGGACACTCACCCTGCTGCTACAGGCTTCACGTGTATGTAATTTTCCTGGACGAAGAGGGGTGCTATTGAATAATCATGAAAAAAGAGATCTGACTTGTCCACAAGTGACATGTGAGCAGTCTCCTCTCCAGCTGCAAACACTTTCCGGGCAACATCAAATGGGCCCTGAAAAAAGAGAGGGACACACCTATTAGAATGGCCAAAATTCAAAACGGTAACATCACCAAATGCTAACGAGGATATGGAACAAGAGGAATTCCATTCATTGCTGGTGGGAATGCAAAACTGTACCGTTTGGTAGTTTCTTACAAAATTAAACATACTCTTACCACGCGATCCAGCAACCACGCTTCTTGGTATTCACCCAAATGAAACTATGTTCACACAAAAATCTGCACAGGATGTTTACAAGCAGTTTTATTTATAATTACCAAAAGTTGTAAGCAACCAAGATGTCCTTTTAGTAGGTAAATAAACAATTTAACTGTGGTACATTCACACAATGTAATATTATTCAACATTAAAAAGAAGTGAGCTATCAAGCCATGAAAAGACATGGGGGGGCAGGGCATGGTGGCTCACCCCTGTAATCCGAGCACTTTGGGAGGCTGAGGTGGGCGGATCACTTGAGGTCAGGAGTTCGAGACCAGCCTGGCCAACATAGTAAAACCTCGTCTCTACTAAAAATAAAAAATTGGCCAGGTGTGGTGGCAGGTGCCTGTAACCCGAGCTACTCAGAAGCCTGAGGCAAGAGAATCACATGAACCCGGGAGGCAGAGGCTACAGTGTGCCAAGATCACACCACTGTACTCCAGCCTGGGTGACAAAGCAAGACTCCGAAAAAAAAAAAACCAAAAAAAACAAAAACAAAAACAAAAAAGTTATGGAAGAACCTTATATGCCATTACTACGTGAAAAAAGCCAACTGGAAAAGTCCACATACTACATGATTCCAACTATACCACATTCTGGAAAAGGCAAAACTATGGACACAGTGAAAGGATCAGTGGCTGCCAGGGGTTGTAGGGAGGAAAGCGGAAAGGAAGAATGAACAGGTAGAGCACAGAGGATGTTCAGGACAGTGAAACTATTCTGTATGATACTACAATGGTGAATACATGTCATTTGTCAAAACCACACAACGTACAACACCAAGAGGGAATGCTAATGTCAACTACGGACTCTGGGTGATAATGAGGTATCACTGTAGGTTCATCGATTGTAACAGATATACCACTGTGGTGGGGGATGTTGGCAGTGGGAGAGGCTGTGCGTGTGAGGGGGACATGAAGTATGTGAGAACTCTCTGTACCTTCCACTCCATTTTTAATCCATAGGCCAGGCATGGATCACCATGTTGGCCAGGCTGGTCTCAAACTCCTGAGCCTCAACTGCTCTAAAAAATAAAGCGTATAGGCCAGACGTGGTGGCTCACACCTATAATCCCGGCACCTTGGGGGCCACAGCAGGAGGATCACTTGAGGCCAGGAATTCAAGACCAGTCGGGGAAACATAGCGAGACCCTGTCTCTACCAAAAATTTTGAAAATTTAAATAAATAAGAAAGTGTATTAACTTTTTTAGAACCTGCTTAATCATTGCTCTAACTATAAATTCTGATTAGCAACTAGGTAAAATACAACACAGAGGAAACTGATACATACCTCTAGTTTCAGAGAGGTCATTAAACTAAACCATTTGACATGGATTATTCTGAACAGTGCAAAACCATTCCAAACACGAAAGCCAAACATAAAGAACTCTGGAAAAGCCATTTTATAATTGTTGAAGCATAAGTATAATTTAAAATTTATCCCTTTCTCAAAATTTATAATTGACATTGACAATCTTTGAGAAAAAAATCATTTGAATTAGAAACACTTTCAGCAGCTGTCTATACTTCCTACTATATATCCCTGGATTCCACAGGCATACCAAGGAACTATAATAACTACTTCTATCAAGCTACCTACAGAACAAGAAGTGTTTTGGCTTAGGAAAGTAACTAAGACATGGACATTTATTTTACCATTTTGATATCCTTTTTGGCTCTGTGAGAATCAGCTTTGGCCTGGTCATAGGTTAATGCTTTACTTCGTGCACACCACATACTCAGATTATGTAAAACCTAAAAGAATCACAAATAAGACAACGTCAAGATAGGAAAATCCTGTTGCTCCCCATCCCTACAAGGTTGAAAGCATTAGTTAAAAATAATCAACAACTGTTACATGATATATATTTAATTTACCTGTCTGATATCTTGATTGGCTCCCAAAATTATTTCATTCATAGCTGGAGGGGGAATCTTTAAACCTTCTTTAAATGCAATAGACATCATAGCACCCTGAAATTGACAAGGGAGGAGTCCTCAATGATTTTTAACTCATATAATCAGGTATTTTAAAAATATTTATCAGGTACTTTTAAAAATTGACCCTTAAATAAATAGGCTAGTGTGATGGAAAAAAAATTTCAATCATCATACCTTAATCTGTTCAACCCGAGGTCTTTGAAAACGAAGATCAAAACAATAATGAACCAGAGAGCGAATCTTGGGATGATTTCTATCATTGCACATACAAATAATGGGAATTTTAGTATGTTTTATCAGGCCAATTAATTCCTGAAAGGCAAGTTTGCAACACAAAAATAATTATTTTAAAAATGACAAATACCACACAAGCTATTTTAGGTTCTAAAAATCTCCTCAGCAACATGCCTTAACTGCCCTAAGTATGAGAGAATGACAATGTTCTAACAATCTAAATTATCAACAGTGAAACTGCAAAAATACAGCACTTGAATTACCTGAATTCCTCCCCTATCCTCATTGCCTGCCATGCCATCTACTTCATCCATGATGAGAGCATGTTTCGTGCTTACTGAAGAGGCTGCTCCATCTGACCCAGGTTGAGGAGCAATGGGATGAGACAAAAACAAAATAACAATTGCTCAAAAACTGCTGCTCTGTAGAAAATTATGTAACAGATATTAAACTTCAAAAGCTACAAGAATATGCAGCACTGGACTACAGAGTGTTGTTAAAGAAAAAAAAAAAAAAAGAATATGCAGAGAAGAGAAACTCTCCCTGCCACCCCTTCCCCTGCAGACCCCAATTCCCTTCCCAGAGGCAAACAACAGTCTCTTATATGTCCTTTAAGAGATATTGTACACATATGTGCATAAAAATATACAACTGAGTTTTGAATTTTTTTTTTTTTGAGACAGAGTTTCACTCGTTGCCCAAGCTGGAGTGCAATGGCACGATATTGGCTCACTGCAACCTCCGCCTCCCGGGTTCAAGCAATTCTTTTGCCTCAGCCTCCCAAGTAGCTGAGATTACAGGCGCACGCCACCACACCCAGCTAATTTTTGTATTTTTAGTAGAGACGGTGTTTCACCATGTTGACCAGGCTGGTCTCAAACTCCTGACCTCAGGTGATCTGTCCGCCTCAGCCTCCCAAAGTGCTGGGATTACAGGCGTGAGCCAACATGCCCAGCCAGTTTTGTCATTTTATGTATTTTGGTGATTCATTCTTTATCTTACAGATACAGAACACTTCATTTTTTAAGGCAATTTAATACTCCATTCTACACTTGTATCACACACTTTACTTAATCACCATTAATGAAATATATAGGATGCTTCCAAGCTTTTTTCTATTATGTCATACTAAATGACTATCCTTATCTATATGGCATATATATGCCACTTTGCACATATAAAATAATAGCTAAATTCCAGCAATTGGAATTTCTGGGCTAGACGGTATGTGTAATTTGAGAAATATTGCTGGACTCTCTCCAGAGTTGTACCAATCTACCCTCCCACCAGCCACGTCTAAGAGTGACATTTCCTGAGCAAATTATTTTGAACAATGTGAAGGCACCAAGAATTCAGGTGACAAAACAACACACCATAGACTCTAAATAGGCACTGTGCGGTCCTTAACTTGAGCATCTTATTTTCCATGAACTCTGGCCATAGAGGACCACTAGCTACAACCTGAAACACAGTGGGCATTTGCACACTGTCTTCTCTTTTACTACCTTTGCCTGCAGTGACCTCTTCCACCTCCAAATAGTTTTCTTTCTCATTCTTTGAGGTCTTTCAAAACAATTATCACCCCTTTAACTCAATGCCCCAAGCATAATTACTTCTTCATCTGCTGGCCTTATTACCTCACTCTGTATTACATACTTTATTACATACATGCAGAGTGAGGTTAATAAGGTAATGAGGTAATAAGTCACACTGCATTACACATGGTTTTTTATTTTCTTTCTCTCTTTACAGGATTCACCTGTGAATCCTCTAAAATCATGAAAAACGAATATGTGCATGTACACATTTTTATCACATTCTTAGAAACCTCTAAGACCTACGAAAGGGTAAGTACTGCCCCATAAGAGTGATGTCAGACGGCTTTCTTATTCTCTTGTTAGCCCCAGAATTTAGTAGGGTGCTTGGCACACAACCTGTGTTCAATACTGGTTACTGAACATTGAAATGAACATATTTTTCTTATATAACAACAACAGGAGGTCAAAAAGCCACATACTTGAATAAAAGCCTTTGATGCTGGTATTGTTCAGTGACTCAGCAACAATCGCCTTCAAACTGCTCTTACTCCGGGTGTCACTTGCATTCAGTTCCACGTAGCTGTATCCCAACTCCTAATCAAAATATTGGAAACCACTGAAGGCACAATACAAATTAACTCCACCACCCCCGCCAAGAAAGGCCAGTTAAGAAAGAAAGAAGGTACAAAATTAATATAAAAACCCATAGGTAAAGTATAAAGTATGATACTAACAGACAATGAGATTAACTATAGTATGCCTTACAATATTAGAAATTTTTAGAATATCATATACATACATATAACATACACATACAAACACAAATAAGTTTGGTCTTAAAACTTCAGCTGACAAATCACTAATCTGGAAGAGTATATTCAAACAAGCAATTTTACTAAATTTACTTCTTAAAGTCCTAAAAAAAGGATTAAACATAATCATCCCAACAATTCACTATCAGACACAGAATTAATCTAGTATAAGATACCAGCCAGGTGCGTTGACTCACACCTGTAATACCAGCGCTTTTGGGAGTCCAAAGTGGATGGATTAATTGAGGTCAGGAGTTTGAAACCAGCCTGGCCAACATGGTGAAACCCCATCTCGACTAAAAATACAAAAAATTAGCTGGGCGTGGTGGCGTGTTCCTGTAGTCTCAGCTACTCTGGAGGGTGAGGCATGAGAATCACTTGAACCTGGGAGGCAGAAGTTGCAGTGAACCGAGACCGTGCCATTACACTCCAGCCTGGGTGGCAGAGTAAAACTGTGTCTCAAAACAAAAAAATAAAATAAGATATCAAAAAGTAATCCTCTCTAAGATAATTTATAAAGTTAAATCATTCTTTGTCACGACACTATCCCAATAAACTATTTTCCTCTGAAATCAGGAAAATTCAAATTCTTCTGATTCATTTCCCAAAACTGATTACCTTATGCCTTAATTCATAAAAAATATAATGATAATAATAAAGAGAGAAAAAGAGTTGTGTTCACAACTGTAGGGACTAGGAAAAAAATGTTGTTTTGCTTTTTCATTAATGTTTATAAACACAGTGGAAACAGATAAAATTTTATTTAAATTTTATGCAGATGCATACAACAAAAAAACAAAAGAAACCACAAGCTTATGCAGCAGAGGATTGAGAAATCCAGCAATAAATTTCTAATCTCTTATTTCATCACTGTGATACTAACACGTGAACTCTGATCTGCTCTAGTGCCTAAGCAAGTCAAGTTCTCCCATTGTCTACAGGGATTCAGTAGCAATAGAGACAATAGGAACGAAGGCAGGATCACACAGTGCTGAAGAGCAGAACCCTGAGTCGCGCTACCGGGTGAAAACTGGGCCTCCACCCTCCTCCCTAAGCCTATTTCATTTGACACATGTGGATGATGACAGTACAGATAATTATTCAGTACACAGAATTATTCAAAGGCATTAAGATATTTGCATCTTTCAGAGTCTAGAATACATGTTTTTGTTATCTATAATACACCCACGTGCTTAGTACACTGCCTCGCTCGTTGGTAAGTATTGCTTATTACTTTAATTACCAATATTTTAAAAGGATTAAAATTACAAACATCGCCAGAACCAAAACAGGTTCTAAAGGTTTTATCTTAGAAAAATAAACACAGTTTATATATAGACACCACACACACACATGCACACGCACAGATGTGGGTACACACTTTTATCTCCTAGCCATGACCACTCGAGGTTATCTGTCCGACCACACTGTGACAACGCACCCACCTGACACACCAGGGAAGCTGTGGTGGTTTTGCCAACACCAGGAGGGCCTGACAGCAACGCTGCTTTAAAACTAGAGCCATCATCTTTGCCGGAAAATTTACCAAACTTTGCTGCTAGGAAAAAAGAAGTTCCAGAGTGTCAACCTATATCACCTAACAGAAATTCAAGCATGGCAGAAATAGTTATGCCTAAACTTCACATAGACAGCTGTCCTCCAGTTTAGTTCTAAATTTGCAGACTATTTTCTACAAAGCATAAACAAGTTTCCAGAGCATTCAGTGAAATTCTACTTCCTACCTCACCCCCACCCAAAATAAAAAACTAAAACTAACTCACTTAAAACTCTTGATTTGAAATAATAATTGTATGAGTTTCCTTTCCTGTGAACGCACAGGCCATGGAGCACGCTGCCGGGGCTCGATCCCAACTCCATCCATCCTCATGCCACCTCTCACCAGCCGTGGGTACTTTAGAAGTGACTTAGCCCCTCTGTGCCTGCCTCCTCCTTTGTTAGATGAGGAGAACAACAGTAAAGTTGCTGCTAAGGATGTTGTGAGGACGGAATGGCTGAGCACAGAGCCATGCAAGCTTCACTAAATGTTAACAAGCATAGTAGCTACATGGTCACAAGAAGAAAAAATGACTTGAAGATGCTGCGTCTGCAACTACCTTGTGCCCCTCAACACTACAGCACTCTTCCTCCCCTCACCACGTGAGCACCTGGCACATACATCATGCTCAACTCATACTCAATAACTGACAGAGACAATGGTTTTCAACCTACTGCCAGCGGGCATGAAGACAGGGACTAGAGTTCACCCGAAGCTTTAAAACAGTCTTCTTGGCTGGGTGCGGTGGCTCACGCCTGTAATCTCAGCACCTGGGGAGGCCAAGGCGGGTAGAGCACAAGGTCAGGAGTTCAAGACCAGCCTGGCCAGCATGGTGAAATCCCATCTCTACTAAAACTACAAAAAATTAGCCAGGCATGGTGGTGTGCACCTGTAGTCTCAGCTGCTCAGGAGGCTGAGACAGAAGAATCACCTGAACCCAGGAAGCAGAGGTTGCAGTGAGCCAAGATCGCACCACTGCACTCCAGCCTGGGCAACAGAGCAAGACTCTGTCTCAAAACAAAACAAAACAAAACAAAAAAAAAACAGTCTTCTCCAGGCACATGAAATGCCTGTCTCCTCTTTTAAGGGAGATTTTATGAAGTTTCAGAATGAAAAAAGTGATTTAACTTAAATTTAGTCCTGTATCATTACAATATATTATTTTTATAAATAAACAGGCATCATTGGCAATGATGATTGGCAATCTAGTCATCACTGGTCTATGTTGAAAACACTACTAAAACATTTGTGATCTCAAAGCTCAGTTAAGAAAATACTTTGGACATTAAATACATATTGGAGCTTTTCACTCTCCACGACAAATAATACATCATAAACAAGGACAGAAACTACAGAAGCACAGGCCTATCGGGCCTGCCACAGCAAATCGTGCTTGCTACTGGGAGTTTAGGCTGACTGCCCTGCACGCATGCCTCTGTTATTTATTCACAGCTTTCCTCCTAGTGCCCTTGCCACTCAGGGGTCTTGCTGTCACATGGCTTCAGACCTTGGGACACATACTCTTTCCTACCCAACACTCATCTCTCCCTCCCTTCACCTAGCTAGCTCCTACTTTGTTTCCAAGTCTTAGCTTAGCCATCCCTTCCTCTGGGATGGGAGCACACACACCCTGGCCCTGACCACACATCTTCATCCTCACAGCACCCTGGACTTACCCCTCTAGCAGTACTTGGCAAATATATTTTAATGGCTGGTTCAGATATGCCTCCCCCACTGCCTGTGAGCTCCTGAGAGGGACTGTTTTGTTCACAACACCACCAGCAGGGTCTAGTACTGCACCTGGGTTCAGATCAAGCTCTTAATAAATGCTTGCTGACAGATGAATGAATCGTTAGATTTTCTCATATATGTGCCACTGAGCAATCACATGTTGATATACACACACACAAAAATGAGTGAGGTTGTAAAATCACCGTGTTTTTTATCTTCGGAAGAACTCTTTTGCCAGTTTCGGAGCCAGCGTAGGAGTTTGTTGGCACAGCTCTGGTCACCTTGCTGTCCAATTATGGTCTTGAGCGAGGTTGGCTTATATTTATCCACCCAGAGCAAATTTTCCACTTTGTTTTCACTGCTGTCATCAGCCAAATTCCTAGCCTTGCTGTCACCACTTGTCTCCTCAGCCACCTGCTCCTTGAAATCCAGGCTTTTCCAAAACACATCTGTTTCCTTTTTTATTGTCTTTGCCAAACTGTCCCTTTTGGAAGTCGGCCTGCTCTTTTTAGATTCTGATTCCTTTTTAGATGGACTAATTTTTCTTTTTCCTTGGACATTTTTTTGGGGTGTTCTCTCCAGTTTGGACTCTTTCTTCATCTTAAGAAGTGGAAAAATGAGGAAAAAAGAAACCTGATGAAACATACAGAATTTCTATCCTGCTAAACGTACTACAGAGAGCAATCAGAGATATCCAAGTGGGCTACTCAACCTGGGCTGGTCTTTTCACAACAGACTTTCCTGTTTGTGGAAATCACCACCTTCTAAACTATAAAAATTAACAAACACACCAGAAACCACCAAATGCAATTTCTAAAAGTGACAACACGTTGATTTTTAAAAGTAATAAGTACTCCAATTTTAGTTTGAAAAAAACAAGGTACAGTGTTGAGATTTTTGTTTCAAAGTTTCCTAATTAAAAGTTAATGCCTCGACAAAAACTTGTACACAAATGTTCATAACCACATTATAGCTAAAAGATGGAAACAATCCAAATGTCCATCAACTGAAAAAGAAACAAAATAGGATGTGTCCACACAATGAAATATTATTTACCCCTAACAAGGACTGAAGCACTGATACATGCTACAACCCAGGTCAACCTTGAAACCACTATGCTAAGTGGAAGAAGCCAGACACAAAAGGCCATATATTCTAATGTCTCCATACACACGTGAAACGTCCAGCATAGGAAAATCCATAGAGACAGAGCAGAGCAGTGAGTGCCACGGGGTGGATAGAATGAGTGGCTGCTGATAGGTACAGGGTTTCTTTTCAGGGTGAGGAAAATGTTCTGGAATTACACAGTGCTAATGGTTGTATACTCTTGTTAATATACTAAAAACCACTGATTTGTATACTTTATAAGGGTGGATTTTATAGTATGTAATATCTCAGTTTTTAAAAAAATTAGTGCCTCTTTAGCAGTGGATGCTAAAATTAGTGGATGAATGTTTAAGGACAAACAGGATATAAGCATAAGTACCTCCTTCTCCTGCCAAGACAGTTATCGATTACAAAGGAAAAAATAGTCACTTTACTAGTGAAGGAACCCAGCACTAGTTTCAGTGGGATGCTGAATCATCTTAACCAAATAATCAAGATTATCCTCACTAATAATAAGACGTTATTGACATCCTGTATCTATGATAGGATGCACTGAGGACACAAGATCACATCCATGGTGTTCTTAGAAAAAAGGCATAACCTCAACCTAATCATGAGAAAACATCACAGATCCAAACTGAGAGACATTCCACAAAACTGACCAGTACTCATTAAAAGTGTCAAGGTTGTAAGAAGACAAGGAAAGACTGAAGAAATGTCATCGACGGGAGAAGACTAAGAAGACACAACTAAATGCAGTGTGGGACCCTGGAACAGAAGAACTACAGGGAAAAATGTAAGGTTCGAAAAATATGTACAGGTTAGTTAACAATACGGCATCAATGTTAATTTCCTGGTTTTTATAACTATGCTATGGTTATGTAATCGAAATCATTCCCTAGATTTCTCTAACCGGAATAACCTGGATGGACCATCTTGCCATTTGGGTGACAGAGCTGGGGACATTAAAATCTTGGAATGCTGGCAATCCTGTGTCCTGTGTGTAAAAAAAGATGGTCTACAGTGGGAATGAATGAGGCTAACTAGTAGAAACAGAGAGACAGAAACTGAAGGGGTCCTCACAGCTTTGTAGTCTGTGGATCCAATAGTTCCTAGACCAGACCCTCCCTGCCCATAGTTTAGTTATGTGAGCCAACATTTTTCCTTTTGCAAAAGCTAATACAGGCTAGGTGTCTGCACAATTTAAAAAGTCCTAATACAGTTCTAATTGAAAACAAATTTATCATGCTAATACCTATTAAAATATCCTTTAAGGAACTCTTAAACAATAACCTTTGCATAAAGTCAACGTGAGAATATGGCCGGGAACAGTGGCTCACACCTATAATCCCAGCACTTTGGGACGCTGAAGTGGGTGAATCACTTGAGGTCAGGAGTTCAAGGCCAGCCTGGCCAACATGGTGAAACTCCGTCTCTATTAAAAATATAAAAATTAGCAGGCGTGGTGTCAGGTATCTGTAGTTCCAGCTACTCAGGAGGCTGAGGCAGGAGAATCGCTTGAACCCAGGAGGCAGAAGTTGCAGTGATCCGAGATCACACCACTGCACTCCGACCTGAGGGACAGAGCTAGACTCTGTCTCAAAAAATTAAAAAATAGTAGTAATAATAGTAATATGGAAAATAAGGAAAGTTTGATAAGTAGATATGTTATATGCAATATACTGTCCTTTCTCTACTCATATTCCCTGACAAAGATAAGGAAAAACAACAAAGTAGACATCTTGAAGCAGAGTCTTCCAGCTCAAAAGGAACTAAGGTGGTCCATTTGTGGTAGACAGGGATGTTAATCTTTCAGCCAACAAGCCTGTATCCACCCAAGACATATGTCTATGAAATTAAAAAGTTAATATACACCAACTTAAATCACATTCATTTTATACGAACCTCAGTTTCAACTGCTATTTCATACTTGGATTTCTTGCCTGGCATAGTCCGAATCAGATTCAACAGGCCATCTTCATCAATAATTTTTGTCCCCAAGGCTGCGGCCTGTTGATTAAAAATGTAAACCATCAAAACTGCATCCTGCATCCTACCATTCCCTTCTCTTACAAAAAAAAAAATTCTAGGGCCTATTAGTAGGTGAAAAACCACATTCGTAAATTAAGATAACACTGGAATTAAAAAAGAAAAACAAAAAATAGCACATTCATTGAAAAAGTAACATTGAAAAGAAAGAAAATAACAGATACATTCCCTAAGAGTAGCAGGTTGGCATGGGAAGTGGTCCATTTCTACTTTTGTGGACTGCTTTACCTTTCCTCCCCTAGAAAGGGGCAATGGCCACTAGGGCCTAAGACCAGCTCTTCATACCTTCTCCCATATTTAATGCATATGGCAGACATTTCCCCCACCTTCTTCCCTGCTGATGGAACTCCAATGTGTCCTTCTTCAAGTGATGAATGATGACTGGTCCAAGGCAACCAGAAACGTCTTGGTTCTTCCCAACCTCCCATACAGCTCTGAGTGGCCAGGTGACAGCTCTGGCCAATGAGCCTTATGTGAAATTCTATAAGACATGTTTCTGGGAAAACTCTCGTCAGGCCAGTCACAGCTCTTATGACATACTTGCCACTGTTCCCTTTTCCTGCCTTGAATAAGAATTTAAATGCCTAGAGCTGCAACTACCTTGCAACCACAAGGCAACATGCATGAGGACAAAAGTTAACACAATAAGGACAGATGGAGGAACCACATCGTTGAGATGCCGAACTATCCCAGCAATACCTCCAGAATTCTTGTGAGAAAAATTAGCAGCTGTTTAATCCACGGTTAATCAGATATTCTGCTGTTTGGAGCTAAACACAATCCTACCCAACAGGCCGCTGATTCTTTTTCTAAAAACACCAATTTAAAAAAACCTAAGATGGTGTATACAGTGGCATATATAGGAATACTTCGGACTGGAAGAAAAAGAAAACTGCATTTGTTTCTATCTTCAAAAATAAAAAAAGACTTAAACTTAAATACACTAAAAAAAAGTCAAGTAAACAGGAACTATGCCTTCCATTGGAAAACCAAAATCCTGGTGTCAGAGCCAATAACACTTCTGTGGAGAAGAAATAATGTAGGCAAGAAATTACTTTTCTATTTCTTTCCTTCATTTAACTCTGAGTAAAGGGCAAATCACATCAAGAGTGTGCCAAGGCAGGCAGGAGGTGTCATGGTGTTGAGAACAAAGCAGTACCCACCTTATCACTCTTGGACTGTCCACTATCACGACCCATGACAAGATAATTTGTTTTCTTGCTGACATTTCCTGTTACTTTTCCCCCATAACGTTCAATTAGAGACTTGGCCTCATCTCGTTCAATAGACTCCAGCACGCCTGTGATTACAAATATAAGGCCTTCCAAGCAATTTTCAGCTCCCTAAAAACCAAAATGTTCAAGCAGAGAGGAAATTACATGGTAGCTTTCCAAAGAAACATTTGGCATCAAAACTGCAGGAAGTTGATTTTTCTCATTTCACATCATAAATAACCTTGGCATGGAAAGTTTGCTGGAAATTTACAGCAAATAAGCACCACCTGAAATTAGATCCTAAGAAATTTTGATATGGCTAACGTTTAATAAACTTACAAAACAAGCAGTGAAAAACATACATCCAACACTGTTAGCAAAGCTATTAAAATTACCCATTCATACTATTTTCCATTATGCCCTCTTCATATCTAAACTACTAGTTAACTTGCATAACTATAAATAAACAACCAAATGCAATCCATCTGTAGAAACTCTTGCTATTCAGGAAACTGCTTGTTCTTAAGAACTTTCCCAACAAGAATTTAATAGAAGCAGGTATACTCCTATCATTTTGATGTTTCTGTTAATGTTTCGAAACAATGTACTTTAAAATCAGAATCACTTCTTATCATTTTCAAATACTTCTGATGCTTTTCACCACATTAGTGATCAGAAATGAGGTCTAATTCCCCAATCCCTGCCCGCAAGAGCTAAGTAGGATCTTAACTGTAAGTTGAAGGGAGTTTTGCCCGAACTCATGGATTGTACAAGAACAAACTGCTGCTGGGTTGGATGGTCTGCCAATGGATTGTGGTGTGGCATATCTGAAGGCTACTGAATGCAACTTATAATGCTTAATAAAAAATTTTTACTGTTTTATGGGAAAAAAGGGAAAAAAGGCAACTCTTGCTATTGTTAAAAAGGGAAAGTTTTGATTCTAAAAAGCTAAGCAAGTGTGAGCTCGTGCCTTCCTCTCTGCTCATTACTCTAGGATAGTAAATCTAGCAATCTTCTAGTAACTTAAAGGCAAGATCGTATTATCTCTGGATTGGAAAGATAACTCTCATAATGTATAATATAAGAGATACTTGCCAAAGAGAGCTGGATGGAAAAGACATTAAATCTTAATTGGAACTATGTTGAGTTATATATTTTTGCAATGGTTCAATAAAATTATACAACCAAACAAAATGAAAATTATACATGACATTCCAAGTTACTTATTACTCTTTTAATAGAGAATTGAGATTAATAAACTTAAAATGGGCTTGAAAAGCAGCAGCCAACCAAAATTCAAAGACTGCCTCCATGTAAGTTCAATCCTTCACCATTCAGATGAAGAATCTTTCTCGGAAGACAAAAAGAAACAGCTATGAAGGTGCTTGGAAAGAAAAGGTTTGACTAACAATATCTCAGGGTCCCTTGAAGCCTTTATGGGTTCTTGGATTGAAATGATCTACTGTAACACTACAGGAACTTAACTACTTCTGAACAAACTCAAAACAACCCTGGAAAAATTGCACATGCAAGCCCCTATATCCCATATCCCAAACATCTATTATCTCCCAAATTATCACCCACTATGGCTCTGATTATCTTTTTACTTATCCAATCTTAGCACTTCTAGCCTCCCTATCAAACTCTTCTATTCTAGAATTTGGCTAAGCTCTTACTCCAGGAGCAGCCAGCCACCCCTAGTATCCTCAACCTCTTCTCCAACATTCCCTCCATAGCCTTGCCTTCACTGAAACCTGTCTGTCCCCTCAGGGCACCACTTTGACTGAAGTCCTCTCAAGCAGAACTTGTTTGGTCTCTCATACCCATGTACAGGAGGCAAGACTGGCATCTTCCTGCAGGCTCCCATAAAACCCATAAGCCCCTTAAGGCCGACCTTCTCGCTCCCCACTCCGGTCCCAGCTACACCATCTCTCCCTCTCTTTATTAGGGGAGCTATTAATCTCTATATGTACTTATATATACCAAGCAAACTGAAAATTAAATTTATACATATATTGTATACTTATCCCCTCCCCTCCTGCCTTCTTAGAAATCTCATGCTACAATTGATTCTCCTTCTCCTGCTGGTATAACTTCCATCTCTCCCTTTCTGGTAGGATCTATCCCATTAGCAAAACGCATGCTTTAAATATCTCCTACCATAAAAATACTTAAATCTCCCCCTAAATTCCACTTTCCATTCTAGCTAGAAGTCACTTCCCCTTCTAGTCCTTCTAGCTAGAAGTCCTCCCACTTCTTTCTCCTTCACAGCCAAACTTATCAAAAATATCTACTTTTGCTGTCTCCATTTTGTCTCCTCACACTCACTCTTCCACCCGCTTCCATCAGGCTCTGCCTCCACTGTCCTTAGCTCTTGCTAAGGCCACTAAGGATCATTAATTCATGTTACTAAATGGAACAATTTCCGGTCTTCCCTTACCTGGAATCTTAACAGCATGACAGACTTAACTACTCAATCATTTTTGAAATACTCTCTCTTCCCTTTGCTTCTGTGATCCCACGCTTATCAAACTTCTCTCCCATATTTGTAGCTGCTACTTCTCAGTTTCCTTTTGGTTTCCACCCTCTTCTACTTCACAAAGAAGCAGGGGCCAAGGCCCTCTTCTCTTCTTGTTCTGTACTAGTTTACCAGATGCTATTAATCCCTTCATGCCAAGAATGCCCAAGTTTGTCCATCTAGTTCTGACTTCTGTTCTAAGCTCCAGTCCCACATATCTGCTTGTCTACTCAGCATCTCCATGTGGACATCTCACATAACCCTAAAGCACAGTGTGGCCAACAACGAACTCATTATCATCTCCCCAAACTAGCCCTGCCACCAATCGCATGATCCACCAAGCTGCTCATGCCAATAACAAGATCATCCCCAATACTCTTTCTTCTCACTTTCCACTTCAATTATCACCAAGTCCCATAGATTTTGCCTCTTCTAGTGAAACCTCTCCACTTTTCGACATTTTCACTGCTCCCCCAGACCAGTCCCTATCACTTCTCACCATCTCTCCTGATGATCTCTGTGTAGCTATTTCTGCCCCATCCACAGCACTTGGTACATCAGCAGCCAGAGCGATCTTTCAGAAATTCAAATCTGGTCATGTTATCCCTCCACTTTAAAATTCCTTCTCGGCCGGGCCCAGTGGCTCACGCCTGTAATCCCAGCACTTTGGAAGGCCAAGGCAGGCAGATCACCTGAGGTCGAGAGTTCGAGGCCAGCCTGACCAACATGGAGAAACCCCATCTCTACTAAAAATACAAAATTAGCCAGGCATGGTGGCGCACGCCTGTAATCCCAGCAACTCCAGAGGCTGAGGCAGGAGAATCGCTTGAACCCAAGAGGTGGAGGTTGCCGTGAGCTGAGATTGCGCCACTGCACTCCAGCCTGGGCAACAGGAGCGAAAACTCCATTTCAAAAACACAAAATAAAAATTCCTTCTCTTAGACAAAAGTCTTAAACATTAGGCCCTGCAAGATGTGATCCTATTAACCTCTTTGGCCATTCTCATCCCTTGGTCACTATGCTCCAACCATAATTTTTCTTTCAGTTCCTCAAACATACCATGCAAGAACCTTCCCCCTGCAGGAACATCATACATTCTGGCCCCTCTGCCCAGACCACCACGCCATCACAACCCCTTCACACCTGTTGAATCCCTTTCATTCTTCAAGTCTCCATTTAAATGTCACATTCTACATGCCCCACCAAGGACCAGGTTCCTCTGTTATACTACCTAAGGGCATCTTAGATTTTTCCCTCATAGCACATATCCCAATTATAATTAAATTATTTATTTAATGTCTCTTTCTTTAGGCTATAAGTGCCATGCAAGCAAAAACATTAGTTTTGTCACTGGTATAGTCTCAAAGCTCAGCCTTTCTAGGGCTACTTGTTATTTAAAGGGAAATTTTTCTAAGTATCAAGCAGTGATTCATAACATGAATAAACATCCCTAATTCTTGAAGACAGTAACTGAAGCTTTTCTGTTGCTCATTTTTAATTATTAATCCTCTGCTGCTATAATCATCGTGAATACATACATGGACCCATACGGCAGAGGCCCTCACAGAATGGCATGCCCTCTCAGTACTCTTACCTTTGGTATTTCTTTGGAGCCCAGAGCCTTGGGACCTTCTCGATTTAAGTAGCTTCGATAAGCTTGATAATTAGTGCGTTTCTTTTCAGAATCTTCAGGACTTACAGACTTTGGGAACAGGGAAAGGAAAATGAACAAAGTCATACAGAATTCATGCAAAATTTAAAATACATATCTAGAAATAAACATTATTTTTATTGTGTCACTTCTGTGTCTGGCTGTGAAATTAACAGTTTTAGCTACACAAGTACTTCCTAACTTACAGACAACTGACTTACGAACATCCCTGCATCAGCGCTTCTCAAAACTTTCCACTCTCTAAAGCCACACACCTCAGGGCAGATTATGGGAATAAGCCAAGTTGCCAGCTCCAAGCAAAGAAATGCAAAAAGTGTTTTACTTTAGGAATTCACCTGAATTTTAAATTATATTTCATGATATATCCATATATCCATGTTTAACGGGAAAATACATTTTTTCCCCAAGTAAACCTGATCGCCCGAGAAGATATTCTGTGTTAATCCTATGACCTTCCATGCCCCTAAAGCACCAGCCTGCATCCCTAAGGACATAAGCATTCCAGTAGGAGAATCTAAACAGTCAGCTCAAAGAAGGTACAAGCTTTACTCCAAAGAGAAGACACGTTCTCTATGCTATTTCATCTCCTCCCATTCTACTTCTCTCGGGGAATTTACCATAGGTATATCTCAGAAAATCCTGGGGAAACTTTTCAAACTATGCATCCCTAGATCCACCTCCAAGTTTCTCTTTCGGAGATATGGGGTATGGCTAGAATGTGTTTATGTGGGGGAAAAATATCTTAGATAGCTCTCATTTAAGAACCACTATCAGGTGTTTGTTATTTTTCCACTTCCTATTTTAACATTATTTTTAACTTGTAAGCAATCCCAAATCCTTTTGAGAGTAGACAAAATAGTAACTTCTATACAAAGAAATGGCGGCCGGCTGCAGTAGCTCACGCCTGTGGTCCCAGCACTTTGGGAGGCCGAGGTGGGTGGATCACGAGGTCAGGAGATCGAGACCATCCTGGCTAACACAGTGAAACGCCGTCTCTACTAAAAAAATACAAAAACTAGCCAGGCTTGGTGGCGGGCGCCTGCAGTCCCAGCTGCTCGGGAGGCTGAGGCAGGAGAATGGCGTGAACCCAGGAGGCGGAGCTTGCAGTGAGCTGAGATCGCGCCACTGCACTCCAGCCTGGGTGACAGAGCGAGACTCCGTCTCAAAAAAAAAAAAGGAATGGCTTAACCAATAAAATAGTTCAGCTGGTTTGGCTAAGAGGTCGATAAGCCATTAACAGGCTGGTCCTAGAATCTAACCCTACTTTCTAACAATGGTTCTCAAATGTTGGTGTGTGTTCATATCATATGAGGAGCTTATTAAAATACAGCTGCCCACACCACATTCCCTGGGAAACTCCATTTTTTTAACAAGTTTCACAAGAGAGTCCAGTGCATACCAACATGGAAAAACGATTAATTTACGACACTCATTCTATGAAAAGAATTCTGAATGGTAAACAGCGTATACAATAACTTTGAAGGACACCCACTTTATGAAGTCAGAATTATTTGACCAAGACCAACTAAATGTATTAAATAGACTTTATTTGACGTTTCCAACCAAAACTGCTTAAGTAAAAGTTTTGAGTTATTTCTATTCTAACTTTAAAAAGTACAGTGAAGAGTATCATTTAAAGATTTCCTCTTTCTTCATAAAAACAGACTGCCTCTGTAAATGGAACATGTTTTAGTGTGCCTGAAGAAAACCATTCATTTACCAGATAAGCATTTAGTGCAGAAAAAATCTGAGATCAAAAAGTTAATTGCTCCTTTAAGCGTATTTATAAGCATTGTCCACAAACAAAAGCATTCTGAAATCATCACCATTTCACTGTTCTGCACTAAAATATAATGGTGATGACCAGTTAAAATAGGTGATATTCTGCTTTTAATCCTAAGTGCCTAAGAGGCATGAATGAATAGTGGTTTCTCATTATGAATCTAAAGTAGTTCCAAATTGGAGATTCAGAGACCGTTCGCTTCTCAAATATATTTCCTAGCAAAATTTTTCAAAGATATTCATTATCTCATCATTTTTTCCTTTAAAAATAATTTCAGTATCGCAACACTGTTGTACAAGAATAAAAAAGAGTAAATTTAGGACTAAGCCAAATAACAATCATTTTAATAATAATAGTTAAGATGGCACTTATTAGGTCCCAGGCACTGCTCTAAGTGCTTTTACATATGAAGTCATTAGGTACTATTATTATTATTCCTATTTTACAAACAGCACCAAAGCACAGACAGGGGAAGTGACCAAACCTGCTCAGAGTCCCAGAGCCTGAAACTGGCTCCAGAGCCTGTGTGTGGAGCCACTATGTTATACTGCTTCAGAGGACCTGAGTTCAAGGCTGGCCCTGCCACTTACCAGGTGGATGATCTTAGAATAGTTAAACTCTTTCAGCCTGTTTCCTCGTCTTTAAAAGTTGAATAATAAAAATAAATATCTCACAGGGTTGTTGTGAAAATTATATGAGCTACCACATGTAAAGTATTCGCACAGTATCTGACACACAATAACAATAAATATGGGCTTACTTAGCTATATTAATACTCCATATCCTACAACAGCTTCTAAATAAGATATCTTAAAAATATTATAATGACTTATGATCGTTAGAAATAAAACTTGAAAACAAACCCAGACTAACACATAGCACCAAAATATATACAGCAGTCCCCCTTTATCCGAGGAGGGTATGTTCCAAGACCACCCCAGTAGGTGCCTGAAACCACAGACAGTACCAAACTATATATATACTTACATGTACTGTTTTTTCTATCTAATAACCAAGCCGGCTACCAAGTGACTAACGGGTGGGTAGTGTATCCAGCATGGTTATGCTGGACAAAGAGATGATTCACATCCTGGGTGAGATAAAGCAGGTTGGCCAGAGAGATTTCATCATGTTACTCAGAAGAGTACCCAATTTAAACCTTATTAATTGTTCATTCCTGGAATTTTCCATTTAATACTTTCAGAACATGATTAACCACAAGTAACTGAAACTTCAGAAGGCAAAACCATGGATAAGGGGGAATACTGTACTCCCTAGAAAGTTCCTACCAAGGCCGGGCGCGGTGGCTCACACCTGTAATCCCAGCACTTTGGGAGGCCAA
This sequence comes from Homo sapiens, assembly GCF_000001405.40. NCBI lineage: Eukaryota > Metazoa > Chordata > Mammalia > Primates > Hominidae > Homo > Homo sapiens. Next base: position 39,320,118 of record NC_000004.12, read on the forward strand.
GGTGGGCAGATCACCTGAGGTCGGGAGTTCAAGACCAGCCTGACCAACATGGAGAAACCCCGTCTCTACTAAAAATACAAAATTAGCCAGGCATGGTGGCACATGCCTGTAATCCCAGCTACTTGGGAGGCTGAGGCAGGTGAGTTGCTTGAACCTGGGAGGCAGAGGTTGCAGTGAGCCGAGATTGTGCCACTGCACTCCAACCTCAGCAACAAGAGCAAAACTCCATCTCAAAAAAAAAAAAAAAAAAAAACAAAGTTCTTACCTCTTTTTTAGCTGGAGAACTTTTGGTTTTCTTAGGAGTTTTTGTCTCTCCTTTCAATTTAATGGCATTTTCTTTTCTTTTTGAGGCCACAGGCTCTATTTCTTTATAAGAGCTCTCTTCTTTTCTTTTCATAATTGCCAGCTTAGAACTGGCCTTGGGAGAAGAGACTTCTCCTATTTTGTCAGCTGATGACTTGGAATGTTGCTGAGATTCTTTTGAACTTTCATATTTACTTTGCTTCCTAGGACTGTAGCTCTTTCTTTCATCTGAAACTTGTGCTGTTTTTACTAGGAAGAAAGAAAAGATTATGGTTGTTGTTTTTGGAAAATGATAATCTATATCAACTTTTCTTTCATTTTTCAACTGAGTAATCTTAGCACAGAATATACCCTGAAGGCCCAAAGTCCTAAAGTGTCAAGACCATCTGTTTATAGTAAATCTATAAATACATTTACTTATAGGACTAAGATCATCTAGACTAGCAGATGATTTGCTATCAGAACCACTGAAGAATAAAACCTACAGGCAATAAGCAAGAGAGCTGAAGATGACCTGGCCAACTATGAGTCAACTCTGAGACTACCTCTGACATGAAAAGCTCAAAACATCTAGGTTCTTCATCTTTATATATTGAAATCCACATATTGCACTATACTTGGAAATTAACAAGAAGCCAGGAGTTTTAACACAATTCTCACAGTAATCATAGAGCAGATGGGCATTCTGTACCAGCTAGCATCCAAAGAGCTTTCAAAGTTTCTAAGTTCAATATGCTCTAATAGTCCTGTGAAATAATGTCTACCTAACAATACATAATTACTGAATAGGATACTTAAACAAGATTATCATGAATTTACTTCCATGAAGACAAGTGCTCCATCTTACTTTTTTCTGCTAGTATTACCTTTATGAGGATATTTATGTTTTTCTGCTTTACTTAAATTGGCTTGGACAGATGAAAACGTTTCTCCCGCTTCTGTGTCCTTTCGAGCCTAAACAAATTTTAAAAGTGTCAAATGTGACAAATAATAGAAAAACTATTACCATAAAATCTGTTGTTAAAATCCATCAAAATTTTAAGGGTCACCTTTCAACTAGCAGGACACTACAATAAACTGTCATTCATTCATCCACAAAATTTCCAAGGCAAATGAGGCATATTTTATTACTTCATGTTACAAATGAGGAAACAGATGAAAGGGTATAAAAATACATCTATAAAAATTATCTCTCTTCATCCCAACCTGTAAATCTGGAAGTAGAAGCCTTATTTCTCCTTCATCTCAACTCTCAAATTGTTAGTATTAAGTAGTTAAAAACTAAAATCTAAATTTAAAAGACTAAAATAAAAATAAACAAAAGCTCGAAAGAAAATGAGAGCACTTTCTCAAAGGGGAAAAAAATATATCCATTCTTTCCACTGCTCCTTCAAAACTCCATTTTATAAAAAGTTCACAAATTGAGGTGTGTGATACAGTCTTTTAAAGTAATTATAATTTGAGTGTCTTTAGATGAAATAAGACTTTTCAAATGGCAAAGTCTCTACCACTCCCTACTGTCTTAATACCTGCCTGTTTAGTCTTAGCTCCTGATGTATCTAGGTTTACAACTCTCTGCTTTAAAGAAGTAAAATCTTTTGAAGTAATCACATATTGACATTGACAATTATATTAACAGAATGTGATTCATCAGAAATAAAGCTAATCTCCTGGAGATAAATAAAAAATAAAAATAAAAAAATTAAAAAAATTAAAGTCTTGATGTTTTAAAGATTCCCCAAAATAAGGCTGAGGCAGGCAGATCACTTGAGCTCAGGAGTTCAAAACCAGCTTGGGCAACATGGCAAAACCCCATCTCTACAAAAAACACAAAATTATTAGCTGGGTGTGGTAACACATGCCTGTAGTCCCAGCTACTTGGGGGGCTGCGGTGAGGGGATCAATCAAGCCCAAGAAGTCAAGGTTGCAGTGAGCTGAGATAGCACCACTGCACTCCAGCGTGGGTGACAAAGTGAGACCTCGCAAAAAAAAAGAAAGAAAAAGATTCCTCAAAATATACTCATTATTATATGAGACTGTCATAATATAGATCTTAGAGTTAACTAATTAGAACTGACAAAACTGTGCTTCCTGAAAAGACAGTGATTAATACTGAAGTTATTAAACTTGTGTTCCAAAAGAATTTTTATGAGCATTATTTTCTGAACAAGTACATAAGAACTCCTATGATAAAGGAGTAAGGAAAAGGTAAACTGGGCACAGAAGCTCATGCTTCTAATCCCAACACTTTGGGAGGCTGAGGTGGGAGGATAGCTTGAGCCCATGAGTTCGAGGCTTCAGTGTGCTATGAACGTGCCAGTGTAATCCAGCCTGGGCAACAGAGTGAGACCTTGTCTCAAAAAAAAAAAAAAGAACTAAAAGGCCAGGCATGGTAGCTCACATCTATAATCCTAGCACTTTGAGAGGCTGAGGCAGGAGAATCACTTGAACTCTGGAGTTCAAGACCAGCCTGGCCAACATAACAAAACCCCCTCTCTACAAAAATATACAAAAATTAGATGGGTGTGGTGGCACACACCTGTAGTCTCAGCTACTCGGGAGGCTGAGGCAGGAGGATCACTTGAGCTCAGGAGGCAAAGGTTGCACTGAGCCCAGATCAGGCCACTGCACTTCATGAGAGACCCTGTCTCTAAAACAAATAAAATAAAATATAAAAAGAATAAGGAAAAGATATAATTCTTTGTTTTGTGATAAAAGGTTCTGGTTTGTTTTGATGCCGTCACCCTTCTTTTAAGAAGAATAAGTTTCTCAATGAGCTTCCCCAAAAACATTTTTATAAAATAATTTAATTTCTTTCTGGAAAAGTTATTCATGTTTTGGCTAGAGCCTAGAACACGCAAGTATGAACACTGATCTGTACTGTATATTCAGAACGCAAATAGCCCAACATTATGCCACCTTTTTGGTCTTGGGTTCTTCATCCAACATGGCTAATGTTCTGGCAAACTCTTCATCTTCATGCAACTGCCTCTCCAGCTGTAAAATGTGTCAGCAAAGTGAGTTGAGTTGCTCTTTTTCTTTTCGTAAATAGAATTTTTAAATGTCTGATTCATATATTTAGAAGAAACTAGAAAAACATTTTCCAGAAAATAATTATGACATTTTCCCACTCAACATTAATAGTGAAGTATCACAGGTTTGTTTCACTAAGCTGAATCAGATTTTGGAACATACAGTTCTGGTTTTGCAGGGATGACAGATAAAGTGAGCATATTTTTAAAGTCATATTTCTTACTTATAAAACATGAGGTCTGTACTTTTCTCTTAATGGTTCTTATGCAACACAGCTTTCTTATTTCTATTTATTATCTAAAAAGACCTCTGAAAGGAATCTCAACCTAATAGGAAAACACAATCATCTGGGGAGTACAAAAATAGTGAATCTAAGAATTTAAAAAAATTATACAGTATTTTTTTGGCACATATAGTAAGCTATATACAAATGTAAAATCACTTTTACTATCAAACTCCTATTTTCAATTACTAATTCAAATGCATCTGTTCTCACTTTTGAAAATTTAAGTCATCATGTCAGGAGTTCTACTAACATGCTAATGTAACACAGAGACATTCTAGTTATCTCAGTTATTTCAAAATACTTTCACATTCAGCAAAATGGAGCTCTTCCAAAAGAGAATATATAGCAGTGGAGTATCTTTCTCATTATAAACCAAATGGCTGTATGCTCCCTGGTAAAATGGCCTTACGTGATATTCAATAAAAAACACCCTACATTATTCAAACAAAGAAAAGGACTTCAAAATCCACTCAATCTTTTAAAAGTGAAGTGAAAAAAAAGGGAGGAAAAACTCTTACAGGGATAATTAGTAAAGACATCTTCAGTTACTGACACCTAGAAGTCCTTAATCAGATTAATAAATTACCCAAACAAGATTCTGAAAGAATGTGATAAAAATGGAAAAATAGAGGATTGTGATACAAAGTACCACACCTGGTTTGGAAAGGATTAGGTAACCCTCTAGTATTTGGATCAGGAGAAGTCAGGTTCCTAAAAATTACTTCCTAGTTTGACCTAGGCTACTTGTGCTACCTTGAGTCATGTGGATACTCGCTTGTAGTTTATGTAATTCAGTGTGATCAAATAAGATAGAAAAACATTTTGAAAACACAAACTAAACTGCCAAAGTAATAAAATGTGAACAATCACAATATTGTTCTCTCACAATAATACTTATCAAGAGCCCATTGTATGCCAGACACTAAGATAAGCACTGATGTAACAATGGTTGAGTGAGACATAAATGGTTGAGACAAATGGTTGAGTGAGAGTCCTGGTGAGGGGACCTTAGAGCCTATACTTGCCATTCTAATTAAATAGCAAGTATAATAAATGATAATAGTAGCTATGACAGAGTGTGACAGAGTATATCGGAGGGGTTTCTAATATAGTTGAGGTAGTCTGGGAAAGTGACACTTAAGCTAAGCAAGAGGAAGGGAGTTCTAACAGCCGGCAGCTAAGCCTGGAACCTCTGACAGAGATGAGCGCTCCTCCCTGAAATACTTTCTTTGGCTTCTGTAAGATATCAACCTCTCCTGATGTTCCTACTTCACTAGCCACTCTCTCCTCTCCTTTGCTGGATCATCCTCCTTTTCCTGACCTCTAACAGTGGCCCAGGGCTCAATCCTGAGACCTTTCTTTCTTTTCTATTTGCATTATCTCCCCATGATCTCATCCAGTTACACAGGTTTAAATATTACTCAACTGGTAATGATTTCCAAATGTCCATCTTCAGTTTAGACTTCTCCCCTGAGTTCCTGACTCTTCTACCCAACCACCTACTCTGCCTTTCCATTTGGAAGTCTATTAGACATCTCAAACTTAACTTGTCCAAAAGATCTCTCTGTACCAAACCTGTTCTGCTTCCTGTGTTCCAGCCTTAGTAAATCGTATCACCATTCACCCAGTTGTTAAGGCCATAACTGAATATTATTTTCCGAGAGACAAGGTATTGCTCTGTCACCCAGGCTGGAGTGCAGTGGCACAATCACAGCTCATTGCAGCCTGAACCTCCCAGGCTCAAGCAATCCTCCCACCTCTGCCTCCCAAGTATCTGGGACCACAGGTGTGCACCACCATGCCCAGTTGATTTTTGTATTTTTGGTAGAGATGGGATTTCCCTATGTTACCCAGACTGGTCTCAAACTCCCAGGCACAAGTGATCCTCTCACCTCGGCCTCCCAAAGTGCTGGGATTACAGGCATGAGCCACCACACCCAGCCTCATCTGTGAATCTTCTTCCCTCACACCTTACATCCAATCTGTCAAAAAGAACTTGCATGTTTCAAGGCACATTCAGATTATGCCCACTTCTCACTGCCTTTTCCTATTACAAGCTGACATCTCTCACCTACCATTCAGTCTGCAAACTGATCTGCTTTTGATCTTGCCCCCACCATGAACTATTAACATCATCGAAGCCAAAGTAATTTTCTTTTAAGATCCACCAAGTCATGTCACTTTTCTATTCAAAACTCCAATGGGGCTGGGTGTGGTGGCTCACACCTGTAATCCCAACAATTTGGGAGGCCAAGGTCAAGACCAGCCTGGCCAACATGGTGAAACTCCGTCTCTACTAAAAATACATAAATTAGCCAGGCGTAGTGGTGGGCGCCTGTAGTCTCAGTTACTGGGGCAGGTGAGGCAGGAGAATCACTTGATTCCCAGGAGGTGGAGGTTGCAATTAGCCAGATTATGCCACTGCACTCCAGCCTGGGCAACAAAGCGAGACTCTGTCTCAAAAAATAAAAAATAAAAACTCCAATGGTTTCCCATTTGGAAGAAACTAAATTCCAAAGTCCTTATAATTAACATCCTTTTTGTAGGTATCAAAGACCTATCATGACCTACAGGATTTGCTGCTAGCCATTTCTTCAAAATCATCTCACAGCACTTGATCAATCTTCTCTAAAAATAAATCTTTCAGTAAATAATTCTCCCCTGGTCTCATCATTTATCTTGTATAGAAATTTAGATTTTCATTTATTAGATTTTAACTTATTTTACATGTAACTTCCAATGAGGTTCAATTCAAAACCTGGCTGGACTAAATAGCTAGTCAGAATATCAAGTTACTAATGATTCTAAGCAAAATGCCAATACCTCCGCATCTTCATCAAGCTGTAATTGCTTGGCGATGGCTTCATCATTTAATCCAGACTCATCTGTATTTTGTGAAAGCTATATTTCAAAGAAAATCAAGCAAAATCAGCATAAACCTTAAGTTAAAAATAAGGCACTTTTTCTTGACTGTTGCTGATTAAATACACCAGTGAGAGATAAGTGTATCTATCAGTAACAGCTGCAATGTACACCAGCCAGAAAGTCAAATTTATGGCTACTCCCTGACCATATCCAATCCCTAATAAATATCCTATAGACAGACCTGTCTCACTTAGTTCTATTGATATGTTCAAGAGAAGTACCAAAAATAAAAATAAAAAAACCCAATCCTGTAGATTAATGTCTTGGCTTGACAAGTAGCCCAGAACATTGGCAAACCAATATGTGAGAATGATTACATTGTTCTATGGAGGAAGTGATAGAATCAACAAACACACACTATGGGGCAGGCTTTCTTTAACTCAGGGGACTACTTTCACCATAATTTATCTGGTATGTCTGTTTCCTAAATGGCCAGAAACAGATGAATCCAATATCTGCCAAAGTAGAGAAGGTCACAAGTGTAGCATAGGTATGCTCTATTTATAAGGAATCTATTTATTATCTCATTTGGAAACAAATTTATCGCTAATATTGACTGGTTGAGGTCAATAGTAAAATGAGTTTCCATTCTGAGAACTCAATTTAAATTCGAATAATTATCATTTTTTCTTATGGCTTAAATGATCTTTTCCCGCTTTCAAGAATTAAAAAATTAAATATGTAACATTCCAACTTCCTCATCCTTTAAAATGAGGGCAATACATTTTATCCATAATCATAGGAAAATTATTTTAATTATTAAAACATGTTGCCTATTTACTACATCCTAGTTTCTCCTGTTAATATTAGTGAATGGGTATAAATCCTGAGCATACTTGCTTATATGTAGAACACTTACCTCTTTTCTTTTGCTTGCCACCATCTTCTTATTAGATCTTTGGACACTTCCAGTTCCAAAATAATCAAGTACTGATGTGGGTGTAAGTTTTATTGGTGATAAAGGCTTATTCTTGGTCTTAGTGTTTTCTTCATTCTTTTTCATGTTTGATGTTCCAAGATGACTATTTGTAGATCTTCCATTCTCTTTTGATTTAGAGGCCGCCTTCTTACACATAAAGTCATCTTCTTCATCTTAAATGAAATGTAACCAAATATTTTTTATAAAACATCAATTCGGTTATACAAAGAAAACACTTCTACCAACTTTATAAAAAGTATACAAGAGGCTAGACATGGTGGCTCATGCTTGTAATCCCAGCACTTTTGGAGACCAAGATAGGAGAATCATTTGCGCTCAGGAGTTCGAGACCAGTCTGGGCAACATCATGAAACTCCTTCTCTTCAAAAAAATTAACAAAAAATTAGCCAGGCATGGTGGTACACACCTGTAGTCCCAGCTACTAGGGAGGCTGAGGCAAGAGGATATAAACCCAGGAGGTTGAGGCTGCAGTTAGCTGTGATTGCACCACTGCACTCCAGTCTGAACAACAAAGACCCTGTCTCAAAAACAAAATAAACATCCAAGAACTTAGAGATGCTAATAACTTTTTCCCCCTATCTCCAAAATTCAACCATCATCCCCACATTTACCAGTGCCAGGCCTGTAATACGCTATATCCCCCAGTTACTACCAAGAGTACACAAATATTTACTGAGCACTCATTATGTACCAGGAACTTAAGATACAGCAGTGAATAAAAAAGACAAAATCCCTGCCCTCATGGAACTTAAAGTCTAGAAGAGGAAACAGATATACAAATAAACAAATATACACTGTCAAGTTAAATGTTCTATGAATAAAAAGTAAAACAGGGTGAAAGAATTAAAGAGTGATGAAGGGTACTCTTTGAGATAAGGTAGTGAGGGAATGCCTCTTTGATAAACAACATTTTAACGGAGGCCTGAAATGAAGATACCTCAGGCAAGAATATCTGGGCAATTAAAACTACAAATGGAAAAGCCGAGACGGAAGTGTGCCTGGAGTTCAATGTGGCTGCAGCACAATGCGGAGGCGTGCCAGAAGAGTTCGGGTGAAAGAGGTAGGGGCCAAATCCTGGAGGACTTTCTAGGCAATAGGAATAATTTTAGTCTTTATTATAGAACGGGAATCCACTGGAGAATTCTGAGAATAGTTTGTGACCCAACTTAAGGCCTGTCATTTGGAAAACACACTGCAGAGCGGGGAAAGTGAATGCAGGGAGACCACTTAGAAAGCTACTGCAGTTTCAGATGAGATACGGAAGGCTTGGACTGTGGTGGTATTTGCAGAGGTAGTAAGTTGTCAGGTTCTAGCTATATATTGCAGGTGAACCATCTACTGATATCTAACCATTCATTTAAGACCATAAATTCTTTGTTACATTTTATTTTTCTAAAAAGTTTCCACAAAACATCTGGCTTTAAATGTCTTTTTAAGCATTCATGACAACGTTTAGATAATTAGGAGCTCCAAAAATGTACCTCAAAAGGGCCTCAATAAATTTGTTTGCTTCAGTGACTCACAAAAAAAAAAAAAAAAAAAAAAAAAAGCTTTTCGATTTGGCCTATAAACAAAAGAAATCCAATAAAAATGAAAATCTAAGAGACAAACATGAGGCCGGGCACGGTAGCACACACCTGTCATCCCAGTACTTTGGGAGGCTGAGGCGGAGGATTGCTTGAGCCTGGGAATTCAAGATCAGCCTGGGCAACATAATGAGACTCCATCTCTACCAAAAAAAATTAGCTGGGGAGGCAGGCAGATCACTTCAGGTCAGGAGTTCAAGACCAGCCTGGTCAACATGGTGAAACCCCATCTCTACTAAAATTACAAAACTTAGCCGGGCGTAGCGGTGCGCGCCTGTAGTCCCAGCTACTCCGGAGGCAGAGGCAGAGGGTGCAGTGAGCTGAAATTGTGCCTCTGTACTCCAGCCTGGGAGACAGAGCAAGACTCTGTCTCAAAAAAAAAAAAGAAAAAGAAAAATTAAGCTGGGCATGGTGGTGCAGGCCTGTAGCCCCAGCTACTCAGGAGGCTAAGGCAGTAGGAGGATCGCTTGAGCCCAAGAAATGGAGGCTGCAGTAAGCCTCGATTGTACCACTGCACTCCAACCTGTCTCTAAAAAAAACTTTTTTAATACAATTGAAAATAGGCCAGGTGCAGTGGCTCACACCTGCAATCCCAGCACTCCGGGAGGCCGAGATGGGCGGATCATTTGAGGTCAGGAGTTCAAGACCAGCTTGGACAACATGGTGAGAGCCCGTCTCTACTAAAAACATAAAAATTAGCTGGGCGTGGTGGAGTATGCCTGTAATCCCAGCTATTTGGGCAGCTGAGGCAGGAGAATCACTTGAACTGGGAGGCGGAGGTCACAGTGAGCTGAGATTGCACCACTGCACTCCAGCCTGGGCGACAGAGTGAGACTCCCTCTCAAAAAAAAAATTTTTTTTTAAATAAAAGACAACCATGAAGACTAGGTCTTGGTGGGGATGGGGGACGGTTCACTGTATCAATTTGGTATGCAAAGCCACATATGAGTGGCTCCTATGTCCTCTCAACTGCTCCCTCATTCAACTATGAACATTTGCTAAAGGCCTTACGTCCCAGGCACTGTGTTATCCTTAGGTGGCTGCCATTTCAAACATGAAAGTATCTAATGATATGTAAAAATCAAAAGGATTCAGCCTTACCTTCTAATTATTATATTTATATTAAAATGAAACTATAAATTTTGCAACACTTCACTCTTACAGGTTTCTGATTACTAAATGTAAAAAGTAACCCACTATTTAAAGCAAGCATGTAGTAGAAATCTCTGAGGATGCCAGTGCCCTTCACTACAAGCACATTTTCTCTAATAATTTACAGCTCACCCCTCCCTCCAAGGGCCTCCAAAAACCACAGATATATCCATTAGATGGCTCCACACTCTTGACCACAATCAGCTAGACCAGGAGTGAGCACTTCAGCAAGGTGGGGCCAACTTTATCCTTGATTTGCTCAACCAGTATGTACAAACCAAGGTGCAAAAGGTTTATTTCTACATTCAATGAGATAAGTTAGCAGGCTCCTAATAAATTTCCCCATTTTGCTTACACTAAAGTGTTTGCAACCGAAAGAGTTAAATTAAAACATACTTGTTTCACTTCTCTTCAACTATAGTCAATCTACCGTCAAGCTTTAATTAAAAATTTATCCATAACTCTTTCTAAAGCACATCCAAGGCCTGATACAATTAACAGATTTCAGTTCAACCACGTTACAAAGAGTCAACAGACTAGGTTCAGTCATTCATATATATATATACACACACACACACACATATATATATATTCTCCCTACCTAACTACTGGTTCTTCTCTGCCTCTTTGCCAGACGGGAAAAAGGCTTTGCAAAAGGCTAGGTAACATCACCATTCCATTTATAACAGCCACGTGGATCACCCATAATAGTCCTAGTAACTAACCATTGAGAATATAATCTCAAAGTCCTTTCCTTTTCTCTAAAATAATTACACAATGATCATGGTATTATAGAAACTCAAATTTTTTTAATACTTGACAGCTGACCAGCTATACCCAGTATATGTTAAATTTCTTATCTTATTAAATTTTATAATGTTTATTTGCTTTAAGTTCAACAATTGTACTTCTGGGCAAGAGGGAGTCCCTTAATGGAGAAAGAACAAACTTAAATTGTCTCTGAAATGATGGTGCTCTACTAGTTTCCTACCACCTTAAAAATGCCTAAAATACTAACATTCCATTTCCACTACACTTAGCCGTGCTTATAAGCAGTATGACAGAAAACCCCATAGCTGAGTGGGTGAGATCAACTACTATGGAGAGCAGATTGTAACAGGGCAAGAAAAGGGGAAGACAAAAAGTAAATGACCACGTAGGCAAAGATGGCCTCAACAACCATAACAATGGCAGTACAAACAGAGAGATGTGAGTATTGTGTATAATATGGGAAAAAAAATAACCTAAATATCTATTAATATGTATACTCAACCATGTAACAAAATCTCTACAGCAATAAAAATTATAAAAAATATCTATATTTGCTCATAGAAATATATTCATATGTTTACTAGGTGGCAAAAGCAGATGACATAACAGTATGTTTAATGACACTGTTTATCTATAGCTATATACATAACTTTTAAATTCACATTCTAAAATCTGAAAAGAATCAATAAAACATTAACAATTTTTATCTCTGATTAGGGAAATATGGGTAATTTTTATGTTTTTTTCACACCTTTTGATATGGCTTGGCTGTGCCCTTAACCCAAATCTCATCCTGAATTCCCACATTATGGGAGGGATCCAGAGAAAGGTGAATGAATCATGGGGACAGGTCTTTCCTGCGCTGTTCTCGTGATAGTGAATAACTCTCATGAGATCTGATGGTTCTATAAAGGGCAGTTTCCCTGCACAAGCTCTCTTCTCTTGTCTGCCGACACTTGAGACGTGCCTTTCACCTTCCACCATGATTGTGAGGTCCCCAGCCATGTGGAACTGTAAGTCCAATAAACCTCTTTCTTTTATAAATTGCCCAGTTTTGGGTATGTCTTTATTAGCAGCATGAAATCGGACTAATACACCCTTTTCTCCGTCTAATGTTTTACAACAAATTGAATACATCCTAGAACTCTCTGACCCCTTAGCTTTCAGAGTCAGTGCTTTAGTTTCTACCTCCTCTCCACTCTTCTTTGCTTACTTCTGTTCATTATTTATCAGCACCTCTGCTATTCTGTTGCTGGCTTCACAGACTTCATGGTATCTTTTTATTTACTATTAATAAGTTTTTATTGAGCATTAAACTACATGCCAAGAACTTTATAATAAATTATCTTTAGTCAACTAGTCCTACCTCCTTATTCAATACATAGACCCCATTTTCTACATTTCTAACAAAAAAATAGACTAGACTTAAATACTTTCAAAATCGAGCAATGTTAATTCACCTTCTTTCTTTAGCAAATAGCAAAATACTATACTCCTTAGGAAAGTTTTTCCTTATATTAAGTCAAAATACTTCCCTGTGAATTCCACCTACTTTCCTTAATCTATCCGCTGAACAGGGAGAAAAAGTTTATCTACTTTTTCCACATTCAGCCTCTGAAGTCTGCCCTTATTTCTTCCTTACGTCCCCTTCTCTATAAATAGTAAAACAGTTTCAAGCCAATCAACATTTAGGTTACTGGGAAGATTAAATTTTTCTTGAAGGGCCGGACATGGTGGCCCACGCCTATAATCCCAGCACTTTGGGAGGCCAAGACGGAAGGATCACTTGAGCCCAGGAGTTCAAGACCAGCCTGGGCAAAAGAGCAAGACCCCATCTCTACAAATACAATAAGACAAAATTTTAGAGGCTAAGTGCCCAGTGTAGCACCTAGCCATGTTACAGCCATTCAATAAATAAAAGTAGTATTCTCTGGGAAAAACAGTGCTGAACCAGAAGTCTAGAAAACTAAAATTCTAACCTAAGTTTGACTTACTATTTTTAATTAACCATCTGGGTTTCACTGCGATCTTCTGTAAAATGTTGGACCAAACGAACTCTTAAGATTTTCCCCTTTACAATTTTATGACCCTATGGGTAGCCATATAGATTTTTTTAATATTATACACAATATTGGTAAAAATGTGATGAGTTTGTACTAATAAAAACACTAATTATAAAAGTGTAAATTAGTGTGACTTTTCTAGAAAGTAATTTGGTAGAACACACCAGAACCTTAAAGAAGTTCATATCCTTTAGCATAGTAACTCTTGGAGATAATCAGAGGTGATGACAAATATTTGCATATAAATTTAGTCTAGTCATCACACTATTAGGAACATGAAAAGTATAAGCAACTGAAATGCTGAAATCGGGGAAATTTTTATATAAATTATGGTCTAACTATACAATGGACTCATGAAGCCATCAAAAATTAAGCCCAAATTTCGAGGCTGAAAAAAAAAAACCTCATGAAAATAGCAAAACGGCTGTCAAAAAAACAAAATACATCACTCTGTTCTTTTATGTGCACCCTAATGTTATAGGTATAAACATCACCCCTAAAAGGGGAGGTTCTTGTTATGAGCCTCCTCTACCAGAGATCTCTTTACAATAGTGGAGGGTAACAGAGCCCTTCTCTGAATACATGAATTTAAATTGAACAATGTCTTCAAGCTATAGATTTAAAAAATGTACTATAGCTAAACACAGGCATAATTTTATAAACATTTTTATAATTTCTGAGAAAAATTTAATTACACATGGCTCTCCAAAGAAAAAATATGGGAGTGTTCTATAAGATACTTCAAGTATGTTTTCATTGTGTTAAACAAAAAGTGCAAATAAGGCTCCTTTTCTCTGTTAACTACAAAATAAACAGCTCTCTAGGCCCCTAGGAAGGTACGAGTAACTCTAGTAAAACACAGTTATGAAAAGAAAAAGGGAGGGTAATTCTCAAGGACTGGCTCTCTTGCTTTAATACCTATTTAGTGCCCCCTGATTTGCCAATTTCCCCATACTCCTTACAGTTATGAGAATAACATTAAAAAAAGCAAATTCATGATCCTAAGCATTGAGATATTTCTCACAAATATAAGGGATTTCATATTTATTTTATAAATAAATATGGTACCCTATAAGCCACAGGCATATCTGAAAACACTGTCATCTTGCCTTGATGAAACCAGAAAACTTGAAGAACGAGCAGTCCTACTGTTTCTCTACTATGACTTCTGAACTAGTTGTCTTAAAGTTCCTTTGCCCTTAACATTTTAAAGGCTATACCAATATATTATGGAAAGAAGACAAAACAGGCCAAGAAGACAACTAGCTGCTTCCAACAGACAGTGACTTAACAGGTGTTGCTGTGAGGATCCTCATGTAAAATAAATATTTTACAATCCTACACAGTGTGTAGAGATGAAACATTCCAAATAAAGTTGTAGTTGTTCTTTTTTAACATTTGTTCTTGTTTTCTAATAAGCTTAAATTGGATTCCGCCTCATAGGAAGCCAAAGGCAAACTATGTTCTCTTCTCCCCAGAAACTTACAATAAAATAATGATAAACAGATCTAAGTCAAATTGAGGAGAACTGGTTGAAAATCATGAACAATTGAACACTTAGATTTTCCCTCTAGGATATCTGTCTTCTTGTAAAAACACCATTTATTTTTATTTATAGGCAACATAACCTCAAATGTGGTACGAACAACCAAGCAAACTAGCATTATCACATTATCCTACACACAGCAGAGGAATTGCCTGGGAGAGAAGATTGCTTTAACACTCTGTGTTAGATACATTCATTTATTTAGAAGAATAACAAAAGAGAAATAAAAAATGTGGGGGTCCATATAAAAATCTATTTAAAAGGCAAAAAGGAAAAAAGTCTAATTCTGGAATTCATACTGCTGAGAATCTGGCCTTTCCAAACAGATCTCTGAATTCTAATTCTGTGATTTTATTTTCTTTGGTCTAGAATACACAAAAAGCAAATTAATGAAGAGATCCAGTTACGGGGATTAAAATAATTTATTTAGCAACAAAAACTAAAAAAGGAATCAAGGTGTTTAAAGCCTTTTTCTATAAAGTTTCTTTTCAATATTTCCTTGAGTCAAAAATCTAAACCATCATTTTGGTTTCAGAGACAGAAAAAGGTTCATGTATGTGCCAAGCCTTCAATAAATACTGGTTAAATTAAGTGGATGGAAGAGAAACTAAACATAGCACTTTTGCCCATTTATGTGGTAAATCAGACATTCTATACATATCAGCATAAAATAAAACCCCTAAGACTGCTCATCTTCAATCAAGAAACCAGAGATCTCATGATTCACTACAAATGAATCCTCTTAGAATCAAACAGAGTCAGTTATATTTTTAAAATAAACCTTATTTTATAATTCGTGGGGTCTAGTGAGGTAGCTGAGTAATGATAAATAAGAGAAAAAAGTACTGGCTTGAAATGTGATGTTATCCACCACACAGGTACCGAGTCCACTGGAATGCCTAAATAAGAAAAAGTGGGGGAAAGGCCTGGGCAGTTGGCCACAGGTACATTACCCAAAGCTTCTTACAATTCTAAGGCATAAAACGGGCAATATAAGGAAATCTGCCTGACCACAGAGTTAAGGGAGTGATTCTGCAATCGATGCAATTTCCCCACTGCCATTCACATACATCTTCCCCACACAAGAGGAGAGAACAGTGCTGGTCTCAGTACGAAAGCCAAGTATAAGTCATTTTGTATATTATTTTATTATTATATATTGTATTGTATTAGTACTTAATGATATTTTCATCACATAATCCTACTTCCTTGGCATTCAGGAATACAGTCCTATGTCTCTCACAGTTTCACAAGTGCCTGACAGTAAAGTACCTGTCACCAGAACAGTCTGTTCATTTTCAAAGATGCTTCGGAACCTCAGTATCTTAGTGTCTCATTATTTACTGTGCCCTTTTCAAATCTCCTTCCTCTCCATATGCCACTTAATTTTTTTCAGGTCCCATAATACACACTAATAAAAGAGAATTGAAGAACAAATTACCAAAAAAGATTATAAGAAAGCATCTAGCTCTCATAAATATGTGCATTTGCAGATAAAATTGCTAAAGCACTATCAGTGACCTTTGAATCATCATATAAAATAGAAGCCCCTGAAGATTAAAGAAATGAAGTCCTAATTGTCAAAAAAAGAGAAAGGCAGATCCACACCACAGAACTACAGAAGACAGGTTTAGTGACAATGCTATACAGTAACATCATGAACTGGTCAGGAGCAGCATATGGCACTCAACTGAAGTAGACAAGGGCTCACTAAGCATAAACCAAGGCCTAAGCCTTCATTTATTCTGTGAGTTATCAGACTAGTAGGTGAAATGAATACTAAAAATGATATCTGGACTTAAAGTATCCACCAAATTCTCTTCTGATAAGAGGCAGGGTTTCTAACCTCCACGTTACTGACATTTGAAGCCGAGTAACTCTCTGTCCTGTGCATTGCGGGATGCTTAGTGGCATGCCTGGCCTCTGCCACTTACATGCCGTAGCATCCCCTAGTTGTGACAACCAAAAATGTCTCCAGATATTGCCAAAGGCCCCTCAGAAGGCAATATCACCCTTGGTTGAGAAACACTGATTTATGGCAAGATAGAGAAATACAAAACAATAGTCATTACTAAGATTCATAAGTAATTAGACAGTTATTCATAAGAAACTAAACAGCTATATCCAGGGTGCTGATGATGATTCAAAGCAAATTTTGAAAAAAACTTTATTTGTCCCTTAATGCTAAACAATTTTAATAATGATTCAGGAAGGAACACAAAGATAAATCTATCAAATTTATAGAAGATATAAAACTAGATGACATGAAAAAATAAGTGTATGAGAGACATCCAAAGATCTAGATTCTTCTACTGGGCGGGAAGGAAGAAGGGAGGGTTAAGCCATTAAGTTATGAAAAAGCAAGCTGTAGGCCAGGTGCAGTGGCTCACGCCTATAATCCCAGCACTTTGGGAGGCCGAGGCAGGCGGATCACCTGAGGTCGGGAGTTCGAGACCAGCCTGACCAACATGGAGAAAGCCTGTCTCTACTAAAAATACAAAATTAGCCAGGCATGGCGGTGCACGCCTGTAATCTCAGCTACTCAGAAGGCTGAGGCAGGAGACTCGCTTGAACCTGGGAGGCGGAGGTTGCGGTGACCCAAGATCGCACCATTGCACTCCAGCCTAGGCAACAAGAGCGAAACTCCGTCTCAAAAAAAAAAAAAAGAAAAAGCAAGCTGTAGAAATTTTACAATAAGATGCTACTCAAATAAGTGTGTGTGTGTGTGTGTGTGTGTGTGTGTGTGTGTGTAACATTTACTTAGGTAATTTAAAATTATTAATTTAAATCTCTCATCTTCAAAAATTCTAAATTTAGTTTCTTTTATACAGAATTTTAGTGTACAAATTATTGATTTTTTAACAAGTATAATCAAAAAAATACAATACTCACTTGAAGGAAATTTTCTACCTTTATCACTCTAGGTTTCCCTGCAAACATCTAAGAGAAGCTCTCTATCATATACAGAATATATACCTATTTGTCTGATACACAAGACTATATGTCTCTAAAAGTTAGCAAAGAGAATGTTACACACATCCCCAAGAATATTTTCTGCTACTATTTTCCAAAGTCACAAGTCACTCTTATTACATGGTAACCTGTCACCTAGAGAACACAACATCGCCAATTTTTTTCCCATTTAAACACTCCTCAAATAATTTTAACTTCAGGAGTACTAACTGCCTCCAGAATTATATGCACAATTAAAATTACCAGTCAAACAATTCAAGACAGGAAAAACCCCCACCATTTTCGATCAAACAACAGGCCCTGATGAAACCGTAATAAAAGGTCAATCTTCGCCAAACAAGACTCAAGGTCTCTCACTTCATTAAACAGCTAAAAGTAAATATATTTACCCAGTACAACAAGTATTTGGGTTTTTACCAACCTTGAAGAACATTTTACTAGAGTCAATAGTTGGCTATAAAGATATTTATAAGCAGTTCTTTCCTTTTCCTGTAACTTGGGAAATTAATGTGGTTAAATTAGTTTTTAAAAATCAATAAATCCTAGTAGAAGACAGATCTAATCAAAGTGATGATGAAAAATATTTCTCATGGAGTGAAACGGAAAGCCTAAAAATCTGTATAACAATAATCTAAAAAGCTAGCTGTATAATAATATAAGCAAAAATACTTGAAACCTACATTTTTCCTAAATCTGTTTTTCATTGTTTATAAAGCACTATGCAATAGAAGTAAAATGCAAGCCACATATAAAATTTCAAATTTTCTCACAGCCACATTTTTAAAAGTAGAAAGAAACAAGTGAAATTAATTTTAACTGTATATTTTATCTAACCCAATAGATCCAAATTATTAGCATTTCAAAATGGGATCAATAATAAAAAATTAACAAGGTAGTTTACCTTTTTTGTGTAGGAAGTCTTTGAAATCGGTGTTGTTAAAATAAATTTTATTGTATATATCTAAAGTATACAACATGATGTCAGGGGATACACAGATAGTAAAATAATTACTATAGTGAAGCAAATTAACATATCCATCATCTCACATAGTTACTCATTTTATTTTTGTGGCAAGAGCAACTAAAATGTACTAATTTAGCAGGAATCCCAAATACAGTACAACTTTATTAACTATAGTCCTCATGTTATACATTAGATCTCTGGACTTGTTCATCCCATGTATCTGCTACTTTGTAACCTCTAATCAATATCTCCCCATGTCCTCCCCAATGCCCCTGCAACCACTGTTGCATTCTCTATTGACTTCTTTTTTAAGAGTCCGCATTATAAGTGAGATCATGCAATATTCTTCTTTCTGTGCCTGACATTTCACTTAACATAATGTCCGCCGGGTTCACACATGCTGTGGCAAATGACAGAATCTCCTTTTTTTTTTAAAGCCAAATAATATTCCATTATTACATATACCGCAATTCCTTCATCCATCCACCATGTGACACTTAAGTTGTTTCCATATCTTGGCTATTGTGCATAATGCTGCAATGAATATGGGATTGCACATAACTTTCTGAGGTGGTGATTTCATTTCCTTTAGGTATATGCCCAGAAGAGAGACTGCTGGGTCATATGGTGGTTTTATTTTTAATTTCATTGGGCTCCTCCATGCTGTTTTCCAAAATGGCTGCACCAATCTACATTCCCACCAATGGTGTATAGGTTCCCTTTTCTGCACACCCTGAATAACGTTTGTTATCCCTTTACTCTTTGATAATAGCCATCCTAACGAGTGAGGTGTTATCGCACACTGGTTTCGGTTTGCATTTCCCTAAGGATTAATGATATTAAGCACTTTTTCATATACCTGTTGGCCACTTTTATGCATTCTCTGGAGAAATGTCTATTCAGGTCCTTCACCCATTTTTAAATTTGATTGTTTGTTTTTCTATTGAATTGTATGAATTATTCATACATTGTAGATATCATCCCCTTATCAAATATATGATTTGCAAATTTTTTCCCAATCTGTAGGTTGTCATTTCATTTTGTTGACTGTTTCCTTTGCTGTGTCAAATCTGTGTGTATTTCACATTTACAGCATTCTCAATTCAGGCTAAAAGCACATTTCAAGCGCTCCATAGCCACAAATAACTAGTAGTTCCCATACGAGACCACACAAATCCATAACATAAGTGGGCCAAATATCATTTCCAAATTTCTAAAGCTCAATTACAAAATCAACAGAAAGCCCTAAGTAACTAAACAAATACAAAATGTCTTTAAAGGCAGATGTAGGCTTATAAGAAAGTCAAAATATAAGAATAACAGTTAATATTTATTGAGCATTTACTATTTTAGACCCTAAGTCAGACCCTATTTTAAATGCTTTTCAAGCATTATCTCATTTGATTATCACAAAGGCTGCTGATGCAGGTACTAGCGATGTCTCCATTTTACATATAAGTAAACTAAAACACAAGGAAAGTTAAGTAAACAAGGCCATGCTTTTAAACAGTATACATGCTATGCCGCAAGAAAAATGCCAATAGAACCAAAGGTTGTTTTTAAAGTCAGAATACAGAAGATAGGAAAAGATAAAGTATGCAATAATGAAGAAAAAATTCTATCTTTTGGAATTAACAGGTTTTTTAAAACTGAATCATGTCATATGACACTTTTTCACAAGAAGCTCCAATCTCCAGACAATCAATACAGTTTTAGATTAGAATTTTTAAACTATTACACAAATATTGGGAACACTTATTCTGTTTTATGGAATGAGGTATTGCCCAATTCTATTATACACACACACACATTTTATTTAACCTTATACTGGTAATATAAAACAAAAATATTTATGACCCAATATTGAAAAGTATGGTTTTAGCCTAACGTAAAGAGTAATGAAAGCATTACTTTAACGTCAAGGATTTTCCAGTACTATATTAATTTGAAAAAGCTGCACTTTTCTTTTTTGAAACTCTTACATTTGTGATTTTATTATGCCAATCTTATTGTGGGCTTTTTTTAATAGTCTCATTCTCTTGTATGAAGGAAAGGGCTTATCTTCCTCCCATTCACCTATCATTTCAAACAATAAAGTATGAAAAGATAAAACAGGCAATAATAAAGCAAGCTTCTTCCCTACATCTCAATTCTAAGAAAAAAATAGAATAATGCATAATACTGAACACCATCTGAGACAGGTACATCATACCCCAAGATTTTTAGCTAAAACATGAGGACAATGTTTACTTTCACATGTATATGCTACCAGCAAATGACACAAATACTGCCTAACGTTCATAAAAAGTCCAGATAAAAAGCTGGACATCTCTTCACAAAACAACATTCAAAAACTGCTCATCTTAATGGATGACTGGATACAGAAAGAAAAAAATTGCTTGTCTGAAATAACTAGTCCCATGTGAAAGAAAATCTGTGATCAGAGCTTAAATTGTCTGACCTTTTTGTTTACTTAAAATCACAAGATAACAACAGCCCTGATCCACAGTTGAAGGCCATGGCTGGCTGCACACTAACTTTGACGTTTTTCAGGGTGTCACTGGAAAGCCCTATCACACCACCTTCAGTTACATAATAAACCTATCACTATACTGTTCTTACTCTCCCCTCCCACGTATTCAAAACTTCACAAAGGTAGCCAGAGCTAAGAGGAGAGCCTCTTAATTTAAGAGTTCGTTTACACAGTGTGCCTGGGCAGATATTTAGCAACAGCACAAAAAGGTTAAGAGTCAATCAGCCACCTGCCCATAACAAAGAAACGTCTGTTTGGTAAAAATTTTCCAAAAAATATGTTCACATCACTTACTTTTTGTCTTTGATATTTTGAACAGTTTCATCAACAAATGTTTCACGTAACCTACAAAGTTCACCTATGGACTTTGTTTTTCTTTTTATTTTTTCCTTTGGACTGCTACTCAATGTGTCAGGCACTGGGTCTGGCCCTTTCACGTACAGCATCCCGTATTATTCCGGTTATTGTCTCCTCTAAGGGTTAACAACATTACAATCAAAATGACTTCACCACTAACTTATCTGAGTTTTTCTCCTAGGATGACAATATAACTCTGGGATCCTTACATAAAAGAACAATATCCATGAAACAATTACTTACACAACAAAATATTTGAGATTAGCACATAATTATTTATAAATGTCCTTTGCACTTTCATTACTCTTAAAACAGATGTAACAGAACTAAATTTAAGTACAAAACAATCTTCTTTAAAAAACCCAATACTTAAATTTGTAGTGTCACCAGAGAATACAAGGAATTCAACATCCGTGCTAAATTATAAATCACAAATATGAGTAATCACTCTACACTTAGATTATTGACTTTGGCCTGCCAGATAAAAAGCTTGCATTAAAAAAGTAGTTCTAAAACAACCCAATACTATTTTAATATGTGATTCAAGATTAAGCTTCAACTTATATGATTCAATACAAGCACTTAAAAAAAATTCCAAGAGCAATTTCCCTGTAATTGGTCCTTAATCTACTGGAAATGCAAAAGATGATCCCAGCCTTCCCTGACAAATATAACTCAACAAAGCAAAAAGGCAGTAGAAATTCCATTCAAAGTGAAGGAGGTACATTTAGACACCAACAAAAAACTCAAGAACATAACACACACGGCATCTCATATACCACAATGCAACCTTACCTGTTTCTGAAATGTATGTAACAGGATCCTGCCGTGAAATTTTACCAGGTTTAGAAGATACTGGCAGTTTTTCTGGTGGCTTTTTGGCATTTTTTACCTGCAACGTCTCCTCTGACTCTGAATCTGTATGTGAGAGAAAAATAAAACAAAACTTTGAAAAGAACTATTATAATATAGTGCATGTTTAAAGTAGTCACGGTGAACCAATTCCTCAAGGTCTTTTTCAAGGCACATGTCTTCTGTGAATTCTCACAGGTTACTTTTACTCAGTGCTAAGCCTATGTATTAGTTTCCTATTCCAGCTATAATAAATGACCACAAACTTAGTGGCTTAAAACAACTAAGCCACTAAATTTATTATCTTCCAGTTCTGGAGGTTAGATAGATGGCAAATATGGGTCTCACTGGGCCAGTCAAGGTACCAGCAGGGCTATGTTCCTTTCTGAATACTCTAAGAAAGAATTTTATTTGCCTTTTCCAGTCTCCAGTGGATGCCAGCATTCTTGGCTCAAAGACCCTTCCTGCATCTTCAAAGCCAGCAACATCAAGCGAAAGCCCTCACGTTGCCATCTCCCGGATCCTCTAATCTTCCTCCACAGTTAATCTCACTCTCTAAACCCTTTTTCTACCTCCCTATTCCTTGTGACTACACTGAGCCCATCCAAATAATCCAGGATAATCTCCCTATTTTTTTTTCTTTTTTGAGACGGAGTCTCGCTCTGTTGTGGAGTGCAGTGGCGTGATCTCAGCTCACTGCAACCTCTGCCTTCCAGGTTCAAGCGATTCTCCTGCCTCAGACTCCTGAGTAGCTGGGACTACAGGCGCGTGCCACCACGCCCAGATAATTTTTGTATTTTTAGTAGAGACAGGGTTTTACTATGTTGGCCAGGCTGGTCTGGAAATCCTGACCTCAAGTGATCCGCCCACCTCAGCCTCCAAAAGTGCTGGGATTACAGGCAAGAGCCACCACGCCTGGCCTAATCTCCCTATTTTTAAGGTCATCTGATTAGCCATCTTAACACCATCTGTAACTTTTACTTCCCTTTGCCATATAACCTAATATAGTCACAGGTTCTAGGAATTAGGCTGTGGATATCTTTTGGGGGCATTATTCTGTCTACCACAGCCTAATCTCCCAGGGCACTTAAATATAAATCAGAACAAAGTGTGAGTACCTGGCACAGTGCCTGGTACAAAATAGATGTTTCATAAACTTTAGTGTCCTTCCTCTTCCCCTGCACCATGCATTTATAAATCCTGTCACACTGTAGTAAACTGTATCAAACAAATGTCCAGTTTCCCAACAAACAAAACTCCTGAGGAAGAGGAACGCGTACTTCTTTCAAATTCTTTACAATATAGAGCAATAAAAGGCACAGAGTAAACACTTAAGTACTTTCAGAATTCAGAACCTTTGATAGTACTGTGAAAATTTTGACAATCCTTCTTTAGGCACATTTTTTATTTTAAGAATTCACACCAGAAGGCCGGGTGTGGTGGCTCATGCCTGTAATCCCGACACTTTGGGAGGCCGAGGCAGGCAAAATCACCTGAGGTCAGGAGTTCGAGACCAGCCTGGCCAACATGGTGAAACCCCTTTTCTACTAAAAGCTACAAAAATTAGCTGGGCATGGTGGTGGGCACCTGTAATCCCAGCTACCTGGGAGGCTGAGGCAGGAGAATCGCTTGAACCCAGGAGACAGAGGTTACACTGACCCAAGATCATGCCATTGCACTCCAGCCTGGGTGACAGAGCAAAATTCCGTCTCAAAAAAAAAAAAAAATTCACACCAGATAAAAATAAAACAGAAAGAGAGAATTAATACAGCAGATCTTGTCCACAAAAGCAAAAACTGAAACTTTCTGAATTCTACCATTTTACCATCATTTTGTGCATCATAAAAGGCATGCAAAAAAATTCATGTTCCCTATTTTAAAATTATGTTCAAAGAAAAGCCTTTAAATTGTGTTTATTCCTTTTTAAATGCAACCCAAAAAAGCCAGATCTTTCAATAAAGCACAAAAATTAAATTTTAGATCTTTGCTTTAAAAACAGTATTCTAAGGCACTATTTTTCAAATTTAACTTCCAACAACCTCAACTGGAAAAGAAATTAATACAAGTATTTTAAAAAATAATAGGGCCAGAGGCTCATGCCTGTAATCCCAAGACTTTGAGAGGCCGAGGAAGGCGAATTGTTTGAGGCCAGGAGTTTGAGACCAGCCTTGTCTACGTGGTGAAACCCCATCTCTACTAAAATTATAAAATTTCATCTCTACTAAAATTATAAAAATTAGCTAGATGTGGTGCTGCACGCCTGTGGTTCCAGCTACAGGTGGCCAAAGCGCAAGAATCGCTTGAACCTGGGAGGTAGAGGTTGCAGTGAGCCCAGATCGCACCACTGCACTCCAACCTGGGCAACAGGGCAAGACTGTCTCTAAATAAATTAATTAAATTAAATAAAAACACATATATCACATTCAAAATAAGTTTGACAAATGCTGCATACTATATCACTTTCTGAAGGAATCTTTAATACAAACATATTTTGGTTCTGATAAGTTCTATAATAAAATTGTTTGAAATTTTACTTGAGCATACAGCCCTCTTCTCACAGGACTTATTAACATCTCAGAGAGCTACGTATCTCAGAACATAGTTGATTTATTTATTTATAATTTTTTTGTTTTTTCTTGAGACAAAGTCTCACTACCCAGATTGGAGTGCAGTGGCGATCTTGGCTCACTGCAACCTCTGCCTCTGGGATTCAAGCAATTCTCATATCTCAGCCTCCTGAGTAGCTGGGATTGCAGGCGCGTGCCACCACGCCCAGCTAATTTTTGTATTTTTAACAGAGAAGGGGTTTCACCATGTTGGCCAGGCTGGTCTCGAACTCCTGACCTCAAGTCATCTGCCTGCCTTTGCCTCCCAAAGTGCTGCGATTGCGATTACAGGCATGAGCCACCGCACCCATCCTTAGAACATAGTTTAAAGCACTGTTCTAAGGGATATACAATAACTTTAAAATTTTAAAGCTCCTCAGAAGAAATTATTACCTGAATCATAGATGATCCTCTTTTTCTTGCTTGGTTGCTTTTGTTTGAAGTCATCCTCTTTACGGGAGCTATTTACCTATAAACATCACAATATAATTAGAACATAAAGAAGCCTATATAACTATCTTTTTTTTTTTTGAGACGGAGTCTCACTCTGTCATCCAGGCTGGAGCGCAGTGGCACGATCTCGGCTCACTGCAAGCTCCGCCTCCCAGGTTCACGCCATTCTCCTGCCTCAGCCTTCTGAGTAGCTGGGACCACAGAAACCCGCCACAATGCCTGGCTAATTTTTTGTATTTTTAGTAGAGACGGGGCTATCCTTTTTTCTCGTTAGATTTGGGCTCAGTCGTTTTAACCAGGGGGAATTTTGCATCCCCGCCCCCCAGAAGGCATTTGTCAATGTCTAGAAACATTTTTACTTATCACAAATGGGGGTAGGGAGGTTTACTGTCATGTAACAGGTAGATCAGGGATGCTACTAAACATCCTACAATGCACAGGACAGTCCTCCACAACAAAGAATTCTCCAGACTAAACTGTCAGTAATATACCCTTATTGGCTAAAAATAGGCCAGACAGTAACTGTACCACAATGGGAAAAAAATAATTACAGAAAACGCTATATTATTATTCAGCTCCATTTTCAACACTAACCTATGTATACAACAAAGAATAAAAGGATATCAGATATTACAAGGCAAGTGCTTCCTGAAAATGAAACGACAGAAACAGGAATAAATGCTAAGCTAGTGGCCTACCACTAGCCAATGCCTGTTAGGAAACTAAATAGAACCAGCCAGGCTCAGTGGCTCACGCCTGTAATCCCAACACTTTGGGAGGCCGAGGCGGGCAGATCACCTGAAGTCAGGAGTTCAAGACCAGCCTGACCAACATGAAGAAACTCCGTCTCTACTAAAAATACAAAATTAGCCAGGCGTGGTGGTACATGCCTGTAATCCCAGCTACTTGGGAGGCTGAGGCAGGAGAATCGCTTGAACCTGGGGGGCAGAGGTTGCAGTAAGCCAAGATCGCGCCATTGCATGCCAGCCTGGGCAACAAGAGCAAAATTCCGTCTCAAAAAAAAAAAAAAAGTACTAAATAAAACCAATGCAAAAGGTATTATTATATATTTTGTAGTTAAACATCACATTTCTAACATATTCAAATTTTCTCAGAAAGCATCAAGAAGGCAGTGAAAAAACTGATTGTAATCAATTATAAGGTAGAAATAGAAACTATTTCTATCCATTATAATAAAACTTCAAAAACATAAGAACAATCAACTAGCTTGCAAGAAAATGGAACAAATGAGCAATTATAATTTATATATACCACTGGATCAAGGACAGAGTCAGAATCAACCACACCTCAAAAGTAAGAGAAGAAGGTATCAAGTAAAGGAGAAAGCCACAGAAAGAAATCCCAAATTCTGCCTGTAAACTTTACCCAAATCTCTGGCTATCTCCTGAATTATACATATGTGGAACAACTCCTATAGCTTAGCTAAGGTTAAAAGAATTGAATAAAGATTTCAGCTGCTGCCCATTACAGGGGAGACAAGAGTTTGGAGCTTGAGTACAGCCAAGATCAATGCCTGATAAACCAAAAGAACACTCTTTGAAGGAATAACAGGATCCAAAGTTCCTACACTGTATCGTTCACAATGTCCAAGATAAATCCAAAATAACTAGAACATGCAAAGAGGAAATGTGACCTGTGGAGGCTAATTTCATATGTGAACCTGACTGAACCACAAGATGTCCAGATATTTGGTCAAACATCATATTAGGTGTTTCTACAAGGGTGTTTTTGAATGAGCTTAATATTTAAATCAATTGACTAAGTAAAGCAGACTGCCCTCCCTAATGGCATTAAGCCTCATCTAATCAGCTGAAAGCCTGGAAAGAACAAAGGCCAACCCTCTGCTGAATGAGAGGGAATTCCTCCTGCCCGACTGCCTTAGAGCTGGGATATCTCTGGGACACTTTCTTCCTGCCGTTGGACTCCAACTAAAACATCAGCTCTACCAATTCTTGGTAATAAATCTCTCTATGTATACACACATACATCCTATTGGTTCTGTTTCTCTACAGAACTCTGACTGTATAATACAGATTTTGGTACCAAGAAATGGGATACTACTATAAAACAAACAAACAAACAAAAACAAAACAAAACCTAAAATACAGAAGTGACTTTGGAACTGGGGAGAGGCTAGATATTTTCTAGCATGTAGAAAAAGCCTAGACTGCCATGAAGGAACTGCTGGTAGAAATATGAACGTTAAATGTAATAACAATGAGAGCTGATGAAGAGAAGAGAAGAGCTAGAGAAGAAGCCTCTTTCATCTCAGAGAATACATATATCATCATGAACAGAATGTTGGTATAAATATGAATGTTAAAGGCCAACCTGGTAAGGTTTTACATGGAAATGAGAAAGAGATTATTGGAAATTGGAAGAAAGACAATTCTTATTATAAAGTGGCACAGAACTTGGCCAAGTTGTGTCCTAGTGCTTTGTGAAAGATGGAACCTGTGAATGATGAAATCAGATATTTAGCTGAGGAGATTTCAAAGCAAAATCTTGAAGATGCGGCCTGAGTCCTCCTGACTGCTTGTAGTCAAATGCAAAACGGAAGAGATGAACTAATGAAGAAACCGGTCAGCCAAAAGGGACCAGAACTTGAAGATTTGTAAAATTCTCAGCCTGTCCGTATTTCAGAAAATGAAAAAGCAAGTTCTAGGCCAGGTGTGGTGGCTCACGCCTGTAATCCCAGCATTGTGGGAGACAGGCCAATCACTTCAGGTCAGGAGTTTGAGACCAGCTTGGCCAATATGGTAAAACCCCATCTCTAGGAAAAATACAAAAAATTAGCTGGACATGGTGGCACGCGACTATAGTCCCAGCTACTCAGGAGGCTGAGGCAGGAGATTCACTTGAACCTGGGAGGCAGAGGTTGCAGTGAGCCGAGATTGCGCCACTGCACTCCAGTCTGGGCAACAGAGCAAGACTCTGTTTCAAAAAAGAAAAGAAAAGAAAAGAAAAGAAAAGAAAAGAAAAGAAAAGAAAAGAAAAGAAAAAGCATGTTCTAAAGAGAATAGCAACGGTGTAGCTGGAGTATCACTTGATAAAGAGATTATGGGATTATACAGGCAAAAACACTGTCAGTTTGAATTGAAGAGGATGGAGAAAGGACAAAATGAAAGAAGGCTGTCAGACTTCTGAGATTCCAGTGACAGGACAACACAGCTATTCTTCAAGAAAAGGGAAGAATGGCCCCAAAAGCAATTCAGAGATCAACCATCAGAACTCCCTCTTCAAAAGATGGAGCTTGGTTTCAACAGATGAGACAGCCACCACCCAAAGCCTTGTGGGCAGGATGGCCCAGCAGAGCTGCAGAAGCAGGACAGCTGCCTGTGACTGTGGGGGTAGGGCCACTAACCCAGTGGGTCTAGAGGGCAGGGCATCAAGCCAAAGAGTTTATTTTCAAGGCTTATGTTCTGATTGAATTTGCCTTGCTAGGTTTTGGACTTGTTTGGGATCCATCACCCCTCCCTCCCTTCTGATTTCTCCTCTTTGGAATGGTAATGTCTATCCTATATGTCTGTTCTACTATCATATTTTAGAAGCACATTCCTTATCTGGTTTCACAGGTTCACAGCAAAAGAAAATTTTCCCTCAGGATGATTCATACCTCAAGTATCACCCATATCTGATTTGGATGATATTGACATGAGACTGTGGACTTCAGACTTGATGCTGAAATGAGTTAAGACTTTGGGGGCTGTTATGATGGAATGAATGTATTTTGCATGCAAGAAGGACATAAATTCTGGGTGGCCATGGATGGAATGTTATATCCTGAATGTCTGTGTCCCCAAAATTCACACGTTGAAGCCCTAACCCTCAGGGTGGCTATATTTGGAGTTGGAACCTCTAAACAAGTAATTAAGGATAAATAAGGTCGTAAGGGTGGGGCTCTGATCTGACAGGATTAGCATTCTATAAGAACAGACACCAGAGTGCTCATTCAATCTCTATCTCTCTTTCTCCACCAGTGCTCAATCTCTCTCTCCACCCATATGCACTAAGAAGAGGCTATGTGAGGACAACACGAGAAGGCAGCCATGTACAAAGCAGGAAAAAGGCCCTCACCAGACACCTAATCAGCCAGTACCATCTATTTTGTAGTATTTTGTCATGGTGGCCTGAACTAACACATGACCCAAAGAATCAGGACAAAAGGCATTTAATGAAGACCAATTTTGATACAACACAGATGTCAGAATTAGCAGATAAGAATTTTAAAGCAGCTACTAGGCCGGGCACGGTGGCTCACACCTGTAATCCCAGCACTTCAGGAGGCCGAGGCAGGTAGATCACCTGAGATCGGGAGTTTGAGACCAGCCTGGCCAATATGGAGAAACCCCAACTCTACTAAAAATACAAAATTAGCCGGGCATGGGGGCTCATGCCTAAAATCCCAGCTACTTGGGAGGCTGAGGCAGGAGAATTGCTTGAACCCAGGAGGCAGAGGTTGCGGTGAGCCGAGATCGTGCCATTGCACTCCAACCTGGGCAATGAGAGCAAAACTCCATCTCAAAATAAAAACTAAAGCAGCTACTATAATTACACTCAAGGACATAAAAGACAGAAATTAAAGCTACAAAAAAGAAACAAATGAAAATTCTAGAATTAAAAAATACAATATGTAAAATAAAAATTCACTAGATAGCCTTAACAGTAAATTGGTGATAAAAGAAGAATCAATGAACTTAAAGACAGAAAGAGAAAGTACTCAATCTGAAAAAAAGACTGATAAAAATGAACAAGGCTCAATGATCCGTGAGACAATATCAAAACTCCAACGTTTATGTAATTGTAATTCAAGAAGAGAAGAGAGAGAATGAGGCAGAAAAAATATTTGAAGAAATTATAGCAAAATGTTCCCAATTTTGATAAAAGATATAAATTTACAGATTAAAGAAGCTCAGAAACCAAAAATGGGATAAACAAAAGAAAACCACACTCAGGTAAGCCATAGTCAAACTGCTGAAAACCAAAAATTAAAAAATTCTTTAATGAACCATGAGAAAAACAACACACATGAGAAAACAACATCAATGACTGGAGGCATCTCATCAGATAAACTAGAAGCCAAAAAACAGTGGAACATCTTTAAAAGGCTTAAGTTTTTTAAAAAACAGTCAACCCAAAATTCCATATCCAGCAAAAATAACCTTCAAGAATGAAGGCAAAATAAAGACATTTTCAGATTAACAAAAACTTATAGAGGTTTATCACCAACAGACCTACACTACAAAAAATGCTAAACAAAATTCTTCAAGTTGAAAGAAAATGATATTAGACGAAAACTCAGATCTTCAGTGAGAAATGAAAAGCATCAGAAATAGCAAATACGTGCATAAAATAAAAACAGCAATTTTTGCCTTAATTTTTTTAAAAAATACACATCTATTTAAAGTAAAATTACATTGAATTGTGCAGTATTAACATATGTAGGTGTAATATATATGACAACTAGGGCATAAAGAATGGAGTGAATGGCTGGCACGGTGGCTCACGCCTGTAATCTCAGCACTTTGGGAGGCCAAGGCGGGCAGATCACGAGGTCAGGAGATCGAGACCATCCTGGCTAACACGGTGAAACCCCGTCTCTACTAAAAAATAGAAAAAATTAGCTGGGTGTGGTGGCGGGCGCCTGTAGTCCCAGCTACTCGGGAGACTGAGGCAGGAGAATGGCATGAACCCAGGAGGCGGAGCTTGCAGTCTGCCGAGATTGCACCACTGCACTACAGCCTGGGCGACAGAGCAAGACTCTGTCTCAGGAAAAAAAAAAAAAAAAAAAAAAAAAAAAAAAACTTATAAGAACTGAGTTTATTTTACATTTCATTCAATGCAAAATTATACCCAGAAAACTAACCTTGATTTCCTTTATTCCTTTCTTTGCTTTTAAAGTTTCTTCATCAGACTTTGTTTTCTCATTCTTCTTTACTGTTTCACTTACAAGTTTCTTTCCACTTGGTATTACTCCAAAGAATTTCCGAATGTCCTAAAAGCAAAAAACAGGAGATTCACGAATAAACATTAACCGCATAAAATTATAACTTCAATTGTAAGATGGGACAGCTTTATGTACACACTGGGTTACCCTGAGTAATTTTTCCATACCAAGATAGTTCCACGAATATAGTAGCTTTCTTTTCATGTGCAAAAGTTAACTGATAACTTTACCTGAGTTAAGAATAATTTGTCGGCCAGGCGCGGTGGCTCACGCCTGTAATCCCTCCACTTTGGGAGGCCGAGGTGGGTGGATCACTTGAGGTCAGGAGTTCGAGACCAGCCTGGCCAACATGGTGAAACCCCGTTTCTACTAAAAATACAAAAAATTAGCTGGGCATGGTGGCAGGTGCCTGTAATTCCAGCTACTTGGGAGTCTGAGGCAGGAGAATTGCTTGAACCCAGGAGGCAGAGGTTGCAGTAAGCCCAGGTAACACCACTGCACTCCAGCCTGCCTGGATGACAAAGCAAGACTCCGTCTCAAAAAAAAAAAAAAAAAAGAATAATTTGTCTAATAAAGAGTAATATAAATTCTCAGAATCAGGCCAAAAACAGGCCAAAATAAGCAAGTGATATTTTTGCTAATGACATCAGAGTTATTAAAGAGGCAAGTGGCAGTTACTTATTATTGATCATACATGCACATACACATACACATCCCATCATCCCAGGCATAGCTGGGGAGAAGACAAAGTTGGAGAATATGATCCTTGTCTGTGGAACATATACTCCAGTATGAAAGAATAACTCTCACAACCCTAATCATTCCTGGCAACTAAAAAGCTTCAAATTGTTTTCCTTTATATGATTTTTCAACATCCTGAAGAAAAAAAACCTTTGATGCTTATTACAATATGCTCTTTAATTACCCGTGTTAAACCACAGAATTCAAATTAATCACACTGAAACATTTACAATGTAATTTACAATTAAAATCACTCACTTTTCCTAACCTTTGCATAGTCTTCCCCACCTCTCTAAAATTTAGTTTAAGAAACTGTGGTATAGAGGAAAGGGAACAGACCTTAGAATCAGAAGCCTTAATTCAAATCTGTGCTCTAGTGCTTTTTAACTGTGTGATCTTGGGCAAGCTACTTTATCTGTTTTCTCCTCAGTAAAGTGGGACTAATACTGACCCTTTATGTGGATTAATTATGCATCTACCACAATTCTGGCCCAGTAAAAATCTTACCCTCACCTCATTTCTGAACTATCATCCCTTCATATTACTGAAACACTCTGTTTATCATTATCTCTGCTTATAGAGAAGGGTATAAGAAGAAAAAATAATGAGAATGTAGGATCTGAATTCCAAAGAACTGGATTTAAGAACCACCTGTATCATTTTCCCTCTTCCTATCCTTGATGGTTGTAATCACCAGTTTTTATCACTTTTTATCCCTACAACCTACCTCTCTTTATTGCCTGAGAGAAATGCCTATAAAAGTACTTTGTAAAGTGTTAAGAAAAGTTAGCAATTATTTCCTAGATCCTGACAATAATTGTCATACTCTTACAATGTCAAAAATCCCAAATAAGTGTGACACACACACACACACACACAAATAACTGTGGCTAAGCCAATAAACAAAGCAGATAATTGAAGTACATAGCATGTTAAATAATTTTTTTAAGGCCAAGTAAGGTAGCTCATGCCTATAATCCCAGTACTTTAGGAGGCCAATGCAAAAGGATCACTTGAGGCCAGGAGTTCAAGACCAGCCTGGTCAACATGGTGAAATCCCATTTCTACTAAAAATATGAAAATTAGCCAGGCACGGTGGTGCATGCCTATAATCCACCTGCTCTGAAGACTGGAGCACGAGAATCGCTTGAACCTGGGAGGCAGAAGTTGCAGTGTGGCGAGATTGTACCACTGCACTCCAGCCTGGGCGACAGAACGAGACTGTCTCAAAAAAAAAAAAAAAAAAAAAAATTAAAAAAAAAGATTAAAGACTTCTCTGGCTTTATATCCTCTTTTGTAAATCTCCTAGTTACAAATCCATCCTAATTAAGTCTAAGTTTAAAAGATACTGCTTACAGACTGGGTGTCTCAGCTATGAAACTGAGACATCTGTATCAGATGCTAAAGAGGAGAAGAACAATAAAGAAAACCACAGTCTTTCCTATAATTACAGAGAATCAAGTCTGAGGCTGACAACTACTTTATTGCTTCTGGAGCAAATGAGTTTCGTATCAGTTTCACTTTTGAAATTACACAGTGATTCTTCACTCAAACAATCATGACTGTTCTAAGTGAGCTCATAGATGGAAACATTTTAAAAATAAAAAGTAGTGATTGTTTAAACACATACACACAAAGACAGAGTGATAGTGCATGTGTGCCATGGAAATAACCAAACTGTAAATTAATAATCTGGTTAAAGCAAGTGGTGGTTTTCAACCTGTTTTCGGACCAAAAATGCTTAAAACTGAGAAGAGAAAGAAAACAAAATGTAATTCAGGAAACAGAGCCACTGTTAACACTGATCTGTCTGGTTTTTGTCTGTACAAAAATCTGCACTGCCACTCCTTAGCACTGTTACACCATTTCCTCCCTACGTAATTATTTCCACTCACATCCTCCTTTCTTTCCCTTTGCATTACTTTACCCTACTCCCCTAAACTCCCCCACACTCTGATGGCAACGTAAGAGTTAAAGAAATTGCAGCATCGTAACCTAACTCAGTATACACTAAAAATCAAAGCTTTTAGAAAATAATTTTCATCAGAATGGAAGCCATTCTACTCATACTTTTTTAGAACTATCTCCAGTGTGAGCAGCCATCTGAGGTATAAACATCTAAGAGGCAAAGGTCAGCAATTTGTCCTTAATTTATAGCACGTGACTTCACCTGACTGTTCCAATTAACATTTGCTGTCCAGTGTTCTAGACCTTCAAAGACTTCATGAAATGCAGAAAAACAAGTCTAACTCCCAAATAATGAATCTAAACACTTCTCTTGCCTGCACAGAATAATTCTTGTTGAGCATATGAGTGGAGAAAGGAACAAATATTTAAATTTATTTTTCAATCTTGGCAAGTAGAAGTCCCTCAAAGCAGAACATCAAGGCCAGAAACCATCCCTAAAGAAAGGCAGATTTTACTACACAAAAAGTGCCATAAACAAAGTTAAAATGCAAGCAACAGAGCTGGGCACTGTGGTGCACACCTACAGTCCCAGGTACCAGACAGGCTGAGACAAGAGGATTGCTTGAACCCAGGAGTTCAAGTTCAGCCTGGACAACATAGTGAAACTATCTCAAAAAAAAAAAAAAAAAAAAAAAAGCAACTAACTTAAAAACATCTACAACAGGCTGGACACAGTGGCTCACGCCTGTAATCCCGGCACTTTGGAGGCCGAGGCAGTTGGACTGCTTGAGACCAGCAGTTTGAGACCAGCCTGGCCAATACAGCAAAACCCCATCTCCACTAAAAATACAAAAATTGGCCATGTGTGGTGGTGCACACCTGTAATCCTAGCTACTCAGGGGGCTGAGGCACAAGAATCGCTTGAACCTGGGAGGCAGATGTTGCAGTAAGCCAAGAATGCCCCTTTGCACTCCAGTCTGGGCGACAGAGCGACACTCATCTCAAAAAAAAAAAAAAAAATACACACACACACACACACACACACACACACACACACACAACAGGCCAGGTGTGGTGGCTCACACCTGTAATCCCAACACTTTGAGAGGCCAAGGCGGGAGGATCATTTGAGCCCAAGAGTTTAATACCAGCCAGGGCAACACAGGGAGACCCCCATCTCTACAAATAAAAAAAAAAAAATCAGCCTAGTGTAGTGACACATGCCTGCATGCCTGTAGTCCCAGCTACTCAGGAGGCTGGGGTGGCACTTGCGCGCCAAGAGTTTGAGGCTGCAGTGAGCCATGACCATCACACCACTGTACTCCAGCCTGGGCAACAGAGCAATAACCTATCTTAAAACACACACACACACAAAACTTGTAAAAGGGTTCCTACAAATCAATAAAAGATAACCTAACCAATAGAAAAAATAAATAAAAGCTCCTAATAGGCAAAGTATAAAAGAAATGCAAATAGCCAACACACATAAAAAATGCTAGATGTCACAAATAAGCAGATAAGTTAAAACTTGATCATTTTCCCCTAAGTTTTAGAAGACTGATAATGCCCATATCTGTCAAGGATGTGGGGAAACAGATGCTCACGCACTATACTGCTGATAAAAGTGAAAACTGGTATAACCTTGGCTGGGCGCAATGGCTAACCCCTGTAATACCAGCACTTTGGGAGGCCGAGGTGAGTGGATCACGAGGTCAAGAGATCGAGACCATCCTGGCCGACATGGTGAAACCCCATCTCTACTAAAAATACAAAAATTAGCTGGGCATGGTGGCACACACCTGTAGTCCCAGCTACTTGGGAAGCTGAGGCAGGAAAACCGCTTGAACCCGGGAGGTGGAGGCTGCAGTGAGCCGAGATCATGCCACTGCACTCCAGCCTGGTGACAGAGCGAGACTTCACCTCAAAAAAAAAAAAAAAAAACACTGGTATAACCTTTATGGAAGGCAATCTAGCCACACTTACCAAAATTTTAAAGGTACATACCCTTTGCCCAGTAATTTCATTTCTAAAAGAAATGGTAGGCAGGGCGTGATGGCTCACACCTGTAATCCCAGCACTTTGGGAGGCCGAGGCGGGTGGATTACGAGGTCAGGAGTTCCAGACTGGCCTGGCCAACATGGCAAAACCCCATCTCTACTAAAAATACAAAAATTAGCCGAGCTTGGTGGTACGTGCCTGTAATCCCAGCTACTCAGGAGGCTGAGGCAGGAGAACGGCTTGAGCCCGGGAAGTGGAGGGTGCAGTGGACCAAGATCACGCCACTGCACTCCAGCCTGGGGAAAAAGTGCAAAACTCCGTCTTAAAAACAAAAAAATTCATTGAACACATGAACGGTTATTCCTCAGGCCACTGACCTTCACAACTGCACTCAGAAAGAGAGGTTCTTGATTATGTAAACCAAAATAAATGGTAGATTTGTTTTTAAAGATTATGTATTAAAAGAATCTTTTAATTGGGATTAACTTTGTGCTATGACTTTACCTAAGAAATTTTAAGAAGGTATTAAATTAATGCTGATTATATATTATTTCTGAGCTAAGTTAATAAAACTGAGTTTCTATAATTGATTTTCTGTTACTCTCATATTAAAACATTGTGGCTACAAAAAACAAAAATATACTTTCACTTTTAGTAGGACATTTCCTCTTCTTTAAAATTTATTTTAAGTCAAACTAATAACTTTTTTAAAGAAATCAGAAATATCTCTAGATTTATAATTGATGTTACTAATTTAACAGTCTAGCATGGGTCTCAAAAACTTCTCTGAGGAAAACACTGGTGAGTGAAATATAAGTGTGGTCTGAAAAACTTTTGAACAGTAACAAGTTCTAGCTAGGAAGAATTTTAAGAGCCCGCATCAACTTTTTTCATTCAATCATTCATTTATCCATTCAAGAAATATTTACTCAGAGCCTTTTATGGACCAAGAACTATTTTTGATGCTTGGGATAAACAAAACAGGCTAGGTCTCTGTTCTTGTGAAGCTTTCATTCTACTTTCTGTTCCTAATCTTTCTTTAATCCATCTTTAGAAAACAAAGCAGAGCACAGAAAAGAAAGAACAGAAGAAATAAAGCACACTGAGGGAACAGAAATAGAGAATAGAAACTACTTCCCCTACTCACCCCAGTATCTGTTAAGTCTACCTGAGAGGCCACTCCCATGACAGCAAAAAGACCCATTTCTACTGCTGTTGTGGCAAGAGGGAAGAATAAGATTCTGAAGTCATAATATTTACTATCATTGAGCTTTAGACTACGCATTCAATGAAATACTCTATCACAGAAGTTTCCAGGTACCTGATCCAAAAATACAAATCAACACAGGCATATTAAAATAGCAAATGGAAATAATTATCTAATTTAAGTTTAAAAAGCATCTTTTCATACCTGCATAACTGGGATAACTAAAGCATTTGAGACTGTTTATGCCTGATCTAATGGTTTATTTCAGAATTTTGACATTTTCACCAGGGCTAATGTACTCCGATTATGGTTTTTATTCATCCAGGAGCTAACTTTTTTTTTTTTTTCCCTTGAGACAGAGTCTTGCACTGTCGCCCAGGCTGGAGTGCAGTGGGGCGATTTCAGCTCACTGCAACCTCCAACTCCCAGGTTCATGCAGTTGTCCTGCCTCAGCCTCCCAAGTAGCTGGGATTACAGGTGCCCATCACCATACCCAGCTAATTTTTCTGTATTTTTAGTAGGGACAGGGTTTCACTATGTTGGCCAGGCTGGTCTCAAACTCCTGACCTCATGATCCACCTCCCAAAGTGCCAGGATTACAGGCATGAGCCACAGCGCCCGGCCCAGAAGCTAGCTTTTTACAACTGACTTCTGAGCCAAAAAAATCAAATTTAAACTACTTAAATGAACACAGAAATAAAGTCCAACTGGGCCAAGCGCAGTGGCTCACACCTGTAATCCCAGCACTTTGGGAGGCCAAGGCGGGTGGATCACCTGAGGTTGGGAGTTCGAGACCAGCCTGACCAACATGGAGAAACCCTGTCTCTACTTAAAAATACAAAAATAGCCAGGCATGGTGGTGCACACCTGTAATCCCAGCTACTAGGGAGGCTGAGACAGGAGAATCACTTCAACCTGGGAGGCAGAGGTTGCAGTGAGCTGAGATCGCACCATTGCACTCCAGCCTGGCCAAGAGCAAAATTCCGTTTCAAAAAAAAAGAAATTAAGTCCAAACTGAAAATAGACCTACAACATAATAAAATAACTGTATTTCTCTAGGCAATATTATTTGTCGCTAAGTGTTTTAATAGCTTAGATATAAAGTCATGCAACAGTGCGAGAGATGTTTTTATACCAGGAAGTTTTACCTTCTAGTTTATTTGTATTTTTAGTGGAAATATAAAGTTCACTTGTAATTATTCATTCCTCTAATATTTGTGGAAAACGCACCGTGAGCCACGCGCTATATGGCAGTTCCCTCTCCTTGTGACCCCTGCCCTTACAGAGCTTATATGCTAGTGAAGGAAGTTGTCAACACCTGCAACAAGTTGCTCATTTATTAAAATAAGCCAAAATGTGTGCCAAGGAAACAAAGCAGGTGCTCTCCCACTAATCATGCCAATTGTTTTTATGCTTTTGTGGATGAAAGCTACACATATTTTCCACGGAAATACGAAAAAACAAACATATGCACAAAACTTTGTATCCAATGTTAGGGGTTTTCCCCTAAAGCCTATTGGGAACCCCAAGTCAAAACTCCGGAACCACACACTCACACTGTGCGAACTAACTCACACCTACTTAACCCCAGTACCACTTATGTACATACCGATACTTCCTAAATCTTGTGTCTGTTTCTCCAGACCAGCTCTGAATTCCATATTTATGCAGCCAACATGCAGCCAAATCCATCCCATTGCAAATCTCCCAAAGGTGCCTCTAACTAATAATGTCCTCAACTAAATTTATCTTCAGCTGGGACCTGCTTCTCTCCCTTTATTCCCCATCTCCATGCATAGCACCACCATTCACCCAAAACAGAAACATGGCCACTGCTTTTCCTCCTCCCTCTGGCCCTCCACCTAATCATCCAACCTAAACGATCTCCCAAATACTGCTGTCTTCTCCCCTCTATTCCCACTGCCACTGCCTTGATTCAGGACTTCTTTTGTTTACTTAACACAACTTTCTAGAGGCCTCACTCTGTGCCATGCAATGATTTGAGCACTTTTAAAATATAAAGTCATTCAGCCCATCAATCAACAAGTAGATAAAGAAACTGTGGGAGATATATATATACAATGGAATACTACTCAATCATAAAAAGGAATGAATTAATGGCATTCGCAGCAACCCAGATGGGACTGGAAACTATTATTCTAAGTGAAGTAACTCAGGAATGGAAAACCAAACATTGTATATTCTCACTCACCCATAAGTGGGAGCTAAGCTATGAGGATGCAAAGGCATAAGAATAATACAATACGTGGTCGCTCAAGCCTGTAATCCCAGCACTTTAGGAGGCCGAGGCGGGTGGATCATGAGGTCAGGAGATCGAGACCATCATGGCTAACACGGTGAAACCCCATCTCTACTAAAAATACAAAAAATTAGCCAGGCATGGTGGCGGGCGCCTGTAGTCCCAGCTACTCAGGAGGCTGAGGCAGGAGAATGGCATGAACCCGGGAGGCGGACCTTGCAGTGAGCCAAGATTGCGCCACTGCACTCCAGCCTGGGTGACAGAGCGAGACTCTGTCTCAAAAAAAAAAAAAAAAGAATAATACAGTGGACTCTGGGGAGTCAGGGAAACGGTGGGAAGGAAGTGAGGGATAAAAGACTACAAACTGGATTCATACCTACTACTTGGGTGATGGGTGCACCAAAATCTCACAAATCGCCACTAAAGAACTTACTCATGTAACCAAATACCACCTGTTCCCCAAAAACCCATGGAAATAAAAAATTTAAAAATAATAATAAATAAATAAAAATGAAGGCAACACAAAAATGTTTTCTTTTTTTGGCCGGGTGCAGTGGCTGACACCTTAACTGCAGCACTTTGGGAGGCCAAGGTGAGTGGATCGTTTCAGGTCAGGAGTTTGAGACCAGCCTGGCCAACGTGGTGAAACCCCATCACTACTAAAAATACAAAAATCGGCCAGGTGCGGTGGCTCACCCCTGTAATCCCAGCACTTTGGGAGGCCAAGGCGGGCAGATTACTAGAGGTCAGGAGTTTGAGAACAGCCTGGCCAATATGGGGAAACCCCATCTCTACTAAAAATACAAAAAAATTAGCCAGACGTGGTGGCATACGTCTGTAGTCCCAGCTATTTGGGAGGCTGAGGCAAGCAAATCGCTTGAACCCAGGCAGCAGCGGTTGGCAGTGAGCCAAGGTCGCGCCACTGCACTCCAGCCTGGGTGACAGGGCGAGACTCCATCTCTATACAAAATAAAATTAAAATAAAATAAAATAAAATAAAATAAAATAAAATAAATACAATAAAATAAAATAAAATACAAAAATCAGCCTGGCATGGTGGCGAGCACCTGCAGTCCCAGCTACTTGGGAGGCTGAGGCAGGAGAATTGCTTGAACCTGGGAAGCGGAGGTTGCAGTGAGCTGAGATTGTACCACTGCACTCCAGCCTGAGCAACAGAGCGAGACTCTGTCTCAGAAAAAAAAAGGAGAAAGCAAATTATGTCACTGTGTTCATTTTATCTTTGAAGAGTACACAGTTTTATGCAAAATAAGTACCGCAGTATGCTGCAGAGCGGTTGACAAAATATTGTATTTTGGTTTTACTTCTCTATTTTGAAAGTAATAAAGAAATATAAGTATTTCTGGTTAATATTTTAAAACAGCCCACCAAATCCATGAGCAGAAATGGATTATCATCAACATACTTCACAAAAGTCTATCCAAGTACAAAAATCTTTTATCCTGAAAATCATTAAAATGCAAAATCATATATCTGAATAAAATATATAATGATTTAACTGGTGGGAACACAGAAAAAAAATCATGAAATAATTGTGAAGTATTTAAGCCAGGCACGATGGCTCACGCCTGTAATCCCAGCACTTTGGGAGGCTGAGACGGGCAGATTACCTGAGGCCAGGAGCTCGAGACCAGCCTGGCCAACAGGACAAAACCCCGTCTCTGCTAAAAACAGAAAAATTAGTCAGGTGTGGTGGCACATGCCTGTAATCCCAGCTACTTGGGAGGCTGAGGCAGGAGTATCACTTGAACTTGGGAGGCGGAGGTTGCAGTGAGCTGAGATCACGCCACCACACTCCAGCCTGGGTAACAGCGCGACTGCGTTTCAATCAATCAATCAATCAATCAATAAAATATTTAAAATTATACTAAGGCCTTATACCTTGGAAGCAAAAAGTAAGCAGTTGGAGGGCTTTCCCTCTAAAATCAGGAAAAAGTATGTCTGCTCTTGCCACTTGTACTCAATGTTGTCGAGTTTCTAGCAAAAGAATTAGGCAATAAAATGAAATAAAAGACATCTACATTGAACAAGAAGTAAACCCATGTGTTTACAGATGAAACAATCTTACAGAAAAACATAAGAAATCCACTAAAAAATTTAGAATAATGAGTTCAGCAAGGATACAAGATCAATATACAAAAATCAATTGTATTTCTGTATACTTTTGCAATAAACAATCCAAAAATGAAATTAGGAAAGCAGTTCCAGCTGGGCGCGGTGGCTCACGCCTGTAATCCCAGCACTTTGGGAGGCCGAGGCGGGCTGATCACGAGGTCAGGAGATCGAGACCATGGTAAAACCCCATCTCTACTAAAAATACAAAAAAAAATTAGATGGGTGCAGTGGCGGGCGCCTGTAGTCCCAGCTACTCGGGAGGCTGAGGCCGGAGAATGGGGTGAACCCGGGAGGCGGAGCTTGCAGTGAGCCAAGATGGTGCCACTGCACCCCAGCATGGGCAACAGAGCGAGACTGTCTCAAAAAAAAAGAAATCAGTTCCATTAAAAAAATCACCAAAAAGAATAAAATACTTACGAATATATTTAACAAATGAAGTGTAAAACTCACACTGTGAAAAACTACAAAATACTATTTAAACAAACTGAAGACCTAAACAAATGAAGGCATCCCACATTCATGGATCGGAAGATGTAATATTGTTAAGATGGCAATATTCCCTAAATTGACCTACAGATTCAATAAATTCCCTATCAAAATTCCATGTGGCATCTTTGCTGATTCTAAAATTCATATAGAAATTCAAGGAAATGGAATAGCCAAGACAATCTTGAAAAAGAACAAAGGTGGAGGACATACTTCCTGACTTCAAAAATTATGACAAAGCCACGGTAACACAGTGTGTTGCTGGCATTTAGATAGATATATAGATCAATGGAACAGAACTGGGAGTTTAGAAATCAACTCTCGCATTTACAGTCAACTGATTTTTGACAAGGGTGCCAAGATAATTCAATGGAGAAAGAAGAGTCTTTTCAAAAAATGGTTCTGGGACAACTAGATGTCCACATATAAAAGAATAAAATTGGACCTCTATACTTCACACCCTATATAAAAATTAACTCAGAAATGGATAAAAGTCCTAAATGTAAGAGCTAAAACTACAAAGCTCTTAAGCATAAATCTTCATGACCTTGGATTAGCAAGAGAAACTTAAATGATGAAAAAAAGACAGACATGCAAGGATGTGGAGGAAGACTATTTCAAAGAAAGAAAATAGCAACAAAAGCCCGGAGAGAAACAGAACCAACCTAACACACTCAAAAGACAGAGAGAGAAAATCAGAGAGGTAGGTAGGGGCCTTAGAGGCCAAGTTCAGGTACATATGCATGGCAAAAGCATATTATTTGGCAAAAGCTATATTATAATAAAGTCGAGCACTGCTCCAGGGAGAGCATTCCACATAGTAAACCATGATGTGAAAGTTGCCTGCCTGTAGGAGTGGAGCAATGAAACAGTTCAGACCACAATTTATTTAAACTGACCTCACGGCTCTTCAAACAGCTGTTCCTTAAGTCTCATGTGTGTTTAATTCAATCTTATGCATATTTTCAATAATTATACCAACCAATTAATTATATATGCTGACTTCTTAAAAATGGCATCTCTCAGGTTTTATTCACGTTTTGTGCAAACAATTAAATCTCAGTGAAATTCAAATTGTCTACATGGCTTCTTTATTTCTTTTATTTTTAATTTTCTTTCTATTTATTTACGTGGTTCAAATTTCGAAAGGGTAAAAAGTCCCCCTCTTATCCTGCCTCTCAGACACATATTTCCCATCTCTGGAGGCAACAAATGTTATCAGTTGGTTCCTTCTGTATCTTTCCAGAGAAATTTTATATTTTGGCAATTGTTTCATATCAGAGTATAAAGTTTTCTCATTTTTATAAAGGTTGCACAGTATTCCATTGTGTGAATACACGTACTTTATTTCTTTATTGATAACTTTTAATTGGAATTTTTGTTTTCAATGCAGCTCCCAGGGCAAGAGCTGTCTATGGATGGGCTTCAGAAGATAAGTGAATAGGCCAGGCACAGTGGTTCATGCCTGTAATCCCGGCACTTTAAGAGGCTGAGGCAGGTGGATCAACTTGAGGCCAGGAGTTCAAGACCAGCCTGGCCAACATGGTGAAACTTCATCTCTACTAAAAATAAAAAAATAAAATAGCTGGACATGGTGGCACACACCTGTATTCCCAGCTACCAGGCAGGCTGAGGCACAAGAATCGCTTAAACCTGGTAGGCAGAGGTTGCAGTGAGCCAAGACTGCACACTGCACTCCAGCCTGGGCAAAACAGCAAGACTCTCAAAAAAAAAAAAAAAAGAAGAAGAAGAAGAAGATGATAAGTGAACAGGCCAGGCACAGTGGCTCATGCCTGTAATCTCAATGCTTTGGGAGGCCAGGGTGGAAGGATCGCTTGTACCCCGGAATTAGAGATGGCAGTGAGCTATCATCACACCACTGCACTCCAGCCTGGGCAACAGAGCAAGACCTTGCCTTTAAAAAAAAAAAAAAAAAAAAAAGAAGAAGAAGATAGGTCAATCCCTTAAAATGGTGTGTATATGCCCATATGCATTTCTCTGGGCAGAAAATTTGC
This sequence comes from Homo sapiens, assembly GCF_000001405.40. Classification (NCBI taxonomy): domain Eukaryota; kingdom Metazoa; phylum Chordata; class Mammalia; order Primates; family Hominidae; genus Homo; species Homo sapiens. The sequence continues at coordinate 39,364,177 of NC_000004.12, forward strand.
ATATCATTCACTGTATTTATCAAAGGAAACTGTAACTGAAACAAAGATTGAGAACTACTGTCCTTCATACCCAACGACACAGTCTGAGGGAAAAAAAAAAAAAAGAACTACTGTCTTATAACTTTGCACAAGTGTTCAATAAACATTTGTTGAATCAATTTTAGTCTAGGGTTTTGCTAATTGTTGCACTAGAGACTGGAGGGCTAAATTAAATATCAGTATAATACAAAATTCTTATCTACCTCATAGGATGTTTACCCACTAACAACAAAACTGACCAATTTGACCTATTTCTTTTCTGAGAAGAGGTCTATTTTTTATCTGCACCATGAACAGGAGTACTAAAGAAAGAAAAGAACCAAAAGTAAAAGCACCTGAATGATCAAAAGTTGACCACACAAGCTATGTTCACCATAAATGACAGAGGAATCTACCATGCCTCTTAAAATCTATGTAACTTTCCATAGAGTCCTTTCTGAGAAAATAGATCACTGGTAGCTGTGTAGTTGCCTAACATGCCAGGCACCAGAACCAGAACGGAAGCTTTACCTATACATCTTGCTTAATCCCCAAAACAATCACTATGGCAGCTATTATTTTCCCCTCTTTTACAGATAAGGAAACAGAGGCTTAAAGAGATTAAACTTAAGCTATTTACTTGCCCAAGACCACGTAACTATTAAACTAGACTATACTAACATAGTAATATAACTATAAATTAATATATAAACCATTAAACTAAAATATTACCACGTTCTTCATCTTCAAGACTCCAAGTCTCAAGCTTCCAAAATACCACAGTGCTTTGGCCTCCAAAATGTAATGATGATCATTATAGGGAAGTAGTATAACATGGTGGTCAGAAACACCAAGATTCTAATTCTAGTTCAACCACCTACTAGTTATATGATACACTGTTTAAATTCCAAAAAGGTGCTTGCACCATCTGTAAAACTGCATCGATGTGGGTTGAAATGAAAAAAAAAAAAAAAAAAAAAAACCATGGAAAACCAACAGTTCACATATTGACCTAAAGAAGATGCTTGGTACAAGGTAGCTACTATCATTACTGTTGCCCTTTTTTGAGAAGAAACACAAAGGCCTGCAACGTTTCCCAGTGTGGCATAAAATTTTCACCGCCCCCCCCCAGAATGTTGTCACTGTGACACGTTGACCAATGATTGAAAAAAATTATATCGGATTGTTAAGTATCTTCTAGCTTAATGAACATTTTAAATGGTCCTTTAAAAATATTTCAAACACAGAGCCATATCCATTGCCATACCATCAGGAATGTCTGCTTTGCTGGCTGCATAATCATTTCACTTTCAATTTGTTTGAACATTTTATCCAGAATTATGCAGTGAGGCTTGGGTTTTTTTCAGATTTTAAACATCAGGTGGTAAGAGGATGACAGCTGTCAAATGTCTTGCATCTGTTTCTATTCGCTGTACTTCTTTTTCCTAGTAAGCCATGTTATCCTTTTGACTCCTATGAACTCATCTAAACAAAATAAAATATCCTCTCCATGCCCTCGGTCTCAACACCGCTCAGGTGATCGTTAATGACGAGCGGAGATGAGACGAGCTGAGCTGTTAATGATAAAAGTTTAAGGCCCTACACAACATATTCCCTAAGAAAGAAAAGTTTGTTACATTCTTCTCCCTCGTGACCCAAAGCTTGAAATCCACGCTTTAGGCAGTACTCAAACTGAGGTTCGGGCAACGCCGAACAAGAAAATAACTTTACCAATGCGTCCCAAAACCACCATCCTTCCTCTCTTCCTTTCTCCCTTCCCCCAAGAGTGGGGGGCGGGGGGAAAGTGCAAGTACACGTAGCAACAAAATCCCTGCGCGCTGGCTGCCGCCCAGAGCCAGAGCCCGCGATGCAATGAAAGTTTTGCGTCCAGTGCCCGGTGTGCGGCCCCTTCTCTGCCTTTGCTAGCCTCCGGAACCACCCACCGCCATCCTCCCCCACCCTGCATACCAGGAGTGCCCGGTCCACACCAGGCCTGCAAAGCCCCCCCAGACCCCGAGCCGCACGGCCTCCCCCAGCGGCTCACCATCGCAGCCCCAGGATGAAGGCGCTGGCTGGCTGGCGGGTGGGCCGGTTGAGGAATCTGTTATCGAGGCTCAGGATCCATTCGCGCCAACAACTTCTCCCGCGAAGTGCAAGAAGGCGAAGACAGTGGCGCGCGGTGATGACGTCAGGAGGCGCGAGCTTTGCTTCCGTCCCGCCCAGAGGCGGGAGGTGCGACGCCTGCCCAGGTGCTGCCCCGAGGGCAGGCGGGCCGCTGACATCGAGAGGAACCACGGTGCTTTGGTGTGAGCTCGGTTTTTGGCGGGGGCGCTAAAGTAGGGGGATCCGATATTGGTTTCCTTGGCAGGCGGGGTACCCAAGTACCTCCCGGTTACACGTCTGGACAATGCACTTCCCTATAGTAACTTTGAAAAGTTTTTACTACCAACTTTAGTAAGATAAATGTTTTAGCTGTGCGTTTTACATATTATGTATAAATATCTATTCTGTAATAAGGTTTCATCAAGAGGCCGGACGCGGTGGCTCACCCCTCTAATCCCAGCACTTTGGGAGGCCGAGGCGGGTGGGTCACCTGAGGTCAGGAGTTCGAGACCACCTGACCAATGTGGTGAAACCCCGTCTCTACTAAAAATACAAAAATTAGCCAGGGGGTGGTGACGTGTGCCTGTAGTCCCAGCTACTCGGGAGACTGAGACAGGAGAATTGCTTGAACCCAGGAGGCAGTGGTGCAGTGAGCCGAGATCGAGCTACTGCCCTTTAGCCTGGGCGACAGAGCGAAACTCCGCCTCAAAAAAAAGAAAAGATACCGAAAGCTTTGGGGTAAACCAGTTGTATATGAATAGATTAGCAATTGAATCACGGAATACAATGAAACATTTGCGTACGATTTCAAGAGAAAGATTAGACCATAAAGAGTTCAATGGAGAAAGCAGTATCTCCAGCTTTGGCTCTAGCTACACTTTTGAAATTCTCACCCATCCACCCCCTGTTGGGTCTTGCGCTTTATGACACCAACATTTCTATGGCGAAAGATAGAACAGCCTGGAATACAACAGAGGCTGAGCATTGACAGCTTGTATTTATTAAACGCCTATTGTTGTACGTGCAGCTCTGGACTAGCCTAGCTCATTTTATCCCCATGATGACACTGACTACTCTTATCCCGAATTTACAGACAGACTGTTACTTATTAACAGGGCCTCACTGCACTGTTCCCTCTGAAGCCAGGATGCTAGGTCTCCAGCCCCACCACCTGCTATTTATGTGACCAAGGGCAAGTTACTGTGCCTCGGTTTTGTCTTAGCAGACATATCACACAAATTTTTGCCCATAATTTTAGAGGACCTACACCAATTTATAATGTTCATTGTGTTATAAATCAATAAATGAGTAAATAAGACATAAAAAGTTGTACGTGTCTTTTATATTACATTCCTCTTAACTTTTGCTTTTTTTTTTTTTTGGCATTTGAAGCCTTCCTTGAGTTTAAATGAGACTTAAGTCAGGAGACTGTAACTTCTTTGTGAGATTGTTTTCTTTAGGAATATTTATTTACATGAAAATACTCTATCTCAGAAATATACCAGATCTAAAATGACTGCATATGCTTTGAAACTCCTCCCTTGAACCTGGACTGGCCTATGACTGATTTGATCAAAGAATACAATGGAAGTGATACTATGCCAACTCCAGACCTAAGCTTTAAGAAGACTGGCAGCTCCTGTCTTGCTCTCTTGGAGCACCATGTAAAGCCAGGGAGGTGGTCATCTGAGACCAGCCTTATAGCCATCTCCACCAGGCACCATGCATGTAAATGAAGCCATCTCAGATCCCATCCAGCAACTGATGGAATTTCACTAGCTTTGTTGACCCCATTCAACACCTGGGAGAGCAGAAAAATCACTCAGTCAAGGCCTGTCCAAATTTCCTGACCCACAGTAGCGTGAACATAATTAAATGATTGCTCTGTTAAGGTAATAAGTATTGGAGTGGTTTCTTATAAAGGAATAGATATCCAGAATGGAAATATTTTTGAAGACCCAAAATAGGACTGAGCATGGTGGCACATGCCTATAATCCCAGCACTTTGAGAGGCCTTGTCTCAGGAAAAAAAAACAAAAACAAAAAAAAAGTGAAACCAATCAGAAAAGATTTCCCTGCTGATCCATGCCTTTTTGTTAGCAGAATAATGGCATGGAAAGAAATTCACTCCTTGAAAACAGTATGGATATAAGCTTTTGCCTATCACAGCAAGTTTACATTTATGGATGCCTGCTGCATTAGCACATGCCGGCACTGTTATTCCATCCTTCCCATCCTTAATTCCTTTATGGGCTAGCTCATCAGCCATAGTTAGTATCTATCTGGGGCAAATAACACCAAAACAGTGATGTTTCAGCAATCTTGTAGACTTGGTCTAGTGTCAGATTTTCATGAGTGAAAATATTGGCAAATTCATCAACACATTTCTCCACTGCTTTGTGATCAGCAGATGCTTTATTGCCACAGATTTTTTAAAAATGTAACACCCTGTCTTTTCTTAAATTTATGCAACCAGCCAGTTGAATATGCACAATTCCCTTCAATTTTTAGTTCATTGCAATAGATCTTTGTTTCATGATCAGCATACCATCACGTGGCATGTGTTCACTATGATGCTTATGAATTTATGCTTTCAATACATGATTGAGATTTTCTTTTTTAGCTTTACGTAGTTTTTTTTGGGGGGGGGGTTGTTTTGTTTTTTGTTTTTGAGACGGAGTCTTGCTCTGTCACCCAGGCTGGAGTGCAGTGGCGCCATCTCGGCTCACTGCAACCTCCGCCTCCCAGGTTCAAGCGATTCTTCTGCCTCAGCCTCCTGAGTAGCTGAGATTACAGTTGTGCACCACCACATTTGGCTATTTTTTGTATTCTTAGTAGAGACGGGGTTTCACCATCTTGGTGAGGCTGGTCTCGAACTCCTGACCTCGTGATCTACCCATCTCGGCCTCCCAAAGTGCTGGGAGGGTTTTTTTGGTTTTGTTTTTTTACTTTTCATTAACTTCTGTTCATCACTTTCAGCATAAACCTTCAACAGTTTTTCCTTCTGTTTCTTCAAATCATATATGGTGGTCATTCCAATCCCATACTCTTTTGTAAGATTTTCACACTTATACTGCTGTCCAACTTCTCTAAGGTTGACTTTCTGTGCCACAGATAAACATAAATGCTTCCTCTTTTTCTTATCACTGTTACCCAAAGGGGTATCTGCAGGCCTTTTCGACATTTTCAGCAATATCTGTATACCACAAAGCAGAGAATAATCAAAAAACCGCAGAAGGCCAGGCACAGTGGCTCATGCCTGTAATCCCAACACTTTGGGAGGACAAGGAAGGAGTATTGCTTGAGACCAGGAGTTCGAGGCCAGGAGTTCAAGACCAGCCTGGGCGACAGAGCAAGATGCTGTCCCAAAAACAAAACAAAACAAAAACCACTGTAAACAATCTGAATGTTAACTGTAAAGAAAATGGATAAATTGAAATATATTCATACAACAATAAAAATCAATGAAATACAGATCATACATCATACAACACTACAGATCAGTCTTGTATACTTTTTTTTTTTTTTTTTTTTGAGATGGAGGCTTGCTCTGTCACCCAGGCTGGGATACATTGGCGAAATCTCAGCTCACTGCAACCTCTGCCTGCCAGGTTCAAGCAATTCTCCTGCTTCAGCCTTCCAAGTAGCTGGGATTACAGGCATCCACCACCATGCCTGGCTAATTTTTGTACTTTTAGTAAAGACAGGGTTTCATCATGTTGGTCAAGCTGGTCTCTAACTCCTGACCTCAAATGATCCACCCACCTCGGCCTCCCAAAGTGGTAGGATTACAGGTGTGAGCCACTGCACCTGGCCCAGTCTTATATACTGATATGGTTTGGCTCTGTGTCCCCACCCAAAACTCATCTTCTAGCTCCCATAATTCCCATTGTTGTGGGAGGGACCCAGTGGGATAGGAGATAATTGAATCATGATGGTGCATCTTTCCTATGCTGTTCTCATGATAGTGAATGGGTCTCATGAGATCTGATGGTTTTAAAAACGGGAGTTTCTCTGCACAAGCTCTCTCTTTGCCTGCTGCCATCCACATAAGATGTGACTTGCTCCTCCTTGCCTTACACTATGATTATGAGGCCTCCCCAGCCATGTGGAACCGTAAGTCCAATAAATGTCTTTATTTTGTAAATTGCCCAGTCTTGGGTATGTCTTTATCAGCAGCGTGAAAATGGACTAATACAGTAAATTAATACCAGCAGAGTGGGGCATTGCTAAAAAGATACTCGAAAATGTGGAAGCAACTTGGGAACTGGGTAACAGGCAGAGGTTGGAACAGTTTGGAGGGCTCAGAAGAAGATAGGAAAATGTAGGAAAATTTGGAACTTCCTAGAGACTTTTTGAATGGCTTTGACAAAAATGCTGATAGTGATATGAACAATAAGGTCCAGGCTGAGGTGGTCTCAGATGGAGATGAGGAACTTGTTGGGAACTGGAGCAAAGATGACTCTTGTTATGTTTTAGCAGAGACTTGCAGCACTTTGCCCCTGCCCTAGAGATCTGTGGAACTTTGAACTTGAGAGAGATGATTTAGGGTATATGGTGGAAGAAATTTCTAAGGAGCAAAGCATTCAAGAGTTGACTTCGGTGCTGTTAAAGGCATTCAGTTTCAAATGGGAAGCAGAGCATAAAAGTTTGGAAAATTTGCAGCCTGAAAATGCAGTGGAAAACAAAATCCTATTTTTGAGGAGAAATTCAAGCCGGCTGCAGGAATGTGCATAAGCAACCAGGAGTCGAATGTTAATCACTAAGACAATGGACAAAATGTCTCCAGGGAATGTCAGAGACCTTTGCAGCAGCCCCTCCCATCACAGGCCCAGGGAGGAAAAAGTGGTTTCATGAGCCAGGCCCAGGGTCCCCGTGCTGTGTGCAGCCTAGGGACTTGGTGCCCTATGTCCCAGCCACTCCAGCCGTGGCTGAAAGGGGCCAATGTAGAGCTTGGGCTGTGGCTTCAGAGGGTGCAAGCCTCAAGTCTTGGCAGCTTCCACGTAGCATTGAGCCTGCAAGTGCACAGAAGTCAAGAATTGAGGTTTGGGAACCTCTGCCTAGATTTCTGAAGATGTATGGAAATGCCTGGATGCCCAGGCAGAAGTTTGCTGTAGGGGCGGAGCCCTCATGGAGAACCTCTGCTAGGGTAGTGCTGAAGTGAAATGTGGGATCAGAGCCCCCACACAGAGTCCCCACTGGGGCGCTGCCTAGTGGAGCTGTGAGAAGAGGGCCACCGTCCTCCAGACCCCAGAATGGTAGATCCACTGACAGCTTGCACCATGCACCTGGAAAAGCCGCAGACACTCAACATCAGCCCATGAAAGCAACTGGGAGGGAAGCTGTACCCTGCAAAGCCACAGGGGTGGAGCTGCCCAAGACCATGGGAACCCACCTCTTGAATCAGCATACCTGGATGTGAGACATGGAGTCAAAGGAGATCATTTTGGAGCTTTAAGATTCGACTGCCCTGCTGGATTTCAGACTTGCATGGGGCGTGTAGCCCCTTTGTTTTGGCCAATTTCTCCAATTTGGAATGGCTGTATTTACCCAATGCCTGTACCCCCATTGTATCTAGGAAGTCACTAACTTGCTCTTGATTTTACAGGCTCATAGGCAGAAGGGACTTGCCTTGTCTTGGATGAGACTTTAGACTGTAGACTTTTGAGTTAATGCTGAAATGAGTTAAGACTTTGGGGGACTGCTGGAAAGGCATGATTGGTTTTGAAATGTGAAGATATGAGATTTGGGAGGGACCAGGGATGGAATGATATGGTTTGGCTCTGTGTTCCCACCCAAATCTCATCTTGTAGCTCCCATAATTCTCACATGTTGTGGGAGGGACCCAGTGCGAGATGATTGAATCATGGGGCAGGTCTTTCCCATGCTGTTCTCGTAATAGTGAATGGGTCTCACAACATCTGATGGTTTTAAAAATGTGAGTTTCTCTGCACATACTCTCTCTCTTTGCCTGCTGCCATCCATGTAAGTTGTGACTTACTCCTCCTTGCCTTCCACCGTGATTGTGAGGCCTCCCCAGCCATGTGGAACTGCAAGTCCAATAAATTTATTTCTTTTGTAAATTGCCCAGTCTTGGGTATGTCTTTATGAGCAGTGTGAAAATGGGCTAATACATATACCATTGAGCAAAAGAAGCATCTATTCCATATGCAATATATTTTGCTGGCTGTTCAGGCTGAATGGAAAGATCAGTAAAAGCTTTCCCTACCTCAGTGAATTTTATGAATGAAATGAGGATAAAATATTTACACTGCACACACACAAAAAATAACATCTGTATCTCTATGAAGCAGGTAACAATGGCATAGGTTGCATTTAGCTGATAGAGAAATAATTTTAGTATGTCATAAAGTTATCAGTAGTTGCCATTAATACAAAATTTCTTTTAGTTTAAGTCTATTACTTGTTCAATTATTTCTATTTATAATTACATATTCACCTATAATTTTCAGAACTTTTGACTCCAGTGGAACTTTATTTTATTTTTTACTTTATTTTATTTTATTTTTGTAGAGACGGGATCTTGCTCTGTTGCCCAGGCTGGGCTCAAACTCCTGGCCTCAAGCAGTCCTCCCACCTTGGCCTCCCAAAGTGCGGGGATTACAGGCAGGAGCCACTGTGCCCGGCCTCCAGTGGAAATATGAATAGCAGTATTTAAATTCTACACAATCTATAATGCAGGGTGTATGAATGAGGAAACTATGACGACTTCTAAATAGGAGATATCCTATTATACATATATATTTTATGTATATATATTTCTTAGAGCAATCGCTAAGAAAAATATTTCTTTAATGTGTAGAGATTTGCTGACAACTGAACTACTCTTTGTCTTCATTTTATGCAATTTTAATAATCATTCTTGGCACTTAAAGTCAATCAGTGAGAGAACGGAAAAGAGGTGAAATTCAACTATAGTAGTGAGTTTCAATTTATAGTTTTGCTAATCACACTTCGTTTTTGTTTTTTTTTTTTTTTTGAGATGGAGTCTCGCTCTATTGCCCTGTCTCTGTTGTAGAGCCACAGTTTCACCATGTTGGCCAGGCTGGTCTCAAACTCCTGATCTCAACTGATCCACCCGCCTCGGCCTCCCAAACTGTTAGGATTACAGGCGTGAGCCACCACGCCTGGCACACACTCTTAAACTAAAACATTTTCTTACAAATGTCTAGAGAATCGGCTGGGTGCAGTGGCTCACACCTGTAATCCCAGCACTTTGGGAGGCCAAGGCAGGCAGATCACCTGAGGTCGGGAGTTCAAGACCAGCCTGACCAACATGGAGAAACCCCATCTCTACTAAAAATACAAAATTAGCTGGGCGTGGTGGCGCATGCCTGTAATCCCAGCTACTCAGGAGGCTGACGCAGGAGAATTGCTTGAACCCGGGAAGCGGAGGTTGCAGTGAGCCAAGATTGCTCCACTGCACTCCAACCTGGACAACAAGAGCAAAACTCTGTCTCAAAAAAAAATGTCTAGAGAATCTCAGGTATTAGTGATAAACTGTATTTACTTTATCAAGTGCTTACCACCATCCAGAGCTAATGATAATATTTATATGAAGCACCACCATCCAGAGCTAATGTTAATAGTTATATGAAGCCATCAACGCAGGTGTAATATTTTAAAATGTAGAGTCCAAAGCACTTACCTTATTTGTACTAAAACAAAGTTAGCTCTCTTCATAGCAACTAACAATTTAAATGGATATGTTAAAAGTATTGTTTATATCCTGTTGTGGTCATGAACCAGATTTTATCTGAGTAAGATTTTTGCCGTATATTTTATAGAAGATGTGAATGTATTGGGATTCCTTTTTTATGCCTTTCCTACTTTAATCTGTGTTTATTTGTAAAATTTTATTAATTAATTTATTTATTTGAGACAGTCTCTCTCTGTCGCCGAGGCTGGAGTGCAATAGTGCGGTCTGGGCTCACTGCAACCTCCACCTCCCAGGTGCAAGTGATTCAAGTGATTCTTGTGCCTCAGCCTCCCAAATACCTGGGACTACAGATGCACGCCACCACTCCCAGTTAACTTTTGTATGGTTTGAAGAGATGGGGTTTCACCATGTTGGCTAGGCTAGTCTGGAACTCCTGACCTCAAACAACCCGCCCAACTCTGCCCTCCAGAGTGCTGGGATTACAGGCGTGAGCCACCACACCGGATGTATTTGTAAAATTTTAAAACGTCTAATATACACTACTCCGTATAAACTGATGATCATATTTAATTCTATTTAAACTTCATGTCAAGAAAGACAACATGTGAGATTTCCATGAAAGTTCAAAATGTTTTTTTTTTTTTTTTTTTTTTGAGACTGAGTCTCGCTCTGTCGGCTCACTGCAAGCTCCGCCTCCCGGGTTCACACCATTCTCCTGCCCCAGCCTCTCAAGCAGCTGGAACTACAGGCACCCGCCACCATGCCCGGCTAATTTTTTGTATTTTTAGTAGAGACGGGGCAAAATGTATTTTTATCACAAACATTGCTGAAATATGAATGAGAATTCCGGGCATACCTTCTCATAGCATTTCAGGTTTTCAGAGGTCCTAAGGGTCTGGAACATCCACGTATGTGATCATCCCTAATATAGCAGCAGTTCTCAAGTAACTGAGGGTAGCTTTTTATTTGCTATGCCTCACATTATTTCTGCAAAACAACAACAAAAACAACAACACAAATCCTGGAATTCCTTTGGCTTGTAGGACTGAAAAAAGATTAATCATAAAATCTACTATCACTGCAAAGTGCTGATGGAATTCCTGTCACTCTGTTCATACACACCCATAAAATTGCCAATGAATATTTTAGGAATTAATCCATGACTTGAGACACATTAGATATGTAATCAAAGGAGTATGTCAACAGTAAAGTTATATGGTTTTTTTGCTATTTTAGATGTAAATGCTTCTTCTCACCTAAGTGAAGATACTGATTTACTTAGCAAAAACTTTGTTATTTCGGGCTATAAAAATTATTAGGCAAGTTTACATAAACTTAGCTTAGTCAAGCATAGTCATATTAAGAAGGTTAAATGGATATCACTCAAGAATTAAGATAAATGACATAGTTAGTGCCCAATTTCCTAAATTAGAATATGTGTACTTTAATAGTGACAAATTATGATTTAATGATTATGTTCATAAATGGATTATAAGGTCAACATCACCGGTCGAGACCTGCAGTCATCACGAACACAGAAAAGAGTAAGCTGCCTAATGGACTGTTGTCTGTAAGGAAAATGTTCCAATAAACTCTGACAAAGCAGGACATGCTAATATTTATCCAGAGGGCAGAAAGTCACATTTGTTGTTGCACAGTGAAAATTCTATTGATTTCTGTTGACTTTCAAAAGTCTAGTGAAAGACAATGTGATTATTGTGCTTCTGAAAAAGATTTCAAAAGTGACTTTAAGAGTTATGTCTGTCACATGGATAAGTTAACTAAGCCAGATATATTAACACTGAGCATTTACTTTGACCATTTCAGTTGTTTTTCACTTACACACGGTAGGAGTTAGACTGTAAGGAAGGACCAAAATTCAGATCATGCACTTTCTGACCAATATGCAACTTTTAATCATTTCAGGAGGGCTATGATTTATCTCTCTCTCTATGCTACAGAAAGAGCCATTTACTATAAGCATAATTCAATTATTCTCATGTTTAGAAACATACTAATAAAGATGTGAATGTAAATACTCTAAATTTGGGGGTAGAGTTTTTCATGGAATGTAAATTATTCTTCCACCAGTGGTATATTTTTAAGGGTGGAGGGGCATGAAATAGATCCTACTTTCACAAAATTGGCTTTGTTGATAAAGTTTTCCCTGACAAACTCTCTCTTATTTTGCCCATTTTTTTGCATCTCCTCAAGCATTTGTCCTTTGTATTACAAACAATCTAATTACACTATTTTAATGTGTGTGTGTTTTTTTTTTTGAGATGGCGTTTCGCTCTTGTTGCCCAGGATGGAGTGCGATGGCGTGATCTCAGCTCACCACAACCTCCGCCTCCCAGGTTCAAGCGATTCTCCTGCCTCAGCCTCCCTAGTAGCTGGGACTACAGGCATGTGCCACCACGCCTGGCTAATTTTGTATTTTTAGTAGAGATGGGGTTTCTCCATGTTGGTCAGGCTGGTCTCGAACTCCTGACCTCCCAAAGTGCTGGGATTACAGGCATAAGCCACCGCGCCTGGCCTTATTTTAGTTATTTTTAAATGTACAATTAAGTTATTATTGACTATAGTCACCCTGTTGTCCTATCAAGTACTAGGTCTTATTCATTCTATTTTTTTTGTATCAATTAACCAACCTCACCTCTCCACCACCACCCACTACCCTTCCCAGCCTCCGCTAACCAGTTTTCTACTCTTTATGTTCATGAGTTCAGTTGTTTTGATTTTTAGATCCCACAAATAAGTGAGAACATGTGATGTTTGTATTTCTTTTTTTTTTTTTTTTTTTTTTTTTGAGACAGAGTCTCGCACTATTGCCTGGGCTGGCATGCAATGGCGTGATCTCGGCTCACTGCAACCTCTACCTCCCGGGTTCAAGCGATTCTCCTGCCTCAGCCTCCCAAGTAGCTGAAATTACAGATGCCTGCCACCACGCCCGGCTGATTTTTGTATTTTTAGTAGAGACAGAGTTTCACCATGTTGGTCAGGCTGGTCTTGAATTCCTGACCTCATGATCTGCCTGCCTCAGCCTCCCAAAGTGCTGGGATTACAGGCGTGAGCCACCGCATTGGACCATGATGTTTGTATGTCTGTGCCTGTCTTATTTCACTTAACATAATGACTTCCAGTTCCAACCATGTTGTTGCAAATGACAGAATCTCATTCTTTATCATGCCTAAATAGTACTCCATTGTGTATAAGTACCACATTTTTTTAATCCATTCATCTGTTGATGGATACTTAGGTTGTTTCCAAATCTTAGCTATTGTAAACAGTGCTACAACAAACTTGGGAGTGTGGATATCTCTTCGATATACTGATTTCCTTTCTTTTGGGTATACACTCAGCAGTGGAATTGCTGGATCATATATTAGTTCCATTTTTACTTTTTTGAGGAACCTACAAACGGTTCTCTATGGTGGCTGTATTAATTTACATTCCCACCAACAGTGTTTGAGAGTTCCCTTTTCTCCACATCCTCACCAGCAATGGTTATTGCCTGTCTTTTGGATATAAGCCATTTTAACTGGGGTGAGATAATATCTCACTGTAGTTTTGATTTGCATTTCTCTGATGATCAGTGATGTTGAGCACCTTTTCATATGCCTGTTTGCCGTTTGTATGTCTTCTTTTGAGAAATGTCTATTCAAATATTTGGCCCATTTTTTAATCTGATTATTAGATTATTTTCCTATAGAGTTATTTAAGCTCCTTATATATTATGGTTATTAATCCCTTGTCAGATGGATGGTTTGTAAATATTTTCTCCCATTCTGTGGGTTTTCTCTTCACTTTGTTGTTTCCTTTGTTGTGCAGAAGCTTTTAACTTGATGTGATCCCATTTGTCTGTTTTGACTTTGGTTGCCTGTGCTAGTGGAGTATTACTCAAGAAATGTTGGCCAATGTCTTGGAAAGTATCCCCAATGTTTTCTTGTAGTAGTTCCATATTATGAAGTCTTAGATTTAAGTCTTTAATCCATTTTGATTTGATTTTTGTGTATGGCAAGGGATAGGAGTCTAGTTTCATTCTTCTGCATATGGATATCTTGTTTTCCCAGCACCATTAATTGAAGAGACTGCCTTTTCCCCAGTGTATGTTCTTGGGACGTTTGTCAAAAATGAGTTCATTATAGGTGTGTAGATTTGTTTCTGGCTCTCTATTCTGTTCCATTGGTCTATGTGTTGGTTTTTATGCCAGTACCATGGTGTTTTGGTTACTATAGCTCTGTAGTATAATTTGAAGTCAGGTAATGTGATTACTCCAGGTTTTATCTTTTTTGCTTAGGATAGCTTTGGCTATTCTGGGTCTTTGTGGCTCCATATAAATTTTAGGATTGTGTTTATTTCTGTTAAGAATGTCATTGGTATTTTGATAGGGATTGCATTGCATCTGTAGATTGCTTTGGGTAGCATGGACTTTAACAATATTAATTATTCCAATCCATGAACCTGGAATATCTTTCCATTTTTTTGGTGTCCTCTTCAATTATTTTCATCAGTGTTTTATATTTTTCATTGTAGATGTCTCTTACTTCTTTGGTTAAGTTAATTCCTAGGTACTTAATTTTTTTGTGGCTATTGTAAATAGGATTTTTTTGTTTGTTTTTTGTTTGTTTGTTTGTTTGTTTTTGAGACAGTCTCGCTCTGTTGCCCGGGCTGGAGTGCAGTGGTGCAATCTCGGCTCACTGCAACCTCCACCTCCTGGGTTCAAGCGATTCTCCTGCCCCAGAGTAGCTGGGATTACAGGCTCCTGCCACCATGCCCAGCTAATTTTTTGTAATTTTAGTAGAGACAGGGTTTCACCACGTTGGCCAGGCTGGTCTCAGACACCTGACCTCAGGTGATCCGCCTACCAGCCTTCCAATGTGCCCAGTGACCCACCATGCCTGGCCTCTAAATAGGGTTACTTTTTTATTTTTCAGATTGTTCACTGTGGCATATAGCAATGCTACTGATTTTTGTATGTTGATCTTGTATTCTGCAACTTTACTGAATTTGTTTTATCAGTTCTAAGTTTTTTGGTAGAGTCTTTAGGTTATTCTGAATATAAGATTACATTGTCTGCAAATAAGGATAATTTGACTTCTTCCTTTCCAAATTATATGCCCTTTATTTGTTTCTCTTATCTGATTCCTCTAGCTAGGACTTCCAGTATTATGTTGAATAGCAGTGGTGAAAGTGGGTATCCTTCTTGTGTTCCAGAACTTAGAGGAAAGGCTTTCAGCTTTTCCCTATTCAATATGATATTAGTTGTGGGTCTGTCATATACAGCTTTTATTATGTTGAAGTATATTCCTTATATAATGAGTTTCTTGAGGGTTTTTAACATGAAGGGATGTTGAATTTTATCAAATGCTTTTTCAGAATTAATTGAGATGATCAAATGGTTTTATCCTACATTCTGTTAATATGATGTATCACATTGATTGATTTGCATATGTTGAACCATCCTTGCCTCCCAGTGATAAATCCAACTTGGTCATGAGGATCTTTTTAATGTATTGTTAAATTTCATTTGCTGGTATTTTGTTGAGGATTTTTGCATCAATATTCATCAGAGATATTGGCCTGTTGTCTTCTTTTTTTTTTTTTTTTTAATGTGTCTTTGTCTGGCTTTGGTATCAGGGTAATACTAGCCTTGTAGAATGAGTTTGGAAGTATTCCCTCCTCCACTACTTTTTGGAATACTTTGAGTAGGATTAGTAATAGTTCTTCTTTAAATTTTTGGTAGAATTCAGCAGTGAAGCCATTAAGTCTCAGGTTTTTCTTTACTGAGAGACTTTTTATTATGGCTTCAATCTTGTTGCTTGTTATTTGTCTGTTCGGGATTTGGATTTCTTCCTGGTTCAATCTTGGTGGGTTGTATGTGTCTAGGCATTTGTCCATTTCTTCTAGAGGTCCAATTTATGGGCATATAGTTGCTCATAATAGCCACTAATCCTTTGCATTTCCATGGTATCAGTTATAATGTCTTCTTTTTCATCTCTGATTTTATTTACTTGAGTCTTCTCTTTCTTTTTTCTTCACTAGTCTGGTTAACTTGTCAATTTTGTTTAACTAAAAAAAACCCATTTTTGTTTCATTGATCTTTTGTATTGTTTTCTTCATTTCAATTTCATTTATTTCTGCTCTAATCTTTATTATTTCTTTTCTTCTATTGGTGGGTTTGGTTTGCTCTTGTTCTTCTAGGTCTTTAAGATGCATCATTAGCTTGTTTATTTGAAATTTTTCTTCTTTTTTGATGTAGGCACTTATAGCTATAATCCTTCCTGATAGTACTGCTTTTTCTGTATCCCATATATTTTGGTATGTTGTGTTTCCATTATCATTTGTTTCAAGAATTTTTTTTCAGTTTTCTTTTTAATTTCTTCATTTACCCATTCAGGAACATATTGTTTAATTTCCATGTATTTGTATAGTTTCCAAAATTCCTCTTGTTATTGTTTTCTATTTTTATTTCATTGGAGTCAGAGAAGATGCTTGGTATTATTTCCATTTTTGAATGTTTAAGACTTGTTTTGCGACCTAATCTATGGTCTGTCCTTGAGAATGATCCATGTGCTGAGGAAAAGAATATGTATTCTGTAGCCATTAGATGAAATGTTCTGTAAATATCTATTAGGTCCATTTGGTCTATAGTGCAGATAAGTGTGATTTTTTTGGTATTGATTTTCTGTCTGGAAGATCTGTCCACTGCTGAAAGTGGGGTGTTGAAGTCTCCAGCTATTATTGAATTGGGGCCTGTCTTTCTCTTTAGCTCTCATAATATTTGTTTTGTGCATCTGGGTGCTCCAGTGGTGGGTGCATATATATTTTAAATTGTTATATCCTTTTGCTGAATTGACCCTTTATCGTTATATGATGACCTTCTCTGTCTCTTCTTATAGTTTTTGTCTTGAAATCTATTTTATCTGATGTAAGTATAGCTACTCCTGCTATATTCCTGTCATCTAGGTTTTAAGCCCTGCATGCATTAGGTGTTTGTCCTAATGCTCTCCCTCCCCTTACCCCCCAACCCCTGACAAGCCCCAGTGTGTGATGTTTCCCTCCCTGTGTCCATGTGTTCTCATTGTTCAACTCCCACTTATGTGTTTCTCTTTAATCTTATGCATTGTCTATGTCTTGAAAAGTTGTTGTAGTTATTTTTAATTGGTTCATAATTTAGTATTTCTACTTAAGATAAGAGTAGTTTACACACCACAGTTACAATGTTATAGTATTCTGTTTTTCTGTGTACTTACTATTACTAGTGAGTTTTGAACCTTTAGATGATTTCTTATTGCTCATTAACATCCTTGTCTTTCTAAATGGAGTATTCCCTTTAGCATTTTTTTTTTTTTCAGATGGTGTCTCACTCTGTCACCTAGGCTGGAGTGCAATGGCATGATCTTGGCTCACTGCAACTTCCAGCTCCTGGGTTCAAGCAATTCTCCTGACTCAGCCTCCTAAGTAGCTGGGATAACAGGCATTCACCACCATGCATGCCCAGCTAATTTTTTGTATTTTTAGTAGAGACAGGGTTTCACCATGTTGGCCAGGCTAGTCTCAAACTCCTGACCTCAGGTGATCCACCTGCCTCAGCCTCCCAAAGTGCTGGGATTACAGGTGTGAGCCACCACCCCCAGCCTCCCTTTAGCATTTCTTACAGAACAGGTCTGATGAAAGCTGAGGGTGAAATCCTTCAGTTTTTGTTGTCTGGGAAAGCCTTTATTTCTCCTTCATGTTTGAAGAATATTTTCATTGTACATACTATTTTAGGGTAAAAGTTTTTTCCTTTAGCACTTAAAATATGTCATGAAACTCTCTCCTGGCCTGTAAGGTTTCCACTGCAAAGTCTGCTGCCAGACATACTGGAGCTCCATTGTGTGTTATTTGTTTCTTTTCCCTTGCTGCTTTTAGGATCCCTTCTTTATCCTTGACCTTTGGGAGTTTGAGTATTAATTGCCTTGAGGTAGTCTTCTTTGAGTTAAATCTGCTTGGTGTTCTAGAACCTTCTTGAACTTGGATATTGATATCTTTCTCTAGGTTTGGGAAGTTCTCTGTTATTGTCCCTTTGAATAAACTTTCTACCCCTATCTCTTTCTCTACCTCCTCTTTAAGGCCAATAACTCTTAGATTTGCCATTTTGAGGCTATTTCTAGATCCTGTAGGCATGCCTCATTGCTTTATATTCTTTTTTTCTTTTGTCTCCTCTAATTGTGTATTTTCAAATAGCCTGTCATCAAGCTCACTAATTCCCTCTTCTGCTTGATCAATTCTGCTATTAAAAGACTGATGCGGCCAGACACAGTGGCTCACCCCTGTAATCCCAGCACTTTGGGAGGCCGAGGCAGGCGGATCACCTGAGGTCAGGAATTGGAGACCAGCCTAACCAACATGGAGAAACCCGGTCTCTACTAAAAAAATACAAAATTGGCCGGGTGTGGTGGCACACGCCTGTAATCCCAGCTACTCAGAAGGCTGAGGCAGGAGAATTGCTTGAACCTGGCAGGCGAGGTTGCAGTGAGCCGAGATCATGACATTGCACTACACCCTGGGCAACAAGAGTGAAACTCCATCTCGAAAAAAAAAAAAGAAAGAAAGACTGATCCATTCTTCAGCTTACCAATTGCATTTTTCAACTCCAGAAACTACAGAATTTCTGCTTTATTCTTTTTTTTTTTTTTTTTTTTGGAATGCAGTGGCGCGATCTTGGCTCACTGCAACCTCAGCCTCCCGGGTTCAAGCGATTCTTCTGCCTCAGCCTTCCTGAATAGCTGGGATTACAGGCATCTGCCACTGCGCCCAGCTAATTTTGTGTTTTTAGTAGAGATGGGGTTTCTCCATGTTGGTCAGGCTGGTCTCGAACTCCCGACTTCAGATGATCCACCCACCTCGGCCTCCCAAAGTGCTGGGATTACAGGCATGAGGCACCACGCCTCACCCCTATTCTTTTTAATTATTTCAATCTTTTTGTTAAATTTATCCAATAGAATTCTGAATTCCTTCTGTGTTATATTGAATTTTGTTGAGTTTCCTCAAAACAGCTATTTTGAATTCTCTGAAAAGTCACATATCTCTATTTCTCCAGGATTGGTGCCTTATTTGGTTCCTTTGGTGAGGTCATGTTTTCCTGGATAGTGTTGTTGCTTGTAGATATTCATCTGTGTTTGGGCATTGAAAAGTTAGGTATTTATTGTAGTTTTCTCAGTCTGGGCTTGTTTGTATGCATCTTCTTGGGAAGGCTTCCCAGACATTCAAAAAGACTTCAGTGTTGTGATCTAAACTGTATCTGCTTTAGGGGGCACCTCAAGCTCAGTAATGCCGTTGTTCTTGCAGACTCACACAGGTACCGCCTTGATGGTCTTAGACAAGATCCAGAAGCATTCTCTGAATCGCCACACAGAAACTGTTGTTCTCTTCTCTTACTTTATTCCAAACAAATGGAGTCTCTCTCTCTCTTTCTCTCTCTCTCTCTTCTCTCTCTGTTCTGAGACACGTGGAGCTGGGGGTGGAGTGACACAAGCATCCCTGTGGCCACCATCACTAAGACTGTGCTGGGTCAGATCTGAAGCCAGCACAGCACTGGGTCTCACTCAAGGCTCCCTGTAGTCACCCCTTAGTTACAGCCTATGTTCACCCAAGGCCCTGTGGCTCTACAATCAGCAGGTTGCAAAGTCAGTTGGGCCCGTGTCCTTCTTTCAGGGTGGTGAGTTCCCCCAGGCAGGTCCAGAGGTGCCATCCAGAGCCAGGGACTAGACCTAAAAACCTTAGAAGTCTACCTGGTGTTCTATTATACTGAGGCTGAACTGACACTCAAGCCACAAGACACAGTCCTTCCCACTCTTCTCTCCCTTCTTCAAAGGCAGAGGAGCCTCATCCCATGGCCACCACCACCACAGGCCCACAGGGGGTGCTGCCAGACTACCACCCTTGAGGCCCAAGGGTTCTTCAATCAGCTGTGGTGAATGTTGCGTGGCCTGGGACTCACCCTTCAGGATAGTGAACTCCTCTCCTGCCCAGAGCAGGTCCAGAAATGCTATCCAAGAGCTAAGTCCTAGAATTAGGGACCCCAAGAGTCTGGTTGGTGTTCCCCACTGTGGCTGAGCTGGTACCTAAGGTGCAAGACAAAGTCCCCTTTACTTTTCCCTCTGCTTTTCCCAAGTGGGAGAAGTCTCACCCAGTAGCCACCACAGCTTGGAATGTGCTAGGTCTCACCTAAAGCCAGCATGTCTGAGTCTCACCTGTGGCCCTTGACATAGTACCTGGGTATCACCGCTGGTTTTTCAGGGCCCAAGGGCTCTTCAGTTAGCAGATAATGAATACTGCCAGAACTGGGTCCTTCCCCTCAAGGCAGTGGGTTCTCTTCTGGCACAGTGTGTCAAGAAATGTTGTCCAGAAGCTAGGGCCTAGAAAGGGGACCCCATGACTCTGACCAGTGCCCTATCCTGCTGTGGCTGAGCTGGTATCTAAGATGCAAGACAAAGTCCTCCCCACTCTTCCTCTCCTCTCCTCAAGTAGAGAGAGAGGGTCTCTTTTGGAGCCATGAGCTGTGCAGCCCGGGGCTAGGGGAGGGGCAATGTCAACACTTTCTTAGCCACCCTGCCTGGTATCTCAGTAGGTTGCATGCCCCCCAGTCCACTGCCTCTGGGCCCAGTTCAGCACTAGGACTTACCCAGCAGCTGCAGTTCTTGTGGCCTAGACGATCTTTCAAGTTTATCCAAGACCACAGGGTACTTTAGCTCGAGATGGCGAGATGGCGGGGCTTGCGGGAACTCACATTCAGACTGTAGAGATTCGCGATTCCCCTCTGGCTAGGGCTGGTTTAAATGCTCCCTCAGTGGTCGGGCATCAGCTGAGTTTGGTCTGGCTTTGTCTCTGTTATAATAGGACAGTACTGAATTCAATGCCTCACAATTGCCGAACTCTCACTCTCCATACACCGAAATGCTCTCTGCACCACATTACCGCTGCTGGGGGGTGGGGGAGGGGTGATGTTGGTAATTCAAGACTCTCTTTCCTATTTAACCTGTTTAGTGCCTCTTTCGCGATATGAAGTTAAAACCTGGTACTGTGAATGCTCATGTGATTTTTCATTCTTTAAAAGGTGCTTTTTGGTGTGTAGATAGTTGTTAAATTGGTGTCCCTGCTGGGAAAATGATTGGTAGAGCATTCTATTCTGCCATCTTGCTTTGTCCCTTTTTTTTTTTTTTTTTCCCCATAAGAGACTGGGTCTTGCTCAGCTCTGTCACCCAGGCTGAAGTGCAGTGGCATGATTATAGCTCACTGTGACATCAAGCACCTAGGCTCAAGTGATCCTCCCACCTCAGCCCAAGTAGCTGGGACTGCAGGCATGTGCCACAATGCCAGCCAATTTTTTTTTTTTTTTTTTTTTGAGACAGAGTCTCACTCTGTCGCCCAGGCTGGAGTGCAGTGGTGCGATCTTGGCTCACTGCAACCTCCACATCCTGGGTTCAAGCGATTCTTGTGCCTCAGCCTCCCAAGTAGCTGGGATTACAGGTACGTGCCACCACACCCAGCTAATTGTTTGTATTTTTAGTAAAGACAGGGTTTCACCGTGTTTGCCAGGATGGTTTCGATCTCCCAACCTCGTGATCCACCCACCTTGGCCTCCCAAAGCGCTGGGATTACAGGCGTGAGCCACTGTACCCGGCCCAGCCAATTTTTTAATTGTATTTTTGTAGAGATGAGGTCTCGCTGTGTTACCCAGGCTGGTCTTCAACTCCTGGGCTCAAGCAGTTCTCCTTCCTGGGCCTTCCCAAAGTGCAGCATTACAGGTGTGAGCCACCGTGCCCAGCCCTGTTTTTTAACTTTTTGTTTGATTGTTTGTTTGTTTTTAGAGACAGGGCCTCACTCTATCACCCAGGCTGGAGAGCAGTGGCACTATCATAGTCACTGTAGCCTCAAACTTTCGGGCTCAAGTGATCCTCCTGCCTCAGCCTCTCTGGTAGCTGGGAATACTGCATATGCCACCATGCCAGGCTTATTTATTTATTTATGTACAGACAGGGTCCTGCCCAGGCTGGTTTTAAACTCCTGGCTTCAAGGGATCCTCCTGCCTCAGCCTTCCAAAGTACTGGGGTTACAGGCATGAGCCACCATGTAGGACCTGTTGTGTTTTGTTTTATTTTAACTTTTATTGAAGTGTAATACACATGCAGAATAATAGTTAAGTCTTAAGTGATTTCCATTCTTATTTACCTCTCTGAGTTTTCATATTCACTTCAGTTTTGGACTTATAATTCCCTTCTGTGTCATATTTTTATTACTTTAAATAAAATTTTAAAATAGTTTATGAAAGATTAACTCCAGTGTTGAATTGCAATTGGAGGATATGATTTTTTTTTTTTTGAGATGGAATTTCACTCTTGTTGCCCAGGCTGGAGTACAGTGTCACCATCTCAGCTCACTGCATTCTCCGCCTTCCAGGTTCAAGTGAGTCTCCTGCCTTAGCCTCCCAAGTAGCTGGGATTACAGGTGCCTGCCACCACCCCCGGATAATTTTTGTATTTTTAGTAGAGACGGTGCTTCACCATGTTGCTCAGGCTGGTCTCTAACTCCTGACCTCAGGTGATCTGCCCACCTCAGCCTCCCAAAGTGCTGGGATCACAGCCGTGAGCCACCGCACCCAGCCGAGGACATGATTTTTAATAGATATACAGATCAATTGATTGATAGACATA
Source organism: Homo sapiens (assembly GCF_000001405.40). Classification (NCBI taxonomy): domain Eukaryota; kingdom Metazoa; phylum Chordata; class Mammalia; order Primates; family Hominidae; genus Homo; species Homo sapiens. Next base: position 39,386,677 of record NC_000004.12, read on the forward strand.
GAAATAAATATGAATGTGTGTGTATGCATGGGTTAATATACATACTTACATTCCTTAGCTCTTAGCTGTATCCACTACAAGGTCCTAGGAGCAATGACATCCCAGTAGCAACAATGAGCATACCTAAAACCCAGATATTTTTTTCTAAGTACTATTCTCCAATAAAAGGAACTTGGAAAAGCAGTTGATTTTATAGCTGGGAAGGAAAAAATATAGAAGAGGCTGAAACACCTTATGGTGCCAAAAAATAAGAAAGTGATCAAGGATGAGGATATGTGAAGAAGCCATAGTATCCAAACTAAAGGAGCTCCTGATGACCAAAATTAGAACAATTTGAACCACAAAATAGCTAATAATACTTATTATATGAACATGTGTGTATATATATAAAGATAATACATATATTTGTGCTAAACCCATATACTAAAATATCTATAAATTCATAGTGAAATAAGTAATTGAATAAACAAAAGACATCTCTTTCTTACAGAAACATTTTAACTAATATATATATATATATAAAGAATGAGAGAAATACTAAATCACCATTAGGAAAACACCACAATAATAATTATTGCAGGCAAGATCTACCAATTGATGTTAAAATCAATGGATGAAAGTTTGAGGAGAGGCAGGACATGGTGGCTCATACCTGTAATCCCAGCACTTTGGGAGGCCGAGGTGGGCAGATCACAAGGTCAAGAGATTGAGACCATCCTGGCCAACATGGTGAAATCCCACCTCTACTAAAAATACAAAAATTAGCTGGGCATAGTGGTGCGCGCCTGTAGTCCTAGCTACTCGGGAGGCTGAGGCAGGAGAATCACTTGAACCCAGGAGGCAGAGGTTGCAGTGAGCCGAGATCGCACCACTACAATCCAGCAGCCTGGGGACAGAGCGAGACTCCGTCTCAAAATAAATAAATAAATAAATAAAATAAAATAAAATAAAATAAAGACAATTTGAGGAGAGAGAGGATTATTAGCATTGTCTAAAAGTATTGCCTCCAAGGGCTGGGCGACATGGCTCACGCCTGTAATCCCAGCACTTTGGGAGACTGAGGGGGGCAGATCATGAGGTCAGGAGTTTGAGACCAGCCTGGCCAACATAGTGAAACCCCGTCTCTACTAAAAATACAAAAAATTTGCTGGGCGGGGTGGTGGGCACCTGTAATCCCACCTACTTGGGAGGCTGAGGCAGGAGAATCTCTTGAACCCGGGAGGTGGAGGTTGCAGTGAGCGGAGATCGTGCCACTGCACTCCAGCCTGGGTGACAGTGCGAGACTTTGTCTCAAAAAAAAAAAAAGTATTGCCTCCAAGATATTTATCAATTACAAAGGGGAAAAACAGTCATTTTCTTTCACTTTAACAGTGGCTATTATGAAGAAAGCAGGCAGATATCATCAAGGTTGACATCACCAGTAGTTACACATGTTAACATCATGTATCCCCTGGTATAATGTATAAAGAGGTACACAACATCACTTCTATGGTATTCTTGCCAAAAAATGCATGATCTAAATCTAATCATGAGAAAACAACAGATAAACCAAAACTGAAAGGCATTCTACTAAATAACTGACCAGGATTCATCAACATCAAGATTATGAAAGACAAGGAAAGATTGTCTTTCCCTGACTTTCATTGTCTTTGCTTGTCCAGTCTGTCACAGATTCAAGGCATGACAATTAAATGCAATGGGTGATCCCAGAACAGAAAAAAGACACAGGTGGGAAAAGGGTAAAATTTGAATAAGGCCTGTACTCTAGCAAATAGTATCATATTGATGTTTATTTTCTGTCTTTCATAATTGTATATGATTATGGAAATTGTTAACACGAAGCAAAACTGAGTAAAAGATATAATGTTAACTCTCTGCACTATTTTTGCAACTTTTCTATAACTTTTTTTAAATAAAAACAATAGATAATCCAAAAATGGATGATGTACTTTTGACCCAACAGGATTAGGATTGGAGGTAAGAGATAAGAGTTTGTTTTTTGGAGCCAGATGTGGTGGCTCGGCCTGTGATCCCAGAACTTTGGGAGGCCAAAGTGGGAGGATCACTTGAGGCTAGGAGTTCGAGACCAACCTGGGCAACATAGCGAGACTCCATCTCTATTTATACATATATAAAGAAAAAAGAGGCCGGGCGTGGTGGCTTAAGCCTGTAATCCCAGCACTTTGGGAGACCAAGGCAGGTGGACCACGAGGTCAGGAGTTCAAGACTAGCCTGGCCAATATGGTGAAAGCCTGTCTCTACTAAAAATACAAAAATTAGCTGTGTGTGGTGGCGTGTGCCTGCAGTCCCAGCTACTTGGGAGGCTGAGGCAGAAGAATCACTTGAACCCGGGAGGCAGAGGTTGCAGTGAGCCGAGATCGCACCTCTGCACTCCACCCTGGGCAACAGAGTGAGATTCCATCTCAAAAAAAAAAAAAGAAATAAGATCAGAAAATTTGCATTATTTTCTGTCTAATGTATAATATGCTTGTGAAGTTTCATTAAATATTTAAGAAGGATCCTTTGCAAAAAAAAAGTATAATTAACAAATTGTTAGGCCAGGTGCCGTGACTCACACCTGTAAGCCCAGCACTTTGGGAGGCCAAGGTGAGAGGATCGCTTAAGTCCAGGAGTTTGAGACCAGCCTGGCCAACAGGGTGAAACCCCATCTCTACCAAAAATACAAAAAATTAGGTGGGCGTTGTGGTGCATGCATGTAGTCCCAGGTACTAGGGAGGCTGAGGCAGGAGGATCACTACAGCCTGAGAGGTGGAGGCTGCAGTGAGCCATGATCATCCTGACACTGCATTCCAGCCTGGGAAAGAGAGTGAGACCCTCTCTCAAAAAAAGAGAAAATTGTTAATAATCTGGAATTTAAGTCTCTATGATTTCAACAAAACACTTCTCCATGTTAAGTGAAGATTTTCTTTTCTTTCCTTTTTTTAGACACAGGGTCTTGCTCTCCAACCCAGGCTGGAGTGGTGCGGTGGCATGATCGTAGCTCAATGCAGCCTCAAACTCCTGGCCTCAAGCCATCCTTCCATCTCCACCTCCTAAAGTGCTAGGATTATAAGCATGGGCCACCACACCCGGCCTGAGAAAAATCTCCTGATGAAATACTTTTTCACTAAGTTTCAAGGACGTCAATGGGTTGGTTTTCTTCTTTGATAACCACTCCTTCTCAGATGGTCATGTTCATTGTTCCTGGTTTTCCTGTCTTCTTAATACTTAATTGCCCTAGAACTCGTTTCTATACTCACTACTTAGTGATCTCATCCAATCTCATAGCATTATATACCATCTGAATACTGACATTTCCAAATTCCTATCAACTGCTAATTTTTCCCATGAACTTCAGACTTACATATCCGTTTCCCAACTTCACATTTCCATTTGGCCGCCTAATAAATATATCAAAGTTATATCCCCAAAACTAAACTCCTGATCTTCCTTCACAAGCCTGCATCTCAACTCAACTGATAATACCTCCATCCTTCCATTTGCTCAGGCTGAAAACTTTGAAGTAATCCTCTCCTCCTCTCCTCTCCTCTCTCTCTCCACACACACAAACATATGCACACATTCATATTTAAACCATCAGCAAATTCTATTGGCTCAATCTCCAAGACACAGCCAAAATCCAGCAATTTTCACTGCCTCCAATACTACCTACAGGTCCAAGCTACCATCGTCTGCATCTCGTTATTATCTCTTTACTGATATCCCTGATTCTGCTTTTGTTCCCCTTACAGTACACTCTGAACATGGCATCCAGAGTGATTCTTATATAATGTAAGTTAGATCATATCACTCTTTCGGCTGAAAACTCTCCAGTGCTCTTCTTTTCACTAAGAGTCTAAGACAAATTCCTGCCCATATCCCTGTACCATCTGACCCGTTACCTCTCTGTACTTACTGTCTGCCATTCGCTCATTCCACTGCAGCCACACCGACCTCTTACTTCCTGAAGGTGCCGGACGTGCTTCTACTTCGAGGGTTTTTCACTCACTCCTCATTATTTCCCTACTGTGATCTGTACATACCATCACCACCCTGACCACAGTAAAATCTACTCACAATAAATATGACCAAGCACCAGCACCATGAGACTCAGCAGAAACAAACAGACAAAACAGATTTAGAGTCCAAATGATTTACAATTCAGAATATGGAATAGCCACATGTGACATACTTATGGACGTAATCACAAAGAGAACATTATCTGTTGGCCTTCAGCACAGGAAACAGAAATCACTCCAAGTATTTCATTCAAAAAAGTGTTTTGTTTTTGTTTTGTTTTGTTTTCAGGAAATTTGGTACTTAACATGGTTGGGGCGGGGCAGGGCGCAGGAACGGAAGGAACAATGCCAGACACCATCACTAGACTTTTGGCTTTAAGGTCACACTTAGAAGGTACAACTGCTGTTGCTACTGTCACTGCCACTGCCACAACCTCTGCGTGCTCATGAATCTGGAGACATTCCATGGGATGTGGAACTGGCTCCTGAAAACTCTCAGGCATACCAGAGAGGACCCTTCAGCCTCCATCACCACAGGAAGCATCACCTCTGTTTCCCTCAAAAGTTTATATGAAAATGATCCACAATCTAGAACCCTGAAACCAGCCAAACAAACACATGTGTGGGAAGAAAAATACATTATTATTATTATTATTATTATTATTATTATTATTATTATTATTATTATTTTGAGACAGTCTGACTCTGTTGCCCAGGCTGGAGTGCAGTGGCATGATCTCGGCTCACTGCAACCTCCACCTCCCGGGTTCAAAAGATTCTCCTGCCTTGGCCTCCTGAATAGCTGAGATTACAGCACGCACCACCACACCCAGCTAATTTTTGTACTTTTAGTAGAGACGGGGTTTCATCATATTGGTCAGGCTAGTCTTGAACTCCTGACCTCGTGATTTGCCCGCCTTGGCCTCCCAAAGTGCTGGGATTACAGGCATGAGCCACTGCGCCCAGTCAAAAAATACATTTTTTAAAAAATGTGTTTCCTCTGTAATTTTTCTCAGGAAACTATTGGAAAATATGTTTTATCAAAATGTGGGGTAAACAAAGAAGAGGCAGATATGGAAAACAGAAAACAGGCGACCCAGCACAGGAGAAAAAAGAAGGGAATCCCCAAATCACAGACGTGCATAAGCGGGAGAGGGCAAACTGTCTGGACTACAGCAGTGTCACTCAAGGGACAGGCACAGTAATACTTGTCGCCACTATACCCTCTGGCCAAAGCTACTGGAACATACGCTCCATGAAAATGACACAGTAAACCAAGAAAAATGAAATCATTCAAAGAACAGAATTCAGATTAGGAGGAATTCCTAAAATACCAGCAAAGGGAAGTCTCAAGAGGACTAATAGGCAACTGAGAGCAGGCATAGGACATTACTAGATAGAGGGAAACAAAGATCTCCAGGAGAGAACTAAAACGAATATATGTATAGAGGACGTGGACCTTGTGAGAAATTGTACCAAAAGCTACTGGCAGGCATGAGAAGATTTAGTAACAGATGCAAATATGACTAAGCAAATCAAAAAACAAGGCAATTGGCCGGGTGCAGTGGCTCACACCTATAATCCCAGCACTTTGGGAGGCTGAGGCAAGTGGATCACTTGAGGTCAGGAGTTCGAGACCAGCCTGGCCAACATGGTAAAACCCCGTCTCTATTAAAAATACAAAAATTAGCCAGGCATGGTGGTGCACACCTGTAATCCTAGCTACTCAGGAAGCTGAGGCAGGAGAATCACTTGAACCCGGGAGATGAAGGTTACAGTGAGACGAGATCACACCACTGCACTCCAGCCTGGGAGACAGAGTGAGACTCTGTCTCAATTAAAAAACAAAAACGAAAACAAAAACACAGCAATTATTAAACTATAGGAAAAACAAAAAAGTAAAAAATAAGACATAAAGTACATTATAATACTCAGCATTGAATAATGTTTATATAAACATAATTTAGAGTCTAAATATTTATTTAACTACAAAAGTAGACTTTTTTTTTTTTTACCAATACGAAATGATTGTATAAGAAAGCCAAATCTTTATCTACAATAATAGGAAATCAATTGACAAAATCTAAAATTGATGAGTTAAGGCCGAACATGGTGGGTCACACCTACAATCCCAGCACTCTGGGAGGCCGAGGCAGGTGGATCACCTGAGGTCAAGAGTTCAAGACCAGCCTGGCCAACATGGTGAAACCCTGTCTCTACTAAAAATACAAAACTAGCCTGGCATGGTAGCACATGCCAGTAATCCCAGCTACTCAAGAGGCTGAGGCACAAGAATCGCTTGAACCCAGGAGGCAGAGTTTGCAGTGAGCTGAGATGGTGCCACTGCACTCCGGCCTGGGCGACAGACTGAGACTTCATCTCAAAAAAAATTAACAAATAAAAATAAAATTAATGAGATGAAAGATGGTATCTCCATATTACAGAAAGTATAAATATGGAGATATTTGACTGCACAAAACTGAAAAAAACTTTTGCACATGTAAAATATTAAAAGTTAAATAATGTTCTAAAATTGATTGGTGATGGTAGTGCAACTCTGTGAATATACCAAAAAACATTGAATTTAACACTGTCAGTGGACGAATTGTTTGGTTTGGGGATTATAGCTCAATAAAGCTGTTAAAAAACAAATTATTGGGAGAAAATATATGCATGTATATCAAACAAGAGATTTAATCATATATATATATATAAAGAACTCCTTCCAAGATACAGAATCAACCTAGGTGTCCATCAGAAGATGAGTAGATGAAGAAAATGTGGTATATGTAACAAATGGAATACTATTCAGCCATAAAAAGAACTAAATCCTGCCATTCTCAGCAACATGGATGAGTCTGGAGGTCATTATGTTAAGTGAAATAAGTCAGGCACCAAAAGACAAATACCACATGTTCTCACTCATATGTGGGAGCTAAAAAAAATTGTTTTGATCTCACAGTAGTAGAAAGTAGAATAGTGGTTACCAGAGACTGGGAAGGGTAGTGGGCAGAGGAGATAGGGAGAGATTGGTTAAAGTATACAGAATTACAGCTAGGTAGGAGGAATAAGTTCTAGTGTTCTATAGAAATGGAGGGTGACTATAGCTAAAATAATTTATTGTATATTTTCAAATAGCTAGAATGGAGGATTTTGGAGGTTCCCAGCATAAAGAAATGATAAATGTTTGAGGTGATGGATATGCTAATTACCCTGATTTGATTATAACACATTATATACATATATTGAACTATTATTTTGTACCCCATAAGTGTGTACAACTATTGTGCGTCAATTGAAATTCTTTAAAAAGATAATCAAGCCAGCCCAGTGGCATGCGCCTGCAGTCCAAGCTATTCGGGAGGCTGAAGCAGGAGGATCAGTTGAGCTCAGGAGTTCAAGTCCAGCACAGGCGACATAGCAAGACCTAATTTCTGAAGATAAAAATAGTTTTGTAATAAAAAAAGTTAAGAAAAATGAAAAAAAAAAGAACTAGATGATCTCCAAGATCCCTTCCAGCTGCAAAATTCTGTCATTGTACAAAGCACTATGAAGTAGTGCTTTGAATATAGAATTCCTGGAGTATATATGTCTGCCCCACTCATTTAATACTTGGCAGATACTATATTTTGTATTCTTAAACTTTTATAATTTTTATTATGTTTTCTTCTTAAAATGTAAATTCCATCTGGGTGCAGTGGCTCACGCGTGTAATCCCAGCACTTCGGGAGGACAAGGCGGGTGGATTGCTTGACATTAGGAGTTCGAGGCCAGCCTGGCCAACATGGTGAAACCCCATCTCTACTAAAAATATAAAAATTAGCTGGGCGTGGTGGTGCATGCCTGTAGTCTCAGCTGCTCAGGAGGCTGAGGCAGGAGAATTGCTTGAACCCGGGAAGTAGAGGTTGGAGTGAGCCAAGATCATGCCACTGCACTCCAACCTGGGCAACAGAGTGAGACTATGCCTCAAAAAAAGAGAGAAAATAATAGTAATAATAATAAAATGTAAATTCCTTAAATTTACATTGCTTAACATGGCCTCTTGTCTTAGTTGGGCTGCTGTAACAAAATGCCATAGACCAGGTGGCTTCTAAACAACAGAAATGTATTTTTCAGTTCTGGGGCCTGGAAGTCCTAGATCAGAGTACCAATGAAGTGGGGTGCTGCTGAGAGCCCTCTTCTGGTTGGCACCCTGCCATCTTTTCATTGTATCCTCACATGGCAGAAAGAGAGTGAGAGGACTGGGTGTAGTGGCTCACATCTGTAATGTCAGCACTTTGGCAGGACGAGGCGGGCAGATCACTTGAGGTCAGGAGTTTGAGACCAGCCTGGCCAACAAAAATTAGCCCAGCGTGGTGGCTAGCATGTATAATCCCAGCTACTCCACCCAGGAGGTGGAGTTTGCACTGAGCCGAGATCGTGCCATTGCACTTCAGCCTGGATGGCAGAGTGAGACCCTGTCTCAAAAAAAAAAAAATAGCAAAGAAAAAGAAGTGAGTGAGAGAGCTCTCTCTGGGGTCCTTTTTTTTTTTTTTTGGAGACGGAATCTTGCTCTGTAGCTCAGGCTGGAGTATAGTGGTGTGATCTCAGCTCACTGCAACCTCTGCCTCCTGGGTTCAAGCAATTCTCCTGCCTCAGCCTCCCCAGTAGCTGGGATTATAGGCACACGCCACTACACCCGGCTAATTTTTGTAGAGACAGGGTTTCACCATGTTGGCCAGGCTGGTCTCGAACTCCTGACCTTGTGATCCGCCTGCCGCGGCCTCCCAAAGTGCTAGGATTACAGGCGTGAGCCACCTCGCCCCGCCTGGGGTCCTTTTTATAAGGGCACTAATCTATTCATGAAGGCTCCATCCTGATGACCTAATTACCCGCCCAAAGACCCCATCTCCTAATACCATTACATTGGGGGTTAGGATTTCAGTATACGAGTTTGCTGGGAACACAAGCACTCAGTCCATTGTAGCCCTCAATATAGTAAAATATTCAATAAATACTTAATAATCGTTTAGAAAAGATGAAGTCCCTATCCTGATTCACTAAGTTGTAATAAATATTTCATAAATTCATCATCTGTTTTCATAAATATTTGAGAATTCTCTAAGAGTATTTTTTTCTTTTTCCTTCTTTCTTCCTTTTTTTTGAGACATGGTCTCAGAAACAGTCACTTTGTCACCCAGGCTGGAGTTCAATGGTGTGATCATGGCTCATTGCAGCCTTGACCTCCGGGGCTCCAGCCATCCTCCCACCTCAGCCTCTCAAGTAGCTGGGATTACAGGTATGTGCCACCACACCCAATAATTTTTGTATTTTCAGTAGAGACAGGGTTTAACCATGTTGGCCAGGCTGGTCTCGAGCTCCTGGCCTCAAGTGATCCACCCGCCTTGGCCTCCCAATATGCTGCGATTACAGGCGTGAGCCAACATACCCGGCCTCCAGGTAATTTTTGTATTTTTTGTAGATGGGATTTCACCATATTGCCCAGGCTGGTCTTGAACTCCTGAGCTCAAGTGATCCACCCACATGGCCTCCCAAAGTGCTGGGATTACAGGTGTGAGCCACCACGCCCAGACTAAGCCACGGTATTAAGTCATCACTATCATAAAGATTTCTTCATATGCAGGTTTTGCTTATTGATTGATTGATTGAGACAGGGTGTCACTCTGTCGCCCAGGCTGGAGTGCAATGGTGCAATCTCGGCTCACTACAACCTCCACCTCCTGGTTTCAAGCAATTCTCCTGCCTCAGCCTCCTGAGTAGTTGGGATTACAGGCATGAGCCACTCTACCCGGCCTCATTTATTTTTAAAAAAAGAAATTTTTTATTATGGTAAAATATTCATAACACAGGCTGGGCGCGGTGGCTCACATCAGTAATCTCAGCACTTTGGGAGGCCAAGGCAGGCGGATAACGAGGTCAGGAGTTCGAGCCTGGCTAACACAGTGAAACTCCATTTTTACTAAAAATACAAAAAATAGGCTGGGCGCGGTGGCTCACGCCTGTAATCCTAGCACTTTGGGAGGCCAAGGCGGGTGGATCACGCGGTCAGGAGATCGAGACCATCCTGGCTAACACGGTGAAACCCCGTCTCTACTAAAAATCCAAAAAATTAGGCGGGCGTGGTGGCGGGCGCCTGTAGTCCCAGCTACTCGGGGGGCTGAGGCAGGAGAATGGCGTGAACCCGGGAGGCGGAGCTTGCAGTGAGCCGAGATCGCTCCACTGCACTCCAGCCTGGGCAACAGAGCGAGACTCCGTCTCAAAAAAAAAAAGAAAAAAAATACAAAAAAATTAACTGGGCATGGTGGCACATGCCTGTAATCCCAGCTACTCGGGAGGCTGAGGCAGGAGAATCACATGAACCTGGGAGGCAGAGGTTGCAGTGAGCTGAGATCGCGCCATTGCACTCCAGTCTGGGCGACAGAGCGAGACTCCATCTCAAAAAAAAAAAAAAATCATAACACAAAAGTTATTATTTAGCTATTTTTAGGTATACAGGTCAGTGGCATTAAGTACATTCATACTGTTGTGCAACCATCACTGCTATTTATCATTAAAACTTTTTCATTCTTTCAAACTGAAACTCTACCCATTCAACACTAACTCTACTGCCCATTCCCTCCTCCCTCCAGCCCCTGGCAACAAGCATCCTAGTTTCTGTCTTTATGAATTGAATTTGACCTCTCTAGGTACGTCACATAAGCAGATTCATACAGTGTTTGTCCTTTTGTGTCTGGTTTATTTCACTTAGCATAATGTCTTCAAGGTTAATCCATGTTGTAGAATGTGTCAGAATTTCATTCCTTTTTAAAGCTAAAAAATATTTGTGTGTATACCACATTTTGTTTATCTAATCGTCAGTCATTGGACATTTTGGGTTGTTTCCACCTTTTGGCTACCGTGAATAATACTACTATGAACATTAGTGCAAAAAATTCTGTTTGAATCCCTTTCTTTTTATTTTATTTATTTATTTATTTATTTTTGAGACAGAGTCTTGTTCTGTCACTCAGGCTGGAGTGCAGTGGAATGATCTCAGCTCACTGCAACCTCCACCTCCTGGGTTCAAGCAATTCTTGTGCCTCAGCCTCTGGAATAGGGATTACAGGCGTGCACCACCATGCCCAGCTAATTTTTGTATTTTTGGTAGAGATGGGGTTTTGTCATGTTGCCCAGGCTGGTCTTAAGTGATCTGCCCGCCTCAGCCTCCCAAAGTGTTGGGATTACAGGTGTGAGACACCGCACCCGGACATTTTTTAAATTTGTGATAAAGACAGGGTCTTGTTATGTTGAGCAAGCTGGTCTCCAATTCCTGGGCTAAAGTGATCCTCCCACCTCAGCCTCTCAAAGTGCTGAGACATGCTCCTGGCAAAGTCCCTGGTTTCCATTCTTTGGGGTACCTACCCAGAAGGAGAACTGCTGGATCATATGGTAATTCTGTTTAATTTTTTGAGGAACTACCATACCCTCTTCCACAATGGCTGCACCATTTTATATTCCCACCAGCATGGCACAAACATTGTAATTTCTCCTTATCTTTTCCAAAACTTATTATTTTCTGGGTTTTAAAAAATAATCATAGTCATCATAATGGATGTGAAATTATGTTATTGTTATCTACATGTGTTCTCATTTAATCAGCTTAATGAACTTGCTCTGAAAATGTTCATTTCTTGCATTTTCTCATGTGAAATCTGAAATCATTTAGTGATAAATTATTGCTCACTAGCAAATAAATATTCAGTACACTTTATTTTTATTCCTTTTCTTTTTTAAGGAAAAGTTACTTCAGTCCTAGAGTACACTTTTTTTTTTTTTTTTTTTTTTTTTTTTGGAGACAGAGTCTTGCTCTGTCACCCAGGCTGGAGTGCAATGGTACAATCTCTGCTTACTGCAACCTCCACCTCCCGATTCAAGCAATTCTTCTGCCTCAGCCTCCCAAGTAGCTAGGACTACAGGTGCACGCCACCACGCCCAGCTAATTTTTATATTTTTAGTAGAGATGGGGTTTCACCATATTGGCCAGGCTAGTCTTGAACTCCTGATCTCATGATCCACTCCCCTCGGCCTCCCAAAGTGCTGGGATTACAGGCATGAGCCACCTCGCCCAGCTAGAGTACATATTTTAAAACTTAGCCTTTGTTGAGAAGCTTCTTTTTTTCCTTTTTTGAGAAAATCTCACTCTGTCACCCAGGCTGGAGTTTGGTGGCACAGTCATGGCTCACTGCAGCCTCAACTTCCCAGGCTCAAGTGATCCTCCCACTTTAGCCTCCCTAGTAGATAGGACCGCAAGTGTGCACCACCATGTCCAGCTAATTTTTTATTTTTATTTTTTGTAGAGGTGGGGTCTCACCATGTTATCCAGACTGGATTTTGTCTTTTTAATTTCAAATTTCAATCGTTCATTGCTGGCATATAAGAAAACAATTGACTCTTGTGTATTAATCCTGCATCTTGTGCTCACTTTGGAAACAGATTTACTAAAATTGGAATGATACAGAGAAGATTAGCATAGCCTCTGTGCAAGGATAGAGTTGTGAAGCATTCTTTATGTGTCTTCAGCTTGGGCAAGAGTGACACCCTATCTCTGAAAAAAAAAAAAAGATTTGTGAAGCATTCTTTATTTGTCTTCAGCTTGGGCAAGAGTGACACCCTTTCTCTGAAGAAAAAAAAAAGAAAGAAAAAGGAAAAACAAGAAGAGGAAAAGACACAAAGAAGGCCATGTGAGGCCAGCCACAGTGACTCACGCCTATAATCCCGGCACTTTGGAAGGCCAAGGCAGGTGGATCACCTGAAGTCAGGAGTTGGAGACCAGCCTGGCCAACATGGTGAAGCCCCATCTCTACTAAAAATAAAAATTAGCTAGGCATGGTGGCTCATGCCTGAGTCCCAGCTGCTCGGGAGGCTGCAGCAGGAGAATCGCTTGAACCTGGGATATGGTGGTTGCAGTGAACTGAGATTGTGCCACTGCACTCCAGACTCCAGCCTGGGCAACAGAGCAAGACTTCATCTCAAAAAAAAAAAAAAAAAAAAAAAAGGCCAGGCGTGGTGTCTCACACCTGTAATCCCAGCACTTTGGGAGGCCGAGGCAAGCAGATCAGGAGGTCAGGAGTTCGAGACCATCGTGGCTAACATGGTGAAACCCCGTCTTTACTAAAAATACAAAAAATTAGCCAGGTGTGGTAGCATGCACCTGTAGTCCCAGCTACTCGGGAGGCTGAGGCAGGAGAATGGCATGAACCTGGGAGGTGGAGGTTGCAGCGAGCTGAGATCATGCCACTGCACTCCAGCCTGGGCGACAGAGCAAGACTCTGTCTAAAAAAACGCCATGTGAAACAAGCAGAAATTAAAATCATGTTGCCACAAGCCAAAGAATGTCAAGAGCCACCAGAAGACTCAAGGAAGGGTTCTCCCTCAGAGCCTTCAGAGGGAGCATAGCTCAGCTGACGCTGATTTTGGATAACTGTAGAAGCTGAAATCCAAGAGAACTTGCCACCTGCCCATTTGGAAACCACCACAAAGTAATCAACTGCAACACATTCTTTGACACAAGAAGGGGATTAGAAAAAAGGGTTGCTTCGAGAGTTTAGTGGCAGACTTCATACTTTTTAATTAAAAAAAACACATTTTGTTTTTACCAAAAAAAAAAAATCTTGTATCTTGCATCCTTGCTGTAATCACTTATTAGTGCCAGGATTCTTTGGTTGGTTCTTTAGAAGTTTTTACATAGACAATCATTATCATCTGTGAACAAACACAGTTTTGTTCGTTGCTTCCCTTTCTGTATGTTTTATTTCTTTTGTTGCTGTTGTTTTACTGCATTAGCTACAACTTCCAGCGTAATGTTGAATAGAGGTGATGAGAACAGACATCCTTGTCTTATTCCTAATCTTAGTAGGAAAGTATCTAGTTTCTCCAATAGACTTTATTTTTAAGAGGCAAGGTCTTACTATGTTGTCCAGGCTGGAGTGCCGTGGCGAGTCACAGGCGCAATTATACTGCACTAAAGCCTCGAACTCCTTGCTCATACAATCCTCTTGCCTAAGCCTCCCAAGTAGCTAGGACTATAAGTGTACACCGCCACGCCTGGGTTTCAATAAACTTTTACATCTAATATCAACTATTTGTATTCTTTTAATGTTCATTTTTGGGTTTTGTTGTTGTTGTTGTTTTGAGACAGAGTCTCACTCTGTCGTCCAGGCTGGAATGCAGCGGCACGATCTCAGCTCACTGCAACCTCTGCCTCCAAGGTTCAAACGATTCTTCTGCCTCAGCCTCCCAAGTAGCTGGGACTACAGGTGCACACCACCATGCCTGGCTAATTTTTGTATTTTTAGTAGAGATGGGGGGGTCTCACCATGTTGGCCAGGCTGGTCTCGAACTCCCAACCTCAGGTGATCCACCTGCCTCAGCTTCCCAAAGTGCTGGGATTACAGGCATGAGCCACTGCACTGGCCCATTTTTGTTATTAAAAGTTAAAAAATCAGATTAAATATACAAAAGAAGAAAAATAACTATAACCCTTAGCTCACCGTCCAAACACAATATGGCAAAATGTGGGCATTTTCTTATAATTTCTATATGTGGTTATTGTTCTAATGGTTTTTTAAGTATTTTAATGCTACTATATATTCTCTGAAAATGTTACTGACTCTACAACATTTCATGAATATTCAAATGAATATTCCATGCCTTAGATAAGTATTCCCCTATAGATGGATCTTTAAATTATTTATAATTTTCCTCTGTTATAAATAATATTGCTATAAAAATATTTTTGCATGGAGGACTTTATATATTTAGAAACAATTCATTACAATATATTTCAGAAATTCTTGAATCAAAAAATTTTAGGTTCATGGTATATTGGAAAATTACTTTCCATGTGGTCGGACACAGTGGCTCAGGCTTGTAATCCCAGTACTTTGGGGGGCTGAAGCAGGTGGATCACTTGAGGTCAGGTGTTCAAAACCAGCCTGGCCAACACAGTGAAATCCCATCTCTACTAAAAATATAACAATTCTCCTGAGGCAGGAGAATCACTTGAACCTGGGAGGTGGAGGTTGCAGTGAGCCGAGATCACGTCACTGCATTCCAGCCTGGGTGACAGAGCGAGACTCTGTCTCAAAAACAAACAAACAAAAATAGCCAACTGTGATGGTATGCGTTTAAATAATCCCAGCTACTTGAGAGGCTGAGGCAGGAGAATTGGTTGAACCCAGGAGCCAGAGGTTGAAGTGAGCTGAGATCACGTCACTGCATTCCAGCCTGGGCGACAGAGCAACACTCTATCTTTAAAAAAAAAAAAAAAAAAAAAAAAAAAATATATATATATATATATATATATACATACACACACATATATACTTTTCATGAGTATTGTGCAAACTTACATTGCAATCAACAATCTAATCAACACTGGTTTTCATCACTTATCATTTTTATTTTTGCTAATTTTATAAGATAAAATATTGACCAGGCACGGTGGCTCATGCCTGTAATCCCAGCACTTTGGGAGGCCAAGGCAGGCAGATCACCTGAGGTCAGGAGTTCGAGACCAGCCTGGCCAACATGGTGAAACCCTGTCTCTACTAAAAATACAAAACTTAGCCGGGAGTGGTGGCAGACACCTGTAATCCCAGCTACTCGGGAGGCTGAGGCAGGAGAATCACTTGAACCTGGGAGGTAGAGGTTGCAGTGAGCCTAGATCGTGCCACTGCACTCCAGCCTGGGTGACAGATCAAGACTCCATCTCAAAAAAAAAAAAAAAAAAGATTAAATATTATATACCTCTTTTTATGTATGTTTCTAATTACTCATGGTTTAATTTTTTATTAGCCACATTTTTCACTAGTTGCATTTCCTCTTTTGTGTATTTTTAAATTCATGTTGTTTGGCCATTTATCTGTTAGAGATTTAGTGGCTTTCTTGTTGATTTGCATGAATTACTTATGGCCATTTGCCTTACTTTGGCCATTTGCCTTCTAGATTTGCTTTGACATTTTCCAAGTTTGTTATTTGCCTTTAAATTTTATTTTTTATATTTTAATTATAAATTATTTATATATCATCATATGTAAATAGAATAATATATATAATCTACACATTTACATAATTTAATATTTACTTCTGTTTTCTTTAATTTTCTGTGGCTATATTTTTTAAATTGTGGTAAAATCAAGTAATATGAAATGTACCATCTTAACCATTTCTGTGGTTATACATTTTTGAATTAAATATATTTGTGAGGATCTAAGATATTGCATTTAAAATTTTATTTTCATAAATAGTAATGTACCAACTCCATTCATTCAATAGATAATTATTAATCATTTACTCTGATAAGCAATTATAAACATTTAGATAGGAGATATTCTTACAGTGTGGTGGAGGAGACAAACAACTCCAGGATTATGTGATAAATGCAGTGATAGAGGTATACATAGTCTACTATAGCTACTTTTTTTTTCTTAGTAGAGATGAATTCTCACTATGTTGCCCAGGCTAGTCTTGAACACCTGAACTCAAGCGATCCTCCTGCCTCAGCCTCCCAAAGTGCAGGGATTACAGGTGTGGGCCCTCATGCCCAGCCTACTATAGATACTCTCATTCATTCAGTAAATACTTTAGTGACTGCTATATGTCAAGTACCATGCTGGGCCACAGACAATCAACAGGGAACCAATCATGGTCCCTGTTTTGGTTTTTAAAAAAGAGAGAGAGAGAGAGAAACAGAGAGAGAGAGAGAAAACTTACACTCAAACAGAGGATACAGATACATTTATTGTGTGGTTAGCTGATTTATTGTGTGTCATAATAGAGAAAACATGGGCTGCCATGGGAAAACAGAAGATCCATCTAAATCCAATCAGGCTAGGGAGTCATAGGGAGTCAGAAAGGCCTTACTAATGCAGGAACAGAAGACCAAATACCGCAGGTTCTCACTTATAAGTGGGAGCTAAATGATGAGAACACCTGGACACATAGAGGGAAATAACACACTGGGGCCTATCAGAGGGTGGAGGGTCGGAAGAAGGAGAGGATCAGGAAAAAAAAACTAATGAGTACTAGGCTTAATACCTGCCTGCTGAAATAATCCATACAGCAAACACCCATAACACAAGTTTACGTATGTAACAAACTTGCACGTGTCCCTGAACTTAAAAGTTAAAAAAAAAAAAAAAAAAAAAAAGACGGCCGGGCGCTGTGGCTCACGCCTGTAATCCCAGCACTTTGGGAGGCCGAGACGGTCGGATCACGAGGTTAGGAGATCGAGACCATCCTGGCTAACACGGTGAAACCCCGTCTCTACTAAAAATACAAAAAACTAGCCAGGCGTGGTGGCGGGCGCCGGTAGTCCCAGCTACTCAGGAGGCTGAGGCAGGAGAATGGAGTGAACCTGGGAGGCGGAGCTTGCAGTGAGCCGAGATCCCGCCACTGCACTCCAGCCTGGCAGACAGAGTGAGACTCCGTCTCAAAAAAAAAAAAAAAAAAAGATAGACATGAGCTAGATGAAGGGAGAAACATACTCTGTGCAGAGAGCACACATACCAAGGTACAGGGCTACAAGTTAGCAGGCTGTGTACCCCTTAGTCAACTGAGAGAAGTGAAGCTAAAAATGTGGGCAGGAGCCAGAACAAATTGTCTTTTATGCTAAATCCTGGCATCATGTCCTGAATAATCTTTCCCTTTCACACAAAAATAATATTAGCACATAACTTACTATGTGTCAGTCTCTGTTCCAAGTGCCTTACATGTACTGGCTCATTCGTTTCTATATTCCAGAGAAAACCATTTGGTTCAGTGTATTAACTCGTTTAATTCTCACAATAATCCATGAAGTGCATATTATTATTATGCCTTTTCTTAAAGAGGAAACTGAGGGCAAGTTACACAGCTATATTTAAACTCAGGCAGTCTGCCTCTAGAGGCTCAATCTCTCTTTTTTTTTTTTTTTTTTTTTTTTTTTTTTTTTTTTTTTTAGACAGAGTTTTGCTCTTGTTGCCTAGGCTGGAGTGCAATGGCGCGATCTCGGCTCACTGCAACCTCCACCTCCCGGGATCAGGCAATTCTTCTGCCTCAGCCTCCCGAGTAACTGGGATTACAGGCATGTGCCACCATGCCCAGCTAATTTTGTATTTTTAGTAGAGATGGGGTTTCACCATGTTGGTCAGGCTGGTCTCGAACTCCTGATCTCAGGTGATCCAGCCGCCTCGGACTCCCAAAGTGCTGGGATTACAGGTGCGAACCACTGTGCCGGGCCTCAATCATCTTTTTTTAGAGGTGAGGATAGTCTCACTATATTGCCCAGGCTGGTCTCAAAACTCCTGGCCTCAAGCAGTCCTCCCCACTTAGCCTCCTAAGTAGCTGGGATTATAGGTGTGAGCCACCTCATCTGGCACAGAGACCAAACTATTAACCACTCTGCTTCTCATTCATATGTGATACTTCAAATATTTAAAACATTTATTTATTTATTTATTTATTATTTTTTGAGACAGAGTCTCATTCTGTCACCCAGGCTGGAGTGCAGTGGTGCAATCATGGCTCACTACAGTCTTGACCTCTTGGGCTCAAAGCAATCCTCCCACCTTGGCCTTCTAAAGTGCTGGGACTACAGGCATGCACAACCACACCCGGTTAGTTTTTAATTTTTTTTGTAGAGATGGGGCCTTATTATGTTCCCCAGGCTGTAAAACATTAAATTTTTTACAGGTTATTTGGAGGCTATCGATTTGGTACAATATTTCTTTCTGTATGTGCATGTATTTCTTTCTGTATGTTTATCTTTATTCCAGAATCATGCTGAAGGTAGTCTATGCCTTTGCTATTTTCTTTTTCAGGTTTTTCTTTCCTTTTTAAAAATAAATATTGCCTATTCTTCAAGGGAACTTTCATAATAATTTTCTCTTTTTTTTTTTTTTTTTATTTTGAGACCGAGTCTTGCTCTGTTGCCCAGGCTGGAGTGCGGTGGTGCGATCTCAGCTCACTACAACCTCCACGTCCCAGGTTCAAGAGATTCTCCTGCCTCAGCCTCCCAGGTAGCTGGGATTACAGGTGCCCACCACCGTGCCCAGCTAATTGTATTTTTAATAGAGACGGGGTTTCAACATGTTGGCTAGGCTGGTCTCAAACTCCTGACCCCAAGTGATCTGCCTGCCTTGGCCTCCCAAAGTGGTGGGATTATAGCCATGAATCACTGTGCCTGGCCTTTCGTAATAATTTTCTTGAACTAAAATTTGGGATTAGGCCAGGCATGGTGGCTCACACCTATAATCCCAAGCACTTTAGGAGGCCGAGGCAGAAGGGCTGTTTGAGCCCAGGAGTTCAGGACCAGCCTGGGGGACATAGCTAGACCCCACCTCTACCAAAAAATCAAAAATCAGCTGGGCATGGTGGCATGTGCCTGTTGTCCCAGCTACTTGGAGGCTGAGGAGGGAGGATTGCTTAAGCCTGGGAAGTTGAGGCTGCGGTGAGCTGTGATGACACCACTGCACTCCAGCCTAGGCTACAAAGCAAGACTCTTATTAAAAATTAATTAATTAATTAAAAAATTAGAGATTAGAGAATTTTAGTTAAGTTAAATAAATAAAATAAAAAATAAAATTAGAGATTAGAGGATTTTAGTTAAGTTAAATGTATTAAATTGAAAAGTATTTCATTTTTCCATCCACAAAGTGCTATATTTTCTCATTCAAGTCTTCTCTCAAATCTACCAATACATTTTTGCAATTTTCCTAAAATAGGTAACATTTATTAAGATTGTTCTTAGATGCGTTATAATTTTGTGGAGAAGTGTAATTTCTTATTGTGTTTTCTAATTCTTTACTATTGGTATGTAGGAATGCTATATACTTGTATATGTTATTTTTCTTGATATATGAGATTATAAAATTACCACACAAAAACTCTAAAAATAGAAAAGCTATATACCTTATTCAATAATGTTCAAAACATTCAGAAAAGATTTGGGTCAATATGAAAGGCTACACGGAAAATAATGTGATTTTAATCCAGTGTTTACATATGTGTTAGTTACACATTCAAACTCTTGTCACCGATGCATTTTCATCTAATTTTTTCCATAATGAGAGAGAAGGAGACGCGTTGGTGACTGCAATAGGGCCACCTCCCTCAAATTACGTTGCTCTCTATGACCCATCCTCAGTCTCCCAGTTCAAGCTAATCATTGACAGAGCTTTACAATCACAAGCTTTTACTGAAGCTTTGATAAGACAGTCCAGCAGTTGGTGGCAAATGAAGCCAGGCTGTGCGGCAGGATCTCCAGGGAATGAATGGATTTTCTTCAGCACTGATGAAATAACCACACGCTATAGGAATACAATGTCCAACGGGGGATTGCAAAGATCTGTCATCCTGTCAGCACTTATTCTGCTACGAGCTGTTACTGGATTCTCTGGAGATGGAAGAGCTATATGGTCTAAAAATCCTAATTTTACTCCGGTAAATGAAAGTCAGCTGTTTCTCTATGACACTTTCCCTAAAAACTTTTTCTGGGGTATTGGGACTGGAGCATTGCAAGTGGAAGGGAGTTGGAAGAAGGATGGAAAAGGACCTTCTATATGGGATCATTTCATCCACACACACCTTAAAAATGTCAGCAGCACGAATGGTTCCAGTGACAGTTATATTTTTCTGGAAAAAGACTTATCAGCCCTGGATTTTATAGGAGTTTCTTTTTATCAATTTTCAATTTCCTGGCCAAGGCTTTTCCCCGATGGAATAGTAACAGTTGCCAACGCAAAAGGTCTGCAGTACTACAGTACTCTTCTGGACGCTCTAGTGCTTAGAAACATTGAACCTATAGTTACTTTATACCACTGGGATTTGCCTTTGGCACTACAAGAAAAATATGGGGGGTGGAAAAATGATACCATAATAGATATCTTCAATGACTATGCCACATACTGTTTCCAGATGTTTGGGGACCGTGTCAAATATTGGATTACAATTCACAACCCATATCTAGTGGCTTGGCATGGGTATGGGACAGGTATGCATGCCCCTGGAGAGAAGGGAAATTTAGCAGCTGTCTACACTGTGGGACACAACTTGATCAAGGTACTGTACAGCTAGCTTCTTCTTATAGCTTCAGAAAACACTAAGAATTTAAGAATTTACCTTCTGCCTCAGTAATTCTCTTCACTGAAATCAAGGCAACTGATTTTAAGCTAATTCAAAAGATCTATCCTCAAATTTTGCATTTAAGTTAGTGTATGTTTTATTTATCTAAGGTATTTTTAATGTATTAATCCAATTAGTTTTTTCAAAAGTTGCACTTTGAGGCTATTTTTAAATCTACCATTATACACTACAGTGTGAATATATGAGCTTACTTTCATTCTGTGGGAAAACAGTGCTTCATAAATTTAATTGTTGGAACCCTTTTCTGACAACATGCAATCATTTCAGAATTATCTTAAGGCACAACCATTTCAAATATGTATTTGTTGTTAAGTATAGCTAACTTAGCTAATAAGTAAATAAAGTAAGTAAATAAGTAAGCCAAATAAATGTTAGCTAACTCATGCATATTAAATACAGAAATTTAAATATACTTCACTTTTGATTTTATTTGTGTTACATAGCAAAAAAGAGAAGATTAATTGTTATGGGAGCTAAACACATTTCTTCCCATAAGAACTGGGAAGAATGTGCTCTACTAAAGCAATTTTCAAGCAATATATTTCAAAAGCTAGAGATAATGTTGAGAAATGTTAAAATTAGTAAAACAATAGTGAAAATACAAGCAAAATAATAGGTAATAATTACTGAGTACTTATTATGTACCACAGACTACATTAAGTATTTTACATGCATCGTTACAGTTGATCCTCTTAACAGCCTTTTGAACTAGTTTTATTATTCTTCCCATTTAAAAGATGAGGAAACTGAAGCTTAATGAGATTAAATAATTTTCCCAAGGTTAAGGAGTAAAATACAGCTGTTGTGGACATGGATTTTTTAAATGACAACATAATTAACACTAACTGTCTTCATTAAGAATGCTTTGAAAAGAAGACTCAGGAATTTGCAAGAGATTTAGCCTCACATTGAGGCTAATATCTAGAATCGAATTTAACTTTTTGAGTCAAATAGTTTACTTAGGAAAAATAAATTATTCTGCACACCTGTTACATTTTAAAAATGAAAAAACTTTATCAATATAATTTTATAATGTGCTACAAAAAGTAATTTAATTATTAATAATCAAAAGCTAAATATACAGAAGTAGAAAAAAAATACAGCAACATAAAATAATTCCATGTCTAAATTTGTACATACAAAAATATCTGCTATCACTTCTTTTCTTTTTGAACTTTTCTGGATTATTACACATGTGCATTGTACTATGGTTTCAGATACATCTGCCCTTGAGGTAAACAGATTGCATTATGATTTCAAGGTCATTTGCATATCTTTGACTAGAGTTGTATATAGAACATATTAATGTGTGGGTATACTGTGATTTGACAAAATAAGACCTTAAAGGGTAGAAATTGTATAGGTATTTAACAGTTATCAAGATTATGCATACAAAAGTTAGAAAAATATTCCTCTCATTTAGTCCTTTTAATTTTCTTTTTTTTTTTTTTTGAGACAAAGTCTCACTCTGTCACCCAGGCTGGAGTGCAATGGCGCAGTCTTGGCTCACTGCAATCTCCACCTCCCAGGTTCAAGCAATTCTCCTGCCTCAGCCTCTTGAGTAACTGGTACTACAGGCACATGCCACCAGCCCAGTTAATTTTTGTGTTTTTAGTAGAGAGGGGTTTCACTATGTTGGCCAGGCTGGTCTCCAACTCCTGACCTCATGATCCACCTGCCTCAGCCTCCCAAAGTGCTGGGATTACAGGTGTGAGCCACTGCGCTCAGCCAGTCCTTTTAATTTTTAAAACAATTCATGCTCATGTACATTTAAAAATATCAGATTGGGCCGGGCACAGTGCCTCATGCCTGTAATCCCAGCACTTTGGGAGGCCAAGGCAGGTGGATCACAAGATCAGGAGTTTGAGACCAGCCTCGCCAACATAGTGAAACCCTCTCTACTGAAAACACAAAAATTAACTGGGCGTCGTGGCACGTGCCTATAGTCCCAGTTACTCGGGAGGCTGAGGCAGGAGAATCCCTTGAACCCGGGAGGCAGAGGTTACAGTGAGCCGAGATCACGCCACTGCACTCCAGCCTGGGCGAGAGTGAAACTCTGTCTCAAAAAAATAATAAATAAAAAATAAAAATATCACATTGTACCAAAGGATCTAAAGTGAAAAAGTTAAATCCCTCTCCCTCTCTTCACCTGACAATCCCAGGCCAAGGACGCTACTGTTAATAGTTTCTTATACATTCTTTTTAAAGTTTTCTATGCAAATACATGCATGAATATGTTTATTTAACCTTTGTATAAAGAAAAATATTCTAAATTGTTGAAAAGTCATTACCTGGAAAAATGTCAACAATTAGAGTTTTCATGAAAATGTATTTTAAGGATTAAAGCCTTAAAATTGGCTGATAAGAATAAACAGGCAAAAAGCTTTAACAGATATTGCTTCCAAACATAGTTGATAAAATGACATATTTTCAGATGTTTTCATTTTCCTCTAATTTGAGATATTCTCTGCCTTTAACACAAAATTAGCACTTTATGATCGTGAGATAAATTTTATTATTTTAAATGGAGGGATATGTTTTTCAACTATTGTGTTTTCCAAATAATGTTTGTATTGCCTTAAAAGTTCTAAATCACTAGACTAAATAAATGGTGTGAGGGGTCCTTGAAATCAGTCAGAAAGTGAAATACACTGCATGACCCAGTGACGTATAGCACTAAAGAAATCTTGCAATGATTTGGTAGCCTGAGGTGAACTTGTTTTTCCCACTTGTCCCCTCGCTGTCTTGACTTTCACGTAGAAAACATTAATTTGATATTTTACGTTGCAATGAAGTATTTCTTCCTTCTCCTGCCCCCTTGTGACCCAGAAGAAGCATTCTTTAGGAATAGTTTTTAGACCGAAAACATTTATTGAGCTACACAAGCCTAATATAAAACTGAATTCTGGGGGGGTATGGACCCCTTCATTCCCCACTTCTCAGATAGAGAAAAGGTTTCATAGTGGCTATTGGGGTCCTTTTCGTTCCAGAATGATCTGGAAAACTCCATCTCGGTTTGAAATGTTCCCATTTGGAGGAAACCTGAATGGTCCAGAGGGTCCCAAGGCTGACTTGCAATTTAGATTCCACTTTATTGCAGATGTAGGGAGTACCTTAATGCGGGTCTAAGACTCAGGTAAAAATTTTCCATAATCACACCTACTAATGGATGAACCAACTCTAAGTTTTTGTTTTTGTTTTGTTTTGTTTTGAGACGGAGTTTTCGTTCTTGTTGCCCAGCCTGGAGTGCAGTGGCACAATCTTGGCTCACTGCAACCTCCGCCTCCCGGGTTCAAGCGGGAGCCTCAGCCTCCCGAGTCGCTGGGATTACAGGCAAGTGCCACCACGCCTGGGTAATTTTTTGTACTTTTAGTAGAGACGGGGTTTCTCCATGTTGGTCAGGCTGGTCTGGAACTCCCGACCCACAGCGCCCGGCCTCAAAACTAAGGTTTTTTTTGTTTTGTTTTGTTTTGTTTTGATTTTTTTTTTTTTTTTTTTTGAGACGGAGTCTTGCTCTGTCGCCCAGGCTGGAGTGCAGTGGCGCTATCTCGGCTCACTGCAAGCTCCGCCTCCCAGGTTCACGCCATTCTCCTGCCTCAGTCTCCCGTCAAAGCTGTTTTTAACAGCATTTGAAATAGAATGAGGATGTATTTTTTGGCTTGGCCATTTTTTTTTTTTTAAGACAGAGTCTCACTCTGTCACCCAGGCTGGCGTGCAGTGGCTCGATCTCAGCTCACTGCAACCTCCGCCTCCCGGATTCAAGCGATTCTCCCGCCTCAGCCTCCCGAGTAGCTGGGATTACAGGTGTGAGCCACTGCTCCTGGCCCTGGCTTGGCCATTTTTAAGCACGGTAATCATCACTTTAAATATCATCTCTAGGCCTGGCATGGTGGCTCATACCTGTAATCCCAGAGCCTATGAGTTTGAGACCAACCTGGGCAACATAGCAAGACCCCCTTCTCTATTTAAAGAAAAAAGAAATAATATCTATGTATTCTAAGTGAAGTAACTCAGGAATGGAAAACCAAATGCCATATGTTCTCTCATATAGTGGGAGCTAAGCTATGGGTATACTGAGCTTATGTATGCATCTGCATACCCATAGCTTAGCTCCCACTATATAAGAATGATACAATGGACTATATATACAGAATGATATATACCTACATACAGAAGGATATAATCAACTTTGGAGACTCAGAACAGGGAAGCTGGGAGAGGAGTAAGGGATAAAAAAACTGCATATTGGATACAATGTATACTCCTCTGGTGATGAGTACACTAAAATCTCAGACTTCACCGTTATACAATTCATCCGTGTAACCAAAAACCACTTGTACCCCAAAACTATTGAAATTTTAAAAATATTTTTAAAAAGAGAAATATTATGAACATTTACATTCCAAAAGGACATAAATAAATAAATATTATCTATACTCTTTACAACAATCTTGCCAGGTAACTATTATCCTCATCTTACAGTGTGATATTTTGAATATGCGTGATATTGCTCCCCTGTGTAAAATCCATTAGTGGCCCCCCCAAGCTTTGGGGATAAAGTCTCAATTTTTCACCAAGACCTTTGAGATACAGTTCCCAGCCTCCTTCCTGGCCACTCTCCCATCCTCTTGCACTTCATATTCGATCATAACACACTACTGCCAGTGTCTCAGTCTCTCCTTACTATTTCTCTCCACCCAGCCTCAACTATCCCACTCTGTCTAGCTCAAATGCCCTCTTTACTTCGTGATGGTCACTGCCTCCAAGTCATTCTTGCCCCTTTAGGATTTAAGTGCCCCTTCTGCTGGCTCCCATAAGATGGGCTTGTTTCTAGCATAGCACTCATACGACATGATACTTTTCCATCTCCCCAGCTAGACTGAGAGTTCTTTCAAAGGAGAGACAATTTTTAAATTTGCCTTTATGTTCTCAGCACCTAGCACAGAATATTTGTACATATTAGGTGTAAATGTTGGTTAAATGAATGGTTTAGGATTTCTGTCTTAAATACTGTAATCAAAAACTAATCTCAAGTTCAATCTTCATATTTCATTGCATTATTGCAAACTGTCGAAATATTACTGATATTAATCGGGTGGTATATTAGTCAGGACTTTTTTGGTGGCAAGTTACAGAAATCTAATTCAAATTGGCTAAAGCAAAAAGGGGCAATTTCCTGGCTCAGTAACCAGACCACAGGGATGAATGGGCTCAGTGACCAGGAAGGCCCTTTATTTCAGCCTCTCACGTCCATTTCTTCCTCGGGTTGTGTCATCTTCTCCTTTGTAGAGGAAAGATTTCTCTCTCCCAAGTTTAGTTTTTTCAATCCCAGAAATGTATTTGGCCTATGCAGCAAAGCCCCAAGGGTTCACATTAGTAAAGGCAGTAATGTCTGTTTTCATTCTATTTTTAAATCAATAAATACATGTAATAATTTAAATTTGTACATTTCCCTTTTAGAATGGAACATTTGAGAGTCTCTGAGTAAACATGCACAGAGGTTTGGGAAGGTGAATTTGCTCATGAGACAATAACTCATTCTGTTTATTACTCCACTAAATATTGCCAAAGCGGGGCAGAGTTGCTCCTGCCTGTAATCCTAGCACTTTGGGAAACCGAGGGAAGAAGATCCCTTGAGCCCAGGAGTTCAAGACTAACCTGAGCAACATAGTTTTGTAGAGACAAGACAAACCTTGTCTCTACAAAAAATAAAAAATCAGCTGAGAGTGGTGGCACATACCTGTAGTCCCAGCTACTTGGGAGGATGAGGTGGGAAGATCACTTAAGCCCGGGAGGTCAAGGCTGCAAGGAGCTATGATTGTGCCACTGCACTCCAGCCTGGGTGACACAGCAAAAACCTGTCTCAGGAAAAAAAAAAAATAAATAAAATAAAATAAAATAAAACAAAAAATACTGCCAGCTTTCATGACAGTTTTGACCATTTCATGACTTTAAAAATCTTTGTCTTTTACTAGTCACATTGGGTTAGGGGGAAAATGTTATCTTTCATAGATAAATACTGTTTACATAGTACAAAGATTTCTCAAACCTGGTCACTATTGACATTTGGGGTCAGATAATTCTTTGCTGTGGTAGGCTGTCCTGTGCAATGGAGGAGTTCAGCAGCATCTAAACTCTACTCACTAGATGACAGTAGCTCCCCCATTTTCAGTGTTGTGACAATCAAAAATGTCTCCAGACCTTGCCAAATGTCCCCAGGAAGTCAAAATTCCTCCCCCTCACTCCACCTTTGAAAACCACTGACTTATTCTATAGTAGACAACTGGTTAAAGACATGAAGCACAAAGAACAAGGACATTGACATGTAACCAGTATGAGGGGCATAAAAATGATTATTTTACACAATTGCCTCAAGGAGATCTTCACCAGATCTGTAAGTTGCATACAGAAACTCAAAATTAATGTACAGCCTATACTGTTTTTA
The DNA here is from genome assembly GCF_000001405.40 of Homo sapiens. Lineage (NCBI taxonomy): Eukaryota > Metazoa > Chordata > Mammalia > Primates > Hominidae > Homo > Homo sapiens. The sequence continues at coordinate 39,414,304 of NC_000004.12, forward strand.
GAAAAAAAAAAAAAACAGTGCTTTTAAAATGTTAAAAGAGGAAATAATATTTAATCATCAACATGATTACATCTAGTTTGGCTTTTCACATATCGAGAATAAAGACTGTCCCTCCTGGCTTTGCCTTATTTGTGAAATACTTGAAAGAGCTGCCCCAAACCATTTTTCTTATATTAAGCATTAGTTATTTCTTAACCATTAATATTTTCTTATATTAACCATTCATGAACAAAACACTAATCTTACTTTTTAAAAAAGCTTTTCCTTTTTTAAAAAGCAAAATTCGGCCAGGTGTGGTGGCTCACACCTGTAATCCCAACACTTTGAGAGGCCAAGGTGGGCACATCACGAGGTCAGGAGTTCGAGACCAGCCTGGCCAACATGGTGAAACCCCATCTCTACTAAAAATACAAAAATTAGCCAGGCGCGATGGTGGGTGCCTGTAATCCCAGCTACTCGGGAGGCTGAGGCAGGAGAATTGCTTGAACCCGGGAGGCGGAGGTTGCAGTGAGCCAAGATCATGCCACTGCACTCTAGCCTGGGTAACAGAGCAAGACTCTGTCTCAGGAAAAAAAAAAAAAAAAAAAGCAAAATTCAACTATTCAAACAAAATGTTATATAAGCAACGTTTATCCATTTTTGATGCTATAACATTGTGTTTCACAAAGTTTGGTGGGGGTTGGGTTTTTTGGTTTGTTTTTTGAGAAGGAGTGATTCTCCTGCCTCAGCCTCCCAAGTAGCTGGGATTACAGGAATGTGCCACCACTCACGGCTAATTTTTGTATTTTTAGTAGAGACGGGGTTTCACCATGTTGGCCAGGCTGGTCTCGAACTCTGGGCCTTGGGTGATAGACCCGCCTCGGCCTCTCAAAGTGTTGAGATTACAGGCGTGAGCCACTGCGCCTGTCCAAAGTTTGGTTTTTTATGTGTCACTTTATGTTCTATTTTTCTGGTTTTCTGTTTGTATACATATCTATACATATCTAAGTATCATTATGTACTATTGTTTACTAAAATATTTTTCTGTTAGAAATATATTTTGAGGCCAGGTGAAGTGGCTCATGCCTGTATTCTCAACACTTTGGGAGGTCGACACAGGAGGGTTGCTTGAGCTCAGGAGTTCGAGGCTGCAGTGAGCTGTGATCATGCCTCTGCACTCCAGCTTGGGTGATAGAGGGAGACTGCATCTCTAAAAAAATAAAAAATAAATAAAATTTCAAAAATATTTAAGTCATAAAATGCTTGTCCTTATTACATAATGAAAATAATTTAAATAATGTGCATTATTTATTAGATGGTAAAATGCCCAAATTTATGTGCATGTGTTATTAGCATTTAAAATATTTATTCTATTAATGTTTTAAATTTAAATAGGCCTTAAAATACAATAGTCAATAAAGTATATTTACATAAAATAAAGCATATGTCAACGCTTTTTATATTTTTTTATTACCACACACAAATGATGAAATAATTTTTTAAATTCCTCATGGGTTCAAGAGATTGCTTAACACTGTGAAAGTGGCTTTCAGGATAAGATATGTTGGGAAACCCTACTCTAGGTCAAGGCCTCACCAACTTTTTCCTGAGCCTAGGATAAAACTGGATTTCTTTCCTATTTTTCCACTTCTTTGACTAACTTTGTTTTAACATTTCCTGGCATAATTCCTTCACAGAAGCTCACACATGCTGGACACGTGTTAGGCATTCAATGAGTAATTGATTATTTTCAATTTAAGGAAGATCTACCTTGTTCCAGAAAGGATTTAAACCTGCAACAACAACAAAAAAAAAGTAGATTGCAGACACACACACACACACACACACACACACACAGGCTAAACATTAGTCTTTCCAGAACACTCAAATCAATTAGATATGTCTCTTTAAAATATTGTACATTAAAAACCCATCTTGAAACAAGCTGCAGAATTTTGATGGCTGTTAAAACTCAGTGATGTGTTTATGAGGGTTTATTATTGTTTCTATTTTTGTGTATTATGACAATTTCCATAATTAAAAGTAAAAAAATAAGTAGCATAAGAAGGTAAAGAGAATATTTTACATTTAAAAATAAAAGACTTTTTCCAACAAGAAACTAAAAAAAACTTTTTTTAAATCTTCATATAGTTCTCTTCTTAAAGGCTCTGTTAAAATTATTAAACAAAATTTAGTATTTAAACTGCAAAAACAAGGGTCAAGTGCAGTGACTCATGCCGGTAATCCCAACACTTTGGGAGGCTGAGGCAGGAGGATTGCTTGACTCCAGGAGTTCAAGATCAGCCTAAGCAACGTAGTGAGACTTCGGTCTCTACAAAAAATGAAAATAAAAATGAGCTAGGCATGGTGGCATGAGCCTGTAGTTACCGCTACTGGGGAGGCTGAGGTGAGAGAATTGCTTGAGCTCAAGAATTCAAGTTTAAAGCTATGATGGCACCACTGGACTCCAGCCTGGGTGACAGGGTGAGACCCTGTCTCAAAAAGTAAATAATAAAACTGCAAAAACAGCCGTGAAAATGCCACCATTCCCATGATTAATAGCTAAGCCTTCTTTGCCAACGGACTGCTGCAACTGCTTTCTTGAACATGAAGAAGGCTGCAGTGTTTCTTAGGCACATTTAAGTAAACAAAATGTCATTTTAAAGACTCTTTTGCCCAAATCCCCCACCAATGTCTTGAAGATTAAGTGTAATATTTTGAAATGGAAATACTAGATGGAGCCTTTTTAGTTTGTCTTGGTTATATAGAAGCAAAATCTCCAAGGATTATCTGAAATTATTTTCTTTAATTGAAAAAAAGGATTTTTTTAAAACTCCCTTGGTAAAGTCAGGTTTCAGGAGAATAACGTATCATAATTAATTTGTGCTAAGTCTTATAGCTAAAAAATTAGCCAAGCTTTTTTTTTTGACAAAGGACGAAAGAAAGAGGGTTAAAACAAACAACAAAACCTATTACTTTCTTCCTTCCACCACTTTCCCCTCCCACATCAAAAAAGTGGTTTTTTGTTTGTTTGTTTGTTTGTTTGTTTGAGACGGAGTTTCGCTCTTGTTGCTCAGGCTGGAGTGTAATGGCGTGATCTCAGCTCACCGTAACCTCAGCCTTCCAGGTTCAAGCAATTCTCCTGTCTCAGCCTCTGAGTAGCTGGGATTACAGGCATACACCGCCACGCCTGGCTAATTTTGTATTTTTGGCAGAGACAGAGTTACTCCATGTTGGTCAGACTGGTCTTGAACTCCTAACCTCGGCCTCCCAAAATGCTGGGATTACAGGCATGAGCCATTGCACCCAGCCCAAAATGCTTTTTTAAAAAAAAGAAGAAAGAATAAAGAACAGTCTTAATTCTTAAAGTGAAGGACTGAGACAATTATTACAGATAACTTTTTGACATTCTATCATATTCTTTTAAATTACTATTGTAAGAACTTTTATTGCATACATACTGTAATATCAGAAACATACTAGGTACCTGTAATATATTATCTCATTTAATTCACTCATCAGCTTTGCCAGGTAGGTGTTCTGAAACTCAACTTACAATTGATGAAACTGAGGCCCAGAGAAATTTGCCCAAGATTACATAGAGGATAAGTATCAAAGCCAAAATTAAAGTCTGATCTGTGTCAATCCAAGCTAGCAAGTTCTGATGACATAAATCAGCTGCCCCGCTTCAATGAAAAAAAATTTACAGCTTCAAAACCCATGTCCATCACTTGTTTTGATACTGTCTCAGCAGATATTTTACTTTGCTTTGCTTATTAAAAGGCCAGAACAATCTCTCTACATGTTTAATTTGTCCATGAGATCTATGAACCATTTATCCCCTGACTCATATATTAAAAGTTGGGTTTTTCATTTGTCCTCATGATTTTAATTATTTGCTCAAAATTTAGCATCCCATTAAAGTGATGTTAAATCACTGAAGTGTGCCCTTGACAATATCTTTTTTATTTTTTTTGAAGAGTCTCGCTCTGTCACCTAGGCTGGAGTAGTGCAGTGGTGCAATCTCGGCTCACTGCAACCTCCACCTCCTGGTTCAAGCGATTCTCCTGCCTCAGCCTCCCAAGTAGCTAAGACTACAGGCGTGAGCCACCGTGCCAGCTGATTTTTGTACTTTTAGTAGAGATGGGGTTTCGCCATGTTGGCCAGGCTGGTCTTGAACTCCTGACCTCAAATGATCCATCCACCTCAGCCTCCCAAAGTGCTGGGATTACAGATGTGAGCACTGTGCCCGGCCATATCATCTAGAGTTAGCACAGTTCTTCATTTGATTAGCTAAGGCATGGTACCTGCATATAATGCCAACCCATCTCCATCACGATCTAAGACACCTCTAACAAAATACAGTATAAGAAATACTGATCAGGCCGGGCACAGTGACTCACCTCTGTAATCCCAGCACTTTGGGAGACTGAGGCAGGTGGATCACTTGAGGTCAGGAGTTCAAGATTAGACTGGCCTACATGGTGAAATCCCGTCTCTACTAAAAATACAAAACTTAGCTGGGTGTGGTGGTGCAAGCCTGAAATTCCAGCTACTTGTGAGGCTGAGGCAGGAGAATCGCTTGAACCCAGGAGGCAGAGGTTGCAGTCAACTGAGATCGCACCGCTGCACTCCAGCTTGGATGTCAAAGATGCCATCTCTAAAAAAAAAAAAAAAAAGAAAAAAGAAATACTGACCAAATACATTAAAACTATTATTATTATAGATGTTTTAAACTAAGTTTGAATAAATTATGAAAACTGCTTGTGGAGAATTGCCAAAGAGAATTTCTATAACCAGAATACCACTGTTAGTTATAAGAATCGTGTAAAAAAAAAACTTTTTCAACTACGACTGGTATTCTAAAACCTTCAAGAGAGCAATATTTACTTTTTCTAACCATTAAGTAGAAAAAGTTATACTTCAGTAAATGATTAACAAGAGTTTAAATAAACGTAATTATAAATGCTCAGAGAATAATATTGCGATCCTATTTAAACAGCTTGATTTGATATGAGCACTCTCATACATGGAAAATCAGACCCAAATGGAGATCAGAAAATATTTTAAGTAATGGAAACAGTGCTGGACATGATGAAACTATGAACTGAGGGAAACTTTACATGACTTTATAATATAAAATAAGTCATGTAATAACATATAGAAAGTTTTACTGAGCAAACTCAACATTCGAAAACAGCCTATTTTTGGCCGAGCACGGTGGCTCACGCCTGTAATCCCAGCACTTTGGGAGGCTGAGGTGGGTGGATCATCTGAGGTCAGGAGTTCAACACCAGCCTGGCCAACATAGTGAAACCTGTCTCTACTGAAAATACAAGAAAAATAAGCTGGGTATGGTGGCGTGTGCCTGTAATCCCAGCTACTCGGGAGGCTGAGGCTGGAGAATTGTCTGAGCCCAGAAGGCGGAGGTTGCAGTGAGCCAAGATCGCACCACTGCACTCCAGTCTGGGCGACAGAGCAATTCCATCTCAAAAAAAAAAAAAAAAAAAAATTAGCTGGGCGTAGTGGTGGGTGCCTATAGTCCCAGCTGCTTAGGGGGCTAAAGCAGGAGAATCGCTTGAACCTGGGAGGCGGAGGTTGCAGTGAGCCAAGATCGTGCCACTGCACTCCAGTCTGGGCAACAAGAACAAAACTTCATCTCAAAAAAAAAAAAAAAAAAAGGCTATTTTAAAAAGAAAAAGATATGATTAAAACTACTGAACATTAACAACAATTCTGTTGCTGAAAAGTAGTAGGGAAGCTGAGAATAGACCAGAACCTTCTAATTTACTGGCCAGTGAAGAGTGAATCACAGAAGTAATTAAAGTAATCCTTGGGTGATCTAGTAGTGTTACTTGAAAATGTTTCTGGGTAACCCTGAGGTTGGTGAAAGCCAGGATCTTTTAGTATTTGGGGGAGTTCATTGCTTGGTTCTGCTTAATGTCATATCTTGACCAGAGATTACATGACCAAAGTCTTGAGTAAAGGGCCAGGGTCTACTGTTATGAGTTTTTCTTTCATGTTAATCATGTATAATACATGACTCCTCCTTACATTGTTTTGAACATCAACGTATTATTATAGAGGACAAAATATTCCTTAATATAGAATGAAATTCAGAGTAGCTGAACTTTACATTTAAGTCTGCTTTTTCCTTTGAGATTTTTGGAAGTCGGGGGAAGCTGAAGAGTGATAGCATAGAACAATCAAAGTCACCAACAGGAACAGTTTCAACCAATACCCTTGACTTCTTTTTTTTTGAGATAGGGTCTTACTCTGTTGTCCAGGCTGGAGTGTAGTGGCATGATCATGGCTCACTGCAGCCTCAACTTCCTGGGCTCAAGTGATCCTCCTGCCTCAGCCTCCCGAGTAGCTGGGACTACAGGTGCACCTGGCTAACATTTTTAGTTTTTGTAGAAACAAGGTCTGACTCTTGTTGCCCAGGCTGGTCTTGAACTCCTGGGTTCAAATGATCCTCCCACTTCAGCCTTCTAAAGTGCCGAGATTACAGGCATGAACCACCATGCCCAACCCAACTTTTTTAAACTACAAAAATAATGCATTTGTATTGCAAAACATTCAAACAACACAGAAACACATTGTTAAAAATAAAGGTTCTCTTCTTTCCTTACTCCCTAACCACACACCACGGGAAGTAACCACTGCCAGCAATTTGTTCAATGTTCAAATTTTTTTCTATGTATATATGTACACATAACATATACATACATATAGTGATTTTTGAATCGTATTATTACATTTAGTTTCAGTTATTATTTCTCAATAATCAAAATGTAAAAGCATACTGTTTTTATTTCACTCATTTCCATATTTTTTTCTCCTGTTAGACACCATAGATCATCTAAAGGCAGGGGCTACCTTGTTTTTCTAAATGTCTATTACAGTGCCTTGTATTTGTTAAATAAATGTTTGTAGACTTGAATTTAAATAAATAAAGTAAATGGATGAAGAGTGACAAAAGGGATAAAATAATAGCTGGAGGTTGAAGGAAACTCAGACAAATAAAAGTGACTTATCTAAACATGTTTTTGTTGATGTATATAACTTTGTGTAATGAACAGGATGAAACGTAAGGTAATGCTGATGAATTCTCCATTTGATTGGGTTCTGAGGGGCACCCCAGGTGGTGAAGTGGGATGCAGGCATAATCAAAACTATGACTCCGACCAGGCACAGTGGCTCATGTCTGTAATCCCAACACTTTAGGAGGCCAAGGTGGGCGGATCACTTGAGGTCGGGAGTTCAAGACCAGCCTGGCCAACACGGCAAGACCCCGTCTCTACTAAAAATACAAAAAATAATTTAGCTGGGCATAGTAGCCCGTGCTTATAACTCCAGCTACTCGAGAGACTGACGCAGGAGAATTGCTTGAATCTGGGAGGTAGAGGTTGCTGTGAGCAGAGATCCTGCCATTGCACTCCAGCCTGGGCAACAGAGCAACACTCCGTCAAAAAAAAAAAAAAGACAAGGTCTCACTCTGTCACCCAGACTGGAGCTCAGTGGTGCGATCAGCTCACCCTAACCTCCGCCTCCCAGGCTCAAGCAATTCTCCTGCCTCAGCCTCCCAAGTAGCTGGGATAACAGGCATGTGCCACCACTGCCCTGCTAATTTTTGTATTTTTAGTAGAGGCAGGGTTTCACCATGTTGGCCAGGCTGATCTCGAACTCCTGACCTCAAATGATCCACCCCCTTCGGCCTCCCAAAGTGTTGGAATTACAGGCATGAGCCACCACGCCCGGCCGCCTCTGAGTGTTTCTTAGAGGCTTTCTCAGTCTACTGTCCCTTGGTTTTGTGTCATGTCTGTTGCATACCCCTTGCATTTTCACAGCCTGTTCAATCACCTTCGGGTCTACGGTGTAAAAGTGTATTTCAAAGGCACATAATTTAATTTGCACGATATCCTGGAATGACAGTGAACTAGGAAGGTGAAGGACTTAGTTCTATTTCTAGCTTTACCACTAACTGATATCTTGGGCAGGTCATTTATGTGGGAGAGAGGGAGGTTCAGCTTCTTCATCTATAATAGAAACTTTTAAAAATTGAACAAAATGACCTCTGAGGTCCACACTCTACCTCTAACTGGCAGGCAAGAGCACATAGGGCGATATAGCCTGGGCCTGATTCACCTTGTGCAAGTTACCTAACCTCTCCACCCCCTGGTTTCCTCTCCTCTAAGTGGGAATGATCACAGTACCTACCTCGCAGAATTTCAGTGAGGATTAGGTGAGAGAGTATACACACAACACCTGGAACAGTGTCCGGCACATTTGGTACTAGATATGTGTTAGCTCTTATTAATATTTATATTATTCAATTTCTATGGCTCTTATTTCCATTACTGTTCTGTTACATTCAGTTATGAAAATCACTCATCTCTAAGACCCTTTTAATTATTACTTGATTGAATGCCATGCTGTTCTAAATGCTATGCAGACAAGGATCTCTGTCCTTTCAGTCTAACTTTTTTTTTTTTTTGAGACAGAGTCTTGCTCTGTCACCCACACTGGAGTGCAGTGGTGTTATCTTGGTTCACTGCAGCCTCCACCTCCTGGGTTCAAGTGATTCTCCTGCCTCAGCCTCCCGAGTAGAGTAGCTGGGACTACAGGCGCATGCCACAATGCCTGGCTAATTTTTGTATTCTTAGTAGAGACAGGGTTTCACCATGTTGGCCAGGCTGGTCTCAAACTCCTGACCTCAAGTGATCCACCCATCTCAGCCTTCCAAAGTGCTGGGATTACAGGCGTGAGCCACCGCTCCCGGCCTCAGTCTAACATTGACAATGGTGTAAAGATCACCATTCACAGGGGAAGACAATCCAGCACAGGGGTGGTCCCTGAGGGATTCACTTAGCTTTTGACATCAGTGAGGAAAATAATCCAACGCTAACGTTACTGGTTTTAGGAGAGAGGTGAATCGAGAATTACATATAAATGTTACACATAGAAGCGCTGTGCTAGGCACTTGGACAACTAATGGTTTTCTGAACACCCCAAATTTGCTGACAGGTCCTCCATGACCTCTCTAGATGATACTGAATTCCAAAGGTATATAGATATTTTTCTCTCAACATGCAATTGTGGAATGTAGTACCCTCATTCGAGGACTATTTAGCTCTTTTAATAACCAAGTACAGCAGAGAGAAAATGTAATTTTAAAACAATATGTCAAATGGTCTTTCCCGAATAGCTTCAAAATTTAGAACTGGCAGGACATACAGAAAGCAGGATGGTGTAATAAAGTGGGTTCAAATCCCAGCTCTGCAACTGTAAACTTCAATTTCTTTTCTAAAATGGGAAAAATAAGACTTGTCTTGCAGAAGCTGTATTATCAATAAGGTACGTCAAGTAACCAACAAACTAGCTGATCCATAATAGGCATTCATTCAACAAATATTCTAGGCCAGGCCCTCCCCTGGGCATCTGTGTGGACAACTGTGAACACAATAAATATAGTCAGTCTCTGCCCTCAAGAAGCTAATAGACCTGGTGTGGAGCCACACTGCACGAGCCTGAGACTTTTACAATAGTGGGGAAGGATCTTTTTTTTAAAATAAAAAAAATTTTAAAGGGAGACAAAAATCAGTACAAAAGTAAATATCTGGCCAGGTACAGTAGCTCAGGCACTTTGGGAGGCCAAGGCAGGAGGATTGCTTGAGTTTGAGACCAGCCTGGGCAACATAGTGAGACCCTGTCTCTGCAAAAATAAATAAATGAGCATTTATTTAGAATGAGAAAAACATCACAATAAATTATGATAGTTATTTTTTGTTTTTGTTTTTGTTTTTGAGACAGGTCTCATTCTGTCACCCAAGCTGGAGTGCAGTGGCACAATCACGGCTCATTGCAGCCTCAACCTCCGTGGGCTCAGGTGATCCTCCCACCTCAGCCTCCTGAGTAGCTGGGATTACAGGTGCACACCACCATACCCAGCTAATTTTTGTATTTTTTGTAGAGACGAGGTTTTGCCATGTTGGCCAGGCCGGTCTCGAACTCCTGGGCTCAAGTGATCCACCAGCCTTGGCTTCCCAAAGTGCTGGGATTACAGACATGAGCTACCACGCCTAGCACAATAAATTACTATAGCCTTAGAGTCCTTTTTTTCTAAAGTCTCTTTAGGGAATTTGCAAGAACTGCTCACCTAGAAATGCTTCCAATTGCAACTAGGCTCCCTGACCCACCCAGGGCATTTCTAGGGACGTAGGTAAGCAAGGCGACCTGAAGCTAAAGCTTCATTAGGCTCACAGTAAATCTGGCTTTGCTGCAGGCTCTACACGTGATGGCCCTTGTTTTTATTATTATAATAATTTGTAATCTCCATGGTGGTTTCTTTTTCTTTTTCTTTTTTTGAGATGGAGCTTCGCACTGTTGCCCAGGCTGGAGTGCAGTGGCGCTATCTCGGCTCACTGCAACCTTTGCATCCCGGGTTCAAGCGATTCTGTTTCAGCCTCCCTGGTAGCTGGGACTACAGGCATGTGCCACCACGCCTGGCTAATTTTTGTATTTTTAATAGAGATGGGGTTTCACCATGTTGGCCAGGCTGTTCTCGAATTCCTGACCTCAAGTGATCCACCCGCCTCGGCCTCCCAAAGTGCTGGGATTACAGGTGAGAGCTACTGTGCCAGGCCTCCATGGTGGTTTATATGTTGACTATCTGTATTCCCAAATCCTGAGGAAAGGCTTCAAGTCACCAACCCAGACCATTTTAGCTTCAGTTATACCATGAGATATAGTCCTTTTGCATGAAAAAATTACTATCAGGATCACTAACAAAAAGCCTTAAATATCATTACACCCTCTACAAAGATGGCATGCAAATGCTCTCCTCCGGCAAAGAGAACTTCACTAAAGCACTAATTTACTAATGCTGATTTCTTCCAATTTCTAATAGAGGGAAACTAGATGCTTCATTTAATCAAATTATGAACTTTATTCTAGACTTTTTTCCTTTTGTGTTGCCAGGTATAGATTCTGGCTCAGCCACTAGTCTAATTTAGTAATATTATCATTGAAATCAGAATTCTTTAACAGGACATTTGTTTTAAAGGAACAAATATGCTAGAGTTTAGTTTTTACATTCCTTCAGGAAAATTCTGAGACAATACAAACTGAGAATAATCAATAATTTGTTAGAATAATTTTTTTTTAAGACAAGGCCTTGCTCTGTCACCCGGGCTGGAGTGCAGTGGTGTGAACACAGCTCAAACACAGCTCACTACAGCCTTGACCTGCTGGACTCAAGTGATCCTCCCACCTCAGCCTCTTGAGTAGCTGGGACTACAGGCACATGCCACCATGCCCAGCTAATTTTTGTATTTTTTGTAGAGATAGAGTTTTGCCATGTTGCCCAGGCTGGTCTTAAAACTCCTGGGCTCAAGCAATCCATCCTCCTTGGCCTCCCAAAGTGCCAGGATTATAGGCATGAGCCACCACATCTGGCCAGAAAATTTGAAAATATAATGATTGAAAAAGAATAGGGAGAAATTCATTAAAATGTAATACTGAGTTATTTCAACTATAGAAAACATGAATTTGGGCCAGGCGCAGTGGCTCATGCCTGTAATGTCAGCACTTTGGGAGGCTGAGGCGGGCGGATTACTTGAGGTCAGGAGCTTGAGACCAGCCTGGCCAACATGGTGAAACCCCGTCTCTACTAAAAACACAAAAACTAGGCCGGGCGCTTGGCTCACACCTGTAATCCCAGCACTTTGGGAGGCCGAGGCGGGCGGATCACTATGTCAGGAGATTGAGACCATCCTGGCTAACATGGTGAAACACCATCTCTAATAAAAATACAGAAAATCAGCCAGGCGTGGTGTCGGGCACCTGTAGTCCCAGCTACTCAGGAGGCTGAGGCAGGAGAATGGCGTGAACCTGGGAGGTGGATGTTGCAGTGAGCCGAGATTGTGACACTGGTCTCCAGCCTAGGCGACAGAGCGAGACTCCATCTCAAAAAAAAAAAAAATTAGCCAGGTGTGGTGGTGCATGCTTATAGTCCCAGCTACTCAGGAGGCTGAGGCAGAAGAATGGCTTGAACCAGGGAGAAGAAGGTTGCAATGAACTGAGATCGCGCCACTACACTCCAGCTGGGTGACAGAGCAAGACTCCTATCTAAAAAAAAAAAAAAAAAAAAAAAAAGGGCCATGAAATTTGGACCATTAAAAATAGGATGGTGAATATTTTCTTTATGAAAGGCTGTAACTTTTGTTAATATTTAAATTCTTTCCTAAGAAAAGCAAAGGTAAAATAATGATTGCAAAAGAGTTTCAAGATTGCCAAAAACTTTTTAAAAAAATAGTCACATAATATAATTAAAGAAATAATTGTCACATAATTTTATAATTTTTTAGCAATGAACAGTAAAGGTCACATACCTTAAGCATCCAATAATTTTTTTTTTTTTAAGAGACGGGGTCTTGCTCTGTTGCCTGGGCTGGAGTGCAGTGGCATGATCATAGCTCATTGCAGCCTTGACCTCCTGTGCTCAAGCAATCCTTCCATCTAATCCTCCTGAGTAGCTGGGACTACAGGCATGCCACCATGCCTGGCTCATTTTCTTAATTTTTAGTAGAGAAAGAGAGTCTCACTATATTGCCCAGTCTGGTCTTGAACTCCTGGCCTCAAGTGATCCTCCCACCTCAGCCTCCCAAAGTGCTGAGAGTACAGATGTGAGCCACAGCATCCAATAAATATTTGTAGACTGCAGCATGGATGAATGAATGAATGTTAAACAATCTGGAAGAGCAGCATTTGGTAATTAACATAAAAGTTGATAGTAGGCTGGCACAGAGACAGAGACTTAGGCTGGCGGATTGCTTGAGGCCAGGAGTTCGATACCAGCCTGAGCAACATAGTGAGAGGTTGTCTTTACAAAACAAACAAATTAAAAAATCAGCTTGAGGCCGGACGCGGTGGTTCATGCCTGTAATCCCAGCACTTTGGGAGGCCAAGGCAGGCAGATTGCTTGAGGTCAGGAGTTCAAGACCAGCCTGGCCAACAGGGTGAAACCCTGTCTCTACTAAAAATACAAAAATTAGCTGGGCGTGGTGGCAGGTACCTGTAGTCCCAGCTACTCAGGAGGCTGAGGCAGAAGAATCACTTTAACCCAGGAGGCAGAGGCTGCAGTGAGCCAAGACCGAGCCACTGCACTCCAGCCTGGGTGACAGAGGGAGACTCTGTCTCAAAAAAAAAAAAAAAAAAATCAACTTGATACCAAAATAGAGAAGGGCTAAGCAGATGAAAAGATGAATCAAATTGAAATTAATCCCAAAAGGACAACGAGTAAAACTCAGGAAGCTGCAAACAATAAATGAGGGCAAACATGTTCAGCCACGAGCCTTGGCAAGTAAAGGCTTGGGAGCTATTTGCAGAACACTCTTCACGTCCACACAGTCTCCATTACGATTTTCTAGACCAAGTTAAATTATTTTCAGCTTGCTCTTTCAAAGTACTTCAAATTTACGTTTGTGTCATTTTCACAGGGTCTTCACAGATATTATTGCCTCATTTGACGTTCACGAAAATTCTCTAGGGTGTTTATTTTTAGCTCAGTAGAATGAAGGGAAAAACAGGTCTTTGACAGTGAAATGATCTGTCCAAGATCGTAAAGCTGATGAGTCAGCAGAGCTAATACAAGAGCCCAGGTCTCCTGCTTTCAAGACCAATGTTATTTCCCGTATAGTACCAGGTAGATGAGTAGCACCTTTATATCATTCTCAAATGCCATTTATCCCCTAATAGAGCTGTCAATGTTTTATATCCCATGGTCACAGAACACTCACACCAGTGGACAAAATGTATGGAAAGCGATTTGGGAATATTTAAAACAATTTTAGAAATAGGTAGTCCAGGCCGGGTGGCTCACGCCTGTAACCCCAGCATTTTGAGAGGCCAAGGCAGGCGGATCACCTGAGGTCAGGAGTTCAAGACCAGCTTGGCCAACATGGTGAAACCCCGTCTCTACTAAAAATACAAAAAATTAGCTGGGTGTGGTGATGGGTGCCTGTAATCCCAGTTACTCAGGAGGCTGAGGCAGAAGAATCGCTTCAACCCAGGAGGTGGAGGTTGCAGTGAGCTGAGATCACACCATTGCACTCCAGCCTAGGCAACAAGAGTGAAACTACGTCTCAAAAAAAAAAAAAAGAATGAAAGAAAAGAAATAGGTAGTCCATTCCTGGCATTAATGAAAGGCAATGATTCAAATAAATTAAAGGTTATATGCCCAAAGTTAGCTATTGAAACATTTATGACAGGAAAAGAGAAAGAACAAAAGAACGAAGAAAAATAAATTTTTATCAAAAGACAGAGATAGCTAAGTAAATCATTATTATACTAAGATATTCTGAAAACCAAAAACAGCGTGGAAGATGTTTAAAGTGATTTTATTTCTTAAATTTTTATTTATTTATTAGTTTAATTATTTCAAGATGGAGTTTTGCTCTTGTTGCCCAGGCTGAAGCGCAGTGGCGTGATCTCGGCTCACTGCAACCTCTGCCTCCCAGGGTTCAAGCCATTCTCCTGCCTCAGCCTCCCGAGTAGCTGGGACTACAGGTGCCCGCCACCATGACCGGCTAATTTTTGTATTTTTAGTAGAGACAGGGTCCCACCATGTTGGCCAGGCTGGTCTCAAACTCCTGATCTCAGGTGATCCCACCCACCTCCACCTCCCAAAGTGCTGGGATTACAGGCATGAGCCATGGCACCCGGTCTTAAAGTGATTTTAGCTGGGAAATATGTTTGGAAAGCCTGGGTGGGAACACAGAAATATAAACCTATTTTGTTATGCTTGTGGAGTTTTTAAATAAACTTTCTTTAACCATTGTTATTTAATAGTCTATTAAATAGCTTAAACAACAGACACTTTTATAGTACACATGAACATATTTCAGCCAAAATGTGACCAAACTCATGCACAGATTTGGAAATGGAACTTTTGACAAATGACTGAGGGTTCCTTGAATACACTGGTGTGATGTGTTTGGCTTGCTCATCTGTCTTCAACCCATCTTTCCAACAGTGTCCTGTCATGTCTTCCTCTGGCTCCTAATCCCTTCTTCATCTATTTCTAAAGTTGTGCCTACTATCTTATTTGTTTCCTATCATCCACAGAATTTATCTGAGTCTGGACTTCCAGGGGCATCAAAAAATGCTGCCACATTAAACTGGAGGAGAGAACAGAATGAGATATTAGGTCCTGGTTGTCTCTCAATGACATTAGGGCCTGATAGCTGGCTCCAAAAGAAAAAGAAGCTGACTTTCCCTTTAAGCTACTGAATCTAAAGAACAAAGGTTGAAGCTCCCTTAAATCAATCATTACAGAGGTAGATGGCTTTGTACAAATTAGAGGGTGACCTTGGAAAAGTGTAGAATGGCTGTTGTGCAAGGTTGCAGGGCCCAGGTTGCACTCCCCTACTAACCTCATTTTAATTTTCCCAACAGATCTCCTTTATGAGTGCCCAACCAAAGAACACACATAGATGGATATGGCAAACTCACGATCTTGGAGCAAAATTTTTTACCTTGTTACTTGGCAAATAGGATCAAGTTATAACCAAAAGTACTGCACAGAGGACCTCCCCCACATTCTCTACATGAGAATGAAGAGGCTGTCTTCAGCCCAGAGCAAAGATAACCCTAGATACCTTGATAGCCTAGGCAAATAGCAGCAAAGGTGAAAGAGACACTGTGGAACGTGAAGGTCACCTTGACAACACATCCATATGTATATCCAGAAAACCTGCATGGAAAGCTACTGCAAAGATATGTCTTCTGAGCTCTACTGTTTCTCATTCAAAGGCTGATGTAACCAAGATTTTTATCACGACTTAGGTCATCTTTCATATAATCACTGAAATTTAGTGTCTGCAAAAGCAAGACATTAAATTTGCAAAGCAACAAGTTTAAGGCTCACAATCCAGGCTACACGGGCTCAGTGCTTTCCAGTTTGCATAGAGAGGTGCACAATAGGCCTGAAGGGAGGTGCTGATCACTGGGTCTTCCATGAATGATAGCTCTAAGGCTACCAAGGGATTAAGTGACTGGTTAGAAAAAAACAAAGAATTCCCTCCTTTGAATCCTAGTAATTTATGACTGCTTTTGTTTCTAATTAGAAAAAAAAAAAAGCGGTTCTCAAGAATTTCTGT
Organism: Homo sapiens; assembly: GCF_000001405.40. NCBI lineage: Eukaryota > Metazoa > Chordata > Mammalia > Primates > Hominidae > Homo > Homo sapiens. The sequence goes on from NC_000004.12 coordinate 39,430,443, forward strand.
CGTGATTCTAGCCCCAGAAAAACCCGGAAAGAATAGCTGAAACCATTTAAGGTAGTGTCTGTCCCAGGCCCCTCTGATTCTTCCAGAAGTTGCAATCTCAGGTTGGAGACAAGGAAAGAGGCTACATTCTGAATACTTCTCTGAGAGGAAATTTTTTTTTTTTTTTTTTTTTTTTTGAGACAGAGTCTTGCTCTGTCACCCAGGCTGGAGTACAGCGACTCAATCTAGGCTCGCTGCAACCTCCGCCTCCTGGGTTCAAGTGATTCTCCTGGCTCAGGCTCCTGAGTAGCTGGGACTACAGGCGCATGCCACCAAGTCCAGCTAATTTTTATATTTTTTTTTAGTAGAGAAGAGGTTTCACCATGTTGGCCAAGCTGGTCTCAAATCAAACTCCTGACCTCAAGTGATCTGCCCACCTCAGCCTCCCAAAGAGCTGAGATTACAGGCATGAGCCACTGCTCCCGGTTGGAAAGTTTTTTTTTTTTTTCCCCTGAGTCAGGGTGTCACTCTGTCCCCCAGGCTGGAGTGCAGAGGTGCCATCTCAGCTCACTGCAACCTCCGCCTCCCTGGCTCAAATGATCTTCCAACCTCAGCTTCCTGAGTAGCTGGGACTACAGGCACGTATCACCATGCCTGGCTAATTTTTGTATTTTTTTTTTTTTTTTTTTGTAGATACGGGGTTTCGTCATGTTGACCAGGCTGATCTCGAATTCCTGAGCTCAAGCAATCTTCCCACCTTGGCCTCCCAAAGTGTTGGGATTACAGATGTGAGCCACCCACCCAACCACCAACCAAGAGGAAAGCATTCCTTTTTTTTTGAAACGGAGTTTCACTCTTGTTGCCTAGGCTGGAGTGCAATGTCACGATCTCAGCTCACTGCATCACTGCAACCTCCGCCTCCTGGGTTCAAGCGATTCTCCTGCCTCGGCCTTCCGAGTAGCTGGGATTATAGGCATGCGCCACCACGACCGGCTAATTTTGTATTTTTAGTAGAGATGGGGTTTCTCCATGTTGATCAGGCTGGTCTGGAACTCCCGACCTCAGGTGATCCGCCCGCCTCGGCCTCCCAAAGTGCTGGGATTACAGGCATGAGCCACCATGCCCGGCCCGAGGAAAGCATTCTTAAGGATCCTTGGGAATACCTGGGTGCTAAATGGTACCAGAATCTTCCAATGAAAATTGAGTAAGGACAAGTGGACAGAGGTATACCTCAAGGAATTTATTTCTCCAGAAAATCTTCCAGGAATTTATTTAAATTGTTTTTTCTTGCATAAAGCAGGATGGCACGTTTCAGAATCCTCACCCCTTACCTCAATGCCTACTTTCCCCATCTAACAGGGTTTATGGAATATTTTCAGGGTCCACAGGATCGATCTGGTTTGAATCCATTGTTCATATCTGCTTGTCTTTGACCTACGTAAAAGGCAGTTTCAGATAGTTTATTCTGATATAAAATATCTCCAGTGAGCAAAAGAAAAGCTAAGGAACAAAACTGAAAGCAGGCTCTGTGTGCTAAAGATAATGAGTCTGTGCATTTGTTTTAGAAACACACAAATAGTGGGGGCCGGGTGCAGTGGCTCACGCCTGTAATCCCAGCACTTTGGGAGGCCGAGGTGTGTGGATCACCTGAGGTCAGGAGTTCGAGACCAGCCTGGCCAACATGGTGGAGCCCCACCTCTACTAAAAATACAAAAATTAACTGGGCATGGTGGTGCTCACCTGTAGTCTCAACTACTAGGGAGGCTGAGGTGGGACGATCACTTGAACCTGAGAGGTGGAGGTTGAGTGAGCTGAGATGGCACCACTGCATTCCAGCCTGGGTGACAGAGCAAGACTCTGTCTCAAAGAAAAAAAAAACAACTCAAATAATGGAGAAAATGAGAGACCAGGGAAGAGATGTCAAGAAACAAGCAAGTCAAATGCTGAGGGGAAGAGAGTGGTTCTGACACAGATGAAGGACAATTCCACAGCTAACTGGGACACAGAAGTGGCCTTGGCATTTAAGTGGCATGGAGTCCTTAATGTTTGCTCCTTCAGCTGTGGCTGTGACTGTTAACTCAGCCATGGCTTCTGGCTTTTAATTTTTTTTTAATTTAATGCCATATTTTATGCCATTTTATGTTTCTCTTTCACATGCTGCATCCTTATTTTCCTGATAAGAAACTTTCTGAGGGTAAGTTCCTGTGCCATCTATCTCAGTCTCTCAGCCCAGGGCAAGCCAGGCATGGAAGTAAGTGCTCAGGAAGTATCTATCATATTAAATGGACCAGAAACCCATCACGAGGCTGTGTTGTAAGAGAGCTCAACTGGAAATGCAAACTCCAGGAGGACCAATAATAATAACATCCACCTTTTGGCAGTACCTCCTACGTGCTCTATTCTGTGCTACATATTTCATGCATATATTAGCTCTAAACCAGACAACAACCTTATAGGGGATTTTTTTTTTTTTTGAGACAGAGTTTTGTTCTTGTCACCCAGGCTGGAGTGCGGTGGCACCATCTCTGCTCACTGCAACCTCTGCCTTCCCGGGTTCAAGCGATTATCCTGCCTCAGCCTCCCAAGTAGCTGGGATTACAGGTGCCTGCCACCATGCCCAACTAAGTTTTGTATTTTTAGTAGAGACGGTGTTTCACCACGTTGGCCAGGCCGGTCTCAAACTCCTGACCTCAGGTGATCCGCCTACCTCGGCCTTTCAAAATGCTGGGATTATAGGCATGAGCCACCCCGCCTGGTGGATATTGTTGTTATTAACCTCATTCTACAACTGAGGATACTAAGAGATTTCAGAAAGGTTAAGTGACTTGCCTAAGGTTACACAATGAGTACGTGAACTTCAAGCCTAGGTGTGCTGACCCCAAAGCTTACACTCTTTCCATTGGTCTTCTGCTGTGGGCAGTGCCGACCACCCTTTAATAATCATAGCAATAATAGCTAAGGCTTATATAGAGCTTACTCTGTGCTAGGCATGATTCTAAAGCAATTTACGCAGATTAACTCACTCAATTCTCACAACATCCCTAGGAGGTGGGCTCTATTATTACTCATTTATAGGATTCAGGGCCTGTGTTGTCCTGGACTTCTAAATTAGGACCAAAGGGAGATTCTGTAGAATGGTGAAAGATCACTGCTCTGGGCCAGGCGCGATAGCTCATGCCTGTAATCCCAACACTTTGGGAGGCCGAGGAGGGTGGATTACCTGAGGTCAGGAGTTCCAGACCAGCCTGACCAATATGGTGAAACCCTGTCTCTACTGAAAATACAAAAATTAGTCGAGCGTCGTGGTGTGCACCTGTAATCCCAGCTACTCGGGAAGCTGAGACAGGAGAATTGCTTGAACCTGGGAGGCGGAGGTTGCAGTGAGCTGAGATCGCACCACTACACTCCAGCCTAGGCGACAGAGAAAGACTCTGTCTCAAAATAAAATAAAAATAAAAAATAAAAAATCACTGCTATGTATCTTCTTATGTAGAGGAGGAAACCCTACACACTACCCCAAGAGGGCCCAGGAAGGGAGCCAGGCAGAGGGGAAATAAGAGCCTAGACTAGGCTTTCTGCCAGCCTCCAGCTCTCCTGTAGCAGAAGTTTTAGGTTGGAAGCACTAGGGGCATAGAGAACAGACTTTGAGGTCATCAGGGCTCCCTGGCAGCTTTCCCCTGAATCACTGTACGCTGCATTAATTTTATCCATGAAAAGGCCATTTACCAGCCATGTTACAGCCCTTGTAAGTGAGGACAACAAAGATCAATAATATTTTCTTCTTTTAGGCTCACTCGAAAGTTTGGCATAACTACAACACACATTTCCGCCCACATCAGAAGGGTTGGTTATCGATCACGTTGGGATCTCATTGGATCGAGCCAAACCGGTCGGAAAACACGATGGATATATTCAAATGTCAACAATCCATGGTTTCTGTGCTTGGATGGTTTGCCAACCCTATCCATGGGGATGGCGACTATCCAGAGGGGATGAGAAAGAAGTTGTTCTCCGTTCTACCCATTTTCTCTGAAGCAGAGAAGCATGAGATGAGAGGCACAGCTGATTTCTTTGCCTTTTCTTTTGGACCCAACAACTTCAAGCCCCTAAACACCATGGCTAAAATGGGACAAAATGTTTCACTTAATTTAAGAGAAGCGCTGAACTGGATTAAACTGGAATACAACAACCCTCGAATCTTGATTGCTGAGAATGGCTGGTTCACAGACAGTCGTGTGAAAACAGAAGACACCACGGCCATCTACATGATGAAGAATTTCCTCAGCCAGGTGCTTCAAGGTTGGTTGTACACTTGCTTAATTTTTTAAAAATTCTAAAAACTTACAGGATATTTAAAGTCACCTTTGAATATGTAACTATTATTGTTGGGCTTTTTTTTTTTTGAAACGGAGTTTCTCGCTGTCTCCCAGGCTGAAGTGCAGTGGCACCATCTTGGCTCACTGCAACCTCCGCCTCCTGGGTTCAAGTGATTCTCCTGCCTCAGCCTCCCAAGTAGCTGGGATTACAGGTGTCCACCACCACGCCCAGCTAATTTTTGTATTTTTAGTAGAGACAGGGTCTCACCATGTTGGCCAGGCTGATCTCAAACTCCTGACCTTAAGTGATCCGCCCGCCTCAGCCTCCCAAAGTGCTGGGATTACAGGCATGAGCCACCATGCCCGGCCTGGCCTTTTGTATTGTCCAATATTTTTTTTTTAAATGGAGCCACTCTGTGGCCCAGGCTGGAGTGCAACAGTGCAATCTTGGCTCACTGCAACCTCTGCCTCCTGGGTTCAAGCAATTCTCCTGCTTCAGCCTCCTGAGTAGCTGGGATTACAGGTGCATGCCACCACACCCAGCTAATTTTTTATATTTTGGTAGAGATGGAGTTACATCATGTTGGCCAGGCTGGTCTCGAGCTCCTGACCTCAAGTGATCCACTCGCCTCGGCCTCCCAAAGCCCTGGGATTACAGGCATGAGCCACCGCACCCAGCCTGAAATTTTTTTTTCTTTACTTTTTGAAACGGAGTTTCACTCTTGTTTCCCAGGCTGGAATGCAGTGGTGCAATCTCAGCTCACTGCAACCTCCACCTCCCAGGTTCAAGCAATTCTTCTGCTTCAGCCTCCCGAGTAGCTGGGATTACAGGTGTCTGCCACCACGCCCAGCTAAGTTTTGTATTTTTAGTAGAGACGGGGGTTCAACATGTTGACCAGGTTGGTCTCGAACTCCTGACCTCAGGTGATCCACCTGCCTCAGCCTCCCAAAGTGCCAGGATTACAGGCATGAGCCACCACACCCAGCCATTGTATTGTCCAATGTTGACAGCACTTTTTTATGTTATTCCCATGTCCTTTTTAAAATAAAAGTTTGAGAACAGAATCCTTTCAGACTAGGGCTACACCCTTAATTGGCAAGAAGATGCTGTTTCATTCCTTATAAAGGACACAGTGCTAAAAGAGGTATGCTTAAAGTTTCCTAACAGTAGTACTTTATTCCAAGATGTTGAAAGTTTTTCTGGAAATTGTGATCTTTATACTCTATTACATGACGGCATGATGAAAAGGTCTGAAGACAAAATGAGTTGTTTCTATTGCTCCCAGAGACTTTTGGCCCCCACTTAGCCCCTCACTCCTTCTCTATTACTCAAGTAGTGACATCTACAGGTGGCTGATAGAAACAACGGAGCAGAAGACAAGCTGAGGTTACGATGGTTCTGTTCCCTGGAGTTGGGCTCTATTTCACTCTCATATTAAGGAATTCTCCATGGATCTTTCTAAAATTCTGTTGCTCTCTTTAGAAGTCACAAGCCAGGAAGAAAATCCCAGGTGCTGCTGGAGAGAGCCTTCAGGGAGGGTCCTGAGGGAGAGCAAGACCCTGCCGCCCCAAGTTGCAGGAAGGAACAGCATGGAACCGAGCCACGCCCAGCTACGGGCCATGCACATAGGGGCCAAGGCTGAGGGTTCTGCCTACAGGGTCTGGGTCAAATGCCATGCTCTTGGGCAGAAAGGGTGTCCATTCCCCAGGTGTTACCATTCCACCTCTCCTTAGGACCCTACAACAGCTATAGGCTAGAACCAGAGCCTGTTAAACATATTTATCTTCTTGGAAACTCTTGGCTTGGACTTTCCTCATTTTAGGAAAAGAATGTCAGTGACAAAAATCCCCAAAATGCAGAGATGAGGAGGCATTTCTATGAGAGAAGTGAAATCTTTTAAGAAAGAAAAAAGGATTCAGGGCTAATTTGGGTATTTGTTGTTTGGACTGCTGTTGATTTTCTTTTCTCTTTTTTGTTTTTTTTTCCCTGAGATGGAGTTTTGCTCTTGTTACCCAGGCTGGAGTGCAATGGTACAATCTTGGCTCACTGCAATCTCCACCTCCTGTGTTCAAGCGATTCTCCTGCCTCAGCCTCCCGAGTAGCTGGGATTACAGATGCCCGCCACCATCCCCAGCTAATTTTTGTATTTTTAGTAGAGACAAGGCTTCACTATGTTGCCCAGGCTGGTCTCGAACTCCTGACCTCAGGTGATCCACCCACCTCAGCCTCCCAAAGTGCTGGGATTACAGGCATGAGCCACTGCGCCCCGCCTGTTGATTTTCATATTTCATTTTTACACAATTCCTACAAGTTACTGAATCAGAGTTTTAAAGCTAGAAAGGTCCTTAGAGATCCTATTTTCCAATCTTTTTTGTTTAAAAATGAGGAAACCGAGGCCAAGAAATTTGCCCAATAGCATGCTCCCTGGAGCATAGCAGGGTAAGCTCCTCAGCCCCCTGCTCTTTAGCCCAGCCAGTTCCCATTCTCTTACATCACTTTTCTTCTTTTACCTCCTTATGTCTACATTCATTTATGTTAATTCTAAAAGCAGCTTTTTTTTTAACTCCTTGAAGGATAGTTTCCTAGAATTAATAGCTTATCCACGAATAAGAACCAACTCAAACTTGAAATAAGAAACTCTTGGTCATGAGCACACATATGCATTTGTCCCAAAGAGTTCTGGAAATTACCATGCCCTCTGACACAGATTTGCACACCAAGTCTCAGGAGTATTTAAGGTGTGATCCTTTAACTGTGACATACACTTGTTCCAAGTGGGAGTGGGGGGATCAGGAGATACCAATCTGGATGATAGTAATTGCCACTTTTGAAGTATAAACATGAATTTTCTATTTGATACAGCAGACCTGAAAATTAGGGCAAAGGTTCGTTTTACAATATGCTGTCCTCTGGCATGTTAGTGAAATTGTAAACATGAACTAGAATGTTTAGGCCTCTGAACATCTCTGCTTTCTTTTCTCTGTGCAGCAATAAGGTTAGATGAAATACGAGTGTTTGGTTATACTGCCTGGTCTCTCCTGGATGGCTTTGAATGGCAGGATGCTTACACCATCCGCCGAGGATTATTTTATGTGGATTTTAACAGTAAACAGAAAGAGCGGAAACCTAAGTCTTCAGCACACTACTACAAACAGATCATACGAGAAAATGGTTTTTCTTTAAAAGAGTCCACGCCAGATGTGCAGGGCCAGTTTCCCTGTGACTTCTCCTGGGGTGTCACTGAATCTGTTCTTAAGGTAAGTGGTTACTTCCAAATTAACCATAAACTGGGAAAAACAGTACACACTATTTCATTTACTCAATGACAGCTAAGAGATAGCTGTCAGACAATATCAAATACCACAATTGTATGGAGGTTATGAAGGAGAGCTAGGGAAAGAGAAGGGAGAAAAAGAAGGAAATAAATGCTGAGAGCCTTTCATGGGCCAGAACTCATAATTGGTGATGGAGATGGAGAGGTGAAGAGGCTGCCCTCAAGGAGCATACAGTCTAGAGGGAACTTACTGTCATTTCTGTGTCAGGTTTTTGTTATAATAGTAATGTCAAAATGATAGGAAATTTGTTTTCAGATTTTTGTTTTGCCAAAAGCAAATTATTAGCAGCACCTTGTTTAACTGATTCTTGCTGTTTCACAGAGTTGGGTAATTTGCCTTCTGAGGTCTCTATATCCCAGTGGAGCCTCCTCACACATCTCATTCCTCACCCCCTTAAGCTGTCCTCAAAAGTCACCTTCTCCATAAGGCTTCCCTCCACTCCAGAAACCATCCTCCTATCACTTCTCTTCCTCTTTTCCTGCTTTTCTATAGCGTACTCGCCACCACCTGACATACTATGTGCTTTCCACATTTTCCATACTTATCACCTGTCTTCCCCTACTAGAATGCAAGCTGCATAAGAGCAAAAATGTCTGAGGCTTTGATGCCTGCTATATACCTCACTAGGGCAGTGCTGGGCACATGGCAGGTGCTTATCTTTTAGAACCAGGTGAATGAATGAGCTCACCTTTTAGTTGTTATTATTATTATTATTTTAACTATGCTACCTGGAAATCAAGAAATCACCTTTTAGAGCCAGGTGAGACCTTAGAGACCTCCCATTCCAAATCCTTCATTTTACGGGGGGAGGAAAGTGAGACCTATCAACTTGCTAACAAGTGCTGGCAGAACTGTTAACATACTGTCTTCAAGCTTCCACATGCACAGTGATTTAACTGCTCTATGTATGCACATTCTCTCTACTTCATCTTTTTTTTTTTTTTTTTGAGACAGGATCTTGCTCTGTCACCCAGACTGGAGTGCAGTGGCACAATCACAGCTCACTGTAGCCTCAATCTCCTGGCCTCAAGTGATCGTCCCACCTCAAACTTGAACTGGCACTACAGGTTCACACCACTATGCCCAGCTAATTTTTTGATTTTTTTGTACAGACAGAGTCTTACTATGTTGCCCAGACTGGTCTGGAGCTCCTGGGCTCAAACACACATCCTTCCTCAGCCTCCCAAAGTACTGGGGTTGCAGGTGCAAGCCACTGCATCCAACCTACTTAATCTTAAAACCCTCATCTTACAGGCAAGGCAACTGAAGTTTAAGGGGGTTACATAACTTGCCCAAGTTACCTAGGTCTGTCTTCCAACCACTATGCTTTAAGACTTCACAATACCACACCACAATATTGCATTGTTTTTTGTTGCTGTTGTTTTTGTTTTTGTTTTTGTTTTTGTTTTTGAGACAGAGTCTCGCTCTGTTGCCCAGGCTGGAGTGCAGCGGTGCGATTTTGGCTCATTGTAACCTCTGCCTCCCCAGTTCAAACGATTCTCCTGCCTCCCTAGTTCAAACGATTCTCCTGCCTCAGCCTCCCAAGTAGCTGGGATTACAGGCACCCGCCACCATGCCTGGCAAATTTTTCTTTTTTTTTTTTGGAGACGGAGCTTTATTCTTGTTGCTCATCGCCCAGGCTGGAGTGCAATGGTGCAATCTTGGCTCACTGCAACCTTCGCCTCCTGGGTTCAAGCAATTGTCCTGTCTCAGCCTCTCAAGTAGCTGGGACTACAGGCGTGTGCCACCACTCCTGGCTAATTTTTGTATCATTAGTAGAGACGGGGTTTCACCATGTTGGCCAAACTGGCTTCGAAATCCTGACCTCAGGTTATCCACCCACCCCGGCCTCCCAAAGTGCTGGGATTACAGGCATGAGCCACCACGCCCAGCCAAATTTTTGTATTTTTAGTAGAAACAGGGTTTCACCAAGTTGGCCAGGCTGGTCTTGAGCTCCTGACCTCAGGTGATCGACCCGCCTCGGCCTCCCAAAGTGCTGGGATTACAGGTGTGAGCCACCATGCCCGCTTTTTGTTTTGTTTTCTTTTCTTCTTTTCTTTTTTCTCTTCTCTTCTTTTCTTTTCTTTTTTGAGACAGAGTCTTACTGTGTTGCCCAGGCTGGTGTGCAGTGAGTGATCTCAGCTCACTGCAACCTCTGCCTCCTGGATTCAAGCAATTCTCCTGCCTCAGCCTCCCAAGTAGCTGGGATTACAGGTGCCCGCCACCACGCCCAGCTAATTTTTGTATTTTTAGTAGAGATGGGGTTTCACTTTGTTGACCAGGCTGGTCTTGAATGTCTTGACCTCAAGTGATCTGCCTGCCTCAGTCTCCCAAAGTGCTGGGATTACAGGTGTGAGCCACCATGCCCAGACATGCCTGTATTCTATTAATAGAAGCATATGGAAAGACAAGATGTACAAGGATTGAGACCAGACAAAAGGGTTCAAACCATGAATTAGCAAAGTTCTCAGGTTATGAATCTCAACCCCTGTGGATATTTACTTATATTTATATAGTTATTTATTTTTGAGACAGAGTTTTGCTTTGTTGCCTGGCTCACTGCAACCTCCGCCTCCCGTGTTCGTGCAATTCTCCTGTCTCAGCCTCCTGAGTAGCTGGGATTACAGGCGCCTGCCACCCTGCCCAGCTGATTTTTTGTATTTTAGTAGGGACAGGGCTTCACCATGTTGCCCAGGCTGGTCTCAAACTCCTGAGCTTAGGCAATCTGCCTGTCTCGGCCTCCCAAAGTGCTAGGATTACAGGTGTTAGCCACCGTGCCCAGCTGTGAATATTTATTTATTTGAAATAGAGTCTCACTTTGTCTTCCAGGCTGGAGTGCAGTGGCGTGATCTCAGCTCACTGCAGTCTGCCTCCTGAATTCAAGCAATTCTCCTGCCTCTGCCTCCAAAGTAGCTGGGATTACAGGTGCCTGTCACCATGCCCAGCTAATTTTTGTATTTTTAGTAGAGATGGGGTTTCACTATGTTGGCCAGACTGGTCTCGAACTCTTGGCCTCAAGCAATCTGTCTGCCTTAGACTCCCAAAGTGCTGGGATTACAGGTGTGAGGCACTGCACCCAGCTCCCTGTGGATATTTAAACAAGACTTTAGCAAGAGCTCACGGTGATTAAAGGGGGAAAGTTATAGAGAGCAGAATAAACAGTGTCTCATCTTCAGCTTGTGTCCCCTCCAGAGCCAGTTCCTACCTCTTCCTTCACATGGCAGAGGCAGAAGAGTTCAATACTATTCATATTCAAATTTTGCTAAATGCTCCAAAAATGTCTTTTTCCCTATCACTTTAATTGGGTTTATATATTTCAAAATTCCAGACCTAGCAAAGACCCCAGGAGATATAAGAGTTTCTTTGCCTGCCTGTATGGGAGACCCAACCTACAAGATCCTGCTTCAGCTAAAACCCACCTGTTCCTCAGATACTGTGAATGTCTGCCCCTTCTACATTTCAGAGCAAGAATTGATCATGAGGTCAGGAAAAGCAGTTCTGTGATCTGTCAGGTCTGGGTTTCATACTCATCTCTGGAGCCCAGCAAAGAGCCAGATTCATTTGAACCACTTGGATTAAGAATGAGGATAAGGCTGATCTGAGTGTGGTGGTGTTTACAACTTGCTGGTTACAACCAGTTACAGATTTCTGTTCCTTCTCTACTCCCACTGCTTCATTTGGCTAGCCCAAACATAAATAAATAAATAAATAAATAAATAAATAAATAAATAAATAAAGATGAATGGTTTGCCAAGAAAAATTACGGTGCTTTTTGAAAAATCAGCCAATAAATATATGTATAGACACTGTGTACACAGAAAACTAGATGTCCTCTATAGGGAGACTGATAAAATTAAAGTAATACTTGAAAAATATTACTAAGCCAGACCGGGCATGGTGACTAACTCCTGTAATCCCAGCACTTTGGGAGGCCAAGGTGGGAGGATCACTTGAGCTCAGGAGTTTGAGACCAGCCTGGCCATTATGGCAAAACCCTGTCTCTACAAAAAAAACTGGGTGTGGTTGTGTGGGCCTGTAATTCCATCTATAATTCCATCTACTCAGGAGGCTGAGGCAGGAGAATCGCTTGAGCCCGGGAGGAAGGTTGCAGTGAGCTGTGATCGTGCCACAGCACTCCAGCCTGGGCAACAGAGCAAGACCCTGTCTCAAAAAAAAAAAAAATTACTAAGCCTAACTTTGCACATTTCTATCTTATTTTCCCTAGCCTCTTAGCATTCTTTACTCCTCTAACATTTTATTTTGAAAAATTTCAAACATACAATAGAAATGCATATTCCCTTCATCAAGACTGACTGACTGTTAACATGCTGCCATATTTGTTTCAACTCTGCCTCTCTCCCCTTTTTTTTTTTTTTTTGAGACAGAGCCTTGCTCTATCACCCAAGCTGGAGTGCAATGGCGCGATCCCAGCTTACTGCAACCTCTGCCTCCCGGGTTCAAGAGATTCCCCTGCCTCAGCCTTCCAAGTAGCTGGGATTACAGGTGCCCCCCACCATGCCCAGCTAATTTTTTGTATTTTTAGTAGAGACGGGGTTTCACTATTTTGGCCAGGCTGCTCTCGAACTCCTGACCTCGTGATCCACCCACCTTGGCCTCCCAAAGTGCTGGGATTACAGGCGTGAACCACTGCACCCGGCCTCTGCCTCTCTGTTTTATAAACTTTTGATAAATTGCGGACATCATTACACTCCACCCCAAAATATCTCAGCATGTATCTCCTAAGAACAGGACATTCTTATTATGATTCCCAGGAAATTTAACACTGATTCAACGCTATCTAAAATACAATCCATATTCAATTTTTTTAATGTTCCAAAAATGTCCTTTATAGATTAAAAAAATCTTTGATTAAGAATGCAAGCAAAGATCAAACGTTGGTTGTCATGTATTGTTAGCTTCCTTTAATTCAGGACAATCACCTCATGGCATTGACGTGTTTGAAGAGTCCAGGCCAACTGCTTGTAGATTTCTCTGGTTGTTCTTCTGAGTCTAATGACTCAGTTAACCATTTCTGGAAATAATACTACATAGATGATGTGCCTTTGTATCATATCAGGAGGTAAATGATGTCAATTTGTTTCATTACTGAAGATATTACTGTGGTTGAAGTAGTATTACCAGATTTCTTGGTTAAGGTGGCATTTGTGGCTAGGCACACTTGTTCACTCCTGTAATCCCAGCACTTTGAGAGGCCGATGTGGGTAGATCACTTGAGCCCAGGTGGTCGAGGATGCAGTCTAGTGTGGGCGACAGGGCAAGACCCTGTCCCTCCTCCCTACTCCCCCCAAAAAAAAGAAAAAAGAAAAAAAAAGGTGATATGTGCCATATGGTAACTTTTCCATTTTTAATTAAGAAGTAATCTGATGCTGGCCAGGCTCGATGGCTCACACCTGTAATCCTAGCACTTTGGGAGGCCGAGGCGGGCGTATCACTTGAGGTCAGGACCTGTCTGGCCTGTCAGGACCAGCCTGGCCAACGTGGCAAAATCCTGTCTCTACAAAAAAAAAAAAAAAAAAATTAGCCAGGCAGGGTGGCATGGGCTTGTAATCCCAGCTACTTGGGAGGCGGAGGCAGAAGAATCACTTGAACCTCAGAGACGGAGGTTGCAGTGAGCCAAGATCGCACCATTGCATTCCAGCCTGGGCAACACAGTGAGACTTTGTCAAAAAAAAAAAAAAAAAAAGAAAAAAGAAGAAATCTGATGTTGATACTTGGGACTCTATGAATATCCTATTCCTCAACAACATTTCACTCCATGGTTTTAACATTCTTTCATGAACCGGGCCGGGCACAGTGGCTCACCTGTAATCCCAGCACTTTGGGAGGCCGAGGTGGGTGGATCACTTGAGGTCAGGAGTTCAAGACCAGCCTGGCCAACATGGTGAAGCCCCGTCTCTAATAAAAATACAAAAACTAGCCAGGCATGGTGGCTGGCATCTGTAATCCCAGCTACTCAGGAGGCTGAGGCAGGAGAATCGCTTGAACCCGGGGGGCGGAGGTTTCAGTGAGCCAAGATCGCGCCATTGCACTCCAGCCTGGGCGACAAGAACAAAACTCCGTCTCAAATAAACAAACAAACAAACAAACAAAACATTCTTTCATGAACCTTGCCTTAATCATTACTTTGTAAATTGCAAAATGGTAAATTTCTAATCGGATTATTCCCTCCACATTTATTAGCTGGATGATGTTTTATAATTCATTATTGTCACTATGATATTGTTCCTTTTGATGCTCAAGTTGTTTCAAATTTAGTCAATGGGACCCCCTCAAGCTGTTTCTGTCTTTTCCACATTTCCCTTTCAGTTTTTAAGCACTTCCTTATTTTCTGGCACAAGATGCCCACCTTCATCTCATTCTTCTCCTGGAAAAAGCCATTTCTCCAAGGAGTACAAGGTCCTTTTGGTGGGGAATAGGATTTTAGAAACAAGCTCTGGGAGCTGGGGTTGGGATTGGGATGCATCATCTTTAACTAGAAAATTAACCTCTTAGCAGACTAATCATACACACTTGCTGAGATTAATGCTTTCTGAAGGTTTTTAACGTAAGACATTTTTATTTGATCTTGCCTTGCCCCATAGCAAGACTGCCTTTTATAAACATCCTTTCAATACCATGATGTTCTGAGTTTTCAAAACATTAAAACTGGCCATCTAGGCTAGGAGGATTTTACTCAAATAATGAATTATATACGGATTTAACTTCATGCTCACATGATCAATGTTCTCTTAGTTTAATGTTCTAGATAACTGGTTGGCAGATGGCAAACGGGCAGTGATATGGTTTTGTAATTAAACTATGAAAGATGACACACGAAAAAACAATTAGAGGGAAGATATTTACCAAAGGTTAATTATAGTTTTTTCCTGGTGTATTTAAATTCTGTCATGAGGGGAAAAAGAAGTACTTTAAAACAAGTACTTAACTTTTACTTTCCCTTATTAATCTTGAATTTGGGAATGTTTTTCTTAAGGGCTTTGTTTTAGTTTGGACTCAAGGGCCTAGCAGGCAATTATTGCCACTAGGGAAAATGAAACCCAAGTCATGACTACATTGTGTTTGTATAGCGCTTTAGAGTTCCCAGAGCACCTTCCCAGAGTCACTGAGTCCTCACAGCACACCTGTGAGGTGGGTGCGATTACTCCGTCACTATATAGTTGCCAAGCCTGAGTTTCAAAGGGGCAGAACTAGAACAGGAGTCCAGGGCTCTCTCCTTCGTGGAGAGACACAGAATGAGACTCTGTCAGATCCAAGTGTCAACCTTGGGAGTTTCTAGGGATAGTCTACTGTCCTTTCCACCCATAACCCATTTATTCATCTGTTGGATGAATAAATGCTATGTTCTCACAGGCACATGGGTCGGGGAGACATGATGGATGCAAATGTGTTATCACTTGAACTTTTCTTTTCTTTTTTTTTTTTTTTTGAGATGGAGTTTTTGCTCTTGTTGCCGAGGCTGGAGTGCAATGGCATGATCTCGGCTCACTGCAACCTTCGCCTCCTGCGTTCAAGCGATTCTCCTGCCTCAGCCTCCAGAGTAGCTGGGATTACAAGCATGCGCCTCCACGCCTGGCTAATCTTGTTTTTTTGTTTTTTTTTTTTTTTTTAGTAGAGACGGTGTTTCTCCATGTTGGTCAGGCTAGTCTCAAACTCCCAACTTCAGGTGATCTGCCCGCCTCAGCCTCCCAAAGTGCTAGGATTACAGGCATGAGCCACCGCGCCCGGCCTGGATTTTTTAAATACAAGTTAGAAATTTGCATTCAGCAAAAGCAAGGGGTCATTGCCTACCCCACCGCACCAGCCTTTTTAAGGAATTGTGCCTGGGGTCAACCTCCTCTTCTCAGTGAAATCTCTACAACAGGAATTTCAACTTTGTCTTCAATTTATGGCAGGGTTTAGAATCTCTTTTGTAATTGCTTTTAATTGAGTGTACCAAGCCAATTTCCTGATGCATTTGAACAGAATCACTTCAAACCCCACCATATATAACCTAGGGTTTAAAGTTAAATGAACTGGAAAATGGCTTCCCAATGTTTTCTCAAACAACTTGTTTTCCAAGCCAGGACCTGGGTGTGGCTCCTTCTCTGTTTTCTGGTCTCCTTGGGAGATTTCAAGGGCTGGAATAGGCCTGGCGTGGTGGCCTGTAATCCCAGCACTTTGGGAGGCAGAGGTAGGCAGATCACTTGAGCCTCCATCTGCCAGCGCATGCTTGACCTAAATGAGCTTGTTTTTCACAGCCCGAGTCTGTGGCTTCGTCCCCACAGTTCAGCGATCCTCATCTGTACGTGTGGAACGCCACTGGCAACAGACTGTTGCACCGAGTGGAAGGGGTGAGGCTGAAAACACGACCCGCTCAATGCACAGATTTTGTAAACATCAAAAAACAACTTGAGATGTTGGCAAGAATGAAAGTCACCCACTACCGGTTTGCTCTGGATTGGGCCTCGGTCCTTCCCACTGGCAACCTGTCCGCGGTGAACCGACAGGCCCTGAGGTACTACAGGTGCGTGGTCAGTGAGGGGCTGAAGCTTGGCATCTCCGCGATGGTCACCCTGTATTATCCGACCCACGCCCACCTAGGCCTCCCCGAGCCTCTGTTGCATGCCGACGGGTGGCTGAACCCATCGACGGCCGAGGCCTTCCAGGCCTACGCTGGGCTGTGCTTCCAGGAGCTGGGGGACCTGGTGAAGCTCTGGATCACCATCAACGAGCCTAACCGGCTAAGTGACATCTACAACCGCTCTGGCAACGACACCTACGGGGCGGCGCACAACCTGCTGGTGGCCCACGCCCTGGCCTGGCGCCTCTACGACCGGCAGTTCAGGCCCTCACAGCGCGGGGCCGTGTCGCTGTCGCTGCACGCGGACTGGGCGGAACCCGCCAACCCCTATGCTGACTCGCACTGGAGGGCGGCCGAGCGCTTCCTGCAGTTCGAGATCGCCTGGTTCGCCGAGCCGCTCTTCAAGACCGGGGACTACCCCGCGGCCATGAGGGAATACATTGCCTCCAAGCACCGACGGGGGCTTTCCAGCTCGGCCCTGCCGCGCCTCACCGAGGCCGAAAGGAGGCTGCTCAAGGGCACGGTCGACTTCTGCGCGCTCAACCACTTCACCACTAGGTTCGTGATGCACGAGCAGCTGGCCGGCAGCCGCTACGACTCGGACAGGGACATCCAGTTTCTGCAGGACATCACCCGCCTGAGCTCCCCCACGCGCCTGGCTGTGATTCCCTGGGGGGTGCGCAAGCTGCTGCGGTGGGTCCGGAGGAACTACGGCGACATGGACATTTACATCACCGCCAGTGGCATCGACGACCAGGCTCTGGAGGATGACCGGCTCCGGAAGTACTACCTAGGGAAGTACCTTCAGGAGGTGCTGAAAGGTAAGGGCGGGGCCCCTTCAGACACAGGGCAGAGCGAGATTCCTGTTACCTGACAAGAACAAAGAATGGGAGCAGCAGGCTGGTGCCTGACAGCATCCAATTTGTGGCACCCAAGTCCTGTCAATTGAATTTTGTCCTGAAAACTGGCCTATGGGATTTTTGAAAAAATTTTAAAATCATAAAAGTAACACACACCAATTATAGAAAACTGGGCACGTGGAGAAGTTTTTAAAAAATCACCTGAAATCTCACTCCCCAGGATAAACAGTCACTATTTTGGGTTACTTATTTTCACCATGCTTGCTAGGCTTTAAAAAAATGGTTGTGGGTAAACAGGTGTATAAATTTATGGGATGCATGAAATGTTTCGATACAAGCATGCAATGTGAAATAACCACATCATGGTAGCTTAAGCGAGCGACAGTGAGTGAGTGGGTAAAACCAACTGTGATTCCTGGGCTGCACCAAGAGCACATCTGAGGTTCACAATCAGGCCAAATAGGCAACGTTTTTCTGCTTGTGACCCTTTAAACAAAAGTGACAACCTTCATTGCTCTGCTCCTTAAATTTGCTTTTTCCTCCAAGAGTTTTTGGATTATTTATGGATCAAGTTTCACTACAAATTTTTCAGACTTAAATTATACATATTTTCACCTTCTCCTTTACATAGATCATAAAAGAATAAATGTCAAAAAAAACCCTCTAATAAAAATCACTACCTTTATTATGGGCATAATTTTAGCTTGTTTCAATGAAAACTAAATTCTTCCTCAAAGATACTTCATAGTCCATTTGTGATTAATGTTAATTTCTTATCTTTTTCAGCATACCTGATTGATAAAGTCAGAATCAAAGGCTATTATGCATTCAAACTGGCTGAAGAGAAATCTAAACCCAGATTTGGATTCTTCACATCTGATTTTAAAGCTAAATCCTCAATACAATTTTACAACAAAGTGATCAGCAGCAGGGGCTTCCCTTTTGAGAACAGTAGTTCTAGATGCAGTCAGACCCAAGAAAATACAGAGTGCACTGTCTGCTTATTCCTTGTGCAGAAGAAACCACTGATATTCCTGGGTTGTTGCTTCTTCTCCACCCTGGTTCTACTCTTATCAATTGCCATTTTTCAAAGGCAGAAGAGAAGAAAGTTTTGGAAAGCAAAAAACTTACAACACATACCATTAAAGAAAGGCAAGAGAGTTGTTAGCTAAACTGATCTGTCTGCATGATAGACAGTTTAAAAATTCATCCCAGTTCCATATGCTGGTAACTTACAGGAGATATACCTGTATTATAGAAAGACAATCTGAGATACAGCTGTAACCAAGGTGATGACAATTGTCTCTGCTGTGTGGTTCAAAGAACATTCCCTTAGGTGTTGACATCAGTGAACTCAGTTCTTGGATGTAAACATAAAGGCTTCATCCTGACAGTAAGCTATGAGGATTACATGCTACATTGCTTCTTAAAGTTTCATCAACTGTATTCCATCATTCTGCTTTAGCTTTCATCTCTACCAATAGCTACTTGTGGTACAATAAATTATTTTTAAGAAGTAAAACTCTGGGGCTGGACGCTGTGGCTCACACCTGTAATCTCAGCACTTTGGGAGGCCGAGGCGGGGAGATCACCTGAGGTGAGGAGTTCGAGACCAGCCTGGCCAACATGGTGAAACCATGTCTCTACTAAAAATACAAAAAATTAGCCAGGCGTGGTGACAGTGGCACCTGTAATCCCAGCTACTTGGGAGGCTGAGGCAGAAGTTTGAACCCAGGAAACAGGTTACAGTAGGCCAAAATTGCGCCACTGCACTCCAGCCTAGGCGACAACAGCAAGACTGTGTCCAAAAAAAAAAAAAAAAGCAAAAGCAAAACTTTGTTTTGTTAGACTCTACAGCAGAGATTTAACACCCTTCTTTAAACTGGGTAGTCAGTGATAGATAATATATATTCTGTCACTTCTAATAAGGTGCCTTCTCCTTTAGGTCAGGGTGGTTCTAAAATGGAAAGAAAACACAATAGGGTAAGTAGTGCTTGTCTAAGCCAGTTACAACACAGACTCTTAAAGAGGATCAAGCCCTTCATTTTTCTAACAACAAAAAATCACCTATAGAATATCTAATTTGTGATCTTTTACTAGATCTGATTTTTTAAAATAATGTAATTTCCGGCCAGGCACGGTGGCACCGCCTGTAATCCCAGCACTTTGGGAGGCCAAGGCAGGTGGATCACCTGAGGTTAGGAGTTCGAGACTAGCCTGGCCAACATGGCAAAACCCCATCTCTACTAAAAATACAAAAGTTAGCCGGGCATGGTGGTGGGCACCTGTAATCCCAGCTACTCAGGAGGCCGAGGCAGGAGAATCGCTTGAACCCGAGAGGCAGAGGTTGCAATGAGCCAAGATCGTGCCATTGCACTCCAGCCTGGGGGACAGGGCAAGACTGTCTCTCAAAATAAAAAAAAATAATAAAAATAAAAATAAAAGTAATTTCCAAAACCTCATCTCATGGAAAGATCACAGGATGAAGGAAAGCTAGACTCAACTCTGTGAATAGAAGTTGCTATACTGTAAGTAAAGCAACAATTCAGAATACTGAATGAGTTTAAATTGTTTTATATAGCACCCTTTTGGGCTAGGGTTAATTACTAGATCTGACTTGGATAATTTGACACTTTGGGAAATGAACTCTGTTCTTGAGACTTGTTCAGTGTATTTTAAACATCTGAGGAAGAAAACTTAAATATGCACCTATTTATACCTATTCTTTCTTTAGGTCAACATTTAACACCCACTGCATACATTAATTTGTCCTTGTCTGCTCACTCCAGCAATTTAGACCTTAACAGTCACAAGAGACGTTCTTCTGTTACAAAGCCTTAGTAAATTAAGGCAGTTTTGATTATATTCTAGGTCCACCTATGTCTGAAGCTAAATTCAGTATCTAACTGCTAATGAACAAGTTTCCAAAATACTGTAAAAATACAATTAGTCAATTTGAGTAAATGCAAATATGATGAGAAATCAATTTGCTATTTGGCCTGGCAAATGGGAACAGTAAAATTCTGCTTTACTCTTCTCTAGTCTCCTTGCCCCAGCTGCACCCACTACCCCAAAGTTGGCAGTTTTGAGGTATGATTTTCAAGGAATTTTTTTAGTATTAACATCTCCCTCTGAGAACTATGTACCTAAGGTCACGCATACAACTAGTCAATTCTGTTTTTATTACTCTAACTATGTAGAAACAGTAAGTCACTTAAAACAATCACTTGGCTGGGTTTTTTCCCCTTTGTGCCACATTGATTCACCCTGACCCAAGAACTCCAGGGAAAATTCTTTAATGTCAACTGGGCAACTCATTAACCTCTCTTTAACATCAAGGGCTTGGGAAAAAAAAAAAAAAGGTTAGCCACAGGAATAACAAAAACCTGGAATTTATCTTTCAGGTTTTGCTTTCTCTTTCTCACTTTGTTTAAAGTATCTCGTACTCACAGTTCACAAATTAACCTTCACTGTCTCTTTCACATTAAGAGCTTATGCTTAAAGCATGCCCCCCTTTTCTAACTTGCTGGTTTACCATAAACTCCCCTAAGTAATAAAATTCCTAACCCAGTACTGAGAGTCCTCCTTCTCTGCCACTTGGGCATTATTTTACTAGTTTTTAAGCCATCATCGCACAAGAATCCAAAAACCCTTAAATTTTTTAACCACTGGCAAATATGTACAGCAAATTAGGTTAAGCATTTAATCTGGCTCATGCTCTATCATACTAAATATTCAGGTTTATCATAAACTCCTTAAAAACCATCAAAGGTCAACCAGAAACTGATAACTCTTGAAAGGAGCAAACAGGTAAGATCTTTGGAGTTTAAGCTTTTCTGAGATGTGTTGTGAAAAATCTAACGTGTTTATCGTATATTCAATGTAACAACCTGGAGAATCACAACTATATTTAAAGAGCCTCTGGAAAATGAGGCCAGTACAGTGTGACTACATGTTTAATTTTCAATGTAATTTATTCCAAATAAACTGGTTCATGCTGACCACTTGTATTCAACTAACAACCTGGTCAATTTTAAGAACTGTTGAATGTGAATGGGTTTGGCATTGTAAATGGGCTCTGCCCCAAGACTGCCTCCCCTGAATCCCTTTCTGCCTAGTTGTGCACCAACTTGGTATGTTACTTCTGGGTATATTTTCTCAAAAAATGTGGCTCAGGTGTGGTGGCTCACACCTGTAACCCCAGCACTTCGGGAGGCCAAGGTGGGCGGATTGCTTGATTCCAGGAGTTTGAGACCAGCTTGGGCAACGTGGCAAAACCCTCTCTACAAAAAACTAGCCAGGCATGGTGGCACGTATTTGTGGTCCCAGCTACACAGAAGGCTGAGGTGGGAGGACTGCTTGAGCCTGGGAGACAGAGGTTGCAGTGAACCAAGATCACGCCACTGCACTCCAACCTGGGTGACAGAGACCCCGTCTCAAAAATATGTGGACACCTACATCTAAAAATTGCAAAAATAGTGCACAAGTGCTTATCCATAGTAGACACAGAAGACAATAATTAAGTTTTCCCTGGAGAACTAGGCTCATTTGTTATACCCAAGTTATTAAAAAAAAAAAATCACTGTTTAGCTACAGTCTCTTAAGTTACCTTATGAAGGTCAGACCCAGCATGCCAGTCCATTTCATGCTCAAAGAAATCTCATTTACTCCCACAGCAGCTACTCCCCATAAGCTGATCCTCTCATGAGCATCTCCACCCCACTAGAATATTGCCACTTGGAAATTTCTCCCACAAGCCTCATACTGTTTTGAAATCCTGTCAATACCTTCCCAAAATCTCTCTCTTCCAGTCCCACTGCTATTACTGAGTTCCTTGGCAATCCAGGAAACAGCTACATGCCATTGTTCTGGTAGCTGGAATACACCAGAGTACAAAATTACCTCCTTGTGAAGGTTACATCCTAGCAGAAAAAAACACATCATCAATACACAACCAATTGTAAATATTAAAATTACAAATGCTATTGACAAAAACAAGTGGAGAAGGGTAACGAGACAGTAGGACAAGCTTAAGGAGCCGGTCTACTATTTTTAATACGGTGGTCAAGGCAGGATTCACTGAATAGACCTGAAGGTAAGTGAAATTAGCCACACAGCTCAGCTGAGAGCATTCCAAAGGGAAAACGACAACTTAAATGCTTAATGACAGAGTGCTTGGTATAGAGGATTAGCCAGGTCAATTCAGCTATAGCGCAGAAGTCAGAAAAATTGAGTTAAAAACGGCTGCAGGTACAATGGGGAGGCTATTTTAAAAAGAAAAAAGGGAAAAAAAACCTGTTGCAGGATTTGAAACAGTGCTATAATCCATTTCAAAATCAGTACCCTGGCTGATGCTGAAAATAGACAGGAGAGGAAGATGACCAGTTGACTGTCACAATAATCCAGGTGAACTTCGCAGGTCTTTGTTTCATTTTCTACATTGTAAAAAATTTGTATCTAATGGACCCATATTTCCCAACCTTTCGAGGATGTGATCTTACTTCACGTTGATCCCATTCATCGCCTACAACCCCATCCGTTATTTCTGAGCAAATCCGAGATTTATGATTTCCTCCAAATTTCTTAAAAACCTAACCAAATAGTCATCAAACAACAAGACTCCTTAATGTATGTTCAATTAGTGTACTTGAATCCAGATCTAAGACGTATAGGGCATGGTGACCCATGCCTGTAGTTCCAGCCCTCTGGGAGGCCAAAGAGGAACACTTAAGGCCAGGAGTTCAAGACCAGCCTGGGAAACATGAGACCCCATCCATACTTTAAAAAAAAAAAAAAAAAGATGTGACGGTGCCTGCCTGTAGTCCTTGCTACTAAGGAGGCTGAAGCAGGTAGGATTATTGCTTGAGTCCAGTAGGTTGAAGTTACAGAGCTATGACTATGGCACTGTATTCCAGCCTGGGCAACTGAGTAAGACATTGTAAGATCCAAGATAACATATATGCCAACTGATCGTGACCTCTGTCCTTATATTTACTTTTTCTGATAAAGTACCTGACCATACCTTACAATGAAGGTACTTAGTACGTTTTCCTGACGCATTTGATCAAGGATGAATGTTAAATTTTGCCTTAGAAATTGCAGTTTCCATCAAATGAGATGTAGAATTCACAAAGGTTTGGGGGTCACCATGTTGACCTAAGTCTAGTTATGGTGGCCTTGTACCATATTTAAAGTATAACACATGGAATTAAGAGATTATGGAAGGGTTATCAATTTTTAAAAACAAGTTCTAGGGTATGGAAGTAAATGGCTGAGGTAAAGGACAAGATTATTGAGACCATGAACCAAACCAACTACACCTTCTAATTCTAACTGATGCTGTATCACTCTGTTCTACTCCTCAGCTGTTTCTCCACCAGTGACTAAGACAACATTTGCCTTACCAAATATTCAAATTCATGCCTCAGCAAATTTAGACACTTTCAGGGTATTCCTAAAGTTCTATATGCAATGATGAATGGCCTCATGTTTGCCTGTCACTGGTACAATATTCCTCTTGCCTAAAATATATCCTTGCTATTCCTTCAAGAACCAGATTAAAGCTCCTTGTTCCACGAGGGAAAAAAACTAGCTAAAAAGGATAACCGGTTTAAGAAGAAGGTCCAAATCAATAGGTCTTTTATTGCATCATTTAAATATCACAAGTAGGTCTTAAGTGTCATCTGGCATCTTCTTTCTGTAGCCAGGTAACTGTAAAAAAAGAAAAAAAATCTGTAAATCCCCATCAATACACTTGCCCAGGAAAGTACTAATCTTTTTTCTGTACTATTCTAAATAATCTAAAACATACCTCAAGACTATGACTTACTGATTCATAGTAAACTATACGTAGTAAAATGCATGCCAATTCCATCTTTTATTCTGTCAAATTTACTGTGTTCCAGAATGCTTAACTCTCCATTTTCTATTACTACAAATTCAGTTTAAGTCTTTTAGTAAATTAAGAGCTTCATTCAACTAGAGCAGTAATAAAACTTAAGACACTGTAAGAACTTACCTCTTAGATCTTATTCATCAGCCTGCTGAACAGTTCCTTTTTCAGAGACATAGATACCATCCAAAAATTTCCTGATATCCTTGTTTTTAACTGTTGTGGCTTGCTGAATCAAAGCCGCTATAGGAGTGAAGATAAAGCAATTAATACATCAGCCTAACCCATCTTAAAAAGAAAGTATTTCATTATGTGCTGTACTTAAAATTTCAGAATGTGACCTTTTTATTTTCACAATTTAAAAAGCTAATCAAATAAAAATTAGCAAAATACTGTATTTTAAACAAGATTTAGACAAAATCTTGTAGGCATAGTTAGACATAGTAAACATACAAACCTGAATTTGAAACAAGCTCAATGTCATTTCCTTCAAGGATTAATTCATCTTTCTGGGCTTGAGATACTGAACAAGCAACACCTAAAAGGGGAGAGGGCATTTGCACAGCATCAAATCTGTGTAAAAAATATTTAAATTGCAGAGGCACTAATTTATTCCATGTAAAACTCCATGCACCAAAAGAACCTTTTCTTAAGATTTTGAGGCCGGGCACAGTGGCTCACGCCTGTAATCTCAGCACTTTGGGAGGCCGAGGCGGGCGGATCATGAGGTCAGGAGATCGAAACCATCCTGGCTAACACTGTGAAACCCATCTCTAGTAAAAATACAAAAAATTAGCTGGGTGTGGTGGTACGTGCCTATACTCCCAGCTACTCAGGAGGCTGAGGCAGGAGAATCGCTTGAAGCCAGGAGGCAGGGGTTTATTTTTAACATAAGGGTTTTCATTAAATGTTGCTGACCATAGCTAGTATCAGAGTATTTCTGGACAGCCATTATTTTGATACTAAGAATCTCCCTTCTTCCCACCCCTCCCCACCCCAATGGAATCAAAATGCATCAAGAGGCCGAGCCAGGTATGTTTTAAGAGGCCAAGGGGGAAGAACTGCTTGAGCCTGCAAGTTCAAGACCAGCCTGGACAACATAGCAAGACCCTGCCTCTACAAAAAACTTAAAAATTAGCTGGGGCCAGGCACCATAGCATTCCTTGAAATCAGCCTGGGCAACGTGGCGAAACAGTCTCTACAAAAAATCAAAAATCAGCTGGATGTGGTGGCAGGCACCTGCAGTGCCAGCTAGTGGGGAGGCTGAGGTGGGAGAAACACCTGAGCACGAAGGTGGAGGATGCAATGAGCTGAGATCACGCCACCGTACTCCAGCCTGGGCAACAGAGCAAGACCCTGCCTCAAATAAAAAGCACTAAGCTTTAAATTTTTTTTAAAGCTACTGTGTTTACTATGTATTACGCATGCATTGTTGTTTTTCAACTTTAACTCATTTAATCAAAGATGTTTGCAATTTTAAGCTGCAGAGAGATGACATGCCCAAGGTGGACAGTGAGAGCTGAAATTTACGCTAGGCTATTAACCACTACTCATGTAGTTTTCTCTTTAGATTTTAAAGGTTCTTACCACGAAGAAATAAATGGAGTGATGGATGTGTTAATTAGCCTGATTTAGTCATTCCACAGAATATGCATGTGTTGAAACATCACATTGTGCTCCATAAATACACACCATTATATACACCTTTTGTAAATTTAAAGTCTTTTTAAAAGATTTCATTTGCCAAGTTAAATACAACCACCACTGCAAGCTACTCCAATGTATCAACTTTCTGAAATTGTAATCGACATAATGATATAAACCCTTAAGTAGCACCAACAGTTTAAGTGTAATCAAGAGATAATTCTAAAACAAATCTGGTTTTACTCAGCACAAACACAAAACAACAGCCAACTAAAGTATGGAAGTTGGGAGTGGAAAAGGAGGAAAAAAATATGAAGGAAAAATTTCTTAATTCTGTCTGAGGGTATGCACATACCTGGTCTCATCCGAACCCTGCGGATATATTTTTCACCCAAGAAATTTCGGATTTCAACAAGAGACCCATTCTCCTGGATAACAACGTTGATGGGGAAGTGAGCATACACAGACCTCATCTTGTAACGGAAGCCCTATGTTAAATAAATAAGCAAGCTATTAGCAATGCTGAGGAATATTTTTAATAGTTTTAAAATTTTCTAAGATGCTTATACTTATTTTAAAACGTAA
Organism: Homo sapiens; assembly: GCF_000001405.40. Taxonomy (NCBI): domain Eukaryota; kingdom Metazoa; phylum Chordata; class Mammalia; order Primates; family Hominidae; genus Homo; species Homo sapiens. The sequence continues at coordinate 39,456,636 of NC_000004.12, forward strand.
CACTCACTGCCAAGATTTTCTAATAACTGTCACCTGAACCAAGCCTTATAAACATTGTTCTGTCTATTCAGTGGACTGTAAAGCTCCTTGCGGAGGCTTTATTTCACTAGCTCTTATGCCCTCAATGAACAATGCTGCCTTCTTTTAATGAGAACCCCAAAGCCCTGATCTTAGACATTAGACTAACATTTACTGAGTTACTAAGGTACAGCACATGGCAGGAATTGAGACCACCAAGCCAAAGGCAGGCCCCCTGCCTTCAAGGAACTTAAGGCTAAGAGCAAGGGTAGATGGGGGAATCTTAACAGATTTATAATAGATGTACAGGGTGCCATTATCAGGTGCATTCTAGAAGGTATAATGCAAAGAAAACCATTTCAGCATGAACTTTTTATCTTGAGGGGAGAGACGGTGGGTTGGAAAGAATAATGACATACATTATGGCAGCAGACAGAAAACTCAGAAACTACATCTTTTTCTATCCCAACAAGGGGTCCTGATGGTGAGATGTGACTACCAACTAGTACTGCAACTGTAGATTTCCTATCTTAAAGAATTCGGAAGGTATGAAAATTCATCATTAGCCTACTTTTTAAAAGTTGTACCCATCTAGCCATGCATGGTGGCTCATGCCTGCAATCCCAGTACTATGGGAGGCCAAGGTGGGAGGATCACTTGAGCTCAGCCTGGACAAAATAGCGAGACCCCAGCCTTGATTAAAAAAAAAAAAAACCCAACAACAGAAAAAAACAAACATGTTGTACCCATCTGGTCTTTGCTCTCAGCTCTATCGCTTAAAGACCCACAGATGCCTATTTTTGCCAAGTTCTTGCGTATTACACCAAATAAAATACATGACCCATTCTCTGAAAGAGACACTTACGCTGTATAAAGCACAGGTTTGAGAAACCTCCCTTTCCAAAACAAGGAAGTCTGATACATCTGCTTACCAGTGTAACACCCTTGATCATGTTCTGTACATGACTACAAATAGTCCGAACGGTAGCCAGTTCCTTTCTGTTACCCCACCATTTGTCAACCCGGAGCTGTAACAGAACAAAAAATGTATTCTTTCCAGAAATATGCAGGCTTAAAAGACAACAGACCACTTACCGAATTACTTTAAGATTCTAGAATTAACCCTTATCAAAGCACATGGTTTTCAACTGGAAAAATCCAACCACCTATAAAACCTCCCAACAGTTAAGCTTTGTAGAAGTTGCAACAAACTTCCCTTCTGGAAAATTAAATCATCAGGTTTAAATGACCTACTGCCGGTTCCTGTGATTTTTACAAAGCAATCACTAGGAAAATAAACCAAACTTCTAACACCATTAAGACGTGTCACTGATGACCACTATTACATTTGAGCTTTATATAATTGGCTGTGTTCAGAATCTGGTTTTTCAATTTCACTGAACAGGCTGGTATTCTGGACAGCAACATTTAAAGCTGAAGCACTGAACCTTAATTCGAAAATTGTTAAAGCAACCAAATGTGATGCTGTTATAAACCACCTTCCAACGAGCAACTGAATTATCAGAAGAAAAACCCTCACCCTCTTTTTTTTCTTTCCAAGAAGGCTGAGTTCTACATTGATGTGATTGAAGTCCCTCCGCAGGGTTCCTCTGGGGCCCTTCACGATAACTGTGCGTCCCTTCAGAGTAATGTCGACTAGAAGAGAGAACACACTCGTCAGGCCACACAACGCTTGGAACGTGCAGTAAAGATGTAAGTAAAAGACATCAAGTCTCATACCATTTTCTGGAATGTCGACAGTCTGATTGCTGAGAATAGTCTTCATTCTGAAACACAAACACTGGGGGTGAGGCCGACGCAAGGCCCGTTTTTCCACCAAACTACGCCGCACAGAGCTCCACTCCTACTGGAGACTGCCAGGCGGAAGTTCCAGACAAGATGTCGGAGGACGGGAGACCGACAGCGGGCCCCAGTGTGTCCCAGCCTGGAAGGAGCAGCCCCAAAGCGAGAATTACGAGGCCCAGCAGTCGAACTCCCACTCAGCCCAACCCTGGAAGTCCTATGCGGGCGGTGCCATCCCGGCAAGACTGAGGGGCGGGAATAGGCCAAAAAGCCCACAACAGGATTCGCATCTGGCGCCGCCAGGCTCATATGGCGCTTGCCGAGCTGGGGGACAAACAGGACAAGGTTCCGAGAGTGGGAGCCGCGCCGCAGCCTTTCCCAGAGCAGATGGTTTCAGATTCCCAGTACCCCCACGAGCACAGAAACATCCTTACCTCGCAGTAGACGCAGCAAAGAAAGAACGTCTGTCGTCATTACGTACTTGTATCGCGTAAGGGGCCTGCGTATTGCGTCATGAGTGCGCGACGCACGTAAGGCTAAAGCAGCCAATCGTGGAGCAGCTTGGCTGCTTGTCATAAATGGAGCGACGTAATTTCGACCTGTCCTTTCCCGGGAGTTAGCGATCCCTCAACCCCTGCACTGCGCTAGTCCTAAAGAGGAAATGTCTCTACGCTGCGGGGATGCAGCCCGCACCCTGGGGCCCCGGGTGAGCGGCGGGGCGAACGGGTTTGGGCGTGGGGTGGGGGGATCCTATCCCTTCAGAGCGCCCATGCCCAATAATAAAGGCCAGTGCATTTACTGAACATTTACTACTAGCCAACGGCAGTTTTAAACGTTTTTCGTGTAATCTCATGTAATTATCCCGCCAGCCCCATGATATAGAGTCTCTGGCATCAGTTTGTTTGCAAGTCTCTCTGGGCCAGCACCGAGGACTTATTTTCTGCTTAGAGTGGTTTGTACCCTATATTTATGGAGCACTGCAGTGAGCACCCCACATAGCTATTCTGTCTTGGACTCTTACTGTGTGTGAGACACCACTCTAGCCGCAGAGAACACAAACCTGTCCGCTAGGCTTCAGCGGCAGACATTGAGAAGTGCAGTAGCAATCGTGCAACACCCTAACAGGCACTCTTTGAGTTGTCGAAGGTTCTTTTGAGATACATGTGCAGACTCGTGGATTTTGTAGTGTTTTGGCTATCTCATACACGTTTGTGTTCAGATGTAAAAGCCGAATACCATGATTTCTTATGTTCTTGACTGCCACGTTCAAACACAGAAACAATGTAACCTAGAAAGTAAAAACGTTCATCCTGGCCAACATGGTGAAACCCCGCCTCTATTAAAAATACAAAAATTAGCTGAGCGTGGTGGCGTGCGCCTGTAGTCCCAGCTACTCGCCAGGCTGAGGCAGGAGAATCGCTTGAACCCGCGAGGCGGAGGTTGCAGTGAGCCGAGATCGCGCAACTGCACTCCAACCTGGGCGACAGAGCGAGACTCCATCTCAAAAAAAAAAAAAGAAAAAGAAAGTAAAAACGTTAGGCTTGGTTTTAACCTTCCAGTTGTCTGAAACTAATTGGGCATTATTAACCTACGTTTCAACAATTATTCAAAGCTCGAGAGATTTATTGCACACTTCACTTTAAACGCCCCTGATTCAAGTCAGGACCAGAACAGTTTTAAACTGTGGCACCTTCTTCAGTTATTGCAGTTCAATCTTGTTGAAAGACAAACATCTAGTTCCTGGTAGGTGGAGTACATGAAAGTGTGATATATGTTAGTTCCAGAGATTTTCGGGCCGGGTGCGGTGGCTTACGCCTGTAATCCCAGCACTTTGGGAGGCCGAGGCAGGTGGATCACCTGAGGTCAGGAGATCGAGACCATCCTGGCTAACATGGTGAAACCCTGTCTCTACTAAAAATACAAAAAAATTAGCCGGGCGTGGTGGCGGGCGCCTGTAGTCCCAGCTACTCAGGAGGCTGAGGCAGGAGAATGGCGTGAACCCGGGAGGCGGAGCTTGCGGTGAGCCAAGATTGCGCCACTGCACTCCAGCCTGGGCAACAGAGCAAGACTCCGTCTCAAAAAAAAAAAAAAAAAAACAGATTTCCAAATCTATTCTAAACTCAGTAGTAAACAGTCAACTCTTACTCTCTTTTAGGTTTGGTTCCTTCAGTCATCTTTTATATTCTAATGCCCTAGAATACTAGAGCTCCTAGTTTGACATAATTTCTGAATCACTTTTTTGGCTTTACCCTTCCGTTTAGGTGTTATGATGGGTTAAAACTAAATTATTACGGACTCCACTAAATAAACGTCATAATTAACTCTTTCTTTAGGTATTTGGGAGATATTTTTGCAGCCCAGTCAGACCGTTAAGCTCCTTGCCAGATAAAAAAAAGGAACTCCTACAGAATGGACCAGACCTTCAAGATTTTGTATCTGGTGATCTTGCAGACAGGAGCACCTGGGATGAATATAAAGGAAACCTAAAACGCCAGAAAGGAGAAAGGTAATTGAAAATTTGAGATAATTTTAACGTCCCGTTCCTTTATTGTGCATTATTTTCAGATATAACCAAGCCCTAGAATCTGTTTTTAATATCAGACTTGTTAAATTTAGCTAAAAATCATTAGAAAGATGTGATAACAGAACTAGATAGAACAAGTAAGCAGATGAAATTTTTGGAATCTTTCTCTTTTCTCTTGCCCTTACTATGTTACACTGCCATCTCCCCATTTTCTACCCAGCATCCAACTTCTTCAGAGTAAAGATTACTGCTTTGCTACTAGTCTGTTAGATCTGGGTTAGTAGCTGTTGATGATCTAACTTGTGCTTCTCCTAGTCAATTTACATGTGACCTATGGATACCTTGCCTTAATTTAAAAGAATGATGGAATTTTATGTAGAAGGTAGATTGAGTTGAAAGATAACTTAATCCTGCTCCTTCTATATCACAAGTGGATGGAAGTCATGGAGAACCAAGGATACACAGTCTCCAGTCCAAATTTTAGATCTTTTTTCCATTGAGTAACCACTATAAAATCTAGAATGTAGAGCAGACAGTGCACAGTTGTGATCTTTCCTCAGTCTAAACAAGTAGAGTACTTTTTGGCAGTATCATTCATGAGGGATGAGATATTTGAAAACTTGCTCATTCTCTTATTAGAATAGTGTAACTCTGCCTTTGCAAAAAAGGTAGACGTGAGTATAGCGCCCTGTTACACTCCATTATTGGTGTTTTCTTTTTGTTTGTTTGTTCTTGAGACAGTCTTGCTCTGTCACCCAGGTTGGAGTGCAGTGGCACAATCTTGGCTCACTGCAAGCTCCGCCTCCTGGGTTCAAGGGATTCTTCTGCCTAAGCCTCCCAAGTAGCTGGGACTACAGGCGCCTGCCACCACGCCCGGCTAATTTTTGTATTTTTAGTAGAGACAGGGCTTCACCATATTGGCCAAACTAGTCTCGAACTCCTGACCTTGTGATCCGCCCACCTCGGCCTCCCAAAGTGCTGGGATTACAGGCATGAGCCACCACATCCGGCCATTATTGGTGTTTTCTAAAGTGGTTTGAGCAAGGCTAAATTTGATTCTGTGTTCTTACTCCTATGACAGAAATTATAAGAGTTATTCTAAGGTTATAGAAAAAATTATTAACTAGGAATTGTAATAGAAGAAATTAACTTCAAAGCTGTGTAATTATTTGGCAGCATATTTGTTAATAGATAGTTATGTTTGGCTTTCCTTAGGTTAAGACTACCTCCATGGCTAAAGACAGAGATTCCCATGGGGAAAAATTACAATAAACTGAAAAATACTTTGCGGAATTTAAATCTCCATACAGTAAGTTGTCAAAGTGTAAACTATCCCTCTTCACCAAAAGCCATGTTTCTACGTTTATATAACTTAAAAATTATTAATAAATATATAAATAATAGCAAAGAAAGTAAATATGTTAAGTGATACATTACTACCAGGAATGGAAATATATTTAGAATCATTTTTCCGGCAAACAAAGAGATTTTTTGCCCTACGAGTTTGGAAACAAGGCTTTGTTTGTTTTATATTGCAAATTAGATATATGATTTGTTGGAAAGAATATAAAATTAAATATGAAGGTATGTCACATACGCAATGCCATATATAAACCATACTCCTTTACCTTTAACTCTTCAGTATATAATCTTTCAGACTTTTTTATTTGCACATATGAAGTATATACATTCGTAAAGTTTTTAATTTAAAAATTGGATTTTGGCCAGGTGCGGTGGCTCACACCTATAATTCCAGTACTTCGGAAGGCCGAGGTGGGAGGATCACCTGAGGTCAGGAGTTCAAGACCAGCCTGGCCAACATGGTGAAACCCCGTCTCTAATAAAATACAAAAAAAATTAGCTGGGCGTGGTGGCGTGAGCCTGTAGTCCCAGCTACTTGGAAGTCTGAGGCTGGAGAATCACTTGAGCTTGGGAGGTGGAGATTGCAGTGAGCTGAGATGGCACCACTGCACTCCAGCCTGGACGACAGTGAGACTCCATCTTAAAAAATAAAAATTCAAGTCTGTCCATTCTTACATAATTATGTAAGGGAGTACACCTCTATAGGACATGCTCACTACACTCTAATCTTAATATAGAGTTGGGCAGTTTAACAGCCTTTTTTTTTTTTTTTTGAAGACAGGGCATTGCTCTGTTGTCTATGCTGGAGTGCTGTGGTACAATTGCCTTGACCTCCCAGGCTCAAGTGATCCTCTCTCCTCAGCCTTCTGAGTAGCTGGGAGTATAGGTGCACATTACCACGCCTGACTAACTTTGATTTTTTGTAGAGGCAGGATTTCACTATGTTGCCCAGACTGGTTCCAGACTCCTGGGCTCAAGCAATCCTCCTGCCTCAGCTTCCCAAAGTGCTGGAATTACAGGCATGAGCCAGCGCACTTGGTCTTAACAGCATTTTTGAATAGTGAATGTCTTCAAAAATATGTTGTAAACAATGAGAAGTTTAAAATGTCTAATCACAGTCACCAACTGTTTAGTTGGTGGATATTGTCAACCTAATGGTGTTCCATTTCCTTTTGCATACAGGTATGTGAGGAAGCTCGATGTCCCAATATTGGAGAGTGTTGGGGAGGTGGAGAATATGCCACCGCCACAGCCACGATCATGGTAGGGCCAGCCTCAACCTCTATGGCTTTAGTCTAGAAACTGAAAGGGACTATTTTGTGTCTTCCTCCTAAAAATGTGCATTATGAATCTCTGGTCAGATTTTTCATTACATTTGCATTTATGAAAAATATTAAGAAAAAACCTGATGGAATAATCCAACCTGTTGTAATCTCACCCTTCTCTGAATAAATCTATTATTGGTTCTTTCATTTATGTGATAGTTAATCACGTGCTGCCTTGAGATACCTCTCCTATCAATGTTTGGAAACATTATTCATGATTGCTTAGCTTTTTATGTGTTTTCTGTTTAACATATTCAACAAGAAGGAGCTGTGCTTTCTGTTTTTACATCCATAGAGACCTGTACATTGATCTGTCATATATTTTATGTCTTTTAAAATCATCTTTTTTTATTATTGAATAGATATAAAAGTATCTTCATAGGCCGGGTGCAGTGGCTCATGCCTGTAAGCTCAGCATTTTGGGAGGCCAAGGCAGGCAGATCATTTGAACCCAGGAGTTCAAGACCAGCTGGGCAACATGGTAAAACCTTGTCCATACAAAAAAAAAGTTTTTAAAAATTAGCTGGGCATGGTGGCACTTGCCTGTATACCCAACTTCTGAGGAGGCTGAGGTGGGAGGATCACTTGAGCCCAACAGGTTGAGGCTGCAGTAAGACATGATCATGCCACTGCGTCCCAGCCTAGACTACAGAGCAAGACCCTGTTTCAAAAAAAAAAAAAAAAAGTATCTTATAAACTGTGTAAGTTATAAAGAATAACACAACAGACACCCTCATACCTCCAGTTTGAGATTAAAACGTTAGCATTATCTTTGAATACCCCTCTGTACCCCCTAAACTGTATATTAGAATCCCATTTTTCAGTTGTGTTTCTATTTTGTTTTAAGAAATGGGGGTCTCACTCTGTCACCCAGGCTGGAGTGCAGTGGCACAGTCATAGCTCACTGCAGCCTCGAACTCCTAGGCTCAAGTAATCCTCCTATCTCAGCCTCCCTAAATACCTGAGGCTACAGGTACATGCCACTACACTAGCTAATTTTTAGAGACAGGGTCTCACCGTGTTGCCCATGCTGGTCTCAGACTCTTAACAATCCTCTCACCTCAGCTTCCAGAGTAGCTGGGATTACAGGAGCAAGCCACTGCACCCTGCTTTGTTTTTAAATTTAAATTTTGCGTCCTTTCCTGATCCCATCCCCTTTCCCCTGAACACTATTCTTATTGCTGAGTTTATTATTTCCCTTTTTAGTTTTATCACATATATTTATGTTCCTTGACTATCATTTAGTTTTGAATGTTTCAAATTTCTTATAAACAGAACCAAACTGTATGCATTCTTTGCAACTTGCTTTATTCTCTCAACATTATGTCCTTAAGGGTCATCTGTCTATTTCATTTAAATTGTAACATTTCTATTCTAGTTGATGGGTGACACATGTACAAGAGGTTGCAGATTTTGTTCTGTTAAGACTGCAAGAAATCCTCCTCCACTGGATGCCAGTGAGCCCTACAATACTGCAAAGGCAATTGCAGAATGGGGTCTGGATTATGTTGTCCTGACATCTGTGGATCGAGATGGTTAGTGTGTCATCATGGCCTCTACCAGAAACTGGCTCTAAATGATGACATCATCCTGAGCAGTGGATTCTTTTGTTTCTAGATATGCCTGATGGGGGAGCTGAACACATTGCAAAGACCGTATCATATTTAAAGGAAAGGTACTTATTTTTGCATTTGTGTAATTTAAGGACCTTTTTGGACCCATATGAGTTAAGTTTAAGTTCATTACCTTGAAACAGGGATTATTCACTTTTTGAGGAGTTTCATAGTTTTCTGATAATTCACTGGAAATTATGTACACATTTCTTTGGAAAAAGCATATTTGTATGTACAGATACATATTTGCAGAGAATTTTAGGGGCTCAGTGACATGAACTTACCCATAGACCTTTAGCCCATAGAATCCCTCCCTCATATTAGAGCATTAGTCTAAACTTTGAATAATTTTCTTTAAAAAGTATAAACCTGGTCTTCTTAGTAATGATTTTTTTTTTTTTTTGAGATGGAGTCTCGCTCTTTTGCCCAGGCTAGAGTGCATGGCACCATCTCACTGCAACCTCTGCCTCCCAGTTCAAGCATTTATCCTGCCTCAGCCTCCCGAGTAGCTGGGATTAGAGGCCCACGCCACCAAGCTCAGCTAATTTTTGTACTTTTAGTAGAGATAGGGTTTGACCATGTTGGCCAGGATGGTCTCAAACTCCTGACCTCAATTGATCCACCCACCTGAGCCTACCAAAGTGCGGGATTACAGGCCTGAGCCATCACGCCCGGCCTGTTTTTTTGGGTTTGTTTTGTTTTTTCTTTTAAGAGACAGTCTTGCTTTGTCATCTAGGCTGGAGTGCAGCGGCCTGATGATCATAGCTCACTGCAGCCTCAAACTTCTGGGCTCAAGCAATCCTTCTGCCTCAGCCTCCCAAGTAGCTGGGACTACAGGTACACTACCACGCTTGGCTAATGTTTTTACATTTTTTTTTAGAGACGGAATCTTGCTATGTTCCCCAGGCTGGTCTCAAACTCCTGACCTCAACCAATACTCCTGCCTCGCCCTCCCAAAGTGCTGAGATTATTCTAATTTTCTACAGCTCAGTACTAGTTTGGCACCTAAGCGCACTTAGTAAATTTTTTAAATGATTCCCTAGTATTTTCTATTTTCTATTTACTATAGTTCATTTTTGAAAAATCTGTTTGCAATCCACTAGGTTTATTTTACAAGCTTCAGTGGGTCTCAGCTTTCAGTTTAAAAAAGCAATAGAACCAAGCACAGTGGTTCACGCCTGTAGTTCTAGCACTTTGGGAGGCCAAAGCAGGAAGATTGCTTGAGGACAGGCGTTCAAGACCAGCCTGGGCAACATAGGGAGATGCTGTCTCTACAAAAAATAAATTAAAAAAAAAAAATAGCTGGATGTGGTAGCATGTGCCCATAGTCCTACCTGCTTGGGAGGCTGAGGCAGAAGGATTGCGTGAGCCCAGGAGTTTAAAGTTACAGTGAGCTATGATGCACTGGGCAACAGAGCAAGACCCTGTTTTTATTTAAAAAAAAAAAATTATAGGATATGTTCTTTGAATATCTCTTATATTCATGATAAGGGTGTACATGTGGTCTTTTCTACATCTGTTCTTTCAGGGAACAACTCCAGACACTTTGCCAGTGGGTTTGTGAAAAAATGTGTCAGCTGTTTCAGTCGTTTTTGCTGGTGTCAAAGGGAACAGCTCTGTGACCCAGTTCACATTATAATACTTGGATGAATAGATATAGCCACAATATAAATAGGAAGATTAATGTTTAGCTCGTACTTCGTTTAACAAAGCTCATGACTCAGCAACCCAGAAAATAGTTTTTAAAACCCGTAGCACTTGTGAAATATTTGCCTAGAGGAAGGGAGGAGAGCATGATTTGATGACTTTTTAAAGAAATCAAAATTAAAGCAATCAAATAATACTCACATTTATATAAGAAATACTTCAATTTACTTTCCAATGAGTAAAGTTTTATATTTAATGTTTTAATATTTCATATTTTAGTTTCTTGCAATTATTTACTTTTTCTAAAACCTACTTAAATTAGGTTTAAAAGTCTACTATATATAATTTGAAATTTTATTCAGTTTGCCTACAGGTGTGTTTTAACCACTGTGTACATAGTATTTAACGGTCTGCTTTTTTTTTTTTAATAATGGTTCATGTATGAACATCTGTATGTTCATACTTTTCTTGACAAAGTTCTAAAGGTTACTGTGTTGAAGCATACTGAACGATTACTGATAATTTCTATTTTGAGGAACAGGTATGTCAGTTCTTTCTCTCTGTTTGATAATTCTCTCTTTTCCCCTTAGGAATCCAAAAATCCTTGTGGAGTGTCTTACTCCTGATTTTCGAGGTGATCTCAAAGCAATAGAAAAAGTTGCTCTGTCAGGATTAGATGTGTATGCACATAATGTAGAAACAGTCCCGGAATTACAGAGGTGAATACGTGTACAAAGTAATGTTGGGAAGTTAGGCGGGTCAAAATATGCCATATATTCTTGCCTTTTCCAGGGCTGAACTTTGCCATTGACTTTTACAAAGTAAACTCTATTCTTTTTTGTTTTTTAGGCAAACTCAATCTATGTCTCTTACATAAAAATCAGAAAATATCACCAACAAAATCAGCATAAATATCACCCATAATAGTATTTCCACCCAGCAATATCAGTTACTAACACCTTAGTGTTTATATTATAAACACTATATTTATACTACATATTTGTATTTTTATATTTATAATATACTTAATTTTTATATTACAAACATTAAGATGTTAGTAACTCATATTACTAAGTTACTGTGTGTGTTTTAATACCCACAAATAATTAACATCTTTTTTCTTTTGTTTTAAAATAATATCATACTGCAAATTTCAATAAGTTGTTTGTTTCCCCCTCCCCACAAATAAAGTTTTCAAAGGAGGGAAAAAATTACACTAGAGCAATTGCTTTGGTTGTAATTCTAAAGAAAAGACTTCAAAAATATATTTGGCTGGATGCTGTGGCTCACGCCTGTAATCTCAGCACTTTGGGAGGCAGAGGCAGGCAGATTACCTGAGGTTGGGAGTTCGAGACCAGCCTGACCAACATGGAGAAACCCCGTCTCTACTAAAAATACAAGATAGCCAGGCGTGGTGGCACATGCCTGTAATCCCAGCTACTCGGTAGGCTGAAGCAGGAGAAGAATCACTTGAACTCGGGAGGCGGAGGTTGCAGTGAGGTGAGATTGCGCCATTGCACTCCAGCTTGGGCAAAAAGAGCGAAACTCCATCTAGAAAGAGAAAGGAAAAAAAAAATATATATATATATATATATTTTTTTATATTATATATATTCATATATATTTATATATATATATTCAGCACTAATATGTGTAATAAATGATGCAGAAGAAAAACTCGTGGCTCACGCCTATAATCCTAGCACTTTGGGAGGCCGAGGCGGGCGGATTACCTGAGGTTGGGAGTTCAAGACCAGTCTGGCCAACATGATGAAACCCCATCTCTACTAAATATACAAAAAATTTTAGCTAGGTGCAGACCTGTAATTCCAGCTACTCTGGAGGCTGAGGCAGGAGAATTGCTTGAACCCGGGAGGCGAAGGTTGCGGTGAGCCGAGATAGTGCCATGGTACTCCATCCTGGGCGACAGCAAAACTTTGTCTCAAAAAAAAAAAAAAAGAAAAAAACTCATATCATTCAGATGTACTTTTTAAAAAAAGTAGACACTATGCTTTCTTATTCCTAATAATTTCAGTAATTAAGACTAATCATTGGCAAGTAACACTGATGTAAGAAAAAAAGTAAGGATTGTTATCCACATCCATTCAAATTTTAGAAAAATGAACATTTTAAGCTTCGGGCAAGAGTAATATCATTTTTTTCTTTAATTTTAGCATTTAGCAGTGATTTTATTAGCTTCTACATATGATCTGTGTCATAGAGCCTGAAAGAAGTTACAGTAAACAATAACCACCATTTTCACTAAATCATAAACAGTAGAGACCATAACTTAATTTCAGTGGAGAAATTCTGTTAAAAAGTGATTTCTATAATGTCAGTTTCAGTTACTTTTAAGTTCATAAATTTGTTTCTTCTCTTTCCTGTTAACTAGTCTCCAATGAAAAACAATTACAGAAAATAAAGCTGCATTAGAATTGAAATGAAATCCAGTTTAACATCAGAAGCTTTCTGGCCTTTTGGCTTAAAGGATAAGTCATTTAAGCCATGGTGGTTTGGCCATTGTTGAAGTCTAGGACACAGCCTGTTCCAACCTCATCATGATACCACCACCAGTGGGTGCCAGTTTCCCTGGTTTCACTTAAAAACATGATCCTTTCCAGTGAAAATTCCAGAATCATGCATTTCTTTACCTAATATGTGGCAGTGTTGTATACTTACCAGCAGAGGGCAGCTTAGTCTTCAGAAAAGAAATGAACTTGAAAGTTTCAACCCTCTGACATGTGGGTTCAGCTTATTTTTTTCTTTGTTCAGTATGGAGACTCTCTTACTTCTGCTTTTTTTCCTTTCTCTTCTAATTTTTCGCTTCAGAATTCTGGTTTCTCAATGCATAAACTGAAGTAATTTCTTCCATTCTACTTTTCTCTGCCCCAGGCTTGAGATAGAACTAGGGAGCCCAGTGAGGCCTTTTCTTTCCTAAATTAACAGGCATCTGTGCATAAATGCTACCTTTGAACTATGTGATTTAAGATAATGTGCAGAATGTACTTCTCTGGTCTTTCAGGTTGCTTGCATAACTATGTACTTGGTTGAACTTGTAATTCTTGCTGACAACAGTCCTGCTGTTTTCCAGTAAGGTTCGTGATCCTCGGGCCAATTTTGATCAGTCCCTACGTGTACTGAAACATGCCAAGAAGGTTCAGCCTGATGTTATTTCTAAAACATCTATAATGTTGGGTTTAGGCGAGAATGATGAGCAAGTATATGCAACAATGAAAGGTAAAGAAATTGAAAAATGAAAAATCTTTCCCATGTAATTTGAGTAATAGCAGGAACCCACTCACTTTGAAGGCCCTTCTAAGAACAAAGAAAAGTATATGGTTATAGATGGCAGCATGAAAAGGAAACCAACTTGCACATGCACCCTCAAATCTAAAATACAAGTTAAAAAAAAAAAAGCAAAGGAAATAAATTTTCTTGGAATTTCATGGAGTGATATGCATGACGCTCAGGATACAAAATTTATATCCCATTTTATTCCCCATCCTTTGCATCCACTGAAAGCATGATTTCATCCACTTTTCTCATTCTATCATTGGACACTTTTGGAGAGCCAGCCTGGTACCAGGCACTGACAGTTCATAGATCAATGAGACTAATCCAGGCCTCTGAGAAAGAGCTTACTTGTAGCATTGTCACATAACATGGTGTGCTTTGGACTTTGCTGAACTTTAGTCCCGTAAGTCCATTTGCTTTGTGATTCTTGGACTTTTTAAACTTTGGAATTTCAAAGTTTTAATTTTAGCTGAGGACCCTTGGACTACTTGTAGTTATTTAGTGGTTCAAAGAGTAATAAGTTCATATAATAATCAAGACCTGCTGTTTACCACATTGCACACAGTTTATTAGAAAGATTCTGATATGTCATAGTTTAAATCACAGCCCCCATAGCATATCTTGTGCATTGAGTAAAAGCCTAATGCAACATATTTGCTCTATAATATAGGTGCATTGAGGTTTTTGCATATACCATTTCCCATACCTTTTCTACCAGACTCCTACTCTAAAATACCCTCCACTACTATTTTAGCATTGATTCCATAGTATTAGAAGTATTTATCCTTGTATGTATCAGCCCTACATGACTGTCTTAATTATTATTGTTTTCAGTCCTTACCACAGTCCCTGGCACATAATACTTTTGAATGAATAGATGTTGTCTTATTCCCCAACATGAAGATTATGGACTGTCATAAAGTTCACACCGTTTTTAAATATTCCTTAGGAAAATTATGCTTAGATCTACAATTAAAGTATTTGCTAATGTAATTTGTGCTTTTCTTCCTACAGCACTTCGTGAGGCAGATGTAGACTGCTTGACTTTAGGACAATATATGCAGCCAACAAGGCGTCACCTTAAGGTACATGTATCTTGATTTGCTTTTTTTTTTTTTTTTTATTTTTAAAGATGGAGTTTTGCTCTTGTCGCCTGAGCTGGAGTGTAGTGGCACAATCTCGGCTCACTGTAATCTCTGCTTCCTGGGTTCAGGTGATTCTCCTGCCTCACCCTCCTGAGCAGCTGGGACTACAGGCGGGTGCCACTACATCCGGCTAAAATATACATATATATAATTTTTTTTTTTTTTTTTTTTTTTTTTTGAGACGGAGTCTCGCTCTGTCGCCCAGGCTGGAGTGCAGTGGGGCAATCTCGGCTCACTGCAACCTCCACCTCCCAGGTTCAAATGATTTTCATGCTTCAGCCTCCTGAGTAGCTGGGATTACAGGCACACACTACCACACCCGACTAATTTTTTTGTAGTTTTAGAGACAAGATTTTGCCATGTTGCCCAGGCTGGTCTCGAACTCCTGAGAGCTCAGGCAATCCACCCGCTTCGGCCTCCCAAAGCGCTAGGATTACAGGCGTGAGCCACCGCACCCAGCCAATTTTTTATATTTTTAATAGAGATGGGGTTTCATCATTTTGGCCAGGCTAGTCTTGAACTCCTGACCTTAGGTGATCCACCCGCCTCAGCCTTCCAAAGTGCTGGGATTACAGGTGTGAGCCACTGCGCCCAGCCCATGTATAGCTTTTGACTCCCAAAAAAACATAACTACTAATAGCCTTCTGTTGACCGGAAGCCATACCAATAACAGTCAATTAACACACATTTTGTATGTTACATGTACTTATATATATACGTATGTGTGTGTGTATATCTGTATATACACACACACATATACACACACACACACACACACACATATATACACATCTTATTCTTATGATAAAGTCAGCTAGAGAAAAAATTTTTTGAAGAAAATCATAAGGAAAAGAAAATATATTTACTAGTCATTAAGTGGAAGTGGACCATCATAAAGGTCTTCATCCTCATCATCTTCATGTAGATGAGGACAAGGGAGAAGAGGAGGAGTTAGTCATGCTGTCTCAGGGGTGGCAGAAATGGAAGAAAATCCTTGTATAAGTGGGCCTGTGCAGTTACCATGTTGTTCAAGGCTCAGCTGTATTCTTATAAGTCCCAGTTTTCATTTTATTATCTACATAAATCAGCTACGTTTGCACATATTTGCTGCCTCCCCCATTCTCTTCACAAATTTCACAACTCAAGTGAACCTAGAGAAAAAGAATTTAAAAGTTGGGAAATGGCACTCATTTACACTTGGTTATTGTGTAACTTGTTTTTGTTATGTTAGAGCCAGAGGCGAAGAAAGAATGGGAAACCATTCTTTCTATTTCTATCATGGACATTTATCCATTCATTCAAGAAGCTTGTGTTGAGCAGTGACCATGTGCCAGTCACAGTGCTAAGCAGAAGATACAAGTTGAGTAAGACAGTCTTGTCCTCAAGAATCAGATAAGCATGAGTAATTCTTGAATTTAGCTGTTAACGAAGGAAAAATATAGATAAATAATATCTGTAGATAATCTCTTCTTTCTCTGTCCTTTGGAATAGCCATTGTAGCACAAAATTGATATGCTTCCCTGTCTCTGTAATTCCCTGTATTTACATCCCAATAGAGTGGCCAAAAAGTAACCAGTAAACACGTAGTCAGGGAGGAGGGAGAGGACAAAAGCCTGGGGGTGGGGGCAAGATAAATTACGCAGTGAAGAGCATTCTGCATACATAGGTATAGACTTTCTGCAGAATCAAAGTGGAATTCTAAAATCTGATCAGAAGTAATTATTTAAATCTAGGTTGAAGAATATATTACTCCTGAAAAATTCAAATACTGGGAAAAAGTAGGAAATGAACTTGGATTTCATTATACTGCAAGTGGCCCTTTGGTGCGTTCTTCATATAAAGCAGGTAAGTTAGATTGTGGGGCATGGTTTCATTTAGGCCGTTAACTTTCCACATTAAGTTCTACCACCAGTCACTAAAACTCTTGACAAATTCTAATACCTTTGGTGGTCTTGGTAGAGGGCGTAGTTTTTCTTCTGGAACATCCTTAGGAGCTTTGCTCCATGGGGATCATATTAAGAAAAGTTTCTCTTAATCTTTTGTTTCTTAAACAAATTCAGCCCCCTGCTTTGTAACTCAGCTACTATAGTAAAAGCAGAAACAATTAGTTTATTAATTTTTTCTATGTGTAGATTTCAGTAGTAGGTTATTCAGAAATGACAGAGCATGTCAAGCATCTAATAGGGTTTTCTGAGAAATACATATTTATTTGGAAATGATGCCAGCTGCATCTCCAGACTCAGTTTCAATCAGTTTAAGCACTGAAAAGTATCTTATTTGATAGCATTGCTTGCATCATTAAATTTCTTTGTATTTTTCCCCCAGAGGCAACAGAAAAATATCCATAAGATTATTTTTCTCCGTAGGAACGTTTAGTTGTTTTACTAGCTACAATGCAAATTTTTTTTACTTTTGGAATTTCAGCTCTTATTTTAATCAATAGCTTGAATTGATTTATGAAAAGAAAATCATTTTCCAAGGGATAAAAAGTCATGTGATAATGATTGTCGGAGGATCCAAAAGAACATATCTGAAGACCGAATTTAATCTAGAAAGTGTTTATGATGTCCCTGTCAGTTGGACTTAACAATTATAATGATTAAGAATAAATTGGCTGGCCAGGTGGGGTGGCTCACACCTGTAATCCCAGCACTTTGGGAGGCTGAGGCGGGCAAATCACGAGGTCAGGAGATCGAGACCATCCTGGCTAACACGGTGAAACCCTCTCCACTAAAAATACAAAAAAATTAGCCGGGCATGGTGGCGGGCACCTGCAGTCCCAGCTACTCGGGAGGCTGAGGCAGCAGAATGGCATGAACCCAGGAGGCCGAGCTTGCAGTGAGCCGAGATTGTGCCACTGCACTCCAGCCTGGGCAACAGAGCAAGACTCTGTCTCAAAAAAAAAAAAAAAAAAAGAATAAATAGGCCAGGCAAGGTGGCTCATGCCTGTAATCCCAGCACTTTGGAAGGCAGTTGGATTACTTGAGCCTAGGAGTTCAAGGATGCAGTGAGCTATGATCGTGTCACTACAGCTCCAGCCTGGGTGACAGAGCAAGACACTGTGTCTCAAAAATAAAATAAAAAAAAGAAACAGCTAGGCCAGGTGTGGTGGTGTGTGCCTATAGTCCCAACTTCTTGGGAGACCGAGGCAGGAGGATCGCATGGGCCCAGGAGTTCAAATACAGCCTGAGCAACATTGTGAGATCTCATCTCTTTATTTTTTATTTTATTATTATTATTTTTTTTTTAGATGCAGTCTCTCTCCATCGCCCAGGCTGGAGTGCAGTGGCACAATCTTGACTCACTGCAACCTCTGCCTCTCAGGTTCACGGCATTCTCCTGCCTCAGCCTCCTGAGTAGCTGGGACTACAGGTGCCCGCCACCACGCCTGGCTAATTTTTTGTATTTTTAGTAGAGACGGGGTTTCACCGTGTTAGCCAGGATGACCTCGATCTCCTGACCTTGTGATCCGCCCACCTGGGCCTCCCAAAGTGCTGGGATTACAGGTGTGAGCCACCGCACCCGGCTGACCTTGTCTCTTTAAAAATAAACTAGGTATTGGCCAGGCGTGGTGGCTAATGCCTGAAATCCCAACACTTTGGGAGGCCGAGGTGGGCAGATCACAAGGTCAAGAGATTGAGATCATCCTGGCCAACATGGTGAAACCCCATCTCTACTAAAAATACAAAAATTAGCTGGGCATGGTGCTGCGCACCTGTAGTCCCAGCTACTCGGGAGGCTGAGGCAAGAGAATAGCTTGAACCTGGGAGGCAGAGGTTGCAGTGAGCCAAGATCCTGCCACTCCACTCCAGCCTGGCGAAAGAGCAACACTCTGTCTCCAAAAGAAAAAATATATATACAAAAATTAGCCGGGCATGGTGGTGTGTGCCTGTAGTCCCAGCTACTTGGGAGGCTGAGGCAGGAAAATTGCTTGAACCCGAGAGACAGAGGTTGTGGTGAGCCAAGATCATGCCACTGCACTCCAGTCTGGGCAACAGAGCAAGACTCTGTCTCAAAAATAAATAAATAAGTAAATAAATAAATAAACTAGGTATTTTTTTTTTTTATCTAAAGTGGTGATGTTTTAAATGATTGCTTTATATATTGGGGTCTAAATCTTAAATATGTTTAAATTAGACAAATTCTATTTGAAAAAATTAATGCTCCAGTATTAGTAATATTCTGTATGTTCCTAGTTCCTATAAAGACATTTAAGGCCGGGTGCAGTGGCTCACGCCTGTACTCCTAGCACTTTGGGAGGCCGAGGCGGGTGGATCACTTGAGCCCAGGAGTTCAAGACCAGCCTGGGCAACATGGCAAAACCCCATCTCTACAAAAATACAAAAATTAGCTGGGTGGCTGAGTTGCTGGGTGGTGGTGGGCACCTCTAGTTCTAGCTACCCAGGAGGTTGAGGTGGGAGGATCACCTGAGCCCAGGAGGTTGAGGCTGCAGTGAGCTGTGATCGTGCCACTGCACTCCAGCCTGGGTGACAGAATGAGACCCCGTCTCAAAAATAAATAAATAAAAATAGTAATTTAAAACATTTTAATGAACTAGTAGCTCATCATAGTTTGAAAACCCAAGAATTTGATTCAGCACTGAGTGACAGAATGTGGGGACTTTGAAAACCA
This sequence comes from Homo sapiens, assembly GCF_000001405.40. Classification (NCBI taxonomy): domain Eukaryota; kingdom Metazoa; phylum Chordata; class Mammalia; order Primates; family Hominidae; genus Homo; species Homo sapiens. Next base: position 39,475,999 of record NC_000004.12, read on the forward strand.
GTAATTGTAAGTGATTTAGTCTTCAAGCAGCACTGCTGGCAAGCTAAAAATACATGTGAAGGATAGAACCACTATCAGCTTCTAGAATGGTTAGAGTAATGTCCTTTGAAAGGAGTTTTTCTTTTGCTAAAGAAAAATTTCTAACATAAAAGGAAGTAAATTATGAACTTTCTGATGCTTTCTAAATTACCAGGAAAAGATCAGATTCTGGTATATGATGAGCATTAGACTAAAATGATGGATTAGGGTCTGATAAAGTTGGTGCTACTCCCACGACATTTGGAGGAGGTATGGAGCAGCATGGATTACTTGGCTGGGTTATGAGCCTTGGGATTTGCAGAGATTATATGTAGATAGACTCATCACAGTTCTACTCATATGTAAGATGACAAAGAGAAGTTAATCAGACTCCTCATAAAATCAGGCCTCTAGTGCTGCACTCTACCAATAAGCATTGAGTCATGCTGTAAGAGCAATAGACTAAATGGAACACTAATGGCCTAAAAAGAGAATGTGCCCTCTAAGCTGCTAACTTATTGCGTAGGCACAACTCAGGCGGTGGGGAGAAAGCCCATTACAAATGAAGAGCTCTTGCTTCCCTAGAGGGGAATAAGCTAAAGAGATTCCATCAGATGCGTCTGCTCAGCTGCAACGAGATCTGTTTTATAAACATCAGATCCAGCCTAATAATGTAGCAAAATTGCTCTTGGAAATGAATTTTGCCAAGAGCAATACTTTGACAGTGATGAGGGATAGATAGTGCACATAAAGTAGAATTAATGTGCAGACCCATATATACAGTAGGGTCACCCTTTGTAATATTGGCTTACTAGAAAGAATAATAGTAGGAGACTCTAGTCATTATTGCTGGGGAGAAAGGCCAAAGATAATAGGGGATATTTAGGTTAGAAAAATATTGCCATTGAGGTTTGAGAAGAGAGAAGTGCCAATAAATACAAAAGTCTTCTTTAAAGGGGGAACACCAAAAATATAATTCTGAAATAGTTGTCTCACTGTTATTTACTTTAAATTGATATTAATGTGTTTTCCTTTTTCCTAAATAGGTGAATTTTTCCTGAAAAATCTAGTGGCTAAAAGAAAAACAAAAGACCTCTAAAACTTCAACAAGACCTTCAAGATCACAGAAATTTTTAAAATTTGATTCCAGTTAATAACAGAGGTGGTGCCAGAATGCCTGGACTGCAGTGGATGTGCCCCACCTCTTTGCTTAAAAAAAAAAATGTCAATAGCCAGGCATAGTGGCTCACGCCTGTAATCCCAGCACTTTAGGAGGCCAAGGCGGGTGGATCACCTGAGGTCAGGAGTTCGAGACCAGCCTGGCCAACATGGTGAAATCCTGTCTCCACTAAAAACACAAAAATTAGTCAGGCGTGGTAGTGGGTGCCTGTAATCCCAGCTACTCGGGAGGCTAAGGCAGGAGAATCACTTGAACCTGGGAGGGGGAGGTTGCAGTGAGCCAAGATCGCTCCATTGCCCTCCAGCCTGGGTGACAAGAGCAAAACTCCATCTCAAATAAATAAAAAGGAAAAAAAAGTCAATAAACTGTACAAATTTAATTACAGTAATTCATTTGGCTTTTAGTGTATCTTCTTTGTCCCAATTAAACAGTTGCTTGCTGTGATGTAATCTTAAAATATCTTTGTAAGAATTTTCTTTTAACATAATTTTAAAATGCATTAAAAACATGGCATGGTGGCTCACACCTATAATCCCAACATTTTGGGAGGCCAGGGCGGGTGGATCACTTGAACCCAGGAGTTCGAGACCAGCCTGGGCAACATGATGAGACCTTATCTCTACAAAAAATTAGCCAGACGTGGTGGCACGCACCCGTAGTCCCAGCTACTCAGGCTGAGGTGAGAGGATCACTTGAACCTGGAAAGCAGAGGTTGCAATGAGCTGAGGTGGTGCCACTGCTCTCCAGCCTGGGCGCTACAACTGCTCTCCAGACTCTGTCTTGAAAAAAAAACCCAAAAACTTCCAGAAGATTTTCCAATCCACTGTTAACATCATTACATTTCATTTATGAAAAATAAAAACTTCATTTATGTTACTGTGATGAAACAGTCAACATAGATTGAAACTCATCAGTTTAGCATTTCATTCAACTTTAGCATTCATTCAACGTAGATTGAAACTCATCAGATTAGCATTTGTCCTTGTAATATTGGAATAATTTAGAAAGGCTTAAGAGTGAATGTTGGCCAGATGTGGTGGCTCATGCCTGTAATTCCAGCACTCTGAGAGGCCGAGGTGGGCAGATCACCTGAGGTCGGGAGTTTGAGAACAGCCTGGCCAACCTGGTGAAACTCCATTGCTACTAAAAATAAAAAAATTAGCTAGGTGTGTTGGCAGGTGCCTGTAATCCCAGCTACTTGGGAGGCTGAGGCACGAGAATTACTTGAGCCTGTGAAGCAGAGATTGCAGTGAGGCGATATCGTGCCACTGCACTCCAGCCCGGGCAACAGAGTGAGACTGTCTCAAAAAAAAAGTAAATGTTGATTTTTTACATTGGTGTGACTACTTCAGAACCTGCAAAATAGTTTTATGCTGATTACATTTAGTCCCTCTGAAAACACCAAGGCCATAATGCTGCCTAAGACATGGAAATAGAACCTAGAAATATTAACCCTTATTTGTATAGTAGCTTGCTAAATCCACATGCCCTATTCCTTTCATTTCTCACATTGGTTGTATTATATGATGGTAAAGGCCTGAGAAAGGAATTTCCTTCCAAAATACTAATAACTCAGATTCATCTTTTGACTGAATCCTGCCTTTCTACTTTTTCTGCATATCTAAAAGGACACTTTTAGGTGGCCATGTTGTAAAATATGTAAAGTGGATAGCCAATTCTGTTTTGAATTCTTATAACGAGCCAGTATTATAAAAGTAATGCACATCCTTGCCAGGTGTGGTGGCTCACGCCTGTAATCCCACCACCTTGGGAGGCTGAGGCGGGTGAATCAGTTGAGCTCAGGAGTTTGAGACTAGCCTGGGCAACACAGTCAGACCCCCATCTCTACCAAAAATACAAAAAATTAGCTGGGTGTGGTGGCACATGCTTGTAATCTCAGCTATTTGGGAGGCTGAGGCAGGAGAATCACTTGAACCTGACAGGCAGAGGTTGCAGTGAGCTGAGATCACATCACTGTACTCCAGCCTGGGTGACAGAGACCGTGTCTCAAAAAAAATTTTTTTAAGTAATGCATGGGCCGGGCATGGTGGCTTAATGCCTGTAATTCCAACGTTTTGGGAGGCCGAGGCAGGTGGATCACCTGAGGTCAGGAGTTTGAGACCAGCCTGAACAACATGGTGAAACACTGTCTCTACTAAAAATTAAAAAATTAGCCAAGTGTGGTGGCGCATGTCTGTAATCCCAGCTACTCAGGAGGCTGAGACAGGAGAATCCTTGAACCTGGGAGGCAGAGGTTGCAGTGAGCTGAGATCACACCATTGCACTCCAGCCTGGACAACGAGTGAAACTCCTCAAAAAAAAAAAAAAAAAAAAGTAATGTATGTCTTTATAGATGCTAGTAAATTTTGGGATGCAAATTTAACCCTACCAACTTTCTTTTGTTTTGAGACAGTCTCACTCTGTCAGGCTAGAGTGCAGTGGCGCGATCTCAACTCACTGCAACCTCTGCCTCCTGGGTTCAAGTGATCCTCCTGCGTCAGCCTCCCAAGTAGCTGGGATTACAGGCGCACACCATCACGCCCAGCTAATTTTTGTATTTTTAGTAGAGATGGGGTTTTGCCGTGTTGGCCAGGCTGGTCTCAAACTCTAGGCCTCAAACGATCTGACCGCCTTGGCCTCCCAAAATGTTGGGATTTGTGAGCCACCACCGGGCCTAACCCTACCAACTTAAAATAGAAACATCTCAAGCTACCTTAACTTATTTTACAGGAAAAAAATGGATTACTTTTCAGGCTAATTTTGTGACATTTCTAGATATTATCTAATAGTTAGGCCCTTTGCACAGTGTAGGCCAATGGCAGGTAAACATTTGTTAGCAGGAGACTCATTTGGTGAAATAAAATTCTCAGCCGGCGCGGTGGCTCACGCCTATAATCTCAACACTTTGGGAGGCCGTTGCGGGCGGATCACCTGATATCAGGAATTGACACCAGCCTGGCCAACATGGCAAAACCCCATCTCTACTAAAAATATAAAAAATTAGCTGGGTGTGGTGGCACGTGCCTGTGGCACTGAGGAGGCTGAGGCACAAGAATCGCTTGAATCCAGGAAGCAGAGGTTGCGGTGAGCCGAAAATGCACCACTGCACTCCAGCATGGGCAACACAGTGAGACTGTTGTCTCAAAAAAAATAAATGAATAGGCCGCGCTCCCGCCCAGGGAGGATGCGCCGACGCCCCGAGCGCCCGGCCCTCCGCAGCAGCCCGGCAGACTGCCTCTGTCATCAGGACCCTCCGTCCACGTCCCCTGTGCGGCCAGCGTCAGAGCCATGGCGATGGAGGAGAGGAAGCCCGAGACCGAGGCAACGAGAGCACAGCCGACCCCTTCGTCATCCACCACTCAGAGCAAGCCTACGCCCGTGAAGCCAAACTATGCTCTCTAAAGTTCACCCTTGCTGGCCACACCAAAGCAGTGTCCTCCGTGAAATTCAGCCCGAATGGAGAGTGGCTGGCAAGTTCATCTGCTGATAAACTCATTAAAATTTGGGGGACTCATATGATGGGAAATTTGAGAAAACCGTCTGGTCACAGCCTGGTCGTCAGATTCTAACCTTTTTGTTTCCGCCTCAGATGACAAAACCTTGAAGATACGGGACGTGAGCTCGGGAAAGTGTCTGAAAACCCTGAAGGGACACAGTAATTATGTCTTTTGCTGTAACTTCAATCCCCAGTCCAGCCTTACTGTCTCAGGATCCTTTGATGAAAGTGTGAGGATATGGGTTGTGAAAACAGGGAAGTGCCACAAGACTGCTAGCTCACTCCGATCCAGTCTCGGCCATTCATTTTAATCGTGATGGATTCTTGATAGTTTCAAGTAGCTATGATGGTCTCTGTCACATCTGGGACACAGCCTCAGGCCAGTGCCTGAAAACGCTCACTGATGATGACAACCCCTGGTGTCTTTCGTGAAGCTCTCCCCGAAGGGTGGATACATCGTGGCTGCCACGCTGGGCAACACTCAAGCTCTGGGACTACAGCAAGGGGAAGTGCCTGAAGACATACACTGGCCACAAGAACGAGAAATACTGCATATTTGCTAATTTCTCTGTTACTGGCGGGAAGTGGATTGTGTCTGGCTCGGAGGATAACCTTCTTTACATCTGGAAACTTCAGACGAAAGAGATTGTACAGAAATTAGAAGGCCACACAGATGTTGTGACCTCAACAGCTTGTCACCCAACAGAAAACATCATCACCTCTGCCGCGCTAGAAAATGACAAAACAATTAAACTGTGGAAGAGTGACTGTTAAGTCCCTTTGCTCCCACATGCGATAGACCATCAGGAAGTTGACCCGGATTGGCAAGAAACATGATGTCTCGGAGGCGGTCCCCTGGGTCTGTGCCTGGGGGTCAGGACCGGGCCTGATTTGAGCCTCCTTTTTGAAGATGATTTGGCCGAGTGTGGACCACCGGAAAGTTCTAAAAGTTGCTGGTGACATTTCTTGCCAATTCTCTAACACTGTCTAGGGAAGAGTTCCTAGTCTGTTGTGTTCAAACAGAGTCAACAAAAATTTTTAATTTTTTGTTACAAAAGGGTGAAGTTCAATTTTAAAAATAAATAATAAATATAATAAAAATCTCATGGAACTTCAATGTAAAATAATTAAAATGGCATTTTATTAGCAGTGTATGTTAAAGTTTCAGATTTGTAACATTTACTCTGTAAATAAAAATAGGGAATAAGTAAAATGAAGCAATTTTGATACATATGCAAAATTGGGATTTATGGATAACAGTTGCTGTCTTCAGCCTCAAGAGTCTACTTATTTGTTTTGGTTGCACAGTATTGAGAACAATTCTAATATAGCTAAATAATAGTAAATTTCAGTTAATAGCATAGCTTAAAAAGAAAAAAATAGTAAATAATTTTTAAAAATGGTAAAACACCTCATCTTGGAATGTCTGGATACTTTCCAGTTAAATTTAATACAGAAACTTGAAAGAGGAATAGCAGGAGATGTTTTTGTTTTGTTTTGTTTTGTTTTGTTTTTGAGACAGAGTCTCGCTCTGTCGCCCAGGCTGGAGTGCAGTCATGCGATGTGGGCTCACTGCAACCTCCACCTCAAGTGATTCTCGTGCCTCTGCCTCCTGAATAGCTGGGATTACAGGCACGCACCACCATGCCCAGCTAATTTTTGTGTTTTTAGTAGAGACAGAGTTTCACCATGTTGCCCAGGCTGGTCTGGAACTCCAGGACTCAAGTGATTCACTCATCTCGGCGACTCAAAGTGCTGGTATTACAGGCACGCGCCAACACTCCCAGCTAATTTTTTATATTTTTAGTAGAGATGGGGTTTCACCATGTAGGCCAGGCTGGTCTCAAACTCCTGACCTGAAGTGATCCGCCAGCTTTGGCCTCCCAAAGTGCTGAGATTACAGGCGCGAGCCACTGCGCCCAGCTGGGGCTGCTATTTTTGAATCTGCTTTTAAAGAGCAGGTGGTACCTTTCCCTTCCTCTTTTCCTTTTTCCTTGCTGGCTAGAATGAAAACATGATGCTTAGAGTGGGAGCAGCCATCCTGGACATGAGATGGGAGACTTGTGTCAAGGACAGCAGAGCGACCAGATGAGGAAGGCTTGGGCCTTTTCCAGCCCTCGACCACCTACCTGGACTTTTGTGTGAGAGAGAAATACATTACTATTCTGCTTAACACACTATAATATTGGGTCCCTCTTGGAGCATCCAAGTTTATATGCTAATGCAATTTATAAATTATGTTTATTCTAATGCCCGTAAAATAAATGCCTATTAAAATTAAGAAAGATATATATGCACCTAAAATAATCTCCCATGTTACTAGCATTATCTAGTGAGTAGTCTCTTACATGTCTGTATTCAAGAAAAAGGAAGGGAAGAAGGGAGCAAGCGGTCACTGTATCCAACTTATCCTCTGCTTATACATATTATTTTGCAAGGCAAACACTAATGATATATTTCTTCCTGAGTTTTTGGTCTAAAACTTGAACACACTCCCAGTATGTGGTGATGATAACAGCTAGTTGGGGACCACATGCTATGGAAAGCTAGGATAAGTCTCTAAAAAGTGACTAACAAAGTTCATGCCTTTTTTTTTTTTTTGAGCTAGAATCTCGCTCTGTCACCCAGGCTAGAGGGCAGTGGTGCGATCTCAGCTCACTGCAAGCTCCGCCTCCTGGGTTCACACCATTCTCCTGCCTCAGCCTCCCAAGTAGCTGGGACTACAGGTGCCCGCCACCATTCCTGGCTTATTTTTTTGTGTTTTTAGTAGAGATGGGGTTTCACTGTGTTAGCCAGGATGGTCTTGATCTCCTGACCTCATGATCTGCCCATCTTGGCCTCCCAACATTCTGAGATTACAGGCATGAGCCACAGTGCCTGGCCTTTTTTTTTTTTTTTTTTTTGAGATGGGATCTCACTCTGTTGCCCAGGCTGGAGTGCAGTGGCACAATCTTGGCTCACTGCAGCCTCAACCTCCCTGGCTCAAGTGATCCTCCCACCGCAGCCCCCCAAATAGCTGGGACTACAGGTCCCCACCACCACACCTGCCTATTTTTTTTTTTTTGTCATTTTGGCAGAGATGGGGTCTTGCCATGTTGCCCAGGTGGGTCTCAAACTCCTGAGCTCAAGCAATTCACCCACTGTGGCCTCCCAAACTGCTCAGATTATAGGCATGAGCTACTGCACCTGGCCTTTTTTTGTTGTTTTTTTTAAATAATGTGATAGCTGCAATTGTGCCACTGCACTCCAGCCTGGGCAAGTGAGACTCTATCTCAAAAAAGCACAAAAAATCGGCTGAGTGTGGTAGCTCATGCCTGTAATCCCAGCACTTTGGGAGGCTGAGGCAGGTGTATCACCTGAGGTTAGGACTTTGAGACCAGCCTGGCCAACATGGTGAAATCCCATCTCTACTAAAAATACAAAAATTAGCCAAGCACGGTGGCGGGCACCTGTAATCACAGTTACTCGGGAAGCTGAGGCAGGAGAATTGCTGGAACCAGGAGGCGGGGGTTGTAGTGAGCCGAGATTGCACCATTGCACTCCAGCCTGGGCAACAGGAGTGTGAAGCTCTGTCAAAAACACACACACACACACACACACACACACACACACAATAAATAAATAAAATTTTTAAGTTAAAAAAAAGTGACTACAAAAATAAAAAACACCTCAATGTTTCCTTTTACCATTTTAACCTTTTTTTTGAGACAGGATCTTGCTGCATCACCCAGGCTGGAGTGCAGTGGCACAAATCGGCTCATTGCAACCTTGACCTCCCAAGCTCAAGTGATCCTCCCACCTCAGCCTCCTGAGTAGCTGGGACTACAGACACATGCTACCACTCCTCACTAATTTTTTTTCTATTATTTGTAGAGATCTCACTATGTTGCCCAGACTGGTCTTGAACTCCTGGGCTCAAGTGATCCTCCCTTCTCGACCTCCCATAGTGAGGCAGAAATTAGAGAAAGAAGAAATAAAAACTAAAAGAGAAAGACACGTTTTCCTGTATTAGGTTGTCTCATCCCAAAAAGCAGTAACAGACAGAGCCCAGGTGCAGGCAAGGTCCTGATAACACTATCTAAGAAGTCAGAACCCAAAAGGAATGTGCTCTGGAGGCTCTCCCAGCACTCCCCAACATAAGGATAAGAAAAACAAAATTCCTCTTTTAGCCCTTTACCACCTCCCCATAAATATTTTGCAAGTTTTAGAAGTTCCTGTTTCTCCTTCAATGCAACTGCAAGGTCACAAGCTATGCTAGAGATTACGAGACCTGTCACTGTTTCATTAACTGTCTTTATTCTGCTTCTGTAAGCTTTCTTATAAAAATTGAGCCCTGTCTTTGTTCTGGCCTCAATTTTTTGGATATGAATCCACTGAGCCAGCATACACCTTAATAAAAATCCTCCTGTAACACCCATTTGGTCTCTTTGGTCCTCTGATTCCTACAACATTTTGGTGAGCCAGCCGGGAGAGGAGATGACAGGTTTGCTGTCTCCTTTGCCTGTGGGGCTGGAGCCCCAGACTGGCGGGATACCTGTGACCCCAGGTGTGCCATCAGGAGAACTTCAACCCGGAGGGGAGATCAGCTCTCCTGCGACCCAGTGTCCCTTCGCTGACAGTGCAACGGAACCTAAGGGGTATAGGACGATTCCAGGGTCAGTGCACTTCAGGACCACGGTAAGGTATTGGGGCCCAAGGCAGGACCTGTCCCATAAGGAGGGAAGGGGAGCCTGATCACCTTCCAGGGTGCAACTAGTAGTCCGACACAGGATGAGAGAATGGCTCGTAAATGTTGGGGAAACTTACACCCTAACCAACCCAGGACGCAAGAGTGGCAGGGAAGCAATTGGTCATGTATTTAGGGTAGTAACTGGGGTCGGAGGACAGCCGGGACACCTGGACCAATTCCCCTATATCTACTCATGGCCGCACTCAGGTTATGCAAATGCCTCTCAGGTAAAAAAGAGGACCCCCCTCTATTATAATGAACAAGGTCAAATCCAGGGAAGGGAATGAACCTTCATTTACCAGCCTTTTTCAACCACTGATCTCCTAAACTGGAAGCACCATACCCCTTCCTGCACAGAAAAACCTCAGGCCTTTATAGATCTGGTGCAGTCCATCTTCCTAACACACAATCCAACTTGGCCAGATGTCAAACAGCTCCTCCTGATGCTGTTTAATACTGAGGAGCACCGGAGGATAACTCAGGCAGCCCTCCACTGGCTTGAAGCAAATGTACCAGCAGGCACAATGAACGCTCAGGCATATGCTCAAGGCCACCTCCCAGAAGCAGACCCACACGAGGACCCAAATGATGTAACCCAGTTTCAGCACCTGCAGAGGTACCAAGAGGCAATCCTGCAAAGGCTGAGAAATGGTGGGAAAAAGGCAATCAACATACGGAAAATCTCAGAGATGCTCCAGGGAGCAGATGAAAGCCCTAGCCAGTTTTATGAAAGACTGTATGAGGCATTCCGGCTTTGTACTCCGTTTGACCCTGAAGCAGCTGAAAATCAGCACATGGTGAACACAGCATTTGTAGGACAAGCCCAGGGTGACATCAAACAGAAGCTGCAGAAATTAGAAGGGTTTACAGGCACGAATGCCACCCAGCTTATAGAGGTGGCCACTGAGGTGTATGTTAACCGTGACCAAGAGGCAAAGAAGGAAGCAGAACAGAGGCTTGAGAAAAGGGCCGATCTGTTAGCGGCAGCCCTCGTAGAAAGGGAAACTAGTATTCTAAGAGGATGTGGACGTGGACATGGATGTGGAAGAGGTCAAGTTAGGCAGAGATCTGAGAGCCGGCCGAGGCTAGAGAGAGATCAATGTACATGATGCAAAAAGAAGGGACACTGGAAGGATGAGTGTCCAGAAGGTAATGAGGAGAGTAGTCAGGGCCATGGTATGAAGAGACCATCTGCCAAGGGCTGCCGCACCCTGGGGGAACTAGATACTGATCTAATCAGGCTGGCAGGGGCTGAAGGATATGAAGACTGGGACAGACTGGGCTCCTTCTCTTTAGGCCCCCAGGAACCAATAGTCACATTAGAAGTTGCGGGCCAGCTAATGGACTTTATGGTAGACACTGGGGCTGAACACTCAGTAGTGACCTGACCTATAGGGCCACTAATCACGAACTATACAACTATTGTAGGAGCCACTAGAGTCTCAGAGAAAAGGCCTGTCAGTCAAGGAGGTGTGTTATAGGAGGACGAGAGGTCCAACATGAATTCCTATACCTCCCAAATTGTCCAGTTCCTTTGCTGGGAAGAGACCTACTCCAAAAACTCCAAGTACAGATTGCTTTTGGGCCACAAGGAAGTATGACTTTGAGCCTAACTGAGCTGAAGGCCATGATGTTAACCCTTACTGTCCCACAGACTGAGGACTGGAGACTATATGCAAAAAAGACTCCAGAACCAGGAGTAAATGAAATGTATCGGTTACTTACTAAAATTCCTGGAGTATAGGCTGAAGATAACTCACCAGGGCTGGCTGTAAATCAGGCACTGGTAGTAGTAGGGTCAGAACCAGGAGGCCCCCTTCATTGCTGTGGAGATATAGTAGATAAGGTGTTCTCAAGCCAGAGAGATTTTACAGACCAACCCCTCAGGGCCCCAGATGTTGAATACTTTACAGATAGAAGCAGTTTTGTACTGGAAGGGATCTGACAAGCCGGGTATGCAGTAGTAACATTAAACTCAGCAGCAGAGGTACAGTCTCTGCCCACCGGAACATCAGCCCAAAAGGCAGAACTAATAGCCCTGACAAGAGCCCTTTTGCTAGCAAAAGACAAAAAAAGTCAATGTCTGGCCAGTCACGGTGGCTCACGCCTGTAATCCCAGCACTTTGGGAGGCTGAGGCGGGCGGATCACGAGGTCAGGAGATCGAGACCATCCTGGCTAACACAGTGAAACCCCGTCTCTACTAAAAATACAAAAACTTAGCTGGGTGTTGTGGCGGGCGCCTGTAGTCCCAGCTACTCGGGAGGCTGAGGCAGGAGAATGGTGTGAACCTGGGAGGCGGAGGTTGCAGTGAGCCGAGATGGCGCCACTGCACTCCAGCCTGGGTGACACAGCGAGCCCCGTCTAAAAAAAAAAAAAATAGTCAATGTCTACATGGATTATAAGTATGCCTTTGCTACATTACATGTTCATGGAGCTATATATAAAGAAAGAAGACTTTTAACTGTAGGGGGCAAAGAAAGTACAAAGAAGAAATTCTACAGCTCTTAAATGCTATATGGGCTGCTCCAAAGAAAGTAGCCGTTATGCATTGCAAAGGGCACCAAAAGGCAGGAACACTAGAGGCCAAAGGAAACAGAAAAGCAGACAAGGAGGCAAAACGGTCAGCAATGACTACCCCGCACTGTAAAGAGGAGATCCTAGCTTTGCCTCTCCTCCCAGAGCCTCCCCTGCCAGAGGTCCCAAATTATTCTCCAAATGAAACGGGCCTAATTTGCCCAAGAAGCCAGAAATTACATTGAAGGAGGATGGTGGAAATTCTCAGATGGGAGGCTAGCCATTCCTGAAATGGTAGCCCCTAAGTTTGTAAAAACAATTCCATCAAATAACTCATATTTTTTAAAAATGGCATTAGAGACACTACTTAGACTCCATTTCTGTGTGCCACGACTCACTGCCATTGCCCGAGCCGTTTGTGAACAATGTCTAACTTGTGTTCAGAACAACCCTCTGCAGGGGCCTACCCGGCCCCCAGGAATTCAAGAAATAGAGGCCACACCTTGTGAAAACTTGCTTCTGGACTTTACCGAGCTGCCCCAAGCAGGAGGCTATCAGTACATGTTGGTGTTCATCTGCACCTTCTCAGGGTAGGTTGAGGCTTTCCCCACCCGGACAGAAGAGGCGCAGGAAGTAACTAAAGTACCGATAAGAGACATTATTCCCAGATTTAGACTGCTTCTAACTCTAGTGTCAGACAATGGACTGGCATTTGTAGCTGAAATAGTTCAAGATCTAACACGGCTGTTAAAAATAAAATGGAAATTACACAAGGCCTACCAGTCACAAAGCTCAGGAAAAGTGGAGTGCATGAACTGGATGGACACTCAAGCAGCTACTGAAGAAATATTGCCAGGAGACTTATCTGAGATTAGATCAAGTCTTGCCCATGGTCCTCCTCTGAGTCAGGCGCACCCCCACTAAACAAACTGAGTATTCGCCCTGTGAGATTTTGTTTAGCCGGCCATCCCTAATCATAGGTCAAGTTAGAGGTGATCTCCGTGAGCTAGGAAAACTAACTTTGAGAAAGCAAATGCAGGCTTAGGGATAGCCATGTAAACAGTTCATAGCTGGGTACATGAAAGAATACCTGTTAAGTCTAACAGACCCAGCACACCGATTTAAACCTGGGGACTTTCTTTAGGTTAAAAAATTGGAATCCAACCACTTTGGGACCCATAAGAGATAGGCCCCATACTGTAATCTTGTCCACTCCCACTGCTGTTAAAGTTGCGAGAATCGTGCCTAAGATCCACCACAGTCTGCTGAAACTGGCGGCCCAAGACCGGTAGATCAGCCACCAGGACCCAGACCACCCGACCCGACTCAGCCTGCGACAAAACTAAGCTGCCAGTAGAGACAGCAGACCTGCTCTAGTCACTCCAGAAGCTGACTAGTCTATGCACCGGCTGAAGCTTGAAGAATCATCATCAGGGAAGTAAATGTAGCCAGAGATCTTAAGCCCAATAACTTTCCGTATAATATTAATTGTTTTGCTGGCCGGGCGCGGTGGCTCATGCCTGTAATCCCAGCACTTTGGGAGGCTGAGGCGGGCGGATCAAGACGTCAGGAGATCGAGACCATCCTAGCTAACATGGTGAAACCCCATCTCTACTAAAAATACAAACAATTAGCCGGGTGTGGTGGCGGGCGCCTGTAATCCCAGCTACTCTGGAGGCTGAGACAGGAGAATGGTGTGAACCTGGGAGGTGGAGCTTGCAGTGAGCCGAGATCGCGCCACTGCACTCCAGCCTGGGCGAGACAGTGAGACTCCGTCTCAGAAAAAAGAGAAAGACCCATAGAGGAATCCCTCACTGCATGCATACCACATGGTTAAGAAACACAATAGATAAGACTTTATTGTACTATACGTATTATGAGTGAACAGGAAGCCATCTGGGGACTTGCATGCACAACCAGACAACCTATTCAGTCTGTGACCCAAGAGATGGCCGGCCTTCTATGTGCTATAATCCCAAGCTCATACCTGAAACCCAAACCTGAAAACCAAAAGAGTCCCCAGACTCCCTCTTCAGAGGTTGGTTTTCGTCTTTTGGTGGATTTAAAACATGAACAGAAGTGGTGCTGGCTACGTTAAGTGGTTGCTTAATACTCCCTTGCCTCTTACCCCTCCTTGTCAGAAGCATTCAATCGACTTAGTAGACAAAACAACCACCACTCGACTAATGGCTCTAAGTACCAGCCATTGCCAACTGAAGAAAATTATGCTGCCATGAAGAATTAAATAATAGTGATGCTTTCTATTAAACTTCATTTATAAAAAGCATCAAAGGGGGGAATGAGGCAGAAATTAGAGAAAGAAGAAATAAAAACTAAAAGAGAAAAGCAAGTTTTCCTGTATTAGGCTGTCTCATCCCAAAAAGCAGTAACAGACACAGCCCAGGCCAAGACAAGGTCCCGATAACACTATGTAAGAAGTCAGGACCTAGTAGTGCTAGAATTATAGTCATGAACCACCATGCCCAGCCCACTTTAACCATGTTGAAGTGTACGATTCAGTGGCATTAAGTACATTCCCAATGTTATGTAACCATCAGTGTCTCTATTTTGACAAGTGAGTGAAGCCCAAGCTCAGTGTAGAGTTCAAGGCCTTCCACAATTTGCCCTTGGTCTAACCTTCCAGTCTTCTCCAGCTATTCCTCCTCCTACTCCCTTCAACTCCAGAAAAAAAGACAGCTTGCTTTCCCTAAAAGCAGCCTGAATCTTCCTGCTTCCATCTTTTTCTTCCCATTGCTTCTGCCATGGACCTGCCAATTCAAACCCACCCTTCCCCTACTAAGATCATGTCTCTTTATTAAGATCCACCTCAAATGCCACCGGGAAGGCTTCCTGTTTTCCTCAGCTGGAGTAATCTTTACCTCTGTGTCCACACAGCATTTTTTAAAATCACTTATGGCTATTTTCTTGGTTGGGCCAGTTATTTGTGTACCTGCCTCTCTTAAGATCTCTCTCATTCATCTGTGCCCTCTGTTAGCATCTCACAGTATCTGCATTATAGTAGGTGCACAGACACCTAATTTGAAATATTATTCTTTTTTGAGATGGAGTTTTGCTCTTGTCCAGGCTGGAGTGCAGTGGCACGATCTTGGCTCACTGTAACCTCCACCTCCCGGGTTCAAGCGATTCTCTTGCCTCAGCCTCCCAAGAAGCTGGGATTACAGGCACATGCCACCACGCCTGGCTAATTTTTGTATTTTTAATAGAGACATGGTTTCACCATGTAGGCCAGGATGGTCTCGAACTCCTGACCTCAGGTCATCCACCCATCTCAGCCTCCCAAAGTGCTGGGATTACAGGCATGAGCCACTGCGCCCGGCCCTAATTTGACATATTCTAAGTAGAGTTACTTAAAGGTGAGTACAAATGAGCTTACTTTACACATTACAATTAGACCTTACCTTCACCAGCTGAGTTGTCTTACTGAACCCTCCTCCATGTCCCCTATCCCATACCTCCTGTAGAACCTCAGACCCTTTCTGGGTGTCCCCAGGAGGTTGGAGGCCATGTGTTCACTTCCATTTCAGCTGCTGTTCAAGCAATTTTCCTTTAGCAACTTTCTGATTACTTACTTATTTATTTATTTTTTGAGATAGAGTCTTGCTCTGTTGCCCAGGCTGGAGTGCAGTGGCGTGATCTCAGCTCACTGCAACCTCTGCCTCCCAGTTCAAACGATTCTCCTGCCTCAGCCTCCCTGAGTAACTGGGATTGCAAGTGCCTGCCACCACCCCCAGCTAATTTTTTTTTTTTTTTTGAAATGGAGTCTTGCTTTGTTGCCCAGGCTGGAGTGCAATGGCGCAATCTCACTTCAACCTCCGCCTCCCTGGTTCAAGCCATTCTCCTGCCTCAGCCTCCTGAGTATCTGGGATTACAAGCACCTGCCACCATGCCCAGCTAATTTTTGTATATTTAGTAGAGACAGGTTTTTACCCTGTTGGCCCAGCTGGTCTCAAACTCCTGACCTCAGGTGATCCTCCCATCTTGGCCTCCCAAAGTGCTGGGATTACAGGCGTGAGCTACCGCACCTGGCCAATTTTTGTATTTTTTTAATAGAGACAGGGTTTCACCATATTGGCCAGGCTGGTCTGGAACTCCTGACATCTAGTGATCCTCCAGCCTCAGACTTCCATACTACTGAGATTACAGGTGTGACCACCGCACCCAGTGCAACCTTCTGATTCTTTCCTTGAGATGCTATTTCATTATTCTGTCTAAAGCCATTGGTGCTTGTTCTTCTCTTTTCTTCTTCTTCTTTTTTTTTTTTTTCTGAGACAGTCTCACTCTGTTGCCCAGGCTGGAGTGCAAGGGTGCGATCTTGGCTCACTGCAGCCTCTGCGTCCTGGGTTCAAGTGATTCTCCCTCCTCAGCCTCCCAAGTAGCTGGGATTACAGGCGCCCGCCACCATGCCCAGCTAATTTTTGTTTTTGCTTTTGTTTCAAGATTGAGTTTCGCACTTGCTGCCCAGGCTGGAGTGCAATGGCGCAATATCGGCTCACTGCAACCTCTGCCTCCCGAGTTCAAGTGATTTTCCTGCCTCAGCCTCCCAAGTAGCTGGGATTACAGGTGCCCACTACTATGCCCAGATAATTTTTGTATTTTTAGTAGAGATGGGATTTCACCATGTAGGCCAGGCTGTTCTCGAACTCCCGACCTCAGGTGATCCCCCTGCCTCGGCCTCCCAAAGTGCTGGGATTATAGGCGTGAGCCACTGTGACTGGCCGTTCTTCTTAATAATGATGATAATACAATACCTCTAAAAGTAGGGTATTTTCAGCTTCAAATAAGAAATGTCCTATTCAATCGTGTCATTAAGGAGGACATTTATGTCACCAAACAGGAAGTAGTCTTCAAGGTTCATTGATTCAGGGACTCAACAAAGTAATCGAGGATCTAGGTTTTTCCTTCTATTATCTCTGCCATCTTTGGTGTTGGCTTCACCCCAGTCTGGTAGGATGGTGGCTGTGGCTGTCACAACCAAATACCTGTTATCCAGGGATCATATCCAGCCACAACATCCAGAAGGAGAAGAGAGGGCAACTTTCCTTGTAGCTGTTTCAGGAATGTGTCCCAGGAGCCTTACTAACAAACTACCCCTCAATTCTCAATCGCCAGCATTGGTCACAAGGTTGTTTCTGAAGCAATCATTGGCAAGAAAAATCATTGGCAAGGGAAATTTGTTAAACAAAAGTAAGACGGACCATCCTTGGATCTGAAGGTGAGGTAAGCAGGTGGGGATGAACATCTGAACACTGGGGCTCTGTTAGGAAGGAAGAAAGGGGAATGGATCCTCTGGATGGGCAACCAACAAAGTCCCCCTAACATTTCTGGAGTGTTTCCTGTGTACCACGCCCTGTGCCAAGTGTTTTACACTCTTATCTAATGTAATCCTCACAAACAGCCTTCTGAAGTGTACTGTATTATCCTTGCTTTATATATGAAGAAATTGACTTAAGAAAGTTGACTTATCTGGGCCAAGGTCCCATTTCTACTAAGTGGTAAAAGCAAGATTCAAACTTGATCAAAAACTGGAAGCTACCATTGTTATAATAATTGATTCAGACAGGAATCATTAGTAGATGCTAAAACTAGTGGATGAAAGTTTAAAGGAGTAACAATCTTTTTGTTTGTTTGTTTTGTTTTGTTTTGTTTTTGAGATAGAGTCTCGCTCTGTCACCCAGGCTGGAGTGCAGTGGCACAATCTCTGCTCACTGCAGCCTCAGCCCCCGGGTTCAAGCAATTCTCTTGCCTCAGCCTCCTGAGTAGCTGTGATTACAGGTGCCAGCCACCACGCCCAGCTAATTTTTGTATTTGTAGTAGAGATGGGGTTTCACCATGTTGGCCAGGCTGATCTCGAACTCTCCTGACCTCAGGTGATCCACCCACCTTGGCCTCCCAAAGTGCTGGGATTACAGGCATGAGCCACGGCTCCTGGCCTGTTTTGTTTTTTAGACACAGTTTCACTCTGTCGCCCAGGCTGGAGTACAGTGGTGAGATCTCAGCTCACTGCAACCTCCACCTCAAACAATCCTCCCATCTCAGCCTCCCAAATAGTTGGGACCACAGGCATGCACCACCACACCTGGCTAATTTTTGTATTTTTGGTAGAGATGGGGTTTTGCCAGATTGCTTAAGCAATCTTCCTGCCTTGACTTCCCAAAGTGCTGGGATTACAGGTGTTAGCCACTGCACCTGCCCTATTTCCTTATTTTTTGGGAAATAAAACTCCAATAGCCAACCTCCAAGATGGCTCCCAGTGATTATCACCTCCTGATATCCATGTCTCTTCAGACAGTGAATAGAGCTATCTGGTTAAACAATAGGATATT
Organism: Homo sapiens; assembly: GCF_000001405.40. NCBI lineage: Eukaryota > Metazoa > Chordata > Mammalia > Primates > Hominidae > Homo > Homo sapiens. The sequence goes on from NC_000004.12 coordinate 39,494,281, forward strand.
ATAGAAATGATGGGGTATGATTTCTGAGGCTAGATAATAAAAGACATTGGAGGTTCTGTCTTGTCCTCTATTGGTTTTTTCACTCTTGAAGATGCCAACTTGCTATGCTGTGTCATGAGGATATTCAAGCAGTGCTATGAGGAGATCCAGTTGGCAAAGAACTGAGGCCTCCTGTCAACCGCCAGCACTAACTTGATAGTCATATGAGCAAGCCATCTTGGAAGACAATCTTCCAGCCCCAGTCAAGCCTTTTGATGACCAAAGCCCTGGTTGACATTTTGATTACAACCAGACTTTGACCCAGAACCATTTGGCTAAACTGTTCCTGAATTCCTGACCCACAGAAACTGAGATAACCCTGAAGTATTTAGGGGAAAAGGGAATCATGTCTCCAACTTACTCTCTTTTTTTTTTTTTTTTTTTTTTTTTATTGAGACAGAGTCTTGCTCTGTCACCCAGGCTAGAATGCAGTGGCACAATCTCAGCTCACTGCAACCTCTGCCTCCCGGGTTTGAATGATTCTCCTGCCTCAGTTTCCCAAGTAGCTGGGACTACAGGTGCGCACAACCATGCCCGGCTAATTTTTTGTATTTTTAGTAAAGATGAGGTTTTACCATGTTGTCCAGGTTGGTCTCAAACTCCTGACCTTAGCCTCCTAAAGTGCTGGGATTACAGGGATGAGCCACCGCACCTGGCCTTGCAACTTAATCTCAAATCATTCAGGAAAAAAATTTATATAAATATAAATTTTATGTGTGATGTATACAGGAAGGATAAAACAAAGCAAATATAATATTAATATTTAGTGAATAAGAAGGGTATACAGCATTTTTGTACCATTCTTTCAACTTTTCTGTAAATCTAAAATTATGTCAGAATTTAGGGTTTTCTTTTTTTAAAAACTAGCAACCTTTGATCTAGATCTACCCTTCACAGATATTTTGGTGTGTGTAGTGTAAAAATTTGTTTTTAAACATCGTGCCAACACTTATAAATTGAGAGATTTTATATAAAAATCCAGATTTTTACAAAAATTAGTCGGGCATGGTGGTGGGTGCCTGTAATCTCAGCTACTCAGGAGGCTGAAGCAGGAGAATAGCTTGAACCTGCGAGGTGAAGGTTGCAGTGAGCCAAGATTGCACCACTGCACTCCAGCCTGGGCAACAGAGATTCCGTCTCAAAAAACAAAAAACACCACACCACCAAATCCAGATTTTTAGCTTTTTCTTGAGAAATAGGAAGATAAGGCACCAGTGACAAGTACTGCATAACAAAGTATTGGCTTAAGTCTGCATGACAAGTATTGGCCTGATGCCTGGTTAATTCTTTGCATTTGAGAAGAATGACTTTTACCTGGGCACCTTTATGTATCCAGAGAAGCAGAATGACTAATATTAAAAGCTGGAGAGAAAAGTCACATAGTCTGTCCTGAATTCTGGTTCTGCCACTTATTAAGGTGTGACCCTGAGCAAGCTGCTAAATCTTCCGAGCCTTCTGCCTGTAGTCTGAATCACAGGATCAGAACTTACCTCAAAAGACTTAAATGAGTCCTAGAATAACATGGGGAAGTAAAAAATGAAATGAAATAAAGACTTATGTGAGGAACAGATGAGAAAATGCACCTAAAGGACTTTGCATAGTGCCTGTCCAAAATGTTCAGTGTTAATTACTGTCCTTCTAGTGATTCCAGAGCCTACACGTGGTTCTGGTGCAGTGGGACCAGCTTGTTATGGTGCTAACAGGAGTGCTCATTGCCTGCCAGTCACTGTGCCAAGAAGATCTTTGTGTAAACATTCATCTCATGTAATCTTTATAACAATTCTTCGAGTTGGAGATGGATTATCTGTTTTACAGATGGGAAAAATAAGGCTTTCAGGTAGCTTAGCCAAGAAGTCTTAAGTGGAATTGTAGGAGAGAAAATTGTAGGAGAGAGATTTTGTTTATCCTTTTGTATCTATGTGAATGTCTTTTTACCATGTCCATATATTATTTTCAATTTTTTTTTTTTTTTTTTTTGAGAAGGAGTTTCACTCTTGTTGCCCAGGTCGGAGTGCAATGGCATGATCTCGGCTCACCGTAATCTCCACCTCCCGGGTTCAAGCGATTCTCCTGTCTCAGCCCCCTGAGTAGCTGGGATTACAGGCATGCACCACTACACCCGGCTAATTTTGTATTTATAGTAGAGACGAGGTTTCTCCATGTTGGTCAGGCTGGTCTCGAACTCTTGACCTCAGGTGATCCACCCACCTCGGCCTCCCAAAGTGCTGGGATTACAGGCGTGAGCCACAGCGCCCGGCCTATTATTTTCAATTTTAAGTACAGTTAGTAATCTTACCAATATTCCTCTGCCCTACCAAAAATATATTAGCTAATAAAAAATTGAAACTTTTCCTGGTGGTAGGGATCAGGTATAAAAATTTAAATATATATATTTTTAAAAACTGAAAGTTTGTATGATTAAAAAAAACAACAATTGTCTTTAACTGGTTGAGGAGAGAAAAAAAGACTAACCACCTTCTTTCAACTTTTCACATGAAAGTCTCAAATTGCTGTTAAGTTACATGCCTAATTACTGAGTTTTTCCTCCCATTTCAAACAGCAAGTTTATCTGGCTCTATGAGCCCTCTTTTGCCCATTTTCCTCCATTTACCAGTAACTTTTTTCTTTTTTTTTTGAGACAGGGTCTCACTCTGTCATCCAGACTAGAGTGCAGTGGTACAATCTCGGCTCACTGCAGCCTTGACATCCTGGGCTCAAGTGATCTTCCCACCTCAGCCTCCCAGTTAGCTTGGACTACTGGCATGCACCACCACTCATGGCTAATTTTTTGTATTTTTTTAGAGACGAGGTTTCGCCATGTTGCCCAGGCTGGTCTTGAACTCCTGAGCTCAAGCATCCACCCACCTTGACCTCTCAAAGTGCCGGGATTACAGGCATGAGCCACCACACCCGGCCAGTAATTATATCTTACAATAATTGTTTACTTATCAGTTCCAGGCATTGAAACATCTTGCAATTTAAAACAAGTACCTATTTCTTTCTTTTCTTTTCTTTTCTTTTTTTTCTGAGACAGTTTCGCTCTTGTTGCCCAGGCTGGAGTGCAATGGCGCCATCTTGGCTCACTGCAACCTCTGCTCCCAGGTTCAAGTGATTCTCCTGCCTCAGCCTCCTGAGTAGCTGGGATTACAGGCGCGTGCCACTACGCCTGGCTAGTTTTTTTGTATTTTTAGTAGAGACGGGGTTTCACCATGTTGGCCAGGCTGGTCTCGAACTCCTAACCTCAGGTGATCCCCCACCTCAGCCTCCCAAAGTACAAGCATGAGCCACTGCACCCGGCACAAGTACCTATTTCTTTTTTTCTTCTTTTTGGAGCTCTTTCAAAGGATTTATTTGCTACAGAATTGCTTCAGTCCACCAATGAGATGAACTCAGGACTTCTTTGTTCAAAAGGATTTTGCTTATTGCTGTGTTTTTACAAATTCGGCAACATCCAAATAGCAATTCTTAGGCTGGGCACAGTGGCTTGAACCCCAGGAGGCAGAGGTTGCAGTGAGCCGAGATGGTGCCACTGCACTCCAGCCTGGCCAATAAAACAAGACTCTGTCTCAAAAAAAAAGAACAACAACAACAACAAAAGCAATTTTTTGCCAGCATTTGGCATATCTAGACAAGAGTAGAAAAAGTTTGAATCTATAGCATTAGATGTCTAAAAATAGAAAAAAAAACCATTTAAAAATTTAAAAATTCCTCATTTGGACAGGACAAGTGCCTAATTCTATCTGCTTTAGCATACATCTTCATACATCTTTGGACTTACAATGCCTTTACTAGAATATAAAATTACTAAGCAGAATACAATAATATTTTCAAGCAGAAATGTAAAGCAAATTCTAATTAATAAACTCATCCTCACTTCAAAGTCTTATGAGTAAAGGCTCACCTTATGTTCGAACTCTAGCATTTGTCTCTTTCAGAGGTATGCAGACTTTCTTAAAGGACCAGGTAGGAAATATTTTAGGCTTTGCCAGCCAAGAGGTAAAGTTGAGGATATTATGTAGGGATTTGTATAACCATTTAAAATGTTTGTGCTTTGTTTGTTTGTAGAAATGGGGTCTTACTTATTGCCTAGGCAGTAAGTTGCCCAGGCTGGTCTCAAACTGGCCTTAAGTGATCCTCCCTCTTTGGCCTCCCAAAGTGGTGGGATTACATGCATGAGCCACCATGCCTGGTCAAACCATTTAACATATGACCATGTAAAAATGTAACAACCATTCTTAGCTCACTCATGGCTGGCCAGATTTGACCCAGGGGCTACAGTTTGCCAATGTTTATTTGCTAAATTCTCTCCCTTTGTTGCATCATTTGAGAGAATGATATACCATTTTCTCTAAAAAGTGAGGTGTCATTTTTTTCCCATCTAATGTCAGGCTGTCATGACTCAGTTACTTGTGAATTGACAAAAATTACACCCATATAGTTGTTGATGGAGAATGTTTTATTTATGTAATTTTCATCTGTAGAGATGCTTCTGTCCTCATCTTTATATTTGTCTCCCTCTTCTCATTGAACTGCAAAATTCCTGAAGGATGAGACCTGGGATGTTTAATGCAAACTGTACATTCTCAGCAGAGCACAAGTATCAAAGGGACATTGGATATATTTTAATAATGATCTAACACAAGCAAAAATAACCACTGAAAATATAAAACTCAACAAGAGACATAAGAAAAAAGCAGACAGAAAACAAAAAAAATTCTTATTTTAGAATGATGCTATATGTAACTTGTAAAATATTTAAGTTTTTATACATGAGATTATATTGGTTTCCTTATTTAAAGAAAAAAATTACAATTAAGAATGGAAATTAAAATGTAAAACCAAGATAAATATTTTTGGCTTTTGGACTAAAAAAAAAAAGATTAGTGAGGAAAACCAATAAATAATGGGGAGAGAAAGAAATGCTACTAATTTTCTCTTCATGATTAAAAAAAAAATCTTTTAACCATATTTGGGGTGACTGGAAATTAACAGTGATGATTTTGAGCTAAAAAATCAGTGACACATTTTATTAAAACAAAAGGAACAAAGGAACTTTAACCAGACCATACATGTAAAGGCTGTTTAGCATAGCAATTTCATGGATTCAAAATATATCTTTAATGACAAACAAACCAATAACCAGGAGGAATGAAGACTGTCCTTCCCTTTATAATGTGATATTAAAGTGTGGCCTATGGACAATTTATAAAGTAAAGAGTTTGAAGTTTAATTTTTATTTTACAAAAATTGACACTATTAAAACCAACATGATTATCTTTCACTCATCCAATAACTGAGCTAACAGTATTATAAAAATATGTAAAAAAATTCTAGATTCATAATTACCAGATATGCTAATATCCATATAGCTAGTATAAATCTGATGATTAAAAAAATAGTTTTGTTTCCTTAAAAACACTTGGTTCATGGGCCAGGCGTGGTGGCTCACACCTGTAATCCCAGCACTTTGGGAGGCCGAGACGGGTGGTTCACAAGGTCAGGAGATTGAGACCATCCTGGCTCACATGGTGAAACCCTGTCTCTACTAAAAATACAAAAAATTAGCCAGGCACTGTGGCGGGTGCCTGTAGTCCCAGCTACTTGGGAGGCTGAGCCAGGAGAATGGCGTGAACCTGGGAAGCAGAGCTTGCAGTGAGCCGAGATTGCACCACTGCACTCCAGCCTGGGCAACAGTGAGACTCTGTCTCAAAAAAAAAACAAAAAAAAACACTTGGTTCATTTACCATTTAATAGCAGATAGATATTTGCTATCCTGAAGTACCAAAAAAAAAAAAAAAAAATCACAAATAAAAATGGCAATCTCTACACTTTAGGTTTCTTGTTAGGTGGATCTTGAAGACTAAACTTCGGAATTTCACCAGAAGGAGCATATGGAATTCTCTTTGAAGACACCTTTTTGCCAATTGTTTCAATCTGAAAAAAAAATAAAATTTAAGAGAACTATTAACAATTATATAAGTGTAAGAATTTATAATGTACTGAAATGGGAGCAGGGGGAATCTAGATTTTTTTCTTAGAAAAGGATTCTCAAGTTGTCTGAGTTGCTATGAGAGATCTTTGGTTTCTTCCCTATTTTTTGTTCCTAGAATTAATCTGTACTCCATCGTAATATTCATATCTAGACTTTCTCACTCCTGCCATTCCCCACACCTGACTCCCTCAAAGTAGTCAATTATGTGCCACCACTGTCTTTAGAAACATGTATGAAATTAACCTACCAGTTTCCAGTGAGTTCATATTTTATTTCAAACTCCATTCTCATTTCAATTTCCCTTGTACTAAAAAACCTGCAAAAGCTAACAGCATAATTCTCTTTTTTTTTTTTTTTTTTCTTGAGATGGAGTCTTGCTCTATCGCCTAGGCTGGAGTGCAGTGGCCTGATCTTGGCTCACTGCAACCTCCGTCTCCTAGGTTCAAGCAATTCTCCTGTCTGCCTTCTGAGTAGCTGGGATTACAGACGTGCACCACCACACCTGGCTAATTTTTGTATTTTTAGTAGAGATGAGGTTTTACATGCTGGCCAGGCTGGTCTCGAACTCCTGACCTCAAGTGATCTGCCTGCCTCGGCCTCCCAGAGTGCTGGGATTACCGGCGTGAGCCACTGTGCCCGAATGGTAACAGCATAATGCTTTTTTTTTTTTTGAGATGGAGTCTTGCCCTGTTGCCTGGGCTGCAGTGCAGTGGCACGATCTTGGCTCACTGCAACCTCTGCCTCGCAGGTTCAAGCGATTCTCCTCGCCTCAGCCTCCCAAGTAGCTAGGATTACAAGCGCCCGCCACCACACCAGGCTAATGTTTTTGTATTTTTAGTAGAGACGGGGTTTCACTATGTTGGCCAAGCTGGTCTCGAACTCCTGACTTCGTGATCCATCCGCCTTGGCCTCCCAAAGTGCTGGTATTACAGGCGTGAGCCACTGTGCCCTGCCAACAGCATAAATTTTTTTTTTTTTTTTGAGATGGAGTCTCGCTCTGTTGCCCAGGCTGGAGTGCAGTGGCGTGATCTCGGCTCACTGCAAGCTCTGCCTCCCGGTTCACACCATTCTCCTGCCTCAGCCTCCCGAGCAGCTGGGACCACAGGTGCCTGCCACCACGCCCGGCAATTTTTTTGTATTTTTAGTAGAGATGGGTTTTCACCGTGTTAGCCAGGATGGTCTCGATCTCCTGACCTCATGATCCGCCCGCCTCGGCCTCCCAAAGTGCTGGGATTACAGGCGTGAGCCACCGCACCCGGCCAGCATAATTCTTAAGAATTCAGACTTCAGAGTCTGAAAGGCCCCAGCTGGAATCCTGACTGGCACTTGCTGCATTACCTAAACTCTCTAGGTCTTTCTTCCTCACTTGTAAATTGTGTTACCACCACTTAACTCAAAGGGTCGTGGTAAGTATTAAATTAGGTAAAGTGCTTAGCATACAGCAAGCCAGCCTTCACTAAATGATAATCAATTTTGGTTTTGCCTATTACATTTTTCATTTATTCCATATATTCAAAATCATCATCTTATCATTAAAAACACTACTACTTCAACAGTCATGAATTTATCTCCCCTCCACAGCAGAGATAAACATACTACTCACTTTTCATGTCTTTTGAATTAAAAACTAATATTTAATTCTGACTCGTACCACAAAGAAAGGGCTTCTGCTTTATATTAACCAGTTGTCTCAGTGACTTACAAATTCTCCTTATTTAGTGATTCCATTCCTGTTTTTTTTTAATTTCTCACTAGGAAAGTTAACTTTTACAATAACTTAAAATCATTTAAAATATGTATTTCTCTACATATCTTTTCCCTTAGATGAGTAAAACAGGAATGAGAGAAAATGTGTCTATGCCTTGCAAATAACCTTTTAAAAATAACATTCCTGAGTTTAGTCATGACTGGGAAAAACAGTCATGTTGTTACTCACTAGGGAGGGGTGGAATAGAAGAGTCCCCAAGGTCTTGGATGGAAGAGTTCACAGACAAGGATGCCATTTGATTCTTTCCACAAGTAAATCTCTCATGAATGAGAAATGGGCACTGAATTCTAAATAAGGACCTTCAACAAGTTGGTGAGAGGTTAAGAGAACCAGATCAGATATTTTTGAATAGCAGATTAGGCCTTACTGATACCTCTCCAAGATAGCTGGTGCTGAGATGTGCATAGCAAGCTGTCAAACACTGCTGCTTTTCTGCTTGCTTGGGCACTACATTGACAACAACCCCCTGGCATATTTTTTTATTCTCCCTAACTTACTCCACCTCCCCATCCTCCTATCCCCATATACATACTGCTCTGAGGAAATGGAAAATAGCTCCTTATTAATACCTTTGGGACTCCTTGGAGAACTGAAATAGATGTAACCTACAAAAACACTGTTCTGGGTGGAGGCTTCTGTCAGCTTTCCAAATGTTCCATAATTGACAAACTGTTTTTTGTTTTTTGAGGCAGGGTCTTGCTCTGTCACCCAGGCTGGCATGCAATGGCATGATCTCAGCTCATTACAACCTCTGCCTGCTGGGCTCAAGCAATCCTCCCACGTCAGCCTCCCATGTGGCTGGGATTACAGGCACAGGCCACCAAGCCTGACTAATTTTTATTATTTTTTTTTCCCAAAACGGAGTCTTGCTCTGTCACCCAGGCTGGAGTGCAGTGGTGTGATCTTGGCTCACTGCAACCTCCGCCTCCCAGGTTTAAGCGATTCTCCTGCCTCAGCCTCCAAAGTAGCTGGGATTACAGGTGTGTGCCACCACACCCAGCTAATTTTTGTATTTTTAGTAGAGATGGGGTTTTACAGTATTGTCCAGGCTGGTCTCGAACTCCTGACCTTGTGATCCGCCCGCCTCAGCCTCCCAAAGTGCTGGGATTATAGGCGTGAGCCACCGCGCCCAGCAATTTTTGTATTTGTTAATAGACACGGGGTTTCACCATGTTGGCTAGGCTGGTCTCGAACTCCTGGCCTTAAGTGGTCTACCTCCACAGCCTCCCAAAGTGCTGGGATTACAGGTGTGAACCACTATGCCTGGCCAGTTGACAAACTTTGAATCAGAAGAGGGCCAGTACCATTGAAACTCCCATATGTTTCATTCAGACCCCTCACAGCACTGGCACAGTGCTGAGTACTCAGAAGGTATAGGATGAACACCTGCTGATTGACCAAGACCTCTTTCTTTCTCTACCTTTAGATCGCAAATTTAGGGAGGAAGTAGAGAAGTAGAGTAGTCAGAAAAATCCCATAGGGACTTCCTAAAGAACTGACATGTTGCCCCAGAGTTACGTTACTGCTAAAGAAAATAAGAAAATTCTAAAACCCACACAATGGGTTTAAAAAGCAAATGAGCACTTTCCTAATTGTTGAAATAAACTTCTGATATTGATTTGGTTCCCCAAAAGAACTTCCCTAGAAAGAAGGTATCATCTTAATTAGCCAAACATATTCTGACCTGCTGTGATGGTCTTTTGATGTCAACTTGACTAGATTATAGTCCCCAGTTGTTGAATCAAACACTAAAGACCAAACAAAAAGAAAAAAAACAATCCAGGATCATGATTACCTGGAAGCCAATGGTTTGTAGTTCATTGTGGAGCCCATCCAGGACACGCCGTCCATCGAAGATAAAGGCTGGCTTTAGCATTTTTTTATGAATGCGTTCATAATCCAATTCCTGTAAAGACAAACCACAGGAACAATTAAAACACATACGTGGGCCGGGCGGAGTGGCTCATGCCTGTAATCCCAGCACTTTGGGAGGCCAAGATGGGTGGATCACGAGGTCAGGAGATCGAGACCATCCTGGCCAACATGGTGAAACCCCGTCTCTACTAAAAATACAAAAAATTAGTTGGGCGTGGTGGCAGGAGCTTGTAGTCCCAGCTACTCAGGAAGCTGAGGCAGGAGAATGGCGTGAACCCAGGAGGCAGAGCTTGCAGTGAGCCGAGATTGCGCCACTGCACTCCAGCCAGGGCGACAGAGCGAGACTCCATCTCAAAAAAAAAAACAAAAAAACAAAAAAACACATACATGAACACATACTCAACCCCAGCTGATAGTGGAACACCTCTAGAATTTTCCTTAGTATCTTTTCTGTTACCTTACCTTAAACATGTCCCACTCAGTGCAAATAACAACAGCATGGGCACCATCACATGCTTCATATGGATCCTTGGAAATGGTCACGAGCCGGGACACTGTAACAATAGCAACAACAAAAAAACAGAAATAAGAAAGGAGTTATATGACATTACAGTAGTTCCCCCCTTATCTGCAGGGATACATTCCAAGACCCCCAGTAGATGTCTGAAACTGTGGAGAGTACTGAACCCTATATATACTTACACACATACCTGTTTTTTGAATCTGATTGCCAAAAGTTACTAAGTGACTAAGTAGCATATGGAATGTGGATATGCTGGACAAAGGAATGATAAATGTCCCAGGCAGGATGAAGCAGCACACAATTTAAAACTTATGAATTGTTTATTTCTGGAATTTTCCTTCTAGTACTTTCAGACTGCAAGTGACCGCAGATAACTGAACCCGTGGAAAGCAAAACCACACATAAGGGGATAGTACTATAGGTATTCTAACACTAGGACTGCAGGAAGAGTTGGGAATAATCTGATTGCAGTATCAATGGGAGTGATGGTGGGAGGCCCCAAACCCTGCTTTGGAAGCATCTCTTTGGAATTTTGGGGATTTGTGGAGTATGTTGGAAAAATCAATGGACCAATCCACAGCTGATCACTTCAAATCAATGTTGATGACATTATGCCTAAGACTTTAATTTCAGAGAAATGAGGTTGAAAAGAGGGCCTACCAATGATATACATGATAAAACTGAACAACCTAAGGTTTCCAAAAGATAAAAAGTTTTCAGGTCTGGACTCAAAATGATTCATGAGACTCAAAGCCTTACCTTGGTCATCCTCTGAAACACCTGGATGAGAAAGATCCACAACTATTTGTTCCCTAGGTACTTTTGGATCATATATATGTAGATGTGCACCTTCATCCATCAAATATTTGCTAATATATATACTAGAAGATTCTCTATAGGAAAAAAAAAATCAGTATTGGTAAGCTTTATGTGGCATTATATTCTAATACCAGGGAGTTTAAGATACAGGTAAAATTATATTTCTGAAGCTGGTAGAGTGGTGAAGATATGGATATTTATTTTTATTCTTTATATTTTATATATATACATGTATTTTATGTACACCTACCCCAATCAAAAAATTAAGATGAGGAGTTAACACAATCTCAAAAGGGTTGAAATATTTTTAAAAACTGATACCTTGTATCACCAGTGTCCTTTTTGAATGCAAATCCCAAAATAGCTATCTTCTTATCAGTTACTGTATTAAACAGACTATCTATGATCCGGGAAGCAAACCTCCTCCTCTGGTAGTCATTCATGTCTATGACCTGAAATTACATGTACAATTGTGCAATGATTAGTTAAAAGAGGCACAGCCTATGACACACATTACTCAGAATTTTATGGTGAGTGCTATTGTACAAATACAATGCTTACATATTAACAAGAGGCAAAAATTAACCAAACTCTAGTGCCTATGGATTAAAAAAAAAAAAAAATCACTCATCCCCTTCCTTAAAGCCATCCTAGGCCAGCAGTGGTAGCTCATACCTGTAATCCCAGCACTTTGGGAGGCCGAGGTGGGCGATTGCTTGAGCTCAGGAGTTCAAGACCAGCCTGGGCACCACGGCGAGACCCTGTCTCTACAAAAAATACAAAAATTAGCCAGGCAAGGTGGCATGTGCCTGTAGTCCCAGCTACTTGGGAGGCTGAGGTGGGATGGCTTGAGCACAGGAGGCAGAGGTGGCAGTGAGCCGAGATCATGCCACTGCACTCCAGCCTGGGCGACAGAGCCAGACCCTGCCGTAAATTTAAAAAAAAAAAAAAAGCCATTCTAAAAATTTCTAATTTCATTTGGCTTGATTTTCTATGCATAAGGCTAGGATGGATGCCAAAAGTGGAGCGCACAACCAAGTTTTAATTCTAAGCGCATTTGAGGTTCAGCTATGAGACCAACCTAAATAAGGCACATAGGAAACCATACTATCCTTAGTCCGTGTCTCCAAATTCTGTGGAAACAAGCTACAAGCAATGAAACCCCAAAGTATTCCTTCATTTGCTTGTGCCCCACTATTCACAAAAATTCAGTTTCAGTGGAAAGTGGACAGGCAACAAACAATGTGCAGAGTTCTAGCTGCCTCTGGATGAACCATAACACCACAACTATTTGACAAGGTTTTTTAACTAACTAAATGTTATAAGAGTCTCTGATCACTTAATCTGTTAAATTTAGGTTGGTAACCGGGTGGGCGAAGCAAAAGAAACTTTTTTAAGGCTTTAAGCTTTCAGGGACCATCTCAATCAAACCCTGAGAGCTTAAGCAATTAGCCCAAAGTGTTGGAAAATCAAGAGTTTATCTGCATTTTTCACACAATGAACAGTGAGATAAAGCCATCATGATGGATTGACTGGAATGACACTAATTGTATCTGTTTTCACTTTAAAATGTGCATTTCCGGCTAGGCAGGGTGGTGCACCTGTAGTCCCAGCTACTCAGGAGGCTCAGGTGGAAGGATCACTTGAGCCCAAGAGTTGGAATCTAGGCTGGACAACACAGTGAGACCCTGTCTCTAAAAAGTAAAACATTTTAAAAAAAGAAACGTGCATTTCTTTAGATTCCCTCCCATATCTACTGCTGAAACCTGAAAAATTATAAACTCGGGGAAAATATTTGGGAAAGGCACATATACCGACTAGTAATTGGGGCAAATTACTTAATATCTCCATGTCAGTTCCCTCATCAAATAAAGAGGATAATGTTAGTGATGAGGATTAAATGAGATACTGTATGCAAAGTGCCCAAAAGAGTACCCAGTACAGGGTAAGCATTCAATAAACATCAACTCTACTTCCCAGAGCTCACTTAATGCTTCCAATTTGGAAGGGGTTTCTAATTTTAGCTCTGTGAGTCTGAAAGGTCCAAAACAAATATCAGCAGATACAAAACCACTTGAAAGCATGACAATATAGGTTCTGTTTTTTGGAGACGAAGTCTCGCTCTGTCATCTAGGCTGGAGTGCAGTGACACAATCCTGGCTCACTACAACCTCCGCCTCCTGGGTTCAAGCAATTCTCATGCCTCAGCCTCGCCAGGCCAGTCTCGAACTCCCAACCCTCAAGTGATCTGTCCACCTCAGGCTCCCGAAGTACAGGGATTACAGGTGTGAACCACCATGCCCGACCAACGTTATAATATAGGTTCTTATTTTATTTTGATTTTATGCCTTTCAAGATAGAGAAGAATTAGGCTAGGTTCACTGGCTAACACTTATATTCCCAGCACTTTGGGAGGCAAAGATGGGAGGACTGCTGAGCCCAGGAGTTTCAGACCAGCCTGGGCAATATAGTGAGACCTTGTCTCTACAAACAAAATTTTTTAAATAAAAAAATTAGCCAATGTGGTGGTGCGTTCCTGAAGTTGAGGTTGAAGTGGGAGGATTGCTTGAGCACAGGAGGTCACTGCAGTGAGCAGCGATGGCACCACTGCATTCTAGCCTGGGTGACAAAGTGAGATCTTGTCTCAAAAAAAAAAAAAAAAAAAAGAGAGAAGAGTTATAATTAAGGATAATTGTTTTTGTTTTACTCTGGGAGCAAATTAGAATACTGGCTTATCACAAACTTCCATCAACATTGATTAGCAGGAAAGATAAATTAAAAACACAGATACCCAATAAATAAACATAAAATAAGCAAATTGAATATACTAATTTTTGACTTCCTGGAATAAATAAATTCCATCAAAAACATTTCATGGACAAAAAGTGACATGCTTAATGAGAAGCTAAACAGAAACTGCTATTATTATTGCTGTTACTATTATTATGTCAGAGACAGGGTCTCACTCTGTTGTCCAGGCTACAGTGCAGTGGAGCGATCATAAGTCAGTCACTGGAGCCTCCAACTCCTAGGCTCAAGTGATCCTCCCACCTCAGCCTCCCAAGTAGCTAGGACTACAGGTGTGCAACACCATGCCTGGCTAATTTTTAAAATTTTTGTAGAGATGGGGTCTCACTATGTTGCCCAGGCCAGTCCCAAATTCCTGGCCTCAAGTGATGCTCTTGCCTTGGCTTCCTAAAGTGCTGCGATTACAGGTGTGAACCACTATGCCTGGCTAAACAGAAATTATTACCTATAGAGATTAATACCTGCTGCCAATAACGAGCTACTTCTGGCAAATTCAGAGCCTCACAGAGATAAACCAAATTCAGAACATCCTTTTGGAAACAGCTCCCACCAAACCCTGCAGAAAGAAAAAAATGAACAATATTTTCATGTAAGAACGAGAAAACTCAATCATGTGACAAATTTCTTTATACTAAATCAGAAAGCTTATACTAAGATTTTTTAATAATAAAATTCAGATGGATAAATAATGGGCTTATAAATTATGTAAAATTTGCAGGCAACTAAACAACTCCACAAGTAACTTCCAAATAATTTTCTAACTAAAATTTCATTATGGCTACGTTTAACTTTTTATATTGTTTCCTTTTATCTCCTTTTTTTTCTCATTCATCTAGTATGACTGCCCCACATTCTTTAGCACAGGGTCAGCAAACTTTTTCTCTTTTTGAGACAGAGTCTCCCTCTGTCGCCCAGGCTGAAGTGTAGGGGTATGAACATGGCTCACTGCAGCCTTGACCTCCTGGGCTCAGGTGATCCTCCTACCTTAGCCTCCCAGGTAGCTGGAGCTACAGGTGTGCACCATCATGCCTGACTAATTTTTTGTCTTTTTTTTTTGCAGAGCTGGGGCTTCACCATGCTGCCCAGGCTGGTCTCAAACTCCTAGGCTCAAGCAATTTGCCCGCCTTGGCCTCAGACTCCCAAAGTGCTGGGATTATAGGCATGAGCTACTGTGCCTGGCCTGGGTCAGCAAACTTTCATGGTAAAGGGCCAGACAGTAAGTATTTCAGCCTTTGTGGACCATTCAGTTTCTGAGGAGACTATTAAACTGCCACTGTAGCTCAAAAGCAGCCATAGACAATATGTAGTCTAATGGTCATGGCTGTGTTCCAATAAAATTTATTTACAAAAACAAGTTGTGGGCTGGATTTGACCCAAAGGCCATAGTTTGCCCACCCTTGCTCTAGTGCAATGCAGTATGCAGTAAGGAATAATATGGCTTTGGCGTTAGAAACATCTAGTCACTCAGCTGCATGACTTTGAGCAAGTTGCACAAATTTCCCTGAGTCTGAATCATCTCTAAAAAAGAAAATAACAGCATCTACCTAACAGGTTATAAGGATTCAATGAGATATATAAAGCGCTGGTACCAGCAAATAATATGCCTTCAGTAAATAAACACTAGCTCTTTCTACTAGAGAAAAATTTGAATTTACCAACACTGGCTTTTAGAAACTTGTTTCCAATTCTCTGGTCCATTCCAATCGCTGTTGCTACCTCTTCTACATCAGCTCCTGTTGCTTCACACAGAGCACTTATGGAGTTAATGCTGCTTATTCTCTGGGCAAGAAAAGCATTTGCTGCCTTAAAAAAAAAAAACATAGAGAAGAGTAAGATAAGCTAAAACAGCAATTTTATACATCTAGTTTATATTTCATTGCGTTGACGCAAATTACTGAGGGAGATATATAAGATACTGATGAGCTCAATTTGAGGAGACAATGGATGGGTTAGAAAGGGAAAATGTTTTAAATTAGAGAGGACAGATGATTAAGAAAAAGGGTAAAGAGGGAAAGAGTGATAAAAACCAAATTACTATTTTAAGATTTCAGAATTTTTCAGAATCTTTTATACCCTCATATATGATCTCCCTTGTGAAAATTATTTCATAATTTGAATGTGCAAGAATATGATCTTCAAAAGCATAACCTCTTACTACTATTAAAAAAGTATCTGTGTAGTTTATCAGGCTTGAAATAAATAAATATTTGGCTTTAATTTAATGAAGAGTTGAATGCTATATACTAACCAGTTTGGAAAGCTCTGAAGACCAAGTATTAGTGGTGAGGATCTTTTCTCTGGGAACCCAGTGCTCATATACAGCACACAGGGCCTGCACAGCTCTCTGGCCCTCTGGAGTTTCATCCCCTCCAATCAGTACTCTGTCTGGGTTCTTTAGGTCCTTGATGGCTGTTCCCTCTGCCAGAAACTCAGGGTTGGACAGCACCTAGAATCCCAATGCAAAGGAAAGTTTTAAGCTAGAATTAATTATGGGCAACTTTAACACATCAGTATTTACATAAGAATAACCAGATTCTAATGCTTCATTTTTTATACCTGTAAATTCAAGTTGGGTTTTGTGTTTGCATCAAATATGCGACGGATACTTTCTGCTGCCCGCACTGGAACTGTGCTTTTCTCAGTCACAATTTTGTACCCATTTGAGTTTTGCACAATGCGTCTAGCACAAGCTTCAATATACTTCAGATCTGCTGCCCGGCCTTTCCCCATTCCATAGGTTTTTGTTGGAGTATTCACCTGATGTAAGTATATGGGATAAAGAACAGAGTGCCTGTGAGATAGGGATTTCAAGATATACCCTGAACTACTGGTTAAAGTGTGGAGTTAACAATCATCAGTAGCCCTGATTTAATCCTCTGTTAGTTCCATAGAAATAATACATTTTATAAATATAATAATCAGAAGAAATAGCTTGAAGCATCTAGAGAACTCATTCAATAAATTTTTGTTAGGAAGCTACTATCTATATGCCGGATAACTAGGGCAGGCAGATTCCAGCTAAGCCCTGAAGATACATAAATGAATGAGACGGTTATCCTAAAGGACTTCACAATCTGAAATGAAATGTAAGCCTTTTCTTATTCCCTTTCTTTATTGTACATAATATATTATTATAGTCCTTAAAAATAAGTTTTAAAGTCTTTTTTTTTTTTTTGAGATGGAGTCTTGTTCTTTGCCCAGGCTAGAGTGCAGTAGTGTAATCTCGGCTCACTGCAACCTCTGCCTCCCAGGTTCAAGCGATTCTCCTGCCTCAGCCTCCCAAGTAACTGGGACTACAGGCATGCGCCACCACACCCCACCACTTTTTTTATATTTTTAGTAGAGACAGGGTTTCATCATGTTGTCCAGGCTGGTCTCGAACTCCTGACCTCAGGTGATCTGTCCACCTCAGCATCCCAAAGTGCTGGGATTACAGGCGTGAGCCACCGCACCTGGCCTCCTTTCTTATTCCCCTATTTTTACAGTCCTATATCAACAGTCTTTTAAAATATTGCAATATCATTTACAAATGCTTTCTGAGTTCATTAAAGCTAGACATTACCTATCATCTTCAGGATATAGAATACTATGTGGACAAAGACTTGCTTTTTTTTTTTTTTTTTAAGATGGAGCCTTGCTCTGTCACCCAGGCTGGAGTGCAGTGGCGCGATCTCGGATCACTGCAATCTCTGCTTCCTGGGTTCAAGCGATTCTCCTGCCTCAGCCTCCTGAGTAGCTGGGATTACAAGTGCGCCACCACACCCGCCTAATTTTTGTATTTTTAGACGGGGTTTCACCATGTTGGCCAGGGTGGTCTCAAACTCCTGACCTCAAGTGATCTGCCTGCCTCAGCCTCCCAAAGTACTAGGATTACAGGCATGAGCCACTGCACCTGGCCAATGGGCGAAGACTTTCATTTAGAAAAAAAAAAAAAAAATCATGGGCCCAGAGTCTAGGCATTTAGTTTTGGATTACATGTAACCTTGGAGAAGTGTGGCTGCCTCTGCCTCAGTGACCTCATTGGAAAATGAGGATAGTGAGCTCTCTAAAAACTAACACATGAATGTTATAATGCTCTGACAAAAATGAAAGTGCTCTGAAAAGTCTAAAACTTAAAGGGAATAGGAATTATTTTTGAACTAATAGTAAGTAGTACTAACTCTCTTCTCTTGATGAGATTATAACCCAATGGGAGACTAAATAAAGGAATCAAGTGAAAATAAATCAAAACTTGAAGATTGAGTTGAGGTGTGAAAAGCAGGAGGAAAAAGTTGTTTACATGCATGGAACAACTTAGGGCAAGAGTTACATGTAATGGTGTACGGAAAGGCAAAGACAGCTCATGATGTAGGGTGAAACTGGCTAGAGATGGGAGATGATCAGACAGCTTCCCCTGGTAAAGGAGCTTTGAAAACAACAGTTGAAAACTGATTGCTACAAAATAATTCCTGTCTGGCATTCAAAAACAGATTATTTTTAAATGTCCTTTCTGCAGAAAATTATTCTATTACCATTCTAGGCTCTGGTCACCTAAAAATTAGACTAAGTAACTCATTGATTTTTTCCAGGTACCTAGCTACTCCAAAATATTTTCTTATTTTTTTATGCCTCCACTCTAACTTTCTGCAAGTTTAAATAGGGGATGGGTAGGTAAGTCATAAAAGCTGCATCAATTTCTCTGAAGTGATTAAGGAGGTCAAAAAGAAGAGACTGAATTTTTTTTTTTTTTTTTTTTTGAGACAGGGTCTCCTTCTGTCACCTAGGCTGGAGTGCAAGGTACAATAATGGCTCATTGCAGCCTCAACCTCCAGGGTTCAATCAATCCTCCCACCTCAGTCTCCCAAGTAGTCAGGACTACAGACATACAGCACCACGGCCAGCTAAGTAGAGACAGGGTTTCACCATGTTGCCCACGCTGGTCTCAAATTCCTATGCTCAAGCGATCCGCCTGCCTTGGCCTCCCAAAGTGCTGGGATTACAAGCATGAGCCATCATGCCCAGCTCGTAAAGATCTTAAGTCATATAACACCCTCACTCAGCTTCCAACTGGTGATAGCTATATCATTACATACAGAATATTTGAGTAGATGGTTACTAGGACAGCAAGATGTAAGTTGCTTTGGTTCAAATAGTGGTTTACTAGAGTTTAATCTCAAGTGTTGGTTCTGTTTTTTTCATTATAAAGGTAGGACAGTTCAGCCACATTATGAGGTAAAGGTGTCTGTTGGTTAGCCTGATAATCTAACCAACATATGCCAAGTTACAAACAATTAATGTAAAATTCATTTAGAGAGGAGATGCCTGTAAGTTTGCAAACTGATTTTCTTCATCTCACCTCTGCCAACCACTGGAAACAAGAAATAATGAAATAAATATGAAATATACTATCATCACATGTGCTCTCATGTTACCAGCATTTCCTAGTTCTTTTTTTTTTTTTTTTTTTTTTTTGAGACAGAGTCTCACTCTATCACCAGGCTGGAGTGCAGTGGCGCGATCTCGGCTCACTGCAACCTCTGCCTCCTTGGTTCAAGCGATTCTCCTGCCTCAGCCTCTTGAGTAGCTGGGACTGCGGGTGCACACCACCACGCCCAGCTAATTTTTGTATTCTTAGTAGAGACGGGGTTTCACCATGTTGGCCAGGATGGTCTCAATCTCTTGACCTTGTGATCTGCCCACCTTGGCCTCCCACAATGCTGGGATTACAGGCGTGAGCCACCGCACCCGCCCATTTCCTAGTTCTAAATCTCAAATTAGAACTTTGAGTTTACTTGTTCAATGACTTGTAATGACATATTTGACTAGATGATTACGGGGTTTTGTGAACTGTCAGACAAAGTGACAACCAAAATTCACCGGACAACTCTATACTAAGCAATGTTGAGGCTTAATACCAATGGATTTACTATTAAAGTATGATGAAACTTTTATATAGACAAGAATACATTAAAATTCACACAACAAAGGAAAATACTTACAGAAATAAATACAAGATCAGCTTCTTTGATGGCATCATCAATATTGGTAGAAAAAAAAAGATTTTTTCCTCGACAGGATTCTACCACTTCTTTTAGTCCTGGCTAAAAAGAAAAAAGAAAAGGAATTGTACATATAGCTTGCCAGTGATATGAGATAACCTAATAGTATAGAATTACATTTGTTAAAGGGCATGGTAATATTGTAATTTAAAGGTCTAGGTTGTGCTCAAATTACCTTTGTAGACAAGTTAAGGATCATATACCAAAGGCCATAAGTGCACATCTCATTTTTTAAATAGGGACAGGGTCTCACTCTGTCACCCAGGCTGGAGTGCAGTGGTGCAATCTCAGCTCACTGCAGCCTCCGCCTCCTGGGCTCAAATGATCCTCCCATCTCAGCCTCCCAAGTAGCTAGGACCACAGGAGCCATGAGGCCTGGCTAATTTTTGTATCTTTTTTTGGCAGAGATGGGGTTTTGGGGTTTCACTGGGTTGTCCAGGCTGGTCTCACATTCCTGGGCTCAAACAATCCTCCCATCTCAGCTTCCCAAAGTGCTGGGATTATAGGAGTGAGCCACCATGCCCAGCCCATTTATTTTATTTTATTTTATTTTTTTTTGAGACAGAGCCTCTTTCTGTCACCCAGGCTGGAGTGCAGTGGTATGATCTCGGCTCACTGCGACTTCCGTCTCCTGGGTTCAAGCAGTTCTCCTGCCTCAGCCTCCCAAGTAGCTGGGATTACAGGCATGCACCACCACACTGGGCTAATTTTGTATTTTTAGTAGAGATGGGGTTTCACCATGTTGGCTAGGATGGTCTTGAACTCCTGACCTCAGGTAATCCACCTGCCTTGGCCTCCCAAAGTTCTGGGATTACACGCACAAGCCACCACACCTGGCCTATTTTATTTTTTCATACAGGGTTTCGCTCTGTTCCCCAGGCTGGAGTGCAGTTGCGTAACAGCTCACTACAACCTTGACCTCCCAGGCTCAGGCAATCCTCCCTGCTCCTCCTCCTAAAGTGCTGGGATTATAGGAGTAAGTTACCACGCCCTGCCTCATAAGTACACTTAAGTAAATAAAGTAAAATGGAAATTGCCATTAAACTTGCTACAATCAGAAGAGCAGCTCATTTAATGCTTTGTCATTGTTTACCATGTGACTAACTCATAAGAGTTAACCATTAACTATGAGTATCAACACAATTTTCAGAAAATTCAAGGTCTTCTGTGATTTCAAGCAAATATATGATTTTGCATTGTCATTATGAATGCACATTTTTACTCCCAATAATTCAGGCCATAGAACTGGCTGTGAAAGTCAATTTACTCCATATATGCTTAAATAAATATAAATTTTTCTATATGCTTAAATAAATATAAATTTTTCTAAGTCCTATTGCAAGGAACCCTTTTATTTAAAAAAAAAATCCCAGTTTAACAGGAGATATATTTATGTTAAGAATATGGAGGGGTATAAAACCACTTAACAAATATTCTTATAAAAAAAAAATCAAGCCTAAATCTGATTGGACCTGTACCTTTAGATCTAACTACCAATTTACATTAAATAAAGAATAAGTTGAAAAACTCCAAGGAACTGAACCAGCAAAATCTAGACTGAAAAATTTCTTTTTTTTGAGACAGTCTTGCTCTGTCACCCTGGCTGGAGTGCAGTGGCACCATCTCGTCTCACTGCAACATCCACCTACCAGGTTCAAGTGATTCTCGTGCCGCAAACTCCCAAGCAGCTGGGATTACAGGCGCACACCACCATACCTGGCTAATTTTTGTATTTTTGGTAGAGACGGGGTTTTTCCATGTTGGCCAGGCTGGTCTCGAACTCCTGGCCTTAAGCGATCCACCCGCCTCAGCCTCCGAAAGTGCTGGGATTACAGGCATGAGCCACTGTGCCTGGCCTAGACTGTGATAATTTCTAGCCAATAAACAAACTGGTTTCTTCAACCAATAGATACTGGTTGAAGCACAACTATTGTGGGCTACCAGCCTGGGCAACATGGCGAAACCCCATTTCTACTAAAAAAATTTTAAAAAATAGCTGGGCATGGTGGCGCTTGCCTGTAGTCCCAACTATTCAGGAGGCTGAGGTGGGAGGATCACCTGAGCCCAGGAGGCGGAGGTTGCAGTGAGCCAAGATCGGGCCACTGCACTCCAGCCTGGGCCACAGAGCAAGGCCCTGTCTCAAAGAAAAACAAAATTATCTTTTAGAGATACATGATAAAGTATTTATGGATGAAATTATAAATAATCAGCATGGTGGTAGTTGGGAAGGAGGACTGGCCACGTAGATAACTGTTGAAACAAGATGATGGGCACACGGAGATTCATTGTACTGTTATCTTTAATTACATGCTTGAAATCTTCCACAACAAAAAGCAAAAAGAAAACATACCTAAACCACTGAAGCTCACTCTTAGGGGAGAAACTTCAAACAATATCCATCCATAATATTATGGATGTTTAGAAAACTATGTCTATAGCAAAGTGAAAGCCCTTCAGGGGCCATAGGTCTGGCATTACATATAGAGGCAACTCCCTTTTCTCCAATGGTTCCGAGGTCTCTTAACATAAGTAATTGGAGGATGTGAAAAATGTACATATGAATTTCCATTAGTTTGATTAAAATAACAGGACAAGCAAGATATATGAACCACTACAACCATGAATATGATGTCACCAATCACAGTAATGGGTTTCCTTGGTTATTTTGGCTAGATTCTAGAAAATGAGGGAAAAGTTTTATAGAGTCAGGATTTGCAGAGAATAAAATTTAATTCAGTCCTGTGTATAATCTCCTAATATTTAAAGTTACTAAAATCAGAGCAATGCAGAATTCATATACATATAATAAAACCTCAAAATGAAGACTTACATAATTATATTAAAGCCAAAACTGATGCAGAAGCAGTTAATAATATAGGTTCTATCTGTTATTAGGTTCATTATGTAATTATCATAATTGGTATTTAGAATTTATATGGTACTTTTATTAGAAGAACTCAAATCCTTTCACAGGGTAAAATTATCCTCAGTAAAATAAAAATTTTACCCAGAAAAAAAGCAAAGCAAATTATCCATTTTTTTTTAAAGTAGTTACTACTAAATTTTTTTTTTTTTTTTTGAGACAGAGTCTCACTCTGTTGCTAGGCTGGAGTGCAGTGGCGCGATCTCGGCTCACTGCAACCTCCACCTCCTGGGTTCAAGCGATTCTCCTGCCTCAGCCTCCCAAGTAGCTGGGATTACAGGCGCGAGCCACTACACCCATCTAATTTTTTTTTGTATTTTTTTAAATACAGACGGGGTTTCACCATGTTGGCCAGGATGGTCTCGAACTTCTGACCTCAGGTGATCCACCCACCTTGGCCTCCCAAAGTGCTGGGATTACAGGTGTGAGCCACCACACCCGGCCTAAACTGTATTTTTTAAAGAACAAAGTTTAAAAAGCAATGTCTATTCAATAAACACGACAACACAAAAGGAAGTGTTTTAACTGTTAAATATTAATAGAATCTACTATTTTCTCAGTAATTCATGTAATGAGAGAAGAAAGAACATTAACAGTAAGTCAAAGCCCACTGTATGCCCTCTCCTAGTCACTACTATTCCCAAATTACCATCATGCTGAATTCTATAATCATAGATTAGTTTGCCTATTTTTGAAACTTACGCAAATGGAATTATACGGTATGTACTCCTTTGTGTCTGGCAACACTACTTTTGTAAGATTTTAACCATATTCTTAAGTGCAGGAGTAGTTTCATTGATTTTCAACACAGTACAGTATTTTGTTGCAGTATTATAAAATAATTCATGTAGCCATTCTTTTTGTTTGTTTGTTTGTTTTTTAAGACGGAGTCTCACTCTGTTACCAACGCTGGAGTGCAGTGGTGCAAACTCGGCTCACTGCAACCTCCCCCACCCAGGTTCAAGTGATTCTCCTGCCTCAGCCTCCCGAGTAGCTGGGGCTATAGGCATGTGCTACTACACCTGGCTAATTTTTGTATTATTTTAGTAGAGATGGGATTTCACCACGTTGTCAAGGCTGGTTTAGAACCCCTGACCTCAGGTGATCCGCCCACCTCAGCCTCCCAAAGTGCTGGGATTACAGGCGTGAACCACCGCACCCAGCCTCATGCATCCATTCTATTGCTGATTAATATTTAGGTTGTTCCTTCTGTCTTTTAGTGCACATATGTATGCATCTCTGTTGGATATACACTTGGAATTGCTGGATCACAGACTAATAGTTTTTTTTTATTTTTTCAAGAGACAGGGTCTCACTTTGTTGCCCAGGCTGGAGTGCAGTGGCGCCAACAGGGCTCACTGCAGCCTCAGCCTCCTGGGCTCAAGTGATTCTCTTGCCTCAACTCCTCAAGTAGCTGGGACCACAAGCACATGCCACAATGCCCAGTTAATTTTTAAATATTTTTTAGAGACAAAGTTTCACTATATTGACCAGGATGGAGTCGGCCTCCAAAAGTGCTGGGATTACAGGTGTGAGCCACCGCGGTTGGCCTTTAAAAAAAAAAAAAAAAAAGAAAAGGAACAGGGGTCTTGCAATGTTGCCCAGGCTGGGCTTGAACTCCTGGGCTCAAGCAATCCTCTCGCCCGGCCTCCCAAACTGTTGGGATTACAAGCATGAGCCACTGTGCCTGGCCTATATTTTCAGCTTTAGTAGATACTATCAAACACGTCTGCCAAGTGACTGTACCAATTGATATTCTTACCAAGCAGTGCATAAAATTCTAATTGCTAAACACTTGGTATTGTCAGTAATATCATTTTAACCATTCTGATGGGTGTCATTATTCTAATTTATTTATTTACTTATTTGGAGACAGAGTTTCATTCTGTCAACCAGGCTGGAGTATAGTGGTGCGATCTCAGCTCACTGCAACCTCTGCCTCCCAGGTTCAAGCAATTCTCTCGCCTCAGCCTCCTGAGTAGCTGGGATTACAGGCGTGAGCCACCACACCTGGCTAATTTTTGTATTTTTAGTAGAGACGAGGTTTTGCCATGTTGGCCAGGCTGGTTTCGAACTCATGACCTGAAGTGAACTGCTCACCTCGGCTTCCCAAAGTGCAGGGATTACAGGTGTGAGCCACTGTGCCTGGCCGTATTTTTTTTTTTTTAATTTGGAGATGGGAGTCTCACTATGTTGCCCAGGCTGGACTTGAAACCCTTGGCTCAAATGATCCTTCTGTCTCAGCCTCCTGAGTAGCCAGAACTACAAGGCCATGCCACCATGCCTGGCTTATTTGTGAAGACTAGAATACACTGCTGGCAGAATTCATTACTGAATGTTTGGATATAAGTATGGTTTATGGGGTTTCAAATGACTTGCAACCCTTTTATCAATATCAGCATTATAGAACTCACCATCAAGTTATCTTTCTAAAACATTTTTAAAAATTACCCTAAACCAAATATAGTAGTAATATATATATATATATTTTGAGACGAAGTCTTGCTCTGTAGCCCAGGCTGGAGTACAATGGCGTGATCTCGGCTCACTGCAACCTCTGCCTCCTGGGTACAAGCGATTCTCCTGCCTCAGCCTCCCGAGTAGCTGGGATTATAGGTGCGCACCACTGCACCCGGCTAATTTTTTGTATTTTTAGTAGAGACGGGCTTTCACCATGTTGGCCAGGCTGGTCTTAAACTCCCGACCTCAGGTAATCCGCCTGCCTTGGTCTTCCAAAGTGCTAGGATTACAGGTGTGAGCCACCGTGCCGCCAATATTTCAATCCTAAATCTGATTCAGATATAATAAGTAAATCTGTGTTTTTGAGTGACTATTAGTCTATAGATGCTTTTTCATAGATTTCCATATCTTATATTCCTATAGATAGCAGGCAGACCTATCTTAGAGATAAAACTGGATTGAGACTTTCCTTCTAAAAGTCTAAGGCAACTAAAGTCTATGGTTGATAATAGTCATAAAGAAATAAGCTTCAGCCGGGCATGGTGGCTCACACCTGTAATCCCAGCACTTTGGGAGGCCGAGGAGGGGCGATCCCCTGAGGTCAGGAGTTCAAGACCACCCTGGCCAACATGGCGAAACCTCGTCTCTACTAAAAATACAAAAATTAGCTGGGAGTGGTGGTGGGCACCTATAATTCCAGCTACTAACGAGATTGAGGCAAGAGAATCGCTTGAACACGGAAGGCAGGTGTTGCAGTGAGCTAAGTTCGGGCCATTGCACTCCAGCTTGGGCAACAAGAGTGAAACTCCGTCTCAAAAAACAAATAAAAAATAACCAAGCTTTTCTTGGGGAAAAATATAAACATATTAATGTTAGCTAGAAAATGCTACCATCAAATTTGCAAATGCTTTTCTGTTGAGTTTCAAAAGCATAATATGATGAACTCATTTTACAGTGAAATAATAAAAAAAAAGGAAACCAGATAGCTCAGTAAAATAGTTAGAAGCATATTTTTCTAAATTCTCTAAATTCACAAAATTTTGAAATTCCAGTTAAAAATATTTGTGGCACCAAACTCTAAATATGAAAGATGCCATTTGTCCATCTAATGTTTATGTGATGTTAGTAAAATAATCCAAAAATATATTAAATTTATATTAATATTATTAAAAGTTGTATTTATTTTATTTTTACAGGATACCACTTTTTAATTTTATTATAATATGGTAATGATACTAACAGACAAAATTAGGAAACAGGGAAGAAGGCCAGGTGCAGTGGCTCACGCCTGTAATCCCAGCACTTTGGGAGGCCGGGGCGGGCAGATCACCTGAGTTCAGGAGCTCAAGACCAGCCTGGCCAACATGGTGAAACCCCACCTCTACTAAAATACAAAAATTAGCTGGGTGTGGTGGTGGGCGCCTGTAATCCCAGCTACTCAAGAGGCTGAGGCAGAATTGTTTGAACCCGTGAGGTGGGTGTTGCCGTGAGCTGAGCTCGCGTCATTGCACTCCAGCCTGGGCGACAGAGGAAGACTCCGTCTCAAAAAAAAAAAAAAAAAAAAAGAAAACAGGAAAGAGAAAAAATTATCCATAATCTCACTGCACTAATACACCATTCTGATAGACTTCTTTCTGGTCATTTTTCCTACCCACATTACCCGAAGTAATGTGTTTTAATGTCCATGTGTTTTGTATCCAGATTTTTTTCATTTAATTTCTTACCAGTTGCTGTTATAGATTTTTATATTAATAGTGCATATAAATGATATAATAAAGACAGTAAGAAAAAAGCATAAAAACAAAGAGATGTTTAATATGTTTACCTCATAAATAGGAAGTGTAGGAGAATTCCACGCATTGATTCTTGATTCATTGACATCAACAACCGTTACCCTGATTTCAGGACACATATGAGCAATGACACTACATGTGGGTCCTCCAACATAGCCTGCACCGATGCAACAGATCTTCTTAATTTCAAACATGATTGTACTAGAAGGAAAACAGTAAGACTGTTCTAGTATTGAAAACAGAAAATTTAAAGAAATAATATTGTACATTAATTATACTTTATAAAAACTGTCAAGGTGACAGATATCTGGAAAGATTTCCTACATTCGCTCTGAGGAATTATGGAAATAGTGATTTAAAAAATAACATTCCAATTGGATGACCTAGCCTGTTCTCAGCTGCACTAGCATGAAACATATGGAAATAATTACAGTAACTGATATTACTGAAGGGGAGCCACAAAGATTATAATGACCTAATATTTAGAAAGTAAAGAATCAAAGTAAAACCTTCCTTAGGTCTATAATACACTAGGACAACTTTGATTGCTGAGAGAAAGCTCCAGGATGAACATACTTGTACGATTCTTGCTTAAATAAATGCTAGTGTACAAAGATGAGTTTATAACAGGTTTAGATTACGATGATATAGAATAAGATTAGTTCCACAGTCCAGAATTGGCCTCTGATGAGATTATATGCCCTACACACTACTTTGGCTTTCAAAGTTTACTTTTAGGTACTAGGCAATAATCTTAAACTCCATTTCAACTTTAATCAGAAACCATAAGGTGGTTAAAGAAAATGTAATTTCTGTAATTACCAAAGCTGTTACACAGATTTTTTTCCTTCCCAATGCCAGCAGAAAAGTGGGTTACACAGATTTTGATAGATTTTCAAAAGCATTAGGTGAACTGATTCACACTAATCAAAATGACAAGGAACTGATTTATACATAAGTATGCTCATTTATCCGTTATAATGAGAACTGTCAAACTGATCAGATTCTTAAAAGCAAAGAATGGTTTTGCCTTGCCAAGACCTCAGACATCATCTAAT
The DNA here is from genome assembly GCF_000001405.40 of Homo sapiens. Lineage (NCBI taxonomy): Eukaryota > Metazoa > Chordata > Mammalia > Primates > Hominidae > Homo > Homo sapiens. Next base: position 39,522,377 of record NC_000004.12, read on the forward strand.
CTAACCCATTCACAGATTCCAAAGAGAAGGAAAATGGTAATCAGAGAGTTTAAGAATTTTTTAGTATACTCCTGTATGGATCAGAGAACGCACTCTGGAAGGCTGGCCTAATTTGAATGCCTGGCAAGAAGAATATCCCTATTATGAAAAAAGACAAATCATATAATTAAGATTATCCAATTCTTTTTGGTTTGAATCTGTATTAAACAATATTCTAAATTTTCGTTTGGTTCTCTGGATAGATTTCCCTACTAGAAGAAAATGAGCTGACTAATCCATGTAGGTATCCTGGATTGTTTGTAGCCTGTGTTAATAAACTACCAATCTGGCTTATGCATTGATCTTTAGTGGTATAGATATCAACTCATGGAGTCTGATCCCTCATGACTTTTTTTTTTTTTTTTTAATGAGACAGAGTCTTGCTCTGTCGCCAGGCTAGAGTACAATGTGACCTCGGCTCACTGCAACCTCCGTCTCCTGGGTTCAAGCAGTTCTCCTGCCTCAGCCTAACGAGTAGCTGGGACTACAGGCACACACTACCATGCCCAGCTAATTTTTGTATTTTTAGTAGAGATGGGGTTTCACCATGTTGGTCAGGATGGTCTGGATTTCTTGACCTCGTGATCCACCCGCCTCAGCCTCCAAAAGTGCTGGGATTACAGGCATGAGCCACCACGGTATTTATTTTTTTTGAGACAGAATCTCACTTTGTCACACAGGCTGAAGTGCAGTGGCACCATCTCAGCTGCACTTATTACAACCTCCGCCTCCTGGGTTTGATTCTCGTGCCTCAGCCCGCCAAGTAGCTGGGACTACAGGTGCATGCCACCACACCAGGTTAATTTTTGTATTTTTAGTAGAGACAGGGTTTTGCCATGTTGCCCAGGCTGGTCTCGAACTCCTGAGCTCATGCAATCTGCCTGCCTCAGCCTCACAAAGTGCTAGCATTACAGGCACGAGCCACTGTGCCAGGCCCCTCATGACTTTTAAAAAACAATTAAAAGAAATAGAACTTTGGTAAAATAGTAAAAATGGACAGAATTTTGAATTATATGATTCAATTAAATAGAACAGTATTCTATTTGAATCTGTATTCAAATAGTATTCTTAGCCATATGAAATAAATTTTTAAAAATTATTTATTCTGGCCAGGCACGGTGGCTCATGCCTGTAATCCCAGCACTTCGGGAGGCCGAGGAGGCTGAATCACCTGAGGTCAGGAGTTCAAGACCAGCCTGATCAACATGACAAAACCCCATCTCTACTAAAAATACAAAATTAGCGGGGCATGGTGGCACATGTCTGTAATCCCAGCTACTTGGGAGGCTGAGGCAGGAGAATCGCTTGAACCCGGGAGGCGGAGGTTGCAGTGAGCTGAGATCGTGCCATGTTGCACTCCAGCCTGGGCAACAAGCACGAAACTCCATCTCAAAAAAAAAAAAAAAAATTATTGATTCTGAATAATGTTCATATGGTTCAAAATTAAATCTGTTGTAACAAGGTACACATGAGAAGTCTCACTCCAACCCCTTCCTTATCTACTTTGCTATCCCCTACTTTGCTTCCACACAAGCAATCCGTTTTCTTGTATATCCTCCCAGCTACAAGTAAATATACATATATATTCTAATAATCTTGTCTTTCTAAATTCAATAGAATACCATATATACTATTAACACCTGGCTTTTTTCACTTAATTAAACCCAGTATATCTAGAATACCTAAAGAGTAGAATCTCAAAGTAATGTTGGACCAGAGGATCTTTTAGGGTTACCACTTAATCTCCTAGCCAAAAGGTTATTAGGGCAGCCTTTACTCTTAATCTCAACCAGGACAGGTTCTGCTAACACATTTATTAAATGTAGAATCAGTGTCTACTCGTTGCAGCTCCTGGGCTTAAGGAGTTCATAGTTTAATAAGGCACAGCCAGGCTAACAGTTATTTGCTGCTGCTCCCTGCTGTATCCTTGACTCCTAGAATAGCAGCCTCTCAATGATTATTAATTGAATGAATGAGTAACTCTCCACAAGGGCGTCTCTTTTTGAGATGAAGACTTCTGTGTAAATAGCTTTAGTTCAGATTGCCGATCATAGTATTTTTGCAGTAATTGACCAGAATACTATCAACTTTTTTTTTTTTTTTCTGACACAAGGTCTCACTCTGTTGCCCAGGCTGGAGTGCAACAGCACAATCTGGGCTCACCGCAGCCTCCGCCTCCCAGGTTCAAGTGAGTCTCCCACCTAGCCTCCCAAGTACCAAGTACCTGGGACTACAGGTGTCCGCCACCATGTCCAGCTAATGTTTGTATTTTTTCTAGAGACAGGTTTTCACCATGTGGGCCAGGCTGGTCTCAAGCTCCTGACCTCAGTTGATCCACCTGCCTCAGCCTCCCAAAGTGTTGGGATTACAGGTGTGAGCCATCGCATCTGGCCAAGTTCTTTTTTTGAGTTACCTAAAGAACTTCAGCATGTTTCCCCAGAGTTACTTCTTATCTGCCTTGATTGTGAGACCACATTTCAACTTGCTTTACATACATCAGCTGGGATAGACTACTGATGGCAGGTGAACTTGTATCACAGAACTGGATGTGTTTTACACAAGCTTTATTTTGGGTATTCTCGCCTTGCTATTTCCCATGAAATACGGCTTACCGATGACAATGGGAGAATCAATGAAAAGGCTGATGTACAATCTGTGCAAGTCCAAATAAATGCTCACTTGGAAGTTTCAATAAAATCTTCAATAAGCTTTAACATGGAGTTTGACATAGTGTTAGTGACACACTTTGCATGACACAGATGTCTGCCAACTCCATTTTCTATTTCTTTTTTCTTTTTGAGACGGAGTCTCACTGTCACCGAGGCTGGAGTGCAGTGGCACCATGTCGGCTCACTGCAACCTCCGTCTCCTGGGTTCAAGCAATTCTCCTGCCTCAGCCTCCCGAGTAGCTGGGATTACAGGTGCCCACCACCACGCCCAGCTAGTTTTTATATATTTAGTAGAGACGGGGTTTCACCATATTGGTCAGGCTGGTCTCGAACTCCTGACCTCAGGTGATCCATCCACCTTGGCCTCCCAAAGTGCTGGGATTACAGGCGTGAGCCACTGCGCCCAGCCCCATTTTCTTTTCTTTTTCTTTTTTTTTTTTGAGACGTAGTCTCGCTCAGTTGCCCAGGTTGGAGTGCAGTGGCGCAATCTCGGCTCACTGAAAGCTCTGCCTCCCAGGTTCATGCCATTCTCCTGCCTCAGCCTCCCGAGTAGCTGGGACTACAGGCGCCCGCCACTACGCCCGGCTAATTTTTTTTTGTATTTTTAGTAGAGACGGGATTTCACCATGTTAGCCAGGATGGTCTCGATCTCCTGACCTCGTGATCCGCCCGTCTCGGCCTCCCAAAGTGCTGGGATTACAGGCGTGAGCCACCACGCCCGGCCCCCATTTTCTATTTCTACTTTTATGTACCCTCTGGCCCTCTATTCTGCTGTCAGAGACATAGGAGTGTTTCCTTATTAAATGGGTTATTTTGAAATGAGTTTTTACCTCTGTATTTTGGGAGAGTCACAACAAACCAAACCGTTCCAAAACTACTCTTCATGTAAAATTTCATAAATTCAAATAAACATTCCAACCCAGAAGGGGTCACTAACAAATAACAAATGCCCTACTACAATCTAAACGGAATATAATCCTTCTAGCCCCAGCTCTCTACAGCATATTTTGCATAGGTACCCAGGAGCTAACGATGGGCATTATAGTTGGATACATCAGCTTCACACATTTTAATCATTTCCAGAAATTAAACAGTAAAAGATGCCTGACCAGAGAAAAATATTTAATCAGTAAGAAAGCCGGTATTAATTTTATGTCTAAGGGTTATCATGTAAAGCTGTGGAAGTAAACAAGAAGGAAGATGGATTATGCTTATCCAGTTATAGATTTTGTTAGAAAAAGGAGTACAGCAACGGGAGAAGAAATGAGATCTTTTCAATCAGGGTTGTCTACCCCTTACCTTAAACTGGATCCTGGCCACTAATAAGCACATCTCAGAGCAGACAGTCAGCTCTTTCATTTCCAGAACCCCCCTGAAGAAAGACTACTGTTCTCCATTTCTTAAGGGATTTGAAGAAACTCAAAGGCTCACTGTGTCTTTGAGGTCTGTCGATAGACAGCTACTGCTCTGTATGCCCATGAATAGATCCCTACCAGCGAACCCCTCTTTTCTCTATACTAGAATTCCTAACCCTACTAAGTTATCTTCCTATATATTTATAGGACGTATAATTTTTCAAGATCTCACACAAACATGGTCTCCCGAGGCACCCAGGAAAGGCCTTCCCCGACATCAAACAGAGCAATTCTGTGGTGTAGGGGGCCAACAATGGATTCCAGGACATCCCGGACAGATATCACGGCAGTCTTAGTATTTTGCTCTCAAGAGGGCTTTCTGGCTTCGTTTCTCTTTGGTTTCTTAAGAGGGGCGGCATGAGAAAAGCAGGAGCCCCTCAGGTGAGCAGACTCTTAAACACAAACAAAAGACTACGACTCTGCGGCCAAAATGAGGTCCCCAACGAGAGAACCGCTTCCTGTGGTGGGCGTTCGGCTTTGGAGGCGGCAGGGAAATCTCATCCAAGTCAGGAAAGTGGGTAAAGGCAGAAAGAGAAGGGGCTGGAAGACTCACGAGTCTTGAATAAGAAGCCCAGACGACCACATCCCCAGGACAGCAGTTCCAAAATGCGGTTCCCGCCCTAAGCCCCAAAGAGACGAAGGTCGTGAGACGGGAAGCCCGGGACCCAGCGCAGCGAGCGACCGGGAGCAGCGCGCACACCCCAGCCCCGCTCCCTCCACATCCCGCCCAGACCTGGGAGCATCCCGCCCGGGCGGCGGGGCCAGCCTGGGAGCGGCGCTTACCCACTTCCCAGCAGCAAGCGCAGGGACCGCTCCTATCCCGATCGTTCGGACAGCACCTTCCTACGGGCCGCGCCGCCGCAGCTTCTCCACCCGCGCCCCGCTCGATCTGAGCTCCCTCTCGGCGCACGCCCCTCCCTCAGGCTGCCACGCGTTACACTCTGAGTCCCGGGCCTGAGCCCGTATTTAAAGGCTTTTGCCTGCGAAGGCGGAGGCTTCATTCCCCCGCAGCCAGGCCCTCCTGGATTCTGCCCTCAGCTGCTTCCTAGCTCCCCCTCCCGCTACACAAGGCCCAGGGCCAGGTCCCTATTTCCTTCACGGCTCAGGGGCGGGGAGACTGGGGCTGGTCCTGGCTGGGAGGGCCTGCCCCGCCCCTGGCCTAGCTGGGCAAATCCGCTTTGGCCAGCTCAGCGGCTCCGCCCCTACCGCGAGCGGCGCTGGGCGGGGCTGCGTGCGTGGCGTGTCCGCTGGACCAGGGGACGGGGGCGCGCCGCAGGTGTAGGAGCTTTGCGCGCCTACCTGGCGGTCGTGGGTCGAGGAGGGGTCAAGAATTGTTGTCTAGCAGCCCTCTCCCCGCTGCCCTGTCCTGGCCGAGGCAAAGGCCGCGTGCGCTCCGCGTCTGCCAGGCTTTAGGGCTGCGCGGACACTGGGTGGGTGGTGGGCCGAGGCGACCGGAAGGTCCTGGCCGCCTTTCCGGTCTCCTCAGCACCCTGGAGCGCCGCCCTCGGGTTTCGGTCTCCTGGATCTGCGGGTCGGTCTCGGCGGGCGGATTACTCCTCGCCCACAACCTCGAGGCCCCGGGGTCAACCGCGCCCTCCGGGCCGGCAACCCAGGGTTTAGTCAGATTCCTCCTGACCCACCGCTTCTGGGAAAGAGGCGCCTCCCGTCAGGAGGATGCTGAGTTCCTCATGACTGGACCAGTGAGTGTCCACTCCCTGGTCCCTGGCGAGAGAGGCGGGACCCCCACGCCCTCCTGGCGCTCTTTGCAGAGATGTTCCTCAGGCCCAATCCGGGATTTGGGATGTCTGTGCGTGCTGTGGAGCAGAGAGTTTGCAACATGTAAGTGCCGTGCGTGAGGAAGAGTAAAATTAACCTATGGAGCCTGCTCATTTTTAATGTGGAGGGCAGTTCCGTTCCTTTCTTTCGCCGCTTCGAGGTCATTTTAACACTCAAATCTAACATATAAGAAAAAAAGCCAGGCATAATCATGGCCTTTTATTTCCCTCATTAAGGATTACATCAGGTGACATAAGCCATTTTAACATACATCATGAAGAAAGTGATTAGTAATTTATAAAGGCACATTAAAATACCATATAAATTACGGTTTTCTTGATAGGATCATGATGGTGACTTTAAGAAAGTGGTTGAATGTGGATGAAACAGTTTGCTGTGGATTGTAGCACGTGTGGCAGGATATGTAGGCTTGTTGGTTGGTTGTTTTGAGACGGAGTCTCCCTCTTGTCGCCGAGGCTGGAGTGCAGTGGTGCGATCTCGGCTCACCTCAACCTCCTCCTTCCAGATTCAAACGATTCTCCTGCCTCAGCCTCCCGAGTAGCTGGGATTACAGGCGCCCACAACCATGCCCGGCTAATTTTTATATTTTTAATAGAGACCGGGTTTTGCTATGTTGACCAGGCTGGTCTCAAACTCCTGACCTCAGGTGATCCGCCCGTCTCGGCCTCCCAAAGTGCTGGGATTACAGGTGTGAGCCACTGTGCCTGGCCAGTATATGTAGGCTTTCTGCATTCTATGCAGTTCAGTTCATTCATCCAACAAATATTTAATGCCTGTTGTGTGTCAGACGTTATCCTAAAGACTGAAGATGCAAAAGGGATTAAGACTCAATTCCTTTGGCCAGGCACGGTGGTTTACGCCTGTAATCCCAGCACTTTGGGAGGCCATAGCGGGCGGATCACCTGAGGTCAGGAGTTCCAGACCAGCCTGGCCAACATGGTGAAACCCCGGCTCCACTAAAAATACAAAAAGTTAGCCGGGTGAGGCGGTGGGCACCTGTAATCCCAGCTGCTCAGGAGGCTCCCTGTTGCAGTGAGCCGAGATCACACCACTGCCCTGCAGCCTGGGGAACAGAACGAGACACTGTCTCAGAAAAATAACCAAACAAAAAAGACTCATTTCCTTCTTGCAAAGCTCACAGGTTGGGTAGAAGAGATATGTAAACAAGTAATTGCACTAGATATGACAAGTACATCTTTTTGAACATACATAGATTTAAGTTATCTAATACAGTTTGCTTTGTAATAAAAACCACTTATCTTAGTCCCTTCATTTTGAATTCAACATTTTTCTATTTAGTATTCACCTCACATTCTTTTTTAGTATTTTGGTAGAATCAGACTCTTCAAAACGGTTAATAGGATTTCAGAAATTAAGTCAATTTTCAGTGCCAGCTAGAATGGACCTTTGGATTTAGGACAGAGGTTCTCCAAATGTGAGCTGGGGACTGTAGACAATCTCCGAGGTTCTTTCTGGGATCCATGAGGTCAAAAAGTTTTCATGTGTTACTTGCTTTTTTCACTCTTGTTCTCTCAGAAGTGTACAATGAAGTTTTGTGGAGACTATAATGTGCTATCAAAGCAAATAGAATTAAGCTGTTTTTTAAGTCAGATATTAGAGATTTACAAAAATGTAAAACAATGCCAATCTTATCTTTTGTTTTTAAAATATAGTAATTTTTCATTAAAATATGATATTTATGTTAACATGTAATGGGCTTATTGTCAATTTTAAGGAATTAATCTTTTATATATAATTTATCAGTTTTCATTTCTAATATGGTAAATACCAATAGTTACAATCCACATGAAAAAAACTTCTTTGAGTCTTCAATTTTTAAACATGCCAAGGGGTCTTGATACTACAAACTTTGAGAACTGCCAAGGTAGGCTAGTTATTTTCAAATTATGTTTCATGGAGCCCTGAATCCTCTGGTAGTGTGTCAGAAATCTGTGAGGATAGAGAATCAGTAGGAAGTTAAAGACAAGGCTCTGGGTTCCCACATCTCCCCGTCTTCTCTAATGGCAGTTCAATTTTTCTCTGTTTATCTGGTTTTTTGTTTTTTGCTTTTTGTTTTTTTTTTCTTGAGACGGAGTCTCGCTCTGTCATCCAGGCTGGAATGCAGTGGTGCAATCTTAGCTCACTGCAACCTCCACCTCCCAGGTTCAAAAGATTCTCCTGCTTAGGCCTCCCAAATAGCTGGGACTACAGGTGCGCACCACCACATCACGCTAATTTTTGTGTTTTTAGTAGAGACAGGGTTTTGCCATGTTGGCCGGGCTGGTCTCAAACTCCTGACTTCAGGTGATCCACCTGCCTTGGCTTCCCAAAGTGCTGGGATTACAGGCATGAGCCATCATGCCTGGCCTGTTTATCTGCTTTTTGTATCAATTAGGTGGAGACTCTCAAACTTCAATTCTTGACTACTGTGTACCTACAGGCTCAACACCAAGTGGAAGCTGCCAAGGCTTGGGGCTTCCACCCTCTGAAGCAATAGCCCAAGCTATGCCTCAGCCCCTTTTAGTTACAGCTGGGGCAGCTGGGACACAAGGCACCAAGTTCCTAGACTGCACACAGCAGAGGGATCCTGGGCCCGGCCCACAAAACCATTTTTTCTTCCTAAACCTCCAGGCCTGTGATGGGAGGAGCTGCCATGAAGATCTCTGACATGCCCGTTTTCCCCATTGTCTTGGTGATTAACATTCGGATCTTCCTTACTTATGCAAATTTCTACAGCTAGCTTGAATTTCTCCTCAGAAAATGAGATTTTCTTTTCTGTCATGTTGTCAGGCTGCAAATTTTCCAAACTTTTATGTTCTGTTTCCCTTAAAAACTGAATGCCTTTAACAGCACCCAAGTCACCTCTTGAATGCTTTGCTGCTTAGAAATTTCTTCTGTCAGATACCCTAAATCATCTCTCTCCAGTTCAAAGTTTCACAAATCTCTATGGCAGGGGCAAAGTGCCGCCAGCCTCTTTGCTAAAACATAACAAAAGTCACCTTTGCTCCAGTTCCCAACAAGTTCCTCATCTCCATCTGAGACCACCTGATTGGATTTCATTGTCCATATAATTATCAGCATTTTTGTCAAAGCCATTTAACAAGCCTCTAGGGAGTTCTAAACTTTCCTGCATTTTCCTGTCTTCTTCTGAGCCCTCCAGACTGTTCCAACATCTGGCTGTTAACCCAGTTCCAAAGTTGCTTCCATATTTTTGGATATCTTTTTAGCAGTGCCTCACTCTACTGGTACCAATTTACTGTGTTAGTTCTTTTTCATGCTGCTGATAAAGACATACCCAAGACTAGGAAATTTACAAAAGAAAGAGGTTTATTGGACTTACAGTTCCACATGGCTGGGGAAGCCTCATAATCATGGTGGAAGGTGAAAGTCATGTCTCACATGGCAGCAGACAAGAGAAGAGAGAACTTGTGCAGGGAAACTCTCATTTTTAAAACCATCAGATCTCATGAGACTTATTCACTATCACAAGAACAGCACGGGAAAGACCTGCCCCCATGATTCAATTATCATCTGCCGGGTCCCTCTCACAACATGTAGGAATTATGGGACCTACAAGATGAGATTTGGGTGGGGACACAGAGCCAGTCATAGTAAGGTATTGTTTGGGTAAAACATAAGCCTTTCTTTCCTTTCTTTTTTTTTTTTTTACAGGGTCTCACTTTGTCACCCAGGCTGGAATGCATTGGCATGAACACGTCTCACTGCAGCCTCAACCTCCCAGGCTGAAGTGACCCTCCAACTCTGCTTTCACAGTAGCTGTGATATGGTTTGGCTGTGTCCCCACCCACATCTCATCTTAAAACCCAGTGGGAGGTAATTGAATCATGGGGGCAAGTCTTTCCTGTGCTGTTCTTGTGATAGTGAATAAGTCTCATGAGATCTGATGGTTTTTAAAAGAGTTCTGGCTGGGCATGGTGGTGGGCACCTGTAATCCAAACTACTAGGGAGGCTGAGGCAGAGTGAATTGCTTGAACCTGGGAGAAGGAGGTTGCAGTGAGCCGAGATTGCACCGCTGCACTCCAGCCTGGGCAAAATTGAAGACTCTGTCTCCAAAAAAAAAAAAAAGGAGTTCCTCTGCATAAGCTCTCTCTCTTTGCCTGCTGCCATCCATGTAAGATGTGACTTGCTCTTCCTTGCCCTATGATTGTGAGTCTTTCCCCAGCCACGTGGAACTGTAAGTCCAAATAAACCTCTTTCTTTTGTAAATTGCCCAGTCTTGGGTATGTCTATCAGCAGCATGGAAATGGACTAATACAGTAAATTGGTACCAGTAGAGTGGGGTGTTGCTGAAAAGATACCTGAAAATGTGAAAGTGACTTTGGAACTGGGTAGCAGGCAAACATTGGAACAGTTTGGAGGGCTCAGAAGAAGACAGGAAAATGTAGGAAAGTTTGGAACTTCCTAGAGACTTGTTGAATGGCATTGACAAAAATGCTAATAGTGATACGAACAATAAGATCCAGTCTGAGGTGGTCTCAGATGGAGATGAGGAACTTGTTGGGAACTGGAGCAAAGGTGACTCTTGTTATGTTTTAGCAAAGAGACTGGTGACATTTTGCCCCTGCCCGAGAGATTTGTGGAACTTTGAACTTGAGGGAGATGATTTAGGGTATCTGGTGGAAGACATTTCTTTTTTTTTTTTTGTGACGGAGTCTTGCATTGTCGCCTGGGGTGGAGTGCAATGGTCTGATCTCAGCTTACTGGGTTCAAGCAATTCTGTCTCAGCCTCCCGAGTAGCTGGGATTACAGGCGTCCGCCACCACGCCCTTCTAATTTTTTGTATTTTTAGTAGAGACGGTTTCACTATGTTGGCCAGTGGAAGACATTTCTAAGCAGCAAAGCATTCAAGAGGTGGCTTGGGTGTTGTTAAAGGCATTCTGTTTTGACTGGGTGCGGTGGTGCACACCTATAATCCCAGCACTTTGGGAGGCCGAGGAGGGTGGATCAAGAGGTCAGGAGTTCAAGACCAGCCTGGCCAATATGGTGAAACCCTGTCTCTACTGGAAATACAAAAATTAGCTTGGCATGGTGGTGTGCGCCTGTAGTCCCAGCTTCTCGGGAGGCTGAGGCAGGAGAATCGCCTGGACCCGGGAGGTGGAGGTTCCATTGAGCCAAGATCATGCCACTGACTCCAGCCTGGGCAACAGACTGAGACTCTGTCTCAAAAAAAAAGAAAAAAAAAAAGGCATTCAGTTTTATAAGGGAAGCAGAGCATAAAAGTTTGGGAAATTTGCAGCCTGACAATGTGATAGTAAAGAAAATCCCATTTTCTGAGAGGAAATTCAAGCTGGCTGCAAAAATTTGCATAAGTACCAAGGAGCCGAATGTTAATATCCAAGACAATGGGGAAAATATCTCCCAGACATGTCAGAGGTCTTCATGGCAGCCCCTCCCATCAACAGGTCCAGAGGCCTAGGAGGAAAAAGTGGTTTTGTGGGCAGCACCCAGGGTCCCCATGCTATGTGCAGCCTAGGGACTTGGTGCCGTGCGTCTCAGCTCCTCCAGTGGTGACTGAAAGGGGCCAACATAGAGCTCGGGCTGCTGCTTCATGGGGTGGAAGTCCCAAATCTTGGCAGCTTCCATGTGGTGTTGAGCCTGCGAGTACATAGAAGTCAAGAATTGGGGTTTGGGAACCTCCATCTAGATTTCAGAAGATATATGGAAATTCCTGGATGCCCAGGCAGAAGTTTGCTGTAGGGGTGGGGCCTTCATGGAGAACCTCTGCTAGAGCAGTGCAGAAGGGAAATGTGGGGTCGGAGCCCCCACACAGAGTCCCCGCTGCGGCCCTGCCTGATGGAGCTGTGAGAAGTGGACCACCGTTCTCCAGACCCCAGAATGGTAGATCCACCGACAGCTTGCACCGTGTGCCTGGAAAAGCTGCAGACACTCAATGCCAGCCTATGAAAGCAGCCTGGAGGGAGGCTTTACCCTGCAAAGCCACAGAAGTGGAGCTGCCCAAGACCATGGGAATCCACCTCTTGCATCAGTGTGACCTGGATGTGAGACATGGAGTCAAAGGATATCATTTTGAAGCTTTAAGATTTGACTGCCCTGCTGGATTTCAGACTTGCATGGGTCCTGTAGCCCCTTTGTTTTGGCCAATTTCTCCCATTTGGAATGGCTATATTTACCCAATGCTTATACCACCATTCTATCTAGGAAGTAAATAACTTGCTTTTGATTTTACAGGCTCATAGGCAGAAGGGATTTGCCTTGTCTCAGATGAGACTTTGGACTGCGGACTTTTGAGTTAATGCTGAAATGAGTTAAGACTTCGGAGGACTATTGGGAAGGCATGATTGGTTTTGAAATGTGAGGACATGAGATTTGGGAGGGGCCAGGGGTGGAAGGATACGGTTGGGTTCTGTGTCCCCACCCAAGTCTTATCTTGTAGCTCCCATAACCCATGTGTCTTGGGAGGGACCTGGTAATTCAATCATGTGGGCTGGATGCGGTTGCTCATGCCTGTAATCCCAGCACTTTGGGAGGCCAAGGGGGAGATCACTTGCGATCAGGAGTTTGAGACCAGCCTGGCCAACATGGTGAAACCCCATCTATACTAAAAATACAAAAATTAGCCAGGCACGGTGGTGGGCACCTGTAATCCCAGCTACTTGGGAGGCTGAGGCATGAGAATCACTTGAACCTGGAGGCGGAGGTTGCAGTGAGCCGAGATCGCACCACTGCACTCCAGCCTGGGCGTCAAAGTGAAACTTAGTCTTAAAAAAAAAAAAAAAAAGAAGAATGGGAGTGGGTCTTTCCTGTGCTGTCCTCATGATAGAGAATAAGTCTTACAAGATCTGATGGTTTTAAAAATGAGAGTTATTTCTCTCTTCTCTTGTCTGCCACCATGTGAGTCATGCCTTTCACCTTCCACCATGATTGTGAGGCCTCCCCAGCCACGTGGAACTGTAAGTCCAATAAACCTCTTTCTTTTTTTTTTTTTTTTTTTTTTTTTTTGAGACGGAGTCTCACTCTGTTGCCCAGGCTGGAGTGCAGTGGCGCGATCTCGGCTCACTGCAAGCTCCGCCTCCCAGGTTCACGCCATTCTCCTGCCTCAGCCTCCCGTGTAGCAGGCATTGTCACAGGCGCCTGCCACCACACCCACCTAATTTTTTTGTATTTTTAGTAGAGACGGGGTTTCACCGTGTTAGCCAGGGTGGTATCGATCTCCTGACCTTGTGATCCGCCCACCTTGGGCTCCCAAAGTGTTGAGATTACAGGCGTAAGCCACTGCACCCGGCAATAAACCTCTTTCTTTTGTAAATTGCCCAGGTATGTCTTTATCAGCAGCATGAAAATGGACTCATACAATGATCCATTACCTAGGGTAAAATTCTCCTGAATGTCAAACAGAGATAAACTACATTTGGGTTTTGGGTAAGTCCCCTGTAATGATGAATCAAGAATCCTCAAGTCTGTCTTGCCACCCATTTAATACGTATTTTTGTTAAGGCTGAAGTTTAGAGTTAGAATCAGGACATTTTGGCCTATTGAGAGGTTCTGAATTCCAACAGAAGATGCCATGTAAATCAGTGAATTTGATTCTTTTAAAAGCAACTTACAAAATTTACAAGATGTATTCAATAAAGCAGTTTAGCTTTGGTATATCAAACCTTATAATGAACCATTTTTCCCACTTCATCTTATGCAATGTTTAATATTTTCTATTTTTGTCAAGGATATTAAACCTACACCTGGAAACATATTAAATGCCAACTTAAAATGTGAGAAGTTTGGCAGAACTCAGACCCATTCTTCCAATTTCCAAGCTGTTTAATCACACTGATTCAGACACTCTGGATAGCAGCTGGGATTGTAGTTATCTTTATGCTTTGAGCTCTCTAGTTTTGTCTACACATCTTATAAAATATCCCCTCCTCATTCTCCTCTAGCTGGAACACTAACCCAATGGATGTTGTGGTGAACTTTCTTTGACCAGGCAGAGAAGTGCAGCATTGGGTGGACCATGCACAACCAGTTTGAGAAGCACTGCTCTAGGGGTTGGGGGAGCAACAATAGAAAGAGTGTAGGTTCTGAATACCTGAAGCATACATTTTAGCTCTAGACTGCTTATATTGTTGTTACATGAAAGAGAACTTTTAATCTGGTTTAAACCACTGGATCTCTTTATTCCAGCAAGTGAATCTATATCCAACTAATATTTACTCCCAGTCTGTTCTTTCTCACCCCTCTTTCCCTTACTATAAACCTTTTCTATATCAATTTATATCATTAGTTGCTCAGCCCACAAACCAGATGTCACTTTTGTTTTCTCTTTTCCTTCCCATTCATAGCCAGGCCATCGTTGTGACTTATTGGCTGTACCTCCAAAATATATCCCAGATCTGATCTCTTCTTATAATTTGTACTGCTACAACCTTAGTCAAAGCCACTAATATCTCTTATCTGAACTCCAGTGGTTTACTAGTTTTCTGCCTCTCTTCTTGACACAATTCATCTTTCTACATAGCAGCCAGAGTAAGATAAAATCATAAATCAGATCATATAACTTCTACCCCCTGTACCAATGGCTATCTTTTATACTCAGAATAAAATCCAAAACCTTTATTTGGCTTCCAAGATCCTACAAGATAGAGACCTTACTTCTCATCTTGTACCCATCATTTGATCTTCAGTCCCTTGAAAATGCCAAGTCTATTTCCATTTCAGGGCCTTTGTGCTTGTTACTATTGTTTCTTTTCTCTTGGAAAACTGCCCAGATCTTTCCTTAGCTGAATTATTCAGATCCCAACTCAAATATCATCTCTTTAGAAAATTCTTTCAGAACCAGGTGTGGTGGTGCACACCTGTAATCTCAGCTACTCGAGTGGCTGAGGCTGATGGATTTCTTGAGCCCAGAAGTCTGAGGCCAGCCTGGGCAATATAGCAAGATCCTGTCAAAAAGAAAAAGGTATCTCACCATGATTATATTTTAATTTCCCTTCAGCAATTAGAAGTCCCTGAAATTAATTTACCTTATTTGTTGGCATTTGTTGGCATTGTGCAAGTAATGCTTGCACCCAGGAGGCAGAGTTTGCAGTGAGCTGAGATCACGCCACTGCACTCTAGCTTGGGCAATAGGGCGAGACTGAGTCTCAAAATAAATAAATAAATACATAAAATAATTTTAGAGACAGAGTCTTGCTCTGTTGCCCAGGCTGGAGTGAAGTGGTGGGATCTCGGCTTACTGCAACCTCTGCCTCCTGGGTTCAAGCGATTCTCCTGCCTCAGCCTCCTGAGTAGCTGGGATTACAGGCGTGCACCACCACGCCTGGCTAAATTTTGTATTTTTAGTAGAGATGGGGTTTTGCCGTGTTGGTCAGGCTGGTCTCGAACTCCTGACCTCTGATCTGCCCACCTCGGCCTTCCAGAGTGCTGGGATTACAGGCATGAGCCACCATGGGCCCACAAAGCTATTTTACTTAGCATTTTTTTTCCCGAGGCTAAATTGGGAACTACTGACAATACTATTGACAATACTAAATATATTTTTAAATTATTTTACTTATTTTTGAGACAGGGTCTCACTGTGTCACCCACGCTGTAGTGCAGTGAACCATCACCACTCACTGCAGTCTCACCCTTCCTGAACTCAGGTGATCCTCCCACCTCAGCCTCCTGAGTAGCTGGGACTACAGGCATGCACCACCATGCCTGGCTAATTTTTAAAATTTTTTGTAGAGATGGAGTTTCGCCATGTTGCCCAGGCTGGTCTCAAACTTCTGGGTTCAAGTGATGCAAGTGTCTCAGCCTCCTAAAGTGCTAGGATTACAGGCGTAAGCCACTATGCCCAGCCTTTTATTTTATTTTATTTTATTTATTTATTTTTTGAGACAGAGTCTTGTTCTGTTGCCCAGGCTAGAGTGCAGTGGTGCAATCTCAGCTCACTGCAACCTCTGCCTCCCAGGTTCAAGCGATTATCATGTCTCAGCCTCCCTAGTAGCTGGGATTACAAGTGTGCACCACACGCGGCTAATTTTTGTATTTTTTGTAGAGGCAGAGAGGCAGGGTTTTATTATGTTGGCCAAGCTGGTCTTGAACTCCTGGCCTCAAGTGATCTGCTCACCCCGGCCTCCCAAAGTGCTGAGATTACAGGTGTGAGCCACCATGCCCACCAACCTATTTTTTATTTTAAAAAATTGACAGCATACTAAATGTTTGTAATGCAAATGATAAAATTGCTACAATGAAAACAAGAAGTTGAGAATTAGATGAAGAGTTGATTAAGGGAACTATGAGTCACTGTGTTAGAGCATGTATATTATGAAAATTATAGCAGAAGTGATAAAGGGTGACAATTGTTACCTATCTTCAATCAAAAGCTCTTTGAATATCTTTCTTTTTTTTAATTTTATGAATTTTTTTTACAGAGACAGGGTCTCACTATATTGCCCAGGTTGGTCTCGAACTCCTGGGCTCAAGGGATCCTCTTGCCTTGGCCTCACAAAGTACCTGGATTACAGGCATGAGCCACAGTGCCTGGCCCTCTTTGAATATCTTTAATGCTTTTAGAGATTAGCATCAGAGAATTATTAATACTAGAGGGCACAAGGAATTAGCCATTGCCAGTGGACACCTACATAGGTGTGACTATGTGACTCAGTTTTAAAAATGTGACACAATGAAAAAATTCCTTGGATGTTATGGAGGACGAAAATTTTGTAAGTCCTATCCATTCTTTAATGGAGAAACTAAAATTTACAATATTACTTTATTTAGCCCAAGATTTTCTTAAGCTTTGTATTTTCTAATTCAGCTTTGGCTTACAGAATCATGCTTGAAGTTTGAGACTGCCAGCTTTCAACAGGCAGTTACTAGTGAAACTCTTTGGAAAGATGAGAAGATGTTGACATAAGTGTAATGTGAGACAAAGCAAAGTAAAATGTAATTTTTAAGAAAATGTTGCCGGGTGTGATGGTGGCTCATGTTGCTGTTGGTTGCTATGGGAGTGAACGAAGGGGGACGAATGCAGAAATGAAGACAAAGACAAAAAGAGTATTTTTGGAAGAAGGGGTCAGGGGACTCCTTGCTTCTAGTGGGCAAGGGCCCTGAGCTTCTACAGCCCTTCATATTTATTAGGTAGAAAGAGCAGGGAGGGAGAGGTAACAGTTGGTCAGCTGCTTGATTTATCACAGGTACACATAATTGCTTCCTTTGTACAACAGGCTTCAGATGTTACTATAGATAATCACAAGGAACACTGCGCTTGGGGCATGACTGCCCTCAGCAACCCTTCTGGCGGCAGACACAGTTGTTAGTTTTCCAACATCCTGCTTTCATGAGAACAGTTTTCTGTTTGCTCATATAGCCTTCAGTGGTATACTGAGTTGGTCACGACCTTCATTCTTTCGGCCTGTAACATCTCCCCATTTTTGTTTTTGCATTAATTGAATAAAGGTAATTGCAGGTTGTGCAGCTCTCAATTGCCGTTTGGTGGTCCAGCTGATTTTGCAGACTGTTAACAAAAAACAAAAATATAATAACATTAATCCCATAGTTACAAAAAAGACATTGAGATGCTATTTGAAGTAGGTCCCAGGGTTAAGGCTGTCTAAACCTTGCTGGAATTCTGCCCAAGCTTTTAAAGAGGGCTGAAACGCTTGAGTCTGCTTATTCAAGTTAAGGATTTTACTTTGTAAATCATTAATATCAAAAGTAACATTGAATGTGAAAGCTCCCTGTAAATGGGCTTTTACAAGGCTCAATGGATATTCACTTTGGTTATATACCAAATTGGTCACACAAATATGAGTATGATTAAAATGACAACGCATTGCTGCTGCAACTGCAAACTTTGTACTTGTTCCCCTAGCCATAGAACAGTAGTCTTTAACATTGCCACCTCTGTTTGTATTTCGGTGTTAATTTTATTTTGAAGCATCCATGCCTGGTCGACTGTGCATGTCCAGTTTTCCACATATTGAGCTGTTTGAATGGAGCTGTGCGTTGCTGCTGAGGACAACACAACAGAGGTTATTAATGTAACTAAGGAGACTATAACAAAAATTATCATGCCTAAGGCTCTATGAGCACGATGAGTAAGCGGAGTAAAAAGGAGTTTCATAAGATGTAAAGCGGGGGTGGCTGCCCAAGGCTAAGATAAATTTACAGGAATTCATAATCCAGGAACATGACCTAGAATTGTTAGGGTGGATATGTCATGTGTTTGTATTGTGCTATGATTAAGGCAATGATACAGTTGACAGGAATCACAAGTCAATTGGGCATCATCTACCTGGAGGTGGGTTTTTTTTGCTGCTAAGAAAATATAAGGATTAAAAACAAATTGTAAATTGAGTGGTAATATTTTCTACAAGGGTAACATTAAAACTGTGTTTAGCACAATTACTATTATTGGATAGTGTCCCAATCCAAATGCTGCCATTCATAAATGGGAGTGCTGCTTTCCATATTGACTCCTGAATTGGACCTCTCTTTCCTTGATAATGCCATTGAGGCAAAGGTGAGCTAAAGCATGTGCTGTGTCAAGCAATTTGGGCAGCAGATTGAGATTGAATTGCAATGTGATGTAGTGGGAGATGTTAAAGTTTTGCCACCAGTTCCAGCAAAGTTAATGCCATGAGGTCTGATGCTCATGTCTCCCAACCAAATGACCATGGGGACCCCAGTAAATAATGTCTCCCATTAGCATGGACTGTTGTCTAGCTAGGGAGCTAAGACACGGGGTCCAAGGAGGGGGGTTAGAATTATCAAAGGGAGCCCATTCTATATAATTAATACAATTTGGGTGATGGGGCCGGGAGTGATTAGTAACTACACCAGTAATATTAGTAGAACTAAGGCCCAATAGGTACGTAAATTTTCCATGGTAACTCAACCATGCCTGGGATTGAATTGCAAGGCAACTGCAGTTGAGCAGTGTATCCTGGGTGATGCATAAAGAAAGGCCCTCCAATGGAGTGGTATAATTGATACCATTGTTCTGAGAGTCTAATTGCTCTGTGTCAGGGGGAGTTAAGGGTCCCGGTGCCCATGCTCCTTGATCATGATATATCTCAGGAGGAGTGTCACCCCGGTCATACTACCGGGGGGTTAGGAACATAAGCCCAATATGTTTTTGCCTCTGCACAGGGAAAACATAGCACACAGGATATCATAGCTAGCATGGCCATAAACATGGAGTCAGGGGTTTTTGCCTGACCCTGATGCTCCAGCAGTTTCTCATCTTCTTGTGTGGTTTTCTTGATCTGTAAAACACAAGCATACCCTCATCCCCATGTCAGTAAATCTACCAGGCCTTTCCATTGTCCTTCTTCCAGGGATTTCCATAATACTTTTGGGTAAACTTTCCTTTTTCCCTCTAACATTTGCCAGTGTCATTCTACCGGAGTCTTATTATCTGTACCAGGAGTTAAAAAATTTAAAGTAAATAATGCTAAATGTAGTATTGTTTGAGGTGGTAACTGGTCTCCTATACCTCCTTTTTGTTTTTTCAGCGCATGTTGTAATGTTTGATGTGCCTGCTCTATAATTCCTTGTCCTCGAGGGTTATAAGGAATTCTTGTTTTGTGAGTGACTGCCTATAACTGTAAACAATTTTGAAAAGCATGACTAACTTAAGCAGGTCCATTGTCAGTTTTTAATTGTTTAGGGACCCTCATATCGGCAAATGACAACAGACAATGTCATTGGACATGGCCAGCTGTTTCACCTGTTTGACATGTAGCATGCAGCATATGAGAATAAGTGTCTATAGTCATATGAACATAGCTAAGTTTGTCAAAGGCTGCTATATGTGTAACATCAATTTGCCAGATTTCATTTGGAGCTAAGCCTCGTGGGTTACATCCTTCTACCGGTATAACACCAGGGACATGCTGACAAGTGGGGCAGGCTTGCACAATAGCTCGAGCCTGGCTTCGAGGCAGATGAAACATACAAGTAAGGGCAGAGGTGTTTTGATGCAGTAATGCATGAGAGGCTTCAGCTTGCTGAAACACAGAACCAATCAATTTATCTGCTCTATCATTACCTAGAGGTAGTGGTCCAGGAAGTTGTGTGTCAGAGCGAATATGAGAAATTTGAAAAGGAGCAGCATGAGAGCAAACAGCTCGCTGAAGTCTTAGAAACAAGTTAAACAGCTCTGGTTCTAGGGTGCTTTTAATAGTAGCAGTCTCAATGCGACTGGCTACATTTACAACATAGGCTAAATCACAGACAATATTAATAGGAGAGGAAGCAGTGAGCTGTAAAACCTGAATAACTGCCATTAATTCTGAGCATTGAGCTGAAACACCAGGGATTTTTATTGTTTTAATATGCTTAGGTCCATAAATAGATGCTCAGACTTTGGAAGAGCCGTCAGTGAAATAAGTCTGGCCACCTGGAATAGGCTTGTGATGAGTAATCACAGGGAGGATAAAAGGGTAAACTTTATAAAATTGCAAAACTTTGTCTGATGGATAATGATTATCTATTATTCCTTTGCTTCAGCCAACATCGTAGAGCGATGAAGCTCAGTTCCCACATCCTGACAAGCTTTGATAAAATTTCCTAAGCTTTTTATACATCTCACAGATGCCAATGCATGTTTACAGTCCGTGTTTGCATTCTCAAAAGCTAGTTAAGGTTAGCATTTCTGTAGCCATGGTAAGAGAAATCTGACACTTCACTGCCTATGGTAATCTTGCAAGAAAATGTGCATAGAGCTCCTGTGACCCTTTCATGATATGTAAGAGATTGTACTGGGACCCTTTCCTCTGGAATTGTGGCCCAGGTGCGTTTAACAGCCAAGGCACACTGCTTACAAGCAGCGTCTGGGAGTGCTATTTGATGTTCTAGGTCTGAATAGGGGCCACTGCCTAACAGCATCCTCTGTAATGTCTCTGTGTCCAGCAGCACGATTCTATCTAGCCTGGTCTGCACACAGTTCTTGCCAATTTAAATACCATATCAGGTATGCACTAGCAGACAAACAAGTGCAAGCCAAATGCTTTACATCAAAGGGTGGAAGGCGCATAGCGCCAAATAGATTCTAGCAGTCCTAAAGTAAATGGGCTTTGTATTCCATTATTAACTACACTAGCTTTTAATTCCTTCAGCAACTTAAATTCTAGTGGGGTGTGTTCATGAATAAACTGCTGTGGATTATGTGGATCAGGCCTTACGGAAATAGGAAAAGCTCAAGGTCCTAAGGGTTCTCCAGCCATAGCAGTAGAGTGTAAAGTTCTTTGTATTGGGGTCTCTATTTCTGCTACTGAAGGAGGCGGTTCAGATGTTTCTGCTACTAGAGGGGGTGACACAGGCCAATTTTCATCCTCCTGCTCCTGTTTATTATTTTTAATTGGCGCTGTTGAGAGAACAGAAAGATTCTTTCAAATTTTTTGACTCTGAACATGACTCCTGCTGTCTAGCAGAATAAGAAATGAATAATGGCAGGATGAACTAAACTCCAAATATAAAAAAGAAAATAGCCAAATTCTTCCCCCATGTTACCCTGATTCAGAAACTTCCCGTTCCCAGTACCTCTTTAGGGCACTGACCTTATATTAGCTGTCAGCAGACTCGTCGCAGGGTTTCTCATTCTCGTTCTTCTTGTCAGTGTCAGTTTCTCTGCTCCAGCAGACCTTCACTCACGTCCCTGTCCTAGGTGCCAGTTGTCGCTGTTGGTTGTTATGGGAGTGAACGAAGGGGGATGAATGCAGAAACGAAGACAAAGACAAAAAGTATTTTTGGAAGAAGGGGTCAGGGGGCTCCTTCTAGTGAGCAAGGGCCCTGAGCTTCTACAGCCCTTCGTATTTATTAGGTAGAAAGAGCAGGGAGGGAGAGGTAGCAGTTGGTCAGTTGCTTGATTTATCACAGGTATACATAATTGCTTTCTTTGTACAACAGGCTTCAGATGTTCCTATAGATAATCACAAGGAACACTGTGCTTGGGGTGTGACTGCCCTCAGCAACCCTTCTGGCAGCAGACACAGTTGTTAGTTTTCCAACATCCTGCTTTCATGAGAACAGTTTTCTATTTGCTCATATAGCCTCCAGTGGTATACTGAGTTGGTCACGACCCTCATTCTTTCGGCCTGTAACAGGCTCATGCCTGTAATGCCAGCACTTTTGGAGGCCGAGGCAAGAGGATAGCTTGAGCTCAGGAGTTGGAGACCAGCCTGGGCAACACGGTGAAACCCCATCTCTGCAAAAATTAGCCTGGTGTGGTGGGGTGCGCCTGTAGTCTCAGCTGCTTGTGGGGCTGAGGCGGGAGAATAGCTTGAGCTCCAGGGGTCGAGGCTGCAGTGAGCCATAATGGTGCTGCTGCATTCCAGCCTGGGTGACAAAGTGAGACTATCTCAAAAAAAAAAACGGCTGTTAGATAAAAATGAAGACAAACAACATTTGCAAGGATATAAATCTTAACCCATTTATTGGGGGTATAGGCTCTGGTGTCAGATTTCCATCTGTCCTGTATTTTGTAACCACAAAATTGTCCTGGCTGGATTAATTGTAAGGAAGTCCCTTTAAACACATCTAGACTTCCAAAGTTTGTTTACATACTAATTAGTTGTCATGAAAAGCTGCATTCAACCCAGGGTCTGAGATGCCTTTTGTATATGAAAAGTGCTTCTCTTTCTGACACTGACTGAATTACATACATAACAGATTCATTTATTTAAAAACAATTTAAGAGGCTTTTTCTATAATGCTGAACCTGCTGTGTGGTATTTATGTTTAATTCTGGTCAAATTTTCAAAACTAATAAACACTGCAATTCAAAACCATTAATTATCAAGCATAGACCAAGTATCTGAGGTTATGAGCACATATTTAAGAGGTTAGACTCTGGCATTCCAGACATTGCAAATAATACTTTTCTCATTTCTAAATTTCCTAGAAACAAGTGGAGATTTGTAAAAGGAAATAATACTCTTTAAAACATTTATTTTTGACTCAGGATCTGGCTCTGTTGCCCTAGCTAGAGTGCAGTGGTGCCATCATCACAGCTCACACAATAGCCTGGAACTACTGGGCTCAAACCATCCTCCCACCTCAGCCTCCCAAGTAGCTGGGACTGCAGATGCAGGCCATCATGTCCCGCTAAGTTTTATTTTATTTTTGTAGAGACAGAGTCTATGTTGCTCAGGCTGGTCCTGAACTCCCGGCATCAAGTGATCCTCCCACCTCCCAATAAAACATGTACTGATGGCCAGGCACTTGGCTCACGCCTGTAATCCCAGCACTTTGGGAGGCCGAGGCGGGCAGATCATGAGGTCAAGAGATCAAGACCATTCTGGCCAACATGGTGAAACCCTGTCTCTACTAAAAATACAAAAATTAGCCAGGTGTGGTGGCACGCGCCGGTAGTCTCAGCTACTCCGGAGGCCGAGGCAGGATAATTGCTTGAACCCCAGAGGCGGAGGTTGCAGTGAGCCGAGATCGTGCCACTGCACTCCAGCCTGGCGACAGAGCAAGACTCTGTCTCAAAAAAAAAAAAAAAACCAAAAACCAAAAAATCAAAACCAAAACCATGTATTGATATCAAAGTTTTTTTATCCTGGCAGGGCACAGTGGCTCACGCCTGTAATCCCAGCACTTTGGGAGGCTGAGGCAGGTGGATCACGAGGTCAGGAGTTCAAGACCAGCCTGGCCAAGATGGTGAAGACCCGTCTCTACTAAAAATACAAAAATTAGCCAGGCGCAGTGGCAGGCGCCTGTAATCCCAGCTACTCGGGAGGCTGAGGCAGGAGAATCGTTTGAAACCAGGAGGGTAGAGGTTGCAGTGAGCCAAGATTGTGCCACTGTACTCCAGCCTGGGTGACAGAGTGATACTATGTCTCAAAAAAAAAAAAAAAAAAAAAAGAAAAAGAAAAAAGAAAGAAAGTTGCTTTATCTTTAAAACTATATATATTGTTTTCACCCCTACATAGTCCTTGCCTCCCAGACATCTCCTCACTAACGTCAGTAGACAATTTGGCATCTGATGGTTTGAAATAGTTTCTGTAATCAAATCCTGAATAAAATCCATTTTAAAGCCTATAGAGAGTTAAGAAACAAGTATAAAAATTTGTTGAAGTGTTTATTGAACGAACATAATACATTTGTCTGAGAAGAGATACGCACACTAAAGTCCCCTACAAGCAACTAATGGGAAAAGATCACACAGGTAACTCCAATTTTTAAAAATATGATCATGAAAGATAATTGTAGTTGGTGTTTATGGAGCATCTTTTGGAGGGGGGGGAACCCCCAACAACTCTACAAATTGAGATCCAGAACAGAGAAAGTCATCAGGTGAAATGCCAAGACCAAAAAACTTATTTTATTTGAATTCCATTTTCTGAGAAGAAAACTAGTATTGCAGCAGAGTCATTTAATGAAAACTTAACAGTTTCACTGAGGATTCAGATATCCGTTGACATGTACATGACAATCTTTAGATTAAATCATAAAAAGTTGACTGTCTCCAAGAAATTGTTATTTCACAAATTTATCTATTTTAAATATAACACTGAAGTTATTACATAAACACTGACGTCAAAATCATGCCAGAGCAGTGTTACTATTTTTACATGTATATGAGTATTCATGACCTTTAATGTCTGGACACATTCTAGGTCACAGAACAGAAGCAAATTTTCACTTTTGTGTGTTTTTGGTACAGTGACATGTCTGGTTCCTTTTGAGCTAGATATATCTGCTTAAATAATTAACACTATTGGATATTAGTCCCTCAAAGTAAATGTCTATTTTACCTGGTATTCTAGGAAGAGAGAGAGAAAGAAAATAACCAAAGAAATGTGACTGCAATCTAATTTCCAAGAGAGAAACTCTACTTCTGAATACTGGCCCCATACTGCATATTTTATGAATATTTTTCTCACAACTTTTCTTAAAACTTAAGTTCTCTCTTAGGAATGTCTTTAGTTAGGTCTTACAAAGAAACTGTTTAATACACAATGTTAACATCTACTAGGCAAAAGATGCTTGCTTCTCTTCCCACAAAAGCCAAACAGAAAACACAAAGTGTTACTAACGTTTTCTATTTATTCATTAATAAAAAGTGCATAGTACAAGCCCTTTATCCCAATCCAAGTACTCAGAAAAAGATTAACAACAGACCCTGGATGGCACAGACATAATTTGTTTGGCGTGATTTAAACATATAAAATCAGTAATTAACATTTAGCATATCACACGACCACTTTTGCTTTTAACAAACTAATCTTCACACATGGTAACAAATACCTATGATTTTTCATTTAGAAATATTATAAGAAGACTAAACTTACTATTGCAACAACAAAAATTTAACCCATTAAACTAGAAACTCTCTTCATTTTTCCTTCTTCAAATTACTGTTTTGTGTCTTAAACTGAGTTGGTCAAATTTGAGCACATAATTCATGTAGAGTGACAGACTTTCATTTAGAGTGATAGACTTCCAAGGTTCCTTTGAAAATTTAAGATACTGGTAATTCCATAAACACTCCCACACCACATACCACAAAAACACTAAAAGTAGCCATAGAATAGCTGTATTCAATAATTATTTTGGAAAATCCACATTATGAAATATGACTTGCTGACCATGGAACAGTGCTTGGATAGATAACATGAAAAAAATGAAAAACATCTTTTTTTTTTTTTTTTTGAGACGGAGTTTCACTCTTGTTGCCCAGGCTGGAGTGCAATGGCGTGATCTTGGCTCACTGCAACCTCCACCTCCCAGGTTCAAGTGATTCTCCTGCCTCAGCTTCCCAAGTAGCTGGGATTACAGGCATGTGCCACCACACCAGGCTACTTTTGTATTTTTAGTGGAGATGGAGTTTTTCCATGTTGGCCAGGCTGGTCTCGAACTCCTGACCTCAGGTGATCCAGCTCCCTCGGTCTCCCAAAGTGTTGGGATTACAGGCATGAGCCACCGTGCCCAGCCTGAAAAAAATCTTTTACTAGAAACAGTTCCAATGTTAACTTTTCCCACATGGAAAGCAAAACAAAACAAAACAAAACAAACAAACAAATGCAACAAAACAACCTCCCACTATTATTGTGCATAAAAACACATTAAATGACTCTAAAACAAAATAAACTTTTTTTTTTTTGGTAGAGACAGGGTCTTGCTATGTTGCCCAGGCTAGTCTCAAACTCCTGGGCTCAAGCAGTTCTTGCCTCAGCCTCCCAAATTGCTGGGATTACAGGCATGAGCCACCATGACTGGCCTAAAACAAAATAAATTCTTAATGGCATTTGTGGAATGTGTTTAAGAGCCAAAACTGTGAAAATGTAAGCTTTATCTTTCTTTTTTCCTAGATTATTTAAAGAGGATTGTAGCCACACTTCAGATGAATGTTTACAAGCCAAATAATGATTTAAGAGTGTGCTCAATAAAAAGGCCATAGGTTTAAGAATTAAATGGAATAATATAAATTACTAGGTCAACAAGAATATTTCATGTATAGTACACTGTCTAAGGAATGCAGAGAAATTTTACAAGAAACCCAAGACTAAATACTTCATTAAGAACACTGGTTACTAAGTAAATAGATGGCTCATGTAGGAAAAAGCTAATATATGTAGATGTAATGTCAACTAAGTGCATGTGACAGAAATGAAGAACTAGGAATAAGAATCCAGATTTTCTGGCCAGGCACGGTGGCTCACATCTGTAATCCTAGCACTTTGGGAGGCCATAGTGGGTGGATCACCTGAGGTCAGGAGTTTGAGACCAGCCTGGCCTACATGGCGAAACCCCATCTCTACTAAAGATACAAAAATTAGCTGGGCGTGGTGGTGGGCACTTATAATCCCAGCTACTCAGGAGGCTGAGGAAGGAGAATCGCTCGAACCTGGGGGTGGATGTTGCAGTGAGCCAAGGTCGCGCCACTTCACTCCAGCTTGGGCGAAAGAGCAAAACTCCATCTCAAAACAACAACCAAAAAGAATCCAGATTTTTAGGTGTCTAATACTAGACATTCTGTATCCAAGTTTCAGCCATTTCATCCAATAAAGCCTTCTAAAGCCTTTTTTTTTTGAGACAGGGTCTCACTCTGTCACTCAAGCTGGAGTGCAGTGGCGTGATCTTGGCTTACTGCAACCTGTCTCCCAGGCTCAAGCGATTCTCCTGCCTCAGCCTCCCGAGTAGCTAAGACTACAGGCCGTGTCACCAAACCCGGCTAATTTTTTGTAGGCACGGGGTTTCACCGTCTTGGCCAGGCTGGTCTCAACCTCCTGACCTCAAGTGATCCACCTGCCCCAGCCTCCCAAAGTGCTGGGATTACAGGCATGAGTCACTGCGCCCAGCTCCCAAAGCCAATTTTCAATTATTTGTGAGCCATAGATTCAGTGACTACATCAATATCTCTTGCCAGGGATTGGCCTAACAGCTCAGAGAACAGATTGTTAGGATATATGGGCAAGCCTTCTAAGTTCAAGAGGCAAGAGCAGAAAATGGAATGCTATAGGGATTTAGCTCCATCTTAAGCCATTCTGGCCCTTTCTGCTCTACTTTACCAGCTATAGAGTTAGGAAGGCTTCCAGTAGGCCACAGCAAGAGGAAAAACCTTTATTCTGTGGGGCTCATTTATCCAGGATTTAACTTACCTGTGTCATGTTACCGATCTATTAACACAAGTAATTTAGAGTTGGTTATATTATTTCAAGAAATTGAGCACAAAGCCAGGATGTACAAGGAGGAATTCAAACAATCAATATTGGATTATATAATGAAAAGATGCCCTTACAATGTTTATGATCTAGAATGTAATCATAATAAAGGGGGGAAAATACCTTATGAGTATCACAATTGTATCAGAGACTATTAAACAGTACAATGATACAGAGAATTTATTCAATTCATACAAGTAATTTACCAGATCTAAACAGTGAATAGACTGACCTAAGGGGAAAAAAATCCTTACATTGATAGCAAAATATCTTCTAGCCCCCATAAATAATCTGCAATCATTTGCTAGGAAAAAAACTTCATAACCATATGGGTCATGCAGACATTTTTATTTATTTATTTATTTTGAGACAGAGTCTCGCTCTGTCGCCCTGATTGGAGTGCAGTGGCACGATCTCAGCTTACTGCAACCTCCGTCTCCCAGGTTCAAGCAATTTCCTGCCTCAGCTTCCCCAGTAGCTGGGATTATAGGCACACACCACCATGCCTGGCTAATTTTTGCATTTTTAGTAGAGATAAGGTTTCACCATGTTGGTCAGGCTGGTCTCGAACTCCTGACCTCAGGTGATTCGCCTGCCTCGGCCTCCCAAAGTGCTGGGATTACAGGCGTGAGCCACCGTGCCCAGCCCATGCAGACATTTTTAAGTGCTATTGGTATTCACTTTATTTCAAACTGAGCAAAACAATACAACCTTTTACTTTTTTATACATTTTAAAATTTCTCTCATATTAACATTCCTTCCTACCCCAATCCATCCCATCACCAAACAGGAATGAGATAAGGAGTGAAAAAAAGATGTATGTTTCTCATTTTCCTTCTTTTCCCTTGAAGTAAACCAGTAATTTATTAAAATATTTTATAGGTCAGAGGATAACAAAAGACTCAATGTAGTAAATAAGTAAATAGGCATTCAAATATCAGTAACCTAACAGGCCCTAATACAGCTTTAAGATTTTCTTCTTTTTTTTTTTTTGAGAGGGAGTCTCGCTCTATTGCTTAGGCTGGAATGCAGTGGTGCGATCTTGGTTCACTGCAACCTCCACCTCCCGGGTTCAAGCAATTCTCCTGCTTTGGCCTCCTGAGTAGCTGGGATTACAGGCACATGCACCAACCCTGGCTAATTTTTCTGTATTTTTAGTAGAGACAGGGTTTCACCATGTTGGCCAGGCTGGTCTCGAACTCCTGACCTCAAGTGATCCACCCACCTCAGCCTCCCAAAGTGCTGGGATTACAGGTGTGAGCCACTGCACTGGCCTAAGATTTTCATTTTAACAGGGAACTGTTAGAACAGAAAAGAAGCTTCCCAAGAGGCACTCATTTTAAAAATAAATTATAGCTTAAATTATTACTATGTGGATTATATCAGCAAAGGCAGAAAGAATTAATGTTTTCCTCCTTTCATGAACCTTGTAAGGCTAGTGTTGAGTGGCTTACAAATGTCATATAATGGACTGTAAATCATCTGCCATATTGATCAATCATGTTTATTTAAGGTTTTCTTAACATTAGAGATTTTTAATGGGAGTATAAAATTAGTAAACAACCATTTCATTTTTTCTCTCTTCCTATTCTAGCCACATAAGCCAGTTTAATCCATGACACAGATTTCAGCTGTAATTTGCAAAACAATCCAAGAGCTACCACAGTCCCCAAAACTACAGAAAACTGCCATCCACAAATAAACTACCAAGGTAAATGTAAATACAGCGTGGTTCTAATTTTCTTTCACACAATCCCAGACAACCCCAAATAACTTTATAAATACCTTATGAAAAAAAGCAATTTAAAAACCTATCAAATCTATTTAAAATATATAAATGCAGACCTCTCAAATTTCCTTCAATCAGGCCAGAAATTATCACAAAAATTATAATCACAGTTACAAACAGAATGAGTGGAATGTTTGTAAGTTTAGGACAACCAAAAAAGCCCCATGTAACTTTTTAAAAATATAATCATTCACTCAAATATACTGTAAATAGGAATGGCAGTAACACAGGAAGCAAAAATAAACTTGCAAGTGAAATTTCTAGAAGCTCATGAAAACAATACCATCCCATATTGCAGATACAAAAGGAAAAACAGTTCTAATGGGGTTAAGAGTACTCTGGTCATCTTCGTTCGTTTGGTCGTGCAAGGTGTTAACTATTTTCACTTCCCATATCACAAAGTTAGTCCACAGGAGGAGCTGGTGGATCTTGTCCCTGGCATTAGAAAGAAATAAATTATTTAATTGACTTTTTAAAAATTCAAAAAAATTTAAAATTTATTACTTTTTTAAAAATTGACTTATTAAATCCCAGTGCAACCAATCTAACACATAGAGAAACAACTGAGCAGCAATGCCCCCAACCATCCCATCCCAAATATATGCTTATTTGGACTTTTCATATGTTTTTACATGAGGGAACACTAGATTAAATAACACTGTGATTTTCCACCATTTGTCTCATTTTTCCCTGTAGAATGGAAGAGAGAGGGAATTTGTACAACAGTGATGTTATCACTCCTGCCAACCCCAGGAGTGATCTTCAAACCTATGAAAATATCTTCATCCCTCTTGCTAAAGTCGATTGGCTAAGCAAAGTACTGTATATTTAAAATGAAGCTAGGGACTTTTGTTTCTCAATACTGAATGTCTACGAGGATGCATGTGGCTGCAGTTGCTTCTGGTAGTCATCCTATAACCCTAAGGGGAGCCCATCTTGGAATGAAGTTGTTAGTATGAGGAAAGAAACTAGGTCTTTGATGACACTGTTGAAACTTTCTTAACACTGACCCTACCTCTGAATTTTTTTGACGTGTAAATCAATGAAGCCACTTGTTTTAAACCACTTGGAATTGACTTTTGTTAACTTGCAATAGAAAGCAAGTGAACTGTAAAGGAAAGATCAGAGTTTTTAAGATTCTCAAGATTTTATTTATTTACCCTGAAATGATACATGACGCCCGAGTTGGGGGTGATCAATATTTCTCCTTGGAATTAGTCTCAACACATTTTCTTACTTATTCCTAAGATAGTGGAACTACTATTCCTAGAAACACTGGCCTACAATGAATTAAGGTCCAGGAGAGGGTAATCTTGCATTTCTGTCATTTTAATAGTTTTTTTTTTTTTTTCCTTGAGACAGAGTCTCACTCTGTCGCCCAGGCTGGAGTACAGTGGTGAGATCTCGGCTCACTGCAAACTCCGCCTCCCGGGTTCAAGTGATTCGCCTGCCTCAGCCTCCCGAGTAGCTGGGATTACAAGCATGTGCCACCACACCTGGTTAATTTTTTTGTATTTTTAGTAGAGACAGGGTTTCACCATGTTGGTCAAGCTGGTCTCCAACTCCTGACCTCAAATGATCCACCTGCCTCAGCCTCCCAAAGTGCTGGGATTACAGGTGTAAGCCACCGTGCCCAGCCCACTGTAATGATTTCTAAGTCAGGTTATTAAGAGTTCTATTTCTTTAGCTCCAAACATTGAGGAATTTACTCTTTGATATGAAAGTAACAAAGCTATACAAAGAAAGTAAGAAAGAAGGCTAAGGAATAAACACTTTATCAAGACAATATGCAAGCTGTTTTATAAATACTCTCTTCTCCAAGAAAAAATAAAAATAAATGTAAGGCTTTTTATATAGTGCTAATAATGCCGGTTTTTTTTTTTTTTTGAGATGGAGTCTCGCTCTTGTTGCCCAGGCTGGAGTGCAATGGCGCCATCTCAGCTCACTGCAACCTCCACCTTCTGGGTTCAAGCAATTCTCCTGCCTCAGCCTCACAAGTAGCTGGGATTACAGGCACGCGCCACCATGCCTGGCTAATTTTTGTACTTTTAATAGAGACGGAGTTTGGTTATGTTGGCTAGGCTGGTCTTGAACTCCTGACCTCAGGTGATCCGCCCGCCTCAGCCTCCCAAAGTGCTGGGATTACAGGTGAGAGCCACCGCGCCTGGTCTATAATGCCTTCTTTCTTAAAGTTAGCATGCTACGTATCTTTTTTGTGTATGTTTTTCGTTTTGATTTTTTTTCTTTCTATGCTACATATCTAAATGTTCTATTCCTTAAAAAACAAAGCAAAACATTGACCAATTAACACTGCACATTTGCTTTCTCTTATATAAAAAATGAGTCTAACTGAACTTCTGATATCAACACCACAACACTGGAGAAAAGAAACAATTATTTTAGGAATTCCACAAGGTAAAGGTTGGAAAAGAGAATTAGTGGGATAATTTGGTATACAAGTGAATCTGGCCGGGCATGGTGGCTCATGCCTGTAATACCAGCACTTTGGGAGGCAAATGCAGGCACAGCACCTGAGGTTAGGAGTTCAAGACCAGCCTGGCCAACGTGGCGAAACCCTGTATCTACTAAAAATACAAAAATTAGCCAGGTGTGGTGACACACATCTGTAATGCCAGTACTTCGGGAGGCCGAGGCAGGCACATCACTTGAGGTCAGGAATTTGAGACCAGCCTGGCCAACATGGTGAAACCCCATCTCTACTAAAAATCCAAAAATTAGCCAGATGTGGTGGCGTGCACCTGTAATCCCAGCTACTCGGTAGGTGGAGGCAGGAGAATCACTTGAACCTGGGAGGCAGAGGCTGCAGTGAGCTGAGATTGTACCAATGCACTTCAGCCTGGAGGACAGAGTGAGACTCCATCTCAAAAAAAAAAACAACAAAAACAAGCAAATCTATCATGGAAATTTTCCTTTTTTTTTTTTTTTTTTTTTGATGCTCTATTACCTTATAGTTTTTTAATTATAAATTTTAACATTTATTTAAATTGACAAATAAAAATTGTATATATTTGTCATATACAACATGTTTTGAAATATGTATACATTTGTAGAATGGCTAAATAGAGGTAACTGGCAAATTCATGGAATTTTTTTTTTTTTTTTTTTTTTGAGACGAAGTTTCACTCTCACCGCCTAGCCTGGAGTGCAATGGCACGATCTTGGCTCACTGCAACCTCCATCTCCTGGGTTCAAGCAATTCTCTTGCCTCAGCCTCCCGAGTAGCTGGGATTACAGGTGCCCACCACCAGGCCCAGCTAATTTTTGTATTTTTACTAGAGACAGGGTTTCACCATGTTGGCCAGGCTGGTCTCGAACTCCTGACCTCAGGTGATCCGCCCATCTTGGCCTCCCAAAGTGCTGGAATTACAGGCATGAGCCACCGCGCCCGGCCTCATGGAAATATTTTTAAAGAGATAATATTCAAATTCAGTGTTAAAAAAAAAACATAAATACTGGTTCTGAAAAGGATTAAAAGGAATCCTTTAACAGAGGTTCTTTTTTTTTTTGAGACATAGTCTCACTCTGTAGCCCAAGCTGGAGTGTGGTGGTGTGATCTTGGCTCACTGCAACCTCTGCCTCCTGAGCTCAAACGATTCTCATGCCTCGGCCTCCTGAGTAGCTGAGACTACAGGCGCATGCCACCATGTCTGGCTAATTTTTTGTATTTTAGTAGAGACAGGGTTTCACCATGTTGCCCAGGGTGGTCTTGAACACCGGAGCTCAGGTGATCCGCCCCCCTTGGCCTCCCAAAGTGCTGGGATTGCAGGCGTGAGCCACAGTGCCTGGCCAACAGAGGTTCTCTTAAAGATAGTCCTGAAAACTCCCTATTGGGTCACTTTATCATAGTTTTAATTTAGAAGGTTCTAAAAATGGTTGTAATCATGACTATCAAGATTTATCAACATGAATGATTCCGACCTCTCCTTTTGCCAGCTCAGCTGATTTACTGTGGTACAGAAATGGAAAATGGGTTTGAGAGAAATAGGATGGGAAAATGAGGAAAATAAAATAAGACAGGCTCAGTGTCTCTACTGAATAGCTAGGACAGAAGGGGGTCAAACATTTCAACTAAAGCTACTAAGAGTTTAGGGGCTGGAAGCATGAGAGGCAAGGGATCAACTGTGAGGTGGACAGAACTGGGTAGTGGAGGATTGAGACTTGAGCAATATTGCTGTGGATTATGAAATGGATTATTTTTGATGCTTCTCATGTGAGTAAAGATTAGAATTCAAGCCTGGGCAACCTGGCAAAACCCCATCTCTACAAAAAAATACAAAAAACTAGCCAGGTGTGCTAGTGCATGCCTGTGGTCCCAACTACTTGGGAGGCTGAGGTGGGAGCCTAGGAGGTGGAGGCTTCAGTGAGCTAAGATCGCACCAGTGCAGTCCAGCCTGGGCGGCACAGCAAGACCCTGTCTGAAAAAAAAAAAAAAGGATTGGAATTCATTTTCAAATTAATTTTGGGCTTCTGGTCTGTGCTTCTTTCTGCATTTAACTCCATAAAGATTAAGCTGTCAATTAAATCTTGGAATTGCAATATTTAATAGAACTACATAGGTAGAATACTCTATGAGTTAAATATAATTTAACTAATTTAGGTGTTTTAGTCAAAACCAAGTCCTTCCCTGCCCCAGGCCACATACATTCCCTTACCCAAAAAGCATTTAAAATCTGCAACACTTACATTATGAGGACTGGTTGGCTTTCCAGGTAGGCTGGATCCTCTTAGATTAGGAGGTCTCAGTAAGAACAAGATCAATGCAATAACCATCCAGGCTACCAAGATCATTGTAACACTGATGCCATTATCACCAGAGGGTCCCGGTACTAAAGACAAACAAAAAATGTAGCATGCTCACAATATTGTTAAAAGTAAAAACAAATTCTAATGTTTAAATGTCAGTTTCAATTACTGTATTAATATAAAAATTGTATTGATAAATTACAAAAGTACATATTATATCTTCAATTTCCCTTTCCCCCAGTGAGAACATCTAAAAAGTAAATGATGTTAAATAGTCATAAACCAAAACTTAGTAAGTTTTTGTTGTTTTTGTTTTTTGAGACAGGGTCTTGCTCTATCAAACAGGCTGGAGTGCGGTGGCACAACCATAGCTCACTACAGCCTTAACCTTCTATGTTCATGGGATCCTCTCACCTCAGCCTCCTGAGTAGCTGGGACTACAGGTGTGTGCCACCATGCCCCATGCACCTAATTTTTAATTTTTATTTTTAGTAGAGACACTATGTTGCCTGGGCTGGTCTCTAACAATTTTTTTTTTTTTTTTTGAGATGGAGTCTCACTCTGTTGCCAAGGCCAGAGTGCAGTGGGACAATGTTGGCTCACTGCAACCTCTGCCTCCCAAGTTCAAGCAATTCTGCCTCAGCCTCCTGAGTAGCTGGGATTACAGGCATGCGCCACCATGCCCAGCTAATTTTTGTATTTCTAGTTGAGACGGGGTTTCACCATGTTGGCCAGGCTGGTCTCGAACTCCTGACCTCAGGTGATCCACCTGCCTTGGCCTCCCAAAGGGCTGGGATTACAGGTGTGAGCCACTGTGTCCTGCCCCACACCCCTAATTTTTTTTAAAATTTTTAGTAGTGACGACGTCTCACTATGTTGCCTGGACTAGTCTCTAACACATTTTTTAATAGTATAATAATTCTTAATATTTTGGGGTAACAGAATCATTTGAGAATTTGATAAAAATTAAGAACTCTTTCCATTTTAAGAATTCATGGGGTCTTCAACTGAGGTCTTGCAAGGCAAGCCGGCCATGCCATGTTTGTAGATTAATGAGGCTAGGGGCCCTAACTTCCCTAAGATCTACTTTTCTAGCTACCTTCTGCCCTGTGTCTGGCACCTACATCCTTCATGATTGTTCTTTTTGATCCATTCTGGATTAAAAATAAATATGAAAAGCACTCATGTATACCAAATTCCACAATTTTGTATATAATTGTGGAAGGTTTAAGAACCCACAAAGCCACGAATCCATATGAATCCAAGTTAAGACCACAGAAAAAACACTCTCCTTTGGGGGGAAAAATCTGCTTCTTAATTACAGAGGCATCATGAAAAAGAAAGGGGACATCTGGGCTGCGTAATATATACATTAAAAGACCCCTTGAATTACAGTCTCAACCAAAGAGATTAATTTGACCTTCTTTTTCACACAAAGGAGTTGAATTCAGATCTAGATATTTTAAAATTTTATCAATTTTTCTCTTCTATCAATTTTTTCTATTTATCAAGAGAAAAATGCTAGACAGGGATGTATGTGCGTATACAGGCATCAGTTTTTCCTGGTTCCTTGACATAGCCACGTCTTATTTAATTTGAAATAACAAGTGCCTAGCACAGTGCCTGACCCATGATATGAGGTTAACAAATTTCTAATAAATGAAACGTAGATTTTTTATTGAAGTATATTAGAGAACTCAATTTTCAGAAATAAAAATGGCCAGGTGCACTGGCTCACGCCTGTAATCCCAGCACTTTGGAAGGCCAAGATGGGTGGATTGCTTGAGCTCAGGAATTCGAGACCAGCCTGGGCGATATGGTGAAACCCCATCTCTGAGGGAGAAGAAAAGGAAAAATCCATTAGGTAAACAGTTAAGGCTGGGCCCCTAGAAGTGCTTGCCTGAAAAATCACAGCTGCTGCAGCTGCACAGATAAGCCTGGACAGATAAGCAGCCAGTAAAGCAAACAAGCCTTTTTGTTCTTTGTACAATCAGTGAGCTCCCAGGAAAAAGTTTCCTCCCCTTTTCAGGCATATACACAGTGGGCTCCGTGGGAACTTGCATAGGGCGGAGTGGGCTTACCTAAAAAAACCCAGTTATACAAAGAAGAGAAGCTGTGCTTTGTGCTTAGAAACAATCCCACAGCTGGAAAAAGGGAGTTGCACAGACAGCTTTTCGAAAAAGAAAAATTACTCAATCAGTTACAAGGAGGAGAGCAGTTTCTTTTTTTTGTTTGTTTTTTTGAGACAGAGTCTTGCCCTGTCGTCCAAGCTGGAATACAATGGCATGTCAGCTCACTGCAACCTCCACCTCCCGGGTTCAAGCAATTCTCCTGTCTCAGTCTCCCCTGTAGCTGGGATTACAGGCACATGCCACCATGCCTGGCTAACTTTTTGTATCTTTAGTAGAGATGGGGTTTCACCATGTTGGCCAGGCTGGTCTCAAACTCCTGACCTCGTGATCTGCCTGCTTCGGCCTCCCAAAGTGCTGGGATTACAGGCATGAGCCACCGCGCCTGGCTGCAGTTTCTTATAAAAGCATTTTGCATTCAGCTGTAACCAAGCTATCCACTTGGACTCCCCTCTCTGCAGAGAGCTTTCTCCTTTTGCTTATTACATTTTCGCTCCAACTTCACCCTTGTGACCATGCTCCTTAATCATTTTAGAGGCGAGACAAAGAACTCAGGGTGATACCTCACAAGAGAAACCAATATATGAAGGTGCATTGGTGAGACTGCAACATCTCTACGAAAATTAGCTGGGTGGGGTGGCGTGAGCCTGTAGTCCCAGCTACCCAGGAGGCTGAGGCACGAGAATTGCTTGAACCCAGAAGGCAGAGGTTGTAGTGAGCTCAGATTACACCACTGCACTCCAGCCTGGGCGAGTGAGCAAGACCCTGTCAAAAAAAAAAAAGAAAAGAAAGGAAAAGAAAAAGAAATAAAAATTATAGATTAGATTTCTAGAGGAAAATGTAGTATCCCTAGGTGATTACTAAAACAGCTTGTCAAGACCACAGCTGTTTGGTTTTGATCTCCTTGCCTCAGGAAAAAGTAAAAGAAATCCAGATAAGATGTTGAAACTAATCTGATACACTGCATTGGGTCAGTGGGTCCAGGGCTCAATTCCACAAAAGGGAAGGAATTGGTGGCACTGCTGAGGCCAAAAGGCTAGTGATAAAAGCGGACAAAGTCAAGTTAAGAGTTGCGCTGGCCCTGCTGCAACGAAGTCTTATGGCAAACAAATTAGTACAAAATATATATTAAAAAGAGCTGAGCTGGCCTAAGAGCAGGATGGATAGGAATGTAGCCTCTGTTCCAAACCCAGTCACTTCCCTAGAAACAGCTAAACAGGCCGGGCGTGGCAGCTCATGTCTGTAATCCCAGCACTTTGAGAGGCCAAGGCGGGCAGATCCCTTGAACTCAGGAGTTTGAGACCAGCCTGGGCAACATGACAAAAACCCGTATCTACAAAAAATTAAAAAAAAAAAATAGCCGGGTGTGGTGGTGTGTGCCTGCGGTCCCAGCTACTCAGGAGGCTGAGGTGGGAGGATGGCTTGAGCCCAGGAGGTGGAGGTTGCAGTGAGCTGTAATTGCACCACTGCACTCCAGCCTGGGCAACAGAGCCAGACACTGTCTCAAAACATAAACAAAAACAAAAACAAACACTTTCTTCCATTGTCTTCTGTGTCACTACCATTGTCTAACAGTTGGACACTCCTTCATCAATAATTCTCTTTTTCTTTATATCAACAGTTCTTTTCTTTTCTTTTTTTTTTTTTTTTGAGATGGAATCTCGTTCTGTCACCAGGCTGGAGTGCAGTGGCGCGATCTCCGCTCACTACAACCTCTGCCTCCTGGGTTTTATTTGTAGTAGAGCTGGGATTTCACCATGTTGGCCAGGCTGTTCTCAAACTCCTGACCTCAGGTGATCCATCTGCCTTGGCCTCCGAAAATGCTGGGATTACAGGCATGAGCCACCGCAATCAGCCAACATCAATAGTTCTTAAACTATGGTATATATCAGAGTCAACTGAAAACTTCTTAAAAATGCAGAAATCCAGGAAGCACGAGGTCAAGAGATCACCCGTGAAGCAGAGGTTGCAGTGAGCTGAGATCGCGCCACTGCACTCCAGCCTGGCGACAGAGCAAGACCCCGTCTCAAACAAAACAAAACAAAATGCAGAAATCCCACCTTCCACTTAACATATTCAGTACTTTAGTATTCCAAACAAAAATCATGAGCATCTCCCCCGCCCTACCCCCTTCCACCCCAACTACCAAACTGGATCTCTGTTCATCCAGTTGCCCAGGGCAGAACCTAAGAAAACACCTTTTTTCTTTCTCAACAGCCCTGTATTTAATCCATCATGAAGTTTCTTGCAATTTTTCCTCCTAAATATCACTTGTATCTGCCCACTTTTAGCTCCATGTCCCCACCTGCTCAAGCTACCATAACCTCTTATCTGGTCTATTGCAGTGGCCTCTTAAGGGATCTCCCTATATCTACTCCTGCTTCCCCTGTGCTCTATATTGTTTCCAGAGTGATTTTTTTTTCTTTTTTTTTAAAAGCAAATACATGTTGAGTTTCCCTGTGTGAAATGCTTGGGAATACAAGTGTTTCAGAATTCGGATTTTTTCAGATTTGGGGATATATGCAATATACTTATTGGTTCAGCAGCCCTAATCCTAAAATCCAAAATCTGAAATGTTCCAATGAGCATTTCCTTTGAGCATCATGTCAGCACTGAATAAGTTTCAGATTTTGGAGCACTTCAAATTTTCAGATTAGGGATATTCAACCTATACTATTATTTTTATTTTAAATAATAGTTAAGGCCAGACCTGATGGGGCTCATGCCTGTAATCCCAGCACTTTGGGAGGCCAAGGCAGGAAGATCCCTTGAGCTCAGGAGCTCAAGACCAGCCTGGGCAAAATGGCTGGTGCTGAACTTCTGGCCTCATGCAATCCTCCTGCCTTGGTTTCCCAAAGAGCTGAGATTACAGGTGTCAGTCAGTAGTCATGCCCAGCCATGACTTTTTAATATTCTTTGCAAGTAAAAAATTCTGAAGCTTAAGAGAGTTAAACCTCAGATTCCAAGTTTACTAATTCTTATTTCTAGACAAAGGATCCCTGATTCTTTTTTAGAATCTCACGCCGGGCACGGTGGCTCACACCTGTAGTCCCAGCACTTTGGGAAGGTAAGGCAGGTGCATCACCTGAGGTCTGGAATTCAACACCAGCCTGGCCAACATGGTGTTGGCCATCTCTACCAAAGCCCATCTCTACTAAAAATACAAAAATTAGCCAAGCATGGTGGTGCACACCTGTAATCCCAGCTACTTGGGGGGTTGTAGCGGAAAAATTGCTCGAACCCGGAAGACAGGTCGCAGTGAGCCGAGATCGTGCCACTGCACTCCAGCCTGGGCAACATAGTGAGACTCCATCTCAACAACAACAACAACCAAATAGTAATGTCCACTTCTTTTTTAGAATCTCACAATAGTAATATGACTCGTAGTTCCCTTAACTATCTCCTAGCTTGGTTCCTATTGCAGCTTTTCCTTCTTGCTTACTGCTGCCAGAAAAGTCTGCTTAAAACTGTTCTTGGCTGGATACAGTGGCTCATGGCTGTGATCTCAGCACTCTAGGAGGCCGAGGCAGGAGGATCCCTGGAGCCCAGGCGTTTGAGACCAGCCTGGGCAACATAGTGAGACCCCTGTCTCTACAAAAAAAATTAAAAAATTAGCTGAGTGTGGTGGTGCAGGCCTGTAATCCCAGCTACTCGGGAGGCTGAGGTGGGAGGATCACTTAAGCCCAGGTGGTCAAGGCTGCAGTGAATTGTAATCACACAACTGCACTCCAGCCAGGGTGGCAGAGACAGACCCTGTCTCAACCCCCAAACAAACAAACAAACAAACAAACAAAAAATCCCCTCTGCTCTTAACACATCTCTGCTGATCAATGTGGTAACTCAGTTTCCACTGCCTACTGTTTCAACTCTGGGGTTTTTCTGTTTTTATTGAGTCAGTGTCTCACTCTGTCTCCCAGGCTGGAGTGCAGTGGCACAATCACAGCTCACTGCAACCTTTGCCTCCCAGGCTCAAGTGATCCTCTCACCTTAGCCTCCTGAGTAGCTGAAATTGTAGGCGCATGCTGCCATGCCCAATTAATTTTTTTATATTTTTAAAACTTTTTTTATTTTTTAGAGACAGGGTCTCACTATGTTGCCCAGGCTGATCTCGAATTCCTGAGCTCAAGTGATCTGCCCACCTTGGCCTCCCAAAGTTCTGGAATTACAGGCATGAGCGACCCCACCTGACCCTAATTTTTGTATTTTTAGTAGAGACGGTGTTTTGCCATGTTGCCAAGGCTTGTCCCTAACTCCTGAGCTCAAGCAACCCACCCACCTAAGCCTCGCAAAGTGCTAGGATTATAAGCATGAGCTACTGTGCCCAGCAACTCTAAGTTCTTTAGCTCAGCCTTTCCTCATATGATTGGGCCTTACTCATCTAATCTTACCTCTTACCACTTCTCAGAAAATGCATCCTCTGCTCTAGTCACCCCCATACCTCTTCTTTTTTTTATTTTTTTTGAGACGGAGTTTCACTCTTGCTGGCCAGGCTGGAGTGCAATGGCACAATCTCTGTTCACTGCAACCTCTGCCTCCCGGGTTCAAGTGATTCTCATGCCTCAGCCTCCCAAGTAGCTGGGATTACAGGTGCTCGCCTCCACACCCGGCTAATTTTTTGTATTTTTAGTAGAGACTGGGTTTCACCATGTTGACCAGGCTGGTCTCGAACTCCTGATCTCAGGTGATCCACTCACCTCAGCCTCCCAAAGTGATGGGATTACAGGCATGAGCCACCGCCCCCGGCCCCTCTTCTTTCTCTAGCCAAGGATTCCCTGGCCTGGCTATGCATCAGAATAGCCTGTGACAGTATCAACACCACAGATTCTAAGGCACTGCCTAAGACCATCTGATTCAGGAGCAGCTTCGGGGTGGGATCAGGAGCCAACAATATTTTTTAAAAGCTTTCCAAATGAATCTGATGCAACAGTTGAATGCGAACTTGTCTGGCAGCATTTGCCAACTATGCAAATTCAGTCTTCCTGGGGTACTCGTTATTTCCCTGTCTGGCATGTTCTTACAACTAACTCCATTTATTCACCTATAACCTACATCCCTCTTCCATAAAAATCTCCATTTCCTCCACCCACTTTTTCCTCTGCCTTCTCTGGACTAGTATAGCATTTCTAGTTTGAAGGAATGGTTTCCCGTCTCTCCTAATTAACTTTTTAAGAACTGAGACCATCTCATAGCTGTTTGACTGTACCACCTCTTAGGTATATAATCCCTGAGCCTCAAGTTTCTTTTTCTTTTTTCTTTCTCCTCTTCCTCCTCCTCCTCTTCTTCTTCCCCTTCTCTTCCTCTTCTTCTTCTTCTTCTATTATTATTATTTTGAGACGGAGTCTTGCTCTGTCACCAGGCTGGAGTGCAGTGGCACCATCTTGGCTCACTGCAACCTCCGCCTCCCAGTTTCAAGCAATTCCCCTGCCTCACAAATAAAATGCCAAATGGAATATTCACAATGAAGCTGTTAACTTAGCTGGATACCAAGAGGATGAAAAGGTAGAGACAGAGGCTCTAAGAGCTGGCCCATCCTCAGAAGATTATTTGTATAAACTTATATAGGTTTCCGCTGGGGAAAGCAAAAACAGAACAGCAGTGAAAGTGGACAATACACCGGTATGCTCTAACCCTGTAGTTTTTGGTCCTATACAGTAATTACATTATCCTAAGCACAGCTACCAGTTTTCAAGCTGAGTCAAGGGTGATCTCTATCATTCCCTAATGTAGATCTGTTATTCTCCTACAGGCTGAGTATTCCTACTCTAAAAATCTAGAATCCTCCAAAATCCAAAACTTTTTGAGAGCTGACATCATGCTCAAAAGAAATGCTTATCGGAACATTTCACATTTTCAGGTTAGGGATGGTCAACTGGTAAATGAATCTGAAAAAATCTGAAACTGAATACACTTCTGGCTCCAAGCATTTCAAATAAGGGATATTCAACCTATACTTTCATATTGTGTTCTGCGAGGGTGCCCCATAGTGTTATTTCAGATTAGCGTTTTTTAGATAAAGATAACCTGAATGGAAAGCATCCTCTCTTTTGTTTAAAGGATTCTATTAAAAATGAAATACATGACTTTTAAGCAGGGGGCTAAGGGAAGCCTCACTAAGAAGGCACTCTGGAGTGAAAATGTAAAGAAAGTGAGGCTGTCAGTTGTGAGATTATCCGAAAGAAGCACATTTCAGGCACAAGGAACAGCGAGAACTCCTGATTCAGGAGCCTGTGGGATGTTCATGGAGGCCAATGTGGCTGAAGTGAAGTGACCTGGGATTGGTGGTATAGTGAGGTGGGATATAAGAAAAAGATTAAGCTGGGTGTGGTGGCTCACGCCTGTAATCCCAGCACTTTGGGAAGCTGAGGTGGGAGAATCACTTGAGGCCAGGAGTTCAAGACCAGCCTTGGCAACATAATGAGGTCCTATCTCTACAAAATAAAAAACAAACAAAATCAGCCAAGTGTGGTGGCACACACCTGTGGTCCCAGCTAATCAGGAGGCTGAGGTGGGAGGATTGCTTGAGCCCAAGGGGTTGAGGTTGCAGCAAGCCATGATTGCACCACTTTACTCCAGCCTGGGCAACAGAGTAAGACTTTGTCTCCAGAAAAGAAAAGAAAAAGATTAAATCAAAAGAGTAACAGGATTCAGATCATGTTGGCCTTATAGGTCATAATAAGCTTCTATTACATATTAAATAGAAAACCACTGAAGAGGGCTTTTCTTTTTTTTGGACAGGGTCTCACTCTGTCACCCAGGTTGGAGTGCAGTGGCTCAATTACAGTCACTGCAGCCTCAACCTCCCAGGCTCAAGTGATCTCCTAACTCAGCATCCAGAGTAGCTGGGGCATAGGCACAGGCCACCACGCCTAGCTAAGTTTTATATTTTTTGTAGAGACAGGATTTCAACATGTTGCCTATGCTGGTCTTGAACTCCTGAGCCCAAGTGATCTGCCTGCTTTGGCCTCCTAAAATGGGATTACAAGTGTGATCCACTGTGCCCAGACACCACTGAAGAGTTCTGAGCAAAATGCAGATGATATCTGACTCTCATTTTGACAGAACCACTCCATCTGTTGTGTTTTGAAAAACGAGAAACAGAAACACAGTGATATGGTTTGGCTGTGTCCCATCCCAAATTTCATCTTGAATTGTAACTCCCACAATTCCCATATGTCATGGGAGGAACCTGGTGGGAGGTGATTGAATTATGGGGGGCGGGCCTTTCCTGCGCTCTTCTCATGATAGTAAACAAGTCTCACGAGATCTCATGGTTTTAAAAAGGGGAGTTTCCCTGCACAAGCTCTCTTCTCTTGACTGCCACCATGTAAGACATGCCTTTCACCTTCCGCCATGATTGTGAGGCCTCCCCAGACATGTGGAATTGTAAGTCCAATAAACCCTTTTCTTTCGTAAATTGCCCTGTCTTGGGTATGTCTTAAATTAGCAGTGTGAAGACTGACTAATACAGACAGTTAAGAACCTGTTGCAATAATCTATTAACATACGAGATGATGATGGCCTAGAACAGGGAGGAGGCAGTGGGATAGTGAGAAGTGGTAGAATTTTGGATGTATCTTCAAGATAGTGCTTGCTGATAGATGACTGGACAGTGTGAGAAAAAGGGAAGCCAAGGATGAGTCTCAGAAGGATAGAACTGCCATTAACTGTTATAGGAAGGATCTCAAGAGAAGCAGAAATTCTGAAGATGTTGAATTTGAGGTGCCTTGTTAGACATCCCAGTGGAAATGCCCAAAAGACAGTCATCAGCATACAAGTAATGAGTCATGAGACCAGATGAGATCACCAAGTGAGTGAATGTCTAGAAAAGGAAATAATCCAGGGGCTAAGTCCTG
The DNA here is from genome assembly GCF_000001405.40 of Homo sapiens. NCBI lineage: Eukaryota > Metazoa > Chordata > Mammalia > Primates > Hominidae > Homo > Homo sapiens. The sequence continues at coordinate 39,566,470 of NC_000004.12, forward strand.
GAGCATTCCAAGGATAAAAGTTAAGAGGTCTGGAGGACAGACAGACGCACCGAGAAAGAAGACAGCAGATAGCCGCAATGCAGCCAGGCACAATGGCTCATGCCTGTAATCCCAGCACTTTGGGAGGCTGAGGTGGGTGGATCACCTGAGGTCAGGAGTTCAAGACCAGCCTCGGCAACATACAGAAACCCTGTCTCTACTAAAAATACAAAAATTAGGCCAGGCGTGGTGGCTCACGCCTATAATCCCAGCACTTTGGGAGGCCATGGCAGGCGGATCATGAGGTCAAGAGATCGAGACCATTTTGGCCAACATGGTGAAACCCTGTCTCTACTAAAAGTACAAAAATTAGCCAGGCGTGGTGGCGTGCACCTGTAGTCCCAGCTACTCGGGAGGCTGAGGCAGGAGAATCGCTTGAACCTGCGAGGTGGAGGTTGCAGTGAGCTGAGATTGTACCACTACACTCCAGCCTGGTGACAGTGTGAGACTCCATCTCAAAAAAAACAAAAAACAAAAATTAGCTGGGGATGCTGGTACACGCTTGTAATCCCAGCTACTTGGGAGGCTGAGGCAGGAGAACTGCTTGAGTCCAGGAGGTGGAGGTTGTAGTAAGCCGAGATTGCGCCATTGCACTCCAGCCTGGGCGACAGAGCAAAACTCCATCTCAAAAAAAGAAAAAAAAAAAAAAAAAAAAAAAAAAGGAAGCCGCAATGTGACAATAGGAAAAAAATGTGACATGGGAAATATGGAGAAGATTTAGTTATTAAAGGCTGAAACTAGATAATTTCTCAGATTACAACTTTATCAGGAAGAAGCAGAAGGCTAAGAATTGTATGCTAAGTACTCAAAATGGGCCAGGTGTGGCAGCTCATGCCTGTAATCCCTGCACTTTGGGAGGCCAAGGCAGGTGGACTGCTTGAGCTCAGGAGTTCGAGACCAGCCTGGGCAACATGCAAAACCCTGTCTCTACAAAAAATACAAAAATTAGGCCGGGCATGGTGGCTCACACCTGTAATCCCAGCACTTTGGGAGGTTGAGGTGGGCGGATCACGAGGTCAGGAGTTCGAGACCAGCCTGGCCAACATGGCGAAACCCCATCTCTACTAAAAATACAAAAATTAGCCGGGTGTGGTGGCAGGCGCCTATAATCCCAGCTACTCAGGAGGCTGAGGCAGGAGAATCGCTTGAACCTGGGAGGTGGAGGTTGCAGTGAGCTGAGATCATGCCATTGCACTCCAGCTTGGGCAACAAGAGCAAGACTCCGTCTCAAAAGAAAGGAAAAAAAAAATTAGCTGGGCATGGTTGTATGCTCCTGTAGTCCCAGCTACTCAGGAGGCTGAAGTGGGAGGATTACTGAGCCTGGAAGGTCAAGATTCAGTGAGCCCTGTTTGCTCCACTGCACTCAAGCCTGGGTGACAAAGTGAGACCCTGTCTCAAAACAAAACAAAAAACAAACAAAAACACCCCAAACCATATTCAGTGCCAAATGTTAAAGCCCAAATAGATTGTATAAATAAGAACATACAGGCCGGGCGCGGTAGCTCACGCCTGTAATCCCAGCACTTTGGGAGGCGGAGGTGGGTGGATCACTTGAGGTCAGGAGTTTGAGATCAGCCTGGCCAACATGGCGAAACCCTATCTCTACTAAAAATACAAAAAATTAGCCAGGTGTGGTAGTGCATTCCTGTAATCCTGGCTACTTGGGAGGCTGAGGCAGGAGAATAGCTTGAGCCTGGGAGGCGGAAGTTGCAGTGAGCCAAGATTGTGCCACTACACTCCAGCCTGGGCAACAGAGCAAGACTCCTTCTCAAAAAAAAAAAAAAGAACATATACATGTATATATTTCTCCACCATTTACTCTTTGGTCTGTGTTTTAACAACATTGACTCTACCTAGCAGCTGCTTCTATGACTAAATGAATAAATGATATTTCTGATATCACAATGATTAAACACTGTTCTAAAACAATGGAATAACACCTATGAAAAGGGGAAGAGTAAAAAAATAAGACAATGGAATATATACAAAATACAACTACAGAAATAAAAGGCAGAAATGAACGAAAGCAACCAATTTAAAAAAGTCAGAAGAGAATAAAACGTATTTCTTCAAGGCTTATTTCAATTCTTAAGAAGCCTCAAATTCCCACGATCCTAAAACATATATTTAATTTTAAAAAATAACTTTTTCCAATTGAATAGTAGCACAATACTATCCAATTGAATAGTAGTATCTAAATATAAAGATAGCTACAAAATATGTTTTATTATTTTAAGAAAAAAGTATAAGCTCACTGGAGAAAATTTAGAATATAAGAAAAATAATTCTATCCCTCACAGTAAACTACTGTTTAACCATTTAAAAGCCTAGCTCTCAGAAAGGATTTTTACCAACTGCTAAAAGAACTGGGGGGAAAGAAAAACTTGCCAATATGCCTAAATGAATGTTCAAAGTTTCACCTTTCTTTTTAGAGTTAGGAAGTGACATTTTACCCACAGGAATGACTATATTTGGTTATAGGCGGGGCTGGTTAAAGAGTCACAAAAGCCGCACATGTAATAAACACGTGTTTTCCCATGGGGAGGTTCAATAAAATTATTTTCAACTAGGAAAACAGGTTTTAGCTTTACCTGTTGAGGCAAATATTTGAGCTGTACATTGTAGATTAATGAATGCTACTGGAGAAGTAAAGAAGTCTGGAGGGAGGGAACCACCACCCATTGTCCTAACAATGCACATTTCTATTGCTTTCTTGTCTTGAAGGCATATATATCACCCAAATGGACTAGGTTCCCACAAAATTTCTACTTTAGGCTAGGCACTGCACTAGCTCCCACTTCTCTAAGCTGTTATATCTGTGGAATTTGATGGGACACCCAGTACACAAAGTAATAAAAATCATAATGTATAACAAGTCTCTTTACAATTACCTTACTGCGTCTTGTTTCAGTTTCATATATATAATAAACAGGCAGCTCTGCTTCAGAGATGTTACGTATCAGCAACTAACCTACTAATAAATGCAATTTGGCAATATGTAAATAGCCTTAAAATGTGTGAAGAAAACCAGAACGTATCACTCCAAAATATGCCTTTTTGACATAGAAATTATTTTGGAGAAGCCAGGCACGGTGGCTCATGCCTGTAATCCCAGCTACTTGGGAGGTTGAGGCACTAGAATTGCCTGAACCTGGGTGGCGGAGGTTGCAGTGAGTTGAGACTGAGCCACTGCACTCCAGCCTGGGCGACAAAGCGAGACTCTGTCTCAAAAAAAAAAGAAAAAAAGAAAAAAAGAAATTATTTTTGAGCTGTAGGCAATTAGGAAGTAGCAAACAGAAGAAAAGCTCCCTCTATTCCCCTCTTTTCTGCCTAAAGGTAGGATACAAATTCTCCTTTATACACAACCCTACAGACTTAATAGTCCAGAGACAGCACCAGAGGAGTCTATAAACAAACCTTACTCCATTAGTTTCCTCCCAAATATTTACTTTCCCAGTTTCCTATCCTTGGAAGCCTAAAATCTCTTTCCTATGTTCTGCCCTTTTTCCACAAATGTATTGTTCTTTGTTGAAGATGCTACATAAGCCAGAGTTCTGAGCCACTGCTTTGAGTTACTTTGCATTGAGCTTTCTCCCATGTGATGCCACACACATTAATAAATTTGCTTTTTCCTTGTTCATCTATCTTTTTTTTGTTTTTTTTTCTTTGTTTTAGAGAGTCTCGCCCTGTCACCCAGGCTGGAGTGCAGTGGTGTGATCGCAGCTTACTGCAACCTCTGCCTCCTGGGTTCAAGTGATTCTGGTGCCTCAGCCTCCAGAGCAGCTGGGACTACAGGCACGTGCCACCACGCCCAGCTAATTTTTGTATTTTTAGTAGAGACAGGGTTTCCATGTTGGCCAGGCTGGTCTCAAACTCCTGGCCTCAACTGATCTGGCCACCTCAGCCTCCCAAAATTCTAGGATTACAGGCGTGAGCCACCGTGCCCGGCAATCTATCCTTTGTTACAGGGTGTCTCAGCAAAGAACTCTGAGGTTGAAGAAAAAATTATTTGTCCTCCCCAACATATGCACACAAAGAATGTTTATTCAAGTGTTGTTTATAATAGCAAAAAATATATCAGCAACCTAAGGTTCTAGTAAAAGGAAATCATTTAAACGCTGGTGCTTCCCCACAATGAATTATTATTTAATTAATAATTTTTTTTTGAGATGGGATCTCACTTTGTCATCCAGGCTGGAGTGCAGTGGCATGAACATAGCTCACTGCAGCCTCAAACTCCTGGGCTCAAGTGATCCTTCTGCCTCAGCCTCCCAAGTAGCCGGGACTCCAGGAGCATGACACCATGCCTGGCTCAATAAATAGTAAGACAAATATATGTTGATATTTTATAAGTAGTGAAAAATAACATATACAATGTGATCCCATTTCTGTAAGTTTATATGAAATCTAATTATGCCAGGCTTCACCATCTTGTGAATGTCATACTTTCCTTCTTGCAGTCTTCTGATACAAGACTGGATTGGTTTAAATACTATTTTACTAGTTCCCCTTAAAGCATCTCTCAAAATATTTCTGAGTATCCTGAAAAAAGATGTGTCACATAATGGTCACTAAGTCTGTCACCTACATATACCATGCAATATTCATCTTCCTACTGATTCTCACTTTACCATCACTACTGCCCATAAAGCCATGTGGAGAAACTTCTCCACTGCCAAATTCTCTGATGCGCATGTTAATGTCAGAGCCAAAGGAATGAACTCCACAGGCACCCAAAGTTTCCACACATGGAAAAGAATGGCCTCCCCACCAAGAAGTTCTCAAGTGGCTGGGCATGGTGACTCACGCCTGTAATCCAAGCACTTTGAGAGGCCGAGGCAGAAGGATCACTTGATCCCAGGAGTTTAAGACCCATGTGGGCAACATGGGAAGACCGTGACTCTACAAAAAATTCTAAAAAATTAGCCATGCATGGTGGTGCATCCCTGTAGTCCCACCTACTAGGGAGGCTGAGGTGGGAGGATCACTTGAGCCTGGGAGGTCAAGGCTGCAGTGAGCCATGATCGCACAATTGCGCTCAGTGTGGGCGACAAAGCAAGACACTGTTTCTTAAAAAAAAATTTTTTTAAATTAAAGAAAAAAAAAGAATTCTCAAGCCTGCCAACAGATGCAAATAGATGTTAGGGAGAGAGTGAATGGTTTGCGCAAGCAGCTTTGATGTCCCAGTTACACCTGCCCACAGTGCCCTGTTACAGACTTATTTGCCAAGAAAAAAAGACTAGGATATACCCGAATTTGTCAACAGTGGTTATCTTTAACTATTCTGGAAGTTCTTCTATTTTTTTTTTTTGAGACAGGGTCTCACTCCAGTCACCCAGGTTGGAGTGCAGTGGTGCGATCACAGCTCACTGCAGCCTCAACCTCCCCAGGCTCAGGTGATCCTCCCACCTCAGCCTCAGGAGTAGCTGGGGCTGCAGGCATGCACCACCATGCCCCACTAATTTTTGTATTTTTTGTAGAGACAGGGTTTCCCCGTGTTGCCCAGGGTAATCTCAAACTCCTGGACTCAAACGATCCACCGGCCTCAGCTTCCCAAAGTGCAAGGATTCCAGGTGTGAGCCACTGCACCCAGCCTTTTTTTTTCCTTATACTTATTTTATAATGTTCTGCAATAAGCAGGGTTTTTGAGGCATGAAAAAAATTTTAAGTTAAAAAATGAAATAGTCAAGTAGCAAATACATTACTGAGAACCATTTTCTTATTAAAGAGCAAACTATGAGAATAATTTCTTTTGTGCGTATGTGTCGCTTTTTTTTTTTTTTTTTTTTTTTTTGGTAACCACTAGAATAGGCAATGTAAGAATAAATTCTGACAAATATTCACAGGCATCTGGCCTCTAATTCTGCCCCCAATGCCATCCTTCCTCCTGTCTCAGTGGTACTTACATTCCTGAAGACACTCTGTGTCTGTGCAGTAGGACTGGGACTGCCGTAACTACAATGAATAAGAAAGGGAAGTTAGTGATTAGACTTAAACAAAAGTGGACCATAATTATTAGAAAGATCATGTTTTGGCCGGGTGCGGTGGCTCACGCCTGTAATCCCACACTTTGGAGGCTGAGGTGGGTGGATTGTTTGAGCTCAGACATTCAAGACCAGCCTGGGTAACACAGCAATACCCCATGTCTACAAAAAATACAAAAATTAGCCAGGTGTGGTGGTGTGTGCCTGTAGTCTCAGCTATTAGGGAGGCTGAGGTGGGAGGATCACTTGAGTCTGGGAGGCAAAGGTTGCAGTGAACCAAGATGGCACCATTGTACTCCAGCCAGGGTGACAGAGCGAGACCTTGTCTTAAAAAAAAAAATCATGTTTTCTTTTGTTTTTTTGAGACAGGGTCTCACTCTGTTGCCTAGGCTGGAGTGCAGGGGTGCAATCCTAGCTCACTGCAGCTTCAAACTCCTGGGCTCAAATGATCCTCCTGCCTCAGCCTCCTGAGTAGCTGGTACTACAGGTGTGTGCCACCATGCCTGGGTAATATTTTAAAAATCACTTTGTAGAGATGGGGGTCTTACTATGTTGACCAGTCTAGTGACAAACCATGTTTTGGTTTTTATTATTATTATTATTATTATTTTATTATTATTATTATTTAGTTTCGCTCTTGTTGCCCAGGCTGGAGTGCAATGATGCGATCTCAGCTCACTGCAACCTCCGCCTCCCAGGTTCAAGCGATTCTCCTGCCTCAGCCTCCTGAGTAGCTGGGATTACAGGCACCCGCCACCACACCCAGATAGTTTTTTTGTATTTTCAGTAGAGATGGGCTTTCACCATGTTGTCCAGGCTGGTCTTGAACTCCTGACCTAAAGTGATCCACTTGCCTCGGCCTCCCAAAGTGCTGGGATTACAGGCATGAGCCACCATGCCCGTGACCCATGTTTTGGTTTTTAATGAATGCTGTCACAGAACGTATCTTCAAAATCATACACAAACACAGAATACTCTGAGGGGCTGTCTACTTTTTTTCCTACCCAAAATAATTTTCAAATATACTGTGATCTGTTACAACTGACCCATTTCATTAAATAATTTTAAAAAAATCACCCATGACACAAATTCTTGCTGCCAATATATAATTAGGCATCCCAAAGGGAAAGTGCTAAACTGTAGAGAACTAGAAGAGTAAACCTTTGTTAAAGAGATTTTTCTTCTCATTGAAAATTAGAAGCAGATAAAGAAAAAAAAACCAGATTCTATTTGTAGAAAATGCATCTTTGAAAGGAAGCATAAAGAATCAGTGGTTGGATAGATAAGAAACTAATAAAAGGAGTTACCACAAGGAGTGAAGGTACAATGGGGGAGTAGAGAAGAGTGACAGAAATAGGAGCTGAAGTTTTCAATGTCTGTCTTTTTATATAATTTTAGAATCATGTGATTATCAATTTTAAAAAGAAAGTTAAAAAAGAAAAGTCCCATCTATCTATATTATAAGCCATCCTTTTATAAGCATACAACCTATGCTGAGACCTTTTACGATGTTTAAAAACGAAAATCTCATAAACCTTAAAATAGAGATGAATAAATAGTAAAGACAATGAGGGGCATATAACTTTCCAAGTTAGTCTTATTACTAACTACACCCTCTCCATTAGAGTAGTAATCCACACTTGGAATTGTTTGGGACGGCAACTATGGTGCAGTAGTGCTTAGATGGTTCAGCATGGCTCTGCAGAATGACAGGCCTAGATTTAAAGTCTGGTTCTGCAACTTTCTTTTTTTTTTTTTTTTTTTTCTTTTCTCTTCTTAGAGACGGAGTCTCGCTCTGTCGCCCAGGCTGGAGTGCAGTGGCGCAATCTCGGCTCACTGCAACCTCTGCCTCCCGGGTTCAAGCAATTCTTCTGCTTCAGCCTCCCTACAGGTGCATGCCACCATGCCCGTCTAATTTCTTTTGTATTTTAGTAGAGACAAGGTTTCACCATGTTGCCCAGGCTGGTCTCAAACTCCTGAGCTCAGGCAATCTGCCCACCTCAGCCTCCCAAAGTGCTGGGATTACAGGCGTGAGCCACAGCACCTGGCCCTGCAACTTTCTAAGTTTCAAGACCTTGGGGCAAGTAATTTAACACCTCTAAGCTTCAGTTTCCTCGTCTGGTAAAATGAGGATATAATATCACCTATATCTAAGAGTACTAGTGAGAATTAAAATGGATAACAAATGTGAAATGCAGTAATGACTCAAGAAATGTTAGCTTTTATTACTGTGCCATACAAATTATGACTTCAACTAAACAACTATTGGAATTAACAACTAAACGAATCATTTTGTAAATTATTCTCTAAGATGATCAGGCTTGCTTTGGTGTATACTACTAAAAGTAGTCCTGTTTGGAGCCAGGCCCGGTGGCTCATGCCTGTAATTCTAGCACTTTGGGAAGCCAAGGCAGGAGGATAGCTTAAACCTAGGAGTTTGAGACCAGCCTGGGCAACATGCTGAACCTCTCATCTCTACAAAAAAATAGAAAAATTAGCCAGGCCTGGTGGTAGTAGACCTTGTTTCAAAACAAAAACAAAACAAAACAAAAAAACTAGTCTTGTTTTAATAAGAACGAGAAAATAGTTTTTTTTTTTTTTTTTTTTGAGACAGAGTTTCACTTTGTTACTCAGGCTAGAGATGAGTGGCGCAATCACAGCTCAAAGCAATCCTCCTGCTTCAGCCTCCCAAGTAGCTGGGACTACAGACGCCACATTTTTGTATTTTTTGGTAGAGATGGGATTTTATCATATTGCCTAGGCTGGTCTTGAACTCCTGAGCTCAAGCGATCTGCCAGCCTACGCCTCCCAAAGTGCTGGGATTACAGGCATGTGCCACCAAGCCCAGTGAAGAAAACAGATTTTTTTAAAAAATTAATTTTAATGAAATAGAAACAGGGTCTATGTTGCCCAGGCTGGTCTCGAACTCCTGAGCTCAAGCAATCCACCCACCTCAGCCTCCCAAAGTGTTGCGATTACAAACAGTCATGAGCCACCATGCCCAGCCAGATCTTAATGTAAAAATATGCTGTATATCTTAACCCTTTCTAAATATGAAAGGAGTGAATCAAAAAACTCTTACTAAAATTACACATTCTTATTTTGTTTTTAAGATAGGGTCTTGCTCTGTTGCCCAGGCTAGAATGCACTGGCACAATCTTGGCTCACTGCAATCTCTGCCTCCTGGACTCAAGCGATCCTCCTACCTTAGCCTCCTGAGTGGCTGGACTACAGGTGCACATCACCATGCCCAGCTATTTTTTTTTTTTTTTTTTGTATTTTTGTAGAGATGGGGTTTTGCTATGTTACCCAGGCTGGTCTTGAACTCCTGGGCTCAAAGGATCCACCCGCCTCAGCCTCCCAAAGTGCTGGGATTACAGGCGTGAGCCACCATACCCAGCCTACTTTTTTTTTTTTTTGAGATGGAGTCTCACTCTGTCACCAAGGTTGGAGTGCAGTGGCATGATCTCAGCTCACTGCAACCTCCACCTCCCAGGTTCAAGTGATTGTCCTGCCTCAGCCTACCAAGTAGTTGGGATTACAGGCATGCCCCACCATGCCTGGCTAATTTTTGTATTTTCAATAGAGATGGGGTTTTCACCATGTTGGCCAGGTTGGTCTCTAACTCCTGATCTCAAGTGATCCACTTGCTTCGGCCTCCCAAAGTGCTGGGATTACAGGCGTGAGTCACCATGCTTGGTCTTTTTTTTTTTTCTTTCTTTTTATATAACACGTTCTACAAAGCTTCTGGAATGAACACATATTTTTTAAATGTCAGAGACCCATGCAGAGAATGAAAATAGCATGGTATGACAGAAGGGCAGTTGAGTAGCCACTTTAAATTAGGAAGACAGAGGCAGTGACACTTAAGTGCTATTTACAAGATAGTAAAGATCAAGGGTAGGCACATTTCAGGCAAAGTACATGACTAGGAGGTCCCTAGGTGACAAGGTGCCCTGCCTGTGAGTCAGTATCAAGGAACCAAAAGGCCACTGTGGTTGAAGCGTCTGAGACATGTTACTTAGCTGCTGCATGTAGTTAACCTCAGAACCAAATGCTCTCTACAAAGGCTCAGATCATCACAATGTCATGTTGTAATTTCTCTGACTGCCTCCAACTCTAAGACCTACCAATGTATATAACTTATACCTATGTGTGTGTGTATGTGTATATATATATATATATATATATATTTTTTTTTTTTTTTTTTTTTTTTTTTTTTTTTTTTTTTTGAGACGGAGTCTTGCTCTGTTGCCTAGGCTGGCGTGCAGTGCAGTGGCACAATCTCAGCTCATGGCAACCTCCGCCTCCTGGGTTCAAGCGATTCTCCTGCCTCAGCCTCCCAGGGAGCTGGGATTACAGGCGCCTGCCATCACGCCCGGCTAATTTTGTATTTTCAGTAGAGATAGGGTTTCACCATATTGGCCAGGCTGGTCTCGAACTCCTGACCTCCAGTGATCTGCCCGCCTCGGCCTCCCAAAGTGCTGGGATTACAGTCATGAGCCACCACACCTGGCTGGAATACCTATATATTTTTAACACTGTGGAATAGGAATATTTTTTCCATTATATAATATTTGATATATTTTAACACAAATGTTAAAATTAGCACTTTGGGAGGCCAAGGCAGGTGAACATGACCAGTGTTTTTCTTCAGCACTAATCTCTCCTCCTTCCACCAGGAGGAGGAGGAGGAGGCTTCCCTTTGATGCTAAGTAATGTACAATTTTTCCTGCTATATGAGTATCTATAGAACCAATTACTCACACACAATTGGTAATTAGAGAAATTATGCCAGTTTAATATGGAAGGTGTGTTGGTTCATAAGTGTTTCTCCTAGGTAAAGGGAGCCAGAAAAGCAGGAGTCAAATTATGCCTTTCAGTAGAAAAGAATACAGTTTTTAGCTCACTGCTGGGCAGACAGGAGCCCTTTCAGCCTTTTTTTTTTTTTTTGAGACGGAGTCTGACTCTGTCTCCCAGGCTGGAGTACAGTGATACAATCTCGGCTCACTGCAACCTCCACCTCCTGGATTCAAGTGATTCTCCTGCCTCAGCCTCCCAAGTAGCTGAGATTACAGACCTGCACCATCACACCCAGCTAATTTTTGTATTTTTAGGAGACACAGGGTTTCACCATGTTGGCCAGGCTGGTCTTGAACTCGTGACCTCAAGTGATCCTCCCACTTCGGCCTCCTAAAGTGCTGGGATTTAGGTGTGAGCCACTGTGCTTGGCCTCCTTTCAGTTTTAAATGAAAAATGAGTGCCTTTGTACACGTACTCACAAACACAATCAAGAATGAAAGAAATTATCAGGAGCCTGGCTAAGAGAAGCAACTTCATCTTAGACCAAGCTACGGTAAGTCTTTGGGACATCTTGCCAAGAGCTGGTGTTGGATCCTGCCCTTCTGTGGCTTGACGGCTACATTCCTCATATTCACAAACAGGCTATGCTCTAGGCTCTGAATAATGAAATGCCGAAGTACCACAACCATATTCCTAGTCCAGGACTTAAGGTTTTTGGCAAAGCAGAGTGTGCTGGAATGTATATTCAATGTGTTGAATTCAAACACCTACAATGGGTAAATCGTAGTCTTTTAAAGCATTCAAAAACCATGTGTCCAGTATCCAGTAAAACAGGAGAATTTTAGTTCTGGGAATTTTGTTTGTTTTTTAAGAAACAAGGTCTTCTCTGGTGCCCAGGCTGAAGTGCAGCAGCACAATCATAGCTCACTGCAGCCTACACTTCCCAGGCTCAAGCAATCCTCCCGCCCCAGGCTCCCAAGTAGCTGGTACCACAGGTGTGTGCTACCACACCCAACTTGAGAATCTCACAGTTTTGATGCAACTCTTAAGCAGAGAGGCCTAATTTACAATGTATCTCAATTTTCTCTTGACTTACTTGGAGAAAACATTGGTACCACTGATGTTGATTTTGTCTACTCCAAAGGGAAACAATTTGTAAAAACAACAATTAGAGAAAAACCAAAGATAATACCCACAGTATCTATAGAAATATAGACTTTAAATATCTTCTATATTATAGTAATGTGGGGATGGGTGCCACATGTGGACAGTTTACTGACAGTAGTTGCTGTCCAGGAAACCATTCATGTTAACACTGATGCCAAGAAAGAAGTAAAAGTAGAGTTCGATCTCCCCATCTAAACAAGGATGGTCGTGAAAGTTCTTGAGGTGAGGAAACTTCAAAATAGCAGAGAATGGGCTGGGCACGGTGACTCACGCTTGTAATCCCAGCAATTTGGGAGGTCGAGGCAGGTGGATCGCCTGAGGTCAGGAGTTCGAGACAAGCCTGGCCAAAATGGTGTAACCCTGTCTCTACTAAAAATACAACAATTAGCCAGGCGTGGTGGCGCACACCTGTAATCCCAGCTACTCGGGAGGCTGAGGCAGCAGAATCGCTTGAACCTGGGGAAATGGAGGTTGCAGTGAGCCGAGATCATACCACTGCACTCCAGCCTGGGCAACACAGTGAGACTGTCAAAAAAAAAAAAAAAAGCAGAGACTGCATAATATGAGTAAAGCAGTAATAGAATAATATGAGTAGAATAATATGAAGTAGTTATTTCTTCAGTGGGAGAAGAGGCAGAAGAAAAAGAGATTAAAACACATAAAAGGCCGGGTGCAGTGGCTCATCCCTGTAATCCCAGCATTTTGGGAGGCTGAGGTGGGAAGATCGCTTGAGCTCAGGAGTTTGAGAACAGCCTGGGCAACATGGAAAGACCCCATCTCTACAAAAAAGTTAAAATATTATCTGGATGTGGTGATGTGCACCTGTAATCCCAGCTACTCAGGAGGCTGAGGTGGAAGAACTGCTTGAGCCCAGGATGTCGAGGATGCTGTGAGCTGTGTTTGTGCCACTGCACTCCAGTCTGGACAACACAGTGAGACAGTGCCTCCAAAAAAAAAAAAAAAGAAAAAAAAGAAAAGAAAAAGGCACAAAAAGGGATTAAGAGAATGGAAGACTTGCCACAGAGATATGCTAGGGAAAAGTATAGAATCTAAAATAGTCCAATAGGATATCTAGAAAGCCTATTAGAAAGCCTTGGCAGGCCGGGAACAGGGCTCATGCTTGTAATCCCAGCGCTTTGAAAGGCCGAGGTGGGCAGATCACTTGAGGTCAGGAGTTTGAGACCAACCTGGCCAACATGGTGCAACCCCATTTCTACTAAAAAATACAAAAATTAGCCAAGTGTGGTGGTGCGCACCAGTAGTCCCAGCTGCTTGGGAGGCTGAGGCAGGAGAATCGCTTGAACCCCGGAGGCAGAGGTTGCAGTGAGCCGAGACCATGCCACTGTACTCCAGCCTGGGTGACAGAGTGAGACTCCGTCTCAAAAAAAAAAAAAAAGAAAGAAAGCCTTGGCAGTCATGGGCTTAGGGGGAAATGTAGATCAAAGAAGATTCTAATGACAACAAGTGGACAAATGTAGCTTCCATGAGGAAACTTAGGCTGGGGAAATTCTTCGAAAAAAAATTACAAAGAACAAAAAATCTCTCTCTAGAGTTACTGAAACATACCTAAACAAGAACTTAATTGCTATTCTTTAACATCTGCTCAAGAACCTCATATGTGTTGGAGATGTTCTTCTTTCTCATTCAACAGAGCTGCCAATGAACTGACAAACAGTGAGGTACAAAAATGTGGTTAAAAAATATTTTGTGTGTGGTTTTATTATTATTATTATTTTGAGACAGGGTTTCACTCTGTCACCCGAGCTAGTGTAGTGGCTTGATTACAACTCACCTCAGCCTTGACCTCCCAGGCTGATGTGATCCTCCCACCTCAAGCCTCCTGAGTAGTGGGGACCACAGATGCGTGCCACCAACACCCGGTTTTTAAATTTTTATTTTTGTAGCGACAGTCTCCCTATGCTGTCCAGGCTGTTCTCCAACTTCTAGGCTCAAGGAATCCTCCCACCTTGGCCTCCCAAAGTGCTGGGATTACAGGTATAAACCAACACACCCAGCCAAAAAGTCAGAGGTATCTGGGTTCAAATCTTGTCTCTGTTTCTTTCTTTCTTTTTTTTTTTAGATGGAGTCTCACTCTGTCACCCAGGCGAGGCTGGAGTACAGTGGTGCGATCTTGGCTTACTGCAACCTCTGCCTCCCAGGTTCAAGCAATTCTCCTGCCTCAGCCTCCCAAGTAGCTGGGATTACAGGTGTGTGCCACCAGGCCCAGCTAATTTTTGTATTTTCAGTAGAGACGGGGTTTCACCATGTTGGTCAGGCTGGTCTTGAACTCCTGACCTCATGATCCGCCCACCTCAGCCTCTCAAAGTGCTGGGATTACAGGTGTGAGCTACCGCACCCAGCCCCTGTCTCTGTTTCTAAGGCAAAGTTTCAAACTATGAAAAAGATAAACACAACCTATTATCAACCTTAAATTCACCATGAGGATTAAGTGATATAATTAAATATATAAATAAAATATTAATGTACATAAAGAACTCAGCTCATGGCCCACAGAATTTTTTCACATCATTGCAATATTATAGCTAATATCACGTGCTTAATTAAGAAAGTGTCTTAACAGAACTCTAGTGTTTCCTAATGAGCATAATTTATTGTACATCATCCTAGAACTTATCCTTAATCTTCAATTTGGCCTTTCTGCTTAAGAAGGAAAAAAACCTTTAAAATACCTTAGTCTTTAATATTTTGGATTTTAGTATTATTTATATTGTGCATTTTTCTCTATACTGTCCAACAAAATGTTTTTTAAATATTTTATGCCTAAACATTTTATATTCTCCCTCTAAAATTCAAATGTTTAAGTTCCTTCTCTATTAATGAGCAGATCTGCCTGTTAACAATGGAGTTTTACACAGTTTGTCTCTTCACTTTAACCAGAACCTGAAATCATACTTTTGCTTTTGTTTTTGCAGGCTACTTAATTATCATAACTTCTTAGGATCATCAGAATTAAAAGACACACACACAGATTTCCACTGGTTAACTTTAACTCAGTAGGTGTCTTTTCTTTTTTCGTTTTTTTCCTTTTCTTTTTCTTTTTTTTTTTTTTTGAGACAGGGTCTTGATCTGTCACCCAGGCTGGAGTGCAGTGGTGTGATCTAGGCTCACTGCAACCTCTGCACCCCCACCCACCCCCTACCCCAGCACCAAGCTCAAGTGACGATCCTCAGCCTCCCTCAGCCTCCTGAGCAGCTGGGACCACAGGAGTAGCTCGAACCTCAGGCGCACAACCACCACACCTGGCTGTTTTTGTATTTTTAGTAGAGACGGAGTTTCACCATGTGGCCCAGGTTGGTCTTGAACTCCTGAGCTCAAGGAATCCACACACCTGGGCCTTCCAAAGTGCTGGGATTACAGGCGTGAGCCACCATGCCCAGCAAATGTCTTTTCTTTTTTTTTTTTTTTGAGACTGAGTTTCACTCTTGTTGCCCAGGCTGGAGTGCAATGGCACGATCTCTGCTCACTGCAACCTCCGCCTCCTGGATTCAAGTGATTCTCCTGCCTCAGCCTCCCAAGTGGCTGGGATTGCAGGCATGTGTCACCACAGCCAGCTAGTTTTGTGTTTTTAGAAGAGACAGGGTTTCTCCATGTTGGTCAGGCTGGTCTCAAACTCCCGACCTCAGGTGATCTGCCCGCCTCGGCCTCCCAAAGTGCTGGGATTACAGGAATGAGCCACCGCGCCTGGTCTAGCAAATGTCTTTTCTTAGATAAACTATAACCAACACACTGGAAGAAGAGTACCCTCTGAAACCTAAAGGTTATTATCACTTTGCCTACAGTATCTGTGTTGTCTGGCTTCCCCCATAACTTGTATTTAACTGGATCTTTCCTTTGCAGCAAATAATTCATAAGAGAAAAAAGGGGAAGAAGTGGATTCTTTTTGAATATGAAAGGGTCTTGGCCGGGCACGGTGGCTTATGCCTGTAATCCCAGCACTTTGGGAAGCCGAGGCAGGTGGATCACTTGAGGTCAGAAGTTCCAGACCAGCCTGACCAACATGGTGAAACCCTGTCTCTACTAAAAATACGAAATTAGCTGGGTGTGGTGGTGCACGGCTGTAATCCCAGCTACTTGGGAGGCTGAGGCAGGAGAATCGCTTGAACCCAGGAGGCAGAGGTTGCAGTGAGCCAAGACTGTGCCAATGCACTCCAGCCTGGGCAACAAGAGTGAAACTCCATTTCAAAAAAAAAAAGAAAGGGTCTTATAGAAAAAGACCAGCTATATATTCCAGTTGTACTGGTCCACCAGTAGCTAAATTCTACTTCAGTATTCATTTAAATGGCATTTGTGTTTCACCTTTAATTTTTTATTTTTATTTATTTATTTTTGCAACAGAGTCTCGCTCTTTTCACCCAGGCCGGATTGTGGTGGCAAGATCTCAGCTCACCACAACCTCCGCCTCCCGGGTCCAAAATTCTCGTGCCTCAGCCTCCCAAGTAGCTGGGATTACAGGCACCCACCATCACACCCGGCTAATTTTTATATTTTTAGTAGTTCAGGGTTTTGCCATGTTGGCCAGGCTGGTTTTGAACTCCTGATCTCAGATGTTCCACCCGCCTCAGCCTCCCAAAGTACTGGGATTACACGCGTGAGCCACCGCATCCAGCCGTTTTGTTTTTTTAAGAGACAGGGTGTCACTCTGTTGCCCTGGCTGGTGTGCAGTGGCACAATCATGGCTCACTGCAGCCTCGACCTCCCAGGCTTAAGCAATCCTCCCACCTCAGCTTCCTGAGTTGTTGGGACTATAGGCACATGCCACCACACTGGGCTAATTTTTTATTTTATTTTATTATTTTTAGAGACAAGGTCTCACTGTGTTGCCCAGGCTGGTCTCAAACTCCTGGGCTCAAGCAATCTTCCCACCTCAGACTCCCAAAGTGTTAAGATTACAGGTGTGAGCCAACTTGCCTGGGCTATTATTCTAACTGGTTTTAAGTATTCCGATAATCAGCTTCAGGTCATTCATTCCAAATTGGGGTTTGGAAACATAGTCACAAAACGAGGGAGGCTGTATTACAGATCCAAAGATCTAGAAGGAGCCCAACATGGAAAATAAAACATAAAGCCCCTATAAAAATAACGCAAACATGACCTTCTTTCTAATGTGGCTCCCTATTGTTCTAGTTGTTATGGATAAAGCAGTGAACAAAATGGACAAAATCCCACCATCCAATGATAACCATTCTGTTACCATTTTAGTTAATGTGTTCCACATACGTGTACACATTTTTCTAACACAGTATATATGATGGCACAGATTTTACAAGATAAGACCCTGAGTTATTTTGCTCTTTCTGCCACACTTACCAATCAGTCACAAACTGATGCCTCCAAATAGCTCAAACTTATCTTTCAATGCTGCACCAGTATTTCATTTAATTTCATCATTTCCAAATTTATATATGAAAAACAATGCTGTGTATATGTTCCTATAAATACATTCTTACACACCTGATTAATCTCCTCAGGGAAGAATTGCTAGAACACAAGTATGCACACTGTAAGTTTTGATACACATAGCCAAACTACAATAGGAGAATTTTTTTTAATGATGAAATACAAATACAGTACGTTCAATTCAAGTCTTCCTGGATGATCACATCTCTGCAGAAGCCCAGTGTTTCAACTGGGAAACCAGCTAGAACCTAATACTACATCTGATCACATTTTGATTAAGTAACATCTCTATGCAGTACTCCATAATGAAAATAATTTGGACTAGGCACAGTGGCTCACACCTGTAATCCTCGAACTTTGGGAGGCCAAGGCAGGTGGATCAGTTGAGGTCAGAAGTTTGAGACCAGCCTGGCCAACATGGTGAAACCTTGTCTCTACTAAAAATATAAAAATTAGCCGGGCATGCTGGTGTGCACCTATAATCCCAGCTACTCAGGAGGCTGAGGCAGGAGAATTGCTTGAACCTGGGAGGTGGAGTTTGCAGTGAGCCGAGATCTTGCCACTGCACTCCAGCCTGAGCGACAGAGTAAGACACTGTCTCAAAAAAAAAAAAAAAAAAAAAAAAGACAAACAGGCTGGGCGCAGTGGCTCATGCCTGTATTCCCAATAATTTAGGAGGCCTAGGTGGGCAAATTGCTTGAGCCCAGGAGTTCAAGACCAGCCTGGGCAATATAGGGAGACCCTGTCTCTACAAGAAATACAAAAATTAGCTGGGTGTGGTGGCACACATCTATAGTCCCAGCTACTTGGGAGGCTGAGGTGGGAGGACGGTTTGAACCTAGGAGGCAGAGGTTGCAGTAAACCAAGATCATGCAACTGCACTCCAGCCTGGGTAATCAAGCAGGACCTTGTCAAAAAAAAAAAAAAAAAAGAAAAAAGAAAAAAAAATTTTTGTAAAGACTACAAATAATCAGGTTAAAGGCAAATCTAAATATATTTTGAATGTCTAACACTAATAGGTTGGGCTACTTTGCCTAAATGATATGCAGGTTGAGCAACCACTCCAGATTTTCTCATATACTTTCCCCAGCTCTACAAAGCACATTCTGAATTTGAGTTTACTTTATTGAACCAAAAATGATGCAATTTACTGTCATTAAAGACATAACAGTAAATGCATAGCCATACCCTATGAAACAGTTTATTTCAATTATATATAAAAGTATATAAGTGCCTAGAAATGTGACTAAAAGGTCCACAAACTTAATGTGACCTCTGACAAAACAAGTAATAGTGGCCATGAAGTGGGATGGATGAGTGGGGAGCAATAGAAAGGGACATGTTTACATTTTGCTCCATATTTCTACATTATTTCAGGCTTTCATGGTCTAGATATTCACATATTACTTCTATTATTATTATTATTATTATTAGAGACAGAGTTTTGCTCTTGTTGCCCAGGCTGGAGTGCAGTGGTGCAATCTTGGCTCACTGCAACCTCCACCTCCCAGGTTCAAGTGATTCTCCTGCCTCAGCCTCCTGAGTAGCTGGGATTACAGGCGTGCGCCACCATGCCCAGCTAATTTTTGTATTTTTAGTAGAGACGGGGTTTCTCCATGTTGGTAAGTCTGGTCTCGAACTCCCGACCTCAGGTGATCTGCCCGCCTTGGCCTCCCAAAGTGCTGGGATTACAGGCATGAGCCACTGCGCCCAGCCTACTTCTATTATTAAAAGAAAAGACAGAGAATTCCAATACTATGACACTGCTAAAAAGGAGCCTGACTTTGATTTGCTAATATCAAAAGATTAAAGTGAAGATGTACGAAGTGGGAAAAAAAAAAGTTGCAGAAATGTATTGTCCTGCAAGGCTCCAGGTAGCACCAACCCCAAGGCTTTGATGACCAAAAAGCTTTGGGCAGAGGCCAACCGGTGTGCTGATACAGAAGGGATGGTCCACCCCCTTTGAAACCAAAGAGGCAGCCCTGATCATCTCTGAATTGCTGTTAAGGTCGCTCTTCCCTTGTCATGAAGAATAATGTCCAGATCATTCTTCCCTTGCCTTGAAGAATAATGTACACTTGCAGCCCAATAGCTCTACGGTCTTGTCCTGTAAAATAAAAGAACTCCGACCTCTATTTCTCCTTCATTCCATCCAGTCTCCCTCCCTTTTAGTTCAACCTGGCAGTTTCCTGCTGGGGGCTGGTGATTTGATTCTGCAGTTCTCACCCACACAAATCTTATCAAGTGGTTAGTCTACCATACCTTTAGTGTTCTCTTGTGAACTTTCTTACTTTTTGTTATGTGGACAGGCTGAGAATTTTCCAAATCTTTAAGTTGTGGTTCCTTTTTGCTTAATAATTCCATCTTCAATTGGCTTCCCTCTTTTCAATTTTTACTATAAACAATCAGGAGGAACCAAGCCATTCCTTCAACATTTTGCTTAGAAATCTCCTCAGCTAAGTATCCAACTTCATCACTCACAAGTTCTACCTCCCACCCAGAAAACACTAGAACACAAACATAATTCAGCCAAGTTCTTTGCTACTTTGTAACAAAGATTGCCTTTTCTCCATTGTCCAGTAACGTTCTTCATTTCTAAGACCATATCAGAATGGCCTTTATTTTCTACTAAAATTCTGTACATGATTATTTATGTATTCTGTAAGATGGAAGCTTGCTCTACCATTCTCCTCTCTTCTTGCTGAGCTCTCTCCAAAATCACCTTTAATGCCCTTACTTCTACCAACAGTCCCTCACAGCAAATATCAGCTTGTTCTAGCATGCACTTAAAAACTCTTCCAGCCTATATCCATTACACAGTTGCAAAGTCACTTACCCGTTTTTAGGTATTTGTTATAGTAGCATCCCACTTTTTAGTAACACTTTTTGTCTTAGTTTGGGCTGCAATAACAAATACTATGGGCCAGGTAGCTTACATACAAACATTTATTTCTGACAACTATGAAGGCTGGGAAATCCAAGATCAAAGTTCTAGCTGATTTGGTTCCCAGTGTGGGTCCTCTTACTGGCTTGTAGATAGAGGTCTTCTTCCTCCATCCTCACATGGTAGAGAAGAGGATCATCTCTTTTCTGTCTCTTCTAATATGGGCACTAATCCTATCACAAGGCCTCTACCCTCATGAACTCATTACCTTCCAAAGGTCCCACCTCCAAATGCTAGCACATTGGGGATTAGGGAATTCAACATATGAATTTTGGGGGGAAGGTACACAAACATTTAGTCCATAGCATGTATATATACTATGATCCCTTCTATGTAAAACAAAAATATAAACTATATACATACGTATATGCATATTAAATTTCTAGAAGGAGCCAGGCACGGTGGCTCACGCCTGTAATCCCAGCACTTTGGGAGGCCGAGGTGGGTGGATCACGAGGTCAGGAGATCGAGACCATCCTGGCTAACACAGTGAAACCCCGTCTCTACTAAAAATACAAAAAAATTAGCCAGGCATGGTGGCGGGTGCCTGTAGTCCCAGCTACTCGGGAGGCTGAGGCAGAAGAATGGCATGAAACAGGGACGTGGAGCTTGCAGGAGCCAAGATCGCGCCACTGCACTCCAGCCTGGGAGACAGAGTGAGGCTCCATCTCAAAAAAAAAAAAAAAAAAAAAAAAAATTCTAGAAAGATGTGTGTCTATACTTTCCAAAAACAGCCACAGAATTAAAGCCAAACATGCTCTTCTAGAATCTTGCCACTCCCCATTGAGAGGTGAAATCTGGCCAGACTCTGTGGCTCATGCCTGTAATCCTAACACTTTGGGAGGTCAAGGCAGGAGGAACGCTTGAGCCCAGGCTATGGTCAAGCCATTGCCCTCCATCCTGGGTGACAGAGCAAGACCCTGTCAAAGAAGAAAGGAGGAAGAAGGAAGAAGAAAGGAAAGAGGGAGGAAGGAAAGAGAGAAATCTGTTTGCCCTCCTCTTGAACCTGGACAGGCCTGTGACTGCTACACCCAAGAATATAGGAAAGGTGTTATGACTTCTTACACTAAGTTCTCTCCCTCTCCCATCTCCTCTCAGGAGGGATGTTCTCCCTTGGAACCAGGCCACCATTCTATGAGGAAGCCAAGCAGCCACATGAAAAGGCCGTATGTAGACATTCTAACTGACAATACTAGCTAAGGTTCCAGCTACTCACCAGCATCAACTATCAGACAGTGAGTAACCAAGTTTCCAGATACTTCCTGCCCTCAGCTTCTATGTCTTCTAGCTAAGAACACAAACAATGATCAGCAGACAAGCTGTGTGAATTCCAGACACAGTCTGTCAGCTTAATGAATGGTTGTTCTATGGAACTAAGTTTTGGGGAAATTTGTTATACAATAATAATAATGGGAACAATACACAAGAAACTGTCGGCTGAGGGTGGTGGCTCACGCCTGTAATCCCAGCACTTTGGGAGGTCAAGAAGGGAAGAGTGCTTGAGGCCAGGAGTTTGAGACCAGCCTGGGCAAAATAGAGAGACCCCATCTCTATTCTAAATAAATAAATAAAACGTAACTATACATCCTAAATACACAGTTCAAAATTGGTAAGACCAATTGTATTGCTAATTATAGAAGGCTATGTGCCTTTTATGTCTTCCAGTGCCTGCATATTGATTTAAAAAAAGGATTAAGATTTGAAACAAAGTAGTCCACTGAAATTTCCTTATTGACTAAAATAAAACTCAAAAGTTAATCACACGATTAAAAAAGCTTTCATAGCAACATGAAAAATGCAAAATATTATTAAATTGAGGAAAATATACATATTCCATAGTATCTAAAAACATATTTCTTAAAAAGATCTGGGAAGATACACACCAATTCATCTAGGAAAGTAGGAAATAAAAGCTAAGTATGGGGAAAGGAGTTCAGCCTTACTTTTAATGTATTGATATTTTTTGAAAACACATATTCATATATTATTTATATAAATAATTAAATATTTTAAAAAGAAAAACAAATATTTTACAAAAGTTTTAACACAACTAGCAAAAATACATTTGCTGCATAGAGAAGTCTCTCAAAGAAACTTTCCAGACACAGATATTTTTCTTCCAGGAAAGGTCCGATGGGCCTTAAAGTGATTTATTTAAGTACAGTAGACATCACAATTTACAGGGCATTCAGGCTGATAAAAAGGAATCTGACCAAGGGTCTCCCAAATCACATTTTTACAGTACTTTAATACAGAAACAAATTTACTTTATTTTTTCTTCAGACAGAGTCTCGCTCTGTCACCCAGGCTGGAGTACAATGGCGCGATCTCTGCACACTGTAACCTCTGCCTCCTGGGCTCAAGCAATTTTCCTGCCTCAGCCTCTCAAGTAGCTGGAATTACAGGTGCCCATCACCACATCTGGCTAATTTTTGTATTTTTAGTAGAGATGAGTTTTCACCATGTTGACCAGGTTAGTTTCAAACTCCTGACCTCAAATGATTCGCCCGCCTTAGCTTCCCACAGTGCTGGGATTACAGGCATGAGCCACTGCACCTGGCCCAGAAACAAATTTCAGTGAAGATGTAGAAGTTTTAGTTATGCTGTTTAGATTAAGAGTTGAAATACAGAGCTCAACAATTAAAACATAAAAATGAAGAGGATTACCTGCATTCCAAAATCTTAGATTCTAACAGAACAGGAAAAACACATGAGCATAATCCAAGTTCGCATTTCTAAATCCATCTGCTTTCTCTTTCTAGAATTCCTATCATTAATAGAAGAAACTATATGCCAAGTGACAGCCAGTGAAGCAGAACAACAGGAGAAGACGGCGAAGCCAGAAGCAAATTATTTCAATGGAAGAAAAATCCCCTCTCCAGGTTGTTTTCATTGGTATAAGGATATGAGTTACTTTTTAAAAAGGAACACTAGGCGGCCGGGCACAGTGGCTCACATCTGTAATCCTAGCACTTTGGGAGGCCGAGGTGGATGGATCACAAGGTCAGGAGTTCGAGACCAGTCTGGCCAACATAGTGAAACCGTCTCTACTAAAAATACAAAAAATTAGCCGGGTGTGGTGGCGTGCACCTGTAATCCCAGATACTCAGGAGGCTGAGACATGAGAGGCAGAGGCTGCAGTGAGCCGAGATCACACCACTGCACTCCAGCCTGGGCAACACAGCAAGACTCTGTTTCAAAAAAAAAAAAAAAAAAAAAAAGAATACTAAAGTAGTTACAAGGAAATATCTGATTTTTCTTTTTCTTGTTTTATAAAGAATACTAGACAACTTAAAACAATAATTTATGCAAGGCACGGTGGCTCACACCTGTAATCCCAGCACTTTGGGGGGCCAAGGCAGGTGGATCACCTGAGGTTGGGAGTTCGAGACCAGCCTGACCAACATGGTGAAATCCCGTCTCTACTAAAAATACAAAATTAGCTGGGCGTGGTGGCGCTTGCCTGTAATCCCAGCTACTCAGGAGGCTGAGGCAGGAGAATTGCTTGTGGAATTGAGGTGGAAGTTACGGTGACCCGAGAATGCGCCATTGCACTCCAGCCTGAGCAACAAGAGCAAAACTCTGCCTCAAAAAAAAAAAAGAATGATTCATGATTAGACGGGGATTTTGTGTAGGCAACTTTCTATACATATACTAGTATTCTACTACTACATCACTAAAAATCCATAGTTATCGGCTGGGCGTGGTGGCTCACGCCTGTAATCTCAGCACTTCGGGAGGCCAAGGTGGGCGGATCACCTAAGGTCAGGAGTTCGAGACCAGCATGGCCAACAAGGCGAAACCCCGTCTCTACTAAAAATACAAAAGTTAGCCGGGCGTGGTGGCAGGCGCCTGTAATCCCAGCTACTTGGGAGGCTGAGGCAGGAGAATTGCTTGAACCCAGGAGGCGTAGGTTGCTGTGAGCCCAGATTGCGCCATTGCACTCCCGCTTGGGAGACAGGGCAACACTCTGTCTCAAAAAAAAAAAAAAAAAATTCCATAGTTATCACGGGGCATATTCCTATATTAAATAACACAGAATTATATGTAACATGATGAAGATACCCAGATTGTCACTGAAAGAGACTCACCGTCTATCCTTATCTACCTTTTTAAGTCCTTTTAGGCAGTATTATAAAGCACTAAATCTCTAATTAAAGTACAGTTGTCCCTTGGTATCTGCAGGGGCTTGGTTCCAGGAACCCCCCTCAGATTCCAAATCCAGACACTCAAATCCCTTATATAAAATTGTATAGTATTTACATACAATCTATGAACATCCTCCCATAGACAAATTGTCTCTAGGTTACTTATAATACTTAATACAATGTACAGGCTATGTAAACAGTGGTTATGCTATTGTTTTATTATTTGTATTATTATTTTTTAAATATTTTTGATTTACAGTTGGCTAAATCCATGAATCCAGAGAGCACAGGTATGAAGGGCCAACTGTATTAGATTAGGAAAGAAAAAAGTCCGTGATATGAGATAATACCTCAATTTTTTAAGTGTTTCTGAACATTCCTGAGACAAGCAGAAGTATACATACACCTGGCAAAATGCAACTGCATTAAGAATAGTCTAACACTCGCTGTAACTCGGTGATGTAATTAAATCATAGAAAGGACCCATGCCAAGTAAGTAAGTAAAACCTTGTCACCAGCACCCCAAAACGGGCATTCTTTGTACTGCAATCATATCAGTCTTGAACTTGAACACTGTTAGTTTATAATATGTACTTTTTTTTTGAGACAGTCTCCCTCTGTCACGCAGGATGGAGTGCAGTGGTGTGATATCAGATCACTGCAACCTCCACCTCCCAGACTCAAGTGATTCTCATGTCTCAGCCTCCCAAGTAGCTGGGATTACAGGCACCCACCACCAGGCCCAGCTAATTTTTGTATTTTTAGTAGAGACTACTACCAACAGGGTTTCACCATGTTGGCCAGGTTGGTCTCAAACTCCTGGCCTCAAATGATCTGCCTGCCTCAGCCTCCCAAAGTGCTGGGATTACAGGCGTAAGCCACCCCACCCGGCCCTATAATGTGTACTTTAAAATAACCCTATAATAACATAGTCAGAGAAGCTTAGTGAGGTGGCTCACGACTGTAATCTTAGCACTTAAGGAGGGTGGAACAGGAGGAAGCTTGAGGCTAGGTGTGTGAGACCAGCGTAGGCAACACAGTGAGACCCCATCTCTACAAAAAAAAATACAAAAATTAGCCAGGCACAATGGTGTGTACCTGTAGAACCAGCTACTCTGGAGACTGAGGTGGGAGGATCGCTTGAGCCCAGGAGTTCAAGGCTGCAGTGATCTATTACACCACTCCACTCCAGCCTAGATGATACAATGAGACCCTGTCTCTTAAAATAAAAATAAAGGAAAAATATAGATAGATAGACAGATAGATAGATAGTCACAGAGATGGTCATTTGCCTCTTTTTTTTTTTTTTTTTTTAAGACAGGGTCTCACTTTGTTGCTCAGGCTGGTTTCTAAATCCTGCCTTTAAACAATCCTCCCGCCTCTGCCTCCGAAAGTGCTGAGATTATGAGCATGAGCCCAGCCAGATTTATAGTCTTTGTACTAAAACTTATATATAACCAGTGATGAGGCAGTAGTAAGAGAAGTTCCAACTGCTGTTAGTGCCCATAAAGCTTTATGAGAGGATACTTTTCTTCTATTTTTATAGATTTTTTAAAACATTCTGATGAGAACAAATCCTACCAATTTATAAATCAAGGTAATGAGAAGTTTTATTAAGAATTATTGAACAGCTACATTGTAGTGTACATTTTCTTTTCAAATCATATAACTATGGTGCATTTAAAGATTTTCTTCTTCAGAAAAGAGAGAAGAATCAAATAGACGCAATAAAAAATGATAAAGGGGATATCACCACCAATCCCACAGAAATACAAACTATCATCAGAGAATACTACAAACGCCTCTACGCAAAGAAACTAGAAAATCTAGAAGAAATGGTTAAATTCCTCGACACATACACCCTCCCAAGACTAAACCAGGAAGAAGTTGACTCTCTGAATAGACCAATAACAGGCTCTGAAATTGTGGCAATAATTAATAGCTTACCAACCAAAAAGAGTCCAGGACCAGATGGATTCACAGCCGAATTCTACCAGAGGTACAAGGAGGAACTGGTACCATTCCTTCTGAAACTATTCCAATCAATAGAAAAAGAGGGAATCCTCCCTAACTCATTTTATGAGGCCAGCATCATCCTGATACCAAAGCCGGGCAGAGACACAACCAAAAAAGAGAATTTTAGACCAATATCCTTGATGAACATTGATGCAAAAATCCTCAATAAAATACTGGCAAACCAAATCCAGCAGCACATCAAAAAGCTTATCCACCATGACCAAGTGGGCTTCATTCCTGGGATGTAAGGCTGGTTCAATATATGCAAATCAATAAATGTAATCCAGCATATAAACAGAACCAAAGACAAAAACCACATGATTATCTCAATAGATGCAGAAAAGGCCTTTGACAAAATTCGACAACCCTTCATGCTAAAAACTTTCAATAAATTAGGTATTGATGGGACGTATCTCAAAATAATAAGAGCTATCTATGACAAACCCACAGCCAATATCATACTGAATGGGCAAAAACTGGAAGCATTCCCTTTGAAAACTGGCACAAGACAAGGATGCCTTCTCTCACCACTCCTATTCAACATAGTGTTGGAAGTTCTGGCCAGGGCAATTAGGCAGGAGAAGGAAATAAAGGGTATTCAATTAGGAAGAGGAAGTCAAATTGTCCCTGTTTGCAGATCACATGATTGTATATCTAGAAAACCCCATTGTCTCAGCCCAAAATCTCCTTAAGCTGATAAGCAACTTCAGCAAAGTCTCAGGATACAAAATCAATGTACAAAAATCACAAGCATTCTTATACACCAATAACAGACAAACAGAGAGCCAAATCATGAGTGAACTCCCATTCACAGTTGCTTCAAAGAGAATAAAATACCTAGGAATCCAACTTACAAGGGATGTGAAGGACCTCGTCAAGGAGAACTACAAACCACTGCTCAATGAAATAAAAGAGGATACAAACAAATGGAAGAATATTCCATGCTCATGGGTAGGAAGAATCAATATCATGAAAATGGCCATACTGCCCAAGGTAATTTATAGATTCAATGCCATCCCCATCAAGCTACCAATGACTTTCTTCATAGAATTGGAAAAAACTACTTTAAAGTTCATATGGAACCAAAAAAGAGCCCGCATTGCCAAGTCAATCCCAAGCCAAAAGAACAAAGCTGGAGGCATCACGGTACCTGACTTCAAACTATACTACAAGGCTACAGTAACCAAGACAGTATGGTACTGGTACCAAAACAGAGATATAGATCAATGGAACAGAACAGAGCCCTCGGAAATAACGCCGCATATCTACAACTGTCTGATCTTTGACAAACCTGAGAAAAACAAGCAATGGGGAAAGGATTCCCTATTTAATAAATGGTGCTGGGAAAACTGGCTAGCCATATGTAGAAAGCTGAAACTGGATCATTTCCTTACACCTTACACAAAAATTAATTCAAGATGGATTAAAGACTTAAACGTTAGACCTAAAACCATAAAAACCCTAGAAGAAAACCTAGGCATTACCATTCAGGACATAGGCATGGGCAAGGACTTCATGTCTAAAACACCAAAAGCAATGGCAACAAAAGCCAAAATTGACAAATGGGATCTAATTAAACTAAAGAGCTTCTGCACAGCAAAAGAAACTACCATCAGAGTGAACAGGCAACCTACAAAATGGGAGAAAATTTTTGCAACCTACTCATCTGACAAAGGGCTAATATCCAGAATCTACAATGAACTCAAACAAATTTACAAGAAAAAAACAAACAACCCCATCAAAAAGTGGGCAAAGGACATGAACAGACACTTCTCAAAAGAAGACATTTATGCAGCCAAAAGACACATGAAAAAATGCTCACCATCACTGGGCATCAGAGAAATGCAAATCAAAACCACAATGAGATACCATCTCACACCAGTTAGAATGGCGATCATTAAAAAGTCAGGAAACAACAGGTGCTGGAGAGGATGTGGAGAAACAGGAACACTTTTACACTGTTGGTGGGACTGTAAACTAGTTCAACCCTTGTGGAAGTCAGTGTGGCGATTCCTCAGGGATCTAGAACTAGAAATACCATTTGACCCAGCCATCCCATTACTGGGTATATACCCAAAGGACTATAAATCATGCTGCTATAAAGACACATGCACACGTATGTTTATTGCGGCACTATTCACAATAGTAAAGACTCGGAACCAACCCAAATGTCCAACGATGATAGACTGGATTAAGAAAACGTGGCACATATACACCATGGAATACTATGCAGCCATCAAAAATGATGAGTTCATGTCCTTTGTAGGGACATGGATGAAATTGGAAATCATCATTCTCAGTAAACTATTGCAAGAACAAAAAACCAAACACCGCATATTCTCACTCATAGGTGGGAATTGAACAATGAGAACACATGGACACAGGAAGGGGAACATCACACTCTGGGGACTGTTGTGGGGTGGGGGGAGGGGGGAGGGATAGCTTTAGGAGATATACCTAATGCTAAATGACAAGTTAATGGGTGCAGCACACCAGCATGGCACATGTATACATATGTAACTAACCTGCACATTGTGCACATGTACCCTAAAACTTAAAGTATAATAATAATAAAATAAAAGAGTTTCTTCTTCAATGAAAACGTTTTCTGTAACTACGATTTTTTTTTTTTTTTTTTGAGACAGAGTCTCACTCTGTGGCCCAGGCCAGAGTGCAGTGGCACAATCTTGGCTCACTTCAACCTCTGCCTCCTGGGCTCAAGCGATTCTCCCACCTCAGCCTCCTGAGTAGCTGGGATTACAGGCACGCGTCATCACACCTGGCTAATTTTTTTTATTTTCGGTAGAGAAGGGGTTTTACCATGTTGCCCAGGCTGGTTTCAAACTCCTAGACTCAAGTGATCGGTGGCCTCTGCCTCCTTTGGGAAGAGTGCTGAGTTTACAGGGGTGAGCCACCATGCCAGGCCTGTAATTACTAATTTTTGTATATATCTGTACAAGGTGCTTAGAAGTTTTATTTTTAGGTTAATTATTTGAGTGGGTAATGCATTCACATGGTTTTAAAATATAAAAATACACTGAAGAGTATGCCTCCTGCTCCTTCCTCCTACTCCTCTACCCCACCCTTGATTGCATATATAGTGCCTTTTTTTCTTTCTTTCTTTGAGATGGAGTTTTGCTCTTGTTGCCCAGGCTGGAGTGCAATGGCGTGATCTCGGCTCACCGCAACCTCCACCTCCCAGGTCCAAGCGATTCTCCTGCCTCAGCCTCCCAAGTAGCTGGGATTACAGGCATGTGCCACCACGCCTGGCTAATTTTGCATTTTTAGTAGAGACATGGTTTCTCCATGTTAGTCAGGCTGGTCTCGAACTCCCGACCTCAGGTGATCCACTTGCCTCGGCCTCCCAAAGTGCTGGGATTACAGGCGTGAGCCACCGGGCCCGGCCGCATATATAGTGCTTTTTAAGGTGCTTAAAGGAGACCAACCAAGAAGAACATGATGCTGAAGCAACAGCCTAAAACTAAATGGTCAGGACTGAACATGTCTCTGCCACTCTCTGGTCAGTTCCAACACCTGGGAAAACTAACTTACTTCAGTTTCCTTATCTGTAAAAAGAAATCCTAGTACTTACATTAGAGGTTTTCAATGGACTAGGCCCCCTTCAAACCCTCCCCACTGTAACCACTGTTTGAGGTATATCCCTTTGAACCTTTTTTACTATTTGCAAAAACATTGTACTGACTTCAGCAATACACAAGCCTACAAAGTCTTCGTTATGGCACTCACTAGCACTTCTCTGATACTTCTAAAATATCAGTTTATCAAATTCTCTTTGTATTTCTAATAGTTTTGCATTCTCACCGTCATCCAGGCTGGAGTGTAGTGGTGCAATCACACCTCATTGCAGCCTTGACTTCCCAGGCTCAAGCAATCCTCTGACCTCAGCCTCTGAAGGAGCTGTGACTATAGGTATGTGCCAAGATGCCCCGCTAATTTTTGTATTTTTTGTAGAAAAGGGATTTTGCCGTATTGCCCAGGCTGGTCTTGAACTCCTAGGTTCAAGCAATCTGCCTGCCTTGGCCTCCCAAAGTGCTGGGATTACAGGGATGAGCCACGGTGCCCGGCCCAGGTTTCCCTTTTTTTTTTTTTTTTTTTTTAGCCTACTTCTTCTATCATTCTAAGGTTCCCCAGTGCATCCATATGACTCCCTAGAGTATTCTGGACATCTGAGAAGCAGATTTTTGGTTGTTGTGATTGGCTTGCATCCTACATGGCTTAAAAATGTCCTACTAGACACTCACAAAAATGAAAACCCTGAGCCTATAATCTAACTTCATCTGACAGAAAAATATAATTTTCAGATGGTATTGACTTTTCAAGGAATTAAACTGGACTTTAGCATTTAAATCAGGGAAAATTGTACTTAGTTTTATTTAAAGCTCTACCAAGACCTGTCCTCCATTTCAGAAAGTCATTGTCACTGGTGGTATTTTTTTTTTTTTTTTTTTTTTGGAGACGGAGTCTGGCTCTGTTGCCCAGGCTGGAGCACAGTGGCACCATCTAAGCTCACTGCAAGCTCTGCCTCCGGGGTTCAAGTGATTCTCCTGCCTCAGCCTCCCGAGTAGCTGGGATTACAGGCACCTGCCACCACACCCAGCTAATTTTTGTATTTTTAGTAGAGACAGGGTTTCACCATGTTGGCCAGACTGTCACTGGTGGTATTTAAACCCAACAAAACAAACATGTATGAGTCTGCATTTATAACCGTAATGTTCATGATTTTTCCTATTAGTAAGTATTTACTTCATCTTGTCTTCTAATGTAGCTGTACCTCACTACATCATGGTCCTTTTATTTTCTTCAACTACTTTGCCTGTTTTTCTGCTCACATTAATGAAGGACTAGCTCAATGAACAGTTAGGGCATACAAACAGCTTCCCTAATCAAGGAAGTATGCAGGCAGGCTAAAGAGCCTCTTAACTCTCAAAATAGGGAAGACTTCATTACAAGACTTTATATCATATTTCATTCCAAAACCAAGTGTTTTTTCTCTTCCTTCTCACTTTATTTACAACCACTATAGAGTTCAGGGTTTCCTTGGTTTCCCTCTTGGTCCTTAACATGCAACTAGGAGTCCTCCCCACAAAAAGTTTTCTACTTGTCTTAGACAGCAACTCTCGTGGTTTTAGCCTGGTAGCAAAGGCCTAAGCCAGTTACCTTATACTGCATAGAAGGGAAAAGAGGCACAACAGATCCAGCTACTCAATAGACCTATTCCTCCTTTTTGTACTCACTGAAAGGTTTTGCTTTCTGTTTTGTGTGGTAGTTTTAATTGTTTTAGTTATTCGTGTACACAATTTAGAGTCAAACAGTTCTATAAGGTTTGTTCTGAAAAACAGTAATTTTTCATCCTCCTACCCACTTCTCCCTCCAGAGGCAACCATTTTCAACTTTTAGCTGATTGTTTTACTGCTTACCTCCATGTCTTTTATATATAAATATGCATTATTGCTACTTCTTGATTTTTCCATGTTAAATACCCATAGATGTACCAGTATAGAGTATGAAGATCTGCTTCTCCTCCCTGACCCCGTGTATACTCTTTCCATCCCCTAATAATGGTTGTATCATAAAGTTGTTTAGTTCAGTACTCAGTTATCAATTATAACTACATAAACGTTCACAGTTGAGCCACACAGTAAACTATACTGTAATTACTTTTTCTTTTCTGTACTACTTAATGTGTTTCTTTAAAGTTAGTACTTTTTTTGCATTTTTCTATGACTTTTCAAAACTTGTTTACAGTTCCCTAGATCACAAGATGTCTAGACTCACCAGGTATTCTACCAATTCATCTTTCTAAAAAAGTCTCTCCCAGAGCCATGTGACCCCCACACCCCCATCCACCGCCCCCCTGCAACTAAGCCAGCTCCCTGTAGTCCTGATGCACAGCTGCCACCCTGGGATGTCCCTTCACCATTATCCTGGAAGGTACTTTGTTTCTCGTATGTGCTAGATCTGCTTTCTACACTCAAAATCCTAGTCTTCTTTCTTGGCTTATGCCTTCATTTCGGTGAAAAATAGCTCATCCTCTAGGAACTTCCTATGAAAGCATACTCCCCCAACTTGATTGAGAGATTGGCTGGATACAGAATGCTGGACTGGTAATGACTTCCCTTCAGGATTTTGAAGCCACTGTGCCAATGCCTTCTAGTTTCCAGTTTTGCTGTTGAGAAGTCTAAAGTCGTTTAGATTCTTGACCCTTAGTGTGTGACCTGTTTTCCAGGAACAGCAAGGGGGCCAGAATTGTTAGAACAAAGTGGGCAAAGGAGAAGAGTAGGGTGGAAGGGGATAGATCACACAGGACCATGTAAATTTCATTTTTTTTTACTCTGAGTCTCATGGAAGCTACTGTAGGATTCTGAGCAAAGGAGAAACATTACTGACTTAACTAAAATGGATCACTTCAACTGCTGTAGTGAGACTAAACTTGAGGGGGCTTGGGGGTAGCAAGAGGGCAGAAACAAGGTGATCCATAAAGAGGCTAAATGCAGCAATCCAGGCAAGAGATGATGGTAGATTAGACCAAGGTGTTGCACTGGAGGTGTGAAAAATGGCTGGATTCTGGATGTATTTTTAAGGTTGACCCAAAGGATGGTTCTGCATCAGATGTGGGTTGAAAGAAGAGGGTAGGCTGGGCACAGTGGCTCACACCTGTAATCCCAGCACTTTGGGAGGCTGAGGCGGGTGGATCACGAGGACAAGAGATCGAGACCATCCTGGCCAACATGATGAAACCCCGTCTCTACTAAAATTACAAAAATTAGCTGGGCATGGTAGCGCGCACCTATAGTCCCAGCTACTTGGGAGGCTGAGGCAGGAAAATTGCTTGAACCCGGGAAGCGGAGGTTGCAGTGAGTCGAGATCGTGCCACTGCACTCCAGCCTGAACAACAGAGTGAGACTCCGTCTCAAAAACAACAACAAAAAAAAAAAAAAAAAAGAAAAAGAGGGTAAAAGATAATTGAACTGAAATTGTTACCTGAACATTCAGAATAAGCTTAGGGGCAAGATAAATTTGGTTACACACATGTCAAATTTAAAATGCCTATTAGTTTCTAAATGGAAAAGATGTGTCAACATTTGGATATACAAAGACCTGGAATCCAGAAGCATGAGCATCTTAGCCCAGCTGGCATTGGGGCATGACTTTGGCTCTTGTTTTGACAACTTACCCTCCCTTTTATCCTATTTCCCATGCCAGGCTCTCCAATGTGAGCTACAAAATACACTTTAATAACTCCTTTCTCAAACTCCTGGCCTCAAGTGATCCACCTGCCTCAGCCTCCCAAAGTGATGAGATTATAGGCATGAGCCACCGTGCCCAGCCTAATCATCCAGAATTTCTATTACTCATAATGAAGAACCTTAACTGATAACACTATTAAATCAGGAAAAGGGCCGGGTGTGGTGGCTGAAACCTGTAATCCCAGCACTTTGGGAGGCCGAGGCGGGTGGATCACCTGATGTCAGGAGTTTGAGACCAGCCTGGCCAACATGGTGAAACCCCATCTCTACGAAAAATACAAAAATTAGCCGAGCGTGGTGGCAGGCGCTTGTAATCCCAGCTACTCAGGAGGCTGAGGCAGGAGAATCGCTTGAATGCAGGAGGTGGAGGTTGCAGTGAGCCGAGATGGCGCCATTGCACTCCAGCCTGGGCAACAAGAGCGAAACTCCATCTCAAGAAAAAACAAAACAAAACAAGAGAAAAAACTAGCCAGGTGTGGTGCTGTGTGCCTGTAGTCCCAGCTACTCGGGAGGCTGAGGCAGGAGAATCGCTTGAACCCGGGAGGCGGACGTTGCAGTGAGCAGAGATCGCGCCATTGCACTCCAGTCTGGGTGACAGAGGGAGACTCCATCTCAAAATAAATAAATAAATAAACAAACAAAGCAGGAAAAGAAGTTTTAAATTGTGAATAAATACAATTTTATTTTAAAAATTAAAAATAGGGAATGTATATTCAGGGCAACTTGAGTGTATGCTCCCAGAAAGCAAAAAAAAAGTTTATTAAAAAAAATTTAACATAACAGATTTATGTATCATACTCTTAGGCATTATTTATAGTAGTACATAGTATACTTTATTATTTATGAAAAGGAACTAATAATAAAATCCTAACTGCTCCTAAGTTGTGTATATTCCTTGGCAAAGCTCATCTATTTCTACAGAATAGGCAAAAACTAAACCACAGCCCAGCATATAACTAATGACCTAACCTGTAAATCATCATTAAAATCTTCAAGTTTCTCCAGGTGTCTACTTGCTATAAGAACTTTAAATTCTTAAAAATTGATGATATTCTGGCCTTCAAAAAAACCCAATTACATTACATGAGGTCAACAAAAAAACCCAAAAATTCACAATTAGTACTTGAAATTTTACTCTATTACAAAGATGAATTAAATGTCCATTTTTAGAAAGTGAGAATAAATCTGTTCTGTCATTATACTGTATCAGTAACTACATCTGTGAGTTTCCTAAGCACACAGGGATTTAAATTCTCGTAGTTATAACTAACGGCAAAAAATTATACCCTCAGATAAATTGCTTTTAAAATACAGGCTGGGAGTTAACTTAGAGTTCTATAAAGCTGTCAGATAACAGGTACTAAGAAAAAAGGTCCTCTGAAGTATAAAAGTAGAAGATAATGGATGAGGTGGGGTGCAGTGGCTCATGCCTATAATCCCAACACTTTGGGAGGCTAAGGCGGGAGGATCACTTGAGGCCAGGAGTTCGAGACCACCCTGGGCAACCTGGGGAGATCCCATCTCT
Source organism: Homo sapiens (assembly GCF_000001405.40). Classification (NCBI taxonomy): domain Eukaryota; kingdom Metazoa; phylum Chordata; class Mammalia; order Primates; family Hominidae; genus Homo; species Homo sapiens. Next base: position 39,601,782 of record NC_000004.12, read on the forward strand.
ACCAAAATGTAAAAAATTAGTTGGGCATGGTGGTGCATGCCTGTAATCCTAGCTACCTGGGAGGCTAAAGTGGGAGGATTGCTTGAGCCCAGGAGTTCAAGGTTGCAATGAGCTATTACCACACCACTGCATTTCAGCCTGGGGGAAAAGAATAAGACCCTATCTTAAAAAAAAAAAACAAAAAAAATGCTAGTTTGGTGACTCATGCCTGTAATCCCAGCACTTTGGGAGGGGGAGGTAGGCAGATAGTTGAGCTCAGGAGTTCAAGACCAGCCTGGGCAACATGGTAGAACCCCACCTCTATAAAAAAAACAAAAATTAGCCAGGTGTGGTGGCTGGTGCCTGTGGTCCCAGCTACTCAGGAGACTGAGGCAGGAGGATTGCTTGAGCCTGGGAGACAGAGGTTGCAGTGCGCAGAGATCGTGCCACTGCCCTACAGCCTGGGTGACAGCAAAGTCATGTCTCAAAAAAAAAAAAAAATGATGATAATGGATGCATGAGAGGTGGAAAAGCCTATTAGAAAAGAATATTGGCCGGGCGCAGTGGCTCACGCCTGTAATCCCAGCACTTTGGGAGGCCGAGGCAGGCGGATCACCTGAGGTCAGGAGTTCGAGACCAGCCTGGCCAACATGGTAAAACCCCATCTCTACTAAAAATACAAAAAGTAGCTGGGCGTGGTGGCAGGCGCCTGTAATTCCAGCTGCTTGGGAGGCTGAGGCATGAGAATCGTTTGAATCCAGGAGGCAGACGTTGCAGTGAGCCTAGACTGCATCATTGTACTCCAGCCTGGGCAACAGAGCAGACTCCATGTCAAAAAACAAACAAACAAAAACGATCGGCTCTTTGCTTCATAAACAAATATTCTCTCCTTAGACTCATCTATTTTTACACCAAGTTATCAGAGCCATCACATTACCATTATATTTCTATACCCTCAAGAGTCTGATTTAATGTATAAGTTCTTATTTTATTCCTTTCCTTCTGAGGCATTCTTAAGGATCACAAGTCCTAGTGCATGCTGACTCTAAAAAAGTACATCATTCACAAGAAACACATTTCTGATCACTATATGTAGCAACACTAAGCAAGCAGAAAACCTGCTTATTAGTTATTGACAACTTAAATATTTGAGCAAATGTTTGTACGTACCTTTATTAACTGACATACAAGAGTATTTTAAAACAATAAAATGTTACAGGTTGAGTATCCCTAATCTGAAACCCAAAATGCTTCAAAATCTGAAATTTTTTGAGCACCAACATGATGATCAAAGGAAATGCTCTTTGGAGCATTTTGTATTTTCAGATTAGGGATGTTAAACCAGTAAGTATAATGCAAATATTCCAAAATGCAAAAAAAATCCAAAACACCTCTGGTCCCAAGCATTTCGGATAAGGGATACTCAACCAGTATAATGTGTAATATAAGAATATACTTCACTGTTAATAATGGTCAAATTTTTCCTTTTGCACATAAAAAGTATAAAGTATAATATAGCTGGGCGCGGTGGCTCATGCCTGTAATCCCAGCACTTTGGGAGGCTGAGGCAGGTGGATCACGAGGTCAGGAGATTGAGACCATCCTGGCTAACATGGTGAAACCCCATTTCTACTAAAAAATACAAAAAATTAGCTGGGCATGGGGGCGGGCACCTGTAGTCCCAGCCACTTGGGAGGCTGAGGCAGGAGAATGGCGTGAACCTGGGAGGCGGAGCTTGCAATGAGCCAAGATCGCGCCACTGCACTCCAGCCTGGGTGACAGAGCGAGACTCCATCTCAAAAACAATAAATAAAAAATAATAATAACAATAATAAAGTATAATATAAACAGCCCTGTATTTAAGCTTATAGACTCACTACAATCGACTCAATGAGACTATTCAAATCTTGTTGTTCAGAAATCTACCTCTGTCAAATAATTGATTTGTTTTCAGAAATGCTTTACATAGGCCAGGCGCAGTGGTTCACGCCTGTAATCCCAGCACTTTCGGGGACCGAGGTTGGCAGATCACCTGAGGTCAGGAGTTTGAGACCAGCCTGACCAACAAGGTGAAACCCCGTCTCTACTAAAAATACAAAAATTAGCTGGGCATGGTGGTGCGCACCTGCAATCCCAGCTACTTGCAAAGTTGAGGCAGGAGAATCACTTGAACCCAGGAGGTGGAGGTTGCAGTGAGCCGAGATCGCACCACCGCATTCCAGCCTGGGTGGCAGAGTGAGACACTGTCTCAAAAAAAAAAAAAAAAGAAATGCTTTACATAGAGATTCGTATTGTCATGCCATATGTTGGTGTAGGATATGAACTATATCATAACAGGAACTGTCAATAGCAGCTTAGCAGGCAAACAAGCTCCACACAGCTAAAAACAATTTTATTTGTATTGATATAAAGTAGAAAAGGCAATATACATATGTGTTATCTACCCATGATGGCAAATGTCACCAACATAAATCTACCATAAAGACAGTAGTCTGGGCTGGGGAGGTGGATCACACCTGCATTCCCAGCACTTTGGGGGGCTAAGGTGGGCAGAACACTTGAGGTCAGGAGTTTGAGACCAGCCTGGGCAACATGGTGAAACCCAGTCTCTACTAAAAATGCAAATATTAGCCAGGCGTGGTGGCACACTCCTGTAGTCCCAGTTACTCGGGAGGCTGAGGCAGGAGAATCGCTTGAACTCAGGAGGTGGAGGCTGTAGTGAGCCGAGATAGCACCACTACACTCCAGCCTGTGCAACAGAGCGAGACTCCATCTCAAAATAATAATAATAATAATAATAACAATAATAAAGACGGTAGTCTGTTTTCATCTCTAATGAAATAATTGCTAGCAAACTTTTTTTTTTTTGAGACAGAGTCTTGTTCTGTCGCCCAGGCTAGAGTGCAGTGGCATGATCTCGGCTCACAACAATCTCTGCCTCCTGGGTTCAAGCAATTCTCGTGTCTCAGCCTTCCGAGTAGCTGGGATTAAAAGTGTGTGCCACCACGCCTGGCAAATTTTTATATTTTTAGTAGAGATGGGGTTTTGCTTTGTTGGCCAAACTGGTCTCGAACTCCTGAGTTCAAGTGATCCGCCCACCTTGGCCTCCCAAAGTGCTGGGATTACAGGTGTGAGCCACTGTGCCCGGTCACATTTTAATCATTACAACTTAAACAAATGTGGAATTTCAATTATGAAATACTCTTTAGTGACCATCAGATGAAAACCCTCCAATAACCAGTATTTTCATGAAAAGAGGATACAAGGGATACAGATCAGTTCAGAATAGGATTGTCCTGTTGCATCTCACCAGATTGATCAGTCTTCTCATTGCATGTTCATGAGAGCAAACACATTCACAGGGATCAAATCCACCTTCTGCCATGATTACCCAGCTTGATTTTACTTGACTGTTTAAATCTAGGAGGAAGGAAAAAATACTGTTAAGTCTACAATTCAGAATTACTCTTTCTCTTGAGCTATGAAAAATTCTGATATTGATTACATTCACAATAGTATTAAACTATGTATAGTTTGTATTTATTGACTTGTATCTATTAATTTATTATTAATCTTATATGAATTATGAATCTATACAGGTGATTGGCTACCCCTTCTGCCATCAGCCCATAAATACAAATGTCTTCAATGCTCTAAACTGGCCCCACCTGTGATGCTGAAGATGCTAGAACCTACTCTGCTTAATTACTCAATTATTTGACTTTATTAGCTCCAGTATGCAAATAATTTAAACCAGCCTTTACCCTCACCAAGAAAGACATCTGAAAAGGTATCTAAAATGATACCAAGGTTTATGGGGGGAAATTAATGACATAGCTAAAAAATAGCTAGGTAGATTTCAAAAAATAAAGAGAAACAAATGAGAGGTCAAGATGGAGTATTGGCAACCAGATTTACTGTTCTGCCTAAAACAATTTTTTAAAAATTAGACAAAATACATGAAACAATTGTTTTTTGCTGTTGTTTTGTTTTGTTTTTAGACAGAGTCTCGCTCTGTCGCCCAGGCTGGAGTGCAGTGATACGATCTCAGCTCACTGCAACCTCCGCCTCCTGGGTTCAAGAGATTCTCCTGCCTCAGCTTCCGGAGTAGCTGGGATTACAGGCATGCACCACGCCCGGCTACTTTTCATATTTTTAGTAGAGATGGGGTTTTGCCATGTTGGCCAGGCTGGTCTTGAACTCCTGACCTCAGGTGATCTGCCCACCTCGGCCTCCCAAAGTGCTAGGATTACAAGTGTGAGCCACCGTGCCCGGCCAGAAACAATTGTTTTTAAGATATTAAGGCCAGGCGCACTGGCTTACTCCTGTAATCCCAGCACTTTGGGAGGCTGAGGCGGGAGGATCACTTGAGCCCAGGAGTTTGAGACCAGCCTGGGCAACCTAGTGAGACCTCACCTCTACAAATAATTTAAAAATTAGCTGGGCATGGTGGCACAAACCTGTGGTCCCAGCTACTCAGAAGGCTGAGGTGGGAGGATTGCTTGAGCCCTGGCAGTCAAGGCTGCAATAAGCCATGATCACGCCACTGCATTCCAGCCTGGGCAACACAGTGAGTTCATGTTTAAAAAAAAAAAAAAAGGGCTGAGTGTGGTGGCTCACACCTGTAATCCCAGCACTTTGGGAGGCCGAGGTGGGTGGATCACAAGGTCAGGAGATAGAGGCCATCCTGGCCAACATGGTGAAACCCCGTCTCTACTAAAAATACAAAAATTAGCCAAGCGTGGTGGCGTGTGCTTGTAGTCCCAGCTACTCAGGAGGCTGAGACAGGAGAATCGCTTGAATCCGGGAGGCAGATGTTGCAGTGAGCCAAGATCGCGCCACTGCACTCCAGCCTGGCGACAGAGCAAGACTCCGTCTCAAAAAAAAAAAAAAAAAAAGACATTGAACATGAGGCTACAAAGAATAGTGACACCTGAGAGACGGAAAAACAAATGAGATGAGCCCTATCACTGGCCCAGTTTACTGCCTCGAGGAGACTCTAGTTCCAAGTATGTGGTGGGAAAACCCAGACCAGAGCCCAGTGGTATCCCTAAGTTGGGGAGAAGAAACTAGAAGAATGACTATATTAAGGAGAGACATTAAAGATAGTAAAATCATCCAACTGGACTGGTAGAGATAAAAACAATAGTGTCCGAAATGAAAAATACACCAGATGGGTTTAACAGCATAGGAGACATTACAGAAGAAAAGATTACTGAACTTGAAGACATAATAACAGTAGCTATCAAAAATGAAATAATAGAAAAAGGGGTGGATAAACCAGTAGTCCCAGCCACTTGGGTGGTTGGGGCAGGAGGACCATTTGAGCCCAAGAGTTCAAGGCCAGCCTGAGCAACACAGTGAGAACCCATCTCTGAAAAAAATAAACAAAAACATACATAGGCCATTAGTGAGCTGTGGGACAACTTCAAATGGTCTAATATATGTGAATTGTGGACACATCCATCAAAACTTATCAAATTGTATATTTAAATGTGCATAGTTTATTGTTTATCAATTATATCTCAATAACGAGTAAAATTATGCTTATATACAGCATTAGCCATGGAAAACCATTCTGGTTAAAAGGTGGAATAGGCAGATCAATAAAACAATTCATAAATTAACTTAAAATTAAAAATTGAGTGATTAACATAAATTCACTCAAAAATATTTAGTGCTTATGCTAAGCCTATTAGAAATTTAAAAGTAGGCTGAGCATGGTGGCTCACACCTGTAATCCTAGTAGTTTGGGAGGCTGAGGCAAGAGGATCACTTGAGCTCAGGAGTTCAAGAATAGCCTGAGCAACATAGTGAGACCTCATCTCTGTAAAAATAAAAAAGAAATTTAAAGTAAGCAAAAACTGATAGTTCTTACCCTAATGGTGTTCACATTCCAGTAGTAGACACAGATACTAATCTAAATGTTTTTTAAATTATAAATACAAACTGATAAATGCTATAAAAGATAAACGAAAGAGTGAAAAGACAACTCCCAGAATGGAATATTTGCAAATCATCTGTTTGATAAAGGTTTAGTATTCACAACATATAAAGAATTTCTATAACTCAATAACAAAAGATAAGCAATTTTTAAATGGCAAAGAACTTGAACAGACATTTATTCAAAGAAAATATACAAATGGCTAATAATTATATTAAAAATGCTTAAAGTCAGTAATCATTAGGGAGATGCAAATCAAAACCACAATTAGATACCACTTCATACCTACTAGTATGGCTATAATCAAAATGGAAAATGAGTGATGTAGAAAAACTAGAACCCTCATACAACCCTCATGTAAAATGGTGGTGTGGCTGCTGTGGAAAATAGTTTGAAAGTTCCTCAAAAGTTAAACACAGATTATCATAAGACTCAACAATTCTACTCATAGGTATATACCTAAGAGATTTGAAAACATAGACTCAAGATTGGGCATGGTGGCTCACGCCTATAATCCCAGCACTTTTGAAGGCTGAGGTGGGAGGATCACTTGAGCCCAGGCAACACGGTGAGCAAGACCCTGTCTGTATTTATAAACAACAACAAAAAAGAAAACATGAACTTCAACAGATACTTGTTTACCAAATATTCAGAGCAGCATTGTTTGCAATAGACAAGAGACAGAAACAACCCAAGTGTCCATCAAGTGAAAAATGGATAAACAAAATGTGGTATACACATACAATGGGGATATTCAGCTGTAAAAAGGAATGAGGTTCTGATATGTTACAACATGAATGAACTTTGAAAACATTCATCAAACTGAAATTAGCCAGACAAAAAATAATATGCTATGATTCCATTTATATGAAATATCTAGCTAGAATAGGCAAATTCATGGAGACAGGAAGTAGAATGGTGACTTCTAGGGACTTAGGGAAGAAAGGAATGGGAAGTTACTGCTTAAAGAGTTTCTATCTGTGGTAATAAAAAAGTTTTCAAAATGATGGTGATAATTGTACAACACTGTGAATGTAATTAATGTCACCAAACTGTACACTTTAAAAATGGTTAAAACTGCAAATTTTGTTATATTTTACCCCATTAAAAACAATCACTCTGGTTGCCTAGAGCTGGGAAGTTTGCAGGGGAAATAGGGAGTGACTGCTAATGTGTATAGGATCTTTCAGGGGGGCTGAAAAAACTGTTCTATGGTGATAATCACACAACTCTGTGAATATACTAAAAGACACTGTAATGTACATTTTATTTTATTTTATGTATTGTTTTGAGATGGAGTCTTGCTCTGTCACCCTGGCTGGAGTGCAGTGTCATGATCTCGGCTCACTGAAACCTCCACCTCCCGAATTCAAGCCATTCTCCTGCCTCAGCCTCCAGACTAGCTAGGACTACAGGCGCGTGCCACCATGCCCGGCTAATTTTTTGTATTTTTTTTTAGTAGAGATAGTGTTTCACCATGTTAGCCAGGATGGTCTCGAACTCCTGACCTAGCGATCCGCCCGCCTTGGCCTCCCAAAGTGCTGGGATTAGAGGCATAAGCCACCGTGCCCGGCCTGTATTGTACATTTTAAACGGGTGCATTGTATGGTATGTAAATCATATCTCAAAAAAGCTGTTACATAAATGGTGCCTAGAGAGCATATACATGTTCTAAACTCATCCGGAGAGTCAGGGAAGATTTTACTGAAGAAATTAACTAGAAGTTGAGAGTGAAGGAATGAGTTAAATACATTAGGGAGAGGTAGAAGTAGAAGGTGTGAGACTTGGGGGTTGAGGGCATTCTAGACACAAAGGGAAAAGAAGTACAAAGGTCCTTTATGAGTAAGAGTATGACATGTTGGAGGAACTGAAAGAAAGCCACACTGTGCTAGAATCTGGATAGCAAAGTGGTTTAAAATGACACAGGAGAGGTCAGAGGGAGTCATGCCACAAAGGGTCTTTCCGGCTATGTTCATGATTAGGTCGTTACCCCAAGAGCAATGTGAAGAACAATGTGAAGCAATGTGCTTTCATCCTGGTGTGTTCTAAAAAGACCACCTCAGCTGCACGATAGAAAACTGAGAAAAGGGAAGCCACAGTAGGTAGAGGGAACCTAGTTAAAATGCTCTTTCAACAGATCAGCGACAACGGCGGGGCTCCTTGGAGAATGATATTTTAATGACAGCATATTGAATCACTGGAAGGAAGACAAATTATTTCATAAATGGTGTTAGCTCCCTCCCTATTCTCATTCCTTATGCCAAAATAAATTCTAGACGCATGAGTGATTTAACTTTTAATTTTGAGACAGTGTCTGGCTCTGTCACCCAGGTGGGAGTGCAGTGGCGCGAACACACCTCACTGCAGCCTCAACCTCCCAGGCTCAAGTGATCCTTCCCTCTCAGCCTTCCAAGTAGCTGGGACCACAGGTACACACCCCATCTTGCTAGTTTTAAATTTTCTGTAAAGACGGGGTCTCCCTATGTTGCCCAGGCTGGTCTTGAACTCTTGAGCTCAAGTGATCCTCCCTCCTCAGCCTCCCAAAGTGCTGAAATTACAGGTGTGAGCCACCGCGCCTGGTCCAATTTAACTTTTAAAAATGAAGTCACACATAAAATTAGTCAACTACAGCAACAGATTAGAACACAGTATCCACAAATTGACCCATGATTTTACTGAAATTGAAAATATGCAAAAGGTGCCATTTAAAATCATGGATTATTTAATAAATGGCAGGGTGATTGTCTTTTTTTTTAAAGTAAACTGTGACACATACATAAAGCACTGGAAGCCTGAGCAATATAGCAAGACCCCATCTCCACACACAAAAATTTTTTTTAATTAGCTGGGTGTGGTGGCGTGTACCTGTAGTTCTAACTACTCTGGAGGCTGAAGTAGGGGGATCGCTTGAGCCCAGGAGATTGAGACCATAGTGAGCTATGATCACACCACTGCACTCTAGCCTGAGTGACAGAACTAGACCTGGTCTCTTAAAAAAAAAAAAAAAACTGAAAGAACATACAACAGACTTAATATGTGAATAGCTCTGGGGAAGAGAATAAAATTTTAGGGACTAGAGTTTCGTTGTCAATTTTTACATTTCTTATGAGTATGTATTTATGCATTAAGACTTCTAAAATATAAATTTTAATTTTAAAAAGGCACACATACATAACTACAAGAAGATGACTGGGATACATATAGAATATAAGTCCAAGAAACCATGAAGGAAAGGACCAATAATTTTAACAACCAAAACCAATAAAAGTTTCTATAAAACCAAAAATACACCATAAAATGAAAATACAACAAACTTGAAAAACCATGTGCAATATCAGGGCTAGTTTCCTTAATTTACAGAGAACTCTGAAAAAATCAGTATGAAAATGGCAACCTAGAAGAAAAGTGAGCGAAGATTACATTCACAGGAAAATACAGAACCAATAAGCAAATAAAAAATGGAAGTGTAAATCAAAACAATCTTATACCTATCAGGAGATTGGTAAAATTAATTCATCCAGCCAGACACGGTGGCTCACGCCTATAATCCCAGCACTTTGGGAGGCCAAGGCAGGCAGATCACCTGAGGTCAGGAGTTCGAGACCAGCCTGGCCAACATGGCCAAACCCCGTCTCTACTAAAAATACAAAAATTAGCTGGGCATGGTGGCAGGTACCCGTAATCCCAGCTACTCAGGAGGCTGAGGCAGGAGAATTGCTTGAACTCGGGGGGTGGAGGTTGCAGTGACCCAAGATAGCACTAATTCACTCCAGCCTGAGCAACCGAGCAAGACTCCATCTCAAAAAAAAAAAAAAAACAATTAGCCAGGAATGGTGGTATGCACCTGTAATCCTAGCTACTCAGGAGGCTGACACAGGAGAATCGCTTGAACCCAGGAGGTGGAGGTTATAGTGAGCCGAGATTGCCCAGCCTGGGCAACAGAGCAAGACTCCATCTAAAAATAATAATAATAATTCATCCTGGTTAATTTGAATATTCATATTCAAACAAGTATGCAAAATTTCTGTACAGCATGTTTACTGGAATACTGTAACAGCAAAGAAAAAAGTAATGCAAAGTATTTATCAGTGTTGTTCCAATTAAATGATACAATGAGTACATGAGATCCTATACAGCTGTTAGAAAGAATAAGGTAGATTTCTACATGGTGATTTGGTGAACCAACCAACATATATTGAGATGAAATCAAGCTGTAAACAGGGCAAACCTTTCCATCTAATATCCTTCTAGATCTGCTTGCCTGAGCTAAGGGGAGAAGGGGAGGTGAGAATTGGAAAGGGAGATGGAGATGCGGCCTGAGCTGGAGAGGCTCACTTTCCAGAAGGTAAGCAACACCATATGCAAACTCTACTTCACAGTTTTGTCTGAGGCCACTCTGTCAACACCTTTAAAAAAAAAAAAGGGTGATTAGCTTTCACATTAGAGAACTGATTGTACATATGCAACACAGAAAACTCTGAAAGTAAATATAACCTACCCTTATATGTAAAGTTCACCAGTAAATTCCTGTTTCTCAACTGTCTTTTCTTTTTTTGTTTTTTCTTTCTTTAGATGGAGTTGCACTCGTTACCCCAGTTGGAGTGCAATGGTGTGATCTCGGCTCACTGCAACCTCTACCTCCCAGGTTCAAGCAATTCTCCCGCCTCAGCCTCCCAAGTAGCTGGGATTACACACATGCGCTATGCTGGTCTGGATATAAGCAAGTGTTAACTACAGATACTGGTCCATCCTTCCTTAGTCCCGATGTATATCCCCCCAGGTCAATACTGTGTTGGTTAAAATGAAATACTAGTCCATCCTTCCTTACTCCTGACGTGTATCCCCCCAGGCCAATACTGTGTTGGTTAAAATGAAAAGATATTTTACTAAGATTTTCTTATTTTTTAAAAATTTGAGACAGGGTCTCACTGTGTCACCAAGGCTGGAGTGCAGTGGCACAATCATGGCTCACTGCAGCCTCGACTTGCCAGGCTCCAGCAATCCTTCCACTTCAGCTTCCCCAGTAGCTGGGACTGCAGGCACCTGCCATCATGCCTGGCTAATTTTTGTATTTTTGGTAGAGACGAGGTTTTGCCATTTGCCCAGGTTGGTCCTGAACTCTTGAGGTTAAGAACTCCACCTGCCTTGGCCTCCCAAAGTGCTGGGATTATTGGCATGAACCAACAAGCATGGCCTTTTACTAAGATTTTTATAAAAGAAATTAAATACAGAAATGACCACCTCTGTAGCCTCTGAACACAGAAATTTAAGAAAGCACAAGCACATTGGCTTTTATAAAGAAAGGGAGACTTGTTTTTATCAATGTATTATCCATCAAAATTGTAAAACATGGCTATTTTAAAATCTCTTTTTAATTCATTAAATCAACAAAATCAGACTCCACCACCACCCCTAAAAAAAACAGAGCTTCTGGAGGGCAGAAATCTTAGTCATCATCATCTCTGAACACCACCTATATTGCTTAGCCACAGCACTCATAGAATAAATATTTACTGAATTCTTGACAATGTTTATTTTCTCTACATCTATATGTGCCAGGAACAAGTAAATCAACCAGAATTTTAAATTATACTTCAGTCTTAATTAGCCTCCAGTAAAATGAGAAAGTATATTTATAAATAGGACATTCCTCAATAGTGCTACACTTCTGTGGAACTTTCTTCCTGTACACTTGAGCTGTTTTAAGTACTACTCCGTTTTCAGTTAACAGTTTCCATTTTAAAATCACTGGGGGTTTTTTTGAAAATAGAATGAACACAGTTCTCTTTTGGTGAGGACCCAAGAACAAGTGTCAACACAAACCAGCAGCTAGGCACTAGAAGAAAAAAACTTAACCAGTCCCACCGCACATTTAAATCCCTTGGTCTCCAGAGACATTAAGAAGCTGCTCTATCCTAGGCAAGACAGAACAGTTTTACTGAATCAGAATTTTAGTACATCTGCCTCAATGAGGTCTTTGATAGAAAGTAATTTAAAACAAAGTTTCATCTTGTATGTTTCATTGACTTGTTCATCTCCCCGATATATATCGCTAATGTTAGAGAACAATGCTAATACCAAAGTCACGGGGGGCTTGATCCTTGAGGACAAGCAGCTTCAAGACTTGTTTCTCAAAAATGTGCAACAGGTCACAAAGGTCTAAGTCATGAAAACATAAATAGTTTACTAACAAAATTCAAAATAGCCAGGCACGGTGGGCTCATGCTTGTAATCTCAGCATTTTGGGAGGCCGAGGTGGGTAGATCACCTGAGGTTAGGAGTTTGAGACCAGTGTGGCCAATATGGTGTGAAACCCAGTCTCTACTAAAAATACAAAAATTTGCTGGGCATGGTGGTGCACGGCTGTAATCCCAGCTGCTTGGGAGGCTGAAGCAGAATTGCTTGAACCTGGGAGGGTTGTAGTGAGCCGAGATGGCACCATTGCACTCCAGCCTGGGCAACAAGAGCGAAACTCCATTACAAAAAAAAAAAAAAAAAAGAAAATTCAAAATAATCGAGGAGCAGTAAGGGAAGCAAACATAGGCATAGATGAAATAAAACGGACAATAAGTTGATAATTATTGAAGTTGGGTTATAGGTTCTGGGGAGTTCCTATGCTACTTTTTTTTTTTTTGAGACAGAGTTTTGTTCTTGTTGCCCAAGGTGGAGTGCAGTGGCACAATCTCGGCTCCCTGCAACCTCCACCTCCCAGGTTCAAGCGATTCTCCTGCCTCAGCTCCAGAGTAGCTGGGATTACAGGTGTGTGCCACCACGCCCGGCTAATTTTCTGTATTTTTAGTAGAGATGGAGTTCCACCATGTTGGGTAGGCTGGTCTTGAACTCTCAACCTCAGGTGATCTGCCTGCCTCAACCTCCCAAAGTGCTGGGATTACAGGCGTAAACCACTGCACCCGGCCCCTATGCTACTTTTTAAAAATATTTTTATATTTCCATAATAGTCATTTAATTTATATGTCAGCATTTTCCCATTTTTGTGATAGCAATCTGACTCCAGGTATATATTAAGCAACATGGTTTATAAGTGACTTTCTATGTAGCATTAAGGGCAAAATAAACAAACATGTCTGAAGCTCTCAAACAATTCTTAGCACAGAAAAGCAGTGAAAGAACATGAATGTTGGGAAGGCAAAAAGCAATTCCCCTTATTCTGCAGGTCCAGGTCATTTTCTCTCCTCTACAACTAATACAACCTTTCCTGGTAGGGATTGGCAGTAATAACTCAGTTGAGTCATACTGTTGCTATATGTGGTGAGGGAATTTTCCAGTGCTGTTAACCAATTTATCATTGCTGTTAGAACCTTAAACACTCCAGCTCATGCAAGTCTCTAAGAGACAGAGGGAGTTAAAATAGCCGATAGAGTCTCTAAAATGTTTTTTTTTTAATTTATTTATAGAGACAGGGTCTTGCTGTGTTGCCCAGGCTGATCTTGAACTCCTGGGCTCAAGTGATCCTCCCACCTTGGCCTCCCGAAGTGTTGGGATTACAGGCGTGAGCCACGACCTCCGGCCCGAATGTAAGATATTAATATTAAGGGAAGCGGGGTGAGGAGTATACTGTAACTTTGTATTACCTTTGCAACTTTTCTGTAAGTCTAAATTTATCCCAAAATAAAAATATTTACTTAAAAAATGTCAAGTCCAAAAGAACTTTAAAAAATAAATAAATGAATGGGGGGATTTTTAGGGCAGTGAAACAATTCTGTATACTACTACAGTGGTAGATACATGTCATTATACATTTGTCAAACCCCATAGGATGTACAATACCAAGAGTGAACCCTAATGTAAACTATGGACTTTAGGTAACAATGACTTTTCAATGTTAGGTTCGTTGACTATATAACAAAGTTTAACACTCTGGTGTCGGATAGTAGGGAAGCTATGCATGTGTGGGGGCAGGGGATATATGAGAACTCTATACTTTCTTCTCAATTTTCCTGTGAACCTAAAACTGCTCTAAAAAAATGATATTTTAAAAAAATAAACTAAAAAACTGGATGTGGATCAATGAAACAAGACTGGCCAGGAGTTAAAGACCATTGAAACTGGATCATGGGTAACTGAAAACTGTTGAGCCTACTTTTGTGTATATTTTTTAAACCTATAATAAAAAGTGTTTTTACAAAGCTTGTATCCTTAAGAATTATATTTCTATCACTCTGTCCTAAGGGACTGTCTGAATTGTGGATTACTGAAAATTTAAAAAACTATAAAGAACCCAAATGTTAGTAATTAAAGCTATGGTACATTCAAGCAATGAAACATACTATGTAGTAACATGGTATAGCTAGCAAAACTGGCCTCTTGCTAATAGTATCTCTATAGTAGATTTGGCTTATTCTGCTAGGCTATTCCACTGAAAACAAGGAAGGGACATCCCTGAAAAGGGTTAAATATTCCCAATTTTGTTGTTGTTGTTGTTATTTTTGAGGCTGAGACTCACTCTGTCACCCAGGCTGGAGTGCAGTGTCGCCATCTTGGCTCACTGCAACCTCCACCTCCTGGGTTCAAGCAATTCTCCTGCCTCAGCCTCCCAAGTAATTGGGAACACAGGCGTGTGCCACCATACCTGGCTAATTTTTGTATTTTTAGTAAAGACGGAGTTTCACCATGTTGGCCAGGCTGGTCTCAAACTCCCGGCCTCTAGTGACCTGCTCCCTCAGCCTCCCAAAGTGCTGGGATTACAGGAGTGAGCCACCGCGCCTGGCCACATTTTATAACTTGGGAGTTTCTGACTCTTGCTTCTCAGACTCCATTGTGCTAACAGACATAAACTGAAAGCATGATTTGGAAAGTTCTTTTCCTTTCCTTTTTAAGTTAATCCTCCCTGGTACCCACATCAAAACGTAACAGAATAGTGTAACCTGACTGTGAGCTTATCTTCTCTATACATCTTCCAATCCATTCCTTACATTTAAAAAAAAAAAAAAAGAAAAGAAAAAGAAAAAAGAAAAGCAGGATTCTAAGGACCCAGAATTACTGCAACTGGATTTTTTCCTTATTTTTCTCAAGGCTGTAGTATAAAAATATGTACCCTTTGAAACCTCTCTACTCTTTTTGCCAATCCCTGGTTTCCTCTCTCCTTCAAAAAGGTTAGTTCCCAGCTTTTTTTCCAAGAGCAACAATACTAAGATATTCATTTCCCTCCTAAGAAATGAGTCAGAATTCCAGTATGCTCAGTGTGAAATTCCTGTGATTAAGGTTTTTAAAAGTATTTAGAATTACTATCTACCTAGAATTTAAACTTGGGGAAGAATTATTGTACATTAAACTCATTATACCGGTTATTGTTAAGATGATCAGATACTGATTTTTTCTTGTTTTCCTATGTTTCTATACATATTACTTTTTGAACCAAATTACATATTTACATATGAATGTGTAAATATTTACATATATGTACAAAATTACATACATGTGTAAACAACAGATACTACCCAAAATAAAAATAAATGCTGATGTCAAAACTCCAATAACATTAGTAACTTAAGGCCAAGTTTTTATCTATGGAGAGATGTTTGCAAATAGTCCCAAACCTTAAGATTTTAGTTTTTGAAAGATGACCTAAGTGGCCTGGGGACAGAATTAGTAAGGAGACTTTTCACTGTATACGATTATGTGTTTTCTGAAATTACACCATTTGAATATTTTAACTATTCAAAGAGTATTAACTTTGTAAAAGAATAATCTTACAGTAAGTTTCTTGTTCTCTCAACCATAGCCATTAGCTCTAGGGAAAAATAATTATATCTCAATTTACTCGAACTGAATATGCTAAATTGTTTAAACCCTGTCTTACCCTCTATCATCACTGAATTTGTTGGTTAAATATAGCATAAAAGGGATTGTAACTCCATAGGTAAATGTAACAAAATTAACCATATCCCATCATCAATGAAGATATTAAAAAGTATGTAAACAGGCCCTATCATGGATACTTCTAAAGTCAGCCTTTCACCTAAATCTGAGGCAAACATTGTTTGCAAAAATCAGTTTTCAAAGTTTACTCTTCCCTGCCCTACTCACTCTCTGGTGGAAGCTTTAACAGCGGAAGAGAATCTAAACAATGAAACAGTGTATCTAAAACAGTGTATCTACCATAAACTATTAATGTTGGTATAGTATTTTGTTAAATTAAGTTTAAAATAAAAGCAAATGGAAATTCATTTTAAAAACATATAAGACGGAAAAAAATCAGGAAAATGACAATGCCTAAACTAGTTTTGTTTTTTATCTTCTCCCAAGGTGCATCTGCAATCAAAGACATCATCTGGATGCTTACCATAGTTGAGATGACAAACGGAAAAAATGGTAGAGAGAGGAGAGAAGTAAGAGAGAATATTACTCCTGCCAAAGCAAGCCCACTTCTTCAGAAATAACAAGTGAAGCCAGCATAGAAACCTAAACTATCAGTGACATCTACTCAAGTCTTGGCAAATACAGAAAAGGCCCCCAAAACATCAAGAGAGGAATTATCACCAGGGGCTGCTGAGGAGAACTTACACCATAAAGAAAAAGGAAAATGCATTCAATCGAGCCCAACTCATTTGAACACCTTGATACTGAACACTGTAACAGGCATGGGAAAAACGATGAGCAAGATGTGATCACCACTCTCAAGATAACCTCAGTCTAATTAAAATGGGGCTCCAGGAACTGCACTTGAAAGCCCCAGAGTATTGGGAGGCCGAGGTGGGTGGGTCACGAGGTCAGGAGTTCAAGATCAGCCTGGCCAAGATGGTGAAACCCCATCTCTATTAAAAATACAAAAATTAGCCAGGCTTGGTGGTTGGTGGGCACCTGTAATCCCAGCTACTCAGGAGGCTGAGGCAGAGACTTGCTTGAACCCAGGAGGCAGAGGTTGCAGTGAATTGAGATCGCACCACTGCACTCCAGCCTGGGCGACAGAGCGAGACTCCATCTCAAAAAAAAAAAAAAACAAAAAAAAAAAACCAAAGCCCAGTGTAATGAAACTCACTCATTCTCATTCTCTTTTACCCACTCTCACTGACTACACTTCCCAAGCAGCAAGTACCATTGCATAATAGCTTTTATATTTTTTAGGTCTGGTAATTTACAGAAAGGACTGCACACTTTTTTCAACCTGCATGTTGGACCTTGCAGGGGTGTCAAGCCCCCTGTTGAGAAGAAAGTGAGTGTGAATAGACTCAGTAGGAAGCAGCATTATGGAGTAGAGATTTGGGCATAAAATGGCAGCAGGGATGCATATACACCACATACTCACCTCTCCTGGCTGATAGATCCTTTATATTCCACAAGCCTGTCTTTGGAATATATGTGATATACTATCTCTAACCAACAAATTAAGTGATGATAGAGGGTAAGACAGGGTTTAGATAATTTAGCATGTTCAGTTCAAGAGAAAATTGAGATATAATTAAATATATATGAGAAAATTGAGATAATTATAATTTAATTTATTATATATACCAATAAATATAATTTAATTTATTCTATATATCAATAAATATAATTTATTCTATATATCAATAAATATAATTTATTCTATATATCAATAAATATAATTTATTCTATATATCAATAAATATAATTTATTCTATATATCAATAAATATAATTTATTCTATATATCAATAAATATAATTTATTCTATATATCAATAAATATAATTTATTCTATATATCAATAAATATAATTTATTCTATATCAATAAATATAATTTATTCTATATCAATAAATATAATTTATTCTATATCAATAAATATAATTTATTCTATATCAATAAATATAATTTATTCTATATCAATAAATATAATTTATTCTATATCAATAAATATAATTTATTCTATATATCAATAAATATAATTTATTCTATATATCAATAAATATAATTTATTCTATATATCAATAAATATAATTTATTCTATATATCAATAAATATAATTTATTCTATATATCAATAAATATAATTTATTCTATATATCAATAAATATAATTTATTCTATATATCAATAAATATAATTATATATATCAATAAATATAATTTATTATATATATATCAATAAATAATTTATTATATATATTTATATATATCTCAATTTTCTCAAAAATATTTATATGTATATATAAATGTATATATATATTTATATATATTTATATATATATATATATTTTTTTTTTTTTAAGAGCAAGATAGGGACTCACGCTCTGTGGCCCACGCTAGAGTGCAATGGCAATCATAGCTCACTGCAGCCTCAAACTCATGGCTCAAGTGATCATCCCATGTCAGCCTCCTGAGGAGCTGGGACTAGAGGCACAGGCCACCACACCCAACTACTTAAAAAAATATTTTTGCTGGGCATGGTAGCTCATGCCTGTAATCCCAGCACTTTGGGAGGCTGAGATGGGAGGACTGCTTGAGCCCAAGAGTTCAAGACTGGTCTGGGAAACAGCAAGATCCCATCTCTATTAAGAAAAAAAAAAAAAAATTCGGATGGGCGCTGTGGCTCACGCCTGTAATCCCAGCACTTTGGGAGACCGAGGCGGGCGGATCACGAGGTCAGGAGATGGAGACCACCCTGCCTAACACGCTGAAACCCCGTCTCTACTAAAAATACAAAAAATTAGCCAGGCATGGTGGCGGGCGCCTGTAGTCCCAGCTACTCGGGAGGCTGAGGCAGGAGAATGGCGTGAACCTGGGAGGTGGAGCCTGCAGTGAGCCGGAGATCGCGCCACTGCACTCCATCCTGGGCGAGAGAGATAGACTGTATCAAAAAAAAAATTATTTAAAAATAAAAATAATTTTTTTTGTAGAGACAGAGGTCTTGCTATGTTGCCCAGGTTGGTCGACATAGCAAGGCCAGGCTGATCCTCTGGCCTCAGCCTCCCAAAGTGCTGGGATTATAGGCGTGAGCCATTGTGCCCAGGCTGGAATATGCTGAATATAAAAGTGCTTGTGAGCTGCTATGTACTATAGGAATGTAATGAAAACGATATTTTACTATTACTGTTTCTACAACAATTCACTTTTATGTGGGAAGTGGTGAGTAAGTCCTGATGACCCTGTGTTAAATCTTTAAGGCCAAATGTCTTCTTTGGTCCTGGCAGGAATAAACAAGTTTTTCAAAAATGGTGTGCAAACACACACACACACATACATAATTACAACCAGCAAATCAGATTATAGAATTTTCTGAACAAATTCACCTCAAAATATATCTATTTATATTTATATATCAAAATTGGAATCACAAATAAATGGGGAAGGGATTGCAATTTCAATAAATTCAGTGCTAGGAAAACCTACAGTGTTACAGCTCTTTTAGAATTTGTCTAGCAGGCTTTCCGGTTTTTGCTGGAAAGCTCCCCAGAAAAAATTCCAAAAAGAAAAAACCTACTAGCAGTTAAGGAGGAAAAAAATCAGCAATTCTACCAGATAAGTAAGGTTAACATTTATTTGATCTTCAGGGAAGGACCCCCTACAGATACATACAAACTTTCCATCCATTAAAGTACAGAGAGAAAACAAAAAAGATAAATACAATGAAAAATATCAAATTTAGGACATAAGACTGTGCATTTAAAAAAAATCCCAAGTAAAATTAAAAGAGCAAAAGAATTAGGGGAAAAAAACTCCAAACATTCCACTAATATAGCTGGCAAAGACATTTTAAAAATACAGAGCATATGCAAACCAATTCTTTAGTAAGATGGAACCATTTATACACTGCATTTGAAATTACAAACTATGATAACTTTTCTGGCAATACAAATCCAGATGTTAAAAAAACGTGCATGCCCTCTGAATAATTCCAGTTCTAAGACTATCAAGGAAAATAATCTGAAATACAAAGGTTTATATACAAAGATGGTTATCATGGCTTTAAAGTAGTGAAAAATGGGGATGATCTAAATATCCAGCTAAAAAGAAATATTTAAATTGTGATATACACTGTAAAGTATTATACAGCCAAACGTTTCTTTTTTTTTTTTTTTTTTTTTTTTGAGAAAGGCTCTTGCTCTGTCACCCAGGCTGGCATGCAGCAGAGCAATCATGACTCACTGCATCCTTGACCTCCCAGGCTCAAGTGATCCCATCCCGAGTGGCTGGGACTACGGAGGCGCATGTTATCATGCTTGGCTTTTTTTTTTTTTAAGTAGAGACGGGGTCTCATTATGTTTCTCAGGCTAGTCTCGAACTCCCAGGCTCCAGCCATCTTCCTGCCTCAGCCTCCCAAAGTGCTGGGATTACACGAATGAGCCACCGCACTCGGCCTCATTTTCTTTCTTAATAATATGGAGAAATGATCACAACATAATGTTAAAAGTATATTTAAAAGGGCATAAAAATAAACATAGCAAATGCACTTTTTTGTTTTTTGTTTTTTGTTTTTTTGAGACGGAGTCTTGCACTGTTGCCCAGGCTGGAGTGCAGTGGCACGATCTCGGTTCACTGCAAGCTCCGCCTCCCGGGTTCACGCCATTCTCCTGCCTCAGCCTCCCGAGTAGCTGGGACTACAGGCACCCGCCATCGTGCCCAGCTAATTTTTGTATTTTTAGTAGAGACGGGGTTTCACTGTGTTAGCCAGGATGGTCTCGATCTCCTGACCTCATGATCCCCCCAACTTGGCCTCCCAAAGTGCTGGGATTACAGGCGTGAGCCACCGCGCCCGGCCACAAATGCATGTTTTATTTTATTTTTATTTATTTTTTGAGACGGAGTCTCGCTTTTTTGCCCAGGCTGGAGTGCAGTGGCACGGTCTCGGCTCACCGCAACCTCCACCTCCCGGATTCAAGTGATTCTCCTGCCCCAGCCTCCCAAGTAGCTGGGATTACAGGTGTGTGCCACCACACCCAGCTAATTTTTTTATTTTTAGTAGAGACAGGGTTTCAGCATGTTGGCCAGGCTCGTCTGAAACTCCTGACCTCAAGTGATCCGCCGCCTCTGCCTCCCCAAGTGTTGGGATTACAGGCATGAGTCACCACGCCTGGCCTGCAAATGTTCGTTTTTAAAGGCATAGGAAAACACATACAAATGAAAAGGCTGAAAGAAAACATAAAACTTTAACATCTGTTATCTCTGGGTGGCAGGATTTTACTTTTCACTTTGTACAGTTTTCAAATATCATATAATGGTTACATATTAACTTTTATAATCAGGAAAAAAATTTTTGGATGCAGCAGCTAAATCCAGGGAAGGTCACTCAGTTTCTTCAACAAATAAATGGCAAAAAATAAATAAATCTTAAGAGATGGCAGGGGAACGGTTACAGATTAAAACAAAATTAAGAGATACCAATCCTGATTCAAACCAACCTAGTAAAAGGACATTTATGAACTATCAGGAACTTTGAACACTGTTTAAATGACATTGTTACATACGTACAATGTCAACGATCACATCTAAAAAGAGTCTTTATCTCTTAGGAATCTCACTAAGTATTTTCAGTTAAAGTGATACAATACCTGGGGTCTAGTTTAAAATAAACCTGCCAAGGGGGGAGAGGTATGGATGAAACAAAACCACCATGAGTTTAACTGTTGAAGGCAAGTGATGGGTCCACAGAGATTCATTACACCATTCTACCTTTTAGTGCTAAAAATTTCAAATTATTAATACATAAAAGGTTTTTTAAAAATACATTTTTATAGAAAAACAAACAATTATCTCTTCCCCTCTCCCCGACTCCATGCAAACAGAGCTCTTCCTGAGAAGGCAGGGATAACATTGGCTAATTCAAGGTCAGAATATGAAAATTCTTTTATTGTGATTTTAAAGAATATGATTTATAATAAAATTACTTTTCACATAGCCAGCCAAATCTTCACAGTGATGAAGAACAATATCATAATTCTTTCCATGTTAAAAATAGGCCGGGCGCGGTGGCTCATGCCTGTAATCCCAGCACTTTGGGAGGCCAAGAAGGTTGGATCACCTGAGGCCAAGAGTTCAACACCAGCCTGGCCAACATGGTGAAACTCCATCTCTACTAAAAATACAAAAAAATTAGCCGGGTGTGGTGGTGCATGCCTGCAGTCTCTGCTACTTGGGAGGCTGAGGCAGGAGAATCACTTGAACCCAGGAGGCAGAGGTTGCAGTGAGCAGAGATTGCACCACTGCACTCCAGCTTGGGTGACAGAGCAAGACTCCATCTGAAAAAATGAAAAAATAAAAACCCTCAGCAAGAAGAAAATGCACAGTAACAATTTAGAATGTATGCAATTATTCATAACTGTTGTCTGGTCAGTAAAAAAGAAAGTTTAAAAAAATAGAACGTATGCAATTAGTTTTTACATAACAGAAAACAGAGATACTGGTCAATGAAATGGGAGGCCAGAGGAAGCATTCTATGCATTTTTATCTTAAAAAGCATCAATAAGTAGTTGGGATGACTTTTATCAGATTACCCAAAGTCTCAGTATAATGAGGTGTTCAAACCTACTCATACACAATACTTTTTACAAAATACTCAAAACTGGTTATTCTTTTAACACAAATGGCTCTCAAATATTACCACACCTAGTTTATGTTCTAATGTAGCTTTACTACTTTCACATCTTAACAAAAGCCCTTCTGATAAAAATCAAAGCAGGAAAATTTTCTGTTTTTAAAATGAGGAACATAGCCCCAGCTAAGGTAGTAATTTCACTATGATCGCACATCTAGTATATGACAGATCTTATACAGGAAGTCACATTGTAAAATCCTGAGCAGGACTCATTCCCCATCTGCCAGATATGACCAATCATGCTAGTTATGTTTCTTTCACCCTTACAAAGACAACTTTAGAGCAGTACAGAAATTAGATAACTATCAAATAACTTCCTATTAGTTTGGCCAGGCGCAGTGGCTCATGCCTGTCATTCCAGCATTTTGGGAGGCTGAGGCAGGCGGATCACCTGAGGTCAGGAGTTCAAGACCAGCCTGGCCAACATGGTGAAACCCCATCTCTACTAAAAATACAAAAATTAGCTGGGCGTGGTGGTGTGTCCCTGTAATCCCAGCTACTTGGGAGGCTGAGGCAGAAGAATTGCTTGAACCTAGGAGGCGGAGGTTGCATTGAGCTGAGATCACACTCCAGCCTGGACAACAGAGCAAGACACCATCTCGAAAAAAAAAAAAAAAAAACTTCCTATTCGTTCTTAGTAACGAAATACTTTTCTCTTAAACTACATTTGCTTCTCTGATGGGAAGTAGGCAAGAAAAGGATGCAGACTTGGCTGGGCATGGTGGCTCACACCTATAATCCCAGCACTTTGGAAGGCCGAGGCAGGCAGATCATGAGGTCAGGAGTTTGAGACCAGCCTGGCCAACAAGATGAAACCCCATCTCTACTAAAGATACAAAAAAAAAAGACAAAAGTTAGCTGGGTGTGGTGGTGCATGACTGTAATCCCAGCTACTCGGGAGGCTGAGGCAGGAGAACTGCTTGACCCTAGGAGGTGGAGGTTGCAGTGAGCTGAGATCATGCCATTGCACTCCAGTCTGGGCAACAGGGTGAGACATCATCTCAAAAAAAAAAAAAAAAGAAAGAAAGAAAAAGAAAAGGATGCAGACTCAAGTTCAAATTGGTCAATTAATGTTTGCTAAAAATTATTCTAAAGCTATACCTGGGAGAAGTTAAAGACATACAAAATTTAAATGTTGAAATAAACCCCATTACATGCCCTTGATGTCACAATTCTCTGTGATCTAAACTCACGCAGGATTAAAACTCCCTGAAACTCATCATTACAATTTTTTTTTTCTTTTTTGAGACGGAGTCTTGCTCTGTTGCCCAGGCTGGAGTGCAGTGGCGCAATCTAGACTCACTGCAACCTCCACCTCCCGGGTTCCAGTGATTCTCTGCCTTAATCTCTCGAGTAATTGGCACTACAGGCACGCGCCACCACATCCAACTAATTTTTGTACTTTTAGTAGAGACGGGGTTTCACCATGTTGGTCAGGCTGGTCTCAAACTCCTGACCTCTGGTGATCAGTCTCCCAAAGTGCTGGGATGACAGGCGTGAGCCACTGCACCCAGCCAATCCCTGAAATTCTTATAATTTTACAAGAAAGTGAAAGCTTAAAGACACCCTTTTCAGAGGGCATACTATTCAAAAGGAAGAGACTACAGCAGGCAAGAAAGGACAACAGAAGTTTATTTTCCACAGAATACAACAGGAATATACAGAAGCAACTACGTCAGCATGGCCAGAGGCCACTGTATAGATCAGGTATAGATTAGTGCAGGGGTCCCCAGCCTCCAGGCCATGGACTGGTACTGGTCTGTGGCCTGTTAGGAACCTGGCAGCACAGCAGAAGGAGGTGAGGTGCGGGCCAGCAAGCATTACCACCTGAGCATTACCACCTGAGCTCTGCCTTCTATCAGATCAGCGGTGGCATTAGATTCTCACTGGAGCGACTGCATGCGAGGGATCTAGGCTGCACGATCCTTATGAAAAAATAATGTCTGATGATCTGAGGTAGAATAGCTTCATCCCAAAACCATTCTCCCCACGCCCCCCACCCCTGCCCCAGCCCACTGAAAAAACTGTCTTCTATGAAAATGGTCCCTGGTGCAAAAAAGGTTGGGGACCACTGGATTAGAGTATACCAAGTCTTCATTTATTTATATTCAACAAATCACAACTTCACAAGTGGCACTATTACAACTTTGGAGATACAGCAGTTCTCGCCCACTCAATTAAGAATCACTTGAATTGGAAAGAGGAAAGAACTGAGGCTCTGAAAGCTTCAGTAATTTGCCCAGTCACACAGCACAGGAGGTGGGATTCAAACGCCCTGTCTTCTCTCACTTCTCCTTTCTTGAAAAGGATGTATCTAACAAATTCTCAGGGGACAAAGTAACCAGCAAGAGAGTTCAGAGGAGGATACAGAAGAAACAAAGGTAGCTTTTACCATCAAGAGCTTGCAATCAAGTTAACTGTTAATTTAAATTAAATAATTGCATACCAATAGATAATTAACAACTAAATAAATGTTACAAATTACCTTTGTGATCACTACTTTGGAGAAAGCTCAAAACTCAAGGAAAGGAGAACGCTTTTCTCCTTGACCTTCTATTCCATCACTACTAGGCTTAACTCTTCAAGGTCAGAGAGAATTTCCTCATCTCCTTAATGTTTCCATTTCTCTGCAACACATGATTCTGTTAAGATTCATCCCCCAGGTGGCCACCATTTTTCTAGAAATTCTCATTAAATGTGACCCTATTTTCTCAGGTGCCTTAGTCTATTGGGATGCTTAAACAAAATAACACAGACTGGGTAACTTACAAACAGAAATTTACTTCTCACGGTTCTGGAGGCTAGGAAGTCCAAGATCAAGGCACTGGTAGATTCAGTGTCTGCTGAGGACCCACTCTCTGGTTGGTAGATGGTGCCTTCTCACTGTGTCCTACTATGGTGGAAGAGGGCAAGCAGCTCTCTGAGCCCTCTTTTATAAGGGCACTACTCCTCATGATGATGGCTCCACCCTCATGACTTAATCACTACCCAAAGGCCCACCTCCTCCTAATACTATCACACTGGGGGTTAGGATTTCAAATATGAATTGTGGGGAACACAAGCATTCAGACCAAAGGACTGTCTTAAACATTACCTTCTCTTTCCTTGGCGACCCTTTTTTCTTTACCTCTATCTGACTCCTATTCTAGGATCACTTTAGACAACACTTGCCAAAACATCATGGGACAGCAGAAAGAACATCCTTAGACAAAAAACTTAAGGCAGTACTGAGAAATATTAATAGATAAATCACTTAGCCTTGTTGTGACTTCAGTTTATCTATAAAACAAGAGTGATAATTGAAACTATTCATTTTAAACAGTTGCGCAAAGATCAAGTGAGAATTTGTAACAGTACTTAATAAACTGAAAAAGTTTTAAAACTTGGGGTCAGTTGAAGACCAAAGTATCTTTAACCCTTAGCCCAAGTTCTCTGTATAGTGCTCTGGAGTGTGTGTGTTCCACTGGGGCCAAAGTTATCACTCATCTGCATAAAAGGGAAAGAAAAGAAAGAAGTCTTCTGTTCTTAATCTTGGTCTCTCACCTACTAATGTCCTGTCCTTTCCTGGCCGCAGTTTACTCTTGTACAATCCTAAGAATTCTCTCTGTGCCTGGTCAAGGTCCAGGGGTAAAACTGATCATAAAGAGTCAAACAAAGGAAAGCTTTTCAATTAAATCATCTTTGTTTGTATTCAATATCATAACCATAAGTTTCATAATTTGAAAACGTTTTCTAAAATTTCCACCCAAGAGGGCACATGTCATCAGGACCTCCTGTGTCATGGAGAGAAAATTTTTTAATCCTAAAAAAAAGGCTAGGCGTGGGGGCTCACGCCTATAATCCCAGCACTTTGCGGGGCCAAGGCAGGAGGACTACGAGGTCAGGAATTCAAGACCAGCCTGGCCAACATGGTGAAACGCCGCCTCGACTAAAAATACAAAAATTAGCCAGGTGTGGCGGCACATGCCTGTACACCCAGCTACTCTGGAGGCTGAGGCAGGAGAACTGCTTGAACCTGGGAGGCAGACGTTGCAGTGAGCCAACACCAAGCCATTGCACTCCAGCCAGGGCAACAGAGTGAGACTCCATCACAAAAAAAAAAAAAAGAAAAAAAATTCTACCCAAGAATATTTACTAGTCATATTCTAAATTTTAACATTTTAAAATCAGGAAAATGTGACCAGGCGCGGTGGCTCACGCCTGTAATCCCAGCACTTTGGGAGGCTGAGACGGGCAGATCACGAGGTCAGGAAATCAAGACCAGCCGGGCCAACATGGTGAAACCCCGTCTCTACTAAAAATATTTTTAAAAAAATTAGCCGGGCATAGTGGCACACGCGTAGTCCCAAGTCAGCAACTTGGGAGGCTGAGGCAGGAGAATCGCTTGAACCTGGTAGGAGGAGGTTGCAGTGAGACGAGATCACACTACTGCACTCCAGCCTGGGTGACAAGGCGAGACTCCGTCTCAAACAAACAAACAAACAAAAACTCAGGAAAATGTTTTTCTTTTTTTTTTTTTTTCTTTTTTCTTTTTTTGAGCCGGAGTCTCCCTCTGTCACCCAGGCTGGAGTGCAGCAGCACATTCTCAGCTCACTGCAACCTCCACCTCCTGGGTCCAAGTGATTCTCCTGCCTCACCCTCCCAAGTATCTGGGATTACAGGTGCGTGCCATCACACCCAGCTAGTTTTTATATGGTTAGTAGAGACGGAGTTTTGCCATGTTGGACAGGCTGGTCTCGAACTCCTTACTTCAGATGATCCACCTGCCTCAGCCTCTCAAAGTGCTGGGATTACAGGCGTGAGCCACTGTGCCCGACCAGGAAAATGTTTTCCATAAATCAGAAACAGAAAAATTTAACAGAAAATATAAAAATTCCAGGCCAGGCCTGTAATCCCAGCACTTTGGGAGGCCAAGCTGGGTGGATCACCTGAGGTCAGGAGTTCGAGACCAGCCCGGCTAACATGGTGGAAACCCATATCTACTAAAAATACAAAAATCAGCTGGGCGTGGTAGTGCACATCTGTAATCCCAGCTACTTGGGAGGCTGAGGCAGGAGAATCGCTTGAACCCAGGAAGCAGAGGTTGCAGCAAGCCGAGATCGTGCCACTGCACTCCAGCCTGGGTGACAAAGCAAGACTCTGTCTCAAAAAAAAAAAAAAAAAAGATACATATATATATATATTCCATACTATGTTGATCCCACATAATAGTGCATACAAGTAACTTATAAATGATTTTTTTTTTTTTTGGAGACAGGGTCTCTATTGCCCAGGCTGTAGTGCAGTGGTGTAATCATGGCTCACTGCATCCTTGACCTCCTGAGCTCAAGCCATCTTCCCACCTCAACCCCCCAAGCAGCTAGGACTACAGGTGTGTGCCACCACAATGGCTTCGCTTATAAATGTTAAGCAAGCAGTAGGTTTTTGTTTTGAGATAGGGTCTCTGTTGCCCAGGCTGGAGTGCAGTGGCGTGATCACAGCTCCCTGCAGCCTCAGCCTCCCCAGCTCAAGCAATCCTCCCACCTCAGGCTCCGGAGCAGCTGAGCCCACAGGTGCATGCCATCACACTCAGCCAATTTTTTTACTTTTTTGTAGAGAGAGGGGGTCTCGATGTGTTGCCCAGGTAGGTCTTGAACTCCTGGGCTCAGGTGATCTCCCCACCTCAGCCTTCCAAATTGCTGGGATTACAGGCATGAGCCACCATACCTGGCCAGAAAGCAGTTTTTAACAGCTGTATTACAAAATACTGGTGTGTTCTAAACTTGAGAGGTATATTACAAGCAATGGTACCAGTTTGTTAAAGATGAATGTTATCTAAATAAATTACAACAGAATCAAGACTTTTCCTTAATATTTCATTCACATGCTTGTCTATATGATTTCTC
Source organism: Homo sapiens (assembly GCF_000001405.40). Taxonomy (NCBI): domain Eukaryota; kingdom Metazoa; phylum Chordata; class Mammalia; order Primates; family Hominidae; genus Homo; species Homo sapiens. The sequence goes on from NC_000004.12 coordinate 39,630,100, forward strand.
TGAGCAGAAAGAAGCAGAGTGCTGAGCGCAGTGGCTCACACCTGTAAAACCAATTCTGACAGGCTGAGGCAGAAGAATTGCTTGAGCCTAGGAGTTTGAGACCAGCCTGCCAAGGTGGTGAAACCGTCTCTACAAAAAACTTTAATAATTAGCCAGGCATGCTAGCATGTGCCTTCTTATGTAGTAGTCCCAGCTACTCAGAAGGCTGAGAAGGGAGGATAACTTGAGCCCAGGAGTTCAAGGCTACCGTGAGCTATGATCACACCACTGCACTCCAACCTGTGTGACAGAGACCCTGTTTCTAATTAAAATAAAAATGAAAGAAGCGGACTATGGCTACTGCTCTCCAAACTAAGTAACTCACAGCCTCTTTCTTCCATATCATAGCTGAGATGACATGTGCACAAAGATGCGCATAAACATCATTAGTCATACTGGGAAAAATGCTTAGAACTACTGTGATAAAGAAAGCAATTATTGGGCCAGGCGCGGTGGCTCACACCTGTAATCCCAGCACTTTGGGAAGCCAAGGCAGGCGAATCACCTGAGGCCTGGAGCTCAAGACCAGCCTGGCCAATATGGTGAAACCCCATCTCTACTAAAAATACAAAAATTAGCTGAGCATGGTGGTGGGTGCCTGTAGTCCCAGCTACTTGGGAGGCTGAGGCAGGAGAATTGCTTGAACCCAGGAGGTGGAGGTTGCAGTGAGCCGAGACTATGCTCTGTGCCACTGCACTCCAGCATGGGCAACAAGAGCAAAACCCTGTCAAAAAAAAAAAAAAAGAAAGAAGGAAAGAAAGAAAAGCAAGCAAGCAAGCAAGGATTAACAAATAAAATAAACAAACAGATTTTAAAAGTCTGTTCAAAATTTCAAGCAAGTCAGTTTCTTCTACATTACCTTTCCCAAGAGTAACAAAGCAGCAAAATATATATTGTATAAAAAGCAAACTTGTTTTTGCCAGGGCATGGTAGCTGTAATCCCAGGACTTTGGGAGGCTGAGGTGGGCAGATCACTTGAGGTCAGGAGTTCGACACCAGCCTGGCCAACAGAGTGAAACCCCGTCCCTATTAAAAATACAAAAATTAGCCGGGCATGGTGGCAGGTGCCTGTAATCCCAACTACTCAGGAAGTTGAGGCACAAGAATCGCTTGAACTCGGGAGGTGGAGGTTGCAGTGAGCTGAGATCGTGCCACTGCACTCTAGCCCGGGTGACAGAGTGAGACTCCATCTCAAAAAAAAAAAAAAAGAGCAAACTTGTTTTTAAAAACTATGTTGTGGCCGGGTGCAGTGGCTCATGCCTATAATCCCAGCACTTTGGGAGGCCAAGGCGGGCGGATCACGAGGTCAGGAGATCGAGACCATCCTGGCTAACATGGTGAAACTCCGTCTCTACTAAAAATACAAAAAAATTAGCCGGGCATGGTGGCAGGTACCTGTAGTCCCAGCTACTCGGGAGGCTGAGGCAGGAGAATGGCATGAACCCGGGAAGCGGAGCTTGCAGTGAGCCGACATTGCGCCACTGCACTCTAGCCTGGGCCACAGAGCGAGACTCCGTCTCAAAAAAAAAAAAAAATAAATATGTTAAAAGATAAAAGATGATAGCAGCCAGAACACTGACTTCTAAGTCTGGTGCATATACCAGGAAGATGCTTACTGCATCCCTAATTCAATTTGAAATACTTTTATTAGCTATTAAATTTTGAAAGCTCTGCACTTGTAATACTTGTCAATGAGTGCAGTCAGGCATAAACCAGCTTCATTCTGTCATTCTGTATTTTTACAAAGCTGAGACACATCTGTGCTTTGGCCTAAATTTAAAAAAAAAAAAAGGAAATGAAAATTCAATATGAAAATAAGCAATAAGAAGGTAACTTTCTCCAAAACAAAAGAACAGAGGTCGTAAATGTTATCAAATACATATGTAAGCCCTACTATACACCTAAAAATTGGTTTAGTTTAGAAAAATGTACTTTTCCAAAGAGTTAATTCTTTAAAAATAAAATATGCATTTATAATTTAAAATTTAAATACCAAAAGTTAAAAAAAAATGGAAAAATGCAGGTACTTTCCTCTCCTCAGAGATAGCTTCTATTAAAAATCTTCACGTCAGCTGGGCACGGTGACTCATGCCTGTAATCCCAGCACTTTGGGAGGCCAAGGCAGGCGGTCAAGAGATCAAGACCATCCTGGTCAACATGGTGAAACCCCGTCTCTACTAAAAATACAAAAATTAGCTGGGCATGGTGGCACGCGCCTGTAATCTCAGCTACTCAGGAGGCTGAGGCTGGAGAATCACTTGAACCCGGGAGGCAGAGGTTGCAGTGAGCAGAGATCGGGCCACTGCACTCCAGCCTACTGACAGAGCGAGACTCCGTCTCAAAAAAAAAAAAAAAAAAAAAACCTTCATGTCTGACCAGGTGCAATGGCTCACACCTGTAATCCCAGCACTTTGGGAGGCGAAGCCAGGTGGACTGCATGAGCTCAGGAGTTCGAGACCAGCCTGGGCAACATTGCAAAACCCCAACTCTACAAAAAATACAAAAATTAGCCAGGCGTGGTCTCAGCTACTAGGGAGGCTGAGGTGGGTTGGTAGCTTGAGCCTGGGAGGTGGAGGCTGCAATGAGCCGAGATCGCCCCACTGCACTTCAACTTGGATGACAGAGTGAGACTCCCGTCACACACACACACACACACACACACACACACACACACACACACACACACACAAAAGAAAAAGAAAAACCTTTATGTCTCAGGAAGATTTTAGAATTCAAAAAATACCAAAAATAAATAAATTAAAAAAATATTTTAAAACTTCATGTAACATTTTCTAAGCATATGCAAGTATGTATATATATATATATGCTATATATACTTGTTGAATTATGATTAAAATAATTTAAGAAGTCTCAGCTGGGTGCAGTGGCTCACGCCTGTAATCCTAGCACTTTGGGAGGCCCAGACAGGTGGATCACCTAAGGTCAGGAGTTCGAGACCAGCCTGGCCAACATGGTGAAACTCTGTCTCTACTAAATATACAAAAATTAGCTGGGCATGGTGGCGCACGTCTGTAATCCCAGCTACTCAGGAGGCTGAGGCAGGAGAATTGCTTGAACCCGGGAGGCAGAGGTTACAGTGAGCCGAGATCACCCCACTGCACTCCAGTCTGGGCAACAAAGTGAGACTCTGTTTCAAAAAAAAAAATTAAGAAGTCTTTAATATAGCTTCTATTTGTAATTAGACTGGCTGCTGTAATTATTCAGTTTTTAGGTTAACTATTTAAGGCCATGGTTCACCATAATATTATTTATAATTGTGAAAAACTGGAAACTACATTCATGCCCAATATTAAAGGAAAACTTCAAATAAATCTGTTTATTTAAAATATCTTTGGATGCAGTGGTTCATGCCTGTAATCCCAGCACTTTGGGAGGTCAAGGCAGAAGGATCATTTGAGCCCAGGAATTCCATACCAACCTGAGCCTGTCTCTACAGAAAACAAACAAAAAAAAATTAGTGTGGTAGTATGGACCTGTGGTCCTAGCTACTCAGGAGGCAGAGGTGGGAGAATCGCATGAGCCCAGAAGGTTGAGGCTGCAGTGAGCCATGATCACGCCACTAAATTCAAATAGTAAAACACAAATCAAAGGAGAAAATGTAGGAAGAACTCTGATGATTGTATCAACGAATACAAAGTAATAGGTTTTGGGTGTGGGGAATGAGCAGGTAATACAAAAGGAAGAAGAAAATGCTACAAATTTACTTGAAGCCTGGTAGGCTCTCAGCACTCAATACAACAATGCAAGACCTAGGAGTCTTTGCAGAATGTTTTTTGTTTGTTTATTGTTTTGAGACGGAGTCTCGCTCTGTCGCAAGGCTGGAGTGCAGTGGCACAATGGCTCACTGCAACCTCCACCTTCCGAGTTCAAGTGATTCTCCTGCCTCAGCCTCCCAAGTAGCTGGGATTACAGGCGCGCATGACCACACCCAGCTAATTTTTGTATTTTTAGTAGAGACGGGATTTCACCACGTTGGTCAGGATGGTCTCAATCTCTCGACCTCGTGATCCACCGGCCTCGGCTTCCCAAAGTGCTGGGATTACAGGCATGAGCCACCGCGCCCAGCCGCAGAATGTTTTTTAAGGTCATCTGTCTGTGCAACTTCAGGCAAAAAGACCAACAAAACAACGGACTTCATTAAGGACAGGATTGGAAAAGGGACAGAAAACACTATCCTGTCCTGAACAAAAACATGGCCTCTCTTAAAGTACTGAACACAATTCTAAACTCTGTAGTTCAGAAGCAGTAGGGTACAGTGATTAAAAAGATTTGGGTTTCAAATTCAAGTTTCTGCCACTTACTGTGTCTCATTGTCTTCATTTGTATGATACCTACATATCTGAGTTGCTTTGCAGTTAAATGAAAACATGTAACAGTAATTTTTAGCATAATACTTGACATATAAAGTAGTGTTCCCAAAAAATGGTAGCTATCATTACTACTATAAAGAAGCAATCTTCCAAGGAAAAGCCACTAAAACATTGAGAGATTCTCAAAGTTTGATATGCATTAAAATCACCTGACAGATTTATTGAAAATACAGATTCTAAGAACCCATTTCTCACAGAAATTAATTCCACAGGTCTAAAGTAGAATATAAGTGTACTCTGACCCAAACACCAAAGAGAATAAGGCACTGCCCAATAAAGAGGCTGAAAATTAGGACTTTTCCATGGGAAAAAAAAATGGCCTACAATAGACAGTATGTTCAAGAGGAATACAGACATGTTCACTAAGTTCATTTATTCAATCAACATTCACTGAGTACCTACTATGCAGTGAAAAGGACAGACAAGGTTCCATATTCACAGAGCTTAATTTCCAGGGTAGGAGACGGAACATTTTTTTAAAATTCCATATATTGATAAATGCTGTGAAGAAAATAAAATACAAGGGAGAGATTGGTCAGTCTCCTTGAAGAGGCAACATCTGACCTAACACCTGAATAACACAATGGTATCAACCACAGCAAGATCTGGGAGAAGAGTACTGAAGCCCCAGCGTTCAGCAAATGCAAAGGCCCTACAGCAAGAACCAGCTTGGCAAGTTCCAGGGACAAAAATGCAAGTGGGATTAGAATACAGGAAGAAACTCACATGGCCAGGCTCCAGGGTACTGAACTAAGTAGAAGGATACAAGGTAAGATAAGAGAGGAAGGCAGTGCTGAAACATGTAGCACCTGACAAGCTTTGGTAGAGTTTGGATTTTATTCTGAATATGGATGGAAAACTTTCAACAAGGGGGTGTCAAGGTAATTTACATTTTAAAGGATCTCTTAGGCTGGTAAGGGAAATGCATAATAAAAAGCCAAAGTGGAAGCAGGGAGACCAGGAGTTGCTGCAACAGATCAGGTAAGAGATGAAGATAGCCTGGCAAAGCTGATGGCAGTAGGGATGGGAAGAAGTGGACAAATTTAGAATACATATTGAATACTATAAGCCAAATCAAAGAAAAAGAAACTAGATTATGTAATAAGTAGTAAACATCTAGGACTAATCATCCAAGAGATGCAAAATGAAAATAGAGATTTAAAGATTTTAGGTAAGTTTATGAGGCTCAAACTCAAAATAGGTTATTAGCAGATTTAGGATAGTTCATGGCATGTACTTATCCTCTGAAGTTGAGATGAAGAGGACGTTTCCTTCCATAGCAGGCTCTTTTGGTGCCAACTGGTAAAGCACTGGACTAAATGGGCACACACCAAGACTCAATGCATATTAAGTGTGATGTGGGCCAGGTGAAGTGGCTCACGCATGTAATCCCAGCACCGTGGGCGGCCAAGGTGGGCAGATCACTTGAGGTCAGGAGTTTGACACCAGCCTGGCCAACATGGTGAAACCCCGTCTCTACTAAAAATACAAAAATTAGTCGGGCGTGATGGTGTGCACCTGTAATCCCAGCTACTCAGGAGGCTAAGGCTGGAGAATCACTTGAACCCGGGAGGCAGAGGTTGCAGTGAGCTGAGATCCACCACTGCACTCCAGCCTGTACAATAGAGCAAGACTCCATCTCCCAAAAAAAAAAAAAAAAAAAAAAAAAAGTGTGACGTGTAAAGTTAAAATCTTCCAGGACCTTACTGCCTGGGGCCTGAACATCTGATCAGCATTTGGAATAGAGTATAACTATGGAACAGAACTAAATCTTTACCCGAATCAAACCACTGAGTAGCAAAAACTACTTAAACTTTCATATTATCCTCAGGCTGTGCTTTCTTTCCCAAGAGCCAAACAAGTGAGGTCTTACTTTGCCACACAATGCATATTAATTTCTTAAATGTTACATTATCATAGAGATTTGTGAGGAAATCTTTTAAAACCATGCTTTTAATAATTATGGTTTGCCAAACATAGAAGTCCCCCATTATCCACAAGGGATACATTCAAAGAAACTCCAGTGGGCTGGACCTGGTGTCTCAGCATCCCTGTAATCCTAGCATTTTGGGAGGCTGAGGCCAGAAGATCACTTGAGCTTAGGAGTTTGAGACCAGCCTGGACAACACAGTGAGATCTCGTCTCTATTAAATTTTAAAATTAAAAAATTATAAAACAACCCCCCCCCAGTGGATGCCTAAAGCCCATATAGTACAGAACCCTATATATGGACTGTTTTTTTCCTATACACACCTACGATAAAATTCAATTTATAAATTAGGCACAGTAAGAGACTGACAATAGTTAATAATAGAACAGTTATAACAATATACTATAATAAAAGTTATGTGAATGTGGTCTCTGAAAATATGATTGTATTTTCAAACTGCGGTTGACCACAGAAACTGAAACTCGGGAAACCCCTGAAAGTGAAACCACGGATAAGGGGGCACTACTGTGTAGTGAATACGCTCTAAAATTTAAGGTCCAAAGTCCATGTCTGAAAAATTTAAATTATTACTCAAAAAAGAAGTACTAGAATGTGAAAAAGCAGGTTATGTACTGAAAAGCATATGTGGTATGATACCATATTTGTATAAAATATATAAATGCAAAAAAGTAGTTTAGAAGGGTATAAACTAACATTTTGGTGATCTTTGGGTGGCAGGATTATTGATTTTTTTTTCCTATCTGCTTTTATCAACATCTTCTCTATTACACAAAGTATTTCGTATAACCAAAAATATTAGTTATAGGCTAGCATAAAAGGTAAAAAGCTGAAAAAGAACTTCAAGAAATCTTTCCTTCTTCTAAATCAGAAGGATTCCAACTACAGTAGTAAGAAAAAATATCTCAACGGCAAACACTGGAGAAAAGATTCGTTAAGGGGTTCATGTTATACCACAAGGACATACCCTTCAAGGAAATAATCTAAACTCATAACTCTTCCTGGGTTTGATAAGGAGCAATTAACTATCACGTACTGTTGTTCTTTCTTGCTGTTAACCACTGAAACACCTCAATTAATGAGTTCTCGGGGGTGAAGCGGTGTTCTTAAACACCACGTTGGAAAAAAAAAAAAAGTTAGGACAAAAAGGTTTGGTTTTCTGGTCGCAGTGCTGTCGACGGCCGCGGAGAGCGGCAAGTTCGGAGCAGGCTACACTAAAGGAATCTGCGCGGCCAGCCACCCTAAGTGGAAGGGAATGCAAAGCCTCCTGCAACCTCCACAGCGCTGGGCAGCAAGAATGCCTCCTAAGCGTCCCAACACTCCAACACCTGGAAGGTCTTACGCTTTCCAAGTTATAATATGTACAGCTGCTGTTTCTGACAATAACACACACAAACTGGAAGGTCTCTTCTGCAAATGTAGCTATTACGTGTGTGAAGCTCATCCGACTCTCTCGATGCAAAAGTAACACATTCTATTAAGGCCACAGCCTCGGTTTTGCCAACTGGGGCAACTGAAAACATCCTACCGACTCTCTACAGCTAGCAAACCATCTCGGCTAAAATCCTGGCACATATAAACAGCCACTTTGGTGAAGTCTGCCTTTAAACAGCAACACGGGACTTCGGGTAGAGCCGGTAACCAGTTTATCACACACTATTAGTTCCAATAAAGGGTGCTGCTACCTCTTTACTGTCAGCCTTGGTTCCACTTACTGAGCAAACAGAAAAAGGGGATCCTTTAAATTCGCGACACAATAGGAGCTAAAAAGCTCTCGCTTTCAGGGTGTCAGCTTTCTCGTCTCACTTATCACAACAAAGGACGCATCCTAGTGACTTCACCGTACCCAGAAAGGGCTGAGGGAGACGGTAAACAAGATAGTGTGGATTTCAGGATTTGTGAGTTTTTCCTTCCAGCTACGACTCTCTTTTTACTCCATGATACGCCTCCACCCGTCGACAATCTGATCCTAAAAATAAAACCACCCGTGGCTACCTTGCCCTTGCCTGCAAAGCCCCGACTCTGACATCCTGCAGAGAATACCCAATTGCAGGCTCTTCGCGGGGGACGCGGGCTCGGCAGCAGCGGAGCTTCTCCCGGTGCAGAATCGCCAGCCCGGCCGAGGAAACGCCAAGCCCGAGAAACAGCCCTGTTCTGCCGCAGCCGCCGCAGTCCCCGAGAGCCTGAGGAGCCCCCAGGAAAAACTGGGGCGAGGGGAGGGTGAGCCAGCAAACGCTGGTGGGAGAGGGGGAGACACTCACCCGCCCAGACAACAACCGATGGGGCGGGGAGGATGGGGGCCGGGACCGAGGCTCGGCAGAAAGACCGCCTGGAGCTTCCAGAAGGCTGCGGCTGCTCCGGACGCTGCTGCCACTGCCGTTTCTGGCCGCCGGCTTCCTCCCCCTCCTCTGTTTTGATTCGAGTGACCACGTCACTCTTAGCCACAAGACCCGGATCTGCCGGCTCCCGCGGGCGGCGGCGCAACAGATTGCAGCGCCTGGAGACTCCAGCTGCCCCGCCTGCCGAGCATGCGCATGCCCAGCGCCTGCCCTGTGCGTCCCGGGAAGCCGGGCGGGAGCCTGCGGCTTCGGACGCCTACGACACGCTGTGCGTGGGGGCGCGGAGTGCGGGGGATGTAGTTCCGGTTGGGAGGGGCGTGGCTGAGGACTGTGAAGCAATCGGGGCGAGGCCGGGTGTCTGTTCAACTCTCCCGCGTATCGTCTGTTTCTTCGGCGGCGGACAGTGTTCTGTAATGTGTCTCCCGTTGCCCGAGCTAAAGGTTTTCCTCGACGGAGTCTTTAGAATACCGTGGTAGAGGTAGACGCGGTTACAAATTGATGTCTGTTGAGACAGTCTACCCCTGTAAAGTGTTTTTGGTTACTCAGGCCCGGATGGAAATTGGAGATGGGGATTACAAAAATACATCAAATGTGGCTGTTATTGATTCCCTTTACCTTAACATTTTTGCACCGGAAACGACCAAAATTAAGTTCAACAGGAATATTAATAAAAGGAATATGTAGTCGGGCTTGGTGACTCATGCCTGTAATCCCAGCACTTCAGGAGGCAGAGGTGGGCGGATCACTTGAGGTCAGGAGTCCGAGACCAGCCTGGCCGACATGGTGAAACCCCATCTCCACTAAAAACACAAAAATTAGCCGGGCATGGTGGTGCCCGCTTGTAGTCCCAGCTACTCGGGAGGCTGAGGTGGAAGAATCGCTTGAACCCGGGAGGCGGAGGTTGCAGTGAGCCGAGATCGCGCCACTGCACTCCAGCCTGGGTGATAGTGAGACTTTGTCTCAAACTAAATAATTAAAGATATGTGACCAAAGATGACTTGCTGGTCAGGAGATAATGGGGAAGTAGGAGGGAATGCTGTGGCTAGGCAGCCAGCCAGCCCAAGTCTTAGTTGCTTTGGTTGTAGAGCTGGAATAAGAGTGCTGCTTTTACCCAATCTTCCTTTTAGAGCAAGTTGGTGCTTCCTATTCTCCCATTCTAGTCTCTGAGTCTCCCCGCTAAATTTTGGGGGCCCTGGAAATTTCCCAATTTGGCAAAATGCAGAACTATATTGTTTTCTTAGGTCCTTCAGTTGGCAAGCTTTAATTAAAATGGGACAAGTGGCGAAGTAAAAGTGAATCCCAAACAAAGATTTTACGAAAGTGCCTCTCTGCCAGTCTTGACGGAGAGGTGAAAGCTGCAAGCTTTCTTACTCAGATTTGATGACCTTTTCACTTACCCAGACTTCCACCTCAGCAATTTGGTTAATTACCCCTCGACAAGCTGAATCACCTTCCCCAAATAAGTATCATTTACAAGAGCTTTTTAATTAAAGTGGATATTGAACACAGGTAAAGGTTTCTAGAAAATTAAAGGTTTCTGGTAAAACTTGAAGTGTTTCCCAGTTAACTAATTGCAAAGTAGATACAAAGAATAAAGATTTTGGCCCTTAATCTGCAACCTTGAACTCTGCTTACTCAAATTCAGAGTTTGAGATGGAATCTGGTGCCCTAATGAGCTGACACTGTACCAAAGGGTCTTTAATTTGTGCAACTCCAAACAAAATCTGTTATGCTTGAGTGCACCCATGGGCACGTATGTGTTTGAGAACACAGCTGTGTTTAAGAGAACAGTATGGTACAAAACTAGAATTGTACTGGTTGTTGCAAAATTCTCAGTACTTGGTTTTGTTGTTGTTGTTTTTGTTGTTGTTGTTTTTGTTTGTTTTTGAGATGGAGTCTTGCTCTGTTGCCCAGGCTGGAGTGCAGTGGCTCGATCTCGGCTCACTGCAAGCTCCGCCTCCTGGGTTCACGCCATTCTCCTACCTCAGCCTCCCGAGTAGCTGGGACTACAGGCACCCGCCGCCACCACGCCTGGCTAATTTTTTGTATTTTTAGTAGAGACGGGGTTTCACCATGTTAGCCAGGATGGTCTCAAGCTCCTGACCTCGTGATCCGCCCGTCTCGGCCTCCCAAAGTGCTGGGATTACAGGCGTGAGCCACCGCGCCTGGCCTTTTTTTTTTTTTTTTTGAGATAGGGTCTTGCTCTGTTGCACAGGCTGGAATGCAGTGGTGCAATCATAGCTCACTACAGCCTCAAACTCCTGGGCTGAAGTGATCCTCCCATTTTAGCCTCCTGAATAACTAAGACTACAGACACATGCCACCACAGTGAGCTACTTTTTTTTTTAATTTGTTATAGGATCTTGCTATATTGTTGAGACTGGTCTTGAACTCCTGGTCTGAAGTGATCCTCCTGTTTCAGCCTCCCAAAGTGTTGGGGTTACAGGCATGGGTCACTGTGCACACCCAGTACTTGCTTTATAAAGTAAATTACAGGAAAACCAAGATGTTAGGATTAGCCTGGCGAGGTGCTGTATGCCTGTAGTCCCAGCTACTCAGGAGGCAGAGACAGGAGAATTGCCTGAACCCAGGAGTTAGAGGCTTTGAATAGCCACTGCACTCCAACCTGGGCAACATAGCAATACCTTGTCTCAGAAACAAACAAACAAAAAAGATGTTGGGATCCTTGGTAGCCAGCCTCTAAGAGGACCCCCAGTGATTGTCACCGCTGGTGGTCTGCATCAACCCTTTGAATCAGGACTACTATGTTTTACCAATAGAATACAATTGAATGTGTGTGACTTCTGAGGTTAGGTCACAAAGACACTGATTGCAGCTTTCCCTCTCATTCTCTTTGATTGCTTGCCCTGGAGGAAGGCAGTCTCCACACCACTGTGCTCGAACAGCTCTATGAAGAGGCCTATGTGGAGAGGAGAAAAAGCCTCCACCAACAGCCAGCACCAACTTGCCAGCCATGTGAGTGAACTAACTTGATTGATCCTGCAGCCCTAATCAAGCATTCAGATGACTGCATCCCTGCCCAACATTTGATTGCAAGTTTTTGAGAGCTAGAATAGGCTAGCTCTTACCCACAGACACTGATATGGGATATTATATGCTTTTTTGTTCTGATCTTTAAGAGCAGTTTTTTCTCCCTTTTTTGTTGTTTGTTTTTGTTTTTGTTTTTGAGTCGGAGTTTTGCTCTTGTTGCCCAGGCTGGAGTGCAATGGTGTGATCTCAGCTCACCACAACCTCCGCCTCCCAGGTTCAAGCAATTCTCCTGCCTCAGCCTCCCCAGTAGCTGGGATTACAGGCATGTACCACCACGCCCGGCTAATTTTGTATTTTTTAGTAGGGACAGGGTTTCTCCATGTTGAGGCTGGTCTCAAACTCCTGACCTCAGGTGATCCACCCGCCTCGGCCCCACAAAGTGCTTGGATTGCAGGCATGAGCCACTGCGCCAGGCTGTTTTTTTTTTTTTTGAGTCTTGCTCTGTTGCCCAGGCTGGAGTGCAGTGGTGCAATCTTGGCTCACTGCAACCTCCGCCTCCTGGATTCAAACGATTTCCTGCCTCAGCCTCCCTAGTAGCCGGGATTACAGGTGCATACCACCACACCTGGCTAATTTTTGTATTTTTAGTAGAGATGGGGTTTCACCGTGTTGGCCACGCTGGTCTCGAACTCTTGATCTCAGGTGATCCGCCTGCCTTGGCCTCCCAAAGTGCTGGGATTACAGGCGTGAGCCACTGTGCCCGGCCCCTAAGTGCAGTTTTTCTAAACTAAACAATGGAAGAACTAAAAAGTGTGTAATTCTATGTGTAAAGAATAACATAGAATTCCTACCATACAACCGAGAGCATAGTAAACATTGAATAAATATTTGTTGAATGGACACAGAATTAAAAAAGAAACACCAATTGGAGAATTTGGAACAAATACTGATAGTTAAAGGAGAAATACCATAATATATGAAGGGCTCATACAAATCAATAGGGAAAATTAATGCCTGCCACACATGCATAGGTATAAAGTATGAACTGATGGTTCACACACACAAAGGAAATACAAATGTTTGACATTTGAAAATCTTCCATCTCACTAGTAATCAAAAAATGCAAATTAAAATGATTTTCTTTTTTGGCTACTACATTAAGGAAATATATTTATTTATTTACTTATTTTAGAGATGGGGTCTTGCTCTGTCACCCAGGCTGGAGTGCAGTGGCTATTCACAGATGTGACCACAGTGCATTGCAACCTTGAACTCCTGGTCTTAAGCAATCCTCCTACCTCAGCGTCCTGAGTAGCTGGGACTACTGGCATGTGCCACCCAGCCTTTTTTTTTCTTTTAATAGACAGGAGTCTCACTATGTTGGCCAGGCTGGTCTCCAACTCCTAGCCTCAAGGGAAGTGCAAACTACTGCACCAGGCCTGGACAACATGGTGAAACCTTGTCTCTACAAAAAAAAAAAAAAAAATTAACCAGACATTGTGGTGGTGCCTATAGTCCCAGCTACTCAGGAGGCTGAGGTGGGAGGGGATGGCTTGAGTCCAGGAGGTAGAGGTTGCAGTGAGTCAAGATTGCGCCACTGTATTCCAGCCTGGGCGATAGAGCCAGACTTTATCTCAAAAAATTTTTCTTTTTTTCATATTTGAAAATAGAGCTAGGGTCTCACTATGTTGCCTAGACTGGTCTCAAACTCCTGGGCTCAAGTGATCCCACCGCCTTGGCCTCTCAAAGTGCTGGGATTATAGGCATGAACCACCACACCCAGCCTATTTTATTCTTTTTGATGATATTATAAATGGAATTGCTTGTTTTTTGTTTTTGAGACAGAGTCTCGCTCTGTCACCCAGGCTGGAGTGCTATGACACTATCTCAGCTCACTGCAACCTCTACCTCCCAGGTTCAATCAATTCTCATGCCTCAGCCTCCTGAGTACCTGGGACTACAGGTGCGCACCACCACCCCGGCTAATTTTTGTAATTTTAGTGGAGACAGGGTTTCACTATGGGCTTGAACACCAAGGTCTTGAACTCCTGGCCTCAAGTAATCCGCCCACGTCCACCTCCCAAAGTGTGGGATTACAGGCATTGAGCCACATCACCTGGTCACTTTCTTAATTTCCTTTTCAGAGTGTTCATTGTTAGTATGTAGAAATGCAGGCGATTTTTGAGTATTGCTTTTGTAGCCTGCAACTTGGCTGAATTTATTAGTTCTAAATTTTTTTTGGTGGATTAGTAGTAGGATCACACCAATGACTAGCCACTGCACTCCAACCTGGGCAACATAGCAAAACTCTGTCTCCTTAAAAAAAAAAAATCATTAAATAATTTGAAATTACAAATACCCTACAGCATATGGAGAAATGTTATGGACATATTGTTAAGGGGAAAAATGATACAACTTGCACACTATGACTACATCTGGGTAAAAAATATTTTGCAGGCGGGTGCGGTGGCTCATGCCTGTAATCCCAGCACTTTGGGAGGCCAAGGTAGGTGGATCACCTGAGGTCGGGAGTTCGAGACCAGCCTTACCAACATGGAGAAACCCCATCTCTACTAAAAATACAAAATTAGCCAAGCGTGGTGGCACATGCCTGTAATCCCAGCTACTCGGTAGGCTGAGGCAGGAGAATTACTTGAACCCGTGAGGCAGAATGGTGAGCTGAGATTGCACCACTGCACTCCAGCCTGGGCGACACAGCAAGACGCTGTCTCAAAAAAAAAAAAATGTATATATATATATGTATGTGTGTGTGTGTATATATATACACTATATATATATATACATTATATATATACATATTTTGCAGATGGATAAATGCTAAAGAAGGCAAGTGAAAATCGGTAATGAGATACATCTTCATTTTATCATGTTTTGGATTTTTTTTGTTTTGGTTTGGTTTTTTTATTTTTTTTGAGACAGGGTCTCACTCTATCACCAGGCTGGAGTGCAGTGGCTCAATCTCAGCTCACTGCAACCTCCACCTGCCAGGTTCAAGCGATTCTGCTGCCTCAGCCTCCCAAGTAGCTGGGACTACAGGCGTGCGCCACCACACCCAGCTAATTTTTTGTATTTTTAGTAGAGGCAGGGTTTCACCATGTTGTCCAGGATGGTCTGATCTCCTGACCTCGTGATCCGCCCATCTCGGCCTCCCAAAGTGCTGGGATTACAGGCATGAGCCACCGCGCCAGGCCAGTTTTTTTTTTTAAACTTTAAAGTTTGGGAGTACATGTGAAGGTTTGTTACATAGGAAACACATGTTACAGAGGTTTATTGTACATATTATTTAATCACCCAGGTTTTTTTGTTTGTTTTGGTTTTGGTTTTTTTTTTTGAGATGGAGTCTCACTCTGTCACACAGGCTGGAGTGCAGTGGTGCGATCTTGGCTTACTGCAACCTATGCTTCCTGGGTTCAAGCAATTCTCCTGCCTTAGCCAACCAGGTAGCTGGGATTACAGGTGTGCGCCACCATGCCTGGCTAATTTTTTTTGTATTTTTAGTAGAGACAGGGTTTCACCAGGCTGGTCTCGAACTCCTGACCTCAGGTGATCCGCCTGCCTCAGCCTCCCAAAATGCTGGGATTACAGGCGTGAGCCACCACGCCTGGCTCATCACCCAGATATTAAGTCTGGTACCCAATAGTTATCTTTTCTGATCCTCTCCCTCCTCCCACCCTCCCCTTGGAATTTTAAAAATATTTCAGTTGCTGAACTATAGTTGGAACTTAGCATATTAAGAATTATTGTGTTTTTAATAGTAATATTCTAAGGTATTGGTTATCATTCTTAAAATTAATCCCGTCTGTTCCAAAGAGTATATGAGACTGATGTTTTATCTCAGACCTAAAGGATTTTTGTTGTTGTTGTTTAGAGATGGAATCTTATTATGTTGTTCAGGCTGGACTCAAACTCCTGACCTCAGGTTATCTGCTCATCTTGGCCCCCCAAAGTGCTGGGACTACAGGCATGAGCCACTGCACCCGGCCACAAGATTTTATACATTCATTTTTTTTGCTGTATAGTAATAGACAATATTGTTTATCAACCTTTTAGAAAGTAATAAAATTAAACTAAACCAGTAATAGAATAATTTTCAAGCTTTTTTATAATAGAAATTGAAGGGCCAGGCGCGGTGGCTCACGCCTGTAATCCCAGCACTTTGGGAGGCCGAGGCAGGCAGATCACAAGGTCAAGAGAGGGAGACCATCCTGGCCAACATGGTGAAACTCGTCTCTACTGAAAATACAAAAATTAGCTAGGTGTGGTGACGGGCATCTATAGTCCCAGCTACTCGGGAGGCTGAAGCAAGAGAATCGCTTGAACCCAGGAGGCGGAGGTTGCAGTGAGCAGAGATCACACCACTGCACTCCAGCCTGGTGACAGTGAGAGTCCATCTCAAAAAAAAAAAAAGAAAGAAAGATAACATAATCTTTAAATTTTTGCCTTTTATAGCCATATCCCTAATTTCCTTATTTTATTTTATTTTTTATTTTTATATAAGAGAGACAGGGCCTCACTATGTTGCCCAGACTGGTCTCGAATTCGTAGGCTCAAGCAATCCTCCCTCCTCAGCCCCACAAAGTGCTGGGATTACAGGCATAAACCACCTTGCCCAGCTCCAGATCCCTAATTTCTACCTCTTTTATTTAAACTAAATCTTATTGCTCAGACTTTCCCTCCATTACACATTAATGGACCTGAACCTAAACAGTCGTTTGTAGACCACTGAACAAGCTTGGAAACAGTCATCAACTCAGTGGTGATAAGCACCCCAATCACCCTGATTATGGTCTCTGAAGATGATTTCCCACTGAACTCCTTGCAAGCTTAGGGAAGGAAATGTTCCACATGGGCCCAAAACATTTTGTTATACCATGAAGCTATCAAAGCTATCAAGATCATGTTAAAAGGACATAAGGTCCAACTTGAAGCGTCTCACATTGACCAATGATATGTCAATTTGAGAATCAAAAAGCAGAATAACTTTTGGCCAGGCTTGGTGGCTCACGCCTGTAATCTCAACACTTTGGGAGGCTGAGGCAGAAGAATTGCTTCAGTCCAGAAGTTCAAGACTAGCCTGGGCAACATAGTGAGACTCCATCTCTACCAAAGAATACAAAAATTAGCCAGGTGTGATGGTGTGCTCCTGTAGTCCCAGCACTTTCGGAGGCTGAGGTGGGAGTATTGCTTGAACCCAGGAGTTGAAGGCTGCAGTGAGCTGTTTTTTTTTTTTTTTTTTGGGACGGGGTTTCGCTCTTTGTTGCCCAGGCTGGAGTGCAATGGCGCAATCTCGGCTCACCGCAGCCTCCGCCTCCTGGGTTCAAGTGATTCTTCTGCCTCAGCCTCCCTAGTAGCTGGGATTACAGGCATGCGCCACCATGCCCAGCTAATTTTGTATTTTTAGTGGAGACGGGGTTTCTCCATGTTGGTCAGGCTGGTCTCGAACTCCCGACCTCAGGTCATCTGCCCGCCTCGGCCTCCCAAAGTGCTGGGATTACAGGCACAAGCCACTGCGCCTGGCCTGCAGTGAGCTATTATCACACCACTGCACTCCAGCTTGGGCGACAGAGTGAGGCCCTGTTTAAAAAAAAAAAAAAAAAAAAAAAGACATGAGATTTTTCAGGTTTAAAAAAAAAAAGCAGACAAAATAATTTTTTTGGATTGCAACATATCTTATATATTAAACTCTGTGTGTTCCTAATATTAAAACATTTCAAAAACTTTTTTGGTTGCCTTTGTGAGGGACCAGGGAACAAACCCATTCTGAAATTTAAATACATGTAAACAATCAAGTATTTGTCCTGACTTTCCTGTATTAACTACACCCCAGAATAAATAGTTGGTAAAGGAAAGTAATTCCAGCTTAAAAATAAAGAAGAAATGACAGAGTTTGAATGTCATCATTTTGCAACCCCTAATGAAATAATGGATCCAGACAATGGTTATCAATGACTGCAAACCACTTACATAAAAAGCTGATGGGGGCTGGGCGCAGTGGCTCACGCCTGTAATCCCAGCACTTTGGGAGGCCGAGGTGGGTGGATCACTTGAGGTCAGGTGTTCGAGACCAGCCTGAGCAACCTGGTGAAACCCCATCTCCACTAAAAATACAAAAATTAGCCGGGTGTGGTGGCACATGCCTGTAGTCCCAGTTACTCGGGAGGCAGAAGCAGGAGAATCGCTTGAATCCAGGAGGTGGAGGTTTCAGTGAGCCAAGATCGCACCACTGCACTCCAGACTAGGTGATGGAGTGAGACTCTGGAGGGGTTTTTTGTTGTTGTTGTTTTTTTTTTCTGAGACTTCATCTCAAAAAAAAAAAGACATATCTTACACCAGGCATGGTGTCATGCACCTGTAGTCCAAGCTACTTGGGAGGGTGATGTGGGAGGATGGCTTGAGCACAGGAGTTTGAGACCAACCTGGACTACATAGCAAGATCCCCATCTCTAAAAAAATAAATAAAAATTTAAAAACAACGTCTTACTTTTCTTGTATATTTTGTGTGCATTATTGTTTTCCTCATTTTTAGTTTGTTTTATTTGGGACAGTCTTGCTCTGTCACCCGGGCTGGAGTGCAGTGGCGCAATCATAGCTCACTATAACCTTGAACTCCTGGGCTCAAATGATCCTCCTGCCTCAGCTTTCCAAGTAGCTAGGACTACAGGCATGTGCCACTATGCCCAGCTAACTAAAACAAATTTTGTAGGGATGAGGTCTCACTGTGTTGCTCAGACTAGTCTTGAACTCTTGGTCTCAAGTGATTCTCCTACCTCAGCTTCCCAAAGTGCTGGGATTACTGGCATAAGCCACTACATCCAGCCCTATTTCTAGTAGTTTTATTTACATATATTATAATTTTTAAACACTCAGTAACCTTAGTGAAACTGCCTTTGCAAAGATTATGACAGAGAAGTCTAACATGGTTGACTCCATCTTGTTGCTATCCTTGCTGGCTATCTTTGCTCATTCCTGGGCAAAAGCCAAGCTACCCATGGTAGGAATTTAGTTTATAATTTAACATGGATGTCCAGATCTCTATCACTCAGGATTACATAAAGCTGTACCCTCAGGCAACATGGCCCTAACTGGGCCACAGGAACCCCTTGTCAGGTTGCTGGTTTGGCTGGCTGCTTGGCAGGAACCATGGAGGGGGAGCACCAGGAGTGTGGAGCCCGCCTGGTGGCACTGCTGTTGCAGCAGTTTCAGTGGGCCTCCAGTCTCCTCAGGTGCCAACTGGTTCTTTGGCTCTGGGTGAAGAGGGTGCCTGCTTCTTTTGTGGGCACCCTGGGCATATCAAGAGGCGCTGCTATGGATGTCAGCCATGGCTGCAGTTGAATCTTGGTGAGGCTTGTCCACCTGGACCTTTAGAGTGGCTGTGGAGCTGCCCTGGGGAAATTCTGCGGACATTTCTTGTACTCGGAGCTGGTCCTTTGGGAGAGCTGGAGGTTGCTGTTGCTGATGAGACTGTGCAGTTTTAGAGGTGGCTGACAACCACTGTTTGTGGCAGATGGTCATTGCCACAGGGGGCTGCTCCTTTCCTTGTGCATTTGTTTAAGAAGAGCGCTCTTCATGGCAGGTGTGCTGTGAAGGCACTGTGCAGCCTAGTGTCGTGGCATTTCCCTCTTTTGGGGGACTTGGGATTCAGTATAAAGTCCTTGATTTTTAAAGGCCTGGATGTTCTGCCTTCCAACTTTGACTATTTTTCACATATTTGGATAGTTGGGCCCTAAAAGCTGCAAGTACTTAATTGGCCCTGTTCCTTAATGGGCTCTGTCTGGAGCTCAGTGGTCCAGTTGGAGAAACAGGCTAAATTAAAAGCTATTTATCTAAATGAAGTTGGTCTCCTTGTAGAGTCCTGTGGTGAATTTCTGTGATTTGTGTTGCCTTGGTGTCCTTTCTTAGTCTTCCACTAGCACAGCCAGACTCCTTCTTGAAGACACTTGGATTCTTTCTCTCTCTCTGCTTTGAGATGTGGATTGTGGCTGGGCATGATGGCTCATGCCTATAAATCCAGCATTTTGGGAGGCTGAGGTAGAAGGATCACTTGAGGCCAGGAATTCAAGACCAGACTGGGCAACAGAGTGAGACCTTGTCTTTACAAAATAATAATAATAATAAAAAGAAGAGATGTGGATTGCTATTCTGATTTCTCTGGGGCTCATTGAGGACTTGGGCTGTGTGGGACAAGTGAACTTTGACTTGTTATATTTGCAGGGGCATAGTTTGAATCCAACTGTCCTTTTGGACTAGTGAGTTTTGCCAGTCTCATGGCTAGAGTTTTGAAATCAAGGCTGTAGAGTCTTCGTTTGCATCTGTTTGTATCCTTTTTTTTTTCCCCTCATGCAGGACACAACTGTCTGTATCTTTATGTGTATATCTGTTTGTATATTGTCTATGGTACCAAATGGGCTTATAAATAAAGAAGTCCTCGTTAATTAAGCAAATAAGCCCAAATGCTTTTCAAGTGTGATTTTAGCAATCTCTGGTAAATAAACATTGTTTTGTATTCTCTTTATTTTAAAAACATTTTTATTTATTTACTTTTTTATAGATATGAACTCTCGCTATGTTGCCTCGGCTGGTCTCAAACTCCTGGGCTCAAGTGATCCTCCCACTTCGGCCTCCCAAAGTCAGTAAATATAGTTTTTAAATTGTTGG
The DNA here is from genome assembly GCF_000001405.40 of Homo sapiens. Lineage (NCBI taxonomy): Eukaryota > Metazoa > Chordata > Mammalia > Primates > Hominidae > Homo > Homo sapiens. The sequence continues at coordinate 39,650,484 of NC_000004.12, forward strand.
TAAAATAAAATAAAAACATATTCAAATTTTAATTCAGGTATTTTTTGCCTGGCTCTATTGTTTAGGTAGGTTTATGCTGTCACTGCTAGATGTTTTAATGCCATAAAACTGTTGCTTCTATGATATTTTTGATACTTGCTTATGAAGACATGAAAGTGTGGTTTTTGTTAAAGGGAAGATAATTTTGTATGATTTAGAGGTGGGATTTTTGTTTGTTTGTTTTTTGTTTTTTTTGGGTTTTGTTTGCGATGGAGTCTCACTCTGTCACCCAGGCTGGAGTGCAGTGGTGTGATCTTGGCTCACTGCAACCTCTGCCTCCCACGTTCAAGCAATTCTCCTGCCTCAGCCTCCCAAGTAACTGGGGTTACAGGCGCATGCCACCATGCCCAGTTAATTTTTGTATTTTTAGTAGAGACAGGGTTTTACCATGTTGGTCAGGCTGGTCTCTAACTCCTGACCTCAAGTGATCCACCAGCCTCAGCCTCCCAAAGAGCTAGGATTACAGGTGTGAGCCACTGTGCCCAGCCAGTTTAGAGGTTTTTAGAAGTTGTTTTAAAATTGAAAGAAAATATGATAAGACTAAATAGATCTAAAAGTTGGGGAAAGACAAAAATAGTCAAAAATTTGTAAGAGGGTATAAATAAACCAACTGCTAAAAAATTTTTGAGGAAGTTGAGGAAATATGAACACTGACCAGGTATTTACTGGTGTTAAAGAAAGATTGTTTTTGAAAAAGATGATAGCTTTGTGACTTTTTAACTTCTTTTTTTTTTTTTTCTCAGATGGCGTCTTGCTCTGTCACCCAGGCTGGGGTGCAGTGGTGTGATCTCAGCTCACTGCAACCTCTGCCTCCTGGGTTCAAGCAATTCTTCTGCCTCAGCCTCCCAAAGAGCTGTGATTACAGACGTGTGCCACAATACCCGGCTAAGTTTTGTATTTTTATTATTATTTTATTTATGTGTTTATTTATTTATTTATTTATTTATTTTGAGATGGAGTCTTGCTGTGTCGCCCAGGGTGGAGTGCAGTGGTGCGATCTCTGCTCGCTGCAGCCTCTGCCCCCCAGGCGATTCTCCTGCCTCAGCCTCCCGAGTAGCTGGGATTACAGGTGCCCGCCACCATACCCGGCTAATTTTTGTATTTTTAGTAAAGACAGGGTTTTGCCATGTTGGCCAGGCTGATCTCGAACTCCTGACCTCAAGTGATCTGTCTGCCTTGGCCTCCCAAGGCAGGGAGCCTGCTGGGATTACAGGCATGAGCCACCACGCCCAGTCAAAATGTTTTAAATGTTTCTATACCACCATCTGTGTCAAAGAGCAAATGGTCTCTCTGCAGCTGGAACAACAAAAACTCAAATGGTCCACACAGTGGTTCATACCTATAAGTCACCAAACCTAAACTAAGTTGTTATCTGACCTTCTGGAAATGAGAAGAGATAGATAACTGCCAGTTTCCCAAACAGGCCAGTTTAAATCTTCCTGTAAGCATGATAAGGAAGTTCCCTCTGATTTAATCCTTACACACGAAAAAGTAGCCTTAAATAACCTGATATTAACTCATCAGTTTTATTTTTATTTATTTATTTTTTTTTGAGACAATGTCTTGCTCTGTCACCCAGGCTGGAGTGCAGTGGCACAATCTCGGCTCACTGCAATCTCCGCCTCCCGGGTTCACGCCATTCTCCTGCCTCAGCCTCCCGAGTAGCTGGGACTACAGGTGCCTGCCACCACACCCGGCTAATTTTTGTATTCTTAGTAGAGATGGGGTTTCACCGTGTTAGCCAGGATGGTCTCGATCTCCTGACCTTGTGATCCACCCCCCTCGGCCTCCCAAAGTGCTGGGATTACAGGTGTGAGCCACCGCGCCTGGCCACTCATCAGTTATTTTTCTATCATTTTGTCTTTCTGTCCCCACTTTACAAGAAAAGTGACTTTGAAAGGACTAATAACATTATTCGTTTTTTGCTTCTGCTTTCTTCAGCCCTTCTCTGTCTGTAAAGCCAGCTTCTTTTGCACAGCTCACTGCAACACTTATTTTTATTTGTATTTTTATTTTTTGAGACAATGTCTCACTCTGTCACCCGGGCTGGAGAGTGGAGAGTACTAATGCAGTCTTGGCCCACTGCACCTTCACCCTCCTCAACTCAAGCAATCTTCCTGCCTCAACTTCCCTGGCAGCCAGGACTACAGGCTTGCACCACTATACCCAGCTAATTTTTAAAATTTTTTTTTTTGTAGAGACAGGGTCTTGCTATGTGGGCCAGACTGGTCTCAAACTCCTGGCCTCAAGGGATCCTTCTTCCTTGGCCTGCCAAAGTGCTGGGATAGAATAAGTGTGCCGGGGCCACCATGCCCAGGCCACCACACCTGGCCCACTTATTCTATTTTATGGAATGAAGTGTTACCCAATTCTGGCTTTTTTTGAGACAGGGTCGTGCACCGTTGCTCAGGCGGGAATGCAGTGGCACGATCTTGGAACACTCCAACCTCCACCTCCAAGGCTCAAGCCATCTTCCCACCTCAGCCTCCCGAGTAGCTGGGGCCACAGGCGTGTGCCACCACATCCAGCTAATTTTTGTATTTTTTGTAGAGATGGGGTTTTGCCATGTTGCCCAGGCTGGTTTGGTCTCAAACTCCTGGTCTCAAGCCATCCACCCACCTTGGTCTCCCAAAGTGCTGGGATTACAGATGTGAACCAACATGTCCAGCCTTTTTTTTTTTTTGAGACAAATTCTGGCTCTGTCACCCAGACTGGAGTGCAGTGGTGCCATCTTGGCTCACTGCAACCTCCACCTCCGAGGCTCAAGCAATTCTCTCACCCCAGCCTCCTGAGTAGCTAGGACCACAGGTGCTCACCACCACGCCTGGTTAACTTTTGTGTTTTTTGTAGAGATGGGGTTTTGCCATGTTTCCTATGCTGGTCTGGAACTCATGAACTCAACAGATTGTCCCACCTCAGCCTCTCAAAGTGCTGGGATTACAGGTATGAGCCACCACACTCAGCCTGCCCAATTCTAGAACTGCAATAAAGTCAGTTGAGATCTTTGCATTTGTTGTAATTTGTCCTTTGACCGGGATGATACAGGAACTTGAATACAAGACTTTCCTAGTTTACTACAAGTTTATTTTTCAATGCTAACTCAGTAGTCACTGGACTGGGTCTGTAATTAAGGGTCCCAGAGGTTTGATAGTATTCTAAAACAATGTACCATATGTATTCATTTGAACCTAACTGCAAAAATCCTAAAGGGCTTGATGAGACAGATTATTCCTTCCCCAGTCTTGCAGAGTTGGAGCTAACTGTGCAAATGTTTTGTTGCCTAGTGGAGAGGATAGCTGCATTTTCTCCACTTATCCAATTTGCCTTCTATGATTAATAATGGACTAGAAGGGAAGTCAGTGTGTATCTCATCTTACTACCAGACATATGGACTAGTCCAGTGGCTGAGCCAGAGGGACCTACTTAGGGGAAAATGTTCAGATTAAAATTAATGATTAAGGAAAGAAAGGTGAAATTGTTGCTGAAGGGAAAGTCAATAAATGTGTTGTATAAAAGGAAAAAACTAACAATTTTGGTGAGGCATAAAGAGAGGCTTAGAACAAGAGAATAGTCTTAGCTTGGACTCACATGTTTGTTGGGGAGAAGAACTCTAGCAAAACAACTTCTTTTGAAGAGCCAAGAAGTAAGCTGAATGAAAACAGCAAAAATTATCAGGAGTAGTCTATATTTTCAATATGAATGAAAAAAGGGGAGCTCCAACTATGACTATAGAAAATGCTAATGTGGGTATGTCTTTTGGTTTTTGTTTCACAGGACATTATTGCTAGAGGAGAATTTGCCTAAGGAAGATATAGACTTGGTTAATGATAGGTTATGATTCCTTTTTTTTTTTTTTTTTTTGAGATGGAGTCTTGTTGTCTCCCAGGCTGCTGGAGTGCAATGGTGCAATCTCGGCTCACTGCAACCTCTGCCTCCTGGATTCAAGCGATTCTCCTGCCTCAGCCTCCCAAGTAGCTGGAATTACAGGTGCCCACCACCAAGCTTGGCTAATTTTTGTATTTTTGGTAGAGATGGGGTTTTTCAATTTTGGCCATGCTGGTCTAGAACTCCTGACCTCAGGTGATCCACCCACCTCTGCCTCCCAAAATGCTGGGATTACAGGTGTGAGGCACCGTGCCCAGCCAGATATTAATATTAACTAAATATATTCTTTTTTTTTTTTTTCGAGATGGAGTTTCACTCTCGTTACCCAGGCTGGAGTGCAATGGCACAATCTTGGCTCACCGCAACCTTTGCCTCCTGGGTTCCAGCGATTCTCCTGCCTCAGTCTCCCAAGTAGCTGGGATTACAGGCATGTGCCACCACACCCGGCTAATTTTTTTGTATTTTTAGTAGAGACAGGGTTTCACCATGTTATCCAGGATGGTCTCAATCTCCTGACCTCGTGACCTGCCCGCCTCAGCCTCCCAAAGTGCTGGGATTATAGGCGTGAGCCACTGCGCCCAGCAATATTAACTAAAAATATTCTAAGACAATACAGGCATGCAGTTAGATTATCATCAGTGCCCTGTTTAAAAGATTTAAAAAGTCTGGGCTAATGCCTATAGTCCCAGCACTTTGGGAGGCTGAGGCAGGAGGATCACTTGAGCCCAGGAGTTTGAGATCAACATGGGCAACATTGTGTCTATTATTTTTTTTTTTAAAAAGGAAAACAAAAAAAAAGGTAAAATATATTAAGGATAGAATATTACCTAATTTAGGGGGAAATGGAGAAAAACTAATAAGCAGAATATTTTGACTTCAGAACCCCACTACTTAAGAGGGAAGTCAAAACTGGCTGTTCCAATTCCAATTCCAACCATCCTCAACACATAGCAGTTTACTTGACATTAAAATACTTGGCTACACTTTCAGTTGCTATGATATCAGGATGTAGTTGGCCAAGAGTGTGGTCAGATTCCAAAAAATGATGTTATGATAGTCAAACATACAATATAGTTTAAACATAATCTAGAGTCTCCTCTAACTCCAAGCTAAGGGCATCATGGTTCATATCTAAACTGAGAGTGTGAGAAAATGTAAAGAAAGGTGTTCATGGATAAATTGGTATGTTTTGTGAAATGTTTTGTAGCATCCAACGTGAATTGAAATGGGAAGAAGTTGGAAACAGAAACCTACCAAGAAATCACTTTTAGTTCTTGAGTATTAATTAACTAGGGCCAGAGCAAAAGTTTTGAGAGAGCATAAGATCAGTTGAATCCAGCAGATAAGAATGAAAGAGATGATATTTGGCAATATTTTGAAAACATAGTATTAAGCAGTCTTACCTTAAAATTATAGAAAACAATATATTAATATTTGTATTTGGACTGGACAAAATCTATGACTAAAATTTCTAGGCAGAATGATCTATAACGGGTGGAGGCCTGCTTTTCCTACTGGAAGACTACTTACAAACATAATTTAAGACCAGATACAATTTCGATGATTAAATCATAGAACTACTGAGTAATATAAGGCCAAGGACAGAAACTGTGGTTATTTAGTGATTGAATAAACATGACATAGAAACAGAACACACAGTACTTGGCTTTGATAAGTAGTTCTCCACCCAAATACTGAAAATCATAAGCAATGACTGCCATTAAATTATGGATGACTCTGCCCGCCAGTTGTTTGCAAGCAGAGTAAATAGACCATCAGGGACAGGGTAAAGTGAAACTTAATAGTCATTAGCCAGCAATAGTTGAGCAATTTTTTTTTTTTTTTTGAGATGGAGTCTTGCTCTGTCACCCAGAATGGAGTGCAGTGGCACAATCTTAGCTCACTGCAACCTCCACCTCCCAGGTTTAAGCGATTCTCCTGCCTCAGCCTCCCGAGTAGCTGGGATTACAGGTGTCTGCCACCATACCCGCTAATTTTTTTTGTACTTTTAGTATAGAGGGGGTTTCACCATGTTGGCCAAGCTGGTCTCGAACTCCTGACCTCAAGTGATCCACTCGCCTTGGCCTCCCAAAGTGCTGGGATTACAGGCGTGAGCCACTGCACCTGGCCTTTTTTTTTTTTTTTTTTTGAGACAGAGTCTCACTCTGTCACCCAGGCTGGAGCATGATCTCGGCTCACTACAACCTTCCCCTCCCGGGTTCAAGTGATTCTTGTGCCTCAGCCTCCTGTGTAGCTGGGATTACAGTGCACACCAACACGCCCAGCTAATTTTTTGTATTTTTAGTAGAGATGAGGTTTCGTCATGTTGCCCAGGCTGGTCTCAAACTCCTGAGCTCAGGCAATCCACCCACTTCAGCCTCCCAAAGTGCTAGGATTACAGGCGTAAGCCACTGCCCCAGGCCATCTTGAGCAATTTTGATGTGCCAGGTCTTGTGCTATGCGTTGGGCATAGTATATAATTTTCCCAATAATGCTGTAGCTCAGCAGTCCCCAACCTTTTTGGCACCAGGGACTGGTTTTGTGTAAGACAGTTTTTCCACCGGCTGGGGTAGGGGTAACAGGGGGAGGGGGATGGTTTCAGGATGAAACTGTCAACTATAAATCATCAGGCATTAGATTTTCATAAGGAGCACGCAACCTAGATCCCTCACATGCACGGTTCACAATAGGGTTCGTGTTCCTACGAGAATCTAATGCTGCCGCTGATCTGACAGGAGGTGGAACTCAGGCAGTAATGCTCACTCAAGACAGGGTTTCACCATGTTGGCCAGGCTGGTCTCAAACTCCTGACCTCAAGGGATCCGCCCGTCTCGGCCTCCCAAAGTGCTGGAATTACAGGCGTAAGCCACCGCACCCGGCCAGCAAAATTTTATTGGAAACTCAAACAACTATTGCCTGGGCTCTTGGAATTCTCACTATTCTGAGGTAAAGCTACAAGCCATGTGTTTGATTTGGATACATCTGGGATTTTCAAGTTCTGGGATTTTTTTTTTCACCCTAAGTTGATTAACAAAGATGGACTAATAGAAGTCAACCTCAGGTTCGCTCTTTAAACCGAGATCAAAACCTAAACAGCCAGTTCTCTGCTGCCTCGTCCTGGTTTCCTTTAATTGTCAAGAATTAAAAGGTGTAGAAGGCATTTCTTCAGAGAGAGAAGGGGAGAGGGAGAGAGAGAGGAAATGAAAGTCAAGCTACTGTGAAACCTAAAGTTCCATGAAGTTAAAAAAAAAAAGTCCCTAACCAAATAGTCTAGTTCTCTATCACTCAGAATCTCAATCACTTTGTAAGTCTCACCCAGGTAAGTGTCCAGACATGACCATGGAGGGAAGAATAAGCAGGAATTTGTCTGCTTCTGCTTTCTGGTAGTACTTTTTTTTTTTTTCAAGACGGAGTCTCGCTGTGTCGCCCAGGCTGGAGTGCAGTAAACTGATCTCAGCTCACTGCAAGCTCCACCTCCCGGGTTCACGCCATTCTCCTGCCTCAGCCTCCCGAGTAGCTGGGACTGCAGGCGCCTGCCACCACACTCAGCTAATTTTTTGTATTTTCGGTAGAGACGGGGTTTCACCGTGTTAGCCAGGATGGTCTCAATCTCCTGACCTCGTGATCCACCCACCTCAGCCTCCCAAAGTGCTGGGATTACAGGCGTGAGCCACCGCGCCCGGCCGCTAGACAGTACTTTCAAAACAATTTTTGCATTTCCATGGTAACTCCAAATCCCTCATCCTTGTCTTACTCCATTATGGGTCCTGATACACATCCAGTAACCTTCCTGAAAGGTATGGTTGAGAGAAATAGGATGAGTGAGAAGATTGGAAAGGGGAGGCAATGCAGACCTAGAAAACCACTGAGTAATTATAAATTAACATTTTCAACATATGACATAGGGCAATGACAGGGAAAACAGTTCCCATATATTATATTGTATGGAGGAAATTTGCTTCTACTTCCCTTTCTTCTCATCCCTTTTTTCCTTTATCACCTTTTACAGCTTTTTTTTTTTTTTTTTTAGACGGAGTCTTGCTCTGTCGCCCATGCTGTAGTGCAGTGGCGCGATCTCAGCTCACTGCAAGCTCCACCTCTCAGGTTCACGCCATTCTGCTGCCTCATCCTCCCAAGTAGCTGGGACAACAGGTGCCCACCACCACGCCCGGCTAATTTTTTTTGTATTTTTAGTAGAGACAGGGTTTCACCGTGTTAGCCAGGATGGTCTCAATCTCCTAACCTCGTGATCCGCCCACCTTGGCCTCTCGAAGTGCTGGGATTATAGGCGTGAGCCAACACGCCCGGCCTACAGCTTTTTTTGTTTCTTTTTATTGGATTTACATTTTTTCAATATGTTCTTTGTCTCACTGGTCCTCCTTTTCATTTTTCTTTCCACTGCTTATTACATTGTAGATATTTATATTTAAAAAGTTGCCACACTGCACTTTTTGTTCTGTGTCTTGAATAAAAATGGGGCAAGAGGAGAAGTTTAAGATATAAGAAATTTGTGTTAGGTTCATTTTCTGCCTCTGTAGAGAAATAGTGCCTTCTAGTGTTTGCAACAATCTGTGGGGTTTTCTTTTTGTTTTGTTTTATTTTGTTTGTTTTTGTTTTTTTGTTTTTTCCAGACGGAGTTTTGCTCTTGTCGCCCAGGCTAGAGTTCAGTGGTGCTATCTGGGCTCACCTCAACCTCTGCCCCCGGGTTCAAGCAATTCTCCTGCCTCAGCCTCCCTAGTAGCTGGGATTACAGGTGCCTGCCACCATGCCCATCTGATTTTTGTATTTTTAGTAGTAGAGACGGGGTTTCACCATGTTGGCCAGGCTGGTCTCGAACTCCTGACCTTATGTGATCTGCCCGCCTCAGCCTCCCAAAGTGCTAGGATTACAGGCATGAGCCAGCCACCATACCAGGCTATTGCAATAACATTTGTATTTGCACCATTTCAGTTCATCTGAAAAGTAAAATAATATTTTTTAGAAAAAAAGTTTTATGCTTTTTGAAGTTCTCCTGCCATATTTATTAAATATATGCATACCATTATTATCTCCATTTTAGAGATAAAAAGCTAGAATCATAAAACATTTATTTAGGGGCTGGGCACAGTGTCTCACTTCTGTAATCCCAGCATTTTGGGAGGCCAAGGCAGGAAGATCACTTGAGCTCAGGATTTCGAGACCAGCCTGGGCAACATAGGGAGATACTATCTCTACAAAAACATTAAAACATCAGCTGAGTGTGGTGGCACACACAGTCTCAGCTGCTCAGGAGGCTAAGGTGGGAAGATTGCTTGAACCCAGGAGTTTGAGGCTAAAATGAGCCATGATCGTGCCACCACACTCCAGCCTGGGCAACAGAGAGAGACCATGTCTTAATCAAAAAACAAATTTATTTATTAGTGAGTTGATGATAGCACTTAAACCAAACATATGAAAGGGTTTAAAAAATGTGGCCGGGCACAGTGGCTCACGCCTGTAATCCCAGCACTTTGGGAGGCCAAGGCAGGCAGATCACCTGAGGTCAAGAGTTCGAGACCACCCTGGCCAACATGGAGAAACCCCATTTCTACTAAAAATACAAAAATTAGACAGGCATGTTGGTGTGTGCCTGTAATCCCAGCAACTTGGGAGGCTGAGGCACGAGAATCGCTGGAACCTGGGAGACGGAGGTTGCAGTGAGCCGGGATTGCACTACTGCACTCCAGCCTGAGAGACAGAGCAAGACTCTGTCTCATTAAAAAAAAAAAAAGATGCGTTTCTTGTAAAACATTCCCCACTCAGCTGCCATCAGTCATCAAATGGTGAGAAGACAGATCACAAAAATATGATTCATAATAATGCCAAACCCACGAAGATGATGCCACAGAAAGAGAATTGCAAAAGCTGATTGTTGGAGGACAGTTGCATGAACAAGAAATGTTATGGGAGGGTTGCTCAAACTCTAATCTCTCAAGGTAACCCTTTTAGGAGTGATTGAAGATATGTCTTCTTTGGTTCTGCTGCTCCTGAGTCACCTTTATTTCTCCTAGAACTGTCATGTTTCTCTGGAAAAGAACCACGCTCTCAGAGAAGCAGACATATTCCTTAAGAGATTTACCAGATGTGAGAATTTAGTTGTAGCCCTGTATTTCCCAGCTTCCTGTGGGTTTGTATAAGCATTCCCTGAAATGGATTCTCACTTGTTGACTATCATGAAAATGTGAGAAGAGGTATGTGTGTGTTTATATCCATAATATTAGGCAGGGTTCTCCAGAGAAAAACAACTAATAGGGTGTGTATATACATGTATATATATGCATACAGATATATAAAGAGATTTATTATAAGGAATTAGTTCATGTGATTGTGGAGGGTGACAAGTTTCATGATCTGCAGGATGAGGTGGCAAGCTGAAGAGCTGATGGTGTAGTTCCAGTCAGAGTCTGAAGGCCTGGGAACCAGGACAGCAATGTTTCAGTTTGAATCTAAAGGGAAGAAAAATTATCTTGTATTTGAGATAGTTTTTTTGGTGAATTTTTTTGTTCTGTTCAGGCCTTCAACTGATTGGATGAGACCCACCCACATTAGGGAAGGCAATCTGCTTTACTCAGCCTGCAGATTCAAATATTAATTTCGTGTGTGTGTGTGTGTGTTTGTGACGGAGTCTTGCTCTGTCGCCCAGGCTAGAGTACAGTGGCACGATCTCGGCTCACTGCAACCTCTACCTCCCCAGTTCAAGTGATTCTCCTGCCTCAACCTCCCGAGTAGCTGTGATTACAGGCGCCCACTACCGCACCCGGCTAATTTTTGTATTTTTAGTAGAGACAGGGTTTCACCGTGTTGGCCAGGCTGGTCTGGAACTCCTCACCCCGTGATCCACCCGCTTGGCCTCCCAAAGTGCTGGAATTACAGGCGTGAGCCACCACACCCAGTCTGTTTTTTTTTGTTTTTTGTTTGTTTGTTTGTTTGTTTGTTTTTTAAGAGACAGAGTCTTGCTCTGTCACCCAGGCCAGAGTGGTGCAGTCGTATGATCCTTGCTCACTGCAGCTTTGAACTCCTGGGCTGAAGCCATCCTCTGCTTCAGCCTCCTAAATAGCTGGGACTACAGCCCGTGCCACCATGTCCAGCTAATTTTTTTTTAGGGAGACAGGATCTTGCTGTGTTGCCCAGGCTGGTCTCAAACTCCTGGTCTTAAGTGATCCTCTCACCTCAGCCACCCAAGGCACTGGGATTACAGGCATAACCCACCTCACCCAGCCCTCAAATGTGCCTAGAAACACTTTCACAGACACACTGAGAATGTTTTACCAAATATCTGGGCACCCCATGGCATAATCAACTTGATACATAAGATTAACCATAGCCAGGCATGGTAGATCATGCCTGTATTCCCAGGACTTTGGGAGGCCGAGGTGGGCAGATCACCTGAGTTCAGGAGTTCAAAACCAGCCTGGCCAACAGGGCAAAACCTCATCTCTACTAAAAATACAAAAATTAGCCGGGTGTGGTGACATGCATCTGTAGTCCCAGCTACTCGGGAGGCTGAGGCAGGAGAATCATTTGAACCTGGGAGGTGGAGGCTGCAGTGAACTGAAAATACAGGAAAATAAAAAATTAAAAAAAAAAAGCAGCAGCAGCTTGTCATTCCATAATTAGGAGAAGGAGAAAACCATCTTTGAAATTTTGCTGTGTTTGGGCTGGGCACGGTGGTTGGTTCAGCCTTGTAATCCCTGCATTTCGGGAGACCAACCTGGGAGGATTGCTTGGGCCCAGGAGTTTGAGACCAGCCTGGGCAATGTCGTGAGACCTCATCTTTCTCTCTCTATATATATTTTTTGAGATGGAGTCTGGCTCTGTTGCCCAGGCTAGAGTGCAGTGGTGTGATCTCAGCTCACTGCAATCTCCACCTCCCAGGTTCAAGCGATTCTCCTGCCTCAGCCTCCAAGTAGCTGGGACTATAGGCACCCACCAGCACACCCGGCTAATTTTTGTATTTTTAGTAGAGACGGGGTTTCACCATATTGGCCAGGCTGGTCTGGAACTCCTGACCTTGTGATCCCTCCACCTCGGCCTCCCAAAGTGCTGGGATTACAGGCATGAGCCACCACGCCCGGCCTATAATTTTTTTTTTTTTTTTTTTGAGATGGGAGTCTCGCTCAGCCGCCCAGCCTGGAGTGTGGTGGCAGGATCCCGGCTTACTGCAACCACTGTCTCCCATGTTCAAGCGATTCTCCTGTCTCAATTTCCTGAGTAGCTGGGATTACAGGCACCCGCCATCATGCCCAGCTAATTTTTTTTGTATTTTAATAGAGACAGGGTTTCACCATGTCGGCCAGGCTGGTCTTGAACTCCTGACCTCAGCTAATCCGCCCACCTCGGCCTCCCAAAGTGCTAAGATTACAGGTGTGAGCCACCGCACCCGGTCAATTTTTTTTTTTTAATTAGCCGGGCCTGGTGCCCAGAAGGTCAAGGCTTCAGTGAGCTATGATCATTCCACTGCACTTCAGCCGAGGTGAAAGAGTGAAACCCTGTCTCAAAAAGAAATTTTGCTGTGTTTGCCTTATACTTCTGACCATGGTGGAACAATTGATAGTGGATAGCTCTCCCACTGAAATCAACTGTAAAACTGGACAAAACATATGTAGTAACTATATTCAGGCAGAATAAAGTAAACAGCAGAAGACTGCAATTTCTGAGAGAAAGGAAACTCATGAGGTGAGCCCCATGATTGATCAGCTGTCTGCCTGGGGACAACTCCCTAACTATAATGCAGAGGGCTTGATTCTGAGCAGAGCATAGCGGTCCTGCTGACTGAGGTTGTAGATACGAGAGTCTGGGACCACTGAGCTAAGTGAAATCTCTGGGGCAAGGCATTAGAGAGGAACCAAGCTATGCAGAAAAGTCTTTATCAACACAGAAAAAGCGTTTGACAAAATTTCTTTTTTTTTTTTTTCATTTTTTTCCCCACACTACATAGATGCTTTTTTTTTTTTTTTTTTTTGAGAGAGAGAGTCTCGCTGTGTCACCCGTGCTGGAGTGCAGTGGCATGATCTTGGCTCACTGCAACCTCCGCCTTCCAGGTTCAAGTGATTCTCCTGCCTAAGCCTCCTGAGTAGCTGGGACTACAGGCGCCCGCCACCACGCCCGGCTAATTATTTTTTTTTTTGTACTTTTAGTAGAGATGGAGTTTCAGCATGTTGGTCAGTCTGGTCTTGAACTCCTGACCTCAAGCCTCAAGTGATCCACCTGCCTCGGCCTCCCAAAGGGCTTGGATTACAGGTGTGAGCCACTGCACCTGGCCTTTTTTGTTTTGTTTTGTTTAGAGAGAGAGATGGAGTCTTAGTATGTTACCCCCAGGTTGGTCTAGAACCCCTGGGCTCAAGCAATCCTCCCACCTCAGCCTCCCAAAGTGTTGGGCCTACAGGCGTGAGCCACCACATCCGGCCCAACATTCAACAAAATTTAATAACCATTCATGACATAAATTATCAGGGAACTAGGAATAGATGAGAACTTCCTTTGAAGTTTAAGTAGAAACATGTACAAAAATTACAACTAGTATATTTAATGGTAAAATAGTGAATGCTTTCTCCTCGAGACTGGGAATAAAGCTAAGATAACCACATTTACTACTTCCATTATATTGTATCAGAGGTCTTATCAAATATAGCAAGGCAAAAATAAAGATATAGAAATTCAAAAGTCCTGGAATTTGAAGACCCCAAGAACCAGGAGCTCCAATGTCTAAGCATGGGAGAAGATGAATGCCCCAGCTCAAAAAGAGAGAGAGTGAATTTGCCCTTATTCCACGTGTGTGTGTGTGTGTGTGTGTGCGCGCGCGCGCGCGCATGACGGAGTCTCACTCTGTCACCCAAGCTGGAGTGCAATGGCGCAATCTCGGCTCCCTGCAACCTTTGCCTCCTGGATTCAAGCAATTCTCCTGTCTCAGCCTACTGAGTAGCAGGGACTACAGGTGTGCATCACCACACCCAGTTAATTTTTGTATTTTTAGTAGAGATAGGGTTTCACCATGTTGGTCAGCCTGGTCTCGAACTCCTGACCTCAAGTGATCCACCTGCCTCAGCCTCCCAAAGTGCTGGGATTACAGGCGTAAGCCACCGCGCCCAGCCTCTTCTTCCACCTTTTTATTCTATTTGGGTTCCCAATGAATTGAATGATGCCCATCCACATTTATGAGGGCAGACCCTCTTTACTCAGTCAACTGATACAAATGCTGGTCTCTTCCAGAAACACCCTCACAGACACATCCAGAAATAATGTTTTACCAGCTATCTGGGCATCCCTTAGTCCACCCAAGTTGACCCCAAATTAACTATCACACCATCTTACCAGCTCCCTTTCCCACATCCAAACAATCACTGAATCCTGTTAATGTAACTTCTAAGTCAGCTTAAGTTTTGGCATTCTCTCTTTTTCAGTACCAATTCTTAGATCACTGCCTAGACTAATAAAATAATCTCTTAATTGGTGATTCTGCCTAGAGTCAGCTCTTCACAAATCATCCTGTGTGTTGTTGCCAGGGTGTTCTTTCTGAGATCTTTCTCTAACTATGTCATTTCCCCATTTAAAACCCTCTGCAGGACAGGACAAAGTTCAAATTCCTTTACATCTGAATCCCATTCTCCACCTTATGCATTGCACTGGAACATTGTAAATCTCTTTGTTTCCTGCACACATCATGCTCTTGTACATGGTGTTCTGCTGCCTGGAATGTCCTTTCCACCTTGACTTCTTGCTGCATACCTATTCATCCTTTCAAATCTGGTGCCTGCAACCACTTGCTGGTGTTCTGTGACACTTTCTTGAATCTCACAGTGAGAATATCCTCCTCTGCACTATTTCACGACCTTGCACATAGTTCATTTGTTTCATACATCACACACTGTTGTGTTACGTATTGACATGGCTGTCTTCACAACTAGGCTCTGAGCACCTTAAAGGCTGGGACTGACGCCAGTCACAATCTAATGCAAAGGACAGTGCTGTTATGGAAATGTTTATTGAACTGAACTGAAAATCCTGCCACATAAAGAGAGCTTAGGAAGGACAGAGAAGAGATAGAATGCTGAAAATGCCAAGCATAAACTTTGCAGTGGCTGAATTGTAAGAAATTCACCCAAAGAGTCAGCTCTGAGTCACCTCTTTTGAGGTTCAAAATCACACAAATGAAGCAACTGAACATAGAATTTAACCACTTACTTTGAAGAGGGTTTCTTGCTAGCCATTCAGGAAAATACAAAATGATGCAAATATCTTTTTAAAATAAAGAATATATAGAAATTCAAATCAAGTATTAAAATGTAAGGCTAGTTCACCTCCTCAGAGAGAATGAATAACTTGGAAGAGGAAAAAATGGTCTAAAAATTTCTATTAGGATAGTATCTCTTCTTTTTCCTGCATTATCATTTTGTATTTTCTAAGAGATAGAACTCACTTTCTGTTCCTACCATTTTATAAGGCCTCTATTTTAGCAGTAAATTGGTTGAATTACTGCCTGAAACTCTACATTTTAGATGAAATATTATAAATAGGATATTTTGTGAATTGCAGTTACTTGTTACATAAAGGAACAGCTATAAAAACGCATCGAAATAGGTAAGACATTTTGAAAAGCAAGATTTTGTATTGAACTGTCTGTGATGCATTGTAATAGGTTAGTCCAAAAATACTAACTTGGTTTTCTTTTCTTTTTTTTTTCTTTTTTCTTTTTTTTAGCTCAAAGCACCTGTCATAAAAATATTAACTTGTAATAAAAGTGTTTAGTAACACTAATATGTGATGGCAATTTCAGGAAAGTCAATGTTCTGAGCAAGAAGAACAAGGAACAGAAGGTATAATGATAACAGATGAGAGAGGAAAAAGCAGACTCAATCAACTCCTACTTTTCCATCATTTTTCCGTTACAGAGAATTATCCTCAAATTAGAAGGAGTAGGACCTACATGGTAAAGAAAAAATTTACGTGCAAGGCAGATGAGGAAGTAAGAGAGCATCCAGCCCCTTCACACAACTTCATTCTCTGTCTTACCGAAAGAATGTGAAATGTGGTGGTAGCTTTACTGGGGACAGGAGAGGTGCCAGAAGTTTGAAGATGGACTAATCTCCTTGTTTTCTAAAAGAAGAACCTATAAGTCTCTGAGCACATTTTTCTTTGGCAAAATTCTGGAATGGATAATTAGACAAATGGTTTGTGAATCTTTAGAAAAGTGGCAAAAACAAGGCACAGCATAAATTCACTAAAAAATAAGTGGACCTAAACTAAGCATTCTTTCTTCCTGATAGGAATCCTACTTTCCTTGGTCTGACACCTGCAGGGTCAAGTATGGGCCTTGGAGTCAGCTGAGGCTGAATTCCAATTCCAGTTCCACCACTCCAAAAGTGACACTTGGACACCAAATTCTCTGAGACCCTCCTGTAATGCAAATTTAGTGGAGCTACTTTGGGGTTAGCTCTCTCTCCCCCAGGGCCTTCCTTGAGACCAGTTTCACACATGGTCTCATTACAAAACAGTAACAACAAAAACCCCAATTTTGGAGGCATTAATAAATAATGGGGATTATATTATACATAACAAAGCAAAATATTCATAAAAATCATCTTCTATAACCTGGGTCTGGCTGGGTGCAGTGGCTTACACCTGTATTCCCAGCACCTTGGGAGGTCAAAGTGGGCAGATCGCTTGAGCCCAGGAGTTCCAGACCAGCCTGGGCGACATAGGAAAACCCCATCTCTACAAAAAATACAACAATTAGCCAGGAATGATGGTGGGTGCCTGTAGTCCCAGCACTAGGGAGGCTAAGGCAGGAGGATCACTTGAGCCCAGGAGTTTAAGACCAGCCTGGTTAACATAGGAAGGCCCCGTCTCTTCCAAAAATACAAAAATTAGACCAGGCACGGTGGTTCACACCTGTAATCCCAGCATTTTGGGAGGCCAAGGCAGGTGGATCACCTGAGGTCAGGAGTTTGAGAGCAGCCTGGCCAACAAGGTGAAACCATGTCTCTACTAAAAATACTAAAATTAACCAGGACTGGTGGCGGATGTCTGTAATCCCAGCTACTTGGGAGGCTGAGGCAGGAGAATCCCTTGAACCCAGGAGGCAGAGGTTGCAGTGAGCCAAGGTTATGCCATTGCACTCCAGCCTAGGAAACAAGAGTGAAACTCTGTCTCGGAAAAAAAAAAAAAGCTATGTATGATGGTGGGCACCCATAGTCTCAGCTACCAGGGAGGCTGAGGTGGGAGGATCACTTGAGCCCAGGAGGTCAAGGCTGCAGTGAGCCGTGATTGCACCACTGTACTCCAGGCTTGGCAACAGAGCAAAAAATAGAACCTGACTCCTTCCCTAAAATTCTTCCCTTAGGAATCTACATCATTTCCTTCACCTCTTAACTCCCTGAAAACAACAAAAACAAAACAAAACAAAAAAAAGCAGCTACTACTTTCTCTACAACTTCTCCAGGCATACTTCTCTTTCTGCTTTCCCAGTGGTCATTAAAAGAAAAGGCAGCCAACAATATTTGGAAAAACAAACGTGGTTAGCTAAAACTAGACCACACTCATGTAGGCATTACAGGTCCTCAATCCTTCTCCCATAATAAAAATTAAAACAATAATACTTAGAAAGTTTTTGAGGGGACTAAGTTAAAAGTAATCTATCAAGGCTAGGTGTGATGGCTTACACCTATAATCCCACCACTTTGGGAGGACAAGGCCGTAGGACGGATTGAGGCCAGGAGTTCAAGAGCAGCCTGAGCAACACACTAACACGCTGTCTCTACAAAATATATATCTATATCTATATATATCTATATATAGATATATACAGATTTTTTTTTTGAGACAATGCCTTGCTCTGTCAGCCAGGCTGGAGTGCGGTGGCACGATCTTGGCTCACTGCACCCTCTGCCTCCCAGGTTCAAGCGATTCTTGTGCCTCACCCTCCCAAGTAGCTGTGATTACAGACATGCACCACCACACCCAGCTAATTTTTGTATTTTTAGTAGAGAGGGGGCTTCACCATGTTGGCCAGGCTGGCCTCAAACTCTGATCCCAAGTGATCCACCTGCCTCGGCCTCCCAAAGTGCTGGGATTGCAGGCAAGAGCCACCATGTCCAGCCTCTATAAAAAAATTTTAAAAATTAGCTGGGTGTGGTGGCATGCACTTGTAGTCATAGCTACTTGGGAAGCTGAGGCGAGAGGATTGCTTGAGCCTAGGAGGTTCAGGCTGCAATGAGCCATGACTGTGCCATTGCACTCCAGCCTAGATGATAGAGCAAGCAAGACCCTGTCTCAAAAAAACCCCAAACACACACAAACACACACACACACTTAAAGCTTGATCTGGCCACTCAATAAATGATAGTTTTTATTATTCATTACTGTTCTTACTACTGTGGTAGATCAAGAAAATGGTGTGGAACCTATGTCCTTCTTATTTAGAGGCATTTGACAAATCTTCATGAAGAAGGAGGGCTGGATGATAGCACAGTTTATTGGAAGCTGAGATTATGCAAAGGTTGAAATAGAAATTTCTAGCAATTTGTCAAAGGCCTCTATGACCCTTTACTGTTAAGCCTTTTTATGAATGACTTGGCATGAACAAGCATGGAGGAAGCATGCTTGTCAAATCTGCAGATAATACAAAACAGGGAGGGCTTGATGGATGAACGGCTGAATGACAGAATGCACATTTCAGGAGATCTAAAAAGGCTGAGCCAAGAAGGAATTTAAAGCTGAGTATGTGTGCTTGAAAAACATAACTGCTGCATAAAAACAGAATGATGAGACTTGGATTTACTAGTATTGCAAGTGAAAAAATACTGGAACATCTTGTTGACTACAAGCTCAAAAATGAACCATCTGTCGTTGTATAAAAGCTAAATAGCAATTGCAACAATGATGGCCCTACACACAGAATATTTCCTTTTTTTTTTTCTTTTCTAAAATAATTTTTAATTAAAAAGGAAATAGAGATGGGGTATTCTTGTGTTGCCCAGGCTGGTCTTGAACTCCTGTGCTTAAGCAATCCTTCCGTCTTGGCCTCCCCAAAGTGCTGGGATTACACACATGAAGCCACCATGCCCAGCCTATGTTCTTATTTCCCTACAGCATCAAGTAGTGGTGTCATAGCCTGAAGATCCCACGTTCTAGTTTTGGCTCTCCAGCATTTACTAGCTGCATGACCTTGGGCATGTTGGTGAAATTTTCTGAGTCTTAACCCTGAAATTCAAAAGAGGTAGGGAGGAGAGTTTGGACTAATTTATTACTTTGTGTTTGTGTGTGTGTTTGTGTGTGAATGAGACAGGGTCTCACTCTGTCACCCAGGCTGGAGTGCAGTGGTTCAATCATAACTCACTGCAGCCTTGAATTCCTGGGCTCAAGCAATCCTCCTGCCTCAGCCTTCTGAGTAGCTGGAACTATAAGCATGCACCACCATGCCTGGCTAATTTTTTTTTTTTTTTTTTTTTTTTGAGACAGAGTCTCTCTCTGTTGCCCAGGCTGGAGTGCAGTAGCACGGGCTCGGCTTGCTGCAACCTCCACCTCCCAGGTTCAAGCGATCCTCCTGCCTCAGCCCCTCTAGTAGCTGGGATTACAGGCACGCGCTGCAATGCCCGGCTGATTTTTGTATTTTTAGTAGAGATGGGGTTTCACCATGTTGGCCAAGCTGGTCTCGAACTCCTGACCTCAGGTGATCCACCCTCTTCAGCCTCCAAAGTGCTGGGATTACAGGCGTGAGCCACCATGCCCAGCCATGCCTGGCTAATTTTTTTTTTAATTATACTTTAAATTCTGGGATACACGTGGAGAACATGCGGGTTTGTTACATAGGTATAGACATGCCTTGGTGGTTTGCTGCACCTATCAACCTGTCATCTACATTAGGTATTTCTCCTAATGCTATCCTTCCCCTTGCTCCCCATCCCCTGACAGGCCCTGGTGTGTGATGTTCCCCTCCCTGTGTCCATGTAATCTCATTGTTCAACTCCCACTTATGAGTGCAAACATGTGGTGTTTGGTTTTCTGTTCCTGTGCTAGTTTGCTGAGAATGGTGGTTTCCAGCTTCATCCATGTCCCTGCAAAGGACATGAACTCATCCTTTTTTGTGGCTGCATAGTATTCCATAGTGTGTATGTGCCACATTTTCTTTATCCAGTCTATCATTGATGGGCATTTGGTTTGGTTCCAAGTCTTTGCTATTGTGAACAGTGCTGCAATAAACATACGTGTGCATGTGTCTTTATAGTAGAATGATTTATAATCCTTTGTGTATATACCCAGTAATGGGATTGCTGGGTCAAAT
Organism: Homo sapiens; assembly: GCF_000001405.40. Taxonomy (NCBI): domain Eukaryota; kingdom Metazoa; phylum Chordata; class Mammalia; order Primates; family Hominidae; genus Homo; species Homo sapiens. The sequence continues at coordinate 39,670,705 of NC_000004.12, forward strand.
GGTATTTCTGTTTCTAGATCCTTGAAGAGTCACCACACTGTCTTCCACAATGGTTGAACTAATTTACACTCCCACCAACAGTGTAAAAGTGTTCCTATTTCTCCACATCCTCTCCAGCAACTATTGTTATCCTGACTTTTTAATGATTGCCATTCTTTTTTTTTTTTTTTTTTTTTGAGACGGAGTCTCCCTCTGTTGCCCAGGCTGGAGTGCCATGGCACGATTTTGGCTCACTGCAAGCTCTGCCTTCCGGGTTCATGCCATTCTCCCGCCTCAGCCTCCCGAGTAGCTGGGACTACAGGAGCCTGCCACCACGCCCAGCTAAATTTTGGTATTTTTAGTAGACACGGGGTTTCACCATATTAGCCAGGATGGTCTTGATCTCCTGACCTTGTGATCTGCCCGCCTCAGCCTCCCAAAGTGCTGGGATTACAGGCATGAGCCACCATGCCCAGCCCTAATGATTGCCATTCTAACTGGTATTTCCTTGTGGTTTTGATTTGCATTTCTCTAATGACCAGTGATGATGAGCTTTTTTTCATCTGTTTGTTGGCCACATAAATGTCTTCTTTGGAGAAGTGTCTGTTCATATCTTTCGCCCACTTTTTGATGGGGTTGTTTGTTTTTTTTCTTATAAATTTGTTTAAGTTCTTTGTAGATTCTGGATATTAGTCCTTTGTCAAATGGATAGATTGCAAAAATTTTCTCCCATTCTGTAGGTTGCCTGTTCACTCTGATGATAGTTTCGTTTGCTCTGCAGAAGCTCTTTAGTTTAATTAGATCCCATTTGTCAATTTTGGCTTGTGTTGCCATTGCTTTGGTGTTTTAGTCATGAAGTCTTTGCCCATGCCTATGTCCTGAATGGTATTGCCTAGGTTTTCTTCTAGGGTTTTTATGGTTTTAGGTCTTATGTTTAAGTCTTTAATCCATCTTGAGTTAATTTTTGTATAAGGTATAAGGAAGGGGTCCAGTTTCAGTTTTCTGCATATGGCTAGCCAGTTTTCCCAACACCATTTATTAAATAGGGAATCCTTTCCCCGTTGCTTGTTTTTGTCAGATTTGTCAAAGATCAGATGGTTGTAGATGTGTGGCATTATTTCTGAGGCCTCTGTTTTGTTCCATTGGTCTATATATCTGTTTTGGTACCAGTACCATGCTGTTTTGGTTACTGTAGCCTTGTAGTAAGTTTGAAGTCAGGTAGCGTGATGCCTCCAGCTTTGTTCTTTTACTTAGGATTATCTTGGCTGTACAGGATCTTTTTTGGTTCCATATGAAATTTAAAGTAGTTTTTTCTAATTCTGTGAAGAAAGTCTATGGTAGCTTGATGCAGATAGTATTGAATCTATAAATTGAGCAGTATGGCCATTTTCACGATATTGATTCTTCCTATCTATGAACATTGACTGTTTTTCCATTTGTTTGTGTCCTCTCTTATTTCCTTGAGCAGTGGTTTGTAGTTCTCCTTGAAGAGGTCCTTCACATCCCTTGTAAGTTGGATTCCTAAGTATTTTATTCTCTTTTTGGCAATTGTGAATGGGAGTTCACTCATGATTTAGCTCTCTATTATTGGTATATAGGAATGCTTGTGATTTTTGCACATTGATTTTGTATCCTGAGACTTTGCTGAAGTTGCTTATCAGCTTAAGGAGATTTTGGGCTGAAACAGTGGGGTTTTCTAAACATACAATCATGTCATCTGCAAACAGGGACAATTTGACTTCCTGTCTTCCTATTTGAATACCCTTTCTTTCTCTCTCTTGCCTGATTGCCCTGGCCAGAACTTCCAATACTATGTTGAATAGTAGTGGTGAGAGAGGGCATCCTTGTCTTGTGCCAGTTATCAAAGGGAATGCTTCCAGCTTTTGCTCATTCCATATGATATTGGCCGTGGGTTTGTCATAAATAGCTCTTATTATTTTGAGATACATTCCATCAATACCTAGTTTATTGAGGGTTTTTAGCATGAAGGGTTGTCGAATTTTTATCAAAGGCCTTTTCTGCATCTATTGAGATAATCCTGTGGTTGTTGTCATTGCTTCTGTTTATGTGATGGATTACTTTTATTGATTTGTGTATGGTGAACCAGACTTGTATCCCAGGGATGAAACCGACTTGATCATGGTGGATAAGCTTTTTGATGTGCTGCTGGATTTGGTTTGCCAGTATTTTATTGAGGATTTTCACATCAATGTTCTTCAGAGATATTGGCCTGAAATTTTCTTTTTTTGTTGTGTCTTTGTCAGGTTTTGGTATCAGGATGATGCTGGCCTCATAAGATGAGTTAGGGAAGAGTCCCTGTTTATCTATTGTTTGGAATAGTTTCACAAGGAACAGTACCAGCTTCTCTTTGTACCTCTGGTAGAATTTGGCTGTGAATCCATCTGGTCCTGGACTTTTTTTGGTTGGTAGGATACTTATTACTGCCTCAATTTCAGAACTTGTTTTTGCAGTGGCTGGTACCGGTTTTTCCTTTCCATATTTAGTGCTTCCTTCAGGAGCTCTTGTAAGGCAGGCCTGCTGGTGACAAAACCTCTCAGCATTTGCCTGTCTGTAATGGATTTTATTTCTCCTTTGCTTATGAGGCTTAGTTTGGCTGGATGTTAAATTCTGGGTTGAAAATAACTTTCTTTAAGAATGTTGAATATTGGCCCCTACTCTCTTCTGGCTTGTAGGGTTTCTGCAGAGAGATCTGCTGTTAGTCTGATGGGCTTCCCTTTGTGGGTAGCCTGAACTTTCTGGCTGCCCTCAACATTTTTTCCTTCATTTCAACCTTGGTGAATCTGATGATTATGTGTCTTGGGGTTGCTTTTCTCAAGGAGTATCTTTGTGGCGTTCTCTGTATTTCCTGAATTTGAATGTTGGCCTGTTTTGCTAGGTTGGGGAAGTTCTCCTGGATGATATCCTGAAGAGTCTTTTCCAACTTGGTTCCATTCTCCCTGTCACTTTCAGGTACACCAATCAAACGTAGGTGTGGTCTTTTCACATAGTCCCCTATTTCTTAGAGGTTTTGTTCATTCCTTTTCATTCTTTTTTCTCTGATCTTGTCTTCACACTTTATTTCATTAAGTTGATCTTCAGTCTCTGATTATCCTTTCTTCCACTTAATCAGTTCAGCTATTGATACTCATGTATGCTTCACGAAGTTCTCGTGCTGTGTTTTTCAGCTCCATCAGGTCATTTATGTTCTTCTCTAAACTGGTTATTCTAGTTAGCAATTCCTCTAACCTTTTTCCAAGGTTCTTAGCTTCCTTGCATTGGGTTAGAACATGCTCCTTTAGCTCAGAGGAGTTTGTTATTACCCACCTTCTGAAGCCTACTTCTGTCAATTAGTCAAACTCATTCCCTGTCCAGTTTTATACCCTTGCTGGTGAGGACTTGTGATCCTTTGGAGGAGAAGGGGCGTTCTGGTTTTTGGAATTTTTAGCCTTTTTGCACTGGTGTTTCCTCGTCTTCGTGAATTTATCTACATTTGGTCTTTGATGTTGGTGACCTTTGATGGGGTTTCTGTGTGGACAACATCCTTTTAGTTGATGTTGATGCTATTCCTTTCTGTTTGTTAGTTTTCCTTCTAACAGTCAGGCCCTTCTGCTGTAGGCCTGCTGGAGTTTGCTGGAAGTCCACTCCAGACCCTGTTTGCCTGGGTGTCACCAGTGGAGGCTGCAGAACAGCAAAGATTGCTGCCTGTTCCTTCCTCTGGAAGCTTCATCCCAGAGGGGCACCCGCCAGATGATGCCTAGCTAATTTTTTTCAAGTTTTTGGAGAGATGGACTCTCCCTATATTGCCCAGGCTGGTCTTGAACTCCTGGCCTCAAGGGGTCCTTCTGCCTGAGCTTCTCAAATTGTTGGGATTACAGATATGAGCCACTGGACCTGGCCAGGACTAAATTATTTCTGAAAAAAACTTCTGGCCATGAAATTATATTTCAATTATTTAATTCAAAGCCACTAGTTATTTTAAGCAATTTAGCTTAGCAGATTAACTGATTGCCATTTTAGATAATGGATACATTAGTGGTTGTAAATGGTATAAATCCAATTCAAATTATTGCAGGCAAAACAGGATTCTATAGGCTCTTAGAATTCAAGAAATGGTTAAGCAGTGAAACAGTGGGAAGGACAGAGATTCAGCTGAGCCTTGGGAACCCTGATATTCACACTAAGATAGTAAGGTTTAAAAGTAAGATTTGACGGCCAGGCGCGGTGGCTCACGCCTGTAATCCCAGCACTTTGGGAGGCGGAGGCGGGCGGATCATGAGGTCAGGAGATCGAGACCATCCTGGATAACATGGTGAAACCCCGTCTCTACTAAAAATACAAAAAAATAGTCGGGCGTGGTGGCGGGCGCCTGTAGTCCCAGCTACTCGGGAGGCTGAGGCAGGAGAATGGCATGAACCCAGGAGGCGGAGCTTGCAGTGAGCCGAGATCCTGCCACTGCACTCCAGTCTCTGGGCGACAGAGCGAGACTCCGTCTCAAAAAAAAAAAAAAAAAAGTAAGATTTGAAATTGGTTACTTGATTTGGATGTGAAAGCCAGCCTTGGCCGATGAATTACAGAAAGCAGAAGGGAGAGGAGCAAGAACTAAGCTTTGCTGAATGTCTACTATGTGTCAGGTTCTGTGTTAAATTATTTCAAGAAATCTATCTATTTTAATCCTTACCAAAAAGTATAGAAACTGAAGTTTAGAGTGTTTTAAGAAACTTGCGTAAAGTCAAGTGGTAGGGCCGGATGCAGTGGCTCATGCCTGTAATCCCAGCACTTTGGGAGGCCGAGGCAGGTGGATCACTTGAGGCCAGGAGTTTGAGACCAGCCTGGCCAACATGGCGAAACCCCGTCTCTACTAAAAATACAAAATTTGGCTGGGCACGGTGGCTCACGCCTGTAATCCCAGCACTTTGGGAGGCCGAGGTGGGTGGATCATGAGGTCAGGAGATGGATACCATCCTGGCTGACGTGGTGAAACCCCGTCTCTACTAAAAATACAAAAAAAAAAAAAAAATTAGCCAGGTGTGGCGGCGGGCGCCTGTAGTCCCAGCTACTCTGGAGGCTGAGGCAGGAGAATGGCATGAACCCAGGAGGCAGAGCTTGCAGTGAGCTGAGATCACGCTACTGGACTCCAGCCTGGGTGACAGAGCGAGACTCCATCTCAAAATAAATAAATAAATAAATAAATAAATAAATAAATAAATAAATAAATAAAATAAAATAAAAATACAAAATTTACCCGAGCATGGTGGCCCGCTCCTGTAATCCCACCTACTCAGGAGGCTGAGACAGGAGAATTGCTTGAACCTGGGAGGTGGAGGTTGCAGTGAGCGGAGATCGTGCCACTGCACTCCAGCATGGGCAACAGAGCGAGACTGTCTGGAAAAAATAAATAAATACACACACACAAAAATAAGCAAACTAAAAGTAGAACCAAAGAAGTGGCAGTGACCAATAATTTTCCCTGGTTTGGTTTAATGATGCTCAGCTAATAATATGCTTGCAAATAAATATTTCTTTTTCTTTTCTTTTCTTTTCTTTTCTTTTTTTTTTTTAGACAGAGTTTGCTTTTATTGCCCAGGCTGGAGCACAATGTTGCGTTCTCGGCTCACTGCAACCTCCGCCTTCTGGGTTGAAGCGATTCTCCTGCTTCAACCTCCCAAGTAGCTGGGATTACAGGTGCCCACGACCATGTCCAGCTAATTTTTGTATCTTTAGTAGAGATGGGATTTTGCCATGTTGGTCAGGCTGGTTTCGAACTCCTGACCTCAGGTAATCTGCCCACCTCGGCCTCTCAAAGTACTGGGAAAATAGACATGAGCCACCACGCCTGGCTGCAAACATTTCTTAATAGTGGTAGCAGCCAGGTGCGGTAGCTCACACCTGTAATCCCAGCACTTTGGGAGGCTGAGGCGGGCGGATCACGAGGTCAGGAGATCAAGACCATCCTAGCCAACATGGTGAAACCCCGTCTCTACTAAAAATACAAAAATTAGCTGGGCATCGGACGGGCGCGGTGGCTCACACCTGTAATCCCAGCACTTCCGGAGGCCGAGATGGGCGGATCACGAGGTCAGGAGATTGAGACCATCCTGGCTAACACAGTGAAACCCCGTCTCTACTAAAAATACAAAAAAAAATTAGCCGGGCGTGGTGGCAGGCACCTGTAGTCCCAGCTACTTGGGAGGCCGAGGCAGGAGAATGGAGTGAACCCAGGAGGTGGAGCTTGCGTGAGCTGAGATCGCGCCATTGCACTCTAGCCTGGGCGACTGAGCGAGACTCCGTCTCAAAAAAAAAAAAAAAAAAAAAAATTAGCTGGGCATCAGGAGGTGGAGGTTGCAGTGAGCCGAGATCGTGCCACTGCACTCCAACCTGGGTGATGGATTGAGACTCCATCTCAAAAAAATAAATAAATAAATAAGCTGGGCGTGGTGGTGTGCATCTGTAGTCCTAGCTACTCGGGAGGCTGAGGCAGGAGAATCACTTGAACCCAGGAGGCAGAGGCTTCAGTGAGCCAGGATGGCGCCACTGCACTCCAGCTTGGACGCAGAGCAAGACTCTGTCTAGAAGAAAAAAATGGTAGCTAACAGATTTATAGTGGCTTACTGTATGACAGGAGCATATATAAGGTTAACTTTTTAATAATTTTTTTTTTTGAGACACAGTCTCACACTGTCACCCAGGCTGGAGTGCAGTGGCATGATCTCGGCTCACTGCAACCTCTGCCTCCCAGGTCCAAGCAATCCTCCTGCCTCAGCCTCCTGAGTAGTTGGGACTACAGGCACACGCCACCATACCTGGCTAATTTTTTGTATTTTTAGTAGAGACGGGGTTTTACCATGTTGTCCAGGCTGGTCTTGAACTGACCTCGTGATCCACCCGCCTCAGCCTCCCAAAGTGCTGGGATTACAGTCGTGAGCCACCGTGCCTGGCCAACTTTTTAATAATTTTTAATTTAATTTTTTTTTAGACAGTGTTGCTCTGTCACCCAGGCTGGAGTACAGTGGTGCAATCTCAGCTCACTGCCACCTCCGCTGCCTGGGTTTAAGTGATCCTCTCTTCTCAGTCTCCCAAGTAGCTGGGATTACAGGCACAAACCACCATGCCCAGCTAATTTTTGTATTTTTAGTAGAGACAGGATTTCACCATGTTGCTCAGGCTAGTCTCGAACTCCTGAGCTCAAGTGATCTGCCCACCTCGACCTCCCAAAGTGCTGGGATTACAATTTTTAACTTTATAATAACTATAGATTCATGGGAGGTTGCGAGGTTCCATGTGCCCTTCACCCAGTTTCCCCCAGTGGTTACCTCTCACATAAATACAGTACAATATCAAAACAAGGAATTTGACATTGTTGCAATGCGTGTGCATAGTTCTATGTCATTTTATCACATATGTAGATTTGTGTAACCACCACTACAATCAAGTCACTAGTTCTGAGATTTTACCTTACCTCCCTTTACATCCCTTTACCCTCCCTCATTTATGATTTAATTGTCTTAAGTATTTCCTCTATGTACATCGAGAACCACATTAGAAAGGGTTATTATTTTTGCTTCAACTGCCAAACATAACTTAGAAAATGCAAGAGAAGGAAAGTCTATTGTATTTACCTACAGTTTTCTTCTTTCCATGTTTTATCTTCCTTCCTGATGTTCCAAGATGTTCTCTTTTACTATTTCCTTTTTGTCTAGAGAACTTCTTTTTTTTTTGAGACGGAGTTTCGCTCTTGTTGCCCAGGCTGGAGTGCAATGGGGCGATCATTGGCCATTCTTTCAGGGTAGGTCTACTAGTGACAAATTTTTAGTTTTCCTTTATCTGAGAATGTCTTAATTTGCCTTCATATCTAAGGATATTGTCTCTGGATATAAAATTCTAGATTGACAGTTATTTTCTCTTAGTAATTCAAAAGTGTTGTGCCATCTTCCTTCTGGCCTCTGGTTTCTGATGAGAAATTTGCTGTTATTCCAGTTGTTTCTCCCACTGGGAGGTAATGTTTCATTTCTCTCTGACTGCTTTCAAGATGTCTCTTTGTCTTCAGTTTTCAGAAGTTTAACCATGGCGTGCCTTGCATGGATTTCTTTGAGTTTATCCAGTTTTCAGTTCAGTCAGCTTTAATTTGTAGGTTTATGGTTTGTTTGCCAAATTTGGACATTTTCAGTTATTATTTCTTCAAATACTTGTTTAGCGCTGCTTTCTTCCTCTTTTTATGAGACTTTTATGAGATGAAGTTTAGATTTTTTTGTTACAGTTCCACAGGTCCCCAAGTTTCTGTTAATTAACAAAAACCCATTTTTTCTCAGTTGTTTAGACTAGGTAATTTCAACTGCTCTGTCATCAAGTTCACTGATTCTTTCTTCTCTCCATTCTTTCTGTTGAGCCCACCCATTAAGATTTTTATTTGTGTTTTTGTTTTGTTTTGTTTTGTTTTGTTTTGAGATGGAGTCTCCCTCTGTTGCCCAGGTTGGAGTGCAGTGACACGATTTTGGCTGGCTGCAAACTCTGCCTCCAAGATTCAAGCCATTCTCCTGCCTCAGCCTCCCAAGTAGCTGGGATTACAGGCACCAGCCACCACACCTGGCTAATTTTTTTGGTAGAGACAGGGTTTCACCATTTTGGGCAGGCTGGTCTCAAGCTCCTGGCCTCAAGTGATCCACCCGCCTCGGCCTCCCAAAGTGCTGTGATTACAGGCATGAGCCACTGCATCCGGCCTCATTTTTTTAGTTCTAAATTCCCACTTGGTTCTCTTTTATATACTCTATTTCTTTTCTAAGATTTCCTATTTCTTTGCTAAGACTTTCTATTTTTTCATTTGCATTAAGCATGCTCATAATTGCTTGTTGGAGTATTTTTATGATGCCTACTTTAAAATCCTTGCCAAATGATTTAACATCTGTGACATGTTGGTGTTGGCATCTATTAATTGTCTTTTTCTCATTCATTTTGAAATCTTCTTGGGTTTTGATGAGTGACTTTTTAATTGAGACCTGGGTATTTGGAGTAGATCTTATTTATTTAATTAAATCTCATGTTGGGATCAGCCCTACCTCTGACACAGGGTGGGTTAAGGTGGGTGGAAGAATGTCCCTTCTTCCGCTCACAGTATCAACAGAGGAGAACCAGGTGAAAGTCCCGGTTCTCCTCTGTTGATACTATGGGTGGAAGAGGGACATTTCATTAGAGTGCTGGCTCCCCACATGGTCTCCACTGAGACAGTAAGGATATGTGTGGCCTTGTTACCAGTGAGAGATGGGGAAAGGACCTAGTGGTCCTGACTTTCCACTAGGCTTCCTCTGACATCACTTACAAGGAAGAAGGGTGACGGGTGTGGATGGAAGTCCAGGCTCCCTGTGTGGTCTCCACTGACACCATGGGGCATTCAATATTCTTTACCACCAGGCAGAGATGAAAGTCAATTTCCATTTGACTTTCTCTAACACTACCCTACAGGAGAGCTGGGCTGACACATCACAGCTTGGAAAGAATAGAAGTCTAGGCTCTCCAGTGGGCTTTTGCTGCTAATCATGTAGGTGGCCACAGTTTGGGTTTTTTTGTTTTTCTGTTTGTTTTGTTTTGTTTTGTTTTGTTTTCTTCTGTTATGCTTTACTAGAGTAGAGCATCTATTATCTAAAGCAGTGGTGTCCAACCTTTTGGCTTTCCTGGGCCACATTGGAAGAAAAAGAATTGTCTTGGGCCACACATAAAATACAATAACACTAATGATAGCTGATGAGCTTAAAAAAAAAAAAAAGAGGAGCCGGGCGCAGTGGCTCAGGCCTGTAATCCCAGCACTTTGGGAGGCTGAGGCAGGTGGATCACCTGAGGTTAGGAGTTCAAGACAAGTCTGGCCAACAAGGCGAAACCCCGTCTCTACTAAAAGTACACAAATTAGCCAGGCGTGATGGTGGGTGCCTGTAATCCCAGCTACTTGAGAGGCTGAGGAAGGAGAATCACTTGAACCAGGGAGGCAGAGGTTGCAGTAAGCCGAGATCGCACCACTGCACTCCAGCCTGGGCAACAAGAGAGAAACTCCGTCTCAAAAAAAAAAAAAAAAAAAAAAGAATTGCATAAAAATATCATAGTATTTTTAAGAAAGTTTACAAATTTGTGTTGGGCCACATTCAAAGCTGTCCTGGCCTGCATGTGGCCTGTGGGCTATGGGTTGGACAAGCTTGATCTAAAGGTTTTCTGTCTTGCTAGGCCACTCCTTTCCTGATCATTTGGCCCTTGGTTAGAGACAGCAGACTTAGCCAGATGCAGTGGCTCACGCCTGTAATCCTAACACTTTGGGAGGCCGAGGTGGGTGGATCCCTTGAGCCCAGGAGTTTGAGACCAGCCATAGGCAACATAGCAAAACCCAGTCTCTACAAAAAATACAAAAATTAGCTGAGCATGGTGGCATGCACCTGTGGTCCCAGCTACTCGGGAGGCTGAGATAGGGAAGAGGAGTTCAAGGCTGAAGTGAGCTATGATTGTGCCACTGCACTCCAGCCTGCATGACAGAGTGAGACCCTGTCTCAAAAAAAAAAAAAAAAAAGAGAGGGGAGGGCGGGGCTTGTGCAGGCTTTTCTTATGCCTTCTTTTTTGTCTGTGGCCATTGCTGTTTCTAGGTTGCTTGCTTTTTCAGTGTCTAGTCTGGGATATATGCAGTAAAAGAAAACCCAGGGAACTCAGTACCATGTTGTTCTTTGGGTATCAAGGTCTCTAGCTGGTCTGCTTTCTCTGCTAGACTTTTAAGTGTCTTCTTATATTTTGTTTTATATTCAATGTCCAAGGATCTTAGTTGCAACTAATAGAAGAAATAGGGAAAAGTGCATCTATTCAATTTCTTCCTAGAAGGAGAAGTCTATGTTAATTTTATTTATTTATTTGTTTTTATTTTTATTTTTATTTTTTTGAGACGGAGTTTTTCTCTTGTCCCCCAGGCTGGAGTGCAATGGCACGATCTTGGCTCACTGTAACCTCCGCCTTCTGGGTTCAAGCGATTCTCGTGCCTCAGCCTCTGAGCAGTTGGGATCACAAGCACCCACCACCACACCCAGCTAATTTTTGTATTTTTAGTAGAGACAGGGTTTCACCATGTTGGCCAAGCTGGTCTCGAACTCCTGACCTCAGGTGATCCATCTGCCTCGGCCTCCCAAAGTGTGTGAGCCACTGCGCCCGGCCTATGTTAACTTTTAAAATCCTCCTAATAATCCTATGTAGTAATCACTATTAGACCCATTTCAGATAGGGGAACTCAAGTATAGAGAAGTTAACTTATTTGCCCAAGATCACACAGCTAGTAAGTAGGGAGATAAGATTCAAACTGAGGCAATCTGGTGTCAGAGCCCATGGTCATGACTACCACATGGGCTTTTGATAGCCTTTCATTTATTTATCACTTTATACTCTCAAAGTACCATCACATTTAATTTCATTCATTATTAACCCTATCATATCAAATACTTACTGAGCACTCATTATGAAGAACTTTGTATTAGGTATCAGGATACAACAATGAAAAGACTTGGTTCCTGATTATAAAATGCTTACAGCCTAGTAAAGGGTACAGAAATATAAATAAATAACTGCAACAGAACATGATGAGTACTACAGTAGAGATATGTGGCAGATGTTGTGGCCACATGAAAGAGGATGTAACTTTGTTTGGAGAAGTCAGGCAAGTTTCACAGATTATTTTTATTTATTTATTTCGAGACAGGGTGTCACTCTGTTGCCCTGCCTGGAGTGCAATGGTGAGATCACAGCTCTCTGCAGCCTTGAACTCCTAAGTTCAAGCTATCCTCCCACCTCAACCTTCTGAGAGGCTAGGACTACAACCGTGCACCCCCATGCCCAGCTAATTTTTCTAAAAAAATTTTTGTAGAGACGCAATCTCACTATGTTGCCCAGGCTACAGATGACTAATTTGGATCTTGAAAGAAGGATAGGCTTTCAACAAGGGGATGAAAGGGAGAAAGAATTCCAGGCAGAGAGAACAGCATAAGCAATGGTATGGAAGCATGAAAATAGCATCTCTGGTAATGTCTGGTAAGCAGTAAATACAATGACATAGCCATTGTTCAAGGTGCACGTTGTAGGGTGGAAGATATTGTTGGCTTGCCCAAATTATCCTAACACTGCTTATTAAACAATTCATTATTTATCTACCAAATTTAAATCCCACATTTATCACATATTAAAACTTTATTAGTGGTGTCTCTGTCTGTTCTGGCTATATTGTCTGGTTTGATTCTTTTTTTTTTTTCTTTTTTTTTTTGGAAACAGTCTTGCTCTGTCGCCTAGGTTGGAGTACAGTGGTGCGATCTCAGCTCACTGCAATGTCCGCCTCCTGAGTTCAAGCAATTCTCCTGTCTCAGCCTCCTGAGTAGCTGGGACTACAGGCCTGTGCTACCACACCCGGCTAATTTTTTTTTTTTGTATTTACTTTAGTAGAGATGGGGTTTCACCATGTTGGCCAGGCCGATCTTGAACTCCTGACTTCAGGTGATCCCCCTGCCTCAGCCTCCCAAAGTGCTGGGATTACAGGCGTGAGCCACTGCGCCCAGCCCTGGTTTGATTAACAGCTTTAAAGTATACTTTGATATCTAATAGTGTGTTTCTTTTTTCTTCTTTTTTTTTAGAGATAGGGTCTCACTTTGTTGGCCAGGTTGATCTTCAACTCCTGGCCTCAAGCAATCCTCCTGCCTTAGCCACCCAAAGTGCTGGGGTTACAGGAGTGAGCCACGGTGCCTAGCCCTTTTTTCTTTCTTTTTTTTTCTTTTTTTGAGATGGAGTCTTGCTCTGTTGCCCAGGCTGGAGTGCAGTGGCACAATCTCAGCTCACTGCAAGCTCTGTCTCCCGAGTTCATGCCATTCTTCTGCCTCAGCCTCCCGAGTAGCTGGGACTACAGGCACCTGCCACCACGCCCGGCTAATTTTTTTGTATTTTTGGTAGAGACGGGGTTTCACCGTGTTAGCCAGGATGGTCTGGATCTCCTTGACCTTGTGATCCACCCGCTTCAGCCTCCCAAAGTGCTGGGATTACAGGCGTGAGCCACCCCGCCTGGCCCACCCATTTTTCTTTTTTAAAGACAGGATCTCTCTCTGTCGCAGGCTGGAGTGCGGTGGTACAATCACGTTCACTGCAATCTCAACCTCCTGGGCTCAAGCAATCCTCCCACCTCATCCTCCTGAATGGCTGGGACTATAGGAGCATGCCACCATGCCCGGCTAATTTTTTGTATTTTTTGTAGAGGTGGGATTTTGTTATATTGCCCAGACTGGTCTCAAACTGCTAGTCTCAAGTGATCCATGCACCTTAGCCTTTCAAAGTGCTGGGATTACAGGTGTGAACCACTGGGTATGAAATTTGTACATTATTTGAGAGAGATGTGAAAATCTTTAAAAATTTGGGTCTTCCGATAGGGAAATGTGCCTTTTATTTTTTCAAGGCTTCTCAGTAAAGTTTCATGTTTTTTTTAATGTATGTACTGCAAAATGATAATGTTTATTGTGAGATAATTATTTAAGTTTTATTTATGTATTATTTTTTAGAGACAAGATCTTGCTCTATTGCCCAGGTTGAGTGCAGTGGCACTATCATAGCTCATTGCAGCCTTGAACTCCTAGCCTCAAGCCATCCTCCTACCTCAGCCTCCTCAGTAGCTAGGAATTCAGGCGTGTGCCACCACACCTGACTGATTTTTTAATTTTTAATTTTTCGTGTGTGTAAGGATGGGGTCTTGCTGTGTTGCCCAGGCTGGTCTTGAACTCCTGGGCTCAAGCAATCCTCATGCCTTGGCCTCCCAAAGTATTGGGATTACAGGTGTGAGCCACAGCACCCAGCTTTTAGTTTTCTTTTGCGAAGACATAATTATTTTTTGTTTTGTTTTGTTTTGTTTGGAGATGGAGTCTGACTCTGTCTCCCAGGCTGTAGTGCAGTGGCGCAATCTCTGCTCACCGCAACCTTTGCCTCCAGGGTTCAAGAGATTCTCCTGCCTCAGCCTCCCGAGTAGCTGGGACTACAGGCGCCCGCCACCACGCGGGACTAATTTTTTATATTTTTAGTAGAGACGGGGTTTCACTGTGTTAGCCAGGATAGTTTCGATCTCCTGACCTCATGATCCGCCCACCTCGGCCTCCCAAAGTGCTGGGATTACAGACGAAGACATAATTGTTAAACTGATTTTTAAAATTATCATACAGATACAGAGTCAATCCTATTTCGGAATGCCGAAATAGGATTGCTACATTAGATACAAAACTGATCAGTGTTCTTTTTTTTTTTTTTTTTTTTTTTTGAGTTGGAGTCTCGCTCTGTCGCCCAGGCTGGAGTGCAGTGGCGCAATCTCGGCTCATTGCAAGCTCCGCCTCCTGGGTTCACGCCATTCTCCTGCCTCAGCTTCCCGAGTAGCTGGGACTACAGGCGCCCGCCACCACGCCCGGCTAATTTTTTGTATTTTTAGTAGAGACGGGGTTTCACGTGTTAGCCAGAATGGTCTCATATCCTGACCTCGTGATCCGGCCGCCTCGGCCTCCCAAAGTGCTGGGATCACAGGCGTGAGCCACAGCGCCCAGCCCTAAAACTGATCAGTGTTCTAAGGGGCAATAAAACACAACCTTTGTAAATGGTCATCCTCACTACCAACAGAAAGAAAAAAAAAATATTGCATCCCTGTTCATTTCTATAAATTAAGCTCTACTGTTAGAGGATTGGAAGGCATCTAGTCCCTAATCAATTATTAGTCGGAATTACATTTTCTGAGTCAGATGATCCTTGGGCAGCCTTATTTTAAAATGCTCTAAAAAATGCTCTAGCACAGAATAGCCAACACAATACTGAAGAAGAACAAAGTTGGAGAACATAGTTGGAGAAACACTTAAAGACTTTAAAGACACTTAAAGACTTACAACAATTCTACAAGGATTGACAGTGTGGTTTTGGAGAAAGAAAAGGCAAATACATATATCAATGGAACAGAATAGAGAGTCCAGAAATAGACCCATGCAAATACAGTAAACTGATCTTTTAAGGAGCAAAGGCAACTCAATGGAGAAAAGATAGTCTTTTCACAAATAATGCTGGAACAATTGGACATCTAGTTGCAAAAACATGCACTTAGACACTAACCTTACATCTTTCAGTACCATAAAACTTCTAGAAGATAACATAGGAGAAAATCTAGGTGACCTTGGGTTGGCATTACATTTTTTTTTTAACTTTTAAGTTGAGGGCTACAACATACAGGTTTGTTATATAGATAAATTTACGGCATGGAGTTTGTTATACAGATTACTTCATCACCTTAGGTATTAAGCCTAGTACTCATTAGTTATTTTTCCTGATCCTCTCCCTCCTCCCACCCTCCACCATCTGAAAGGCTCCAGTGTGTGTTGTTCCTGTCTATGTGTCCATATGCTCCCATCATTTAGCTCCCACTTATAAGTGAGAACATGTGGTATTTGGTTTTCTGTTCCTGTCTTAGTTTGCTAAGGATAATGGCCTCTAGTTCCATCCATGTTCTTGCAAACCACGTGATCTCCTTCTTTTTTATGGCTGTATAGTATTCCATATTTTCTTTATCTGGCATTGAATTTTCATTTTTATTTTTTATTTTTAGAGACAGGATCTTGCTTTGTGGCCCAGGCTGCAGTGCATTGGCATCATGATAGCTGCTGTCTCTAAAACACCTGGCTAATTTTAAAATTTTTTGCAAAGACAGAGTCTCACCATCTTGCCCAAACTGGTCTTGAACTCCTGGGCTCAAGTGATCCTCCTGTCTCAGCCTCCCAAAGTGCTGGGATTACAGGCGTGAGCCACTGCACCTGGCATTTATTTATTTATTTATTTAGGGGACAGGGTCTTGCTCTGTCACCTAGACTGGAGTGCAGTGGTGTGATCATGGCTCACTGCAGCCTAAATCTCCCAGGCTCAAGGGATCCTCCTGCCTTGGCCTCCTAAATTACTGGGATTACAGGTTCGAGTCACCATGCCTGGCAAAATTTTAGATACAACATAAAAAGCACAATCTATAAAAGAAACAATAGATGAATTGTAAAATATTTTGCCCTGTATAAGACACTAGTAAGGGAATGAAAAGTCATAAACTGGAAGAAAAATTTGCAAAACATACATCTGATATAACAGATATATTGATATATCGTATATATCTGGTATCTTGTATGTAAAATACACAACCAACTTTTAAAACTGAGCAATAAGAAAACAACTCCAAATTAGCCAGGTGTGGTGGCTCACACCTGTAGTCACAGGTACTTAGGAGGCCGAGGCAGGAGGAACACTTGAGCCTGGAAGGTCGAGACTGGAGTGAGCTGTCATTGCACCACTGCACTCCAGCCTGGGTGAAAAAACAAGACCCTGCCAAAAAAAGAAAAGCAAAGAAAAAAAAAAAAAGAAGGTAATTTTGTCCCTTTTCCTGATCATTGTAATTTGGAGCACTGAAGTTAAGGGTGTAAGCTCTGTAGTCAAAAGATCTGTGAGAATTCTGTCTCTTTCAGTCCCTAGTGTTTAACTTGGGGTTGGGTAAGTTACTTAACTTGCTTAGTTTCAGTTTCCTCATGGCCAGTAAATGAGTTAATTTACATTTTGTAACTTAATTACATATGTACAGCTCTTGGACACATGTTTGACATTAAATGAACACTCAACAAATGTTACTTTTTTCTTGGAATTTTGAACTGTATAGAACTTCAACATTGTTAAATAGTATTCTCATGGTCATGAGATGGCTGTTGCAGTTTCAGCTTGATATCCAGAGGCAGGGAAAAGAAAATAACTTGTTTTGTGCTCTGGAAGACTTCTTCTCTTATATGGGTCCCCCATCAGATTTCTTTTCATGGCTCCCTGGCCAGAATTATGGCGTATGCTCATGCCTAATTTAATTACCCACAAAAATACTTAAGACACCTATGATTCTTTGGCCAATCAACATTCACCTTTGGATCTTGGGAGGGGTGTCACATGGAGAATGAACACATGAACAAACTGAGACTCTGCGAAGAAGGGGGATGGGCAGGTGGTGGAAATGGATTTGGGTAGGCAATTAACAGGGTTTGCTTCATGTATCAACTCAAAATGTATACAAATTTGAATTCCTTGTCTTTCCTCTTACACCTGCACCTCTTCTTATCTTCCGTATTTCTGTTAATGGTATCAAAGAAAACTTGTGCATTTTCTTTGCTTCCTTCCTTACCCTTGCCCTTTAAATCCAAATAGTTGGCAAGACATACTGGAAATAATCTGCCTACACATCATAAGCTTTTCTCTATTTACTTTATTGCCACCCTCTTTCAGGTACTCATAACTTGTCTCCTAGAGCAGTGCTTCCTAAATGTTTCTCTGCATCAGAATCACCTGGAGAATAAAAATGCAGATTACCGGATCCCAGAACTAATTCAGTAGTTCGGGAGTGGGAACCAATAATTTACATTTCTAACAATTTCCTAGTTGATGCTGGTGCTGTTCTAGAATATTTTAACAGATACCAGGCAGGCTTTCTTCCTCCAATTCTTCTCCATTTCAGTCTAGCCTACTGAGAGCTGCCAGTATTAATCCTCCTAAGCAGAGTTTCAGTACATAACTACATTAATCAAAAACTTTGGGGATTCTATAAAGCTAAGGAAAACAGCTCATTTGGTCCAGACAATAGTTGTTTATGGATTACTGGTTGGTATTTTTTTTATTTTCTCTCTGTCTCTCTCTGTCAACTACTTTATTGAGATGTAGTTCACATACAATAAAATTCACATTTTTTTAAAGGAGTAATGGGGCTGGGTGAGACTGTTTATTTTAATTTTTAATAACACCTTCATTGAGATACAATTTACGTACCATACAAGCCACCTATTTAAAGTGTACAATTCTAGCCGGGTGCAGTGGCTCACGCTTGTAATCCCAGCACTTTCGGAGGCCGAGGTGGGCAGATCATCTGAGGTCAGGGGTTTGAGACCAGCCTGGTCAAAGCAGGAAAACACTGTCTCTACTAAAAATATAAAAATTAGCTGGGCATGGTGGCACGCACCTGTAATCCCAGCTACTCGGGAGGCCGAGGCAGGAAAATTGCTTGAACCCAGGAGGCAGAAGTTGCAGTGAGCCAAGATCATGCCACTGAACTCCAGCCTGGGCAATAGAGCAAGACTCCGTATCAAAAAAAAAAAAAAAAAAAAGCGTACAATTCCATGGTTTGTAGTATATTTACAGAGTTCTGCAACTGCCCCCATAATCAATTTTAAAACATTTTTAGTACCCCAAAAAGAAACCCTGTACCCATTAGCAGTCATATCACTTTCCATTCCTACCCTTAGCCTAGGCAACCACTAACCTGTTTGTATGAATTTCCCTATTCTGGATACTTTATATAAATGGAATAATACAATATGTGGCCCTTTGTGATGGCTTCTTTTACTTAGGATAATGTTTTCAAGGTTCATCCATATTACAGCATGTATTAGTACTTCATTTCTTTTAATTGCTGAATAATGTTCCATCATATGGATATACCATGTATTCATCATTGCTAGACATTTGGGATGCTTCCACTCTTTGGCTATTATAAATAATGTTGCTATGAACATTTGTGTACATACTGATTGGTATCTTTTTTTTTTTTTTTGAGATAGGTGCGATCCTGGCTCACTGTGGCCTAGACCTCCTCAGCTCAAGTGATCCTCCCACCTCACTCCGAAGTAACTGAGACTACAGGCACACGCCTCCACACCTGGCTCTCTCTCTCTCTCTCTCTTTTTTTTTCTTGATAGAATCAGGGTCTTGCTATATATTGCCTAGCCTGGTCTTGAACTAGCCTCAAGCGATCCTCCTGCTCAGCCTCCCAAAGTGCTAGGATTACAGGCATGAGCCACTGTGCTCAGCTGATTGGTATCTTAATATACAAAATCGGCCAGGTGTGCTGGCTCACGCCTGTAATCCCAGCACCTTGGGAGGTCAAGGTGAGTGGATCACCTGAGGTCAGGAGTTCGAGACCAGCCTGGCCAACATGGTGAAACCCCGTCTCTACTAAATATACAAAAATTAGCCAGGTGTGGTGGTGTGCACCAGTAATCCCAGCTACTCAGGAGTCTGAGGCACGAGAATCGCTGGAACCCGGGAGGCAGAGGCTGCAGTGAGCCAAGATTGTGCCACTGCACTCCAGCCTGGGCGACAGAGCAAGACTCTGTCTCAAAAAAAAAATATATATATATATATATATATATATAAATATATATATACACATATGTATATATAATATATACACACACATATGTATATATAATATATACACACACATATATGTATAGATAATATATACACACACATATATGTATAGAT
Organism: Homo sapiens; assembly: GCF_000001405.40. Taxonomy (NCBI): domain Eukaryota; kingdom Metazoa; phylum Chordata; class Mammalia; order Primates; family Hominidae; genus Homo; species Homo sapiens. The sequence continues at coordinate 39,690,016 of NC_000004.12, forward strand.
AATATATACACACATATGTATAGATAATATATACACACATATGTATATATAATATATACACACACAAGTATATATAATATATACACACACGTATATATAATATATACACACACGTATATATAATATACACACACACGTATATATAATATACACACACGTATATATAATATACACACACACGTATGTATAATATATACACACATGTATATGTATATATAATATATATACACACATATGTATATATAATATACACACGCGTGTGTGTATATATATACAAAGCCCATTATTAAATCACAACCTCTGAACTCCCAAGACACACAATTTCTCTGCCACTTATTTAAAAATTGGCATATGCTATCCTGTATTTGTCTTACAATGAAATTTTCTATCTTCTCCAATAAACTAGTTTTTTTCTTTTTTTTTGGTGGAGGGGGAATGGGGGACAGGATCTCACTCTGTTACCCAGGCTGGAGTGCAGTGGTGCAATCATAGCTCACAGCAGCTTCAAACTCCTTGGGCTCAAGCCATTCTCCTGCCTCAGCCTCCTGAGTAGCAGGGACTACAGGCACACATCATCATGCCTGGCATGGGGGCTCACTTATGTTGCCCAGGCTGCTCTTGAACTCCTGGACTCAAGCAATCCTTGTGCCTTGGCCTCCCATAGTGCTGAGATTACAGTCATGAGCCACTGGGCCCAGCCTCCTGCAATAAATTCATTTTTGTTGCTTTTTTTTTTTTTTTGACAGAGTCTCACTCTATTGCCCGGGCTGGAGTGCAGTACTGTGATCATGGCTCACTGCAGCTTTGAACTCCTGGACTGAAGTGATTCTCCCACTTCAACCTCCGGAGTAGCTAGGACTACAGGTGTACACCACCACACCCGGCTAATCTTTAAATTTTCTGTAGAGATGAGGTCTCAGTATATTGCCCTAGCTGGTCTCAAACTCCTAGCCTCAAGTGATTCTCCCACCTTGACCTCTCAAAATGCTGGGATTAGAGGTGTGAGCCACTGTGCCCAGCCCCTAATAAGTTATTAATTTTATGAGCAGAGTATGTATTTCATTTCTCTTTGCATTCCTAGCATCTAACATAGTGACTTGAACTTCCATAAATGTTGATAATTACAGCTGCTTTTCTTCAATATAAAGCTTTGTCTGGGAAGAAAAGGTTACAATAACTTTCTGTATTAAAAGCTTGGGATGGGGCTGGGCGCAGTGGCTCACACCTGTAATCCCAGCACTTTGGGAAGCCGAGGCGGGTGGATCACCTGAGGTCAGGAGTTTGAGACCAGCCTGGCCAACATGGGGAAACCCCGTCTCTACTAAAAATAGAAAAATTAGCCGGGCGTGGTGGCGTGCACCTGTAGTCCCAGCTACTTGGGAGGCTGAGGCAGGAGAATCACTTGAACCCGGGAGGTGGAGGTTGCAGTGAGCCGAGATCATGCCACTGCACTCCAGCCTGGGTGACAGAGGGAGACTCTGTCTCAAAAAAAAAAAAAAAATTAAAGTGGCAGGGCACCTGTAATCTCAGCACTTCGGGAGGCTGAGGCAGGAGGATCTCTTGAGCCCAGGAATTCAAGACCAGCCTGGGCAACATAATCAGACCCTGACTCTACAAGAAATTTTTAAAAATAGCCAGACATAGTGGTGTGCACCTGTTGCCCTAGCAACTTGGGAGGCTGAGGAAGGAAGATCACTTGAGCCCAGGAGGTTGAGGCTACAGTGAGCTATGATCATGCCACTGTGCTCCAGCCTGGATGACAGAGTAAGACCCTGTCTCTAAAAAGGAAAAAAAAAAATTAACTAACACTGGATTAGAGGCCCAGTGTGATGTCTTTTACCTGTATTCCCAGTGCTTTGGGAGGCGAAGGTGGGAGGATTGCTTGAGCCCAAGAGCTTGAGTCTGCAATAAGCTATGATTGCACCACTGTACTCCAGCCTGGGTGACAGAGTGAGACTCTGTTTCAAAATTGAAAAAAATTTTTAAAAAGGATAAAATATAAATCTTAGAGGCATTTCTGGAACTGGGGTCAATTGGAAGTTAATGTGGCAGATTAGTATCCAAGATGGAGCTGCTTTAGTCTCCACTAGGTTTAATAAAATTAATAATTCCTACTGTTCCATCAAGACATTCCAAAGTGAAACTGGCAGTTTTTTAAACAGTGAATGTGTTACATTAATTGTTACTAGTACAGTAATTGTACAGTACTATTGCTTTACAGTATTGGTGCAAATGTCAAAGTGGAAAAAAGGCAGATAATATCTTAGTATCATAATAATAGTTCAAGCATGGGCTGGGCTCGGTGGCTCATGCCTGTAATCCCAACACTTTGGGAGGCCGAGGCAGGCAGATCATGAGGTCAGGAGATCGAGACCATCCTGGCTAACACGGCGAAACCCTGTCTCTACTAAAAATATAAAAAATTAGCAGGGCATTGTGGCACGTGCCTTTAATCCCAGCTACTCGGGAGGCTGAGGCAGGAGAATCTCTTGAACCCTGAAGGCAAAGGTTGCGGTGAGCAGAGATCACGCCACTGCACTCTAGCCTGGGCGATACAGCAAGGCTCCATCTCAAAAAAAAAAAAAAAAAAAAGCCATACTTTAAGGATGGTAGATTGACTGCCTGAAAACATCTCAGGGATTGCCCAGGTGTCTGTAGACTATAGTTTGAGGTTAATTTTCTTCATCCCTGCTAAAATGTAAATTTCACGATTGCAGGGATTTTAATCTCTTGTTCACTGATATGCCTCCAGGGCCTAGCCCATAGTAGGCATTCAATAAATACTTATTTAATTATTTAGTTAACGAAGTTAATCAGAATTAGATCATATTACGGAAGAGCTATGTTCTCCATTATTGGAAACACATTTTTAAAAATTTGTTTTTGGATGGATAAAAAATACAACAGGAGACATGGTGAAAATTCTCCCACTTTGCTTCCCCCAAAGTACTTAAGTTCCTTCCTGAGAGGTAACCACTGTTATCAGTTTCTTCCACATTTTTCCAGTGATATTTTATGGTTCACAAACATTACATATACAGGCATATTCCTTTCTCTCCTTACAAATATGGTGGCATACTATATACATATGGGCTGTGACATACCCTTTAATAAGTAAACTTTTTCTTTTGGAATAATTTTATTTTATAATTTTATTTTATTTATCTTTTTTAGAGGCAGGATCTCACTTTGACACCAGGTTAGAATGCAGTGGTGCAACTATAGCTCACTGCAGCCTGAAACTCCTGGGCTCAAACCTGCCTCCCACTTCAGCCTCCCAAGCAGCTAAGACTACAGGCACATGCCACCACCCCTGGCTAGTTTTTTACTTTTTTTGTAGAGATGGGGGTCTTTTTGGCTGGGTGTGGTGGCTCACGCCTGTAATCCTAGCACTTTGGGAGGCCAAGGCATGCGGATCACAAGGTCAAGAGACCAAGACCATCCTGGCCAACATGGTGAAACCTCGTCTCTATTAAAAATATATTTTAAAAAATTAGCTGGGCGTGGTGGCGGGCACCTGTAGTCCCAGCTACTCGGGAGGCTGAGGTGGGAGAATCTCCTGAACCCGGGAGGCAGAGGTTGCAGTGAGCCGTGATCACGCCATTGCACTCCAGCCTGGGCGACAGAGCGAGATGCCGTCTCAAAAAAAAAAAAAAAAAAGAGAGAGATGGGGGTCTTTTTTTTTTTTTGAGACTGAGTCTCTATTGCCCAGGCTGGAGTGCAGTGGCACGATCTCGGCTCACTGCAGACTCTGCCTCCTGAGTTCAAGTGATTCTCCTGCCTCAGCCTCCCGAGTAGCTGGGATTACAGGCGTGCACCACCACACCTGGCTAATTTTTTGTATTTTTAGTGGAGACGTGGTTTCACCATGCTGGCCAGGCTGGTCTCAAACTCCTGACCCCGTAATCTGCCCACCTTGGCGTCCCAAAGTGCTGGGATTACAGGCATGAGCCACCGCACTTGGCTAGAGATGGGGTCTTTCTGTGATGCCAAGGCTGGTCTAGAATTCCTGGCCTCAGGTGATCCTCCCACCTCCACCACCCAAGTTGCTGAGATCACAAGCATGAGCCATCACAATTGGCCTTGGAATAATTTTAGATTACAAGAAAGTTGAAAAGATAGTACAGAGATTCTTTTTTTTTTTTTTTTTTTTGAGACGGAGTTTCGCTCTTGTTGCCCAGGCTGGAGTGCAATGGTGTGATCTTGGCTCACTGCAACCTTCGCCTCCTGGGTTCAAGCTATTCTTCTGCCTCAGCCTCCTGAGTAGGCGGGATTACAGGCATGCACCACCATGCCTGGCTAATTTTGTATTTTTGGTAGAGACGGGGTTCTCCATGTTGGTCAGGCTGGTCTCGAACTCCTGACCTCAGGTGAGCTGCCTGCCTTGGCCTCCCAAAGTGCTGGGATTACAGGTTTGAGCAATCGCACCCGGCCCTGTACAGAGATTCTTGTATACTCTTTACTCAACTTCCACTAATGTTAACATCATACATTACCATATGGCTATGTCAAAACTGAGAAATTAGCATTGTTATAATACCATTAACTAAATTACAGAATTTATTTATATTTCACTAGGTATGCCCTTTTGGTTCTAGGATCCAATTCAGGATACCACATTGCATTTAGCGTGGTGCTTCTTTTTTTTTTTTTTTTTTTTTTTGAGACAGAGTCTGGCTCTGTTGCCCAGGCTGGAGTGCAGTGGTGCAATCTTGGGTCACTGCAAACTTCGCCTCCTGGGTTTGAGCAATTCTCCTGCCTCAGTCTCCCGAGTAGCTGAGATTACAGGTGCCCGCCACTATGCCCAGTTAATGTTTTGTATTTTTAATAGAGACAGGGTTTCACCATGTTGGCCAGGCTGGTCTCCAACTCCTGACCTCAAGTGATCGGCCCACCTCAGCTTCCCAAAGTGCTGGGATTACAGGTGTGAGCCACCGTGACTGGCCTCGCATGGCGCTTCTTATTCACTTAAAATATATCCTGGAGATTGTTTCATATCAGTTAATATGCAGTTGTCTCATTAGAAGGACTACAGAATGAATTCCTAGAAGTGAAATTGCAGGAGCAGTGATTATGTGCATTTAAAGATTACCAAACCCTCTCCCTTGAAGAAATTACCAGACCCTTGTCCGGTGCAGTGGCTCACACCTTTAATCCCAGCTCTCAGGGAGGCAGAGGCGCGAGGATACCTTGAGCCCAGGAGTTTGAGACCTGCCTGGGCAGTATAGCGAGACCCCGTTCTCCACAGAAAGGGGGGAAAAAAGACAAAAAAAAAAAAAAAAAAAAAAAAGAAAGAAATTACCAGACCTTTTTTTGGAGAGGGGGAATTGTCTTTTTGTGGTTTTTCTCTTGAGACAGAGTCACCCTCTGTCACCCAGGCTGGAGTGCAGTGGTGTGATCTCCGCTCACTGCAACCTCCGCCTCCTGGGTTCAAGCGATTCTCCTGCCTCAACCTCCCAAGTAGTTGGGACTACAGCGCACGCCACCACACCCAGCTAAGTTTTTGTATTTTAGTAGAGTCGGGGGTCTCACCATGTTGCCCAGGCTGGTCTCGAATTCCTGAGCTCAAGCGATCCGCCCGCCTCGGCCTCCCAAAGTGCTGGGATTACAGACATAAATCAGGGCGCCCGGCCTGGACCCTTCTAACTGGTCCCCCTTTGAGTATTCCAAGTTTCTTCACATTCCAAGATTAGGATTGGACAGTGATAATGTAAAGTGCTCAAAAAGTTTTTGCACTCTTCAAAATAATTTTTTTAAGTCTACTGGCACAAATACATATAGCATTGCGTGATTTACATTACACCAATAATTCCTTGTACCATGACCTACGTATATGGTTGAGTCCTCTTAGGACCACTAGGGGGCTCTGCTAGAAGGGTTTATATAATTTATGTCAGCCCACTTAGGGGAAATGTTTTGAGATGATATTTTCGAATTCTGAACTCTTAAAACTTGAGAGAGATAATCTAATCCAGTTTTCTCGTTTCGTAGATGAGGAAATAAAAGCTGGCAAGAGAACTGCCATGGGAGAGAACTGGAATTTTAAAATCTCCTCTTGGTTCCTGGGGCGGGAGTTTAAGAAATTCTCTTTTGCCTTGTGCCCCCACTGATTCGCCTCCATTGGCTATTTCCATGTTTGCCACCACAATTTTAATTACTTTTGGTAAAACCATGTATTTGTGATATTTTTATAATAGATATTTTACTGATTGGCTAGGTGAAGAAAGTGCATGAAGTATAAACTTCTGAAATGACACCCTTATTACTTATTCCAAAATGTTCTATTCAAAATGCTTCTCAGTACCAAACCATTATTACTATGCACCTTAGAAACCACTTTCTTTTTTAAAAATTATTATCTTTAGAGACAGGATTTCACCATAGGGCCCAGGTTGGTCTCAAACTCCTGGGCTCAAGTGATCTGCTCCCCCTCGGCCTTCCAAAGTGCTGGGATTACAGGCGTGAGCCACCGCGCCCGACCAGAAACCACTTTCTTTTGTTTGTTTGTTTTTTGTTTTTTTTTGAGACGGAGTCTCGCTCCGTTGCCCAGACTGGAGTGCAGTGGCGCAATCTCGCTCGCTGCAAGCTCCGCCTCCCGGGTTCACGCCATTCTCCTGCCTCAGCCTCCCGAGTAGCTGGGACTACAGGCGCCCGCCACCACGCCCAGCTATTTTTTTTATATTTTTTTAGTAGAGACGGGGTTTCACCGTGTTAGCCAGGATGGTCTTGATCTCCTGACCTCGTGATCCGCCCGCCTCCGCCTCCCAAAGTGCTGGGATTACAGGCGTGAGCCACCGCACCTGGCCCAGAAACCACTTTCAAACTTACTTTCCACTTAAAATATTTTATACTTTTTGTTTTGTTTTGTTTTGTTTGAGACAGAATCTTGCACTGTGGCCCAGGCTGGAGTGCAGTGGCGCGATCTCGCTCACTGCAACCTCCGACCCCCAGGTTCAAGCGATGTTCCTGCCTCAGCCTCCAGAATAGCTGGGATTACAGGTGCCTGCCACCACACCTGGCTGATTTTTGTATTTTTAGTAGAGATGGGGTTTCACCATGTTGGCCAGACTGGTCTCGGACTCCTGACCTCAAGCGATCCGCCGCGCCAGCAAAAACGTTTTAGTCTTATCTGTACTCATTTACTCATTCAATATTTATTGAGTGCCTACTATCACCAGGCACCTTTGAGGCCTAGGTTTACAGAAATAAGGCTCCCCCTCCCCCACCCCGAGTCCCCTGAAGGGTACTGTAATTGTTTCCATTTCTCCAATTTTCACTTTAATATATGTGAATTTTCACATGCTTCATTCAGTTCAGTGGTTCTCATAATGTGGTCCCGGAACCAGCACCAACAGCAGCAGCAACTGGGAGACTTGTTAGAAGCGCAGTCTTAGGCCCACCCTACACTCTAGGGATGGGCATAGGAGTGTGTGTGTGTGTGTGTGTGTGTGTGTGTGAGAGAGAGAGAGAGAGAGAGAGAGAGATTGTGTGTGTGTGTCAAGCTCGGTATTAAATAGGTCAAAGAGCAACATCTGGCTTCTAAACCCACCCTCAGGCCTCTCCACCGAGTACCTGTCTCAAACCCAATCTGATCCAACAATAACCAGCCTTAATTCAATAATCTGTGCTACCTGAGATGATGGGAATAATCGTGGTACTATAAATGTTGCAGAACAAAAACGACTGCAGTAGATTTTCTGGGGCTACACCAACTGAAAATGGGCCGGACCGAGATCCGGGAGAGCGTTTTCCTGCGCTAGACACGGCGTTCAGCCTCCGGGTTCCGGGTCTAGCTGAGTCAGGGCGGCGTTCCAGCCGAGTGCGGCGTCGGAAACCCGTTCGGTTGCGCCCGAACCTTCGGTCAGAGGCCAGCGCTGGAAGCCCAGACCACAGCACCCGGGTTTAAACAGGAGCGGAGGCGCCGGGAAGGGCCGGGGGGGCCGGCTAGGGCCGGCCAGCTTGGAAGCCGCACCCTCGCGGCCCCAGACGCCGGCAGGGCGGAGCCACGCGGCCGCAGCCCCAGCCGAGACGCGAGCTCGTGGCTCGGGCGTATGGGGGCTCCAACGGGAGCGGCTGCGCCGCCCGGCCGGGTCAACGTCGTGCGCATGCGCCGACCCGGCGCCATTTTGGTGGCCGGGCGCGGAGGTGATTCCACACTGAGGCGAGCGCGGCGGCCGGGGTGGTAGTGGCAGTGTTCGTGTGCTCAGGTCTGAATCGCCGAGGGAGGAGGCGGTGGAGGAAGAGGTGGCGGCGGTGGCGGTGGTCGTAGCGGTGGCGGAGGAGGCGGGTACGAATCAGCTGCGGGCGGAGACATGGCCAACATCGCGGTGCAGCGAATCAAGCGGGAGTTCAAGGAGGTGCTGAAGAGCGAGGAGGTCAGAAATGAACTCCCGGATATCCCCCACCTCTGCCTGGGGCGGGAGGGTCCTCCCAGCTGCGACCCCGATATCCCCGGTAGTCCCTGGGTGGTCCTCCTTGCGGCCGCCCTTCTGCCTGTGAGGAAGCAGCAGTGTTCCCCTCCTCCTTCCGCCGCCTTCCCCTCCCCTCCCAGAGCGCTAGGATGGACGGTCTCGCGGGCGGGTGGTCTGGGGTGGAACATGGTTTGGGGAGGTGATGGACAGGGGGCAACTCCTCGGAGGGATGGAAGCTCACAAGAGAACCCGAGGCGGTGGCCGCAGCTGGAAATGTGGCTGTGGGGTGGGGAGGGAGCAGGCCGAGCCTGAGAAAACCCGGGAAGTGGGTTGGGGGAAGGGGAAAGGTGGTAACTGGATCCCAAGAGCAGTGCTGCTCGAAGGCCCACACTTTTGAGGGTATTCGGGGTTATTGCCTGTCAGGCCTTCACTGTTCTTTTCTTGGGGAAGGAGCAGTGAGTCCTTAGGTATTGATTAAAAAGGAAGGACATTCAGAGTTAGTCCTTCTTAGTTGGGTGTTAGGAGTCAAAGGGAGACATAATAGAATACTGTCTTATTTGGTGGCAGGGGTAAGGGAATTTTCACCTGAGTTAGCAAGTTAATTCCAAATAAGATAATTATCTCTTTTCCACTTAACCCCCAAATTCCTAGGCCTCATCTTTATTGACATCTCAATCTTTTGAGTGGGCAAAGGCAAGGTGTTTGGTGTATTAAAGACATGTAAATATTTTTAGTTAGGAAACAAATAATGGAATGTATGAGTAGCTTATTTCAAAATATTGTTTACAAGTTACAGATCAGAGAGACTGTCTTAAGACAGTGCCTCTGTGACTCGTGTTGTGCCACGAAACTTCATTATGATGTCCCTCATAGTTAACTTGATTCTTACTTTTGAAAAGCAGACCTATTAAAAATGTGAAATTTCACCAGATTAATACATTGTTTCATCTCCTTATTGAGATTTATCACGACTTAACAGATTTTCAAAAAAGTTGCCTCCCGTTGCTCTTAAGTCCTGCAGAATTTAGATACATTTGTACTACGTTTATTTATGTAAGATATTCACAGTGCTCTAGTAATTTGACTCAAAATTATGCAAGTATTAGTACAGTTTCTCATACCAAGATCAACAAGAATGCCAGATTGTCTTCCCCACATGAATTAAACAAAAAGTAATACAGAAAATGATTATTTTCAAGATTCACATACCATTATTGAATATATCATTGCTATTTGTGTTTTTCTTTTACAGTTAGTACTTTAATAGTGTCAATAATAATTTGTGAAATTCAGCATTCTAAGTATGTGATGAGTATACATGGAGAAAAAATTATTTAAAATTCAAAAATGACAACAGACTTATTGAAAGTAGTATATAAGTCATGGTCGGTTTTACAGAGCATGTGTATGAACTCTGACCTCTATGTTTGTTCATATGCCAAAACTCTGAATGGAAGGATGACTTTGTATTTTGTGGTACAATGCAGAAATAGAGTCATAAGTGTCTGTACTGATACAATGAAACAGCAATTTTAACTTATTTAATATGAAAATGTATTCCAGGTTAGTTGACATATATACTCCTAATGAAAGCAGTTGTTGTTGCCAACAACTGAAAACATTTCTTGTTTAATAAGGTTGTACAAGCCTGAAACTTAATAGACTTTTAATGCTTTATTTTCTGTTACTTACGGTAACAGAAACAGTAAGTTACTGCTCTGGTAATTAATGTGGTCTCTTTGCTTTTTATGAGCTGACTTTTCACCGTGGTATTCTTAGTACTAAGTTGAAGATTACCAGAAATACTTGTATTGCTCTCTAGTAATGCATATTAAAAAAACACTGCTCTTTATACGTAAGGGATGTTGAAGCCTTACTTCAGATAAGCATCAAAAGTGTTTCAGAAGAAGAAAACAGGAAATGCAAACAGACAGGTTTTTTGTTGTTTTTGTTGTTTGTTTGTTTTGTTTTGTTTTGTTTAGAACAGTACCTGTATAAATATGGAAGGAAACTTCTGGGAAAATAAGTTGGAAAGAACATTTAGGAAAGGGTCACATCATTTAATCTTGGAATAAATATAACCAATAAATAGCTTATTTTCACCAGTATTTTTTGATATTTTAGTAGCCCCAGTTCTATAAGTGTATTGTTATTTTCAACTCATTGAAGACTTGTAGTATAGTCCATGTGTTTCCTTTTTAAGGGTGTAAATACAGTCTTTTGAATGGCTGATCAAATAAATGTTTCATCATGTCACTTTTTTGGTAAATCAGCACTTTACCGAAGTTTATTTCATGTGTTTGTATGCTTGTGTTTACTAAGAACACTGGTTGATTTAAGGACTTTTTGGGGTGGCCTTATAAGAGCCTTTGTAAAGATAGCTGACGCTTACTGGATTCTGGTTATGAGAGATTATAAGTGGCCGTTCTTAGAGTGTGTTAAAATACAGCCAACAAGATAAATGTGAAAAAGCAAGGTGCAGAATAGTGTGGAAGAGGCCATTTGTGTCAAAAAGAAGGGCATGTGTGTATTTGCCTGTATGGGTAAAAGGTTTCATGAGAAATTGGTAAAATTGATTGCTTTCTGTGTAGAGAGTTGGGTGTCTGGGGTATAGATATTTTTTGAATTTTGTGTCATACAAATGTGATTTACTTAAAGGCATCATTTGGCCTCTTTCCCTTAAGACAGTGTTTGGAAATTTGTCAGATGTTTCTTTTTATTAATTAATATTTATTTTCTTTGTTTTAGATGTTTGTTTTTAAATATGAGTGTGAATTTTAAGTAGTTTTAAATAATATTCCAAAGTTGTTAGGCATGGAATATTGATGTAAAGTACATTTTATAATTAGTTATTTTATGAGTAGGATTACATAAGTAAATTATTAATTGTGAGGATATAAACCCATAATCAATGTTTTATTCATAAGTTTTATTATTTACTATTAGTTATTGCTGCTGTTAATAACTAGCTGCCATTTGTAGAATGGCTAGTTGTTCTTAGTATCATTTGTTTTTACGTTATTGCTAATTCTTAAGCACAGTTCTTTAGATGTCCTATTTCCTAGATGAGAAAATAGAGATTTAGAGAAGTTAAATTATTTGTCTGCAATCACAGAGCCTGGGATTTGGATCTAGGTCTGCTTGTGTTCATATTGTCCCACGCTGTCATGACTTGCTAAGGATAGGCATGCTTTTAATTAATTTAAAAAATCGAGCCTGGTTTGTATTACTGGTTAAAGGATTTAAACACAGTTTAATTTGCTAGTTTAAACTCATTGAAATAAGTGTTACCTATAATTAACTTTAAGATGTACTTGAATTTCTTTCTTTCATGTTTTTTTTTTTTTCTTTTAAGAAGGAATCTCGCTGTCTCGCCCAGACTGGAGTGCAGTGGTGCGATCTCAGCTCACCACAACCTCTGCCTCCCAGGTTCTAGAGATTCTGCCGCCTTAGCCTCCTGAGTAGCTGGGATTACAGGTGCCCGCCACCACGCCCAGCTAATTTTTGTATTTTTAGTAGAGACGACGTTTCACCATGTTGGCCAGGCTGGTCTTGAACTCCTAACTTCAAGTGATCCGCCTGCCTCAACCTCCCAAAGTGCTGGGGTTACAGGCATGAGCCACCACACCCAGCCAGATTTACTTGAATTTCAATATACCAAATATTTTAAAATTTGAAACTTAATGAAATAAAACACCCTTAAATCAGTGCACTCTCTTGTTGGTCTTATGCTATATGGCACCTGTTGGTTTTTCATGTTGTAATTGCACTTTGGTAACATTTTCTTTTCTTTTCTTTTCTTTTCTTTTTTTTTTTTTTTTTTTTTTTTTTTTTTTTTTTTTTTTGAGACGGAGTTTTGCTTTTGTTGCCCAGGCTGGAGTGCAATGGCGCGATCTTGGCTCACCCCAACCTCCGCCTCCTGGATTCAAGCAATTCTCCTGCCTCGGCCTCCTGAGTAGCTGGGATTATAGGCATGCACCACCATGGCTGGCTAATTTTGTATTTTAAGTAGAGGCGAGGTTTCTCCATGTTGGTCAGGCTGGTCTTGAACTCCCGACCTCAGGTGATCCACCCGCCTCGACTTCCCAAATTGCTGGGATTACAGGAGTGAGCTACTGCACCTGGCCAACATTTTCTAGTCTCATAGGGCGTGTTTAAATCTATGGCATAAACAAATTGGTTTCGTGAAAATTACTATATAGTACATTAAGTTTTCCCTCATCATTTAAATAGATTTTTGTGTCTATTTTCCTTTAAAATTTTAATGTACTTGATCTAGCTTGATCTAGATTATTCTGTAATAGAAGTAGTTGTAAATCTCTAAAAGTAAGTCTTTTGATTTCTGTAGACCATGGATTTTTTAACCTTGGCACTACTGACATTTTGGGCAGATAGTTCTTTGTTGAGTGGCTCTCCTGTGCATTGTGGGATGTTTAGCAACATCCCTGACCTCTACCAGTATATGCAGGTAGCACTGCAGAGCCCCAGCGCATGTCCCCACTATCTCTTCTTGCTGGATGCATCAACTAAAAATGTCCCCAGACTGCCATATGTTGAGAACTATGTAGACAAAACTTTTTTTTTTGATACAGAGTCTTGCTCAGTCACCCAGGCTGGAGTGCAGTGGCACGATCTCAGCTCACTGCAACCTCCACCTCCTGGTTGCAAGCCATTCTGCCTCAGCCTCCCGAGTAGCTTGGATTACAGGCGCCTACTACCATGCCCGGTTAATGTTTTTATTTTTAGTAGAGACGGGGGTTTCACCATGTTGGCCAGGCTGGCCTGACAAAACTCTTTAAAAGAGTGTTTATGGCCAGGTGGGGTGGCTTATGCCTGTAATCTAGCATTTTAGGAGGCTGAGACTCGATTGAGGCCAGGAGTTCAAGACCAGCCTGGGCAACATAGTGAGAGTTTGTTACTACTAACATTTAAAAAAAATCAGCCAGGCCTGGTGGTATGTGCCTATAGTGGCAGCTACTCGGGAGGCCGAGGCTGGAGGATGCTTGAGCCCATGAGGTCAAGGCTGCAGTGAATTGTGATCATGTGACCGCACTTTAGCCTGGGCATCAGCGAGACCCTGTCTCATAAATGAAAAAAGAAAATGATTCCTGGCTATTTATTAACTATATAAGAAGAACACAGCCAGGCGTGGTGGCTCACGCCTGTAATCCCAGCACTTTGGGAGGCCTAGGCAGGTGGATCACGAGGTCAGGAGATCGAGACCATCCTGGCCAACATGATGAAACCCCGTCTCTACTAAAAATACAAAAATTAGCCGGGCATGGTGGTGAGTGCCTGTAGTCCCAGCTACTTGGGAGGCTGAGGCAGGAGAATTGCTTGAACCGGGGAGGTGGAGGTTGCAGTGAGCGAGATGGCACCACTGCACTGCAGCCTGGCGACAGAGCGAGACTCCATCTCAAAAAAAAAAAAAAAAAAAGAATACTTTGAGACTTAACTGTATCAGATGTGTAAGATAATTTATCTAAAGAATAAATGGACACAGACAGTAAAGACAAAAAATATATACTGGCTTTGAATGTTTTATTTTTAAAACTTTTAAGTTTGTTTCCCGTTTTTAGTGTTTTTCTTTTAAAATTTCTCGCTTTTGATTTTAATAAAAAGGTAAAATTTTCTACCAAAAATGAATGTAACGAGAATTTGAACAGTTGTTTCTAAGACTAGAGGCAGGCGTGGTGGCTCACATCGGTAATTGCAGCACTTGGGGAGGCTGAGGCAGGAGAATCGTTTGAGTCTGGGAGGTCGAGGCTGCAGTGAGCGGTGATTGTGCCACTGCACTCCAGCCTGGGTGACAGAGCAACACACTGTCTCCAAATAGTAAAAAAGTGGTTTTTAAAGTTTTTATTTTTATTTTATTTTTTCAAAAGTGTGTTTGAAAGTTATGTAAGTTACAGTTTTATGTAATATTTAAATAGTATTTCTTATGGTTTCTGGAATGGGTTGAGCAAGGAAAGCCTATAGATTGGGTTAAAAAAAATCAAAGTCTGTGCAGGTAATATGTTTGGGGTGAATTCCTTGTATACAGTGTTACAAAGACTTTGAGCTCTGTCCATTGGGCGTAGGTTTAGACACATCTGGGCTCCCTAGCTTCTTCCCTTTTTATTTATTTATTTTTGAAACAGAGTCTCACTGTCACCAAAGCTAGAATGCAGTGGCGTGATCACAGTTCACTGCAGCCTTGAACTCCCCAGGCTTAGATGATCCTCCTACCTCAGCCTTCCAAGTAGCAGGGACTAAAGGCGTCTGCCACCATGCCCAGCTAATTTATGTAATTTTTTGTAGAGACGGGGTTTCACCATGTTGCCCAGGCTGGTCTCGAACTCCTGGACTGAAGTGATCCTCCGGCCTTGGCCACCTGAAGTGCTGGGATTACAGACGTGAGCCACCATGCTTGGCCTGTCACCCCTTCTTAAAGACTATACACCTTTTTTTTTTTTTTTTTTTTTAGACGGAGTCTCCCTCTGTCGCCCAGGCTGGAGTGCAATGCGCCATCTCGGCTCACCGCAACCTCCGCCTCCCGGGTTCAAGCAATTCTCCTGTCTCAGCCTCCTGAGTAGCTGGGATTACAGGCATGTGCCAGCATGCATGGCTAATGTTTTTTTTTGTTTTTTTTTGTTTTTGTTTTTGTATTTTTAGTAGAGACGGGTTTTTACCGTATTGGCCAGGCTGGTCTCGAGCTCCTGACCTTGTGATCTGCCGCCTCGGCCTCCCAAAGTGCTGGGATTGCAGGCATGAGCCACTGCACCTGGGTTTTTTTTTTTTTTTTTTTGGGAGACAGAGTCTTGCTCTGTTGTCCAGGCTGGAGTATGGTGGCACGATCTCAACTCACCACAGCCTCTGCCTCCCGGGTTCAAGCGACTCTCGTGCCTCAGCCTCCTGAGTAGCTGGTATTACAGGCGCACCCCACCACGCCCAGCTAATATTTTGTATTGTTAGTAGAGACAGGGTTTTACCATGTTGGCCAGGCTGGTCTCGAACCCCTGACCTCAAGTGATCCAACTGCCTTGGCCTCCCAAAGTGCTGGGATTACAGGCGTGAGCCACCGTGCCCAGCCAAGACTATATACTCTTATTTCCCGTGAATACATTATTGACAGTTATTGAAAATATTGACTATAGCCCCAAAAGGCTTAACTGGTTAGAGATACAGGGCAGACAAAGGATAGATAAAAATGGTGGGGGCAAAGAGTAAATGCTATGGGATTCTAAAGGGTATCTGCATGAGAGAGATTCCTTTTTGTTGTTGTTTTGTTTTGTTTTTGTGACAGAGTCTCGGCTCTATCACCCAGCCTGGAGTGCAGTGGCTCCATCTCAGCTCACTGCAACCTCCGCCTCCCAGGTTCAACCAATACCTCAGCCTCTGGAATGGCTGGGATCCCGGGATTACAGGCATGCGCCACCACGCCCAGCTAATTTTTTTTTTTGAGACGGAGTCTCGCTTTGTCACCCAGGCTGGAGTGCAGTGGCGCGATCTCAGCTCACTGCAACCTCCGCCTCCCAGGTTCAACCAATACCTCAGCCTCTGGAATGGCTGGGATCCCGGGATTACAGGCATGCGCCACCATGCCCAGCTAATTTTCTTTTTTGAGACGGAGTCTCGCTCTGTCACCTAGGCTGGAGTGCAGTGGCGCTATCTCAGCTCACTGCAAGCTCCGCCTCTCAGGTTCATGCCATTCTCCTGCCTCAGCCTCCTGAGTAGCTGGGACTACAGGCGTCCACGACCACTCCCAGCTAATTTTTTGTATTTTTTTTTTAGTAGAGACGGGGTTTCACCGTGTTAGTCAGGATGGTCTCGATCTCCTGACCTCGTGATCTGCCTGCCTTGGCCTCCCAAAGTGCTGGGATTACAGGTGTGAACCACCCTGTCCGGCCACAATACCCAGCTAATTTTTGTAGTTTTAGTAGAGACAGGGTTTCATTGTATTGGCCAGGCTGGTCTTAAAC
Organism: Homo sapiens; assembly: GCF_000001405.40. Classification (NCBI taxonomy): domain Eukaryota; kingdom Metazoa; phylum Chordata; class Mammalia; order Primates; family Hominidae; genus Homo; species Homo sapiens. The sequence continues at coordinate 39,706,388 of NC_000004.12, forward strand.
TCGCGGCCTCAGATGATCTGCCTGCCTGGGCCTCCCAAAGTGCTTGGCTTAAATGGTGAGCCACCATGCCTGGCATGCCTGGACTTTTTTTTTTTTTTTTTCCCAGATGGAATCTCACTGTGTCACCCTGGCTGGAGTCCAGTAGCATGATCCAAGCTCACTGCAGCCACCACCTCCCAGGTCAAGCGGTTCTCCTGCCTCAGCCTACCAAGTAGCTGGGATTACAGGCGCGCCCCACCGCCCAGCCAATTTTTTATATTGTTAGTAGAGACAGGGTTTTATGATGTTGGCCAGGCTGGTCTCCCAAAGTGATAAGATTACAAGTGTGAGCCACAATGCCCAGCCAAGACTATATACTCTTATTTCCCAGTGAATACATTATTAACAGTTACCGAACATGTTGACCACAGCCCCAAAAGGCTTAATTGGTTGGAGATACAGGACAAAGGATAGATAAAAATGGGAGGGGCAAAGTGTAAATGCTATGGGATTCTGAGGGTATTTGAATGAGGGAGGTTCTTTTTTGTTTTTGTTTTGTTTTGAGTCAGAGTCTCTGTCACCCAGCCTGGAGTGCAGTGGCTTTATCTCGGCTCACTGCAGCCTCCGCCTCCTGGCTTCAAGTGATTCTCAGGCCTCAGCCTCCAGAATGGCTGGAATTACAGGCATGCGCCACCACACCCGGCTAATTTTTTTTGTATTTTTAGTAGAGACTGGATTTCACCATGTTGACCAGGCTGGTCTCACACTCCTGACCTCAGGTGATCTGGCTGTCTTGGCCTCCCAAAGTGCTGGGCTTACATGTGTGAGCCACCCCACCTGGAGTTTTTTTGTTTTGTTTTGTTTGAGATGGAATCTCACTCTCTCACCCAGGCTGGAGTGCGGTGACATGATCTTGGCTCACTGCAGCTTCTGCTTCCCAGGTCAGGCAGTTCTCCTGCTTGACCCAGTAGCTGGGATTACAGGCGCATGCCACCATACCCAGCTAATTTTCCTATTTTTAGTAGAGATGGGGTTTCTAGCCAGGCTGGTCTCGAACTTCAGACCTCAGGTGATCCGCCTGCCTTGGCTTCTCAAAGTGCTGGGATTACAGGCATGAGCCGTCGTGCCTGGCCTGTATGACTGTATGAGGGAGGTTCTTGAGCTAGGTGCCTTTTTTTTTTTTTTGAGATGGGGTCTCACTCTGTCGCCCAGGGGCACAATCATAGCTCATTGCAGCCTTGACCTCCTGGGTTCTAGCAGGCCTTCCACCTCAGCCTCCCGAGTAGCTGGGACTACAGGTGTGTGCCACCACACCTGGCTAATTTTTATTTTTTGTAGAGATGGGGTCTCATTGTGTTGCCCAGGTTGGTCTTGAACTCCTGGCTTCAAGCAGTCCTCCTGCCTCAGCCTCCCAAAGTGCTGGGATTATAGGCATGAGCCACCTCACCCAGCCTTCTTGAGCTGAGTTCTAGAGGAAAGTTAAGACTGACCTCAAATTTCAGGAGACAGTCCCAAAGGAATTCTGGTAATATTGCAATTTTTTTTTTCTGAGACAGTTTTGCTCTTGTTGCCCAGGCTGGAGTGCAGTGGCACAATCTCAGCTCATTGCAACCTCTGCCTCCCGGGTTCAAGCGATTCTCCTGCCTCAGTCTCCCGAGAAGCTGGGATTACAGGCATGCACCACCACGCTCAGCTAATTTTGTATTTTTAGTAGAGACCGGGTTTCTCCATGGTGGTCAGTCAGGCTGGTCTCGAACTCCGGGACTCAGGTGATCTGCCAGCCTTGGCCTCCCGAAGTGCTGGGATTGCAGGCGTGAGCCACCGCGCCTGGCCGAGATTCTTAAGTAAATGAACTTTTCTTTAGGCACATGAATTGGAACTATGGAACAAAGAGATTATTGATACAATTATTCAAGAAGCACATTTGCATATTTAGAACAGAAAGGTTGCACAGCTCTTACATACTCAAACATAGTTTTAGAGTTAGATCATGATCTTAACTTTCTTCATGGTTACCTTTTGGGGAGGAAAACCACCCTTTTTCATATTAAAGTAAAATGTGTACGTAATAAAGTGTGACTGGCATCCAAATCAAGAAACAGACCCTTCCCAGTACCATGGGAATCTGCCTGCCTTTCTAGTTACTTTCCTGACTTCTAATAACCGATTAGTTTTGAGTATGTTTGAGTAAAAGAATAGATGTGAGTATATATTATGTATTTTAAGTTTGAAAGTTTTCAAAAGATGCTTTTCAAAATCTTTCTTAAGAAAAATATAGTGTCTTAGAAAATGTGCCAAAATGTATTGAATTTCAGAGCTGAAACAGATCTAGGCCAAACTTCTCATCTATAAAATCAGGAAATTGAGGCCCAAGGAGGTTGATTGTTTCTCAGAGAAACAGAGCTGGTTAATGGTGAACCCAGGCTTTTTGCATACCAGTTTAGTCATAATAAGTAGTTGGTTTTTGGGAATATCCTTTTCATAAATGATAGTATAAAAGCTGACTGCTAATACAACTTTACAGAAGGGGATAACAATGCAGTATTATTTGTGTCTTTTTTTTTTTTTTTCCTCTTAGTATGAGAACTTGAACTTGCCAAGGAGGTAGAGATTTTTTAACTCCTGAAGCATAATTTAGTTAAGTTAGCTTAGTAATTAAGGGCGTGGGCTTTAGAATTAGATTTGCTTTGAGTCCTGGCTTTTCTTCTTAAAACCTGAAGTACTGGCTCTGTATCTCGATTTTTTTAATCTGTAAAAATGTGGGAAGATTAGGAGAGTCCTTGCGGTGCTTAGAACAACCTTGGGACATAATTAAACATTCAGTAAACGGATAGCTGTTAGATGTCAGAATTAGCTATGTTTTCATATTCTGTCGTGCTTATTATTCTTGGATTATAAAGGTATTGTTCAATGGTTTAGTGATTATTGGATGTAAATATGCCTCAAGAAAAGCTCAAGATGAGGGTTAAGGTACTTCTAATAGTGTTTCTTTGTCACCTGTGTGCCAATAATCCATGGGGCTAGTGGCCAAGTAGTCCACCCTTATCTGCAGTTTGATTTTCTGCAGTTTCAGTTACCCATTGTCAACCATCGTCCAAAAATAAGTGAGTATAGTACAATAAGGTATTTTGAGAGAGCACATTCACGTAACTTTCATTACAATATATTGTTATAATTACTCCATTGTTAATCTCTTGTGTTTAATTTATAGATTAAACTTTATGATATGTATGTACGTATAGGGTCGGTACTATCTGTGGTTTCAAGCATCCACTAGGGATCTTGGAACGTGTCCCCTGTGGATAAGAGGGGATATATTAATACAAAGGAATATATGTGGGCTCTGTTCTCCAGATGTGATTTATTTAATCTTTCTTTAGGAGACAGTTATAAATCGTTCAAAGTTTGTGTTAAAATGTTGCCTTCCTGAATGAAAAAGTTCATTTGGGAAACTCTCAAATGATATAGAGATAATGGGATTATTTTGAATTTCTTGACATGGCTCTGGGTTTCCTGAAACTAGACCAAAGAATCTAGATTCTAATCCTGTGGTGTATAATCTTGGATCCCTTTGCAAATCCCTTTTTCAGTGGGCTTTGGGAGCCAGAAAATAGGCAGTCTCATTCATCTGACATCCATTTTATTCTCTTACATAAATCTGAAAAGGTGGGAGAACTTTATTTCATTGAACATGCTTTTTTAAAATTTTTTTATTTTTTTAAGGCTAGTCAAACGAAGCAGTGGAAATGGAAAAGGAAAAAAGTCTGTAACTGGTTATGATCAATTAATTGTAAACACCACTGCAAAACCCTTTTTTTCTTTCTCTTCCCTTTAGTTCTTTGCTTTTACTCCAAATTTAGAATAACTGCCTACAGTTGAATGCCTACTGTCTGATTGATTGATTGATTGATTGATTTTAAGACACAAGGTCTTGCTCTGTTGCCCAGGCTGGAGTGCAGTGGCAGCAGAGCAAGACCTTATAGCTCACTGTAACCTTGAACTCCTGGGCTCAAGTGATCCTCCTGCCTCAGCCTTCCTAGTAGCTACCACACCTGGCTAAATTATCTTTTTTAAAATTTTTTGTGGAGTTGAGGTTCTCACTATATTGCCCAAGCTGGTGTCAGACTCCTGGGCTCAAGCAGTCCTCCTGCCTCAGCCTCCCAAAGTCCTGGGATTACAGGCATGAGCTACTGCACCCTGCCTATCTGACATTTTTTATATATGGCAGCTTTATGGGATTGATAGTATTCTTGTTTCACAGATCCAACAGTTGCAGCTGTGAAGAAATTAAGTAACTTTCTCAGTATCAGTAACTTGGTGGTGGAACAGAGGTTTGAAACCAGGTCTGTGCGTCCAAAATATTGGTGGTTATGGTAGAAAGAGTTATACTCATATCTGCTGCTTGCTCCCTACATTTTTGAAGATTTTTTTAAAACTAAGAAATACTTTATACTTAGAAGTTTTAAAAGTAATACGTGAACATCTTTATATCTGTGGTCCATATTTAACAGATAGTAATCTTCTCATACTGTGGGCTAAACTGCCTCTACCCAAATACTGTAAAACATAGAGGTAAAGCTCACTGGATAACTTTTTTCTTATTCCATTTTTTCTTTCTTTCTAGGAGTATCTGCTATGTGAAGTTAGTGTATATCCTTCCCCTTCATATTTTTGTTTTTACTGTTAATATCTCCTGAATTTAAAAATAAAATACTTTTTTGCTTTTTTTTTTAAAGTTTTTTTTAAAAACAGTTTTTATGAATGATTGTAATGTATGTCTCTTGGAAACTTTTTCTCTTTTTTTTTTTTTTTTTGAGACGGAGTCTCACTTTGTCGCCCAGGCTGGAGTGCAGTGGTGTGATCTCGGCTCACTGCAAGCTCTGCCTCCCGGGGTCATGCCATTCTCCTGCCTCAGCCTCCCGAGTATCTGGGACTACAGGCGCCCGCCACCAAGCCCAGCTAATTTTTTGTATTTTTGGTAGAGACAGGGTTTCACCGTGTTAGCCTGGATGGTCTCGATCTCCTGACTTCATGATCCGCCCGCCTCGGCCTCCCAAAGTGCTGAGATTACAGGTGTGAGCCACCGCGCCCGGCAGCATTATTTTTTAAAGATCTGTGATAGTGCATGTTGTGCTAGTTCTTTAATACAGACTATATTGTATTCCATGTCAGTTTTTAAAGTTTATTTCCCTATTGATGGCATTTAATTCCAACTTTTAGATAAAAGGATGTACTGGACATTTTTATAATTTTTTGGGGAACATGTAAGAGTTTTTCTAGGAAGTAGATTTGTAAGACCTGAGCGTATTTTCAGCTTCTGCCTGACTGGACATTGCTTCACTGTTCTCCAGATGATTGAATCAATTTACATTCCCACTAAAAGAGTTCTGCCCGGGAGAGGTGGCTTACTCCTGTAATCCCAGCACTTTAGGAGGCAAAGGCGGGCGGATCACCTGAGGTCAGGAGTTCCAGACCAGCCTGAACACCATGGAGAAACCTCGTCTCTCTACTAAAAATACAAAAAATTAGCCAGGCATGGTGGTGCATGCCTGTAATCCCAGCTACTTGGGAGGCTGAGGTGGGAGAATTGCTTGAACTGGGGAGGCAGAGGTTGCATTAAGCCGAGATTGCGCCATTGCATTCCATCCTGGGCAAGAGAGGGAGACTCTGTCTCAAAAAAAAATAGTCACTATTTTTTGTAAGACTATCTCAGGAAAAAAAGAGGAAGGGAAAAAAAAAACGTAGTTACTTGAAACCGCCCCCCCTTTTTTTTTTGGAGATGGAGTCTCACTCTGTTGCCCAGGCTGGAGTGCAATAGCACCGACAACCTTTTTTTTTTTTTTTTTTTTTTTTGAGACCGAGTCTCGCTCTGTCACCCAGGCTGGAGTGCAGTGGCAAGATCTCAGCTCACTGCAAGCTCCGCCTCCTGGGTTCATGCCATTCTCCTGCCTCAGCCTCCCAAGTAGCTGGGACCACAGGCACCCGCCACTGCGCCCGGCCAATTTTTTTTTTTTTTTTTTTTTTTTTTTCAGTAGAGACAGGGTTTCTCCGTGTTTTTTTTGTTTTATTTTGTTTTGTTTTAAGATGGACTCTCGCTTTATCGCCCAGGCTGGAGTACAGTAGCACAATCTTGGCTCATTGCAACCTCCATCTCCTGTGTTCAAGCAATTCTCCTGCCTCAGCCTCCTGAGATTATAGACGCATGCCACCACGCCTGGCTAAGTTTTGTATTTTTAGTACAGACAGAGTTTCACCATGTTGGTCAGGCTGGTCTTGAACTCTTGACCTTGTGATTCGCCCACCTCGGCCTCCCAAAGTGCTGGGATTACAGGCGTGAGCCACCGCACTCGGCCTACATTTTTAAGACTTATGTTTTTGTCACTATGATGGATGTGAAATGGTGGTTTATTCTAATTTTTACTTCCCTAGTCAGTAGAGATATTAAGCATGTTTTGTGTTTATTGGCCATTAGGCTTTTGTAAATTTAGTGTTTACTTTTTTTTTTTTTTTTTTAAATGAGACGGAGTCTCGCTTTGTCGCCCAGACTGGAGTGCCGTGGCGCGATCTTGGCTCGCTGCAACCTCTGCCTCCTGGGTTCAAGCGATTGTCCTGCCTCAGCCTGCCAAGTAGTTGGGATTACAGGCATGCCCCGCTAAGCCTGGCTAATTTCGTATTTTTAGTAGAGACGGGTTTTGCCATACTGGTCACACTGGTCTCTAACTCCTGACCTCAGGTGATCCGCCTGCCTCAGCTTCCCAAAGTGCTGGGATTACAGGCGTGAGCCACCATGCCCGGCCATGTTTACATTCTTTAACTGCTTTTTTAAAAATTGGATGGTTTGGCCTGGGCAACAAGAGTGAAATTTCATCTCAAAAAAGAAAATTAGGTGGTTTGTAGTTTTCTCCTTCTTCTGTAGGAAATTTTTTTTTTTTTTTTGAGACAGTTCTTGCTCTGGAGTAAGGCTGGAGTCTTGTTCTGGAGTCAGGGTTTCGCTTTGTTAGCCAGGCTGGTCTCTTCCTGACCTCAGGCAATCTGCCCATCTCGGCATCCCAAAGTGCTGGGATTACAAGCGTGAGCCACTGTGCCCAGCCAGATTTGTAGGAATTCTTTATGTTATTTATATGATATTGTCTATCTTACATTATGTGGCTTGATTTTTAATTTTGGCTTATCTTTTTATGCTTTTTTTTAAGTTGTAGTAAAATACACATAACATAAAATTTATCATTCTAACCATTTTAAATGTTCAGTGGCATTAAGGACATTGTGTAGCTATCACCACCATCCATCTCCAGAACTTTTCATCTTGCAAAATTGAAACTCTGTACCCAATATTACTAACTCCCTATCCCCCTACCACCCAGCTTCTGGCAGTCACATTTCTACTTTGTATCTCAATCTGTGTGACTGCTCTATCATTCATTATTTGTCCCTTTAAAAAAAAAAACTCTGAGTATACTTTCTTCATTTTTGTTTAAAACCGAAACTCTGGAAGTTAAAAATAACATCCTTGCCCATGAGCAGCTTTTTTTTTTAAGACAGAGTCTTGCTCTATTATTGCTCAGACTAGAGTGCAATGGTGCAATCATGGCTCACTGCTGCAACCTCAACCTCCTGGGCTCAAGTGATCTTCCCACCTCATCCTTCCAAGTAGCTGGGACTACAGGTACACCACCATGCCTGACTAATTTTTGTATTTTTTGTAGAGATGAGGTCTCACACTACTTTTTGTAGAGATGAGGTCTCAGCCTAGGCTGATGTCAAACTCAAGTGATCCTCCCGCCTCTGCTTCCCAAAGTTTTGGGGTTATAGGCATGAGCCACCGGAGCCATCAAATCCCTGTGCTTCTTACAGACACCAGAAAAAGTTTCAGCCTTGTTTTCAACATTGTTCTGCTGTGCTTTGTCCAAATGAACCTTTATGAGCTGCCTGCCATCCAGTTTCTCTTGCCCACAATTTCACTTGGGAAGACCAAGCCCTCAAGGATTATGTCATGCACGCCTGTCAGAATAGGGCTCCTGGGACACTTCTGCTTATTTTTTGTACAGCTTTTCGAGTTGGCTTATGCAGAATTATCCTCTGAGCACATTATTTGTCCTTTTGTGACTGGTTTATTTCACTTAACTGTCCTCCTTGTCTTTTAGAAGTTTCATATATATATATATATATATATATATATATATATTTTTTTTTTTTTTTAAGACTGAGTCTCTCTCTGTTGCCAGGCTGGAATGCAGTGGCGTGATCTCAGCCCACTGCAGCCTCCGACTCCCTGGTTCAAGTGATTCTCCTGCCTCAGCCTCCCGAGTAGCTGGGATTACAGGCATGTGCCACTACCCCCAGTTAAATTTTTTTTTATATTTTTAGTAGAGACGGGTTTTACCATGTTGGCCAGGATGGTCTCGATCTCCTGACCTCGTGATGTGCCCACCTTGGCCTCCCTAAGTGCTGGGATTACAGGCGTAAGCCACCGTGCTTGGCCCAGAAGTTCTATTTTTAAGAGACAGGTCTCACTCACACGCTTACCCAGGATAGAGTGCAATGGTGCAATGATGACTCTCTGCAGCCCGGAACTCCTGGGCTTAAGTGATTTTCCCATGCCTCAGCCCAGCCTCCTGAGTAGCTGGGACTACAGGTACAAGCCACCACTCTTGGCTAATTTTTTTTTTTTTTTTTTGAGACGGAGTCTCACTCTGTCACCCAGGCTGGAGTGCAGTGGCGCGATCTCGGCTCACTGCAAGCTCTGCCTCCTGGGTTCACGCCATTCTTCTGCCTCAGCCTCCCGAGTAGCTGGGACTACAGGCGCCCGCCACCACGCCCGGATAATTTTTTTTTGTATTTTTTAGTAGAGATGGGGTTTCACCATGTTAGCCAGATGGTCTCAATCTCCTGACCTCGTGATCCACCTGCCTCGGCCTCCCAAAGTGCTGGGATTACAGACGTGAGCCACCGCGCCCGGCCAGCTAATTTTTAAAAAAAATTTTTGTAGAGATGGGAATCTCCCTATGTTACCCAGGCTGATCTTGAACTCGTGGGTTCAAGGGATCCTCCCAACTCAGCCTCCCAAAGTGCTGAGATTATAGGTGTGGGCCACCATGCCCGTCTGCTTTTTTGTATTTTTAGTAGAGATAGGGTTTTTCACGATGTTGGCCAGGCTGGTCTCCAACTCCTGATCTCAAGTGATCCACCCGCCTCAGCCTTCCAAAGTGCTGGGATTACAGGTGTCACCCACCGTGCCTGGCCCTGTTTAATTTTAAAGTAGTCAATTTTTTTCTGGTGTATTTTACTTATTGTCCTCCTTTTTGTCTTACAGAAGTTTAATTTTAAGGTATTCAGATTTTATCTTTTCCTACATGGTGTGTTTTTTGCATTTTAAGAAGTCTTCTCCTACTTTGATATTAATAAAGGCATTCTCGGACCCAGGTCACTGGTTGGCCTGACCTCCTGCTCTGGAGGCACTGTGCCGGAGGACCCGTTTTTTTTTATTTATTTTTTTAAAGACATTCTTCTGTATTTGGTTTTTAAAAGTTAATTCATTTTCTTAACTTCTGTACTCAGGTTTCTCTCTCTACCATGTCATACTGAAACTGCTCCTTCAGGCAGTACCTTCCCAATTACAGAACACAGAGTGAGTTCTCGTGATCATCCATTTTGTACATGTTCCTTCAGCATTTCCATTTCCATCTTAGAACTCTCCTCCTTTGGTTGCTCTGATACTGCTCTTTTCTGATTTTCCTCTAACCTCTGTTACTATCCTTTATAAAATATTGTCACTGATTTACCTTTCATCCTCCACTTGTCTCTGGAATGTTTGTTTTCTCTTTTTTATTCCTTTTGTTAATACCATAGGTCAGGTTTTTATATCTCAGGATGGACTATTTATTTATTTGAAACATGGTGTCTGTCTGTCTATCTATCATCCAGGCTGGGGTGCCGTGTTGTGATCACAGCTCACGCCGCAGTCTTAACCTGTTGGGCTTAAGTGATCCTCCCACCACAGCCTCCCAAGTAGCTGGCATTACAGGCATTTGCCACCATGCCTGGCTGATTTTTTTTACTTTTTGTGGAGACAGGGTTTTGCCATGTTGCCCAGGCTGGTCTCAAACTCCTAGGCTCAAGTGATCCATGCGCCTTAGCCGCCCAGAGTGCTGGGATTACAGGCATGAGCCGCTGCGCCCAGCCCAGATGGACTATTTGTATTAAACGTTTCCTGGCAACTTGCAATAGCTTAAGCCGGTAATCCCAGCGTTTTGGACGGCTGAAGCAGGAGGATTGCTTGAGCCCAGGAGTTTGAGACCGATCTGGGCAACATAGTGAGACCCTGTTTCTACAGAATATTTAAAAAATGAGGCCAGACACGGTGGCTCACGCCTGTAATCCTAGCACTTTAGGAGGCCAAGGCGGGTGGATTGCCTGAGCTCAGGAATTCAAGATCAGCCTGGGCAACACGGTGAAACCCTGTCTCTACTAAAATACAAAAAATTAGTAGGGCACAGCGGTGTGCACCTGTAATCCCAGCTGCTTGGGAAGCCGAGACAGGAGAATCACTTGAACCCGGGAGGCGGAGGTTGCTGTGAGCCAAGATCGTGCCACTGCACTCCAGCCTGGGTGGCAGGGTGAGACTCCATCTCAAAAAAAAAAAAAAAAAAAAAGCCTGGGGTGGGTGGTGCGCATCAGTAGTCCTAAACTACTCTGGATGCTGAGGCGAGAGGATCCCTTAAGCCTGGGAGATCGAGGCTGCGGTGAACTTTGACTTTGCCACTGCACTTCACAGAGCCAAGACCCTGTCTTTAAAGAATAAAATAGAATAAAAGTTTGCTTATGTACATTTATTTTTCTGCCTTCAGTCTCTCCCAGCTTTTCTTTTCTTTCTTTTTTTTTTTTTAAGATGGACTCTCGCTATATCGCCCAGGCTGGAGTGCAGTGGCACAATCTTGGCTCATTGCAACCTCCATCTCCCGTGTTCAAGCAATTCTGCCTCAGCCTCCTGAGTAGCTGGGATTACAGATGCATGCTGCCACACCCGGCTAATTTTTGTGTTTTAAGTACAGACAGGGTTTCACCACGTTGATCAGGCTGGTCTTGAACTCCTGACCTTGTGATCCGCCCACCTCAGCCTCCCAAAGTGCTGGGATTACAGGCGTGAGCCACCACGCCCAGCCTCTCCCAGCTTTTCTAGTCAACCCTAATGGTGCCATGCCACTGGATTTAATTTTAAAAATACAATGTTACATCATTCTCTGTTAGGTTTTCCAGTGCCTATGGGGATAAAGTCAAAACCTTTATACTGTTGTTCTTGTGTCCGGAATTGGTGGGTTCTTGGTCTCACTGACTTCAAGAATGAAGCCACGGACCCTTGCGGTGAGTGTTAACAGTTCTTAAAGGCGGCGTGTCCGGAGTTTGTTCCTTCTGATGTTCGGTTGTGTTCGGAGTTTCTTCCTTCTGGTGGGTTCGTGGTCTCGCTGGCTCAGGAGTGAAGCTGCAGACCTTCGCGGTGAGTGTTACAGCTCTTAAGGCGGCGCGTCTGGAGTTGTTCGTTCCTCCCGGTGGGTTCGTGGTTTCGCTGGCTTCAGGAGTGAAGCTGCAGACCTTTGCGGTGAGTGTTACAGCTCATAAAGGCAGTGTGGACCCAAAGAGTGAGCAGTAGCAAGATTTATTGCAAAGAGCAAAAGAACAAAGCTTCCACAGTGTGGAAGGGGACCCGAGTGGGTTGCCACTGCTGGCTCAGGCAGCCTGTTTTTATTCTCTTATCTGGCCCCACGCACATCCTGCTGATTGGTCCATTTTACAGAGAGCTGATTGGTCTGTTTTACAGAGAGTTGATTGGTCCGTTTTGACAGGGTGCTGATTGGTGCGTTTACAATCCCTGAGCTAGACACAAAAGTTCTCCATGTTCTCTAGATTAGCTAGATACAGAGTGTCGATTGCTGTATTTACAAACCCTGAGCTAGACACAGAGTGCTGATTGGTGCATTTACAAACCTTGAGCTAGATAAAGAGTGCCGATTGGTGCATTCACAATCCCTTAGCTAGACATAAAGGTTCTCCAAGTCCCCACTAGACTCAGGAGCCCAGCTGGCCTCACCCAGTGGATCTCGCACCGGGGCCACAGGTGGAGCTGCCCGCCAGTCCTGCGCCATGCGCCTGCACTCCTCAGCCCTTGGGCAGTCGATGGAACTGGGTGCCGTGGAGCAGGGGACAATGCTCAGGCCACGCAGGAGCCCACGGCAGGGGGGCAGGACTCAGGCATGGCGGGCTGCAGGTCCCGAGCCCTGCCCCGTGGGGAGGCAGCTAAGGCCTGGTGAGAAATTGAGCGCAGCGCTGGTGGGCCAGCACTGCTGGGGGACCCGGCCGCATCCTCCGCAGCTGCTGGCCTGGGTGCTAAGCCCCTCACTGCCCAGGGCCAGCAGGGCCAGTCGGCCGCTCAGAGTGCTGAGCCCGCCAAGCCCACGCCCACCTGGAAATCTAGCTGGCCTGCAAACGCCGTGCGCAGCCCCGGTTCCCACCCGTGCCTCTCCCTTCACACCTCCCTGCAGGCTGAGGGAGCTGGCTCCGGCCTCGGCCATCCCAGGAAGGGGCTCCCACAGTGCAGCGGTGGGCTGAAGGGCTCCTCAAGTGTGGCCAGAATGGGCACTGAGGCCGAGGAGGCACCAAGAGTGAGCAAGGGCTGTGAGGGCTGCCAGCACGCTGTCACCTCTCATTCTGACCTACCTTTCCTGACCTATTTCCTGTTAAGTCACAGATACACACTTGCATTCCTACACATACCTCAGACTTTCAGTCTCCCTCAAACCTTCAGCAATACAAAATTGCTTGCTATTTAGTTGTTTCATCTGTCTGGAATAAGCCCTTATCTTTTTTCTTTACCTTTCGAAACCTACTTGTCCTAAAATACCACCCCTGGTAAGCCTTTCTTGAAGCCAAAGTTTCCTTCTGTTTTTCATTGTCAGACTTCATGAGAGCAGTTATCTTACTATTGATAATTGTACATATGTCCTTCTACTCCTGGTAGATTAAACTCCTTGAGGGCTCATATTCATTTTTTTCTCTTTAGCACCTTGTAGGGTTCCTTGAATGTAGAAGCCTTAGTAATTTAAAGCACACCAAAAAAGTCTTTGATAGGTATCTAATTTTGAGGAGCTGCTGCTAAAAGTGCTCTTAGGACATAGGTTTAGGGCAGGCTTCCGTTACTTTTAGCAAATGTGTGATTATGGATTTTTCTAGTGATTAGAAATGTAGGACCAGCTAGTCTATGTACTCTTTTCTCTCAGTTAACTATGGGTGTCTTGCTTTTAGGTTTCTTTGTTTCAAGTGAAGCATCTTACTTGGTTTTGTCATACCCAATTTTGGGTTGTCTGATGCTGTTGCTTCTCAGCGAGCTGATAATAAAACATTTTATGCTTTTTCTTAAATCACTGTAGTGACTTAGTTTTTGTTGTATAGAATATAGCACAGTTTTTGCCTCCTATTAGACATTCAGTTATTTCCAGTTTCTTGATAGTGTACATGTGTGAGAATTTTGAGTGTATATCTCTGAAAGTGATACATACTGAGTGGTCATTGAGTGTTGGATGAAATTTTAGGTGTTTATATTGTTAGGTGCTTTCTTTCCATCTGCCCATAGGCACTGTGAATGTGAGTCATTGAAAGCAGAGTTCTTTCTCACTGATCTTCCATTCCCCATTGCTTAGCACCATTGCCTGCTAAGCAGGAGATACTTGTTTTCCTGAATGAGTTTAAGGATATTCCTAAGCTCTAGAGAGCTCATCCCCAACCATTGTGAAAGTTTCATCCTGATTCTGGGACTAGGAAGAGTTGAATATATTGATAAAGGTGGCCTCCAGGTAAAGTTGGATTTCTGTTGCATGTAAGTGTTAATAATGTAGTCAGGTCTTGAATTAGGATGATGGAATGTCCAAGCCCAAAACTGGGAAACAAGATAGTGGGAAGGTAATTTTTTTTTTTTTTCTGTAGTTTTCCCTTTTGAAGATCTCACTGGCATCTATTTAGTATATATGACATCATCTGTGGTTCAATTCTTTAGTGTAACTTTACATTTTTTATTTATTCACATATTTACTGAATGCTACCTATGTTAATAAAATGGACATGATCCTTGCTGTTATGGAATAAATTATGGCTCAGTAAGGCAGTGAGAAATTGAACAGCTAATAAGTGTGTTTGTTGACTTTAAGTAAGGGGACCTATGGAAGTTGGGTATTCTAGCCTCAGGGAAAGAGTTTCTTGGGAATAACCGGTAACTGATACTTACAGGATAAATTAGAATGACCATGATCAACTCTGTATACGTATAGATAGTTAATAATCATTTTACAATGAATAATGGAAAAACATTTTATTGTTTTTTTCTATGTATATATGTTTTTATTTATTAGAGACTAGGTCTCAGTTTGTTGCCCAGGCTGGAGTGCAGTGGTATGATCATAGCTCACTGTAACCCTGAACTCCAGGGCTCAAGTGATTCTCCTGCCTCAGCCTTCCGAGTAGCTAGTACTACAGGTAGACACCACTGTGCCCAGTTAATTATTTTTAAATTATTTGTAGAGACTGAGTTTTGCCATGTTACCCAGGCTGGTCTTGAACTCCTGGCCTCAAGTGATTTTCCTGCCTTGGCTTTCTAAAATGCTGAGATTACAGGCCTGAGCCCCTGCCTGGCCAACTTCTGTTTTTCTTTTTTTCTTTTCCTGATGGACTGTCCTACGACTGTTTTTATTTTTTTAACCAAAACTGCGTCATAACCTCTTCTTGGTTTAAGGGAGGCTAGGAAATCTTCTTTAGTTGAGCACAGTACTCCTCAATTAAAATGAGAGTTTCTTTAGTAGGGAAGAAGGAAAAAAGAAAGTTGATTAGACAACTAGCCATGTAGAGGGTAGAGGGGCAAGAATGAACTCAGGATCATTTAGGAAACCTTTTTAGGTAGCTTAGGCAAGAAATTATTGTAGTATGGGGCTAGAGTTGAATAGGGAGCCGAAGAGAAGTTATAAGTATTTGGGAGACCCTCTGTCACCCAGGCTGGAGTGCAGTGGCTCAATCACAGCTCACTGCGGCCTCAAACTCCTGGTCTTAAGTGATCTTCCTACCTCAGTCTCCTGAGTAGCTGGGACTACAGGCACGTGCCACCACGCCCTGCTAATTTTCATATTTTTTTTTGTAGAGATGGGGTTTCACCGTGTTGCCCAGGCTGGTCTTGAACTCCTGGGCTCAAGCAATCTACCTGCCTCGGCCTCCCACAGTGCTGGGATTACAGGCATGAGACACCATACCCAGTCAACTTTTAACTTTTTATCAATAAAATTTTGAAGAGAAAAGTCGAAAGGACAGTACACTTGTATCCCCACTAGCTAAGATCATGTTGCTCTCATGAATATAATTCACTACCAAAAACTTGAGCATGCATCTCTTAAAAATAATATTCTTTTGGTTGGGCATGGTGGCTCACTCTGGTAATCCTTGCACTTTAGGAGGCTGAGGCAGGAGGATAAGTTGAGCCCAGGAGTTTGAGACCAGTCTGGACAACATGACAAAAGCCCGTCTCGACAAAAATAGAAAAAAATAGTTGGGTGTGGTGGCATGTGGCTGTGGTCCCAGCTGCTTGGGCAGCCGAGGTCGGAGGATTGCTTGAGCCCAGTAGGTACAGTGCCATGATCATGGCTCACTGCAGCCTCTGCAGTCCGGCCTAGGTGACAGAGTAAGACCCTGTCTCCAAAAAAAACCCCAAACTTCTATTTTTCAGTTGACTTAAAAAAAAGTCTTATCTACGTAACGTTCACAGATTGTATATAATTGTATTCTTGGGTCTTTTACAATTTATGATTGTTAACCCCTTCACATACCTTTCTTTTTTTCTCATCTCATTAATACTGAAAATCCTGATGTCTGTGATTCCTAGTTTAGGTGTAAAGGTTTGATTAGCTTCAGGTTAAACATTTTGGTAAGAAGATCCCAAGTGATGTTGTATACTTCATATTGAATCATATTAGTACATGTGTAATATCAGATTTTCTTACTGTTATTGATGCTTGGTCACTTGTTTAATCATTTGATTAAGGTGGGAACTACAAGATTTCTTTGTAAAGGTACATTTTATGCTCTTTGCAATTAGCAAGTAAAGGATGGATTACTTCTTTGGCATCCTGGAAATAATCTTATTCCCAAAATCCTTTTACCAGGTGCACTCACACACACCCCCACTCTCACTCATGCTGGTACAGTTTAACCATGCCAGTTAATCTAGCATGTTTATCTTTGGAATTTGGGAAGAAACCTGAGTACCCGGAGAAAACCCACAAAGACGTGGGGAGAACATGGCAAGCTCCACATAAGACAGCAGCCCGTGTGGGATTTTTTTTTCCTCATAAATGTTATAAGGAAATGATGTTATCCAAGGACCTGCTGTATTCTCTTTTTCTCTCTTTTTTTTTTTTTTGAGATGGAGTCTCCCTCTGTCACCTAAGCTGGAGTGCAGTGGCATGATCTCGGCTCACTGCAACCTTCGCCTCCCAGGTTCAAGTGATTCTCCTGCCTCAGCCCCCCAAGTATCTGGGATTACAGGCGCGCACCACCACACCCGGCTAATTTAGTAGAGATGGAATTTCACCATGTTGGCCAGGCTGGTCTCAAACTCCTGACCTCAGGTGATCCACTCACCTCTCTTTTTTCTTTAATTTTTTTTTTTTGAGACAGTGTCTCACTGTCACCCAGACTGGAGTGCAGTGGTACAACTTCAGCTCACTGCACCCCCTGCCTTCCAGACTCCAGGAATCCTCCCACCTCAGCCTCCTGAGTAGCTGGGACTACAGGTATATGCCACCACACCTAGATAATTTTTTTTTTTTTTAAGTAGAGACAGGATTTCACTATATTGCCCAGGCTGGTCTCGAACTAAGCTCAAGCAATCCACCTGCCTCGACCTCCCAAAGTGCTGAGATTACATGCATGAGCCATGAGCCATTGTACCCAGCCCTGCTGTCTTCTCTTTTTTTTTTTTTTTTTTTTCCTTCAGACTGAGTCTCGCCCTGTTGCCCGGGCTGGAGTGCAGTGGCACGATCTCTGCTCACTGCAAGCTCTGCCTCCCAGGTTCATGCCATTCTGCTGCCTCAGCCTCCCGAGTAGCTGGGACTACAGGCATCCACCACCACGCCCTGCTAATTTTTTGTATTTTTAGTAGAAACAGTGTTTCACTGTGTTAGCCAGGGTGGTCTCAATCTCCTGACCTCCTGATCCGCCTGCCTCGGCCTCCGAAAGTGCTAGGATTACAGGCGTGAGCCACTGCACGTGGCCTGTCTGCTCTTAAAGAGATTAATAAATTAGAGGGAAAACTCAGAATGTCTTTGTAATTTAAATTTTTGTTAAGGGAAAATAATAACATTTAAAATAATTGTTTCTCTGTGTTAATAATGGGTACTGTACAATTAATTTCCTTTTTTAAAAAATATATTTTTTGAGACAGAGTTTCTCTCTTGTTGCGCAGGGTGGAGTGCAATGGCACAATCGCGGCTTATTGCTACCTCTGCCTCCGGGGTTCAAGCGATTCTCCTGCCTCAGCCTCCCAGGTAGCTGGGACTACAGGCACACACCACCACACCCATCTGGTTTTTTTGTATTTAGTAGAGATGGGATTTCACCATGTTGGTCAGGCTGGTCTCGAACTCCTGACCTTAGGTGATCCACCCGCCTCAGCCTCCCAAAGTACTGGGATTACAGGCATGAGCCACCATGCCCAGTCCTTTTTTAATTTTTTTTTTTTTTTTAATTGTTGTCACCAGGCTGGAGTACGGTGGCACAATCATGGCTTACTACAACCTGGAACTCCTGGGCTCAAGTGATCCTCCAACCTCAGCCTCCCAAGTAGCTGAGACTATAGGCACGCACCACCACACCTGGCTAATTTTTGTGGTATTTTTGTAGAGGTGGGGTTTTGCTGTGTTGACTAGGCTAGTCTCAAACTCCTGGGTGAATCCTCCTGCCTTGGCTTCCCAAAGTGCTGGGATTACAGGTATTAGCCACTGCACCCAGCCCAAACTGTATTTTTTTGTCTTCTAGTACACCTTGTAATTTTTTATTGAAAGCTGGGCATGGGCCGGGCATGGTGGCTCATGCCTGTAATCCTAGCACTTTGGGAGGCTGAGGCAGGTGGATTGCCTGAGTTCAGGAGTTCAAAATCAGCCTGGGCAACATGGTAAAACCCCGTCTCTGCAAAAAAAAAAAAAAAAAAAAAAAAAAATACAAAAATTAGCTAGGCATGGTAAGTGCATGCCTGTAGGCCCAGCTACTTGGGGGGGCTGAGGCAGGAGGATCACTTTAGCCCCGGAGGCAAAAGTTGCAATGAGCTGAGATGGCGCCACTGCCCTTCAGCCTGGGGGACAGAGTGAGACCCTGTTTCAAAAAAAAAAAAAAATGCTGGGCATGTTTTACTAGGTAAAAGTAACTGAGATACATAAGCCTTTAGTGTGAGGCATTACGTTTATCTGACTTAGGATTGGGCTGTGTTTTGTATTAACATTTTTTGTAGCTGTAGGTGTGAGAACTAATATTTCCTCCAGTGTTCTTATTTTTGTTTACTTTGTTGTCTTGGGGTTCCTTAGAGACTTCTTAAATAAGATCTGAGACATGCAGTTATATATTTTTCTTTTTTAGTTTTTTAATTCCTTGCAAGTATTGCACAAATGCAGTTCTTTGAGTAACGTCCTGTTGTTATACAAAAGCCTTCGTGGCCAGGCATGGTGGCTGACAATTGTAATCCCAGCACTTTGGGAGTCCAAGGCAGACAGATTGCTTTAGCCCAAGAATTTGAGATTTGTAGACAAATGGAGACATGGCGAACCGTCTCTACAGAAAATACAAATATTAACCAGGCATGGTGTCATGCACCTGTACTCACAGCTACTCAGGAGGCTGAGGTAGGATCATCTGAACCCGGGAGGCAGTTTGCAGTGAGCCATGATCATGCCACTGCACTCCAGCCTGGGTGACAGAGCAAGACCCTGTCTCAAAAAAAAAAAAAAAAAAAAAAAAAAAAACACCTCTTGATAGTAAGGTTTCAGTATTCTGTTGTAGTCTTTTAGTGAATCTGTGTACCTGGGCTGTGATATTCACAGTTGCTTCTCAGTTCACACTTCCTCCTTAGTTGAGATTGGAAGGCTGGGATTGGGTTTTTCACTTCCCTTGGGTCAGTTAGCTCTGATAAAACTCCAGTTGGTTAACCTCTGGTGAAATCTTTTCTCTTGAAGGCAGGCCTTTTTAAAAAGAACAGATTACTTTGGAATTACTTCAGAATGGCTACTTTCCCCCTTCCCCCTGCCAGAAGCATGCAGGGAATTTTCTTCCATCCTCACTGTGAGAACCTCCTGCGTTCAAGTGACCCTCCTGCTTCAGCCTCCTGAGTATCTGGGACTACAGGTGCACACCACCATACCTGGCTAATTTTTGTATTTTTAGTAGAGAGCAGGTTTTGCCATGTTGCCCAGGTTGGTCTTGAACTCCTGGGCTCAAGCAGTCTGTCCACCTTGGCCTTCCAAAGTGTTGGGATTACAGGCATGTACCACCACACTTGGCCTTTTTTTTTAAAATAGTATTGTAAATATTTGGGTTTTTAAAATAAAACATTTATTCTCAGAGTTGTGGAGGCTAGAAGTTGGAAATCAAGGTGTCAGCAGGGTCAGATTGCCTCTGAAACCTCTGGGGAATCCTTCCTTGCCTCTTCCTAGTTTCTGTTGGTTTGCCAGCGTTTTTGGTGTTCCTTGGCTTGTAGATGCATCACCCCAATAATCTGTCTTTATGTGGCATCCTCCCTATATGTCTGTCTTAACATGTTGACCAGGCTGGTCTCGAACTCCTGACCTCAGGTGTTCTACCTGCCTTGGCCTCCCAAAGTGCTGGGATTACAGGCGTGAGCCATCGTGCCTGGCCTGTTTTTACTTTTTAACTTTCTGCTAAAATTTTTAAACTTGTACTGAAGTTGAGAAAATAGCATAATAGATATCATCACCCAGTTGCTTTTTCTTTTTCTTTTTTGTAGAGACGGAGATCTCACTTTGCTGCCCAGGCTGGTCTTGAACTCCTGGGCTTAAACAATCCTCCTGCCTCAGTCTCCCAAAGTGCTGGGATTACAGGTGTGAGCCACCACTCCTCCTGGCCTCCACTTTCGGTAGTTATGAACATGTGGCTAGTTTGTCTGTCAGATTCCCACTCCCTTCTAGATTATTTTGCTGTTTGTTTGTTTGTTGTTTGAGATGGAGTCTCACTGTCTCCCAGGCTGGAGTGCAATGGTGCGATCTCGGCTTACTGCAACCTCTGCCTCCTGGGCTCAGACGATTCTCCTCCCTCAGCCTCCTGAGTAGCTGGGACTACAGGCGTGCACCACCACACCTGGCTAATTTTTTGTGTTTTTAGTAGAGACAGGGTTTCACCATGTTGGTTAGGCTGGTCTCAAACTCTTGACCTCAGGTGATCTACCCACCTCAGCCTCCCAAAGTGTTAGGATTACCAGCGTGAGCCAATGTACCTGTCCCCTTCTAGATTATTTTGAAACAAATCTTCTGAGTTATTTTGCAGCAAACCCCAGAATTCTGTCATTGTACAGTGAATAATTCATTGTGGATCTTTAACATACAAGGACATTTTTATGAAACCAAATCAATTGTCTTATTATGTCCAACAAAAGAAACACTAATTTTTGAATATGTAATGACACAGTACATGCTCAGGTTTCCTTGACTTCTGACTTACCTTTTTACAGTTACATTATTCTTCTTAATGGTTGTAATCATTTAGTTTACTTTCTAGTCCTTTTATGTCACAAGCAGTCTTAGAGTACAAATGTTATATCACATACAGAGGATTGTATTGTGTAGGAAAAACATGGACAACAAAGACTGAATTGAAAAGGTGATACTGGAGAGTAGGACTTGATGTGAAGAAGTTTGAGGAGTAGCTTTGACTGTTTTTCTTTTCTCTTTAATAATCTTAAAGGTTTCTTATGGGGGGAGCGCTGAGACAGGATACACCACAGTCACCCAGGCAGGAGTGCCAGTGGTAAGATCACGGCTCTCTGCAGCCTGGGATTCCTGGGCTCAGGTGATTTTCCCACTTCAGCCTCCCGCATTGCTGGGACTATGGCCATGCACCACCACACCCACACCTACCTAATTTTTTTGTAGAGACAGGGTTTCACCATGTTGTCTGGACTGATCTTTTTTTTTTTTTTCCATAAGGATAGAGATGGGCTGGTCTTGAACTCCTGGGTTCAAATGATCAGCCCATCTCCACCACCCAAAGAGCTGGGATTACAGGTGTGAGCCACTGTGCCTGGCCTAATCTTAGGATTGAAGTATATAAATTCTAAAAGTTGAGTAAGTGTATAATAAAAACTGAGTGATAAAGTATTGTGTCATGGTGTAAATGGCAGTGTTTTTTTCTTACTGGCATACATTGAGATGTCCTCTAACTGAAATCTTAGAAGTGAGCCGGGTGCAGTGGCTCACGCCTGTAATCCCAGCACTTTGGGAGGCTGAGGCAGGCAGATCATAAGGTCAGGAGTTCGAGACCAGCCTGGCCAATGTGGTGAAACCCTGTGTCTACTAAAAAATATGTAAGAAATTAGCCAGGCGTGGTGCTGTGCGCCTGTAGTCCCAGCTACTCAGGAGGTTGAGACAGAAGAATCGCTTCAACCCGGGTGGTGGAGGTTGCAGTGAGCCGAGATTGCCCCACTGCATTTCAGCCTGGGCGACAGAGCAAGACACCATCTCAAAAAAAAAAATAAGTAAAAGAAAAGCTCTGTCTTGACTCTTGAATCAGTTTTAAAACCTGGCTTCACTGATTATTAGCTTTGTGACTTTGTTGCCTCAGCTTCCTTATTGGTAAGCACGTAAGTTTGTTTTAAGATTGAGTTATTACATGTACATCAGTTAAAATATTGCCTGTAAATTATATATAGATATTGAGCTGGGAGTGGTGGTTTACGCCTCTAATCCCAACAGTTTGGGAGACTGAGGCGGGAGAATTGCCTTAGCTCAGAGGTTTGAGGCAGCGGTGAGCTATGATTGTACCACTGTACCTCCTGTCTGGATGATAAAGCGATGTATTAGGTATTATTGTTGATCGTTCAGCAACATTACCCACTGTTTCCTTGAAATATTATTCCTGTAGTGTCAGTGATATCAGACTATCCAAATATCTTTTTCTTCCTTTCTTCTTTCCTTTCTTTCCTTTTCCCTTTCCCTCCCCTTCCTCCTGCCTTTCCTTTTTTCCTTTTTTCTTTTTTTTCTTTTGAGACAGAGTCTCGCTCTGTCCCCCAGGTGGGGAGTGCAGTTGTGCGATCTCGGCTCACTGCAAGCTCCGCCTCCTGGGTTCACGCCATTCTCCTGCCTCAGCCTCCGGAGTAGCTGGGACTATAGGCGCCCGCCACCACGCCCGGCTAGTAGGTTTTTTTTGTTTTTTTTGTTTTTTTTTTTTTGTATTTTTAGTAGAGACGGGGTTTCACTGTGTTAGCCAGGATGGTCTCCATCTTTTGACCTCGTGATCCACCCGCCTCGGCCTCCCAAAGTGCTGGGATTACAGGCGTGAGCCACCGCGCACAGCCCCCCACCTTTTTTTTTTTTTTTTAAGGAGTCTTACTTTGTCGCCCAAGCTGGAGTACTGTGCTTCTGTCTCGGCTTACTGCTCCCTCCGTGTCTTGGATTCAAGCAGTTCTCCTGCCTCAGCCTCCAGAGTAGCTGGGATTACAGGCACGCACCACCATGCCCCCAGCTAATTTTTGTATTTTTAGTAGAGGCGGGGTTTCACCATGTTGGCCAGGCTAGTCTCGAACTCTTGACCTTAGATGATCCGCCCACCTTGACCTCTCAAAGTGTTGGTATTACAGGCGTGAGCCATGGCGCCCGGTCTTTCCTATCTTTCTGACTGTATCTTCAGATCACTCCTGAACCCGAGACCTGAATTTTTCATTTACCTACTTGGTTCTTTGGATTTTCACAGATACCTTGTATCCAACATGTCTCAAACTGATTTTTCCCCTCTCCCTCAAACCCTGACTTCTCAATTCTTTGTTTCCTTATCTTTATTATACTGTCATCCACCCAGCAAAAAATCCCCTCTTCTAAGATCATAGCTTTTAGTTAGTAACTAAGTCCTTTAGATTTTACTTCCTGTCTGCCTTAATTCATCTTCTTTTCATTGCACTGGACTTTATTGGCATCTCTCACTGGTTTCCTAAGTATTCTCTCTAATCCCCCTCCAGCCATTTCCCCCTACTCCAGCCAGGTGATCTCTAAGAGACCCAGATCTGATTGTTACAACACTTCAAATTTTTATTATTCTTCATGACCCTGAATAATCTGGCTTTTGACTGCTTCTCCTGCCTCATTTCATCATTTTCATTCTTTGTATTGTAGTCACATTGGCGGCATTTCAATTCCTAAACCTGTCAAGTCCTCGTTTGCCTCCATTTTGCACAGCGTGTACGCTCTGCCTTAAGTGCTGGCTTTTCCTAAAGTTAAGTCTTTTAAAACTAATTTCCTCAAGGAAGCTTCCTCTTACTTTCTAGATTTTCTGTCTGCTAAATGTTCTTCATAGTATCCTGTACTTCATTTAAAAATTATATAATTAGTTCTTCAGTACCTTAGAATGAAATAACTATTGATACAGGTTAGAGAAAATTTCTAGTTGATCATTATACTACCAATATCTGTTATAATGCCTTGCAAATAGCAAGTACTTAGTAAATATTCATGGAATTGATAAATTCAGACTTGAATTACTCTTCATTGTAGATTGAGTAAAGTTTGACAGAAGTCCAGAACTTAACTTTTTTTTTTAAGAGATGGAGTCTCACTCTGTCACACAGGCTGGTGTGTAGTGGCACAGTCATAGCTTACTGCACCCTTGACCTCTTGGGCTCAAGTGATTCTCCCACTTCAACTTCCTGAATAGCTGGGATTACAGACACACGTTTTTTGTTTTTTTTGTTTTTTTTCCACGCTGTAGAGATGGGAGTTTCACTATATGGCCCAGGCGGGTCTTAAGCTCCTGGGCTCAAGTGATCCTCCCTCCTTTGCCCCACAAAGTGTTGGGATTACAGGTGTGATTTAAAAAATGCTAGCTGCAGCCTGGTGTGGTGGCTTAGCCTGTAATCCCAGCACTTTGGGAGGCTGAGGCTGGTAGATCTTGAGGTCAGGAGTTCAAGACCAGCCTGGCCAACATGGTGAAACCCCATCTCTACCAAAAATTCAGCAATTAGCCGGGCATGGTGGTGGGCGCCTATAATTGCAGCTACTCAGGAGGCTAAGGCAGAAGGATCGCTTGAACCCCCAAGAGGTGGAGTTTGCAGTGAGCTGAGATTGCGCCACTGCACTCCAGCCTGGGCAACAGAGTGAGACTCCGTCTCAAAAAATAATAATAATAATAATTGCTAGCTGCTATAGCTTCTTTTTTTTTTTTTTTTTTTGAGACAGAGTCTCACTCTGTTGTCCGGTGGAGTGCAGTGGCGTGATCTCTGCTCACTGCAACCTCCGCCTCTCGGGTTCAAGCAGTTCTCCTGCCTTAGAATTTCAAGTAGCTGGGATTTACAGGAGTGTGCCACTATGTCCAGTCTCTTGTACTATTTTTATCTTTTATTTTCAAGACAGAGTCTTGCTTTGTCGCCCAGGCTAGAGTGCAGTGGCACGATCTCAACTCACTGCAACCTCTGCCTCCCGGGTTCAAGCGATTCTCCTGCCTCAGCTGGTCTCGAACTCCTGACGTCAGGTGATCCGCCTGCCTCAGCCTCCCAAAGTGCTGGGATTACAGGCATGAGCCACGGCGCCCGGCCATCTTGTACTCTTTTCAATGTGGATATCAGAAAATTTTAAATTTACATAGTGGCTTACATTATATTGTATTGGATACTGCTCGTCTAGAACTTGTTTTTAGTAAGGATCATACATGTGTCTCCATGGCCTCAGTTTTTCATTATTCTCCCAATCCCTTTGTTTTCATGTCACTTCTGCTTTGGGACTGTTATGTGCCATAAGCTTCAGAAAACACGGTGGCTCACACCTGTAATCCCAGCACTTTGGGAAGCCGAGGCAGGTGGATCACCAGAGGTCAGGAGTTTGAGACCACCCTGGCCAACATGATGAAACCTTGTCTCTAGTACAAATACAAAAAAATTAGCCAGGCGTGGTGGCGGGCGCCTGTAATCCCAGCTACTTGGGAGGCTGAGGCAGGAGAATTCCTTGAACCCAGGAGTCAGAGGTTGCAGTGAGCTGGGCAACACAGCAAGACTCCATCTCAAAAAAATAAAAAAAAAATTTAACTGCCTAGAAGGTAGAAATCGAGTGTATTTCTTAGGCCTTTGAATAATAGGGGAAAGATAAGTCATTTATATTAAATTATGAGAAAATAATGGCAACTGTTAAGCTTTTAAAGTATTATTTCCAACTAAATTAGGAAGAACTAAATTTCACTTTTACATATGCATGACAATGATGAGCAGGGCTCCTAAAACAGTTGTGGCTTGACTAGGAAACAAATAATAATTTTTTTATATCAATAAGAATTACTTGTAACTTTAGGGGGCATTTAGAATTATATTTGTCTTATTTGAGATTTGGATTTAAATTTTATTTTAGAGCATTTTTTAAAAAATAAATAGAAGTGAGGCTAATATTGTTAATTATTCTCTTTAAAAAATACAGTATTTGCTTTGGGTTAAAATTTTCTGCCCCAACATCATTATCAAGAGTCAGCATATTACAATGATAAATTTAGCATTTACTGTGTGGCAGGCATTGTTCTATATACTTTATTCGTTAAATTCACCAGCGAACCCTATGAGGAACTATCTTATCCTTAGTTGACAGAGGATGAAACTGGAGTACAAAGTAGTTAATTAACTTGTTCATAGCTAGTAAGTTTTAAAAAGGTTAAACAACAATATACTTTGTATTTAGTCCTTAAATGATAAAATCTTCCAGTGTTTAGTTTTTCCCACTAGAATGTAAGCTCCAAGTGGGCAGGGACTTAGGTTTTGTTCACTAACATTTGAGATAGCATATACTAGAACCTAGTCATTATTTGAAAGAATTTTTACAGTGATGATGGTAACAATGACAATATCATTTCACTGAGAGATGGCCTTGGAAATACATTAGAACCGCTTTGAGTTCTTCACTGTTGGTTGTTGACAATAATGTTTTTTTTATCTCATTCAAATTAGCTTCAACGTTATGTGCTATTTTGCATGCTTCATGTATATCTTAATAAAATAGTTGATTTGAAAATTGCTAACTTCTATAGCTTCTTCCCTCTTTTTTTTTTTTTTTTTTTTGGTGACAGAGTCTTGCTTCGTAGCCCAGGCTGGAGTGCAGTGGTGTGATCTTGGTTCACTGCAACCTCTGCCTCCCGGGTTCAAGCAATTCTCATGCCTCAGCCTCCTGAGTAGCTGGGATTACAGACATGTGCTACCATGCCCAGTTAATTTTTGTATTTGTAGTAGAGACAGGGTTTTGCCATATGGGCCAGGCTGGTCTCAAGTTTCTTGCCTCAAATGATTCATCTGCCTCGGCCTCCTAGAGTACTGGAATTACAGGGGTGAAACATCCTGCCTGGCCTAGCTGCTATAGCTTTTATATATCTCTGTTCCTTTTGTGCATTAGAAATGCCTTGAAGCCCCCAGGGAACATCAGGAAAAAAAAAAAAAAAAAAAAAAACAACCAGAGGTCCCGCTATGTGTTTAGCTGAGTTGGGAGAAGAAAGTTTAGAAAAGCAATCTTTGACCTATCCTTATGAAAAATTTACAGTGATAACACAATTCTTCAGAATTTCACCCAAAAGCTACAGCTGCCTTGGTTGTTGCAGTCATTGAAGTGAATAACACATTATTTTATTATTTATTTTTAGATACTACATTTTTTTCTTAGACTGTGGAAACAGGACTGTGAAATTAATTTTGTAAAATCGGGCTTTAATTTTTTTTTTTTTTTTTTTGAGACAGAATCTCGGTCTATCATCCAGGCTGCATGTAGTGGTGCAATCTCGGCTCACTGCAACCTCCACCTCCCAAGTTCAAGCCATTCTTCTGCCTCAGTCTCCCGAGTAGCTGGGACTACAGGTGCCTGTCAGCACACCTGGCTAATTTTTGTATTTTTAGTAGAGATGGGGTTTCACCATGTTGGCCAAGCTAGTCTCAAACTCCTGACCTCAAATGATCCACCCGCCTTGGCCTCCCAAAGTGTTGGGATTACAGTCGTGAGCCACTGCACCCAGCCAAATTAAAGGTTTTATAGTTAATGTTGTTAGGGAAAGGGGAACTATGCTGCTTACTTCTATCCAAGAAACTTAATTCTGAAAGTATTCTCATTTTACAGTAATAAAATTGAGAGTTAGGTGTTAAGTGTTATACCTGAATGAATACCACAAGTAAGCGACAGAACTAGGATTCAGCACACATATGTCTTACTCCAAAGGCCATGACTTTTGTAATACTGTCATCTTTCACCATTCTCCATGTCTTGCTTATAGTTCCTGACTCTTAAAGTAAGACTTTAAGTTCGCTTGTGGGAGCAGGGGGATTGGAGTTTTAGATTGTGAAATAACTGGATGTTTGAATTAAACTGTGGTGGTATAAAGAATAATTGTTGCTTGATGGAAAATTGAGCTGTGAAAAATTTTTGGCTTAACTTTGTTTTCTTTTTATCTTTAGTTCTGTGCAAATAAAGACCCTATTCTAAGCCCTCTAGAATTTTTTTTTTTTTTTTTTGAGACAGAGTCTCACTGTGTTACCCAAACTGGAGTGCAATGGCGAAATCTCGGCTCACTCCAACCTCCACACCCTGGATTCAAACGATTCTCGTGCCTCAACCTCCCAAGTAGCGGGGACTACAGGCACACACCACCATGCCCGGCTAATTTTTCCGGATTTCACCATGTTGGCCTCAAACTCTTGACTCAGTGATCTGCCTTGGCCTCCCAAACTGTTGGGATTACAGGCACGAGCCACCGCATGCACCTGACCAGAATGCTTTTTCATAATGTAATTCATCATGATGATGGTATTTTCTTGAGCTTATTTAGTACATTTTTTCATACAATAATAATGTTCTTTCTATAGAGTGAAAAAAAGAGCAATTTTTTTCTGACTTATAATTTGGGGGCTGGATGCGGTACCTCACACCTGTAATCGCAGCACTTTTGGAGGCCAAGGCAGGAGGCCAAAGGTGGTGGATCACTTGAGCCCAGGAGTTCAAGACCAGCCTGAGAAACATGGCAAAACCCCCTCTCTACTAAAAATTTAAAACTTTAGCCAGGCATGGTGGTGCACACCTCTCGTCCCAGCGACTGGTTAGGCCGAGGTGGGAGAATCACCTGAGCTTGGGAAGTTGAGGTGCAGTGAGCTGAGATCGCACTGCTGCATTCCAGCCAGGGTGATGGGAGTGAGACCGTGTCTTAAACAAATAATAATAATTTGGGGGTGATGTAGACAGAAATAAGGACAGAGGTATGAAAAGGAATAATTATTTAGCATTTTACTAGCCAGAGATTTGGGCAGTCCCAAAAAGCAGCTTTTCTAATCTCCCTCTCCTTTCCCAAAAAACTTTAATCAGATCCTTTAGTATCCTATCATCTTTGGGTTATTTACATACTACTTTTTGGAGGGGGGATTGTGGAAAGCTATCGAGATCTTTGAAAGCATTGATGATTAGCAAGATGATTATTCCTGTAAGAAGCCTTAAGAGGAGAAATGCAAGTGTAAGTTAACACTGGCTTCTTAAATTGGTCAGTGAAAGTTGGATGCCTCCAATTTTCTTTTAACATTATGCATAGATACTAGACAATTTTTTATTTTTATTTATTTATTTATTTTGAGATGGAGTCTCGCTCTTTCACCCAGGCCATAGTGCAGTGGCACGATCTTGGCTCATTGCAACCTCCGTCTCCCTGGTTCAAGTGATTCTCCTGCCTCAGCTTCCCGAGTAGCAGGACTACAGGTGTGCACCACCATGCCCAACTAAATTTTTGTGTTTTTGGTTTTTTTGAGACGGAGTCTCGTTCTGTCACCCAGGCTGGAGTGCAGTGGCGTGATCTCGGCTCACTGCAAGCTCCGCCTCCTGGTTTCACACCATTCTCCTGCCTCAGCCTCCCGAGTAGCTGGGACTGCAGGTGCCCGCCACCACACCTGGCTAATTTTTTTGTATTTTTAGTAGAGACAGGGTTTCACCGTGTTAGCCAGGATGGTCTCGATCTCCTGACCTCGTGATCTGCCCGCCTCAGCCTCCCAAAGTGCTGGGATTACAGGCATGAGCCACCGCGCCCGGCCATCAGAGTAGTTTTACTGTTGCTAAAATGTACATTTTCTCCTCTACCACAAATACCAAAGTTGTTAATGATTTTTTAGGGCATAAGAAGTAGTTTCTTATTGTACATATTTATAGTTAAATTTAGTTTTTGGATAAAAAATATTTTCAGAAAAATGTAAAAAAAAGTACTAATTAGAAAGTAAGTTTTTAAATCCTATGTTTTTATTAAAAAACAGGATTAATTTGGAGTGATGTGAACTTTGAAAAATATGGGTTTTAAGTCATGTATTGTTTATGAACTAAACGTTCTGTACTAAAAAATATTTAACATAGAAAAAGAGTAAAAATTGTGGTTTTTTTTTTTGGGTTGGAGGAGGAAGCCAAAGACAGTAATTCTTACACTGTTTCATCTAGTAATCAAGTTTAAGAAAGTCAGTCTAAAAGCAAAAAACATAAGAGTAGATATGTTGTGTCAATCAGGTAACAATATGGAATTCTAACCAAAAAAAATGAAGATATAGGCCGGGCACGGTGCCTCACGTCTATAATCCCAGCACTTTGGGAGGCCAAGGCGGGCGTATCGCGAGGTCAGGAGTTCGAGACAAGCCTGGCCAACGTGGCGAAACCCCGTCTTGACTAAAAATAACAAAAATTAGCTGAGCATGGTAGTGGGTGCCTGTAATCCCAGCTACTCAGGAGGCTGAAGCAGGAGAGTCACTTGAACCCAGGAGGTGGAGGTTGCAGTGAGCCGAGATCGTGCCATCGCACTCCAGCCTGGGCAGCAAGAGCAAGACTCCGTCTCAAAAAAAGGAAGATGTAACCTGTTCTTTAGGGATTTTGGTTTAAAAAATCGAGAGGATTTACTGTATTTTTAACATAGGTTTGAGAATATAAGTGGAGAGCCCATTTGCTGGCAGGCACTTACGAATGTTAATGTGAGTCCCACTGGATGGTTTTCTGAATCATTTAAGGTTATCATGGCTCTGAGAATGGACTGTCATAAGGTTAAGAGACTCAGTAATGCTATAGATAGGAAAGTACTTGGAGTAGTTTAAAGTGCAAAATAAGTCAATGTAGATAAATTTAAAGTAGAAATCTGGTTTTTTGAAGTAGGTAGTTGCCGTTTTAATAAACTAAGCAGAAAAACAAATTGAAGAAGGCCTTTTCTTTTGAGGCATTTAGTCCTCTGGAATTTTTCATGGAAAGGAGAATCTGTTAGGTAGCTAGAGCTTTCACCATTCTGGTGGATAGTGTACTATTTCAGTCAGTTAAACTAAACATTTAAAGTTGTTATGGTTAGTTCAAGTGAGAGTTTATGGCCTAAATGGCTTTTAATGACCCTGAATTTTCTGTTTAAGCAGAACCCATGTATCGTGGGGGTATAGTGCAGAATATAATATCTTAGTGTTCATCTGTGGATGATTAGATTTATCGCTTTGGGCCTGATATACATGGAATTGGCAAACATAAAATAGCTTTTATACTATTTTTCCCTAATAACATTCCTAGAAAGTCAAGAAGCCATTGTATTGTTGTTCATAGTGGTGTTATTTCGTTTAAAACAATGAAGTTAGAATTTATTAGTTTGTTTTAAATATTCTTAAAACTGGATAATTAAGTCCTAGAAAAGCCGAGACTTATTTTACTAGAGCAGATAATCAAGCTTATGAAAGAGGGGGTTTCAAGATTTTTTATAGGTAATACTTTAGGCGTTTTTCTTGCTGACATAACTAACATTTATTTTCTGTTTATTTTTAAGACGAGCAAAAATCAAATTAAAGTAGATCTTGTAGATGAGAATTTTACAGAATTAAGAGGAGAAATAGCAGGACCTCCAGACACACCATATGAAGGCAAGTACTTTTTTCTGTATCAAAATATTGTGCGTATTAGAACTTGTCTGAAACATTTAATCAGAATAATCTTAAACATCTATAAATTATATGGAGGGTAACTTCATTTGGTTTAGATAAACAGCAATTTAAAAAATACTAAATTTAGATACTGAATATAGACTGGTATTTCTTACTGAATTTTAGCTAATTTTTTTCTTTCCATAAAACAGTTTTAGCAGAGCTTTGTTACAGGTATTATAGGTTAGAATTTAATAGAATAAAAGATCTGGCATGGTAAACCTCTAAATCATATGGACTGTAGACACTCAGTTACCCTTCATATGGTATCTAAAACAGACCTTGCCTTAAATATCTCATTGGTAAAATGTTGCTTTTGTTTTTAAAGTTCTTCTTTCTGTCATTCAGCATTTCATTCACTCATGTCTTCATACAGGCTGTAGTCCAAATGTTTATTTTCTTTATTCAGGAAAGCTTTTAGTGATTATTTCAAGCCATAGAAAGGAGGTGGCTTTGCTGAACTTGGTGTTCACAAATTAAGTCTGTAGCTACTTTAGACCATGGAATCGGGTGGTAAGATACAGAAATAAACCTTATAGCATTTTACTTTCTTATTAGGTGAGTCTTCATTAATTAATATTACTGTAAATTTAGATTATATAGCATATAACCAAGGCTCTTGCATTAATAACTATTCAAATATTTGTTTATTAGAAAACATATAACAATATATGGTAACCCTAATTATACAGTCTTTACATGTATTTTCTCATTTAATCCTTTCAGCAAATCTTACTAGGTAAATACAACGATTGCTGTTTCATAGATGAAGAAACAAGTTAAGAGAAGTAACTTGTTTAAGGTCAACCATCTAAGTAGCACAACTGATAGCCTTTGTCTTCAAAGCCTGTGCTTTTAATCACTTTATGTAAATCAGAATTGACTTAATATTGGAAGTGGTGGTGATGTCTGTTTTGTTTTATCTATTTTTTTATATGCAAAGTTTTACTGTTACCCAAGCTGGAGAGCAGTGGCATGGTCATAGCTCATTATAAATTTGAATTCCTAGGCTCAGGTAATCCTCCAGCTTCCTCAGTAGCTAGTACTACAGGTGCATGCCACCATATCCAGTTAAATACTTTGTGTGTGTTTTTTGTTGTTCATTTTTTGATTGTTTGTTTTTTGAGACTGAGTCTCTCTGTCACCCAGCCTGGAGTGCGGTGGTGAAATCTTGGCTCACTGCATCCTCCATCTCCCAGAATCAAGTGATTCTCCTGCCTTAGCCTCCTGAGTAGCTGGGATTACAGGCGCACCACCATGCCGGCTAATTTTTGTATTTTTAGTAGAGACAGGGTTTCACAATAACGGCCAGGCTGGTCTTGAACTTCTGACCTTAGGTGATCCGCCTGTCTTGGCCTCCCAAAGTGTTAGGATTACAGGCGTGAGCCACCAATCCCGGCCACCAGCTAAATACTTTCGAGTGGTTCTATAATTCTGTAATGAACAGTTACCCAAAACACTTTTTTTTTTTTGAGATGGAGTCTCGCTCTGTTGCCCAGCCTGGAGTGCAGTGGCGCGATCTCGGCTCACTGCAAGCTTCGCCTCCTGGATTCACGCCATTCTCCTGCCTCAGCCTTCCGAGCAGCTGGGACTACGGGCACCCGCCACCATGCCCGGCTAATTTTTTTTGTATTTTTTTAGTAGAGACGGTGTTTCACCGTGTTAGCCAGAATGGTCTCGATCTCCTGACCTCGTGATCTGCCAGCCTCGGCCTCCCAAAGTGCTGGGGTTACAGGAGTGAGCCACCGTGCCCGGCTACCCAAAACACTTTTTAAAAATCTAATATTCTTGAATATTTTCTTGTTTTTAATCCAGATTTTTTAAGACCCTAGAATGTCTTTAGCATATTATACCAATTCTGTTTATTCATTTTTTTTTTTTTTTTTTTTGGGAGACAGAGTCTTGCTCTGTCTCTCACGCTGGAGTGCAGTGGTACGATCTTGGCTCACTGCAACCTCCGCCTCCCGGGTTCAAGCAATTCTCCTGCCTCAGCCTCCCGAGTAGCTGGTACTACAGGCGCCCGCCACCATGCCCGGCTAATTTTTGTATTTTTAGTAGAGGCGGGGTTTCACCATATTGGCCAGGCTTGTCTTGAACTCCTGACCTTGTGATCTGCCCACCTCAGCCTCCCAAAGTGCTGAGATTACAGGCGTGAGCCACCGCACCGCACCCAGCCCATTTTTTTCTTTCTTTATTGGAGAGATGGCATCTTGCCAAGTTACCGAGGCTGGTCTCAAACCCCTGGCCTAAAACAATCCTCTTGCCTTGGTGTCCCAAAGTCTTGGGATTCTAGGCATGAGCCATTGTGCCCAACCTTGTACCAATTCTTAAGTGATAAAATTTTATTTTTTGTTTTATAGTTCATACGAGCCATTTCTAGATATTTAATTTTTTATGCTGTTTATCGAGTGCTTCCTATCTGCTTGGCTTGGTCTGGCAGTTTTCATGGATGCTGTTTCATTTAGTCCTTTTTGCAATCATTAAATGTAGAGGAGACCTTTAGTTATCTTTAAAAAATCAGATGCTTGTCCTAATAGCAGATGTTTTTATATAATAATATACTAGCTTCTTCTTGAAGTCAGACCTTATAGTTATTCTTGAATTTTTTTTTAGGTTGTTTTGAAGTATTTTTGGAAGATAGTAGGGCAGTGACATTATTCTAGAGGTCTGTCAGCAAAGTTTTAAATTTTTTCATTGATTTTTATAAACAAGGCACTTCCTGAGCTAAATTAGATAGAAGCAATATTTAATAGGTAGATTAATTTTTTTAATTGGATAATGTATACTTATATACATTAAGATATATTAAGATACACTAATTAGCCGGGCGAGGTGGTGGGCGCCTGTGGTCCCAGCTACTCGGGAGGCTGAGGCAGGAGAATGGCGTGAACCCCGGGAGGCGGAGCCTTCAGTGAGCCCAGATCGCGCTGCTGCACTCCAGCCTGGGCGACAGCGAGACTCTGTCCCAAAAAGAAAAAAAAAAAGATACATTAAGATATATTCTTATGGCCGAGTGCGGTGGCTCACACCTGTAATCCCAGCACTTTGGGAGGCTGAGGCGGGCAGATCACGAGGTCAGGAGATCGAGACCGTCCTGGCTAACACGATGAAACCCCGTCTCTACTAAAAATACAAAAAAATTAGCCAGGCGTGATGGTGGGCGCCTGTAGTCCCAGCTACTTGGGAGGCTGAGGCAGGAGAATGGTGTGAACCCGGGAGGCGGAGCTTGCAGTGAGCCGAGATTGTGCCATTGCACTCCAGCCTGGGCAACAGAGCAAGACTCCGTCTCAAAAAAAAAAAAAAAAAAAAGATATATTCTTTATTGGTTAGAAACAAGTTTGGTCATTTTTTTTCTTTTCTTTTTCCCGATACCGAGAATGGGACCAAAAGTTTGGTCATTTAAAAGTGCTTATATCTGCCTGGGCGGGGTGGCTGATGCCTGTAATCCCAGCACTTTGGGAGGCTGAAGCAGGTGGATCACGAGGTCAGGAGTTCAAGACCAGCCTGACCAACGTGGTGAAACTCCATCTCTACTAAAAATACAAAAATTAGCTGGGTGTGGTGGCGTGCGCCTATAATCCCAGCTACTCAGGAGGCTGAGGCAGGAGAATCCCTTGAATCCATGAGACGGAGGTTGCAGTGAGCTGAGATCGCACCACTGCACTCCAGCCTGGGCGACAGAGGGAGACTGCATCTCAAAAAAAAAAAGTGCTTATTTCTGCTGCTGCTGCTGCTAAATGAATATTTTGATAAGATTAGATTTAATATGCTTTTTATATATTTGAGGTAGAGTAACTTGAATTCTGTTATTTTATATAAAACTATTGAGAGAAGTTCATTTTGTTAAGGAAAACACCATTCAAGGACATAAACTTTAATGCTTTTTCTTTTAAATGTGACGATAGGTTAAATGTTTATTGCAAGGA
Source organism: Homo sapiens (assembly GCF_000001405.40). Classification (NCBI taxonomy): domain Eukaryota; kingdom Metazoa; phylum Chordata; class Mammalia; order Primates; family Hominidae; genus Homo; species Homo sapiens. Next base: position 39,741,500 of record NC_000004.12, read on the forward strand.
TGTTGCAGTTTTTTGAGTTTTTAAAAATCTAAACTTAAATGCTAAAGCAAAAGTTTACATGTGGAATGTTAAGCAATTTATAACCATTATTAAGTAATGAGGCAGCTGTTTTTGTAGTATTTAAAGAATCAGATTGTGAAGTAGAGTACTCACGGGAAAATGCCATATTGTGGATGTTACTTAACTCAATTTTCTTCACTTCTTTTGCCTTAATAATTCAATGACAAAGGAACAGTTTAGTTCTTGAGCTTTTCTTCCTAAAATTTCTTTTAGGTTTATGGAATCATTGTTGACAGCTTAAAAATTCTCATTCCTTCCTCATCTCCTCTTTGGGTTAAGTTAAATTTAAAGATTGTTAATTTTTAATATTAAAAGCTATTCTTCAAGAAGTTAATGTTTTAAAGTAAAAACTATTATAATATGAATAATATAGTTATCATAAGGATTCCTTAGTTGTATTACCCTGATCAAATAATGCTATGATTAATGCTAAGTGGTCATATATTGAAAGTTGTCAGAGCGTGTAACATAAGGGATAGAAATAAGATTTTAGAGACTCTCGAGTCCAGCATTATTTATATAATATCTGTGGGCCCTCACACTGCTCCTAAGAGATTATTTTGGCCATTAACAAAGAACTTTGTATGATGGGTTATAGAGATGGTTTAATCTGGAGTTTAATCAGAAAAAAAAAATTCTTAGGAAGGAAAAAGAAAAGCCTATGTAGTGCTGAAGCCAAATTTATTATAACTATATTTGAAGCTGGCATTTCTAATTCTGGGTATAGACAGTTATTGTCACAAAATTTCTTCAGGTACCCTTCTCTTACCTGTCAGTTTTTTTTTTCTTTCCACTACTTTTCTTTAAATTTCATTATTGTTATATGTTCTGTGATTCAGGCATTTAGTTCAACTCATGCATGAATCACTATGGGATTCTATTAAAAAGAACTAGCCACGAGGCATAACGGCTCATGCCTGTAATCCCATTACTTTGGGAGGCTGAGGCGGGTAGATTATTTGAGGTCAGGAGTTTGAGACCAGCTTAGCCAGCATGCTGAGACCCTGTCTCTACTTAAAAAAAAATTAAAAAATTAGCCAGGCATGGTGGCGCGCACCTGTAGTCCCAGCTACCCAGGAGGCTGAGGTAGGAGAATTGCTGGAACTGGGAGGTGAAGGTTGCAGTCAGCCGAGATCGCACCATTGCACTCCAGTCTGGGCAACAGAGTGAGAATCCGCCTCAAATAAAAAGTAGCCAGAAGAGAGGCCAGGCGCAATGGCTTATGCCTGTAATCCCAGCACTTTGGGAGGCTGAGGCAGGCGGATCACCTGAGGCCAGAAGTTCAAGCCCAGCCTGACCAACATGGTGAAACCTCATCTCTACTAAAAATACAAAAATTAGCTGGGCATTGTGGTGGGCACCTGTAAACCCAGTTACTCAGGAGACTGAGGCACAAGATTTGCTGGAACCTGAAAGGTGGAGGTTGCAGTGAGCCAAGATTGTGCCTCTGCACTCCAGCCTGGGCAACAGAACGACCCTGTCTCAGGAAAAAAAAAAAAAGAGAAGGATTCGAAACAAAAAGGGCTTGAAGAAAATAGTACCACTTTTATTTTTTCCTCAGATTCATAGTCATCCATCCATTCATAACAATGGAGGAGTGAGGAGATACATTTGAGAGAGTCTAGAATATACTGAAGAAAGTCTCTTGTTTGACTTTTTGAAGAGCTGAGTGTATAGAATTTTGAAGATAATGTTCCTAGCACACAGTTTTTTATTTTACTTTTTATTACAGGGAATTTCAGATATATAAAAAAGAAGAATAGGCCAGGCGCAGTGGCTCATGCCTGTAATCCCAGCTCTTTGGGAGGCCGAGGCGGGTGGATCACAAGGTCAGGAGATTGAGACCATCCTGGCTAACACGGTGAAACCCTGTCTCTACTAAAAATACAAAAAAATTAGTCGGGCGTGGTGACGGGCGCCTGTAGTCCCAGCTAATCGGGAGGCTGAGGCAGGAGAATGGCGTGAACCCGGGAGGCGGAGCTTGCAGTGAGCCGAGATCCCGCCACTGCACTCCAGCCTGGGCGACAGAGCGAGACTCCGTCTCAAAAAAAAAAAAAAAGAATATAATGAAACCTCTTCAGCCAGCTTTAATAACTATCAGCTCACGGCCATCTGTGATCTAATTTATTCTTTGATTATCTTGAAACAAAATCTCATAGTCTTATAAATAAATATTTCAATAGAACAGTTTTATTTACTATATTTTGTAATAGTATTCTATGTTATTAATCTTAGAGTTAAGAGTTGAATCCAGCCTCTCATCCAGTGTAAGACTTACCCCTTCAGTGTTTTCTTTTCTTTTTTCTCTTTTCTGTTTATTTGAGATAGATTCTTGCTCTGTCACGTAGGCTGGAGTGCAGTGGTGCGAACTTGGCTCATTGCAATATCCACCTCCTGGGTTCAAGCGATTCTTGTGCCTCAACCTCCTGAGTAGCTGGGATCGTAGGCACATGCCACAATACCCGGCTAATTTTTGTATTTTAGGTAGAGGTGGGGTTTCGCCATGTTTGCCAGGCTAGTCTTGAACTTCTGGCGTCAAGTGATCTGCCCACCTCAGCCTCCCAAAGTGCTGGGATTACAGGCATGAGCCATTGCACGCAGCCCAGAGTTTCTTAAGAGGCAGTTATCCTTTCCTTGAGTACCCCAGTTGTGAGAAGCTAGATTGTGAAGTGGCACAATCTGGGCTCACTGCAAGCTCCGCCTCCCAGGTTCACGCCATTCTTCTGCCTCAGCCTCCTGAGTAGCTGGGGCTACAGGCGTCCGCCACCATGCCCAGCTAATTTTTTGTGTTTTTAGTAGAGACGGGGTTTCACCATGTTAGCCAGGATGGTCTCGATCTCCTGACCTCGTGATCCACCTGCCTCAGCCTCCCAAAGTGCTGGTATTACAGGCATGAGCCACCGCGCCGAGCCTAGATAAGCTTTTTAAAAATGCTGTATAGCTGCTAGTTGCTCAAGATAACTTCAAAACGAAACAAAAAGTTGCCTTCTGTTTGTATATTACTGGTTAGAAAAGCTCCTTGGTAAAATTTTGCATTTTATATACCCATTTAAAGGAATAATTTGGGCTGGGCACAGTGGCTCACGCCTGTGATCCCAGCACTTTGGGAGGTTGAGGCAGGTGGATCACGAGGTCAGGAGATCGAGACCATCCTGGCTAACATGGTGAAACCCTGTCTGTACTAAAAACACAAAAAAATTAGCCAGGCGTGGTGATGGGCGCCTGTAGTCTCAGCTACTTGGGAGGCTGAGGCAGGAGAATGGCGTGAACCCGGGAGGTGGAGCTTGAAGTGAGCCGAGATCACGCCACTGCACTCCGGCCTGGGCAACAGAGCGAGACTCTGTCTCAAAAAAAAAAAAAATAAATTAAATAAAATAAATAAATAAATAAATAAATGAAGGAATAGTTTGTCTTTATGTCTATCTCTCTTGTTGAATTTTGCTTAAAAAATAAAAAATATATTTAAAGTTTTTTATATTAAAATAGAGACAAGGACTTGCTATATTGAGCAGGCTCTACTCAAACTCCTGGCCTAGCTTTAAGCAGTCCTCCCACCTCGGCCTCCCAAAGTGTTGGGATTACAAGGCATTAGCCATGGACCCAGCTTGTTTTTATTAGGCTAGTGCAAAAGTAATTGCAGTTTAATTGCACAAATATTAACAAATAAGTATTGACATTTAATTTAGGGCACAAATGAAAAGATTGGGACCTTATTTCATTTGCGAGAACCAGCTAGAAGTAGAATTTTGTTTATGGCATAATCTCTGTCCTTTGTATCATCTGTACTTTTATACCTCCTTGCCTTCTTTTTTTTTTCTGACCCTTTTGTTGTTGTTGTTATTTAGCAATTCTTAACAGGATGGATTAGAGGACACAGTGGAGATTAAAACTCCAATAGTTAATTGTCCTGATGAAATGTTGGCATTGCATTGTCTGGATTAAATGTATTTATCTCTGGCCTTGTTACTCACTGATAAACTAATACAGTTGTATGAAATGGATATTCTGTATGCTTTAAACAACCTTTAAATTAAAAACTAGTGCTTTTGATTACTTTCTTTCTGGATTTCAACTTTAAAATGAATTTTTATAATTGAATATAAAATAGCTGCTCTGAAAAGCTCATCAGTATATTTGTCTTATATATTTGAATTGAGCAGCATTCTTAACTTTGTTTTCCCCATTTTTTTAGGAGGAAGATACCAACTAGAGATAAAAATACCAGAAACATACCCATTTAATCCCCCTAAGGTATTGTAAGCCTATTTTTGTGCATGAAGTTACAAAATATTTTATATTTCTGACCTCATTTTATTAATATATATTTTAGGGCTTATTAAAGTCACAGCTTTATGAATTGCTTACTGTGTAAACTTGATGTGGACAGGATTTTAGATAATGGCAGGTGGCTGGCTTCTGAAATTAGAATGAAAAGCAAACTCACCCAAAGGCAGCCAGTAATGGCTCAAAACTGGAATAGGATGTACATCTGACAATGGCTCATATACTAGATCTAGAAATACGTGGCAGTGTTCCCAAATTTAGAGAGCCCTTTTACACATAGACAGAGGTTCTTACTTGACTCAAAGAAGTATGTGTTTTAGGAGAGTACCTTCTACATTCAGTCATTATTTGAGTACTTTGTGCCAAGAACTATAGCAGTAACTAAGACTTATACTGTTCCTGCTTTCATAGAGCTCACATTATAGTGGGGAAAAAAAACTGAGCATGGAATTGCAACTGTGATAAATGTTGAAAGGGAGTATGGAATACCCTAAGATCATGTATAACAGGGGGACCCAACCTAAACTTATTTTTGGATTGAACCACTTTCTTTATGTCTCTGCTTTTACTGTCATCAGCACTTTAGGCATTCAACTTTATTCCCTGTTTTGTCTATTATTTAATCACCCTTCCATCTTTTCCATTTCTACTCATTCTCTGCACTGTTGGTCTAGAAATCTTCCTAGAGTTCAGTTTTGATCATGCTGCTTTTCTTTCCCTGAATAAAGTCTAAACTCCATGGCTTGGCACTTGAAACCTAGAACCTGACCCCAGTCTTGTTTCCCACTCTAATCTTCTACCACTTCCACCCACAATGTGGGTCTCATTTTCCATCTTAGATTGTTTATTTGTAGGTGATGCTTATTCTTCCACAGCTTTCTATCAGTTTCACTTAAATCTTTGTCCCTATTATTTAAAATTCTAGTTTTCTATGAGGCCCGAGTATCACTTTCTTCATTAAGCTGAGTTCATCAAATGTTTCTCCCTCTCCTCTCTCAGTAGCATTTTATACAATTTATATAGTGGCAACACAAATATAGTTCCAACTCATGTATTATTTTGGATATGTATCTTTCTCTAGCTTTTATGCTCCTGAGTCATATAGGTCTTTTACACCTATATATTATCAGTAATTCCCAATAGTATAGTGTCCCTTGGGCATATGATAGCAGTCACTCAGAATGTTCTAGAATTTGTTCATTCAACCTATTGGTTGTTCCAGTTTAAGAATAGATATGATAATGGAAGTTCCAGGGTGATTTTGGCTCACTTAGCATTATGGGCTGCCTATTAGTCTATTGTTTATGTACATCTATTTTCTGATAAGTCTGGTCGATTTTTTTATTGTGATAAAATATGCATGACATAAAATTTACCATTGTAATCATTTTTATGTGTGCAGTTCAGTGGCAGTGTATTTACCTTGTTGTTTAACCTTTACCATTATCTGTCTGTAGAACTTTCTCACCTTCCCAAACTGAAACTTCGTACCCATTAAGCAATAACTCCCCATTATTCCCCGCTCCCAGCTTCTGGTAACCACTGTTTCTGTTTCTCCGAGTTTGATTAATTCAGAAACCTCATGTAAGTGGAATCATAAAATGTCATTTTGTGTCTGGCTTATATCACCTAGCATAATGTCATCAAGGTTCATTCATGTTAAAGCATGTGTCAGAATTTCTTTGTTTTTAAGGCTGAATAATACTCCATTATAAGTATAGACCATATTTTGTTTTCTTATTCAGCTGTTAATGGATATTTGGATTTTGTTTGTTTGTTTTTTGTTTTTTTGAGATGGAGTCTTGCTCTGTCTCCCAGGCAGGAGTGCAGTGGCACAATCTCAGCTCACTGCAAGCTCTGCCTCCTGGGTTCACGCCATTCTACTGCCTCAGCCTCCCAAGTAGCTGGGACTACAGGCGTCTGCTACCTCGCCCGGCTAATTTTGTTGTTGTTGTTGTTTTCTTTTTTTTTTTTTTGAGATGGAGTCTCGCTCTGCCGCCCAGGCTGGAGTACAGTGGCGCGGTCTCGGCTCACTGCAACCTCTGTCTCCTGGGTTCAAGCAATTCTCCTGCCTCAGCCTCCTGAGTAGCTGGGATTACAGGCACCCGCCACCAAGCCCAGCTAATTTTTGTATTTTTAGTAGAGATGGCATTTCACCATGTTGGCCAGGCTGGTCTTGAACTACTGACTCCATCTGAAAAAAAGAAAAGAAAAGGAAGTCATACACATTAAGTGGGTGAATTATGTCTCAGTAAAGGTGTAGCCTTTATAGTGTATAATAGCTTCAAAGTAATTGCATAGTTGTGGCTCTGTTTTAGGCAGTTCAACCTGTAACTTCATTTAATTTTTGAAATAAATATTTTATTAAATCTCTCCCACCTCATCCCCACTTTTTTTTAGAGACAGGGTCTTACTCTGTTGCTCAGTCTGGAGTTTAGTGGCATGCACAGTCATAGCTTAGTGCAGCCTTTAACTCCTGGGGTCAAGTGATCCCTCCACCTTGGCCTCCCAAAGTGCTGGGATTACAGGCGTGAACCACCACATCCACTCCCTTGTTTTATTAAAGCGAGAAAAATAGACTCAAAACATAATAACTGAAGTATGTCTGATGTTTTTGCTACTACCTCATCTTGCTATTGAAGCCACTGTTACCTGGCCAGGCATGGTGGCTCACGCCTATAATCCCAGCACTTTAGGAAGTCAAGGCAGGAGAAGCGTTTGAGCTCGGGAGTTTGAGTTCAGCCTGGACAACATAGCAAGGCCCTGTCTCTAGTCCCAAAAAAAAAAAAAAAGAAAAAGAAAAGCCTCTACATCTCTAATTCTAGCTGTTCCGTTTGGAGGTAGCTTTGACATTTAGAAACATCTTCTTAGGTTCAACCCCAATTTGTATTACTGTGACCTCAACCAATTAGTCATAGTTGCAGTTTAGTGTTCTTTAAATACGGTATATATGAAATAAAATTTTTTTAAATAACAAAAAAAAATAAAGAACAAACAAGAAAATGTTATATACCCTACTTGTGGCATTACGCTCTTGCAGTAAATGTTAATGAACATGATAAATATGTTCTAGATGTATACTACGTTGATTTGAATTTTTACTGATTGGTAAATAAAATGAGAAGAATGGGGAATATTTATGTAAATTTCTTGCTGAATTGTGTGTTCACATGTGTTTGGACTCAGGCTTAATTTTAAGTCTTATGAGGTAAAATTATCAAGGTAGCTGGTTATATTCTCATTACTACTGTGCAGCTAAAATTTGAGAAAAGATGAAAAATTCACATTTGTCTTACCATGGTCACAGAATGTTTTGTGTTTATTATTATGCAATAAATTATTGACCGGAAGAGTAGGCTTACTTCTAAAACAGAGAAAATATATCTTTGAATCAGGTGATAATAGTGTAGAAGGAATTTGATTAAATGCATACAACCAATATGATTTCTAGCATTAAATTGCAATGTATATTGTGTTAGTGAAAAAATCATTAGTAAAAATATAGTCCAGTGGTGTATCCTGCTTGAATAGAGCAGGCTGGATGCGGTGGTTTGCTCGCCTGTAATCCCAGCACCTAGGGAGGCAGGGGGCAGGCAGATGGCTTGAGCTCAGAAGTTCATGACCAAATGGCAAAAACCTGTCTCTACTAAAAATGCCAAAAACTAAACAAAACAAAACAAAAAATACTAGTCTGGTATGGTGGCATGCGCCTGTAGTCTCAGCTACTCAGGAGGCTAAGGCACAAGAATTGCTTGAACCTGGCAGGCAGAGGTTGCAGTGAGCCGAGATCATGCCACTGCACTGCAGCCTGGACAAGAGAGTAAGACTCTGTCTCAAAAAAAAAAAGAAATTAAGTTGTGAATTTTGCTCTTTTTCTTTGGTGTTATCATCATACTTTTTACATGTTAAGTTGTATATACATACCAATGCTAATAATCTTTAATGAGCGTATGCTCATCTGTACATGCATATTCAAAATAGCATTTTCTTTTGTATGATAAGGGAGTTAAAGCTGGCTTAATAATATAATATGCTTTGAGACCCTGTCTCAAAAATAAATAAAAATAAGATACGGCCAGGCGCGGTGGCTCACGCCTGTAATCCCAGGACTCTGGGAGGCCGAGGTGGGTGGATCACCAGAGGTCAGGAGTTCAAGACTAGCCTGGCCGACATGGTGAAACCCCATCTCTACTAAAAATAATTAGCCAGGTGTAGTGGCACGTGCCTGTAATCCCAGCTACTCAGAAGGCTGAGGCAGGAGAATCGCTTGAACCCAAGAGGCGGAGGTTGCAGTAAGCTAAGATCGCACCACTGCACTCCAGCCTGGACGACAGAGTGAGACTCCATCTCAAAAAAAACAAAAACAAAAAAAAGCAAGAAACACACTTCACATATCTTCAGGTCTTAAAACTGGAAGTTACAGATGGAAATATGAACTCACATCTACAATGAAGTGGGAGCTGAAGTGTTAAACTAAAGAGTGAATGAAATTTACAGTGCATCCTGTAGGAAGAGATAAGAACCGTTGATGCTATGCCAATATTGATAATTTAAGAATAGTTTCCTTCATTTCTGTCTGGGAACATTGAGAATCTGTTGTTACATAGTGTTCAGATTTCCGTTTTTATTCATTGAGTGCTTCCCAAAGCTAGTGAGTGTTCTGAAGTTCCCAGACAACGCTACTACTAGTTTTGTATATAAAAATAAGGAGACATTATTATTATATTCTTAATAGATACAGGGTCTTGCTACATTGCCCAGGCTGGTCTCAAACTCATAGCCTCAAACAGTCTTCCCACCTTGGCCTCCCAAATTGTTGAGATTACGTGCTTGATTCACTGTGCTGGGCCACGGAGATAATCTTGAAGATTAAATTCTTTTTTTTTTTTTTTACAAAATTTTTATTTTATTTTATTTTTTGAGACAGGGTCTTGCTGTGTTGCCCAGGCTGGAGTACAGTGGCATGATCATGGCTCACTGCAACCTCTGCCTCCTGGGCTCAAGCGATCCTCTCACCTCAGCCTTCGAGTAGCTTGGACTACAGGCATACCCCACCATGCCTGACTAATTTTTTTGTATTTTGTAGAGATGGGGTTTCACCTTGTTGCCCAGGCTGCTCTCGAACTCCTGGGTCCAAGTGATTTCACCCACCTCAGCCTCCTGAAGTATTGGGATTACAGGTATGAGCCACCACGCCTGGCCCCTGAAGATTAAATTCTTTATTGGATCATCTGCAAATTCAAAATTCTTTTTTCTTTTCTTCTTGTTTTTTTTTTTCAAATAGGGACGGGGTCTCACCATGTTGCCCAGGCTGGTCTCGAACTCCTGAGCTTAAGCAGCCCACCTGCCTTGGCTTCCCAAACTGCTAGGATTATAGACATGAGCCACCATTCCCAGCCCAAATTCAAAATTATTTATTTCTAACTATAGATTATAGTACAAAGTAAGAATTAGTTCAGTAATTTAATTGGGTCTTGGCTTTTTTCCTATGTATCTACAGAGAATTCTGTATAGAAGACCCTTCTTTAAAAAGCAGTGCTGAACGCCATATCCTGCTTTTTGCTCACACCTGTAATCCTAGCACTGTGGGAGGCTGAGGTGGGTGGATCACTTGAGCCCAAGAGTTCGAGAAAAGCCTAAGCAACATGGTGAAACCCTGTTCTTGTGTCCACAAAAAATATGAAAATTAGCCAGGAGTGATGGCGCACGCCTGTAGTCCCAACTACTCAGGAGGCTGAGGCAGAAGAATTGAGCTCAGGAGCTCGAGGATGCAGTGAGCCGAGATTGCGCCACTGCACTTCAGCCAAGGTGACAGAGTAAGACCCTGTCTCAAAAATAAATAAAAAAGGCCACGCGCAGTGGCTCATGCCTGTAATCCTAGCATTTTGGGAGGCTGAGGCGGGCGGATCACTGGGAATTCCAGACCAGCCTGGCCAACATGGTGAAACCCTGTCACTACTAAAAAATAGAAAAATTAGTCGGGTGTGGTGGCGCACACACGTAGTCCCAGCTACTGGGGAGACTGAGGCGGGAGAGTCACTTCGGCCCGGGAGACAGAGGTTGCAGTGAACCGAGATCGCACCACCGCACTCCAGCCCAGGCAACCAAGTGAGACTCTGTCTCAATAAAAGTAAAAAAATAAGATTAAAACAAAAGGCAAAATACACTTCACATATCTTCAGCTCACTTGACTGAACCGTAATCCTTCTGACATCTTCAATAGTGTTTTAAAATTATATTTTCTAATCTTGTTGAAAATACTAAACCACATGGGGTTTTTTGTATGTGTTTGTTTTGTTTTGTTTTTGAGACGGAGTCTCGCTCTGTCCCCCAGGCTGGAGTGCAGTGGCACGATCTCAGCTCACTGCAAGCTCCATCTCCCTTTACGCCATTCTCCTGCCTCAGCCATCCGAGTAGTTGGGACTGCAGTAGCTGGGACTACAGGCGCCCGCCATCACGCCTGGCTAATTTTTTTTTTTTTCTTTTTTTTTCTTTTTTTTTTTTTTTTTTTGAGACGGCGTCTGGCTCTGTCGCCCAGGCTGGAGTGCAGTGGCACAATCTCGGCTCACTGCAAGCTCCGCTTCCCAGGTTCACGCCATTCTCCTGCCTCAGCCTCCCGAGTAGCTGGGACTACAGGCGCCCGCCACCGCGCCCGGCTAATTTTTTGTATTTTTAGTAGAGACGGGGTTTCACCGTGTTAGCCAGGATGGTCTCAATCTCCTGACCTTGTGATCCACCTGCCTCGCCCTCCCAAAGTGCTGGGATTACAGGCATGAGCCACTGCGCCCAGCCACCATTTTAAAGTTATAAAATGCTGTGAATTCCTTGAGTTCTGACATTATGGCATATGCTTGTTTATGAATTGAACTCAATAGTAAATAGAGGTTGATTATTCAAAATTCAAAAATCCGAGATTTGAAATGCTCCAAAATCTGAAACTTTTTGAGTGTTTACATGTCACTCAAAGAAAATGCTCGTTGGAGCATTTTGGATTTCAGATTTTCAGATAAGAAATACTCAGCATGGGCCAAGCACTGTGGCCCACTCATGCCTGTAATCCCAGCAGTTTGGGAGGCCGAGAGGGGAGGATTGCCTGAGCCCAGAAGGTTAGGACTGCAGTGAGCCATGATCGCACCACTCCACTCCAGCCTGGGCAACGGGAGTGAGACCCTGTCTCCAAAAAACAGAAAGAAAGAAAAAGAAATACTCAACCTGTATTAAGATGTGAAATGTGTGGTTATATCTCTTACAAAGCAATGTTTGATGTGGGCTCAGTGGCTCACGCCTATAATCCTAGTACTTTGGGAGCCTATGTCGGGTGGATCTCTTAAGCCCAGGAGTTCAAGACCAGCCTGGGTAATATGGTGAAACCCCCAACACTATTAGAAATAAAAGAATTGGCTGGGTGTGGTGGTGTGTGCCTATAGTCACAGCTACTTTTAAGATGGATCACCTGAGTCTGGGAAGTTGAGGTTGCAGTGAGCCACAGCAGTGAGACCTTCTCTGGGGGGGAAAAAAGGGAGAAATGTTTGTTGTACATAAGCCCTATATTACTGTCTTACTTAGCTTGCATTGTATTTGATATTTAGCCTTATAATAACATTTTTGCCGTAATATTAAGTGCACATTCATTCCATGTGAGTCGCTTACATCTGGAGATGCTTTATTAAGTAGGATGGATACAGTGTCTTTTAGGGAAGACCGGACAAACAAGGCAGAAATCACAGAAGTGTAATTAATATACTATGACAAAGGAAACTGCAGGTGTGTGGAATAGATCAGGAAGAAGTGATATGGAAAGTGAAACTTGAAGAGTAGGAATTAGTTGGGAGAAGAGGGCACAGAGGTATGTTATTGAGAAAACAAATATGTATGAAGGCCCAGAACAGGGGAAAAGTTTAATATGACTTTTTGAGCAGGAGAGTGGAGTGTGGGATAGAGGTAAAAATTGAGATTTCAGGAGTAGTCTAAGGCCAGGTTAAGAGTGTGGGCTTGGCCGGGCATGATGGCTCCATGCCTCTAATCCCAGCACTTAGGGAGGCCGAGGCGGGTGGATCACCTGAGGTCAGGAGTTTGAGACCAGCCTGGCCAACATGGCGAAACCCCATCTTGCCATGTTGGCGCTCCAAGATCGCGCCACTGCACTCCAGACTCCAGCCTGAGCGACAGCGCGAGACTCCTTCTCAAAAAAAAAGAGAGAGAGAGTGGGCCCACATGAAGGGAATGAGAGGTCATTAATGGTCCTTAAAGCAGCATAGTGATGCAAATCAGATTTGTTTTAAAGGGCTCTCTTTAGTTTTGGTGCGGAAAATAAATTGGAGGGAACAGAAGGGAAGGCAGTAAAGTCAGGAGACTGTGTAGTAACCTAGATGATGAATGATTGTCTCCTTTAATGAGAAGGTGGATGGAGAGAAGTAGGTATCTTTGAAAGTAGTAAGATTATTAAGACTGAAAAGAATCAAGCATAGCAAGAATGAAGGAATGGAAAGTATCTTATTTTCGGTATTTTAAAGTCATTGGCGAATTAAAGTGCCTTTTTAGATTGAATATGAGTTAGCAGGAGGTAAGGAAGTAGAAATAGGTAGTGTAAACAAATCAAGAAGTCACAAAGAGAAGAGAGAAGTGGAAACTCTTAGCTTCTTTCCATAAATAGCTTAGGAGCATATATTAAAGAGTCCGTTTTTTTCCAGTTGGTCGTGTTCTGTTGCCCAGGCTGTAGTACAGTGGCACGATCACGGCTTGCTGCAGCTCAACCTTTCAGATTCAAGTAATCCTCATGCCTCAGCTCCCTAGTAGCTGGGAGTACAGGTGTGTGCCACCATGCCCAGCTAATTTTTTTATTTGTAGAGACATGGTCTCACTATGTTGCCCAGGCTGGTCTCAAACTCTTGGGCTAAAGTGATCCTCCCGCCTCAGCCTCCCAAAATGTTGAGATTACAGTGTGTGAGTGCTAATTTTTGTGAAGTTCTTAGAACATTAATTGGCACATAGTAATTAATCTACTAAGTGTCAAAGAATATGGGCTCAGCTGGTCATTGTCATATGTGTCAGAGATAGGAATACAAGATCCTCCAAAAGTTCATGAGTAAGAGCTGATGAACTCTTTAATTTCATGGTGTTCCCCTAGAGTTTTAGCATTTTCACTTGTTGGTTTGTTATTCTTCCATAATGAGACAAATAATGAGATGATTGGACTCAGAATCTGGAATCAGATTGTGGGAGTTTACATTGTGCTCTGTTTAGCTATTTAATTAGATTTCTTAAACTCTAAGCCTTAGTATCTCCTCAGTGTTTGCTACATCATAATAGGCATTTCAATAATAAGAATTTGAGAAAAAATTCTACAGAAAAATTAAGAGAAGCACAGCCACTTACTATTTGTGCTTCCATTCACTGGTTTTACTTACTTTTTTCCTCAAACCTATTCTGCACCCTGCCTCACATGAAGAAAAGTGCCATTTACTATTTATGTTTTTATTTTATGTACTATTTTATTTACCAAAATGGATTTTATTCTCTGTTGTATTCTCATAGCATCTACCATTATTCTAGGTAAATTGTAAGCTCCTAGTAATTGTTGGGTTTGTTTAAAGGCGGAACATTTATTAAAGAGTTTGAAAACAACATATGTTAGTGACAACATTCAGCTTACTGGATCCTTTGTCTTCTACACCCCTTCTTTCACCTAGGCAAAATGATGTAATAGATATAGGGACCTTTCTTTTTTTAGTTTGAAGATTTCATTTTCTTGTAGTTCTACTTAAACTGTTTTATTTCTGTTACTGAAAAACTCAAGTGTGCTTTATATTCTAGGTCCGGTTTATCACTAAAATATGGCATCCTAATATTAGTTCCGTCACAGGGGCTATTTGTTTGGATATCCTGAAAGATCAATGGTAAGAGATTTTGAATTCACCTTCTCTCCTTCTCATATGAATACCAAGACTGTAAGAGTGTTAAATGTGTAATTGCCTCAAAACATATATTATACTTTATCTTGTTTGGGCAGTAACTTTAAAAGTCTCTTAAGTGCATAACTGAAAATGCATTATAATTGAGATCACAATCCATATTTAAATAGAAACTTGTTAGATAATGTTAGATGCTAGCTTTACACTTTGAAAAGCCTTGGATTTCATTTGTTATTTTGGTAAATTTGATTCTTTGCTATCTTAAGAAGATATTTGTGAAAGACTAAAAAAGTAGAAAGTAAGTATTGAAGTAGTCATATCCCCCTTAGATGGAATGTAAGTTACAAAATTGTTGCAGGTTGTGTTAATTGAGCACAGTTAAGATTTTGGTTTATGAATTCTAACAAGGAGCACCTTTGTAGGTGATGTCTTCATTTGGATAGCGGTATTGTGCTTTCACTTTTTTTGTCTGATTTGCTCTGCACAGCATTAAATGTTTTAAGAGTTCCTACTCTGGAGCCACCAGGTTCACATCTTGGCTCTCCAGTTTACCAAGCTGCATGGTTATGAGCAAATTACCTAAAGTCTGTGTGCCTTAGTGTCCTCATCTGCAAAATGGGTTGATACCCACTTCATAGAGCTCAGAGGATTAAATAAGTTACTTTATGTAATTCCCTTAGAATAGAGCTTTGCTTTTGTTTTTGTTTGTTTGTTTTGAGACAGGGTCTTGCCCTGTTGCCCAGGCTGGAGTGCAGTGGCGCAATCACAGCTCACTGCAGCCTTGACCTCTAAAGCCCAAGTAGTCCTACCACCTCAGCCTCCCAAGTAGCTGGGAATACAGGCGCATACCACCACACCTGGCTAATGTTTGTATTTTTTTTAGAGACAGGGTTCCTGTTGCCCAGGCTGGAAGCTTTGTGTAGTCTGACAATGATAAAGATGATAGTTAATTATTTAGCACATGATTTTATAGATGGAAAAACTAAGACCAAAGGTATGAAAAGTAATTGGAGTGGGAGAAAACCATAAAACTAGAAAAAATCAATTAAGTGAGTGTCTATTATGACCTTTCCTTCTGATTTTACTCTTTTACAAGAGAAGGTATAACAGAACAAAATAGAACAGCAGTTGGTAAGAAGACTTGGAGCCAAAACTGTGTTTAATGGGCCCAGCCTGGCTGCCTAATCTTCTAAAGATTATATATTATTTTTGGTACTAGAATTTTTAAGCTATGTTTTTTTGGGTGTTTTTTTTTTGTTTTTTGTTTTTTGTTTTTTGTTTTTTTTTTGAGACAGAGTTTCACTCTTGTCACCCAGGCTGGAGTGCAGTGGCACGATCTTGGCTCACTGCAACCTCTGCCTACCGGGTTCAAGCGATTCTCCTGCCTTAGCCTCCCGAGTAGCTGGGACTACAGGCGTGCGCCATCATGCCCAGCTAATTTTTGTATTTTTAGTAGAGATGAGGTTTCACCATGTTGGCCAGGCTGGTCTCAAACTCCTGAGCTCAGGTGATCCACCTGCCTCAGCCTCCCAAAGTGTTGGGATTACAGGCATGAGCCACCACACCCGGCCTAAGCTATGTGATTGATTTGTTAAGAAAGGGGAGAAAAAAAGGTACCTGAAAGAAAATCAAATAGGAATGACAGTATTTAGTGTATGGCCAGTGGTTTACTTAGTAACTGGATGAACAGACTAGAGTTACAGGTTTTGTTTTGTTTTTTTTTTCTATTCCAGTAGTATATCTGAGTAAATCCTGTCCCTCAGTAGATCATCTCTTGGGATCTGGTTTCTTGATCTGTATTTCAATATATTCTATATTCCATATAGATCAAGACTTTCTAACATAAAGCAGTGTGGAATAGACTTACTTTTTATCTTCTCTGTTACTCTTTTGATTTGTGACTTTTACCAATTTATTGAACTTCTTAAGTGTCAGTGTTTTTAATCCATTAGGTTATCGCCAAGGCCTCTAAAAGCTCTAAGATTCAGTGATATGAATACATATTTGCAGTATTAGAGACATTGTACTGTTTTCACTTGGCTTCTAGGACATTAGATTTTCTATTCTCCCTTTCCTATGCTCACTCCCAGATTCCTTAACCAGTTCCTTGCATCTTTGTGTATTAGAATGCCTCAGGGATAAGTCTTGGATTTCTGCTCCTTTCTAGCTGCACTCACTTCCTTGGTAAGCTCATCTGATTTCATCATAACTTCACCTTTACATACTGCAAACTCACAAATTATCTTCCCTGAACTTGAGACTCCTATCCTGCTGCCTGCTTATCATCTTTACTTGACTATATAACGAACATATCAAACATAAACTGAACTGATAGTCTCCTAACCTGAAACCTGCTTCTATAGTCTTCCCCAACTAAGTTATTGGCAAATACGTCCTTGCATTTTCTCAGGCCAAAATCACATCATGATCCTTGGCATTTCTTTCTCTGGTACCCCATGCCCTGTCTGCAGATCTATTGGCAAAACCTCCCAACATCTTAACAGCAGCTTTACTACCACACTTTTCCAAACGGATTACCTCTAGCCTGCATGATTGCATTAGTCTGCCTCCCTGCTTCTGGCTTTTACCTACTCAGGCTATTCCCAGCACCCAGAATGACAACTTTGAAAACAAAGCTTGCCGCCACGTGCAGTGGCTCATGCCTGTAATTCCAACGCTTTAGAAGGCGGAAGTGGGCAGATCGCTTGAGGTCAGAAGTTTGAGACCAGCCTGGCCAACATGGTGAAACCCCATCTCTACCAAAAATAAATAAATTAGCTGGGCATGGTGGTGCATACCTGTAATCCCAGCTACTTGGGAGGCTGAGGCAGGAGAATCGCTTGAACCTGGGAGGCGGAAGTTGCAGTTAGCAGAGATCATGCCATTGCACTCTAGCCTGGGCGACGGAGTGAGACCCCATCTCAAAAATAAAAAAAAAAAAGAAAGAAAAAGTTTGCAGATGAAAACTTCCCATTGACTTCTCTTTTTGCCCAGAGTTAAGCCAACAGTACTATTACTTGTAATTATCTTCCTATATAGCTAGTTGAAAGATTATGGTGTGTATATATAGAGAGAGAAGTTGAATTTTTATACCAAAACATTTTCTCCTAATATGATGTGCAGGAACAAAACATTTTTTACATCAACTATTCCCTTTTCCTAAGGCAGGTGAATAATCTTGTTTTTTATCTGTACAATTGAAATATTAGAATATACCAAAGACACATTAGATAAAATAGGTGAGACTAGATATTCATGAAGTCATTACTTTATTCCCAGAGCTTTACTGAGGTATAATTGACATTTAGTGCATATCCATATTTAAATGTGGATGTTTAGGTTTCAGAACTGGAATTTGATAGAGAAAAATACAGAGTCTTAATCATAGGAAAAATGAATTACATAAATAATTTTCAGCAGGCATACTAGAAAATAATTGGTTAATCTTGGTCTTTTATTAATGCATCTAGGGGTGATGATATACCTTTATTAATATTTAACTTATTTTAGTATATTTGTTTATTATTATTATTTTTTTTTGAGGCAAAGTCTCGCTCTGTCACCCAGGCTGGAGTGCAATGGTGCCATCTCTGCTCACTGCAACCTCCGCCTCCCGGGCTCAAGCAGTTCTCCTGCCTCGGCCTCCTAAGTATCTGGGATTACATTACAGGCATGTGCCACCACGCCCAGCTAATTTTTTTCTATTTTTAGTAGAGACAGGGTTCCACCGTGTTGGCCAGGCTGGTCTCAAACTCCTGACCTCAGGTGATCCACTGGCCTCGGCCTCCCAGAGTGCTGCAATGACAGGCGTGAGCCACTGTGCCCGGCCCCTGGTTTATTTCTTAATTCCACAACTTGTGCTGTGTGGAAACTATTTTCTAATGTTTTCCACTGACACTTACTATGACTAATGGTGTCTACTTACCTGGGGAAGAAAATGGCAACACATAAAAATTTCACTCAGTGACGCTGCCCTTCTAAAAGACACAAACAGGCACAGAATATCTGCCTGGTCGATAAGGTATGCTCAGCATCATTACTCATCAGGGAAATGCAAATGAAAATCACAATAAGATAACTACTACATGCCTGTAAACACAAATACCTCATGCATTGCTGGTAAGAATGTGGCTTAACCAGGCAGGGCACGGTGGCTCATGCCTGTTATCCCAACACTTTGGGAGGCCAAGGTAGGTGGATTGCTTGAGGTCAGGAGTTCAAGACCAGCCTGGCCAACATGGTGAAACCCCATCTCTACTAAAAATACAAAAATTAGCCAGGCGTGGGTGGTGGGCACCTGTAATCCCAGCTACTCGTGGGGCTGAGACAGGAGAATCTCTTGAACCTGGGAGGCAGAGGTTGCAGTGAGCCGACATCGCGCCACTGCACTCCAGCCTGGGTGACAGAGCGAGACTCTGTCACAAAAAAAAAAAAAAAACAGAAAAAAAAAAAAAAACAAATAATGTGGTTTAACCACTTAAAGCCAGTAATATCTACCAAAGCTAAACATACACCTTCAGTATGCCCTATCAGCTTCATTCCTAGGTATATATCTAAAAGAAATTAGTGTCTATGCCTACTTTTTAAAAGACATGTATAAAAGAATATTTATGGCAGATTTATTAATAGCCCCAACGGGAAATAACTTAGATGTCTCATCAACAAGAAAATTGATACATTGTGATCACACACTGGAGCACTACATAAACAGTAAAAAAGAGCCTATCATTGACACAAACAACATGGATGAGACTCAGTCATGTTGAGTGACAAAAGCCAGACACAAAAGAATACATACTGTATGGTTCAATTTTTATGAAATTGAAGATGAACCAGAATTTATGGTGATAAAAAATACGATAGCCCAGCGCAGTGGCTCACGCCTGTAATCCCAGCACTTTGGGAGGCCGAGGCGGGCGGATCATGAGGTCAGGAGATTGAGACCATCCTGGCTAACACGGTGAAACCCCGTCTCTACTAAAAATACAAAAAATTAGCTACAGCGAGACTCCGTCTCAAAAAATAAAAATTAAAATTAAAAAAAATTAAAACAAATAAAAAAATACGATAGTGGTGAGGGTGGGCAGGAGTTGTGAGTAGGAGGAGCAGAAGTGAGGCTTTGTAATGCTAAAAATACTCTATTTTTATCCAGGCGGTGGTTACATGGATATATACAGATATAAAAATTCATCCAGCTGCATGGTATCTTAACTTTGCTTAAACTTTAACAAAAAAATTTATAGCAGCTGGGTACAATGGTGCACACCTGTAGTCCCAGCTACTCAGGAGGCTGAGGCAAGAGGATTGCTTAAGACCAGCAAGTCTGGGCTGAAGTGTGCTATGCCAGTCAGGTGTCCACATTAAGTTGGGCATAAGTATGGTGACCTCTTAGGAACAGAGGACCACCAGATTGCCTAAGGAGACGTGAACCAGACAAGGTTGGAAACAGAGCAGGTCAAAACTCCTGTGCTAGTCAATAGTGAGATAACACCTGTGAATAGCCACTGCATCCCAGCCTTGACAACATAGTGAAACCCAATCTCTTTAAAAAATAAAATCTTTAGTATAAAAGCTGCCATCCTCTTTAAGTAGCATTTAGTGTTTTGAATGAACGTGGTTTAATTATTGATGATCTGTTGGAAGATCCTTAACAGAAAAGTTAGTCAACGGTATGAACAATTCACATGATTATTCTACATAGTAAGGCCTGAGTCCTTATGAATGAATATATGAATATTTACATAGCCACATTAACTATGTCTTACTGATTTGAGACTTGAGCAAAATTTATTTACCGGACATAGATTTATGAGGTACTGATTTATTCATATTATCTTCTAAATTATAAAGATTGACACATTTTGAAATTTCATATTCCTGTTTGCCTGTTAGGATTTGTTATAATAGATTTAAGTTGATTGTATATACTGATCCTAAAGATATCAGTACAATATAGATTTGATCACTACTTTGTAAATAGAAGAAGAAATGGAACAAAAGCATGTTTTCAGTTATATACTTTTTCACATTACTGAATTTAGATTAGAGCAGTCCAAAATTGCACACATTTCTTTATATTATCGAAGATACAGTTTCTATAGTATTCATTTTTTTTTTTTAAAGTTTTAGGCCGGTTGCTGGCCGGATGTGGTGGCTGATGCCTATAATCCCAGCAGTTTGGGAGGCCGAGGTGGGTGGATCACGAGGTTGGGAGTTCAAGACCAGCCTGGGCAAGATGGTGAAACCCCGTCTCCACTAAAAATAAAAATAAAAAATTAGCCGGGCGTAGTGGCATGCGCCTGTAATCCTAGCTACTCTGGAGGCTGAGGCAGAGAATCGCTTAAACCTGGAGGGGCAGAGGTTGCAGTGAGCCGAGATCGCCTCACTGCACTGCAGCCTGGGCTACAGAGCGAGACTCCCATCTCAGTAAAATAATAATAATAATAATAATAATAAATCTTGAAATTTATTTTATTTATTTACTTATTGTAGAGATGGGGTCTTGCTATGTTGCCCAAGCTGGTCTCAAGCACCTGGCCTCAAGTGATCCTTCCACCTTGGCCTCCTGAAGTGCTAAGATTACAGACTTGACCCCCTACTCCTGGTCTATAGTATTTAGGGTTAGAAAAATAGGTGTGGTAGGCTGTTTTTGCATTGCCATAAAGGAATACCTGAAACTGAGTAATTTATAAGGAAAAGAGGTTCCATTTGGCTTCTGATTCTTCAGGCTGTATAGGAAGTGTGGTGCCAACATCAGCTCAATTTCTGGTGAGGCCTCAGGGAGCTTATGATCACAGCAGAAGATGAAAGAGGAGCCTGTTTCACATCATGAGGGTAGAAAATAGAGTGGAAGCAACAGAGAGCAGGGAAGTTGCCACATACTTTTAAAACACTTTGTTTGAGACAGTCTCACACTGTTGAGCAGGCTGGTGTGCAATGGCACAATCTTGGCTCACTGCAGCCTCCGCCTGCTGGGTTCAAGCGATTCTCCTGCCTCATCCTCCTGAGTAGCTGGGACTACAGGTGCGTGCTATCACGCCTGGCTAGTTTTTGTATTTTTAGTGAGATGGTGTTTCACTGTGTTGGCCAGGCTGGTCTCGAACTCCTGACCTCATGATCTGCCCTCGGCCTCCTAAAGTGTTGGGATTACAGGCGTGAGCCACGCACCCGGCCAAAAAACACTTTTTTTTTTTTTTTTTTTTTTTTTTTGGAGACTGTCGCCCAAGCTGGAGTACAATGGTGCAATCTTGGCTCACTGCAACCTCCACCTCCCGGGTTTAAGCACTTCTCGTGCCCTCATGCCTCAGCCTCCTGAGTAGCTGGGATTACAGGCACGTGCCACCATGCCCAGCTAATATTTGTGTTTTTAATACAGATAGACTTTTGCCATGTTGGCCAGGCTGGTCTGGAATTCCTGGGCTCAAGTGATCCACCCGCCTTGGCCTCCCAAATTGCTGGGGTTAAAGGCATGAGCCACTGCATCCAGCCTTAAAACACTTTTTTTTTTTTTCTTTGAGACAGAGTTTCGCTCTTGTTACCCGGGCTGGAGTGCAATGTCACGATGTTGGCTCACTGCAACCTCCACCTCCCGGGTGCAAGTGATTCTCCTGCCTCAGCCTCCCAAGTAGCTGGGATTACAGGCATGTGCCACCACACCCAGCTAATTTTGTAATTTTAGTAGAGACGGGGTTTCTCCATGTTGGTCAGGCTGGTCTCGAACTCCCAACCTCGGATCATCTGTGCACCTGACCTCCCAAAGTGCTGGGATTACAGGCATGAGCCACCACGCCCAGCCAAAACACTTAAAACAACCAGCTCTCACATGAACTCAGTCATCACCAATGGGGTGGCACTAAGCCATTCATGAGCGATTTGCCCCCAGGATCCAAACACCTCTCCCCAGGCTCCACCGCCAACACTGGGAATTACATTGCAGCATGAGATTTGGAGAGGACAAATATCCAAACTATATCAATAGGTTTTGTTTGGATATTTATTTTTATTTTTATTTTTTGAGACAGAATCTCACTCTGCCACCCAGACTAGAGTGCTGTGGCTCACTGCAGCCTCAACCTTCCAGGCTCAATTGGTCTTCCCACCTCAGCCTTCTGAGTAACTGTAACTACAGTCACGTGCTACCACACTTGGCTAATTTTTTGTAGAGACAGAGTTTCACCTCATTGCCCAGGCTGGTCTTAAACTCCTGGGCTCAAGCGATCTACCTGCTTCAGCCTCCCAAAGTGCTGAGACTGCAGGCGTGAGCCATCGTGCCTGACCTCAATTATTGAACTAATTTTCTTACAATTAATTATTAAAACTGGCTGTGTGCAGTGACTCAAACCTGTAATCCTAGCATTTGGGAGGCCAAGGCAGGAGGATTGCTTGAGCCCAGGTGTTTGAGACCAGCACTGGCAACATGGCAAGACCCTGTCTGTACAAAAAATTTTAAAATTAGCTGGGCATGGTGTTGCGTGCCTGTAGTCTAAGGTGAGAAAATCACTTGAGCCTTGAAAGTCAGGGCTGCAGTGAGCCGTGTTCACACATTCTGTGAAAATTCAATCAGGCAGAAAAGTGACAACGTTTTCTCTTTGACATTGTTATGAATTGTATCTAAATTTGCAGCTCTAGATTTTTTTTCAATTTTGAGGGTTTTGAGAGCAAACTGCCTTTTTTTTTTTTTCTTTTCTCTTTTTTTCTTTTGCCCCTGCCAGACATGGTTTTTCTCTGTCGCCTAGGCTGGAGTGCAGTGACAACGATCACAGCTCACTGCAGCCTTGACCTTCCAGGCCCCAAGCATTCTTCCCACCTCAGCTTATCACAGGTGCACACCACCATGCCTGGCTAATTTTTTAAAATTACTTTTTGTAGAGATGGGTCTTGCCATGTTGCCCATGCTGGCTGGTACTCAAGCAATACCCCTGTTTTGACTTCCCAAAGTGCTAGGATTATAGGCATGAGCCACTGCCCCCGGCTGATTTCTTTTTCTTTAACCTCCTCTTCATTCAAGTTTCTGATTCTTGAAATGGTAATCTAGAGTCTGTAGTAGATTGTGTCGTCACAATAGGAAGACAGTGCAAATAGAGGAAATAGACAGTATTTATAATAAGGATTTTTGAATCTCTAAGAACTTATTAATTTTTTTTTTTTTCGAGACAAGAGTCTCACTCTGTGGCCCAGGCTGGAGTGCAGTGGCGCGATCTCGGCTGACTGTAAGCTCCGCCTCCTGGCCTCAGCCATTCTCCTACCTCAGCCTCCTGAGCAGCTGTGACTACAGGCACCTGCCACCACTCCAGGCTAATTTTTTGTATTTTTAGTAGAGATAGGGTTTCACCGTGTTAGCCAGGATGGTCTCAATCTCCTGACCTCGTGATCCGCCCGCCTTGGCCTCCCAAAGCGCTAGGATTATAGGCGTGAGCCACTGTGTCTGGCCTACTTAAAACTTTTTAAGAAAATTTTTGTAAAGTACACAGCATAAAATTTACTAGGCCAGGCATCGTGGCTCATGCCTGCTGTAATCCCAGCACTTTGGGAGGCCAAGGTGGGTGGATCGCTTGAGCCCAGGAGTTCAAGACCAGCCTGGGCAACATGGTGAAACTCCATCTCTACAAAAAATACAAAAATTAGCCAGGCATGGTGGCGTGAGTCTGTAGTCCCAGCTACTTGGGAGGCTGAGGTTGGAGGATCGCTTAAGCTCAGGAGGTTGAGGTTGAAGCTACAGGGATCTGTGATCACACCACTGCATTCCAGCCTAAGTGACCGTGAGACCCTGTCTCAAATAAGCAGGGCCAGGCGCAGTGGCTCACGCGTATAATCCCAGCACTTTGGGAGGCCGAGATGGATGGATCACCTGAGGTCAGGAGTTCCAGACCAGCCTGACCAATATGGTGAAATCCTGTCTTTACCAAAAATACAAAAACGTTAGCCAAGTCTGGTAGCATGCGACTGTAGTCCCAGCTACTAGGGAGAATCGCTTGAACCTGGGAGGCAGAGGTTGCAGTGAGCCAAGATTGTGCCACTGCACTCCAGCCTGGGCAACAGAGGGAGACTCCATCTCAAATAAATAAGTAAGTAGGCTGGGCGTGGTGGCTCTTGCCTGTAACCCCAGCACTTTGGGAGGCCGAGGCGGATGGATCACCTGAAGTCAGGATATATATATACATACATACATACATACATACATACATACACACACACACATACACATACACATACACAAAAGCCAAACATTTTGTTGATCCATTCATCCATCCATGGAAACCTTAAGTTGCTTCTACCTTCTGGCTATTGTGAATAATATTGTTATGAACATTTATATATTAATACTCCAGTTACTGCTTTCAGTTCTTTTGGATGTATACCCATAAGTGGAATCACTGGATTATATAGTAACTCTGTGTTTTTTGTGTGTGTTTTTGTCTGTGTGTGTTTTTGTTTTTTGTTTTTTTTTGAGGGACTGCCATACTGTTTCCCATAGAGTTTTCACCATTTTACATTCCCACAAGTAGTGCACAAGAGTTCCATTTCTCCACAACCTGGCTAACAATTACCATTTTTTTTATGGTAGCCATTCTAATGGATATGAAGTGATAGGTCATTGTGGTTCCAATTTGCATTTCCCTAATGATTAGTGGTGTTGAGCATCTTTTTATGTGTTTATTGACACTTTATATATCTTCTTTGGAGAAACGTCTGTTCACATCCCTTGTCGATTTTTTAACCAGGTTTTTTTTTTTTGTTATTGAGTTGTAGGAGTTCTTTATGTATTATGGATATTAAGCCCTCACCAGATAAATGATTTGGAAATATTTTCTCCTGCAACACAGAAGTTTTTTTGTTTTAAGTAGTGGGGTCTTGCTGTGTTGCCCAAGCTGGCATCGAACTCTTGGGCTCAGGTGATCCTCCCACCTCAGCCTCCCAAGTAGCTGGGACTACAGGTGTGTGCCACCACACCAGCTTCACAGGAGTGTTTATTTTTATTTCTAATTTTTATTATTTTCTTTCTTTCTTTTTTTCGAGACAGAGTCTCGCTCTGTCGCCCAGGCTGGATTGCAGTGACACAATCTCGGCTTACTGCAGCCTCTGCCTCCTGGGTGTTCAAGCAGTTCTCCTGCCTCAGCTTCCCACGTAGCTGGGATTACAAACATGCACCACCATGCCTGGCTAATTTTGTGTTTTTAATAGAGATGGTGTTTTACCATGTTGGCCAGGCTGGTCTCGAACTCCTGACCTCAGGTGATCCACCTGCCTCAGCTTCCCAGAGTGCTGGGATTACAGGTGTGAGCCACTGCATGCGGCCAGGAGTTTTTAACTTTGATAAAATTGTCGTGCATATTCTCGTATTTTTTGCTTTGGTTTCCTGTACCTTTGATGTCATATCCAAGGAATCATTGCCAAATTCAGTGTCATGAAGTTTTCTCCCTTATGTTTTTGCTTTCTAGCTCTTACATTTAGGTCTTTGATCCATTTTGAGTTAATTTTTATATATGGTATAATGTAAGGGTCCAGCTTCACTAATTTGAGAGATTATCAGTTTTCTTTTTTTCTGTTTTTTTTTTTGTGTGTGTGTTTTGTTTGTTTGTTTGTTTGTTTTTTGAGATGGAGTCTGGCTCTGTCGCCCAGGCTGGAGTGCAGTGATCTTGACTCATTTCAAGCTCTGCCTCCCGGATTCACGCCATTCTCCTGCCTCAGCCTCCAGAGTAGCTGGGACTACAGGCGCCTGCCACCACGCCCGGCTAATTTTTTTGTATTTTAGTAGAGACGGAGTTTCACCATGTTTGCCAGGATGGTCTCGATCTCCTGACCTTGTGATTCACCCACCTCGGCCTCCCAAAGTGTTGGGATTACAGGCATGAGCCACTGCGCCCGGCCCAGGATTATCAGTTTTCAAGAAAAGTGTTTATTGCCTTGTTGAGATATATGTTAGACTACCTATGTGATAGTATGAAGGACTTGCAAGATTTAGATGCTTTTATTTTACATGCCTTTATGTTTTTCTTTCAAATTAAAATAAATATTATGAGTTTAATAGTTGCCTTAGTATTAAATACTTCCTTTGAGTGAAAATTTTTCTTTGCTATTCAGGTAAATTTCCTTTAAATAAATAATTTTATTAAAAATTACATAAGATTTTGTTTCAGGTGACACCATGGATTTTAAAATTAGATTGCTTAGAAAGTCCATTGGAAAATTAAATAGTGCACTTAAGTGTTGTATATTTCATTGGTTATATTTTGTCTTTGTGTTCCTTATGTTATTTTTGGTGGTTTAAGTCAGCTTTATGCTGATAACATCTAGGTAGCTTTTGATATGTATGTGCCTTTAAACATTCTCTTTGAAATTACTCAAACTATCAAATGAAATTAGAGAAAGAATTTCCCCTTGTTATTGTGAGACTAGAAAGACGGGCCATTGCGGTGTCTTACACCTGTAATCCCAGCACTTTGGGAGGCAGAAGTGGACGGTTCACCTGAGGTCAGGAGTTTGAGACCAGCCTGGCCAACACGGTAAAACCCCGTCTCTACCAAAAAAAAAAAAAAAAAAATCAGCCAGGCATGGTAGCAGGCGCCTGTAATCCCAGCCACCCAGGAGGCTCTGAGGCAGAAGAATTGCTTGAACCTGGGAGGCAAAGGTTGCAGTGAGCCAAGATTGCACCACTGCACTCCAGCCTGGGGGACAGAGTGAGACTTCGTTTCCAAAAAAAAAAAAAAAAAATGTAAAAAATGGTGAGTAGAAAGACAAGAATGAACATTTGAGGACTGAGTTTGGCTTTTTGTTTTGACTCATGTCTTAAAAGAATATTGTGCATTTAAAAGAGATGAGGTTTCACCATCTTGCCCAGGCTGGTCTCAAACCCCTGGGTTCAAGCGATCTTCCTGCCTCAGCCTCTCAAAGTACAGAGATTACAGGCATGAACCACCGTGCCTGGTCCTATTTTTAATTTTTTGAGGAAACTCCATACTGTTTTTCCATAATGGTTGTACTAATTTGTATTCCCACCAGCAGTGTGCGAGGGTTTCCTTTCCTTTACATCATCACCAACACTTGTTCATTGTTTTTATAGTAGCCGTTCTAACGAGTGCTAGGTGATATCTCATTTTGGTTTGTTTTTTATTTATCTATTTTTGATGGAGTATCACTCTGTCACCCAGGCTAGAGTGCAGTGGCATGATCTCAGCTCACTGCAACCTCAGCCTTCCAAATAGCTGGGATTAGAGGTGTGCACTATCACGGCCAGAAAATTTTTGTGTATTTAGTAGAGATGGGGTTTCGCCATGTTGCCCAGGTAGGTCTCGAGCTCCTGACCTCAAGTTCAGGTGATCTGCCCACCTCAGCCTTCCAAAGTATTGGGATTACAGACATGAGCCACCATGCCCACCCTAATTAACAGTATTTGTCAAATTTTAATGTGCATCAGAATCACCTGGAGGACCTGTTAAAACAACCCTGGAGTTTCTTTTTGTTTTTTTTTTTTTTTCGTTTTGTTTTTTGTTTTTTATTTTGTGGAAAACAAAAGTAGAAAAACTAAAACCCCAAACTCCAGAAAAAATCCTAAAAAATGTTTTTTCTTAAAAAATACTGTATGTCTCTACTCCTCTCCCTCCCTCCCAACAGCCCTTCTTGTGTTCTTTTCTAAGTGCCTTACCCCCCCACCCCCATGACTATCCATTGTTCTTGCTATTGTGCCCCCACTTCCCAATATCTATCCAGGATGTGCACCCCATGTTCTCTTACCTGGCGTCTTACTTTTTTCTCCCTCAAATTTCAGCAAGCCTCATACTTGCAGTCTCATTTCGCCAGCATGCAAGAACTGTCTCCCCCTTCCTTTTCTGGGACTCAATAATCTTTTCCCCTTACCACTCCCTCACCCCAGGCCTATTATAAGCAGGAGCATGTCCTCCTGCCAAATTCCCTCCCTGTTCCCACCCACCCCCCCACCCTTCTTATCTCGAGAAATGTCAGAACCTTCCCCTGGGCAGGCTTAGCCAGGAATAAAACATTTTTGTCTTCCCTCGTTCTATAGGACCCTTTTCCCTCCCTCCACATACACATGCGCCTCTAAGAGAAGGAAATCTTTCTCTGGGACCCCGTATTCCCCTGGCCTACTCCAAGAACCCTGTCCCCCGCTCCAGCTTCTTGCACTCTCAAGAGCAACAACAGTCTTCTCTCCAAGGAATCATCTTCCCTCTCTCAGGATGTGTGCATCTGCTCAGCCTCCCACTCTTACCTTTCTGCCCCAGACCCCCCACCCACCAATTCTCCTGGGCCAAAGAGCCCTTTCCCCACCTAGCCCAGGGACCCCAGCCTCCGGGCCTCCACGCCTGCGCGGCTAGCGGATGAGGACATTAATCTCGGCCACACTGGTCTCCAGCACGTTCTCGGCGGTGGTCTTGCCGTGTTGCTCCTTGAGATGCCGCCTAATGGCAGGCTTGTGGGCGAAGCGCATGTCGCAGTAGGAGCAGCGGTAGGGCTGCGCTCCCGAGTGCAGGTTGAGGTGGTCGTGCAGGGTGGACTTCTGTGTGAAGCACTTGCCGCAGATGCCGCACGAGTGTGACTTGACACCACGATGCACGTTCCTGTGGTGGTTGAGGTTGTTGCTGTGGTTGAACTCCTTGCCACAGCGAGGGCACATGAAGATGAAGTGCTGCTGCCGCATGTGGAAGACCAGCTTCTCCACGCCCTGGAACACTTCCGGGCACTTGGTGCACTTGATGTTCTTTAAGGGGTTTCCACCTGAGAAGCTCCCAGGCAGGGGTCCCTGGCTGCCCCCCGCCCCCCGGGCAACCATGGCCGCCGCTGCTGCTTCCACCAGGCCCGAGGTGGCCCCCACGCTGGCCCGGCCTCCCGGAGTCAACAGCAGGCTCTCCCCTTCTGCGTTCTCCGACAGGCTATAGCAGGCCTTCACCACACCCTGCGGTGGGGCCACAGTGCTGGGGGGCACGCTGCTCTGGGCCAGCTCCCCAAGGTGGCCACCCACGGAGCCTCCAATGCCCAGGCCCCCTCCCAGGCCTCCAGGGGGCTTGAGCCGGTGTGCGATGTCCAGGGCCGACTCCACCTTGACGATGCAGATGTCAGATACGTCCTCATCCTCATCCTCTTCCTCGGCTTTCAGCTCCAAGTCCTCATCCAGTGGGAACTCCAGCTTCACTGGCCGCAGGAGTGGAGGGGATAGAGGAGGTGGGGGGTGGGGGCTTCGGGGCTGGCTTTGGGGTCCTGGCTGGAGGGAGGAGGGACTTGTTGGCGCTGACGCTGCTCACAAGGCTAGCCTCACGGACCCCATCCTCTTTGAGGCCTATTTTGGGCTCAGTGAACTGGCTGAGGGCATTCTGGCATTTCTCCACCACGTGCTCCATCTGCAGGTAGGAGGTGGCTGTAAGATAGTTGACGATGTCCCTAACAGCGAATTCCAGGGTGCCCGTGTAGCAGGAGAGAAGCAGGTCGGCCACGATGCGTGCACTGTGCATCAGGGAGACCTGCAGCTCCGAGCTGGGGTTAAGCAGGAACTGGTCCCGCAGGAACGGTGAGCAGGCGGCTAAGATGACCTTGTGGCCTCGAAACTTGAGGCTGTCGGCCACAATGGTCACGTCGCAGAACCACTCCTCTGCCCGGAGCTTGTTCATGTTCCGTAGCGTAGCGGCCTAGTGGCCGGGCAGCTGGAAGCGCAGGACTTCACCCCAGAGGCCATTGTGGCGGGGGTGGGCAACCCTGGCCCGGTTCCGCGCGCTGTTTTTTTTTAATCCCCTATTTTCCCCACCCCCGCGGGGCCGGAAGCGCCCCCCACACACGGGCAGAGCCAGGGCAGCATGTAGGCGCAGGGCGGGAGGGTGTATAGGGCGCGCTCGCGCTGGCGGGGCCGGCTCCACGTGGGCGTAAAGGGGTAGGGGCGGGAGCGGCTCGTGCGGTGTGTTCCAGGCCTCGCGCGCGCGGCGACGGCGTCGGCTAGGACTCAAACCCTGGAGTTTCTGATTCAGTAGCTCTGGGATAGAGAAAACTTCCCAAGGGATGCTGATGCTGCTGGTTGGATGAACAACACTGAGATCATTGCTTTAAGACATCCATTGTTGGTTGTTGGCAATAACTTAACTTTTTGGCTAGGGGTGGAGGTGTAGGAGACAGTCTGGCTGTCTCCCTCAGGCTGGAGTGCGGTGGCGCCATCTGGACTCACTATAACCTTCGCCTCCCAGGTTCGAGCGATTCCTGCCTCAGCCCCTCAAGTAACTGGGATTACAAGCATGTGCCACCACATCTGGCTAATTTTTGTATTTTTGGCAGACAGTGTTTCGCCATGTTGCCCAGGCTGGTCTCAAACTCCTGGCCTCAAGTGATCTGCCTGCCTCGGCCTTCCTAAATGCTGGGATTACAGGCGTCAGCCACTGCACCCAGCCTAAATTAACTTTTATCGTAGGCATCTAGGGAAGTACTATTTATGTACCAAACTTGGGAAAATTGAGAAAACAGTCACTAATTTTTTCTATTTTGTGGTTCAAATCAGGAACCCAGTTGAAAAAGGCTGGTTTAGAGTAATTGGCTAGTTGTCGTGGCTCACACCTATAATCCCATCACTTTCGGGGGCTGAGGTGGGAGGACTGCTTGAGCTCAGGAGTTCAAGACCAGCCTGGGTAACATGGTGAAACCCTGTCTCTACCAAAAAAAAAAAAAAAAAATTGTTTTTAATTAGCTGGGCGTGGTGGTGTGCACCTGTAGTCCCAGCTACTCAGGAGGCTGAGGTATGAGAATCACCTGAGCCAAAGAGGTCAAGGCTACAGTGAGCCTTGATTGTACCACTGCACTTTAGCCTAGGCAGCGTGAGACCCTATCTCAAAAAAAGAAAAAAAGAAGAATGATCTAATTTACATGGTAAAAATGGGCATTCTCTTTACATGTAACATTTTTAATATGTCCACATATTTATACATACCTCTATTAATTGATAAAGCAACTTTTTTTTTTTTTTGAGATGGAGTCTCGCTCTGTCGCCCAGGCTAGAGTGCAATGGCATGATTTTGGCTCACGGCAACCTCCGCCTCCCGAGCTCAAGCGATTCTCCTTCCTCAGCCACCTGAGCAGCTGGGATTACAGGCACATGCCACCACGCCCAGCTAATTTTTGCATTTTTTGTAGAGATGAGGTTTCACCATGTTGGCCAGGCTGGTCTTGAACTCCTGACCTCAGATGATTGCCCGCCCTGGCCTCCCAAAGTGTTGGGATTACAGGTGTGAGCCACCGCGCCCAGCCAGTGAGACAACTTTTTTTAACAGAAATGCCAAGAATTATTGCTAGACAGGTAGATACTATTTTTTAGACAAATATTAGCTTTATAAAGATATTTTCCTTATAAATACATTTAGAATCATAAATTAAGTGATGTAGTTTAATCCAAAAAACTTGTCCTGTTTCAGAATGTTATGGAATGATTTCATATTTTCTTGAAAATATGGCCGGGCGCGGTGGCTCAAGCCTGTAATCCCAGCATTTTGGGAGGCCAAGGCGGGCGGATCACAAGGTCAGGAGATCAAGACCATCCTGTGTCTCACGGTGAAACCCTGTTCTACTAAAACTACAAAAAATTAGCCGGGCATGGTGGCATGTGCCTGTAGTCCCAGCTACTTGTGAGGCTGAGGCAGGAGAATTGCTTGAACCAGGGAGGTGGAGGTTCCGGTGAGCCGAGATCGCGCCACTGCACTCCAGCCTCGGCGGCAGAGTGAGACTCCATCTCAAGAAAATAAAAGAAAAGAAAAAAGAAAATATATTTGTTTCATAGTATCTTGTTTTTAGAGTGCCATTGAAAGAAAGCCTCACATGCTATTAGTACTAATGATTTATCACTTTAACTTTGTTTAGAGAAATGGATAGAAAAATAAGTGAGTGGATAAAACTAACAAGAAGGTGGCTGGGCGCGGTGGCTCACGCCTGTAATCCCAGCACTTTGGGAGGCCGAGGCGGGCGGATCACGAGGTCAGGAGATCGAGACCATCCTGGCTAACACAGTGAAACCCCGTCTCTACTAAAAATACAAAAAATTAGCCGGGCGTGGTGGCGGGCGCCTGTTGTCCCAGCTACTCGGGAGGCTGAGGCAGGAGAATAGCGTGAACCCGGGAGGCGGAGCTTGCAGGGAGCCGAGATCGCGCCACTGCACTCCAGCCTGGGCGACAGAGTGAGACTCCGCCTCAAAACTAAACTAAACTAAACTAACAAGAAGGATCTTGGCAACAAGAAAAACAAGGACAGTTCAGAATTCGAGTTGTCTTAAGAAATAGAAAAGCTGGCCGAGTGTAGTAGCTCACACCTGTAACCCTAACCTTTGGGAGGCCAAGGTGGATGGATCACCTGAGCTCAGAAGTTCGATACCAGCCTAGGCAACATGGCAAAACCCCGTCTTTACGAAAAAAGGAAAAACAAAAAAAATGCTGGGTGTGGTGGTGTGTGCCTGTAGTCCCAGCTACTCGTGAGGCTGAGGCAGGAGAATCGCTTGAGCCCAGGAGGCGGAGGTTGCAGTGAGACAAGATAGTGCCACTGCCCACTCCAGCCTGAGCGGCAGAGCAAGACACTGTCATTAAAAAAAAGAAAAAAGGCCGGGCGCAGGTGGTTTTTCATGCCTGTAATCCCAGCACATTGGGAGGCCAAGGCGGGCGGATTACGAGGTCAGGAGATCGAGACCATCCTGGCTAACACTGTGAAACCCCGTCTCTACTAAAAAAAAAAATACAAAAAATTAGCTGGGCGTTAAGGCGGGCCCCTGTAGTCTCAGCTACTCTGAAGGCTGAGGCAGGAGAATGGCGTGAACCCGGGAGGCGGAGCTTGCAGTGAACCGAGACTATACCACTGCACTCCAGCCTGGGCGACAGAGCCAGACTCCGTCTCAGGGGAAAAAAAGAAAAAAGAAATAGGCAAATTGTAAAGTAAGGAAGAAAATATATGATAGGCAGATACATAATTATAAATGTCTATGACTTAACTATATAATTAAGATAAAGATCTAAGTAACTTTTAGCTCTACAATTTTTTAATTTTTATTAAGAAAATACTTTGCTTTTGCCTGCAGAGCCCTCTTAATTGGGATATTTTCATGTTTTGCATTTTAGGGCAGCTGCAATGACTCTCCGCACGGTATTATTGTCATTGCAAGCACTATTGGCAGCTGCAGAGCCAGATGATCCACAGGATGCTGTAGTAGCAAATCAGGTAAGATGGCCGCTTTTGAAAGACTTTCTTATATTATGTATGAGTCTCTAGCCACTTCAGTGGTTTGCACATTAACACATGAGCATACTCTATTGAAACTAAATTTTGAAATGGTTTTCTTTCTTGTGGTAGGATTATTTTGTCAGGTGTAATAGTGAAAATAGACTTTTAACATCCTAGTTTAATTGGATATAGATGCTGTTTTCCTAACATGAGTATTTTCAAACACATAAAGTCAAAAGAATTACATAGTGAACACCCATATTCCTACCATCTAGATTCTATGATTAATGCTCGTGTATGTGTCCATCTTTTTATCCTTCCTTTCAGTGATGATCCCTCCCTGCTAATAATTTTAATCACCTCCTATCATGGGACTTATGTGACATGGCACAGTTTCCAATGACCTTGTAATTTGTTGAACAGAATAAATATTTTTCATTTCGCTTTCTAGCTACAGTGGCTGAGTTTATTAGTTACAACGGAGACTGGACCTAAGTTATTAGTATCTGACCTGTTAAGAAACAGTTTGCTGGCCAGGTGTGTTGGCTCATGCATGTAATCCCAGCACTCTGGGAGGCTGAGGTGGGTGGTGGATCACTTGAGGTCAGGAGTTCCAGACCAGCCTGACCAACGTGGTGAAATCCTGTCTGTACTAAAAACACAAAACTAGCCTGGCGTGGTGGCACACACCTGTAGTCCCAGCTACCTGAGAGGCTGAAGTGGGAGAATCGCTTGAACCTGGGTGGCAGAGGTTGCAGTGAGCTGAGATCACACCATTGCACTCCAGCCTGGGTGACAGAACGGGACCCTGTCTCAAAAAACAAATTTGCCAACACCTACTCTAAGCCATTGGAATATAATGGACATTTTTTTTTTTAAACTTAGAAAGTTTTTCTTCTCTTGACTTCTAAGATATTACCCTCTTTTCTTCCTCACTTCATAGCTGTTCTTTGTTAGTTCCCACAATTATTTCCCTTCTTACTCGTCTTTCTTAAATGTAGTTCCTCAGTTCTGACCTTGTTACCTTTACTTTCTGTACACACTCACACTTGGATGATCATATCTGTACTGATGTTAGTACCTGTACATTGATAAAATGTTTAGGCTTGCCCTCTCTCCTAAGCACGAGAGCCTGGTGTTTAACTAAATTGGTAGGTGATGGTATCATAGAATGATAGGTTTGTAGGATTTATGATACTGCATTCAGTTTTGGCAGTGTTACATTCAGGTATCCAAGGAACATTCATATGGTTAACCACCCAAGTCACAGCCTTTGGAGTTTTTCTCTGTGTCTCCTTTGCTCCTGTTGATAACCATTCCCTGTATCATTCTGTCACTATATTTACATAATTACTCTGATTGCCATAGGTCACTTTTAAAAAATTGTTTCTTTTCAACTGCTCTGATAGATCTCCTTTTCTCAACCTCTTTCTTCCTTTCTCCATCTTCTACATTGCTATCAGGTAGCTTTATAAAGTGCAAATCTTACTTCACTAACAAAAACTTGTTCGTAGCTCTACTGTCATCTACTTGAGTCCAGATTCTTTAGTTTGCAGAGTTTTTCCATGATCTGAACTCTGCTTTATTTCCTAAATTCTTGTTTTCTTCAAACTCATGCTTTTTCAAGCATTGCATTCATTTTTACATATTGTATCCAATCTACCATATTTCCTCTGCCTGAGGAAACTTCCTCTTGGCAAACTTCTTTAACCTATAAGATTTTAATTTATATATTATCTTTCTTCTTTTCCCTTGAAGATCTGTTTATGTATATATGTATATATCCTTGTCAATATATTCTGTTATTTGTCTCAGAGTACTTCCAATTAGGGTTTTCCATGTTTTATATATGTGCTATTTGTTCATATTTGTTGTTATAAGCATGGCTTGTGTTCCAGCTTTGCTTTCCTATTGAGCTCTAAGCCTTACACGTTGAGGTTGGACTCAAGGGTTTCTTTTAGCTCCTAAAATAGTTCAATAATTTGACTTATTTCCTTGTGATGAATAAGTGGTAGAAACTAGATTTATCGTTTTAATATGTAATAGATTTAAATATATAAATTACTTTTAAAAGAAATATTAAAGTGAATTGAATAGTTAGTAATTTATACTTTGCTTTACTAAGTAATGGTGGTTCCAAAGTATTTGATAAATTTACCTCTTTCCAATGCATATGGGAAGTCTTTTAATAAAATTACTCTATTGTGAGTTTATAATCATCTCAAGTTATGTAATAAGTTAGGACTTTGCATGTGGGGTTTCCATAAATCACTGTACACTAATGCAGCTGTAAGAAAACAGAAGAATCTAGTTGTATTCTAGCCTGGGCTGTGGGTAATACAAAAGCTGGTTACATCGTAAAAAATTATTCTAATGTCCACATATTTTTATAAGCTAGTAATCTGTGTTCAGTTGTATAATGTTTGCTGCTTTCCAGTGTTTGGAACATCTCTTAATACCTCACTTAACCTAATTTTAGTCTTGCTAGTTATATTTGTTGAATTTGGAGATTAAAGTAGATTAATGTTACTTGTCTTTATTATTGTCAACACAAATTGTGAGTCGAAGCTTCAGGTTAAGTGGTCTTTTCTCGAGTGACATAGGTTGTCTATAATGCAAAGTGAATCACATTTTAAATGTAGATTTGTTTTATTTGGAAAAGTAGGATTGTAGGCGATTAAGAGCTGAAATATATCAAATATTATAACTGTAATGTCATGTCAATCAATTTTTCCCCCCATATAGTACAAACAAAATCCCGAAATGTTCAAACAGACAGCTCGACTTTGGGCACATGTGTATGCTGGAGCACCAGTTTCTAGTCCAGAATACACCAAAAAAATAGAAAACCTATGTGCTATGGGCTTTGATAGGGTAAGTACATAAGGGCATGTTGATTTTGATATATTGATTGATTTTAAATTATTGCAAATTCTTGGCTGACAAAAGTGGTTTAGAAAATAAGAGAAATTCGCAGCCTGGGCAACATGGCGAAACCCATCTCTACAAAAATTAGCTGGACATGGTAGTGAGTGCCTGTAATTCCAGCTACTCTGAAGGCTGAGGTGAGAGAATCCCTTGGGCCCAGGAGGTCGAGGCTGCAGTGAGCGATAGTCATGCCACTGCACTCCAGCCTTGGTGATAGAGCAAGACCCTGTCTCAAAAAAAAAAAAAAAAAAAAAAAAAAGGAAAATAAGAGAAAATCTAGTTTTGGTAAACATATTTTCTGTTTTCAAAGTCAGTGATTTTTTTATTTTTACTAATTACTGTCATTGATTTTAGAAGCTTTCCATGCACTGCAAATGTAAATCAACTTACAGAAAAGAAACAAGGTGTTAATTCCCAGTATAAAGAGTGAATGATTCAGTATTGTTTAAATGTTTCCTTGAGATTTAATTTCCTGTCCCCTTTTCTTCTCTACAGAATGCAGTAATAGTGGCCTTGTCTTCAAAATCATGGGATGTAGAGACTGCAACAGAATTGCTTCTGAGTAACTGAGGCATAGAGAGCTGCTGATATAGTCAAGCTTGCCTCTTCTTGAGGAGCACCAACATCTGTTATTTTTAGGATTCTGCATAGATTTCTTTTAAACTGGCATTCTTGCCTAATGATGTTATCTAGGCACCATTGGAGACTGAAAAAAAAAAATCCCTGCTCTGTAAATAAAGCTAATTAAACGTCTGTGTAAATTTAAAAAGGGGAAATACTTTAATTTTTTTTCTTAATAGTGTAAAAATTCCCTGAGCTAAGCTAAAACCATGGAAGAAACATGCTACTTTAGTGTTTAGCAGTGTACCAAGACTAGCAAGAGTTTGCTTCAGGATTTTGTTGAATAATTAAGATAATATTTTGAGTGTGTCAGGGCCATTCAAATTGTTGGTGTTGCATCACAGCTACCTTAACTGTTTTTAACATGGATCCTCTGTGCCTGTGAATTTACTTGCATGCTTGTACTTGACTTCTTAGGATGGGTAGCTGAAAAGACCACCATTTTAAGCATTTGAGAATTCTTAAATATGAAATTTATTCAGAATTGAAGATGGTGACCTATTCAGAGCCTTTTTGTCCTTGTCAACAGACTGGGACAGTGTCTGATTCCCCCTTCACCCCCCCCACCCCCGCCTTGCCACACACAGCTAATATTCTAATGGTAAATTTCTCTGTATCAGGTGGGGAAATGTGCTGAAGGACAGTATGTATCCCTTGCTTCATTTTTAGGTCGTAGGTTTGGAATGTCTTGTCCCAGTTCTTCAAACACTCTTAAATTTTTCTTAAGTAATGTAAAAATGGAACTGCCAATTTTATTTCTCTTGCAAAAATAGTAAATACTTGATGTTACATTATTCCCAGGTTTAATGAAAGAACCCAACTTAGTTTTTCAGTGAATTTGACACCTATTTTTTAGTGATGAAATTTTTCTTTGAGAACTGGCAAGGATGCAGTCAGCTGTTTGCAGTTTTTAGCCTGATTTTGGGGTCTATAGAGATTGCTTTATTGGATACTTCAAGTCATTCTTGCTTGCACTTCCCCTATTGACACATGAAAGCTGTGTTGGTGTTTTATTGTACATACTTCAGATGCACATAGGAATAGAAGTGTGTTATAAATCTAGCTTTCTTTATGATGTTTCTGATAATACGAGAATTGAAAACTTTACCTTCTCTTGTACATAGTCAGACTATTTGTATTAAATTTACATTTCATTCTAAGTTCAAAAGTTTGAAAATTATTAGTTTTGCAAGATCACACACTAATGTAACCATTTTATGAAGGTTGAAGTGGATTTATGCAGGCAGTTCTATATATAGAAATACAATTCTTTTTAAATTTTTAGGACCAATACAAAATAACAAAAATGTAATGGAATCAGACTGAATTAAAGTAAGGCTGTATATTGAAAGTCATATTATAAAAGGTTTGCTTTCTTTAAGTGTTATTTATCTTAAATTATAATCGTTAAATGTTTGGAAGATAATTTTTGAATCATAACGTCAGCATAACTTCATTTGACTTCTCAATAATCTTGATACTAGAAGCAATAAAAGAACCATTATTAAATATATTGTAATGTTAAAGATGTGAAGGTTCTTCCAAAAATTTGTAAGGCTTTCCTAATTAACAGTAAACTCTTATAGCTGATATTATTACATACTAAACACAAGTTGCTGTTTTTTCCCCATATGTTTGCTTACGCATGTCTTTATACAATCACCTCTTTTTATTGCTGTAGTTTATTTTCTAAAGATGCCAAAGGAAACAAGATTTTTCTTTATTTATTTTAAATACCTGAAACCTCGTACTTTATATTTTGAAGTAAGGTGGGATTGTGTGAAAATGTGGATGGTTTTTCTCCAGTGTTGGTTAGAACTACTTTTTTTAAGTGGAGGGCAACTTGGTAGTATTAGTAGAATTTGGGTTTAAAAATATCAGACACATCTACCCAGTTTATTTTTTGCCTGTATTATCAGGGTATATTTAATTGTCCTGTGGTTAAACAAAGGTGAGAGAGCTCAGAGGTTTCTAAAGGTCAAGCATTTTACATATATACATACATACATGCTCTTGGAGGCAGCTATATCCTGCTTTGATTTTTATGCACATGAGCCCTATAGGGTTATATACTCATCTAACTACACTTCAGCATCCCCAGTGCCCAAGAAATTGGAAAGTACAATATTTGGTTTGAGACATTCTTCATAAAAGATTCTTTATTATAAAAATTTACCTCATTTACATTTAATGTGATGATCTTTTTTTTCCTTTCTGGTATATTTCCCACTGTACTGTTTGGTTTTTGTTATTCTCTTGTCTGTGGGTAGATTTAGTTACCCAAACATAGAAACTAAAGCAATTGCTTTTTTCCTCTGGTCTTAAATATGTTTGGACAAAAAGACACTAAAAGGTCAGGCCTAGGGGAAAAGTACCCTGGTGGAAATTATTTTTGTAATTCTTAATATTTTTGAGTTGGCTCCGTTTGTCAGTTTTAAAAGCCTCAAAAATTATGTTAAAAAAAAAATCCAGTGAAATCCCATTTAGGGCAGGCCGATTTGTTAGAAGTCACTGATGCTCCAGTAGGCTTTTGTTATAATCAGGCCTGTTTCCTGAGTATGTGCCTCTTTTAAAAGAAGAAATAATTAGCTGTATAGTATTTCAGTACTGATGAATGAATGAATGAATGAATGGCAGTTAGTGGACCCAAATAAGTATTCAGTGGTATATAAATATTTGAGGAACTAGGTACTGAATTAGGTGCTCTGAGTTGGCACCCCGAAATGTTTGGAATCACGACTATGATTTACTTAAACACGTAACACATTCAAGGATATATAAATGGAGTCTAAGTATTTTGCTTTTGAAGAGAATAATCTATGAAATGGAAGACTTGATTTTTTTTTTCATTTTTTAGAAGTAATACACATTTATGATTGTTGGCACATAAAACTATGCAAAATAATTCTTTTTAAGTATCTGTAAGAAAGAATTGGCAGTTTAAACGGATTTTGCTTATTTATGCACTACAGAATGCAGCATACTGTATTACTGTTGAGGCTGCTTAATAAGTTTACCAATGTGAAAAGCAGATCTTGGGTATAAGTGTATGCCTGATTTGAGCTTTTAAAACTGTGCAGTAGGTGTATGGTAATGTTTTACAATCCTATGTAGCAAAATAGGAAATTATGAATTTTTGTTGTTATTGTTTTAAAGATTTAAGATGGATTGGGGTAGGGAACAGCTGGAGCCAGGTATACCTTCTAGTATGTAGAGGGAAACAATGTTTAGATAGGAAAAAGGAAGCCGTCTGTTTACAGTTAACTTTATTTCATGGACTTCTACAAAATGTTGTATTAATCACTTTTTCTAGTTCAAGGAATTTCAATTCCAGGGTACAAACCATTGATTTAAAAATTACGTTTCCATTCTTTTTAGTATCAGTTTAAAGTAAATGCTTACCATCAGCCAGTTGCTGTCACTGGGAAGAAGGCAACTTGAAGTATTTACTGATAAAATAGCCTTTATTCCCAAGTGTGACTTTTCTTCAGTGTCTACATATTATGTCACACGTTCTATTTGCACTGCTGCAATATAGATCAAAGATCTTGTGGCATAGGGGTAGGGGAGTGTTAGTATCTCCCTTGTCCCATTTGTTCTGTTACTGCTTCATTGGACTGATACACCCTCATGAACTTGCAATCACCTAAATGGAAGTCTTGAATGTGTCACCTTTTGCTTGGTTATTTCAACCATGCTGCTATATATAATCAGGTGTGGCACAGTTTGTCAGTTTGATTATAGGTGTGAGTGGATAGAAATCATTACACTGTGCTGTTAACGATCCTTGTCTGCTTGCTGTTACCTACTTTTTACAGGCATCATAATAAAAGCTAGACTATTTCTTTGGGGGGAAAGAGACTTATTTAATGTAATTTAAAAAACTTTTCCAATAGAAAATGAAATATTATTGAAAATAATATCTATTTTTTAGCTTTCAGCAATTGATGGTGCTTTGTTGTGGTGTCTGCTGGAAGTCTACTGCCATTATAGGGAACCTTGCTTGTTAGCTTCTCTAGATCTCTATTCTAAACAATCTGTTAGTGATGATAAATTCTGTAGGAGGGTCTATTCTGAGCCGTTAACTTCCTGTAAGGGGAAAATGGGTGGGTTACCAGAAATACCATTGAAGCAGGGTGGGCTGTGGGGTGGAAGGTTGGGGTATTTGTCTTGAGAATTAAAAACTACGAAACACTTTTGTACACAACTGATTTTTTAAAAAATAAACACATTTTTAAAGATGTTGAATTTTTCCCCCCTTATTGGGAATTCTTAAAAATAAATGCATGCATGTTTTCCCCTGAAAATGGTTTATATCTTATTTCTGGGTGCTCATCTGTGGACAAGCAATTAAGTCTTACTCTAAATAAGAACCAGGCAGATATTTCTCCTTCACAAATTTCATAGTGATTGACATATAAATGCAGTAAGTTGTATCAGATCTTTGAATTTAAAAACATTGAAATTTAGTTCTAATTAAATTTACTAAAAGAACATATTTGCTTAGGTTCTAATCCAAAATTTAGAGTAATTAAGAGTTAGTTAAGTAATACTTTGTATTCTGTTTCCATATATGCTTTCTGGAAAGTTGCTCGGTACTGTCAAAAAGACTGAATTGTTTCAGAAAGTCCAGGGTTTAATCCCAGCTTTTACTCAAGAGCAGAGAGCCTGGACTTTTCTGAGCCTCAGTTTCCTCATCTAGGTAAGATATTTGCCCAGTACTTCGTAGCGTGTTGGTGAAGATCAAATTAAATGATTGATGTAGCTATAAAACTACTTAATTGTATAGACGTTAATATAATTCTAACACTAAATTTTGGCTAAACTATGAAAGTATTACTCTGTTCCTAATCTGAAACCACCAAGAGGATACCTTGTTTGAAAATTGTGGTTTGGCAAAGTAGCTATTTTTTGTTATGTCTGACTATTTCAAAGGTCCATTGATTGGTTATTATCTGTAGATTGACCCTTCCTCCATAAATGCTGATAATTAGAAGACACTTTGTCAGGGTTTGTACAAATTATTTTACATGGCAAAACTGATCGTGTCTTTATGGTATTTGTAACCAACTCACAGCAGGCCTATAGGTTTCTTTGCCAAGAAATGGAATTCCTCCTGACCTGGAATATCAATATAAAGTGTTCTTTTTGTGGAGTAAGACTGGGTCTTTAGGTACTAAAAATCCAGGATAACAAATAGAATTCAAAGCTGGGTGTGGTGGCTCACACCTGTAATCCCAACACCTGGGGGGGCAGAGGCAGGTGGATCATCTGAGGTCAGGAGTTAGAGACAAGCCTGGCCAACATGGTTAAACCCCATCTCTACTAAAACCAAATATTAGCTGGGCATGGTGGTGCGCGCCTGTAATCCCAGCTACTCTGGAAGCTGAGGCAGGAAAATTGCATGAAAACCTGGGGAGCGGAGATTGCAGTGAGCCAAAATTGCACCACTGCACTCCAGCCTGGGCAACAGAGTGAGAATTTAAGGAGCTCTCATGCCCTGGCAATAGATACTCAAATTTAAAGAGCATCAGACATTTGGCACTTGTTTTGTTTTGATCATCAGTGAATTAGTTTTCCAGTGAATAATATGAAAATTATTAAGGATAACTTTCTTAAGGTATCAGATAAAGTCAAATGGCAAAGTTTGCAAAATGACACAAATTCAGGATAATTGCTGAAGTGATTATTAGCTGGAGCATGGTTGATTATCTTTGCCAGTGTGGTGGCTCACAACTGTAATCCCAACACTTTCGGAGGCTAAGGAGGGAGGATCACTTAAGCCCAATTGGAGGCTGCAGTGAGCCATGATCCACCACTGCACATCAGAATGGGCAACAGAACAAGACCCTGCCTCCAAATAAAATTAAAAAAAAAAAAAAATTATTCCAGTCCTGGTATGGTGGCTCACGCCTGTAATCCCAACACTTTGGGAGGCTGAGGTGGGTGGATCACAAGGTCAGGAGTTCGAGACCAGCCTGACCCACATTGTAAAACCTCGTCTCTACTAAACATACAAAACAAAAATTAGCCGGGCGTGGTGGCGCGCGCCTATAATCCCAGCTACTCTGGAGGCTGAGGCAGGAGAATCACTTGAATCCGGGAGGTGGAGGTTGCAGTGAGCTGAGATTGCACCATTGCATTTCAGCCTGGGCGACAGGGCGAGACTCTGTCTCAAAAAAAAAAAAAAATTAGGCCAGGCGCAATGGCTAACGCCTGATCCCACCTGTAATCCCAGCACTTTGGGAGGCCGAGGGGTCACCTGAGGTCGGGAGTTTTACACCAGCCTGGCCAACATGGCGAAACCCCGTCTCTACTAAAAATACAAAAATTAGCTGGGCATGGTGGCAGGCACTTGTAATTCCAGCTACCCGAGAGGCTGAGGCAGGAGAGTCACTGGAACCCGGGAGGCAGAGGCTGCAGTGAGCCGAGATCGTGCCATTGCACTCCAGGCTGGGCAACAAGAGTGAAACTCCGTCTCAGAAAAATGACTGTTATTCCAAATAAACTCATTGCTTTTAAAAAGTCAGTAGTAAGAGTTCATAGTGAAAAAAACTAATTCTCTACCAAACTTTACTACTAGTACACAGAACAGTTTTTAAATAATGGATTTTTGTTTTTAGGTTACCTCCAGGTC
Source organism: Homo sapiens (assembly GCF_000001405.40). NCBI lineage: Eukaryota > Metazoa > Chordata > Mammalia > Primates > Hominidae > Homo > Homo sapiens. The sequence continues at coordinate 39,785,123 of NC_000004.12, forward strand.
ACTAAATAATATGCTTATTCCTGTTTAAGTAACTCATTTCTGTTCTGTCAGTTACACCTAGTTATCTCTTGACTCCATGTTTTTATCCCCAACTTTATCTTCACTCAGCAATGGAGTTTAGGTTAAAGGAGGGCTGTCAATGCAGAAAACCTTGAGAAAATCACATGGTTTTGGGGGCAAGTATGTATAGTTAAGGGGCATCCACTCACTGAAGTAAAATTGCTTTGGACTGAGGGCAGAGGAAAGGAAAATGAGTAACTGCAACAAGGGGACTATGGTACCTAGATAAAGGTAGTAATTAGAAGATTAAGAGATAGGCTGGGTGCCGTGGCTCATGCCTGTAATCCCAACACTTTGGGAGGCCAAGGCAAGTGGATCACTTGAGGTCAGGAGTTCAAGACCAGCCTGGCCAACATGGTGAAACCCTGTCTCTACTAAAAATATAAAAATCAGGCCGGGCGCAGTGGCTCATGCCTGTAATTTCAGTACTTTGAGAGGCTGAGGCGGGCAGACTACATGAGGTCAGGAATTCGAGACCAGCCTGGCCAACATGGTGAAACCCTGTCTCTACTAAAAATACAAAAATTGTAGACGAGTGTGGTGACGTGCGCCTGTAGTCTCAGCTACTTGGGAAGTTGAGACAGGAGAATTGCTTGAATAGGCAGAGGTTGCAATGAGCCAAGATTGTGCCACTGCACTCCAGCCCACTCCAGCCTGGGAGACAGAGTGAGACTCCGTTTCAAAATAAAAATAAAAATACAACAGTCAGCCAAGTGTGGTGGTGGGCATCTGTAGTCCCAGCTACTCTGGCGGCTGAGTCAGGAGAATCGCTTGAACCCCAGGAGCGGAGGTTGCAGTGAGCCAAGATCATGCTACTGCACTTCAGCCTGGGCAACAGTGAGAGTTCGAGACCAGCCTGGCCAACATGGTGAAACTCCATCTGTACTAAAAATACAAAATTAGTCGGGCTTGGTGGTGTGCGTCTGTAGTCCCAGCTACTCGGGAGACTGAGGCAGGAGAATCGCTTGAACCCGGGAGGTGGAGGTTGCAGTGCGCTGAGATCGCGCCACTGCACTCCAGCCTGGGCGACAGAGCAAGACTGTCTCAAAAAAAAAAAAAAGATTAAGAGATAGGCGAGAGAGATTATAAAAAGAACAAAAAGGCAAGGTGTGGTAAAAGAAAATCAGGTTATGAACCTATTGAGGGCAGAGTAGGAAGGATAAAAGTGCCTATGTGGGAAGATTCTGTGTAGAGAGTACAGCTAAAAATCTTGGCCCCAAATGCTTTGTTAATCCTTTTAATTTGTTAAAAATCATTAAAGGGTCGGGCGCAGTGGCTCATGCCTGTAATCCCAGCGATTTGGGAGGCCGAGGTGGGCGGATCACCTGAGGTCGGGAGTTCGAGACCAGCCAGGCCAGCATGGTGAAACCCTGTCTCTACTAAAAATACAAAAATTTAGCTGGGCATGGTGGCAGGCGCCTGTAATCCCAGCTACTCAGGAAGCGGAGGCAGGAGAATCGCTTGACCCCAGGAGGCGGAAGTTGCAGTGAGCCACGATCACGCCATTGCACTCCAGCCTAGGCAACAGAGGGAGACTCCATCTCAAAAATAAATAAATTGTTAAAGTCCAGTTGATTAAAATGTTGCCAGTACTGCTTTCTGTCCCCTATTCAGTGCAGTAAAACTCTCTTCAGGCTCATGCCTGTAATCCCAGCACTGTGGGAGGCTGAGGCAGGTGGATTGCTTGAGCCGAGGAGTTAAGACCAGCCTGGGAAACATGCTGAAATTCTGTCTCTACAAAAAAATTAGCCAAAAATTAGTCGGGCAGGGTGATGGTCGCCTGTAGTCCCAGGTACTCAGGAGACTGAGATGGGAGGATCACCTGAGCCCAGGAGGTCGAGGCTACAATGGGCAGTGATTGCATCACTGCACTCTAGCCTGGACAAAGTGCAAAGCAAGACCCTGTCTCCAAAAAAGAAAACTCTTCACTGGGCCTTTTCTCTTTGGGAAGCTTCCTCTTTTCCCAAGGGTAACTTATTGTACTCTTTACTACTTTCCATTGTCTTATTTCAGTTTTTTTTTTTCCTTCATCTAGATGTTCTTCCCTTCAGTACTTCATCCCCTAAACTATTTAAATATGTTTGTGTATTTCTCCTCTTTTCCCTACTCTGTTTCCCATCGCATTTGAAAAATACTGCATCCTGAATAGATTGCTTCCTTATCCTTTTCTTTTCTTTTCTTTTCTTTTTTTTTTTTTGAGACGGAGTTTGCTCACGTTTCCCAGGCTGGAGTGCAATGGCTCGATCATGGCTCACCACAACCTCCACCTCCCGGGTTCAAGCGATTCTCCTGCCTCAGCTGGGATTACAGGCATGTGCCACCATGCCTGGCTAATTTTTTATTTTTAGTAGAGACGGAGTTTCTCCATGTTGGTCTTGAACTCTTGACCTCAGGTGATCCCGCCTGCCTCGGCCTCCCAAAGTGCTGGGATTTACAGGTGTGAGCCACCATGCCTGGCCCCTTTTCTTGTTCTTTGTCTCTTACAGTTTGGGCCTGGCCTGCATCATGATACTAAAATTGGTCTGAAAATTCTGCTGCCCTTCCAGATTATGATGACTGGCATTGTCAAACTAAGAACTCAGGTTTTCTCTCTTAAACTGCTTGCTTTGCTTTTATTTTCCTAAGCAATTTTAGTAATAAAAATGTGCTCATTTCAGAAATCATAAGCTGTATGAATTCACTTAGTATTCTGAAGTATTCTTTCAGTGTACTATTTTTAGCTCAGTAAAAGTGAGCTAATACTCCAGCTGGGCATATAATTGTTAATATTCATCTTTTAAAAACATGGAAATTATAGTTCTTTAAAGTTTCTTTACATAAACATTTGAATGACTATAAGGAGACCATTGAGTAGGGCTGCCATATTTTATGGCAGTTAACCTATTAGGTATCTAGATTGTTTCTGATTTTTCTCTATTACAATATTGGTCCATGGACTTCTGATTAAACATGGTGGATAGCACAAATGTTTTAATACTATAGTTGTGTCTTGAGACTTAAGCAAAATGACATTTAGAGATACAAAGCTCTAAGGACAAAGAATGGTAGATAAAAGGTCAAAATACTTTTAGAAGATGGAAAGTGGACGGAAAATATGTACTGACATAGTACAGTAGAGCAAGTTCAAACCTAATTGTAGGAATACTGATTAGAAGCAAGCCAGTTTACTCCTTACAACTTAGAACTAGACAGTGGAGAAAAACAGGCCCTACAGAATGACTGAGAATGGAGATTGGTTAAAAGTTTGTATTCTTAGGCCGGGCTTGGTGGCTCAAGCCTGTAATCCTAGCACTTTGGGAGGCCGAGGTGGGCGGATCACGAGACTAACACGGTGAAACCCCGTCTCTACTAAAAACACAAAAAATTAGCCGGGCGTGGTGGTGGGCGCCTGTAGTCCCAGCTACTTGGAAGGCTGAGGCAGGAGAATGGCGTGAACCCGGGAGGCGGAGCTTGCAGTGAGTCGAGATCGCGCCACTGCACTCCAGCCTGGGCGACAGAGCGAGACTCCGTCTCAAAAAAAAAAAAAAAAAAAAAGTTTGTATTATTTCTACCCAGTGAGATAGGTAACTAGGTTACTACTGTGCTCTTAACATGGAAGGAAAAGTGCTCTTTGAGAATTTGAAACAGAAATCTTCAGACTGAGAAATGCCAGGCATAAACTGAAAATGAAGATCAACTAATTATACAGGATGGTAGATTTTTAGTTTCTACAATGCTTAAAGTTACGTCTCAGGGAGGAGGAAGAAAGATCCTTTTCTATAGAAATTCGGTGTTCCCAGAGAAAAGAACTTCAAAGGGATTCAGACTTTAGAAGAGAAGTTTTTCCAATGAGAAAGCTAAGTTTTCACCCAGTGAATTCCAAAACATGGCAACTTTAAGTTTCACTAGATTTTTAAAGATTGTTTCCCAGCACTAACAACCAAGATCAAAATAGTTTCAACTACAGGGAGAAGAAAACCTGAAAATACAACCGTCTTCAAAGGTAAAATACTACGTCTGTGGGGAAAAAAAAAAAAAAAGAGCTAAATGAATTGGGAATAAGAATGGCATCAACTTTCTCAACAACATGTGAAACTACAAGACAAGGAAGCAATGACTTCTAAGTTCTGAGTGAGGCCAAGCGTGGTGGCTCATGCCTGTAATCCCAGCACTTTGGGAGGCCGAGGCAGGAGGAGTGTTAGAGGCCAGGGGTTCAAGATCAGCTTGGGCAACATAGTGTTGCCTGAGAAACACCACACCTGTTTTCTGTTTGTTTGTTTTTTGGCAACATCTCTGCCAAAACAAAACAAAACAAAACAAAACAAAAAAAACACCAGGTGTGGTGTTGCTCAGGCAAGAGGATCTCTCGAGACCAGGAGATTGTGCTCGAGGAGCCATGATTGTGCTACTGCACCCCAGCCTGGATAACAGAGTGAGACCCTGTCTCTTAAAAAATAAATATATAAAAAATTAAGTTTTGAGTGAAAAGTTAGATATTGTCAGATACTCAAGATCTCAAATTTTGTCTTCCATTTGGATTTTCTCAGGAAGCACCTGAGTGATACACTCCTCCAAAATGGAGGAGAGTAAGTCATGCAAATGAAACGGGATACAACACAGGAGCTGGCTATTTCTGGGGTGAATGAAGTCCAGAATGCCAGTTGTGCAGCAGCCTTACATGCAGCCATTCTCGTCCATAGGACCAGAACTGTGAAATACTCCAGAATGGAGATCAACAAAATAAATTGATGATAGGTTATCACATACATCTTATGTGTGTAATTACATTGCGATGAAGTGCAAAGAAGGAATTAGCAAAACTAGGAAGAACTAGTAGAAAAAGAAAACTAATCAAATAGCAAAAGATGTAAAGAAGCATTTTTACACCAACATGGCACATGTATACGTATGTAACAAACCTGCACGTTGTGCACATGTACCCTAAAACTTAAAGTATAATAATAATAAAATTAAAAAAAAACATTTTTAGTAAGCTCATTAAGCAACCAATAATTAGTCATAATGTAAGAAGAATGGAAGTTGGGGTGGACCATGTAAAAGAACCAAGTAAGTACTCAACTACCTTCAAAAAGTATGTTTTAAATGCAGTGAATAAAAGTAGGGCAGGGCGCGGTGGCTTACGCCTGTAATCCCAGCACTTTGGGAGGCTGAGGCAGGCGGATCACGAGGTCAGGAGATCGAGACCATCCTGGCTAACATAGTGAAACACCATCTCTACTAAAAATACAAAAAAATTAGCCGGGTGTGGTGGCGGGCGCTTGTAGTCCCAGCTACTCCGGAGGCTGAGGCAGGAGAATGGTGTGAACCTAGGGGGCGGAGCTTGCGGTGAGCCGAGATTGTGCCACTGCATTCCAGCCTGGGCGACAGAGAGAGACTCTGTATCAAAAAAAAATATATATATATAGATATCTATATATAATATATATGTATATATATAGATATCTATATATCTATATATATACACACAAAAATTAGCTGGGTGTGGTGGTGTGCACCTGTAATCCCTGCTACTCAGGAGGCTGCTGTGAAAGGATCACCTGAGCCCAGGAGGTCCAGGCTGCAGTAAGCTGCGATCGCACCACTGCACTTCAGCCTGGGAGAGCCTGTCTCAAAAAATAAAGTACAATACAGGCCAGGCACAGTGGCTTATTCCTGTAATCTCAGCACTTTGGGAGGCCGAGGTGTAAGGATACGTTGAGGCCAGGAGTCCAAGACCAGACTGGGCAACAAAGCGAGACTCTACAAAATTAAAATTTTTTAAATACAGTATACAGTACATTGGGACATATTGTACACAGTATACATAATTTTTGCCAATTATATACCTCAATAAAGCTGGAGAAAAAAGTGTCTAATTCAATGACTTTTAGTATATTCATGAAGTTGTGTATCTATCACCACTATCAACTTTAGAAATTTTCATTACTTGAAAAAGAAACCCAACATCCCTTAGCAGTCATGCTTTTGTTTTTTAAAATAATATTTTTAGCAATATTTGACTTTTAAAATGTATATATTCCTTTGATAAAACAAAAAATAATGCCGTCTTAAACCACTGTATGCATTTCAGATTATTTCCTTAAGGGCACTCTTCAGAACCTTCCTTTATTGCCAGTATTTCCCCATCATGTTGTACTAGTAAATATTACCACTCATGGCCGGGCACAGTGGCTCATGCCTGTAATCCCAGCACTTTGGGAGGCCGAGGCGGGCGGATCACCTGAGGTCTGGAGTTCGAGACCAGCCTGACCAACATGGTGAAACCCCCGTCTCTACTAAAAATACGAAAAATTAGCCTGGCGTGGTGGCGGGCACCTGTAATCCCAGCTACTCGGAAGGCTGAGGCAGGAGAATCGCTTGAACCTGGAAGGCGGAGGTTGCAGTGAGCAGAGATCGCGCCACTGCACTCCAGTTTGGGCAACAAGAGCAAAACTCTATCTCAAAAAAAAAAAGTATATATATACATATATATATATACACACACATATATATATACACACATATATACACATATATATACATATATATGCATATATATGTATATATATATAACCATTCATGTATATAAAAGGTTCACACTACTCATGGCAAATATAAGTATTCTCTTCAAAAATACTCATATGGCTGGACATGGTGGGTTTATACCTATAATCCCAGCACTTTGGGAGACTGAGGTGGGAGGATTGCTTGAGCCCAAGAATTTGAGACCAGCCTGGGCAACATAATGAGACCTCATCTCTAAAAATATTTTAGAAATTAGCTGAGGATGGTGGACCACGCCTGTAGTCCAGCTACTATGGAGACTGAGGTGTGAGGATTGCTTGAGCCTGGGAGGTCAAAGCTACAGTGAGCTGTGAGGGCGCCACTGCACTCCTGCCTGGGCGACAGAGCAAGACCCTGTCTTTAAAAAAAAAAAAAGTTCATATGAAGGTGAAAGTAATGGGGATTTGTGTTTAAGTGAAGATTTGGTGTGGTTGAATGTATCAGATGGCATTTTCAGTATGGCATATTATTTCATTGAATCCTTCAAACAAATTGAGTACTTTTTTTATTACAGTCTTTTTACAATTGAAGAAATAGTAATATACAACTCACCAGAACTCAACAAAGCATAACCTGACCAAACCAGGTTTCAAACTTCCTGAAACCAAAACTCTTGCTACCCGGCCGGGCACAGTGGTTCACGCTTGTAATCCCAACACTTTGGGAGGCCGAGGGGGCAGATCACTTGAGCTGAGGAGTTCAAGACCAGCCTGGGCAAAATAGTGAGACCTTTTCTCAAGAAAAAAATTTTTAAAAGAGCCAGGTGTGATGGCGTGCACCTGTAGTCCCAACTACTTGGAAGGCTGAGGTGGTGGGACTGCTTGGGCACGGGACATCAAGGCAGCACTCCATGTGTGCAGAGGATTGTGGCCTCTGCACTCCAGCCTGGATGACATAATGAGAGCCTGTCTCCCCCCCCCAAAAAAAAAAGAAAAAAAAGAATTAACTGAAAATTGGAATTATTCCCACCCTGCATGATTATCTTACAGTCACACTGCTCTTAATCAGCCTTTTAGTGCCTCACTCTTAACCATAAGGGGAACTAAGATTAAAACTTTGAGAAGACCAGCCTGGGGAACATGGCAAAAACCCATCTCTACAAAAAATACAGGAAATTATCCAGGTGTGGTGGTGGTGTGCGCCTGTGGTCCCAGCTACTAGGGAGGCTGAGATTGGAGGATCACTTGAGCCTGGGAAGTCGAGGCTGTGGTGAGGTGAGATGTTGCCACATCACTTCAGCCTGGGTGACAGAGCAAGACTCTATCTCATAAAAAAAAAATTAAAAAAAAAATTTTTTTTAGAAGAGCCTTCAACATAAAAGAAACCAAGACGAAAAATAACCTGGATGAAACTTAATCTAGGGATCAGAATTATTAAAACAAAAATCTAGGCTGGGCGCCGTGGCTCACGCCTGTAATCCCAGCACTTCGGGAGGCCGAGATGGGCGGATCACGAGGTCAAGAGTTCAAGACCAGCCTGACCAACATGGCGAGACCCTGTCTCTACTGAAAATACAAAAGAAATTACTGGGTGTGGTGGTGGGCGCCTGTAATCTCAGCTGCTCGGGAGGCTGAGACAGGAGAATCGCTTGAATCCTGGAGGCAGAGGTTGCAGTGAACCGAGATCTAGTTATTGACATCAAAGAAGTCATTGGGCCCATATAGAAACAGGATGCTATAAAAAGGAATTTTAAGAAAATAAGACTGTTAGGAATTCTATAAATTTCTTCTCCAACCCTTCCTTCCTTCCTTCCTTCCTTCCTTCCTTTCCCTTCCTTCCTTCCTTCCCCTTCCTTCCTTCCTTCCTTTCCTGACGGAGTCTTGCTCTGTCGCCCAGGCTGGAGTGCAGTGGTGCGATCTTGGCTCGCTGCAATCTGCCGGGTTCAAGCGGTTCTCCTGCCTCAGCCTCCCAAGTAGCTGGGACTACAGGCGCCCGCCACCACGCCTGGCTAACTTTTTGGCCAGGATGGTCTCGAACGCCTGACCTTGTGATCTGCCCACCTCGGCCTCCCAAAGTGCTGGGATTACAGGCGTGAGCCACCGCACCTGGCCTCCAACTTTATTTCTGTCCTGACAGGATTTAAGGGAGACCCACAGCATTCCTTGTAGGGAATAGGGGGTATAGTCTTATCTATATGGATAGACCACTATGAAAATGTTACCCACTTTACCAATGCCTAGGGGACTAATCATGCTTTTCATCTCAATTTACCTCGGTCACTCACTTCAGTATTTTCCGGTTATTTGGCATAAAACTCTGTATTTTCTTTTTTTTTTTTTTGATGGAGGGGCTGGTGGACAAGGTCTCACTCTGTTGCTCAGGCGGGAGTGCAGTGGAACCATCAGGGCTCACTGTAGCCACGACCCCAGGCTCACGTGATCCTCCCATCTCAGCCCCCTCAAGTAGCTGGGACTACAGGCACACACCACATATCCCTGGCTAATTTTTCATTCGTTAATTTTTGAGACAGAGCCGCATTCTGTTGCCCAGGCTAGAGTGCAGTGACTTGATGTCAGTTCACTGCAACCTCCACTTCCTGGGCTCAAGTGATCCTCCCATCTGAGCCTCCTGAGGAGCTGTGACTACAGGCGCACACCACAACAGGCTAATTTTTGTAGTTTTTGTAGAGATAGGGGTCTCACTATGTTGCTCAGGCTGGTTTCAAACTCCTGAGCTCAAGCAATCCACCGGCCTTGGCCTCCCAAAGTGTTGGGATTACAGGCGTGAGCCACTGCACCCTGCGTATTTCCTAATCTTTATCTAATCTTACTAACTGGCCCCCTATCTGCCTCCTTCCTCCATTCCCAAATTCTTAGGAACAGTCATGAGCAAAATTCCATGTAACTTTAACTTTTTTTTCTTTGTATGGAAACATGCTTTAATTTCTGTTGGGTAAACAGCTTGGAGTAGGTTGGGCGAGGTGGCTCACGGCTGTAATCCCAGCACTTTGGGAGGCCAAGGTGGGCGGATCACAAGGTCAGGAGATCCAGATCAGCCTGGCCAAAAAGGTGAAACCCCGTCTCTACTAAAAATACAAAAATTAGGCCCGGCGTGGTGGCTCACGCCTGTAATGCCAGCACTTTGGGAGGCCGAGGCTGGCAGATCACGAGGTCAGGAGATGGAGACCATCCTGGCTAACGCAGTGAAACCCCGTCTCTACTAAAAATACAAAAGAAAAAAAAAAATAGCTGGGCGTGGTGGCGGGCACCTACAGTCCCAGCTACTTGGGAGGCTGAGGCAGGAGAATGGCATGAACCCAGGAGGTGGAGCTTGCAGTGAGCCGAGATCACGCCACGGCACTCCAGCCTAGGCGACAGAGCTAGACTCCATCTCAAAAAAACAAAAACAAAAACAAAAAACAGCTTGGAGTAGAATGGCTATCACCACATCTCTTTATCCATTCAGTTTCTAACTCAAACATGACCATTCCCTGAAGCTACTGTTTCCACTAGAGCCTCTTCAGTTGGTGGCTATATATATTTTTTAATGTTGACAATCATGTCATGTATGAATAGAAGACTTTTACTTTTTTCTTGTCTTTCTTTCTTTCTTTGTTTTGTTTTGTTTTGTTTTGTTTTTTTTCAGAGATAGAGTCTTGCTGTGTTACCCAGCCTGGAGTGCAATGGCGTGATCATAGCTCATCATAACCTCAATCACTTAGGCTCAAGGGATCCTCCCACCTCAGCCTCCCAAGTAGCTAGGATTACAGGCATGCACTACCATGCCAGGCTAATTTTTTTTTTTTTTCTGTAGAGTGGAGTTCTTGCTTTGTTGCTCAGGGAGCTCTCGAACTCTTGGCCTCAAGCAGTCTTCCCACCTCAGCCTCCTAAACTACTGAGATTACAGGTGTGAGCCACTGCACTCCAGCCTGGCTAACAGAGTGAGACCCTGTCTCAAAATAAATACTTTATGTTGTTTAATTCTCAATATTAGGGGATTTTCCAGATGTTTTTGTCATTGATTTCTAATTCTGTTATAGCCTAAAAATATATTTTCCACGATTTTTTTTTAGGGACACTCAGCCTGGGGTTCAGTGGCATGATCATAGCTCACTGCAGCTGGGAACTCCTGGGCTCAAGCAGTCCTCTAACCTCAAGCATGAGCTATCATGTCAGGCTGAATTTTGTTATTTTTAATTTGTTAAGATTTGTTTTTTTGGCCGGGTGCGGTAGCTCACGCCTGTAATCCCAGCACTTTGGGAGGCCAAGGTGGGCGGATCACCTGAGGTCAGGAGCTCGAGACCAGCCTAGCCAACATGGTGAAACCCCGTCCCTACTAAAAATACAAAATTAGCCAGGTGTGGTGGTGGGTGCCTGTAATCCTAGCTACTCGGGAGGCTGAGGCAGGAGAATTGCTTGAACCCAGAAGGTGGAGGTTGCAGTGAGCCGAGATTGTAACACTGCACTCCAGCCTGGGCAACAAGAGCGAAAAGAACTCTATCTCAAAAAAAAGAAAAAAAGATTTGTTTTTTTACAACCTGGAATATGGTCTTTTTTTTTTTTTTTTTTTTTTTTTGAGACAGGGTCTCACTCTGTGTCACCCAGGGTATAGTGCAGTGGTGTGATCTTGGCTCACTGCAGCCTCTGCCTCCAGGGTTCCAGTAAGTCTTGTGCCTCAGCCTCCCGAGTAGCTGGGACTACAGGCACTAGCCACCCCATCCAGCTAATTTTTAAAACTTTTTTTGTAGAGGCCAGGTGCGATGGCTCATGCCTATAATCCCAACAGTTTGGGAGGCCAAGGTGGCGGATCACTTGAGGTCAGGAGTTCGAGACCAGCCTGGCCAACATGGTGAAACCCCGTCTCTACAAAAATACCAAAAAAAAAAAAAGGCCGGGTGCAGTGGCTCATGCCTGTAATCCTGACCCTTTGGGAGGCCAAGGCAGGTGGATCACCTGAGGTCAAGAGTTCGAGACCAGCCTGGCCAACATGGAGAGAACCCCATCTCTACTAAAAATACAAAAATTAGCCAGGGATGGTGGTGTGTGCCTGTAGTCCAGCTACTTGGGAGGCTAAGGCAGGAGAATCACTTGAACCTGGCAGGTGGAGGCTGCAGTGAGCCGAGATTGTACCACTGCACTCCACTCTAGCCTGGGTGACAGAGCAAGACTCTGTCTCAAAAAAGAATAAAGAAAAAAAATGTATAAGCTGACATTATTGGGTGGAGTATTCTGAGTGTCAGGTCACTTTAGTCGATAGTGATGTTGCTCAGGTCATCTATGGCCTTACTAATTTTCGTCCTGCTTCCTCTATCAATTACTGACAGGAATATTGACATCCTCAAATGTAATTGCAGATTTATGTATTTTCTTTTCAGGTATATTATTCTTTCTTTTTTTTGGGTGGAGTTTTGCTCTTGTTGCCCAGGCTGGAGTCCAATGGTGTGCTCTCGGCTCACTGCAACCTCCGCCTCCCAGGTTCAAGCGATTCTCCTGCCTCAGTCTCCCAAGTAGCTGGGATTACAGGCATGCGCCACCACGCCCGGCTAATTTTGTATTTTTTAGTAGAGACAGGGTTTCTCCATGTTAGTCAGGCCGGTCTTGAACTCCTGACCTCAGGTGATCCGCCCAGCTTGGCCTCCCAAAGTGCTAGGATGACAGGCATGAGCCACCACGCCTGGTCCAGATATATTATTCTTGCCTCAGTTGTTTGAGGTGCGTATACATTTAGGATTGTTCTTCTTAGATAATTGACCTCTTTTTTTTTTTTTTTTTTTTGAGACAGTGTCTCACTCTGTCATCCAGGCAGGAGTGCAGTGAGGCGATCTCAACTCACTACAGCTACAGCCTCGGCCTCCCAGGCTCAGGTGATACTCCCACCTCAGCCTCCCAAGTAGCTGGGACTACAGGCGCACACCACCAAGCCTGGCTAATTTTTTTTTTTTTTTTTGAGATGAAGTCTCGCTTGGTCACCCAGGCTGGAGTGCAGTGGCACAATCTTGGCTCACTGCAACCTCTGCCTCCAGGGTTCAAGCAATTCTTCTGCCTCAGGCTCCCGAGTAGCTGGGATTACAGGCACATGCCACCACACCCAGCTATTTTTTTGTATTTTTTAACAGAGATGGGGTTTCACCATGTTGGCCAGGCTTGCCTTGAACTCCTGACCTCAGGTCATCCACCTGCCTCGGCCTCTCAGTGCTGGGATTGCAGGCGTGAGCCACCGCGCCGGCCTCTACAAATTTTTGCAGAGGTGGGGTTTGGCCATGTTGCCTAGTATGGTCTGCAACTCCTGGGCTCAAGTGATCCACCTGCCTTGGCCAGACCTCTGTCATTTTCTTTTCTTTTTTTTTTTTGAGACAGAGTCTCCCTCTGTCACCCAGGCTGGAGTGCAGTGATGCAATCTTGGCTCACTGCACCCTCCGCCTCTGGGGTTCAAGTGATTTTCCTACCTCAGCCTCCCGAGTAGCCAGGACTACAGGCGCATACCACCACGCCAGGCTAATTTTTGGATTTTTAGTAGGCACAGGGTTTCACCATGTTGGCCAGGCTGGTCTCAAACTCCTGACCTCAGGCAATCTGCCTGCCTAGGCCTTCCAAAGTGCTGGGATTACAGGCATGAGCCACCTCACCAAGCCATGAGTCTTGCTTTTTAATTCAGTCTGACAATCTCTCTTTTAGCTGATGTGTTTAGACCATTTCCATGCTTTTTTTAGTAGCTTTTTTTTTTTTTTTTTTTTTTTTTTTTTTTTTTGGAGACAGAGTCTCACCCTCTCACCCAGGCTGGAGTGCAGTGGTATGATCTTGGCTCACTGCAAATTCCATCTCCTGGGTCCAAGTGATTCTCCTGCCTCAGCCTCCCTAGTAGCTGGGATTATAGGCATGTGCCAACATGGCTGGCTAATTTTTTTGCAATTTTAGTAGACACAGCGTTTCACCATATTGGCCATACTGGTCTTGAACTCCTGACCTCAGGTGATCCACCCGTCTGCCTCCCAAAGTGCTGGGATTACAGGCATGCGCTACTGCAGCCAGTCCCTAGTCCCTAGTCGCTATTATTATTATTATTATTATTTTTTTTTTTTGAGACGGAGTCTCGCTTTTGTTGCCCAGGCTAGAGTGCAATGTCACGATCTCGGCTCACTGCAGCCTCCATCTCCCGGGTTCAAGCAATTCACCTGCCTCAGCTTTCTGAGTAGCTGGGATTACAGGCCTGTGCCACCACGCCTGGCTAATTTCTGTATTTTTTAGTGGAGATGTGGTTTTATCATGCTGGCCAAGCTGATCTCGAACTCCCGACCTCAGGTGATCTGCCCGCCTTGGCCTCCCAAAGTGTTGGGATACAGGTGTGAGCCACTGCACCCAGTCCCTATTAGCTATTTTGGATCGCATGCCCCACATTAATGAAGATGGGACAGATACAGTCCTTGCTATTCATCTTTATGCAGCTTAGATTTCATAGGCCGTTACTGTAATAAGTTTCTTTTCCCTTGCTTCCTGACTGACCTTGCAAAATCTCAGTTCTCTGCCCAGTCAACTCCTATGCCTAAGTAGCAGAATTGTATGTCTCCCTGTTCACTCTCCGAGGTGACTATTTCACAACTTCTCTCATTTTGAATCCCCAACAACTTATTTGAATCCCTTACAGCTCATAAACCAATTTCTTACATTGCTAATAAATAGAAGCAAAGAGTGATGCATCTCATCATCAAATGTATCCTATCTGCACCAGTGGTCACATACTCTGTCTTCACTCGCTCTCTCATTTTTTTTTTTTTCCTGAGACGGAGTCTCACTCTGTTGCCCAGGCCGGAGTGCAATGGTGCCATCTCAGCTCACTGCAACCTCCGCCTCCGGAGTTCAAGCAATTCTCCTACCTCAGCCTCCTGAGTAGCTAGGATTATGAGCGTGCACCACCACGCCTGGCTAACTTTTTTGTATTTTTAGTAAAGACAGGAGGTTTCACCATGTTGGCCGGGCTGGTCTTGAACTCCTGACCTCGTGATCTGCCCACCTTGGCCTCCCAAAGTGCTGGGATTAGAAGCGTGAGCCACCGTGCTCAGCTTGTCTTCACTCTTGTCTCTTCAAGGACTTCACTCCTATAATTAATCCTTCTTTTTCTCCAGTATCGTTCATCTCTCTCTTTTTGCTTTAGCATACAAACATGCTATAATATCTCCACTTTAAAGAGAGAAAAGAAATTTTTGTACACTCCATGCCCTATCCAGTCTAGAATTTAATCTAACGCTGTCTTCCTCCAGAATCCATGCTTTTAACCACTGTGGTGGGACATTTCAAACTTATGTCTTTTTGTTTTGTTTTGTTTTTGAGATGGAGTCTCGCTCTGTTGCCCAGGCTGGAGTGCAGCGGCACGATCTCAGCTCACTGCCAGCTCCGCCTCCCGGATTCAGGCCATTCTCCTGCCTCAGCCTCCTGAGTAGCTGGGACTACAGGCGCCCGCTACCACGCCCGGCTAATTTTTTGTATTTTTAGTAGAGACGGGGTTTCACTGTGTTAGCCAGGATGGTCTCGATCTCCTGACCTCATGATCCGCCCGCCTCGGCCTCCCACAGTGCTGGGATTACAGGCGTGAGCCACCGCGCCCGGCAAATTTATGTCTTAGAAACAAATTCCTGGCTGGGTGCAGTGGCTCATGCCTGTAATCCTAGCACTTTGGGAGGCTGAGGCAGGTGGATCGTTTGAGCCCAAGAGTTTGAGACCAGCCTGGACAACACGGCGAAACCTTGTCTCTACAAAAAATACAAAAATTAGCCGGGAGTGGTGGCGGGCACCTGTAGTCCCAGATACTCAAGAGGCTGAGGTGGGAGGGTCACCTGAGCCTCGGTGGTTGAGGCTGTGGTGAGCCATGATTGTGCCACTGCACTCCAGCCTGAATGACAGAGTGAGACCCTGTCTCAAAAAAAAAAAAAAAAAAAAAAAAAAAAAAGGCCGAGGTGGGTGGATCACCTGAGGTCAGGAGTTTGAGACCAGACTGGCCACATAGTGAAACCCGTCTCTACTAAAAAACAAAAAATTAGCTGGGCATGATGGCGGACGCCTGCAATCCCAGCTACTCAGGAGCCTGAGGCAGGAGAATCGTTTAAACCTGGGAGGTGGAGGTTGCAGGGAGCCGAGATCATGCCACTGCACTCCAGCCTGGGCGACAGAGTGAGACTCCAACTCCAAAAAAAGGAAAGAAAAAAACAAAACCTGGCCGGGCGTGGTGGCTCACGCCTGTAATCCCAGCACTTTGGGAAGTTGAGGAGGGCGGATCACCTGAAGTCGGGAGTTCAAGACCAGCCTGACCAACATGGAGAAACCCCCGTCTCTACTAAAAATACAAAATTAGCTGGGGTGGTGGCGCATGCCTGTAATCCCAGCTACTCGGGAGGCTGAGGCAGGATAATCTCTTGAACCCGGGAGGCGGAGGTTGTGGTGAGCCGAGATCACACCACTGCACTCCAGGCTGGGCAATAAGAGTAAAACCCTATCTCAAAAAAAAAAGAAAGGAAGAAACAAGGAAAAAAAAAACAAAAACCTTATTCCACTCCACCATCACCCAGACTTGCTGCTTTCTTTGTCTGTCCTTAGGCAATTGAATGATACCATTATTTATTCAGTTGCTCAGGCTAAAACTGCCCAAATCGTCCTTCACTCCTTTCCTTGACTAATTGCCCATATTCATCAGCAACTCTTATTAGCTCGGCCTTCAAAATATATTCTAGTTCTGATTTCCATTTACTTGTCTGCTACTTTGTAACCAAGCCAGTGTAACATTTGCTTTGACCACTACGCTAGACTTATATAGGTGTTTCTACTTATACTCTTGGCAAACAGATTTTTTTTTTTTTTGAGACACTGTCACCCAGGCTGGAGTGCAGTGGCACAATCTGGGCTCACTGCAACCTCTGCCTCCCAGGTTCAAGCAAGTCTGGTGCCTCAGCCTCCCAAGTAGCTGGGATTACAGGTGGGCCACCGGGATCGGCTAATTTTTGTAATTTTAGTAGAGATGGGAACTCCAGGATTTTACCATGTTGGCCAGGCTGGTCTGGAACTCCTGACCTCAAGTGATCCACCTGCCTCGTCTTCCCAAAGTGCTGGGATTACAGGCGTGAGCCACCATGTCCAGCCAGAATGTTGTTTTTAATGGCAGTTGCCTGCTTAAAATGCCTTTTAACTAAATTAGAATAATATCCATGCTCCTTACCATGGCCACAATACCTTACACGGCCTTACTACCTCCTTTGTTCCTGACTACCTCTCTGACCTTATCTCTTTTCTTTCGCTCTTTATTTACTTTTTTTTTTTTGTTTTTTTTTTTTTTGTTTTTTTTTTTTTTTTGGTGGTGGTTGTTGAGACAGTGTCTCCTTCTGTCGCCCAGAATGGAATGCAGTGGCACCATCATAGTTTGAACTCTTGGATTCCAGTGATCCCCATGCCTCAGCCCCCAAGTATCTGAGACCACAGGCGTGTACCACTATGCCTGCATTCCTGGATTTTTTTTTTTTTCAGCGAGATGGGATCTCACTATATTGCCCAGCCTTGTCTGAAATTTCTGGGCTTAAGCGATCTTCATGTCTCAGCCTCCAAAAATGCTGGGATAACAGGCATGAACCACCATGCCCAGTCTCTCATCTCTCACCTTGCTCACTCTGCACTAGACATGCTAGCCTCTTTCTGTTCATCAAACACACTAAGCTTGTTGCAAACTCAGGCCTTCTGCCTGAAATGCTCTTCCTGGAGGTCTTCACATGACTTGCTCCATCATCTCATTCATGTTGCTGTTCAAATGTCAGGCCTTCCTTCCCTGACCATCCTAGCTAAAACAGCTTCTAGCCCCACTCACCTTCTCTTCCTCTCCTGGCTTAATTTTGCTTTATGGCGCATTTTGGCACTTACTATTAACCCACTTTTAAATTTTGTCAAAAATGAGGATGAGGATTTGTCTTATTCGTTGTTGTATCTACAATGCCCAGAACATTGCCTGGACACAGAAGAATACTGTAGGTCAGTCATCAGTAAATACTTGTTTCAGTCAATGAGTAAATGAATGAACTAAAGGATTAATGAATAGAGGAAGTCTCAATGGAAAAAATTTAAAAAAGGAGGCTAATTTAAAAAATAGGACCAAGATGCTGAGAGCAGTGGCTCACGCCTGCAATTCCAGAACTTTGGGAGGCTGAGGCAGGTGGATCACAAGGTCAGGAGTTCAAGACCAGCCTGGCCAATATGGTGAAACCCCATCTCTACTAAAAATACAAAAATTAGCTGGGCATGGTGGTGCACGCCTATAGTCCCAGCTACTCAGAAGGCTGAGGCAGAAGAATCGCTTGAACCTGGGAGGCAGAGGTGGCAGTGAGCCGAGATTACACCACTGCACTCCAGCCTGGGTGACAGAGCAAGACTCCATCTCAAAAAAAAAAAAAAAAAAAAAAGGAGCAAGAATGTGAGAAATATGTCAACCCAGAAGTTTCGATAACTGATCATCCCAGAGAGAGAACAGAGAACAATTGAGCACCATCAAGAAAAAAAAAAAAAAAGAAAATGAGGCTTACATTACCAAAGAAAGAGGACAAAAAAATTTTTAGAGCTAAAGGACATGAATTTTCAGATAAACTTACTAGTTCAGTGCAATAAAAAAAAAAAAATGCCGGGGCACAGTGGTTCATGCCTGTAATCCCAGCACTTTGGGAGGCTGAGGCGGGCGGATCACAAAGTCAGGAGATCGAGACCATCCTGGCTAACACGGTGAAACCCCGTCTCTACTAAAAATATAAAAATTAGCTGGGTGTGGTGGTGTGTGCCTGTACTGCCAGCTACTTGGGAGACTGAGGCAGGAGAATCACTTGAACCTGGAAGGCGGAGGTTGCAGTGAGCAGAGATTGCACCACTGCATCCAGCCTGGGTGAGAGAGACTCCGTCTCAAAAAAAAAAAGACTTACACATCTCTGACTAATTTTAGAGCACTGGGCAGAGGAGAGGACACTAAGGGCCCCCGGAAAGAAAAGAGCATGAATCAATCCCATTTTGTTATTTTTTTCTTTTGTCTTCTTTCTTTCTTTCTTTCTTTTTTTTTTTTTTTTTTTGAGACAGAGTCTTGCTCTGTCGCCCAGGCTGGAATGCAGTGGTGATCTCAGCTCACTGCAAGCTCTGCCTCCCGGGTTGAAGTGATCTCGTGCTTCAGCCTCCTGAGTAGCTGAGATTATATGCAGCTACCACCATGCCTGGCTAACTTTTGTGTTTTTAGTAGAGACAAGGTTTCACCATGTTTGCCAGACTGGTCTCGAACTCGTGACGTCAAGTGATCTGCCCTCCTCGGCCTCCCAAAGTGCTGGGATGACAGGTGTGCATCTGATTGGCTGTTGGCTGGGCTAGTCTGGAATTCCCAACTTCAGGTGATCCGCCTGCCTTGGCCTCCCAAAGTGTTGGGATTACAGGTGTGAGCCATTGCACTGCCAGATGCAATCTTTTTTTTTTTTTTTCAGATTTCTTATAAACTATTAATACACTATTACAAAGAAAGTGAAATGGTTTTATTTATTTATTTTTATTTTATTTATTTATGTTTTTGAGACAGAGTCTTGCTCTGTCGACAGGCTGGAGTGCAGTGGCATGATCTCGGCTCACTGCCGCCTCCTCCTCCTGGGTTCAAGCGATTCTCCTACCTCAGCCTCACTTGTAGTTGGGACTACAGGAACGCATCACCATGCCTACCTAATTTTTGTATTTTTAGTAGTGACGGGGTTTCACCATGTTGGCCAGGATGGTCTTGATCTCTTGACCTCGTGATCTGCCTGCCTCAGCCTCCCAAAGTGCTGGGGTTACAGGCATGAGCCACCGTGCCCAGCCTTTATTATTTATTTATTTATTTAACTTATTTTTTTGAGACGGAGTTTTGCTCTTGTTGCCCAGGCTGGAGTGCAATGGCGTGGTCTCAGCTCACCGCAACCTGCGCTTCCCAGGTTCAAGTGATTCTCCTGCCTCAGCCTCCCGAGTAGCTGAGATTGCAGGCGTGTGCCACCACCAAACACCACCAATGTTTTTGTATTTTTAGTAGAGACAGGATTTCTCCATGTTGGTCCGGCTGGTCTCGAACTCCCGACCTTAGGTGACCCACCCGCCTCGGCCTCCCAAAGTGCTGGGATTACAGGTGTGAGCCACCGTGCCCAGCCTATTTATTTTTTTTGAGACAGAGTTTCGCTCTTTTTGCCCAGGCTCGAGTGCAGTCATGCATCGCCGTTCACATGAATCGTGCCTCTTGGATTCAAGCGATTCTCGTGCCTCAGCCTCCCGAGTAGCTGGGATTACAGGCATGTGCCACCGCGCCCAGCTAATTATGTATTTTTAGTAGAGATGGGGTTTCGCCATGTTGGTCACGCTGGTCTTGAACTCCTGACCTCAAGTGATACATCCGCCTCGGCCTCCCAAAGTGGTGGGATTACAGGCGTGGACCCCCGCGCCCGGCCAACGGTTTTATTTTCAATCTAAATTTTCATCCAAGCTCTAAGTCATTTATTAGGATGAAATATTTTGTTTGTTTGTTTCTTTTGAGACAGAGTCTCACTCTGTCCCCCAGGCTGGAGTGCAGTGGTGCAATCTTGGCTCACTGCAACCTCTGCCTCCTGGGTTCAGCAATTCTCCTGCCTCAGCCTCCCGAGTAGCTGGGATTACAGTCATGTGCCACCAGGCTCGGCTAATTTTTGTATTTTTAGTAGAGACAGGGTTTCACCGTGTTGGCTGGGCTAGCCTGGAACTTCTGACTTCAAGTGATCCACCTGCCTCGGCCTCCCAAAGTGTTGGGACTGCAGAAGTGAGCCATCGCACTGCCAGATGCAATCTTTTTTTTTTTTTTTTTTGAGACGGTGTCTTGCTCTGTTGCCCAGGCTGGAGTGCAGTGGCGCGATCTCAGCTCACTGCAACCTCCGCCTCCCCAGTTCAAGCGATTCTCCTGCTTCAGCTTCCTTAGTAGCTCGGACTACGGGCACCCGCCACCATGCCCAGCTAATTTTTTGTTTGAGTTTTTAGCAGAGATGGGATTTCACTGTGTTAGCCAGGATGGTCTCAATCTCCTGGCCTTGTGATTCACCTGCCTCGGCCTCCCACAGTGCTGGGGTTACAGGCGTGAGCCACCGCGCCCGGCCTCAAATGCAATCTTTTTTTTTACATTCAAAGATTCAGGGCTGGGCATGGTGGCTCACACCTGTAATTCCAGCACTTTGGGAAGCTGAGGTAGGAGGATCACCTGAGGCCAGGAGTTAGAGATCAGCCTGGGCACTACAGTGAGACTCTGTTGCTACAGAAAGTTTTAAAAATTAGCTAGGTGTGATGATGGACACCTGTAGTTCAACTACTCTGGAGGCTGAGGCAGGAGGATCACTTGAGCCCAGTAAGGCTGTAGTAAGCTTTGATTATGCCACTGCACTCCAGCCTGGGCAGTAGAGTGACTCTCAAAAAAAAAAAAAAAAAAAAGAACAAATATTCAGAAGTTCTACTTAGGCACGTCATTTTAAATTGCTTGTAGGTATACTGTGGCAAAATGCAGCAAGAAATAAACCCAGCAGGAGATAGACTGCAGTGAGCTAGGATCGTGACACTGTACTCCCAGGCTTCCTTGCTGGGGTGACTGAGCAAGACTGTCTCTTAAAAAAAAGAAGGGCTGGTAATCCGGGCACTTTGGGAGGCCAAGGTGGGCAGATCACTTGAGGTCAGGAGTTCAAGACCAGCTTGGCCAACATGGTGAAACCCCATCTCTACTAAAAATACAAAAATTAGACCAGGTGCGGTGGCTGACGCCTGTAATCCCAGCACTTTGGGAGGCCAAGGCAGGTGGATCATGAGGCCAGGAGTTCGAGACCAGCCTGGCCAACATGGCGAAACCCCGTCTATACTAAAATTACAAAAATTAGCTGAGCGTGGTGGCGGGTGCCTGTAATCCCAGCTACTCGGGAGGCTGAGGCAGGAGAATCACTTGAACCTGGGAGGTGGAGGTTGCAGTGAGCTGAGATCATGCCATTGCACTCCAGCCTGGGCGACAAGAGCAAGACTCTGTCTCAAAAAAAACAAAAACAAAAACAAACAAACAAAAAACCTAAACTAAACTAAAAATACAAAAATTAGCTGGGCCTGGTAGTGCATGACTGTAATCCCAGCTACTCGGGAGGCTGAGGCAGGAGGATCTCCTGAACCCGGGAGGTGGAGGTAGCAGTGAGTCAAGACTGCACCATTGCACTCCAGCCTGGGTGACACAGCAAGGCTCTGTTTCAAAAAAAAAAAGAAAGAAAGAAGGAGAAGAAAGAAAGAAAGAAAAGAAAGAGAGAGAAAGAAAGAAAGAAAGAAAGAAAGAAAGAAAGAAAGAAAGAAAGAAAGAAAAGAAAGAAAGAAAGAGAAAGAAAGAAAGAAAAAGAAAGAAAGAAAGAAAAAGAGAGAAAAAGAAAAAGGAAGGAAGGAAGAAAGGAAGGGAGGGCGGGCCAGCCAGCTGGGCGCAGTAGCTCACGCCTGTAATCCCAGCACTTTGGGAGGCTGAGGCAGGTGAATCACCTGAGGTCGGGAGTTCAAGACCAGGCTGACCACCATGGAGAAACCCCGTCTCTACTAAAAATACAAAAAATTAGCTGGGCATGGTGGCACATGCCCTGTAATTCCAGCTACGGCAGGAGAATCACTTGAACCCGGGAGGTGGAGGTTGCGGTGAGCCAAAGATCACGCCATTACACTATAGCCTGGGCAACAAGAGCGAAACTCCATCTCAAAAAAAAAAAAAAAAGATTGCATCGGGCAGCGCAGTGGCTCACGCTTGTAATCCCAGCACTTTAGCAGGTCGAGGTGGGTAGATCACTTGAGGCCAGGAGTTCAAGACCAGCCTGGCCAACATGGTGAAACCCCGTTTCTACTAAAAATACAAAAATTAGCTGGGCGTGGTGGCGGGCGCCTGTAATCCCAGCTACTCAGGAGGCTGAGGCAGGAGAATGGCGTGAACCCGGGAGGCGGAGCTTGCAGTGAGCCAAGATTGCGCCACTGCACTCCAGCCGGGGTGACAGAGCGAGACTCCATCTCAAAAAAAAAAAAAAAAAAAAAAAAAAAAAAAAAAAAAAGCCAGGCGTGGTGGCACATGCCTGTAATCCCAGCTATGTGGGAGGCTGAGGCAGGAGAATCGCTTGAACCCGGGAGGTGGAGGTTATAGTGAGCCAAGATTGTCCCACTCCAGCCTGGGCAACAATAGCGAAACTCCTTCTCAAAAAAAAAAAAAAAAAAAAAGAAAAAAAAGAAGAAAGAAAGAAACAAACAAAAGAAAGAAAGACACTTGGAGTCAAAGAAACAGTGGATCTAACTCAGGAGCGCCATACCGGAAAGACTCGTGAAGACAGCACTAAAAGAGTCTACCTTTATTAGAGCTGGACAAGGGCTTCAGGACAGGCGGCTCTGGGAAAGGGGGACTTGATGAAGTACTTGATATGGAGACAGACTGCCTTATTGCAGAACCCTGTTTATTCTTTCCATTTGAATGAGACCCCTGGAAGTGTGCAGTTCATGACCTACATGAATGGAACTATTGGAAATGCCTAAGAGAAAGACAATTATAAACTGTAGGACAAAACTCCACAGTAAGAGTAAAAGGTGACACTTTTGAGTGTATACTAAGTGCCAGTTGTTCTAAGTCCTTTTACGTGTATTAACTCATTTAATCCTTACGAGAGCCCTGTAGGTCTTATCCACATTTTGCAATGAAGAAACAGGGACAGAAAGATTACATAACTTGCTCAGAATTAATACAGCTAGGAGGTGCCCAAGCACTTCCTAGGGTTTGACCCTAGCCGGGCTCCAAGAGCTGATAAACTCTTTTTTTTTTTTTTTGAGACAGAGTTTTGCTTTTGTTTTGGCGCAATCTCGGCTCACTGCAACCTCCACAGGAAGTGTTTCTCCTGCCTCAGCCTCCCCAGCTAGGATCCTCCCTGGGATTACAGACATGTGCCAGTGCGCCTGGCTAATTTTTGTATTTTTAGTGGAGACAGGGTTTCACCACGTTGGCCAGGCTGGTCTCAAACTCCTGACCTCAGATGATCCACCCACCTCGGCCTCCCAAAGTGCTGGGATTACAAGCATGAGCCACTGCACCCGGCCAGAGCTTTTGATAAACTCTTAATTCATATTCTATAGATCCTCTTAAGAGAAGACATATAATTAAAATAAAGAATTTGGCTCTTCATGAACAACATTTGCAAGGTAACAACTACTAATAATTGATTTAACCAAATAAATCTGTACTGCAAGATTGATAGTTCTTTTTTTTTTTTTTTTTTTTTTTTTTTTTTTTTTTTTTTTTTTGAGATGAAGTCTCACTTTTGCCCAGGCTGGAGTGCAGTGGTGCGATCTTGGCTCACTGCAAGCTCTGCCTCCTGGGTTCACCCCATTCTCCTGCCTCAGCCTCCCGAGTAGCTGGAACTACAGGCGCCCGCCACCACACCCGGCTAATTTTTTTGTATTTTTAGTAGAGATGGGTTTTCACCATGTTAGCCAGGCTGGTTTCTATCTCCTGGTCTCGTGATCCGCCCACCTCGGCCTCCCAAAGTGCTGGGATTACAGGCGTGAGCCACCGCGCCCGGCCGTTAGTTATTTCTAAGAATGTCAAGTTTTCATCTTCCAGGGCACATTTGTTGCTATACTTGATATGGTTAGGCTTTGTGTCCTCACCCGAATCTCACCTTGAATTTTAATTCCCATATCCCCGTCTGTCAAGGTGGAGGTAATAGAATCATGGGGTTGGTTTCCCAGTTTTCCCCATGCTATTCTCATGACAGTGAGTTCTCATGAGATCTGATGTAGTTTTTTTGTTTTTGTTTTTGTTTTTGAGACGGAGTTTCACTCTGTCGCCCAGGCTGGAGCGCAGTGGTGCAATCTCAGCTCGCTGCAACCTCCGCCTCCCCGGTTCAAGTGATTCTCCTGCCTCAGCCTCCCGAGTAGCCAGCACTACAGGTGCCCACCACCACGCCCGGGTAATTTTTGTATTTTTGGTAGAGATGGAGATTTACCATGTAGTCCAGGCTGTTCTCCAATTCCTGACCTCAAGCAATCCACCCACCTTGGCCTCCCAAAGTGGTGGGATTACAGGCGTGAGCCACCTTGCCTGGCCCAGATCTAATGGTTTTATAAGGGGCTTCCCTCCCACACTTCATTGTACACTTCACCTTGCTGCCTCCATGTGAAGAAGGACATGTTTGCTTCCCCTTCCGCCATGATTCTAAGTTTCCTGAGGCCTCCCCAGCCATCCTGAACTGTGAACCTCTTTCCTTTATAAATTACCCGGTCTCCAGCAGTTCTTTATAGCAGTATGAGAAAGGAGTAGTTCGGGTGCGGTGGCTCATGCCTATAATCCCAGAACTTTGGGAGGCCAAGGCAGGTGGATCAGCTGAGGTCATAAGTTTGAGACCAGCCTGGTCAACACGGTGAAACCTCGTCTCTACTAAAAATACAAAAATTAGCTGGGCGTGGTGGCGGCTGCCTGAAATCCCAGCTACTCGGGAGGCTGAGGCAAGAGAATCGCTTGAACCCAGGTGGTGGAGCCCTGCACTCCAGCCTGGGTAATAGAGTGAGACTCTGTCTCAAAAACAAACAAACAAACAAACAAAAACGAAAACAGACTAATACCCAAAATGTATACATTAAGAAATAGTTCCCATTTCAGTAGGTGTACCTAAAAAAAAAAAAAAATTCAAAGCATGTTATTTTAAAATATGGCAACTATCTGAAGAAACAGTTAAGAAATCTTGTCAAGAGTAAGCTTTGGGACTAGAAAACACTAGGGCAGAAGACTTACTTTCATTGTAAGCCTTTTGTTTCTTTAGCCACTGTGTATTCTTTTTTAAAAATAAAAGTTGATAGTCAAAGATCTTTCGTTTTCTCTGTATTTTAATTACATTTCTCCAAGTACACATTGTGCTTCCTGTCACTGCGCATTTAAAATTACTGTTTCTCCTTTTGTAATGCGATTCTCTTCCATTTCTTCTTTTTTATTTTCGAGGTAGAGTCTTGCTCTGTTGCCCGGGCTGGAGTGCAATGGCATCATCTCAGCTCACTGCAGCCTTGACCTCCCGGGCTCGAGCGATCCTACCACCTCAGCTTCCCAAGAAGCTGGGATACAGGCACAAGCCACCACACTCAGCTAATTTTTGTAGTTTTTTTGTGGAGACTGGGTTTCACCATGCTACCCAGGCTTTCCATTTCTATAAATCGAAATCTTATCCTTTAAGGCCACCTCCAAATTCGACCGCTTCCATGAAACTTCCCAAATCTCCCACAGGACTCAATTGTTCCAGTAGTGATACATATTCCACCTTTTATATTCTTTTTTGTTGTTGTTTGTTTGTTTGAGACAGGGTTTCACTCTGTTGCCCAAGCTAGAACGCAGTGGCACACTCATGGCTCACTGCAGTCTCAACTTCCTAGTCTCAATTGATCCTCCCACCTCAGCCACCCGAGTAGCAAGGATGACAGGTGGGTGCTGGCTAATTTTTTTTTTTTTTTTTGTAAAGATAGGGGTCTCGGCCAGGTGTGGTGGCTCACGCCTGTAATCCTAGCACTTTGGGAGGCCAAGGCGGGTGGATCACAAAGTCAGGAGATCGAGATCATCCTGGCTAACACGGTGAAACCCCGTATCTACTAAAAATAAAAATAAAAATAAAAATTAGCCGGGCGTTGTGGCACGTGACTGTAGTCCCAGCTACTTGGGAGGCTGAGGCAGGAGAATCACTTGAACCCGGGAGGTGGAGGTTGCAGTGAGCCGAGATTACGTCACTGCACTCCAGCCTCAGTGAAAGATGAGACTCTGTCTCAAAAAAAAAAAAAAAAAAAAAAAAGATAGGGGTCTCACTGTGTTGCCCAGGCTGGTCTCAAACTCCTGGCCTCAAGCAATCCTCCTGCCTCGGGCTCCCAAAGTGCCAGGATTACAGGCGTGAGCCGCCATGCCCAGCCTCACCTTCTATATTTTTGTTAGCTGTCTGTTGATTGTAAACTCCTTATGCACAATATTTTTACGTCAGGGCATGTAACAAGCACTTAATTAATATCAACTTTATTAAATTTGTCATAAAAATCAAGAGGAGCAGAGGAAATGGGACTAAGGAGGGTGCCATCAGTGACATTAAGTGCATCAGAAAGGTGGAGCATATTAGAGCTAGACATTGTATGTGGCCAACGGTTTGAGCATTTTTTTTTTTTTGAGACGGAGTCTCGCACTGTTGCCCAGGCTGGAGTGCAGTGGCACAATCTCCGCTCACTGCAACCTCCACCTCCCGGGTTCAAGTGATTCTCTTGCCTCAACCTCCTGAGTAGCTGGGATTACAGGCACACACCACCATGCCCGACTAATTCTTTTGTATTTTTAGTAGAGATGGTGTTTCGCTATGTTGGCCAGGCTGGTCTCGAACTCATGACCTCAGGTGATCCACTCACTTGAGGATTGCAGGCATGAGCCACCGTGCCTGGCCTGAGCATTTTGTTAGTTGTTCTCTTCCAATCCCTGAGGAGGTTTGATCGACTGATGGGATTAACAGCTAGTGTAGAAGTTAGAGGGTGATGAGCTAAAATTTTGGGGAACAATCTGACTGTTTAAAGGGAACTACAATAATTACAAAATAGAGTCAGGTGTGAGACACTTGTGCCAGGCACATTTTGTGACAGAAGGATACAAGTCTGTAGGGAGAGAGAAATGGAAGATGTTGGAGAGATGGAAAGTTCTGTCTTTTGGTGGGAAAGGTGGGATACAGAAAATGAATGAATTCTATAATCACGGAAATATATAAAGACAGTAATAAAATGCTGTCTAATGTATTGTGATTGCTTTGAGCTATTTGGGAGGCCGAAGTGGTAGGATGGCTTGCATCCAAGAGTTTGAGACAGGCCTGGGCAACATAGTGAGACTCTGGCTCTACAAAAAATAAAAAATTAACCAGACGTGGTGCTGCTCACCCTGTTGTCCCAGCTACTCGGAGGCTGCAGTGAGCCGTGATTGTGCCACTGCACTTAGCCTGAGCAACAGAGTGAGACCCCATATGGGTGCGGGTGTCTGTGAGTGTGGGTGCGTGGTTGTGATTGTGGTGTGGGTGTCTGTGGGTATGGGTGTGAGTGTGGTTGTGATTGTGTGGGTGTGGGTGTGAGTGGTGATTGTGTGTGGGTGTGGGTGTGAGTGTGGTTGTGATTGTGTGTGGGTGTGGTTGTGATTGTGTGTGGGTGTGTGGTTGTGATTGTGTGGGTGTGGGTGTGAGTGGTTGTGATTGTGTGGGTGTGGGTGTGAGTGTGGTTGTGATTGTGTGTGGGTGTGGGTGTGAGTGGTTGTGATTGTGTGGGTGTGTGGTTGTGATTGTGTGGGTGTGGGTGTGAGTGGTTGTGATTGTGTGGGTGTGGGTGTGAGTGTGGTTGTGATTGTGTGTGGGTGTGAGTGGTTGTGATTGTGTGTGGGTGTGGGTGTGTGTGGTTGTGATTGTGTGTGGGTATGGGTGTGAGTGGTTGTGATTGTGTGTGGGTGTGAGTGTGGTTGTGATTGTGTGTGGGTGTGTGTGGTTGTGATTGTGTGTGGGTGTGTGTGGTTGTGATTGTGTGGGTATGGGTGTGAGTGGTTGTGATTGTGTGTGGATATGGGTGTGAGTGTGGTTGTGATTGTGCGTGGGTGTGGGTGTGTGTGGTTGTGATTGTGTGTGGGTGTGGGTGTGTGTGGTTGTGATTGTGGGTGTGGGTGTGAGTGGTTGTGATTGTGTGTGGGTGTGGGTGTGTGTGGTTGTGATTGTGTGGGTGTGGGTGTGAGTGTGGTTGTGATTGTGTGTGGGTGTGGGTGTGAGTGGTTGTGATTGTGTGGGTGTGTGGTTGTGATTGTGTGTGGGTGTGGGTGTGAGTGTGGTTGTGATTGTGTGTGGGTGTGGGTGTGAGTGGTTGTGATTGTGTGTGGGTGTGGGTGTGTGTGGTTGTGATTGTGTGGGTATGGGTGTGAGTGGTTGTGATTGTGTGTGGGTGTGAGTGGTTGTGATTGTGTGTGGGTGTGGGTGTGTGTGGTTGTGATTGTGTGTGGGTGTGGGTGTGAGTGTGGTTGTGATTGTGTGGGTATGGGTGTGAGTGGCTGTGATTGTGTGTGGGTGTGGGTGTGTGTGGTTGTGATTGTGTGTGGGTGTGAGTGTGGTTGTGATTGTGTGGGTGTGGGTGTGAGTGTGGTTGTGATTGTGTGTGGGTGTGGGTGTGTGTGGTTGTGATTGTGTGTGGGTGTGAGTGGTTGTGATTGTGTGGGTGTGGGTGTGAGTGTGGTTGTGATTGTGTGGGTGCGGGTGTGTGGTTGTGATTGTGTGTGGGTGTGTGATTGTGCGTGGGTGTGTGGTTGTGATTGTGTGTGGGTGTGGGTGTGAGTGGTTGTGATTGTGTGGGTGTGGGTGTGTGTGGTTGTGATTGTGTGTGGGTGTGGGTGTGAGTGTGGTTGTGATTGTGTGTGGGTATGGGTGTGAGTGTGGTTGTGATTGGGTGTGAGTGTGGTTGTGATTGTGTGGGTGTGGGTGTGAGTGGTTGTGATTGTGTGGGTGTGGGTGTGTGGTTGTGATTGTGGTATGGGTGGGTGTGGGTGTGGTGATTGTGGTGTGGGTGTCGGTGTGGGTGTGGTTGTGATTGTATGTGGGTGTGGGTGTGAATGTGGTTGTGATTGTGGTGTGGGTGTCTGGGTGTGGGTGTGGTGATTGTGTGAGTATGGGTGTGAGTGTGGTTGTGATTGTGGTATGGGTGGGTGTGGGTGTGGTGATTGTGTGTGAGTGTGGGTGTGGTTGTGATTGTGTGGGTGTCGGTGTGGGTGTGGTTGTGATTGTGGGTGTGTGGTTGTGATTGGTGTGGGTGAGTGTGGGTGTGAGTGTGGTTGTGATTGTGTGTGGGTGGTTGTGGGTGTGTGGTTGTGATTATGGGTGTGGGTGGTTGTGAGTGTAGGTGTGGTTGGTTGTGATTGTGGGTGTGTGGTTGTGATTGTGGGTGTGGGGTGGTTGTGAGTGTGGGTGTGTGGGGGTAGTTGTGTGCTTGTGATTGTGGGTGTGTGGGGTGGTTGTGAGCATAGGTGTGGTTGTGGGTGTGTGGTTGTGATTGTGGGTGTGTGGTTGTGATTGTGGGTGTGTGGGTGGTTGTGAGCATAAGTGGTTGTGGGTGTGTGGTTGTGGGTGTGAGTGTGGTTGTGATTGTGGGTGTGTGGGTGGTTGTGAGTGTGCTTGTGGTTGTGATTGTGGTGTGTCTGGTTGGTGGAGCTCGGGTCGTGTCTGAGTCCTACTGCACATGCAAGGCTGGCAAGTGTGTGTTGCATTTTGTTTCCACAGAGAAAAATGGACGCTGCCTCATAAGGTAGCAGTTGTGGGGAGGGTTCCCCAAATACAAAACGGGGGCTCAGGTACTGGCTGGGCAAGAAAAGACGAGAAAGTTTTCCTGTCGATGTGGCCTCTTGGAGGCTGAACTGTGTGGCAATGTAACTAGAAACTGGAGACTTTATTTATTTATTTATTTTTTCTTTATTTTATTTTATTTTATTTTATTTTTTTGAGACGGAGTCTCGCTCTGTCGCCCAGGCTGGAGTGCAGTGGCGCGATCCCAGCTCACTGCAAGCTCCGCCTCCCAGGTTCATGCCATTCTCCTGCCTCAGCCTTCTGAGTAGCTGGGACTACAGGCGCCGCCACCACGCCCTGCTCATTTTTGCTATTTTCAGTTGAGACGAGCTTTCACCGTGTTAGCCAGGATGGTCTCGATCTCCTGACCTCGTGATCTGCCCGCCTCGGCCTCCCAAAGTGCTGGGATTACAGGCGTGAGCCACCGCGCCCAGCCCGAAACTGGAGACTTTATACCCTGGCTCAAGAAAGCCTGATGCAGGCCCAGAGCCTGGAGAGCAGATGCTGCACCAAGCAGGAACAGCGGAGTCTGCGAGCGCGCCCACCTGCTGCCTGAGGATGTCCTGGCTGGGGACACCCCTTCTGCTTCAGCAGTGGTAGCCGCTGCGAGCAGGCGAGCGGAGGCGGATCATGAGGACGCCCTGGCCGGCTGTCCCTGCGCTTCCCAGAGCTCACTCGAACTCAGCCGCCAGGGAGACTTCCCATGCAGAGAGCAAGAAGCCATCCATCATGAACATATGGGCTTCTGGTTACACAGTCTTTTGTGTCTTTGCCTTATCATAAGGGCAGTCTTGAGTGTGGCCATGAGTGCGTGGAGGAAACTTTCAAGATCTTTAGGCCGGGCGCGGTGGATCACGCCTGTAATCCCAGCACTTTGGAAGGCTGAGGTGGGCAGATCACAAGGTCAAGAGATGGAGACCATCCTGGCTAACACGGTGAAATCCTGTCTCTACTAAAAATACAAAAAATTAGCCGGGCGTGGCGGCATGCGCCTGTAGTCCCAGCCACTTGGGAGGCTGAGGCAGCAGAATGGCATGAACCCGGGAGGCGGAGATTGCAGTGAGCCAAGATCATGCCACTGCACTTCAGCCTGGGCGACAGAGCGAGACTGTCTCACAAACAAACAAACAAACAAACGAACAAACAAACAGATCTTTAAAGGTGGCTGGGCGCAGTAGCTTACACCTGTAATCCCAGCAATCTGGGGGGCCAAGGTGGGTGATCACTTGAGGCCTGGAGTTCGAGACCAGCCTGGCCAACATGGCAAAACCCTGTCTCTAGGAAAAATACAAAAACTAGCCAGGCATGGTGGCGGGCGCCTGTAGTCCCAGCTACTCATATAACTCGGTATATGTCATGCATATCATTGAATTGTACATTTAAAGCAAGTGGATTTTATGGTATGTAACTTGTATATAAGTCCCCTCCTGAGTAACAGGGTAGGTGGGAGGGCTTCCTAAGAACTCCTTTGTCCAGGAGCCCCAGCTTTAGTCTCCTGAGTTGGACTCTGCATCATTTTATTTGTTTATTTATGAGACACAGTCTCACACTGTCACCCAGGCTGGAGTGCAGTGGTACAACCTCGGCTCACTGCAACCTCTGTCTCCCAGGTCCAGGCGATTCTCATGCCTCAGCCTCCCGAGTAGCTGGGATTATAGGCATGCACCACCATGCCTGGTTAATTTTTGTATTTTTAGTAGAGACGGGGTTTCACCATGTTGGCCAGGCTGGTCTTGAACTCCTGACCTCAGGCGATCTGACTGCCTTGGCCTCCCAAAGTGCTGGGATTACAGGCATGAGCCACCATACCCGGTCTTGCATCATTTTAAAGGCACATTTCCACCCCTGCCTGGTTGCTGCCACTTGACTGACACCGTAAGGTATTCAACCCTTGCCTTACAGGATTCCTGCCGGAATTTACACAGCAAATGTTTCTCTTATATTTGAGGATTCCTAAGGCGCAGAGAATCGAGTTTCAATGCCAGCCCTTTCTGGGCTTCTGCTGAATTATCATTGTTGTATGATATTAATCATAAGCAGGGACATTAAAATGGAAATGAACTCAGGCAGAAATCCTGATCTGCTCTTCCTCTGCTGTCAGAATCCTGCTCTCCCCAAAGCCAAATGGCAGTGCAGGCCATGTGTGTGCACAATGGCTTCCTCTTGTTTCTACCTGTTCTGGAATATCTGTAATTCCTTTCATCCTTCTATATGAACTGTAAAATCTAGGTAACTGTGACCCTTAAAACACAATAATTGTCAGTAAGATAGAAATCATGCATCAGTGAAGAATAAGGTCTTCAGAGGCTGGGCACGGTGGCTCACGCCTGCAATCCCAGCACTTTAGGAGGCTGAAGCAGGCGGATCACGAGGTCAGGAGTTCGAGATCAGCCTGGCCAACATGTTGAAACCCCCTTTCTACTAAAAATACAAAAATTAGCCAGGCGTGGTGGCGCACAACTGTAATCCCAGTTACTCGGCGGGCTGAGGCAGGAGAATTGCTTGAACCTGGGAGGCGGAGCTTGCAGTGAGCCGAGATGGTGCTACTGCACTCCAACTTGGGCAACAGAGCAAGACTCCGTCTTGGAAAAAAAAAAAAAAAAGGCCTTGTGACAACAAACACGTCTCTACCATTTCCATGAAAAGGTGGAATTACCCTGAGACTGGAGATGATGTAATATTTGAGATATATATATATATATTTTAGACAATCTCCCTGTCACCCAGTGGTGTGATCATGCCTCACTGTAGCCTGTAGCTCCTGGGCTCAGGTGATCCTCCCACCTCAGTCTCCCAAATAACTGGAACTACAAGTGCACGCCTGTCACCATGCCCAGCTATATATATATATATATATATATATATATATATATATATATATATACTTTATTTTATTATTATTATTTTTTTTAAAGAGATGGAGTCTCGCCATGTTGCCCAGGCTGGTCTCGAACTCCTAGACTCAAGCAGTCCTCCTGCCTTGGACTACCAAAGTGCTGGGATTACATGCATGAGCCACTGTGACCAGCCTACTTAAAGTCCCCATTTTACAGGCAAGGAAACTAAGGAAAATTTAGTTGGTGGCTCGCCGGAGTTGATAACATCTTTGTTAATGTTTTCCTTTGAATAGCTGTGGGGACTGAGAAATGTTCGACTACCATGCTGTGTGGATGCCTTGTCATTAAGACAACCTCCAAGCTGTGTATGTGTAGAGAGAAGAAAATGAGGCCGGGCGCGGTGGCTCATGCCTGTAATCCCAGCACTTTGGGAGGATGAGGCGAGTGGATCACAAGGTCAGGAGATCGAGACCATCCTGGCTAACACGGTGAAACCCCATCTCTACTAAAAATACAAAAATTATCCGGGCGTGGTGGCGGGCGCCTGTAGTCCCAGCTAGTCGGGAGCCTGAGGCAGGAGAATGGCGCAAACCCGGGAGGTGGAGCTTGCAGTGAGCCGAGATTGCACCACTGCACTCCAGCCTGGGCGACAGAGCCAGACTCTGTCTCAAAAAAAACAAAAAGAAAATGAGAACCAGTCTACTTTTAATATCCCTAATGAGCCATGGCTTCTAAAAAGACAGATCCTGTGCTCGTAATTATAAGCTTCCATGGGCAGCCGAGCTGCCAAATGGTCAAAAAATGCAGAGCCCTTAGTCCCTGGGTCCGGCCTACATCTAAAAGTAAGGCAGTTTTGGGGTAACCAGTATTTTGCTTTTCAGCTTTTGGCCTGAGGTGGGTTGCAAAGGGACAGCTTCCTTTCAGTCCCTGCGGTTGACCTTCCTCTTGGAGGGGACATGCCAGATGCATCCAGAAGGCTAAACTGCCAGGGTTTTCTTGGGGTAGGGGTTGGGGGGCCACCAGGGTGGAGCTCTTCAAAAAGGCTCTGAAAAATGGGTGCTTCGCGGGCTGCCTTGCTTTGGAGAAGTCCACTAAGCTCCTAAGGTGGCACAAAATTTGTCCAAAGGAGCCACAGGAATTACTGACACACAGAATTTGTGCTTTGAGTGGGGCGTGTCCCCTGTCCCTCAGGACTACAGTGGATAGAGAGGTTTCAGGGCTGGGACCAGCTCTTCCCCAGAGCAGGGAAGTTTAAGGCCCAGGGAGGTTTAAGGAGTGTTGGGATTCGCTGAAGTGGTGGCCTTCTTGTCTTTCCCCAGCCCTCAGCCTGGAGAGCCACCTCCAGCTTCAGGCCCAGCTCCTTGTGCCCTGAGGTAGGGCAGTTTGCTCAGGCCAGTCACTTCTTCTTTTTTTTTTTTTTTTTGAAACGGAGTTTTACTCTTGTTGCCCAGGCTGGAGTGCGGTGAGCGCGATCTTGACTCACCACAACCTCTGCCTCCCGGGTTCAAGCGATTCTCCTCTCAGCCTCCCAAGTAGCTGGGATTACAGGCATGTGCCAGCACATCTGGCTAATTTTGTATTTTTGGTAGAGATGGTTTCTCCATGTTGGTCAGGCTGGTGTTGAACTCCTGACCTTAGGTGATCCGCCCACCTCGACCTCCTAAAGTGCTGGGATTACAGGCGTGAGCCACTGCGCCTGGCCCAGTCACTTCTTTAGACACCTACATGCTCATAACAGTTCTCAGAATTGCACTTCAGTAGAAAAGGTGAGGATTTTCTGCTTCTACGGCATCCATCAGGGTTCTGAAGTCCACACAAAATGTATCACCTGGAACAGTCGCAGCTGCCTGTGTTATGTTGCTAGTCCTTGTAAGGCACCAATCCTGGTGTTTTTAATGTCGGCTCCTGGCATCGTGCCTAGTCTCTACAGATTACAAATGCCTGAAATGATGAAAAATGGCGACTCCCTATTTTCTAGTTGGCTTTTGCAGATCCAGAATCAGCACTACGGTGGCTCCTTACATGTCTTACTGACTTCTAGTGGTTTTTTTTGTATTAGTCCATTCTCATGCTGCTATAAAGAACTCCCTGAAGCTGGGTGCAGTGGCTCATGGCTGTAATCCCAGCACTTTGGGAGGCTGAGGCGGGTGGATCACCTGAGGTCAGGAGTTCGAGACCAGCATGACCAATATGGTGAAACCCCGTCTCTACTAAAAATACTACTACTCAGGAGACTGAGGCAGGAGAATCGCTTGAACCCAGGAGGCGGAGGTTGCAGTGAGCTGAGATCGCACCATTGCACTCCAGCCTGGGCAACAAGAGCAAAACTCCGTCTCAAAAACAAAAAAACAAAACAAAACAAAAGAAAACAAAAGCCTGCCTGAGACTGGGTAATTTAGAAAGGAAAGGTTTAATTGACTCAGTTCCGGATGGCTGGGGAAGCCTCAGGAAACTTAATCATGGTGGAAGGGGAAAGGGAAGCAAGGCACTTCTTATACGGCAGCAGGGGAGAGCCAGAGCAAGGAAGGGCCACACCTTTTAAACCATCAGATCTCATGAGAACCACTATCAAGAGAACAGCATGGGGGAAACCGCCCCAGATTCAATCACCTCCCACTAGGTCCCTCCCTCGACATGTGGGGGATGGCAATTTGAGATGAGATTTGGGTGAGGACAAAGAGCCAAACCATGTCACTATTCAAGCTTCTTCAGGAAGAATGGATGTAGTGCTATTTACTAAAAATAACAGGTTTTATTCAGAATGACACGGTCCTTGCTCAAGAACAACAGGAGTAACCAGAGAATGAGGGGAGATAAGTTAGCAATCAGTATTGATAAAGAAACATTTGAGAAACACCCCAAAACTGAAGTACTGATCAGCAGCCTGGCCCAGGTTCCTTAGAAATGAGACCTGTATATGTTCCCGTTAGGCTTTTTTTTCTTTGACACAAGGTCTTGGTCACCCAGGCTGGAATGCAGTGGTGTGATCTCAGTTTACTGCAGCCTCTGCCTCCTGGACTCAAGCAATCGTCCCACCTCAGCCTCCCGAGAAGCTGGGAAAACAGGCACGCACCACCATGCCTGTCTTATTTTTTTAATTTTTTGGTAGAGATGGGTTGTATGTTGCCCTGCTAAGACTTTGAACTATGATACAATAGTGAAATAAATGAAGGTTATTACTCTCATGGGAATGAAAAGTTGAAGGTATGGTTTACAGCAGAAAGGCACTTGATTCTGCACTCTCATTTCCATCCTCCCTACCTTGCTGGCTTATAGCGAACTCCTTGTAGGAAATGCTGTCACCGTTACCTAAGCAGGCTACAAAGCTGCTTGTCAGAGCAGGACAGTTCATGTGAGTAGCAAAGACAAAAAAGTCTTGTCAGTGCAAGTATTGGGGGTGGAAGGTCAACCCATTATGGGTAAAATACAAAACTAGGCATGATAGCTTTTCCTTTTTTTTTTGAGACAGGGTCTCAGCCTGTCACTCAGGCTGGAGTGCAGTGGTGCAAAATGTACGTTTCAGGCCTTTATTTACTTATTTTGAGACGGAGTCTCGCTCTGTTGCCCAGGCTGGAGTGTAGTGGCACAATCTTGGCTCACTGCAACCTCCGCCTCCCTGGTTCAAGCGATTCTCCTGCCTCAGTCTCCCGCGAAGCTGGGACTACAGGCGTGCGCCAGTATGCCTGGCTAATTTTTTTTATCTTTAGTAGAGACAGGGTTTCACTATGTTGACGAGGCTGGTCTCAAACTCCTGACCTCAGGTGATCTGCCTGCCTCAGCCTCCCAAAGTGCTGGGATCACAGGTGTGAGCCACCGTGCCCAGCCTATTATTTTTGAGACAGTTTCATTCTTATTGCCCAGGCTGGAGTGCAATGGCGCAATCTCGGCTCACCACAACCTCCGCTTCCCAGGTTCAAGTGATTCTCCTGCCTCAGCCTCCCACGTAGCTGGGATTACAGGCATGCGCCACCAAGTCTGGCTAATTTTTTTGTATTTTTATTCAAGACGGGATTTCTCCATGTTGGTCAGGCTGGTCTCGAACTCCTGACCTCAGGTGATCCACCTGCCTCAGCCTCCCAAAGTGCTGGGATTACAGCCATGAGCCACCACGCCTGGCCTATTTATTTTTGAAACAGTTTTGCTCTGTTGCCCAGGCTAGAGTGCAGTGGTGTGATCTTGGCTCACTGCAACCGACGACTCCCAGGCTCAACGGATTCTCCCACCTCAGTCTCCTGAGTAACTGGGACTACAGGTGTGCACCACCACACTCGGCTGATTTTTGTATTTTCGGTAGAGACAGGGTTCACCATGTTGCCCAGGCCAGTCTTGAACTCTTTAGGTCAAGTGACCTACCTGCCTCGGCCACCCTCCCAAAGTGCTGGGATTAAAGGTGTGACTCACTGCGCCCAGCCATGATAGACTTTCTTACCTCTCGTTCTGGTCACCTCTTACTCCAGATACATTTATGTAATCTGCTTGCTCTCTTGAATTTGTTATGGAACTAAATATGTGAGTGCAGAACTTGCAATGAATGGATGAACCATAGACTAATATGAATCAAAGGCTGCTATTAAATTCTTAGGTTAAAAAAATAACTTCTTGGCCAGGTCTGGTGGCTCAGGCCTGTAATCCCAGCACTTTTCTAGGAGCCTGGGGCAGGAGGATTGCTACAGTGAGCCATGATCATGTCATTGCACTCCAGCCTGGGCAACAGGGTAAGATCTCATTTCAAAAAAAAAGCCACCCCCTAAAACAAACCTCGTTTGGAAATTCCGAATGTGCCT
Organism: Homo sapiens; assembly: GCF_000001405.40. NCBI lineage: Eukaryota > Metazoa > Chordata > Mammalia > Primates > Hominidae > Homo > Homo sapiens. The sequence continues at coordinate 39,822,664 of NC_000004.12, forward strand.
CAGAATTTATCATCCACTATGTTCTTCCTTAGCCACTGTAAGCTACCTCAGAGTACCCAGCCAGGAAGTTTGAAGGTGGCTTTTGATTTCTAATTAGGATATTCAGACTCCAGCATCTCAACAGAAAATATGCAGAGACATTTTATCAACTTGTGACATACCAGGGGTACATGAATATTCAGGGCTCCACACTACTATATAATGCTGCATTTCTTGGTTTTATTTGAAACAGTGCATATTTTTAGCATTTTATGGTAGGATTTTACACTTGTCATTTACACAAATTACAAGGTTCTGCTTCAAGTTTTTAAAAAAAATTTAAAAATTCAGCCCATGTGCAGCACAAGAATATGCAAAACTACTTTACATTATACACACTTTTTATCAAAGGAGATACAAAATTCTGGCTTGTTGTTTTAGACAAATACAAGAAGCTTCAAACTAGACACAAAGGGTTAACATTAATTCTCAAATATAAGTCTGCACTTTTGTGTTGTAGTTCTCTGAGATGTGAATACCAAATTCCTAAGGGATTTTAATGTTTTCCTTTGAAAAGGAAAACTAAAAAAATTCCCGTAAACAAGTCCCTCCCCATCAGCTTGGTCTTTCCACAACCCTACTCTTGCTTCCCTTAGTGCCAGACACTTGCATCATGTTACAAAATTGGGGTGGGCCACTTACATCATACAAGGAGCAAATCCTTTTAACTTCTCTCCTGCAAAAATCTAAACAGGAATATATTGATGCAGATGGTTCTGCTACATTTTATTTAATATGATGTAACACTTGGTAATCTAGTAAACTGTGATGCCGGGCAATTAATCAAAGGGAGGAAGAGACAAAGGTCCCTATCAATGCACTTTTTGTTGGTGACACACTGGAAACCTTAGGAATCAAGTTGTCTGATGCTAAGAGAACTTTAAACTCTCTCTAAATAGAACACACCTACTGATTGCTTGAGGGACTTCTCTGATACTTATGCATAGATACTCTTTTTCAGCATGTTGGAGGCAATATTTTATACTTTCTAAAGGGTTCTGAAGAGGCAATAAGGAAGAGTGGGGATTTTTCTGCCCCTGTAAAGGTATCATTTTCTATCATTGGTATCCATTGTTCCCTAAGCATCTTCTGATACCTAAATGTGTGTAAATGCATATTTAAAATAATTACCCATCTTTCAGTCAATACACAGCCAACTCTTGATTATCTATGAGAAACGTAAGTGACATTTACTCTCAAACTTCACTCTAACAGAATCATCCACCTTTGATACACTTGTTTGTTTTACATCCCATGTACACTACAGCCTATCAAGACGAAGTTATAACACAAATGTTGTTTCCTCTGACCCATGCTAGAAACGTGTAAGGAAATGGAGTGAGCACATTCTGCTAGGGCTTTGCGGATGACCCTACAGTGGACAGTGGGGGCAGGATAGAACTCTGGACATGAGAAAAGACAAATTTCATGTTCCTCCAGAATCAGGTCTTACATGCCTTCGTTATTTTGTTATCACAAAATTAAAAACCTGAGGCTTAGTCACTATTTTATATAGATAATGGAGAGTTGACTGTAATCATGTTATGACTTTAGCTCTTTAACATGAAAAAATTCACAAGAAAGCATATGATAAAAAGATTAAAAAGACTGCCATGACATCTAGAAGCATTTATTTTATGCAAAAAACTTAAATATGATTATGTGTACACATAAAGTGCACACATTACCTATGCTGAACAATGCCAAGAAACATAATATATTGATGCAACAGTTTTCTAAAATAAACATAAAAATGAGCCCAGACCATCAGACAAAAGCAAAACACTTATTTCCAAATAGCACAATGCTGAAAATTGATAGCAATCCTAAAACACCTCCAACTTTCCTTAAAAGCTGCCAAAGTCCAACTATTTTTTAAAAATTGATTTTTTTTACATTAATAAAAATCTGGTGACAAACATTATAAAACCAAATGCTGGACAGTCTTTACTCCTTTAAAATTCCAAATATTCCAACATAATCACAGGAGTAAAAACCATTTTAAAGTGATATGCTTTATGAAACAAACAACAATATGTACATTTATTGCAAATTATATTAAACTAAAATGAGGGGAAATCAAAATATGAACTGTTTACTACTTGCAAATCAATAATTTTAATTTTCTCACTCTGATAAAAATCAGAAAGCAACATTTATAAAATTGCTACCACATCACTTTTCATAGCAGGGAACCGAAATCTGTACATCTCATTTTTGCAGAAAAGTAGGCAGGCAGAAAGAATTATACATAAAAGTTTCCAAAAGGAAAAACAAAGAAATATTTAATCTGATCTCTTTTCTTTTAAAAAATTAATTCAGTAGACTTCTATTTTTTCCTGTGTAACATGGGAATTCCTGGCTCTAAAATGGATGAATTTTCAGTGTCAGTGTAAAGACATCTTGTTACTTTCTTTAAAATAAAAACTGCAGCGTGGAAATTAATGGTGTATTACGCATTTAAACTCCAGATAGGCAGGAACTGGAACCAAGTGTTAAGCAATTTGCTTAATTATTGACTTTTCGTAAGAAAAGTCTAGGGGAAGGGGGAGAACAGAGTTGCTTTTAGCCTCTCTCTCAAGAGTTTCTGCTGTACATTTCCATCAGAGGACTTGTGGTCATGTGAAAAGGAAGTAATAGTCTCTTTAGTTTTCAAGGCAGAGAGTGTGTGTTCTGAAGTGAGCTTCATTTTCTGTTCAGGGACATTTGTGAATCCAAGTTTTTGCAGAAGCTGGAGCCTGCTTCTGTTTGGCCTTCATTTTCTCCCTTTGCAAATGCATTTTTACCTTAGGGTTAAGAATAGAACGCAAAGTTAGAAAAGATGTGGAGAAGATATAAACCAAACGAAAATGATTTCATTTCCATAGTTGTTATCTAAAATCTTTTTTTTTTTTTTTAAACTTAAGCATCAGGATCTCACTCTGTCACTCAGGCTGAAGTACAGTGGCACGATCATGGCTCACTCAGCCCCAACTCCTGGGTTCAAGTGGTCCTCCAGGCTCAGCGTCCAGCCTGAGCCTCCCAAATAGCTAGAACTATAGGCGCACACCACCATGGCTGGCTAATTTTTAAATTATTTGTACAGACGGGATCTCATTATGTTGCCCAGGCTGGTCTTCAACTCCTGAGCTCAAGCGATCTGGGAAGCCTGCGCTTCTCAGATTCACTACTGGGATTACAGGCATGAGTCACTGTGCTTGGCATGTTATCTAAAATCCTTAAAAAGTTTTTTCATTTTTTCACCTGAAACTTGGTTTAAAGAGCCTTTCCCTAAACTATATAAAAACCAAACACCAATAAAGAAGTTTTTGTTTTCAATGACTTAGTGCTGCTATCCAATGCCCTATTTGCTTACAACATTAAAAGCTATTTATCATACTATGGCAAAATGAATTTATAAGCAGCAAAATAACTTCTGACTCATGAGCTGGGTAAACATAAACGTTTTAGCATACTAAAAACATCCCAACCAAACTGGCGTGTTTTTTTTTTTTTTTTAAACGCATTTCCCTAATAGGGAGGGAAATTCTGATCCCTGGAAGCACAGGAGAGTGGGACATGGCCTCTTTCTCACCTCCTCTCACCTACTCCTCTTTGGGAGAAGGAGGAACTCATCTAATAGATGAGATTAGGGAAAAGGAATGAGCATGTTGGGATTGACTTCATCAATATTTGTTCTTTTGCCCTGAGAAGTGCATTCTGGTTTGTCTGTGGCTGTTCAATTCAGTGGCAAGGCATTAGCAGCCCAACTTGCCTAATTCATTCCACATTTTTATTTATTTATTTATTTATTTATTTATTTGAGATGGAGTCTCGCTCTGTTGCCAGGCTGGAGTGCAGTGGTGTGATCTGGGCTCACTGCAAGCTCCACCTCCCGGGTTCAAGCGATACTCCTGTCTCAGCCTCCTGAGTAGCTGGGACTACAGGTGCGTGCCACCATGCCCAGCTCATTTTTTGTATTTTTAGTAGAGACGGTGTTTCACCATGTTGGTCAGGATGGTCTTGAACTCTAGACCTCGTGGTCTGCCTGCCTCGGCCTCCCAAAGTGCTGGGATTACAGGCATGAACCACCACGCCCGGCCCATTCTACATTTTTAATCAGCCTGATCAGTAGTAAGACTGTCTCCTTTTCCACAATTTTACACCTAAAAGAGAAAGAAAGATATATTCCCAAACTCCTTTACTACATACATATTTTATAAAGGTAACAATGCTAAAAGAGCTAAGTGATTATTACAATTCATACAGAGACTATTAATTTGTTATACTATTTGAAGCAATTTTAACAATATGCTATTAAAGAATTTTTTTTTTTTTGAGGCAGAGTCTTGCTCTGTTGCCCAGGCTGGAGTGCTTGGCATGATCTCGGCTCACCACAACCTCCACCTCCCAGGTTCAAGCGATTCTCCTGCCTCGGCCTCTTGAGTAGCTGGGACTATAGGTTGCGCCCCCACGCGCAGCTAATTTTTGTATTTTTAGTAGAGATGGGGTTTCACTATGTTGGCCAGGCTGGTCTTGAACTCCTGACCTAGTGATCAGCCTGCTTTGGCCTCCAAAGTGCTGAGATTACAGGCATGAACCACTGGACCCGGCCAAAGAATTATTTACAAGCTGCCTGCTACACCTTCAGGAAGCTTCCCTTTCCTAGCCCTGAGTCCTCTGTATTTCTTGGGCTGCTCTCACAGACTTCTGAAAGACCCAGGTCACTGGAAGAGCTCCTGGACTTGATTCTATGTACCAAGATGAACTGCCATCACTGCAAGCACTTGGCTTCTGAAAAATTTCATGTTATTTTGAGAAAAATTCACTTGTTACTAAAAAAAATTCATATTGAACTAATATATAGCTGTTTAACACATGAGGATACACATTTGAGGATATATACTTAGGGGTTAATTTTGAGATACGAACCCACATGATGGGAGGAAACCTTCTCATTATACAAATGAGCACAAAAACTCAGTCAATTCTTTGCTTTAAGAAAAACAAATTCTAAGATCCTTGAACACTCCCACACTAAGCATGCTAAACAAAACATGTTAATCCAACGACTAGAAACCCACAGTCTGTTATCCTACAGATATTCTCTTTAAATTCAAATTCCCCAGAAGTCACAAATTTGGGGTTATTTTTCCATTGATGTTTATTGACAAGCTCATCTTCAAGGAAGAATTTGGCCTTAAGTGTAAGCAAAACATACTCAACAATCAGCAAATCTATTCAGAACATATTTTCAATTCACAACACCGGGAACTGTTTGCCCTCTGAATGATAGCCTTAACACAAAGAGGAAAAACAAGTGAACTAAACTACTGAAATGATCATTCCTTCATCCGAAACTCAGAGACCCAACACTAATGTCCAGCTAATACTGTTGACTGTTTCCTGACCACACTGCAAATGGCTGATTTTTACTGGTTTTATTGGGTGAACTCAAGGAATTTTTGCAAAAGGAATAACAAGTCTAAATGCAGCCCAAAACATAAACAGGAATACTTACTGAAACCCACATACATGCAAATAGCTGAGGGAATACATTTACCACAAAAATCCGATCTAAAAATTCTAACGTTACCTTTACAAGTTAAAACCTTTAGCATCAGCTCCCAGCTAAAACTGAGGCCAGGAGAATTTTGCATATCTTCCTCTCTCTGTTTTGGTGGAATAAAGTATCCTTGAACCAGTAAATAAACCCTATAGGTAGGAATCAAGCTAAAAATAATCATTACTGACCTAATGTTTTGAGTAAAAACCTAGTAAGAGGAATTCTGCGAGGGTTAGCACTTGCCACATATTAGAAGTTATGGCTGTGGTATTAAAATGGCTCTAGAAGCCTCACACATCAGAAATCTACCTAAAAGAGCTGAAGATGAAATGAAGTTAACAAACCTAAAGTGTAAACTGTAGTTGGCATATACTAGGGCCTCAAAAATGGTTTTCACTAATTAATGATAATAAAATATGATAGTAAATACCAAGTAATACAACTGCACAAGCTTTCTGGAGGTGGTGCAAGTGTAAAGTACCACTCTGGGGTGGGATTCTGTACTCAGATCGACAAAAGAGCACCTATAGATGACTGGGGTGAGGTTAAGAGGTAAGCTCTTTTGAGATATTACTGCAGAGTTGTGAACAGAGCCGAAAATGATCATCTAGGAAGTGAAAAATAAAGCAAGTGAAAGGTGTGGAGAATCATGCAAGGAAAAATAAAAGACTGATAAATTGGGCACCTGGAGTTAGAATGCAGGGCCACAGAGAAGCACAAGGGTGCCAGGCCTTCTTTATCAAATAAAACCCAGGGCTGAACTTAGTGCAGCAATCCCGATCAGACTCCACAATGCAAGGCCCCTAAGGAGAGCTGATTCTATCACCCTGTAGCTCAGCGGTGTGTTTGATTGCTCTCAGGTTTGGCACCTCTATGTCTTCTCTTACCAGTTAGTTGGTTGAAACTGTAATGATATAAAACCTTAACAGGATGATCCTCACCAGGTCTCAGGAAAATGCAGGTGGAATGTCAAATCACTCACAGGGAATACTAGCAGTTAATGAGAGCTATGTTTAGAATCTTGTAGCAAGGTGGAAGCTGCAGTTCCACATGAAATAAAAATAGTTGGCACTTTCAGGATTTTGACCATTCAACTGAAGGGCAGTCAAAACATCAGCTGAGGCCGGGCATGGTGGCTCACACCTGTAATCCCAGCACTTTGGGAGGCCGAGGTGGGTGGATCACGAGGTCAGGAGATCAGGACCAGCCTGACCAATATGGTGAAACCTCATCTCTACAAAAACACAAAAATTAGCTGGTGTGGTGGCACACACCTGTAGTTCTAGCTACTCGGGAGGCTGAAGCAGAAAAATTGCTTTAATCCAGGAGGTGGAGGTCGCAGTGAGCCAAGACTGCGCCACTACACTCCAGCCTGGGTGACAGAGTGAGACTTCATCTCCACAAAAAAAAAAAAAAATTTCCGGCCAGGCGCGGTGGCTCACGCCTGTAATCCCGGCACTTTTGGAGGCCGAGGCGGGCGGATCACAAGGTCAGGAGATCAAGACCATCCTGGCTAACACGGTGAAACCCTGTCTCCACTAAAAATACAAAAAATTAGCCGGGCGTGGTGGTGGGTGCCTGTGGTCCCAGCTACTCAGAAGGCTGAGGCAGGAGAATGGCGTGAGCCCAGGAGGTGGAGCTTGCAAAGAGCTGAGATCGAGCCACTGTACTCCAGCCTGGGCGACAGACTGAGACTCCAACTCAAAAAAAAAAAAAAAAAAAAAAAAAAAAAAAAAAGAAATTTCCAAGCTACCGCCATGAGCAGTATCATGAGGCAGACAGACAATAAGTGATATGCTGGGATCTTAAGCCATGCCCTGTGTAGCACTAGCCAAGTGACCTGAGCAAGGTCCGTTCAGGTCTTCATTTCTTTATGCTCATATAGTGTGATACTTGCTTAATAATGGATGTTGGCAGGTCAGATATCTGCTCATAAAACACTTCCTACTGTCACTACTAATACAGATGCCAGGCACCTATCACTCAGGCTGGAGTACAGTGGCACTATCATGGCCCACTGGAGCTATGAACACTGAGGCTCAAGCAATCCTCCTGCCACAGCATCCCAAGTAGCTGGGACCACAGGTGAATACCACCATGCCGGGCTAATTTCTTTTTAAATTTTTTGTAGAGACAGGGTCTTGCTATAGTACCAAATAACATTTGAACTAATTTTTGTTAATTTTCATTTTTTTGAGACAGAGTATCACTCTGTTGCCCAGGATGGAGTGCACTGGCAAGATCTTGGCTCACTGCAACCTCCAACCTCCCAGGTTTAAGCAATTCTCCTGCCTCAGCCTCCTGAGTAGCTGAGATTACAGGTGTGTGCCACCACGCCCAGCTAATTTTGTATTTTTAGTAGAGATAGGGTTTCACCATGTTGGCCAGGCTGGTCTCAAACTCCTGACCTCAAGTGATCTGCCCACCTAGGCTTCCCAAAGTGCTGGGATTAAAGGCGTGAGCCACCATGCCCAGCCCATTTGAACTAATTTTCACCCCAGTCTTGTTCTTGGCATTGGGTGTTAGATTCAATTAAAGTATGCCACTTTCAAAAACATCTGATCTATCTCTCGGTTTTCCTCTCTAATCCTAAAATGCAAGGATTTTGTTTGCATGTACTACCAAAAGAGGTGAAAAAGATGAGTAGAATTGGTCTAATTTAACCCGTGATTATTTCAAATAAACTAGTGCTTTTACTTACAGTTCTGCCGGGCGCAATGGCTCACGCCTATAATCCCATTTATGTAAGGGATCAAAAGCTACATAGCCCTTTATACCTGGGTTTCCTCCACTTTTGGGAGGAAATGATAGTACTGGGGAGAATGCAGTACTTAGCCACATAGAGTTGTTTTTGTTTTTTGAGATGGAGTCTTGTTCTGTCATCCAGGCTGGAGTGCATGGTGTGATCTTGGTTCACTGCAACCTCCGCCTCCCAAGTTCAATTGCCTCCTGGCAATTCTTCTGCCTCAGCCTACTGAGTAGCTGGGACTAGAGGCGCGTGCGCCACCATGCCCGGCTAAATTTTGTATTTTTATTATAGATGGAGTTTCACCATATTGGCCAGGCTGGTCTTGAACTCCTGACCTCGTGATCTGCCCACCTTGGCATCCTAAAGTGCTGGGATTACAGGCGTGAGCCACCGTGCCTGGCCATAGAGTTGTTTTAAGGATTCAATGGGTTAACAAATAAAGAGCTTATTATTGAGCTTGACTTATAATAAGCACTATATTACCATTAGCTGTTTTTTAATGCAGCAAAATTTAAAATTATGATAAAATATATATCAAATACAATTTATCATTTTAACCATTTTTAAGTATAAAGTTTAATGGCATTAAGAATATAAAGGGATGGGTGCGATGGCTCACGCCTGCAATCCCAGCACTTTGGGAGGCCAAGGTGGGCGGATCACCTGAGGTCGGGAGTTCAAGACCAGCCTGACCAACGTGGAGAAACCCTGTCTCTACTAAAAATACAAAATTAGCCAGGCTTGGTGGCGCATGCCTGTAATCCCAGCTACTAGGGAGGCTGAGGCAGGAGAATTGCTTGGACTGGAAGGCGGAGGTTGCGGTGAGCCGAGATCACACCATTGCACTCCAGCCTAGGCAACAAGAGCGAAACTCGTCTCAAAAAAAAAAAAAAAAAAAAAAAAAAAAAGAATATTAGGGGTCTGGCTGCCCAACACGGTGAAACCCGTCTCTACTACAAATACAAAAATTAGCCGGGTGTGGTGGCGCACATCTGCAGTCCCAGCTGCTCCGGAGGATGAGGCACAAGAATCCCTTGAATGAACCCGGGAGGCAGAGGGTGCAGTGAGCCGAGATCTCACCATTGTACTCCAGCCTGGGTGACAGAGCAAGACTCCATTTCAAAAACAAAACAAAACAAAAACCCAAAAACAAGAATATAAGGGGTCTTCAAAAAGTTTGTGGAAAATGAATGTTACGAAATAATTATGCATGGATTTCAATTATTTTTTTTTTTGAGTTGGAGTCTCACTCTGTCGCCCAGGCTGGAGTGCAGTGGTGTGATCTCTGCTCACTGCAAGCTCCGCCCCCTGGGTTCATGCCATTCTCCTGCCTCAGCCTCCCGAGTAGCTGGGAGTACAGATGCCTGCCACCACGCCTGGCTAATTTTTTGTATATTTAGTAGAGACGGGATTTCACCGTGTTAGCCAGGATGGTCTCGATCTCCTGACCTCGTGATCCACCCGCCTCCCAAAGTGCTGAGATTATAGGCATGAGCCACCGTTCCTGGCTCAAAATTTTTTTTTTGCACCAAAATAAACTCATACTAACTTGTTATGTCTGATCAGGATCTAGTTTGAGGCACTGAAAATATTTGAGAAGTTTGAGGGCTGGGGCAGGAAGATTGCTTGGGGGCAGGAAGATTGCTTGATTCCAGGAGTTTGAGACCAGCCTGGGCAATACAGCAAGACCCAAAAAATTTAAAAAGAAATTAGCCAGCCATGGTGGTGCACACCTATGGTCCCAGCTACTTGGGAGGCTGAGGCAAGAGGATTGCTTGAGCCTCAGTGCTCTCATAGAACAAAGTGAGCCATGATGGTGCCACTGCACTCCAGCCTGAGTGACAGAGTGAGACTGGTCTCTCAAAAAAGTTTGAAGAGGCTGGGCGTGGTGGCTCACGCCTGTAATCCCAGCACTTTGGGAGGCCAAGGTGGGTGGATCACCTGAGGTCAGGAGTTCAAGACCAGTCTGGCCAACATAGTGAAACCCCATCTCTACTAAAAAAAAGAAAAAAATAATAAATAAATAAATAAATATATATATAAAATTAGCTGGGTGTGGTGGCGGGCGCCTGTAATCCCAGATACTAGGGAGGCTGAGGCAGGAGAATTGCTTGAACCTAGGAGGCAGAGGTTGCAGTGAGCTGAGATCGTGTCGTTGCACTCCAGCCTGGGCCACAAGAGTGAAACTCCGTCTCAAAAAAAAAAAAAAAAAAAAAAAAAGAAAAAAGTTTGAAGAGAGTCCCTATCAGAGCAATAGGATTCTGCTAAAATTGAAGCAAGAAAAGCATCAAATGTCTGGTGAAGCTTGGGTGGAAGAATGGCGAAATCACTGATGCTTTAGGAAAAGTTTATGAGACAATGCCCCAAAGAAATCAGTAGCTTAAAATTGGTATTTTGTGTGTGTGTGACAGGGTCTCCTCGGTCACCCAGGCTAGGGTGCAGTGAGGAGTGGCATGATCATGACTCACTGTAGCCTCGACCTCCCAGGCTCAGGTGATCCCCTCACCTCAGCCTCTGAAGTAGCCAAGACTATGGGCACATACCAGACACCTGGCTAATTTTTCTATTTTTTTTGTAGATATGGGGTTTTGCCATATCGCCCAGGCTGGTCTTAAACTCCTAGGCTCCAGTCATCTGCCAGCCTCAGCCTCCCAAAGTGGTAGGATTATAGGCATGAACCATGATGACCAGCTGGATAAATTGTTTCAGGAAGGGTTGAGATGATGTTGAACATCATGCCCTCCACATCAATTTACGGGGAAAAAAATTCATCTTGTTTCTGCCGATTCAAGAGGACTGACAAGAGCAGAAACAATAGCCAACACTGTGGTCATTTCAACTGGTTCAGCTTACAAAATTCTGACTGAAAAATTAAAGTTGAGCAAGCTTTCCACTCAATGGCTGTTAAAACCCTTTGCACCCAGATCAGCTGTAGACAAGAGCAGAGCTTTGGATAGAAAGTCTAGACAAGTACGATCAAGATCCTGAAGCACTTATTCGAAGAACTGCAATAGGAACTGAAACATGGCTTTACCAGTACAATCCCGAAGACAAAGCACAATCAAAGCAATTTAGCTGGGCACAGTGGCGCGTGCCTGTAGTCCCAGCTACCAGGGAGGTTGAGCCTGCAGTGAGGCAAGACCGCATCATTGCACTCTAGCCTGGGCAAGAGAGCCAGATATTGTCTCAAAAAAAAAAAAAAAAGGGTACTAAGAGGTCAAAGTGGCCAAGTGGTCCAGTGAAAGGAAAAGCAGACTGGTCAAGAGTAAAGGTCATGGCAATAGTTTTTTGGGATGCTCAAGGCATTTTGCTTGTTGAGTTTCTGGAAAGCCAACAAATGATAATATCTGCTTATTATGAGTGTTTGGACAAAGTCAAAGCTTTAGCAGAAAAATGCCTGGGAAAGCTTCACCAGAGAGTCCTCCTCCACCATGACAATGTTCTCGCTCATTCCTCTCATCAGACAAGGGCAATTCTGCAAGAGTTCCCATGGGAAATCATTAGGCATCCAGCTTACAGTACTGATTTGGCTCCTTCTGACTTCTTTTTGCTTCTTAATCTTAAAAAAATTTTTAAAGAGTGCCAATTTTTCTTTGGTCACTAATGAAAAAAAGACTGTTTGAAATGGTTAAACTCACAGGACCCTCAGTTCTTTGGGGATGGACTAAATGGCTTCTATCATTGCTTACAAAAAGTGTCTTGAAGTTGATGGAGCTTATGTTGAGAAAGTTTCTATTTTTATCTCTTAACTCCAGTTTTCCATGACCTTTCTGAAGTGGCCAATTATTTATATTGTGTACAACCATTACCACCATCCATCTCTAGAACTTTCTCACGTTCCCCGATTGAAACTCCATCCCCATTAAACACTAAAGCCTATTCCCGCTAACCTCAGCCCCAGGCTCAAGCAATCCTCCCACCTCAGCTCCCTGAGTACAGGCACACAACATCATGCCCGACTAATTTTGTATTTAATTTATATTTTTATTTTTGAGATGGAGTCTCACTCTGTCGTCCAGACTGGAGTGCAGTGGCACAATCTCTGCTCACTGCAAACTCTACCTCCCGGGTAGCTGAGATTACAGGGGTGCGCCACCACACCCAGCTAATTTTTTGTATTTTCAGTGGAGACAGGCTTTCACCATATTGGTCAGGCTGATCTTGAACTCCTGACCTTAAAAGATCTGCCCACCTTGGCTTGGCCTCCCAAAGTGCTGGGATTATAGGTGTGAGCCACCGCACCTGGCCATAAACATTTAATTTAACCACCTACTGTCACTGAGATTAGAAAACCATCACAGAATACTGTATTCTGAATAACACACTGCCCATTGATCTACTACTAGCATATTTAAGATCTGTAATGTGCCTTTTCAGTCTGTAAAGAGAAGGCCAAATGCCATTTGATGATATTGGGGCACATAGTGCAGCTAAAAGCAAAGCAATGGATTTTACAATGCTGTATATGAGAGAAGGTCTAAATGCTACTGAAAAAGTTTTCAGGGTTCCAGCATGTATCCGTTTTTTTGTCTTTCTGTTTTTTTGAGACAGAGTATCGCTCTGTTTCCCAGGCTGGAGTGTAGTGGCCGGATCTCGGCTCACTGCAACCCCCGCCTCCCGGGTTCAAGCAATTCTCCTGCCTCAGTCTCGCGAGTAGCTGGCACTACAGGTGTGCACCACCAAGCCCAGCTAATTTTTGCATTTTTAGTAGAAATGGGGTTTCTCCATGTTGGCCAGACTAGTCTGAAACTCCTGACCTCAGGTGATCCGCCTGCCTTGGCCTCCCAAAGTGCTGTGATTACAGGCGTGAGCCACCGTGCCTGGCCACAAGTATGTATCTGTACATTTTAGTTAGATGGTACAGGGACAGCTAATGGGAGGTAAGGTCAGGTGGCTTAGGTAGCCTGTGTGTGATGATTAGTACTTTTTTGTGTGTAGGTGAAGAATAGGACAGATCTCTTGAAACCGTTCAGAGAATTTTGGCAATCTCCAGGGAAACGTTCAACTTTTGTATAACTGAAAATGTATGTTAAGGGGTAAGGAAACTAGAATTTAAAACAATAGTAACAATAACAGTTGGGCGTTTATTTTGTACTAGGCACTTTGCTAGGCGCTTTCTTTATATTTACTGATCCATTTAATTCGTAGAGCAACCCTTTAAGATACATACTTTCATACTAATGAAAAAGGGAGGCAGAGGTTCAATAAAGGTCCAGGTTTGAGAAGAAAGTCATGTAAAATTTGTCCCTAATACTGGCTTTCATTACTACACTTATTAGTTAATAGAAACAGAAGTGAGTAGGAGGAACACACTAGTACTCAGATCAGGTTTGAGCCTTCTGGATCAGATGCCATGAGAGGATGTGAAAGATTGCCAAGAGGGCACTTAGATGATGTAGAAATTTAATAGCCCAAAATTTCAGAATTCCGTAAATGCTAATTTTTTTGTTTTTTTTGAGATGGAGTCTCGCTTTGTCGCCCAGGCTGGAGTGCAATGGCGCAATCTCTGCTCACTGCAACCTCTGCCTCCTGGGCTCAAGTGATTCTTCTGTCTCAGCCTCCTGAGTAGCTGGGATTACAGGTGCCCATGCCCACGACCACACCCGGGATTTTTTTCTATTTTTTTTTTTTTTTTTTTTGTATTTTTAGTAGAGATGGGGTTTCACCATGTTGGCCACGTTGGTCTCAAACTCCTGACCTCACGTGATCTACCCGCCGTGGCCTCCCAAAGTGTTGGGATTACAGGCGAGAGTCACTGGGCCCAGCTCATAAATGATAATATTTTAAATGTTTTTACACACATGCTTCAGTAACTTTTTTTTTTTTTTTTGAGACACAGTCTCCTTCTGTCACCCAGGCTGGAGTGCAGTGTCGCAATCTTGGCTCACTGCAACCTCTGCCTCCTGGGTTCAAGTCATTCTCCTGCCTCAGCCTCCTGAGTAGCTGGGATTACAGGCATGCACCACCACACCTGGCTAACTTTTTGCATTTCCTTTTTTTTTTTTTTTTTTTTTTAGTAGAGATGGGGTTTCACCATGTTGGTCAGGCTGGTCTTGAACTCCTGACCTCAGGTGATCCACCCACCTAGGCCTCCCAAAGTGTTGGGATTACAGGCATGAGCCACTGAGCATGGCCTGACATTGAGTTTTATAAAAATACTGAAGCAGGATAGTGGGGGTATCCTGAGCTGATCAAATCTGGGACTCTTCCCTAGAAGAAACTCAAATGCCTACAGTCTAATTCAGGGGTAAATGAGTTAGGTATGTAAGGAAAAAAGGAGGATGAGTTAAGTTCTAAGGCCAAGGTGAAAGGAGCCACCTTCTAGATTTCCAACAGGAAAAGTCTGAAATCTCAGCACAAGAATGATCAAAGATGAACAGTTTGGTAAGTTGTTTTTCTGGGCAGGGTGGGGAAGATGTAAGTTGTTGACCTGTGTTAGAATTAACTATAACACGAAGAATTAAAGAGTGGGACCTATTACCTATTGACATTTCGTGACTGTTTTCTCCATTTCTGGGACCTTGTATCCAAAAGGTAGCCCTTATTTTATGTAAACCTCTGCAACCACTTGAAAGGCACTAAGCAAAAGAAATATTTGTCTTGTTAATAAAAATAGAAATATCAAAATACCATATCCTAAATAAAAATTACACAAAGAAAAAAGATTTTTCTTCAAATTTGTGCCTTAAAACTGGAAGTTATGAGATAATAACAGATGCTATTATAAACGGACCCAGGAAAACCAGATGCAGGTTTCTCTCTCAAATGCTTAGGTGTTTGGGGTGACTGGCACTAAGAATATACTACGAATAAAACAAAATGTCTAAATTCCCACTTGAGGAAGAATGGCGTACATTACCTTTGTAAGTCAATTTGTCTTTCTGCTGGTGCTGCCTTTTTGGCTAAATCTTGCAGTTTGGGTGCTTTGGCATTACCTGCTTCCAAACCCCCAGGGCTCTCCTGACCCACTGCAGCTCTCTTCCTTCCCTTGTTAATAGGTTTATTTAGATCATCATTTTTGGTAGCATTGCCCTGAGATTCAGACTTGGGTCGACGTCCTCTCCTGGGTTTGGAAGGGGCGGGAGGTCCCGATTCATCTACTTTCTCATCTGTTTTTTGTTGGATATTCTCTGCACCAGCTGCTGTTACTGTTCTTTTCTTTCCTCGGTCACTGCTGATGTTGCCCTGGGTAGCCTGATCAGAATTAATTTCCTAAAAAAGCACAAAACAATTCTATAAACACAAATTCCTTAAATATTAATGATCTCTATTAGAAAAGAGTGTTTTGAAAGTATTTTAAAGGAGTCTGGATTTGAGGGCTTCCAGTTAACTGCTTACATCACATTAGGAAAGTAAGCTCCTTGAGGAGAGTGACTGTGCCTGGTACCTACCATGGTGTATAGCATATATAATGTGCTCAATAAATGCTCATTAAAAAGCAAAGGCTGGGAACAGTGGCTCACGCCTGTAATCGCAGCACTTTAGGAGGCTAAAGCGGGAGGATCGCTTGAGCCCAGGAGTTCCAAACAATCCCCGGCAACATAGTGAGATCCCATCTCTACAAATAATTTAAAAAATTAGCCGGGCATGGTGGCTTGTGCCTGTAGTCCCAGCTACTTGGGAGGCTGAGGTGGGAGGATTGCTTAAGCCTGGGAGGTTGAGGCTACAGTAAGCAGAGATTATGCCACTGGACTCCAGCCTGGGTGACAGAGGGAGATCTTATCTCAAAATAGTAATTGCAAGCCCGGCACGGTGCCTCACGCCTGTAATCTCACTACTTTGGGAGGCCGAGACGGGTGGATCACCTGAGGTTGGGAGTTCAAGACCAGCCTGACCAACATGGAGAAACCCTGTCTCTACTAAAAATACAAAATTAGCCAGGCATGGTGGCCCATGCCTGTAATCCCAGCTACTCAGGAGGCTGAGGCAGGAGAATAGCCGAAATTGCACCATTGTACTCCAGCCTGGGCAACAAGAGCAAAACTCTGTCTTGGGGGGAAAAAAATTGCAATAATAAAAATATAAAGCACAAATAGTACTTGAAAAATAAAATCTAACTCTCAATGTAACTCAATGTCTATGGCAATATGCATTTTTCTATGTAAGTTTGTTTAAGTCAAGACTGCTTAATTTTACACAAGGATCCCACAATATTCTAATCTATTGGTATCTGGATTCTAAGAGTTTTGATAATAAGAGGTAACTTGTTACCTGAATCCACTGACATGCTGTGTTTCAAACACCAAGCAGAAAGAGTTTAGATAGCAAGAGATTGATCTAAAAATGTAACGTCGGGCGGGCATGGTGGCTCACGGCTGTAATCCCAGCACTTTGGGAGGCCAAGGCGGGTGGATCACGAGGTCAGGAGTTCAAGACCAGCCTGGTCAAGATGGTGAAACCACATCTCTACTAAAAATACAAAAATCAGCTAGGCATGGTGGCAGGTGCCTATAATCCAGCTACTCAGGAGGCTGAGGCAGGAGAATGGTTTGAACCCAGGAGGCGGAGGTTGCAGTAAGCCGAGATCGCGCCACTGCACTTTAGCCTGGGCAACAGAGAAAGACTCCATCTCAAAAAGTATCCTCATGTAGCTGAGTTCAGAAAATGAGAGTTTGGATAGGAAAAGTTAAGCTACTGTGGTGTAACTGCATAATCCTAGTATATTTAATGTACCCAAGGGTAATATCTAAAATATTTGATGACTACAATAAGTATATGGTGAGCAATAAAAAGATAAGCACTTCAAGAATATGATTCTGGGGGGGGGGGGCAGGGGAGGAAATAATATCTTCAAGCCATTCTTACTGAGATAAATTACCAATTTCATTTAATAGTTGAGCCGTAATTCCAGCACTTTGGGAGGCCAAGGTGGGCGAATCACGAGGTCAGGAGTTCAAGACCAGCCTGGCCAACATGGTGAAACCCCGTCTCTACTAAAAATACAAAAATTAGCTGGGCATGGTGGTGCGTGCCTGTAATCCCAGCTACTCAGGAGGCTGAGGCAGGAGAATCGCTTGAACCCAGGAGGCAGAGGTTGCAGTGAGCTGAGATTGTGCCACTGCACTCCAGCCCAGGCGACAGAGACTCCGTCTCAAAAAACAAAAGAAAACAAAACAAAACAGAACAAAAAAAAAACAACTGAAAGAAGACCAGAGAAGTCAAGCGACCTGCTCAAGTCAACACTTAGCCAGTGAGTGGCAGAGCCAAGAGGCAAAAGTCAGATATGTGTGATGCTCCTATCGATTATGCACCACTCCTCTCCTGCCAAAAAATTAAGAAATTGGGTTGGGCATGGTGAGATCCTGTTTCAAAACAAAACAAAACAAAATTGGGCGGTATCGTTTAAAGATCAACAAAGTCGTCAAGCACGGCTCACGCCTGTAATCTCAGCACTTTGGGAGGCTGAGGAGGGTGGATCACCTGAGGTCAGGTGTTCAAGACCAGCCTGTAGCACAGTGGCGTGATCTTGGCTCACTGCAACCTCCACCTCCGCGGTTCAAGCAGTTCTCCTGCCTCAGCCTCCCAAGCAGCTGGGATTACAGGTGCACACCACCACGCCCAGCTAATTTTTGTATTTTTAGTAGAGACGAGTTTTCACCACGTTGGCCAGGCTGGTCTGGAACTCCTGACCTCAGGCGATTTGCCTGCCTCGGCCTCCCAACGTGTTGGAATTACAGGTGTGAGCCACTGCGCCGGGTCGCCTCCCGCATAGCTGGGACTCCAGGCAAGTAATTTTTGCACTTTGTTAGCAGAGACAGGGTTTCACTTCAGGTGATCCACCAAGTCTCACTCTTGTCGCCCAGGCTGGAATGCAATGGCATGATGTTGGCTCACTGCAACCTTCACCTCGAGGGTTCAAGTGATTCTCCTGTCTCGACCTCTTGAGTAGCTGGGATTACAGGTGTGCGCCACCATGCCTGGCTAATATTTTGTATTTTTAGTAGAGACGGGGTTTCACCATGTTGGCCAGGCTGGTCTCCAACTCCTGACCACAAGTGATCCACCCATCTTTGCCTCCCAAAGTGCACGATTACAGGTGTAAGTTACTGCACCCAGCCAAGATGAACTTTTAAAAACACAGTAGAAACAAAGCAAAGGGCTGATCTCTGGTGGGAATCAACAAACTTTTGAAATATTTCAAAAACTCTCAATTCCTTTTTTGAGACAGAGTCTCGCTCTGTCGTTCAGGCTGGAGTGCAATGGCACGATCTTAGCTCACTGCAACCTCCGCCTCCTGGGTTCAAGCAATTCTCCTGCCTCAGCCTCCTGAGTAGCTGAGATTACAGGCGCCTGCCACCACGTCCAGTTAATTTTTGTACTTTTATAGAGACGGGGTTTCGCCATGTTGGCCAGGCTGGTCTCAAACTACTCACCTCATGATCCACCCGCTTCAGCCTCCCAAAGTGCTGGGATTACAGGCATGAGCCAACGCACCAGGCCTCAATTCCTATTCTTTAAAAGAGTTGAAATGGGTAGTATAGGAAAAGGATACCACTACGGGTAGGTGACCACACAAATTTTTTTTTTTTTTTTGGAGGCAGAGTCTGCCTCTGTCACCCAGGCTTGAGTACAATGGCGTTATCTCAGCTCACTGCAACCTCCACCTCCTGGGTTCAAGCAATTCTCCTGCCTCAGCCTCCTGAGTAGCTGGGATTTTGGTGCCAACCACCACGCCCCGGTAATTTTTTTATTTTTAGTAGAGATGATTACAGGTGTAAGCCACTGTGCCCAGCCAGACCACATAAATTCTTATAAAGTGGGTGGAGGTAAGCAGAATCATTTTTGGGAAGTATAGCCGGGGTGCGGGAAGCGGGGAGAAGGTGTGTGGTAATACACACAAGTTTAAAATGTAGCATGTGCATTGAAGTGTTGGCTGTAGATTTCTTATCCCTACGGAAAAACTGTAATAATCTCCATGGAAAAAATCCACTTGTTAAATTTTAAAATTTACCTTATTCTTTACTGGGTCAATATTCTTTACAGGTGTGACTGAAATAATCCTCACAGGGTTCTCTTCATTTTCACTAACTCCAGTTTCTGCTGCCTCTGAACTCTGTTCCCTGTTTAAAACAAATAAACCAAGACTTCATATTTCCATGAAGAGAAAGTTCACTCTCTCACCGTACCAATAAAGAAAGGCTTAGGCTGGTTTCGAAACCTTGACAATTGAAGCAACAATAGCAAGATTCGGATACTCTGTAGTTATAGACTATTGCTTTAAAAATATCATTTTCCATTTAGCTTTGATAAAGTGGTATCAATTTCCATTTTGCCTTAATAACATTAAGACAGAAATGACTGCCTAAGACTACTTGACAAAAGGGTTAATTGTCAAGAGACAAAATAACACAACCACTGTAAGCTTTATCTTTTGGGAATAGAAAATCCTAAAACAAAAATAAAACTACAGACCATAGTATAGTTGTCATTTCCATAGTGTTCTACTAAAAAGGGGGCTGTCAGAAGAGGCTATTTGGTAGGTATTTGAGGCCCCACTATTCTTTAAACCATGTTAACTGATTTCATATCTTGGGCTTCATTTTTGCTAAAAGTGGTTTAAAACATCATTGGTTGAGTTTATTCTTAAGATTTCATGTGTAAGAATAATATCTATAAAAACCACAATATTAAGTGTTCCTAAGAGTAGGGTCAGAAATGATAAAGGTTTGATGTGACGGATATCCTAATTACCCTGATTTGATCACTATACATGCTATGCATATACCAAAATATCACAAACACCCCATAAATATGTACAATTATTATATATCAAAATAAGTATGTTTATGAAAAAAATTGCAGGTAGAAATTCTTATGCAGTAGCTAATATACTGAATACTTAACATGTTAAAATAAACATGGAATATTTTTATAATTAGAAAATGTTAGAACAATGTAAACTTATCCTATTTTTATATATATATATATATATATATATATATTTTAAGAGACAGGGTCTTAGGCTGAAATGAAATATGTAATCATAGCTGATATAGCCTAGAACTCCTGGGCTCAAGTGATCTTCCTGCCTCCGCCTCCTGAGCTCCCAAGTAGCTGGGACTACAAGTGTATGCCCCCATGATGCCCAGATTGGTTTCGAACTCCTGGGCTCCAGTGATTATCCTTCCTCGGCCTCCCAAAGTGCTGGGATTACAGGTGTGAGCCATCACACATGGCCTTTTCTTTTTATTAAGAGACAGGGTCTTGCTTTGTCACCCAGGCTGGAGTGTAGCAGAGACATCATAGCTCACTTTAGACTTGAACTTCTGGGCTCAAGTGATAATCCTGCCTTGGCCTACTAAAGCGCTGGGATCACAGCCATAAGGCACTACACCCAGCCCTCCTATACTAATTTGAGTTAAAAATTAAAAAGCATTTCAATTTATTTAAAAGTTAATGTTTTCATAGTTTTCCTAAGGGTTGAATTTTCTTACGTATAAAAAATAAACATTTTGGGCCAGGCGTGATGGTTCATGACTGTAATCCCAGCACTTTGGGAGTCCAAGGTGGGCAGAGACTAGCCTGGCAATCATGGTGACACCCTGTCTCTACTAAAAATACAGAAATTAGCTGGGAGTGGTGGCGTGTGCCTGTAAGCTCAGGAAGCTGAGGTGTGAGAATCACTTGAAACCAGGAGGTGGAGGTTGCCGTGAGCTGACATCCCATCACTGCACTCCAGCCTGAGTGACGGACAGAGACACTCTGTCTCAAAAATATTAAAAATAAGTATTTTGATATAAATTGGTTGTATTATTAACTCTTATATTATTTTCTGTTAATTTTTCTATACACTTAGAATGCTATATATTAATAGTTTCAAAGTGTGCAGTACATTCTTGATTTCCTCATTGAAAATACTAAAATGTGCCCAGGTGCAGTGGTTTGCGCCTGTAATCCCAGCACTTTGGGAGGCTGAAGGGGGTGGATCACTTGAGCCCAGGAGATCGAGCCCGACCTGGGGAAGATGACGAAACTCCATCTTTATGAAAAGTACAAAAGAAAATTGGCTGGGGGTTGGTGGTGCATGCCTGTAGTCCCAGCTACTTGGGATGCTGAAGCGAGAAGATCCCTAGAGCCCAGGAGTCTGAGGCTGCGGTGAGCTATGATCCTGCCACTGCCCTCCAGCCTAAGCAACAAAGTGAGACCCTGTCTCTTAAAAAAAAATTACATAAAATTAAGAAAAAAAAGAAAATACTGGCTGGGTGCGGTGGCTTACGCCTGTAATCCCAACACTTTGGGAGGCTGAGGCAGGCGGATCACCTCAGGTCAGGAGTTCGAGACCAGCCTGGCCAACATGGTGAAACACCGTCTCTACTAAAAATACAAAAATTAGCGGGGCGTGGTGGCAGGCGCCTGTAATTCCAGCTACTCGGGAGGCTGAGGCAGGAGAATTGCTTGAACCCGGGAGGCAGAGGTTGCAGTGAACCAAGATTGCGCCATTGCACTCTAGCCTGGGCGGGGACAAGAGCGAGACTTTGTCTCAAAAAAAAAAAAAAAACAAAAAAAAACCCAGAAAAGAAAATACTAAAATTCATCAATATTATTTTGTACCAGAACACCGCTAATGACAGAAGACCATTTTATGAGACAGCACTTTAGGAATAAAAGATAAACCAAGTAGTGAGTGCTAGTAACAAAATAATTGGAGAGAAAAGTTGCCTTGATCGATTTCCGGTTGAAGGGTTCAGCTCTGAATTTACATTAATATTGCTTCCAGTCTCAGTGCCAGTGCTTCTAACATAGGGTTTCCTTCCCGTTGCTGATAAAGGCTTATTTACTGCACCTAGTACTCCAGCAGGCTTTGGCTAAAAACAAAAACAAAAAACCCCCCAAAAACACACACGTTTATACCTTACCATGTATACATGTAAATTTAGACACAAGTAAGAGATATTGTTAAGTGCTAATTAGTTAAATTTACCAGAAATGTTCATTCTGGGCCAGGCATACTGGCTCCTGACTGCAAATCCCAGCACTTTGGGAGGTGGATCACTTGAGGCCATGAGTTCAAGACCACTCTGGCCAAAAGAGTGAAACCCAACCTCTACCAAAAATACAAAAATTAGCCAGGTGTGGTGGTATAAGCCGGTAGTCCCATCTACTCGATAGACTGAGGCATGAGAATTGCCTGAACCCAGGAGGTGAAGGTTGCAGTGAGCTGAGATCGCAACATTGTACTCCAGCCTGGGTGACAAAATGAGACTGTCTCAAGAAAAAAAAAGATCATTCTGTAAAATTGTGTTTGGTTGCCTTAATACAATCAAAAGTCATAAGCATATCTCTACTTAATAATAACTAGGTAATATTAATGTATCCTTTATTATTCAATCAAAATACAAAGTTCCCCTAAAATATAGCAAAATACATACATAATAAATGCTCCTATAAATAAACTATTGGATATATATATAGTAATAGTTTAGGAACTATTTACAAAAAACTAAATTTCCTTTTGCTGTTTTAGGTGTCACCATATTACTTACATAGAACATGAATTGTCTAATTCATTAGTAGTATAAAATTATTTCTTTTATCTTATATACCTAAGTTGGTTATACCATTTCCCAGGAAAGTCTTCTTTGTGAATTGTAAATAAACTGTGCTTAACATTACTGATGAGAACACACAGTGGCATTTCAGAGGAGTGGTTGCTGGCAGAAAAATTCTAAAAGCATGGCTGCTTTAGATGCTTTAAATCCATAATGTGATCCCTAAGAATCAGGAACTATACAATCTAGTGGTCATTTAAAGGTATTTCTAGGAATAGCAGAAGCAAGATACACATGAAACAAAGATCTCAAAATTATTAAGTAAATAATACCTTTCCTGTTAACAGAAGTACTCTTGTCTCTTCTGAAATATAACTCTTATCGTTACAGAAGTCCTATTAAAAAAAAAAAAGAAAAAGAAAAAAGAAACACCAATCAAAGGAACATGAGTATTTTAATTATCTCAATAAGGCTTTTTAGGTATTGTGCCTTGCAATAATAAATACACTTGTGCTAACACATATACCAATTTATCAAACAATCAAAACAATCAAAGCCATACCATAAGTCTAGCTTTAAATTAAACTGATGGCACGCAGACTTAGGCAAATGTCAAAGATAAATTTCCTAAATCACACCATAAATAAAGCACACACATGTTTTCATACGGTTCAATGCAGTTTATTCATTAAATTTATTCACTGAATTCCACCACATCATAAATTCGGGCCGGGTGTGGTGACTCATGCCTGTGAGCCTCATCCCAGCACTTTGGGAGGCCAAAGTGGGTGGATCACCTGAGGTCAGAAGTTCGAACCCGCCTGGCCAACATGGTGAAACCCTGTCTCTACAAAAATACAAAATTAGCTAGGCCGGGTGGCATGCGCCTGTAATGCCAGCTACTCAGGAGGTTATGGCAGGAGAATCGCTTGAACTCGGGAGGCAGAGGCTGCGGTAAGCCGAGATCGTGCCATTGCACTCCAGCCTGGGTGACAAGAGTGAAACTCCATCTCAAAAAACATAAGTAGACCAACTGTCAAAATACAATTAAGTGAATTATGTTCTTTGACAGCTGTGATATTAACAATACACGATTTAAACCAAATGTGGAAAATGATAGCACTTTGAGAGTTATATCTATATAAAAATTAGGAGTTCAAACTTGATCTCTTGATGCCTTTTCCTGCTTAATATCTGAAAATGGCAAACAAACCACAATGTTGTGTCAGTGAAGCAAAACTAGCTACTAAACTCAGGAAATATAATTAAGTTTTAAATAATCCTATTAAAAAATATTTTTTATTGTATTAAATTTACCTTCACAGAAGTAGGAAAGAACAAAGTGTGCCTGTGAGGAAATCACAGTTTTGTCATGTGTGCTAGGCAAAGCTGTATCATTTCTTTTGCACAAAGTCTTCTATGCAGCTAAAATAAACATTAAGAAACCTGTGTACCAAAGTTCATTCACTTCATTCATAAAGATATAGTATAGCTTCACTAGGTTGACTAACTTCACAAACCTAGTGTTCTAGGGTTTATGAATTTATAACACATTAAAAGCAACATGTTACATAAATAAGGAACGTTGCATACTGAAAACAGAAAAACCTAAGTTGTTATTATTAAGAAGACTAAAACTCTGTAACACTGAAGGTAACAAAAGAAAAAAAAAATTGTTATCTATGAGTCCAGATAAGGTGTAGTGACAAGTAGGAATTTAATTCTTGATGATGGTATCACCACTGTTACATAGATTCTATTTGGTACTATTCTATTCATGATGGTCCTGGGTCAGCAACAGGATTAATTTTAATTCAACAGCTCACTTAAGAATATCTTATAGGCTGGGCATGGTGGCTCATGCAATCCCAGCACTTTGGGATGCTGGAGGTGGGTTGATCACTTGAGCCCAGGAGTTTGAGGCCTGGCCAACATGATGAAACCACCTGTCTACAAAAAAGTTAAAAAATTAGCCAGGCATGGTGACACATGCCTGTAGTCACAGCTACTTGAGAGGCTGAGGTAGGAGAACTGATTGAGCCAGGGAGTTGGAGGCTGCAGTGAGCCAAGATCAAGCCACTGCACTCCAGCGTGGGTGACGGAGACTCAAAAAAAAAAAATTTTTTTTATACAGATCAGTGGATTCAATTAGAGAGCATACTTTTGCAAATTCTCATTATTTCTATCAAAAGCAAGGCACAGTTATGTGTTCAATACTAAATCAGTAATAAAAATCAGATTACATTTTAGCAAACTTTTAGTAAAGTACGGCATTCAAAGTAGGAAGCTCCATTTATTTCTTGGAATGTGCATTTGGAGAATTCTCTAAGCTAGGGGTCTCCAACCCACGAACTGCAGACTGGTATGGGTTATGGGTCATGGGTCTGCGGCCTGTTAGGAACTGGGATACACAGCAGGCAGTGAGTGGCTGGCGAGCAAGCATTACCACCTGAGCTCTGCCTCCTGTCGGATCAGCGGCAGCATGAGATTCTCACAGAAGCACAAACCCTATGGCGAACTATGCCTGCGAGGGATCTAGGCTGTGTGCTCCTTATGAGAATCTAACTAATGCCTGATGACCTGAGGTGAAATAGTTTCATCCTGAAACCATCTCTCCACCTCAATTTCTCTGTGGAAAAATTGTCTTCCACGAAACTGGTCCCAGGTGTCAAAAAGGTTGGGAACCACTGCTCTAAGGGGATCATTACTGAGGCATATATATACATTTATAGGAGAAAGTGAAACAAGTTTAAAATACCACCTAACAGCAGGAAATAAACAAAAGCTTTTAAAAATCCAAATTAGCTGGAAAAACTTACAGAGCCTGCGTTACCTGAAAAATTTACTTACATGGGAAACAGTTTGCTGAAAGCAGAATAGATGCACTGTATATTAATTAATAACACCATTTATTGAATGGTTTTATGTGATAAACTCTTCATATAAACCTAGATATTAGCAATTGTCCATATGTATTATTAACATCTGCATTATAAAGATGAAGAAATGGAGGCTTAGAGGAGAGAACCTGTCCCTCCTTACACTGTGCCAAAGATTTAAAATTTTTCTTATCTGCAAAAATACTACCCATGTTTCAATAAAATGAGATTAAAATAATTTTAAAAATCTGAAAACTTTAATACTAGAAATTCCTAGAATAAACATAAGATCAACAGTATGTGTAGTCTTCTGTTCAAGTCAGAATAATGTTCAGGGCTGTGTAAGACAATTTCCCACTCTTTGATAAACCCAGATTTTTTCTTTACTCTGTGGTCAAGACAATTCAATATTTGCCACAATGGTTGATGGTAATTGACATTGAAATCAGTTTAGTGTGGTAGGAAAAATGAGAGGAAGAAAATTACCTTTTCAGGTTGTGTAAAAAATTTCATTGGGAGGACTGGGTCCTTTGGTGAATCTGCATTGCACAAAGCACTTTTACTATTTATAACACAGAGAGCCACATCACATACTGTATACAGTTTCTAGGGAGGAAAACGAATCATATATAACTTTTAGTATTGCAAAATAATCATAATTACCAATTCCACTAAATGTATAATTTAGAGTTAAAAGAAGGATACTGTGGTTGTTATTTATTCCTTGAACATTCCATATTTCTGTTCAGCACTGTTTATGCAGCCTTCTGATAAATAAAAATCCCTCTATATGAATTTAACATGGATGCCAATATGCATGGAAAATAACAAACAAATGAACCAACCCAAAGAAAGCACACAAAAAGAATAAGCATTTGTCTGTAACTCTTACTGTAAGTTCGTAATATACCATAGTTGTACATTTTATTCTTATCCTCTTGCTCTAAGGTTATAATGTCTTTTCAGAGTACTAAAGATTCCTGAAATAAAATTCACTTGTAATGAAGTGCAATAAAAACTGACTACACATTTACTTTTGTAAACATTCTAAAATTTAAATTACTACGTATGGCCAAAAAAAAAAAAAAAAAACCAAGTGGGACAATATATTTTTCTATTACATCTTAACACCCACTGGCCTAACACTCATCTTACTTCATTTGTCTTGGATTCATCTGGAGACTGGGCATCTCTGGTTAACTTGATGTTCTCTGCCATCTTCTTCATAAAGGCATGGCTATTGTTTTCATTCTTTGTCATTAAAACTTCAAGCATGAACCATAGGCACCTAAATGTAAACATATTAAAGAGACTAGACGTAGATAGATGCTTTAGCTTAAAGCAATAAATATGTTAGCTGGGAATTTCTGTTGTCTGAATAAAATAAAATAAAATGATCAACCTTAATGACTAATATATGTTATTATCCTAATAATATTCTATTCAAATGGAAAATTAAAGCATAAAATAACATATAAAAAATGAAAACATAGCTTAATATGAGAAAGTCTGACAGTTTCATAAGGCATATAAAGATTCACCCTAGCTGGATATGGTGGCTCGTGCCTATAACCTCAGCACTTTGGGTGGCTAAGGTGGGTAGATTGCCTGAACCCAGAAATTCGAGGCTGGGCGCGGTGGCTCATGCCTGTAATCCTAGCACTTTGGGAGGCCGAGGTGGGCAGATCAAGAGGTCAGGAGATCGAGACCATCCTGGCTAACATGGTGAAACCCCGTCTCTACTAAAAATACAAAAATTAGCTGGGTGTTGGTGGCAGGCACCTGTAGTCCCGGCTACTCGGGAGGCTGAGGCAGGAGAATGGCGTGAACCCAGGAGGCAGAGCTTACAGTGAGCTGAGACTGCACCACTGCACTCCAACCTGGGTGACAGAGCGAGACTCTCTCTCAAAAAAAAAAAAAAAAGAAATTCGAGACTAGCCTCGTGAGACCCCATCTCTACAAAAAAAATACAAAAATTAGCTGGGCATGGTAGTGGGCTCCTGTAGTCCCAGCTACTTGTGGGGCTGAGGTGGGAGGATCGCTTGTGGTTGCAGTGAGCCATAATCACACCACTGCACTCCAGCCTGGGCAAAAAAGTGACACCCTCTCAAAAGAAAACACAGATTCACCCTATAGGTAAGTTTACATAATCTGATATAACTTAACACCCAGCAATAATGAGCAAATCAACACACAGCAGTCTTGGGATTTTGATTATTTGTAAGCTATGCAGAAGTTCTACAATTGGTATGCAGTTCTGCCGAGAAACAAGTCTAAGTTGCATGTATTATGAGGCTGATGTGTGTGGTACCCAGCCACCCAATTAAGGAGTCACAATCTCAAACCACTTTTGCTATTCCACACTTGTCACTGTATATTCATTTAACACATTGTGTCTGAAGGGAACATTTGAATTTCTAAGTAAAAGTGAACCCCAAATCAGGCTGAACATTAGAATTGTTTGGATAACTTAAATAGACAAATCTGGAAATGGGGCCTGTTTTTACAAAGATCCCAGTATTTTCAGGCAGTGACATGACTACTGCATTCCTGCATCAACAGGGGAGAAACTATTTGATGATACTCTGTAAAAGCTTCTTTTCCTACATTCCACATAATTGTTTTAAGAGACTACTGTAGCATGCATTAGTTTTTTAGCTTAATGGCTTAAATGATAGTTGGTTGTTTCAATAATATTTATTAACTTAGGCAAAGAGTTGTCAACTCTACTTAGATACTGGATAGCTGCTAGAATCCTGATCAAAGAAAGGAACAGAATAATGAATAACAACAAATATAATAAAAATTAGCAAATATTTAATGAGTGCTTACTATCTACTAGGCATTAGGCTAAGCACTTTACCTTCATATAATCCTCATGACTCTATAAAGAATAAGAAAAATCGTCACCATTATATATAGAACCTATTTTTTTTTTTTTTGGTCTGTCTTTTGAGACAGAGTCTTGCTTGCCTCTCAGGCTGGAGTGCAGTGGCGTGATCACAGCCCCAGCAACCATGGTGTCCTGGGCTCACACTATCCTCCTACCTCAGCTTCCTGAGTAGCTGGGGCTACAGGCATGTGCCACCATGTCTGGCTGATTTTTATAGAGCTGGGGTTTCGCCAGGTTGCCGACTGGTCTTGAACTCCCAGGCTCAAGCAATCTACCTGCCTTGGCCTCACAAAGTGCCAGGACTGCAGGCGTAAGCTACCACTCCTGGCTATCTAAATATTTTTTTTGAGGCATTAAGTAACCTGTTTAGGGTCACAGAGATAAAAAGATGGAGCTAGGATTAGAACCAGGTCTGCTTTTATACTTTTAACAAAAATACACAAAATAAATATAATAAACATTATCTGAGCAACTATATACTAAACAAAGGTGACAACACTGAACACATCGGTTCTATAGGTTTGAGGATTCTATTTGTTTATATAAACACTGAAATCATTTCCTTAATTCTTGGGTCAGAATTCTGTTGAGTTTCTATTAACTTGAAGATTTGTTTGATCCCTTTCCACAGAAGTATAGGGTCAGGATTACTCTCAGTTTTAGGGGATAAGGTGAGGAAGCATTCCTATGCAGGGTTTCTTTAAAAAGTTGTAACAAAAAAATCTTGCAATAAGGTTTTAAACATTAGTATATACATAAAATACTTGAATGTACATCAACATAATAGAGAATTTATTCCTTGAAGTAACTGGAAAAAAGTATGATTGTCTTGTGATAAGAATGCCAATTCCACCTTAATTTTATGCAGATATGCTGAGACTAATGTGCTATCTAACATGAACCAATTGACTCAATAAATTTTAGTACTTGGAAGTTGTTCAATATAATGTTACATTTAAAACAGGATACAAAACAATACATATATGTATTATAAAACAATATATAATAGATATTAAAACAGCATTTTTTGAAATTAGAATATGTTGAAATCCCTGGGGCCATGTCTCACTTCTGCATCCTCAATACTGCCCAAGAAATGTAATCATTAATGTTTACCCATCCTACGAAGTACACAGATTCCCATGATCCTCTGCTTCTTCTTGCCTTATCCAAGGGAGCTAATTCCTCTCCATCTCGTATCTTTTCACTGAACTCTCTAGAATATACTTTCCCTCCAAAAAGAATCTTCAATGAATGCTCACTTCACCTTTTTGCCGTAACTGAAACCATACCCCCACCCCAAGAATGCTTGCCTTGCATTCCCCTAAAAGTTATAACTGCTCATTCTATTAGATGATGCATACTTAGGGTCAGAGAGTGAGTTCAGCTTCTATCATCCCCAAAGCTAATTCCAGTTATTCTTCCAGGTTTATGTAAAATTACTCCTAGGAAGCTTGTGCCATTTGGCTGCTTCTACCATCCTCTCCTTGTCAATGTTATCTATCAGCTTCCCTATGTTCCTTGCGTTGATTTAGTTTCTGGATGACATTTTTCCTTGACTCCATCTTTAAGTCCTGCCAATTTTCTGGGCAATCTGTTCAACACGATTTCCTAATTCCTTGGCTGTTCTAATCCTGGTAAATTTTATCTTTGCCTAAGACATTTCACTGCCTCAGACATTCCTAGACTTTGTTAATCTTTAGAAATTGTTCGCCTGTGAAATTATAAATTCACTGCAGCCTACCTCCTGGGCTCAAGCAACGCTCCTGCCTCAGCAGGGACTGAGTAGCTGGGACTGCAGGGACTGAGTAGCTGGGACTACAGGCACATGTTACAACACCAAGCCAATTCAAAAAAATTATTTGTAGAGATAAGATCCTGCTATGTTGTTCAGGCTGGTCCTGAAATCCTGGACTCAAATAATCCTCTTGTCTTGGCCTCTCAACATTTTAATCACTTTTTTGAAAACAGTATCAACTCTTAACAATTTTCCTTCTGGTACACTTGCTTTGAAAAACTCAAGAACAATCCAAATCTTTGGCTTCTTGACAGCTATATTTAGAATTGTTTAATGCTACAGAAAAACCATGTAGCTGAGAAGCTTGATATAATTATAAATTTAAAATTTTTAGCTTGGTACTTTATGCTACCCAGCTATCCTATGTGTCACCAGGATTTTTAGCCACTTCTTCACAGCAGCTGTTTCCAATCTTTACTCTACTCATATCTAATTCTGTCACCCTCACCTACCAGTAGACTCTGCTCCTATATCATTTAGAAACCTAAGTCATTAAGATGAGACTTCCTCAACTACTTAACAGCAGTCCTGGAAAATTATTTTTATTTCCTGGCCTTCCCTTTATCTATCTTTAAGATCCCACCACCCCATAAATTCTTCTTTTTGAAGACCTCACCTCAATTTATTACCATCGTTTCTTTTACCTACAACCACACTTTTTCCCCTGGCTCCTTAAATACTTTCTATTGCCTTCTTCCTCCCCAATTCATAGCCAATTTTTAAAAAAGATTTGTCTAAACGATATGTATTCCTTATCTTTTGGCAATTTGGCTTTCACCTGCATTGCTTTACTACAGCTGCCCCTGCCAAGGTTATCAGTGAGTGCTTTGTTGCTAAACACATTTTAAACAATTTTTCCAACCAGTAAGCAAATAAACACAGTTTGTTCTTAAATTCAAAGGACACGTATTAGCTGTGTGACTTTACCCTTGCTGGTATCTTCATTTGTAAAATGGGAACAACAGGATGCGTGCGGTGGCTCACGCCTGTAATCCCAGCACTTTGGGAGGTCAAAGCAGGTGGATCACCTGAGGCCAGGAGTTTGAGACCAGCCTGGCCAACATGGCGAAACTCCATCTCTTAAAAAAAATACAAAAATTAGCTGGGCATCGTGGTGCATGCCTGTAGTCCCAGCTACTCGGGATGCTAAGGCAGGAGAATCACTTGAACCTGGGAGGCGGAGGTTGCAATGAGCCAAGATCACACCACTGCACTCCAACTTGGGCGACAGAACGAGACTCCATCTCAAAACATAAACAAAAACAAAAATAAAATGGGAACAACAGTAATTATCCCATTGTTTTGAAGAATAAATGAGGTAACATTTCCAGTACACGTAACATATAATAAAAAGCCAATGAATGTTAGCTGGTTCCTGATCATTTTTCCAAACTGCTGTTCCTTTGACCTCCAATATTCTTCCTCCAGGTCGTTTTCTGATTCTCTGTTCTTTCCAGTAGTGGTATGTCTGAAGTCTACACTATTAGAAGTTCTGCTCTACAGATTATTTTTTTCTTCCTCCTCTTTTTAACTTCTGACTCCCTGCAAGTGTGAGTTATGTGCCTATTCTAGGTACTCCCACAATAGCAGAGCATATATCACATATCATATTGTAACCACCTCTTTATCTTTCTTCATCTTCCATTAGATTGTAAACCTTAAGGGAATATATATGATATTCATATTACATAACCTCACAACCCAAGAACTTAGCGTACCTGGCACATTGAAAGTACTCTATAAATATTTGTTAAGGAAATATGAACATATGAAGAAGAAAAAGTGTTGAAAGATACAGACCAAATTGTTAACAGCAATGAAGGGCTTTTAGGGGGTATAATTACGAATAATTGTTTTCTTCTTAATGAATTCATTTTCAATTTTTTCTTACTGAATATCAATAAAGGAGAAAGGTAATTATTAAACATTAAAGGCTATATTTAAGTACGATTTTTCAAATTCAAATACATTATTACTGATGTCAGAAAAATGGCAGAGTAAGAAATTTCAGATATCAATTGCAACAACAAAACAACTATTAAGCTGGAAAAAAACAATCATAATCACCTGTGCAGAACTCTGGAACCTCATGGGACCCAGCAACCAGGGGTAAACACCTGGTCTGATGGAGGAAGAGGGGATGAACCTCAACAGTGAAGGGAATCTATGTCAGGGTCACAGGCTGACCATAAAGATAACAGAACTATAACTTCAAGGTCTACACAAAACAAGGAATACAGACTTTGTGAAAGTAGTTTGGAAAAGTCAGAATGGTGGACTGCGCCCTACAAGAACCAAAAGCAATCTAGAAAGAGAGGAAGAACCAGATTTTTAGAGTTATCACATTATAGTACTTAAAATGTCCAATTCCTAACGAAAAACTACAAATCACATAAAGAATCAGGCAAATATGACTAATTCACAGGGAAGAAGAAAGAATTAGGAATTAACCCTGAGGAGGCCCAGATTTTAGAGTTACTAGTCAAAGACATTAAATCAACTGTCTTAAATATGCTCAATGAGATAAAAGAAATAAAGATAATCATATGTATGAACAAGTAGAGAATACTGATAAAGAGACAGAAATAATTAAAAGGAACCAAGTAGGAATTCCAGGACAGAAAATTATAACAGCTGAAATTAAAAATTCACTCTAGGAGGATTCAATGGCCGACTACAGCAGGCAGAAAAAAGATTCAGTAAACCTGTAGACAAGGCAATTGAAAATACTCAGTCTGAACAGAAAGAAAAGAGAATGAAGAAAAACAATCTAATGAACCTGCAAGAAACAATCAGAAATACTAACATTAGACATCATGGAATTTCCAAACGGAAAGACAGAAAGTAGCAGAAAAAATATTTGATGAAATAATGGTCAAAAACTTGCAAATTTTATGAAAGATGTGAATTTATACATCCAAGAAACTCAGTGATCTCCAAGCAGGATGAAATCTGAAACCCACACTGAGACACATCAGGGTCAAATGGTTGAACATTTGATAAAGAGATAAAGGATAAAGGTCTCTTGAAAGCAGCCAAGAAGGAAGTGACTCATGTTAAAGGATCCTCAATAAGAATAACAGCTGATTTCTCATCAGAAATCATAATGGCCAAGAGGCAGTGGGATGACATCTCCAAGTTCTAAAAAAACAAAAAACAAAAAAACCCCAACAACTCGTCAACCAAGAATCTTATATCCTATATAAGATTTGTCTTTGTCCAAGAATAAAGACAAAATCAAAACATTTTCCAAATAAACAAGAGCAAAGGGAGTTTGTCATCAGTAGACCTGTCTTATGAGAAATGCTAAAGTGAGTCCATCAGGCTGAAATGAAAGAACACTACATAGTAATTTAAAGCCATAAGAAGAAATAAGTAAATCTGGTGAAAGTAACCATACAGGTACATTTAAAAGACAGTATTACTGTACTTTGGCTCATAACTCACTTCTTTCATACATGATTTAAAAGGAAAATGCGGCTGGGTGCAGTGGCTCATGCCTGTAATCCCAGCACTTTGGGAGGTCAAGGTGGGTGGATCACCTGAGGTCAGGAGTTCAAGACCAGCCTGGCCAACATGGTGAAACCTTGTCTCTACTAAAAATACAAAAATTAGCCAGGCGTGGTGGCGGGCACCTGTAATCTCAGCTACTCGGGAGGCTGAGGCAGGAGAATTGCTTGAACCTGGGAGGCAGAGGTTGCAGTGAGCCAAGATCACGCCACCGCACTCCAGCCTGGGCAACAGAGTGAGACTCTGTCTCAAATAAATACATAACTAAATAAATAAATAAAAGGAAAATGCATAAAACAGTAACTGTAAATCTAAATCTAAGTAAATGGGAATACAGCCTATAAAGATGTGATTCGTGATAATAAAAAATAAAGGGAGGGAAAATACAGATGTAGAAGAGCAATGTGTCCATATGCTATTGAAACAAATTTGCTACTATTCAAACTAGGTTGTTAGAAGTTTGAGATGTCAGCTGTGATCTAAAACCTAATGAAATACTAAAAATGGCCGGGTGCAGTGGCTCATGCCTGTAATCTCAGCACTTTGGGAAGCCAAGGCAGGTGGATCACGAGGTCAGGAGATCGAGACCATCCTGGCTAACACGGTGAAACCCCGTCTCTACTGAAAATACAAAAAATTAGCTGGGCATGGTGGCAGGTGCCTGTAGTCCCAGCTACTCAGGAGGCTGAGGCAGAAGAATGGCGTGAACCCGGGAGGCGGAGCTTGCAGTGAGCCGAGATCGCGCCACTGCATTCCAGCCTGGGCGACAGAGTGAGACTCCATCTCAAAAAAAAAAAAAAAAAGGAAAGAAATAGCTAAAAACTTTTACAAAAGAGAAGTCAGAAGGTTCACCACAAAAAAGCCAACTAAATACAAGACAAAGAGGCAAAATTGGAGGAATTCAACAAAAAACAAATAAGACATGCAGAAAATATACAGCTATTTTGCAAAACTAACTCCTTCCTTTTCAGTAATTACTTTTAATGTAAAAGGATGTAAAGATATTTCATGTAACAGTAACCATAAGAGAGATAAGTGGCTATTTTATTATTAGATAAAATAGATTTAAACTCAAAAAGGTAAGAAGAGACCACAAAGACTGTAGTGATAAAAGGTCAATCCAGCAAGAAAATGTGACTGTAATAAATATATACAAAACAAACAAGAAAGTCCCCCAATCTATGAAGCAAAAAATGGACAGAACTGAAGGGAGAAATAGTGAGTGCCTTAATAAGAACTGGAGACACCAATAACCCATTTTCTTTTTTCTTTTTAATTTTTAAAAATAGAGACAGAGTCTCACTATGCTGCCAGGCTGGTCTCAAATTCCTGGGCCCAAGCAATTCTCCCGCCCCGGCCTCCCAAAGTTGCTGAGATTACAGGTGTGAGCCACCATGCCTGGCCAAGAATAAAATGTTTAGAAATAAATTTAACCAAGGAAGACGAAGACCTATACCCAGAAAACTACAGAACAGTGCTGGAAAAATAAATAAATGAATACATAAATAAAATAAAAAATTAAAGGTCTAAATAAATGCAAAGACATCCTGTGCTAATAGATTAGAAGACTTAATACTGGTAAGATAACAATATCACCCAAGGCAATATACAGATTCAGTCCCATTCCTATCAAAAGTACAATGGAATTTTTTAGAAATATAGATAAATGCAACCTAAAATTCACAGGAAATATCAAAAGCCAAAACAATCTTGAAAAAGAACAGAAATCAGACTTCTCAATTCTGAAACTTATTATAAAGTTACAGTAATGACAGAGTTACATGGCATAAGGCCAGACATACAGACAAATTAAATAGGATTGAGAGCCCAGAAGTAAGCCCTTGCATATATGGTCAGTTGATTTTTGACAAGGGTGCCAAAACCAATCTCTGGGGAAAGAACAGTCTCTTCAAAAATGGTACTGGAAAAACTGGATATTCACAAACAAAAGAATGAATCTGAATGTTTACCTTATACCACATGCAACAATTAATTTACAATGGATCAAAGATCTTAACTAAAGAGCTAAAAACTATAAGTCATGGAAGAAAATGCAGTAAAATTTTCTTTTTTTTAAGATGCAGTTTCACTCTTATTGCCCAGGCTGGAGTGCAATGGTGTGACCTCGGCTCATTGCAACCTCCACCTCCCAGGTTCAAGCAATTCTCCTGCCTCAGCCTCCCGAGTAGCTGGGATTACAGGCGCCCTCCACAACGCGTGGCTAATTTTTTATATTGTTAGTAGGGACAGGGTTTCACCATGTTGGTCAGGCTGGTCCTGAACTCCTAACCTCAGGTGATCCACTGTGCCCGGCTGAAAACACAGTAAAAAATTTTTATGAACTTGGATTTGGTTCCTTAATTATAACAAAAGTACTGTATAGGCAACAAAAGAAAAAATACACTGGGCTTCATTAAAGTGAAAACTTTTGTGCATCAAAGGCTACTTACTATCAAGAATGTAAATCATATACCTGATAAGAGATAAATACCCAAATATATAAAGAACTCTTACAACTCAATAACAAAAAGACAACCCAATTAATAAAAGGGCAAAGTCACTGGACATTTCTCCACTTAAATGTATGATTAAAAGTGGTAAAAAACTGCAAATTTTGCTATATATATTTACCACAATTAACAAAAAAATTGTTTCTGACACAATAACTTACTAATTTCCATAAAGTTATGTAACTACATTTTGAAAAACTTAAAAAAACAAACAAACAAAAAAAACCAGACTGGGTTTCCTGTCACCCAGGCTAGAATGCAGTAACTGGATCAGAGCTCACTGCAGCCTTCCACTCCTGGGCTCGGGCAATCCTTCCACCTCAGCCTTCCAAGTAGCTGGGATTACAGGTGAGACCCACCACACCCACCATGAAAAACATTAGTTGGAACTTCAAATTACATGGTAATTTAAACATTATGTTTAAAGATACACAAAAGTGGAAATGATTTCAGCAAGATAGTAGAACATCTAGAAAACATTTAAGACAAGAATACCATCTTTAATGCACCTGAAGTAGGGGGAGAAGAACTAAGTGATGCCACCACTGGTAAGAGAAACAGTTCAATTTCAGAGTGCACCACCCTGGTCTCCTAAACTGTCAGAACACCACTCGCACACAATTTCCCTAGACTCGTGGTTTCTGAGATGAGAGGAACTAGATGTGGAACTCCGAGCTCTCCACAAGTCTGGGAAGCCCACTCCAGTCCTGTCCCATGGGAACCACTGGGAGTGCTAGATGGGCAGAACCACCTGGGATGAACTGGGGACAAAGAGCAGGGCACTGACTGTGCTTAAACTCTGGTGACTACTCACTGCTCCAATCAGTGGGGACACCATGTTGAAGCTACTATGGAAAACAGTATGATGGTTCCTCAGGCTGGGTGTGGTGGCTCATGCCTGTAATCCCAGAAATTTGGGAGACCAAGGTGGGAGGATTGCTTGAGCCCAGGAGTTCAAGACTAGCCTGGGCAACATAACAAGATCGCATCTCTATAAAGAGAGAGAAAAAAAAAGGTTTCTCAAAAAAACAAAAACAGATCTGCCATATAATCCAGCAATCTCACTGCTGGATATATATCCAAAATAAAGGAATTCAGTACATCTTGGCCGGGCACAGTGGCTCATGCCTGCAATCCCAGCACTTCGGAAGGCCCAGGCGGGTGGATCACTTGAGGCCAGTAGTTGGGAGACCAGCCTGGGCAACATGGTGAAAACTGGTCTCTACTAAAAATACAAAAATTAGCTGGTTGTGGTGGTACACGTCTGTAGTGCTAACTCCTTGGGAGGCTGAGGCATGAGAATAGCTTTAAGTGGGGAGGCAAAGGTTACAGTGAGTTGAGATCATTCCACTGCACTCCAGCCAGGGCAACAGAGTAAGACACTTGTCTCAAAAAAAAAAAGGAAAAAAAGGAAAAAAAGAAAGGAAATTAGTAGATCTAAGAGATGGATGCATTTCCATGTTTACTGTAGCACTATTTACAACAGCCAAGATATGGAATCAACCTAAGTGTCCCTCAACAGATAAATTAATTAGGAAAATGGAGGATATACACACATACAATGAAAAATTACTCATCCATAAAAAAGAATGAAATTCTGTCATTTTCAGCAAAATGAACAGAACTTGAAGTCATTATGCTCAGTGAAATAAGCCAAGCCCAGAGACAAATATCGCATGGTCTCACTCATATGTGGGCACTGAAAGAGTGAAGGCCAGGCACAGTGGCTCACGCCTGTAATCCTAGCACTTCAGGAAGCTG
The DNA here is from genome assembly GCF_000001405.40 of Homo sapiens. Lineage (NCBI taxonomy): Eukaryota > Metazoa > Chordata > Mammalia > Primates > Hominidae > Homo > Homo sapiens. The sequence goes on from NC_000004.12 coordinate 39,860,837, forward strand.
AGGCAGGAGGGTCGCTTGAGTCCACGAGTTTGAGACCAGCCTGGGCAACACAGTGAGACCCCATCTCTACAAAAAATACAAAAATTAGCTGGGCATGGTGGCACATGTAGTCCCAGCTACTCAGGAAGATGAGGTAGGAGATTGCTTTAGCCCAGGAGGTCAAGGTACAATGAGCCCTGATCACACCACTGCACTTCAGCCCGGGGGATAGAGTAAGAACTTGTCTCATTAAAAAAAAAAAAAATAGAATAAAAATGAAGATCTTATACAGGCAGACAGTAGAAGGGTGGTTATCAGAGCCTGTCAAGTGTAGAAGGGAAGGGGGAATAAAGAGAGACTGGTTGCCAAGTGCGGTGGCTCACGTCTGTAATCCCAGCACTTGGGGAGGCTGAGGCAGGGGGATCACAAGGTCAGGAGAGCAGCCTGGCCAACATGGTAAAACTCCATCTCTAACAAAAATACAAAAAAAGATTTAGCCAGGAGTGGTGGCAGGCACCTGTAGTCCCAGCTACTCGGGAGGCTGAGATGGGAGAATCACTTGAACTAGGGAGGCAGATGTTGCAGTGAGCCAAGATCGTGCCACTGCACTCCAGCCTGGGCAAAAGAGCAAGACTCCATCTCGGAAAAAAATAAAGAGAGAGAGACTGGTTAATGGGTACAAAAATACACTTAGATACAAGGAATAAGTTCTGACATTTGATACCATGGTAGGGTGACTATAGTTAACAATAATTTATTTGTATTTTAAAAATTTTATTGTTACTATTATTTTTCAGAGACAGGGTCTCGTTCTATCACCCAGGCTGGCATGCAGTGGCTTAATCATAGCTCATTGCAGCTCCAATTGCCTGGGATGAAGAGGAAATGGATATCTTAATTACTCTGATTTTCTCATTACACATTGTATGCATGTACCAAAATATTACGTGTACCTCATAAATGTATACAATTATTATGTATCAAAATTTTTTAAAAGATATTTGAAAGTGTTGCATGCTAGAGAGAACAAAGAATAAAAAATATGCTCCACTGTTTTCAGTTCCAACTCCAATTATTTCACATACTTCAGTACTCTTCCCATATTCAAACCCTCTCAATATAAATAGTAAAAATCAAATATAATAACTAAGATAACCAAACTAACCTATTTCAAAGACTTAGATAGCTTAACTAGCTGCAAACAAACAGAAAATGAACAACCAAAACCTGGTAGATGGGAAAATTTTTGAAAGACGAAACTGGAAATTTATAATAAATGAATAAAACCATAAGGAGATTCTAATTCTAATGTAAATAATAAATAAAAATAATAAACAAAAAATTTACCATTTTTTGAAAACTAAACATAATTTTTAGAGTTCTTGAAAAACAACAAGACTTACTCTTTGATATCACGAAGCTGATCAACATCTTGTGATCTTGTAAAATCTGGATCATGGGCTAGCAGGTGAATCATGTATGGAACTACATATTCAGGCAACAGTGATAATAATTTCTCTGAAGTAAAAACATTATTAAAAACAACCTTTATAAAATGCCTTAGTGGACTGAGTTCTAACCACTTAAGTTTTCATTTTTTCCCTCAGTTATTTCTAAATTAGGCACAACATGATACCTGGATACTAAAATACTTTACACTTCACTTTTCAATTTCTTTTTCTGGTACCTGGTATGCAGTTGTATTTCACTTTTGAAAGATACTGAAGTCAAAGGTATCAGATATTAAACCCATTAAACAACAGGTCCCTGGCAAAGCTAGGAAAAAATTATTTAGTCTGACATCCGAGCAATATGTTCAAATTAAACTACACTCCTGATCCCATAGGAAAAATGCAGTTTGCCAGAGTTAATGCAGCATAAATAGGACTCAGGAGTTCAGTTTTTAAGTACATCATAACTACAATGACAGCATTCTATAAAACTCCCAGTTTTATTATAAACTATAATAGAAACACATGACAAGAAAAAAAAAACCTAAAAATGGATACATTGACAAAATATATTTGCACACGGAGAACTCTGAGTTACTTACCAGTAGCCATAGGATTCTGCTTAATGTATTCCCTGCGTATACTGATATTTTTCAGTAAACATTGTCGTGCGTGTGCTCTTCTCTCCTTCACAGGATCTTTGGCACACAAGGCAAAGATCGCCATATACTCCAATGGGAGCAGTAACTTCACAAGTGCCTTATGCAGCTTCTGAGCAAATATCTGCCTTACTTGGTAACACTCATCCTACAGCAGCACAGAAAAACTTAAATTGGCAACCATTTATTAAATAAAAAACAGCAGTTTAAGTATTTTTAGTGTCTTCAATTAAAAAGAAGATAATTATATGGGAGAATAAATAATGTAATAATTGGAAGACAGTTAAACAGGTAATAATAGTAGTGACTTTTGTGCATATATTCACATTATAAATGGATTTGTATCCATAGAAAAGTAATGTATTCAACTTTGAAGATAAGTAATTGACAAAAATAAGATTGTTACTTACATTAATAACAAGTGCACAGAGCTGAAACTGTTCTGGGGTAATAATTTCATGGTAACAAGGTTCCTGAGCAAGCTTCATTATGGCACTACCAGCAGCTAATCGCAAGCGAGACATATCAGATTTACTATAAACAAACAAAAAAGAAATAAACATTTCCTATAACCACTATCATTCATAAAAATGCTTTCGTCCCTTTTTGAATGTAAGGTCCTTAGAGCATAATTTATGTTTAAAATGACGTACAAATATGGGAAAGCTACTTTGAGTCCATGAACTTAACACAGGGGATTGTGACTTTCACAATCAAATCAAATCATTGTGACTTTCTGATTACAAATTTACCTGCCTTCATTTCTAGTCAAACTCTAGCTTAGATACTTCACCACAACCCAAAAACTCTGCTTATTCTTGCAACCATAGTAATTGCAAGGCTAGGAAAAACTCTTTACATCAGGAGCTGTATCCCTCATTTTAAGAGAAATACATATTGATTGTAGAAAACTTGATTAAAGTGGCCAGGCATGGTGGCTCACACCTGTAATCCCAGCACATTGGGAGGCCGAGGTGGACGGATCACGAGGTCAAGAGATTGAGACCATCCTGGCCAACATGGTGAAACCCTGTTTCTACTAAAAATACAAAAAATTAGCTGGGTGTGGTGGCACGCACTTGTAGTCCCAGCTACTTGGGAGACTCAGGCAGGAGAACTGCTTGAACCTGAGAGGTGGAGGTTGCAGTGAGCCAAGGTCGCACCACTGCACTCTACCCTGGCAACAGAGTAAGACTCTGTCTCAAAAAAAACAAAAAACAAAAAACAAAAAACAAAAAAACTTGATTAAAAAAACCACAAAGAATTAAAAAAAAAATCACCTATCATCATTTAAAATCTATTTCCTGCATATAAACATGTAACAGGAATCTAGTTTAATGCCTGCTGAAATGGCAGGGCTGCAGTTAAGAGTGAAGAAGTATCAGACAAATACCTAAAGGATATGAAATATAAGAGGCCAGTGTCTGTCTTAGGTACTAGTTCCTGGGGCTGATCTCCTTTTGCAGAGTAAAGTTTTCAAATGGAACCTATGAAGCCTTGGCACTCCCACCCCGACACTGTGGATTTTTATTACTTACGTGGTAAAATGTGGTAATGAATGGGATGGCATGGGAGTCTTTCTACTTCGACTTCTATGTGGAACATAGCATGGCTTTTGTATTTATTGTGACCACTTTACGAAATGCAGAAAGCTAGCCGGAACCCACTGGGACTGTTGCTAAGCATAGAGAGAAGAAAACCTGGCACTCTTGGACAACAGGATTGTTAAAATGAGCACTGGTAACAATGAGGGAGCCTCAAATGGTTTCTATGGCATTCATTCAGGAATCAAAGTTAATAGCTATTATGTGAGTGCTTACTCCGTGCCAGGCAGGTGTGAAAAACACTTTATAGGCTTTATCTCAATTAATTTTCACTCCATAAGATGAGGAAATTGAGGCTTACAAAAGGTAATACTATATTATATGATATCCAGTTAGGATCTGTCCAATGGGTGTTCATTCTATGGTTAACCATTCCCCTATTTTTTGTGATGGAAAATAATGCTGGAGGAACATGCTTGTGTATAAGCTTTCATATGATTCTTTTATACTCATGAATTATGAGTGTAAAAATAAAGAGTCAAGGATAACATTTTTGAGGATCTAGATGCAAAATGCCAAAGAGTCCTGCTAATTTATACTCATAGGAGTAATGAAGGAACCCATTTCCATGATCATACTGAGGAATGATTGCTTATAACGTTTTTTTTTCTTTCTGATTTGTAATGAAAAGAGGTATTGATTAAGTTTAAATTGTATTGACTGCATTTAGTGATGTTAAACTTTTAAAAGTAAACTGATAATAGCTAAACTTCATCTCCACTGGGGGTCCTGCCTAGGTATCACTGACTTGTAAGAGCTCATTATTATGCCTTTGCCATGTACTGTACATAATTACCCCCAATTTAAAGCTTTCATTATCCCTAACTCAGCTCTAAACAGTGTTATAAAAGGCTGCCTTTGGCTTATTCTATGATAAAAATAGAGCGTAGTGGTGCACACCTATAGTCCCACTACTCAGGAGGCTGAGGCAGGAGGATTGCTTGAGCCCAGCTAGCCTGGGCAACATAGTGAGATCCCATTCCTAATCACAATAATTTTTAAAAAAATTAATAGCATAGCAGTACCACATAACTAGCCAAAGCTGGAGTACAATGGCGTGATCTTGGCACACTGCAACCTCCACCTCCTGGGTTCAAGTGATTTTCATGCCTTAGCCTCCCCAGTAGCTGGGATTATAGGCACGTACCACCACACCTGGCTAAATTTCTATATTTTTAGTAGAGACAGGGTTTCAACATGACCTCAATTGATCTGCCTGACTTGGCCTACCAAAGTGCTGGGATTACAGGCGTAAGCCACTGCACTCAGCCTCATAAAGAATGATTAAACCTCTGTCCTCTAAAACAAATTTTTAAAAAGGAATGCATCATATGTAGAATACTTTAGTTATCTATGTTGGTAATCTTGGCCCCTACTAAATCAAGAATTTGACAGAAACCAGGATCATGAAAAACTGAGCTTCTATTTTCATCTTAAAATGAGATGGCAATTTTAGAGATTAAAAGTGAAAATGTGTAACAATGTAAACAATCTCTGTGTGCACATACAAGTGTACACACCCAAATCTGTAGAACAACAAGAAGGCTTCAACTCTCCCTTGAGTTGCCATTGCAATTTTTATTTTTATTTATTTATTTATTTTGAGACAGGCTCTCGCTCTGTTGCCCAGGCTGGAGTGCGGTGGCACGATCTCAGCTCACTGCAACCTCTGCCTTCTGGTTTCAAGCGATTCTCCTGCCTCAGCCTCCTGAGTAGCTGGGATTACAGGCATGTGCCACCATGCCTGGCTAATTTTTGTTTTTTGTTTTAGTAGAGACGGGGTTTCACCATATTGGCCAGGCTGGTCTTGAACTCCTGACCTCGTGATCTGCCCGTCTCGGCCTCCCAAAATGCTGGGATTACAGGCATAGGCCACCGCGCCTGGCTGCCACTTAAATTTTTATTACTTTCATGGGACTCAAGTCACTCCACTTATTTAATCGCTTTAATACAGGGATGCTCTTTGAAGGCAGGGACTTTTCCTACTTATTTTTGCTGCAATGCTTTTCACAGTGTTTTATGAAGTAGAAGTTTAACAAATACTTGTTTAATTGAACCAAATGTTGATGCTAACTGTAATAGTACAATATAGTGATTATGATTATGTATTTACTGGAAAAAGTTCCTCTTCTTTAGGAATGAAGAAAAATATATTGGCACTATTAAAATAACAATACTGACAGACAGACAAACCCTAAATGAGTACATAAGATCTGACCCTGAAGATCATGGTGTAATTACACCATTCAGTATTCATTAGGTAAATAATTCCTATGTAAATTCCACCAAAATTTCAGCACTAAGAAAACTGGAAAGAAAGAAAAATCTCACCTGATCCTCTTTTGCTCTGTCAGGTCACCCTCACTAACCAACATCGCTGATAATAACCGAAGGGTTGAATTGGCAGATTTAGACTGGTTGTTTTTCATACCCAACAGCCACCTTACCAGAAGTTTAATTGCCTGTACCTATAAAATATTAACATGCTAAAAAAAGAAAGCAACTTAAAATTCCAATTAAAGGGAAAATTAATTTAATTAGATTAATGAGATTACTCATCTCCATCAGCAGACATTTTATTAAATAAGTCTATGGGATAATAACAGCAACAATACGAACTAATATTTACTCTGTGCTTAACCAGTGCCAGGCACTTTTCTTAGATCTGTAAATGTATTAACTTATTTAATCTCCCAAAAAATTCTTATGAGGAAGATTTTTTTTTTTCCAACAGATAAGGCAATTGAGACACATTATTATCATAGATAACTTGCTTAAAAGTCTGGTTCCAGAATTTAGGCTTCTCATACTTAGATGTTTGTGCAAGATTTTGAAACTATTTGAAAACATATACTTTAAAAACAACAATTTAAACTATACAGGCCGGGGGTGGTGACTCACGCCTGTAATCCCAGCACTTTGGGAGGCCAAGGCAGGTGGATCACTTGAGGTCAGGCGTTTGAGACCAGCCTAGCCAACATGGTGAAACCGTGTCTATACTAAAAAACCCCGTCTCTACTAAAAAAAAAAAAAAAAAAAAATTAGTCAGGCATGGTGGCACACGCCTGTAGTCCCAGCTACTCAGGAGGCTGAGGCATGAGAATTGCTTGAACCCGGGAGGCAGAGGTTGCAGTGAGCTGAGATTGTGCCACTGCACTCCAGCCTGGGTGACAGAGCAAAACTCTGTTTCATAAAAAAACCAAAACACACACACACACACACACACACACACACACACACACACACCCCACAACTGTACTGATTGTGGTGACTGAAAATAACTTGAGAGTTTCAGTTTTGTGGTATTGAAAAACTACTTTGAAGAAACCATCAAGTCTGATTCAGTCTCATTTAACATTGTGACCAAAAAAATGGGATTTTGTGTAATTATTGGTAGTCATAATTACTTAGAAATGTCTAGTCAAAAGATTGTTACCAATATATGTGAAAAAGCTAGCCAAAAAATCAAAGTATTATTTATTATATTTATTGACAACCTGGAAAAATGAACTGATAGAATATATGATGACTACAAAGCAACACAAAGTGAAAGATTATCAAAGAAGATGATACAATCTTATTTTAAATCCCAAATCTGCCACTTTTCAACTGAGCTTTACATCTATTAAATGTCACAAATTTAGTAACAATCATCTCTATCTGCTCTGTCACCCAGGCTGGAGTGTACTGGCATGATCACAACTCACTGTAGCCTTGACCTCCTGGGCTCAAGCGATCCTCCTGCCTCAGCTTTCTGAGTAGGTGGAACTATAGGTATGCACCACCACACCCGGCCAAATTATCATTATTATTATTTGAGACCGAGTTTCACTCTGTTGCCCAAGCTGGAGGGCGGTGGCGGGACCTTGGCTCACTGCAACCTCTACCTCCCAGGTTCAAGTGACTGTCCTGCCTCAGCCTCCGAAGTAGCTGGGATTACAGATGTGCAACACCATGCCTAGCTAGTTTTTGTATTTTTAGTAGACAAGGGGTTTCACCATGTTGTCCAGACTGGTCTTGAACTCCTGACCCCAAGTGATCTGCCTGCCTCAGCCTCCCAAAGTGCTGGGATTATAGGCGTGAGCCACCATGCCTAGCCCAACTAAATTATTTTTAATATTTTGTAGAGACATGGCTCACTATGCTGCCCAGGTTGGTCTTGAACTCTTGGGCTCAAGCGATCCTCCTGCTCTGCCTCCCAAAGTGCTGGGATAATAGGTGTGAAAAACAAATCAAAGTATTATTTATTATATTTATTGACAACCAGGAAAAATGAATTGATAGAATATATGATGATGATGAAGCAACACAAAGTGAAACAGATTATCAAAGAAGATGATACAATCTTATTTTAAATCCCAAATCTGCCACAGTGCCCAGCTTGACAATTACCTATCTTTGCCAAGTTAATATTCATATGCTTGTAGATAGTGGTGATGAGGCTGGATTTAAGATGCCTCTGAGCACCGTCATTCTATAAACAGTCTCTCTATAAAACAGCCTCATTAAGATTGCTTTAGCAGGCAGAAGACACTGACATGTAATAAACAATGACAACCACAATGTCTTCAATAAACCATTTTTTGCAATGGATTTTAAAATAAAGTACCTCCTTAACAAATGCTTATTAACTATTAGGTTTAATTAAAAAAGGCTCCCAGCTAGGCACGATGGCTTAAGCTCATAATCCCAGCACTTTGGGAGGCTGAAGTGGGAGGATCAGCTGAGCCCAGGAGTTCAAGACCAAACTGAGCAACACAGCAAGATCCCATCTCTGTTTATTAAATTTTTTAAAGGTGAGGAAGATAACTACAAAATGTCCCTTTTTTAAACATGAAGATTATCAAGGCCTAAACAAATTTACCTTTGCTAGTACTTCAGGGGAAACCTCTTCATCTGGAGACCACAGTTTTCCATTCTTTTCACCTGTTGACTATAGACAATTGAATAAATTTAGCTATTAGCATGAAAAAAAAAATTTATGTTTTTGCTGATTAAGTTTTTCATGTTGATCAACACAGCCTCTGAGAAACCTACGGGAACATCACCAACCAGAGCTTGGAAAAGGACAAAGTTAGAAGACTCATACTTCCCAATTTTGAAACTTACTATAAAACCTACAGTAATCAAGACAGTGTGGCTGGTACTGGCAAGGATAGACATATAGACTAATGGAATAGAGAACTCAGAAAACCCTTGCATATATGGTAATTCATTTTTGACAAAGGATGCCAAGACCATCTTTAGTGAAAGAACAGTCTCTTCAACAAATGGTGCTAGAAAAACTGGATATTCAGCCGGGTGCAGAGGGTCAAGCCTGTAATCCCAGCACTATGGGGGGATGAGGCAGGTGGATCACTTGAGGTCAGGAGTTTGAGACCAGCCTGGCTAACATGGCAAAACCCTGCCTCTTCTAAAAACACAAAAAAATTAGTTGGGCATGGTGGTGCATGCCTGTAGTCTCAGCTACTCGGGAGGCTGAGGCTGGAGAACTGCTTGAACCTAGGAGGCAGAGGTTGCAGTGAGCTGACATTGCGCCACCTCACTCCAGGCTGGGCTACAGAGTGAGACTCCATCTCAAAAACACAAAAGCAAAACAAAAAAACTCCTGGATATCCACAAGAAGCAAACACACAAACAAAAAAAGAAACTAGATTGTTAATACATATAAGAATTAACTCAGAATTAATCAAATATCTCAATTTAATAGCTAAAACCATAAAACTCTGAAAAGATGACATAGGAAGAAATCTTCATGATCTTGGATCTGGTAAATAGCTGACAAAGGTTTAATATACAGAAAATGTAAATAACTCTTAAAACTCAACAAGAAGCAACCCAACTAAAAGTGGGTGAAGGCAGCATGGGCAACATGGCGAAACCCTGTCTGTATAAAAAAATACAAAAATTAGCCAGGCATGGTGGCGTGTGCTGATAGTCCCAGCTACTCAGGAGGCTGAGGCAGGAGATATTGCTTGAGCCTGGGAAGCGGAGGTTGTGATGAGCCAAGGTTGCGCTAGTGCACCCCAGCCTGGGTGACAGAGTGAGACCATGTCTCAAAATAAAATAAAATAAAATAAAATAAAATAAGAGTGGGGTGGGGGAAGGAATTTAATACACAGCTCTCCAAAGAAGATATACAGGTAGTCAATAAGCACACAAAAAATATCCTTGACATCATCATTCATCAGGAAAATGCAAATCAAAACCACAATGAGATATCACTTCTTATCCACTAGTATGGCTGTTGCTTTTTTAAAAAGGAAAATGACATGTAACCCAACAATGTTATTCCTAGATATATACCCAAGAAATGGGAGAACAGGAACATAAATGTTTATATCAGCATTATTCACAACAGCCAACACGTAGAAGCAACCCAAGTGTCCACCAATCAACAAAAAAATGTGGGATATATACAAACAAAAATATACATATAAAAGAACACTGCTTAGCCACAAAAGGAACAACATTCTGATACATACTACAACATGGAAGAGCCCTGAGAACATGCTAAGTGAAATACAACAGACACAAAAGGACAAATATCATATAAGAGATACCTAGAATAGGTAGTCATAGAGTCAGAAGGTAGAACAGAGGGCAATGGAGAGTTGTTGCTTAATGGGTACAGAGTTTCTGTATGGGGTGATAAAAAATTCTGGAGATGGATGGGGTGGTGATGATTAGGTAACAATGTGGCTATTATGTTAGTGAATTTTAACACTTAAAAATAGCAAATTTGATACTATGTATAGTTTATCACCATAAAAAAAGACCGTCTGAAAACACAATCTATCAACAATCATCATTTAAGAGGTATCTTAAATTTCACATTTGTTGAAAACCACATCTATCGAAAGTAAAAATAACAGCAAGGATATGTAAGGGTAGAAAATGAGACTTAGGCCACGTTCTTCTCTTCTTGTCTGCTGCGTTCAAAAGTGGAAGGTGGTACAAATACAGAAGGGGCACTAGCAGGTGTCTTTAAGTTCCTGATACTGAGGCCTCAAGATTACCGAAACATGTGAGAGTTAGGAACTTTGGATAAGCTGGATTTGTGGCAAACTAACACTTAAATGAAAGTCATCCACAATGATCCAGCATATCTGTGTCTTTATTCAATAACAACAGATTTAATTTAGATCCATTTGGTAAAGCAGTGATTCTTTTATTTATTTATTTATTTTTTTGAGACAGTCTTGCTCTTGTCGCCTAGGCTGGAGTGCAATGGTGCAATCTTGGCTCACTGCAACCTCTGCCTCCCGGGTTCAAGCGATTCTCCTGCCTCAGCCTCCCGAATAGCTGGGATTACAGGCACTCGCCACCAAGCCCGGCTAATTTTTTTGTATTTTTAGTAGAGACAGGGTTTCACCATGTTGGCTAGGCTGGTCTTGAACTCCTGACCTCAGGTGATCCACCCACCTCGGCCCCTCAAAGTGCTAGGATTACAGGCGTGAGCCACCAAGCCCTGCCAGTAGTGACTCTTAATCAAGGTGTGTTTCCGAAATCATTTGGGGAGTCTTTTCAATCTATACATTCCAACCCAGAGGTAATAAATCAGAGCACACAGACATCAATAAATCTAGTGCCAAAAGTACAGTGTATTATCTTAAAAATTAGTCAAATTCAAGTCCACTTACTTTTTTTTTTTTTTTTTTTTTGAGACAGAGTTTCGCTCTTGTTGTCCAGGCTGGAGTGCAACTGTGCAATCATGGCTCACTGCAACCTCTGCCTTCTGGGTTCAAGTGATTCTCCTGCCTCAGCCTCCTGAGTAGCTAGGATTACAGCTGCCGTCACCACACCCGGCTAATCCACTTACATTTCTAACAATGTTTGATAAAACAAATTTTAGCCCGGCATGGTGGCTCACACCTGTAATCCCAGCACTTGGAGAGGCCAAGGCGGACGGATCACCTGAGGTCAGGAGTTCAATATAAGCCTGGCCAACATAGCGAAACCCCGTCTCTACTAAAAACACAAAAATTAGCCAGGCGTGGTGACAGGCACCTGTAATCCCAGCTACTTGGGAGGCTGAGGAATGAGAGGAGGCCAAGGTTGCAGTGAGCCGAGATCGTGCCACTGCATTCCAGCCTGAGGCACAGAGCGAGACTCTTGTCTTCAAAACAAAAAACAAAAATAACCCAATTCTAACATTCCAGAAAATGATAAACTGTCTTTTGAGGGTCAGGAAAATAGCTTTTACTTATATGTAACTTTCATGATTCACCAATCCCGTGTTCTAATTTTTGTTTCTTAAGTGTGAAATTCTAGTAGTAATAGCTACCATGAAATAAGGAAGTAGTTTCGAATTTAAATAAATAAAAAATAAGTAGAACCAATATAGAATAATTTAAAAGAAAAAGAGAATTACACAGAAACAGAAGTGTTTCTGTGATGAAGATGTAAACAGCCTTAATCTCATGATTCTCAATTTAATTAAATGAGAAACTTACCCTGTCATTCATTAGCAGATCTTTCACAATAAAATTTGCTACTACAGATTTCATTGGGGAAGCAAACTGATCTGGTGCTAACATAGAAATGTGGCCCAATGAAACTAATGGAGTTATAAGTTGTTCTGGCACATCAGCATTCAGACTCCTACTGAGTGGCTATAAAAATAAAACAGACAAAATTACCAATTTGTTTGATAAATATCTAGACACTCTACTGAAACAGTACATTTTCCTGAGTCCTCCTGAATTTACCATGCCCAAACCAATCTTCTCTAATACGATCATAACTAACTTCAACCATGTTAAGACACCTGGTTCTTAATTCACCTACTAAAATTTAGCAAGATTGAAAGAATGTAGAAAAAAGATAAAAGAAAAAATAAAATCCAACAAAAAGAAGTTTAAAGAAAAACATTTTTGCTTCATCAAATCAGCATTATTTTTGACTAATCTACAACAATGGATTTGCTATACCAGTGGTTTTCTTACCCTGTGGAAGCATTTTAAATGACCTTAAATCATACAAAGTAAGAGTTCACTGGGTTTTGGTCACACTATCTCCAATTTATGATAATAGGAATACATTTCTAATAGTAAAATGAGGCCAGTCATTATATGTAAAAAAAAGGGAAACAGGATTAATTTTCAGGTAGGGTTCTTAGGTACTTTAAACTGGATTGTTCAAAATTATCTACTAATACTTTCCGAGGATAAATGCACCACTGAACCAATAAGGCTAAAATTAAGTAAAATGTTCTAACATAAACACATAAGGCTAGGTGTGGTGGCTCATGTGTGTAATCCTAGCACTTTGAAAGACTGAAGTGGGTGGATCGCTTCAGTCCAGGAGTTTGAGACCAGCCTGGGCAACATGGCAAAACCCCATCTCTATAAAAAAATCCAAAAATTAGCTAGGCATGGTGGTGGTGCCTGTACTCTCAGCTACTTGGGAGGCTGAGGCAGAAGGACTGCTTGAACCTAGGAATTCGGGGCTGCAGTGAGCAGAGATTGCATCACTGTACTCCAGCACTGGTGAGAAAGTGAAACTTTATCTCAAAAACAAACTAAAAAACAAAAACCACAAAACCCTTCAATATGAGGTGTTTGAACATATAATCTGATCTACAGGCTGGGAATGCAGTACCACATAAAATAGACAGAATCCTTGCTCACAAGGAATTTATAGTCTAAGGTAGGACTTCATATAAACAGCTTTAAAAAATCTAGCTTCCATCTTCATCAAACTATAGAGCTTAAAAAATAAAGACCAATATAAACACAACCTATATATTAGATATACCTCAAAAATCTGTGCAAGCTGGACTTCTTTATTTGTGAATATGGCGTGTATACAGTGCACAGCCTGTTTTGCTTGGTGTGGAGTACCCCTCTTTGCTTTTTGATGTAAAATGGGAATTAAGGTCCTGCAAAAAATAATATAGTTGTTTTTTTTTCTTAAACCCATAAACCAACAAGTATTCCTTTGGTTGACTTCCACTTCCCCTATATGGATGGATGCTAGTAGAGAAGGCTCTCTTAAAAATTATCTGATCTAAAGAAAGTTGTAAAAAAGCTCCATCTCTGCCCCCAAGTATAAACCAAGAAATACAATGCCTCAAGAAAAAGCCTACTTCAGGAGACAATTTTTATTTTAAAGTTACCTCACAAATATGCAAAATAACAAGCAACCCTTAATTCATAATCTAAAGCTTACCCCATGACATATTTTTGCATTTACCTTCTAAGTAGCAATATTGCTAATTTTTCAATTCCCTTTTATAATCCCCTTCAGTTATTTCAAAGTAGCTACAGAAAGAGAGTAGCAAAAGGCCAAGTTGTATTAAACAGCTGAAATAATACTAGTGAAAGAAAGTATGCAAAGATACAGCTACATATATATCAGTAGAATGGCAATAAAAATATCTAACTATTATGTGCCAGGCACCATTCTAGGTATTTCCGCATGGATTAATTCAACTAATGTTCACATCCACCCAAAGAAGACTATCATAGTCATTACACAGATGAGAAAATTAAAGCACAAAGATGTTATTTAAGCCTCCTAAGATGACGAAGCTAGGAAACTGGGAGTTGGGATTTGAAAATTAGCATTTCTTTCAAAATCCACATACTTAACCTCTACACTGACAATGAAGAGTAAACTAAAACAGTCTTCTTTTAGGATGACAGAAAAACATAAAGCATTCTTCAAAAATTAAATGTTGATGACATGAAAAAGCATTAGGTAGAATGAAGAAAATAGTGTGCATATATGAACTTATAAAAAATAGACAAACACATCTAGTAGATGAACATTCATAGAAAGTATATATATCAAATGTTAATGGTGACTATTTCGTTATATTTTTTCTAGTTTCAGTTTGCTACAATGAACGTAAGTATTTTTATAATCAGAATAAAATTGATAAAACGAAACAAACATTTAAGGAAAGATATTTGTCATATATTTAATGTTATTAGAGAAGAGCCTATTTTATAAAGTTAGTGGCATCAAATGCAAGGGTGACAATGCCCTCTTATGATAATGGAAGGCTACATATGAAACCTATACTGCAGGCTCCAGGCCATGCACTTTAACCAAAAATGGGAACATATGCTAGTTGGTATGAATCTGATTTGACATGTATAAATATGCCTGAAGTTTGCCTCTATGGACTTTGGAATTATGAGATAGGGATGTCCATGACCAAACAGACTTCCTTGACTGAGTATTGACTATGCTTCTAAATGGAAGATGTCTTTCCTCTCTCCTATCTGTTTAGTCTTTCACCATTCCATTTACCAGACTGAGATTTCTTATAACACTGGTGAATGACAAAGGAAGATAGTTTCAATCAAACTGTTGTTAAATGTATTATTATTATTAGCCAAATAAAATAATACAGAAAGTCAACTTTAACCTTTCTTCTTGTTTTTTCTAGAGCAGTATAATCTAGTGATGCCATCAGAGTTGTTATTGAGGTCTTTAGCATTGTGCTTTTCTGCTTTCCAGTGATTATCTCCTTTCTTCTCCATTGGTCTTATGAATAAGGTATTTTATTCCTCACATCCAAAGTTAACTCTTCCACCTATGCTCATTTTCAACTGTGTCCTTTGGGGTAGAATTCCTCTAAGAATAGTTTCTTTGCCTTGAAAAAATGTATAGGATTTCCTCCCTTGAAAAACTCATCAAAAACTATCCTATTGTGTCAGTGATCTTTTTCTAATAATGTATAAAATTTATTATTTCTAGTCTATAAACTCCTTGAGGGCAGGGACTAATTGTGGTAACTTTTTATTATTAGCCAGAACAATGCGGAGAATGAAGAGAATGTACAATGGACACTGAATTATTTCACAAGTTAAACTATTAGCTCACAAATTTAATAAAAACTTCAGGAGACTGCTTGTTCTATGATTATCATGTGAGGAAAATGGTATGTAGTTGAATATACTCTGAACTAATTGCCAATACCCTGAACATATGATTCAACTGCCATTTGCAATGTATTGTTTCCTTCAAAAGATGTCTTCTGCATATTTTAAGTCTAAATATAACATCTCAGCACAAGTTTCACCTTAACCTTTTTAAGATGCCAAAGTGAACTATTTGCCCCATTTTTTGGTAGGATAGCAAAGTGACAGTTATTGAATTTATAACCCATTTATAGAAAAAAAGATGAATATACATGGATTAGAAAGACATTAGTCATAAATATAATAAAACACTAAATTCTGTGATAACTTTTGATTCTTAATATCTTAAAATACTTTTGTTATAAACAAACATGTAGTTTCAGTTTATTCTGCTGCCTGCATTCTAATGGTGGGAGAGGGGTGTGAAGCAAGGGAAAGACAAAGCAGAGGAGGACACAGAAAAGTAGCTTCTAAATCAAAGTTGTCTTTCTTCCCTCCTATCTTCCTACACAGAAGGAAAACAATGATTTTATGGTTCCCATACTTAGAAACTTTTGTATTTACCACGGGAGAAAAAATGTACTCACGATCGTATCTGGGGAAGGTCTGTTTCTATTTTGTGACCTGTATTTCTAAAAATTTGAATAGCAGCTTCTGCTACCTTGTCATCCTCCATTCTTAGGCACTGTAACAAGGACTCATATGTCTCTGCAGAGTGGAACGAGGTAGGATGTGTAAAAGACAGAACCTGAAAAAACAGATACAGCTTTAGAAGTACAGACAATGGTTTTAATCCATTAAAAAAGAATTACTTCCCGCAAAAGAAAAAAAAAATTAAATTCTGGGGTAAATATGCTAGCTACACAGAATAGAGATACATCTCCTAGCCGTCCTTGCAGTTAGTTATGGCTAATCAGAAATACTGTATGGTGTGGTAGCTTCCAGTTATTCCTTGACACAACTAACAGACAGCCTTTGTCCTATTTTCTTCTTCACCTCTTAGTCTACTCTGCTACTTAGAACACAAAACACATGGCTCCTTTTTTATGGAATGTGATTTACAATATTAATAACTATTATCAGTTTATAAATATATTGTATTTAGGTGAAGGAATGCTTACTTGAGATAAAACCTCCATACGTAATGACTCAATCTTTGTGTAACGTAAACAAAATGCAAACTCAGAGCTTTCTTTGACTGGCAAAAAGATAATCTATGAGAATTTTTTTTTTTCTTTTTTTGAGACAGGATTTCACTCTGTCACCTAGGCTAGAGTACAGTGGAATGTCACAGCTCACTGGGGTCTCAACCTCCCACCTCAGTCTCCTGAGCTGAGACTACAGGTGCACCACCATGCCCGGCTAAATTTTTTGTTTTTTTTGTAGAGATGAGGTCTAGCTATGTTGCCCAGGCTGGTCTCCAACCCCTGTGCTCAAGAGATCTTCCTGTCTTGGCTGGGATTACAGGCGTAAACCATTGTACCCAGCCAAAAAAATATCTGAAGTGAAATCTATCACTCAACATAATTATCAACAAAGAAGCCACTATTGTGAACTTTTAATTATGATTACAATATATAATTATTCCCTTATTATAACACCAGCACGAGCCTGTCCTTAAATAACTTTTAGCAAGTTAGATACATGTCTAAAGAGTTAACCTTCCATAAAGTAGAAACAATTCAGTTAGTGTAGTATCAAGATTAGGAAAATAGAGAAGCAGGGAGAAAGGGGAATGAGCAGATGGTCTTCATTAATTTTTCAATAAGCACTTATTTAATGGTCATTAAGTGTAGACACTGTCTCACTTGGCAAGGTTTGGAGTGATAATATTTACTTACGTGGTTTTAATTATTTACAGAAAATTGGAGAATTAAATTAGAAAAATGTAATAAAAAGCAATCTACTGGCCGGGCGCGGTGGCTCACGTCTGTAATCCCAGCACTTTGGGAGGCCGAAGCGGGCTGATCACAAGGTCAGGAGATCGAGACCATCCTGGCTAACATGGTGAAACCCCATCTCTACTAAAAATACAAAAAAAATTAGCCAGGCATGGTGGCGGGAGCCTGTAGTCCCGGCTACTTGGGAGGCTGAGGCAGGAGAATGGCGTGAACCTGGGAGGCGGAGCTTGCAGTGAGCCGAGATCATGCCACTGCACTCCAGCCTGGGCAACAGAGCAAGACTCCATCTCAAACAAACAAACAAAAAAAAGCAATCTATTAAAAAATGTTACCTTAAAGGTGGTTTCACTTTTAAAACAACTTAAAAATACAACTCAATTACTAAAAACAATTAAAATCTTATTCATGAGGCATCATATCAATTCTATTAATGAAATGATTTTTTTTTCTTTTCTTTTTCGACAGTCTCACTCTGACGCCAAGCTGGAGTGCAGTGGTGTGATCTCAGCTCACTGCAACCTCCACCTCCTGGGTTCCAGTGATTCTCCTGCCTCAGCCTCCGAAGTAGCTGTGACTACAGGCGTGTGCCACCACGTCTACCTAATTTTTGTATTTTTAGTAGAGACGGGGTTTCCCCATGTTGGCCAGGATGGTCTCGATCTCTTGACCTTGTGATCTGCCCGCCTCGGCCTCCCAAAGTGCTGGGGTTACAGGCATGAGCTGCCGAGCCCAGCTGAATGAAATGATATTTAAGACCCTTGGAATATGATCCCATCATTCTTTTTCTATCTAACATCCATTGCACTGGTTTGTCTCTTCTCCTGTATGTCACAGTGGTATCATGTCTCTTTGCCTTCAATTTCTTCCCTTCTTTTACTCAATCCAATGAAAGCTCTATCAAGGGCTGCAGCTGGTTGTAAGCCAGGTTAAAAGCCCGTGACACTACCTTTCTTACCCAGTGGCACTCGACAATCTGGAACCAACCTTGTCTCCCATCATTCCCCAAAGCACCCCTTTTTTCTAGTCATGCCAGTCTCCCAAGAATCCCACAAATATACCAAGAAATACTCCCTTTAATGATGATATTCCCTCCTCTAGATTTAGTCACATACCCTGTCCACAAAGTCTAAAGTCACATCTTGCTATTACTAAGTTAAGAATAGATTGTACAGTAATCACTACCAAGCATAGAAGGCATGGAAATGATAAACAGTGAAACAAATATTAATTTATAATGTAAAATAATTACATTATTATATTATGTTGTAAAAACATTACTTTTACATCATCTAATTTCCAACACAAGTTTTAAATCTTTCAAATAGTTTCCTGTGAAATAAGCCTGACTCTTGCATATCCTGAAGGGAAGGCAAATTATGACCCCACGGAAATACATGGCAACAAAACTGTTTCAAAAATACCTTAAGAAGTTCAAGTCCTGAACGGATAGCTGTATCTGGACTTACACCCTCCTCTTCATCATCTGCTGTCCCCTCTATTGACTTATTCATCAATTTCACTAGTGCACTATAAAAAGAAGAAAATATAAATCAGTAACCACTGTAGTAGTAACTATATCCTAATCACACTGTGACAGAACATATATAGAACCTTAAAATATTAAATTCAAAGGAGTTTCTGTGGGGGAAAAAAGTTCAACCTTGTCCTCTACTTGATAACTAAACTTCTACTTAGTTTATCCCCCTAAAAAACTTAATGTATAAGAGTAACTCTTCTAAAAAATAACAAAACTAAAATTAAATGACACAGCACTCTGGTAATATATTCACATAAGTAATTTAATATTCATTTCCATATATACAGAGATCATTTTCAGTTTTAAGAAAAATAATAATATAGTAGTTGCTAAGTGAGCAATGACAACTGACTCAAAAAAATACAAATAATAAACATACACATGGACAAATGAATTAATCACTGATAATTTACTGAATCAGTAACTTTATTTCTATAAACTTACAGCAAAGAAGCAAGTCATTGGAAGCATCATGCTGTATTTATAAAGATTCATTAATTAGGAACAATTTAATTGTCAAAAATTAAGGAATTAGTTTTTCAAAATACCTACCACCAGGAAATAGAATATTATCTGGTCAATAAAAATCAGATGATGTAGCAACATGGTACTATTTTAAGTAAAAACAAATGTGACTTCTGGTTTTGAGATCAGTAAACTGAAGAAGATATTACCCTATTATGAGAACATTCAATTATTATTACAAATGTTCAAAACAAGATTTTGGCTAATTTTTTTTTCCTTTGGTGTTATGTCAAAGTATTCATTAAAAAAAATTTAAGTACCAAATATGCATAGGATGCAGATGTTGAAATTCTTTTCACTTATAAAAAATTAACAAAAATTATAAATATTCATGGGGTACACAGTGATGTTTCCAGACATATAATGCATGGTGATCAGATCAGGATAATTAACACATCCATTATCTTAAACACTTATCATTTCTTTGTGTTGGGAACATTCAATATTGTCCTAGCTATTTGAAACTATGTTATTGTTAACTATAGTCATCCTACTGTGCTATGGAACACTAGAATTCATCCACCCATCTAGCTGTGATTTTGTATCCTTTTTTGTAATTTTGTATTTCTCCCTAATCCTCCCTTCCCACTACCTTTTCCAGCTTCTTGTTTCCTCTGTTCTGTTCTTTGCTTCTGAGAGATCTACTTTTTTTTTTTAGCTTCCACCTACCAGTGAGAACATCTGGTATTTAACTTCCTGTTCCTGGCTCATTTCACTTAACATAATGTCCTCCAATGCCATTCATATTGCTGCAAATGACAGCATTTCATTCTTTTTTTTATGGCCGAATAGTATTCCATTTATTTATGTACCATATTTTCTTTACCCATTCATTCCTTGGACACAGGGTGATACCAAATCTTGGCTATTGTCAATAATGCTGCAATAATAATGAGTATACGGATATCCCTGATAAACTTATTTCTTTTGGATGTATACCTAGTAGTGGGATTGCTGGATCATATGGTAGTTGTATTTTTTAGTTTTTTTTTTTTGAGGACCCTCCATACTGTTCTCCATAATGGCTGTATTAACTTACAGATGTTGAAGTTTAAACTAAGTTTAGCACTTACTTTCCTTTCCCTCTTACATCACAAGAATTATTTTAAAATTCATTATCTTCAGTTAATCTGATAACATTAAAAAAACAAATTGCTGTATATGTGTATAAACATTAACTTAAAGTATAATATACCACACAATTCCCTGAATTAAAATGTACAACTCAATGGTGTTTACTATATTCACAAGGTTGTACCACCTAACTGTAGAACATCCCATCACTATCCTAAGTCAAACCCCTTACCTGTTAGCAGGAACTCATTCACCATTACTCCCTCCAGCCCTAGGCATTTACTAATCTATTTTCTCCCCTAAACACTTGCCTATTCTGAACATTTCATATTAATGAAATCATACAATTTCATAGGGTTTGGCTGTGTCCCCACTCAAATCTCACTTTGAACTGTAATAAGCCCCACATGCCAAGGGCGGGGCCAGGTAGATAACTGAACATGGGGGCAGTTTCCTCCATATTGTTCTTGTGGTACTGAATAAATCTCAGGAGATCTGATGGTTTTATAAAGGGGAGTTCCCCTGCACATACTCTCTTGCCTGTCACCATGTAAGATGTCACTTTGCTCTTGCTTCATCTTCCACTGTGATTGTGAGGCCTCCCCAACCACGTGGAACTGCAAGTTCATTAAAACCTCTTTCCTTTATAAATTACCCAGTCTGGGTGACAGAGCCAGACTCTGTCTCAAAAAGAATAAATAAATAAAACAAAATAAAATAAAAATGTAAAAATCTGAATTTGCATTTCCCAAATGAGTATTAATACTAACTGTCCTTTCTTGTGCTTATTTACCGTCTTAACTAGTACCTGTTCAAATATGCCCATTTTAAAACTGAGTCATCTGTCTTATTGAGTAGTTCCTTATATAGCCTGGATATAATCCTTTACCAAATACATGCTTTTCAAGTATTTCCTCCCAGTCTGTGGCTATTATGTTCCCTCTAAGAAATCTTTGCCTATCCTATATGTTTTCTGGAAATTCTAGCTCTGACTTTGTATTTTAAAGATTCATTCAATTTGAGAAAATAATTCCAAATTGAGCTTTTTATTAAGAAATCCTAGTCAACATTGCTTGAATTTAACAAAATTACAAGTGTGTTTCAAAAAAATTTATAAATATGTAAATACATGTGATAGGTTCCATGCACACGATTATTTCATGAGTATTTATTAACTACCTGTCATGTGCCAAGTCTTATGGTCTACCTGAGAAATACAGTATGAAATGAGAGACATAATCTCTGCTATCATTGTAATGTTGGTAATCACCAGTATGCGTCAAGGAGCTATAAGCGAAAGAGCAAAGTCTTCAAACCAGGTTCACAGTCCTTCCTCTTATAAAGTATTTTTCCTCTTTTATAAATTAAATAAATAATATATATTTCACAGGGCTATCATGATGAAAAAGACGATCTCAAGTGCCTCTTCAAAACTGCTTGGGAAGTCTATGCTATACAACCACTGTTACAAATCTTCACCATTCTAAACGAAGTCTAAATACTCCCATTGGCAACTTCATCTTTAACAGAAGGAAGAGTAGTAATGGACGCCTTGAGTGAAAACTCTTCTAATTTTCCATACCTAATCTTCTAACCTCCTCTAATTTGTGTGTATTATTTTGTCATGTCATAGGTTAAGATGTCCTTCTTCTTGCTCTGCTTCCTTAGGAATGCTGCTCCCTCATACCTATATTCCCCTTCCCTTATCTGCAATCTGTCTTCTTTTCAACTAGCATCTTTTTTTTTAAAAAAAGAAGAAGATGGAGTCTCACTTTTTGCCCAGGCTGGAGTGCAATGGTGCGACCTCAGCTCACTGCAACTTCCGCCTCCCAGGTTCAAGTGATTCTCATGCCTCAGCCTCCCGAGTAGCTGGGATTACAGGCACGCACCACCACACCTGGCTAATTTTTGTACTTTTAGTAGATATGGGGTTTCACCATGTTGGCCAGGCTGGTCTTGAACTCCTGACCGCAGGTGATCCGCCCACTTCGGCCTCCCAAAGTGTTGGGATTACAGGCGTGAGCCACCACACCCAGCCTTCAGCTAGCACCTTTTCAAGGTATTTAAATATTCAAAATTATTTAGTCAAAAACAACAGCAGAAGATTCTTCTTCAAGCTTACTCCGTTTCCATCATCTTATTTTTCTGTTACTTTTCTTTTGAGGCTCAAACTCTGACTTTAGCCCAGTTTTTTTGTTTTTGTCTTTTTTTGAGACACAGTCTCATTCTGTTGCCCAGGAGAGAGTGAAGTGCCGTGATCTCAGCTCACTGCAATCTCTGCTTCCTGGGCTCATTCTTCCACCTCAGCCTCCCACATAGCTGGGACCACAGGCGCATGCCATGGTATCCTGCTAATTTCTGTATTTTTGTAGAGATAGGGTTTTGCCATACTGCCTAGGCTGGTTTCTAACTCCTGGACTCAAGTGATCCACCCACCTCCGCCTCCCAAAGTGCTGGGATTTCTGGCGTGAGTCACCACACCCAGCCTTCTCCTTTGCTTTTTTTTTTTTGAGTCTCGCTCTGTCACCCAGGCTGGAGTGCAATAATGTGATCTTGGGTCACTGCAACCTCCGCCTCCTAGGTTCAAGTGATTCTCCAGCCTCAGCCTCCTGAGTAGCTGGGATTACAGTTGCGTGCCACCACGTCAGGCTAATTTTTGCATTTTTAGTAGGGACGGGGTTTCACCATGTTGGTCAGGCTAGTCTCAAACTCCTGACCTCGTGATCTGCCCGCCTCGGCCTCCCAAAGTGCTGGGATTACACGCATGAGCCACCATGCCTGGCCTCCTTTGCTTTTTATCCAAGATTGGCGCTGTCTACACTGATTGTCCCCACTGGTGCTGTCAATTTATCTCCTAAGCAGGGTTTAGAAGGGTGACAAGGCTATGTATCCCTTTAACATGCTCAAGCCTCAGTGTAGCCAAGTGGTACCTAGTGGCTTTCTATTGAGCTGGGCCAGTAAAAAACAGACTCAGTAGTCTTCTCTGCCTAAGTAATACTGATCACCTTCTCTGTGTACCACGATGTACATGTTGGAAAGGACTGTCCTATGCCTTTCTGAATCCATGGCATTCTGGCTTTGTCCTTGCTACCGCACAGAAACTGCTCTGTTCATTGTGATTTTTTCCCATTTCCTAATCCATTCGATGATTCTTAGTATTTAATCAACTTCTGGATATCATCTGACCCCTCCTTAGCCCCTCTTTGGTTTCTGTGATAACACTCTTTCCCAATTTTCTGCTTTTGACTATGTCTGCTCAAAACTTAAAAAGAAAATTTAAGTCCGTTATCTTCTGCCAGCCTCTTAATTGCTAATTTCCCTCACGATTCAGTCCTCAACCTTTTCCTTTTTAAAATTTTACTTTCACCTGGGTTCCAGCCATCATTACAATGACTACTTCATTTTCATCTACTTCCTATAGACCATTAACTAACTGTAGCACACATATGTCAAGGTGTATGGACATATGTATAGGGGGGAAATTGATTATATTTAGAATGATTTTATATTAACCCCAATCCTTTCTTTCAAAATTCTAGGCCAGGTGCAGTGGCTCATGCCTGAAATCCCAGAAATTTGGGAGGCCGAGGTGGGCAGATTGCTTGAGCACAGGAGCTCGAGACCAGCCTGGCCAAGATGGTGAAACCCTGCTCTACTAAAAATACAAAAAATTAACCTAGCATGGTGGCGCACACCTGTAGATACAGCTACTCGGGAGGCCGAACCCGGGAGGCAGAGGTGGCAGTGAGCTGAGATCGTGACACTGCACACTCCAGCCCAGGTGACAGAGCAAGATTCCTTCTTAAAAAAAAAAAAAAAAAAAGAAAGGAAAAGAAAAAGACAAAAGAAAGGAGAAGAGAAGAGAAGAGAAAAAAAACTTCGGCATGGTGGCTCATGCCTGAAATACCAGCATTTTGGAGGCCAAGGTGGGCAGATCACTTGTGCCCAGGAGCTCGAGACCAGCCTGGGCAACACGGCAAAACTGCTTCTCTACTAAAGAACTTTTAAAAAAATTAGCTGAGCATGGTGACGCACACCTATAGTTCCACCTACTCAGGAGGCTGAGGTCTGAGATCGTTTGAGCCTACACAACAGTGAGCCAGGATCGTGCATTTCAGCCTGGGCGACAGAGTGAGATCGTGTATCCAAAAAAGTAAAGAGAAAAAGAAAAGAAAATCTTAATAAAAAAGGGCTGCGTATAGTGGCTCACGCCTGTAATCCCAACACTTTTGGAGGCCGAAGTGGGTGGATCGCTTAGGTCCAAGAGTTCGAGACCAGCCTGGACGGCATGGTGAAACCCTGTCTCTACCAAAACCAAAACAAAGCAAACAAAAAACAAACAAAAAAAAACACCCTCACAAAATTAGCCAGTTGTGGTGGCATGTGCCTATGGTCCCATCTACTCTGGAGGCTGAGGGAGGAGCATCACCTGAGCCCAGGAGGTCAAGGCTGCAGTGAACTATGATCATGCCACTGTACTCCAGCCTGGGTGACAGAGCAAGACCTTGTCTCAAAAAAAGAGAAAGAAAAAAAAGCCAATTTTGATTTTTTTGTATGTTGAGAGATGAGAGATAGCGGTCTAGTTTCATTCTTCTGCTAATCAGTTTTCCTACCACAATTTATTGTAGAGACTATCCCTTCCCTCCTTGTATGTTCTTGACACCTCTGTCAGAAATGAGCGGGCCAAAAAAGCACCAATATGTATCTGGGTTCTCAATTCTGTTCCTTTAGATGTGTCTAGTTTTTATGCCAGTATCATGTTGATTTGGTTACTGTAGTTTTGTAGTATAAAGTCAGGTAGTTTGATGGCTCCAGCTTTTGTTCTCTTTCCTCATATTGCTTTGGCTATTTGAGTCTTTTGTGGTTCCATGTAAATGTTAGGATTGTTTTTTCTATTTCTGTGAAGAATGTCATTTGTATTTTGATAGATATTGCATTTAATTTGTAAATTACTTTGAGTAGTACTGTCATTTTAACAATATTGATTTTGGCCGGGCGGGGTGGCTCACACCTGTAATTCCAGCACTTTGGGAGGCCGAAGTGGGCGGATCACCTGAGGTTGGGAGTTTGAGACCAGCCCGACCAACATGGAGAAACCCCATCTCTACTAAAAATACAAAATTAGGCAGGTGCAGTGGCGCATAACTGTAATCATGGCTACTTGGGAGGCTGAGGCAGGAGAATTGCTCGAACACAGGAGGTGGAGGCTGTGGTGAGCCAAGATCGCGCCATTGCACTCCAGCCTGGGCAACAAGAGTGAAACACCATCTCAAAAAAAAAAAAATTTTTTTTTAATTTTTCCATTTCACGAGCATGGAATATCTTTCCATTTTTTGTGTGTTTCCGTTAATTTCCTCCATCAGCGTTTTAAAGTATTTCTTGTAATAGATCTTTCACTTATTTGCTTAAGTTGATTATTAGGTATTTAATATTCTTTGTAGCTATTATAAATAAGATTGCTTTCTTGATTTTTCGGATTGTTTGCTGTCGGCATACGTAGATGCTACTGAGTTTTGTATGTTGATTTTGTATCCTGCAACTATACTGAATTCATTTATCTGTTCAAAACAGTTTTTCGGTGGAGTCTTTAGCTTTTTCTGTGATAATGTCATCTGCGAACAAGGCTAATTTGACTTCCTTCTTGCTAAATTTGGATGGCCTTCTTTTCTTTTGACTAATTGCTCTAGCCAGGACTTCCAGTAATTTGTTGAATAAAGGTGGTAGAAGTGGCTTCCATATCTTATTCCAGGTATTAGATGAAAGCCTTTCAATTTACCCCATTCAGCACAATGTTCAGTGTGGGTGTGTCACATATGGCCTTTATTATTTTGAGGTATGTTCCCTCTATACCTATTTTGTTGAGGGTATTTATCATAAAGTAATGTTGAATTTTATTGAATGTTTTTTCAGAACCTATTAAAATGACTATACGGTTTTTATTCTTGGTTCTATTAATATGATGAATCATGTTTATCGATATATGATTTATGAACCATCTCTGCATCCCTGGGATGAATTCCACTTTATTGTGATGAATATTTTTAATGTGTTATTGAAAGCAGGTTGCTAGTATTTTTGAGGATTTTTGTATCTATGTTCATCAGTGATAGACCCCTATCCCTCACCCTCTAAAAAAATCAAATCAAAATGGATTAAGACCTAGTGGATGAAACTACTAGCAGAAAATGCTAGGATAATGCTTAAAGACAGTGATCTGAGCCAAGTTTGTTTGTGTTAACATCCCAAAAGTACAGGCAACTAAAGCAAAAATAGAAAAATAGGATTACATTAAGCTAAAATGGTTCTGCACAGCTAAGGGAGCAATAAAAAAAGCGAAGAGACAACCCACAGAATGAGAAAATATTTGCAAATTATCCCTGTGTCAACGGATTAATAACCAGAACATGTAAGGAGTTCAAACAACTCAATAGCAAAATAACAAAACAAAACAAAACAAAACAAAAAAACACCAGACAAACAAAAAATCAAAACCATACAAAAAAATCCAATTTAAAAGTGGGAAAACAGGCCAGGTGCAGTGGCTCACGCCTGTAATCCCAGCACTTTGGGAGGCTGAGGCGGGCAGATCACGAGGTCAAGAGATTGAGACCATCCTGGCCAACATGGTGAAACCCGGTCTCTACTAAAAAACAAAAATTAGCTGGGCATGGTGGCATGCACCTGTAGTCCTAGCTACTCGGGAGGCTGACGCAGAACTGCGTGAACCTGGGAGGTGAAGATTGCAGTGAGCCAAGATGGCGCCACTGCACTCCAGCTGGTGACAGAGCAAGACTCCGGCAAAAAAAAAAAAAAAAAAAAAAAAGGGCTTTTTATCAACAAGACAGGGAATAACGGATGCCGGCGAGGATGTAGAAAAAAGTGAACCCTCATACACTGTTGTTGGAAATGTAAATTAGCATAGCCACTAAGGAAAACTGTATGGAGGTTCCTCAAAAAACTAAAACTGGATCTACCATATGATCTAGCAATTCCACTACTGGGTATATATTTTTTAAAAAGGAAATTAATATATTGAAGAGATATCTGCAGTCCTATGTTTATTGTGTCACTATTCACAATAGCCAAATATGGAATGAACCTAAGTGCACATCAACGAAGAAAGAAAATGTGGTATATATGTACAATGAAAAATTATTCAGCCATAAAAAAAGAATGAAATCCTGCCATTTGTAGCAACATGTATGCAAATGGAGCTCATTATGTTAAATAAAACAAGCCAAGAACAACAAAAAAAAAACAAATATTGCATATTCGCAGTCATATTTGAGAGCTAAAAATGTGAACCTCATGATGACACAGTAGACTGGTAGTTACAAGAAGCTGGGAAGGGTGAGAAAGGCGGAATGAAGAGAGGTTAATTAATAGATATAGAACGACTAGTGTTTTAGAGATCGGTAGAGTGACTACAGTTTAATAGCTAAAGAGAATTTGAATGTTTCTAGCATAAAGATGAATATTTAAGGTGATGTATATCACCAATACACTGATTTGATCTTCACAAATTGTATAAATGTATTAAATTATCAGACATAGCCTGAATATATGTACATTTATTATGTTATGGGCTGACATGTGTTTCTCCCAAATTCATATGAATTCTAATCCCCAGTATCTCAGAATGTGACTGTATTTAGAGATAGGGCCTTTAAAGAGATAATCAAGGTAAAATAAGATTGAATGGGTGGGGCCTAATCCAATATGACTATTGTTCCTGCAAGAGATTAGGACATAGACATGCTGCGTGCACAGAGAAAAGACCACAAGAGGACACAGTGAGAAGGAAGCCATCTGTTTATGAAGATGAGAGGCTTCAGGAAAAAAATTAAAAATTGCTGATACCTTGGATCTCAGGCTTACACCTCCAGAACTGTGAGAAAATAAATTTCTTTTGTTCAGGCCAGGCACTGGGGTATTTTGTTATGAAAGCCCTAGCAAATGAATATAATCAGCATTTCAATACAGCCACATCAGTGATTCACCTAAGGTGAAATAAACAGCGAAGCTTGGGTACTGGAACTGATCTCTGAATTCTAGGCTGTTTGGAAAAAGAACCAACAAGTGCTGCATAGTAACTGAATATGGAAAGATATATAGCTTATCTACTGGAAAAATGATTGGTGCAAGAGAAAAGCATTACCAGACGTTTGAAAAGTCTGAAATCATGAGAATACGTAATAAAAAATCAATAGCTCTTAACTAATGTCTATGATGCCAGGCTGCTTACCTTTTATATATTACCTCAAATTAACATAATCATCCAACAAGATTTTATGCCCATATTAAAGTTGAAAATAAATGAAAATTCAAAGACAATCCAAAGCCACAAAGTAGACTTATGTTTTGAAACCAAATTTGCCTAAAGATAATCCTCTCCTCTTTCCAACATACCATTCTGTTCTCACACATCAAATGAACAGTGGTATAATATGTACTACAGAATATTACAGGGCCATTAAAATGCTTAAGAAAACTCAGAGGTTGGTCAACAGCCACACAGATCTAAAATATTCCTTTTTCTGTCTTTCTCTTTGTTCTAAGTTTTCTTTAATGAGAACGCATAAGCTAAAAATAAACATAAGAACTCTTTAAAAACAGAAAGCATTATATAAAGCCAAAGATCATAAAATGAGAAGGCTTTCCCTTCAACTTGAATGATGTACAACCCTGTGATTAAAAAGAGACATACAGAGGTTTTCAGGTATCTTTAGGAGCCCAGAATTTAAATTAACAACATTGTCGTTGCAGATTATTATTTATTTTTGAGCGAATATACTTCTTGGCTTACCTTATGGCTTCTGAATCAATGTGCACAGGTGCGATTCTTTCCAACAGAAATTTGACCATCTCTAGAAAAGGATTTGTTGGTTGCTTAGGATTTGCAAGTTTCCGGGCTATTTCTCTCTATAGAAAGAAAGGAGTTTTACCAAAAACGTGATTTGCTTTCATATTTTTGAAAAGAAAAATGACTAAGGAACTGAAATATTCAAAACCAGCATAAGTGGTTAAGAATTGTCTGCTCTAGACCCTGACTAAAATTTTTACACCCCGAGCAATGACTGAAAAATCTGGACAGCAGAGAAAAGAAGTGGATGATGTGGTTTCTGAGTGAACACAGCCTTGCCTCACAATTCTTTGATGAAATTATTGGTTGATATAGCAACTTTTTTTTTTTTGAGACGAGTCTAACTCTGTCACCAGGCTACAGTGCAGTGGCACGATCTCGGCTCACTGCAACCTCCACCTCCTGGGTTCAAATGATTCTCCTGCCTCAGGCTCCAGAGTAGCTGGGATTACAGGCACGTGCCTCCATGCCCAGCTAATTTTTGTTATTTTTGTAGAGACGGGGCTTCACCATGTTGGCCAGGCTGGTCTTGAACTCCTGACCTCAAGTGATCCACCTGCCTCGACCTCCCAAAGTGCTGGGATTACAGGCGTGAGCCACCACACACCTGGACTATGGCAACCTTTTTAATACTCTAATTTAGAATAAAAACAATTTGTACTTTTATGGGTATGCTTTATTGGTTTTAATTATTTCATAATTTGACAGAACATTGTGTTTTGTTTCAGTTATTTTTTTTTTTGAGCTGGAGTCTCGCTCTGTCAGTCACTCAGGCTGGAATGCAATGGTGCAATCTTGGCTCACTGCAACCTCCGCTTCCCAGGTTCAAACAACTCTCCTGCCTCAGCCTCCATAGCAGCTGGGTTTAAACATGCACGCCACCATGCCCGGCTAATTTTATATTTTTAGTAGACATGGGGTTTCGTCATGTTGGCCAGGCTGGTCTCGAACTCCCGAACTCAGGTGATCCAACCCGCCTCGGCCTCCCAAAATGCTGGGATTATAGGCATGAGCCACTGTGCCTGGCCAGTTAATTTGTTTCTTAAAAAATACATATTCAGGCCGGGCGCAGGTGGCTCACGCCTGTAATCCCAGCACTTTGGGAGGCTGAGGCGGGCGGATCACCTGAGGTCAGGAGTTCGAGACCAGCCTGACCAACATGGAGAAACCCCATCTCTATTAAAAATACAAAATCAGCCGGGCTTGGTGGCGCATGCCTGTAATCCCAGCTACTCGGGAGGCTGAGGCAGGAGAATTGCTTGAACCTGGGAGGCGGAGGCTGCGGTGAGCTGAGATCGTGCCATTGCACTCCAGCCTGGGGAACAAGAGCAACTCCATCTCAAAAGAAACAGAAACACATATTCGTACATATATATATATATACTTGCAAAATTTTTCAGTTCTGGAAGAACATAGGTGGAGGATAAATGAGAACTCTGTACACCCTTAGAATTTTATTTATAAGTTAGACATACAGTTATGGAAGGCTGATAGATAACCCCAATAATAAAAGTAACTCTCAGCCAGGAGCAGTGGCTCATGCCTGTAATCAAAGCACTTTGGGAGGCCAAGGCAGGTGGATTGCCTGAGCTCAAGAGTTTGACACCAGTCTGGAAAACATGGCAAAACCCTGTTTCTACCAAAAAATACAAAAAATTAGCCAGGCGTGATGGTGCATGCCTGGGGTCCCAGCTACTCAGGAGGCTGAGGTGGGGGGGATCACTTGAGCCTGGTAGGCAGAGGTTGCAGTGACCACCTGAGATTGCACAGCTGCACAGACTCTGTCTCAAAACAAAAAACAAAAAACAAAAAAAAGTTAACTATCCATTTAAGCTCAAAGATTATGGTATTAGGCCGGGTGCAGTGGCTCATGCCTATAATCCCAGCACTTTGGGAGGCCGAGGTGACGGATCGTTTGAGGTCAGGAGTTTTGAGACCAGCCTGACCATTCTCAGAGGCCATTCTCAGATTTGTCTTCTCTTTCATTTCTTCTCTACCTCCTCCAAGTGATGTAATTGTGCTAATATATAGAACCAGGCCTGAATCCCAACACTTCTGAACACAACTGCAAAGACGCTATCTTCTTCCCTAAAGCATCTCCTCTGATATCCAGTCAGCCAAACTGAAAATATAGCAGTCATTCTTCACACAATGGTCTAATTCCTATTCATCCTTTAAGACTCAACTTAGGAGTCACTTATTCTAGAAGAAGCCATTCCTGGACCTATTTCCACCCCTGCCTGGAATGAGTAATGCTTCTTTATTTTACCAAAGCACACAATTCAATGGAAATATTTGTCAGCCTCTGTCACTTATTCTGCAAGCTCCATGAGAAACCATGTATTATAAAATTTATTTAATCATGCAGTGAATTATAACAGTGTGTGCTTGATCAAGAAAGAAGATATTTGGACTTCTGAAGATATAATGCATATCCAGGTAACTAGGTAGAGGAGGGTTTTTAAAAGTGTAGTCCATAAACCACTCATGTTGAAACTTGGTTAAAAGATGGAGAGATTCATGATGCTACATCATAACCTATTTTAAAGATGCCTACTCTTTGTAAGGGTAAGACCTATAAAAATGACCATTTATTGAAACCCTGTAGGCAGTGCAGGGGGGCCCTGCATTAGGCCACATATAAAATTTCATTTTACATTATTCTTTTAAAAATTCTATGAGGTTGATAATATTTATAGGTGAAGAAAATGAATAAGGAGGCTTGAAAATACTGAGTAACTTACTAAAGGTCATACTGGTAGTAAACGATATTCAAACCAAGGACTGTTTCATTAAATGTCAAATAAACAAGCTTCCTGGAAAATATTAAAATTTGGGGACCACTCTCATGGGGAGGGGGGCAATGGAGCATAAACTATGACGCACAGCTGAAGCTATGGCAAGTATGTGGTCCTTCTCTAGGGTCAAGGTGTAGAAACCTAAAACCTGAATTCTAAAGGGAAAGTAAATCTATATATCACATTTCAATTCCACTGCTCACTCTCATTCATTATATCCCCCACCCCACACACAAATACACGTCTCTTTTGATAATCTTTGCTCAAAGTATGTTTGCTAAGATTTTTCAGAAATGGAACTTGGACAAAGAGGGAAGAAAATATTAGATTTCTATGCCTACTAACTCTCGTATCAAGTAATATCTACCTCTTGAGAAGTGAGATATGAAAATAAGGAGGTAGTGACAAATACGCATTAGGGTACAGAGAAGGAACTCTCAAGGATGGAATGCAAGCTACATAGAATGAGAGAAACTAAATTTTACATTTGCATTATTTTTCTTTATTCTTCTACATCAGAAAAGGAATGGGGATATTAGAGGAAATATGTAAATAATATTCAGTAGCCCATAGGGGAAAGGACAAACTCATAAAGGTACTCTAGCAGAGGTTTGTTTTCATGTGTGCCTAAGGGAGGTATTCTAAGTCCCACTTTACGTATGAGAACACATAGTTAAATAACATACTCAAGTCACACAATGCTAATATAAGAGCTAGGAAAGAAGGTATAATGAACTCATGCTCTTACCACTGCAAGTGCAGTATTCATTTCTACCTCACTGGTTCCTAATATCAAGAGCACTGATTGGCTATACTGTGTGGCTGTTGCAGTCACAGTGTTGGGATTACAACAGTGAGCCACCGCGCCCAGCCTTTTCAAGCTATTTCATTGTCTGATCTAATTATAATAGTAGATTCTCTGCAGGACACAGTACTCTGGAACTAGAATTCTAAATGCCAAAGAAGTCAATGAAACTTTTAAGCGTTTTCAGCAAATTACTCAGCTCAGAAGTACAAAGCTTATTGGGCATGGTGGATCATGCCTGTAATCCCACTACTTTGGGAGGCCAAGGTGGGTAGGATCACTTGAGTCCAAGAGTTCAAGACCAGCCTGGGCAACATGGTGAAATCTCATCTCTACTAAAAATACAAAAATTAGTCAGGCATGATGGCGCATGCCTGTAATCCCAGCTACTTGGGAGGCTGAGGCAGGAGGATCATTTGAGCCCTAGATGCAGAGGTTACGGTGAGCTGAGATTGTGTCATTACACTCCAGCCTGGGTGACAGAGCAAGACCCTATCTCAAAAAAAAAAGAAAAAAATAAGTAAGTAAATAAAATTTAAAAAAGAAGTGCAAAGGTTGAGGTTGTCTGGGCATTTGGCACATCCACATTCATAGCCCTGAGAGACAAGCCCACTCTTCTCTTCCCTAAATTGGTTTTCCTCCCCATGTCCTCCTAATTATTGGTATTTGTAATGGTATTCAGATCTCTATGCTGAATAAAAGATACATGTTCTATGCAGCTAGACCTCTCCACATATACATCTATTATAGTCCTTATCCTTTATAAGTTATTTTAAAACCATCAACTCTAATCCCTTCTAGAACAAAGTTAGACATATGTAATTGAAATTACATTTCTCTTATTTGTCTCTATAAGCCTGGTCCCAAGCATAGTACTTGACGTTTATGTCTAACATTGTGAGAAGGATTATTTATTTAAATCCAATAGGGCAGTGCAGGGCCCTTATACAGAGAAATACATACCCTCCCCCTGCCCACACACACAAAGAATTATCCATCACTCAATGGTGGAGACAGATTTTGAGAAATGTGTTGTTGGCCAGGCACGGTGGCTCACACCTGTAATCCCAGCACTTTGGGAGGCCGAGGCGGGCGGATCACGAGGTCAGGAGATCGAGATCATCCTGGCTAACATGGTGAAACCGCGTCTCTACTAAAAATACAAAAAATTAGCCGGGCGAGGTGGCAGGAGCCTGTAGTCCCAGCTACTCGGGAGGCTGAGGCAAGAGAACGCAGTGAGCCAAGATCGCGCCACTGCACTCCAGCTTGGGCGACAGTGAGACTCCGTCTCAAAAAAAAAAAAAAAAAAAAAAAGAGAAATGTGTTGTTAAGGCAATTTCATCATGTGAACATTAGAGTGCACGCACACAAACCTAAATGGTATAGCGTACTACTTCTATGCTACAAAATTGTACAGCATGTTACTATGCTAAATACTGTAGGGAACTGTAACACAGTGGTATTTGTGTATTTGAACATTATCTAAACACAGGGTAAAAATATAAAAGATAAAAACACAATATAAACCATATAATAAAAATGCCATATAAAAGATAAAAAACAGTACACCTACATATAGAGCACTTACCATAAATGAAGCTTACAGGACTGCAAGTTGATCTGGGTAAGTCAGTGAGTAAGTGGTGAGTGAATGTGAAGAAACAGGACATTACAGTACACTACTGTAGACTTTATAAACACTGTACACTTAGGCAGCACGATATTTAAACACTTTTTCTTTCTTCAATGATAAATTATCCTTAGCTTTTTGTAATATTTTTACTTGATGAACTTCAAGGGTTTGTTTTTGTTTGATTGTTTGTTTTTGAGACAGAGTCTCGCTCTGTCGCCCAGGCTGGAGTGCAGTGGCATGATCTCAGCTCATTACAAGCTCCGCCTCCCAGGTTCACACCATTCTCCTGCCTCAGCCTCCAGAGTAGCTGGGACTACAGGCGCCCGCCACCATGCTCAGCTAATTTTTTTTTTTTTGTATTTTTAGTAGAGACGGGGTCTCACCGTGTTAGCCAGGATGGTCTCGATCTCCCGACCTCATGATCTGCCAACCTCGGCCTCCCAAAGTGCTGGGATTACAGGTGTGAGCCACCACACCTGGCCCGGTTTTTTTTTTTTTTAGCTTTTAAAAAAATTTTTGGAGACAGGATCTTGTTCTGTCACCCAGGCTGGAATGCAGTGGTGTGACCATAGCTCACTGTAGGCTTAAAATCCTGGGCTCAAGTGATCCTCCCATCTTGGCCTCTGGAGTAGTCAGGACTACAGGTGTGCGCCACCATGTGCAGCTAGTTTTCTTTAATGTTTTGTAGAGGCGGGGGTTTTGATATATTGCCCAGGTTGGTCTCAAATTCCTGGCTTCAAGTGATCCTCCTGCCTAGGCCTCCCAAAGTGCTGAGATTACAGGTGTGAGCCAATGTACTGATCTTTTTTTTTTTTTTTTTTAGCTTTTTGACTCTTTTGTAGTAACACTTAGCTTAAAACACATTTTGTGTACAGCTGTACACAAAATGGTTTCTTTCCTTATATCCTTATTCTACTAGCTTCTTCCTATTAAAAATTTTTTTGGCTGCATGTGGTGGCTCACACCTGTAATCCCAATATTTTGTGGGGCTGAGGCAGGTAGGTTTCTTCAGCTCAGGAGTTCCAGACCAGCTTGGACAACATGGAGAAACCCTGTCTCTACAAAAAATAAAAAATTAGCTGGGCATGGTGGCATGTGCCTATAGTCCCAGCTACTCAGGAGATTGAAGGGAGAGGATCACGTGAACCCAGGAGGCTGAGGATGCAGTGGGCCATGATAACATCACTGAACTCCAGTCTGGGTGACAGAGCAAAACCCTGTTTAAAAAAAAAAAAAGAAAGTTTTAAAACTTTTTTTTGTGCAAAACTAAGATACAACCACATACAATAGCCTAGGCCTACGCCAGGTCAGGATCACCAAGATGTCACTAGGTGATAGGAATCCTTCAGTTCCGTTATAATCTTTTTTTTTTTTTAATGCTTTAAGTTATGGGATACATGTGCACAATGTGCAGGTTTGTTACACAGGTATACATGTGTCATGGTAGTTTGCTACACCCATCACCCTGAGTTCTGTTATAATATTATGGGACTCCCAAAATACATGTGGTCTTATCTTTGGCCAAAATGTTGTCATGCAGTATACCATTTTAGATACATCAAGAATCTTTTGCCTGGGTGTGTGGCTCATGCCTGTAACCCCAGCACTTTGGGAGGCCGAGGTGGGTGGATCACCTGAGGTAAGGAGTTCAAGATCAGCCTGGCCAACATGGTGAAAACCTACCTCTACTAATAATACAAAAAATTAGCCAGATGTGATGGCTCATGCCTGTAATCTCAGCTACTCGGAAGGCTGAGGCACAAGAATCGTCTGAACCCAGGAGGTGGAGGTTGCAGTGAGGTGAGATAATCACTTGAAGGAGTTTGAGACCACCCTGGGCAACACAGAGACAAAAATTTTTATTTTTTCCTTTTCTTGAGACAGTCTCATTCTGTCACTCAGGCTGGTGTGCAGTGGCATGATCTCGGCTCACTACAACCTCCACCTCCCGAGTTCAAGCAATTCTCCTGTCTCAGCCTCTTGAGTAGCTCAGATTACAGGCATGTACCACCACACCTGGCAAATTTCTGTATTTTTAGTAGAGATGGGGTTTCACCAAGTTGGCTAGGCTGGTCTCGAACTCCCAACCTCAGGTGATCCACACGCCTTGGACTCCCAAGGTGCTGGGATTACAGGTGTGAGCCAATGTGCATGGCCTCCAAAAAATTTAAAAACTTAGCTGGGTGTGGATGCGTGTGCCAATAGTTCTAGCTATTCAGAAGGCTGGGGTATAGGATCACATGAGCACAGGACTTTAACGCTGTAGTGAACTATGATTGTGCCACTGAACTCCAGCCTGGGTGACAAAAGCAAGACTATCTCAGGAAAAAAAAAAAAAAAGCTGAATAAATGAATGCATAAGTTTTCCCTCCTGATAGCTTTAAGAATATTGGTTTTAAATGAGTTCAAGAGAAGAATGAAGACAAAAGTCTAGATAGGAATTTACTTTATCTGTAAATGAAACCAGATATATGGCAATGTTACTACTACTAATTTATTGACGATTATTTCCATTCTAATACATGAAAGAAGAAAATGCACATGTACACAAGCATTCAGAAAATACTTATCATTACTCAATGAATGTCTACTAAGTTCAAAGTACTTTATCTTGTAAAATTCCTAAGACCAATCTCCCTGGCTTAGTTCTTTAGTTATTTTCCTGGAATGTGGCTGAGAGTGAATGGTAAATAGAGAATTAACTTGACAATAGATATACTCCAAAGTAATTCAGAGCTCACAATATTGTTACATTTACACAAATCACTGTATGTAAAACAGGCTTTAATAAAATACATATTTCTGTAAGTAAAGCTAGAGAAAAAGTGTGAAGTATGATTTACTAACCACACAAATATCTGCTTGTTTGCAAGAACAGGTTGGGCTAATTAATAACTCCAACTGAGACCGAAGTTTCTCATCATCGCCGAGAACCTGGTTAAATTTCTTCACAAAATCTTGTGCTTTCCCGGGGTCAGGCAAATTCTCTATAAAATTAAAAGAGAATCAATATTAGAGAAGGAAAAAAAAAAAACTATTCTACTAAGCTAAAAACAGGTGCCATCAAAATATTGCGGAGCCACTAAAAGAAAATCAGCCTAGCTGGTTCTTAGAAACAAAATTAAGATAAAGATTATTTTCTTTTACTTAACATTAAATCAGTAGTCCCACTGGGTAAATACTTTGTCTGCATTTACGTTTACTACATGTTTAGTGAGTAAATAAACATACTCACTTGCTATGGTCATCAGTTTTCCAAACATGGCAGAACAGTTAGCCTCTGACTGAAATTTAAAACAGAAACAAAAGAACAACTAGTCATATGTGTTAACAAATTTCCCTAACAAAAATCAATACTCATTACTGTACATTTTTCATGACGTTAAAAAATAAAGTTCATCACAGTCTGCTCAATGGAAAATGGTTTTACCACATATATACGCTAAACTAACAACAAAGAATTACATAGTAGCAACTATTAAGACAAATAGAAGGAAAGGAGATGTTGGGAGGAAGGTACTTAAAAACCCACAAGTATATAACTTTCACAGGAAAGTTACATTGCCAGAAGATTGAAAAAAGATCAATGAAGCAATCAACATATAAACTTATCATATCAGAATTACTATGAAACTACATGCCACAAAAAATTAACTAAAAATATAGAGAAGAAACTTTTTTTTCTGCAATAGAGTTCTGTTAGCTACTTTGTGGCCCGTTACTTAAATACCTTCAGGAAAACCTCCTTTCTAAAACGTACTTCCCTTTCCTGTATCCCATAAAACATTACTTATTAGTTTTCATTTATACTAAATTTGAATAATTTAGTTCAAAAGTTAGAAAACTATGCCCCCATGAGCTACCTGTTTTTGTTAGTAGTTTCGATGGAATATAGTCATGTCCATTCATTTATTTATCGTGTATGACTAATTTTGCAAAGGCAGGGTTGAATATCTGACCACAGACTCTATGCCTTGCAAAATATGTTTTTGCTATCTGTTGATTTATTTTCAAAGTTTGCTAGGCTAGGTGCAGTATCTCACACCTGTAATCCTAGCAATTTGGGAGGCCTAGGCAGGCAGACTGCATGAGCCCAAGATTTTGAGACCAGCCTGGGAAACATGGTGAAAACTCACCTCTACAAAAAACATACAAAACCTAGCTGGGTATGGTGGAGCACACCCGTAGTCCCAGCTATTCAGAAGGCTGAGGTGGGAGGATCACCTCAGCCCAGTGACATCGAGGCTGCAGTGAGCTGTGATCATGCCACTATGCGACAGCCTGGGCAACAGAGTAAGATCCTGTGTATTAAAAAAAAAAAAAAAAAAAAAAAAAAAAGTTTGCCCGCCCCTGTTCCAGCATCCATGTGTCCTTGAGGGGTCTGTTTATATGGTCCCCTGGTTAAGAACACCTATTCTAGTGAACACACGTAAAAATGTAAAGTTTTTTTCCCCAACCTTGCAAAAATTTAATGGCATTTCTTTTTTAGTTTGCCATTGGCATATTTATAGGATTGATATCTGATATTCACTCTACACTGAGAGACCATGAATCATGCAGTGAAAAAGAAATATGATGTTTAATGTAATTTTATCTCAAAATTTAATTCTAATTATTTGAAAATTGATTAACTATAAACTCTTAGTGTCTGAAAACTTTATATAAACTAGAAAACACCATTTCTTTGCTCACACTAGAAAATAAGAGTTTGTTATATTTATTTTAAATGGAAATTTAGCTTGGACAACTACAGAAATTATATTTAACTGACATTTGGAAAATAAAACAACTGAGATACTTTTTCCCTGCTTCATTACGTAGAACTACAGAAAATCTGAACAGTGACTATAATAAACTATGAATTTAAACAAATCATGAACCTACTGTAGGCTGCTTGTGCAAATCCAATAGTTCGCGTACATGGCTCCGAAGCATGTTCTGACACTTCCACATTTCGTTGAGAGCTCTGTAAAGTTATGAATATGAAAACACACATTACATAACAATACTGGAAATTATTCAGCTTTACAACCTTTCTTGTTGCATGCTGTATATACACCATTCTTCTACATCTACCTAAAAGTTTAAATACCGGGAAATATATTTATTAGGATTTAAAACAATTTAGTACAAATGGTAAATATAAGCCTTCTTATGAGAGAAAATATTTGAGAGGTTTAGAAAGATTAATAAGTAATACAGGGATTGAAAGATGTACTAAATACAGGTAGCTAGAAAGTTTTGGTACAAGGAAAGAAAATCTCAAAGTGCAAGGGACATAAAACAAACTGAAAAACATGTATACGCTTGGAGCACAAGGCATGTGTGTGGAGCATAAGGAAGCTGGAGCATTCCACAGACACAGATCAAATCATGAAGGCCTTATTAAAAAGGCTAAGGCATATACATGAAGCACTATAGACTATTTTGAAAAATGAAGTATCAAAAATGATGCAGATTCAAGATGCCAAATTTACATTATTGTGTTTATTCTAAACTTTTCTCTCTCCAGGAACACAGATTTTCTTCTCTCAGAAATCCCATCCATATTTCCAGGTGCCCAGATGACCTCTGAGAATTACTAATCTCTAAACACTCTTTGTCAGATATTTTGAAATGTAAACAAACATCAAAACCTTAAGCAAGGAAAGGGATTAGTAACCATGATACAACACTATCGTAATAGAATTTCTGCCAAAATGACAGTCTTTTTTTCTTTTCTTTCTTTTTTTTTTTTTTTTTTTTGAGACAAGTCTCACTCTGTTGCCCAGGCTGCAGTACAATGGGATAATCTCGGCTCACTGCAACATCTGCCTCCTGGGTTCAAGCAATTCTCCGGCCTCAGCCTCCCTAGTAGCTGGGATTACAGGCGTGCACCACCATGCCCAACTAATATTTTTGTATTTTTAGTAGAGATGGGGTTTCACCATGTTGGCCAGGCTGGTCTCGAACTCCTAACCTCAAATTATCTGCCTGCCCTGGCCTCCCAAAATGCTGGGATTACAGGGGTTAGCCTCCACGTCCGGCCTAAAAATGCAGTCTTAATCTAATAATGCAGGAACACTTGAAGAAGCCACAATGGCAAACAGTCAAATTCCTAACTCAAAATTCTCTCTCTTTTTTAAGACAGAATCTCACTACATTGCCCAGGATGGTCAAGCTTCTAGGCTGAAAAGATCCTTCCATCTTCAGATCAGAATTCTTAATGACATCACTCATTTACTTTGTGTATTTTTGACAAAAATTACATATACGATGGTGTACAACATAATATATGTATATATTGTAACATTTACTTTAAAAAAAAAATCTATTAAAGTGAAATGACCACACATCCTGGTTGGCCTGGGACAGTTTGATTATGCTATTTAAGTAAAAATATCAATAGTGATCCCTTTCAGTCTGAAAATAATCCAGTTGGACCATTAATCATATGGCCATCTTACACAGAGAAGATCTGAATATGTTCACCCAACAAAGAATCAGTATTCAGTTATTAGGCTTAATATTTAGTCTGGAAGGATAAAGCACCAGTAGTTTTAGACACTAGCCACAGGTATTTTGACGTGGTCATTTATTTGAACACCTGAAACCATCCTACTACTGACCTGGCTGCCAAACAAGCCTACACATATAAGAATAACCTGAACATAAATCGTAACATTTTGTCTATAAATATTTACCTGAGGTTCTTGATTCAACTATAGAAGCAGCAACAATCCAATCAATAACAACTAATTAGATAAGATGAAGTAATTTTACGAAATCCTTAGAAAATACAGCAGTTATTTGAAAAGTAACTTACTTTACAGCATTTGGATCCAAACTAGCATATAAGTAATATAAGCATTTCATTCTCTCTTCTGTTTCCAGGTTGTGGGGGACAAGATACTGAGCAAAGATTTTCTCTACCAACAGTCTAGGAAATAACAACAACAAAAAAAACCTAAGTGACACAATTATTCCATTTTTAAGAAGCAATTTTTTTTTTTTTTTTTGGAGACAGGGTCTTGCTCTGTCACCCAGGCTGGAGTACAGTGGTGCAAACTCGGCTCAATGCAACCTCTGTCTCGCAGGTTCAAGCGATTCTCCCACCTCAGCCTCTCCAGTAGCTAGGACTACAGGCGCGTGCCACCATGCCCAGCTAATTTTTATATTTTTTGTAGAGACAAGGTGTCCCTATGTTGCCAAGGCTGATCTGGAACTCCTGAGCTCAGGCAATCCGCCTGCCTTAGCGTCCTGAAGTGCTGGGATTACGACGGGCATGAGGCACCACACCCAGCCAACATTTTAAGTTTTAACCATCTTATGCCAGGATACCATATCAAGATAATAGCTATGTGTGCACATACAATGGAAGATATCAGTTTATAATGACTTCCTTCTTGGAAAGCTTTCAGTACAGTTTAACTTTAGAGACACGGTTACTGTCTGTGGCTTTATAATTTGTCAGTATGAAACATTTGTTCTAGAAGGTTTAAATGTTATTCCTAAACACAGGGTGCTAGGCTGTTCCGCCTATTCTTCTTCAGCAGTCTAGAACAAAAGCAAATTCATTAACGCAACATATAAAGCTATGATCCGCGGTAGAGCTAATTCTCAAGAAACTCATTAATTTCCTCTGATTACAGTTCAGCCCATTTTCCATGTTGTCACATAGTTAAAAACAGGGGGACCCCCCTTCATATTACTTCCAGAAAATGTAGTTTTTCCTGTGTACATCTGATTATTGTTCTCTCCATGATCTAAATTCCTTACCAATATTGGAATATCCTTCTTGCTAGTACCTATTGCTTGTATCTTCTTGCTTCTATTATTTAATATCACTGGATTAAGAATATACAAGATCTCTTAATTAACAAATGAAATACATATCCAGTGATGCCAGAGAAGTTAGTTTAATTAAACAAAACAATGGAAACTATTCTGCACACACCAAGTATCATTTGTACGATCCAATATAGAATTATAAGTAATATTCAGAAAATGAAAACAACTTAGTAATTCCTCTATTGGTAGTGGTGTAAAAAGGAAAGTAACTAGCAGTTAACTCAATAGTGCTCTCTTGCCACACATTGGGCTAGGATGCTTTATATTCATTATTTTATTTAATCTACATGATAATCCTGTGGGAAAGGCACTATTATTTTTCCTTTTTATATAAAACTGAAGCGCACAAGACCTTAATGAACCTATGTAAGAATACACATCTAATAAAGGGCAGAGTGAACATTTGGTCTCTAACTCCAAAGTTCATGCCTATTTCATATTATAAGGCTACCTTATAATCGTGGACAGTCTTGTTTAAACACAGTACATAAAAATATGTAAAAAGCTATCTCTAAACTTAGAAATAAATGATTAATCAAGTTGAATAAACTTAATTTTATTTATGAAGTAAATACATAAAAATAAGAAATTACTAAAATATTAAATAGACATTTTTTAAGTAAAAAGTAGTTTTACACTCAACCATTCTACCAACATATTAAACTCACTTGTCGTCAATGCTGTTCTGATAATAAATATGCAGAAGTTTGTCCTTTATCCAGCTGACTTTCTCTGCAGCTTCCTTTCCTG
This sequence comes from Homo sapiens, assembly GCF_000001405.40. Classification (NCBI taxonomy): domain Eukaryota; kingdom Metazoa; phylum Chordata; class Mammalia; order Primates; family Hominidae; genus Homo; species Homo sapiens. The sequence continues at coordinate 39,904,122 of NC_000004.12, forward strand.
CTTCACCATGAAGACAGTATTTCTTATAAAGCTGAGCCAGACCCATCATAGCTTCTTTTCTTACTCGCCACTAAAAAGCATAAAATTTATTAGATGAGCAAGATAACAAAACTCTGTACTAATCTCCAAAGACTGCCTTGGCTTCATTAGGTTGTACAGTCTTATGTGTGCCTTTATAAACTGGCACACTATTTCTCTTCAAAAGAGGCTTTACAAACAATTTTATTTTTTTTTTGAGACGGAGTCTCACTCTGTCGCCTAGGCTGGAGTGCAGTGGCAGGATCTTGGCTCACTGCAAGCTCCGCCTCCCAGGTTCACACCATTCTCCTGCCTCAGCCTCCCAAGTAGCTGGGACTACAGGCGCCCGCACGCCCGGCTAATTTTTTATTTTTAGTAGAGACGGGGTTTCACCCTGTTAGCCAGGATGGTCTCGATCTCCTGACCTCATGATCCGCCCGCCTCGGCCCCCCAAAGTGCTGGGATTACAGGCGTGAGCCACCGCGCCCAGCCTACAAACAATTTTGAATCTGTTCCTATTTAGAAATTTTCCAATGCAAATATTGCTAAATGATCTACTTTTTTCTTTTTAAAGAAATGGGGTTTCGTTACGTTGCCTAGGCTGGTCTCAAATTTCTGGGCTAAAGTGATCCTCCTGCCTTAGCATCCTGAGTACCTAGAACTACAGGTTACTGATTTTTTATTTCCCTTGAAAACTATTAATAACCTTATGGGAGAGTTCATTTGATTCTATTGAAAGAAAATTCACCAAGTTTTAGAAGTGATTATAATTCCCCTTGCAAACAAAACCCCTATTATCTGGAATGTTTTAATTGCCAGTTACATCCCTTTAGATGTTAACTTCGGATAAGAACAAAGTTCACTATCAAGAATTCTGGGCCAGGCATGGTGGCTCATGCCTGTAATCCCAGCACTGTGGGAGGCCAAGGCAGGTGCATCGCTTGAGCTCAGGACTTGGGGAACTGACTACCCAGTGAATCTAAAATCCTAGTAAATCTAAAATTGTAGTGAATCTAGGAGTTGAGCTGGCTGACTAACCAGTGAATCTAAAAATATGCTCACAAGCTGACAAAACCTGCCCACTCAAACAGAGCTTCCAATCAGCTGTGCAGTGAGTCAGTTAAAAATCTGACCAAGGGCGGGCATGGTGGCTCACACCTGTAACCCTAGTACTTTGGGAGGCCGAGGCAGGTGGATCACCTGAGGTCAGGAGTTCGAGACCAGCCTGGTCAAAATGGTGAAACCCGGTCTCTACTAAAAACACAAAAATTAGCCGGGCATGGTGGCACGCACCACTAATTCCAGCTACTTGGGAGGCTGAGGCAGGGAAATCACTTGAGCCTGAGAGGCGGAGGTTGCGGTGAGCCAAGATTGCGCCACTGCACTCCAGCCTGGGCGACAGAGTGAGACTCTGTCTCAACAAAAAAACAAAAAACAAAAAACTGACCAACTATTCAAGGATCATCAGACCTTTGAGGAACGCTTTCAACAGTAAAGAGAGGGACCAAAACAAACAGGCCAGAGGAGGAAAACAGGACTCAGCAGAAACAGAGATAATACAGGCAGTAAAAGACACTTCCAAACATTCTCAGGGAGATAAGATTTTACACCATAAAATAAGACTCAATGCCTCTGACGAAGAAAGGAAGGAAGATAGGGAGAGAGGCAGGGAGAAAAGGAGGGAAGAAAGCAAGGAAGAAGAAAAGGAAAGGAGGGAAGAAAAAAAGGAAAGGAGGCAGGGAGAAAGGAAGTTAGAAAAATTAATGATTCAATCTGAGGAAACTGATTTAAAAAATAAAAAAGAAAAGAAAAACAAAGACAAATTAGATAACAAGAGGTGCTTTTGGAAATTAAAAATGGAGATGAAGTAAAAAAAAAAAAAGATAAGAAAATTAAACTATCAGTCCAAGAATTTCAACATCAAATTAAAGAGTTCCCAAAAGAGAGAACAGGCTCACGCCTGTAATCTCAACACTTTGGGAGGTGGAGGTGGAAGCAGGCACAGATCCCTTGAGCCCAGAAGTTCGAGACCAGCTTGGGCAACATGGTGAAACCCCGTCTCTACAAAAAATACAAAAATTAGCCAAGTGTAGTGGTGCACACCTGTAGTCCCAGCTACTTGGGAGACTGAGGTGGGAGGATCGCTTGAGCCTGGGAAGAGGAGGGTGCAGTGAGCTGAGATTACACCACTGCACTCAAGCCAGGGCAACAAAGTGAGACCCTGTCTCAAACAAAAAAAAAAAACCTTAGTGATCACCGTAAGTGAACTTCCTTACGTTGCAAACCTAAAAGGCAAACGATTTAGCTAGTTGGCAGAAGATTCTTTGGGACTTTTAGAGGTTGGGAAGGTTTAATAGGGTAGGAAAGAAAAGTTGTAAGAGAAGAGACAGGAAAGGAGACCATAAAAACTTAGAATGAGGATCATCATAAGATGTAAGAAAAATAATAGTAAAAAAAAATCTGTGTATTAAAAAAAAAAAAGCAGCAGCAGCAGCAGCTGAGTGTGATGGTGGGAGCCTGTAGTACCAGCTATTCAGGAGAATGAAGCAAGAGGATCACTTGAATCCAAGAGTTCAAGTTCAGCCTGGGTAACATAGTAACACACCACCTCTAAAAAAGAGGGGTGGGTGGGAGTATATTATCTTTGGTGTATTTAAGTCAATACTTCTTTATAAATTTTTTTGTATCATTTTCTCATTTTTTAGGCCCCTTATTAGATGGAATAAAACTTTGTTCCTATGTAACAGGTTAGCAAAAGCCTTTTGAGATTTCTTACATAAAAAAAAAAAAAAAAAAAAAAAAAACAAGCAATAAAATCTTAAGATGAAATCCTGTTCCCAAATTTCTAGAGGCTATAACCAAGGACATCTAACTTATTAAACCAAAATATGGGTCAGAAAATATCCAGTAGGTGTTACTGTTACCACACCATACAGTTTCAGTTAGGAAGATTCATTTATTCAACTTTCTGAAACTATGAAAAAACTGTAATAGTAGTGAAACTTTTTAAATGGGGGAAGGGAGGAATGCCAAATAACCACTAGGGAGAGAGTCATTTCATTTAAATTAAAGCCAAGGGAAAAAAATCTTCAAAGTTAAAATTACTAACACTGTTGAACAACTTAAAAGGTATCTGCCTTTTTTTAAACATCTGGCTCCTGTGACAATTTTAAAAGTAAAAACTTAAAGAATACCTCTTTCTATATTTTAAAACCCAAACCAATTACTATTCTACCCTGAAATTATAATACTCATTTGCAGACGAAAGTAATTTTCAACTACACCTCAAATAAAATAATAGCATGTTGCAAGGTAATCATGAAACATGCTAGAAATGTTAGGCCTAATCAGCCTGCCTTACACATCTGTTTCTTGTTTACACCTGACGCTATTCATTAGTTGTATTCTTAACACTACTTTTCCTTAACAATCCATGTTTTCTTTTCTTTTCTTTTTTTTTTTTTTGAGACAGAGTCTCGCTTTGTCACCCAGGCTGGAGTGCAGTGGTGCAATCTCGGCTCACTGCAAGCTCCGCCTCCCGGGTTCACGCCATTCTCCTGCCTCAGCCTCCCGAGTAGCTGGGCCTACAGGTGCCCGCCACCATGCTCAGCTAATTTTTTGTATTTTTAGTAGAGACGGGGTTTCACCGTGTTAGCCAGGATGGTCTCGATCTCCTGACCTCGTGATCCGCCCGCCTCGGCCTCCCAAAGTGCTGGGATTACAGGCGTGAGCCACCGCGCCCGGCAATCCATTTTTTCAACTGCATCAAATGGAGAAAATCACAGGAAAAATAACTAAACATATAACCATCATTATTGTCCTTAGCTTGGCACATCAATATGTAAACGTCACTTTCTTAGGAAGTAAAGTTCAATGAATGGCAGACCCAGCTAAGTTATTCAAGAAAGTCATATGTGAAAATGTTAACTATAAGAATAGACGATCAATCACTATTCTTTTGAAACTCATCATGTAAATAAAAAGGTAAAATTTTGATTAACTTAGTGGTTCTCTTATGAAGGTATGATAGAAAAGAAACCCATGCTTAAGATCTCAAAAGGTATAGAATCCATTGTATTTATTCATAAGGATAATTAAAAGATATGCAGGAAACATACAAATTAGGAGCTCTTTATCATTGTTATTAATTTGATTTTCACACAGAAAGACATTAAATGTAACAGAAAATGATACCCAATTGTATTTAGCAATTTAAACAGTAAATTACAGAAGAATAAAATGCCTCAGATTTTACCCGTTTATCCAGTGTTCTTTCCCTTACAAAGCCAAGCAGCTGATCATTTACTAAGGCCAGGTCCCTCTTGGCAGCTGTTATTATAGTAACAATGACATCATGACGAATAGCTTCTTCTGGATCATGTGATCTAACCTTTAAATATTCTGTAATAAGAGAAAAAAAACTTAGGCTAAATGTTAGCTATGTAATTTGTCATGATTTAGAATGGCAAGAACAGAAATATGTTAAGTTTTTGTCCATACTAAAGCAATGTTTGTAAAATATGGCATGAAATTAAATCATGTTATTTTTACAGCAGCAGTACTCTACTGTAATCACAAAACTGCACTTTAAACTCCCAAGTTGGCCAGGTGTGATGGCCCACAACTGTAATACCAGCACTTTGGGAGGCTGAGGCAGGCAGGCAGGTCGCACAAGCTCAAGAGTTCATACCAGCTTAGGCAACATGGCAAAACCCCGTCTCTACGAAAATTACCAAATAAAAAAACTCATTAGCCAGAAGTGTAGTGGCCCGCCCCTGCAGTGCCAGCTACTTGGGAGGCTAAGGAGGGAGGATAACTTGAGCCCAGAGGTCAAGGCTGCAGTGAGCCAATATCAAGCCACTGCACTCCAGCCTGGGTAACAGAGTGACGCCCTGTATCAAAAAATAAAATAAAATAAAATAAAATAAAATAAAATAAAATAAAATAAAATAAAATACTTCACAGTTACATCTTTTTTTTAATTTTTATTTTTTGTTGTTGAAACAACAACAAAAACAGCCTGTCACCCAGGCTGGAGTGTAATAGAGCAATCTCGGTGCACTGCAACCTCCGCCGCCCAGGTTCAAGCAATTTTCGTACCTCAGCCTCCGATTAGCTTAGATTACAGGCATCTGCCACCATGCCTGGCTAATTTTTGTATTTTTAGTAGAGATGGGGTTTCACCATGTTGGCCAGGCTAGTCTTGACCTCCTGGCCTCAAGTGATGCACTGCCTTGGCCTCCCAATGTGCAGGGGATTACACGCGTGAGCCACCATGCCCATAGTTACATTTTAATAATGTATTTTCATCAGTTATCCTGGAAAAGTCAACTCACAATGCAGTATCTGATCTATGTCAGCTTGAATTTCAGTTACTAATTAAAAAGCTTAAAAGAAAAACAGTGAAAATGCTTATGGCAATTTAGCTGACAGGTATATACTTGCAAATTACACAATATAAAATCCAGAATATTTTATAATCTGTTCAAAAAATTCTTAAATAATTTATAATACAAACTAAATCTAAACAAAAACATGTTGTTTCCCCTGTTCTTTTTGGTAAATAACAGCCTGCTGATAAAAACCACTTATGTGCTGCTACCAAAAAGGTAGATTTAAATGCTCTAGATTCAAAAGAATGAAAAATTCTAGTCTAGTGCAGAAGATAATCATGTTCCCACTTATTATTAAATGCCACTATATTTAATTAAATAGACATAATGATTTCTACCCAAATCCAATGTCTTAAGAAATACACTACTTCCTTAAATTATGATTTTCAAAAAATTTCAAAGGATTAAAATATGAAGATTTTAAGCTGGGCATTGTAGCACCCGCCTGTAATACTCGGGATCTCAAAGTGAGAGGTCACTTGAGCCCAGGAGTGAAAGCCTTTCTCTTAAAATAAACAAACAAACAAATAAAGAGATTTTAAATGTAATTTTATTACATGAACATGAAATCATTTCTTAGTGCACAACAAATGAAAACACGAGACCATACCAGAGTTAAAACCTACTTGGAAAGTGAAGTTAGGTCACAAGTCATATCTACAATATAGTTGTATGGTTATGCTAATATGTGTAATAAACCAGCTAGCTTACCTGTGAGATCCTTCGCTAAATCTGGGTGATTCATTAAACAATGACTGGCAAATTTCACACTTTCTAATCTCACAGGAACATGAATATCATTAAATCTACACAGAAAAAGATTGCTAAACATTAATTGTAAGGCAAAATAATCACTCTCAAATCAGGTATATCTAACATGAAAATACTTATACGCAACAATAGTTACTGATTAGAAAATTTGTTATGAGCTAAGGTATTCTGAAGGAAGAATATAAAGTACACTATAAGGTGAAAGGATACAATTTCACAAAAACATATTCACAAACAGAATTTCTTTACCATGCTAAAACTAACTAACAAAAAACAGTATAAACAAACACATCCTTCAACCCAAACTATACACTTTATGGAGTTAAAATCTGAGAGCTTAATATTATGCTACAAAGTAAAAAATATTCAAAACACACAAAATCAGTTTGAAGAATAAGTTTATAGGAGATTCCAGGCACGGTGGCTGACACCTGTAATCACTGCACTTTGGGAGGCGGAGACAGGTGGATTGCTTGTGGCCAGGAGTTTAAGACCAGCCTTGAACACATGGCAAAACCCTGTCTCTACAAAATATACAAAAATTAGGCAGGCATGGTAGCATGCCTCTGTAGTCCCAGCTATTACTCAGGAAGCTGAGGTGGGTGGATTGCTTGCACTCAGGAGTTCAAGATCAGCCTTGAAAACACAGCACAGCCCTGTCTCTACAAAAAAACACAAAAATCAGCCGGGCGTGGAGGCATTCCCCTGTAGTCCCAGCTACTTGGGAGGGTGAGGTGGAAGGACTGCTTGAGCCCAGGAGGTCGAGGCTGCAGTAAGCCATAATTGTGCCACTGCACTCCAACCTGGGTAACAGACCCTGTCTCAAAACAAAACAAGACGAAAGGTTTATATGAGACAAACACTGGGAAACTTGAGGTAGAGAGCAAACCATATATAAGGGGCAAATCCAGAAGTTCAAAGATGAGTGCAGAAAATGTGTTACTAGCTCAGGCATGGTGGTGGGTGCCTGTAATACCAGCTACTCAGGAGGCCGAGGCAGGAGAATTGCTTGAACCCGCCAGGCAGAGGTTGCAGTGAGCAGAGATCACGTCACTGCACTCCAGCCTGGGCGATGAAGTAAGACTCCGTCTCAAAAAAAAAAAAAAAATTTGTGTTGCACTGTCTCACCACTTAAGTTTCTTTTGGCCAGCACCAACTTGTATTACAGTGCTCTTTTAAAGGTCTAGTATACGTTAAGAATTCAATTAACATACAACACAATATGTAGACTCAAAAATGCACATGTTGGCCGGGCGCGGTGGCTCACACCTGCAATCTCAGCACTTTGGGAGGCCGAGGCGGGCAAATCACGAGGTCGGGAGATCAAGACCATCCTGGCTAACACGGTGAAACCCTGTCTCTACTAAAAATACAAAAAATTAGCCGGGCGCACTGGCGGGCGCCTGTAGTCCCAGCTGTTTGGGAGGCTGAGGCAGGAGAATGGCATGAACCCGGGAGGCGAAGCTTGCAGTGAGCAGAGATCGCGCCACTGCACTCCAGCCTGGGCGACAGAGTGAGACTCCGTCTCAATTAAAAAAAAAAAAAAAAAAAATGCACATGTTAAGGATAAGGTAAGGAACCCTCAAATTTAAAACAGATTATTAGGCAACTTTTAAAATATACTGATTAATGATAAATAATGTGATCTGAAATAGCTGGAAGTATTTTTATTTTTGAAATGATCTCATAAAAAAACCAAGTAAACAAAAATTGTTTAATAAACGTCTTAATGTCTATGGCCTCCCACTTTCTTACCCAGATAAAATTTTCATGTGTTAATAAAATACTGCATTTAGGATTTGTAATTCTCTGGCTGGCAGAGAAAAATTATACATTATTAATGATCAAGTAATTACAAAGTATCAAAACACTTAACGCTATAATTATGGAAAATAATACTGCAGACTGTGACTTGTTTCTATGAATCAGAGACACCACTACAGTTAGCAGTGAGTGTAAAATAATGAGTGTCAGAAACTTATATTGGGTGATTTCATTTTTAAAAGTAACCAAAGTGAAAAATGAAGCCTTGCGTTTTTGCTTAAATGATTTACAAAAAATATTTGATGTCCATCCTGGGATAGGGAATTCCTCCCCCATAACTTTGAAAGTGCAGTTGCTTCATTCCCACCATTCAAAATTCTCATGGAGTCACATTTAGTTATTCAACTATTTAGCATTTATTCCTATAAGACCTTCAAAATGGCGTGTTCTGGGCAAGTAACTGCTAAGATAGCAGTAGGCCTTGTCAGCGATTTCTCAGAACCTAGGATTAGTATGAGAACTATTATGGTGAATTTACATCAAGAAAAATTCTGGCACCAACTACTGAATCAGTTGAACTAAAACAACGGAGAATCTCGAACATCTCCAGAATATTAATAGTAAATATCTACTTTCCAATCAGCTTTTAAAGCAAAACAGGTAAATGGAATGCAAGGAGAAATTTAATGAATTTCATAAATTTGTCAACACTACTATCAAGCCAAATAGAATTTAGTCATTCTAAGCTCTTGAGAAGAAACATTAAAAACTATCTGAGTTAATGGCAATCATATTTTCCACTTAAAAATCATACAATTATACCAAATTAGTTAAAACACACCATACAATGTGTTCAGATAAGTTACAGACCCAAACGACAAGCACTAGTAAATGAAAAAGTTGGTAGGCTGACAAATGGCACAGGTTCTTAAATTTGGATCAGTATGTATTCAGTTTCATGATTTAAAGATCTTAAGACTTAGAATATACTGCAATGCTGTTTATTTATTCTAATGACTTTCTTTTTTTTTTTTTTTAGACAGAGTCTCACTCTGTCACTCCGGCTGGAATGCAGTGGCTTGAACTCAACTCAGTACAAACTCTGCCTCCCGGGTTCAAGGATTCTCCCGCCTCAGCCTCTTGCGTAGTTGCGGTTCCAGGTGCCGGTCACCACCCCTGGTTAATTTTTGTATTTTTAGTAGAGACACCATGTTGGTCAGGCTGGTCTCCTGAACTCCTGACCTCAAGTGATCCGCCCACCTCAGCCTCCCAAAGTGCTGGGATTACAGGCATGAGCCACCACGGCTGGCCATGACATTATTTTAACACAAAGAAGTTAAAAAGAGTTACACAGATAAAATACTAAGCTTTCTTCATAAAAAATTTTTCATACAATTTATTCCATAAGAAGGATGGAAACACAGATGACAATGAAACCAACATCTATTAATGAAAGTTTTGATATGTATAGTTTTAATCAAGTGGACTGCACCCTACTGACTATTTTCTAAAATATAAACATCAGAATTATATGTTCTCTTACCGTCCAAGAAAACATTGCCAAAGAGGACGATTCTGTGTTGCCAAATCAGAATCTTTGGAGCCAAACAATTTAGCTAGAAGTCGAACAACAGCTAATCGCTCTTCTCCATCATTGCTCTAAGAAGGGAAAACAGAAAGTGAAGCCTAAGCTTTATTCACCAGATTACAGAAAATATCTTGAAACATTCTCAAGAAGATACTATTTCATATTTCTGCTTATAACTGTGAGAAGTTTAAAATATCATATGTCCTCACTTACTATGCAGAAATTGATTTAATTTCATGTTAGATCATCTGGGTTTTTGCTCTTATTTCACACCCTCCCAACTGCTAATTTATGTCTACTTCACTGATTAATTGCATTCTATACATTGGTTATGGACACTGTACAAATATGAGACATACAATTCACTTCTAACATTAAGAACCCTATAAAAACATCTATGAAGGACAAAGTTACAGTTACCACCCTAATAAGCTTACTTTATAGGAAATCTGCAATTTACGTTCCAACATAAACACACATCAATTAAAGTTTTGATATACAAATTTGTTTTTTTTTTTTTTTTTTTGAGGAGTCTTGCACTGTTTTCCCAAGCTAGAGTGCAGTGGCACGATCTCAGCTCACTGCAACCTCTGCCTCCCGGGTTCAAGAGATTCTCCTGCCTCAGCCTCTCGAGTAGCTGGGATTACAGGCGCCCACCACCGCACCAGGCTAATTTTCACATTTTTAGTAGAGATGGGGTTTCACCATCTTGGCCAGGCTGGTCTCGAACTCCTGATCTCGTGACCCAACCACCTCGGCCTCCCAAAGTGCTGGGATTATGGGCATGAACCACCGCACCTGGCTGATACACAAAGTTTTAATGAAGGATCCCCTACGACTGGAGAATACGACACTACAGAATTTCATGATTCATGGAAACTCATTTTAATAGCAATGCAAGAATCAAAAGATGATCTGAAGGTCAGCTTAAATACTATAAAAAAGCAAAACTTCATTGTTTTCTAGTAAGATTATATTTTCTTATCCTGAAACAGTATATGCGATAAAAATTCTGTTCCAGTTTCAGTAGTGATGCCATGCTTTAATGTAAAATAAGTTATTCTAAAACCATATGGTGTGTGAAACTTTTCAAAAATCATATTCACTAGGAAAATAAACATAGTATCTAAAAGCAACTGCTAATTTTTTTTAGGTGTTCAAATATAATATGTGCCTAAAGCAATACCAGATATCCAATAAACAAAATAGTTTTGGAAAAGAGAAGTAAAAATAGAAAAATAAAGACCACAGGATAAAATCCTTTCCTTATGAATGTTTTAACGTTCAAGAACAGGGGTTTTGTGGGTAAAACAGGCACACTTAACCAATGTAAAAATGAAAATTACATCAAGTATTAACTATTTTAATTTTAAATGACAAAAATGATTTTTTTTTTTTAAGAGGTAAGAGTCTTGCTCTGTTGCCCAGGCTGGAGTGCAATGGCAGGATCATGGCTCACTGCAGCCTTGAACTCCTGGGCTCAAGTGATCCTCCCATCTTAGCCTCCTGAGTAGCTGGACATACAGGTGTGCATCACCACACCTGGCTAATTTTTTATTTTTCTATAGAGACAGAATCTTACCATGCTGACAAGGTTGGTCTTGAACTCCTGGCCTCAGGCAAGCCTCCTACCTCAGCCTCCCAAAATGCTGGGATTATATGGACATGAGGTACCACAACCGGCCTGATTTTTTTTTTTTTTTTTTTTTTTTGGGTGAGACAAGGTCTGGGTGTGGCTCTATCACCCAGGCTGGAGTACAGTGGAGCAACCTCGGTTCACTATAACCTCTGCCTTCCAGGCTCAAGCCATCCTCCCACCTCAGCCTCCTGAGTAGCTGGGACTACGGGTGTGTGGCAATATGCTTGGCTAATTTCTGTATTTTTTGTAGAGATGGGGTGTCACCATGTTGCCCAAGCTGGTCTCAAACTCCTGGGCTCAAGAGATCTGCCTGCCTCCACCTCCCAAAGTGCTGGGATTACAGGTATGAGCTACCGCACTTGGCCCAGCCTGATTTTCTTTGACAAAATTTTTCTCAAGCAAAATGACAATAATGCAGAGTAGCACAACCTTCTAATAAGTTCAATTTATTAGCCAATATGATTTACTTCTTAAAGAAAAAGTAATCTATCCCTTAAATATGAAACAATATATGGAAATTTTATTCTAATAGCAAGTAACTGTTTTAGTAAATCAGTGATTATTTCAAAAGAGGACATTTCACATCTATAAACTACAGAAGTAAAACTAACTGAAAACTCGCCCCTCTGCTATTTGTAAAAGTCAAAATATATTCCTTGACCAGGCTCAGTGGCTCATGCCTGTAATCTCAGTAATTTGAGGCCAAGGCAGGAGAATTGCATTAGGCCAGGAATTTGAGACCAGCCTGGGCAACATAGTGAGAACCCCTCTCAAACAAACAAACAAGCAAAAAATTGCCAGGCATGGTGAGGTATACCTGTAGTCCCAGCTCCTCAAGAGACTGAGACAAGAAAAGCCGGGCACTCCAGCCTGGGCGACAGAGCAAGACTCCGTCTCAAAAAAACAACAACAACAAAAAAAGAGACTGAGACAAGAGGATCACTTGAGCCCAAGAGTTCAAGGCAGTATTAAACTTTTACAAATAGCAGAGGGGCAAGAATTACGAATTACTTGCTCAGTTGTCTATAAAAAATAGATATACTATTTTTAGGACAGTCAAATTTCTGTCCTTAATCTGTACCATGAAAAGGTCATAAAATTGTAAGCAATACCATATGAGGATTACATTTAAAATATTTTGATGTTCTAAAACATATCTATCTAATAATGGATACCATTTAATACCAACATGTATTATAAATCTCTAAGATAATACCATTTTTCCTATCTATTGCTTGTGTCACTGTGATTATCAGTAGATATTTAACAATTAAAAGTATTATAATTTTGTGGCCAGGCGTGGTGGCTCACGCTTGTAATCCCAGCACTTTGGGCAGCCGAGGTGGGCAGATCACAAGGTCAAGAGATTGAGACCAGCCTGGCCAACATGGAGAATCCCCATCTCTACTAAAAATAGAAAAATTATATGGGCATGGTGGTTTGCACCTGTAGTCCCAGCTACTCGGGAGGCTGAGGCAGAAGAATCGCTTGAACCTGGGGGGCAAAGGTTGCAGTGAGCCGAGACTGCGCCATTGCACTCCAGCCTGAGCAATAACAGCAAAACTCCGTCTCAAAAAAAGAAAAAAAAAGATAAATTGAAGTCACACTTTATTCTTCTACAGTTACAGAAAAATTATGCGGTATACATTTTTCCTGGAAAGTTTAAAGGGCATGAAAATTGGTCAATTTTACATTGTGCCTGCTCTAGAAACAAAAAAATTAAAAAAAAAAAAAGAAAACTGGTCAATCTTACCTTTAGTTTGAATTCAAGCTGTGGCATGACGGATAATAATAAATGAGGATCTATAGCAAAAAGTTCCTGAATCAGATCAAATACATGTTCTGACAAATCACTTACTGATGATCTTCCCAGCACCAGGACTTGATTGAAAAACTGTAAGAGATATTAAAAACAAAAAGAAAACATCCAGTTCATTTAAAAACATGGATACATTTTTAATAAACATTTTTTATAAATAATTTAATTAGGTATTACATATACAATTGAAGGAGGTGATACAAACAGGTGTGTGATTACTAATATATAATAGGACAGTCATCTAAACAGCAGAAGAAATAATTTCCTAATAATATCAAATCATGAATGTTACAAGGAGAAAAGCAAAAAAAAATTGGTTTGTTGGGTGTATTTCAAATAAGGACATTTCTAGGAATCTTTGTTTTCATTAAAACAATTTAGACAGTCTGTGTAGTTCATTACAAAGGATTTTAGAAAAATTTCCTTGTAGCAGAGAAAAATTACAAAGTCTCAATCTTTGATTTTTTTTTTCTTTTTATGAGATGGAGTCTGGCTCTGTCACCCAGGCTAGAGTACAGTGGCGTGATCTCGGCTTACTGCAACTTCCACCTCCGAGGTTCAAGCAATTCTCCTGCCTCAATCTCTCGAGTAGCTGGGATTACAGGAACCCGCCACCATGCCCAGCTAATTTTTGTATTTTTAGCAGAGACAAGGTTTCACCGTGTTGGCCAGGCTGGTCTCGAACTCCGTACCTCAGGTGATCTACAGGCCTCGGCCTCCCAAAGTACTGGGATTACAGGCGTGACCCATTGCGCCTGGCCTCAACCTTTGATTTTTAAAAAAATCAAAGGCACAGCAGCACACGCCTGTAATCCCAGCACTTTGGGAAGCCGAGGCACGACAATCTTGAGCCCAGGAGTTGGAGACCAGCCTGGGCAACACAGTGAGACCCTTGCCTCTACAAAAAATAAAAAAATTATCTGGGTGTGGTAGTGCATGCCTATAGCCCCAGCTACTCAGGAGGCCACGGCAGGGGGATCATTTAAGCCCCAGGAAGTCGAGGTTGCAGTGAGTTGTGATCACACCATTGCACTCCTCCTGCATGGGAGACAGAACAAGACCCTGTCTCAAAAAAAAAAAAAAAAAAACAGAATAATTTTTCCATGAGTTTAGTAATAAAGAGTATTTAAAGCTGAAGGATTTTTTTTTGTTGTTGGGTTGTTTCTTTTAATACTCAGAGAAAGTCAAATATGTTTTGACTCGCATGACAAAAAGAACAAAAAGTTGGTAATACAAAAGCTGATTTTTTTTTTAAATGCTAGACAGAAATAAAGAGTATACAAGGCCAAGAGCGCAAATTAAAAGATACCAGCACTGCACACCACCGTCACACATGCAGAAGAATTAAATTTTTAAAATGCCTCAGGGGCAATTGTATGCAACTGATACAAGCATACACTTCTGGTAGTATCATAAGTTGAAAAGCAGCATGAATTAAGTTAGAAAATATTCATTATTGGCCAGGTGTGGTGGCTCACACCTGTAATCGCAGTACTTTGGGAGTCTGGGGCAGGCGGATTACCTGAGGTCAGGAGTTCAAGACCAGCCTGGCCAACATGGTGAAACTCCATCTCTACTAAAAATATAAAAATTAGCAGGGCGTGGTGGCACACATCTGCAGTACAGCCACTAAGGAGGCTGGAGCAGGAGAATCGCTTGAGCCTGGGAGGCGGAGGTTGCAGTGAGCTGAAATCGCACCACTACACTCCAGCCTGGGCAACAGGGCGAGACTCCATCTCTAATCATTCCCACTGGATAAGAGTAATATCAAAAAATTCATATTTACTATGCAGACATTGAAAATAATGAAGAAGATAGTTTTATCAAAATATATGCATACACACACACAAAAAAGCACAGAATACTACTTCTGAAAGGATATAAGAAAACCTAATGGGGATGGTTATTTCTGAGAATTAAGAAATGTATTCAAGGCTGAAGACAGACACTTCTTTACTACTATTATTGTTTAATCTGTTTAAATATTAATTTAGTAATCCAAGTAATACTAATAGGATAACATTTAAATTAAAAGCCTCATTTGGATTTTTATCCATGGAAAATAATTCAACAATATATAAATGTTAGATTCACAAAGATGATTAGGAAAGGAAAGAAACACTGAAAAGACCTAGATCTATGACAATAAGGAAATACGTATCAAGAAACATTTACAGTCATTCTTATATATTTAAAAAGAATGTCAAAATACGTAAATACAAATATGACGATAAAAATTTTACATAAAATAGCCGGGTGCGGTGGCTCACGCCTGTAATCCCAGCACTTTGGGAGGCTGAGGCAGGCAGATCACGAGGTCAGGAGATCAAGACCACCCTGGCTAACACGGTGAAACCCTGTCTCTACTAAAAATACAAAAAATTAGCCAAGTGTGGTGGCGGGTGCCTGTAGTCCCAGCTACTCAGGAGGCTGAGGCAGCAGAATGGCGTCAACCCGGGAGGCGGAGCTTGCAATGAGCCGAGAATGCACCACTGCACTCCAGCTTCAGAGACAGAGTGAGACTCCGTCTCAAAAAAAATTTTTTTTTCATAAAGTATGTGGGAAAATAGTTATAAATATGAGCAAATGAACAATGGAATTAGTTGCTATAAGGTAGTGAGATTGCAAACTTTTTTTTCCAAATTATTGATTTTTTTAGGAAAAACAAACCCAGAACAAATTCCTCAGTAAACCTTTTTTTAACTATTACTATGTAGCAACTATCACAATCTTTCATTACTGAAAAGTATTTAAATCTTTGCCAAAAACAACAGGCAAAACAACCAAACCATTTTCTAAATAAATCTCTGTAATCTTAAAAAAATAAAATAAAAAAAAAAGGAAGAAACATTACAGGACTTCAGAAGAATGACCCAAAAGAAACAAAGAAAAAAATATATAGAGAGAGACACAGAGACCCAAGGAAAATATGAAAGAGATCAGCATATCTGGGAGACAATGAAATAAACATAAATACAAATGCAGATAAGGGGATGGGAGTTGCAGACGACTTTTCTTATAGTAATATCCACCCTTTAAAAACGTCATGAAACTTATGCTGCATTTCTCTAACCCTGGTCACATCTGGACATAAGTTATTTTATATTTATAAGCTAAATAAACTTTTATGTAAGAGGTTCTAATAAATTAATACAATGGATTAAGAATTACAAAATATAGAATAAACATAGAAAGAAATACATACATTAGCAATGCATGCCTCAATAGTCTGGACTGTTCTTTTCAATAGCACTTTTGCAAGGTCAAAGGACTGTTTATTTAAGTTCTGAAAAATAATAAAAACATGGAAAGTTACAAATAAATGTTAATTTATGAGATAGTAACATTAGAATACTGTAGTCTTCAAATCTGTAATAAAATATGAATTTTGCTTCACTAAAATATGAAGCAAAAATAAAAATAACTGAGTTCTCTTCAAGGTTTTGCCAAATATCCTCTAGTCAAGTGATCTTAAATGCAGACGTTGCAAATCGAACTAATTTATTAATCAAAAACTAAAATGGGTTAGTTAGCAAAAGCACAACACTATATTGTTTTATTAAACTCAAAACAGACCTAATGCTTTTTGGTTTTATCTGTTAACCAATGTAAACTGACAACTACACCCACGTATCTTAAACACATACACTCCCTGATCTAACACAACATGCTCAATTATTTCATTGTTTAATCAATGCGTGCTCTGGAGAAGAGTAGACCTGGTAAGCGTTTCAAATAAAAAGCGTTCTTGATCAATTGTATTTTTGAAATGCTTAATACTATGCTCCCGTTTCAAGAGTCCCAATGTACTCAAATAAATTAAAGGATCTGAGAAGGACCTTAGAAAATATATTATTTAATTTTTTTTAAATGCCTGAAAAGGGAATTCTTGTTTTGAATAATACCTATTAACATTGCTATATCTTGAAGTTTTGGATCAAACAGATTCATTCACCATCATCTAACACCTCTTCCAAAACAAGGCTAGGAAACCCTACACTCTAGGCCAGGGGTCAGCAAACTTTTTCTATGAAGGGCCACATGGTAAATATTTTAGGTTTTGTGGGTCATACAAATCACTGCAACAACTACACAACTCTGCTGTTGTAGCATGAAAGCAGATATAAACAAAACGAAAACGAATGAACATGGCTGTGTTCCAATAAAATCTTACTTACATAAATAAGCAATAGTCCAAATCTGATCAACAAGCCATAGCTTCTTGACCCCTGCTCTATACTTTTATTTCATTGGCAAAGGATAAGATTTGCTTAAAATTAAGTTAACATTTCTATTTCTTAAAAGAAGTCTATTTCCTACTACTAATAAAAATGCTCTCAAGCCAGATGTGGTTGCTCATGCCTGTAATCTCAGCACTTCGGGAGGCTAAAACGGGCAGATCGCTTGAGCCCAGGAGTTTGAGATAAGCCTGGGCAACATAGCGAAACCCTGTTTCTACAAAGAAAACTTAAAAAAAAAAAAAAAAAAAAAAGCCAGGTATGGTGGCACATGCCTGTATTGCCAGCTACTTGGGAGGCTGAGGTAGGAGGATCACTTGAGCCCAGGAGACAGAGGCGGCAATGAGCCAAGATAGTGCCGCTGCACTCCAGCCTAGGTGACAGAGTGAGACCCTGTCCCAAAAAAATACCACCAACCTACTTACCTAGTATATAAAAACCAAATATACTGTCTTAATCTGCCAAAATATACTCTCCTTTGCCATAGTCTCAGAATTTTTATAAACTACAGAATTTTGTAAACTACATTTGAATTAATAAAATGTAAATAATATTTAAACTCGAGAAGAATTTAAAATTAATTATATCTTTCTGTGAATGAGTATAATTGGACAGATTTTTCCTCTAATGTCTGATAACAGGATACTGAACCACTAGAAGAAAAGAGCAGGAGAGCAAATATCAACATTGGGGTAGGCCTGAGTAGAGCCCAGTGGTGGAGCCTGAGGGCAGCCAAGTCCTTCAGATTCTTAGGAGGATCTGGTGGAGATAAATAGAAAAAGGAAACAGGGAAGAATGATACACCTTTGAATCATCCTTTTCTTCTTAACATTAACCATATAGCTTCTGCCCAAATCTTTTTCTGAGAGTACCTAAGAAAAAGGTACGATACGGATTCTGAAAAGAAATCCAAACTCCTATGTTTCACATCTATGTTAAAAAGGAGGAAATACATTTCTTTTCCAAACAAAGTTAACCAAAAGGCAACACCCCTAACCCCTTACAATTCTCAGATTATTTGTGTGAATACAAAACATTTTCAGTTTCCAGAAAACAGCACTTAAATGAATGAAACTCCTACATGATATGTTAATCAATATATTTTGTAAAAATAATAGCCACAAGACTAATGCATGTTATTTTATTTGAGGTGGAGAACGGTCATGAGAACAATTACATGGGATTGCAAATGGCCATAAAACAACTGTTCATTCTTATGTGTGGCGTGACTGTTAAACATTAACCTTGAATATCTTCATACTTTACAGACCTTATGTGCAGGAATGAGGTTAATAAGAATGGAGTCCAATAATTCTTGAGTAACTCCATCACCTTCCATGATGATAGAACTCATCAAATCTAGCATGTGCATTTGTACCTTCTTATTGTGGCTATTGCTATAAAAAAAAAAAAAAAAGAATAAGTAGTAGGAGGAGGAAAAGAAGAGAATTCAAGCTTCTAATAGGAAATTAAACGTCCTAGTTTAAAACAACAATCTCACATGTAAAGGATTTTCACTTGAGGGACAGTGCCAATAATGGCAGAGAAATTTTGGCTGCTCTATTTTCTTTCTCCTTTTGTTGACTATTACAACAGTTGTAAGGTACTGTTGTATTTTATAAAAACAAAGACAAACCTAATTTCTAATAAACTACATTTTCTTCCATTCACTTTTTTTTAAAAAGAAAAGAAAAAGGCCGGGCACAGTGGCTCGGACCTGTAATCCCAGCACTTTGGGAGGCTGAGGCAGGTGGATCACCTGACATCAGGAGTTCAAGACCAGCCTGGCCAACATGGTGAAACCCCGTCTTTACAAAAATACAAAAATTAGTGAAGCGTGGTGGCGGGCACCTGGAATTCCAGTTTCTGGGGAGGCTAAGGCGGAAGAATCACTTGAAACTGGGAGGCGGAGTTTGCAGTGAGCAGAGATCATGCCACTGCACTCCGGCCTGGGCAACAGAGTGAGACTTTGTATCAATTAAAAAAAAAAAAAAAGAAAAAAAAAAGGAAAAGGAAAAAAAGACCTTTTAAAATAAATTAAGTCTTTACACAACTAGGATTCCAAAAGTAAATTAAATTCTGCCTTAAAAAATGTCAATTTTAGCCTGGGCAACATGGCAAAACCCTGTCTCTACAAAAAAATTAAAAATTGGCCAGCTGAGTAGCCCCAGCTACTCAGAAGGCTGACATGGGAGGATCACTGGAGCCCAGGAGGTCGAGGCATCAGCAAGCCATGATCGTGCCACTGCACTCCAGCCTGGGGGACAGACCAAGACCCTGTCTCAAAACACACACACACACACACACACACACACACACACGCATCCACTTCAAGGAAAGAACACTTCTGCTTACATGCCCCAGATTTTTAAAGGTGATAAAATTTTAAGGAAACAAACAAAAAAGTATACAATAATAAAGGCAGACATTTTTTTCAACTCCCACACCTTAAGTCTTAATAAATTCCTCAAACTAAGATAAAAACCTATTTAAACACCCCCAAATGCATAAGCCAACATAAGCAATTATTGCTGTATCCTTGCCACTAGAAGTTTTAACTCACCAATACTGAAAATCAAAAGTTTCATCTAAAATGCTTTCAATAACTAGAAGGCTTTTCTGAAAATGTCATCCTAGTACCTCCTAAAGAATTTCAAACAGACAAATGAAAAATCAATAAAGCATAAAATATAAGGCCAAGAATCACTTTCAAGTGCTTCCACAATGAGGCCTGCCCTTTCTTGCTACTTTTGAACCCAGTCAGCATACGAACAGGCCTGGGCTGTCCTCCTGAATGGATGAGACATGTGACCCAGTTCTATCACTTCAGCCCACCTCAGCTTACGGCCAGATATTGACCAGATATCCTGCCAACTGACTACAAACACAGGTGCAAATCCAACCCAAATAAAATCAACTGCCAAGCAGAATCATGAGCTAAATAAAATGGTGGCTGTCTTAAACTATCAAGTTTTAGGTTACTTTGTAATGCAGCAAAAGCTAACAAACACAAAGGTTTATATGTTCTATCATTTACTTTAAGGGCTTACTGCTAGTCAAATGCCACAGAAGTTTCTTCTCATGCTATCTTTCTACAAGCTTCTATCCTATGCCAAGCTGGAGTGATCCTTTCCTGTTTGTTTCAGGATAATGTCTAATCCTACCATTCCATCTAAGGAAAAAGAAAATATGATATAGCATTCATTAAAACTCTGGAAATGTGCTGTTCAATATGCAAGCCATTTGCCACATATGGCTGGTGAACATGTGAAACATGAGGAGGGCCACATGTTGGAATGAAAATACTTTTGGATACAGTGGAATAAATAACATATATTATCAATATGAATTTCACTTGTTTTTACTTTTCTATTAATGTGACTACTAGAAAACTTATGTGAGGTATGTTTGCATATAATGTAATGCTCTAGAACACTTCTCATAACAGTGCTTAATTTACTATACAAAAAACAAACCAGGCTGGGTGTGGTAGCTCACACCTGTAAACCCAGCACTTTGGGAGGCCGAGGTGGGTGGATCACTTGAGGTCAAAAGTTTTAGACCAGCCTGGCCAACATGGCAAAACTCTATCTCTACTAAAAATACAAAAATTAGCCGGGTGTGGTGGCACACACCTGTAGTCCCAGCTACTCAGGAGGCTGAGACAGGAGGACTGCTTGAACCCGGGAGGTGGAAGTTGCAGTGAGCCAAGATGGCACCACTGCACTCCAGTATGGGTGACAGAGCAAGACACTGTCTCAAAAAAAACAAAACAAAACAACCCACACAGAATAAAACAATAACAACAAAACCCACACACAAAAAAAACCAAACCAAAACAAAACAAAAAACCCACAAACCAAAAAACATGGGCTAAAATCAGAATTTGAGCCTCCTGTCCAGCAACTGGTCCTTGGGCAAGCCACTACACTTCCTGACTCTGGATTAGTTTCCCTATTTCTATAAAGAGAAGGCCAATTTAGGCAATGTTTAAGATTTTTTTCTAGGTCTAGAATAAGAAGTTGTCAAAGTTAGTGAGCTTAAAGACTGAGCTATTACGTCTCCCAGAACTAATGGTACATACAATATGCATAATTTCTACCTCATAATTTAATACTTCATTGTATTAACGTAAGGTTTCAGACGATTTGCTTTACAACCATATGTGGTTGCCTCTATTAGATAGTAAGTCCCTTCAAAACAAGAGCACCACTTTATACTTCTCTACTGGTCCATGGCCTCCAGGACAGCCTGGGCGACTGAAGAGCCAACCAGTAAATTGGTACCATAATTTAAAATTCGTAGTATAAGGTCAAAGGCAGTGTTCGGACAACAGAATTTTTACTTTCCCCTTTATGTTAAGTTTTCTAAGGAAAACAATTCCTTATAACTCTGAAATATCTTAGTGTACATGTAGAGTATACAACATCTGAATACATAATCAAGAAAAAGAGACAAACAGAAATGCTTAAAAAATAACTTACTTGATCACTGAGAAGAGAGTTCTAAAAAGCTGAATAAAAATTTCATTGCAATCTTCCAATTCAAAGCAGATGTTATATGATTTAACCCAAGCTAAATTCTTAAATAAATAAAAATAATTATTGAATTATACATATATACAGAATAGTTATATAATAAAAAACTCAGTAAAAAATTAATTTTTAGAGTTAGAAACATATTAAAGTCTATAAAGACTCAACATATAAAATTTTAAGTGTTAATCACATATTCTGACCTTGAAAAAGATATATACCTGATGGCATCAATTTTCTCAAACTGAAAAATACTCAATATTTTTAAGTTGGTAGATATATTTCCATACAAAATTTAAGAAGCAGTAAAAATCTGTTTTTAGAATAGAAAAAAATAAAAATAAAAAGATAGAGGCCGGGCCCGGTGGCTCACGCCTGTAATCCCAGCACTTTGGGAGGCCAAGGTGGGCGGATCACCTGAGGTCAGGAGTTTGAGACCAGCCTCAACATGGAGAAACCCCGTCTCTACTAAAAATACAAAATTAGCCGTGCGTGGTGGTGTATGCCTGTAATCTCAGCTACTCGGGAGGCTGAGGCAGAAGAATTGCTTGAACCTGGGAGGCGGAGGTTGTGGTGAGCTGAGATCACGCCATTGCACTCCAGTCTTGGCAACAAGAGTGAAACTACGTCTCAAAAAAAAAAAAAGAAAGAAATAGATACAAACAAAAGATATAGTTTCAAATAATCTACAGTTTTTCCATCAGAATATACTTTATCTCTTCAGGATAGGAAGAAAAATAAAATAATATTTTCCTTATGAAATGTAAAAGACATTTTATTATAGGCTTTGAATAAAATAAACACTCATTTTACATTACAAAGTTAACATGAAGAATTTGCTATCATGTGAAATAATGTTAATAGTTATTAAAGTTTTTTTTTTTTTACCTCTAATAAATAAAAGTATCTATTAAACTGTGGACTCTTTGTATCCTCCAAACCTTTTAATTGTCTGGTAATAAACAAAAATATGTCCTGTTAAAAAAAAAAACACATTAATTTAGACACAAATACTTTTCTTTCACAACACACTAATAGTATGTAACTTTATTATTTGTGTACAAACTACAATAAAAGAAAATTCTCCTTTAGATGAATGTCTTGGGATTGGCCTAATCCATTATTCAAAATGATTCAAAAGATCCAATCAAATAAAATTATACTCTTTAGAAGCAAAAATAAACTATAAATCTTTAGGCTTTCTCTTTCAGAGCGGACCACAGGCTCTATATCTCATTATAATTTCTTCTACTATCGTGCTTTCACTTTACTCACTATCTCCACCTTGCATCGGGGCAAAAACTATCTTCATTTTAAGGAGTTGGATATGAGTATTTCCATTACTATTACCTACAAGTAAATAGTAATTTTTAGCCAATGTTTTGAAGTTGATGTATGATTACGAAGTTGTGTGTGAAAAAAGGCAACAGACTAGTCCAATGGTTCTATGATTCATGATGGTAGTCTTTCATTTCTTAATAAGCTTTCTTTAGAAATTTTAACTCACAGTAGTATCAATATAATACAAAATGATTTTAGGACTATTTTTAAAGAAAGCAGTCTACAGGATTAAAATTTGCCAAGAATGAAATTATTCAAAATACAAAATCTCCCCAAGAGATCAATGTTAAGAGTTCCACAAACACTTGAACAAAGGCAGAACAACCAAGATGAGCATATAGTTTTGCATGCTGAATAACTTATAGGGGAAAATAGTCATATGAATATGTAAATTCTGGTATGCTATTATTTTAAAAAGTATCATTAATCTGCTATTTATCCCTGGAACATAGCTATCTGGGCTTTTGTGATGAATTAGCCAGAAAATTGGATTTGAGCATACAGGGACTAGTTTTGAACTATACCTTTCTATGCTTCAAATCAAACAACCAAGCAACCCAGTCATTTGTGGAAATACTAACTGAATGAATAATTTTGCAACTTACAATATATTCTTAAGATGAAGAGACTAATATGAAACCTATGTTCATAAAGGTAAAATATAAAAATAAAAGTATACCTTCTGAACAGTGGTGAATGAAAAATACAATAAAGTGAAAAAGGCTGTATTTACCTTAAGTTTATCATGGGAAGTATATGGAGCTTCTGGGGCATAGATACGAAAGATATCAGCCAAACAACATGCTACAAGGAGACGCACATCTTTATTGGGGTTCCTGAGGAAGAATTCAGATGCAAGATGCAAGGCTAGTGGGAGATACTGCTGTTTTTCATCTTCTGAGTCCTGATCCATATCCATAAAGGTTTTCACTACCATCTGTAAAAATGTACAAAAACACAAAATAATTAACTCCTGGAATTTAGAAATCAGTGGAGGATGTGATTTAAAAAAAAAAAAGTCATCTCCATTAGCAATCGGTGGCCACCAGACAGTTCACAGTCAACTTTTTATAAATCTTCATTTAAGAATTTCAGAAAAGATCACAAGCATGAAACGGCTAGTCTAAAAAACCCATAAACAAGTATCACCTTCTCAGGCACATTGTCTGCACTAGTACCTCATTTATGAGGAACTTAAGCCTCTTATTATTCATTTTAAATCTAGCCCAGATAGTTCCTGGCCCCATATGGACAATAACATTCATTTGATATTTGGCAACATCATTAACTATGCTTCTTTTATATTTTATTATTAAAGGAGCCTTCTTCAGGCTCCTTAAAATTGCTATTTCATTTCATGCTTTAATGAGTTTTACACTTCATAATAAAAAGTCATTTTCCATGCTGGACAACATGGCAAGACCCTGTCTCTACAAAAAATACAAAAACCAGCTGGGTATGGTAGCATGTGTCTGTAGTCCCAGCTGCATAGGAGGATGAGATAGGAGGGTCCCTTGAGCCCAGGAGGCGGAGGCTGCAGTGCGCCAAGATCACACCACTGCAATCCAGACTAGGCAACAGAGTGAGACACTGTCTTTAAAAAAAAAAAAAAAGGCATTTTAAAATTATATTAATGCAGTTGTATTTCTAATTAAAACATTTAATTAACCTGCTTTTATGGTTATAAAATTAACCAATGCACACTTTGGAATCATTATAAAATGCAAAGAATCATGAAAAAAAATAAAAGAAAAATCCATAATTTATCAACTCCAGAAACTACCATTCACATTTTTGTGTACTTTATGCTGGCCTGTTTTCTCTGTAATTATGCAAATAACTATAATTCTTTATGTATCAAATCACAATAATTTCCTCAGATCTTAAAAATGATTCTCTAATTATAAATCACAGTTTACTTAATCTGTGTGATGGTTAATACTGAGTGTCAACTTGATTGGATTGAAGGATACAAAGTACTAATCCTGGGTGTGCCTGTGTGTGTGTTGCCAAGAGATTACATTTGAGTCAGTGGGCTGGGGAAGGCAGGTCCACTGTTAAGCTGGTGGGCACAATCTAATCAGCTTCCATCGAATATAAAGTAGGCAGAAAAACATGAAAAGGGACGGCGGGACTAGCCTCCCAGTCTACATCTTTCTCCCGTGCTGGATGCTTCCTGCCCTCAAACATCAGACTCCAAGTTCTTCAGTTTTGGGACTCGGACTGGCTCTCCTTCCTTCTCAGCTTGCAGATAGCCTATTGTGGGGCCTTGTGAGTTAATACTTAATAAACTATATATATATATATATATATATATATATATATATATCCCATTAATATCCTACATACATATATCTCCTATACATATCCTATTGGGGCGTGTGTGTGTGTGTGTGTGTGTGTATTCCTGTTAGTTCTGTCCCTCTAAGAGAACCCTAATACAATCTGTCGCCACTGTCAAATATTCAAGCTATATTTTTATTCTGCCAAGATTTTTTATCATGAGTGTAAAATTTTATTATTATTATTTTTTTTTGAGAAAGGGACTTGCTTTGTTGCCTAGGCTGGAGTGCAGTGAAGCGATCTCAGCTCATTGCAACCTATGCCTCCCAGACTCAAGTGGTCCTCCAACCTCAGCCTCCCAAGTAGGTGGATCTACAAGCATGTGTCACTATACCTGGCTAATCAAAAAAAAAAAATTTGGGGGGCCGGGCGAGGTGGCTCATGCCTGTAATCCCAGCACTTTGGGAGGCCGAGGCGGGCAGATCACGAGGTCAGAAGATCGAGACCATCCTGGCCAACACAGTGAAACCCCGTCTCTACTAAAAATACAAAAAATTAGCCGGGCACAGTAGCACACAACTGTAATCCCAGCTACTCAGGAGGCTGAGGCAGGAGAATCTCTTGAACCCGGGAGGCAGAAGTTGCAGTGAGCCGAGACTGTGCCACTTGCACTCCAGCCTGGGCAACAGAGTGAGACTCCATCTCAAAAAAAAAAAAAAAAAAAAAAAAAAAAAAAGTTTTTTTGTTTTTTGTTTTTTTTTTTTAAGAGACAGGGTTTTGCCATGTTGCCCAGGCTGGTCTCGAACTCCTGGGCTCAAGCGACCTGCCTGCCTCAGCCTCCCAAAGTGTTGGGATTACAGGCATAAGCCACCATGCCTGGGCTATTGAGTATTTTTTGACACCTATTGAGATAATCATACTTTTTCCCTAATTCTGTTAATATAGTAAATCCCAATGGCTGATTTTCTAATTTTAATTCAAGTTTGCATTCTAATTTTACTATTTTAGTCCAAGTTTGCATTGCTAAAATAAAGACAACTTGGTCATAACATTTTAAGGTATTACATTTTATTTGCTATTACATTATTTCTATTTCTTTGTAATTATATGAAAGAAACTGGCTTATAACTTCTTAAGACAACCGTATCAGGTTTTAGTACTAAATTATACTGGCTTGAAACAAAATAAGCAGTGATCCCTCTTTTTTTCTAACATAGTATATCAAAAGTGTGATAGTAAGACTGGTTTTATTTCTTCCCTAAATATTTAGGGAAGTATAACTGATAAAAGAAGGAATCATAACGGAAATGAGAAAATATTTTGAACTGAATTATAATGTAAATATGAACTACCAAAACTCATAGGATGCACTTACCACTGTACTTAAAGGAAATTTATAATCTTAAATGTGTATTTTACAAAAGAAAGAATGCAATCATCTATATTTCCATCTTGAGAAATTAGATAAATCCAAAGAAACTAGAATCAGGGTTTGTGAAACAAAAGATAGAGAAGGGCTGGATGTGATGGCTCACACCTGTAATCCCAGCACTTTGGGAGGCCAAGTCAGGAGGATCGCTTGAGCCCAGCAGTTCCAAGACAAGGGTCTGGCTCTGTCACCTAGGCTGGAGTACAGTGGCGCAATCTCAGCTCACTGCAACCTCCACCTCCCAGGCTCAAGAGTTCCTTCCACCTCAGCCCCCTGAGCAGCTGATACTACAGCACACGCCACCACACCTGGCTAGGTTTTGTACTTTTTTTTTTTTGTAGGATGGGATTTTGCCATATGGTGCCCAGGCTAAAAAAATTTTTTTTAATTATTGCTATGTAACAAAATACCCCAAAACTCAGTGCCTTAAAACAATAACATGTATTTATCATATGTGGTTGAAGAATTGGAAAGTGGCTTAGCTAAGTCGTGTGGGCCTGGAATCTCTCAAGAGGCTGTACCTGGTCAAGGCTGCAGTTATCTGAAGGCTTGACTGGGCGTGGAGGGTGTGTTTTGAAGGTAACTCATTCTTACGGTTCTAAGTTGACACTTGCTGTTGTTGAAAGGCTTCAGTTCCACACTACATGGGCCTTTCTAGACAGCTCAAGTGAAAAGGCAGTTGGTTTTCCCCTGGTGCAAGATCCAAGAGAGCAAATATGAAGTGGCAGTCTTTTACGACCTAACCTTGAAAAGCATACATTGTCACTTCTACCACAGCCTGTTCCGTTACTCAGGACAGCCCCGTTCAGTGTTGCAGGGGACTATACAAGGGAGTAAATACAAGGAAATAAGGATCATTCAGAGCTATCTTGGAGGCTATGATACAATGCCTTCTCATATGTATACCTTATATAGTCTTCTTCCACAATGACTCTGGATTTGGTCAGGTGACTTTTTTTTTTTTTTTTTTAAGACAGAGTCTTGCTCTGTCGCCCAGGCTAAACTGCAGTGGCATGATCTTGGCTCACTGCAATCTCTGCCTCCCAGGTTCAAGGGATTCTTCTGCCTCAGCCTCCCAAGTAGCTGGGAACTACAGGCACTCGCCACCAAGTCTGGCTAAGTTTTGTATTTTTAGTAGAGACAGGATTTCACCACGTTGGCTGGGTTGGTCTTCAACTCCTGACCTCAGATGATCCACCTGCCTCAGCCTCCCCAAATGCTGGGATTACAGGCATGAGCCTCCATGCCCAGTCCATGTGACTTATTTTGGCCAAACAGACATTAGCAAGCCTGATGCAAGAACAGGCCTGATAAGCATTTGTACGTTGAGATTGCAATGCCCCTATGGGAATGTACCCACCATGCTATTAGGAATCCCAGACTATTCAAAAAACAGAGGCTGTGTATACCACATAGACTACGTGGAAGAGAACTAAGGTGGCCTAATTGAGCTGCCATCTAAACTTAGCCATAAGAGTGACCCTGTAGAAGCAAAGTAGAGCTTCATAAATACACACAACCAAGGGGAGAAAACCTGTGGTGGCTGTGAAGGTCCTGATGCCATGTATGTCAAACTGGTATCTTCCGATGGTCATGAATTTATTGTAAAAAGAGAACATGCAGCGCTAAGCGCGGTGGGTCACAGCACTTTGGGAGGCTGAGGCAGGCAGATCACGAGGTCAGGAGTTCGAGACCAGCCTGACCAACATGGTGAAACCCTGTCTCTACTAAAAATACAAAAATTAGCTGGGCCTGGTGGTGCGCGCCTATAATCCCAGCTACTCAGGAGGCGGGGCAGGAGAATCGCTTGAACCTAGGAGGCGGAGGTTGCAGTGAGCTGAGATCACGCCACTGCACTCCAGCCTGGGCTACAGGAGCAAGACTCCATTTCAAAAAAAAAGAGAGAACATGCACTAACATGAGGAACAATCAAAAGGCCATGCTGAAGCCAAGCACAGTGGCTCATGCTTATAATCCCAGCACTTTGGGAGGCTGAGGAGCGTGGATCACATGAGGTCAGGAGTTCGAGACCATCCTGACCAACATGGTGAAACCCTGCCTCAATCAAAAATACAAAAATTAGCCGGGCATGGTGGCAGGTGCCTGTAGTCCCAGCTACTCGGGAGGATGGGGCAGGAGTAACGCTTGAATCCAGGAGGCAGAGATTGCAGTAAGCCAAGATCGTGCCATTGCACTCCAGCCTGGGTGACAAAAGCAAAACTCCGTCTCAAAACCAAAACCAAAACCAAAACCATGTTGAATGACCCAGATCAGTTTGCTGAGAATGAACTCATTGAGAGCAATTTTAGAGAGGTCTGTTCATGTGTGCTATCAAAAGTATGTATGTATTGTCAAGAATGGTGGCTTGCACTTACAATCTCAGCTACTTGGGAGGCTGAGACAAGATGACTGCTTGAGCCCAGAAGTTCTAGGCTGCAGTGAGCTATGATCATGCCAATGCACTCCAGCCTGGTGACAGAACAAAATGCTACCTCTAGAAAAATAAAATAAAAGTTAAAGCATGCATATATTTTTACCTACGAGATTCACTAAACTAACAGTTCCACTGAAATTTCTGAATTCCCAATTGCACTTGATATTGCACTAGAACCGCTGATGCAGACTTCCCAGATTGTTATTAAATTAAAATAAACTGTTTAAAAAAAAAACCAGTGACCCCAGAAGGCACCACATGGAAAAGAAGGACCACAAAGTCTATTCACAGAATTGAAAGAAACAATTATTCATTTTAAGCCACTAGATTTTGCTTTACCACACAGGAACAGAAATGAAATTCCATTCATTCTTCCCTTTTTTAAATATGTCGTTACTGTGCACATTTTTAATGTGCTGTACTGAGGCAGGAAAGATAAAAGCTACATTTCCTAGATTCCCTTGCAATGGAGTTGAAGTCATAATTCTCGTATAGCCCATCAGAGGCACTTATTCAAGATTTGGAAGGTGAAAGTTCAGAAGAGGTGGTGGTGTAGTTTCTGCTGTTGTCAGCTGGCAAGTATGGAGTGAGCTGTTGTGTGTATGTGTGTGCGGGCAGGCACATACACAGCAGCTTTCTACTAACTGGCTGTTAGTATTGTGAAGATAGAGGGAAGAAGCATCCATTTTGTGCTGGTACTAATCTATTAAACTGTGTGAGGCTCTGTACCAAATTATACCAATGGTGACTTCCTAATCACTGGATTACGGCTAAACGTGTGTCCCTACTTAAGAGCTCCAGGGTGGCTTCCTGATTTTCCCACCTTTCTGATTAGAGCACAGGATTCAGCTCTCCTTGTGGGCCAGCTATACGAAGTGTTCTCGGAGTCTAGTCCTGTAAGCCTGAATTAAGGGTGCTCTTCCAGCAATTCCAAATCACTTTTTAAATAGCAAGTTCCCTGTCTGCTTAAAATAACATAACTAAAGCTTGACTGGTGTTTGAAACATGACTCTGATTTTCTCTCAGATCCTTCAACATGTCAGAATCCCCTGTGCCATTCAGGCCTTTTTAAATGCTATTGGCTCTTTGTAGACTAATCTCTTCTTACCTCATCTAATTTATCATACACTTATGAGAATTAAACAATTTCTTGGTAAGTCTGTGTGAATTTTTTCCTGTGGATTGTGTTTTAATACCCTCTGGCTATTTATCTATTGCGGTCTTAGTATTTCTTTTTTTTTCTTTTTTTTTTTTTTTTTAAGAAATGAGCAGGAAAAAATCAAACTAAGTTTTTTTGCCCACAGCTAGGTTTTTATAATATTGATAAAAAAGAAACACTAACACCAATACTATTAATAATGATTAACATTTACTGAATATTTACCACATTCCAGCACTCTATAAATATTTTTTTGAGACAAATTAACTCAAAATTAAGCATCTTTTCACGTATTTGCCACCTACTCTACGTTTTCTTGGTGACGTGCCTCTCCAAATCTCTTTTCTTTTTTCCTTATGTGTTTTCAGCTGTCATATATTCTGGGTACCAATCCTTTATCAGATACGTATATTGCAAATATTTTCTCCCAGTCTGAGGCTTGTCTTTAACAGCATAGAAAAATTTAATTGATGAAGGATTTAACGTAATCTAACTTTATCAATTATTTTCTTTTATGGTTTGTGCTTTGTGTGTCCTACCTAAGAAATCATTACCTAACCAAAAGTTGTAAAGATTTTCTCCGCTGTGGTATTGATTGATTGATTGATTGACTGATTGGGACGGAGTCTCACTCTGTTGCCTAGGCTGGAGTGCAGTGGCACAATCTCGGCTCAATGCAACCTCCTGCCTCAGCCTCCCAAGTAGCTGGGATTACAGGTGTGCACCACCACACCCAGCTACTTCCAGTAGAGATGGGGTTTTGCCATGTTGGCCAGGCTGGTCTCAAACTCCTGGCCTCAAGTGATCTACCCGCCTTGGCCTCCCAAAGCGCTGGGATTATAGGCGTGAGCCACCGCGTCTGGCCTTCCGATGTGTTCTTGGAAAAGTTTTATAGTTTTAGGTTTTTATATGTATGTCTATATTCATTCTGAGTTAATTTCTGTATGTACTGAAAGCTTTTGGGTCGAGGTGTTCAAGCCTCATTTCTAGAAAAGACTATTCTTTCTCTTTTTCTACAGGATTGTTTTGGCATCTTTGTTGAAAAAAACTGCTATACCATGTAGGCCTATTTCTGGACTCTGTTGTGTTCCTATTTTCTGTGCCCTTTTACCAATACCACATAGCTTTGATTACTGTAGCTTTATTAAAAAGTTTTGAAATCAGGTAGTATGTGAATCATCCAACTCAACATAAAAATGAGGAAAAGATCTGAACAGACTTAACAAGAGAAACATACACTGGAGGTAGATATATAAAATGGTACAACCACTTCAGATAACTGTATGGCAGTTCTTCATAAAATTTAAAGATGCATTTAACATTTAAGCCAAAAATTCCATTCTTAAGAATTTACTGAAAACATTTCACACAAATACAAGTACGTGTTCCTAACAGCTTTATTCAGCATATCACAAAACTGAAAATAACCAACTGTCCTTCAAAAGGTAAATGGATAAATCCATTGTGGTATACCCATACAAAAGACTTCTAATTCGCGATAAAAGGAACCTGACAGAAGCAAGGCGCAAATGGGGAGCAGAGAGGACTAAAAAGCAAAAGGAGGAAACTTATGAGGGTGATAAGTTCACTTTAATTGAAGTGATGGTTTCAATGCTGTGTATGTATGTCAAAACTTGTCAGGTTGTTATTCCCCGACAGCAATTCTCTGACACCAAATAGGTGTCCTACATTTCAATTCAGTTCTGACACTACCCACCTTAGCGCAGAACCCCACAGGCAAAGTTCTTCCCAAGACTGCCTCCACTTCCGATGCCAGCCCCAATTCTCAGGGACAACTTCCATTTCTGACAGACCAGCTATAAATTTCAGGTTTCCTATAGCCTCCTCAGGTTTAAAAATTTGCTAGAATAACTCACAGAACTCAATGAAAGCACTATATTTATTATTTATTATTTATCTATTTGAGACAGTTTCGCTGTCACCCAGGCTGGAGTGCAGTGGCACAACCGTGGCTCATTATAACCTCCGCCTCCTGGGTTCAAGTGATTCTCATGCCTCAGCCTGCCCTAATAGCTGGGTGCATACCACCACATCTGGCTAATTTTTTTTATTTTTAGTAGAGACGGGGTTACATCATGTTGGCCAGGCTGGTCTCAAACTCCTGCCCTCAGGTGATCTTCCCACCTTGGCCTCCCAAAGTGCTGGTTCACACATTACAGGTGTGAACCACTGCACCTGGCCTGAAAGCACTATGTTTACTGTCACAGTTTTATTATAAAGGAAATACTTGGAAGCCTAAACAAGATTGAGCCTGCTCGATCTTGGATGGTAGATCACTGGGGAATACCAGGTGCTGTGAGCTAGAAGGAAAAAGAAAGAAACAGAAAATAACAAGGTGGAAGAAAAGTATGTAACTCAAGAACAGTCAAACTGAAGAGACACATCAGCCAAAGTCTTGGGGGTGAAGAGGGGTGTGTGGATGGGATGGGGACACAGAGCTTCGTATACTCTTCTCATTGAATCTGGACATGTAATCCTCCCAGCATATCACTGTGTTCACCAACCACTAACCTCCCCTGAGCTTTAGTGTTCACAGGATTCACTGGGCTTTATGACGCAGGCATGAATGATAAAATCAAGACTGAACTCAATCTCCAGCCTCCCTCTTCTCCTGGGAGAAAGTTTCAATCCTCTAATTTAAGTGACCAGCCCCATCCTGAAGCTATCTAGTGGCACTGCCAGGAGCTGCCTCATTAGCGTAACAAAGACACTCTCACTTGGGAAATTCCAAGGGTTTTTGAGGCTCTGTGCCAAGAATCAGAACAAAGATCAGATCGATTATTATATGTCATATAATTTAAATATGTCCAAATTATTGTTCAGTAATTCAATTACACCTCAATACAGCTATTAAAAATTTTTTTTAATTTTATTTTTTGAGAAAGGTTCTCACTTTGTCGCCCAGGCTGGACTGCAGTGGTGTGATCAGGGATTACAACAGCCTCAACCTCCCTGGCTCAAGTGATCCTCCTGCCTCGGTCTCCTGAGTAGCTGGGACCACAGACGAATGCCACCATGTGCAACTAATTTTTATTTATTATTATTGGTAGAGATGGGGTCTTGTTATGTTGCCTAGGCTGGTCTCCAACTCTTGGCCTCAGGTGATTCTCCTGCCTTGACTTCCCAAAGTGGTGTAAGCCACTGTGTCCAGCCAAATGAACTTTTTGTAAGTCCAACATAGCAAATGAGAACTCTCACTCACTTTTTAATTGAAATGTAAATTGGTAGAACCACTTTGCTGCTTTCAGTTAAGTAGAAGACATACATGCCCAATGATTCAACAATTTCACCTCTGGTGGTGCCCTAAAGCAGCTAGAGTATGTATACAAGGATGACTGGAGTGTTAAGTTTAGCCTAAAGCTGCTTCCTTGCATAAATTCAGCCTAAAGGATTCTCCATACATAGTGAGCTGTACCTAACCAGATTGTAAAAAGACTGTAACCTACTCTCCTACCAATCACACAGAATTGTGGCCAATCACAGGTGGCTGACTGTTCAAACCGTGATCAAATAAGGCAAACACTGAGCTGTAACCAATTCACCTATTTCTATACCTCACTTTCGTTTTCTGTATATCACTTTCCTTTTTCTGTCCATAAATGTTATCTGACCACTTGGCAGCTCTGGAACTGTTCTGAACCTACTCAAGTTTGGAGGGGGCTGCCCAGTTTGTGAATCATTCTTTGCTCAATTAAATTCTGTTAAATTTAATGTGTCTGGGCCGGGCACGGTGGCTCACACCTGTAATCCTAGCACTTTGGGAGGCCGAGGTGGGTGGATCACCCGAGGTCAGGAGTTGAAGACCAGCCTGGCCAACATGGTGAAAACCCATCTCTACTAAAAATACAAAAATCAGCCAGGCGTGGTGGCAGGTGCCTGTAATCCCAGCTACTCGGGAGGCTGAGGCAGGAGAATCACTTGAACCGGGAGGCGGAGGTTGTAGTGAGCCAAGATCGTGCCACTGCACTCCAGCCGGGGTGACAGAGCAAGACTCTGTCTCAAAAAATACATATATATATATGTCTGAAGTTTTTATTTTAACAACAGCAATGTGGTTTGTAAAAGCCAAAAAACTACAAGTGAAAAATGTCAATAGAAGACTGATTAAACTGTATAATGAAATACTATATAAGTTAGGCCAGGCGCAGTAGCTCATGCCTGTAATCCCAGCACTTTGGGAGGCTGAGGCCGATGGATCACAAGGTCAGGAGATCAAGACCATCCTGGCCAACATGGTGAAACCCCATCTCTACTAAAAATACAAAAATTAGCTGGGCGTGGTGGCGCATGCCTGTAATTCCAGCTACTCAGGAGGCTGAGGCAGAAGAATCGCTTGAACCAGGGAGTCCGAGGTTGCAGTGAGCCAAGATCACACCACCGCACTCCAGCCTGGCAACACAGCGAGACTCCATCTAAAAAAAAAAAGCAATAATACAAAACTCAAACATAACACTGAAGACACAGTAACACAAGGAACCATATAGTATGATTCTAGCCATATAAAATTGAAAAAGTAAAACTAGAAAAAAGCCAGTCATGTTGGCCAATACCTGTAGTCCCAGCTACTTGGGAGGCTGAGGCAAGAGGATGGCTTGAGCCTAGATCAAGGCTATGGCTGAGCTATAGTTGTACATTGTACAGTGGCTCATGCCCGTAATCACACTTTGGGAGGGCGAGGCAGGAAAATCGCTTGAGCCCAAGTGTTGGAGACCAACCTGGGCAACATAACAAGACCTCATCTCTACCAATAATAATAAATAAAAATTAGCTGTGCATGGAGACATGCGCCTGTAGTCCCAGCTACTCAAGAGAATGAGATGGGAGGATCGCTTGAACCTAGGAGGGTGAGGCTGTAATGACCTCTGATCACACCACTGCAGTCCAGCCTGGGCGACAGAGTGAGACCCTTTCTCAAAACCTAAAATGAAAAAAAAAATTTTTTTTAAATAGCTTTACTGCGGCTGGGCAAAGTGGCTCACGCCTTAATTCCAGCACTATGGGAGGCCAAGGTGGGTAGATCACTTGAGGTCAGGAGCTGGAGACCAGCCTGGCCAACATGCTGAAACCCCTTCTCTACTAAAAATACAACAATTAGTCAGGCATGGTGGCACACGCCTGTAGAAATCCCAGGTACTTGGGTCACTGAAGCAGGAGAATCACTTGAACCCAGGAGGCGGAGGCTGCAGTGAGCTGAAATTGCACCACTGCACTCCAGCCTGGACAAAAGAGCAAGACTTCGTTTCCAAAAAAACAAAAACAAACAAACAAAAAAACAGCTTTATTAAGGTATAGCTGAACTACTGTATAATACTTTGGATATATTTAAATTGAGCTATGGTTGTACCAGTGTACTCTGGCCTGGGCAACAGAGACTCTGTCTAAATAAAGTAAAAAATAAATAAAACTAGAAAAATATGAAACTGGCCAGGAGCAGAGTCTCACACCTGCAATCCCAGCACTTTGGGAGGCCGAGGCAGGAGAATCACTTGAAGTCAGGAGTTTAAGATGGGCCTGGCTAACATGGCAAAACCCCATCTCTACTAAAAATACAAAATTTAGCCGGGCGTGGTGGCAGGTGCCTGTAATCTCAGCTACTTGGGAGGCTAAATGAGATAATCACTTGCCACTGCACTCCAGCCTGGATGACAGAGCGAGACCCTGTCTGGAAGAAAAAATAAAAGAAAAAAGAAAAAAAGAACCTATTATTTTTAAGAAATATGTAGTGAAAATGTAAGAAAACCAAGGAGACTGCATTAACATGGTAATGGAGGAATTACGAATGAAGGAAGAAGCTTATGATTGAGGGGAACACACAACTTCTGGGGGTGCTGATGATATTCTATTTCTTTATACGTATATTCACTTTGTGGTTACTTATTAAACTGCATTTGTTTTATGCACCTTTTATGTTACATTTCAGATATATAAGAATCTAAAGATATATAAGAATTTTAGATACATAAGAATCTCAGGTTCTCTTTAAAGCAGTTAATCTAACCACCTTTTAGATAATGTAGGGGCTTCAGAAATGTGAATTCCTTCACATAAAAATAAAGAAGAGACGAGGAGGAACAGGAGAGAAAGAGAGGAAGAAACAGACCTACAGATTTTTATTTTAATTTTTTGGAGACAGGGTCTTGCTTTGTCACCCAGGCTGGAGCGCAGAGGCGCTCACTGCAGCCTCCACCTCCAGGGCTCAAATGATCCTCCCACTTCAGCCTCCTGAGAAGCTGAGTCTACAGGCATGTGCCACTATGCCTGGCTAAATTTTGGGGTCTTGTTGTTTGTTTTTATTTTTGCAGAGACAGGATTTCATCATGTTGCCCAGGCTGACTCAAACTTCTAGGCTCAAGCAATCCACCCGTCTTGGCCTCCCAAAGTCCTGGAATTACAGGCATGAGCCACTATGCTCAGCCTAGAGATATTAACTGAAGAAACATAATGAGTTAATGGTAGGTCTAGAACTGAAAACTAAAACCCAGGTTTCAGGATTGCCAATCTAATACTTGCAAGGACACCATTTTAACTCATATGCTGTAAAAGCACTTTCTCTTCGTAGTTTTACTTTTCTCCAATTTTTCTTACATTTTACTTGCTTATTCTGTCTTTCCTGCACTAGACTTTTAAGTTCTGTGAAGGCAATAGATTTAAAAATTTGTGTAGTCCTAGAGTCTACAAAAAATGTGCCTCATACAGAGTAAGTACTCAGTATTTCTTGAATTAATGAAACTATTATCCCAGAAAACTTTACATGTATACCAATCTTTGAGCAACAAAAATCAACCTGTCAGGTGTAAAGACAAAGTGAGTTCTGAATTAAACAGGCCATCTAACTTTTATATTAAAATGGCAGTTTACTCACTGAGCATATACATGGACTGCTGGCTAAGATTGAGAATGAACAACCTATTTGCCAATACGTGCTTCTTTGCAGCTTCCTTTCCTATTTCGTACTATTATTTGTAACATAGCCCTTTTATTTATTTAATATGCATTCAAGGTGAAAACTACAGCAGGTGGTGCAGGAGCACAGTTAATGCATAAAGCCATTAGAATTGAAAGTCCACCTAATACACACAAACTAACTTTGGAGTTTAGCACATTAGAGCAACTTTTGGGCCTAAAGCTCAAGTTGAAGTGGCTTACTGACCAAGTTTATCACATCATTATTATGCCTTTTCATTGCACCTAGATGGTAAATTCCTTTTAAGAAAACCTCACAGGCAGGAGTGGTGGCTCATTCTGTAATCCCAGCACTTTGGGAGGCTGAAGAGGGAGGAGCCCTTGAGGCCAAGAGTTCAAGTTCAAGGCTGCAGTGAACTATGACTGCACAACTGCTGCTCCATCCTGAACCACAGAGCAAGACCCCATCTCAGCAACAACAAAAAAAGTGAGCTAGTTTCATACTGAATAAAGTTGGTAACATTTAGATTCCATTGCCAAAATGCTTAGTTTAGGCCCTTATTGCATCATACCCAACTTGAGTCTCTTTAGATTTTAAAACCAAACACAGTGCTCCTAAATTAATGTTATCCCAACTCAAAGAGTGATTTCCTATGGCCGCATTCCTTATGACATTTTAAACATCATAATCAATTTTATAATTTTGTTTGCCTTTTCCACGTCTATACTTATACATATGTATATGTTTATATATAATTATAAAACATTATGTAATGTCAACCCTCCGCTCTAGTCAAACTGGGTTAATTCATTATCTTCCAAAAATATCTTGAGCCTCTTTACAGCTTTACACAGAAAAAAGAAAGCTCACAGAGTTCGACACTTTTTTAAATATGTGAATATGTCCTAGAATTGCTTCTGCTCCTCAATACATACCTACCCTACCCAAACATACGCTCTTACTAAATTCTTACCCATCCTTAATGTTTTTGCCCAAATTCCATTTTTTCTTGAGACAGGGTCTCACTCAGTCACGTAGGCTAGAGTGCAGTGGCATAATCACAGGTCACTACAGCCTTAAGCTCTCAGCCTCCCGAGAAGCTTGGACTAAAGTCATGCACCACCACACTCACCTAATTTTCGTATCTTTTGTAAAGACCGGTTTTGCCATGTTATCCAGACTAGTCCTGGACTCCTGGGCTCAAGCGATACACCTGCCGAGGCCTCCCAATGTGCTAGGACTACAGGTATGAGTTACTACACCGTCAACTTCCTCTTCTGAAGGGATCATTGACTCCTTCGTACTGGAAACACTGTACCAATTATGAAGCAATTATTTTACAGCATCTAATGCTGTGGTCATTAGCATAAAAATCGTGTCTTCTCAAGAAGACACTAATCCCAGCACTTTGGGAGGCTTAAGTGGGAGGATCGTTTGATGCCTGGAGTTCAAGGCTGCAGTGAACTCCTAAAGGATCTCCTGAAGGATGGGGGCTGTGTTTTACATATTGCACATCTGCCCTACACACTAAGACATATGTACAAGGTATTTTCTGAAGGAATGAAATGCATTAGTATATTTTTTACATATTCTAGATTTCAGTAATTGACCAAGTCTGAGAACAGAAATGCCTCCAAAATTTGCATTTGGCAAAAACTATGCAAATACACACACACACACACACACACACACACACACACACACACACACACGCACGCACACATATATACATATATCTCACAATACTAAGTACTATTAATAAAGCAACAAAGACAACAAAGCATCAAAATATTTCTTTCAATTTCATTCAATTTCAACAAATTATTCTTTGGGAAAAATTCAATGACCTGTTTTTCTAATACACCAGCATAGACTACTTGATATATAATTTATTACTAATATATTTAGTCAAGGTTAGCATTACTTAATAAGACAAGGTTATTATTTCATACCTAAATTGTGTGGTGCAGAAAAATTAGATGCCACACATTTTACTAGCTTCTTCCTGAACTCCAAACCCAATTCTATTTTAAAGATCCATTCTGGCCAGGTGCAGTGACTCACACCTGTAATCCCAGCACTTTGGGAGGCCAGGGCAGGCGGATCACTTGAGGTCAGGAGTTCGAGACCAGCCTGGCCAACATGGTGAAACCCCGTTTCTACAAAAAAAAAAAAAAAAAAAATACAAAAAATACAAAAATTAGCCAGATGTGGTGGTGCGCACTTGTAATCCCAGCAACTCGGGGGGCTGAGGCATAAGAATTGCTTGAACCTGGGAGGCGGCGGTTGCAGTGAGCCGAGATCGTATCACTGCACTCCAGCCTGGGCAACAAAGCGAACCGTATCAAAAACAAACAAACAACAACAACAACAAAAAGATCCATTCTACCAGACCTAAACCATTTAACAAGCACATACTACAAAATACACTATTAGTCGGCCGGGTGTGGTGGCTCATGCCTGTAATCTCAGCACTTCAGGAGGCCGAGGCAGGTGGATCACGAGGTCAGGAGATTGAAACCATCCTGGCTAACACAGTGAAACCCCATCTCTACTAAAAAAACAAAAAAATTAGCGGGGCGTGGTGGCGGGCACCTGTAGTCCCAGCTACTCAGGAGGCTGAGGCAAGAGAATGGCGTGAACCCAGGAAGGCGGAGCTTGCAGTGAGCCGAGATCACACCACTGCAGTCCAGCCTGGGAAACAGAGTGAGACTCCGTCTCAAAAAAAAAAAAAAAAAAAAATACACTATTAATCATTATGGAAGGTTTCTAATGTAGGTAAGAAATGGTTTACTCCATTTATTTCCGCCTTCAAGATAACCCACAAACACGATTCTTAAAAATTACCTGGATACTGACTGTAACAGAACAATCATAATAGAAGTTATTTTTAGCCTCAAGGGGAATTCATAAGGTCCTAAAACATTATGAGTGGCCTTAAAGGCTGAGAGTGTGGCGGGGCACAGTGGCTCACACCTGTAATCCCAGCACTCCGGGAGGCCGAGGTGGGCGGATACCTGAGGTCAGGAGTTTCACACCAGCCTGACCAACATGGAGAAAGCCCGTCTCTACTAAAAATACAAAAACTTAGCCAGGCTTGGTGGTGCATGCCTGTAATACCAGCTACTCGGGAGGCTGAGGTAGGAGAATCGCTTGAACCTGGGAGGCGGAGGTTGCAGTGAGCCAAGATCACACCACTACACTCCAGCCCGGGCAACAACGGCGAAACTCCATCTCAAAAAAAAAAAAAAAAACAAAAAGCTGAGAGTTTGATACATGCATGGCGGGTTCAAAGGCTTTGAGACTTGGTTTTAACATAACCTCAGATGCTCTCTAATCTTTGGGTATTTGTAAGATGGAAGAATAAAACGAGTGAAGACGATATGATACAAACAAATCATTCTATATTTTGACCCTCACATAATAAATCCTCTATTCTTTTTTTCTTTACAGCTCAAACTGTTTCCATTTTATTTTCTTTACAAATTCTTAATTCTTAAAGCCTATTTGTTTATAGGAACCACTTGCAATAGTACTAATAGCTGCTAACATGTATTGTGTTCCTGCTATGCGTCAGGTACATTTCAAATAATTTGAATACACTATTAACTTATGTAATACAATGATATCTATGAGAAGCATTATTATTAATACCCCCGTTTAACAGATGAGGAAACAGGCCAAATAAGTTGTCCAAGGGCATAAAAATCTAAATGCAGGCGGCCGGGTGCAGTGGCTCACACCTGTAATCCCAGCACTTTGGAAGGCCAAGGTGGGCGGATCATGAGGTCAGGAGATCGAGACCATCCTGGCTAACA
The DNA here is from genome assembly GCF_000001405.40 of Homo sapiens. Classification (NCBI taxonomy): domain Eukaryota; kingdom Metazoa; phylum Chordata; class Mammalia; order Primates; family Hominidae; genus Homo; species Homo sapiens. The sequence goes on from NC_000004.12 coordinate 39,945,276, forward strand.
TGGTGAAACCCCCGTCTCTACTAAAAATACAAAAAATTAGCCAGGCGTGGTGGCAGGCGCCTATAGTTCCAGCTACTAGGGAGGCTGAGGCAGGAGAATGGCATGAACCCGGGAAGTGGAGCTTGCAGTGAGCAGAGATCACGCCATTGCACTCCAGCCTGGGCGACAGAGCGAGACTGCCTCAAAAAAAAAAAAAAAAAAAAAAATTAAATGCAGGCAATGTAGCTAGTCACTCACTGCTTAGTACTCTTACCTATATGTTACATATAGTATAGTAGGAGGAATGCTTCCCCAAATGACTACTGAAATACACACATTATACTATAAAAACTGTACTGTATTAGTTATAACTACTAAGTGATTATGTTCCCAGGCAAACTCAAAAAGCCTACTTTGTCACAATTTAGTTAGATGAAGACTACAGTAGAAAATTTAGATGGGAGCATCTAGCAACTTAATAGATCTCTTAATCCATTAACTGAATGTCAAGTACTCTGGCTTTCCTTTTCCTTCATAAAGGTAAATCGTTTGCCTTATGCTTAAAATGATCAAACATTATGTAAGGTGTTTTTGCTCAAAAATAAAATAAAACACAGCAGTTTTTCTAAGGTTAAACGGATTAAGAGTTGAAAGAAAAAAAAGCAGGACAGGCGCAGTGGCTCACGCCTGTAATCCTAGCACTTTGGGAGGCCGTGGAGGGAGGGGGGGATCACTTGAGGTCAGGAGTTCGAGACCAGCCTGGCCAACAAGGCGAAACCTCGTCTCTACTAAAAACACAAAAATTAGCTGGGCATGGTGGCAGGTGTCTGTAATCCCATATACTTGGGAGGTTGAGGCAGGAGAATCGCTTGAACCCAGGAGGCAGAGGTTACAGTGAGCTGAGATCACATCACTGCACTCAAACCTGGGTGATGGAGTGAGACTTCATCTCAATAAAAAAAAAAAAAGAAAGAAAAAAAAAGGAAAGGAAAAGAGATTCAAGCAGACAAGCGTACATATGTGGGAAAAAGGCAGATGGAATTAATTATGGCAGGAGCAGTGAGAGTTTAGAGGAAAATCAACAGTAAGTATAGGGAAATTCCCCTACAGGCACGATGAGAAACGGGTGGTGGGAAAAAGCAGACAGTGGCAGAGAAGCAGAAGTGGGCATCGCCTTCCTATATCAGTTGCCAAAAATATTACCACCCAGAAGAACATGATGGCAGCTAGAGAAAGGGAAACAAAAAGCTGGTTCTTTGAAAACATCAACAAAACTGACGACTTTTCAGCTAGACTGACCAAGAAAAAAAGACCAAATTACTACATTCAGAATGAAAATAGACATGTTACTAATTACCTTACAGAAATAAAACCCATTGGCCAGGCGTGGTGGCTCATGCCTGTAATCCCAGAACTTTGGGAGGCCAAGACAAGCGGATCACTTGAGGTCAGGAGTTCGAGACCAGCCTGGGCAATATGGTGAAACCCTGTCTCTACTAAAAATACAAAAAATCAGTCAGGCGTGGCGGGCACCTGTAATCCTAGCTACTTGGGAGGCTGAGGCAGGAGAATCGCTTCAACCCAGGAGGTGTGGATTGCAGTGAGCCAAGATTGCACCACTGCACTCCAGCCTGGGCGTTGCAGCAAGACTTGTGTCTTGGGAAAAAGAGAAATAAATAAAACTGATCATAAAGGACTACTATAGGCTGGAAGTGGTGGCTCACATCTGTAAAACCAGCACTGTGAGGGGATGAGGTGAGGGGAATTACTTCAGGCCCATGAGTTCGAGATCAGCCTGGGCAACACAGGAAGACCCTATCTCTATTGAGAAAAAAAAATTAATTAAAATATGTTTTTTAAAAATCCTATTTCTATACACTTGGAATGAATAATCTGACAAAGAAATTAAACAAACATGACCAGGCATGGTGGTTCACGCCTGTAATCCCAGCAATTTGGGAGGGTGATGCTGGCGGACCACTTGAGGTCAAGAGCTCAAGACCAGCCTAGCTAACATTGTGAAACCCCATCTCTACTAAAAATACAAAAAATTAGCCTGGGATGGTGGCATGTGCCTGTACTCCCAGCTACTCAGGAGACTGAGGCAGATAACTTGAACCGGGAGGCGGAGGCTGCAGTGAGCCAAGATCATGCCACTGCACTCCAGTCTGGGTGAGAGAGAGACTGTCTGAAAGGGGGGAAAAAAAAGAGAGAGGAAACATGAAATAAACATGAGGGAGTAAACCTGCTTTCTAACAGTAGTGTCCAATCCTTTGGCTTCCCTGGGCCACACTGGAAGAAGAATTGTCTTGGACCACACATAAAGTACACTAACACTAATGATAGCTAATAACCTTAAAACAAACAAAAAAAATTGCACAATAGTCTCATAATGTTTTAAGAAAGTTTATGAATGTGTGTTGGGCCACATTCAAAGCCATCCTGGGTCACATGTGACCCACGGGCTGTGAGTTGGACCAAGCTTGTTTATAAGAACCCACTTTTTGGGTAACTAATCCAGTCCCAGAAGAGTGAGAACTCACTCTCACAAGATGGCATTATCTATTCATGAGGGACTGGCCCCATGATGGAACACCTCCCAGTAGGCCCCAATTCCCAACACTGCTGCAATGAGAACCAAACTTCAACATAAGTTTTGGTGAGGACAAACCTTATCCAAATAATGGCAATGTCCACACAAAAATTTGCACATAAGCCAGGAATGGTGGCTCACTCCCATGATCTTAGCAATTTGGAAAGACAAGGAGGGAGGATGCCTTGAGACAAGGAATGCAAGACTAGCCTGGGCAACAACTGCAAGACCCCATTTCTACTAAAGATTTAAAAATTAGCTGGGTATGGTAGCACGTACCAGTAGTCTCAGCTACTTGAAAGACTGAGGCAGCAGGATTCCTTAAGCTCAGGAGGTAGGCAACACAGCAAGATATCCCGTCTCAAAAAAAAAAAAAAAAAAAGAAAGAAAGAAAAAGAAAAGAGAAATTTGCACAAGAATGTTTATAGCAGCATTATTCACAATAGCCAAAAGGTGAATCAAACCTTTTTTTTTTTTTTTTTTTTTTTGAGATGGAGTCTTGCTCTGTCACCCAGGCTGGAGTGCAATGGTGCGACCTCGGCTCACTGCATTACTGCAACCTCCGCCTCCCGGGTTCAAGCAATTCTCTGCCTCAGCCTCCCGAGTAGCTGGGTTTATAGGCGCCTACCACCAGGCCCTGCTAATTTTTGTATTTTTAGTAGAGATGGGGTTTTACCATCTTGGCCAGGCTGGTCTTGAACTGCTGACCTCATGATCCACCTGCCTCGGCCTCCCAAAGTGCTGGGATTACACGTGTGAGCTACCACGCCTGGATTTTTTTTTTTTTTTTTTTTAAAGACCGAGTCTCACTCTGCTGCCCAGGCTGGAGTGCAGTGGTGCCATCTCAGCTCACTGCAACCTCTGCCTCCTGGCTTCAAGCAATTTTCCTGCCTCAGCCTCCTGAGTAGCTGGGATTAAAGGCATGTGCCACCATGCCCGGATAATTTTTCTATTTTTAGTTGAGATGGCATTTCACCATGTTGGCCAGGCTGGTCTTGAATTCTTGACCTCAGATTATCTGCCCACCTTGGCCTCCCAAAGTTCTGGAATTAGAGGTGTGAGCCACTGAGCCCAGCCCAACCCCATTTATTATCAACTAACAAACGGATAAACAAAATTTGGTACACCTATACACTACAGTATTATCTGGCCATAAAAGGTATAATGAAAGCCAGGCATGGTGGCTCACACCTGTAATCACAGTACTTTGGGAGACCAAGGCCAGAGATCACCTGAGCACAGGATTTTGAGACTGGGCAACATAGTGAAACCCTGTCTCTACAAAAAACACCAAAAAAAAAAAAGATAGCCAGGTGTGGTGGCACATGTCCATAGTCCCAGCTACTCAGGAAGCTGAGGCAGGAGGATTGCTTGAATGCGGGAGGTCGAGGCTTCAGTGAACCCAGATGGAGCCACTACATTTTAGCGTGGATGAAAGAGCAAGAACCTATCTCAAAAAAAAAAAAAAAAAAAAGAACTGATGGTATGACTGGGCGAAATGTTATGCTAACTGAAATATGCCAGCCACAACAGACCACTTGCTTATGATTCCATTTATATGAAATGTCCAGATCGGGGAAATGTACATAGACAAAAAGTAGGTTAGTGATTCCTTAGGACTGTGGGGAGGAATATGAGGGTAATAGCTAATGGACACAGGGACTTCATTTTGAGATGATAACTGTTCTAAAACTGACTACGAGCTGGTCAAAGTGGCTCACACAATCCCAGCCCTTTGGGGTTCTGAGGCAGGTGGATGGATCATTTGAGCCCAGGAGTTCAAGACCGGACTGGGCAACAGGTGAAACCCCATCTCTAAAAAAAAAAGTTTCAACAATTAGCTTGGCATGGTGGCGCACACCCGGCTACGCAGGAGGCTGGGGTGGCACAATCACTGAACTTGCAGGGGCCAGGGCTGCAGTGCATTGCACCACTGCACTCCAGCCAGGGCGACAGAATAAGACTCTGTCTCAGAAAAAAAAAAAAAAGAAAAACACCACAAAAAACCTGACTGTGGCAATCACTGCAAGCATTTGTGATGATACTAAAAACAACCATACATTTTATTTTATTTTTGAGACAGAGTTTGCTCTTGTTGCCCAGGATGGAGTGTAATGGCATGATCTCGGCTCACCACAACCTCCACCTCCCGAGTTTAAGTGATTCTCCTGCCTCAGCCTCCAGAGTAGCTGGGATTACAGGCATGCGCCACCACGCTTGGCTTATTTTCTATGTTTTTAGTAGAGATGGGGTTTCTCCATGTTGGTCAGGCTGGTCTCAAACTCCCAAGTGATCCGCCCACCTCGGCCTCCCAAAGTGGCGGGATTACAGGTGTGAGCCACCGCACCCAGCCAATTGTACGTTTTAAATGGGTAAACTCTATGGTATGAGAATTATATCTCAACAAAGCTGTTTTTAAAAAAGAAAATTTAGGCCGGGCACGGTGGGTCTCACCTATAATCCCAGCTACTTAGAAGGCTGAGGCAGGAGAATCACTTGAACCCGGGAGGTGGAGATTGCAGTGAGCCGAGATCATGCCACTGTATACTTCAGCCTGGGTGACAGAGCAAGACTCTGTCTCAAAAAAACAAGTTAGAAATTATTAAGATGGCCAGGCACAGTGGCTCCCGCCTGTAATCTCAACACTTTGGAGGCCGAGGCAGGTGGATGAGGTCAGGAATTCAAGACCAGCCTGGGCAACATGGTGAAACCCCATCTCTACTAAAATAAATAAAATAGAATTTTGTTTGTTTTTGAGATGGAGTCTTGCTCTGTCGCCCAGACTGGAGTGCAGTGGCACCATCTCAGCTCACTGCAACCTCTACCAGGTCATGGGTTCAAAAGATTCTCCTGCCTCAGCCTCCCAAGTAGCTGGGACTACAGGTCTACGCTACCACACCAGGCTAACTTTTGTATTTTTAGTAGAGACAGGGTTTCGCCATGTTGGCCAGGCTGGTCTCCAACCCCTAACCTCAGGTAATCCACCAGCCTCGGCCTCTCAAAGTGCTGGTATTACTACAGGTGGGAGCCACTATGCCCACCCTGAATTTTTTTTTGGTTTTAATTTTTAAAATAGATAGGGTCTCCCCTCTGTGGACCAGGCTGGAATACAGTGGCACAATCATAGCTCACTGCAGCCTTGACCTCCTGGGCTCAAGCAATCCTCACATCATCCTCCCAAGTAGCTGGGACTACAGGAATGCATCACCATACTCAGCTTTTTTTTGTACAGCCAGGGCTTCACTATGTTGCCCAGGCTGGTCTCAAATTCCTGGGATCATGTGACCCTCATGCCTCAATCTCCCAAAGTGCTAGGATTACAGAAATAAACCACTCCATCTGGCCTCTGTTCTGCCTCTTAATGGATAGGTAATCTGAATTACTTAGTCTTTCTGTGACTACATAATGAGGACAGCAATATAATCTTGTAAGATTTGATATTTAGAGATGATAATTGCCAGATCTACTGTCTGGCATACATGGGGGCTGTGATAAATTAAATAACCATGTTTTATGAATTCTAAGGCTCAGATCTCTGAAATTGTGATGTGTCTCAAAATCAGCAGTTTTCCAATGAGAGACAGCCAGAAGCAATTGTAAGGAAACTACTGTTACTTGCACTTACACAAATTTCACTTTGAAAATCTTGTGCTGATAACAACTGATAACATCTAGAAAGCACAAGCATCAAATCTTGCAGCATTAAGTGTTAATGGCTCAGAAGAACATCTCAGCAACAACAGTTGGAGCACTCAAAAGAATTCTACATCACGCTGGGCAAGGTGGCTCACGCCTGTGATCCCAGCACTTTGGGAGGCCAAGGCGGGTGGATCACGAGGTCAGGAGATCTAGACCATCCTGGCTAACACGGTGAAACCCCTTCTCTACTAAAAATACAAAAAATTAGCCGGGCATGGTGGCAGGCGCCTGTAGTCCCAGCTACTCAGGAGGCTGAGGCAGGAGAATCGCCTGAACCCGGAAGGCAGAGGTTACAGTGAGCCAAGATCGCGCCACTGCACTCCAGCCTGGGTGACAGAGCAGAGTCTGTCTCAAAAAAAAAAAAAAAAAAAAAATCTGTATCACTAACACTACTGGTGATGACAACACTGTGTGGAAAAACACAAGCATCAATTACTAGTTTTAACAAAAAAGATCACAAGGGTCAAACTATGAATGTGAATGTAGGAATAACAACCAATTGTCCAGGCACGGTGGCTCATGCCTGTAATCCCAGAACTTTGGGAGGCAGAGGTGGGCGGATTACCTGAGTTCAGGAGTTCGAGACCAGCATGGCCAACATTGTGAAACCCTGTCTCTACTAAAAATACAAAAAAACAGCCGGGTATGGTGGCATGTGCCTGTAGTCCCAGCTACTCAGGAGGCCGAGGCAGGAGAACTGCTTGAACCCGGGAAGCGGAGGTTGCAGTGAGCTGATATCATGCCACTGCACTCCAGTATGGGCCACAGAGTGAGACTCCGTCTCAAAACAAAACAAAAACCAATTATTTCAATTTTATTTTCCTTTACATATGTAAGAAGGTGATGTGGAAAAAATTTGTCTAAATGAGTTAATTATAGGAGCTCTTTCAGCAAGTATAAAATTAAAATTTTGTAAGTGTTAAAAATCACCAGATCATAATTTGTTAATCTTTTTTTTTTCTAATGATGGGCTCATAGTCATCAAATTCCTTGGTCTTTCTATCCTATCACTCAGGACAGCCAGCTTAATAGTAAAGTGGAATAGCTTACTGTGATAATACCAGCTGAAAGATAACGCGCTGAGAAGATGAGGTGCTTACTTATTTTATAACATGTGATACATTACCTAAATCAGTGACCAATAAATTGTCACTTGTCCCACAGTACACAGATCTGGAATTTTTTTTTTTTTTTTTTTTGAGACTGAGTTTTGCTCTTGTCACCCATGCTGGAATGCAATGGCATGATCTCAGCTCACTGCAACCTCTGCCTCCCGGGTTCAAATGACTCTCCTGCCTCAGCCTCCGAAGTAGCTTGGATTACAAGTGCCCACCACCATGCTTGGCTAATTTTTGTATTTTTAGTAGAGTCAGGGTTTTGCCATGTTGGCTAGGCTGGTCTGGAACTCCTGACTTTAGGTTATCTGCCAGCCTTGGCCTCCCAAAGTGCTGGGATTACAGGCATGAGCCACCACGTCAGTCCAGATCTGGAAATTAAAAGATTGAATCAGAGTGCCCCCTCTCATTATCATACCTAATAACCTACTCAAAAAACATTTTTTCCTCCATCCTTAAAACGCTTGGTCAGCTGGTTTAGAGGTCTTGGTTTCTTGGTTTAGAGGTCTTGGAATACTTCTACCTTAGGACACAACAACCGCTCCACTACAGTGAAGCTGAGTTTGTCACTTGACCATTTTGAGCTCATGCCAACTGAAACAACAGTTAAAGAACAGTTTCACCGTGGCTGGGGTAACTGATCTCAACTATTGTGAGAAACCTAGGTTGTTGGTATGAAATAAGGGCAGGGGGAACTATTTCTGGAGCTCATCAGGTGATCCAGGGCAGTGTTTTTCAAACCATCAATGGTGAAGAATCAGTTTTTTTTTTTTTTTTCATTCCAACACACTGGGAGTGGTGGCTCACAACTGTAATCCCAGCACTTTGGGAGGCTAAGATGGGAGGATCGCTTGAGCCCAAAAGTTTAAGACCAGCCTGGAAAACATAGTGAGACCTTGTCTCTACTAAAAATTTAAATTGTAGCTGGGTGTAGTGACACATGCCTGTAGTGTCAACTACTCAGGAGGCTGGGGCAGGAGGATCGCTTGAGCTGGGAAGTCAAGCCTGCAGTGAGCCATGATCGTACCACTGCACTCCAGCCTAGGCCACAGAGCGAGAACCTGTCTCAAAAGAATAAGTAAAGTAAAATTCCAACACATTTGTAAAATATAAAACACTGAAATGCACTTAGACGTTCGTAATCAATAGCAAATGACCTATAAATGTTTCTGTTTACTCTCAATTTCTGCATTTGTCCTATTGTGAACTGACACCACACTCTCAATAGCCAAAGCACAATATGCAATATTAAAAGTTCATGGGAAACTTCAGTGTCCTAATGAAGTCAGAATGCCTTGGAATGAAGTTTTCATACAATCTACCAAGTTAAAAACAAAACAAAACCCAATAGGCCCCAACTGAGGTACTAAGTGAAGGAAAAAGAAACAATGGGATGAGGCAGGGCATGGTGGCCCACGCCTGTAATCTCAGCACTTTGGGAGGCCGAGGTGGGAGGACTGCTAGAGCCTAGGAGTTTGACAGCATCCTGGACAACATAGTGAGGCTCTATCTCTACGGAGAAAAAAAAACAAACAAACAGAAAAAGAAATTAGCTGGGCAGGGTGGCATGTGCCTGTAGTCCCAGTTACTTAGGAGGCTGAGGTGGGAGGATTGCTTGAGCCCAGGAGTTTGAGGCTGCAATGAGCCATGACGGTGCCACTGCACCTCAGCCTTGGTGACAGAGCGAGACCCTGTCTCTTAAAAAAACAAAACATGCCACGATCTCAGCTCACTGCAACCTCCACCTCCCAGGTTCAAGCGAGTCTCCTGCCTCGGCCTCCTGAGTAGCTGGGATTACGGGCATGTGCCACCACCCTCGGCTAATTTTTGTATTATTTTAGTAGAGGTGGGGTTTCACCATGATGGCCAGGCTGGTCTTGAACTCCTGACCTCAGGTGATCCACCCGCCTTGGCCTCTCAAAGTGCTGGGATTACAGGTGTTAGCCACCGTGCCCAGCCTGAAATACATTGTCAAGACATAAATAAGTACCCATTGTCAAGAGATAAGTAAAAAAAAAAAAAAAAAAAAAAAAAAACAGAAACAGAGGTGGACCAAACGCTAAAGCTATCAGACAGAGACGTTAAAATAACTATGAGGCCAGGCAGAGAGCCTCATGCCTGTTAATAGGCATGAACACTTTGGGAGGCTGAGGCAGGAGGATCACGTGAGTCCAGGAGTTTGAGACCTGGGCAACATGACAAACCCCGTGTCTACAAACAATACAAAAATTAGCTAGGCGTGGTAGCACATGCCTGTAGTCTCTACTACTTGGGAGGCTGAGATGGGAGGATGGCTTGAACCCAGGAGGTGGAGGCAGCAGTGAGCCATGATCATGAAACTGAACGCCAGCCAGCCTGGGTGACAGAGCGAGACCCTGTCACAAACAAAAAATATAAATAAATAAATAAAGCATGCTGATTATCATCAGGATTTAAAGTAAATCAGCACTTAGAGCTCACCCTGGCCAAACAAGAAAAGCCAAAATTAGGAATATTAAAGGACAATATGCTAAATCTAACTTAGAGTTTAAACCAAGAGCATTACATGAATAGAACATTTGGGATTTACCATGCTGAAAAATATACAAGGAAACAATACACGAATATGGACTTTGAGTGATAATGTTGTGATGTTGGTTTAGAAATATAGCACTCTAGGGCCGGGCGTGGTGGCTCAAACCTGTAATCCCAGCACTTTGGGAGGCTGAGGTGGGCAGATCACCTGAAATCAGGAGTTCGAGACCAGCCTGACCAACATGGTGAAACCCCGTCTCTACCAAAAATACAAAAAATTACCCAGGTGTCGTGGCGGATGCTTGTAATCCCAGCTTGGGAGGCTGAGGTGGGAGAACTGCTTGAACCCGGGGGAGCGGAGGTTGCAGTGAGCTGAGATCATGCTACTGTGCTCCAGCCCGGGTGACAGAGCGAGACTCTGTCATAAAAAAACAACAACAAAACAAACAAATGTACCACTCTGGAAGGTGACTGAGGGGAGGCATTACTGTGGGAGGCATGTGTGACTGGGGAGGGGAAGTCTTCCTGGGGGACGGGAGTGTTACTGAGGAGTGAGTCCAGGGGGTTTGTTGGGAATACTCTGTACATTCCAGCAATTTGGCTGTGAACCTAAAACTGCCCTAAAAAAAAAAGTCTGTTTAAAAATTTGAACAGTTAAGGCCGGTGTGGTGGTTCACACCTGTAATCACAGCACTTTGGGGGGCCAAGGCAGGTGGATTACCTGAGGTCAGGAGTTCGAGACCAGCCTGGCCAACATGGCGAAACCCCATCTCTACTAAAAATACAAAAATTAGCCAGACATGGTGGTGGCACACACCTGTAGTCCCAGCTGCTCGGGAGGCTGACGTGGGAGGATTGCTTGAACATGGGAGGCAGAGGTTGCAGTGAGCTGCGATCTCGCCACTGCACTCCAGCTTAAGAAACAGACTGAGACTGCCTCTCAAAAAAAAAAAAGAACAATTTTAAAAAACAGTATAAGAAAAACGTATAGAACAATTGAGATAGCAGCAGTGGATTACAGTATTAAACATTTGGCAGGGTGCGATGGCTCACACCTGTAATCCCAGCACTTTTGGGAGGCTATGGCAGGCAAATCACTTGAGATCAAGAGTTGGAGACTAGCCCGGCCAACATGCTGAAACCCTATGTTTACCAAAAAATACAAAAATTAGCCAGGTATGGTGGCTCATGCCTGTAGTCCCAGCTACTTGGGAGGCTGAGGTGGGAGGATCGCTTGAACCCAGGAGGCAGAAGTTGCAGTGAGCCAAGATTGCGCCACTGCACTCTAGCCTGGGTGACAGAGCGAGACTGTCTCAAAAAAAAAAAAAAAAAAAGTCTGATAAAATATCAAGGAAATATGAGAACTGAACACAGCAAACAAAGCTATACAACATTATTTCAAAAACATCTAAAGACAATTTTATTTTATTACTACCTGGTTTTTACCCTTTCTTCAAAGCTTTATAGGTATATGCTTCAAGAAGAAAGACAGATTTTCTTACTTTTTTTTTTTTGGAGACAGGTTCTCACTCTGTCACCCAGGCTGGAGTGCTGCGGCACAATTATGGTTCACTGTACACTTAATCTCCTTGGCTTAAACAATCCTCCTGCCTCAGCCTCCAGAGTGGGCAGGACTATAGGCGCCTGCACCACATCCAGCTAATTTTTGTATTTTTTGTAGAGAAGAGGTTTTGCCATGTTGCCCGCGCTAGTCTCAAACTCCTGGCCTCAAGTGATCTGCCTTGCCTCAGCCTCCCAAAGTGCTGGGATTACAGGCGTGAGCCACCTCACCCAGCCAAAAGACATTTTCTAAATAACTTCTGCCAGAAACAAAGTATTCTCTTTATCTACACTGACTCAATCTTCATGAATCTTAGGAAAAATTTTTATTCAATGATTTTCTTTTCACACACAAGGAATCCACCTCTACTTATTCTATAGTGGCTACGTGAGGGATATTCAATAAGCATTTGAAGTTATAGGATAATTATACATGGCCACAGAACTTAACCCAATTTTCAAGTATTAAACTTAACAAAATAAAATAATGGCATCAATTTACTATTAAGGTTTACTTAGGGCCAGCGTGGGGGCTCACACCACTGCACTCCAGCCTGGGGGACAAGGCGAGACTCCATCGCAAGAAAAAAAAGAAAAAGAAAAAGCATACACTAAGTGATTTTTTAAAATTCATATTATAATTAAGTACATAAAATGTTGCTAGCCACTCTTTAAATTTTACTCATCCACGGCTTTCACACCTATTGTCAGATGACTATAATCTCAGCAACAAACAAATTTACTCAGACAGCATCAATTAGAAATGGATTCCTGGGCCAGGCACAGTGGCCTGTAATCCTAGCACTTTGGGAGGCCAAAGAGGGCGGACCACGAGGTCAGGAGATGGAGACCATCCTGGCTAACACGGTGAAACCCCATCTCTACTAAAAGTACAAAAAAATTAGCCGGGCGTGGTGGCGGGCGCCTGTAGTCCCAGCTACTCGGGAGGCTGAGGCAGGAGAATGGCATGAACCCGGCTAGGCAGAGCTTGCAGTGAGCTGAGACTGTACCACTGCACTCCAGCCTGGGCGACAGTGTGAGACTCCATCTCAAAAAAAAAAAAAAAAAAAAGAAATGGATTCCTGTACAAACAAAGATGCTATGTGATCTGGACATGAGGCTAAAAAAAGACTCCACAGGCCGGGGGTGATGGCTCACGCCTGTAATCCCAGCACTTTGGGAGACTGAGGTGGGTGGATCACCTGAGGTCAGGAGTTCAAGACCAGCCTGACCAACACAGAGAAACCCTGGCTCAGCTAATCCTCCCAACTCAGCCTCCTGAGTAGCTGGGACTACAGGAGCACACCACCACACCTAGCTAATTTTTTGTATTTTTAGTAGAGACAGGGTTTCACCATGCTACCCAAGCTGGTAGCAAACTCCCGAGCTCAAGTGATCCGTCTGCCTTTGCCTCCCAAAGTGCTGAGATCATAGGCATGAGGCACCACGCCCAGCCAGGCATTAATTTTATAACAAAAACAACACATAAGGCCAGGCATGGTGGTTCACACCTGTAATCCCAGCACATTGGGAGGTCGAAGCAGGAGGATCTCCTGAGGTCAGGAGTTCAAGGTCAGCCTGGCCAACATGGTGAAACCCCGCCTCTACTAAAATTACAAAATTTAACCGGGCATGGTGGTGTGCGCCTGTAGTACCAGCTACTCAGGAGGCTGAGCCAGGAGAATCGCTTGAAATCAGAAGGTGGAGGTTGCAGTGAGCTGAGATCTTGCCACTGCACACCAGCCTGGGCCCAAGAGCGAAACTGTGTCTCAAAAAAAAAAAAAAAAAGGTACGGGTAGGGAATTACCTAAGCCTTACCTAACCCTAACTTGCCTCAGCACAAGCAAAATAGTAGTACTCATTTCTTGTCTTTTTTTTTTTCTTTTCTTTTTTCTTTGAGACAGAGTCTCACTCTATCACCTAGGCTGGAGTGCAGTGGCACAATCTCTGCTCACTGCAACCTCTGTCTCGTGAGTTCAAACTATTCTTGTGCCTCCTGAGTAGTTGGGATTACAGGCGCACATCACCACCCCTGACTAATTTTTGTATTTTTGGTAGAGATGGGGTTTCACCATGTTGGCCAGGTTGGTCTCAAGCTCCTGGCCTCAAGTGATCCACCTGCCTTGGCCTCCTAAAGTGCCGGTATTATAGGCATGAGCCACTGCGCCCTGCTGTACTTATTTATTTTCCTTAAACACACCAAACATGCTTCTGCCTTTCTGCCATTCATCTGCCTGGAATGTTTTACCATTCATTTGCCTACCCAAGTCTGAGACTTCAAATCCCAGCCCAACTGTCACCTTCTCTATGAATTTCTTGACAATCAAAATTCTTAGTGATCTTTTTATCTAAAGAAACAAATGCAATCCAACCACATAATTGGCACTCACATTGTAAATTACAATCATCTCAAAATATGATAATCTCACATGAAAATCCATTCTACTGTTATTCCCAGTGTCACTTTCCCTTACTGAACTAAATGCTGTTATTTAAGGGCTGGCTTTACCAACACAAATCACAATGCCACTACTTTAGTAGGAAGTGTTAAATGTTTATCTCTTTTTAAATTTTTTTATTTTATACCCTAGTTGCAAGCTAAAAATGTTTAATCTAAATTTTTTTGTTGTTGTTGGAGATAGGTATCTCACTGTCGTCTAGGCTGGAGCACAGTGGCACGATCATGACCACTGCAGCCTCTACCTCCCCAGGCTCAGGTGATCCTTCCAACTGGCCTCCTGAGTAGCTGGGACTACAGGTGCACACCACCACACCCAGCTAATTTTTTGTATTTTTAGTACCATGCTGCCAAAGCTGGTAGCAAACTCTCGAGCTCAAGTGATCTGTCTGCCTTGGCCTCCCAAAGTGCTGGGATCACAGGCGTGAGCCACCACACCCAGCAAGGCATTAATTTTATAACAGAAAAACAACACGTAAGGCCAGGCATGGTGGTTCACACCTGTAATCCCAATACATTGGGAGACCGAGGCAGGTGGATCTCCTGAGGTCAGGAGTTTGAGACCAGCCTGGCCAACAAGGTGAAAGCCCGTCTATAGTGAAAATACAAAAATTAGGCCAGGCGTGGTGGTTCACGCCTGTAAACCCAGCACTTTTGGAGGGCAAGGCAAGCAGATCATGAGGTCAGGAGTTCAAGACCAGGCTGGCCAACACAGTGAAACCCCGCCATCTCTACTAAAAATACAAAAATTAGGTGGGCATGGTGGTACGTAACCAGCAGTCCCACCAACTTGGGAGGCTGAGGCAGGAGAATCGCTTGAAACTGGGAGGTGGAGGTTGCAGTGAGCTGAGATCGCGCCACTGCACTCCAGCCTGGGCAACAGAGTGAGACTTCGTCTCAAAAAAACAAACAAGAAAACCACAAAAAGTAGCTGGGCGTGGTGGCACGCACCTGTAATCCCAACTACTCGGGAGGCTAAGACACAGAATCGCTTGAACCCAGGAGGCAAAGGTTGCAGTGAGCCGAAATTGTACCACTGCACTCCAGCCTGGGTGACGGAGTGAGACTCTGTCTCAAAAAACAAAAACAAAAACAACAAAAACAAAAAAACACATATATTATGGAAGTTACCAACTTTTAAAATATCACATAATACACAAAAACAATGATATGTGTATAAGTTCCAAAGGCTGAGGGATTCTGGGTCTAGGCACAATTGTAACTGTGTAGAAGCAAACTAGCTAGGAAGCTATGAATTAATGTCAAAGACCGAATGCCAACAGCAAGGGAAAGAAATTTAGAAAATTTCTTCATTATGCTTATGTTCAACTTTCTATTGCAACAGTTATCTTGAACATTTTTTTTTTTTAAGAGACAGGGTCTTCCTCTGTCACACAGGCTAGAGTGCAATGGTGCAATCCTAGCTCACTGCTCAGGTGATACTCCCACCTCAGCCTCCCAAGTAGCTGGGACTACAGGCACCTGCCACCATACAAAGCTAATTTTTTTTTTTTTTAACGGAGTCTCACTCTGTCGCCCAGGCTGGAGTGCAGTGGTGTGATCTCAGCTCACTGCAACCTCCACCTCCCGGGTTCAAGCTATTCTCCTGCCTCAGCCTTCTGAGTACCTGGGACTACAGGCACACGCCACCAAGTCCAGCTAATTTTTGTATTTTTAGTAGAGATAGGGTTTCACCATCATGGCCAGGATGGTCTTGATCTCTTGACTTCGTGATCCACTTGCCTCGGCCTCCCAAAGTGCTGGCAGTACAGGCGTGAGCCACCACACCCAGCCTAATTTTTTATTTTTTGTAGAGGTGGGGGTCTCACCGGCCTTGAACTCCTGGCCTCAAGCAATCCTCCACCTCGCTCTCCCAAAGTGCTGTGATTACAGGCATGAGCCACCACAACTAGCTAGAACTTTCTTGATCTGTTGTCTTCAGCAAATAAAAACTATCAGGATTTCATATATTGTAACGAACTGTAGAATTGATCCCTGAAAAGTATAATCTTGGATTTCATATATTGTAAAAACTCCACTCACTCCATTAATTTTATCTTTCTGCACCAGGGAATTCAAGAAATCTTTTCTTTCCTTTTATTTTTTATTTATTTATTTTTTTTGAGATGGAGTCTTGCTATGTCGCCCAGGCTGAAGGGTAGTGGCGCCATCTCGGCTCACTGTCTCAGCCTCCTCAGTAGCTGGGAGGCGCCCGCCACCATGCCCGCTAATTTTTTTTGTATTTTTGGTAGAGACGGGGTTTCGCCATGTTGGCCAGGCTGGTCTCGAACACCTGACCTCTGGTGGTCAGCCCACCTCGGCCTCCCAAGATGCTGAGATTACAAGTATGAGCCACCGTGCCTGGCCATCTTTCCTTTTTAATAGAGTCTGGGTCTCACTATTTTGCCCAAGCTGGTCTGGAACTACAGAGCTCAAGTGATCCTCTTGCCTTGGCCTTCCAAAGTGCTGGGATTACAGGCATGTGGCACCGCACCCAGCCATGTGGAAATATTTTAATGTGCCAATAACCTCAGCCAAACTGTTTAACAATTAACTGTGAAAATAAAAGCCAACAGAAATAAAATTCATTAATGTCCTTAAACCTGTTCTCTTACTGTGAGCATTATATAGATTTCTGATACAAGATATATAAATCATAGTATTGGCCTTCATACATGTCAATGTTACTTACTTCATATATGGTTTTTAATAAGCCTTAACCTAATTTCTATTTAATTCAAGATCTTCAATTAAGACCTAAGTGAGGCTTGAAGCTTTCAACATTATTTCTGTTATTAAAATTCTATCCCCATCCCTTCCTACCCGCATTTCTCCAAACTAAAAAGGTATCACTCAATTCTGAGTTTTTGTTTTTTTTTTTTGAGACGTAGTCTCGCTCTGTTGCCCAGGATGGAGTGCAGTGGCACAATCTCAGCTCACTGCAAGCTCCGCCTCCCGGGTTCACGGCATTCTCCTGCCTCCACCTGCCCAGCAGCTGGGACTACAGACACAGTCCGCCACGCTCGACTAATTTTTGTATTTTTAGTAGAGACGGGGTTTCACTGTGTTAGCCAGGATGGTCTTGATCTCCTGACCTTGTGATCCGCCCGCCTTGGCCTCCCAAAGTGCTGGGATTACAGGCGTAAGCCACCGCGCCCGGCCTCTTCCTGAGTTTTTAAGGAAATCTAGAGTTCTTACCCCACTGAACCTCAACATGACACTTATGTTTAATTATTCTCACACAGAACTACTCTTGTTGCCAGGAAGCAATAAGTTGGCTTCATTGGAAAACATTAATTAGCTTATTTGACTGCAAATTAAAAGTAGGCAGGTTGGGCGCAGTGGATCATGCCTGTAAACCTAGCACTTTGGGAGGCCGAGGCGAGCAGATCACAAGGTCAGGAGGTTGAGACCATCCTGGCCAACATGGTGAAACCCCGTCTCTACTAAAAATACAAAAATTAGCCAGGTGTGGTGACACAAGCCTGTAATCCCATCTAGTTGGGAGGCTGAGGCACGAGAATCGCTTGAACCCAGGAGGCGGAGGTTGCAGTGAACACACCACTGCACTCCAGCCTGGCAACAGAGCGAGACTCCGTCTGGCGAGGAAGAGGGGGAATTAACCAGAGGTCGTGGCACATGCCTGTAGTCCCAGCTACTTTGGAGGCTGAGGCAGGAGAATCACTTGAACCTGGGAAGTGGAGGTTGCAGTGAGCCAAGACTGCACCACTGTGCTACAGCCTGGGCGACAGAGCAAAACTCCACCTCAAAAAAACAAAAAATAATAAAAATGGTTAAGAGAGTAAATTTTATATGTTTACCACAATTAAAAAAAAAAAAATCAGGCCGACCTGGTGGCTCACGCCTGTAATTCCAGCACTCTGGGACACCAAGGCAGGTGGATCACTGGAAGTCAGGAGTTCAAAACCAGCCTGGACCAACATGGCGAAACCCCGTCTCTTTTAAAAATACAAAAATTAGGCCAGGCACAGTGGCTCACAGCTGTAATCCCAGCACTTTGGGAGGCCGAGGCAGTTGGATCACCTGAGGTCAAGAGTTCGAGACTAGCCTGGCTAACATGGTGATACTCCATCTGTATTAAAATAACAAAAAAATTTAGCCGGGCATGGTGGCAGGCACCTATAATACCAGCTACTCAGGGGGCTGAGGCAGGAGAATCGCCTGAACCTAGAAGGCGGAGGTTGCAGTAAGCCGAGATTGCACCACTGCACTTCAGCCTGGGCAAAAATAGCCAGACTCCATCTCAAAAAAAAAAATTAGCTGCACACAGTGGCCTGTAATCCTAGCCACTCTCAAAATAATAATAATAATAAAGCAAGGATTACATTTGCCAGTGGAAATAAACGGTTGACTGGGCACAGTGGCTCATGCCTATAATCCCAACACTTTGGGAGGTTGAGGTGGGTAGAATGCTTGAGCCCAGACTGGGAAACATGGCAAAACCCTGTCTCTTCAAAAACTATAAAAATTAGCCCAGCATGGTGGTGCATGCTTGTGGTCTCAGCTACTGGGGAGCCTGAGGTAGGAGGATCACCTGAGCCTATGGAGATCCAGGCTGCAGCAGTGAGCCGTGATCACACCACTGCACTCCAGCCTAGGTACCAGAGTGGGACTCAGTCTCAAAAAGCGGGGGTGGGGGAGAGGGAGCGTCAAGAAATAGATATATAAATTGATAAACAGAACACAAAGAAATTAGCTTTTTTTTCCCCCCCAGACCGACTCTCGCTCTGTCACCAGGCTGGAGTGCAGTGGAGCAATCTTGACTCACTGCAACCTCTGCCTCCCAAGTTCAAGTGATTCTCCTGCCTCAGCCTGAAATTAGCTATTTATAAAAATTGATTAACATACAGAATTCAAATTTAACTAACTAACAAACATGGTACTTCATATACTTTTCATGGGACAAAAAGAACCACAGAGAAATTCTGTAAAGGATACTGGTAAAGTAGCTCTGTATTTAGACTGTGTTTACAGTAGGGTAGTACAAATAACCTTATGGATGTTAGAGGAAATCCAGGTTTTGCCTGTAGAAGACAGAAATATGGAATGGAGGAAGCTTAGAAGTACTCTGTGCTAGAGGTTCAAATGGAGGTAACAGACTGAACTCATGGCTGACTGGCTGATTAAATTATGTAAATAAGGGGGATGTATTTCTCAGCCCTATATACTGAAAGGGCCTGAAGAAATTATATCATAATAGCAATGCAAGCCAGACTCAGAGGCTTATGCCTATAATCCCATCACTTTCGGAGGCTGAGGTGGGAGGATGGCTTGAGGCCAAAAGTTCAAGACCAGCCTGATCAACGTAGAGCGACCCCCAAAACTACAACAAATTTAAAAAGTACATGGTGGGGTTTTGCGCCTGTAGTCCCATCTACTCCAAAGGCCAAGACAAGAGGATCACTTGAACCCAGAAGGTGCAGTGAGCCGAGATTGTGCCAGTGCACTCCAGCCTGGGCTATAGAGCAAGACTCCATCTCAAAAAATAATAATAAAATATGCCCTGGTGTGGTGGCTCACACCTATAATCCCAGCACTTTGGGAGACCAGCCTGGCCAACATGGTGAAACACATAAAAATTAGGTGGGCATGGTGGCACATGCCTGTAATCCCAGCTACTTGGGAGGCTGAGGCAGGACAATCGCTTGAACTTGGGGGACAGAGGTTGCAGTGAGCCGAGGTCGTGCCACTGCACTCCAGCCTGGGTGACAGAAAGACTCTGTCTCAAAAAATAATAATAATAATAATAAAATAATAATTTAAAAGTACACATGGTTAGCATACTTTGACTTGTCACAAGAGCTCCTGTGGTAGACTAATCATGGCTACAAATTCTTTCCTGCTTCTATTGAGAGGTAAGGCTCATCTTTTTTCTCCCCTTGAGTATGAGCTGGGTTATGACAACAGTACTTTCTTTTAACCAATAGAGTAAGGTAGAGGTGATAATGCCATTTCTGGACCAATTTCTGGCAACCTCCTCCATGGTGTCTTGGAACCCTTAGCCCAACTACTCTGCTAGAAAGACTATGTGGAAAACCCTAAAACTACATCTTACAGAAAAGAACCCAGCTGGGTCCAGCCTTTCAGCTGTTCCCACTAAGGTATCAAGCGTTTAAGTAAAGCCACTGTGGATCATCTAGACCAATCTAGTCACTAGTTGAATACCAATGAGTGAGCCCAGTAGCCATGTGTAGCAGACGCAAGCTAAACCCTGCCTGAATTCCCGATCCACAAAACTGTGAGACAATAAGAAAAGTTGCTCACAATTGCTAAAAAGTGGAAACAATTCAAGTGTTCACTGACAGAGAAACAAAATGTGGTACATACATACAATGGAATATTATTCAGCTTTAAAAGGGAAGGAAGTAATAACACATGCTATAATACGGATGAACCTTAAAGGTATATGCTAAGTGAAATAAGCCAATCACAAAATGACAAATATTGTATGATTTCAATTATTTGAGAGTAAGGTAATCGCTTCTGAGCCTTTTGGCTAAGATCAAGTGGAGAGTAAGTCAAAGTCATCTAGACAAAAAGCAGAATGGTTGTTGCCAGGAGCTGGGGAAGGGAAAAATGAGGAGTTAAGAGTTTAATGGGTAGAGTTCCAGTTGGGGAAGATGAAAAATTCTGGAGATGAATGGTGGTGATGGTTTCACAACAATGTGAATGTACCTAATGCCAAAGAACTGTACACTTAAAAATGATTAAAGTGATAAATTTTATGTTATGTATATTTTACCATAATGAAAATTTTAAAATACCTTTTAAAAAGTTTGTTACACAGCAACAGATAACCAGAACAGTTCTACACAAACAGAAGTCTGAAATAAGAACTATACTGCACTAAGCCTCCCTTCACAAATGTACACTGGCTATTATTTTAGGACATGATTTTAAGAAATCTTGCCTCCCCATTTAATTTTTAATGTTCTGAGCAGAATCTTCTGCAATACAAATATTAAAACATATGAACAGAACTCAGAGTTAAAATTATATACTTAATTACATGCAAAATTATCACACTGTGTAGCAATGAGGGATAAATAAAAATCATTCATGGAAGTAAAAATAATTACAACCAAACCAGTACTTCAGGGGTCCTCCTGGAGGAAAGCAAAGGGAAAGAATTATGGCCGTCCTGCCCTTAATCTGTTCATCACCTCTAACAAGGTTTGTGAGGAAAGGGGGATGGCCCTACGTTAATATCAATTCCACCATATCCTAATTCCCACTAAACCATCAAATAGGCCAGATGAGAATGGTTGATACAGGAAGAAAGATTAGAGAAAATATAAGGAAAATACACCTGGTGGGAAAAAACGAGGATACTTTCACAAAACCCTACTTAATTTTTCGAATTCTTAGCAACAAAACAGTAGGTATTTTTATTTGTTTCTGTGACAGAATAATATAGCAGACCAGGGTAGCTGTATTAATGTCTGGAGCACTGCTCTCTGAGATCAGATAGTTAAGAGAGGAATATAAGAAACAAATTTCAGGCCGGGCATGGTGGCTCATGCCTGTAATCTCAGTCCTTTGGGAGGCCAAGCTGGGTGGATCACTTGAGGTCAGGGGTTCAAGACCAGTCTGGCCAACATGGTGAAACCCCGTCTCTACTAAAAATGCAAAAAATTAGCCGGGTGTAGTGGTGGGTGCCTGTAATCCCAGTTACTCGGGAGGCTGAGGCAGAATTGCTTGAACCTGGGAGGTGGAGGTTGCAGTGAGCTGAGATTTTGCCACTGCACTCCAGCCTGGGAAACAAGAGTGAAATTCCCTTTCAAAAAATAAAGAAAAAAAAAATTTCAGGCTGGGTGTGGTGGCTCACGCCTGTAATCCCAGCGCTTTGGGAGGCCGAGGTGGGTGGATCACTTGAGGTCAGGAGCTCGAGACCAGCCTGGCCAACAAGATGAAACTCCATTTCCACCAAAATATAAAAAGTTAGCTAGGTGTGGTGGCACGCACCTGTAATCCCAACTACTCAGGAGGCTGAAGCAGGAGAATTGCTTGAACCTGGGAGACAGAGGTTGCAGTGAGCCAAGAGCTTGCCACTGTACTCTAGCCTGGGCAACAGAGTGAGATTCCATCTCAAAAAGAAAAGAAAAGAAACAAATTTCACTCTATCCATCCCTCCGTTTAAAAATCAAGAAATGCCTGGCGTGGTGGCTTATGCCTGTAATCCCAACACTTTCGGAAGCCGAGGTGGGTGGATCACGAGGTCAGGGGTTCGAGACAAGCCTGACCAACATGGTGAAACCCCGTCTCTATTAAAAATACAAAATATTAGCCAAGCCTGGTGGTGCACGCCTGTGACCCCAGCTACTCAGGAGGCTGAGGCAGGCGAATTGCTTGAACTCAGGAGGCGGAAGTTGCAGTGAGCCAAGATCGCGCCACTGCACTCCAGCCTGGGCGACAGAGCAAGACTCCATCTCAAAAAATAAATAAATAAAATAAAAATAAAAAGGCCAGGCACAGTGGCTCTCTCCTGTAATCCCAGAACTGTGGGAGGCCAAGGCAGGCAGATTATGAGGTCAGGAGTTCGAGACCAGCCTGGCCAACATGGTGAAACCCCGTCTCTAACTAAAAATACAAAAATTAGCTGGGTGTGGTGGCAGAAGCCTGTAGTCCCAGCTACTCAGGAGGCTGAGCTGAGATTGCGCCACTGCACTCCAACCTGGCAACAGACCGAGAGACTCCATCTTAAAAACAAACAAACAAACAAACAAAAAAAACACCAATAATTATCAAGGCCCTCTTACCTCCAAAGTAGCAAGAAAGAAAGAAACAAAGTATGTGTATAGTAAATAGCTCTGTAGTAATCCATGATATAGGATATACTACATAACTAACTTAATTCCATTAAGCCCTTTATGGAATTTGCACAGCTATTTATAAGTGTATTTTATTTTTTTAATTTTTATTGTAAATGAGGTTTTGCCATATTGCCCAAGCTGGTCTCAAACTCCTGAGCTCAAGTGATCTGCCCGTTTCAGCCTCCCAAAGTGCTGGAAATACAGGCATAAGCCAGAGGACACCAGACCTATAAGTGTATTTTAAATGTCACTTATTAGATGTGAACCCTGTATTAGTTTCAGAACCCACAACTATATGGGAGGATGGCTATTTGTGATTCTTTTTTTTTTTTTTTGAGATGGAGTTTCGCTCTTGTTGCCCAGGCTGGAGTGCAATGGTGCTTAGATTACTTAATTATAATATTAATTTTTTTTTTTTTTTTGAGACAGAGTTTCACTGTTGTTGCCCAGGCTGGAGTGCAATGGCACCATGTCGGCTCACCACAACCTCCGCCTCCTGGGTTCAAGCGATTCTCCTGCCTCAGCCTCCTGAGTAGCTGAGATTACAGGCATGCGCCACCACACCCGGCTAATTTTATATTTTTAGTAGAGACAGGGTTTCTCCACGTTGGTCAGGCTGGTCTCGAACTCCCGACCTCAGGTGATTCACCCACCTCGGCCTTCCAAAGTGCTGGGATTACATGCATGAGCCACTGTGCCCGGCCTGTAATATGAATTTTTTAAAAAATCACTTGCTCAGTGTATGCTTTTACTTTTTTTTTTTCTCGTGACAGAGTCTTGCCCTGTCCCCCAGGCTGGAGTGCAGTGGCGTGATCTCGGCTCACTGCAACCTCTGCCTCCCAGGTTCAAGGGATTCTACTGCCCCAGCCTCCTGAGTAGCTGGGATTACAGGCATGTGCCACCACACCCAACTAATTTTATATTTTTAGTAGAAACGGGGTTTCTCCATGTTGGTCAGGCTGGTCTTGAACTCCTGACCTCAGGTGATCCGCCCGCCTAGGCATCCCAAAGTGCTGGGATTACAGGCGTAAGCCACCGTGCCAGCTATTTGTGATTCTTAATGTAACAATGATACTAAACTATTGGCCATCCTTCCACATAGCTAACTTTAGTATGGTTTTAATATTTGTCAATTAATATATAATTGTAACTTCTATTATCTAAGTAGCAGAAGTTAATGACACTTTTCAGCTTTAGGTGACTAGCGTTGTTCACAACCTATCAAATGGTCAGTTTCTTCACCTGAAAAATTAGAACAGAAATACATAACCTCTGAACTACCTGTTGACTCCAAAATTCTAAGTACTGTACCTATGTTACCATCTCTAAGACACAAACTCCTTAGTTTGAAAAGTCCTAGCCAGGCAGAGTGGCTCACGCCCTAATCCCAGCACTTTGGGAGGTCGAGGTGGGTGGATTACCTGAGGTCACCAGTTCGAGACCAGCCTGACCAACATGGTAAAACCCCGTGTCTACTAAAAATACAAAGTTAGCCAGGCGTGGTGGTGGATGCCTATAATCCCAGCTATTCAGGAGGCTGAGGCAGGATAATCACTTGAACCCAGGAAGCAGAGGTTGCAGTGAGCCGAGATCAGGCCATTGCACTCCAGCCTGGGCAACAAGAGCAAAACTTGGTCTCAAAAAAAAGGAAAGTCCTTAGCTGCAATTTGAAATTTTTTCAAATTATCCTTTACTTTCAAAAATAAAAATATTTCTCTAATTCAGTATTAATACAAAATATTCATTCATTCACTTAACAAGTATTTGTTCAGCACCCAATTATGTGCCAGGCATTAAGCTTGGCACTGAGAGGAATGAAAAACAGACACGGTATCTGTATTAATAAGGTTTACAGAGAAGCTAAAGAGACAAACCAAATAAATGTATGGATAAATGTAATATGAAGGAGTTGAAGGGTATGTAATGTAGAATCTTTTTTTTTTTTTTTTGAGACAGAGTCTCGCCCTGTTGCCCAGGCTGGAATGCAGTGATGTGATCTCGGCTCCAAGAAAAAGGGTTTCACTATGTTGGTCAGACTGGTCTCGAACTCTTGACCTCGTGATCCACCCACCTTGGCCTCCCAAAGTGCTGGGATTACAGGCGTGAGCCACCGCGCCCAGCCTGTAATGTAGAACCTTAAAGGCTTCCCTTAAGAAGTAACAAATGAATGACAAATGAACACATGGGCTATTTAATGTAAGGAACCTGTCTAGACAGAAATAAACATGGCATGTTCAGGAAACCAACCGAAGACCACTGTGGCCTGACATAACAAAAATAGGTAAAGTAATGCCCTGGAAACAGGAATGAAAAGCTCTAGTATAGGAAAACATATCTTAGCTCTTTCAAAGACATACTCTAAGAATTATTGTCAACGAAGCTTCAAAGCTTCACAATAGTTTCTCTCAAATGCTTAAAAAAAAAAAAAAAGCTGTCCTTTTTCTCCCTACAAAAGACCAAACTCACTCTCATTCTCTTCACATTTCACTGTAATGTCTTCAACTACATGATAAAAGTTACAACTTTTTAGTTCTACTTAGTTTAGATTCCTTAGAAGAAAGCAACTATATAACAACCAAAGTAAATATGGCGTTATTGCCCCTGCCCTCTGCCACTAAACTGCCCTGTGACTGATTTTGGTAAAGGTTACTTGAATACTTTGGCCTAACTTTCATTATCTGTGAAGTAAGAGGAGGTTCCAGAATTTCCTTTAAGATCCTTCTAATTCTAAGATTATGGTTCCACTGTAAAACCGCTTGTTCCTTTTTTTTTTTTTTTTTTTTTTTTTAAGACAAGGTCTCACTCGGTCACCCAGGCTGGAGTGCAGTGGTAGGATCACGGTTCACTGCAGCCCTGACCTTCCTGGGCTTGAGTGATCCTCCCACCTCACCCTCCTGAGTAGCTACGACCATATTTGCATTTTTTGTAGAGATAGGTTTTTGTCATGTTGCCCAGGCCTATCTCAAATTCCTGGGCTCAAGTGTTCCTCCCACCTTGACCTCCTGAAGTGCTGGGATTACACAGGCATGAGCCACCACACCCAGCCTTGTTCCATTCTTGAAAACTGACGAGAACAGGACCAAACACCGCTGAATTCCTTTGTAATTGCCTTTAAGATGTTTTTTGTTTTGTTTTGTTTGTTTGTTTTCGAGACAGAGTCGCGCTTTGTCACCCAGGCTGGAGTGCAGTGGTGGGATCTTGGCTTACTGCAAGCTCCGCCTCCTGGGTTCATGCAATTCTGCCTCAGCCTTCCAAGTAGCTGGGACTACAGGCCCCGCCACCACGCCTGGATAATTTTTTTGTATTTTTAGTAGAGATGGGATTTCACCTGTGTTAGCCAGGATGGTCTCGATCTCCTGACCTCATGATCCACCCGCCTCGGCCTCCCAAAGTGCTGAGATTACAGGCGTGAGCCACCGCACCGGGCCTGCCTTTAAGGTCTTTTTTAATGAGACAGAGTCTCACTCTGCTGTCACCCAGGCTATAGTGCAGTGGCATAATGCCTCACTGCAACCTCTGCCTCCTGGGTTTAAGTGATTCTCATGCCTCAGCCACAGGAGTAGCTGAGATTACAGAGGTGTGCCACCACACCTGGCTAATTTTTGTATTTTTAGTAGAGATGGGGTTTCACCATGTTGGCCAGGCTGGTCTCGAACTCCTGAGCTCAAGAGATCCACCTGCCTTGGCCTCCCAAAGGGCTAGGATTACAAGCATGAGCCCCTGCGTCCGGGCTTAAGCTCTCTTTGTGTTTGTACAGCATTTCAACACTGTTGCTATGTTATAATAATAATAAACTCCTGAATTTATAAAATTATCAATAACTAAGATTCTAATAAAAAAACAAAATTTCAAAAATACTTAAGTATTGTTAAAAATCTACATTTCCAATGAGACATAATACTTTAAAGAAGGATCCCTAATTAAGTACAAAGTCAAAATAGAAAGGAAGGCAGAAGAAATACAAAATCAAAAGAATTTTTCAGAAAACATTTTGGCAGTAGGACATTGAAGTTGGTTGATATGAACGTCGATTTTAACTTCCAAAAGAACTCATAACAAATGGATAATCAAACTCGATGCTCATTCTCCACTGGATTGTATGTCCATTTATAGTTAACAGTACTTCTGATAATCGATTTTCAAACAGAAAATGTACATAAGTAGTCATAACTTTCCCAACACACCTTAAAAAAATAATATTGAGACACGGTTGGCTGGGCGCGGTGGCTCACGCCTGTAATCCCAGCACTTTGGGAGGCCGAGGTGGGCGGATCACGAGGTCAAGAGTTCGAGACCAGCCTGACCAACATAGTGAAACTCCGTCTCTACTAAAAATACAAAAATTAGCTGGGCATAGTGGCACGCACCTCTAATCCCAGCTACTTGGGAGGCTGGGGCAGGAGAATCGCTTGAACCCGGGAGGCGGAGTTTGCAGTGAGCCAAGATTGCACCACTGCATTCCAGCCTGGGCGACAGGGCGAGACTCCGTCTCAAAAAATAAATAAATAAATAAAAAATAAAAATAAAATTGAGACAGGGTCTATGTTGCCCAGGTCTGAACCTCCTGGGCTCAAATGATCCTCCTGCCTCAGCCCTCAAAATGCTGGGATTACAGGCATGAGCCCCTGTACCCAACCACAACTTTCCTTTTTTTTTTTTTCACTGTTTAAGGAATTTTTTATTAAAAAAAGAATTTTATAATCCAAATTACGCTTCCTTGCTCAGTTATCAATTCTGTTACTTAAAACAGAACTGATATTTTGAGCTATTCCACAGTAAAGATTACAAGGAATGCTTTAAATTTTTGTACTTTGCTGAAAATTATTTTTCCCAGGATCTATAAAACATTAATTTGTCTTTATATTTTATTATTTTTTGTGGGGTTTTTTTTGTTGTTTGTTTTTAAATCAATAAGTAATCTAGGACTAATATTATGTTTGCTAGACCTGGCATTTGCTCGGTACATAATGTTCAAAGTTTCCTTTCCTTTTTAAATTTATTTTATATTTTGCAATTTTTTTTTCCATATTTAAGTTTTTCGATGTTTAGATATTTTTCTTTGGTGAAGCACAAGTTTCTTTTCGTGGTCTCTGATCAATTTTAAACAGCAGGAACACCAATGGCACTGTTAACTGCTTTCTGGGTAGCCTCTTTAGCTTGGTGGGCTTGTAATATAGCTAGCTTCATGAACCTTAGAACAGAGTGACTCTGGACTCTCGAGCATATGAACATTTGCTTTTGCTCTTGAGGGGCAGATGCCAACATGGAAGCAGTCAAAGGTTCCTGACCTTGTACATGAACAGCAGGCTGTTGCATTGTAACTTGTGGCTGTGCATTAAGATGTTGCTGAGGATTGCGAACTCCCGCAGCATATTTATACTGTGGAACGGTGTGGACAGCAGGAGTAGCTGCAGCCAGCAGATACCAGGGTGTTAATATTTACGTGAAAAATCTTGATGATAGTATTGATGATGAACGTCTCCAGAAAGAGTTTTCTCCATTTGGTACAATCACTAGTGCAAAGGCTATGATGGAGGGTGGTCACAGCAAAGGGTTTGGTTTCGTATGTTTCTCCTTCCCGGAAGAAGCCACTAAAGCAGTTACAGAAATGAACGGTAGAACTGTGGCCACAAAACCATCGTATGTAGCTTTAGCTCAGCGCAAAGAAGAGTGCCAGGCTCACTTCACTAACCAGCATATGCAGAGAATGGCAAGTGTACGAGCTGTGCCCAACCATGTAATCAACCCCTACCAGCCAGCACCTCCTTCAGGTTACTTCATGGCAGCTATTCCACAGACTCAGAACCGTGCTGCAAGACCGGGCGCGGTGGCTCACGCCTGTAATCCCAGCACTTTGGGAGGCCAAGAGGGGCAGATCACGAGGTCAGGAGATCGAGACCATCCTGGCTAACACGGTGAAACCCGTCTCTACTAAAAAAATACAAAAAATTAGCCGGGCATGATGGCGGGCGCCCGTGGTCCCAGCTACTCGGGAGGCTGAGGCAGGAGAATGGCGTGAACCCGGGAGGCGGAGCTTACAGTGAGCCGAGATCGCACCCACTCCAGCCTGGGCGACAGAGCGAGACTCTGTCTCAAAAATAAATAAAAACCGTGCTGCATACTCTCCTCCTAGCCAAACTGCTCTACTGAGACCAAGTCCTCGCTGGACTGCTCAGGGTGCCAGACCTCATCCATTCCAATATGCCAGGTGCTATCCCCAAGCTGCTCCTATACCACCACTTAATACTATGAGACCAGCTTCTTCACAGGTTCCATGAGTCATGTCAACAGAGCGGTTGCTAACACATCAACTTTCCATTTTTTAACCAAATTATCCAACATTAGAATTCAAGGTTTCAATATTCTTAATTTGAAAACAATAAATATTAACGATCCATCAATTGTTTAAGTTTTATATTTCATAATTTCTCACTCCCAAAACAGTGTAACTTTTAGAAGCATCAATCAAGCAGCTCAATTCATGTATAATCTTTAGTATCAATATTTGCTTTATTTATTTTATTTTACTTTTTTGAGATGAAGTTTCACTCCTGTTGCCCAGGCTGGAGTGCAATGGCGCGATCTCCGCTCATCAAAACTTCCGCCTCCCGGGTTCAAGCGATTCTCCTGCCTCAGCCTCCCAGTAGCTAGGATTACAGGTATGCGCCACCACGCCCAGCTAATTTTGTATTTTTAGTAGAACTCCAGACCTCGGGTGATTTGCCTGCCTCGGCCTCCCGAAGTGCTGGGATTACAGGCTGGAGCCACCACACCAGGCCCAAGATTTGTTTTAATGAAAGGGGCTGGGAGCAGTGGCTCACACCTGTAATCGCAGCATATTGGGAGGCCGATGCAGGCAGATCATTCGAAGTCAGGAGATCGAGACCAAAGTGACCAACATAGTGAAATCCCATCTCTACTAAAAATACAAAAATTAGCTGGGCGTGGTGGCAGGCACCTGTAATCCCAGCTACTAGAGAGGCTGAGGCAGAATTGCTTGAACCCGGGAGGTGGAGGTTGCAGTGGGCCGAGACGCGCCACTGCACTCCAGCCTAGGTGACAGAGCAAGACTCCGTCTCAAAAAAAAAAAAAAAAAAAAAATTTAGCCGGGTGTGGTGGCACACGCTGGTAGTCCCAGCTACTTGGGAGGCTGAGGCAGAATAGCTTGAACCTGGGAAGTGGAGGTTGCAGTGAGCTGAGATCCCGCCGCCGCACACAGATTTGTTTTAATGAAAGGAACTGTTGTCTTATTCCTTCCAAAAAGGCAACAAATTGCAGAACCAAATTAAGAGTCTGAAAACTAAACCACAGGAATATTTTAAATACTGTACTCATTAAAATGCAACATTAGGTACATTTACTGGGCTCCAAGAGCAAGAGGCCAAGCTCATTCCCTAAAATACATTTGGCCAAGTGGCCCAAGGTGGAAACATTGTCAACAATGTTGCTTCCCTCACCTCCCACCAATTCTGATTGATTCTAACTCTGAAAAGTTGTTAAATCATTTCCTAGTCACTATTACCAATGCCATAGCCCTACCTGAAGATTTCAACGTCTTTCACCTAGACTACTGTTTACAGTTTCCTAGCCGGACTCACTGCCTCTGGTCTTCCCCTACTCCAATCTAGCACCAATTGTGACAACCAAAATGTCTCCAGCATTGCCAAACATCTCCTGGAGGTCAAAGTTGCCCTGACTCAGAACCACTGCTTCAAGCTGTTCCTACAAGAAGAATATTACTTATTTGTTAAGATTCTGGCCACAATCTATGTCAGTGGAACAGAAACCAAAAAAACTAACAAACATGAGGTTGAAATTTAAAACCTTAACCTTAGGACTGCCATGCTTAAACAAAATTAGCTGACACCTCATAAAAAGGGCCATAATACTCTTAAACTCCTTTGAACGTATAGACTTAAATCATCTTACTTTAAGCCTGAATTATGAAAAGTCTGTACCTTCTGTCAAAGTTTAACCACCATATATACATATTTAAGCTTCTGGATATAGAAAATTATGCAAATTTTTAAAAAGGACTTTGCGCTTTAATCAATCCCCTTCAGAAGCTGAAAATAGTAAACTTCTTAGGCAAATTACTGCCTACACCTAAGTTTGCAAGCCACTCTGAACAGTATTCTCATTAAATACCTCCAGAAAAAACTCTAAAAACACAAATTCTTATGCTTGAAAACCAGTAAGTTTTTGAAAAATCACACTCCTTTTAAATTTCCCACAATGGTTATATCCCTACAAAACTCACTCAAAGATGTTATCTGAGATACAACAGTACCTTTCAGAGGGGGTAAGAGATCTAAAAAACTTGGAACTTTAAAGGCCAGACTGAGCAGGGTAGCAGTATCACAGGAGAAAGCGCCTTCTACCAAAGACATCAAAATCCGTCCAGACACTTACCTTCAGGCGTTTGATCATCTCGTCCGTGGTGATCTTGTCGGTGATCTCTTTTACCCCCGGAGGGTAAGCGATCTTCCCGTCGGCACTCACGACGCCACAGAGGGCAGTGGCAGGCTTGGGCTGCGCGGTGAAGTCCATCCTGGGGGACAACTTTTGGTTCACAGTCCTCTACCGGCCTCTATCGGTCAGAAAACCAAAGTTCAGCGGGAAAGGGGCGACTTTGTAACCTCTTTTTTCATTTCAAATCTCTCTAATCTGGAAAAGGCCCTGTCTCCCCAGAGGCCGGGGACCCGGCAGCGGCCTCGCCACCCGCTCTTTCCCAGGGATCGAACCCCGCCGGCCCCGCCAACCCGGCCCTGCCAGCCCCAGGCTCACGGGGCTCCTCCGCACCAGCCGCCGTGGCCGCCGAACAGCGCCAGGAGTTTCCCATTCCGCCTTTCACAATGAAATCCACCCCCGAGCACCAGGGTCCGAAGTTTGGCGGCCCCGGGAGGCCGGCAAGGACCCCAAGGCCCCCGCTCGGCGGTGGGGAAGCACCCAGTCCCGCCCGGCCAGTCCCCTCCGGGAAACCAGACCCGAGGCCTATAGGGCTCGGCTTAGGCCGCAAAACTAGGGACCCAGCGGACCCACGCGCAGCGGCGGCTGCCGGGAACAAAACGCCCTTGCCCAGCCGAGCCTCGGACCCGGGGTAGTCCCCGCCGCGCTGCCACCCCTCCCCTGTTCCGCTCCCTCACCCCCGCGGGAGGGGAAAACAAGCCGCCCTCCACCCTCAGCCCCACGCCAGGAAGCGGCTGACGCGCCTCCGCACTTCACATTTTGTTCCTTCAACTTCGGCTGAGGGACCCCAGCTGCTTCTCTGGCCCCCGGCCGCTTGGCGCCTCCGGCACCGCCGAGGCCTTCCCGGCACCCTCGGGCGGCCCCACCGGGCCTCGGACCCGCGGCCCCCCCCTCCAGTCTCCCCTTCCGTCCCCTCCCTCCAGCAGCCTAGGGCGGGAGCCGAGCCGCCGCCGCCTTTACCTCCTCCTCATGCGGGCGGAAGGTGCATCGAGCGCCCGGGCCTCTGTCAGGTGGTTGCGCCGCCGCCCCTAGTCGGGCTGCACACAAAGCGGCTCCGCGGGTCCCGCCGCCGCCGCCGCCGCCGCCCGCCCGCCCGGGAGCGGCGCTGGGGCTGGCGGTGCCGAGGAGGAGCAGCCGCCGCGGGGGGAGACGCGGGGCGAGTGAGCGCTGGGCGGGGAGACAGTGCCGCTCTCCGTCTGGCCGAGGAAGAGCAGCCTCGAAGGCTCCTCCGGGAGTGTGTGCGCTTGTGTCCGTCCGGGACCCCCGCGGCCCGCCCGCACGCACCTCGCGCCGGCCCGGACCGCCGACTCGGACCCGGACGCCCCTCGCAGAGGCGCGCGCCCGGCCGTCCGTGCCCCGGGAGCCGGGGCCTCGCGCACACACCGGCCGGTCACGCGAGCGGCGCGAGAGCACGCGAGAGCAGCGCGCGCTCCTCGCTCCCTCCCCTTCCTCCGCCGGCCGTGCATCCGCCTCCCTCGGGCCCGAGGCGGCCGCGCGCAGGGCGGACAGCGCCGCCACCCGGTTGGCGCCAATACCTGCCGCGCGGGGCGCCTCCCGGAGGACCCGACCGGAGAGGGCGAGAGGAGGAGGAGCCCGGGTGGCGGGAAGCGAGCCCAGGTTCCCGCGGCCTTGCGAGGGCACGCAGGGCAAACAGTGCTTTATCTTTCGCAGCGGCGATGAGCTGGTGACTTTTGGGGGTCATCCTGAGGGACATAGACGAAACTGGTTGGGAGGTAGTTAATTGCTCGGTGAAAATGAACTGATTTCCTCCTCAGGGAGAGATCTGCAAAGTCAAGGAAAGTTGTGCAATGGGGCGCAGCGTGAGCGGCTCACTCTCGGGTCTTCTGACAGCCACCCGAGTTGCCCACCCTCCTTAGATTTCTGAAGTTAATATTTTGAAAGCTGCAAAACATGAAAATAGCATTGGGTCGAGTCGTTCTCAAGGTATGGTCTTTGGGCCACCAGGCCTCACAATCACTTTGGGTACTGGCTGAAAACGTAGGTTTCCAACTCCAAAGATTAAAAAACATAAAAATATATGTTTTTTTAACGTAAAAATATATATGAACATAAAACATATAAAAATATAACATATAAAATAAAACACTAAAAAATATAAAAATATACATAAACATAAAAATCTCTGAGAGTGGAACCCAGAAATAAGCATTTATTAATTGGGTGGGTGATTCTTGTAAATAAGGAAGAGCTCATTTTTTAAAAATGTTTTAAACCTACCAAGCATTAACGTTTTCTGTCATCCAAAGGAAAACCACTATCAGGTAAAAACAGTGCACGCAGCAGTGTTTGAGCAATTTAATGTATGTAATTGAAACAAATTAACGCAAGAACATACACTTACCTATTTAAAAAAAATCAAGAGCATACACAAAATTTCCGAAGAGAAAGTTGAAAAAAGGATACGATAATATGAAATCACATTCAGCTCTTGAAACTGACCACTACCATAGTTTAAAATGATATTCGATTGTTTATTCAAATTATTCTTGATGGGTACCCATTGGTCTATTTTTTTCCCACATCCTTTAACGTCAACTTAAAAATAGTAAAGGTACTGCATTTCAGCTCACTGACTTGTTTTTGACGTATTACACAAGAGCAGTCATTGCGAATCTGACACTCCACAGTTGCTGATTTGCTAGAACTCTGCCCAAAAGTCAATGCTTTGTTCTTGGGCATTTACAGTACCAGGCAGAATCCATTTAAAAGTGTCCTCATCCAAACTATTAAGTGGACCAAAAGCTGCTCTCTTTTTAGGCTCTCCCTGTCACTTTTGATATTTATTTTTTTCTTTTGAGACGGAATCTTACTCTGTCACCCAGGCTGGAGTGCAGTGGCGTGATATCGGCTCACTGCAAGCTCTGCCTCCCGGGTTCACGCCATTCTCCTGCCTCAGTCTTCCGAGTAGCTGGGACTACAGGCGCCCGCCACCACGCCCGGCTAATTTTTTTTTTTTGTATTTTTAGTAGAGACGGGGTTTCACCATGTTAGCCAGGATGGTCTCGATCTCCTGAGCTAGTGATCCGCCCGCCTCGGCCTCCCAGAGTGCTGGGATTACAGGCATGAGCCACCGCGCCCGGCCAAATTTGATATTTCTTTGTGTGTTACATTTAATTAAACAACAATGATTTTATCTTTCATCCTCCTCAGTAGCTTGCCCATTATTAAATGGAGTTTTGTATATGTACATATATTTTATTTTATTTATTTTTTATATTATTTTATTATTTTTTGAGATGAAGTCTCACTTTGTCGCCCAGACTGCAGTGCAGTGGCATGATCTCGGCTCACTACAGCATCCGCCTCCCAGGTTCAAGCGACTTTTGTGCCTCAGGCCCCCAAGTAGTTGGGACTACAGGTGTGTGCCACCATACCGGGCTAATTTTTTTTTGAGACAGAGTCTCCCTCTGTCGCCCAGGCTGGAGTGTGGTGGTGTGATCTTGGCTCACTACAACCTCTGACTTCTGGGTTCAAGCAATTCTCCTGCCTCACCCTCCCAAGTAGCTGGGATTACAGGCGCCCGCCACTATGCCCGGCTAATTTTTGTTATTTTTAGTAGAGACAGGGTTTCACCATGTTGGTCAGGCTGGTCTCAAACTCCTGACCTCAGGTAATCTGCCCGCCTCACCCTCCCAAAGTGCTGGGATTACAGGCTTGAGCCACCGTGCCTGGCCTTACTGGTTGATTTCTTTTTTTTTTTTTTTAACATGGAGTCTCACTCTATCACCAGGCTTGAGTGCAGTGGTGCGATCTCGGTTCACTTCACCTCTGCCTCCCAGGTTCAAGCGATTCATCTGCCTCAGTCTCCCAAGTAGCTGGGACTACAGGCGTACACCACCACGCCCAGCTTATTTTTATATTTTTAGTAGAGATGGAGTTTCACCATATTGGCCAGGCTGATCTCGAATTCCTGACCTCGTGATTTGCCCGCCTCGGCCTCCCAAAGTGCTGGGATTACAGGTGTGAGCCCCTGCGCCTGGCCTATTTTATTTTTTCGAGACGAAGTCTTGCTCTGTTGCCCAGGCTGGAGTGCAGTGGTACAATCTGGGCGCACTGCAACCTACGCCTCCTGGGTTCAAGCAGATCTCCTGCGTCAGCCTCCCAAGATCTGGGACTACAGGCATGCGCCACCACGCCTGGCTAATTTTTGTACTTTTAGTAGAGACAGGGTTTTACCATGTTGGCCAGCCTGGTCTCGAACTCTTGACCTTAGGTGATCCACCCACCTTGGGCTCCCAAAGTGCTGGAATTACAGGCATGAGCCACTGCACCCAACCTCCACCAAGCTTTTCTTCCCCGCTCAGTGCCCAAAACAATGCCTTATATTATAGGCCTCTTTAAATAATTGTTTCACAAATGAAGGCCTGCCCTCCTGGTGGACCTTAATTTGTTTGGGGAGAAATAGACCAAAATAACAATAATACATGTATATGAAAATAAAGTAGGGAAGAGTTGGGCACGGTGGCTCGCACCTGTAATCCCAGCACTTTGGGAGGGGGAGGCAGGCAGACTATTTGAGGTCACGAGTTTCAGACCAGCCTGGCCAGCATGGTGAAACCCCATCTCTATTAAAAAGACAAAAAATTAGACTCAGTGGCTCAGGCACGGTGGCTCAGGACTGTAATCCCAGCACTTTGGGAAGCCGAGGTGGGTGGATCACCTGAGGTCAGGAGTTCCAGACCAGCCTGACCAACATGGTGAAACCCTGTCTCCACTAAAAATACAAAAATTAGGCAGGCGCACTGGCACATGTCTGTAATCCCAGCTACTAAGAAGGCTGAGGCAGGAGAATCGTTTGAACCGGGGAGATGGAGGTTGCAGCGAGCTGAGAAAGCACCACTGCACTCCAGCCTGGGCGACAGAGTGAGACTCCCTGGAGTGAGAGAGAGTACAGATCACATGTAGCCTTTTAGACCTCTGGTAAGACTGTGGCTATCCTCTGATTGAGGTGGGGAACTAATGGACTGTTTTAAGCAAAGAGGTGATATGATGTATGTCCTGAGTTAGGCAATGTTGGTCAAACCACTTAATTCTTCTGTGCCTCATTTTCTTCATCTGTAAAACAAGGATAATGATAGTATCTTCCTCACATGATCATTATGAGGAATACATAACTTAATTTTTTTTTCTGTCGCCCAGGCTGGAGTGCAGTGTTGCAGTCTCGGCTCACTGCAACCTCTGCCTCCCAGGTTCAAGTGATTCTCTTGCCTCAGCTTCCCTAGTAGCTGTGATTACAGGCACGCACCACCATGCCCAGCAATTTTTTGTATTTTTAGTGTGATGGGATTTCACCATGTTGGCCAGGCTGCTCTTGAACTCCCGACCTCAGGTGATCCGCCCGCCTTGGCCTCCCAAAGTGCTAAGATTACAGGTGTGAGCCCCTGCGCCTGGCCATAAGTTAATATTTGTAAAATGCCTAGAATAGTAACTCGCATATACTAAGCTCTACATAATTTTTTTTAATAAAATAAAATAAAAAAATCAAAGAGTTTTATGTGGTTAATAATTGCACAAAGGGGTGGCTTTGTGAGTCTTTATTCTACCTCCCACATAATTTCAATCAGTGTCCCCCTCACACATACATTCAGTTATATAATCTATGTACAAAATTGCGTCCAATGCAATTTGAGGACAAACCCCTAACCCCCAATTTCACTACAGCTCCTTCTATATACAAATTCTAGAGCTCCTGACCAACATGGCAAAACCTCATCTCTACTAATATATATATATATATTTGCATATATATATATATGCAAAAATTAGCCTGGTGGGGTGGCGCACACCTGTAGTCCTAGCTACTTGGGAGGCTGAGGCATCAGAATTGCCTGACTCTGGGAAGCAGGGGTTGCAGTGAGCCGAAATTGCACCACTGCACTCCAGCCTGGGCGACAGAGAAAGACTCCGTCTAAAAAAAAAAAAAAGACCTGAGCACGGTGGCTCACGCCTGTACTCCCAGCACTTTGGGGGGCCGAGGCAGGCAGATAACCTCAGGTCAGGAGTTTGAGACCAGCCTGGCCAACCTGGTGAAACCCCATCTCTACTAAAAATACAAAAATTAGCTGAGCAGGGTAATGGGCACCTGTGTAATCCCAGCTATTCAGGAGGCTGAGACAGGAGAATCACTTGAACCTGGGAGGCAGAGCTTGCAGTGAGCTGAGATCGTGCCATTGCACTCCAGCCTTGGTGACACAGTGAGACTCAGTCTCAAAAAAAAGAAAAAAAAAAAAAAAAGAAGAAGAAAGTAAGAAATTCTAGAGCAAAAATCTAGGGCAGTTCTGTCCAATAGAAATTTCTGCAGCAATAGAAATGTTCCACACATACATTGTCCAGAATAGTAGCCACCAGCCATACGTGACTGTGCAGCACTTGGAAAGTGGCTAGTGCCACGAGAGAAGTGAATTTTTAATTTAATTTATTTTGATTACTTTCTTTTGTTGTTGTTGTTATGAGACAGTCTTGCTCTGTTGCCCAGGCTGGAGTGCAGTGGCACAATCTCGGCTAACTACAACTTCCGCCTCCTAGGTTCAAGTGATTCTCCTGCCTTAGCCTCCTGAGAAGCTGGGATTACAGGTGCCCGCCACCACCCGGCATATTTTTGTATTTTTAGTAGAGATAGGGTTTCCCATGTTGGCCAGGATGGTCTTGAACTCCTGACCTCAAGTGATCTGCCCACCTGGGCCTCCCAAAGTGCTGGGATTACAGGCATGAGCCACCAAGCCTGACCCTAAATATTTTCAAGTATGAAAAAAACTGCAGGTATAAGTGACATGGATAAATCTTAGTGACATAAAGTTCAACAGCAAGGTTCAGGATAATGGTTACCCTTAGAGTACAAGGAGAAGCAGGGAACACAGTGAGACAACACGGGAGAATGAATATATTGGTAGATGTATTCTGTTGAAGCTTTATTCTTGGGTGAGATGGTGACTTCACATATGCTAGCTATGCTAAAGAATGAATGGTTGAATGACTAAAGGCAACCCATGGACTAATGAGAGATGTGTTCATAACCCAAGAATTATAATTAATCTAGTCAGAGCACATGAGGTCCAGAAGAGAAAAAAATAAAACCAAACTCAACAAATTTCCAAACATTTTAATATTGTAATT
The DNA here is from genome assembly GCF_000001405.40 of Homo sapiens. Classification (NCBI taxonomy): domain Eukaryota; kingdom Metazoa; phylum Chordata; class Mammalia; order Primates; family Hominidae; genus Homo; species Homo sapiens. Next base: position 39,983,631 of record NC_000004.12, read on the forward strand.
TAATATTTTTTCAATTATATCCCCTGAAGTCAAAGAAATTATACCCTCATGATAATTATAATTTTTGTCTAGTAATGGTAGTACCATAAGAAATTATTTAGAGTTATATTTTGTACAAATGCCACTTTTTAACCCTTTCTCAAGTTGCTAGTATTAGGATGACAGATGATTATAGGACTGAAAGAGTTTTCAGAGTAAATAAAATTTCAACAATCACATTGCAGTGCATTTTTGTTATGAAGCTTGGGATGTTAGCCTCCTGTTGTCCTATATAACTTAAAATAGGCTGGGCATGGTGGCTCACGCCTGTAATTCCAGCACTTTGGGAAGCCAAGGTGGGCAAATCACTTGAGGCCAAAAGTTCGAGACCAGGCTGGCCAACATGTCGAAACCCCATCACTACTGAAAGTACAAAAATTAGCTTGTGGTGGTAGCACACACCTGTAATCCCAGCTACTCGCGAGGCTGAGGCAGTAGAATGGCTTGAACCCAGTAGGCAGAGGTTGCAGTGAGCCAAGATCATGCCACTGCACTCCAGCCTGGGCAACATCAATGAAGCTCCATCTCAAAAAAAAAAATTTTTTTTGAGACGGAGTCTCGCTCTGTCGCCCAGGCTGGAGTGCGGTGGCGCGATTTCGGCTCACTGCAACCTCCGCCTCCCGGGTTCACGCCATTCTCCTGCCTCAGCCTCCCGAGTAGCTAGGACTACAGGCGCCCGTCACCACGCCTGGCTAATTTTTGGTATTTTTAGTAGAGTCAGGATTTCACCGTGCTAGCCAGGATGGTCTCGATCTCCTGACCTCGTGATCCGCCCCCTTGGCCTCCCAAAGTTCTGGGATTACAGGCGTGAGCCACCATGCCCGGCCACAAAAAAAAATTTTTTTTTAAACTTAAAATAATTGGCCAAGTGAGGTGGCTAATGCCCATAATCCCAGCATTTTCGAAGGCCAAGGCAGGAGGATCACTTTAGCCCAGGAGTTCAAAATCAGCCTGAGCAAGATAGTGAGACTTTGTCTCTACTAAGAATAAAAAATTAGGCCAGGCGCAATGACTCACGCCTGTAATTCAAGCACTTTGGGAGGCTGAGGTGGGTGGATCACTTGAGGTCAGGAGTTCGAGACCAGCCTGGCCAACATAGCGAAACCCCCTCTCCACTAAAAATACAAAAAATTAGCTGGGCATGGTAGCGGGCACCTGTAATCCCAGCTACTTGGGAGGCTGAGGCAGGAGAATTGCTTGAACCCAGGAGGCAGAGGTTGCAGTGAGCTGAGATCAGGCCATTGGACTCCAGCCTGGGCAACAGAGCAAGACTCTGTTACACAGACACACAAAATTGTTTTCTTCATGTAAAATCTCTTTTATCTGAGCTAATTTGCAGTAAGCCAAGATCGTGCCACTGCATTCCAGCCTGGGTGACAGAGTGAGACTCCTTCTCAAAAAAAAAAAAAGGCCGGGTGCGGTGGTTCACACCTGTAATCTCAACACTTTGGGAGGCCAAGGCTGGTGGATCACGAGGTCAGGAGTTCAAGACCAGCCTGGCCAACATGGTAAAACCCCGTCTGTACTAAAGATATAAAAAATTTGCCAGGCGTGGCCGGACACGGTGGCTCACGCCTGTAATCCTGGCACTTTGGGAGGCGGGCAGATCACCTGACTTCAGGCGTTTGAGACCAGCCTGGCCAATGTGGTGAAGCCCCGTCTCTACTAAAAATACAAAAAATTAGCCAGGCATGGTGATACAGGCCTGTAATCCCAGCTACTTGGGAGCCTGAGGTAGGAGAATTGCTTGAACCTGGGAGGCGGAGGTTGCAGTGAGCCTAGATCACACCATTGCACTCCAGCCTGGGGGACAAGAGCGAGATTTCATCTTTTTTTTTTTTTTGAGACGGAGTTTCGCTCTTGTTGCCTAGGCTGGGGTGCAATGGCACAATCTTTGCTCACTGCAACCTCCGCCTCCCAGGTTCAAGCGATTCTCCTGCCTCAGCCTCCTGAGTAGCTGGGATTACAGGCATGTACCACCACACCCGGCTAGTTTTTTTATATTTTTAGTAGAGACGGGGTTTCTCCATATTGGTCAGGCTGGTCTCGAACTCTTGACCTCAGGTGGTCCGCCTACCTCGGCCTCCAAAAGTGCTGGGATTACAGGCGTGAGCCACCACACCCGGGCATGATTATCTTCTCTAATACATTTGATAAATGAGTCTATTCTGCCCATAACTGTAGTAAAGAAGTATGTGTCATAACTTTACTTTCTTATTTTATTTTTATTTTTTTGAAACAGTGTCTTACTCTGTCACCCAGGCTGGAGTTCAGTGGCATAATCACAGCTCACTGAAGCCTTGATCACCTGGGCTCAAGTTATCCTCCCACCTCAGCCTCTTGAGTAGCTGGGAATACAGGTACGTGCCATGATGCCTGGCTAATTTTTTTTTTTTTAGACTGAGTCTTGCTCTGTTGCCTAGGCTAGAGTGCAATGGCACATCTCGGCTCACCTCCTGGGTGCAACCTCCACCTCCTGGGTTCAAGCAATTCTCTTGCCTCAGCCTCCCAAGTAGCTGGTATTATAGGTGCCTGCCACCACACCGGGCTAATTTTTGTATTTTTAGTAGAGATGGGGTTTCGCCACGTTGGCCAGGCTGGTCTTGAACTCCTGACCTCAGGTGATCTGCCCGCCGCAGCCTCCCCAAGTGCTGGGATTACAGGCGTGAGCCACCGTGCCCGGCCCTAATTATTTATTTGTTTGTTTGTTTATTTATTTATTTTTGAGAAGGAGTCTCACCCTGTCACTCAGGCTGGAGTGCAATGATATGATCTCGGCTCACTGCAACCTCCGCCTCCCGGGTTTAAGCGATTCTCCTGCTTCAGGCTCCAGAGTAGCTGGGATTACAGGTGCATGCCACAACACCCAGCTAATTTTTTTTTTTTTTTAGACGAAATCTCAGGCCGGGCTGAGATTTGGGAGGCTGAGGCAGGTGGATCACAAGGTCAGGAGATCAAGACCATCCTGGCCAACACGGTGAAACGCCCTGTCTACTAAAAATACAAAAATTAGGCCTGGCGCGGTGACTCACGCCTGTAATCCCAGCACTTTGGGAGGCTGAGGCGGGCGGATCACAAGGTCAGGAGATCGAGACCATTCTGGCTAACACGATGAAACCCTATCTCTACTAAAAAATACGAAAAATTAGCTGGGCGTGGTGGCAGGTGCCTGTAGTCCCAGCTACTCGGGAGGCTGAGACGGGAGACTGGCATGAACCCGGGAGGCGGAGCTTGCAGTAAGCCAAGACTGCGCCACTGCACTCCAGCCTGGGCAACAGAGTGAGACTCTGTCTCAAAAAACAACAACAAAAAAAAATTAGCAGAGCATGGTGGTGGGTACCTGTAATCCCAGCTACTTGGGAGGCTGAGGCAGGAGAATTGCTTGAACTCAGGAGGCAGAGGTTGCAGTGAGCTGAGATCAGGCCATTGGACTCCAGCCTGGGCGACAGAGCAAGACTCTGTCACAAAAAAGAAAAAAAAAATTGTTTTCTTCATGTAAAATCTCTTTTATCTGAGCTAATTTGAGTACATTTCTGATGTTAACCACCAAATATGACCTAATTTAGAATGAATAATTGATTGGACTTTATGAAATCTTAACCAAGATTCATGAACCCACCTGTACTGGGTTGAATAGTGCCCCACGACACACACACACACATACACACACACACACACACACACACACACACAAAATTCATGTCCACCTGGAACCTCCTAATATGATCTTATTTGGAAGCAGCATCTTTGCAGATGTAATTATTTAAAACAAACTCATACTGTATTAGGGTAGGTCCTAAATCCACTGACCAGCAGTGTCTTAATAAGAAGATATGAAGACACACAGGGATGAAGTCCCATGTAGGGATGGAGGCGATGATTGGAGTGATGACTGCAAGCCAAGGAATTACAAGGATCACCAGCAAGCACCAGAAGCAGAGAAAGAGACAGGGATTCTTCCCTCGAGGCTTCAAAGCGAATATAGCCTTGTTCACACCTAGACTTTGGACTTCTAGCCTCTGAAACTGTAAAAGTGTAAGTTTCTGTTGTTTTAAGCCACCACGTTTGTGGTGCAACAGCAGTCCTATGAAACCAATACACCAGCCATATGCAAAAATTGTTTTGGCTGGGTGCGGTGGCTCATGCTTGTAATCCCAGTACTTTGGGAGGCCAAGGTGGGGGGATCATGAGGTGAGGAGTTTGAGACCAGTCTGGCCAACATGGTGAAACACCATCTCTATTAAAAATACAAAAATTATACAGGTGTGGTGGCGGGTGACTGTAATCCCAGCTACTCGGGAGGCTGAAGCAGGAGAATCGCTTGAACCCAGGAGGCGGAGGTTGCAGTGACCTGAGATCACGCCATTGCACTCCAGCCTGGGTGACAGAACGAGACTCTGTCTCAAAACAAAAACAAAAACAAAAACAAAAACAAAAAAAAAGAAGGAAAAAAACTGTCTTAAAGTGGGATAGTTGGTAGCCATAAGAAAGCAAAAACATTTACCCTCTGAGAGACAAATGTCACTCTCATGTTGACCTAAACATTTGCTTTTGAAGGAGAACTGTGAAACATCTATACAGCTGTAAACAACAGCTTACCTGATTTCTACATTTTTTTTCAATTGTGTTAACTTTGTGAGCATAAATCAATTTCTTTATTTACTCTTCTTTAAATTTTAGGTGGCCGCGCGTGGTGGCTCACGCGTGTAATCCCAGCACTTTGGGAGGCCTAGGTGGGTGGATCACGAGGTCAGGAGATCAAGACCACCCTGGCTAACATGGTGAAACGCTGTCCCTACTAAAAATACAAAAAAATTAGCCGGGCTTGGTGGCGGGTGCCTGTAGTCCCAGCTACTTGGGAGGCTGAGGCAGGAGAATGGCGTGAACCCGGGAGGCAGAGCTTGCAGTGACCTGAGATCACACCACTGCACTCCAGCCTGGGCGACGGAGTGAGACTCTGTCTCAAAAAAAAAAAAAGTAATAATAATAATAATAATAATAAATTTTGGATTCGGGGGTACATGTACAGGTTTGCCATAAGAGTAAATTGTGTAATGATAAGATTTGGGCTTCTATTGATCACATCACCCATACAGCGAACATAGTACCCAGTAGGAAGTTTTTCAGCCCTTTTCCCTCTCCCTCTCTCCTTTTGGAGTCCCTACTGGCTAGTGTTCCCAGCTTTATGTCCACGTATATTTTCTCATTTTCTTTTCTTTTTTTTTTTTTCTTTTTGAGATGGAGTTTCGCTCTTGTTGCCCAGGCTGGAGTGCAATGACACGATCTTGACTCACTGCGACCTCTGCCTTCCGGGTTCAAGCGATTCTCCTGCCTCAGTCTCCCAAGTAGCTGGGATTACAGGAGCCCCCCACCATGCCCGGCTAATTTTTTTTTTTTTCAGACGGATTCTCACTCTGTTGCCCAGGCTGGAGTGCAGTGGGGCCATCTTGGCTCACTGCAACCTCCTCCTGGGTTCAAGCAATTCTCCTGCCTCAGCGTCCTGAGTAGCTGGGATTACAGATGCATGCCACCATGCCCAGGTAATTTTTGTATTTTTAGTAGAGACGGGGTTTCACCATGTTGGTCAGGCTGGTCTCAAACTCCTGACCATGTGATCCACCCACCTCAGCCTCCCAAAGTGCTGGGATTACAGGCATAAGCCACCGCACCCAGCCCCCTAATTTTTGTATTTTTAGTAGAGAGAGGGTTTCATCATGTTAGGCTGGTCTTGAACTCCTGACCTCAGGTGATCCACCTGCCTCAGCCTCCCAAAGTGCTGGGATTACAGGCATGAGCCGCTGTGCCCATCCCATTTACACACATTCTTATGCAATAGAACAATATGCAAGCAAATATTTAAGTAATTATGAAACTAATGTGGAAAAACTGCAAAAATGGAACTGTTGTATGGCAGACAGCTCTACCAAACCTTAGCTTCAAGTGTTGATTTGTCATTTTTCAGCTATGCAAAAGTCCAAACTAAAGTTTTAAAAGCAGTTTAAGAATGGAAGTATAGGCTGCACGTGGTGGCTCACACCTGTAATCCCAGCACATTGGGAGGCTGAGGCGGGCGGATCATGAGGTCAGGAGTTCAAGACCAGCCTGGCTAACATGGTGAAACCCCCGTGTCTACTAAAAATACAAAAAATTAGCCGGATGTGATGGCAGGCGCCTGTAGTTACAGCTACTTGGGAGGCTGAGGCAGGAGAATTGCTTGAACCCAGGAGGCAGAGGTTGCAATGAGCCGGGATCACACCACTGCACTCCAGCCTGGGTGACAGAGCAAAACTGCGTCTCTGAAAAAAAAAAGAAGAAGAAGAAGAATGGAAGTATAGGCTGGGCCCAGACTCTCATGCCTGTAACCCCAGCACTTTGGGAGGCCTAGGCAGGCGGATTACCTGAGGTCAGAAGTTCAAGACCAGCCTGGCCAACATGATGAAACCCATCTATACTAAAAATACAGAAATCAGCTAGGTGTGGTGGCGTGCGCCTGTAGTCCCAGCTACTTGGAAGGCTGAGGCAGTAGAATCGCTTGAAACCCGGAGGAGGACGTTGCAGTGAGCCGAGATGGCGCCACTGCACTCCAGCCTGGACAACAGGGCCAGACTCCGTCTCAAAAAAAAAAAAAAAAAATGCCGGGTGCAGTGGCTCATGCCTGTAATCCCAGCATTTTGGGAGGCCGAGGTGAGCAGATCATGCGGTCAAGAGATTGAGACCATCCTGGCCAACATGGTGAAACCCCACCTCTACTAAAAATACAAAAATTAGCTTGGTGTGGTGGCACGCGCCTGTAGTCCCAGCTACTTGTGAGGCTGAGGCAGGAGAATTGCTTGAACCCAGGAGGCAGAGGTTGCAGTGAGCTAAGATTGCGCCACTGCACTCTAGCCTGGGGACAGAGCGAGACTCCATCTCAAAAAAAAAAAAAAAAATGGAAGTATATAATGAATAACCGAGGTTGTGCAAAATTGAAAGGACAAAAGTCAAGGAAGTTACTTTGTTTTGTTTTGTTTTATTTTGTTATTTTGAAATGGTGTTTCACTATCACCCAGGTTGGAGTGCAGTGGCATTATCTCGGCTCACTGCAGCTCGGACCCCCAGGATCCAAGCAATCCTCCCACGTCAGCCTTTGGAGTAGTAGCTGGGACTACAGGCACTCACTAGGATACCTGGCTTATTTTTGTATTTTTTGTAGAGACAGGGTCTCACTAGGTAGCCCAGGCTGGTCTCAAACTCCTGAGCTCAGATGATCCACCCGTGTTGGCCTCCCAAAGTGCTGGGATTACAGACGTGAACCACTGCTTTCTCCCTACCTGTTTTTCTTTTTTTGAGGAAGAGTCTTACTCTGCCCAGGCTGGAGTGCAGTGGCGCAATCACAGTTCACTGCAGCCTTGATCTCCTTCCTGAGCTCCAGCAATCCTCCTGTCTCAGCTTCCCAAAGTGCTGGCATTACAGGTGTGAGCCACCGAGCCCAGCCAAGAGAAACACTTTCTATTATTTATAACCAATCAAATGTCATTATAGGCCGGGCACAGCGGCTCACGCCTGTATTCTCAGCTACTTGAGAGGCTGAGGCAGAAGAATCACTTGAACCCAGGAGGCAGAGGTTGCGGTGAGCCAAGATCATGCCACTGCACTCCAGCCTGGGGGACAGAGTGAGACTGTCTCAAAAAAAAAAAAAAAAGTTGTTATATAATACCCAGCAGATTGTTAAGTACTTGAACTTCAAATTTCTAGTTTAACTGGAAATGTAACCAAATTAGAACTGGTAGCCAACACTATTTGACTTGTCTGAGAGATGTGCCAAGGATTTGCGCAACTTTTGCCTTATGAAGTTTTCCAAGTAATTATAGAAACTGCACAGTTCTTGGAATGTGGGCTACCTAGATAAATACTGTTTTGGGAAAACTCTACAGGGTTCAGTTATGCAGAGACTTGTCTAGAGACTAAAGAAAATTAAGCAGAGTCTGCAGGAAATTTAAGGACTAATTTCACTTTCTAATCATAACTGAGATATATCATAATTTTCAGGATACACGAAGTTTCTTGTTAATTGAATTATTTGATAAATTAAATCTTAACCAGAAAACTCCTTTTCTTTCCACTCTTTTGGAAATATTTCTAGAATACATCAGTTATTTTTTCAGTCCTTAGAAAGCACAGGATAGGCTGGGCACAGTGGCTCACACCTATAATCTCAATGAGATAAAGTACCTAAAAGTGCTTAACACAGTGCCTGGAGTATAATATGTGCTTAATAACTGTTGTCTACTATTTTCTTTTTCTTTTTCTTTTTTTTTTCAAGACGGAGTCTCATACTGTTGCCTGGGCTGGAGAGTAATGGCACGATCTTGGCTCACTGCAACCTCCGCCTCCCGGGTTCAAGTGATTCTCCTACCTCAGCCTCCAGAGTAGCTGGGATTATAGTTGCCTGCCACCACACCCAACTAATTTTTTGTATTTTTAGTAGAGACAGGGTTTTACTATGTTGGCCAGGCTGGTCTTGAACTCCTGACCTCATTATCTGCCTGCCTCGGCCTGCCAAAGTGCTGGGATCATAGGCGTGAGCCACCGTGCACAGCCTACTATTGTTAATATTGTTCATATTATTGCCATTATTGCTGTTAGTTCTCTTTGGTTTCTAGGAGCAAAGGAAATGAACTTAAGCTAGCTTAAGCAAGGAAAAAAATGTATATATATATATATATAAAATCATCATCATATGTATAATAATGATAACAGGGGTGCTTCATGGAACCCAAGTAAAATTACAGCTAGACTTCAAGAAAGGAGTCAGGTAAGAACTGAAAGATGGTATCAGCAATACATTCTACTCCTAATTTCCCTCTCAACATCTCCTTCATTCTTTTTTTTTTTCCGAGACAGAGTTTCACTCTTGTTGCCCAGGCTGGAGTGCAATGGCATGATCTCCACTCACTGCAATCTCTGTCTCCTGCGGTCAAGTGATTCTCCTGCCTCAGGCTCCCAAGTAGCTGCGATTATAGGCATACGCCATCATGCCAGGCTAATTTTTGTATTTTTACTAGAGATGGGGTTTCACCATGCTAGTCAGGCTGGTCTCAAACTCCTGAACTCAGGTGACCCACCCGCCTTGGCCTTCCAAAATGTTGGGAGTACAGGTGTGAGCCACTGTACCCGGCCCTTCATACTTTGCTCTTTAAAAAGAGCTCCTTCTTTGCTTTTCAGTCCACATGACATGCAGTAGAGAATCACCTCTCATCTTTTGTTTGCTTGTTTGTTTGTTTGTTTTGAGACGGAGTCTCTCACTGTCACCTGGGCTGGAGTGCAATGGTGTGATCTTGGCTCACTGCAACCTCTGCCTCCCAGGTTCAAGCAATTCTCCTGCCTCAGGCTCCCGAGTAGCTGGGATTACAGGCACCAGCCACCAAGCCCCGGCTAATTTTTTGTATTTTTAGTAGTGATGGAGTTTCACTATGTTGGCCAGGCTGGTCTCGAATTCCTGACCTCGTGATCCGCCTGCCTCGGCCTCCCAAAGTGCTCGGATTACAGGCGTGAGCCACCATGCCCAGCCTTGTTTGTATTTTTAGTAGAGACAGTGTTTCACCATGTTGGCCAGGCCAACTCCTGGACTCAATTGATCTCCCTGCCTCTGCCTCCCAAAATGCTGGGATTATAGGTGTGAGCCTCCACACCCAGCCACCTCTCATCTTCTGAGTTTACATAGCCTACATCTTAGATTAGCTCAGACTAAACTAGAATCTCTTAGTCCAAATAAGAAATGCCAAGGACAACAAATGGAATTCTTTTTTCTTTTTCCCATAGAACTTACCATCTAGAATACAAAATAATTTACTTATTTTTTTTTGATGATTTATGGTTTGCCTCTCCAGATGCGCATGCCTTGTTTAATCAACTGGGGCCAAGTGTGCAGGGTCATGTCTAAAACGTGAAGTGAACCACCATTAATGAATTGGGAAACGAGTAACAATTTTCAGAGAAAGGAAGAATCATGCACCAGATATATCCTCCAAAAGATCTCCACCAAAGTTTTATTTCCGTTAAAGTTAGTGCCAACTCGGTGTTCTTTATATTACACACACCCAACATTCACAATAAAAATAAAATCTCTCTCAGCATCACATTTAATTATTTAAATGAAATTTTCAGAGTTTGACTTTTTAAATTCTTTTTTTTTTTTTTGAGATGGAGTTTCACTCTTGTTGCCCAAGCCGGAGTGCAATGGCATGATCTCAGCTCACTGCAACCTCCACCTCCTGGGTTCAAGCGATTCTCCTGCCTCATCCTCCTGAGTAGCTGGGATTACAGGTGCAAACCACCAAGCCTGGCTATTTTGCATTTTTAGTAGAGACGGGGTTTCACCATGTTGGCCAGGCTGGTCTCGAACTCCCGACCTCAAGAGATCCACCCCCCTTGGCCTCCCAAAGTGCTGGGATTACAGGCGTGAGCCACCAACCCAGGCCCACTGTTCACATTTTAACAAGTAATCTTTAATATATATTTATAGATTCAAAATTAATAATACAGCTGGGTGTGGTGGCTCAGACCTCTAATCTCAGCCCACTGGGAGGACAAGGCAGGCGAATCACTTGAGGTCAGGAGTTGGAGACCAGCCTGGTCAACATAGTGAAACCCTGTTTCTACTAAAAATAGAAAAATTGGCTGGGTGTGGTGGCGCATGCCTGTAATCCCAGCTACTTGGGAGGCTGAGGCACCAGAATTGCTTGAACCTGGGAGGCAGAGGTTGCAGTGAGCCCAGATTGCACCACTGCACTCCAGCCCGAGTGACACAGCAAGACTCCACCTGAAAAAACAACAACAAAAAAAAAAAAAAAAAAAAAAGAAGAAGAAGAAGAAGAAAGAAAGCTATTACTCATAAGAAACTCCATGGCTGGACCATGATCTGCATCCCTGAGTCTGTCACAGTTAGTGTTGCAAGACAGACTTATTCCTCCTTGTGTGCCATTCCCTTTCTGGGGTATTTAGCACATGCCATGGGGAACAGAAGGGATATTTGGCAATGTGACTAAATGCAGGGAGAGAGACAGACAGAGACTGTTTTTGAATATTAACAGAGAAGGGCAGTCTTTTCAATGTGAACAGTCTGATTGTATATACACCATGGATAGGATTGATACACTCCCGATCTCATCTAAAGTGGAGCAGAGCTGAATGGCTCAAGCCTGTGCCAAATGTAGAAAAGAGATAGGATCCTAGGGAAAGGGTGCAAGTCTCTGTCATGGAGGGAGGAGAAAAGAAAGAGAAGATCCCAAAGGGAGATTGTATATTTGTGGGAAAAAAGAGGCGTGGCCATGTAGGGCAGCTCAATGGACCTAAATGAAGGTGTCCTAAATGGACCACTGCCCATTAAGGATAAATGGGAAAGCTGATATGAAAAGAATAGAGGAACTCTTTCCGAACTCTTACTTCCTTGGTACTTGGAGTTGGGAGCTCTGACACTAACTTGAAGCAAGGGACTATTATGTACATTCTGTAAGAATGAAGCTCTGTGGGGGCAAGGATCTTTATTTTGTTCACTCATGTATCCTAAGTGCCTGGCACCTATAGGTACTCAATAAATATTTGTTCAATTAAATAAATTATAGATTGTGTATATATGCTTGACTGGCTAACAGAGGGATTGTTTTATATTGGATTGTACCACCTCTGCATTTCCTATTCAGAGCATAATTCTGATGTTTCGTTAGAAATCAGCTGGACGTGGTGGCTCACGCCTGTAATCCCAGCACTTTGGGAAGCTGAAGCGGGCAGATCACAAGGTCAGGAGATGGAGACCATCCTGGCTAATATGGTGAAACCCCATCTCTACTAAAAATACAAAAAGTATCTGGGTGTGGTGGCGTGTGCCTGTAATCCCAGCTACTCGGGAGGCTGAGGCAGAAGAATCGCTTGAACCTGGGAGGCAGAGGTGCAGTGAACAGAGATCACACCACTGCACTCAAGCCTGGTGATAGAGTGAGACTCCATGTCAAAAAGAAAGAAAGAAAAGAAACCAACTAGTAAGGCAGGGCGCAGTGGCTCATGCCTGTAATTCCAGCACTTTAGGAGGCAGAGGAGGACGTATCACTTGAGGTCACAAGTTCAGGATCAGCCTGGTCAATATGGTGAAACCCCATCTCTTCTAAAAATATAAAATTTAAAAAAAACAAAAAAACAAAAACAAAAATTAACGAGGCATGGTGGTGCATGCCTGTAGTCCCAGCTACTGGGGAGGCTGAGGCAGGAGGATCACTTGAACCTAGGAGATGGAGGTTACAGTGAGCCAAGATTGCACAGCTGCACTCCAGCCTGAGCAAGAGAGCTGAACTCTGTCACAAAAAAAAAAAAAAAAAAAATCAACCAGCAGGGCTGGGCGTGGTGGCTCAAGTCTGTAATTCCAGCACTTTGGGAGGCTGAGGCAGGCAGATCACTTGAGGTCCCAAGGTACTGGGATTACAGGAGTGAGCCACCCCACCCAGCCAGATGGGTTTTATTTAACCCTATATATCTTGACTGACTTTCCAACCTGACTCTGGCATAGAATTACCAGATAAGGAATAAAAGTATTTTTATTTTTATTTATTATTATTATTTTTTGAGACGGAGTTTCCCTCTGTCGCCCAGGCTGGAGTGCAGTGGTGCAATCCTGGCTCACTGCAACCTTTCTGCCTCCCGGGTTCAAGCAATTCTCCTGCCTCAGCCTCCCGAGTAGCTGGGATTACAGGTGCCCGCCACCACGCCAGGCTAACCTTTGTATTTTGTTTTTTCTTTAAGACAGAGTCTCTCTCTGTCGCCAGGCTGTAGTACAGTGGCGCGATCTCAGCTCACTGCAACCTCCGACTCCCTGGTTCAAGAGATTCTCCTGCCCCAGCCTCCCAAGTAGCTGGGATTACAGCAACGCACCACCACGCCCAGCAAATTTTTGTATTTTTAGTAAAGACGGGTTTTCACCATGTTGGCCAGGCTGGTCTCAATCTCCTGACCTTGTGATCCACCCACCTCGGCCTCCCAAAGTGCTGGGATTACAGGCGTAAGCCGCCGCACCAGGCCCGGCCTTACTTTTTTATTTTTAGTAGAGACGGGGTTTCACCATGTTGGCCAGGATGGTCTCAATCTGTTGATCTCATGATCCGCCTGCCTCAGCCTCCCAAAGTGCTGGTATTACAGGCGTGAGCCACCGCGCCTGGCCAGAATCAAAGTATTTTACCCCAAAACATGTTTCTTTGGCGTATTTTAAAATGGCCCTGCAAAGCTGTTCTTTGTGGGGGAAATTTGCATCTGTAAAGGATCTCTATTAACGTAGCTATATCTTTTTCCTCCAGACACTCCCAATGCTAAAGAGATTAACTACGATCTGAACAGAAAACATTTGTCATCTATTGTCTCTAAGGGGAGTCACTATAAGACTTCCAAAGAACTTTGGTCTCCACAATCTTTATCTTACCCTGAACATTCCCTTTCTATCAATCTCAAATCTTTAGTCAAACTCGACCAATTGTTAACCAGAAAATGTTCAAATTCACCTATAGCCTGTAAGCGCCCCCTCCCACCCCTTTGAGTTGTCCCCCGTTTCTGGACCATAGCAATGTATTTCTTTTTCTTTCTTTCTTTCCTTTTTTTTTTTTTTGGACACAGAGTCTCCTTCTGTCCCCCAGGCTAGAGTGCAGTGAACTCACTGCAACCTCTGCCTCCTGGATTCAAGGGATTCCCCTGCCTCAGCCTCCTGCGCAGCTGGGACTACAGGTGTGTGCCACCACGCCTGGCTAATTGAGACTATCTTTTCATTCTCTATATGGAAAATAATATTATAAAATTGTTGCCCTATGAGAAGATGACCAAAGATCACCAAATTTTTGGAAAATGAGAAGATGGAAACATGGATTCTTTCATTTGACTGTTGGCTTAATCCATAAATATTTATTAGTTGCCCACTATATTTTCTTTTTTTTCTTTTCTTTTTTTTTTTTTTTTTTTTTTTGATATGGAATCTTGTTCTGTTGTCCAGGCTGGAGTGCCATGGCAATGTCTCAGCTCATTGCAACCTCTGCCTCTCAGGCTCAAGAGATTCTCCTGCCTCAGCCTGCCAAGTAGCTGGGATTACAGGTGCCCGCCACCACGCCCGGCTAGTTTTTTTTTTTGAGATGGAGTCTTGCTCTGTCGCCCAGGTTAGAGTGCAGTGGCACAATCTTGGCTCACTGCAACCTCCACTTCCTGGGTTCAAGCAATTCTCCTGCCTCAGCCTCCTGAGTAGCTGGGATTACAGGCCCCCACCACCACACCTGGCTAATTTTTGTATTTTTAGTAGAGATGGGGTTTCACAGTCTTGGCCAGGCTGGTCTCGAACTCCTGACATCAGGTGATCCACCTGCCTTGGCCTCCCAAAGTGGTGGGATTACAGGCTTGAGCCACTGTGCCCGGCCGCCCACTATACTTTCAAAAATGCTGACAGAGGTTGGGAGTAGAACACTAAATAGATGTAAATAGTCCTGCACATCAAGGAATTCACAGTCTAAGGTGGAATAGGCCCCTAACAAGTAAACTTACCAATTATTACTTATTTATAATTAGTATAATTATGACAAAAAATAAGTGCAAGAGAGCTAACCAGAAAGATTCCTTGAAAAACAGGATGTCTAAATTGGGGTAGTAATCCAGATTAAAAGGGGAAGAAAGAATAACCTATTTTGGGGGAATAGCAGAACAAAAGGCTCTGAGGTAGGAAAGTACTTGTTAACTTCAAAGAACAAAAAAATAAAAAAATAAAAAAAAAGGCCGGGCACAGTGGCTCACGCCTGTAATCCCAGCACTTTGGGAGGCCGAGGCAGGCAGATCACGAGGTCAGGAGATCGAGACCATCCTGGCTAATACGGTGAAACCCCGTCTCTACTAAAAATACAAAAAAAAAAAAAATTAGCTGGGCGTGGTGGCGGGCGCCTGTAGTCCCAGCTACTCAGGAGGCTGAGGCAGGAGAATGGCGTGAACCCGGGAGGCGGAGCTTGCAGTGAGCCGATATCGCGCCACTGCATTCCAGCCTGGGAGACAGAACGAGGCTCTGTTTCAAAAAAAAAAAAAAAAAAAAAAAAAAAAAAAAAGCTAGCGTAGCTACTGTGAAAATAAATTTAAAATCTAGCATGTTGGAACTGTAAATTATTTTGAGCCTTAAAGGAGAGAGATTATAAGGCCTGAATCATGTGACAGGCAGCTGTTACCTAGGCAACTAGAAACTTTGTTTCTCTGATTATAGATTATTCTTATTCCTTATCTACATTGTTTTTAAAATACTGCAAAGGACTAAAAGGGCCAGGGCAGACCTCTTCCCTCTTCACAGTTAATCTTCATTATAGATTAACTTCCCTCTTACTTTTCTCACACAAAGACTTCATGGCTATCACATCCTCTTAAGATGGAATGTTAAGTACATTCTTTTAAATTGGAAAGGTAATGAAAACTAGCACAAAGAAAAGAAAACAGGCTGGGAGTGGTGGCTCATGCCTGTAATCCCAACACTTTGGGAGGCCAGGGTGGGCGGATCACTTGAGGCCAAGAGTTCCAGACTAGCCTGGCCAATACGGTGAAACTCCGTCTCTACTGAAAATACAAATATTTGCTGGGTGTGGTGGCAGACCACCTGTGGTCCCAGCTACTTGGGAGGTTAAGGCAGGAGAATTGCTTGAACCTGGGAAACAGAGGTTGGAGTGAGCCAAGTTTGCACCAGTGCATTCCAGCCTGGGCAACAGAGTGAGACTTTGTCTAAAGAAAAAAAAAAAAAGAAAAGCGGCCGGGCGCAGTGGCTCACGCCTGTAATCCCAGCACTTTGGGAGGCCGAGGCAGGCGGATCACGAGGTCAGGAGATCGAGACCATCTTGGCTAACATGGTGAAACCCCGTTTCTACTAAAAATACAAAAAATTAGCCAGGCGCGGTGGCAGGCGCCTGTAGTCCTAGCTACTCAGGAGACTGAGACAGGAGAATGGCTTGAACCCGGGAGGCGGAGCTTGCAGGGAGTCGAGATCGCGCCACTGCACTCCAGCCGCCTGGGCGACGAAGCGAGACTCCGTCTCAAAAAAAAAAAAAAAAAAAAGAAAAGCAAGAAAAAAGAAAACAAGCCATATGGGAAAAAAAGTAAACTATAACTAATTAAATTGTTGTAATTCATAAACCAGGCTAGTATATAAAATGTTATAATCCTACTAAACTTGTTTTCTTCTGTCTTTGTAAGAAGGAATTTAAAGGCAGGGTGCAGTGGCTCATGCTTGTAATCTCAGTACTTTGGGAGGCCAAGGCAGGAGGATCTTGTGGGCCTGGGAGTTTGACACCAGCCTGGGCAATATAGTAAGATCTCATCTCTTAAAAAAAATTAAAAACTGGCCAGGCGCGGTGGCTCACGCCTGTAATCCCAGCACTTTGGGAGGCTGAGGCAGGAGGATCACGTGAGATCAGGAGTTTGAGACCAGCCTGGCCAACATGGGAAAACCCCATCTCTACTAAAAATACAAAAAATTAGTGGGGCATGGCAGCAGGCGCCTGTAATCCCAGCTACTTGGGAGGCTGAGGCAGGAGAATCACTTGAACGCGGGGGTGGAGTTTTCGGTGAGCCAAAATCGTGCCACTGCACTCCAGCTTGGGCGACAGAGCAAGACTCTGTCTCAAAAAATAAAATAAGGCCGTGCGCAGTGGCTCATGTCTGTAATCCCAGCACTTTGGGAGGCCGAGGCAGGTGGATCATCTGAAGTCAGGAGTTCGAGACCAGCCTGGCCAACATGGTGAAACCCCGTCTTAACCAGGTGTGTTGGAGCGTGCCTGTAATCCCAGCTGAGGCTGGGGCAGGAGAATCGCTTGAAGCCGGGAGGCGGCGGTTGCAGTGAGCAAAGATTGCACCATTGCACTCTAGCCTCAGCAACAGGGCGAGATGTTGTCTCCAAAAAAAATAAATAAATAAAATTAAAATTAAAGAAAAATAGAAAGAAAGAAACTTAACTTTTAACTTTAGAACACTGACCCCATTTTCCTGTAGCCTTTGTCTCCCAAGTGGCTATTTCCAATTTTTTGCTCGAATAAAGTCTTTAAGGTGGATTCTGATCCTTTTGATTATTTCAGGTTGACACTAGTGTGCCATGAGCAATGGGAAAGTGGTGAATGAATCCAACAAGTTAATTTTGCCTGTTCTGAAACTTCATACTGTCATCCTTCAGTATCTGCTGGGGATTGGTTCCCAGAGCTGCATGGACACGAAATATCCTCGCATGCTCAACTTCCTTATATAAGAGGCCTAGTATTTGCATATACTAGATGTACCTCCTCCCATATCCTTTTTTCTGTTTTTTTTTTTTTTTTTTTTTTGGAGACGGAGTCTCACTTGGTCCCCAGGGTGGAGTGCAGTGGCGCAAAATCGACTCACTGCAACCTCCACCTCCTGAGTTCAAGGAATTCTCCTGTCTCAGCCTCCTGAGTAACTGGGATTACAGGCACCCGCCACTACACCCAGCTAATTTTTGTATTTAGTAGAGGTGGTGTTTTGCTATATTAGCCAGGCTGGTCTCTAACTCCTGACCTCAAGTGATCCATGTGCCTTGGCCTCCCAAAGTGCTGGGATTACAGGAATGAGCTACCATGCCTGGCCCCTGTCATAGATTTTAAATCAAATTTAGGTTACTTATAATAACAAATACAATGCAAATACTATTTAAATAGTTGCTATACTGTATTGAGTTTTATTTGTATTTTTTAAAATTGTTTTTCTAAACAATCTTTTTTTTGCCTTGCTATTGAGCTGTATTTTTTTTTTAATTTTCCTTTAAATACAATATTTAGGCCTGGCATGGTGGCTCACGCCTGTCATCCCAGCACTTTGGGAGTTCGAGGCAGGTAGATCACTTGAGGTCACGAGTTGGACACTGGCTTGGGCAACATGGCAAAACCCTGTCTCAACTAACAATACAAAAATTAGCCGGATGTGGTGGTGCACGCCTGTAATCCCAGCTACTCAGGAGACTGAGGCACCAGAATCTCTTGAATCCCAGAGGCAGAGGTTGTGTTGAGCCAAGACGGCACCACTGCACTCCAGCAGGCCATCAGAGGGAGACTGGGCGACAGAAGGAGACCCTCTCTAAATAAATAAATGAAGATTACACATTTTTTTTTTTTTTGAGATGGAGTCTCGCTCTGTCCCCCAGGCTGGAGTGCAGTGGCATGATATCAGCTCACTACAACCTCCGCCTCCCGGGTTCAAGCAATTCTCCTGCCTCAGCCTCCCGAGTAGCTGGGACTACAGGCACGTGCCACCACTCCCGGCTAATTTTTTGTATTTTTAGTAGAGACAGGGTTTCACTGTGTTAGCCAGGATGGTCTCGATCTCCTGACCCCGTGATCCGCCCACCTCAGCCTCCCAAAGTGCTGGGATTACAGGTGTGAGCCAAAGCACCAGGCCAGATTAAAGATTTTTTAAAATTTAAATGTACATTTATTTATTTATTTTATTTTTTTTTGAGACGGAGTCTGGCTCTGTCGCCCAGGCTGGAGTGCAGTGGCGTGATCTCGACTCATTGCAAGCTCCGCCTCCCAGGTTCACGCCATTCTCCTGCCTCAGCCTCCCCAGTAGCTGGGACTACAGGAGCCCGCCGCCACGCCCAGCTAAGTTTTTGTATTTTTAGTAGAGACGGGGTTTCACTGTGTTAGCCAGGATGGTCTCAATCTCCTGACCTCGTGATCCACCCGCCTAGGCCTCCCAAAGTGCTGGGATTACAGGTGTGAGCCACTGCGCCTGGCCTTTACGTTTACATTTAAACTTTAACTTTAATTTTTTGAGACAGGGTCTTGCTCTGTCACCCAGGCTGGAGTGCAGTGGTGTGATCACGGCTCTGTGCAGCCTCAACTTCCCAGGCTCCAGTGATCTTACCACCTCAGCCTCCCCAGTAGCTGGGACCACAGGCTCAGGCCACCACGACTGGCTACTTTTTGTATTTTTTGTAGAGATGGGTTTTCACCATGTTGCCCAGGCTGGTCTCAAAACTCCTGGGGTCAAGCAATCCACATGCTTCAGCCTCCCAAAATGCTGGGGTTACAGGCCTGAGCCACCATGCCCAACTGCTTTGTTTTTATTTCCTGAATTTTTTTTTTTTTGAGACGGAGTCTCGCTCTTGTTGCTCAGGCTGGAGTGCTATGGCATGATTTGAGCTCACTGCAGCCTCTGCCTCCTGGGTCCAAGCGATTCTGCTGCCTCAGCCTCCCAAGTACCTGGGATTACAGGCATGCGCCACCACGCCTGGCTAATTTTGTATTTTTAGTACAGACGGGTTTTCTCCACATTGGTCAGGCTGGTCTGAAACTCCTGACCTCAGGTGATCTGCCTGCCTAGGCCTCCCAAAGTTCTGGGATTACAGGCATGAGCCACCTCACCTGGCCTGAATATTTTGTATTTGTGGTTGGTTGAATCCATGAATGACGAACCTATGGATAAGGAGAGCCGACAGGATAAGTGAAATTTAAAGAGTATACAACATATATGCTTGTGTGTAAGGCTTTTAAAACTTAGAATAATGTGGGCCGGGCCTGGTGGCTTAGGCCTGTAATCCTAGCACTGTGGGAGGCCGATTTACGGGGATCACCTGAGGTCAGGAATTCGAGACCAGCCTGGCCAACATGGTGAAACCCCATCTCTACTAAAAATTACAAAAAAATTATCTGGGTGTGGTGGTGTGCGTCCGTAATCCCAGCTACTTGGGAGGCTGAGGCAGGAGAATTACTTGAACCTGGGAGATGGAGGTTGCAGTGAGCTGAGATCACACCATTGCACTCCAGCCTGGGCGACAGGGCAAGACTCTGTCTCAAAAAAAACAAAAACAAAAACTTAGCATAATGTTTTCAGATTTCATCCATGCTGTTGTATTTGTAAGCATTTGTTCCTGAGCATTATTTTATTGTAAGGATATACCACGATCTATTTATCTATTCACGGGTTGATGGACATTTGGGTTATTTCCAGATTTTGGCCATTGTGAATAGAGCTGCAATGAACATTCTTGTATAAGAGATGTGAGATTTTTAGTCCACTGTTTTCCCCACCTCACTGCAGAGTAAAAGCAAGAATATACTCTTTGTTATACAGCAATTTTAATAAAAGAGCTAGGAATAGTTTAATACCTATCTGATCCTTTCATTGACCTCATGAAAGCACTTGGGTTCTAGCAACTGCAGGTAAAAAGAGCTGGGTCAAGTAATTCAGCACGGCCATAGCATCACCCTGGCCTGAGTCCATATCACCAAAATTTGATATATGAATCACACTTTGAGATGGAAGGTGTCCAGATACCAAAGGGTCCTTGTTGATGCTTGGAGGTGGGGAATTGATCTTGTCTATACCCTCAAGTTTAATAAAGAATTCCTAACTGCAGAAGAGATTCTTTATCTGCTGCCAAATAGTCTTAATCCTACTTCCTCTTTCCTACTTCCCCCACAGGACTGACCTCAAGCAAAGATCTGTAACTCTAGCCTTACTGTGCAAGCCCATGGCACTTTTAGTATATCTGCATGTTCAGCAGAAGCTAGATATGTCCCTGCTTTGCAACAACTGGTAATGGTGAGTCGGCTGTGTAAGGTCAAGTGCTACTCCCATATGCATGGAATGCTTTCTGATGATCACAACTGTAGTCACTTTAAATTGAATTACAACACTGTACAAATATGATAGTATTAAGAATATCAGTCTTCAGTGAATTTTTCATATTTCTCTCTCTATATAAACAAAGACAGTATTTTTAAACTTTTTTTTTTAGACAAGGTCTTGTTCCATTGCCTAGGCTAGAGTGCAGTGGCGTGATCACAGCTCACTACAGCCACCACCTCCCAGGCCCAAGCAATCCTCACACCTCAGCCTCCCAAGTAGCTGGGACCACAGGTGCACACCACCACGTCCAGCTAATTTTTTTTTTTTTTTTTGAGACCGAGTCTCGCGCTGTCAGCAGGCTGGAGTGCAACCTCTGCCTCCCGGGTTCAATCGATTATGCTGCCTCAGCCTCCTGAGTAGCTGGGAACAGGTGTGCGCCACCACGCCCAGCTAATTTTTGTATTTTTAGTAGAGATGGGGTTTCACCATGTTGGCCAGGATGGTCTCGATCTCTTGACCTCGTGATCCACCCAGCCCATTTTTTTTCTTTTTTTTTTTTTGAGACAGAGTTTCACTCTTGTTGCCCAGGCTGGAGTGCAGTGGCATGATCTCAGCTCACTGCAACCTCCGCCTCCCGGGTTCAAACGATTCTCCGGCCTCAGCCTCCCGCATAGCTGGGATTACAGGTGCCCGCCACCATACCCGGCTAATTTTTGTATTTTTAATAGAGACCGGGTTTCGCCATATTGGGCAGGCTAGTCTAGAACTCCTCACCTCAGGTGATCCACACACCTCGGTCTCCCAAAGTGCTGGGATTACAGGCCTGAGCCACCGCACCTGGCCACATCCAGTTAATTTTTACATTGTTTTTGTAGAAATGGGAACTCTCCATGTTGCCCAGGCTGAAAACTTTTTTTTTCCTTTGAAAAGAAACATATCTTGCAGGAATTTTCTTTCAAGGGAGGACTCCTAAGGCCTTTTTGTGTGCTAATTTCTTTTTGTTTTGCTATATTTCTTCTTATCTCTTTTTTTTTTTTTTTTTTTTTTTTGAGACAGGGTCTAGCTCTCACTCAGGCTGCAGTGCAACGGCCACGATCTTGGCTCACTGCAATCTCAGCCTCCTGGGTTCAAGCAATTTTCCTTTCTTAGCCTGCTTAGTAGCTGGGATTACAGGTGTGTGCCACCACGACTAGCTAATTTTTGTATTTTTAGTAGAGATGGGATTTTGCCATGTTGTCCAGGCTAGTCTCAAACTCCTGGCCTCAAGTGATCCACCTACCTCGGCCTCCCAAAGTTCTGGAACTACAGGCCTGAGCCACCATGCCCAGCCTTCACATTCTTTTCAATGCACAGCTGAGTCCACAAGAAAGTAAGTGTTACAGATCGTTAGTAGAGACGGAGTTTTGCCACGTTGCCCAGGTTGGTCTCAAACTATTGGGCCTAAGTGATCTGTCCGCCTCTGTCTCTCAAATTGCTGGGATTACAGGTGGGAGCCACCATGCCTGGTGCTAACATATGCCCAACAGTGGTTTAGCAGCAGAGAATAACATGAAATGGAATATTCAAAGAAATAATGTCTCAATATTCTAGAATCAATGGATTACAGTGAATAATGATATATTCTTACATGGCCTATAAGACCTCAACTGATAGCCCCTCTTAAGCTTTTTAATTTTTTCCTGCCATCATTCCCTCAACTTTATATGTCACTCACTAACTGGGGCAAGTTTGTTCAACCTGCAGCCCCAGATGGCTTTGAATGCAACCCAACACAAATTCGTGAACTTTCTGAAAACATTATGAGATTTTTTGGAGATTTTTTGGAGGTGTCTGATTTACATAGGGCTCACAGATTGGTTCCATCAGGTATGATGTCTACATAGCTCTCAGGGAAGGCTGGCGTCCCCACCCTAATCTTATTATGCAAAGGAACTTTCCCCTTGGTTGGAGCCATCTTGTCTGCTCCTTACTGTACAGGGCTGGCAGAGAAGGGAAAATGGAACTGCCATTTTGAACATGACTAGCACAACTGCCGGCATCTATGTCTGCAGCTCTATTTCATAGACTGCTCTTTGTTAGAAAGGAAAATGATTTGGGGCTGCTTTTCTTCCCTCCCTCCCTCCCTCCTTCCTTCCTTCCTTCCTTCCTTGATGGAGTTTTGCTTTTGTTACCCAGGCTGGAGTGCAAAGGCGCCATCTCGGCTCACTGCAACTTCTGCCTCCCAGGTTCAAGCGATTCTCCTGCCACAGTTTCTTGAGTAGCTGGGATTACAGGTGCCCACCACCATGCTCGGCTAATTTTTGTATTTTTAGTAGAGACTGAGTTTTACCAGTTGGCTAGGCTGGTCTTGGGGGCTGCTTTTCATTAAAAGAAAAACTTTGGCTGGGCGCGGTGGCTCACTCCTGTGATCCCAGCACTTTGGGAGGCTGAGGCAGGCAGATCACTTAAGGTCAGGAGTTCAAGACCAGCCTGGCCAACATAGTGAAACCCCATCTCTACTAAAAATACAAAAATTAGCTGAGCGTGGTGGTGCATGCCTGTAATCCCAGCTACTTGGGAAGCTGAGGCAGAAGAATAGCTTGAAACTGGGAGGCAGAGGTTGCAGTGAGCTGAGATTGCACCACCTTACTCCAGCCTGGGCAATAGAGGGAGCCTCCATCTCAAAAAAAAATAAATAAATAAAGGAAAACCTTATCCAGGACTTCCGTACCCTTACTATTTGCCTAAGTAATTTCTTCTTTTGTTTTTTTGAGACAAAGTCTTGCTTTGTTACCCAGGCTGGAGTGCAGCGGCTCAATCTCTGCTCACTGAAACCTCCACCTCTGGGGTTCAAGCGATTCTCCTTCCTCAGTCTCCTGAGTAGCTGGGACTGCAGGCAACTGCCACGATGCCTGGCTAATTTTATTTTTGTATTTTTAGTAGAGACGGGGTTTCACCATGTTGGTCAGGCTGGTTTTGAACCCCTGACCTCAGGTGATCCACCCCCCTCGGTCTCCCAAAGTGCTGGGATTACAGACGTGAGCCACCGCTCCTGGCCATCTTTTAAGGTATTTAAATCATTGGTCCCCAGCCTTTTTGGCACCAGGGACTGGTTTCACAGAAGACAGTTTTTCCACAGACATGTGGTGGGTTGGGGGGCATAGTTTTGGGATGATTCAAGCACATTACATTTATTGTGTATTTTATATTATTATTACATTGTAATATATAATGAAATAATTATACAACTCACCATAATGTAGAATCAGTGGGAGACCTGAGCTTGTTTTTCTGCAACTAGATAGTCCCATCTGGGGGTGATGGGAGACAGTGACAGATCATCAGGCATTAGATTCTCATATGGAGCACATGACCTTGATCCCTCACAATAGGGTTCATGCTTTTATGAGAATCTAATGCTGCCACTGATCTGACAGGGGGTGAACTCAGGCATTAATGCAAGTGATGGGGAACGGCTCTATATACAGGTGAAACTTTGCTGGCTCCCCCTCTGCTCACCTCCTGCTGTGCAGCCCAGTTCCTAACAGGCTGAGGACAGAACCGGTACCTGTTGGGGATCCCTGATTTAAATGAAATAGCTGGAACTCCATTTTGTAGTTAATGGATGGTTTATTTTCTCCCAAGAGTTTCTATATGCACGATAAATCCAGTAACCCCAGTGGTTTACTCTGGCCTGAGAACAATTGCCCTCAAATAACCAACAGGCTCATTCTATTTGTTTTGTTTGTAGATATGGGGTTTTGCTATATTGCCTAGACTGATCTTGAACTCTTGGGCTCAAGCAATCTGCCCACCTTGGCTTCCCAGAGTGCTGGGATTACAGGCATGAGCCACCATGCACGGCCTCCAGTTGCTTTTTACTGATTGCTGTGTCAGCCACGGAGGGACCCTGACTACTGAGTTTCCCAAGGAAACTCAAGGGCTGAAGCTCAAATGGCTCCCTTTGAAGTTGAGAGTCTGCTACCAGTGCCATAGTTACTTTCTCAGCACCACCATGGGTAGCCAGAAAGACAGTGGGGGCTCAGGGTACTGTTTGTGTAGGCCTGTTCCCCACACCACTCCGGCAATCTCAACAGCTGTTCCCTCCAAGCTCCCTGTGCATTTCCTGTATGATCTTGTAAGTATGAAGATCAGCAATAAAATGGTAAGTTGCCTTTGCTTTTCTCTGTAGTTGGCCTAAATCACCACAGCCCCTGACTCCCAACACTAGTTACACACACAGAGCATGGAGCAAGCCAGCCTCTCCATGGCATGCCTCAAGGGCCAGGATTTAAGTCACTCAATCCTGATCGTTCTGTCTCCTTCCCCCGCCCCTCAATTTGTGTTCTATTTTTCATCCTTCCTGCCACCCTCCTGGCTCAGGTCCTAACATTTATTCTGATCACTACAGAATAAGGAGACAGTAGTCTTCTTATTCGTGTCTTGCCTTCACCCATCATTCATACCACTCTGCTTACCTGCTTGCCACTGCTACACCCTTTTTTTTTTCTTTTTTTTTTTTTTGAGACAAAGTCTCGCTCTGTTGGCCAGTCTGGAGTGCAGTGGCACAATCTCAGCTAACTGCAACCACTGCCTCCGAGGCTCAAGCGATTCTCCTGCCTCAGCCTCCTGAGTAGCTGGGATTACAAGCATGTGCCACCACGCCCGGCTAATTTTTTTGTATTTTTAGTAGAGACAGGGTTTCACCATGTTGGCCAGGCTGATCTCAAACTCCTGACCGCAGGTGATCCGCCCACCTCAGCCTCCCAAAGTGCTGGGATTACAGGCATGAGCCACCGCGCCCAGCCAACTGCCACACCCTTACTCTTCCTTTTTTTTTTTGAGAGAAGTCTTGCTCTTGTTCCCCAGGTTTGAGTGCAATGGCTTGATCTCGGCTCACTGCAACTTCTGCCTCCTGGGATCAAACGATTCTCCTGCCTCTGCCTCCCAAGTAGCTGGGATTAAGGTGCCTTCCACCACGCCTGGCTAATTTTTGTATTTTTTAGTAGAGACAGGGTTTCACCGTGTTGGCCAGGCTGGTCTCGAATGCCTGACCTCAGGTGATCCACCCGCCTCGGCCTCCCAAAGTGCTGGGATTACAGGCGTGAGCCACCAGGCCCAGCTTTTTTTTTTTTTTTTCTTTCTTTTTTGAGACAGAGTCTCTCTCTCTCTCTGTCTCCCTGGCTGGAGTGCAGTGGTGTAATATCTTGGCTCACTGCAACCTCTGCCTCCTAAATTCAAGCTATTCTCCTGTATCAGCCTCCCAAGTAACTGGGATTACAGGTGCATGCCACCACGCCTGGCTAATTTTTTGTATTATTTGTAGACAGAGGATTTCACCAAGTTGGCCAGGCTGGTCTTGAACTCCTGACCTCAAGTGATCCACCCACCTCGGCATCCCAAAGTGCTGGAATTACAGGTATGAGTCACCATGTCTGGGCCAAATTCTTTTACGCTTTTACCAGAGTAATATTTATTTTATTTTATTTATTTTTTGAGACAGAGTTTCACTCTTGTTGCCCAGGCTGGAGTGTAGTGGTGCAATCTCGGCTCACTGCAACCTCTGCCTCCCGGGTTCAAGTGATTCTCCTGCCTCAACCTCCTGAGTAGCTGGGATTACAGGCACCTGCCACCACGCCTGGCTAATTTTTCTTTTTTCTTTTTCTCTTTTTGAGACGGAGTCTCACTCTGTCGCCCAGGCTGGAGTGCAGTGGCGCGATCCAAGCTCCGCTTCCTGGGTTCACGCCATTCTCCTGCCTCAGCCTCCTGAGTAGCTGGGACTACAGGCGCCCGCCACCATGCCTGGCTAATTTTTTGTATTTTTAGTAGAGATGGGGTTTCACTGTGTTAGCCAGGATGGTCTCGATCTCCTGACCTTGTGATCCACCCGCCTCGGCCTCCCAAACTGCTGGGATTACAGGCGTGAGCCACCACGCCTGGCAATTTTTCATATTTTTAGTAGAGACAGGGTTTCGCCATGTTGGCCAGGCTTGTCTCGAACTCCTGACCTCAGGTGATCCACCCGCCTCGGCCTCCCGAAGTAGTGGGATTACAGGCGTGAGCCACCGCATCCGACCTCATATGTATAAATTTCAAAAAGGATTATATTTTTTGCCTGATTAAAGTCACATCATAGTGAGTTAGAAAGAGCCTGCATTTTAGAGCCAGCAAACTCTGGTTCTATAGCTTGCTAGCTGCTTAGCATTTCTGTTTTTTCATGTCTTCTCCTAAGATATAGAGATAAATAATAGTAACTATCTCATGAGATTATTTATTTATTTATTTATTTATTTATTTTGAGACAGTTTTGCTCTTGTTGCCCAGGCTGGAGTGCAATGGCATGACCTCGGCTCATGGCAACCTCTGCCTCCCGGGTTCAAGTGATTCTCCTGCCTCAGCCTCCGGAGTAGCTGGGATTACAGGCACGTGCCACCATACGTGGCTAATTTTTTGTATTTTTAGTAGAGATGGGGTTTCACCATGTTGGCCAGGCTGGGTCTCGAACGCCTGACCTTAGGTGATCCGCCTGCCTCGGCCTCCCAAAGTGCTGGAATTACAGGCGTGAGCCACTGCACCTGGCCTATTTATTTTTCTGAGACAGAGTCTCACTCTGTTGCCCAGGCTGGAGTGCAGTGGTGCAATTGGGGGTCACTACAGCCTCCACCTCCCAGGCTCAGATGATGCTGCTGCCTCAGCCTCCCCAGTAGCTGGGACCACAGGCATGCACCACCATGCCCAGCTAATTTTTGTATTTTTTGTAGAGACAGGGTTTCACCATGTTGCCCAGGCTGGTGTCAAATGCCTGGGCTCAAGTGACCCTTTTGCCTTGGCCTCCCAAAGTGCTGCGATTACATGTGTGAGCCACCATGTCCAGCCAGAGAGCCGCCATTTGAAGAGGGTTTTCAATAATGAAGTGAGAACATGGCAGGTAGGATGCAGACCAGTAGCCAGGACACTGTGCAGAAGCGTATCAAAGGAATGGCTACAATACGAGGCTATCCCAGAAAGAATGTCTATCCAGCTTAGGTTGAATTTGATCCCTCAGTTGGCATCACTGAGGAGGTACTTTTCTCTAAACTCTTGGGAGGTAGGCACATGGTCTTTATTTTTTTTAATTTTATTTACTTATTTTTTCGAGACGGAGTCTCACTCTGTCACCCAGGCTAGAGTGCAGTGGTGTGATCTCGGCTCACTGTAAGCTCCGCCTCCTGGGTTCATGCCATTCTCCTGCCTCAGCCTCCCGAGTAGCTGGGACTACAGGCACACGCCACCATGCCCGGCTAATTTTTTGTATTTTTAGTAGAGACGGGGTTTCACTGTGTTAGCCAGGATGGTCTCGATCTCCTGACCTCGTGATCTGCCTTCCTTGGACTCCCAAAGTGCTGGGATTACAGGCGTGAGCCACCTCCCCTGACCCAGCACATGGTCTTTAAAGTGGTGTTCTGAGGCCAGTAATGGCGGCTCATGCCTGTAATGCCAGCACTTTGGGAACGCAAGGTGGGAAGATCCCTTGAGTCTGGGAGTTTGAGATCAGCATGGGCAATATAGCGAGACTCCATCTCTATTAAAAAAAAAAAATTGCCTGCTGGGTGTGGTGGCTCACTCCTGTAATCCCAGCACTCAGCACTTTGGGAGGCCGAGGCGGACAGATCACTTGAGGTCAGAAGTTCGAGACCAACTTGGCCAACATGGTGAAACCCCCATCTCTACTAAAAATACAAAAAAAAAAAAAAAAAAAGCCAGGTGTGGTAGCGGGCACCTGTGATACCAGCTACTTGGGAGGCTGAGGCAGGAGAATTGCTTGAACCTGGGAGGTGGAGGTTGCAGTGAGCTGAGGTCACACCACTGCACTCCAGCCTGGGCAACAGAGCAAGACTCAGTCTCAAAAAAAAAAAAAAAATGCCGACTCCATCTTCACTACATATTTAGGGAGCACATAGAATAACATGAGTAGTTTTCTAGGCCTTTGAGATGACTCTTTCTAAATCCATCTCCAAATTGGTGCCATTCTGGGACTCGCCCTCAACTGGAGGTGCCCCTCAGCATTACATCTGGAACTTTATTTAAAAAAATACAAGGCCTGCCGGGCGCAGTGGCTCACTCCTGTAATCCCAGCACTCAGCACTTTGGGGGGCCGAGAGGGCAGATCACTAGGTCAGGAGATCAAGACCACCCTGGCTGACACGGTGAAACCCCGTCTCTACTAAAAATACAAAAAATTAGCCGGGCATAGTGGCGGGTGCCTGTAGTCCCAGCTACTTGGGAGGCTGAGGCAGGAGAATGGCATGAACCCAGGAGGCGGAGCTTACAGTGAGCCGAGATAGCACCACTGCACTACTGCACTCCAGTCTGGGTGACAGAGCAAGACTCCATCTCAAAAAAAAAAAAAAAAAAAAAAAAAACAAGGCCTGGCTCAGTGGCACACACCTGTAATCCCAGCACTTTGGGAGGCCAAGGCGGGTGGATCACCAGGTCAGGAGATCTAGACCATCTTGGCCAACATGGTGAAACCCTGACTCTATCAAAAATACAAAAATTAGCTGGACGTGGTGGTGGGCGCTTGTAATCCCAGCTACTTGGGAGGCTGAGGCAGGAGAATTGCTTGAACCCAGGAGGTGGAGGTTGCAGTGAGTTGATATTGCGCCACTGTACTCCAGCCTGGGCGACTGAGCAAGACCTCATCTCAAAAAACAAAAAACAAAACAAAACAAAACAAAACAAATCAAAGAAAACTAGGAATTTTATTTTATTTTGTGACAGAATCTTGCTCTGTTGCTCAGGGTGGAGTGCCGTGGTGTGATCTCCACTCATTGCAACCTCGGCCTCCCGGGTGCCAGTGATTCTCCTGCCTCAGCCTCTCCATAGCTGGGATTACAGGCGCCCACCACCACACCCAACTCATTTTTGTATTTTGTACAGACAGGGTTTCACCATGTTGGCCAGGCTGGTTTTGAACTGATGAGCTCAGGTGATCCTCCCGCCTTGGCCTCCCAAAGTGCTGGGATTATAGGTGTGAGCCATTGTGCCCGGCCTTATTTTATTTTATTTATTTTTTCTTTTAGTTTCTCTCTCCTTTTTTTGTTCTTTTTTATTTTTTTAAATTAAAAAAAATTTTGGCTGGGTGCGGTGGCTCACGCCTGTAATCCCAGCACTTGGGAGGCCGAGGTAGGCGGATCACCTGAGGTCAGGAGTTCGGGACTAGCCTGACCAACATGGAGAAACCCTGTCTCTACTAAAAAAAATACAAAAATTAGCTGGGTGCGGTGGCGCATGACTGTAATCCCAGCTACTTGGGAGGCTGAGGCAGGAGAATGGCTTGAACCCAGGGGGCGGAGGTTGCAGTGAGCCGAGATCGTGCCGTTGCACTCTAGCCTGGGCAACAAGAGCGAAACTCCGTCTCAAAATTTTTTTGAGACGGAGCCCAGGCTGGAGTATGATGGTGCTATCTCGGGTCACCGCAACCTCCTCTTCCCGGGTTCAAGTGATTCTCCTGCCTCAGCCTCCCTAGTAGCTGGGATTACAGTCATGTGCCACCACACTAGGCTAATTTTGTATTTTTAGTAGAGATGGGGTTTCACCATGTTGGCCAGTCTGGTCTCAAACTTCTGACCTCAGGTGATCCGCCTGCCTCGGCCTCCCAAAGTGCTGGGATTACAGGTGTGAGCCATCGTGCCCAGCCTATTGTATTTTTTTGAGACAGAGTCTTGCTCTGTCACCCAGGGTTGAGTGCAGTGATGCAATCTTGGCTCAGTACAACATCTACCTCCTGGACTTAAGCAATTCTCCTGCTTCAGCCTCCCAAGTAGCAGGGACTACAGGGGCCCAAAACCATGCCAGGCTAATTTGTTTTTCTGGGAATGGAGTTTTGTCCTTGTTGCCCAGGCTGGAGTGCAATGGCGTGATCTTGGCTCACTGCAACCTCCGCCCCATGGGTTCAAGCAATTCTCCTGCCTCAGCCTCCCAAGTAGCTGGGATTACAAGCATGCATCACCACGCCTTGCTAATTTTGTATTTTCAGTAAAGACGGTGTTTCTCCAGGTTGGTCAGGCTGGTCTTGAACTCCCAACCTCAGGTGATCTGCCCGCCTTGGCCTCCCAAAGTGCTGGGATTATAGGAGTGAGCCACCATGTCCGTCTGCTAATTTTTTTTGTTTTTGTTTTTGTTTTTAGATGTAGTCTTTCTCTGTTGCCCAGGCTGGAATGCAATGGAATGATCTTGGCTCACTGCAACCTCCGCCTCCCAGGTTCAGGTGATTCTTCTGTCTCAGCCTCCTGAGTAGCTGGGATTACAGGCATGTGCCACCATGCCCCACTATTTCTTTCTTTTTTTTTTTGAGACAGAGTTTTGCTCTTTCGCCCAGGCTGGAGTGCAGTGGTGTGATCTCGGCTCACTGCAACCTCCACCTTCTGTTTTCAAGAGATTCTCCTGCCTCAGCCTCCCGAGTAGCTGGGATTACAGGCGCCTATCACCATGTCCAGCTAATTTTTTTGTATTTTTAGTAGAGATGGGGTTTCACCATGTTGGCCAGGATGGTCTTGAACTCCTGACCTTGTGATCTGCCCATCTCAGCCTCCCAAAGTGCTGAGATTACAGACGTGGGCCACCACGCCCAGCTGTGCCCCACTAATTTTTTTTTTTTTTTTGAGACGGAGTTTCGCTGTTGTTGCCCAGGCTGGAGTGCAATGGTGCGATCTCGGCTCACTGCAACCTCTGCTTCCCAGGTTCACGTGATTCTCCTGCCTCAGCCTCCTGAGTAGCTGGGATTACAGACATGCACCACCACACCTGGCTAATTTTGTACTTTTAGTAGAGATGGGGTTTCACCATGTTGGCCAGGATGGTCTCGAACTCTTGACCTCGTGATCCGCCCACCTCGGCCTCCCAAAGTGCTGGGATTACAGGTGTGAGCCACCACGCCCAACAATTTTTGTGTTTTTAGAGGAGCCAACATTGCAGCACTGCACTCCAGACTGGGTGACATGTCAAGTGAGACTCTGTCTCCAAAAAATAAAAAAAAACAATAACAATAAAAATACAAAAATCAGCTGGGAGTGGTGGTGCACGCCTGTAGCCCCAGGTATTCGGGAGCCTGAGACAGAAGAATCGCTTGAACCTGGGAGGCGGAAGTTGCAGTGAGCCGAGATCATGCCACTGCACTCCAGCCTGGGAGACAGAGTGAGATTCCCTCTGAAAAAAAAAAAAGATGAAATGTATTTATACACCCATAAATACATAGATTTATGGGTGTATATACATAAATACAGTAAGTATTCATAATACTTACTGTATTTAATACATAAATACATAAATACAGTAAGTATTCAATAATATTTAATAAATACTATTATTGTGGTTGAAACTTTAGAAAATTCAAACAATTAGAAAGAGCAAGAAAAGGTAATTTTTGTGTTTTTAGTAGAGGAGGGGTTTCGCCATGTTGGCCAGGCTGGTCTCGAACTCCTGGACGTCTACTCCTGACCTCAAGTGATCCGCCTGCCTCGGTCTCCCACAGTGCTGGGATTACAGGCGTGAGCCACCGTGCCCAGCCACCAGGCTAATTTTTTTTGTATTTTTAGTAGAGACAGGGTTTCACCATGTTGGCCAGGCTGGTCTTGAACTCCTGACCTCAATGATCCACCTACCTTGGCCTCCCAGATTGCTGGGATTACAGGCATGAGCCACTGTGCCCAGCCAGGATTTTATTACAAAGGAAGAAGAAATGAGATTAGTGAATCAAAACTATACATATTTTTATTATCTATTACAGTTTATTATACATAGTATTATATCATTGTATGTTTTTAATATTTATTGAATACCAGGAAAATATACAATAAAAATGTTTTTCTTTAAAACAAATTAAAGTGGGCTGGGCATGGTGGCTCACGCCTATAATCTTAGCACTTTTGGAGGCCCAGATAGGAGGATTGCTTGAGCCCAGGAGGTTGAGACCAGCCTGGGCAATGTAGTGAGACCCCATCTCTACATACAAAAACTAGCCAGGCATGATGGTGCCTGCCTGTAATCTCAGTTACTTGGGAGGTTGAGGTGGAAAGATTGCTTGAGCCCAGGAGGTTGAGGCTGTAGTGGACTGAGACCGTGCCACTGTACTCCAGCCTGGGCAGCAGAAGGAAACTCTATCTCAAAAAAAAAAAAGAAAAAAGAAAAGGAAAAGTTAGCCAGGCATGGTGAAGCATACCTTTAGTCCCAGCTACTTGAGAGGCTGAGGTAAGAGGATAGCTTGTGCCTCGGAGGTTGAGGTTGTAGTGACTCACTGCGCTCCAACCTGGGCTACAGAGAAACACCCTGTCTCACAGACACACCAAAAAACCAAAAAACATTAATTATTTTTCCCCAAGTAAAGATCTTTCTTTTTTTTTTTTTTTTTTTTGAGATGGAGTCTCGCTCTGTCCCCCAGGCTGGAGTGCAGTGGCACATTCTCAGCTCACTGCCAGCTCTGCCTCTTGGGTTCACGCCATTCTCCTGCCTCAGCCTCCCAAGTAGCTGGGACTACAGGCACCTGCCACCACACCCGGCTAATTTTTTTGTATTTTTAGTAGAGACGGGGTTTCACCGTGTTAGCTAGGATGGTCTCGATCTCCTGACCTCATGATCCGCCCGCCTTGGCCTCTCAAAGTGCTGGGATTACAGGTGTGCGCCATCGCACCCGGCCAAAGATCTTTCTTGTTACCTACCGTGAACATAACAAAGTAGTGTTTTTAAAAGTACGAAGACTGTAGCAGAATGGCTATATTTAAGTCATGGCTCCATAGTTTACTTGCGGTTATACAACTTTGGATGTCACTTAACCTCTCTAGTTGGAATTTTGTTGTCCATAATGTGAGGATGATAATAGTACCTACCTCATAGGGTTGCTACGAAGATGAAATGGGCCAGGTGCAGTGGCTTAAGCCTGTAATCCCAACACTTTGGGAGTCTGAGGACAGCAGATCACTTGAGGGCAGGAGTTCGAAACCAGCCTCGCTAAGATGGTGAAAACCCATCTCTACTAAAAGTACAAAAATTAGCCAGGCGCAGTGGCTCACACCTGTAATCCCAGCACTTTGGGAGGCTGAGGCAGGCAGATCACCTGAGGTCAGGAGTTTGAGACCAGCCTGGCCAACATGGTAAAACTCCATCTCTACTAAAAATACAAAAATTAGCTGGCAAAGCCCAGCCCATGGTTCCAACGCCCAGCCTCTAATCTTAGCTTTTTGGGAGGCTGAGGCAGGAGAATCTCTTGAAGCCAGGAGGTGGAGGTTGCGGTGAGCCAACATCGCATGACTGCACTCCAGACTGGGTGACATGTCAAGTGAGACTCTGTCTCCAAAAAAAAAAAAAAAAAAAAAAAAACAATAACAATAAAAATACAAAAATCAGCTGGGAGTGGTAGTGCACGCCTGTAGCCCCAGGTATTCGGGAGCCTGAGACAGAAGAATCGCTTGAACCTGGGGGGCAGAAGTTGCTGTGAGCCGAGATCATGCCACTGCACTCCAGCCTGGGAGACAGAGTGAGATTCCATCTCAAAAAAAAAAAAAAAAGATGAAATGTATTTATATACACCCATAAATACATAGAGCAGTAAGTATTCAATAATATTCAATAAATACTATTATTGTGGTTGAAACTTTAGAAAATTCAAAAAATTAGAAAGAGCAAGAAAAGGTAATCAATAATCCATCTTCCAAAGGCAACCGATATTAAAATGTTGAAGTATTTACTTACAATAAAATTTCTATGGATATTTGTACCCAGTGGAAATACTTATGTATGTGATTTGTATGTTATTTTTTATTTTTATTTTTTAGACCAGATCTTGCTCTGTCATGCAGCCCCCTGCCTTAGTAGCTGGGATTACAGGTGTGCACCACCTCGCCTGACTAATTTTTGTATTTTTTGTAGAGAGGAGGTTTCACCATGTTGACCAGGCTGATCTTGAACTCCTGGGCTCAGGTGCTCCACCTGCCTTGGCCTCCCAAAGTGCTGGGATTACAGGTGTGAGCCACCGCGCCCAGCTGATGATTTGTACTCTTCTTTAGTCCAGAGCCTCTCTTCTCTTCTTCATTCTGCTTTGTGTCTCAGGAGGGACTCATGAGGACTCCATCAATGGATTCTATTGAGCTCTTCTATTTGGGTTTACCTAATGGGGACACTATGATAGGGTATTAATTTCCCTTCTCCTTTGAGGGAGTGGGGTGGGTTGGCTGTGCCCCTTTACTGAAGGTCTCACCTCTTCTCAGATGCTCTTTCTTGGGATCTCCATTTCAGCCTATGTTTGATAACTGCTGTTGATAGACAGCTGCAACAAGTTCTGCAATAATCTTTTTTTTTTTTTGAGACGGAGTCTCTCTCTGTCGCCCAGGCTGGGGTGCAGTGGCGCAATCTCGGCTCACTGCAAGCTCCGCCTCCCGGGTTAACGCCATTCTCCCGCCTCAGCCTCCTGAGTAGCTGGGACTACAGGCACCCACCACCACGCCCGGCTAATTTTTTTTTGTATTTTTAGTAAAGACGGGGTTTCACCGTGTTCGCCAGGATGGTCTTGATCTCCTGACCTCGTGATCTGCCCGCCTCTGCCTCCCAAAGTGCTGGGATTACGGGTGTGAGCCACCGGGCCCGGCCAAGTTCTGCAATAATCTTTATTGGTTTCCCTAAACCTTTTGCAAATGATCCCTTTGCTAAATCGCCTCAAATTACCCAGTTTGAGTGTACCATGTCCTTTCTTCTAGGACTTTGATACATAGGAGAAGAACAATGTTTTTTTTTCAGGAAGATTAATTTTAGTAGCTGTATAATATTCTATAGTGCCAATATACCAACAATAATAGCAATTACTTAATGTGCATGTCAGGTGCTTTATAGACATCATTTTATTCAGTAATTAGCACCTCCAGAGATTCGTATTTTACAGATGAGGAAAGTGACTTCAGGGAAGGCTGAAAACTTATTTGCCTGAGGTTACAGAGCTGACAAGCAGCAAGGTCAGTCTTCAGAATCTGTATTCTTCCCACTAAACCCAGTGGTTCCAAAGCCCAGCTAATCATGAAAGAGAAAAATCTGGCTGGCACGGTGGCTCACGCCTGTAATCCCAACACTTTGGGAGGCTAAGGCAGGCAGATCTTTTGAGCTTTTGACCAGCCTAGCCAACCTGGGAAAACCACATCTCTACTACAAATACAAAACTTAGCCAGGTGTGGTGGCGCGCACCTGTACTCTCAGCCACTTGGGAGGCTGAAACACAAGAATCATTTGAATCTGGGAGGCAGAGGTTGCAGTGAGCTGAGATCGAGCCACTGAACTCCAGACTGGGTGAGGGAGTGAGACTCTGTCCAAAAAAAAAAAAAAAAAAGAGAGAGGGAGAGAAATCTATTTCCACTCCCAGAGATCTTAACTTAGTAGCTCAAGAGTAAGACCCATAAATCTCTATTTTTATAAAAGTTCCTCAGGGGATTCTGATGATAAGCTGGATTTGGGAAAGAAAGCACAGTTTACCTCATCTTAATATACTGATGTTTCCTTTTTATTGGATATTTAGATCATCTTTTGTCCTTATAAATAAGACCAAAATAAAGATGGTTATATATAAAGCCTTGCCCATATTTAATACTGTTCACATAATACAAATCTCAAAAGAATGAATAGTGAATCAAAAACAGAAATATTTTTGGCTGGGCGTGGTGGCTCATGCCTGAGGATCACCTGAAGTCAAGAGTTTTAGATCAGCCTGGCCAACATGGTGAAACCCTGTCTCTACTAAAAAAAAAAATTAGCCAGGTGTGGTGGCACACATCTGTAATCCCAGCTACTTGGGAGGCTGAGGCATGAGAATCACTTGAGTCTGGGAGGCGGAGGTTGCAGTGAGCTGAGATCACGCCACTGCACTCCAGCCTGGGCTACGGAGCAAGACTCCATCTTAATAAATAAATAAATTAAAAAAATAAATAAATAGTCATCGGCAAAGCCTGAGTCCTGTCCTCTCACTCCTCCCCGGACAGAATGAGCTTCACCATTCGTTCCACCTTCTCCACCAGCTACTGGTCCCTGAGCTCTGTCCAGGTGCCCAGCTACGGCGCTCGGCCAGTCAGCAGCTCTGCCAGCATCTATGCAGGTGCCGGGGGCTCTGGTTCCTGGATCTCCGTGTCCCGTTCCACCAGCTTCCGGCTCGGCATTGGGTTCCAGGGCCTGGCTGCTGGGATGGCCGGGGGTCTGGCAGGAATGGGAGGCACCCAGAACTATAAGGAGGCCATGCAAAGCCTGAACGACCGCCTGGCCTCCTACCTGGACAGAGTGAGGAGCTTGGAGACCGAGAACTGGAAGCTGGAGAGCAAAATCCGGGAGCATCTGGAGAAGAAGGGACTCCAGGTCAGAGTCTGGAGCCATTACTTCAAGACCATCGAGGACCTGAGGGCTCAGATCTTCGCAAATACTGTGGACAATGCCTTCATCTTTCTGTAGATCAACAATGCCCGTCTTGCTGCTAATGACTTTGGAGTCAAGTATGAGACAGAGCTGGCCCTGTGCCAGTCTGTAAAGAACTACATCCATGGGCTCTGCAAGCTCACTGATGACACCAATGTCACTTGGCTGCAGCTGGAGACAGAGATCGAGGCTCTCAAGGAGGAGCTGGTCTTCATGAAGAAGAACCACAAAGATTAAGTAAAAGGTCTACAAGCTCAGACTGCCAGCTCTGGGTTGACCGTGGAGGTAGATGACCCCAAATCTCAGGACCTTGCCAGGATCATAGCAGACATCCAGGCCCAATATGATGAGCTGGCTTGAAAGAACTGAGGGGACCTAGACAAGTACTGGTCTCAGCAGATTGAGGAGAGACCACAGTGGTCACCACGCAGACCGCCAAGGTTGGAGCTGCTGAGATGCTGCTCACGGAGCTGAGACATACAGTCCAGTCCTTGGAGATCGACCTGGACTCCATGAGAAATCTGAAGGCCAGCTTGGAGAACAGCCTGAGGGAGATGGAGGCCCGGTACACCCTGCAGATGGAGCAGCTCAACGGGATCCTGCTGCACCTGGAGTCAGAGCTGGCACAGACCCGGGCAGAGGGACAGTGCCAGGCCCAGGAGTAGGAGGCCCTGCTGAATATCAAGGTCAAGCTAGAGGCTGAGATTGCCACCTACCTGCCTGCTGGAAGACGGCAAGGACTTCAATCTTGGTGATGCCCTGGACAACTCCATGCAAACCATCCAAAAGACCACCACCCGCAGGATAGTGGATGGCAAAGTGGTGTCTGAGACCAATGACACCAAAGTTCTGAGACGTTAAGCCAGAAGAAGCAGGGTACCCTTTGGGGAGCAGGAGGCCAATAATAAGCTCAGAGATAAAATAAATAAATATTTTTAAGATTTTTGGTTTTTTTGAGATGGAATCTTGCTCTGTTACCCAGGCTGGAGTGCAGTGGGGCGATCTCGGCTCACTGCAACCTCCACCTCCCGGGTTCAAGCAATTCTCCTACCTCACATTCTGGAGCAGCTGGGACTACAGGCACACTCCACCACGCCCAGCAAATTTTTGTATTTTTTTTTTTTTTGAGACGGAGTCTCGCTCTGTCGCCCAGGCTGGAGTGCAGTGGCGCAATCTCAGCTCACTGCAAGCTCCGCATCCCGGGTTCAGGCCATTCTCCTGCCTCAGCCTCCCGAGTAGCTGGGACTACAGGCGCCTGCAACCACACCCGGCTAATTTTTTGTATTTTTAGTAGAGAAGGGGTTTCACTGTGTTAGCCAGGACGGTCTCGATCTCCTGACCTCGTGATCCACCCGCCTCGACCTCCCAAAGTGCTGGGATTACAGGCATGAGCCACTGCGCCTCGCCAAATTTTTGTATTTTTAATAGAGATGGGGGTTTCACCATATTGGCCAGCCTGGTCTGGAACTCACCACCTTGGCCTCCCAAAGTGTTGGGATTACAGGCATGAGCTACAGTGCCCAGCCGATTTTTGATATGTTTTATTCAAACATTCATTCATTCGGCTACTTAAATATTCATTTAAAAATTCTGCATGCTTTCCCTGACTGGCCAACATGGCGAAACCCCATCTCTGCTAAAAATACAAAAATTGCCAGGCACGGTGGCTCATGCCTGCAATCCCAGCACTTTGGGAGGCTGAGGAGGGCAGATCACCTGAGGTCAAGAGTTCGAGACCAGCCTGGTCAATGTGATGAAACCTTGTCTCTACTAAAAATACAAAAATTAGCTTGGCATGGTGGTGGGCTCCTGTAGTCCCAGCTACTCAGGAGGCTGAGGCAGGAGAATCGCTTGAACTCGTGAGGCGGAAGTTGCAGTGAGCAGAGATTGTGCCACTGCACTCCAGCCTGGGAGACACAGCCAGACTCTGTCTCAAACAAAACAAAACAAAACAAAACAAAACAAAACAAAGCAAAACAAAACATCACAAAAATTAGCAGGGCGTGGCGGCACATGCCTGTAATTCCAGCTACTTGGGAGGCTGAGTCATTAGAATCAGTTGAACCTGGGAGTTAGAGGTTACAGTGAGCCAGAATTGCACCATTGCACTCCAGCCTGGGCAAAAGAGTAAAACTCCATCTCAGAAAAAAAAAATATTCTGCATTCTTTCTACAAATATTTATTAGACGTTTATCATGTGCCAAGCACTACGCCAGAGTTTTGAAATACAACAGTGAGGCCAGATGCGGTGGCTCATGCCTGTAATCCCAGCACTTTGGGAGGCTGAGGCAGGAGGATCACCTGAGGTCAGGAGTTCAAGACCAGCCTGGCCAACATCGTGAAACCCCATCTCTACTAAAAACAAAAAAACTAGCCAGGCGTGGTGGTACAGGCCTGTAATCCCAGTTACTTGGGAGCCTGAGGCAGAAGAATCGCTTGAACCCCGGAGGCAGAGGTTGCAGTGAGCTGGGATCGCGCCATTGCACTCCAGCCTGGGTGACAAGAGTGAAACTCCATCTCAAAAAAAAAAAAAAAAAGAAAAAAGAAAAAAGAAAAAATCTGCATTGTTTCTACAAACATTTATTAGAAATTTATCATGTGCCATGCACTGTGCCAGAGTTTTAAAATAGTGAGGCCGGGTGTGGTGGCTCATGCCTGTAATCCCAGCACTTTAGGAGGCCAAGGCAGGAGAATCACTTAAGCCCAGGAGTTTGAGACCAGCCTGGGCAAAGTGGTAAAACCCTGGCTCTACTAAAAATACAAAAATTAGCAGGTCATGGTGGCGTGCACCTATGGTCCCTTGGGAGGCTACTTGGGAGGCTGAGGTGAGAGGATCTCTTGAACCTGGGAGTGGGAGGTTACAGTGAGCTGAGATCATGCCACTGCACTCCAGCCCGGGTAACACAGTGAGACTCCGTCTCAAAATAATAATAATAATGTAAATAAAATATTTAATTTATAATTGCAATTGGTCTATGAAGGAAAAGTAAGGGGGAATATAACTTCTGATTTATATATGATTAGTGAAGGTAATATTAAGGAAATGACATTTACACTGAAGCTTGATGAATGACTAGATGTTGGCTATGCAAAGAGGGAAGAAACAACATTCCAGGCAGAGGAAGTGGCATATGTAAAGGCCCAAACATGATGTGAGGGAACTTGGCAAGTTATCTAAAATAGATTTACATTATAAGATATGTATGTTATATGGCCATGTATATACTGAGGTAAAACAAGAATGAATGTGGAGGAATTAATTAAGTTTATTATAGTGGTTTGTGAAGAAGATGAAGTAGGAAGGAGATGACTGACAGCTTGAAGTAGAGAGGTGTCAGTAGAGATAATGAGAAGTGGATAGATTTATTTAGAAAGTAGGGCTGGGCGCAGTGGCTCACACCTGTAATACCTGCACTTTAGGAGGCCAAAGTGAGTGGATCACTTAAGATCAGGGGTTTGAGACCAGCCTCAGCAACATGGTGAAACCCCGTCTCTACTAAAAATATAAAAATTAGCCGGCCGTGATGGTGCCTCCCTGTACCAGCTGCTGAGGTGGGAGGATCGCCTGAGCCCAGGAGGTGGAGGTTGCAGTGAGCCAAGATTGCAACACTGCACTCTAGCCTGGGCGACAGAGCGAGACTCCATCTCACACAAAGAAAACAAAAAAAAAAAAAAAGGAAAAAATGGATCTAGGGCCAGGTGAGGTGGCTCATCCCTGTAATCTCGACATTTTGGGAGGCTGAGGTGGGAGGAATAGGTTGAGCTCAGAGTTCAAGCCAGCCTGGACAATGTAGTGAGACCATGTCTCTACCAGAAAAAAAAAATGCCAGGCTCGATGGCGCGTGCCGGTGGTCCCAACTACCGGGAGGCTGAGGTGGGAGGATCCCTTGAGCCCAGGACACTGCAGTGAGCAGTGTTTGTACCACTGCACTCCAGCCTAGGTGAGAGTGAGACCCTGTCTGAATAATAATAATAATAATGATAATGATAATAATAATGGGCCGGGTGTGGTGGCTCACGCCTGTAATCCCAGCACTTTGTGAGGTCGAGAAGGGTGTATCTCCTGAGGTCAGGAGTTTGAGACCAGCCTGGCCAACATGGTGAAACCCCA
The DNA here is from genome assembly GCF_000001405.40 of Homo sapiens. Lineage (NCBI taxonomy): Eukaryota > Metazoa > Chordata > Mammalia > Primates > Hominidae > Homo > Homo sapiens. The sequence goes on from NC_000004.12 coordinate 40,024,774, forward strand.
TCTCTACTAAAAATACAAAAATTAGCTGGGTGTGGTTGTGGGCACCTGTATTTATTTGATAAATAATATCAAATGAAATGAACAAGGATGATTACTGCAGTAGTGTTTGTGGAAAAACTGACTATACCCCAGGACAGCAAAAGATAAATGCAAGGGCCAGTGCGGTGGCTCACACCTATAATCCCAACACTTTGGGAGGCCAAGGTTGGTGGATCACTTGAGGTCAGGAATTTGAGACCAGCCCGGCCAACATAGTGAAATCCCATCTCTACTAAAAATTCAAAAAAAATTAGCCAGGTGTGGTGGCACACGCCTGTAATTCCAGCTTCTCTGGAGGCTGAGGCAGAAGAATTACTTGAACCTGGGAGGCAGAGGTTGCAGTGATTCGAGATCGCGCCATTGCATTCCAGCCCGTGTGACAGAGCGAGACTCCATCTCAAAAAACAAAACTAAACATAAATGCACTGTAACTTTGTCATACAAGGGAATATGAAAAGTAGTCAAATGGACTAAAGTTACCTATACAAACATGGAAAAATGTAAAAATTACCTCAAAATGGATTATAGATTTAGATGTGAAATGTAAAACTATAAGCTTTTAGAAGAAAACATAGGAGAAAATCTTCAAGACCTGTGCCTTGTTGAGGAATTCTTAGATGTGACACCAAAAGCACAATCCATAAAAAAACTGATAAATTGGACTTCATCAAAATTAAAAACTTTTGTTGTGATTTACCAATCACATATCTGATAAAGGACTCATATCTAGACTATACGAAGAATTTTCAACTCAACAGTAAATAAACAAAAACAAAACCAATTAGAAAATGAGTAAAACCCAGCCAGGCATGGTGGCTCACACTGGTAATCCCAGCACTTTGGGAGGCCAAGGTAGGAGGATTCCTTGATCCCAGGAGTTTGAGACCAGCCTAGACAACATTAATGAGACCCTCACCTCTACAAAAAATTAAAAAATTTAGCCAGGTGTAGTGACACACAACTGTAGTCCCAGCTTGGAAGGTTGAGGTGGGAGGATCACTTTAGCCCAGGAGGTTGAGGCTGCAGTTAACTGTGATCGTGCCACTGCACTCCAGCCTGGGTAACAGAGCAAGACTTTGTCTCAAAAAAATTAAAAAATTGGCCAGGCACAGTGACTCATACCTGTAATCCCTGCATTTTGGGAGGCTGAGGCGGGCAGATCACTGGAGGTCAGGAGTTCAAGACCAGCCTGTCCAACATGGTGAAAGCCTGTCTCTGCTAAAAATACAAAAATTGCCGGGCATGGTGGTGCTTGCCTGTAATCCCAGCTACTTGGGAGGCTGAGGCAGGAGAATTGCTTGAACCTGAGAGATGGAGGTTGCAGTGAGTTGAGATCGTGCCACTGCACTCTAACCTGGGTGACAGAGTGAGACTCTGTTTCAAAAAAGAAAAAAAGAAAGAAGAAAGGAGGACTCCAGGAGAGAATGAAAGTTGTGTTATGGTTGTCGGAAACTAAAACTAAATGCCCTGTAGAATTATCAATCATGTAAATCCAGAAACAGGCAATCCAGCTCATTTTGAGGAAATTACATAACTGGAATCAGGCCTTATGTATCCCTTTGAGACTGGCTTTTTCAGGCTGCATAATGCCCTAGAAAGCCACCTAAGTTTTTGCATGTATCAATAGGTTGTTCTTTTTTAATGCTGGGTATTCCATGGTATGGATGTACCACAGTCTATTTAACCATTCACCATTTTTTTAAAAACTATTTATTTATTTTATTTTGAGATGGAGTCTCGCTCTGTCACCCAGGCTGGAATGCAGTGGCACGATCTCGGCTCACTGCAACTTCTGCCTCCCAGGTTCAAGCGACTCTCCCACCTTAGCCTTCTGAGTAGCTGGGATTACAGGCGTGCGCCACCACACTCAGCTAATTTTTGTATTTTTAGTAGAGACAGAGTTTCACCATGTTGGCCAGGCTGGTCTCAAACTCTTGACCTCAAGTGATCCACCTGCCTTGGCTTCCCAAAGTGCTGGGATTACAGATGTGAACCACCATGCCCTGCTCGGTCTCTGTCTTTACTGTTGAAAGCTTTCCTCAAAGGTCTGATGATCCTTGAATATTTGGTCAGATTTTTAACTGAACCACTGCATAGCTGACTGGAAGCTCTGTGTGAGTGGGCAGGTCTTGTCAACTTGTGAGCTTATTTTTAGATTCCCTAGGTAGTCAGCCAGCTTTTGTGTTCAGGTATGTGTGTGGTACCCCAAATGACAGTATGTGTAGGTATTTTCTCTGTAGCAATTTACTTTATCTGGAGAAAAACTAATTTTCTGCTTGGCTATTGGCTTTGTAGCACTGGACTGAGGAATCTCACAGTTCAATATGTAGACCTTTTTTTGTTAAAAAAAAAAAAAGCAAGTACTACTAAACTAATCTTCTGCCTGGCTATTGGCTCTGTAGCACTGGACTGAGGAATTTCACAGTTCAATATGTAGACTTTTTTCCTTATTTTTTTTTCTGAGATGGAGTCTTGTCTGTCGCCCAGGCTGGAGTGCAGTGGCACGATCTTGGCTCACTGCAACCTCCGCCTCCTGGGTTCAAGCGATTCTCCTGCCTCAGCCTCCTGAGTAGCTGGGATTACAGGTGCACACCACCATGCCTGTCTAATAAAAATTAGACATTTTTAGTAGAGACGAGGTTTTACCATGTTGGTCAGGCTTGTGTTGAACTCCTGACCTTGTGATCCGCCCACCTTGGCCTCTATGCCTGGATGCCCTTTTTTTGTTAAAAAAAAAAAAAAAGAAAAAGAAAACAAAGCAAGTACTCTGGAAACTCTGTAGACTTTTTTTTTTTTTTTTTGAGATGGAGTCTCACTCTGTTGCCCAGGCTGCAGTACAGTGGCATGATCTCAGCTGACTGCAACCTCTTGCCTCCTGGGTTCAAGCAATTCTCCTGTCTTAGCCTCCTGAGTAGCTGAGATTACAGGCACCGGCCACCATGCCTGCTAAATTTTTTGTATTTTTAGTAGAGACAAGGTTTTACTATGTTGCCCTGGCTGGTCTCGAGCTCCTGACCTCAAGTGATCTGCCTGCCTTGGCCTCCCAAACTGCTGGGATTACAGCCGTGAGCCACCATACCCGGCCTGTAGACTTTCACGGAATTCTCACCCGATCTCTCTTCCTTCCTGCTGCTCCCTAAGCTTCTCAGATTGTTTCTCCCCAGAAAAAGTACTTGTGGGAGTGGGGAAGGGGTGGCTGCCTGACTGATGGGAGTGAGGGAAGGCTTCTAGGGCTGCTTTTCAGTCTTCAGACACCCCTCACTGTCTTCAGTGTCCTGTTCCTATTACTGCCTTCCAAAGTACCAGGCTTCAGTCCTTGAGTTGTCTTGCTTTTTGTGGGTCTTCTCCAACAAAGCTTGGCCTTCCTCTGCTCTGCTAATTTAGTCACCATTCCTCCATCTGCTTTTTGTTTTCAAGTGCTGTGAGTTTGCGGGGATAAATGTTTCCTAGTTTTATTGAAGATAGCGTTTGTGTTTCTGTTTCTTGTTCTGATTCTGTATTGGGGAAATTAAAAAAAAAAGTCTAGAAAGGTCAATGCTCAGCCATCTAAATCCTGGAAGCTGTGGAGGTGACTTCTAGCAATTCCCTCCATCATTCCTGTCCAAACATATTTCAAAAAAAATACAAAGAGTGTTCTGAAAGCAGTTCTGTCTGCCCATACTCTTTGCTCAGTGGCAGTGCCAAGTAGTGCTGTGCCTAACCATATTGGAGCCTGAGGCAAAAGAAAAAATTAGTAGCACTGATCTAATTTTTATTTAACATTTCAATATTTTGTTCATTATGGGGTTTTGCTGCACCTATTTTGACTTTTAAAAATATTGCACTGGCCAGGCGTGGTGGCTCACGCCTGTAATCCCAGCACTTTGGGAGGCCAAGGCGGGCGGATCACCTGAGGTTGGGAGTTCGAGACCAGCCTGACCAACATGGAGAAACCCCATCTCTACTAAAAATACAAAAAATTAGCTGGGCGTGGGGGCACATGCATGTAATCCCAGCTACTTGGGAGGCTGAGGCAGGATAATTGCTTGAACCTGGGAGGCAGAGGTTGCGGTGAGCTGAAATCATGCCATTGCACTCCAGCCTGGGCAACAACAGCAAAATTCTGTCTCAAAAAAAAAAAAAAAAGCATTAAAATACTATTTTAAGGCTGGGCATGGTGGCAAATGGCTGTAATCCCAGCACTTTGGGAGGCCGAGGTGAGTGGATCACCTGAGGTCAGGAGTTGAAGACCAGCCTGGCCAACGTGGTGAAACCCTGCCTTCATTAAAAGTACAAAAATGTGGGAGGCTGAGGTGGGCAGATCACGAGGTCAGGAGATCAAGACCATCTTGGCTAACATGGTGAAACCCCGTTTCTACTAAAAATACAAAAAATTAGCCAGGCGTGGTGGCGGGCGCCTGTAGTCCCAGCTACTCGGGAGGCTGAGGCAGGAGAATGGTGTGAACCTGGGAGGCAGAGCTTGCAGTGAGCCGAGATCGTGCCGCTGCACTCCATCCTGGGCGACAGAGCGAGACTCTGTCTCAAAAAAAAAAAAAAAAAAGTACAGAAATGAGTTGGGCGTGGTGGCATGGGCCTGTAATCCCAGATACTTGGGAGGCTGAGGCAGGAGAATCGCTTGAACCCAGGAGACGGAGGTTACAGTGAGCCAAGATCGTGCCATTGCACTCCAGCCTGGGCGACAAGAGCAAAATTCTGTTGGAAAAAAAATTATTTTATTACTTGTATTTTTTACTATTATTATTTATCACTTAATTACTGAGTGCTTTGGCGCCTTTTACATTTTACAACCCAGTTAGCTGACTTATCTCCTTCATCCTAATCCTGGTCCTGGATGTATCACTTTTTTTTTCTTTTTTTTTTCTGAGACGGAGTTTCACTCTTTTTGCCCAGGCTGGAGTGAAACGGTGAGATCTTGGCTCACTGCAACCTCCACCTCCTGGGTTCAAGTGATTCTCCTGTCTCAGCCTCCTGAATAGCTGGGATTACAGGCACGTGCCCCCAGGCCCAGCTAATTTTTGTATTTTTAGTAGAGACGGGGTTTCACCACGTTGGCCAGGCTGGTCTTGAACTCCTTACCTCGTGATCTGCCTGCCTTGGCCTCCCAAAGTGCTGGGATTACAGGTGTGAGCCACTGCACCTGGCTGGATGTATCGCTTTCTTCAGCTAATCATGTCCTACCCTGCAAGCCACTACAAATGAACATTTCATCTACTTGCTTTTTTTTTTTTTTTCTCAGACCCATTAGGTCAGAAACAGAGCTTAGGATGAAATATGTCATCTAAGTAAATACAACCTGCTTGCCAGGCTGGGCACGGTGGCTCACGCCTGTAATCCCAGCACTTTGGGAGGCCGAGGCGGGCGGATTACGAGGTCAAGAGATTGAGACCATCCTGGCCAACATGGTGAAACCCCGTCTCTATTAAAAATATAAAAATTAGCTGGGCATGGTGGCAGGCGCCTGTAGTCCCAGCTACTCGGGAGGCTGAGGCAGGAGAATCGCTTGAACCCGGGAGGCAGAGGTTGCAGTGAGCCGAGATCACGCCACTGCACTCCAGCCTAGGTGACAGAGCGAGACGCCATCTCAAAAAAGAAAAAAGAAAAAAAAAAAAAAAAAAAAAAAAAATATATATATATATATAAAACCTGCTTGCCATGCAAACTTTCACCTTCAAGGCATATCCCACAGTCATGCTTTCAATCAATTTATCTTCCTGGCCAGGCGCGGTAGCTCATGGGCTGTAATCTCAGCACTTTGGGAGGCGGAGGTGGGAGGATCACCTGTGGCCAGGAATTGGAGACCAGCCTGGGCAACATGGTAAAACCCTGTCTATCAAAAATACAACAAAATTAGCCAGGTATGATCCCAGCTACTAGGGAGGAAGAGGTGGACTCTGTCTCAAAAAAATAAAGATAAAAAAATAAATTAATTAATTAAATTAAGTAAAAATTTAAAAACACATATTAAGACTGTCAAGCAAAAAAGAAAAAGAAAAAGCAAACAAAAACAAAACAAAACAAAACAAAAAACCCAAAACCACACATTTATTATGTCCCAGTTCTGGCATGTCAGGAGTCCGGCCTGGGTTAGCCAGGTCTTCTGCTCAGGGTCTCTCTAGGCCAAAATCAAAGTGTTGGACATAAATCTCATCTGAGACTGGAGGGCCTCTTTCAGGCTCACTGTGGTTGTTGGGTTGTTGGTAGAATTCAGCTCCTTGTGGTTGTATTATTGACGTTTCCATTTTCTTTTTTTTGAGACGGAATCTTGCTCTATCGCCCAGGCTGGAGTAGAGTGGTGCGATCTCGGCTCACTGCAAGCTCTGTCTCCTGGGTTCACGCCATTCTCCTGCCTCAGCCTCCCGAGTAGCTGGGACTATAGGCACCCGCCACCACGCCTGGCTAATTTTTTGTATTTTTAGTAGAGAGGAGGTTTCACCATGTTAGCCAGGATGGTCTCGCTCTCCTGACCTCATGATCCGCCCCCTCGGCCTCCCAAAGTGCTGGGATTACAGGCGTGAGCCACCGCACCCGGTCCCCATTTTCTTGCTAGCTGTTGACTGAGGACTGCTCTCAGCTCCTCCAGTTGCCTCAGGTCCTTGCACACAGCACCTCCATAAGCCCATTCACAACATGCCGGTTCACTTCGACTTCAAGGCCAGTAGGAAAGTGTCTCTCTGTTGCTTTGCATTCTTTTATTTATTTATTTATTTATTTATTATTATTTTTTGAGACGGAGTCTCCCTCTGTCCCCCAGGCTGTAGTGCAGTGGCGCCATCTCAGCTCACTGCAAGCTCTGTCTCCCGGGTTCGTGCCATTCTCCTGCCTCAGTCTCCAGAGCAGCTGGGACTACAGGGCCCGCCATGCCTGGCTAATTTTTTTTTTTTTTTTTTTTTTGTATTTTTAGTAGAGACAGGGTTTCACCATGTTAGCCAGGATGGTCTTGATCTCCTGACCTTGTGATCCGCCCGCTTCGGCCTCCCAAAGTGCTGGGATTACAGGCATGAGCCACCGCGCCCGGCCCACTTTACATTCTTTTAAAGGGCTTACAGGGCCAGGCCTGGTGGCTCACACCTGTAATCCTAGCACTTTGGGATGCCAGGGCGGGTGGATCACCTGAGGCCAGGAGTTCAAGGCCAGACTCGGCATCATGGCAAAAACCCATCTCTACAAAAGAAATACAAAAATTAGCTGGGCGTGGTGGTGCCTGCTACAGTCCCAGCTCCTCAGGAGGCTGAGGTGGGAAGATGGCTTGAGCCCAGGAAGTGGAGGTTGCAGTAAGCTGAGACTGCACCATTGCACTCTAGCCTGGGTGACAGAACCAGACCCTGTCACAAACAAACAAACAAACAAACAAACAAACAATAAAGGCTTACAGAATTAGGGCAGGCCAACCAAAAAAATCTACTATTTGATTAACTCAAAGTCAACTATGGATCAGTGATCTATCTAATTAAGGGAATGATACAGAGAACAGGAATCTCTGTCCCATCTTAGAATTCTGCTTACCAAACCTTTTCTCTTCCCTTTGTTGAAAGTCCATTAGATACCCTGCAGGACTTATGGCATGTGATGGCATTGGGGTACAGGGGAGAAAATCATGTGATTATGTTACCTTAAAATTTTTTTTTTTGAGACAAGTTCTTGCTCTGTTGCTCAGGCTGCAGTGCAGTGGCATGATCATGGCTCAGTGCAGCCTAGACCTCCCAGGCTCAAGTGATTCTCCCACCTGAGCCTGCAGAGTAGCTGAGACTACAGATGTGTACACCACTCCCAGGTAAATTTTGCATATTTTGTAGAGAAGGAGCTTGGAAAAAAGTGATTTTGAAACTGATAAGGATAATTGAGGGTTAATTAGGTAAACATTTTGCAATGTTTGGCTCACAGATGAATAGCATATTGTATTAGTTACATATATATGTGTATATGTATGTGTGTGTATATATACACATATGTGTATATACGTATATACACATATGTCTATACACGTATATACAAATGTCTATACACGTATATATACAAATGTCTATACACGTGTATATACACACACATGTATACACACACGTGTATACACACACGTGTATACACACACGTGTATACACACACGTGTGTATACACGTGTATATATATACAAATGTGTATACACACGTGTATATATATACAAATGTGTATACACGTATATATACACACGTGTATACACGTATATATACACACGTGTATACACGTGTATATATATACACGTGTATACACGTATATATATACACGTGTGTATACACACGTGTATACACGTGTATATATACACGTGTGTATACACGTGTGTATACACACATGTGTATATATATATACTTTTTTTTTTTGAGACACAGTCTCGCTCTGTCGCCCAGGCTGGAGTGTCAGTGGCACAATCTCGGCTCACCCCAACCTCCGCCTCCCAGGTTCAAGCAATTCTCCTGTCTCAGCCTCCTGAGTAGCTGGGATTACAGACATGTGCCACCAGGCCAGGCTAATTTTTGTATTTTAATAGAGATGGGATTTCACCATGTTGGCCAGGCTGGTCTGGAACTCCTGACCTCATGATCTGCCCGCTTTGGCCTCCCAAAGTGCTGGGATTACAGGCGTGAGCCACCACGCCCGGCCAAAAGGAGTAAATTTTAATACAAAATAGACATGGGAGGGCTCACTATGTTGCCCAGGCTGGTCTCATACTCCTGGGCTCAAGTGATGCTCCCACCTCAGCCTCCCAAAGTGCTGGGATTACAGGTTTGAGCCACCAAGCCCTGCCAAGATTGGCATTTGAATCAGTGGACTCACCTTCAGCTGATGTGGGCAGGCACCATCCAATCAGCTGAGGGCCCGGATATAACAAAAAGGCAGAGGGAAGGCAAACTGCTGCACTCTTTCTTTTTGCTGGAGCCAGGCACCCATCTTATCCTGCCCTTGGACATCACAACTCCAGGTTCTCTGGCCTTTGGACTCCTACAAGAGGCCTTCCTAGGTTCTCAAGCCTTTGGCCTTGGATTGGTTTAGCTCTCCTGGTTATGACTTTTGAACTTGGACTGAGTCACGCTGTCAGCTTTCTTGGTTCTTTAGCATGCAGAAGGCCTAATGTGGGACTTCTCAGCCTCCATAACTGTGTGAAACATTTCTCCTAATAAATGCCCTCTCATCTCTCTCCCTCCATCCTGTGGGTTCCATTTCTCTGGAAAACACTGACTAATACAAAGAGAGAGCTCAAGAGTGTGAAATATTTTTTTGAGAGGTCAAGCAAAAAATTGTTTGCTGATTATAGTGACATGGAGATTGGTAGTGATCTTAGTAAGAGGAGTTTCAGGGGAGTAGTAAAGATGGAAGTCAGGGTGCAATGAGTTCAAGAGTGAATGTTAGAAAAGGATAAACTTTGTGTTGGATTGAAATAAATGGTGACAGAATGAACTTGTGGTTTTTGATAATATATATTTTATACACATAGAAACAATTATGAATATGTGTGTATTTGTACATTAACATACATACAACTTCTGGCTGGGCGTGGTGGCTCATGCGTGTAATCCCAGCACTTTGGGAGGCCGAGGCAGGCGGATCACCTGAGATTGGGAGTTCGAGACCAGCCTGACCAACATGGTGTACTAAAAATACAAAAATTAGCCGGGTGTAGTGGTGCATGCCTGTAGTCCCAGTCACTTGGGAGGCTGAGGTAGGAGATTTGCTTGAACCCAGGCGGCGGATGCTACAGTAAGCCGAGATGGCACCACTGTACTTCAGCCTGGGTGATAGAAGGAGACTCTGTCTCAAAAAAAAAAACGAAAAACATGGAGACCAGCCTGGCCAACGTGGTGCAACCCTGTCTCTACTAAAAATACAAAAAATTAGCCGGGTGTGGTGGTGGGTGCCTGTAACCCCAGGTACTTGGGAGGCTGAGGCAGGAGAATAGCTTGAACCTGGGAGGCGGAGGTTGCAGCATGCTGAGATGGCGCCATTGCACTCTAGCCTGGGCAGCAAGCGGGAAACTCTGTCTCAAAAACAAACAAAAAAACAAAAACAAACAAACATATATACAAATTCTTAGCTCTATTCACAAGAGGGCCTGGGGGCTGGGCTCAGTGGCTCACGCCTGTAATCCCAGCACTTTGGGAGGCTCAAGTGGGAGGATTGCTTGAGCCCAGGAGTTCAAGGCCAGCCTGATCAACATGGCAAACCCTGTCTCTACAAAAAAAAAAAAAAAAAAAAAAAAAGACAAAAATTAGCCAGGGGTGGTGGTGCGCATTTGCAGTCCCAGCTACTTGAGAGGTTGAGGTAGGAGGATTGCTTGAGTCTGGGAGGTCAAGGCTGCAATGAGCTGTGATCATGCCACTGTACTCCAGCCTGGGTGACAGAGTGAGACCCTGTCTCAACAAAATAAAATAAAATAAAAAAGAGGGCCTAGGAGCAGTGATACCCCAGTAGCAATGAGTACAACTAGTGCTCAGATCTTGGTCCCTCAGTAGTATTCTTTGATGAAAAGAACCTCCTCTGAGCTCTTTGGAGAAGTGCTTGTTTCCAGGGTTGGCGGAGGATGAGCCTGGAACATCTTGTAGTACCAGAAAATAAAGAACTGCTTTAAAAAAGAAGTGGAGGCTGGGCATGGTGGCCCACGCCTGTAATGCTAGCACTTTAGGAAGCTGAGTCAGGTGGATTGCTTGCGTGCAGGAGTTTGAGACCAACCTGGGCAATGTGGGGAGACTCTGTCTCTACAAAAATTAAAAAATTAACTGGGAGTGGTGGCAGGTGCCTATAGTCCCAACTACTCAGAGGCTGAGGTGAGATGATTGCTTGAACCTGGGAGGTTAAGGCTGCAGTGAGCTATGATTGCACCACTGCACTCCAGCCTGAGTGCCAGAGCTAGACCCTCTCTCAACAAAATAAATTAAATAAATAAATAAAAATAAAAAAGGAAGGGGCATGTCAAAAGGACTCAAACTAACCTGAAGGAGCTCCCAATGACCAAACCTGGAAATATTTGAGAAACAATATAAATAATGACAGTATTGGATTATAACCCATGGAATAAAATAACTATCCAGGAGTCCATGCTGACATAAATATAATTAAATGAATAAATGAGTGAGCAGGAACAATTTTTTTTTTATTAATTTTTTTCTTTCAGTTTTTGTTTGTTTGTTTGTTTGTTTTGTTTTGAGACGGAGTCTTGCTCTGTTGCCCAGGCTGGAGTGCAGTGGCGCAATCTCGGCTCACTGCAAACTCCGCCCCCTGGGTTCACACCATTCTCCTGCCTCAGCCTCCTGAGTAGCTGGGAATATAGGCGCCCGCCACTACACCCGGCTAATTTTTTGTATATTTAGTAGAGACTGGATTTCACTGTGTTAGCCAGGATGGTCTCGATCTCCTGACCTCGTGATCCACCCGCCTCGGCCTCCCGAAGTGCTGGGATTACAGGCATGAGCCACCGTGCCCGGCAGGAACAATTATTTTTTACAGAAAACTTCCAATTAATAAACGTAGAATGAATGTGGGAAATATACAATCTCCGATATATAAACACAACAGTAATTGTTGCAGGCAAGACCCACTGATGAATGGTAAAATCAGTGGTCGAGTCCAGGTGCAGTGGCTCAGGCCTGTAATCCCAGGACTTTGGGAAGCTGAGACGGTAGGATCACTTGAGGCCAGGAGTTCAAGTCCACCCTTGGCAACCCAGAGAGACCCTGTCTCTACAAAAAAAATTTTTAAAATTAGCTGGGTGTAGTGGAGTGCACCTTAGTCCCAGCTACTTGGGAGGCTGAGGTGGAGGGATTCCCTGAGCTCAGGCATTTGACTCTGCAGTGAGCTATGATTGTGCCACTGTACTCCAGCCTAGGTGATAGAGAGAGACCCTGTCTCTAAAGATAAAAAAAAAAAAAAAATCAGTGGTTTGAGGAGAAACGGGACATTTGCATATCCTCAAAGTAACTCCTCTAAGATATTTATCAATGTACGAAGGAAAAAACAGTAATTTAATTCCTGGTAGACACCAGCTTAACCAAGTGATCAAGATTAATATCAGTAATAAGATGTATTGGCATCATGTATCCTCTGATATAATGCATTGAGAGAACATGATATAACTTTTGTGTCACTTTTGTCAAAAATCCATGACTTCAATCTAATTATGAAAAAAATGCCAGATAAACCAAATTAAGAGATATTTTGCAAGATGACTACTAATACTCATCCAAGTGTCAAAGTTGGCTGGTGCGGGGGCTTACGTCTGCAATCTCAGAGCTTTGGGAGGTGAGGCTGGAAGATCGCTAGAGTTTAGGAGTTTGAGAACAGCCTGGGCATCGTACGTCATAGTGAGACTTTGTCTCTACAAAAAATTTAAGAACTAGCTGAGTGTGGTGGTCCGTGCTCATCTCTCAGTTATTTGGGAGGATGAGGTGGAAGGATTGCTTGACCTGGGGAAATGGAGGTTGCAGTGAGCCGAGATCACATACTGCACTATAGCCTGGGTGACAGAGCGAGACTCTGTCTTACCAAAAAAAAGTGTCAAAGTTATGAAAGACAAGGAAAGACTGAGGAATTGTCATAGATTGGAGAAGACTAAGGAAACACAACAACTAAATGCAATATGGGATTCTGGATTGGATCATGGAACAGGAAAAGGACATTACCAACATAGTGAAAACTCATCTCTACTAAAAATACGAAAAGTTAGCCAGGCATGGTGGTGCAGGCCTGTAATCCCACTACTCAGGAGGCTAAGGCAAGAGAATCACTTGAACCTGGGAGGTGGAGGTTGCAGTAAGCCAAGATCATGCCACTGCCCTCCAGCCTGGGCAACAGAGCAATACCACCCTGTCTCTAAATAAATAAATAAATAAATAAATAAATAAATAGAAAAAGGGCAGGGTGCAGTGGCTCACCCCTCTAATCCCAGAACTTTGGGAGGCCAAGGCGAGCAGATCACGAGGTCAGGAGATCCAGACCATCCTGACTAACATGGCGAAACCCTGTCTCTACTAAAAATACAAAAAATTAGCCACGCGTGGTGGTGGGTGCCTGTAGTCCCAGCTACTTTGGAGGCTGAGGCAGGAGAATGGCGTGAACCGGGAAGCGGAGCTTGCAGTGAGCCGAGATCACGCCACTGCACTCCAGCCTGGGCGACAGAGCGAGACTCCATCTCAAAAAAAAAAAAGGACATTAGGGGGAAAACTGGCAAAATCCAAATAAGGTATATAGTTTATAGTGATTAGTGATTTAGTAATGTTAACTTCATAGTTTTGATCATTGTACTATGCCTGTGCATGTTTTTAACATTAGAGGAAGCTGGGTGAAGGGTATATGTGAATTCTGTACTATTTTTGTAACTTTTTTGTAAGTGTAAAATTATTTCAAAATAAAAAGTTTTTTGTTTTTTTTTTTCAAGGAGAATAAAGGGTATGAGGGTGGGATCTAAAACACAGGGGAGGCTGGGTGAGGTGGCTCACACCTGTAATCCCAGCACTTTGGGAGGCTGAGGTGGGCAGATCACTTGAGGTCAGGAGTTTGACACCAGCCTGGCCAACGTGGTGAAACCCTATCTCTACTAAAACCACAAAAATTAGCTGGGCATGGTGCTGTGTGCCTGTAATCCCAGCTACTCGGGAGGCTGAAGCACGAGAATCACTTGAACCCGGGAGGCGGAGGTTGCAGTGAGCCGAGATCACATCACTGCACTCCAGCCTGGGAGACAAAGCAAGACCCTGTCTCAGTAAAATAAAATAAAATAAAAATAAAATAAATAAATAAAACACAGGGGAAAGAGTAGCCTTAGTTAGGAGGAGCTATACCTCTCCCATGGTACCAAGAAGGCTGGCAGAAGGCATGAGTGGTCCTGTAGATGGGTTTTCTGTCTTGGTGGCTGGAAGCTGATAAAGTTCTTCAATGGGGTTCATGGCTGCATTCTCAATGCCAATTCACAGGACATATCATAGAATGAGGACTGGACAAATGTTTATTGAACTGAACAGGACTGAGTTTGAAACACAACTACATTATGATTATATCATTTTTTCTACCTATGTGGCCTTAGGCTTGTTACTCATTCTCTCAGTGCCTCCATTTCCTATGAAATGGGAATATAATCCTAGTTGTTGAGGCAGAGATTAATAAGTATTCAGCCAAATCTGTTTCATTTTCTTTCTGGGCACACAGCTAAATCATACTTTCCTGCCTCCAATTCTGTTAGGCTGACCAGCACTTCACTGGCTCTGAACACATGTTTGATGAAAGAGTATAACTATTGACATGCTCCATTACAAACTTTGTTGTGTCACCAGTTCTTCCGTATCTTGATCCAAGATGACATCTTGTCTGGCCATGGAGGTGGTTAAGACTAAATGAAAATTTCCAAGAGATAATTTGTCATAAAGGATATGACTTGCTTTACACAGAACCAGCTGCTAATGACTAACCCTTCTTTAATTATGAGCCATGGAGAACAGTCATGCATTAAAAATTCCTTGACATTCGATAGACCCGGAAGAAAATAATAATTCACGGCCGGGCATGGTGGCTCACGCCTGTAATCCTAGCACTTTGGGAGGCTGAGGCCGGTGGATCACCTGAGGTCAAGAGTTCAAGACCAGTCTGGCCAACATGGTGAAACCCTGTCTCTACTAAGAATACAAAAATAAGCTGGGTGTGGTGGCGGGCACCTGTAATCCCAGCTACTTGGGAGGCTGAGACAGGAGCATCACTTGAACCCAGGAGGCGGACGTTGTAGTGAGCTGAGGTTGTGCCATTGCACTCCAGCCTGGGCAACAAGAGTGAAACTTCATCTAAAAAAAAAAAAAAAATTAGCTGGGCATGGTGGCATGAACTAATCGGGAGGCTGAGGTGAGAGAATCCTGGAGGGAGTGGGAGTCCTGGAGGTCTAGGCTGCAGTGACCCTGTCTCCATCAAAAAAAAAAAAAAGGAGAGAGAGAGAGAGAAAAGAAAACAGGAAAAATTAGACGGCCAGGCATGGTGGCTCATGCCTGTAATCCCAGCACTTTGGGAGGCCAAGGAGGGCGGATCACAGGGTCAGGAGTTCGAGACCAGCCTGGCCAATATGGTGAAACCTCATCTGTACGAAAAATACAAAATTTAGCTGGGCATGGTGGTGCGTGCCTGTAGTCCCAGCTACTTGGGAGGCTGAGGCAGAAGAATTGCTTGAACCCAGGAGGCGGAGGTTGCAGTGAGTCGAGATCGTGCGACTGTACTCCAGCCTGGGTGACAGAGCTAGACTCTATCTCAAAAAAAAAAAAAAAAAGAAAGAAAAAATCAGAAACATTTTGCTGGAATGTTTCCTCCTTTTTTGTGCCCTCGGATTCCCCCACTCAGCTAATTTGAGGACATAGGATTATAAGAAAGGTGTGAGGACTGGGGAGTGTGTTGTAGTTAGAAAATGGGAAAATTGAATTGCAGCTAATACAAACTTGCTGGCTAGGTTATAGTACCTTGGATTAAGCCTTTATGGTTTAGAATTTGAACCTCAACATTTCCAGTTTAATAACATGGTCAAGTCAGTTATATGAATGAGTTAAATGAATCCATGGATTCTCATGCCAACCAGTCTTTTGTGAGAATATATAAACCAGAATGTTAATTTGCTACCTCATAATAAGAAATGTAACCAGACAGCAGATTGTATATTCAGATTGTATATTTATCAGCCGCTTGAGATTTTTTGTTTTGTTTTTGAGACAGGGTCTCACTCTGTCACTCAGGCTGGAGTGCAATACGATCTCAGCTCACTGCAACCTCTACCTCCTGGGCTCAAGCCATCCTCCCACCTCAGACTCCTGAGTAGCTGGGTCTACAGGCGCAAGCCACCATACCCAGCTAATGTTTTGTATTTTTGGTAAAGATGAGATTTTGCCATGCTGCCCAGGCTGGTCTCGAACTCCTGGTCTCAAGTGAACCACCCGCCTGGGCCTCCCAAAGTGCTGGGATTACAGGCGTGAGACACCACACCTGGCCTGCTTGAGATATTCTTTCCTTGCAGGATAATCTACATGGGAAGCCTAGTTATCCTCAGATTTTCTGGTAAACAGGAATCTGGAGCAAGAAGAATTAGCTCGGTAATCATAAAAGACCAGTGTTATCTAATTACGATAACCGAATGCAATCATTTCAGCCTTAAGAATAGAATTGCTCAGAGAGGGTTGCTTTTTCTCTACCGCGATTTTCTTTCATGTGAGTTGAGCTGGAGTGATGCACTCCTTGCTTTCCCTTTATCCATTGTAATCCAAGGCAGAGAGTAACTCATCTGATTGGTAAATCAGGAAGAACAACTTAGGTATGCTTGCCTCATTTCCTCTCATTTCCCTCAAGAGTACACACTTCCTTTGGGATTTAAGCATTACTTGGTCCAGTGTGTTCAGTGTTGTCCAGGGCCAACTTCTTCATTAGGCACAGCAGGCAGTGCCTAGGGTCAATTATACCCATAGTGCCTAGGGTCCATGAAAATGTTTCAATTTCCTTTAAAATCAGAAGAAAAAAATTGAGGCTGGGTGCGGTGGCTCAAGCCTGTAATCCCAGCACTTTGGGAGGCTGCTGCTGTAGGATCCTTTGAGCCCAGGAGTTGGAGACCAGCCAAGGCAATATAGTGAGACCCCATATCCTTGTCTACAAAAAATTTAAAAACTGGCTTGGTGTGGTGCTATGTGCCTTTGATCCCAGTTACTCGGAAGGCTGAGGTGGGAGAATCCTTGAGCCCAGGAGGCTTAAACTGGAGTGAGCTGAGATATTGGCACTACACTCCAGCCTCCTAATGGTGCGATCTCTGCTCACTGCAACCTCCGCCTCCCGGGTTCAAGCGATTCTCCTGCTTCAGCCTCCTAAATAGCTGAGGTTACATGTACACTCTACCATGCCCAGCTAATTTTTGTATTTCTAGTAGAGACAGGGTTTCACCGTGTTGGCCAGGCTGGTCCCAAACTCCTGACGTCAAGTGATCTGCCCACCTCGGACTCCCAAAGTGCTGGGATTACAGGTGTGAGCCACTGCACCGGGCCCAAATCCTCCTATATTTTGTACTTAGCCAAAAGAAAAATGAGAAAACCCAATGACATTATGCTATAAATTATGATTGATTTCTGATTTGGAACAAGTTTTTGTTGTTGTTGTTTTGAGACGGAGTCTAGCTCTGTTGCTGAGGCTGGAGTGCAGTGGCTCAATCTCGGCTCACTGCAACCTCTGCCTCCCGGGTTCAAGGGATTCTCCTGCCTCAGTCTCTTGAGTAGCTGAGACTACAGGCGCACACCACCATGCATGGCTAATTTTTGTATTTGTAGTAGAGACAGGGTTTTCACCATGTTGGTCAGACTGGTCTCGAACTCCTGACCTCAGGTGATCCACCCGCCTCAGCCTCCCAAAGTGCTGGGATTACAGGGTGAGCCACCGAGCCCAGCCCAAGGCATGGTTTTATATATTAAAAAGTCGCTGGCCAGGTGTGATGGCTCACGCCTGTAATCCCAGCACTTTGGCAGACTGAGGCAGGTGGAATACCTGAGGTCAGGAGTTTGAGACCACCCTGACCAACGTGATGAAACCCCATCTCTACTAAAAATACAAAAAATTAGTCAGGCATGGTGGTAGAAGCCTGTAATCCCAGCTACTGGGGAGTCTGAGGCAGGAGAATTGCTTGAACCTGAGAGGCGGAGGTTGCAGTGAGTTGAGATCATGCCACTGCACTCCAGCCTGGGCAACAAGACCGAAAGTCTGCCTCAAAAAACAAAACAAAACAAAAGTCACTGATGTTACGTGATATTATTACATTCAGAGAGCAAGTTGGGATTACAAATAACATTTTTCCAGGTAAATCAGTATATTCTTACGCTTATTTTTTTTTTTGTCTTTTTTTTTCTTCCTTTTTGTGGAGAACGGGGTCTCACTATATCGCCCAGTCAGGTCTTGAACTCCTGGGTTCAAGCTATCCTCCCACCTCTGCTTCCCTGAGAGCTGGGATTACAGGCGTGAGCCATCGCGCCTGGCATAAATCAGTATATTCTTAGTTTTTTCCCCCTTATCTACATTAGTTACCTGATTAAAAATCCTGGATATTTGAGTTCTAGTTTTTTTTTTTTTTTTTTTTTTTTTTTTTTTTTTTTGAGACGGAGTTTTGCTCTTGTTGCCCAGGCTGGAGAGCAGTGGCATGATCTTGGCTCACTGCAACCTCTGCCTCCCAGGTTCAAGAGATTGTCCTGCCTCAGCCTCCTGAGTAGCTGGGATTATAGGCGCCTGCCACCACGCCCAGTTAAGTTTTGTATTTTTAGTAGAGATGGGGTTTTGCCATGTTGGCTAGGCTGGTCTTGAACTCCTGACGTCAAGTGATCCGCCTGCCTCAGCATCCTAAAGTGCTGGGATTATAGGCGTGAGCCACCGAGCCAGGCCTCAAAGCCCTTCTCGTCCTGGGTCTCCGGCACGAGCTGGGGCATGGGCAGCGACCTGCCTTCCTGGCTCAGCGACACTTAGGTGAAGACACTGGCGGCCCTGTAGCGCTTCTGAGAGCTGTCCACAACACAGTCGGCATCCACCAAGACCTCGATCTCTACGGACTTATTGCTCGTGAAGGTCATGCGTCCGGAGATGGTCTTGATGCAGCCTTTTCTGATCTTGTTGTCAAAATTAATGGCCTCCATGGAGGCTGTGACGAGGTTGGTCTTGCAGTGGCGTGCAGCCAAGATCCCGGCGACCTCGTCCATGACCTTCATGGTCACCCCTTCATGCACGAAGCTGTGCAGGGTACAGTCTGAAGGCCCCACCAGGTGGATCAAGCTGGACTGGCTGTAGCTGACAGTGTTCGGCTCTGGGTTGAGGACTGGCTGGACGATGTCCCCGTTCCTCCAGTTGGTCTCCATGCGCTCCAGCTTCTGGGTTTTGTACCGCTTCTGGCCCTCCTCCTCCTGCTCCTGCCGGAAATACACAACAGGAGGCTCTTCGAGGACCTTGTCCACGTTCGTCAGCGACAGGGGCGCATACCAGAGGGTGGCCTTATTGGTCAGCTTTTTGGCACCTGTGAGGATGTTTTCGGACATCATGTTGACCTGCACCTCCACAGAGTGCTTGGAGGTGTAGGTGATCTCCGCGCTGACGTGGGCCACCTCACCGATGCACATGGGCCACAGGAAGTGGGTGCACTCGACCCGAGCCAGAGCGGCCACACAGCGATCCCCGTTCTGCGGATTGCAATGCCGGGTGCTGATGATGGCGCCCGCCTCTTTGATCATCTTCAGGATGGTCCCGCCTAGACATTGCGGGCCACATTAGCGTCCGCATAATCCGGCAGATCTGGATGGCGGTCGGCGTCTTGATGTCTGGGCCAGACATGCTGGCAGCTGTGGCGGTGGCTGCAGGAGGGCGCAGGTGTCTGGCAGGCCTGGCGCGGAATTGAGTTTTAGTGTTGAGAAAATTAAAGTTTTGGTTGTTAAAATGATTGCAGTTTTAGCTAACTTCAATTTTAAAATTCACCAATAATAAAACTATTATTTATCAATAAGTAGAAACGAGTTAGAAAATATTCAATCCCTTCAATTCAGATGGAGAATAAACTAGTATTTTTCGAACACCTGACACATATCGAGCGTTTACTTAGGTATTTGCATCTATAATGCAATTTAATTCTTGCAACTGTCCTGGCCGGGCACAGTGTCTCAGGCCTGTAATCCCACCATTTTGGGAGGCTGATGAGGGAAGATCGCTTGGGCCCAGGAGTTCATAGACCAGCCTGGGCAACATAGTGAGATCCCCATCTCTAAAGAAAACTAAACAAAACAAAACATGTTCTTTTTTTTTCTTTTTTCTTTTTTTTAGACAGGCTGTCACTCTGTCACCCAGGCTGGAGTACAGTGGCGCGATCTTGGCTCACTGCAACTTCCACCTCCCAAGTTCAAGCAATTATCCTGTCTCAGTTTCCCGAGTAGCTGGGATTACAGGCTCTTGACACCAAGCCTGGCTAAAAACCAGTCCTTTAAATTTAGCATCCTGGCTGGGTGCGGTGGCTCACACCTGTAATCCCAGTATTTTGGGAGGCCGAGGCAGGTGGATCACTTGAGCTCAGGAGTTTGAGACCAGCCTGGGCAACATGGCAAAACCCCGTCTCTACCAAAAATACAAAAGTTAGCCGGGCATGGTGGCATGTGCCTGTAGTCCCTGATACCTGGGAGGCTGAGGTGGGATGATCCTTCGAGTTCCAGAGGCAGAGGTTGCAGTGAGCCGAGATAGTGCCAGTGCACCCCAGCCTGGGCAAAAGAGTGAGACCCTTTCTAAAACAAAAAACAAACAAAAAAATTAGCATCCTTATCCCCACTGTAGAATTAAAGAAATTGAGCCTAGGAGCAGTTAAGTATCTTTGCAGAGATCATACATTAATGGGATGGCAGAACTAAAAATATGGATCTACACCTAAGATTTAAAAGCCTGTATTATTTTCCACTTCACCATACTACTTCTGTTAGTAAAAATAACAATGATGATGCTTTGTATCTGTCTTACCTCACATAAATTATAACAAAGCTCCTTAAGGACAGGGGCCATGTCTTATACTTTTATGATATCCCTAATGAATTTTCAAGAAATATTGCTTGAATGGTATGGTTGGTTCCTGGTATTTAAATAATGTTATTCAATTTTTCAATGGTATTTCAATGATAGAAATAAATTACGCTTTTTTAACCTTAGTATTTATAATGCAATTATTCTGACTTATTTCACATGAGAGACAATTTTATCATCCAGTTTAAATTCATCTTACATAAAAAATGTGTGAACAGGCCGAACACAGTGGCTCACGCCTGTAATCTCAGCAATTTGGGAGGCTGTGGCAGGCAGATTGCTTGAGCTCAGGAGTTTGAGACCAGCCTAGGGAGCACGGCAAAACCCTGTGTCTACAAAAAATATAATTATTAGCTGAGTATGGTGGCACATGCCTGTGGTCCCACCTATTAGGAGGCTGAGGTGGGAGGATCACCTGAGCCCAGGGAGTTTGAGGCTGCAATAAGCTGTGATCATGCCAGTCTCCAGTCCAGGAGACAGAGTGAGACTGTCTCAAAAAAAAAAAAAAAAAAAAGCATAAACATATATGCAGCTTTTTTTGCTGCCATTCTGTCATTTTTTGGAGTGTATGATATTTTTGGAGCATTATGATATCATGCTTATATAAAATATATTTAATATATTTAACTTCATTTGCAGGCTATTGAACTCTAGGAGTTGCCTTATGAATACCATTCTGGGACTTTGAGGATTTTCCTAAGTACTTTCCGTCTGTTCAGTACTGGGAATAATAATATAAAATAAATAGTAAGAGGATAGTACTATCTATAGCGTTGAAAACACTGACAGAGAAATGGACTTTGCCTTCAGAAAGGTATTAGCCTCAAAGGTTTAAGTAGTCCTAGAACTTGGAAACATATATCTTTTTTCCTTTTTCTTTTTTCTTTTTTTTTTGAGTCTTGCAGAATTAGCTAGAATGGAAACCCATATTTGAATGTACTAAAATAATTATCACAAGGACTCTTTACCCTGGGATTGGTGCTCTTGCCCTGGCCCTAACGCCTTTCCTTTCAAAACAGAAACCAGACCAAACCAAACAAAAATGTCTCACACTCCTCAAACTCCATTCTATTTAGCAACATTCAGCATTTATCTTTCAGGCAGGTCATCACCAAACATTGAAAAGTCTAACTTCTTAGGCAGGGACTGAGAGGAAAGTCTAGTGGGTGGAATGTGTTACTTGGCCCCAGGCCCAGCTCATATTTTCCATGAACAAACACCACCTTAGCTTAGGGTGAATGTCTTTAACGACACCTCTGGAGCTGGCCTCCCTCAATTTAGGAGATTTTTTTTTTTAAAGTACAATCAAATTTTGAGAACCTAAATAATTTCATTACAAAGAACTTTACATTTCCTTTTAACAAGCATTTACAGAAAAATTACTATGAGGTCAGGCGCAGTGGCTCACGCCTGTAATCCTAACACTTTGGGAGGCCAAGGCACGTGGATCAGTTGAGGTCAGGAGTTCAAGACCAGCCTAGCCAACATGTCAAAAACCCATCTCTACTAAAAATACAAAAATTAGCCGAGCCTGATGGTGCATGCCTGTAATCCCAACTACTTGGGAGGCTGAGGCAAGAAAATCGCTTGACCTAGGGGTGGGAGGTTGCAGTGAGCCGAGATCACGCCACTGCATTCCAGCCCCGGTGACAGAGCGAGACCCTGTCACAAACAAACAAACAAAAACAAAAAAGAAAACCTGCTATGACAGTGAGATTTCTTTGGATGCAACTATCAAGAAACAACTCAAGTTAGCTTAGGCCAAAAAAGGAGAGATTTATTATAAGAATATAGGGATGTTTCGAAGAAACCAAGGAGAGAGATGTAGCTGGCCCCAGGAAAGGCCAAAAACAAGTTGTTGAGAGCCCAGACATTATCTTCTCTCCATCTCTCCAATATCTCTTCTCTGCTTGTTTCTTCTCTCTCGAGCAGCTTCCTCTGCTACCCTGGCCTGACGTAGAATATAGCTGCCTCCAACTCCTGAGTTAATCCTATACAAGCTCAGCAGCACAAAGAAACTGAGAATCGCAAATCTTTTATATTTTTACTTAAATGCTATTTATTTTTACACAGCAAATAGATTTTTTTTTTAAGAGATGGGGTCTTGCTCTGTTGCCCAGGCTGGATGCTCAAGCCATCCTCTCACCTCAGCCTCCAAAGCAGCTGGAACTACAGGCACACACCACCGTGCCCAGCTAATTAAAATTTTCTTCTTTCTTTTCTTTTTTTTTTAAGACCAGGCACAGTGGCTCATGCTTGTAATCCCAGCACTTGTGGGAGGCCGTGGCAGGCTGATCACTTGAGGTCATGGGTTCGAGACCAGCCTGGTCAATATGGTGAGACCTCATCTCTACTAAAAATACCAAAATTAGCTGGGTGTGGTGGTGCGTGCCTGTAATTCGAGCTACTCAGGAGGCTGAGGCAGGAGAATCACTTGAACCCAGGAGGGGTTGAACCTGGGAGGTGGAGGTTGCAAGGTGAGATTAGATTGCACTACTGCACTCCAGCCTGGGCAACAAAGTGAGACTCTGTCACAAATTAAAAAAAAAAAAAAAAAAAATTGGGGCTTGGCGTGGTGGCTCACGCCTATAATCTCAGCACTTTGGGAGGCCAAGGTGGGCAGATCACTTGAGGTCAGGAGTTTAAGACCAGCCTGGGCAACATGGTGAAACCCTGTTCTATACTAAAAATACAAAAATTAGGGCCGGGCGCAGTGGCTCATGACTGTAATCCCAGCACTTTGGGAGGCTGAGGTGGGCGGATCACCTGAGGTCAGGAGTTCGAGACCAGCCTGGCCAACATGGAGAAACCCTGTCTCTACTAAAAATACAAAATTAGTCAGGCGTGGTGGCGCATGTCTGTAATCCCAGCTACTTGGGAGGCAGGAGAATCGCTTGAGCATGGGAGGTGGAGGTTGCAATGAGGCAAGATCGTGCCATTGCACTCCAGCCTGGGCAACAAGAGCAAAACTCTGTCTCAAAAAACAAAACAAAACAAAGCAAAACAAAAATTAGCCTGGCATGGTGGCAGGCACCTGTAATCCCAGCTACTCTGGAGGCTGAGGCAGGGAGAATCGCTTGAACCTAGGAGGTAGAGGTTGCAGTGAGCCGAGACGTGCCATTGCACTCCAGCCTGGGTGACAGAGCGTGACTCTGTTAAAAAAAAAAAAAATCAGCTTGGTGTAGTGGCGTGTGCCTGTAATCCTAACTACTCGGGAGGCTGAGGCAGGAGAATCACGCAGCGAGACTCCGTCTCAAAAAAAAAAAAAAAGGGCGGGTGCAGTGGATCACGCCTGTAATCCCAGCAATTTGGGAGGCCGAGGCAGGTGGGTCACCTGAGGTCAGGAGTTCGAGACTAGCCTGGCCAACATATTGAAACCCTGTCTCTACTAAAAATACAAAAATTAGCTGGGCGTGATGGTGCACATCTGTAATCCCAGCTACTCGGGAGGCTGAGACAGGAAAATCCCTTGAACCCAGGAGGTGGAGGTTGCAGTGAGCCGAGATTGCGCCACTGCTCTCCAGCCTGAGCGACACAGTGATACTGCCTCAAAAAAAAAAAAAAAAAAAATTGGTACATTAGCCTGGCATGGTGGTTTGTGTTTGTAGTCCTGGCTACTTGGGAGGCTGAGGCAGGAGGATAGCTTGAGCCCTAGAAGTTAGGCTGTAATGAGCTGACATCGTGCCACTGCACTCTAGTTTGGGCAATAGAGCAAGATCCTGTCATGAAAAATAAATAAATATATAAAATTGGTTCAGTGAAAAGTCTCTTCATCCTCTTTCCTCTAGCCACCATTTGCTTTCTCAAAAGCAATTAATGGAGCAGTTTGTTCTATCTTCTTCTTGAGATATTCTATGTATATGTGATAAAAGCCATCCATCCATCCATCCATCCATCCATCCATCCATCCATCCATCCCATCCATCCCATCCATCATCATATCTTTCTACCTACCTACCTATCTATATTTATCTATCTTTTCCTCCTCTCCATTTTTTTTACACTAATGGCAGCATACCATACACACAGTGAGCAATATATCTTGGAGATGGTGCAGTATGAACATTTAGAGTGACATCATCCTCTTATATTGTGGCATTCTGCTCTTTTCATCTAACATACTGCATTTAACCAGTTCCCTGTAGGTGGGCATTTAGGTTTTTCCCCCATCTTTTGCTATATTACAAACAATGCTGCACATATGTAATTTAAAAATATGCTTAAGAGTAATTTGTATTTCTTTTTCTGTGAGCAGTCTTTTTTATAATGTGTCCATTTTTTACTATTGGGTCGTTAGTCTTTTCCTTATTGATTTCTACATGTTTGTATATTAGAGAAATCAGCCCTTTGTCTCCGATGTGAATTGCATTTTTTCTTGTTTATTATTTGTATTTTGATTTTACTAATGGTCTTTGTCCCAATTCTAAAATTTCCCTGGAAGAGACTAATTGGATTAAAACACCCACTCTTGGTTAACTGTGGTGAAGGAAGTAGAGTGATTTTTCAAAACCCTGGAGTCTGGTCCTGTAGAATTGGGGGAAGAGGGTACAACTGACTAGGAAATTGTAAGCTAGGAAGGTACCCTAAAAGGAGTTTAGTACATTTCAATGTGTAAGGTATGTTTTCTAGTTACTGTGGATACATATTTTGTCTAGGGGAAGAGAGTTCACAGTTTTAGCAAAGATACAGACCAACA
Organism: Homo sapiens; assembly: GCF_000001405.40. Classification (NCBI taxonomy): domain Eukaryota; kingdom Metazoa; phylum Chordata; class Mammalia; order Primates; family Hominidae; genus Homo; species Homo sapiens. Next base: position 40,050,056 of record NC_000004.12, read on the forward strand.
AATAATCATCACTGCAATTAAGAGAAGTACACAGACATTGCTGTGGGCATAGAAGAAATCATTCTCTTTGGGAGGCCAAGGTGGGAGGATCACTTGAGCCTAGAATTTGAGACCAGCCTGGCCAACATGGTGAAACCCTGTCTCTATGAAAATACAAAAAAATTAGCCAGGTGTGGTGGTACACACCTGTAATCCTAGCTACTTGGGAGGCTGAGGCAGAATTGCTTGAACCTGGGAGACAGAGGTTGCAGTGAGCCAAGATCATGCCACGGCCCTCCAGCCTGGGTGACTCTCAAAAAAAAAAAAAAATAAAATAAAATAAATAAATAAATAAACCGTTCTATTTGGGGCATCCAGAAAAGCTTTACAGGATAAAAGGGCATTTGGGTTGGGTTGTAAACACAAATGAAAGTGAATGACTAGGTTAGCCAATGGTTCAACATCCCTGGAAAGGATGTATTGTGAGGTGTGTGATTGTCTCAAATAGAGGAGTAATATAACTGACAGAAGAATGTTAGCAGGTATGGTTACAGGATGTATAGTTTCCCTATTGGCAAGTGATAGGCAAGTGATATGAAAACTTGGCTGGGTGCGGTGGCTCATGCCTGTAATCCCAGCACTTTGGGAGGCCGAGGTCGGTGGATCACCTGGGGTCAGGAGTTTGGAGATCAGCCTGACAAACATGGTGAAACTCCGTCTCTACTAAAAATACAAAAATTAGTCAGCTGTAGTAGCAGGCGCCTGTAATCCCAACTACTTGGGAGGCCGAGGCAGGATAATCGCTTGAACCCGGGAGGTGGAGGTTGCAGTGAGCAGAGATCGCGCCACTGCACTCCAGCCTGGGCAACAGAGCTAGACTCCGTATTAAAAAAAAAGAAAAAGAAAACTTACAGTTACATAAAGCTGGAGCTCCCACAACATGCTTACAGACAAGAGGTATGGCTTCCCGTAAAGTTTCTCACGAAGACACAGAATTGTTGTTGCTATCACACTCAAAGAAGGAGGATTATCCTGGGAATAAGGAAGCTATCCTTGGCATTATCCAGACTTTTTTTTTTTAATACTGTTTTTGCCAATCCTATCTCCACCCTTTCTTGTCAAGTTTGGAGACTGCCTCATGCCTGTCCATTCATGTACAGAGAAACTGGGTAAAACAAAGGTCAATTTCTCAAGAGCATTTCTCAGGAGACCTACATTTCAGGCTTATTTGAGGTCATTTTTGCAGGAGTGGCAGCATTTGGAAGCAGAGGTGAGGGGGTTTGGATTTTATCTTCAAATATGTAGACAAGTGTTTCCTCCAAAATGTGATATAAAATCACATGTCCTGGGATACTCTCTATGAATAAAGGATTTGCGGTCAAGTAAGTTTGGAAATATTTACTAGTATATCCTTTTCTTAGAGTTCCTAGGCACATTGGCATATTAAAAGCTCTGAGAATTTATTCAAAGAAAAAACAGAGTGCAATGAGAAGCCCTTCAGTTTAAAAGCAATGCATAACTATTTATCCCTATTGAGAAAAGCTAGTAGAAATTAGAGGAGCTGTGAAGTTTGTGAGAGGAGAGAGACACAATCAGATTTGGTTTTTCATAAAGTTTTCACTCAGACTGGAATGCCATTGATATTTATTTTTAGAAGTTATCTTTTTTTTCTTTTCCTTTTTTTTTTGGAGACAGTGTCTCACTCTGTTGTCCAGGCTGGAGTGCAGTGGTGCAATCTTGGCTCACTGCAGCCTTCACCTCCCAGACCCAGGTGATCCTCCCACCTCAGCCTCCTGAGGAACAGGGACTACAGGCACATGCCACCATGCCCAGCTAATTTTTGCATTTGTTGTAGAGATGGAGTTTCACCATGTTGTCCAGGCTGCAAAAGTTATCTTCTTTTGGTAGATTTTCTTAGTACCCTATTCCTTCCTTTAGGATATTTGTTTCCTTATTATTATTTTAACAGCCTTTATGCTTGCCTTTTTTTTTTCTTTTTTTTGAGACAATGTCTCACTTTGTTGTCCAGGCTGGAGTGCAGTAGCGCGATCTCAGCTCACTGCAACCTCTGCCTCCTGGGCTCAAGTGATCCTCCCACCTCAGCCTCCCAAGTAGCTGAGACTGTAGGTCCATACCACCACACCTAGCTAATTTTTGTATTTCTTGTAGAGATGGAGTTTCCCCATGTTGTCCAGGATGGCACCTTTTATAGATAAATAATTGCACTAAGAAAATTACATTTTCTTTATGATTGAGTCCACTAATATCTGTGAGTAATAACTACTATTTATTAAGCCTCTTTTATGTACATTTATTATTTTAATTAATCAGAATGTAGCTTTTATGAATGCTATTTGAGAGATGAGAAAACTGAGTATTTGAGAGTTTAAGTAATTTTCCCAAGGTCAGAGCTTGATGCACCCTGGGTTGAGTGTGGTAAAGAAATCTTACATAAAGATAAAACCCATTGATATTTATTTACTTTAGATAATGGCAATATTATCTACTATTCGGTTTCCACTAAATTTAAAATGGAAAAACACAATAATTCCAGCATATGTTGGTCCTACTTTCTTTTAGTAAAGTTCTTGCAACAATACTATTCTTTTTTTTTTTGAGATGGAGTCTCACTCTGTCACCCAGGCTGGAGTGCAATGGCACGATCTTGGCTCACTGCAACCTCCACCTCCCGGATTCAAGCCATTCTCCTGCCTCAGGCTCCTGAGTAGCTGGGACTACAGGCAAGAGCCACCACACTCAGCTAATTTTTGTATTTTTGGTAGAAACGGGGTTTCAGCATGTTAGCCAGGCTGGTCTCCATCTCCTGACATCGTGATCCGCCCGCCTTGGCCTCCCAAAGTGCTGGGATTACAGGTGTGAGCCACTGCGCCTGGTCAACAATACTATTCTTAGTTGGGAATGAAAACAGTGTCATTAGCCATTATGTAGAAGAGGAAAAAATCCTGACACAGATTTTCTTGATTTGCCATATGTCTTGTCATAGAGTGATGCTCACTTATTCTTTCACTCAGTAAACATTCATGGAGTGTTTATATTGCACAAGGCTGGGAGTCTGACAATGAGGAATACAAGGCTGAATGGGAAACTTCAAGGCATTGATGACTTAGTAAGGGAGATTATAAACACATGAATAATTAAGTGGAATGCTTCAAGTCATAATCCAAGTATAGGAATACAAAGGTGGCATAGATTATTAATATTTTTGGTTGGAAGGAAATCATACCTATGTTCTAAACATAAACACAGACAATCATGTTTAGAATTTAGCTGTTACATAGACCAAAGTTGGACTTAGGTAAATATAAAAGGTTTACTTTTGACGACTTGGCAGTTTTTTTTTTTTTTTTTACAAAAATCCAAGACATTTCCCAAAATATAAACTTTTTTTTTTTTTTTTTCTTTTTTTTTTTGAGACGGTGTCTGGCTCTGTCGCCCAGGCTGGAGTGCAGTGACACAATCTTGGCTCACTGCAAGCTCCGCCTCCCGGATTCACACCATTCTCCTGCCTCAGCCTCCCGAGTAGCTGGGACTACAGGCGCCCGCCACCACGCCCAGCTAATTTTTTGTATTTTTAGTAGAGACGGGGTTTCACCGTGTTAGCCAGGATGGTCTCCATCACCTGACCTCGTGATCCGCCTGCCTCGGCCTCCCAAAGTGCTGGGATTACAGGCGTGAGCCACTGCGCCCGGCCCAAAATATAAACTTTAGTCTTTCCTTAAAGGTAAGTTTTTAATCTAAAATGCCAGGATTCATTTTAATGTATTAAGTAGTAGACATTTTACCATTCCTCAGATTTATCTGGCATTTTAGATATATTGTCACATAATTCTAACAAGACCAATTGTAATAAAACCAACTGGAAGACTGAAGAGAATGTGAGCAGGTGTGGCACCCACAAGATAGTCAATAATTCTTTTTTTGAGATGGAGTCTTGCTCTGTTGCCCAGGCTGGAGTGCAGTGCCGCAATCTCGGCCCACTGCAACCTCAGCCTCCCCGGTTCAAGCGATTCTCTTACCTCAGCCTCCCGAGTAGGTGGGACCATAGGTGTATGCCACCACGCCCAGCTACTTTTTGTATTTTTAGTAGAGACGGGGTTTCACTGTATTGGCCAGGATGGTCTCAATTTCCTGATCTCGTGATCCCATCCGCCTGCCTCAGCCTCCCAAAGTGCTGGGATTACAGGCGTGAGCCACTGTGCCAGGCCCTATTCTTAAATGTCTTCTTTGAAATTTAAAGAGACACGGCCCGGTGCGGTGGCTCACGCCTTTAATTCCAGCACTTTGAGAGGCCGAGGTGGGAGGATCACCTGAGGTCAGGAGTTAGAGGCCAGCCTGGACAACACAGAGAAACCCTTCCTCTACTAAAAATATAAAAATTGGCTGGGTTTGGTGGCAGACGCCTGCAATTCCAGCTATTCGGGGGGCTGAGGCACGAGAATCACTTGAACTCGGGAGGCGTTAAGTTGAAGTGAGCTGAGACTGTGCCACTGCACTCCAGCCTGGGCAACAGAGCAACTCTAGTCACCGCCCCCCCGCCGCCCCAAAAAAAAAAGAAATTTAAAGGGACATGAACTTCAATGAGAACGAGCATGATAACCAAAACCTTTATCCCAGATACTAATCTAATGCTGATTGATGCTTCACCCTTTAAAAGACGTGTTGTACTTTTCCCATTGGCTTAGAATTTGAACCAATAAGAAAGGAGGAAATCTTTATAAATATTCACAACCGAAGGCTGATACTGCGAATGTTGAGTGAAGATTGCTTTGTTCTTCATTCCAGTCTCACTTTCAGAACTTTATGGTGTTGATGTTCTTCTTATTGCCATAGTAAACAAACTTTAAAAACATTCAGCTTGGGTGTTGTCTTTGTGGCTTGAAATATATTTTCCAATGTTAAGAAGAGTTTATTTCTTATTGTTCTGACTTAAGATTTGATGAATCCTTAACAGATGTTCAAAGGAAAATAATTTAAATGCTAGTTTTTATTATCATGGTGAACATATTTCAAAAACAAAATATTAATTTCCTCGACATCTTTCAAGTTTATAATTACTAGGGTTCTTTCATTTCTAAAGTGGCATATATTACAGTTTTTAGTCTCTTATAATGGTTGTTTAGAGGCAGAGTTAATGTTAGCTTCTCAGCAACAGCTATTTATCTCTTGAGATTCTGGGTTATTACAATTTTTTGTTTTTGAAATTTAATAAAAGCATTAAGGGGTTTTTGTATAGTGATTTTTTTTTAAGGATGAACATGAAGTCTGTGATTTAACACTGGGACTCGAGACCTCTAAATACAAAATTCATACAAAAGGAAAAATTCCCCTATTTTTCTATATGGATGGTTTCATCAGAAAATTTATCTTCTTGAGTTCTCTCCTTATATATTACTAGTTTCTTGAAAAAGCACTACAACGTTCTCATTGTGAATAAGTGTTCCAGTTAGACCTAAACGACAAAAACCACTTGCACTTGCCCCAAATTTACACTCTGTTTAAAGCAACTGCCATAACAACCAACAATGTATCTTCGATGCAAAGGGACACTTTGTCATGAGGTTATTTCGCTTCTCTATTCTGGGAAAAACCACTGCAAGTGGAATGAAAAGTAACCGCAAAGGGAGGGGACGGAGGAAGTAAAAAACAGGCAAAACCACCACCACTACCATCACCACCACCACCACCAACCAGAAAGCAAAGGTGAAAAATTTGCGTACCCTGAAAACACTAAACATTTCACATCAGAACCCAGAACAAATAAACCAGGGAAAGCAGAGTTGAGAGAAAAAAAATGGTGCAGGCTTGGGGACGGACTCATACTACAGCGGTCGCAAGAGGGAAGAGCACGTCTTTGCTTTTTCTTGGCATCCGAAAACTCAAGCTCGAACTGGGGGCAAAGGCCAGCGGCTGCGGTTCCACCGGCTAAGGCGCACACATTCCCCGAGCTCAGACCGCACGCTGGCAGGGCCGATGGGGCTGGGCAGCCTCCCTCCACCCCGTGGCAGTCGCCTACCCCTTTGTCTCCCCGTGGGGCTCCGAGGCCGCGCGCCCGGAAGCCCCCCGCGGGAGGGCCGCGCGCGAGAAGGCGGGTTCCCGTGCCCGCCGCAGCGGCCACGGCCCTAGTCAGGCAATGCCGAGGCCGGTCGCTCGCCTCGCCGTCCCTCCCAACTTGCAGCCTGGACCCCGCGCGCGTCAGGGCTCGTCCCAGCTCTGCTTTCCTTTCTCCCCTCACCTCGCGAGGCCGACCTTGTGTTTGTTTTGTTTTTTGGGGCTCGGGAGAGTGCCGAGGGCTAGAAACAGCTGTGGTTTACCGCGCCGCTTATTTTGGCAAAAATTCCGGGCCTGTTGCAATGTTCCCCAGCGCCAAACAGCTCCCGCCTTCCCCCCAAGCAGAACCCGACACTCGAAGAAGGGCTTGCTCCTCCAGGGACCCCCTGATAAGAAAAGTGGGGACCACGGCCCGCTCTCGGGCGAGACTTGGGGGGTGGGCGACCGGAAGCAGCCGAACCGGCCGGGCAGGGCTTGCTCTCCAACGGGAGAGCGGGAGCGGGAGAGGTGGGAGCGCCCGCGGGCTCAAGTCCCCCGGGCCGCCGCGCCGAGGCGGAGCTCGGGGACGAAGCAGAGGTCGTGGCGGACAGCCGGCGGGCTTGGGGGGGGGCGGTGGGCGGCGATCCACCTGGGCGACGTGGCAGCCATTGCCGGCGCCTCGAGACCCCTCCCCACCCGGCCGCCCACCCGCCCTCTCGCGGCGGGCTTCTGCGCGGCTGCTCTTCCCCGGCCGGACGGAGAGCGGCAGTGTCTCCCCGCCGGGCGCGCTCGCCGTGTCTCCCCCGCGGCCGCAGCTGCTTGCTAGCCTTGCGCGGCGCGGGAGAGCGCAGTGGCGCCGGCGGGAAAGGGCTGCGGACCTGCGGCGCCGCGTTGTGCGTTCGACGACGCGGCACCGGCTTCGACGCCCTCTGCCCGCTCCAGAAGCAGGTAAAGGCGGCGGGTGGGAGGCAGGGAGGCGGGTCCAAGGTGAGGGCCCTGGAGGTTAGGGGTCCCGGGGCTCCGAGCCGAAGCGGAGGGCCTGAAGCAGCGGCGGGCGGCGCGGCGAATGAACCCCCAAGCCCTGAATGTGGGGCCCGGCGCGGGCCGCCTCCGATCTGACCCGCGGGCCCGGCTGCCCGGACGGAAGGGAAGTGAGGCGTCGGCGAGAGGCGGGCCCTGGCGCTCAGCCCGAGGCCGGGCGAAGGCGGGGGCCGCGGCCGCTTCCTTGGCCTCCGAGTGCCTGGCGGGCCTCCAGGCCCCAGACACACCCCTCTCGACCCCCCGAGGTTTCCTCCCAGATCTGTTCCCGCCGGGACCTGACCTTGCGCCCCTCCAGGCGCCTTAGGTGTTTGCCAGGCGGAGCCTTCTGGGAACTTCAGGCCACCTTCCTGAGCACATAGTCCTAGCAGAGCCGTTTATTTACTCAGTTCAAGTCCAGACACACAGCCACTCACACGTTCGGATTTTGGAGACTGCGGGGAGACTTTCCCCTCCCCGGCATTTGTGTGTCTTTGGCCCTCGTCCCGCCTCCCCTGCCCCCATCTGCAACTTTGTCCCTCAATGGGACCCTTCTAGAGCCCCTCTCTCATCGGGACTCTCTCTAAGCCGTCCGTTTGGAAATTCATCCTCAATAGAGTGAGTCATCTTAGCGGGGGCACAGTTTATCTCTCATGCGCTTTTGGTTAAAATAGTTTTTTTTTTCCCTCCGAAAGAGAGCTAGAGTAATAGAATGTAGATGACAGGTCAGTGTCAGTGTTGGCTTCAAAGGCTCTTCCTTTCGGCGGCAGTCTTTGTAACTAGGATCTGATATTTGTGGCACGGACAGGTTTGTACACATTCTCGCCATGCAGTGGTTGTAATGTCTCCATGGCACAGTTCTGGCTTGAAGGCAGGATTGGCTGCTTTTTCTACTCGACATCTTTGAGCCAATCAGCAAGGGCTGCTTGCCTGGAGACTGGTTAACTCAGTAAAGGTGGCCATTGGTTGAGCTCCTAGAAGAAAATCCTGGAGATGAACCTAGCCTCTCAGAAAACAATGACTGATTTGCAGCTGTATTAAAAAAATGTTTTCTTTTAATCCCAACATCAGCCTTTTCACTCCGTTTTTATTACTTCCAGTGTTTTTCTTTCAAACACCAGCTGTCTTTTGTAACTCGTTTTAACTCTCATCCTTTAATTTTAACTAAAAGACGCGCTTTAGGAAATGTAAACATCGTGTGTTCTGTGTTTTGATAAACGTGGTTCCATCTGCCTTTCTAACATTGTTTACTGCTAAAGGTCAGAAATAAACAGTTTTGAGTTTCGCTGCCAGGACCTTTTATTATTTAAGTGCCGTGCTAGGATGGGGGGTAGGAGCGAGGGGCTGTAGTGGTGGACATGGTGGGAAGAATAGGAAATAAATGGCTGCTCTTTTGCAAGGAGGCTACAATTTAGTTAATGAAAAAAGACTAACCTGTAAAACAATAAAGAATAAAGCAGTTGAAATCAGCACGCAGTACGTACGAATGCCAGTTTGTGTACTTGTTGACTTTAGTTAATTTGAAGGGGAGATAGAAGTACTGTATTTCATAGAAAAAGTGGGCTTAAGTTATGGTAGAGGCATGTTTTTTCCTTCATTAAAGTATATTAAAGTAGGCATAGTATCTTGTATGTACACAGTAGAAGCTAAATATTATCACTAGTTGCATGTTTTTTTTTTAGTATTTATTTTAAATCTAAATACTGTTACATAGTTGCATCTTATTTATTTATTTTTTTGAGACAAGGTCTGGCCGTATCGCCAAGGCTGGAGTGCAGTGGCACTATCTCAGCTCACTGCAACGTCTGCCTCCTGGGCTCAAGCCATCCTCCCACCTCGTCCCCTAGAGTAGCTGGGACTAGAGGCGAAAGCCACTACGCCCGGCTAATTTTTGTATTTTTTGTAGAGAGGAGGTTTCGCCATGTTGCCCAGGCTGGTCTCAAACCCCTGAGCTCAAGCAATCCAACTGCCTCCGCCTCCCAAAGTGCTGGGATTACAGGAGTGACCACCACGCCCGCCCGGCCGTTTTAAAACGCTGATTATTTTCCTTTTAAAATCTCCCTTTTCATCATGATTAGCCATGATTATGCATGTTTTTTGATATGCAAAGCAGCAACCATTTATTAGTTAATGAATTTCAGAAAAATAGCTATCTACCTTCTTTGCTTTCCTTTCAGCTTTTTATATGCAAAATCATATTGTAAGTCTTGGGAAGAATCAGTTGTCTATTAAATGCCTTTAGAAGTAGTTTATGTTAGGAATTTAAGAAGAGATTGAGCATTTTTTATGTATGTATGTATGTATGTATTTTGAGACAGAGCCTCACTCTGTCGCCCAGGCTGGAGTGCAGTGGCGCTATCTTGTCTCAGCCTCTGGAGTAGCTGGGATTACAGGTGCTCAACACCACACCTGGCTAACTTCTGTATTTTTAGTAGGGATGGGTTTTTGTCATGTTGGTGAGGCTGGTCTGTAACTCCTGGCCTCAAGTGATCCGCCCGCTTTGGCCTCCCAAAGTGCTAGGATTACAGACATGAGCCACCCCGCCTGGCCTTAGATTGAACACTTTTTTGATACCTACCTTGCCTGATAATGAGTAAGCATACATCAAGCCATGTATCATTATCAACCTCATTGCCCTCGTCCTCATAGTAATGAAGTGGCTTATGTGTATGTACACACACATGCACACCAGGTGCTGTTTTAAGCACTTTGCATATGTGATTGTATTTAATTCTTACAACTCTGAGATTTGCACTATTCTTACAGGGGAGGAGACAGAGACTGAGAAGTATTAAGAAAGTTGCTGAAAGTTACCCGACTAGTGTGTGGGAGTGTTATGTATGTATCAGGTAGGTTTCAGTCAAACTTAGATCTTTGTGACCCAAAACCTTATTCTTTTTTTTTTTTCTTTTTTTAAAGAGACAGGGTCTCACTATGTTGCTCAGGCTGCTCTCGAACTCCTGAGCTCAAGCAGTCCTCCTGCCTCAGCCTCTCAAGGCGCTGAGATTACAGGCGTGAGCCACTGTGCCTGCGCCTTGGGAAGAGTATTTTACTTTCTTACCTATCTCAGCATTGCCCTCCAGAAATTATTTTATTAGAACTGTACATCTAGATTGTGGTTAATCAATTCTATCTGAGCTCTCATACTTCATTTATTTTTTTTGAGATGGAGTCTCACTGTGTTGCCCAGGCTGGAGTGTGATGGTGCCATCTTGGCTCACTGCAACCTCTGCCTCCCAGGTTCAAGCAATTCTCCTGCCTCAGCCTCCCAAGTAGCTAGGATTACAGGTGCACACGATCACGCCCGGCTAATGTTTTTATTTTGAGTAGTGATGGGGTTACACCTTGTTGGTCAGGCTGGTCGTGAACTCCTGACCTCAGGTGATCCACCCACCTTGCCCTCCCAAAGTGCTGGGATTACAGGCATGAGCCACTGTGCCCGGCCGCACATACTTTAAAAATTAAAAGAGGCTTTAATAAATTTATGTGGCTAAGTAGCTAGATTTTTTTTTTTTTTTTTTGAGACAGGGTCTCCCTCTGTTGTCCAGGTTGGAGTGCAGTGGCATGATTATAGCTCACTGTAGCCTTGAATTCTTGGGCTCAAGGGATCCTCTTGCAACAGCCTCCCGAGTAGCTGGGAGTATAGGCACATACCGCTGTGCCTGGCTCATTTTTAAAATTTTTTTGTAGAGACAGGGTCTCGCTGTGTTGCTTAGGCTGGTCACAAACTTGTGGGCTCAAGCAGTCTTCTCACTTCAACCTCCCAAGTTGCTGGGAATATGGGCCCGAGCCATCACGCCTGGCCTGTTTTTCTAAACGTGGATTGTATGAGCATATCCTTTGATCATGTATTAGCTGCTTTTCTTTTCTTTTCTTCTTCTTTTTTTAAAATTTAAATTGAGACGGGGTGTTGCCATATTGCCCAGGCTGGCCTCAAACTTCTGGGCTCAAGCAATCCTCCCACCTTGGCCTCCTAAAGCCCTAGAATTACAGGTGTGAGCCACCACCCTCAGCTGGCTGTTTTTCTTAAAACTTTATGCAAGCCCCAGATTTAAGGTTATTAGTGTCTTTATTATTATTATTATTTTGAGGTAGAGTCTTGCTGTGTTGCCCAGGCTGGAGTGCAGTGGCATAATCTTGGCTCACTGCAACCTCTGCCTCCCAGGTTCAAGCGATTCTCCTGCCTCAGCCTCCCGAGTAGCTGGGATTACAGGTGTCCACTGCCATGTTCGGCTAATTTTCATATTTTTATTTCATTTTATTTATTTATTTATTTATTTTTGAGATGGAGTCTCGCTCTTGTTGCCCAGTCTGGAGTGCCATGGCATGATCCCAGCTCACTGCAACCTCCGCCTCCTGGGTTCAAGTGATTCTTCTGCCTCAGCCTCCCAAGTAGCTGGGATTACAGATGTGCACCACCACGCCCAGCTAAGTTTTGTATTTTTAGTAGAGATGGGGTCTCACCATGTTGGCCAGGCTGGTCTCAAACTCCTAACCTCAGGTGATCCGCCCGCCTCAGCCTCCCAAAGTGCTGGGATTGCAGGCTTGAGCCACTGTGTCTGGCGTATTTTATTTTTTTTTTTGGGTGGAGTTTTGCTCTTGTTGCCCAGGTTGGAGTGCAGTGGTGTGATCTCGGCTCACTGCAACCTCCGCCTACCACATTCAAGTGATTCTCCTGCCTCAGCCTCCCGAGTAGCTGGGATTACAGGCACCTGCCACCACGCTTGGCTAATTTTAGTATGTTTAGTAGAGATGGGTTTTCGCCATGTTGGCCAGGGTGGTCTGGAACTCCTGACCTCGGGTGATCTGCCTGCCTCGGCCTCCCAAAGTGCTGGGGTTACAGGTGTGAACCACCATGCCTGGCCATTAGTGTCTTTTTTTCTTGAAAATATTTGCATTAATTTGCTGCTTTATTTATTTTTTGGTTTTATTTATTTATTTATTTTTGTTTTGTTTTTACTGCTTTATTTTTTGGTTACTTTTTTTTTTTTTTTCTTGAGACGGAGTCTCGCTCTGTCACCTAGGTGGGAGTGCAGTGGTGCGATCTTGGCTTGCTGCAATCTCCGCCTCCTGGGTTCAAGCGATTCTCCTGCCTCAGTCTCCTGAGTAGCCGGGACTACAGGTGCCCACCACCACGCCCGGCTAATTTTTTGTATTTTTAATAGAGATGGGGTTTCACCGTGTTAGCCAGGATAGTCTCGATCTCCTGACTTCGTGATCCTCCTCTCTTTAATATCTCTTGAATCTGTTCCTTTTCCCTATCCTCGCTGCTGCCCTCCTACTCCATGGTTAGTATCATGTCTCACCTGGGTTGTTGCACGAGCCTCCTAACAGCTCATCCCTGCTTTCAGTCTTCCAATGCATTTTTCCCACTGTAGCTAGAGTAATCTGTCTAACACATTACTCCTCTGCTTAAAACTTTTTTGTGACTTTTCATGGCCTTTAGGATAACTTCTGAACTTCTTTTTTTTTTTTTTTTGAGACTTCTGAACTTCTTCACTTGGCTTTCAGGATCCTCATGATTTGGATCCTTATTGACACTTGGCTGTCAGTGTGCTAGCCCTATTAAGTTCCTTGTATTTCTCCCTGAAGGGGTCAGAGTTCTTAAATCTGCACTTGAGTTCAGAAGCTTCTATCTGTCTGGAATACCTTTCCTAGTTTGTTCCTTACCCTCACTTTTGTTTTATTAACTCAGGCTTGTCTTTCAGGTCTCAGCCTAGGTGGTAGCTCTAGGAGAAAGCCCTCGGATACTTCAAGTCTGAGTTACATGGGCCTCCTCTTTGTGTCCTTAGCACTCCATGTTCTTTTATTACATTGTGATTGCTTGCTTATTTGTCATCTCACCACATAGCGGTAAATGGACTGTCTTAAAAAATGATGTGATTTGCATAGAGTGTATTGAAAGAGAATGAAATAGTAATTTTGGGGTTTATCTAATACAGAGAGGAAAGGGACATTATATTTGATAGATGAAAGTTTTCTAAGCCAGAGAAGGCATACCAGGCCCTTTTATAGCCTGAATGAAAAAATCCTTTGATGTCTAATTTTTATCAATTTGGTTTCTCTATTTTATTAGTTAGGACTTTTTGGTGTTCAAGTAACAGAAATACAGCTTGAAGTAGCCTGTAGGGGAAAAAGTTATTGGTTCATATGACCATATAATAGGCATTGTATGAATAAGGATGGCCATGAAGAGCTAGGGTGGGAACTTTCCCATAGTTGGGACCTTTCCGTACTTATACTCTGTGCATACTGGCTTTATTCCTTTTACTGAAAATATGTTTCTTCACATGGTAAACCTGTTTCATGGCAGCACAGGGGTATCAACTAGAACCTTGACCAAATCTAGTGTTTGAAGGGATGAAGTACTATGCTTAGTTCATTCTAGGTTGTGATATGCTCACTTACATGGCCAGGGATCTGTTAGCAAAAAGCAGAGCAGACCTTGAGTAGGGGAGAGGACGGAGTTCTGGGCAGACATAAAGAATATCCACTTTAATTCTTTATCGTTTTATTGATTTATTTATTTTTAATTAAATTAATTAATTAATTAATTTTTTTGAGACGGAGTTTTGCTCTTGTTGCCCAGGCTGGAGTGCAATGGTGTGATCTCGGCTTACTACAACCTCCACCTCCCGTGTTCAAGCGATTCTCCTGTCTCAGCCTCCCGAGTAGCTGGGATTACAGGTGTGCATCACCACACCTAGCTAATTTTTTGTCTTTTTAGTAGAGACAGGGTTTCACCATGTTGGCCAGGTTGGTCTTGAACTCCTGACCTCAGATGATCCTCCTGCATCAGCCTCCCAAAGTGCTGGGATTACAGGTGTGAGCCACCGTGCTGGCCAATTTTATTTATTTATTTAGAGAGATTGGTGGGGCGGCAGGGGGGGGTCTCACTATGTTGCCTAGGCTGGTCTCGAACTCCTGAGCTCAAGTGATCCTCCTGCTTCAGCCTCCCAAGGTGCTGGGACCACATGTGAACCACTATGCCTGGCCTCATCCACTGTAATTCTTAACCACCTTTCTGATTATGAATTTATTTTCATTGGTACTTTATTTGTGGTAAAGAGATGCCCTGTACTATGGACCTGTGTATTCCAGGTACGAAAATGGTAAGTCCAACATTTTAAAGAAGTTGGCCTTTTGGCTTATGCTAGCTTATAACAAGTACTTATTTATTGATTGATTTATTTGAGACAGAGTCTCGCTCTGTTGTCCAGGCTGGAGTGCAATGGTGTGATCTTGACTCACTGCAACCTCTGCCTCTTGGGTTCAAGTGATTCTCCTGCCTCAGCCTCCTGAGTAGCTGGGACTGTAAGCGCGCACCACCACGCCTGGCTAATTTTTGTATTTTTAGTAGAGACGGGGTTTTGCCATGTTGGTCAGGCTGGTCTCAAACTCCCGACCTTGTGATCCGCCTGCCTCGGCCTCCCAAAGTGCTGGGGTTACAGGCGTGAGCCACCGCGCCCGGCAATAACAAGTATTTATTGAGCTCTTGTTTGCTAAATAAAACACTTATCTGCAAGATGCTTACAGACTAGTAGTCTCAACAAGTAAATACAAAGGTGCTAAGATAGATGTCTAGGGTGCATTGGGAGCTGTGGCTAAATCATGCTTTGAGATAGTGGGAAACTTTCCTAAAGAAAAGTAAATTGAACCAATAAATATGGGTTGGGTGTGATGGGGTAGAGATGGAGTCTTGCTCTGTTGCCCAGGCTGGAGTGCAGTGGTGTGATCTCGGCTCACTGCAACCTCCGCCTCCCAGGTTCAAGCGATTCTCCTGCCTCAGCCTCCTGTACTCAGGAGGATTACAGGTATGCACCACCACACTCGCTAAGTTTTGTATTTTTAGTAGAGATGGGGTTTTACCATGTTGCCCAGACTGGTCTCGAACTCCTGACCTCCTGATCTGCCCACCTCAGCCTCCCAAAGTGTTGGGATTACAAGCGTGAGCCACTGTGCCCGGCTGGGGTTAGAGGGACTTTCAGGCAGAGAATGTATAAGGCACAGAGCTGTGAAATGGGCTACCTTGTGTGGGAAACAAATAACTAGGTACAGGTGGATTAGAGTGGAAGAAGAGGAGGCCAAAGGTAGATAAGGGATCACGTCATAGAAGTCCTTGAGTGCTTTATCACAGAGTTGGAACTTGATCTTGAAAGCTATAGAGAGTCATTGAAGGAAATTTAAGCTGGACCTCTCAGGTTTGAAGTGCCCATGGAATATTCAAGTGGATATGTCTGTCAAACAATTAACTATATTGGGGTTTGGGAGAAAATTATTGACTGGAGTCACACAGGCATTGAAGCCATGGGTTTGAATGGACCTAGAAGAGGTAAATCGAACAAAAGATTAGGAACAGAACCTTAGCGAGCAATGACACTGAAAAAAGTGAGCAGAAGGCAGAAAGTCCATGACAGAGACCAAGAAGGGCCAGACAGAAAAAAACCAGTAAATGCTGCTTGGGATGGGAGGGTGGATTGTATTGGGTCAAGGAGTCAACAGAAAAAAGTTGAAACAACAAATATAAACTACTTTCATTTTAAGAAACTGAAACCGTATAGGAAATAATAGGAGTTTTGTTAGTCTGATCATTATCAATTCTGTGTGCACAGAGAAAATAAAATTTTTAGACAGTTCTTCCAATGCAGGGATTTGAATTTTTTAGCATTTTTAAGGTCAGGTAGGAGCAGATGGAGGCTTTTTTGGCAGTGTTTGGGAGGTAAGAAGTGGTTGACCGGGGGCATGGATATGATACATGCGCAGTTACTGGGGAGTACAAGTATCTAGTAGAGTATTTTGCACATAGTTTCTGGACCTATAAAGATCCAGTAAAGCATTTTTTTTTTTCTTGAGATGGAGTCTAGATCTGTCGACAGGCTGGAGTGCAGTGGCGTGATCTCGGCTCACTGCAACCTCTGCCTCCTGGGTTCAAGCGATTCTCCTGCCTCAGTCTCCTGAGTAGCTGGGACTACAGGCACACGCCACCACACCCAGCTAATTTTTGTATTTTTAGTAGAGATGGGGTTTCACCGTGTTGGCCAGGATGGTGTCAATCCCTTGACCTTGTGATCCACCTGCCTCAGCCTCCCAGTGTGTTGGGATTACAGGTGTGAGCCACCGTGCCCGGCCCATTTTTTTCAGGGGACCCAGAGTTAATTATTGATTATGTAGTTGTAATTAAATTTAGTTCATTTCTCAGGATTTCTATTTGTGATTTTCCCTTTTTTTTTTTTTTTTGAGACAGTGTCTCACTTTGTTGCTCAGGCTGAAGTGCAGTGGCATGATCTCGGCTCATTGCAGCCTCTGCCTCCCAGGTTCAAGCAATTCTCTTGCCTCAGTCTCCCAAGTACCTGGGACTACAGGCATGTGCCACCACACACAGCTAATTTTTGTATTTTTTATTAGAGATGAGGTTACACTATGTTGGCCAGGCTGGTCTTGAACTCCTGACCTCAAGTGATCCACCTGCCTTGGCCTCCCAAAGTGCTGGGATTACAGGTGTGAGCCACCGTGCCTAGCCCTGGTCTGTTTTTGAGTCTATCTCTCTTGAGTGAACATTCTCTTTCTCTGCTAAATCACCTTGTCTCAGTTTTTTTCTTTGTAGTTAAGCTACTCATAGTTTTTTTAGTTGGGGAAAAAAGTACAACGTATTTACTATCTTAACCACTTTTAAGAGTACAGAACAGTAGTGTTAACTATGCACATTGTTGTGCAGTTTTTTTCATCTTGCCAAACTGAAACTCTGTACCCAGTGAACCCATTTTCTCCTTCCTAGCCATTGGCAACCACGATTCTACTTTCTGTGTCTAGAGTTTGACTACTTGTAGATACCGCATATAAGTAGAAACATGCAGCTTTTTGTCATTGTTATTGCTGTTTTTGGGGTGACTGGCTTATTTCACTTAGCATAATGTCCTCAAGATTCTTCCATGTTGCAGCATATGACCTAATTTCCTTTTTTTTTTTTTTTTTTTTTGAGACAGGGTCTTGCTCTGTCACCCAGGCTGGAGTGCAGTGGTGTGATCATGGCTCACTGCAGCCTTGACCTCCCCAGACTCAAGCCATCCTCCCACCTCAGCCTTCTGAGTAGCTGGAACCACAGGTGTGCACCACCACACCTAGATAATTTTTGTAGACATGAGGTTTTGCCATGTTGCCCGGGCTGATCTTGAACTCCTGGGCTCAAGTGATCAGTTAGTTAGCCTTGGCCTTCCAAAATGCTGGGATTACATGCATGAGCTACTGTGCCTGGCCTCCTTTTTTTTTTTTTTAAGGCTGAATAATATTCCATTGTATGTATGTACCACATTTTTTTTTTTATCCATTCACTTGTTGATGGACATTTAGGTTGCTTCCACCTCTTGACTATTGTGAATAACGCTGTGATAAACATGCATGTGCAAGTATCTCTTGGAGATCCTGTTATTAATTATTTTGGATATGTACCCTGAAGTGGAATTGCTGGATCATATGATAATTCTGTTTTTAATTTTTTGAGGAACTGCCATACCCTTTGCTTAGTAGCTGAGCCATTGTACGTTCCTACCAGTAGTACACAAGGGTTCCAGTTTCTCTACATCTTCACCAACATTTTTATTTTTTATTTTTTTATTTTTTGAGACAGAGTCTCACTCCGTCACCCAGGGTGGAGTACAGTGGCATGATGTTGGCTCACTGTAACCTCTGCGTCCCAGGTTCAAGTGATTCTCCTGTCTCAGCCTCCCGAGTAGCTGAGACTACAGGCTAATTCTTGTAGTTTTAGTAGAGATGGCGTTTTACCATGTTGGCCAGGCTGGTCTTGAACCCCTGACCTCAGGTAATCCACCTGCCTTGACTTCCTAAAGTGCTGGGATTACAGGCATGAGCCACTGCACCTGGCCTGTTTTTTAACTCATTTGTTGATAGTGGCCATCTCAATAGGTGTAAGGTGATATCTATCTCATTGTGGTTTTAATTTGTATTTCTCTGATTAGTGATAAGTATCTTTTCATATACTTGTTGGCCATGTGTATATCTTCTTTGGAGAAACATTTGTGCAAGTCCTTTGCCCACTTTTAAATTGGGTTATTTGGATTTTGTTTGTTGAGTTGTAGGAGTTCTTTATGTATTCTAGATATTACCAACTTATCAGATGTATGGTTTGCAAATATTTTCTCTCATTCCGTAGGTTGCCTTATTATTCTGTTGATTGTTTCCTTTGTGACACAGAATTCTTTAAGTTTGATGTCCATTTTGTCTATTTTTGCTTTTGTTGCCTATGCCTTTGGTGTCGTCTTCAAGAAATCATTGCCAAATCCGATGTCATGAAGCTTTCTCCCCGTTTTCTTCTACGAGTTTTAAGTTTAAGGTCTTAGATTTAGGTCTTTAGTCCATTTTGAGTTACCTTTTGTATTCAATGTAACATAAGATTCTAGCTTCATTCTTTTGCATGTGGGTACCCAGTTTTTCCTATATCATTTGTTGAAGAGACTCTCCTTTTCCCATTGTGTGGCCTTGGTACCCTTGTTGAAGATCATTTGATCACATATGTGAGTATTTATTTCTGGGCTTTCTATTCCATTCCATTAGTCTTATGTCTATCTTTAAGCCCTACCATACTGTGTTGATTACTGTAGCTCTGTAATGTAAGGTGTTTTGAAATAGGAAGTATGAGGCCTCCAGTTTTGTTTTTCTTTCTCAAGTTTGTTTTAACTATTTGGGATCCTTCTCATAATTTTTATCCTTTAAAAAATTCCCAGGCTGGGCACAGTGGCTCACGCCTGTAATCTCAGCACTTTGGGAGACCGAGGCAGGTGGATCACTTGAGGTCAGGGGTTCAAGACCAGCCTGGCCAACATGGTGAAACCCCTGTCTCTACTAAAAATACAAAAATTAGCCGGGCATGGTGGCGGGCGCCTGTAATCCTAGCTCCTCGGGAGGCTGAGGCAGGAGAATCGCTTGAACCTGGGAGGCAGATGTTGCAGTGAGCCGGGATCGCGCCACTGCACTCCACTGAGTGACAGAGCGAGACTCCATCTCAAAAACAAACAAAAACAAAAAACAACAAAAAAATTCCCAGCCGGGCACAGTGACTCATGCCTGTAATGCCAGCCCTTTGGGAGGCCGAGGCGGGCACATCACTTGAGGTCAGGAGTTCAAGACCAGCCTGGCCAACATGGTGAAACTCCGTTTCTACAAAAAAATGCAAAAATTAGCTGGGCTTAGTTGTTCTTGCCTGTAATCCCAGCTACTCGGAGGCTGAGGCAGGAGAATCACTTGAACCTGGGAGGTGGAGCCAAGATTGCACCACTGCACGAAAGAGTGAGACTGTTTTAAAAAAAAATTCCCTTTCATTTTTTTCCCTTCCTTTCATTTTAAACTCACTTACAGCGTGGTTGAATTTTTCTTTTTTCTTCTCGACATGTAAGGACAGATAACCTATACATAACCTTTGAAATATGGAGTGTGCCCTGCTTTATAAAAACTTGGCATTTTTGAATTACATGTTTCATGTTAAGAGTTGATATTTGAATTAAAAAAGGATTTTGGCCAGGCACAGTTGCCCATTCCTGTATTCCCAGCACTGTGGGAGGCTGAGGGGAGAGGATTGCTTGAAGCCAGGAGTTGGAGACCAGTGTGGGCAGCAAAGCGAGACCCTGTCTCTACAAAACAAAATAAAAGAAGCAACAACAAAAAATAAGCCAGGTGGAATGGTGCATGCATGTGGTCCCAGCTTTGGGAAGCTGATGCAGGAGTATTGCTTGAGCCCAGGAGTTCAAAGCTGTAGTGTTGTACCACTGCACTCCAGCCTGGGTGGCAGAGTGAGACCCTGTCTCTTAAAAAAACAAAAAACAAACACAACCCCCAAAAACTCTTTCTTTGCTTTGTAGAGGTATTCTTTTAGTGGATTAAATATGGTTTTATCTTTTCAAACATCTTAGAAGCAAACTAGTTTGCTTGAAGCATGGTACATTTTAAAAACTTTCATTAGGAAAATAGAGATATAGAAAAGTAGTATGATACATTGAAACCACAGGTACCCACCTGCTTGATTCAACAATTGTTACCATTTTGCCATATTTGTTTTATCTACATATATAAATTTCCTGAACCATTTAAAAGTAAACTAAGAGGGGCAAATAAGTTTTTTTCAGTTTTCCCTTTTAAGTATCATATGATTGTATTATAAATGTATGTATTTTGGACTTTGACATTTAAAGATTTAGATTGATATTTGCTCTTTTAAAAGATTATATAAGAAGACGTATATCTTCAGATCTCGCCAAGGAAAAGGAGGACATTCTCCCTATATAGCCATAAAACCATTATCATTTCTAGCAAAATTACCAGTAATTCCCTAGTATTATACTACTTTTTGATTTTTTTTTGAGACAGGGTCTTGCTCTGTTGCCCAGACTAGAGTACAGCAGCACATTCATGGCTTACTGCAGCCTTGACCTCCCAGGCTCAAGCCATTCTCCTGCCTCAGCCTCCTGGAGTGGCTGGGGGCTACAGGCACATACCACCATGACTGGCTAATTTTTGTATTTTTTGTAGAGATGTGGTCTTGCCATGTTGCCCAGGCTGGTCTTAAACTTGTAGTCTCAAGTGATCCTCCTGCCTTGGCCTCGCAAAGTGCTGGGATTACAGGCATGTGACCTGATTCCCTGATACATGCTACTTATACTATATTCAGATTTCCTGAGTTGTTCCAAAAATGTTTTTGATTGCTGTGTGGTGTTTTTTTTTCTTCTTTTTTTTTTTGAGAGGAAGTCTTGCTCTATCACCCAGGCTGGAGTGCAGTGGCGTGATCTTCGCTCACTGCAACCTCCTTCTCCTGAGTTCATGCAGTTCTCTTGCCTCAGCCTCCTAAATAGCTGGGATTACAGGTGTCCGCCACCATGCCTGGCTAATTTTTGTATTTTTAGTGGAGACGGGGTTTCACCATGTTGGCCAGGCTGGTGTTTTTTTTTTAAATGCCAGATTTCAGTCAAGAACTACCCGTTGCATTTGGGTTGTAATCTTGAGTCTTTTTAAATATATAGGTAGAACTGTCTCTTCTACCCATCCACCTCCTTCTCTACTCTGCCTCTCCTTCCCTACTCTGCCTCTCCTTCCCTGTGGTATTGACCTGTTAGGTCTGTTGAGACGATTACATTTTGTATTGCTGCTTGTTTCCTCATGGTGTAGTATTACTTCTTCCTCTATCCCCTATATTTATTTCCTGTAAACTGGGAGTTAGATCTAAAGGTGTGAGTAGACTTAGGTTAAACAGTTTTGGAAGAGTATCTCATTTAGTAATGCTGTGTACTTCCTACTGTTTCTAGTTAAGAGGCATATAATGTCAGGTCCCACTATTTTGATGCTGTATTTGATCACCAAGCTAATGTGGTGAGAACCTGATCATTTCATTATAAAGTTATGGTTTTCTTTTTGCTTCTAGCAAGTAGTAATCTATAGGGTGGTACTTTGACATCAGGTAAATTTTTTATTTTTTATTTTTTTGAGACGGAGTTTTGCTCTTGTTGCCCAGGCTGGAGTGCAATGGTGCGATCTCGGCTCACTGCAACCTCTGTCTCTTGGGTTCAGGTGATTCTCCTGCCTCAGCCTCCCGAGTAGCTGGGACTACAGGCTCTCGCCACCACGCCCAGCTAATTATGTATTTTTAGTAGAGACGAAGTTTCGCCATATTGGCCAGGCTGGTCTTGAACTCCTGACCTCAGGTGATCCTCCTGCCTTGGCCTCCCAAAGTGCTGGGATTATAGGTGTGAGCCACTGCCCCCGGCCTCAAATTTCTTTTTTTAAAAAACATTTTTATTTTATTTTATTTTATTTTTTGACTTTTTGGAGACAGAGACTCACTCTGTCACCCAGGCTGGAGTGCAGTGGCACAATCTCAGCTCACTGCAACCTCTGCCTCCCGGGTTCAAGCGATTCTCATGCGTCAGCCTCCTGAGTAAGCTGGGACTACAAGCATTTGCCACTATGCCTGGCTAATTTTTTTTTTCTTTTTTGAGATGGAGTCTCCTTCTGTCACCCAAGCTGGAGTGCGGTGGCACAATCTCAGCTCACTGCAATCTCCGCCTTCCGGGTTCAAGTGATTCTTGTGCGTCAGCCTCCTGAGTAAGCTGAGACTACAGGCGTGTGCCACTATGCCTGGCTAATTTTTTTTTTTTTTTTTTTTTTGATATGGAGTCTCACTTTGTCGCCAGGCTGGAGTTCAGTGGCGTGATCTTGGCTCACTGCAACCTTCGACTCCCTGGTTCAAGCAATTCTCCTGCCTCAGCCTCCTGAGTAGCTGGGATTATAGGCACGTGCCACCATGCCCAGCTAATTTTTGTATTTTTAGTAGAGATGGGGTTTCGCCATGTTTGCCAGGATGGTCTTGATCTCCTGACCTCGTGATCCACCCACCTCGGCCTCCCAACGTGCTGGGATTACAGGCGTGAGCCACCGCGCTCGGCCCACCTGGCTAATTTTTGTAATTTTAGTAGAGATGAGGTTTCATCACGTTGCCCTGGCTGGTCTCCAACTCCTGAGCTCAGGCAATCCCTCCCTGTACCCCCCCAGGCCTCCCAAAGTAATAGGACTACACTCGTGAGCTACCACTCCCGGCCCCAGATAAATTTCTTTCTTTTATTTTTGTGGGACTTTTTTTTTTTTTTGGGACAGAGCCTCTCTCTGTTGCCCACGCTGGACTGCAATGGTGCCATCTCGGCTCACTGCAATCTCTGCCTCCCAGGTGATTCTCCTGTCTCAGCCTCCCTCCTGAGTAGCTGGGATTACAGGTGTGCACCACCATGCCCAGCTAATTTTTATTTTTAGCAGAGACGGGGTCTCACCATGTTGGCCAGGCTGGTCTCAAACTCCTGACCTCAAGTAATCCACCCACCTTGGCCTCCAAAGTGTTGGGATTACAGGTGTGAGCCACCGCACCTGGCCAGGTCAATTTCTTTACCAACTTTTCACCTAATGATTTTAGCATTCATTGATGATTCTTGATTAGCTATTTAATTATTGGTTAAAAAATGGTAATTAGTTTTGGGTTCTGTTGTTCCTTATACATTTAGTAGCTAGCCACCTTCTATAAAGATAAGGTTTCTCTCATCAACTAAGGCTATTTTGTTACCTGGAATTAGTGTTCTACTTAAAGGCAGAATAGATGCTTAGTTACTTTCTTTTATACAGACTTTTTCAGAGTGCAATAGTCACCTCCAGTGGCAATAAGTGCAGTCTTTCTTGTCTTTTCTCTTTTGTCACTTTCTTTTTGGAATATCATATATATTATAAATATTATAGACATTTTTGACTTTGATTTCTTTTGTGATTATAGTTTGATGTGAATTTGACTTTAATATATAACTTTCCTTTCATAGTAAGAAGACATGTTGGATAACAAGAAGAGGTGTAGAGTTTGCATATATCAACTGTGGCCTTAATGAGCATGTTGACAGCATCGATGCTAGACAGACAGTAAGTGTTATTAAAGTTGTAGAGTATGAATATTTTACACATAAGATTTTTTTTTTTTTTTAAATTGAGTCTTGCTGTATCACCTAAGCTGAAGTACAGTGGCGCAATCTTGACTCACTTCAGCCTCAAACTGCTAGGCTCAAGCGATTCTCTCACCTCAGCCTCCCGAGTAGCTGGGACTACAGGTGCATGCCACCACACCCAGCTAATTTTTGTATTTTTTGGTAGAGATGGTTTTTGTTTTTGTTTTGTTTTTTTGAGGTGGAGTTTCATTCTTGTTGCCCAGGCTGTAGTGCAATGGCATGATCTCAGCTCACTGCAACCTCTGCTTCCCAGGTTTAAGCGATTCTCCTGCCTCAGCCTCCCAAGTAGCTGGGATTACAGGCGCATGCCACCACATCCAGCTAATTTTTTATTTTTAGTAGAGACAAGTTTTCTCCATGTTGGTCAGGCTGGTCTCAAACTCCCAACCTCAGGTGATCCGCCCGCCTCAGCCTCCCAAAGTACTGGGATTACAGGCGTGAGCCACCGAGCCCTGCTTGTTTTTGCTTTTTTTTGAGATGGAGTGTTGCTCTATTGCTCAGGCTGGAGTGCAGTGGCACGATCTTGGCTCACTGCAACTTCCGTCTCCTGGGTTCATGCAACTCTTCTGCCTCAGCCTCCCAAGTAGCTGGGATTACAGATGTGTGCCACCATGCCCAGCTAATTTTTGTATTTTTAGTAGCGATGGGGTTTCACATATTGGTCAGGCTAGTCTCTTAACCCTTGACCTCAAGTGATCCACCCACTTTGACCTCCCAAAGTGCTGGAATTACAGGCGTGAGCCACCGTGTCTGGCCCAGAGATGGCGTTTTGTCATGTTGCCCAGGCTGGTCTCAAACTCCTTGGCTCAAGTGATCCGCCTGCCTCGGCCTCCCAAAGTGCTGGGACAACAGGTGTGAGCCACCACGCCTGGCCTACACAGGTTTCTAAGCTTTTACTTATATATTTGAGGGACTAAAAAAACACCTCATGAGAAGGAAAATATAATCACAGATTTTGTTACTAGAATTTTCAAAAGAGCTTTCGTGGTATAAGACATGTTGACTGAGGAAGCATAAAGAACTGAATTGTGGTGTTAGTTTTTCTATTTAATGAGTGTTTTCGTTTCTCTGCTTCTTAAAGGCCAGTCTTGGCTGGGCATGGTGCCTCACGCCTGTAATCCCAGCACTTTGGGAGGCTGTGGCAGGCAGATCACTTGAGGCCAGGAGTTTGAGACCAGCCTGGCTAACATGGCAAAACTCCGTCTCCACTAAAAATACAAAAATTAGTGGGACATGTTGGCATGCACCTATAATCCCAGCTACTTGGGAGGCTGAGACATGAGAATTGCTTGAGCCTGGGAGGCAGAGGCTGCAGTGAGCTGAGCTCTTGCCACTGCACTCCAGCCTGGGCGACAGAGTGAGACTCTGTAAAGAAAAAAAAAAAAGTAAATAAATAAAAAATAGGCCAATCTTGCTTCTTCATATTTTACATATTGTTAGCCATCCATAAATATTTGTGCACCTGTTTTATGTGTGGTACTATGCATAGTACCATTTTGGCGTATATATCATGATCCATGTTCTCAAGAAACATTATTAGTTGTAGATATAAACACATATAGATGGAAATTAATAAGTCAGTAATACCGACTGACTCTAAATTAAGCAAGACTAGTACTGCAATAAGTAGTTAAGGATTATAGACAGTATTGATGTATTATACAGAAATACACTTGGAATTAAAGGTATATATTTTTCAGCAACTGGCTTTAACATTTAACAACATGTCTCAGAGGTCTATCCAGTTTTTACACAGCTTTTCTTTTATTTATTTATTTTTTTGAGATGGAGTCTCACTCTGTCGCCTAGGCTGGAGTGCAGTGGCGCGATCTTAGCTCACTGCAACCTCTGCCTCCCAGTTAAAGTGATTCTTCTGCCTCAGCCTCCTCAGTAGCTGGGACTACAGGTGCATGCCACCATGCCTGGCTAATTTTTGTATTTTTAGTAGAGATGGGGTTTCACCATATTGGCCAGGCTGGTCTGGAACTCCTGACCTTATGATTCGCCTGCCTCGGCTTCCCAAAGTGCTGGGGTTACAGGCATGAGCCACTGTGCCAGGCCTACACATCTTATTTCTATATTCCACCAACTTTTTTTTATTACTGCATAGTATTCCAAAGGATGAGTTCTGCCATAATTTATACTGTTTTCCTAAGTGTTTAGGATGTTATAACAGATAGATACATATTTCTTTTTTTGTTTGTTTGTTTGAGACAGGGTTTTGCTTTGTTGCCCAGGCTGGAGTGCAGTGCTTTGATTACTGCCTACTGCAGCCTTGGCCTCTCAGGCCCAAACAATCCTCCTACCTCAGTCTCCTGAGCAGCTGGGACTACAGGCATGTACCACCAGGCCTAGCTAATTTTAAATTTTTCACAGAGATGTGTTCTCCCTATGTTGCCCGGGCTTGTATTGAACTCCTGCGCTTAAGCAATCCTCCTCCTTTGGCTTCCCAAAGTGCTGGAATTAGAGGTGTGAGCCATCATGCCTGCCCCTGATAGATATATTTAAAGATGATTGGTTACTTTAATTTGGTTACATTTTCTATAAAAAGTATTTTTTGGCCAGGTGCGGTGGCTCCTGCCTGTAATCCCAGTACTTAGAGACACTGAGGCAGGAGGATCACTTGAGGTCAAGAGTTCGAGGCCAGCCTGGCCATCATGGTGAAACTCTGTCTCTACTAAAAGTACAAAAATTAGCCAGGCGTGGTGGTGCACACCTGTGGTCCCAGCTATTCGGGAGGCTGAGGTAGGAAAATCACTTGAACCTGGGAGGCAGAGGTAGCATTGAGCTCAGATCCTGTCACTGCACTCTAGCTTAGGTGACAGAGGGAGACTTTGTGTCAAAAAAAACCCAAAAATATCTTTTTTTTTTTTGAGACTGAGTCTTGCTCTGTCACCCAGGCTGGGCGCAGTGGCGCCATCTCGGCTCACTGCAAGCTCCGCCTCCTGGGTTCATGCCATTCTCCTGCCTCAGCCTCCCGAGTAGCTGGGACTACAGGCTCCCGCCACCACGCCTGGCTAATTTTTTGTATTTTTAGTAGAGACAGGGTTTCACCATGTTAGCCAGGATGGTCTCAATCTCCTGACCTTGTGGTCCGCCCGCCTTGGGCTCCCAAAGTGCTGGGATTACAGGTGTGAGCCACCACACCCGGCCCAAAAATATCTTTTTTAGTGACATACTTTTGGTATCTCATGAGATTTTAGCATCTACCTTTTTCTTATCACAGTAGTATTTTGAAATCATCTTGTAGGTAACTTAATCCTTGGGAAAGACATTGATGATACTGGTTTTTGGTAGCTTCTCTTTCTGAGGAAGTTGTTTGCTGATCGTGTTTGGGAACATGCTATGTTTGGGTCCTGTAACTTCCCTATATATTACATATAGAGAGATTTTTTTTGTTTGTTTCTTTTTTGATGGTCTTAAGGAGCTAAATATTTGGTTCTTAGTATCAGTTTTCTTAGGCCTATTATTTCTAGTTGGTCGATATTGAATATTATGTAGAATATATATGTGTGTGTGTGTGTGTGTATTTTTGTTTTTGTTTTTGAGAGAGTCTTGCTCTGTTGCCCATGCTGGAGTGCAGTGGCGTAATCTCAGCTCACTGCAACCTCTGCCTCCTGGGTTCAAGCAATTCTCCTGAGTAGTTGGGACTACAGGTGTGTACCACCATGCCTGGCTGTTTTTTGTATTTTTAGTGGAGACAGGGTTTTACCATGTTGCCCAGGTTGATCTTGAACTCCCAACCTCAAGTGATCTGCCTGCCTCGGCCTCCCAAAGTGCTGGGATTACAGGCGTGAACCACTGTGTCTGGCCAGAATATCTTTTTTTTTTTTTTTTGAGACTGAGTCTCGCTCTGTCACCCAGGCTAGAGTGCAGTGGCGCGATCTTGGCTCACTGCAACCTCTGCCTCCCGGATTCAAGCGATTCTCCTGCCTCAGCCATCTGAGTAGCTGGAATTACAGGCACCGGCCACCACACTCGACTAATTTTTGTATTTTTAGTAGAGGTGGGGTTTCACTATGTTGACCAGGCTAGTCTTGAACTTCTGACCTCAAGTGATCCGTCCACTTCAGCCTCCCAAAGTGCTAGGATTATAGGCGTGAGCCACCGCACTCAGCCAGAATATCTTTTTTGATTGTTATAGAGATCTGTTATTTTCTGGATATTGTTCCACCGAGGTAAATTATTCAAACTTAATTGTCCTTGTCATATACTACATATAAAAGATTTATTTATAAAATGATATGGAGTGCAGCACATTTCCTAAAATTGGAATGATACAGAGAAGATGAGCATGGCCTCTGTGCAAGGATATGACACGCAGATTCGTGAAGTGTTCCATATTTTTAGCTTCAGTATAAAAACTGTACAGATATTTGTATAGCTGATAAGGTTCTTTTTAGAGAAAATACTTAAAAAAATGCAGCTTGTACCTTTTTGAATTGGATTTTAAAGCTTCTGATGTTGAATATTTCTAAATGTGTGTGTGTGTGTGTGTGTGTGTGTGTGTGTGTATGTGTGTATTTATTATTATTATTTTTTGAGACAGTCTTGTGTTGCCCAGGCTGGAATGCAGTGGCAGGATTTCAGCCTCCTGGTTTCAAGAGATTCTCATGCTTCAGTGTCCTGAGTAGCCGGGACTACAGTCATGTGCCACCATGGCCGGCTACTTTTTGTATCTTTAGTAGAGACAGGGTTTCACCATGTTGGCCAGGCAGGTCTTGAACTCCTGGTCTAGGTGATGCACCTGCCTCGGCCACCCAAAGTGCTGGGATTACAGATGTGAGCCACCGTGTCTAGCCCAATATTCCTAAATATTTAATGGTTTTTTTAAGTTTCTTGACTTGCGTATGGTGGCATAGCAAACTTGGAATTAATATCCTTTTTTTTTTTTTACTTTTTTTCTTTGAGTCAGGGTCTCGCTTTATCGCCCAGGCTGGAGTACAGTGGCATGCTTATGGCTCAACTGCAGCCTTGATTTCCTTGGCTCAACTGATCCTCTCACCTTAGCTTCCCAAGTAGCTGGGACTACAGGTGTGCACCATTACGCCCAGCTTATTGTTTTGTATTTTTTTGTTGAGACAGGTTTTATAATGTTTCCCTGGCTGGTCTTAGACTCCTGGGGTCAAGCAGTTCGCCCACTGTGGCCTCCCAAAGTGCTGGGATTACAGGGATAAGCCACCTACACTTGGCCTCAGAATTAGTATCAATAGTAAAGTTTGGGATTTTTAGGATACTGCATTTTGTTTTTTTTAAGAAAATCTGTAATAAAATTGTGTATCTTGAAAAATGATATGGTGCTTTTTAATTTTTATTTTCATTTTTTTAGTTGTTTAGAGTGGAGTCTCACTCTGTTGCCCAGGCTGGAATGCAGTGGCGCGATCTCAAGCGATTCTCCAACCTCAGCCTCCTGAGTAGTTGGGATTACAAGTGTGCACCACCACACTCGGCTAATTTTTGTATTTTTGGTAGAGATGGGGTTTTACCGTGCTGGCCAGGCTGGTCTTGAACTCCTGACCTCAAGTGATCCTCCTGCCTCGGCCTCCCAAAGTGCTGGGATTATAGGCATAAGCCACTGTGCCTGTCCTGATAATGGTGCTTTTTTTGTATTGATGATGTGGTTTTCAGTAGGAAGGTTTTGTATTTTTTGTTTATTTATTTATTTAGAGATAGGCTCTTGCTGTGTTGCCCAGGATGGTCTTGAATTCCTGAGCTCAAATGATCCTCCTTCCTCGGCCTTCCAAAATGCTGGGATTACAGGTGTGAGCCACTGTGCCCACCCTGGATGGTTTTTTTTTTTTTTTGAAGTGTTTATTGGTATATCTACTTTAATGGCAGTATTTTTTTTTTCAGTGTAGGAAAACCACAGGCAAATAATGTCAGTATTGACCATTGCCATAACACTATTAGAGATCATGTTTGTTCATTCTATTACTATTTGTAGATTTCATGTTAACCCTGAATTTTAAAAAACTGTTTAAGTGAACATATGTCCTTATTAAAAGAAAAACAAAAAATTAAAATTAGCTGAGTGACATGTGCCCATAGCCCTTGCTGCTTGGGAGGTTGAGGCAGGAGGATTGCTTAAGCATGGGCAGTTGAGGCTGTGGTGAGCTGAGATCATGCCACTGCAGCTCAGCCTGGGTGACAGAGGGAGACTGTCTCAAAAACAAAAACAAAAATCTAGAGTTGATAAGACCTCTGCTTACCATGTTGGAATATTATGATGATAATCAGTGAGCAAGTATTGATTAGATTTTACATCAGGTTAAAATTATATAATAGAGGTAGAAGAATTTGAAAAATGCATATATTCATGGTATTGTTAATAATTATTTGTTTTGAGGATGGGAGGGGGGGATATATTTGTTTTTACATTGTTCATTTGAGCCAGTCCATTCACATTTCTCCATAATATATCAAACTTTACTTATGCATTCTTATTTTCTATATCCTTTTCAAATACAATCTCTGTTTAGGTCAGGTATGTATATGAAGATGCTATACAAGGTTGTTTAAACTAATGTATTAATAAGGAGGCTCTCATGAAAAAAGGAAGATACGTAAGATTAGATGATAAAATAGTTAAACCTGAGCATCACTTACAGTAGAATATGTGGGATTGAGATAAACTGGATTATAAGTAGAACAGGTGATTGGGAGATAGTGTGAGCTGTATATATATATATATACACACACACATATATATGTATATATATAATTTTTTTTTTTTGAGGTGGAGTCTTGCTCTGTTGCCAGGCTGGAGTGCAGTGGCACCATCTCGGTCACTGCAACCACTGTCTTCTAGGTTCAAGCAATTCCCCTGCCTCTGTCTGGGACTACAGGTACGTGCCACCACGCCCAGCTAATTTTTTGTATTTTAGTAAAGACAGGGTTTCACCATGTTGGCCAGGCTGGTCTCGATCTCCTGATCTAGTGACCTGCCCGCCTCGGCCTCCCAAAGTGCTGGGATTACAGGCGTGAACCACCGTGCCTGGCCTATATATGTTTTTATACATCAGAATTTTCTTATTTATTTATTTATTTGTTGAGATGGAATCTCGCCCGGCTGGAGTGCAGTGGCGTGATCTTGGCTCACTGCAAGCTCCGCCTCCTGGGTTCACGCCATTCTGCTGCCTCAGCCTCCCACGTAGCTGGGACTACAGGCGCCTGCCACCACGCCTGGCTAATTTTTTTTTTTTTTTGTATTATTAGTAGAGATGGGGTTTCACTGTTTTAGCCAGGATGGTCTCGATCTCCTGATCTCGTGATCCGCCCACCTCAGCCTCCCAAAGTGCTGGGATTACAGGCATGAGCCACTGCGCCTGGCAAGAATTTTCTTTAATACACTAAACATTATTTGGACACTAAAACTGCCTATATGTTTAGATCTTTTTACATACAAATAGACACAGTGAAAAAAAGGGAATGGAAGGGATATATAGCTTGCAAACTGGAGGAAGTACAGAGGGAAGTCCATGATTCACCTTTAATTTATAATAATGATTTTTTCCTGATTATGGAAAAAATGCATTTCTTACGGATTATGTGGAAAATGCGAAAGTAGCATATAAAAAATATATTAAAAAAATCACCTATGATTCTATTATCCAGAGATTTCTTTTCCAGTCTAATTTAAGTCAGTCCCTTTTGTGTGTCTGGGTAGATTATATTTAGTTGAGTGTCTTGCTTTCATTTCTAACATTCTCTTTTAAAAAACTACAGTGAAGGCCGGGCGAGGTGGCTCACACCTGAAATCCCAGCACTTTGGGAGGCCGAGGTGGGCGGATTACCTGAGGTCAGGAGTTCAAGACCAATCTGACCAACATGGTAAAACCCTGTCTCTACTAAATATACAAAAATTAATGGGGTGTGGTGCCGCATGCCTGTAATCCCAGCTACTAGGGAGGCTGAGGCAGGAGGATTGCTTGAACGCGGGAGCTGGAGGTTGTAGTGAGCCAAGATTGTGCCATTGCACTCCAGCCTGGGTGACAGTGTGAGACTGTCTCAAAAATAAAAAACAAAAACAAAAAACTACAGTTAAATATTATCCAAATCAGGCTGGGCACAGTGGCTCATGCCTTTAATCCCAGCATTTTGGGAGGCTGAGACGGGTGGATTACCTGAGGTCAGGAGTTTGAGACCAGCCTGGCCAATGTGGTGAAACCCCATCGCTACTAAAAAATACAAAAATAAGGTTGGGTGCTGTGGCTCACGCCTGTAATCCCAGCACTTTGAGAGGCCAAGGTGGGTGGATCACCTGAGATCAGGTGTTTGAGACCAGCCTGACCAACATGGAGAAACCCCATCTCTACTAAAAATACAAAATTAGCCGGGTGTGGTGGCGCATGCCTGTAATCCCAGCTATTCGGGAGGCTGAGACAGGAGACTCGCTTGAATCTGGGAGGCAGAGGTTGCAGTGAGCCAAGGTTGCGCCATTGCACTCTAGCTTGGGCAACGAGCGAAACTCCATCTCAAAAAAAATAACAAAATAAATTGGGTGTGGTAGCGAGCGCCTGTAGTCCCAGCAAACTGGGAGACTAAGGCAGGGGAATTGCTTGAACCCAAGAGGTGGAGGCTGCAGTGAGCCGAGATGGCGCCACTGCACTCCAGCCTGGGCGACAGAGCGAGACCCTGTCTCAAAAAAAAAAAAAAAAAAAAATTATTCAAAACATAGTCTTTTTAAATGGCTGTCTAAATTTCCATTATGTCAATCTAAAGAGGTGTTGTATTCAATAATCTAACAATCCTGGGTTCAGCTTAATAATAGAAACAACCCAATTTACAAATAGGCAAAAGAATCCAAACAGACATTTATTCAAAAAAGTATATAAATGCCAATAAGAACATGTAAAGATGGTCAACAACATTTGTCCTTAGGAAAATGCAAATCAAAACCACAGCTAGATACCACTAGGATTATGTGGAAGAGTTAGTTCCTTGAGCCCAGGACTTCGAGACCAGCGTGTGCAACAGAGTGAGACTCTGTCTCCAAAATAAAAAACAACCAAAAAGCCTAAGCAAACAAACCAACCCAACACCTCCTGGTGCTTAACCACAGGCTGTATTCTTTTTTTTTTTTTTGAGACAGAGTCTTGCTTTGTCCCCCAGGCTGGAGTGCAGTGGCTCAATCTCGGCTGACTGCAAGCTCTGCCGCCCGGGTTCACGCCATTCTCCTGCCTCAGCCTCCCGAGTAGCTGGGACTACAGGCACCTGCCAGCATGCCCGGCTAATTTTTTGTATTTTTAGTAGAGACGGGGTTTCACCGTTTTAGCCAGGATGGTCTCGATCTCCTGACCTCGTGATCTGCCTGCCTCAGCCTCCCAAAGTGCTGGGATTACAAGTGTGAGCCACCGCACCCGGCCGGGCTGTATTCTTACACTGACTGTATAGAAAGAGGAGATAGAGTAAACCTACCCCGTATACTTCAGCCCACGCCCTGTGCCTGTTCTGTATTATGAAGCGGGGTTGGGGGGCGGTGCAGACATAGAAAAAGGAAAAAACAAAAGGAAAAAAAGAAAAACAAACCCAAAACAAAACAATTGACAGTAACAGTGTTGGTGAGGATTAGAGAAATCAGAGCCCTTACACATTGCTGGTGGAAGCTGAAATTGGTGCAGCTGCTTTGGAAAACCGTTTGGCAGTTCCTCAAAAGGTTAAACATAGAGTTACCGTATGAACTAGCAATTCCACTCTTAGATATATACTTGAGAGATATGAAAACATGTCCACAGCAAACTCTTATACAAATGTTCATAGCAACATTATTCACCATAGCCAAAAAGTAGAAACAACCCAAATGTCCATCACTTGATGCATATGTACATAAAATGTGTTATATCCGTACCATGCAATATTTTCTAGCAGTATCGGTGAAGTACCAATACAGGCTACAACATGGATGAACCTGGAAAACATGCCAAGCGAAAGGAGCCAGTCACAAAAGGCCATGTTTTAGATTATACAATTCTCTTCATATAAATGCCTAGAATAGGTAAACCTATAGAGACAAAAGTAGATTCGTGGTTGCCAGGGGATAGGAGAGGGAGGAATGGGAATGGTTACTAATGGGTGGTGGGGTTTCTTCTTGAGTTAATAGAAATGTTCTGGAATTAGTGGTGATGGTTGTACAACTCTGAATATACTGGAAACCACTGAATTGTACACTTTTGAAATGGTGAATTTTATGGTTTACATATTATATTTTAATAAAGCTGGTATAAGTAGAAATTTGGGAGCTCCCACACTTAAAACCAATCCACGACGCTACCTTTGATACAGATGGTAGTGGTGAAGGTGATGATTTTAAATGTATTTTGGATTTATTATTCATTCATTCATTCAGACGGGGTCTCACTCTGTCACCCAGGCTGGAGTTGCAGTGGTGTGATCTCTGCTCACTGCAACCTCCCCCTCCTGGGTTCTCCTGCCTCAGCCTCCTGAGTAGCTGGGATTACAGGCATGCGCCACCACTCCCAACTAATTTTTGAACTTTTAGTAGAGACGGGGTTTCGGCATGTTGCCCAGGCTGGTCTTGAACCCCTGACCTCAGGTAATCCACCTGCCTTGGCCTCTCAAAGTACTGGGATTACAGGCGTGAGCCACCGCACCCAGCTTATTTTGAATTTACAACTGGCAGGATTTGCTGAATGATGAGGTGTGACGGAAAGAATAGGCAAAAATGACTTAGTTTTTGGCTTCAACAAGTAGAAATTGCCATTAGCTGAGATTGCAATTACTATAGATAGGGCAGGGTGGCAGAGGAGAATCAGGTCACTTTTAGATATGCCTGGTTTGAGATTTTTTTTTTTTTTCCTCCGAGATGGAGTCTTGGTTTTTTGTCTAGACTGGAGTGCAGTGGCACAATCTCAGCTCACTGCAACCTCTGTCTCCCAGGTTCAAGCAATCCTCCCGGCTCAGCCTGGCAAGTAGCTGGGATTACAGGCATGCACCTCCACGCCCAGCCAAATTTTGTGTGTGTATATATATATATATAATTTTTTTTTTTTTTTTTGAGGCAGAGTTTCTCTCTGTTGCCAGGCTGGAGTGCAGTGGCATGATCTTGGCTCACTGTAACCTCTGCCTCCCGGGTTCAAGCGATTCTCCTGCCTCAGCCTCCTGAGTAGCTGGGCCACCATGCCCAGCTAATTTTGTATTTTTGGTAGAGACAGGGTTTCTCCATATTGGTCAGGCTCATCTTGAACTCCCGACCTCAGGTGATCTGCCCACCTTGGCCTCCCAAAGTGCTGGGGTTACAGGTGTGAGCCACAGCGCCTGGCTTTTTTTTTTTTTTTTTGAGATGGAGTCTCGCTGTGTCGCCCAGGCTAGAATGCAGTGGTGCGATTTCAGCTCACTGCCACCTCCGCCTCCTAGGTTCAAGCGATTCTCCTGCCTCAGCCTCCCGAGTAGCTGGGATTACAGGTGCCCACTACCACGCCCAGCTAATTTTTATATTTTTAGTAGAGACGGGGCTTCACTGTGTTGGCCAGGCTGGTCTTGAACTTCTGACCTTGTGATCCACTTGCCTTGGCCTCCCAAAGTGCTGGGATTACAAGCGTGAGCTACCACACCCGGCCAATTTATATTTTTAGTAGAGATGGGGTTTGGCCATGTTGACCAGGCTGGTCTTGACCTCAGGCAATCTGCCCGCCTCAGCCTCCCAAAGTGCTGGGATTACAGGCCTGAGTCACTGCGCCCAGCCTGAGATGTTTTTTAGATACACAAAGTAGAGATGTTCAGTGAATACTTTGATGTGGGTCTACAGTCAGAGAAGAGTTGCTGGCTGAAGATGTAAATTTGTTAGCATGTTGATAGGATTTATTTTTTATTCTTTTTCTTAAGAGATGGGGTCTCACTCTGTCACTGAGGCTGGAGTGCAGTGGCACAATCATAGCTCAGTGCAGCCTCCAACTCCTAGAGTCAAGTGATCCTCCTGCCTAAGCTTCCAGAGTCGCTGGAATTACAGGCACGCCACCATGCCTGGCTAATTTTTAAATTTTTTGTAGAGGGAAAAGAGGGAAAAGAACAGGCCCTAGGACTGAGCTCTGGAACGCTGTATTGTTTCCAAGTTGAGAGATGTGAAAATCTCGAGAGTGGCAGTGTCCTCTGGAGAAGAAAGCCAGTTCTTGGGGGAGAGATTGATCAGCTGTTTAAGTGCTGTTGATAGGTCTAGAAAGACAAGAACTGAGAACTGATCATTTGATTTAATTTTATTTTCTAGTTGTTGGTATAAAGAAATATAATCTAGCTAAGTGTGCTGCTCACACCTGTAATCCCAGCACTTTGGGAGGCTGAGGCAGGAGGAATATTTGAGGCCAGGAGTCTTTTTTTTGTTTTTTGTTTTTTTTTGAGACGGAGTTTTGCTTTTGTCACCCAGGCTGGAGTGCAATGGCTCGATCTCAGCTCACTGCAACCTCTCTGCCTGCTGGATTCGAGCGATCCTCCTGCCTCAGCTCCCGAGTAGCTGGGATTACAGGCCTGCCAACATGCCCGGCTAATTTTTTTTTTTTTTTTGCTAATTTTTGTATTTTTATTAGAGACAGGGTTTTGCCATGTTGTCCAGGTCTGGTCTCGAATGCCAGACCAACCTGGATTACAGGTGTGAACCATCATGCCTGGACAAGTCCAGGAGTTTGAGACCAGCCTGGACAACATTGCGAGACACTGTCTCTACAAAAATAAGAAAAAATTTAAAAAATTATTTATTTATTTTTTTGTTTTTGAGACGAAGTCTTACCCTGTCACCCAGGCTGGAGTGCAGTGGCATGATGTTGGCTCACTGCAACCTCCTCCTCCTGGCTTCAATTGATTCTCCTGCCTCAGCCTCCCGAGTACCTGGGATTACAGGTGTGCGCCACCATGCCCAGCTAATTTTTGTATTTGTAGTAGAGATGAGGTTTCACCGTGTTGGTCAGGCTGGTTTCGAATGCCTGACCTCAAGTAATCCACCCGCCTTGGCCTCCCAAAGTGCAATTGCAGGCATAAGCCACCGGGCCCGACCAAATAAAAAATATTTAAAAAGAAGAACATAAGAAAAAGACTTATGGAGAGTATATTTCTTAATTTTCAAGAAATTTGGATTCTAATTATATATATTATATAGATTTAAAAAAATTATTTATTTATACTTTTGAGACAAGGTTTTGCTTTGTTGCTCATGCTGGAATGTAGTGGTGCGATCAGAGCTCACTGCAGCCTTGACCTCCTGGGCTGAAGTGATCCTCCCATCTCAGCCTCCTGAGTAGCTGGGACCACAGGTGAACAGCACCATGCCTAAGTTTTTAAAAGATTTTTTGTAGAGATGGGGGTCTCACTATGGTGCCCAGGCTGGTTTCGAACTCCTGGACTCAGGTGATCCTCCCACCTCAGCCTCCTAAAGTGCTGGCATTATAGGTGTAAGCCATCGTGCCTGGTGTAATTACATTTTTTGCTACTGATTTCTAGTATAATTCCATGTGCACTTGAAAGTAAATTGTGTTTTGTGGCTATTGGGTTCAATGTTCTATAGATATGGAGTCAAGTTATATTTATTGCACAGATCAAATCTTCTGTGTTCTTACTGTTTCACCCCTTCCTCCTTGCCCCTTTCTTTCTTCCTCTTATGTTTCTTTCCTTTTCCCCTTCCCCTCCTTTAAAAAAAAAATTTTTTTTAAAGGAGGGGAAGCTTCTTGTGTTAATGGTTACAGAGAGGGGAGTTTCATTTGAATTTTACATACTTTTTTCAAAATTAAAAAATTAGGTTTTTTTTGAGGCTAAGTCTCACTCTGTCACCTAGGCTGGAGAGCAGTGGCTTGATCTTGGCTCACTGCAACCTCTACCTCCTGGATTCAAACAATTTTTGTTTCTCAGCCTCTGGAGTAGCTGAGATTACAGGCATGTGCCACCAAACCCAGCTAATTTTTTGTATTTTTAGTAGAGACTGGGTTTTGCCATGTTGCGTAGGCTGGTCTTGAACTCTGGCCTCAAATGATCTGCCCACCTTGGCCTCCTGAAGTTTTGGGATTACAGGCACGAGCCACCTTCCCCCACTCCACGTGCACCCCGCCCCCTCCGCCCAAAAAAAAGGAATGTTGTGTAAGTGGAATAATTCAATATAGCCTTTTAGGACTGGCTTTTTTTTAGATTTTTTTATTTTTTGAGATGGAGTGTCTCTCTGTTGCCCAGGCTGAATGGCTCGATCTCGGCTTACTGCAACCTCTGTCTCCTGGGTTCTAAGTGATTCTCCCAAGTAGCTGAGATTACAGGCATGCGCCACAATGCCCAGCTAATTTTTGTATTTTTAGTAGAGGCAGGGTTTTGCCATGTTGGCCAGGCTGGTCTCACTATGCTGCCCAGGATGGTCTCGAACTCCTGACCTCCGGTGATCCGCCTTCCTTGGCCTCCCAAAGTGCTGGGATTACAGACCGGAGCCACCACGCCCGGCTACGACTGGCTTTTACTGAGCATAATACTCTGGAATTTCATCCAGGTTGTTGTATGCATCAGTAATATGTTTTTATTGCTGACTAGTATTTCATGGAATGGATGTACCATAGTTTTTTTAACCATTTATCTACTGGAGGACATGAGTTGTTTCCAGTTTTTGGTTATTATGAATAAAGCTGCTGTAAACATTTGTTTACAGGTTTTTAGATGAATATAATTTTTCAGTCCTGATAAATGCCCAGAAGTGCAATTGCTGAGTTGTATGGTAGTTGTATATTTAGTTTCTTTAAGAAACTGCAGAATATTTTTCAGAGTGACTGTACCATTTTACATTCCCATCAGCAACCATAAGTGATGTTGTTTCTTTGAAGTCTTGCCATCATTTGGTGTTGTACCTGTTTTTTATTTTAGTCAATTTGATAGGTAAGTAATATCTCATTATAGTTTTTTTTTTTTTTTGCAATGGGGTTTCGCTCTTGTTGCCCGGGCTGGAGGGCAATATTGTGATCTCCGCTCACTGCAGCCTCCGCCTCCCGGGTTCAAGTGATTCTCCTGCCTCAGCCTCCCGAGTAGCTGGGATTACAGGCATGCACCACTACGCCTGGCTAATTTTGTATTTTTACTAGAAACGGGGTTTCTCCTTGTTGGTCAGGCCGGTCTCGAATTCCTGACCTCAGTTGATCTGCCCGCCTTGGCCTCCCAAAATGCTGGGATTACAGGCATGAGCCACCGCACCTGACCTCATTAGAGTTTTAATTCGCACTTACTTAATGGTTAGTGATGTTGAACATCTTTTTATGTACTTATTTGCCACCTGTATCTCCTCTTTCGTGTAGTGTTTTTTCTCCTTTTTTGCTGATTTTCCAATTGTTTGGTTTTTATTTTTTGTTTTTTTTGTGTGTGTTTTTTTGAAACAGAGTCTCTGTCTGTCACCTAGGCTGGAGTGCAATGGCATGATCATAGCTCACTGCAGGCTCAACCTCCCAGCTGCAAAGGATCCTTCCACCTTAGGCTCCTGAGTAACTGGGATTATAGGCACGTGCCACCATGCCTGGCTGATTGTTTTCTATTTTTTCATAGAGACAGGGTCTCACTATTTTGTCTAGGCTGGTATTGAACTCCTGGGCTTAAGGGATTCCCCCCCTCTTCAGCCCCTGTTGGGCTCCCAAAGTGCTAGGTTTACAGGCATGAGCCACCATGCCTGGCATACTGTTGAGTTTTGATAGGTTGTTAATAGATTTTAGATATTAGTCCTTATCCTGAATGTGGTATGTAAGTATTTTCTCATAGTCTGTAGCTTGTCTTTTCATCCTTTTAGCCAGGTCTTTCATCAAACAAAAGTTTTGATTTGATGAACTATAATTTATCAGTTTTGCCTTTTTTTTTTTTTTTTTTTGAGTCATAGTCTTGCTCTGTCACCCAGGCTGGAGTGCACTAGTGCCATCTTGGGTCACTACAGCCTCTGCCTCCTGGGTTCAAACCATTCTCTTGCCTCAGCCTCCCAAGTAGCTGGGATTACAGGCACATGCCACCACACCTGGCCAATTTTTGTATTTTTAGTAGAGACGGGGTTTCGCCATGTTGGCCAGGCTGGTCTTGAACTCTTGAGCTCAAGTGATCTGCATGCCTCAGCCTCCCAAAGTGCTGGGATTACAGGCATGAGCCACTGCACCCAGCCACGATCAGTTTTTCCTTTTATGGCCCATGCTTTTGTGTTTTTGCCTAGCCTTAGCTTCTGAAGATTTTCTCTCTCTTTTTTAGTTCCCACAAGGAGAGATTTTCCCCTTTTTTCCTGAAAATTTTATAGCTTTATGTCTTAAACATTTAAATCTGTGGTCCATTGCGAGTTAATATTTCTGTAAATATTTCTGTAAATTTCCAAGAATACTAAAGGGTAAGCATGAGACTTAGGTCAAGGTTTATTTTTTACTGATTGATGTCCACTTGTTCCAGTATCATTTGTTGAAAAGGTGGTCTTTTCTCTATTGAATTGCTTTTGCACCATAGTCAAAAATCAGTCAGGCACACTTATGTTGCTGGGTTTTCTCTCTTGTTCCCAGATCTATAATCTGTTATCAGGTCTGTATTTCTGTCCCTCCACTGATGCTACATAGTTTTGATTAGTGTAGCCATACAGAAACCCTTGAAATCAGGTTGCGATTCCTCCTGCTTTGTTCTTTTTCAAAGCTATTTTACCTATTTTAGTTCCTTTGTCTTATCAATTTTAGAATAATTTTATCTATATCTATAAAAAAATCTTGCTTGGGTTCTGGTAGGCATTTTCTTAAACGTGTATATCAATTTGGGGAAGAATTGACATATTTACTGTGTTGTCTTCCCATCTTTGAACATTTCTTTCACAGTTTTCAGCATATTAAGTTTTGTACTTGTTTTCTTAGATTTATACCTATGTGCTGAAATATAGGAAGTCCTCACATAACATCATCAATAGGTTCTCGGAAACTGTGATTTTAAGTGAAACGACATGTATCAGGTCCTTGAACAACATACTTTCGTTCAACGTCATTCTGTTATAATGTTGATGAGGAAAAAAATTGGTTATGTATTGTCTTGCTTAAAGTTGTAGTTTACAGCCAGGCGTGGTGAGTCACGCCTGTAATCCCAGTACTTTGGGAGGCTGAGGCAGGCCGATCACCTGAGGTCAGGAGTTCGAGACCAGCCTGGTCAACATGGTGAAACCCCATCTCTACTAAAAATACAAAAATTAGCTGGGTGTGGTGGCATGTGCCTGTAAACCCAGCTACTCAGGAGGCTGAGGCAGGAGAATTGCTTGAACCCAGGAGGTGGAGGTTGCAGTGAGCCAAGATCACGCCATTGCACTCCAGCCTGGGTGACAGAGCGAGACTCAGTCTCAAAAAAAAAAAAAAAAAAAAAGTTTATAAGATCCTATTGAGGTTAATAAGTGAGGACTTAGTGTATTTCTCTGTTTTTTTTTTTTTTTGCAATTGTGAAGGGTACTGTTTCTTTAATTTCAGTGTCCATGTGTTTTTTGCTAGTATGTATAAATACAGTTTCTTTTATATGTTTATCTTGTATCTTGCACCCTTGTTAAACTCACTTTCTTGTTGGAGATTTTATAGATTATTTGGGATTTTCTGTAATACATAGATAACCATGTTATCTGCAAATAGGGACACTTTTATTTCTTCTTCCCTAATCTATATGCGTTTTATTTTCTTTTTTTCTCTTATTTCATGAGCTAGAACTTCCAGCATTATTTTGAATAAAATTGGTGAGAGTAGATATCTTGCCTTTTTCCTGATGTTAGGAGGAAAGCGTTTAGTATTTCATTACAAATACAATGTCAGCTGTAGGTTTTTGTAGGTGCTTTTATCAGGTTGAGAATATTTTTGTTCCTGTTTTTCTGGTAGTTACCATGAATGGTGTTGAATTTTGTCATTATTTTCTGCATTGATTGATACAATTCTTTCACGCATTAAAATGGTGGATTATACTGATTTTTGAATATGGAACTAGCCTTGCCTTCCTGGAATAAACCCCATTTCATTATAGTATACAATCCTTTTTTTTTTTTTTTTTTTTTTTGAGACAGGGTCTTACTGTTACCCAGGCTGGAGCATAGTGGTGTGATCATGGCTCACTGAAGCCTCGACCACCTGGGCCTAAGTGATCCTTTCACCTCACCCTGCCCACCAGTACCTGGGACCACAGGTACGTACCACTATGCTTGGCTAATTTTAAATTTTTTTGTAGAGTTGAGGTCTCACTGTGTTGCCCAGGCTGGTCCTGAACTCCTGGGCTCAAGCGATCCTCCCAACTCAGCCTCCTAAAGTTCTGGGATTATAAGTGTGAACTACTATGCCCCGCCAAAATTCAACAATATATAAAAACAGTTATATCCACTGCACTCCAGCCTGGGTGATAGAGCAAGACCTTGTGTCAAAAAAAAAAAAAAAAAAAAAAAAAATTATATATATATATATATATATATATATATATATATATAGCTGAATTTTATTTGCTAGTATTTTGTTAAGGATTTTTGTGTCTGTAGTCATGAGGAGTATTGGTCTGTAGTTTTTTTGTACTGGCTTTGTCTGCTTTTGGTATCAGGATAATACTAGCATCATAAAATGGATTGGAAGTGCTTTCTTATTTTCTGGAAGAGATTATGTAGGATTAGTATTATTTTTTCCTAAAAATGTTTGTTAGAATTTTCCATTGAAGCTATTTGGCCCTGGAAATTTTTTTTTTTGAGTTTTAAAATTATGAATTAAATTTCTTTATAAATTATAGTGATTTTATCTTTGTCTTATTGGATGAGTTTTGATTCTTTGTGGTTTTTGAGACATTGGTCCATTTCATATAAATTGTCAAACTTTTGTGTGTTCATAGTTTACTTTATTAGCCTTTTGATATCTGCAAGGTCTATAGTAATATCCCTTTTTCATTCCTGATGTTGGTAATTTCTGTCTTCTTTTTTCTTTGTCAGTCTTGCTAGTCTTTCAGTTTTATAGATCATTTGGGTAAACCAGCAATTTATTTCATTGAATTTTCTCATTATTTTCTGTTTCCAATGTTTGTTATCTGCTATTTATTATTTCCTTTTTTTTTTTTTTTTGAGACAGAGTCTTGCTCTGTTGCCCAGGCTGGAGTGCA
The DNA here is from genome assembly GCF_000001405.40 of Homo sapiens. NCBI lineage: Eukaryota > Metazoa > Chordata > Mammalia > Primates > Hominidae > Homo > Homo sapiens. Next base: position 40,092,700 of record NC_000004.12, read on the forward strand.
GTGACACAATCTCAGCTCACTGCAGCCTCCACCTACTGGGTTCAAACGATTCTCTTGTCTCAGCCTCCCAAGTAGCTGGGACTACTGGCGTGCACCACCATGCCCAGCTAATTTTTGTATTTTTAGTAGAGACGGGGTTTCACCGTATTGGGCAGACTGGTCTCGAACTCCTGACCTCAGGTGATCCACCCACCTCAGCCTCCCAAAGTGCTGGGATTACAGGCATGAGCCACCGTGCCCGGCCTGCTCTTTTTTTTTTTAAAGATGGAGTCTTGCTTTTGTCACCCAGGCTGGAATGCAATGGCGCAGTTTCAGTTCACTGCAACCTCTGCCTCCTGGGTTCAAACGATTCTCCTGCCTCAGTCTCCGGAGCAGCTAGGATTACAGGCGCCTGCCACCATGGCCAGCTAATTTTTGTATTTTTAGTAGAGAAAGGGTTTCACCATGTTGGCTAGGCTGGTCTTGAACTCCTGACCTCAGGTGATCCACCCGCCTCAGCCTCCCAAAGTGCTGGGATTACAGGCATGAGCCACCATGCCTGGCCCCGGCCTACTCTTTATTATTTTCTTCTTTCTGCTGGGTTTGAGTTTATTTGCCCTTCGTTTTCTGGGTTCTTATGGTGGGGGCTTAGATTATTCATTTGAGACTTCTTTTCTAATGTATGCATTTAGTGCTATAGATTTTCCTGTAATCACTGCTTTAGCCATGTTCTACAATTTTTTTTTGAGACAGAGTCTTGCCGTGTCACCCAGGCTGGAGTGCAGTGGCTCGATCTTAGCTCACTGCAACCTTTGCTTCCCGGGTTGAAGTGATTCTCCTGCCTCAGCCTCCTGAGTAGCTGGGATTATAGGTGTGTGCCACCTTGCGTGGCTAATTTTTGTATTTGTATTATTTATTTATTTATTATTATTATTTATTTATTTATTTACTTTTGGAGACAGAGTTTTGCTCTTGTCGCCCAGGCTGGAGTGCAATGGCACTGTCTTGGCTCACTGTAACCTCTGCTTCCTGGGTTCAAACGATTCTCCTGCTTCTGTTTCTTCAGTGCGCGTGCCAGCGCTCCTGGCTAATTTTTGTATTAGTAGAGACGGGGTTTCACCATGTTGGCCAGGCTGGTCTTGAACTCCTGACCTCAGGCGATCCACCCACCTCGGCCTCCCAAAGTGCTGCAATTACAGGTGTGAGCCACCGCGCCCAGCTAATTTTTGTACTTTTAGTAGAGATGGGGTTTTACCATATTGCCCAGGATGGTCTTGATCTCCTGAGCTCAGAGTGGTCTGCCCACCTCAGCCTCCCAGGGTGCTGGGATTACAATCCAGGTAGGCGTGAGCCACCACACCTGGCCTACAAATTTTGATATGGTATATTTTCATTGGCATTCAATTTATTATATTTTAAAAATTTTTTCGAGACTTCATCATTGACCCATGGATTATTTAGATGTATATTGCTTGGAAATTTTTATGTTACTGATTTCTAGTTTGATTCCATTGTGGTTGGAAAACATACCTGTGTGATATCAATTGTTTTAAATTTGTTGTGGTTTGGTTTTAGCTTAGGATATGATCTATCTTGGTATGTGTTCTGTTAATACTTGAAAAGAGTGTGTATTTTGCTGTTGTTGGGTGGAGTGTTCTGTAAGTGTTGATTAGATCCTTAATTATTGGTGTTGTTGAGTTCTATATATTTGCTGATTTACTGTCTAGTTTATTCTGTCTGTTGTTGATAGAGTGGTGTTGAAGTCTCCACCTATAATTGTGAATTTGTCTATTTCTCCTTTCAGTTTTAGCTTCACTTATTTTGTAGCTCTTTTTAGTGCATATACATTTAGGGTTGCTATATCTTTTTTATTTTTATTTATTTATTTATTTTTGAGATGGAGTTTCGCTCTTGTTGCCCAGGCTGGAGTGCAATGGTGTGATCTCAGCTCAATGCAACCTCTGCCTCATGGGTTCAAGCAATTCTGCCTTAGCCTCTCGAGTAGCTGGGATTACAGGCATGCACCATCTTGCCTGGCTAATTTTGTATTTTTAGTGGAGATGGGGTTTCTCCATGTTGGTCAGGCTGGTCTCAAACTCCTGACTTTAGGTGATCTGCCCACCTCGACCTCCCAAAACGCTGGGATTACAGGTGTGAGCCACCGCGAGTGCAGTGGCGTGATCTTGGCTCACTGCACCTCTGTCTCCTGGGTTCAAGCGATTCTCCTGCCTTAGCCTCTCGAGTAGCCGGGACTACAGGTTAGTTCTTTTTGTATTTTTAGTAGAGACAGAATTTTGCCATTTTGGCCAGGTTGGTCTCAAACTCCTCACCTTAAGTGATCCTCCTGCCCATTGTCCAACGTGCTGGGATTACAGTCGCGAGCCCCTGAGTCTGGCCAGGGTTACTATATCTTTTTTTTTTTGAGATGGAGTTTTGCTCTTGTTGCCCAGGCTGGAGTGTAATGGCGCTATCTTGGCTCACTGCAACCTCTGCCTCCCAGGTTCAAGCAATTCTGCTTCAGCCTCCTGAGTAGCTGGGATTACAGGCCCATGCCACCACGCCTGGCTAATTTTTGTATTTTAGTAGAGACAGAATTTCACCATTGTTGGCCAGGCCCGTCTCAAACTCCTGACCTCAGGTGATCCACCCACCTTGGCCTCCCAAAGTGCTGGGATTACAGGCGTGAGCCATAACGCCCAGCCCGCTATATCTTTTTGATGGCCTGATCCTTTATCATTACACAGTGCCTTTCTTTGTCTGTGATAATTTTCTTTGCTCTGAATTCTGCTTATGTCTGATATTAATATATAAATGTACTTTTATTTAATTGTAATTAATTTAAATTTAAATAGGAACATATGGCTGGTGGCTGCCATATTGACAATGCAGTTCTGGAAGGTGGAGAGAGCTATGATACAAATTTAATTAAAAGGTAAATTTTATAACACAATAGAAGATGATAAGGGCAATGGATAGTTAGCAGGAAAGGGGAGATTGGGGCAGAGGGAGCAGGGTATATGATTTTCAGTTGGATAATCAATAGAGAAATCATTGAATGTGACACTTGAACAAAAATTTGAAGGAGTACAGGAGTTAGCCGTGCAGATATCTTGAGGAAGAGTATATCAAGGGCTAGCAGAGAGATACGTCATTGTAAGAACTTTAGTTTTTTCTCTGAGTGATATGGAGAACATATAGGGGTTTAGATCAGACCCTTTTTACATCGTATAAAGCTCAGTCTGGCTGGTATATTGAAAATAGACTATAGGGGGACAAAGTTGCAAACAGGGAGAACAGGTAGGAGGTTGGAATATGGTTGAAAGATGACAGGTGTCAGACCCAATGATTAGAGCAGATTTTGGGAAATATATTAGACATTTAGTTTTGGATATGTTAAGTTTGAAATGTTTATTAGATATATTCAAGCAGAGAAAACAAGTAGACTGCCTGTAGTTCTATTCCAGGTATGAGTCCCTGCCCTTGTGGAGCTTACACTTTATTGGAATATGGGTGGTAAATACAATACGTATGTAAAACATATGCTATGTAAGAAAACAATAAGTCCTATGGAGAAAATTCAAGTAGGAAAGTGGGATAAATGGTGTTGGGGCTCTGAGGTCCTGAGAAGGTAACATTTGAATAATGATAAGAAGGTGATAAGGAGATACTTGGAGAAAAGTGGTTCAGTAGAGGGAACCAAGGTGTAAAGGTTCCCAGGGGAGAACATTGCTGGTGTGTTTGAAGAAGAGTGAGGAGACTTAAGTGTGGCTAAGGGAAAGGACAGTACAGAGGTAACCAGTGTCCAGGTTATGGGCCATTTTAAGGGCTCTGGCTTTTGTCCTGAGTTAGGGAGCTAGTGGATAGTTTAGTAGAAGAAAGGCATGATCCACCATGTGGTTTAATTGAGTCACGCTGGCTTTGGTGCTAAATAGACTGAAGCGGCAAGGGTGGAAACCAAGAGATAGGAGACTTATAGTAATTCAGGCAAGAGGCTGTGGTAGCTAAGTCTAGGGTGGTGGCAGTGAGGAATGATAGTATTCTGGATATGTTTTGAGAGTCGCACTGACAAAATTGGCTTACCAGTTGGATGTGGGATGAGAGGAGTCAAGGATTATTCCAAGATTTTGGCCCAAGTCATTGGAAGGATATAGTTGCACTGAGATGGGAAAGACTGGGAAAAGCAGGTTTGAAGGGGGTGATGAGGAGCTGTTTTGGACATGTTAAATTTATAATGCCTATTGGACATCTGAGTATAGGTGTTCAGTACGCATTCTAATTATATTTATGAAGACTTTCGTGTTTTTAAAAATGAAAAAATGTATTGAAATAGTGTATTCATTGTTCTGAAATACATATTGTTAACATCTTAATTTTTAACATGTTCAATCCTGGCAAAACCTGCATATTTTGAAGAGAGAGAAATTGACTACTTTTTAGCTCTGCTGTTAGAGTTGGTGGTACTTTCTTAGAGCTAAATAAAGATGTCATTCCGATTTTAGAAATGGAAATATATATAGTCTGAGTGTTTTTAATTGCTTTCTATTTTAGGTCTTTTTACTGCTGGATTGTGCAAGATATTTAACCCTATTTTGTTTGAATTATGACTTAAATGTCAAACATCTTAACTAAGAAAAGGGAAACATTTTAGTTTTGGAAGTCAGAATGCCAAGGAGAAGGAAAAATCTTGGGGGAAATCCTTTTCGGAAGACTGCAAACCCTAAGGAAGTTGTCGTATCCAGTGTTGCTAGTCGTGAGGAGCCAACCACTACTCTACCTTCCATGGGTGAGACAAAAGTTGATCAGGAAGAACTCTTCACCAGTATCTCAGAGATATTTTCTGATCTGGATCCTGATGTAGTGTATTTGATGCTTTCTGAATGTGATTTCAAAGGTGAGAAAAAGTTTAGTTTGAACCCTGTCCATCTTATAAGAAGACTTTGTGTACTATGCCATGATTAATAGTAATATAGAAAAATGTCTTGTTTCTATTTTATTCATAATTTATTAATCATCTGCTGTTGGCAAGTTACTAAGGTTGGTATTTGAGTTGGTATTTGGGATATGAAGAATAAAACATATTTTCTGCTCTTGAGAAATGTGCAGTTCTAGGTGTAAGGTATTTGTATAGATAGCATATTCTGTCTCTTTCATCTTCACTCTAGAACAGACTGGCACTGTTGACACTTCAGGCTACATAATCCTTTATTTTGAGTGGCTCTCCTATGCATTGTAGGTTTAGCAGCGTCCCTGGCCTGTACACGCTAGATGCCAATAGCTCCTTACCACCCAGTTGTGACAATAAAAAATGTCTCCATGTATTGTCATTTGTCCCCTGGGAGGCAAAATTGTACCTCGTTGAGAACCACTCTCCTAGAATGTAAGCTCCATAAAGACAGAGTTTTTAAAAACTTTGTTTTACTCCTGTATCTTCAGCCCGTAACATAGCAACTGACTCATAATAGGAGCTAAGTAAATATCTATTAAGCAACTAGGTAATTATAATTATGCAAATAAGAGCTGATTAAGAGTTGAGGCTAGCAGAATAGTATAATTTCAAAACATTGACTTTGGAGTCAAGAAACGTGGGTTGGATTTCCAGCTCTGCCACTTAATCTCCCTGAGTCTCAGTTTTCTAATCTGTTAGGTAGAAATATAACAGTATGTGCTTCATAGGACTTTTTTTTGGTGAGGATTGAGTTTTAGTTTTTTGTTTTTGGTAAAGTCTTCAGTATGGTAGGTTATTAATAACTTGTCATACATTGTTTAGAAGTATGTAGACAGAAGGGAGTTTATATAAGTTGGCTAGATGAGTAAATTAAATGTTGATGCTTAGTATTGTTACTAGCCATGATTAGTATAAGGTAAAATTATTCTGGATTTGGGAAGTTTTGGTAATGTGTTATAAACTTCCAGTTTCAGTCATCGTGTGGTCTGCGAGCATATCTTGTCCAGTTATGCATGTAGAAAACCAGTTGTCAGCAGTGCATGATGCTCAGAAATGACAGTATATTGAGTTTTGTAAGTTACTTTGACATTTCCTAATTTTGATATGTTTAAAATGTAATTGTTGCATATAAACTAATACAGCAATGAGGAATTACAAGAAATCCACATCATCCTATACCATAACAAAAAAACTTTTTTGTTTTCCAGAATCTTCTATAGACCTTGTTCATAAGCATTTGAGATTTGAGTGGTGGAATTTTGTTATTATGCGTTTTTAACTTAACATAAGCATTTGTCTATGTTGCTGTAATCTGTATTTTTAATGGGTTTCTAATCTACTGAGTTGTGCTGTAGTTTATTTAATTATATCTACGTTTTTCGTGAATAATTAATATTGCAGAGAACATCTTGGTAAAAATATTTTTTTCTTTCTTTTGGCTTTTTTTTCTTAGTTCCAAAATCTTATTTTCTTGCGTCACAGGGTAAGAACTGCTTTGGCTCTTGGAAGCATACTGCTGAATTGCCTACCAATGAGGTGTGCTGACTTGTAATTCCACCAGGCTTGCATAAGTGTAGTGGTTTCACTTCAGCCTTTTCAACATTGTGTGGTAGTGTTTTAAGATTTTTTGTTTTTTGAGACGGAGTTTCGCTCTTGCTGCCCAGGCCGGAGTGCAGTGGCGCCATCTTGGCTCATGGCAACCTCAGCCTCCCGAGTTAAAGTGATTCTCCTGCCTCAGGCTCTGAAGTAGCTGGGATTACAGGCGTCCGCCACTGTGCCTGGCTAATTTTTTTTTTTGTATTTTTAGTAGAGAATGGGGTTTCATCATGTTGGCCAGGCTGGTCTCGAACTCCTGACCTCAGGTGATCCACACGCCTCAGCCTCCCAAAATGCTAGGATTACAGGCGTGAGCCACTGCACCCGGCCCATGTTTTAAGATTTTAATAGGAATAAAATTGCATTTTTCCTAATTTGTGTTTTTTTAATAAAGAGGAATGTTGAACATTTTTGTACATGTTTGTTTATTCTTGTATTCTTGTGTAAATTGTTCATTCATTGAAAAAAAATTTTTTTATACCATGGTTTTAATTTTTCCCAGCAATCTGTATAAGGACTTTTTTTAATGTGATAAGTACCTATCCATTTTGATCTTTAATTTACTTAGTGTAATTTTTCATTGTATAGACATTAAGTTTTTAGTTGATCTTTTCTGGTTTTACTGTCATGTAGATTTTTTTCATAGAAATACTCCTTACGTTTGCTTTCTTTTTTTTCCCCCGTCCCTGCCCACCCCCGCCACCTTTTTTTTTCTTCCATTTTTAGGTTTTCTGTCCTTTGTAGTATTGCTATGATCTCCTAATTGGTCTCTGCCAGGCTTGCCCCCTCCAATCCCTCTTTGTTTTTCTTCTTAAGGGAACTTAATTGGGTGCTTACTAGGTGCCAGTTCTTGTGCACAGCACTTTTTCATGGATTATCTCATTTAATCCTCACAGCAACCTATGAGGTAGGTGCTTTTATTATCCCCATATTACAAATGAGAAAATCGAGGTTTAGGAAAGTTAACTTGTTGAAAGTGTCATAGCCAGCAGTAGAGATTTAAATGTTGGTGTTCTGACTCCAGACCAGAGCTGTTACCTACTCTGCTGTGCTGTTTCCAGACTTATCTTTCTTAAAACAGCAAGACAAAACACAAAATAAACAACCCCTCCCTCCAAACTTCAGATGCTTAAAAATTCTTATTTTGTTTTTTTTTTTGGTTTCCTTTTTTTTTTGAGATAGGGCCTCACTCAGTCGCCCAGGCTGGAGCGCAGTAATCACTTTCACTAGAGGCTCACTGTAGCCTCGACCTCATGGGCTGAAGTGATTCTCCTACCTCAGCCTCCTATGTGGCTGGTACTATACGCACATGCTACCACACTGGTTAATTTTTGTAGAGACAGGGTTTTTCCATGTTGCCCAGGCTGGTCTCGAACTCCTGGGCTCAAGCGATCTACCTGCCTCAGCCTCCCAAAATGTTAGGATTATAGGCATGAGCTGCCACACCTGGCCTTAAAATTTCTAATGGCTCCCTATTTGTGTTATAACAGAACGAGCTCAGCATTGGAGTCAGATATACCAGTCCTGGCTCTGTCACTGACTATCTGTGTGACTTGGGTCAAGTTAATGTACTTTTTAACTTCATTTCTTCATCTGTTTGCTAGGAATAATATACCTCATGGTAGTATTTGAGGATTCAGTGAGGTGATGTGTATAAAACTTCTAGCTCAAATGCTATGACTGGTAGTTTCCTTCAAGTTCCCTTCGAAAATAAAATTAATATTTCTTAACATGACATACAGGACTCCTCCCAATTTCACCCAATCGACCTCCTTCTAGGGAGAGCCAAGCCTGGGTTTACCCTTTTTTCTCTTGTGTCTGGCAAGTTACTTTTTAATCTTCAAGTCCCAGTTCACATATCACCTTATGTGAGATCTTTTCTTATTCTCCTTTGTGCTTCTATGGCATTTGTACATTATCAAAAGTGTGCATTATTTATTTATTTATTTATTGTTGAGAGGGAGTCTCGCTCTGTCACCAAGGCTGGAGTGCAGTGGCGCGATCTCTGCTCACTACCACCTCTGCCTCCCGGGTTCAAGAGATTCTCCCACCTCAGGCTCCTGAGTAGCTGGGATTACAGGCATGCGCCGCCACTATGCCCAGCTAATTTTTATATTTTTAGTAGAGATGGGGTTTCGCCACGTTGGCTAGGCTGGTCTCTAACTCCTGACCTCAGGTGATCCACCCGCCTCAGCCTCCCAAAGTGCTGGGATTACAGGCATGAGCAACCACGCCAAAAAGTGTGCATTATTTAATCTGTATTATATTACAGTGTAATTGTCTCTAATATAATTGTTTTAAATCTCTATTAGATTGCAAAGTTCTTTGAGCATATTAAAGATTTTTTTTTACAAAATATTTCTGATATGCAGTACATGCTCAAATATTCTTTGTAGTAAGTGAAATTCATAGCGTGGATCATGTAAATAAGTTAGATTTACTAAGAGAATACATAAAATACTTAATATTTAAAAGTTTGCATGCAATAGGTAAGTATTTGTTAAACAACAGGCTTTAGGACTTTTATAAATAAGCCTAATATGTCCAATTACAGATATTTATGTATTTACTCAATTCAGCAAATAATATTTATTTGATGATAGTTTATTAGCTTGGTTTATTACTGTTTTCCTGAAAGAATAGGATTGCATGTCTCCATCATTCAGACTTTTTGCTACTACAGACTTTGGTATGTTAATAAAATATTAATTTTTTAAAAATAACATGAATATTGTACATTTATATTCTGTTCAATGCAAAATCCAATATAATTTTAGCTGGATTTTAATAAAATTATTAAATCTGTTTTCTCTGTCTATATTTTTGTTGTTGTTATTATTCTTGTTGTTGTACAGTTGAAAATGCTATGGATTGTCTATTAGAATTATCTGCCACTGATACCAAGATAGAAGAATCATCTTCACAAAGTTTCGTTGCTTCTGAGAACCAAGTAGGTGCAGCAGAAAGTAAAATAATGGAAAAACGTCCTGAAGAAGAGAGTGAAGATTCAAAAATGGATTCATTTTTGGACATGCAGCTAACTGAAGACCTGGATTCCTTAATACAGAATGCTTTTGAGAAATTGAACTCTTCTCCTGATGACCAAGTATACTCATTTTTGCCTTCACAAGATGTTAATAGTTTTAATGACTCAAGTGAGTTTATAAATCCTGATTCAAGTAATATGACTCCCATTTTTTCTACACAAAATATGAATTTGAACGGTGAAAATTTAGAGAATTCTGGTTCTACTTTAAGTTTAAACCCATTACCTTCACATTCAGTTTTGAACGAGTCCAAGTGTTTTATAAAGGATAACACATTGGCTTTGGAAAGTAACTACCCGGAAGATTCTCTTCTCAGTAGTTCTTTAAATGTAGCAAGTGACTCCATCGCAGGTTGTAGCAGTCTCAATCAAAAACAGAAAGAACTTTTAGAATCTGAGTGCGTTGAGGCTCAATTCTCTGAAGCTCCTGTAGATTTGGATGCCAGTGAACCTCAGGCTTGTTTAAACCTTCCAGGGCTTGATTTACCAGGTACAGGTGGGGATCAGAAATCTACTCGGGTCTCTGATGTGTTTCTACCTTCCGAAGGGTTCAACTTCAAGCCACACAAACATCCTGAACTGCCAACTAAGGGGAAGGATGTGAGTTACTGCCCGGTACTTGCTCCTCTCCCATTGCTGTTGCCTCCTCCGCCACCTCCACCGATGTGGAATCCAATGATTCCTGCTTTTGACCTCTTCCAAGGAAACCATGGCTTTGTAGCTCCTGTTGTAACCACAGCTGCACACTGGAGATCTGTCAACTACACATTTCCACCCTCAGTTATTTCTCACACTTCCCCAACAAAAGTATGGAGAAATAAAGATGGAACAAGTGCTTATCAAGTACAAGAAACCCCAGTTTCTCAGGTTGTAAGAAAGAAGACATCTTACGTTGGACTAGTTCTTGTTCTTCTCAGAGGTCTTCCGGGATCTGGAAAATCTTTTTTGGCAAGGTATGAGGTTTGATTGGGTTTTTAAAAAATAGTATAATGTCTGAATTTGAACACAAGTATGAATAAATAGGCAAAATGCTTTGCTTAGTAGAGATCTTTAGTAACCCCTAAAATGTTTTCTTTTTACTAAGGTTTCCTAACTTTGTGTAGCTAATAACACTGTTTTCTGTGGAAGTTTATTGAAACCGTTCATCTTGGAATATCTCTTTGAAAGACAGAAGAAAAAATTAAAGACAATTTCAAAATTGTGAGCTATTGATGTAGTAGTAGAAGAGAGCTAATTTGAGTGGGAGAAAGATGAGTTCAGCTTTGATCACAGAGTTAAAGAGATATAATTGATCTTGATTTCATGGAATGGAAGACTTAAATACATTAATTTTACTGGTAGTTGGAAATTCAGGATTATAGAGTGTTGTTAAATAATGCTTTTAGAAATGTGTGATTTGAAGGAAGAGAGTATAGGATGACAACTGGTAGTCAGAGAACTTCAAGTTTTCAGGGACTTTTCTGTTCCAAAATAGAGTACCATCAGTTATTTGATCTCATATATACACCTTTATCCCTTCTGTAGTTAAGGTAGGCTGTGAGTGCCTTAATCTGGGAGACAGGAGTCAGTGTTAGAGGCAGCTTTGTAATGGTTTCAGTGGCACTCCTTGAAGAGTATTGTTTTCATAGTCCCTCTCTATCCCTGCTTAACCTTTAAATTCCAGAAGATTTCACCTAATCTATTTTATATGCTAGTTCTTTTTTTTTTGAGACGGAGTCTTGCTCTGTTGCCCAGGCTGGAGTGCAGTGGCGCGATCTCGGCTCACTGCAAGCTCCGCCTCCCAGGTTCATGCCATTCCTGCCTCAGCCTCCCGAGCAGCTGGGACTACAGGCGCCCACCACCACGCCCAGCTACTTTTTTGTATTTTTAGTAGAGACGGGGTTTCACCGTGTTAGCCAGGATGGTCTCGATTTCCTGACCTCGTGATCCACCCGCCCCGGCCTCCCAAAGTGCTGGGATTACAGGCGTGAGCCACCGCGCCTGGCTTGCTAGTTCTTTTTTTTTTTTTTTCCTTTTTCCAAATTTTAACCATTAGCCTTCTAACATTATCAGTTGGGTCTCTATTTGATCCTGGGTGTATCTAGTCTAGTCTTAATGAATATGCATAGATAACTGGAGAATGTCCTTCATAAACTTATTTTTAGTTTTTTTTTTTTGATATCTTTTCTGTGTCTGGGTTTCTCTGCTAGTAAATTTCCACATATTCTGCTGATACACTTATAAGCATATTTTTCAGTAGACATGTAGGCTTTTCTAACTGACTTAATAACAACAACAACATAAAACAATTTAATATTATAGATGTTACTGTCAGTCATGGCAGTGTGTTTCATGAAAGAGATTGGACTGAAAGGTGGTACCTTAGAAGGCAGTTGAGCTGTGAGACAAGTTTGAAGAATAGGTTTCAGGGGCCTTTAGAATCAGAGGCAGCTACAGTGTGGGTAAAGAAAAATGTGCTTTTCACAAGGTAGAAACTTAATATTTTTTGAATGAAGAGAGAGAAATAACAGGAAGAGTGTTGAGACATAGAACCTGCGTTGTCTTTTTTTTTTTTTTGGAGACAGAGTCTTGCTCTGTCGCCCAGGCTAGAGTGCAGTGGTGCGATCTCGGCTCACTGCAAGCTCCGCCTCCCAGGTTCACGCCATTCTCCTGCCTCGGCCTCCGGAGTAGCGGGACTACAGCCACTGCCACCGCGCCTGGTTAATTTTTTGTATTTTTAGTAGAGATGGGGTTTCACCGTGTTAGCCGGGATGGTCTTGATCTCCTGACCTTGTGATCCGCCCGCCTCGGCCTCCCAAAGTGCTGGGATTACAGGCGTGAGCCACCACGCCCAACAATCCTGCGTTGTCTTGAAGAGAATGGTCTAGTATTCAAACCAAAGGAAAACGATGAGTGGAAAAAGCCTTTTGAATTTATTGGAAAGAAGGTCATAAATGGATATCTGAGAAACAATTTTGTTGTCCTGTGAGGACAAAAGGGTTTAACAAGCTCTGATGATGGAGTTAAAGGAAGGAGAGAAGTTGGGTAGTAGTTGAAAGGGGTCCCAAAGTGTAGTTACAATTTTTTTTTTTTTTTTTTGACAGAGTCTGACTCTGTCACCCAGGCTGTTGTGCAGTGGTGTGATCTCAGCTTACTGCAACCTCCACCTCCCCAGGTTTATGAGATTCTCCAGCCTCGGTCTCCTGAGTAGCTGGGATTACAGGTATCTGCTGCCACCCCCAGCTAATTTTTATATTTTTAGTAGAGACAGGGTTTCACCATGTTGGCCAGGCTGGTCTCAAACTTTTTTTTTTTTTTTTTAAGAGACAGGGTCTTGCTTTGTCACCCAGGCTGGAGTGCAGTGGCACGTTCATAGCTCAGTGTTGCCTTGAATTCCTGGGTTCAAGCAATCCTCCTGCCTTGGCCTCCTGAGTAGCTACGACTACAGGCATGGGCCCACCACACCCGGCTCATTTTTAAATTTTTTGTAGAGACAGAGTCTTACCAGCTTGCCCAGGCTCATCTCAAACTCCTGGGCTCAAGCAGTCTTCCCACCTCAGCCTCCCAAAGTGCTGGGACTATAGGCATGAGCTACCATACCCAGCCTAGTTAGAATTTTTAAAGATAGCTGAGATATATACATGTTTAACGGTAAAAAAGGAAGTGTCAGAGAAGGGAAAGCTACAAAGAGAAGAGGATAAACAGGAATTGGGATCAAATGAGCATTCACTAGAATGTAAGCTCCATGAGTGCAAGCTTTTGTGTCTTTTTTTGTTCATTGATGTATGCTCAGTGCTTAAAACAGTGCCTGGCACTTAATAGATGCTACAGAAAGGGACATATATTTTCAGAAAAGGATAATTAAAAATTTGTTAATCTTCTAACCATTATAAAGATTTTATAGTTAAGGATAAAAGGTCTTTGTAACATTAAAAACAAGTTTCTGAATATTAATTTACATAAAGCAAAATAGACCTGCCTTAGGTCAGATTTTTTTTGGAATTAAACTTCTGCTTAGAGTATTTTTAGTATGATTTGTTTGAATATTACAATATGTTCTTTTATTTATCTCTTTGTGTTTAATTTTTTTTCTTTTTTGAGAGAGGGTCTTATTCTGACTCCAGTGCAGTGGTGCAACCTTGGCTCACTGTAACCTAAACCCCCTGGGTTCAAGTGATCCTCTCAACTTAGCTTCCCAAGCAGCTGGGACTATAGGTGCACACTACCACACCTGCCTAATTTTTGTCTTTTTTGTATAGTTGGGTTCTTGCTATGTTGCCGAGGCTGATTTTTACTCTTTTATTTTATTTATTTATTTTTTTGAGATACAGTCTTGCTCTGTCTCCCAGGCTGGAGTACGGTGGCGCAATCTCAGCTCACTGCAACCTCTGCCTCCTGGGTTCTAGCAATTCTCATGCCTCAGCCTCCCTAGTAGCTGGGACTATAGGCGCATGCCACCGTACCTGGCTAATTTTTGTATGTTTAGTAGAGATGGGATTTCACCATGTTGGCCAGGCTGGCCTTGAACTCCTGGCCTCAAGTGATCCACAAAATGATAGTACTTGAATAATTTATTTTGTTTATGACTTTGGAAAAATTAGGAGAGAAAATTTAGAAGAAAAGGTAATGAAAATTATTTCATTTATCTTTCACAGGACTTTGCAAGAGGATAATCCAAGTGGAGTCATTCTTAGTACTGATGATTATTTTTATATAAATGGACAGTACCAGTTTGATGTAAAGTACTTAGGAGAAGCACATGAATGGAACCAGAATCGTGGTAAGAACAGATAATCAGATTCTGGGTAACGTTATGAGTAATACAAAGAAAAAATTCACTTAGTATTTGTTTGTGTGTTTGTTTTTGTTTTTTGAGACAGGGTCTCGCTGTGTTGCACAGGCTAGAGTGCAGTGGCATGATCTTGGCTCACTGCAGCCTTGACTTCTGGGTTCAGGTGATCCTCCCACCTTAGCCTCCCAAGTAGCTGGGACCACAGATGTGCCACCATGCCTGGCTAATTTTTGTATTTTTTGTTGTCCAGCCTGGTCTTGAACTCCTGGGCTCAAGCAATCTGCCTCTCTTAGCCTCCCAAAGTGCTGAGTTTGCAGAAGTGAGCCACTGCGCCCAGTTAAATTGGCTTAGTATTTTTTTTTTTTCGAGATGGAGTCTCACTTTGCGCCCAGGCTGTAGTACAGTGGTGCAATCTGGGTTCACTGCAACCTCTGCCTCCTGGGTTCAAGTGATTCTTCTGCCTCAGCTTCCTGAGTAGCTGGGATTACAGGTGCATGCCACCGCACCTGGCTAATTTTTGTATTTTTTATAGAGACGGGGTTTCCCCGTGTTGGCCAGGCTGGTCTCGAACTCCTGACCTTAGGTGGTCCGCCTGCCTTGGCCTCCCAAAGTGCTGAGATTACAGGTGTGAGCCACCGTGCGTGGCCTATAACTGTATAGTATATATAAAATTTTAACTGTCATTAACATTAATTCTTATGTTACATAGTAAGAGGTGAGTTTATTTCATAGGGTGGTTATAAGGATTCAAAGAGTTAATTTTTGTAAGGTACTTAGAATATTGTGTGGCATATTTAAGTTATCAGTAGGGATCTTTTGAGAAGTAAATCTAATTTTCTGCTTGGGTCTCAGAATAGCTGTAAGGAAATTGCAGTTGTTTCCTATGTATCTTTTTTTTTTTTTTTGACACAGTATCTCGCTCTGTTGCCCTGGCTGCAGTGCAGTGGTGTGATCTCGGCTCACTGCAACCTCCGCCTCCCACGTTCAAGGGATTCTCATCCTCAGCCTCCCAGCCTGAGTAGTTGGGACTATAGGTGTGTGATACCATGCCTGGCTAATTTTTGTATTTTTAGTAGCGACGGGGTTTTGCCACATTGGCCAGGGCCAGGCTTGTCTCAAACTCCTGGCCTGAAGTGGTCTGCCTAACTCGGCCTCTGAAAGTCCTGGGATTACAGGTTTGAGCCACCATGCCCAGCCTGGTTACTGCTTTCTAAAATGGAATTTGAACCACCAGAAATGGAATTTGACCAGTTAACCACTGGTTTTCCTTAGATTGGTTTACTCTTTTTTTTTTGAGACGAAGTCTTGCTTTGTTGCCCAGGCTGGAGCGCAGTGGCGTGATCTCGGCTCAGTGCAACCTCTGCCTCCCAGGTTCAAGCGATTCTCCTGCCTCAGCCTCCCCCTGAGTAGCTGGGATTACAGGCACGTGCCACCATGCCTGGCTAATTTTTGTATTTTTAGTAGAGACGGGATTTCACCATGTTGGCCAGGCTGGTCTTGAACACCTGACCTTGTGATTCACCTGCCTCGGCCTCCCAAAGTGCTGGGATTACAGGCATGAGCCACTACGCCTGGCAATTGGTTTACTTTTTATGGAAGATAGTGTGAGAATAAAAACGACTCTCTAAACTGAATCTGTGGGGACATCATAGGTAAAAATTTAGTTTCCTTGCTAGTGTAACTGTCTATTCAGTGAAGATAGTTTTATCATTAAATGTTTATTTGCATAGTTTGAATTTTCTATGGAGAATCTTGTTAAGATATAGGGACTGTATTTTCCTCAGTTTTTTTTTTTTTTGGAGACAGAGTCCTGCTCTGTTGCCAGGCTGGAGTGCGGTGGCGTGATCTTGGCTCACTGCAATGTCTGCCTCCCGGGTTTAAGCGATTCTCCTGCCTCAGCCTCCTGAGTAGCTGGGACTACAGGCATATGCCACCATGCCCAGCTAGTTTTTGTATTTTTAGTAGAGACAGGGTTTCACCATGTTGGCCAGGATGGTCTCGATCTCTTAACTTTGTGATCCACCTATCTCAGCCTCCCGAAGTGCTGGGATTACAGACATGAGCCACCACACCTGGCCCTCAGTCTTTTATGATAAGTGTACTGTAAAGGTGATTCTTGGGTTTGCCATCTTCAGACATTGTTAAATTTTTATATATTCTTTTTTGAACTAAAGATTAAGAATTCAGGAATCTGAAAATGCCAACATAACTAAAACCAAAGGAGGCAGTATGATTTGGTGATGAAGATCACCCTTGGATTCACCAGTTACTAGCTATATGATCTTGTGCAATTTACTTATACTTTCCAAGGCCCAGTGTCCCCTTTGTAAAAGGGAATAATAATACTTAACTCCCAGGATTGTTGTGAAAGTTAAATGAAGGTGAAAAGTGTTAACATTGGCTGGGCGCGGTGGCTCATGCCTGTAATTCCAGCACTTTGGGAGGCTTAGGCAGATGGATCACCTGAGGTCAGGAGTTTGAGACCACCCTGGCTAACATGGCGTTACCCCATCTCTACTAAAAATACAAAAATTAACCGGGCATGGTGGTGCACACCTATAGTCCCAGCTACTTGAGAGGCTGAGGCAGGAGAATTGCTTGAACCTGGGAGGCGGAGGTTTCAGTGAGTCAGGATCCCACTACTGCACTCCAGCCTGGGTGACAGAGCAAGACTCTGTCTCAAAAAAAAAAAAAGTGTTAGCATGGTTCAGCATGCCCTTATAACAGCAACAATAATATATGTTAATAGGCGGAATTCATTTTAAAACTGCTTTGTTAAGACAAAATTCATGTGCCATACAAATCATCCATTTAAATTGTATAATTCAGTAGTTTTTAGAACTTAATATTCAGGGCTGTGCATTCGTTAATACACTCTATTTAATTTGGCTTTGCTGCAACTTTTAGAACACGCTAAATTTTAGAACATTTTTATCATCTCAGAAAGATTCTGTACCTATTAGCAGTCACTCTTCATTTCTTTCCAGTCTGTGTTTTGTCCCTATAGATAATTTGCCTATTCCAGACATTTCCTACAACATGTGGACTTTTGTGATTGGCTTCTTTCACTTAGTATAATGTTTTCAAGCTTCATCCATGTTGTAGCATGTGTTTCATTCCTTTATATGGATGAGTAAGATTCCACTGGGTGGATATATCACATTTTATTAATCTATTCATCAGTTAATAGACATTTGAGTTGTTTTCACTTTTTGGCTATTAAGAACAGTGCTGCTATAAACAAACACACATGTCTATGTCTAACCTTTTTAGGAACTGCCATGCTGTTTTCCAAAGCAATCATACCTTTTTATGTTTCCTCTAATAATTTATGAGGGTTTCAACTTTTCTACATCCTCACCAACACTTGTTATTGTCCGTTTTTTTGATTATTCCTATTCTGGTAGGTGTGAAGTGGTATCTCACTGTGGTTTCAATTTGCTTTTCTCTGATGGCTAATGATGTGGAACATCTTTTTGTGTGTTTTTTGGCCATTTGTATATCTTCTCTGGAGAAATGTCTATTCATATTTGCTCTGTCACTTAGACTGGAGTGCAGTGGCACGATCTTGGCTCATTGCAACCTCCGCCTCCTGGGTTCAAGTGATTCTTGTGCCTCAGCCTCCTGAGTAGCTGGGATTACAGGTGCAAGCCACTACGCCCGGCTAATTTTTGTATTTTTAGTAGAGACGGGGTTTCACTGTGTTGGCCAGGATGGTCTCGAACTCCTAACCTCAGGTGATCCGCCCGCCTCAGTATCCCAAAGTGCTGAGATCATAGGTGTGAGGTACCGTGCCCAGCCTCCTTTGCCCATTTTTAAATTGGTTCTTTGTTTCTTCATTAGTGAGTTGTTAGAGACTGGGCAGAACTTTGAAAACTTCCAAATAAATTACTTGTAAGACTTACTTGTTGTGGTACATCATTAATTTCCTGTATGGTCTAATTCCTTTGGAAGAAAGGTAAGAAAATCCCTTGTGCAATGGTGTATTATAATGTTTTCTTTATTTCAGATCATTACATTGTGTGTGTGTATATTTGTCCATTTGTTTTTGTTGTTTGTTTTTAAACTTTATTTTTGAATATTAGATATATGGAAAAGTTGCAGAGATACTATGGAAAGCTTCTGTATACCCTTCACTCATTTATCCTTCATGTTAACATCTAATATAACGAGGATACATTTGTCAAAACTAAGAAATTGGTTTATTATTATTAACTAAACTCAAGACTATAGTTTGATTTTAATTTTTCTACTCAAGGTCTTTCTCTCTTACTTGACAGTCTTAATATGTGGGGTTTTTTTGAGACGGAGTCTTACTCTGTCACCCAGGCTGGAGTACAATGGCGTGGTCTCAGCTCACTGCAACCTCCGCATACCGGGTTCAAGTGATTCTGCTGTCTCAGCCTCCCAAGTAGTTGGGACTACAGGTGCGTGCCACCACACCTGGCTAATTTTTGTATTTTTAGTGGAGACGGGGTTTCAATATGTTGGCCAGGTTGGTCTCGAACTCCTGACCTCATGATCCGCCTGACTTGGCCTCCCAAAGTGCTGGGATTACAGGCATGAGCCACCGCGCCCGGCCTTGTTTTGTATTTTTTAGGCAGAGTCTTACTCTGTTGCCCAGGCTGGAGTGCAGTGGCCTGATCTTGGCTCACTGCAACATCTGCCTCCTGGTTTCAAGTGATTCTCTTACCTCAGCCTCCTGAGTAGCTGGGACTACAGGTGGGCACCACCACACCCAAATAATTTTTGTATTTTTAGTAGAGATGGGCTTTCACCATGTTGGCCAGGCTGGTCTTGAACTCCTGGCCTCAAGTGGTCTGCCCGCTTTGGCTTCCCAAAGTGCTGGGATTATGGGCATGAGCCACCATGCCCAGCCAACCCATACTTACTTAATTTTTATGTCCTCAAAGGGATATTTAGAAGTTGAGCAGTGAGTAAAATTAGCACATCATGATTTTCAAATTATGAAAAGATCAGATTTTTTGAAAATCATAATACTTAGTATTGTTTAAAAAATGATTTTTAATTATGTTATGTTTTTCAGCAAAAGAAGCATTTGAGAAGAAGATATCTCCTATAATTATAGATAATACAAACCTACAGGCATGGGAAATGAAACCATATGTTGCTTTGGTTAGTACCATAAGTTGTCATAAGTTTATAACAGTTTGTATGCAATTATTGGGGAACATTAATTATGAAAGTGAATCTGAAGCACTTAAGAATCTCAGAACCTTGGATAGTCTGTAAATGAGCTTTCATTGGTGTTCAGCAAAATGAGGAAATTAGGCCATTTAGCTGAGTTTTTCCATAAAGTTAAAGTTTTAAATTCTGAAATTCAATTTTTGAACTCTAAGATTGTTTTGTTTTTTGGGGTCTTTTATGAAAAGGTAGTGGTACTAAATTATAATTTTATTTTTTTGTTTGTACCTATGTTATATATATTTATTTCCTTTTCCTCATACTTGGCAGAATCAAAATTTGTTGGTCCTTTGTTTTTCCCTAAATTTCTTTTGAAATTTTGCTGTTCTGAGAAATTCAGCATTCTGTAAACTCAGCTATTTTCTCTGAATTTGCCAGATTTCTTTTAATGTTTAAGTCCTTTGCCTTTACCTGACCTATACCTAATCCTCTTCTTGCCCTTCTTGCTCTTTTTTGCTCACCTTTTTTTTTTTGTTGTTGAGATGGAGTTTTGCTCTTGTTGCCCACGCTGGAGGGCAGTGGCGTGATCTCGGCTTACTGCAACCTCTGCCTCCTGGGTTCAATCGATTCTCCTGCCTCAGAAACTGAGAAACTGGGATTACAGGTGCCCGCCACCACGCCCAGCTAATTGTTTGTATTTTTAGTATAGACAGGATTTCACCATGGTGGCCAGGCTGGTCTTGAACTCCTGACCTCAGTTAATCCACCAACCTCGGCCTCTCAAAGTGTTGGGATTACAGGCGTGAGCCACCATGTCCGGCCGAAAATTCTTTATCTTCCTTTCTTAACATTTTTTTAAAGAACATTCTGTCATTAGCACATGTAGAATTTAAATATTACTGTGTAGTATTTTCATCTTGTGGTTATGCCTTCACTTATTTAGTCAGTTCTATATTAATAGCCATGTAGTTATTTGTATCCTTTTGCTGTTACAAATACTGGAAAACTGGCTATCCTGGCATATATCTAATGTATGTATTATATAAATAAATGCTCTTATATAAGTATTTATCAGTAGCTAAATTTCTAATAGTTAATTGCTGGGTTAAAGTGATTGTATATTTTGCCATTTTAACACACTCATCAAGATTAGATAATCTTTACGTTTTACATGCTATATATTTGGAAACAATAATTTTAATTTCTTGGAAATACCTATTTTAAAATGTTTTTGTCTTTGTTGTATGTAGTCTCAGAAACACAAATATAAAGTCCTTTTTCGGGAACCAGACACATGGTGGAAGTTTAAACCAAAGGAACTTGCAAGGTAAAACTTGGAGGCTACCTAACATGCTTTTTATGTAACGACAGACAGACAAGGTCCGTTTAGATTTTTCCCCTTGTAAATGATGAATGAATTGATTAGATTGTAACTTAATTTCTATTGCTTACGGCTTTTTGTCCAGTTTTATGAAGAGTTTCTTTGTGTTTCTAAAATTGAGTTAATTTACGGTAAAAATTCCCCTTGTATTATATACTCAGTATCTTACTACCTTTTTTGAGTTTTATTTATTCGTTTATTTATTTAAATATAGAGACAGGGTCTTGCCATGTTACCCAGGCTGGTCTTGAACTCCTGGCCTCAAGCGATCCTCCTGCCTCTGCCTCCCAAAGTGCTGGGACCACAGGTGTGAGCCACCATGCCCAGCCTGTACTTTATTACTTTGAATCATATGTTAATATCTAAAGCTAGAACAGACCCTAGGATTTGGCACACCTGAACTATGTGCTACTGGGAGGGGCGAATTGTCGTAGCTGCTTAGTGATTTAGAGCACTGGAAGGTAGTACGGATATAGAGATGGAAAAGGTAGCAAATATCCAGCTGTCCAGATATCTCACTCCATGCCTGCCTCCCACTATGGCTATACTTTTTTCTTTATTGAGTTGCTTGACTTGAATAAAAATGTTAGTCAAGGCATGGATGTACAGTTTGTTTTGCTTTGTGTTCTATACTTCCATAGAGATAGCCCTAACTTCATTTTGGTTAGGCTATTTTTTTTTTCTTGGCAATTTCAACTAACTTTAGTACTAAAGGACAACCTAATTTTAGTATATTCACAGTGTTGTGTGATCATCACCCCTATGTAATTTCAGAACTTTTCCATTTCCTCCAAAGAAGCCCTATGCCTACAAGCAGTTACTCTAGTTCCCCCCTCCTCTTGGCAACCACTAATGTGTGTTCTGTATTTATGGGTTTTCCTGTTGCGTATACTGCATATAAATGGAACATACAATATGTGGCTGTTTGTGTCTGGCATCTTTTCACTTAGCTTAATGTTTTTAAGGCTCATCCATGTTGTAGCATGTGTCACTACTTCCTTTTCATTTCCTTTTGATAGATTACTGAGTTTGGTTTTCTGATATTTCATTTAGGATTTTTGCATCTTTATAAATAAATGAGATTGACCTACAGTTTTTTTATTCCTTGACTTGTCTTGCCTGACAGGGATATCATAGTTTTAGGATCATGAAATTAATTGGGAAGTATCTCCTCTTTTCTTCTTTTCTAGGTTTATCTAAGTTTGAATGTTAGAATTTACTTTAAAAATTCTTTGGATCTGATGTTTTCTTTGTGAGAATGTTTAGTTGGAATTTTTCCGTTATAGCAACGTTTCCAAATTTATTAAGACTATTAAAGCAATTATAGTAGTCTCTTACTATTTACACATCTACTGTGTTAGCAGTTAAGTTCCCTCCTGCAATCTTAGTATGTTTATATTATCTTCCTTCTTTTTTCTTTGTTATTCTCATCAGAGATCAGATTAGCCTTTTCAGATAAACAAGTCTCAGCTTTATTTGAACTCCATCGTAAGTTTTCTAATGTTTAATTAATTTCTGCTTCTCATTATTCTACCTTTATTGCTTTCAAAAATCAATTTTGCTTTTTTTATTCTCTTGTGTTTTAAACTTCTCTACTTGAAGGTTTAGGTCATTTTCTAATATGACATTTGATGTTAAAATTTCCCTATGTATGCCAGGTGTGGTGGCTCCTGCCTGTGATCCCAGTACTTTGGGAAGCTGAAGCAGGAGGATTTCTTGAGCCCAGGAGTTTGAGACTAGTCTGGGCAACAGAGTGGGACCCTGACTCTACAAAAAATAAAAAAATTAGCTGGGTATGGTGGCGTTCGCCTGTGGTCCCAGGTACTCGGATGCTGAGGTGGCAGGATTGCTGTAGCCTGGGAGGTCGAGGCTGTGATGAACTGTGATTGTGCCATTGCACTCCAGCCTAGGCAACAGAGCGAGACTCTGTCTCCCAATAAAATAAAATTTTCATATGTATTATTTTAGCTGCTCTCAGAATTTTAATATATAATACTTTATTTTTGTCTTATTTAGTTATTTTCTAGTTTGCATTATGATTAATTTCATTCTTTAACTCTTGGGTTATGTCGTACTGTGTTTTTAAATTTCTGAACAGATGAGTGTTTTGTCTTTTATAAAAATTGGTTTTCAACTTAACTACAGTAGGTCAGGTTGTGTAGTTTGTATGATTCACTGACATTTATAAGATTTTTTTGGCCTAGTTAAGTGTTGATTTTTTATACATTTCATATTTGCTTGATAAGAATGTACATGATTACAATGTGTTAATATATCCATTAAATCATGCTTATTGTTACTCATATCTCCTGTATTTGAGAGATGAATGTTGAAATCTCCCTTTATTATGTTGAACTTGTGGTTTCTCCTTATAATTCTGCCTATGTTTGCTTTACATATTTGGAGGGTAGTTTTTGAAATGTATACAAGCTTAAGATTTTTATATCACCCTAATTAATTGAACCTTTTATTATTTTCTAGTGATTTTCTTTTGTCTTTAGTAGTGATTTTTGTTGTAAAGTGTAATTTGTCTAATATTGATAGACCTACATCAGCTTCCTTTTAGTTAGTATTTGTTACTTCTTTTTTCATACTTTTACTTTGAATATTTTTATGTTCGATGTATCTCTTGTAAGCATGATGGCTGGATTTTTTGAAATCCACTCTGTCCACCTTGACTTTTAACTGATAAACTTAGTTCTTTTATGGTTATTTTGGTTATTCATATAATTGATCTTGTTTCTTAGAATTATTCATATAATTGATCTTGTCTCATTCTGTGCTTTTTGTTTATCTCGCCTTTTCTGTGATTGTTCTTCTATTATAGAAAATGATGTAGTTGGATTTTTTTCCTATCATGCCTTATTTAAAATTTTTAAAATTGTTTCCAAATTTTTGTATTAAATTTTTTTCTTCTCTACTAATTTGGAAATTGTGCAGACTTTAAATCTAAAGTCAAACCATTTTCTTGGCTTTCCTCCTCACGCATACGAAGACTTTAAAACATTTTAATTCTGACACTTGCCTCCCTCTCAATTTACATGCTCTCATTGTCCAGAATATACAGGTAGTGTTTATTTTCACTTATTCATCTAGTTATTGCTTTCTGCTTCATTTTTTTCTTGCATCATATACCTTTCATCTGGGAATTGCCTTCTGCCTGATGTTCATCTTTGAGAATTTTCTTTATAGTAAGGGTCTGCTTGGTGTCAAATTCTTTTTTTAAAATCTGCAGATCTTTTTATTGCCCTCATTCTTGTAAGATACTTTTGCTGGATATGTATATTCTATACTGACAGTTATTTTCTGTTGTTGAAGATAACACTTCACTCCCTTCTGACTTACATTATTATTGTTGTTAAGTCAGCTGTCATTCTAATTGTTTCTTTGTAGATAACTAGTTTTAAAATGATTTTTTAAAATTTCTGGTTGCTTTTAATATCATCTCTTTGTCTTTGGTGAATGACAATTTCAGTACTATGTTTCTAGTTATGGATTTCTTATTTTTTTATCTTGTTTGGCATTTGTTGGCTTCTGAAATTAAGGGATTGGTGTTTTTCATCAGTTCTGGAAAATTCTCAGCATTTTTCTTTACATTGCTTCCGTCCCATGCATTCTCTTCTCTTTCCGGGACTTAGATTAGATGTATACTAGAACTTTTGGCTCTGGCTCCTATGACCCTTAACCTCTCTTTCATATTTTCTATCTCTTTGCTTCTCTGTGATCTGAAACCAGACAAGATCGAGGTAGGTAAATATGAAAGCCAGATTTGCCCAACTGGCAAATGCATATATTATCCCTGGGATCCAGTCACAAAGCCTTGAATTCAACCCAAGACAGGAAAGTTGCAATTGAGATGTTTTCATTAAGACCAAACCTTTGAGGGGCTAAAGCATAACATCTGGCCTCCTGGCAGGTATAAACCTAGATGCTGTGTGAAAGTACTCCGAGTTGAAGGCCTCAGAATTCTCATATATTAAGTTCAACCAAATATGAGCTTATAATAAAAAACATTTTTGAAAAAGGCACTATGAGTGAAAACACAAACAACTAACTTCATATTTGAACATCTAGAAACTTCAAATACTAGAATTTTTTTTCTTTGTTTGAACTTAAGTGTATAATTTAAGAAATCCTTAATAAAATGAAAATTAGAATCAAATTGTATATATTGTGGTCACAATAAAGCAGCTTTGATATTCGTATCTATTAGAAATATATTATTGTTTTCCTAGACATATGTTCTGATTTTTAAAAACTTAATTATCAATATTCCTTCAACCCTTTTTTCCCCTGGAATTTTCAGGCGTAACATTCATGGGGTAAGCAAAGAAAAAATAACAAGAATGTTGGAACATTATCAACGTTTTGTTTCAGTGCCAATAATTATGAGTTCTTCGGTTCCAGAGAAAATTGAACGTATTGAGTTGTGTGCATATTCTTGTGAGGATAGAAGCACTAGGTAGGTTAAAATGCCTTATGTACAAAATTCAATTTGAAATATAATTTTTAAAAGGTATAATTTTGGAGCTTGTGGAATCATTGCTGATAAACTTTAAAAATAAGGTGGACTTGGCTGGGTGTGGTGGCTCACACCTGTAATCCCAGCAGTTTGGGAGGCCGAGGCAGGTGGATCACCTGAGGTCAGGAGTTCGAGACCAGCCTGACCAACATGGAGAAACCCGTCTCCACTAAAAGTACAAAATTAGCCTGGCTGGTGGCGCATGCCTGCAATCTCAGCTGCTTGGGAGGCTGAGGTAGGAGAATTGCTTGAACCCTGGAGGCAGAGGTTGCGGTGAGCTGAGGTTGCGGTGAGCCGAGATTGCGCCATTGCATTCCACCCTGGGCAACAAGAGCAAAACTCCATTTCAAAAAATAAATAAATAAATAAGGTGGACTTTTGTTATTTTTAAGGATTTACTTATAGTCTTACCTAGGGTGGGATATATGTAGTTATCAAGAGAAGTACAAGTTCATATGAGAGATGACATGACAGTTCTTTTATTGTCCTCAGAGTTTTGTGAGTCCGTGATTATGCTATGAATTCTCCTGCCAGTTTTACTTGACGCTCGCTGCTAATCCAGTATTTCCCTTATCTTCTCGCTGTTATTATTTTGTATCCACTCAAATCACTTCTTAATTTCCTTAAGTTTTAATGAAAATACTCTTTCAAGCTAGTGTTATAAAAATTATTAACAGTACACTTTTACCAAGTAATACAAGTCATGGCCTTCTGACAATTTGCAATCCAAGGTAGCACTGATTCTGTTTAGCAACGAAGACACATAAACAATTGAATAAATAAAAACAGCATTAACTGACAGACAGAGTAAAGAAGAAACCACAGGTCTGAATTATCCATATGTTTTGATGGTAAGGGATAGAGAGCTTCTGTTAAAAAGGAGTTGGGAATGGGGAAGAGAAAATTTATAAATGCTTTTTTGATTGAGAAACAGTGTTGCAAAGTGGTTAAGAGCATGGACTCTTGAGCTATATTTCCTGGGTTCAAAAAGTCCCAAAGCTTTGTCATCTCTGACAAGTTACAAATCTTTCTGTACTTCAGCTCTTCATTTCTAAAATGCCAGTAATAACACTCTGCTCATAAAAATCTTATAAGGATTATGAATTAGTACATGCAAGGGACTTAAAGTAGCATCATCTAACACATAGAAAACTCAGCGTTAGGTATGATTTCACTTAGGAAGGCATCCTGCGAGAGTTGGGACTTCGAGCACTCCTGAAGTTAAAAAAAAGAGGAAATGCATTGACAAATTTAATCGAGAAAAATTAACTAAAGTTGAGAGTATAATGATTTGCACAAGTGCTCTGAGTCTGAAATTAACATTAAGTATGGCTTTAAAAAATCTTACCAAATGACATTTCAAATGAAAGCTCTTTTTTTCTAATTTCTCTTAATCGGGCAAATAGCGTTGGTTGGCCCTTTGTGACTTTGTAAATGAAGCTTCCTCGGTATCAGACCTATTTTACATATGCTTAGCTATGTAAAACTAAGGTCAGAAAGAAGCTAGAAAAGTGGTGTCCTCTCCTGGGAACAAATTCAGAGCTTTAACTTTAATGCATAATTAACACCTAAACTGAAAATCTCATATGTACTATTCAATTAAAAAAAAAGTTTGAGTGCTTCATATATGCCAAGCATCATGCTAGGTAATGGGGTTACAACAATGTAATGTGTTCATAGGGTATTAGAGAAAGATCAGAATTAGCTTTTATAATTTTAATGTAATTTATTTATAAAATTTTCAGAATAACTGTTAAGTGCCCTGTCAATTAATGCTTCTTTAAATCATAGTATTGATGGCAGCATTAAGAGACTTTCTCATGATACTCTTTAAAATAATCTTACAGCCCAAGAGACGATGAAGATATTATCTCTGAAAAAGAAGAAAATATTTTATCTTTATCTTTGAAGCATCTAGAGTTCACTGAAGAGAAGAATCTTGATGTAACCAAAGAAACAATGTTACCTGAGAATGTTGCATATCTCTCTAATGCAGATTTAAACAAAAGAAGAAAAGAAATAAGTGATATGAATCCTAGCATTCAAAGTGCTTTAATTCTGGAAACTCCACACATGTATTTTTCTGACTCTGAAAGCAAACTACAGGCAACAGACAAAAGTGAAAACGAGCAAATAGAAATGGTGGCTGTAAAAGGGTATAGTAAAACTGACACAGATAGTTCTATGGAGAGAGTATCACCTAGTACTTGCTGTAGTGAAAATAATCAAGAAGACTGTGATCTTGCAAATAGTGGACCACTTCAAAATGAAAAATCCTCACCTGGTGAAATAGTGGAAGAAAGAGCAACAGTAACGAAAAAAGCCTTTGGGAAACAAAAAAGCAAATCGACTTTGGAAAAGTTCCCAAGACATGAGCTATCAAATTTTGTTGGTGACTGGCCAGTTGATAAGACTATTGGTCAGAGGACAAAAAGGAACAGAAAAACTGAAAAAACTTCATCCGTACAAAGCGACAAAAAGTATAATTACCCTCAGTCACACAAATTAGTTAACAGTGTATCTGTGAATACAGATTGTGTCCAGCAACGAGGATCTCCACATGAAAGTGTAGAGGATGGCAGAAAGTCACAGTGTGATGATGCTTCAGAGCCACTCAATAGCTATAAATATGATGCTTATAAAAATATTGACAAAAACTCATTCAACATTATGGGTGACTGGCCTTCATCTGATTCTTTAGCTCAGAGGGAACACAGATCAAGAATGCCAAAGACTGGTTTAAGTGAGCCCAACCTAGAAATTGGAACAAATGACAAAATGAATGAAATATCCTTATCTACAGCACATGAGGCCTGTTGGGGCACAAGCTCTCAAAAACTAAAGACATTGGGTAGCTCCAATCTAGGAAGTTCTGAAATGCTGCTCAGTGAAATGACCTGTGAGAGTCAGACTTGTCTAAGTAAAAAGAGTCATGGGCAACACACATCGTTGCCTCTTACTTTTACCAATAGTGCACCAACTGTTTCTGGAGTAGTAGAACCACAAACGTTAGCTGAATGTCAAGAGCAAATGCCTAAGAGAGACCCTGGAAAAGAAGTAGGCATGTGCACCCAGACTGAACCACAGGATTTTGCTCTTTTATGGAAAATAGAAAAGAATAAAATTAGCATTTCAGATTCTATCAAAGTATTAACAGGAAGATTAGATGGATTTAAGCCGAAAGTTTTCAATATTAACACAAAATCAGACGTTCAAGAAGCAATTCCATATAGAGTAATGTATGATAAAAGCACGTTTGTTGAAGAAAGTGAGCTTACCAGTGCAGATGAATCTGAAAATCTTAACATTCTTTGTAAACTGTTTGGATCCTTTTCATTAGAAGCCCTGAAAGACTTATATGAGAGGTGCAATAAAGATATTATTTGGGCCACAAGCCTTTTGTTGGATTCTGAAACTAAGTTATGTGAGGATACAGAGTTTGAGAATTTCCAAAAATCGTGTGATGGATCACAAATTGGGCCTTTTTCTCTGGGGTTGAATTTGAAAGAAATTATTAGCCAAAGAGGAACTTTAGAGAATTCTAATTCTCCTGTGCCAGAGTTTAGCCATGGGATTGGTATTAGTAACGCTGACTCACAGTCTACTTGTGATGCAGAAAGAGGAAACTCAGAGCAGGCGGAAATGAGAGCTGTCACTCCTGAAAACCATGAATCGATGACAAGTATATTTCCCAGTGCTGCTGTGGGTCTAAAGAATAATAATGACATACTTCCTAACAGCCAGGAAGAACTTTTATATAGCAGTAAGCAGTCCTTTCCAGGTATTCTAAAAGCTACTACTCCTAAAGATATGAGTGAAACAGAAAAAAACCTAGTAGTCACAGAGACTGGAGACAACATACATTCTCCTTCACATTTCTCTGATATTTTTAACTTTGTATCTAGTACTTCAAATCTTGAATTAAATGAAGAAATTTATTTTACTGATTCTCTTGAAATAAAGAGAAATGAAAATTTTCCAAAGGATTATGTGAAATTTTCAGATGAAGAAGAATTTATGAATGAAGATGAGAAGGAAATGAAGGAAATTCTAATGGCAGGAAGTAGTTTATCAGCTGGAGTTAGTGGGGAAGATAAAACCGAGATATTGAATCCCACTCCAGCGATGGCCAAATCTCTGACCATAGACTGTCTGGAATTGGCATTACCCCCTGAACTGGCTTTTCAACTTAATGAATTATTTGGTCCTGTTGGTATTGATTCAGGTAAGGAAAAAGTAAATGACCATGTGTGTGTCTTTGTGTGACTAGACTACAGAGGGTTCTATTTTGTATTTTTTTTTTTTCTGAGATGGAGTCTCGCTCTGTTGCCCAGGCTGGAGTGCAGTGCCTCAATCTTGGCTCACTGCAACCTCTGCCTCCCAGGTTCAAGTGATTCTCCTGCCTCAGCCTCCAGAGTAGCTGGGATTATAGGCATGTGCCACCGTACCTGGCTAGAGAGTTCTATTTTGATTGTAAAATTATATTCTATGTTAACTGAAATGCAAAAGTAATTTTATGTTGCCTAACTTCACATAGTGCCTTATTTTTGACACATTTCTGGAGGACTTTAAAAAATACAATAGGAAGAAATAGAGAATATTTATATGGAGTTTGTATTTATCCCATACATAGTTTGAACGTTTTCTCTGGTATTTACTTCACACTTAATTGTACGGATGAACCTTTTAAAATCCTTTGGTGCTACTCCAGATACATTTAAGACAAGATTAATTTTTTAGAACATATTTATTGAAAAGTCTTGACTAATAGAAATGAATAAAGTAAACATATTTAGACTCATGGAAAGGAATAACTTAGATTTACTGTGAAGCTTTGTATAACTGCAGTAGTCAAGAAGTGTGAAGACAGTAACATAGCATATAACATAAATAGAAATACTCTAAGATTTAGTAAATAGAAGCATAAGTTAGGAATTAATAGTACAAGTTAGTTTTGTGATGCATAAGGTGGTTTAGTATGTTTTCTGCAAATATATAATGAGTAATGATTACATTTTCTTCCCTCCCCCTTCCCCCACAAGGGTCTCTAACAGTTGAAGATTGTGTGGTTCATATAGATCTGAATCTGGCGAAAGTGATTCATGAGAAATGGAAAGAATCTGTAATGGTTGGTAGGCTTCTTTTTATAAAGAGCTCCTTTTTTGTCCATTTTGAACCTTTGAATTTCAGTGAAATCTACCACATAATATTAAGGAGTTCTATTGAATTTTGGCTTTGAGATGGAAGAGTTCTATTGAATTTTGACTTTGAGAGAGAATGAACTTGTACCATTTAACAGATTACTGTCTTTTTTTTTCTCTCTTTTCAGTAGTTTAAGTATTTCCAGACAGCCAAATTATATAATTAGCGATGGAGCTCATTGTAATTGTTGATTTTTTTTATATCTTTTTTCTATTTTAGAGACAGTGTCTAGCTCTGTTGCCCTGGTTGAGTGCAGTGGCACAATCATAGCTCACTGCAGCCTTGAACTACTGGGCACATGATCCTCCTGCCTTAGCCTCCAGAGTAGGTAGGACTATACAGGTGCCTGCCACCACACCTAGGTAATTTTTTTTTTTTTGTAGAGGCAAGGTCTCACTATGTTGCCCAGGTTGGTTTTGAATTCCTGGCTTTAAGTGATCCTCCTGCCTTGGCCTCCCAAAGTGTTGGGATTATAGGCATGAGCCACTGTGCCTGACCTGTTTTTTTTTTAAGAAAATAATTATAAACAGTGAGTTTTTCACTCCCAGAATTAAAGACTTCAATGCTGATTGGTTAAATTTCAAAGACAGTTCTTAATTTATTTAAAAATTTTTTTCAGACCATTCTTCATAACAAGAAATTTTTTTTTTTAAATGCAGTATTTTTACCATTCTAGAAGTGGAAAAAATATGTAGCTGTAGTCATACTTCATAATTTTTATTATCTAACTTTATTGTTTTACTTAGATTGAGTAAGAATGGTTTACAGTTATACAAGGAGAAATGATTTCTAGAGAAAAATAATATAACCTTGTATCCTTGTTTACTAATGCACTCCCTGTTTGCCAATCTCTTGCCTGGCTTTTGTGTTTAGGAGCGACAAAGACAAGAAGAGGTGTCTTGTGGCAAGTTTATGCAAGGTAAAGCACATGTTTTTATTTCTAATGTCTTAATGTTGAAATTTGGTGTGTGTGTTTGAATTTTAACTCATTCTAAATTACTTCCACAAAATACGGTACCCACAAATTTTGATTTGCAAATAAAAGTTTTATTTATTTATTTATTTATTTTTTTATTTAGAGATGGAGTCTTGCTCTGTCGCCCAGGCTAGAGTGCAGTGGTGCCATTTTGCCTTACTGCAACCTCTGCCTCCTGGGTTCAAGCAATTCTCCTGCCTCAGCCTCCCAAGTAGCTGGGACTACAGGTGCGCACCACCACACCTGGCTAATTTTTGTATTTTTAGTAGAGACGGGGTTTCACCATATTGGTCAGGCTGGTCTTGAACTCCTGACCTCAGGTGATCTGCCCACCTTGGCCTCCCAAAGTCCTGGGGTTACAGGCATGAGCCACTGCGCCCAGCCAGTTCTTTAAAAATATTTAATATTTTATTGATATGAAATAAAATAAAACTTAAAGGGGGAAAAAGCCCCTATAATGTATATTGAACTTTCATGAGTGCTGTGGAACACCTAGGGTATGCTCTCAAAGCATTTCCTGTTGAGGTTTTGCTCTGCATGAAAGAAAACTTTTGGTTTGAGAGCAACAGAGTGTTCATGTGTTTGATCAAGAACATCATTGAAATATTACTTGGTTATTCAAAGTTTTTATTGATGTCAGTATTGTTAGACCACAAAACCCAGCCTGCTTTTTGGTACATCCTGCCAACTTGAAAATATTTGATTCCAGATGACTTCTCTTAGATAGTGTTGTCTTCAGTGACTGTTGCAGGGTGGCAGACCTGTTATTAAGCATCCTCCTTTTGTGCCTGAGTTCCTCCACATGCCTCTGTTGTCCAGTCCACACTGGGACCAAGGCAAGGAGTTTCACCTTGAAGATTCTTAGGATCCACTTTGGTCCAGACCTGTGCTCATGTCATAGCCTCAAGAGCTACAGCTGATGTAGGGATAGAGGTGCCCAAAGGATGGTGTGCAAATGCCAGTGTCTATTGTTTCTTCACTCTCTAGGACAGCAGAGGAATGTATCAGAATGTGTTGATACTCCTCTGAGAAGTTGAAATGTTACACATTAAATTCTGTTGTTGTGAACTTCCTAGAATGTTCAGTTCCTTATTTTGAATATCATTTGCCCACTCTTTATTGTGTGCCTTCACTGAGTTACAGGTTTGCCAAAGTAATCGATCTTCTTGGTCCTTAGAATGGGTGGCCAGAGCAGACTGTAGCTGTTATGGTTGCTCACTTCCAGCTGGCTACAACTTCCTCTATTTACCAGTGTCCTGTATACATGTCACTATGTTTTGGGTTGATATGATATGAAAAAGAGTGGGAAGCATTGAGTCAGTTTAAAATTATACACAGCCTGGCCGGGTGCGGTGGCTCACGCCTGTAATCCCAGCACGTTGGGAGGCCAAGGCGGGCGGATCACCTGAGGTCAGGAGTTCAAGACCAGCCTGGCCAACATGGTGAAACCCCCGTCTCTACTAAAAATACAAAAACTAGCCAGGCATGGTGGCGGGCGCCTGTAATCCCAGCTACTTCGGAGGCTGAGGCAGGAGAATTGCTTGAACCTGGGAGGCGGAGGTTGCAGTGAGCCGAGACTGCGCCATTGCACTCCAGCCTGGGCGACAGAGCAAGACTCCGTCTCAAAAAAAAAAAAAAAAAAAATTATACACAGATCATTACTCTTTTAAAATATTGCTACATTAACACATACTATTTCTTACTTGCGATGACGTGAAGATGTATTTTACAATTTCAGAGTTGTGTTATATTTACAAACTGAAAATTAAAAAACTGTTTCCTTGGTCTCTGAGGTAAATATAACAGAGTGAATAATGTTTAATTTATACATTTATTGTTGAGAGTATGACAGTATTTATACTACTTTGTAGATCCTTCCTTGGTTGGACATACTGGGCTTGATAATCCTGAACAAAAATCATCTCAGAGAACAGGCAAAAAATTACTGAAGACTTTAACAGCATCTGAAATGCTACCTTTATTGGATCATTGGAATACTCAAACTAAAAAAGTATCACTCAGAGAAATAATGTCAGAAGAAATTGCCTTACAGGAAAAACATAATTTGGTATGAATTAATATAAATATTAAGCTACTGTCTCTGATTCTGGTTTATTGTGTATGTTTACTTTGTGATTTTTTCAAAGTATTTTCTAGTCTAGAATCCATATTTAACCTGATTGAATTTAATGTTAAAATTGAAAAATATTTTAAGTATAATTTGAAGCTGGAGGTTTTTGCTTCAGGGAAATTAGTTAATACTCAACTATAAGCCATCCATGTTAAGTTTGTGTTGTTTTAGATTTAACTGTATAGGTGATTGAGCTGCATCTTTCTTTTTCTTTACCTTTTTTTTTCTTGATACATCGTCTTGGCTCTGTTGCCCACACTAGACTACAGTGGCGTGATCACAGCTCATGGAAGCCTTGACCTCCAGGGCTCAAGTGATCCTCCCACCTCAGCCTCCTGAGTAACAGGGACTACCATGCCTGGGTATTTTTATTTTATTTTTGGAGATGGAGTCTCGCTCTGTTGCCCAGGCTGGAGTACAGTGGTGTAATCTTGGCTCACTGCAACCTCCATCTTTCGGGTTCAAACGATTCTCCTGCCTCAGCCTCCCAAGAATCAGGGACAACAGATGTGTGCCACCATGCCTGGCTAATTTTTAGTAATTTTAGTAGAGACAGGGTTTCACCATGTTGGCCAGGCTGGTCTCAAACTCCTGACCTCAAGTGAGCCACCTGCCTTAGCCTCCTAAAGTGCTGGGATTACATGCATGAGCCACCATGCCCACGAATTTTTGAATTTATTATAGAGACAGTTTTGCCATGTTGCCCAGGCTGGTCTCGAGTTCTGGGGTCAGTGATTCACCTGCCTTGCCCTCCCAAAATGCTGGAATTAAAGGCATGAGCCACTGTGCCTGACCGGCTGCATCTTCTTCTTCTTTTTTTCTTTTTTTTAATTTTATTTGTTTGAAACAGGGTCTTGCTCTGTTGCCCAGGCTGGAGTGCAATGGTACAATAAGGCTCACTGCAGCCTCAACCTCCTGGGTTTAAGTGAGCCTCCTGTCTTAGACTCCCAAGTAGGTGGAACCACAGGCATGTGCCACCATGCCTGGCTACTTTTATTTTTTGTAGAGATGGGGTCTTGCCATGTTGCCCAAGCTGGTCTTACACTCCTGGGCTCAAGTGATCCTCCTGCCTCAGCTTCCCAAAGTGCTGGGATTATCAACATGAACCACCATGCCCAGCCAGCTGCATCTTTTTCAGCTTTTAATATTTACCTCTATTTTTTTATTTCTATAAAAACATGAAGGAAATCTTATTTAAAGATAATTATATATATTAGTAATAAGAAATGTCTATCTTACTATTAAAGATGTCTATCTCTGAGAAAATATATATATATATTTTTTTGAGATGGAGTCTCGCTCTGTCGCCCAGGCTGGAGTGCAGTGGTGCGATCTTGGCTCGCTGCATGCTCCGTCTCCCGGGTTCATGCCATTCTCCTGCTTCAGCCTCCTGAGTATCTGGAACTACAGGTGCCTGCCACCGCGCCCGGCTAATTTTTTGTATTTTTTAGTAGAGACGGGGTTTCACCGTGTTAGCCAGGATGGTCTTGATCTCCTGACCTTGTGATCCACCTGCCTCGGCCTCCCAGAGTGCTGGGATTACAGGCGTGAGCCGCCATTCCTGGCCAAAACAAAATATTTTAGAGAAAAATTTTAGAAACTTATGAGTTTGAATTAAAAAAATTACTCTTCCTTTTCAAATAGAAGCTTCACTTTGAATTTTATTTTTGGTCTTTATTTCAAAATATCTAAATATATGAAGCCATACTTGCAGTAGATTTCGTTTGGATTTCGTCTTACTCTTTTCTGGAATTCTGAAAATTAGTATTAAAGAATTCCAGGTCAAAAGGGAAAACATCTTAGAGGTTATTTAGTCTAATTCTCAAGGGAAAAGAATAATTCTTAGATGGTGTTCTTAAAACATTTTAACACTTTCTTATTCGTTTGACTGCACAAAGGAGCACCTTTATATTTGGCTGTAATACATCCAGTTAAGGCATAGGGATTGCTCTACCTTCATATTTATTTTTTAAATTTATCTTGGTTAACTAAATTAGAAATATACTGCCATTCCCATCTTTGTATCCTAACGCAATCCAAGGAATAACCTCTTCAGTAGATCTTAAAATTTTAGTGTCCTGTCAAATAGCCTCTTCAATTAATATATGTATTAATTTGAGGCAATGAATTTTCTTTCTTCTTTCTGTTTTTTTTTTTTGAGTCTCGTTCTGTCACCCAGGCTGGAGTGCAGTGGTGCGTTCTTGGCACACTGCAACCTCCACCTCCTGGGTTCGAGTGATTCTCCTGCCTCAGCTTCCCAAGTAGCTGGGATTACAGGCATGCGCCACCATACCCAGCTAATTTTTGTAATTTTAGTAGAGACAGGGTTTCACCATGTTGGCCAGGCTGGTCTTGAACTCCTGACCTCAAGTGATTCGGCTTCCCAAAGTGTTGGGATTACAGGCATGAGCCACAGCACCCAGCCAGCAATGGATTTTCTTTAAAAAAAAAATAAATAAATAAAATAAGGAAACTCTAACACTTAGGCTTAAATGGTGTGATACTTTCTATTGAAATGCCATTTTCCACTATTAAAACTTGTCTTTACAGTTCTACCCTCCCTTTAATATCTTGATGTAATAGGTGAACAAATGAGCATCTTTTGACTTCACAACTTACTCCTTTTTTTTGCTATCAGTGATTTTTGCTTGTTTTTCTTTTTCTTTTCTTTTTTTTGAGACACAGTCTGGCTTTGTTACAGGCTGGAGTGCGGTGGCACCATCTCAGCTCACTGCACCTTTGCCTTTTGGGCTCAAGCCATCCTCCCACTTCAGCCTCCCAAGTAGCTGGGACTACAGGTGTGAGTCACGATGCCCTGCTAGTTTTTATTTTGTTTTGTTTTGTTTTTTTTGAGACAGAGTCTCGCTGTGTTGCCCAGGCTGGAGTGCAGTGGCACAGTCTCGGCTCACTGCAACCTCCACTTCCCAGGTTCAAGCGATTCTCCTGCCTCAGCCTCCCAAGTAGCAGGAATTACAGGTGTCTGCTACCACGCCCTGCTAATTTTTGTATTTTTAGAAGAGATGGGGTTTCACCATGTTGGCCAGGCTGGTCTCAAACTCCTGAGCTCAAGCAATTCACCTGCCTCGGCCTCCCAAAGTGCTAGGATTATAGGTATGAGCTACCACACCTGGCCTTTTCTTGTTTTTCTGTAGATTGGGTAATATAATAGAAGCTGGTTGGCTTTGTCCCAAGGATACCCACCTTTACCTTCACATGCAGCCTGAGAAAGATAATTTTTTTCTTTCTTTTTTTTCTCGAATAGAGATGAGGTCTTGCAGTGTTGCCCAGGCTGGTCTCGAACTCCTGGCTTCAAGCAGTCCTTCTACCTTGGCCTCTCAAAGTGCTGGGATTGTAAGTGTAAATGACACTGCACTCAGCCAGATAATTTCCTGATGCTGTCCTCACTCTTTGTCCCCAAAGGAGAAATATACTTTGTATATATTTTTTAAAGCAAAAAATATAACTTTAGACATAATATATGAATAGAATAATTAATTTTAAGATGATTAAGGTTACAAGGTTTTAGTTCATTGATGAAACCTCAGAATTTATAGTTTAGAAACTTTGACCCGATAGATTGGTAGAAAATCTGATGATTGAATTTTTTAGTAAGTTTAGATTACATGCATATCTTAAGTAAAATGTGAAATATTTTAATTTATTTTTTTTTGAGGCTGGGTTTCACTGTGTTGCCCATGCTGGAATGTGCAGTGGCGCAATCTCCTGGGCTCAAGCAATTCTGTCACCTCAGCCCCTCAAGTAGCTGGGACCAGAAGCGCACATCACCACACCTGGCCAAAAATAAAATATATTTTTAGTATAGATGGGGTTTTGCCATGTTGCCCAGGCTGGTCTCGAACTCCTGGGCTCAAGCGATCTGCCCACCTTGGCCTTCCAAAGTGCTAGGATTATAGACATGAGCCACTGCACCCAGCCAGAAATATTTTAAATTCTTCAGGTAGCTTGTTTCCATCACTCTTGTTGTATGTTCAGCTTTATCACTCCTTTTTAGTCATATTGTTACCTCTTGTGGTTCCTCTTTTATTGCTGTTTGGTGTTATAAATGGCCTAAGTATGGTTAAGCTTTAAAATAAATAACAATTCTAGCATTTTCCCAGATTATTTTGTTTATTTATTTTTGATATAGGGTATCACTCTGTTGTCCAGCCTGGAGTGCAGTGACTTCATCTGAGCTCACTCTAGCCTTGACCTCCTGGGCTCAAGCCATCCTCCCACCTCAGCTGGGACTCTTGCCATCACACCTGGCCAGCTTTTAAAAAACAATTTTATGTAGAGATAGGGTCTTGCTGTGTTGCCAGGTTGGTCTTGAACTCTTGGGTTCAAGGAATCCTCCTACCTCAGCTATTGTAATTTTTAAATTTAGGAATTTTCAGTCATTTTATTGCCTTTGAAACTGTATAGGAAGTTATTTTTCAGACATCAGCATTTTTGTAGCAAACAAAATTATTTTGTTATATCACAATGTTTAAGAATATTTATTATCATCTTAGGTTAGAATTAAAATAGCATATTTTTAGGAAAGTTCTTTTTGTCTGACAGTTTAGAGCAGATCCAAATATGAAATGTGAGTAATAATATAATTCTTATACAGTTATTTTGGAGTAAATATATTTGTGAAAAACTGAAAAAAAAAAATTGTGAATTCCAAGATTTCTGTCAATCTGAATTTGCAGCTTGTTTGTACACTGTAGTTTCTGCCCATTGAGGAGAATATGTTTTGAGGACGATGTTCACAGCATCACACAGTGTCACTTTTATGAGGACCCATGGGGAAATTTCTCTCAGGTCTCAGTACCAGAAAAAGCTGTACTTCTGAGCAACTGGTTTGTTTTTATTTTATGGACACTGAGAATCTTTGTTTTCCCCTTTGCTTTGGCCACTAAGAGTCTCAGAACTAAATTTGTGGCCTACTTGTAGCAATTGTACAGGATTTTGTGGCATGCATTTATATACTAATACTGCTAGCCTTAGCTTATATTTTATCTTTATTTTCTCTGACTTCATTTATTTTTATCCTGTTTATGTGTGTGTATGTATATATATGCCTCTATATCTTCATCCTTTTAATGATTCAATGTGTTGGATATGCATGTGTGACAGTATGTGTATATATATTTACATACAGATGCCCACACATACATGTATACATGTGATTGTGTGTGTGTGTGTATATTTATAAGCAACTTCAAATACTTTGCAAAAAATGAGATATAAATAAATAGTGCAAGAGTACTCGTATTACTAATTTCAGCCTTTAATCCGTAAAGAAAGTCTGTGATTGCTTTTAAATCATCAGTAGTTTTGCAACAAGTTAACCATGCCTTTGGTCAGTGTTTCTAGTATTACACATTTCATCTTGAACATGATTTTTATGTTTTTGTTTTAGAAAAGGGAGACCCTTATGTTTGAAAAAGATTGTGCCACTAAACTAAAGGAGAAGCAGCTCTTTAAGATATTTCCAGCCATTAACCAAAATTTTCTGGTGGACATTTTCAAGGACCACAAGTGAGTGCTAGAAGGATTGTCTGTAGTTTCTACTCTGATGTCACTGAAAGCATATGCCATGTTTATTTTTCTGATAACAAAAATAATGTAAGTCTACAGTAGTCTCTCCTAATCTGTGGGTATTATTCCAAGACCCACAGTGGGTGCATGAAACCACGAATATAGCTAAACCCTCTATATACCCTCTATATACTATGTTTTTTTCCTATAAATAAGAATTGATTTACAAATTAGGCACAGTAAAAAATTAACAACTATAACTAACAATAAAATAGAACAATTATAACAATATATTGTAATATAAGTTATGTAAACATGGTCTCTCTCTCTGTGTCTCAAAATACAGTTGTCCTTCAGTATCTGGGAGATTGGTTACAGGACAGAAAATCTTTACCATTATTGTTTCTGAGTTTTATGTTTTATTTAGGGAGTCTGTTATGTCCTAATATTATAAAAATTTTTCTTTATTATTTTAAATGTCTACCTTTTTATGTATGTGGTATGAGGTAGAGATTTATAAATGAGCTAGAGATTTAACTTGTCTTTCCAAATGACTAACCAAATGAATGGATCATCTTTGCCCACTTATATAAAACATAACCAGTAATTCTACATCTCCAAATATATATTTTAAGGACTTTAATTCCATTGAGCTATTTGTTAGATCCTGAGTTGCCACCGTGTTGTTTTAATTATTGTAGTGTTATGTTAGGTATATCAGGAATGCTCTGGTTTGAAAAATACATACTTTTGATCATGTATTTTTCTTAAATTCTTCACAAGAGCTTGTTTTAAATAGGTACTTTTTGAGAATCTTTTGAGAATCTAATATAGATTTTGATCTTTAGTTTATTAATATATTTCATATCAATCACAATAATGGATTTCTGGAATAAAACCTACTTTACTTTCAGATTTTTTTTTTTTCCTTTAATGCAGGTAGGAATTGATTTACTAATTCATTGGTATTTTTACAATAGTAATGAAATGGTGTTGGTCTGTGATTTTTTTTTTTCTGTTCCTGGGCTATTTTTGTCAGATTTTGGTTTCAGTGTTTTATTTGGTGTCAGGCTTAATAAAATAAACTGGCAGCCCGCCATTTTTCCCTCTGCTGTGGAAAGTTTAAAGAACTTAGTACCTTGAAGGTTCTGGGCTTGTACCTTCTCAGAGAGAGAATCTTGGTTTATTGGTCAAAGTCTATTTTATGCTGTCTTATCATTTATTTTTTACTGATATCTTTCTCTTAAAATTTGTTAGTATATTTTCAACTCTGGTTAGTTTATTTCCTTTCAGTCTTTAATAACATACATTTAAGGTATGAATTTTTCTCTATATGTTTTGATTTTGATACATATTTTAATTTTCATTATTTTCTAAATCTCAAATTTTAGTTTGATTTTCTGTTTACCCTGGAATTTCTTTCTCCTTTTTTTTGAAACAGAGTCTCACTTTGTCTCCCAGGCTGGAGTGCAGTGGCACCATCGTGGCTCACTGCAGCCTCCGCCTCCCGGGTTCAAGTGATTCTCCTGCCTCAGCCTCCTAAGTAGCAGGGATTACAGGCGCACACCACTACGCCTGGCTAATTTTTGTATTTTTAGTAGAGACAAGGTTTCACTATGTTGGCCAGGCTGGTCTCGAACTCCTGACCTCAGCTGATCCACCCACCTTGGCCTCCCAAAGTGCTGGGATTACAGGCGTGAGCCACCTCCCCTGGCCAATTTTTAAGGCATATAAAAACATGAGTGAATTTTATGTTTAGACTTGGACCCCATTCCCAAGATACCTCATTATGTATATACAGATATTCCAAAATTTGGAAAGATCTGAAATCTCAGCCACTTCTGATTCCAAGTGTTTCAGATGAGGAGTAGTCAACATATACTTTTTTGTGTGTGTGTGTTTGTGTGAGACAGGATCTTGCTGTTGCCCAGGCTGGAGTGCAGTGGCACGATCTTGGCTCATTGCAGCCTTGACCTCCTAAGCTCAAGTGATCCTCCCACCTCTGCCTCCCAAGTAGCTGGGACTATAGACACGTGCCACCACGCCTGGCTAGTTTTTGTATATTTTTTGTAGAGATGGAGTTTCACCATGTTGCCCAGGCTGGTCTTGAACTCCTGAGCTCAAGGGATTCTTCCCCTATTGGCCTCCCAAAGTTCTGGGATTACAGGTGTGAACCACCGTGCCCAGCCCAGTCTGTACTTAAGAATATTTATTCTCTGCTGAGTGTGCAGAGTTCTAAATATGTCACCTAAATCAAATCTTTAAAAGTAGTATTCCAATCCCTAATTTTCTTATTTATTTTTGCTACCTAACTTGCTATTTTCTGAGAGTTTTGTGTTAAAATCTCCCAGATGCCAGAGGTTGATGCTAGCATATGGCCACTCCTGTTCTATGAGTACCTAGAGCAAGAGGCCTGAGGTGAAATAGCTCAGAGTTGTGCTTCCCCAGGCAAAGGAGGGGGCTGGGTGTGTCCTTCTGGGGATGGTCAGTGATTGGTCAGCCAGGGCCCTCATGTTAGGTGGCTGATTGCCTCCATTTGTCTGCCAACGGCTGGCTGATTCTCTCAGCTAGCAGTAGGTTCAGCTTCATCCTGGTAAGAAGGGTAGGTGAGCTCAGTTACTACAGTATGTGCTTGAGGTGTAATCTTCTAGGGCTGTTTGCCTCAAACAACATCAGGGCTGGAGACTGACTTCCAGCAGGTGAGTGATTTTAAGGCCTAGAAAGGATGTGGATAATTGTTGGTAGCATCCAGCCCCTAATACTGATATCCTTTGTGTTGAGCATATCTGAGGCAGCAAGATGAGAGGGGAAGTGGAACTGGTAGTTGCACATGGCTTCCTTTCAAGGGTTGTCTTTAATAAATTGAAGAATAGCAAAATACCACATTATTTTGGATAATTAGTTTACCAAATTTCTTTCCCTTTTGCTTTCTTGCTTCTT
Organism: Homo sapiens; assembly: GCF_000001405.40. Lineage (NCBI taxonomy): Eukaryota > Metazoa > Chordata > Mammalia > Primates > Hominidae > Homo > Homo sapiens. Next base: position 40,134,860 of record NC_000004.12, read on the forward strand.
TCTTTCTTTCTCTCTTTCTTCCTTCCTCCCTTCCTTCCTTCCTTTCTCTCTCTCTCTCTCTCTTTCTTTCTTTTTTATTTTATTTTATTTTATTTTTTATTATTATACTTTAAGTTTTAGGGTACATGTGCACAATGTGCAGGTTAGTTACATATGTATACATGTGACATGCTGGTGTGCTGCACCCACTAACTTGTCATCTAGCATTAGGTATATCTCCCAATGCTATCCCTCCCCCCTCCCCCCACCCCACAAGAGTCCCCAGAGTGTGATGTTCCCCTTCCTGTGTCCATGTGTTCTTATTGTTCAATTCCCACCTATGAGTGAGAATATACGGTGTTTGGTTTTTTGTTCTTGCGATAGTTTACTGAGAATGATGATTTCCAATTTCATCCATGTCCCTACAAAGGACATGAACTCATCATTTTTGATGGCTGCATAGTATTCCATGGTGTATATGTGCCACATTTTCTTAATCCAGTCTATCATTGTTGGACATTTGGGTTGGTTCCAAGTCTTTGCTATTGTGAATAGTGCTGCAATAAACATACGTGTGCATGTGTCTTTATAGCAGCATGATTTATAGTCCTTTGGGTATATACCCAGTAATGGGATGGCTGGGTCAAATGGTATTCCTAGTTCTAGATCCCTGAGGAATCGCCACACTGACTTCCACAGTGGTTGAACTAGTTTACAGTCTTTCTTTCTTTCTTTTCTTTCTTTCACAGAGTTTGCTCTTGTTGTTCAGGCTGGAGTGCAGTGGCACCATCTCGGCTCACTGCAACCTCTGCCTCCTGAGTTCAGGCAATTCTCCTGTCTCAGCCTCCCAAGTAGTTGGGATTACAGGCGCCCGCCACCATGCCCGGCTAATTTATTTTTGTATTTTTAGTAGAGACAGGGTTTCACCATGTTGGCCAGGCTGATCTTGAACTCCTGACCTCAGGTGATCCACCTGCCTCGGCCTCCCAAAGTGTTGGGATTACAGGCGTGAGCCACCATGTCTGCCTAGTTAACCAGATTTCAAAAAATATTCGTATATGGTCAGTTCCTCAGTATCTGGCCAATGGAAGAGGTGAGAGACATAAATAGTGTGAAATACTGAGCAGCATATAATTTTTTTGAATGATTTTCTTTAGATATTGGAACGTGAGTGTGTCAGACATTTGTTGATTTGTAGAATTTCATTCTACAGATAATATAGTATCACCGTCAAGATATGACTGAATAATGCAGGGATGAGAGGTAGGGTAGTGCTTAAGTTTTTCTTTTCTGTATCCCTGCTTAGAATTTGACTAAAATCCCATGGTAAAAGTAAATGTAGAATTTGACACAATAAAAATGTCAGCTTAAAGGTCTATTGTCTGTGTTTGATGTTTGAAGGAAACCACATATAAATCCAACAAAGGATTTAAGAAGAATAGGTGATAAAATGAAAGAAAGATTTGTTATGGCTAATCTGCCTGGTATAAAGGATTAGAAATTGAATCTATCTATCTATCTATCTATCTATCTATCTATCTATCTATCTATCTATCTTTTTTTTGAGACAAAGTCTTGCTCTGTCGCCCAGGCTGGAGTGCAGTAGCACCATCTCAGCCCACTGCAACCTCTGCCTTCCGGGTTCAAGCGATTCTCGTGCCTCTCAGCCTCCCGAGTAGCTGGGATTACAGGCGCGCGTCACCACACCCAGCTAATTTTTGGGTTTTTTGTAGAGACGGGGTTTCACCATGTTGGCCAGGCTAGTCTCTTAACTCCTGACCTCAAGTGATCCACCCGCCTCGGCCCCCCGAAGTGCTGGGATTACAGGCGTGAGCTACTGTGCCTGGCTGAATTACCAATATACTATCTTTTGGCATTCATTTTTTGAAAATTAGCTTTTGAGAACCTATTATTTGATAGTTTCCTTCTGATTATTCTTGATTTTTTTTTGAGATACACCATGAGCATTTAATTTCAAGGTTGAAAACTTAAAAGTAAGCCAGTTTTTCATATTCTTGTAAGATGTTTGAAGATTGCTTGTGTTAATGTCCCACACAACTTATTTTCATTTATTGACATTATGTTTCTACTTAAATTTTCTACAGCTATTCATTAGAACACACAGTGCAATTTCTTAACTGTGTTCTTGAAGGGGACCCTGTAAAAACAGTTGTAGCCCAAGAGTTTGTTCACCAAAATGAGAATGTCACATCTCATACTGGCCAGAAGTCTAAAGAGAAAAAGGTATGGAGTTACTAATTTTTTTTCTACAAGGGTAGATAATTGCATATAAAAATATAATTGGTTCATTGAGTATAATAATTTAATGATTATTTCTCACCATTTTGACTAGACTGGAAATTTAACCACCAATGGCATATTTGGCTTATAATATCTGTGCACTCAAAATAATGAATTTATAGCTGATTTTTTCCTTCGTGTGCATGATAAACAGGCACTTGAATTTCTGCAACTTCTGTATAGTCTGACACAGTAGAGTATGTGGTTTAATTGAATAGCAGTAATGTGATGGGTCTTGAATATAAACATGTGGGCAGAAATATTTAGCCTTTTGGGAAAGTGCCAAATTTTTTCCCAAAGTGGCTCTACCATTTTATATTTCCACTAGAACAGTATGAGGGTTACAATTTCTCCACATCTTCACTGACATATATTATTATTTAACACCCGTCTTTTTATTATAACCATTGTAGTGAGTGGGAAGTTGTGTTAAGAATACCGAGAATTTGTTTTAATCAGGTATGGTAAGACGTGCAGACATGGAAGTGTCGTGAAGGAAGTTTATCATACTCACAGAGTTCTGGAAACAGGAGGTATGGCTTGCTACCCAAGTTCACATGGGGAGCCAGCAGGATTGGTCAGGAGGCAGAAGGAGTAGGGGGGAAATGTGGGCAAAAGCCTGTATTTTGGTTTCTATGGGAAGGAATGGGTAAGGCAGGGTAAGCAGGTTTAGGATTGGCTAGTTTAAATAATTTCAGCAGGCTCTGGGGCATAGGGACTTCCCCTGGTTGTCTGATACTCGGGGGCAGGTGGATAGTGCCCTGGAGTGGGAGAACTCCATTAAAGGAGGAAGTTGGAGGCATAGTTTCTGGACTGGTTGGTTTCCAAATGAAAGGCGTGCTCCCAGACAGGTGTTTGTTATCTCTAGGAATTAGCTAAACCTGAGGGGGTTGTGAGAATGGATGGAGATGAGGGGGCAGGAGGAGCAGCCTCTCTAGTGTCATGAAGGCTGCAAAAATTCCAGTGGCAGAATACAGAAAATAAAAGACATGGTTAATACAGAAATGGTGTCTTATTGTGGTTTTGATTTGCATTTCCTTGATGACTATTGATGTTGAGCATCTTTTTATGTGCTATTTGTCATTTGTACATCTTTGGAAGAATGTCTGTTCATATCCTTTGTCTATTTTTAAATTGGATTATTTGTCTTTATTGTTGAGTTGTAAGTGTTCTTTATATATTCTAGATACAAGTCCCCAGTCAGACATGTGATTTGCAGATATTCTGTCCTTTCCATAGGTTGCCTTTCACTCTGTTGTTTCTGTTGTGACACTGAAGCCTTTTAAATTTGATGTAGTCTAGTTTGTCTACTTTTGCTATGTTGCCTGTGCTTCATTGCCAAATCCAATGTCATGAACTTTCCTCCTGTATTTTCTGTAGGAGTCTTATAGTTTCAGGCCTTTCATTTAGGTCTTTAATCCATTTTGAGTTAATTTTTGTATATGTAGTGAGATAGAAGTTCAAGTTGATTCTTTCGCATGTGGATATTCAGTTGTCTTGTACCATTTGTTACAAAGACTATTCTTTCCCCATTGAATTTTCTTGGCACTCTTGTTGAAAATGAATTGACCATAGTTACAAGGATTTATTGCTGGACTCCTAATTCTATTCCATTGATCTGTATGTCTGTCCTATTGCCAGTACCACTTGTCTTGATTACTGCGGCTTCTTGATTACTGTGGCTTTGTAGTAAGTTTTGAAATTGGGAAGTGTGAGTTTTCCAACTATGTTCTATTTATTTATTTATTTTAAGAGATTTTGGCTATTCTGGTGCCCTTGGATTTCCATGTGAATTTTAGGATTAGTTTGTGAATTTCTGCAAAGAAGCCAGCTAGAATTTTGATGGGGTTCGTGTTGAATATGTAGACCAATTAACAATATTAAGTCTTTCAATTCATGAAATGGAGTATCTTTCAGTTATTTAGGTCTTCTTTAATTTCCTTCAACAATGCACTATAGTTTTCAGAGTATAAATTTTACACATCTTTTGTTAAGTTTATTTCTAAATACAGTATTTTATTCTTTTTCATGCTATTGTAAATGTAAATGGAATTATTTCTTTTGTTTGTTTTGTTTCTTTCTGGTCTGGAATTATGTCCTTTTTAAAAGTTTATTTTTTGATATTACTTTTAAATTAAAAAGAGAAAAGGGTCTTGCTATGTTGCCCAGACTGGTTTCAACTCCTGGGCTCAAGCAGTCCTCCCGCCTCAGCCTTCCAAAGTGCTAGGGTTACAGGCTTGAGCCACCGCACCTGGCCTGGAATTATGCATTAATTTTATTTTTGGATTGTTTATTACAAATACATAGACATGCAGTTGGGTTTTTTGTATTAATTTTGTATCAGCATTAGGCTTTTTTTTTTTTTTTTTTGAGACAGAGACTCACTCTGTCGCCCAGGCTGGAGTGCAGTGGCGCGATCTCGGCTCACTGCAACCTGTGCCCTCTGAGTTCAAGTGATTCTCCTGCCTCAGCCTCCCAGGTAGCTGGGATTACAGGTGCCTGCCACCACTCCCAGCTAATTTTTTGTATTTTTAGTAGAGACGGGGTTTCACTGTCTTGGCCAAGCTGGTCTTGAACTCCTGACCTTGTGATCCACCCACCTTGACTTCCCAAAGTGCTGGGATTACAGGCGTGAGCCACTGCGCCAGGCCTAGCATTAGGCTTTTTTTTTTTTTTACATTTTTTTTTCTTTTTTTTTTTTTTGAGACAGGGTCTCACTGTGTTGCTCAGGCTGGAGTGCAGTGGCAGGATCACAGCTCAAGCGATCCTCCCATCTCCCCCTCCTGAGTAGCTGGGACTACAGGCATGAACCACCACACCTGGCTAATTTTTGTATTTTTTGTAGAGATAGGGTTTTGGTTGCCTAGGCTGGTCTTGAACTTCTGGGCTCAAGTGATCCACCTTGGCCTCCCAAAGTGCTGGGATTACAGGCGTGAGCCACCATGCCCAGCCTTATTTTTTTATTTTATTTTACTTTACAGAATCTTATCATCCTGCAATCCTTATTAATAAGACCACTCAGGGGTAAATTAAGTGCTCCCTTTTTTCTTTGAATGTTTCATTGTCAGTTAGTTGGTATTTAGGACTTAGGTAATTTTGATTTTCATATGATCTGTTAGTGCTACCACTGATGCCTCTGCCCACCTGGAAAACATGCTGTCATGGATAGATAGATGCAGCATATTATAAAAATGCAGAGAGTGTACACAAGATGATTATGAGACCTTATGGGCCAAATTGGCAATGAAGTTACTTCTCCCTCCTGATAATATGCAAGGCACTGTGAGTCATTATGGTAATAGGGGGTGATAAGAAGATGTGCTTGCTCAAAGTGGGAGATGATTGGAAATATAATCAGAAAGAGAGTTTTTGTGAGTTATGTAAACCTTGGCCAAAATGTAAACTTTAAGTTATTCTGGAAATTATTTTTGCACTTATTCTCTTTTTTTTTAAAATTAATTTATTTTTTATTGATCATTCTTGGGTGTTTCTCACAGAGGGGGATTTGGCAGGGTCACAGGACAATAGTGGAGGGAAGGTCAGCAGATAAACAAGTGAACAAAGGTCTCTGGTTTTCCTAGGCAGAGGACCCTGCGGCCTTCCGCAGTGTTTGTGTCCCTGGGCACTTGAGATTAGGGAGTGGTGATGACTCTTAACGAGCATGCTGCCTTCAAGCATCTGTTTAACAAAGCACATCTTGCACCGCCCTTAATCCATTTAACCCTGAGTGGACACAGCACATGTTGCAGAGAGCACAGGGTTGGGGGTAAGGTCATAGATCAACAGGATCCCAAGGCAGAAGAATTTTTCTTAGTACAGAACAAAATGAAAAGTCTCCCATGTCTACCTCCTACTACACAAACACGGCAACCATCCGATTTCTCACTCTTTTCCCCACCTCTCCCCACTTTCTACTCCACAAAACCGCCATTGTCATCATGGCCCGTTCTCAATGAGCTGCCGGGCACACCTCCCAGATGGAGTGGTGGCCGGGCAGAGGGGCTCCTCACCTCCCAGTAGGGGCAGCCGGGCAGAGGCGCCCCTCACCTCCCGGAGGGGGCGGCTGGCCTGGCGGGGGGCTGACCCCCCCACCTCCCTCCTGGACGGGGCGGCTGGCCTGGCGGTGGGTGACCCCCACCTCCTTCCTGGACGGGGTGGCTGCCGGGCGGTGACGCTCCTCACTTGTCAGACGGGGCGGCTTCCGGGCGGAGGGTCTCCTCACTTCTCAGACGGGGCAGCCGGGCAGAGACGCTCCTCACCTCCCAGACGGGGTCGCGGCCGGGTAGAGGCGCTCCTCACATCCCAGACGGGGCGGCGGGGCAGAGGCGCTCCCCACATCTCAGACGATGGGCGGCCGGGCAGAGGCGCTCCTCACTTCCTAGATGGGATGGCGGCCGGGAAGAGGCGCTCCTCACTTCTTAGATGGGATGGCAGCCGGGCAGAGACGCTCCTCACTTTCCAGACTGGGCAGCCAGGCAGAGGGGCTCCTCACGTCCCAGATGATGGGCGGCCAGGCAGAGACGCTCCTCACTTCCCAGACGGGGTGGCGGCCGGGCAGAGGCTGCAATCTCCGGCACTTTGGGAGGCCAGGGCAGGCGGCTGGGAGGTGGAGGTTGTAGCGAGCCGAGATCACGCCACTGCACTCCAGCCTGGGCAACATTGAGCACTGAGTGAACCAGACTCCATCTGCAATCCCGGCACCTCGGGAGGCCGAGGCTGGCGGATCACTCGCGGTTAGGAGCTGGAGACCAGCCCGGCCAACACAGCGAAACCCCGTCTCCACCAAAAAAATAGGAAAACCAGTCAGGCGTGGTGGCGCGTGCCTGCAATGGCAGGCACTCGGCAAGCTGAGGCAGGAGAATCAGGCAGGGAGGTTGCAGTGAGCCGAGATGGCAGCAGGACAGTCCAGCTTCGGCTCGGTATCAGAGGGAGACCGTGGAAAGAGAGGGAGAGGGAGACCGTGGGGAGAGGGAGAGGGAGACCATAGGGAGAGGGGGAGGGGGAGGGAGAGGGAGAGGGAGAGGGCAGCGTGTAACCTTGGTAACTTCACTTCAGCCTCTGCACTTATTCTCTTAAATTATCATCTGTAGTTTCAAAACTCAGACCACCAATGAACAGTTTTTTCAACTGCTCTGGTTCCTTTGGATCATGGCCCTCCTCTCTCTGGCGGTGGTGGCGACGGCTGGAGTTGGGCTGGGGGTGACTGGGTGGTGGTTTTACCTCCATTTTGAGACTGAACTCGCCTCTTCCAACTCGGAGTTCAGTATCCCTAATTGTATTTTGATAATTTTAGAGAACTCTTCAACATCTCCCGAGAGTGGTTAAAGAAAGGGTAACCTTAGCGGCATAAAAAAGTTAATGATAGTCGATAAATGCCTGACTTACAAGGTAGACGCTGGGGAGAATCTATTTCCTGAGGAGAGAGATGAAAATATACGACAGCCCAGTTTTCATGTGCGTTTTGTGAAGGTGTAAGGCATGAGTTTTTTTTTTAACTTTCTGTGTGTGTTACTTATTGTTTAATATCTTATAGCCAAAGAAATTAAAAGAGACTGAAGAAACACCAAGTGAACTGTCTTTCCAGGACTTTGAGTACCCAGACTATGATGACTACAGAGCAGAGGCTTTCCTTCACCAACAGAAGAGGATGGAGTGCTACAGCAAGGCCAAAGAAGCTTATCGGATAGGGAAAAAAAATGTCGCCACCTTTTATGCCCAGCAGGTAAAGTGGAAAACTGATTATATATTTTTTGTCAGTTATAATAACTAAATACTCTTGAAGCAGATAAGACACCCATATTGTGACTAGATTAAGTTATTCTGGGGAATGTAGTAGTTATGTAAGTGACATAAATAAGGTATCCTAAGAAATGTATGGTTCTGAGAATTTCATCTCCTGCTGTTTTGAGCATTTGAAATGCTCAGTTTCTGTGGTTGCTTTTGCATTTACTGCTTATGTGAATTACAGTTTATTCTGACAGTCCATATTTCTGGCAGCAGAATATTAATATTGGCCATCTGAGAGTGAGATTAAAGGGGTTTTGTGCCTTCTGTCATGTTTGAATTTTTGGTAATATATCACTTTCATAGTACAAAAATAACATTAATTTTTTTTGGGAAGTAAAATTTCTACCTGGGCTCATTTAACATGATATTATAAGGAACTTGCTTTATTTATTTATTTATTTTTTTAAGATAAGGTCTTGCTCTGTTGCCCAGGCTGGAGTATAGTGGTGCAATCTCCGCTAACTGCAGCCTTGACCTCCCAGGCTCAGGTGAACCTCCCACATCAGCCTCCCAAATAGCTGGGACTACAGGCACGTGCCACCAGGCCCAGCTAATTTTTGTATGGGGTCTTACCATGTTGTCCAGGCTGGTCGTGAACTCCTGAGCTCAAGCAATCCTCCCATCTCAGCCTCCCAAAGTGCTGGGATTACAAGTGCAAGGTACTACTTCCGGCCAGGAATCTGCTTAACTTTTTATGTTTGTGTTGCCATATGGGTTACTTCTTTGTGATTGAGCAGAGAAGAGTATCAAACTGCTATAGGCCTGTGAGCCCTAACAGTAGTCCTTGGGGGATAGCTTCTGGGGTAGGTAACTACAAAATGTTGAAGGTGAACGCCAAGATGAGACCCAGCATTATCAAAGGATACACAAATAATAAACCAGTGATTCCTTCTTGAGATGGTGTATTAGAGTTCTCTAGAGAGACAGACCAGTAGGATATATGAAAGATAATTTATTAGGGGGAATTGGCTCTCACAGTCATAGAGGTGGAGAAGTCCCATAATAGGCCAGCTGTAAGCTAGAGAACCAAAGAATTCGATAGCATAGCTTAAAGCCAGGAGTGTAGCGCAGTCGAAGTTCAAAGCCTCAGAACCAGGGATACTGACTGCAGCCCCCAGTCCAGGGTCAAAGGCTCAAGAGCCACCAAGAGGCAGCTGGTGCAGGTTCCACAGTCTAAAAGCTGAAGAATGTGGAGTCTGAATTCCAAAGGCAGGAGGAGAACATCTGCCTGTTTGTCTTAGCCAGCCTCCAGCTGCCCACATGGTTGGTGCCTGCCCGCATGGAGGGGAGGTCTTCTTTCTGTCCACTGACATGCAGGGCAATCTTCTCTGGAAACACCCTCACAGAGACACCCAGAAACAATGCTTCACCAGCCATCTAGGTATCCCTCAGTCCAGTCAAATTGATACCTAAAATTAACTGTCACATGTGAGGATCGTGTTTAGTTAAGTTTCCCACTTTTACGACTTTTGGTTCAGAAAATGTTAGAAAGAATGACTCAGTAGTTTAAGGACTACATTATTAAGTCACTGAAATTTACCTAAATTTTGGTGCATTCTTATATATTAAACTCATTGCATTATTTAAGATTTTAGGTTTATTATTCCCTTTTTCCCCCTTCCTTTTATTTGGGGCACTATTAACTTCCTCATCACCCAAGTAGCAAACAGCAAAACTGTCCCTTGGTGATATGTTTATGATTTAGGGTACTCTTCATGAGCAGAAGATGAAAGAAGCCAATCACCTTGCTGCCATAGAGATCTTTGAGAAAGTCAATGCTTCGCTGCTGCCACAGAATGTTTTAGACCTCCATGGGCTGCATGTGGATGAAGCTCTAGAACATTTGATGAGAGTTTTAGAGAAGAAGACTGAAGGTAGGACTGTGGTAATCACAAGTTTTCAATAGAATATATGTCTTTGCTTATATTGGTATAGCTTGCAAATTCAGGAGAGTCTGAATATGCAGGCTGAGAATATCTGTGTAACATCTGTAAATGTTTATGTTATTCATTCTTCAAGAGAACCTTCTTGGGAAAGGATCCTCATTGGTATGATGATTAACATTTTCTTCATTTGTATTCCTGTGCTGTATTTATTAACGGGAGGGCATGGTGTAATCTGCGAATCCTCTCTGTGACTTATAAATGAGACCTTTCAGGAATATTACATATCTTTGTCCAATAGACATTTATTAAACTTAATTGATATTTCTTGGATTTCAATTTTTCAGTAGATGCTTGATAAAATACAGAAGTAAATAAGGTGATAGGATTCTCCCACTCCAGTAGTTTTTTTGTTTGTTTGTTTCTTTTTCTGAGACATAATCTCACTCTGTTGCCCAGGCTGGAGTGCAGTGGTGCCATCTCGGTTCACTGCAACCTCTGTCTCCTGGGTTCAAGCCATTCTCGTGCCTCAGCCTCCCGAGTAGCTGGGATTACAGGCGGGTGTCACCAAGCCTAGCTAGTTTTTGTATTTTTAGTGGAGACAGGGTTTTACCATGTTGGCCAGGCTGGTCTTGAACTCCTGGCCTCAAGCAATCCACCTGCCTTGGCTTCCCAAAGTGAGCTACTGCTCCTAGCCTGACCCCAGTTGTTTTTAAATTGAATTTTGGAAATCTTGTAGAAAATCTAGAAAACAGTAAAGATTAGAAAAGAGAAACTTTAAGAGCCGTTTAAATTATTATTTAATCCAGAGAGAAGAAAACTCTTCAAGTATATAGAAGTGTTATGAAAGAATATTCTTTCTATAGAGGATGAATTAATAGTGTTTTACTCAATAAATATTTGATTATCTTCTGTATTCTAGGCATCAAGGATAAGGTGGTGAAAAAGACACACAATCCTTGTCTTTATTGGAGTTTATTGTCTAGTGGGGTATACCATCTAGTAGGATAGATAACAGTGAAAAAATAGTTACATAAGTAATTAGCATTGTGATAAGAAAATACAAGTTGTGGCCGGGTGCGGTGGCTCATGCCTGTAATCCCAGCACTTCGGAGGCCGAGGTGGGCGGATCACCTGAGGTCTGGAGTTCGAGACCAGCCTGGCCAACATGGTGAAACCCCGTCTCTACTAAAAATACAAAAATTAGCCAGGCATGGTGGCATGCACCTGTAATCCCAGCCACTTGGGAGGCTGAGGCAGGGAGAATTACTTGAACCCTGGAGGCGGAGGTTGCAGTGAGCCAAGATCACGCCACTGCCCTCCAGCCTGGGTGACAGAGCGAGACTCTTTCTCAAAAATAAATAAATAAATAAATAAATAAAATAAAATAAAATAAGAAAATACAAGTTGTATTTAGGATAAATTCTAAAATCCCTACATAATATCTCTTGCTTACCTCTCCAGTCTCACCCTGTGTTTTTTTCTCCTTTTCTGTATATTTAACTACACTGTCAGTCTTGACCCCCATACTAGTTAGGCCCCCTGTTAATAACTTCTCACAGTACTCCTACCTCTCACAGTGTTTATAAAAAGCTTATTGTATAATTGGTTATTAAATACCTGTCTTTTTGGCCAAGAATTGAGCCAGTGATGATCATGTTTTTTCTTCAACACTCAAAAAAGTTTTTGAATAAATGACTAAATAATGGTAGTTATTACTCTTATTTTTTTGACAAATAAGATTGTTTATATTGAAAGTATGCAATGTGATGATTTGATAAATGTACACATTGTAAAGTGATTACCACAATGAAGTACTTTAGCACATACATCACCTATTGTTACCATTTTGTGTGTGGGGGATGAGAACACCTATGACTTACTCTCATAGCAAATTTCAAGTATATGATATAGTGCTATTAAATATTATTACCATGCTACACATTAGCTCAGCAGAATGTATTCTTTTTAAGCTTGTACCCTTTGACCAGCATTTCATTTCCTCCTCTCTATTCTGGCCCCTGGCAACTACCATTCTATTATGTTTCTATGTGTTTGGCTTTTTTTTTTTTTTTTTTTTTCCCCAGGTAATGTTTTTATTTTTATTTTTTTATTTTTTTTATTGATCATTCTTGGGTGTTTCTCGCAGAGGGGGATTTGGCAGGGTCATAGGACAATAGTGGAGGGAAGGTCAGCAGATAAACAAGTGAACAAAGGTCTCTGGTTTTCCTAGGCAGAGGACCCTGCGGCCTTCCGCAGTGTTTGTGTCCCTGGGTACTTGAGATTAGGGATTGGTGATGACTCTTAACGAGCATGCTGCCTTCAAGCATCTGTTTAACAAAGCACATCTTGCACCGCCCTTAATCCATTTAACCCTGAGTGGACACAGCACATGTTTCAGAGAGCACAGGGTTGGGGGTAAGGTCATAGATCAACAGGATCCCAAGGCAGAAGAATTTTTCTTAGTACAGAACAAAATGAAAAGTCTCCCACGTCTACTTCTTTCTACACAGACACAGCGACCATCCGATTTCTCAATCTTTTCCCCCACCTTTTCCCCTTTTCTATTCCACAAAACCGCCATTGTCATCATGGCACGTTCTCAATGAGCTGTTGGGTACACCTCCCAGACGGGGTGGTGGCCGGGCAGAGGGGCTCCTCACTTCCCAGAAGGGGCGGCCGGGCAGAGGCGCCCCCCACCTCCCGGACGGGGCGGCTGGCCGGGCAGAGGCGCCCCCCACCTCCCTCCCGGACATGGCGGCTGGCCGGGTGGGGGCTGACCCCCCCACCTCCCTCCCGGACGGGGCGGCTGGCCGGGCGGGGGCTGACCCCCCACCTCCCTCCCAGACGGGGCGGCTGGCCGGGTGGGGGCTGACCCCCCACCTCCCTCCCAGACGGGGCGGCTGGCCCTCACTTCCCAGACGGGGTGGCTGCCGGGCGGAGGGGCTTCTCACTTCTCAGATGGGGCGGCTGCTGGGCGGAGGGGCTCCTCACTTCTCAGACGGGGCAGCCAGGCAGAGACGCTCCTCACCTCCCAGACGGGGTCGCGGCCAGGCAGAGGCGCTCCTCACATCCCAGACGGGGCGGCGGGGCAGAGGCGCTCCCCACATTTCAGACGATGGGCGGCCGGGCAGAGACGCTCCTCACTTCCTAGATGGGATGGCAGCCGGGAAGAGGCGCTCCTCACTTCCCAGACTGGGCAGCCAGGCAGAGGGGCTCCTCACATCCCAGACGGGGTGGCGGCCGGGCAGAGGCTGCAATCTCCGGCACTTTGGGAGGCCAGGGCAGGCGGCTGGGAGGTGGAGGTTGTAGCGAGCCGAGATCACGCCACTGCATTCCAGCCTGGGCACCAATGAGCACTGAGTGAACGAGACTCCGTCTGCAATCCCGGCACCTCGGGAGGCCGAGGCTGGCAGATCACTCGCGGTTAGGAGCTGGAGAGCAGCCTGGCCAATACAGCGAAACCCTGTCTCCACCAAAAAAATAAGAAAACCAGTCACGCATGGCGGCGCGCGCCTGCAATCGCAGGCACTGGGCAGGCGGAGGCAGGAGAATCAGGCAGGGAGGTTGCAGTGAGCCGAGATGGCAGCAGTACAGTCCAGCTTCGGCTCGGCATCAGAGGGAGACCGTGGAAAGAGAGGGAGAGGGAGACTGTGGGGAGAGGGAGAGGGGGAGGGGGAGGGGGAGAGGGAGTTCGGCTTTTTTAGGTTCCACATGTAAGTGAGATCATACAGGATTTGTCTTTCTGTGTCTGGCTTATTTCACTTAGTATAATGCCCTCCAGCCACATCTGTATTGTTGCAAATGGCAGGATTTTCCCCTTTTAAAAAATTTTTAATTAAATTTTTATTTTTATTTAAAAGAAATAGGAGGTCTCAGTGTGTTGCTTAGACTGGTCTCGAACTTCTGGGCTCAAGTGATCCTCCCACCTTGGCCTTCCAAAGTGCTGAGATTGCAGATGTGAGCCACCATGCCTGGCCTGAGCCACTGTGCCTGGTCCCCTTTTTATTGTTGAATAATATTCCATTGTGTCTATATCACATTTTTTTATCAATTTATCCATCGATGGACAATTAGGTTGTTTCACCCAGCCTGGATGACAGAGTGAGACTCTCTAAGAAAAAAAAAATTGAAAAATCGAAAAACAGAAAAATGAAATGGAAAGTAATCAGTATTGTTAAGGATGTGGATAAATTGGAGCCCTCATATATTGCTAGTGTAGCCACTGTGAAAAATTTCACTAGTTCTTTGAAAGGTTAAACATATAATTAACCGTATGACCCAGTAATTCTGCCCCTAACTATGTACCCAAGAGAAATAAAAACACAATATGTCTTTACGGAAACTTGCATATGAATGTCTGCAACAGCCAAAAGGTGGTGGTAACCTAAAAGTTCATTAACTGATGAATAGAGAAACAAAATGTGGTAAATCTATACAATGAAATTTAATTTAGCCATGTAGAGAAATGGCGGACCTTGTAAACATTATTCTTTGTGAAAGATGAAGGCAGATAAAAAGCCATATGTTGTATGATTTCATTTTTACCAAATGTTCTGAGTATGTAAATCTAGAGAGACAAAAATTTGATTAGTGGTTGCTGGGACTGGAATGGCAAGAATATGAGCAGTGACTGCTATGAGGCACAGAATTTCTTTGTGAAATGATGGAATGTTCTGGAATTAGTGGTGGTGGTTGCACAACATGATGAATATGCTAAAAACCGCTTAATTGCATATTTTAAAATGGTTAGTTTTATGTTAATTTTATCTCAATTAAAAAAATTGTAAGAAGAGAAAAAGAGGCCAGGCTCAGTGGCTCATGCCTGTAATCCCAGCACTTTGGGAGGCCGAGGCTGGCGGATCACGAGGTCAGGAGATCAAGACCATCCTGGCTAACACAGTGAAACCCCGTCTCTACTAAAAATACAAAAAAAAATTAGCTGGGCATGGTGGCGGGCACCTGTAGTCCCAGCTACTTGGGAGGCTGAGGCAGGAGAATGGTGTGAACCAGGGAGGCGAAGCTTGCAATGAGCCGAGATCGAGCCACTGCACTCCAGCCTGGGTGACAGAGCGAGACTCCATCTCAAAAAGAAAAAAAAAAAAAAAAGAAAGAAAAGAAAAAAGAGCTAAGTAATTTGCCCAAGGTAATACTTGGTCAAGATCCAAGATGCAGATCTTTTCTGGAAGCCAAGGCCCATCTCTAGTGCATGCTGCCACCTGTGGTAGTCTGTAGTTACTGTCAGTCACCACCAGGTGGCAGTATTGTTGAATAGAAATGAATCCAGTGGAAGATTTGTGGCTCTGACCTGCATTGCCTTTTGACATAAGATTAAGGAGTGTTAAAATCGGAGATGAATTTTTTAAAAAAGAGAGACATCTGGACCTTATGTCCCTTCTGGTTGAAATATACACTGCTACGTACGAATCATTTTTGCCTCCAAATCAAACTAGGAGCAGATCAAACCTTTAGAACTGACTACCATTTTATAGGGATTTACAGGGGACAGAGGAACATGTTAAACAACACCATGGGGATACAGTCAGCAAAATTCAGATTGTGAAAATCTAGGATAGGCTGGGTGTGATGGCTCATGCCTGTAATTCCAGCACTTTGGAAGGCCGAGGCAGTCAGATCACTTGAGGTCAGGAGTTTGAGACCAGCCTGGCCAACATGGTGAAACCACGTCTCCACTAATAATATACAAAAATATTAGCTGGGCATGATGTCTCAGGCCTGTAATCCCAGCCACTCTGGAAACTGAGGCAGAAGAATCGCTTGAACCCAGGAGTCAGAGGCTGCAGTGAACCGAGATCATCCCACTGCACTTCAACCTGGGCAACAGAGTGAGACTCTGTCTCAGGGGGAAAAAAAAAAAAGAGGAAGTCTAGGATAAATGATCCAATTTTTTTCAATAAATTGTAAAGAAAAACACCAGGGGAGGGGAAACCTTGTTACTTAAGAAATATATCAATCAAATAGAATGTATAGACTTATTTCAATCTTGATGCCAACAAATTACTGTAAAAACATATTTTTGAGATAATTGGGGGAAATTTTGGAAACTAATGATATTAAGGGACTTTTATTAATTTTATAAGATATGATGGTGCCATTGTAGTTATGCTTTTTAAAGGAGTCCTTATCTTTTATGAGGTATGTACTGAAATATTTGCAGTTGAAGTATCTGGAGTGTGCTGAAAAATGAGTTAAACAGTCCTTTCTAAGGCGTTAAACAGCAAGAACAGCCTGTATTTGGGAAACGAAACATATACATTACTTCATGCAACAAACATCCTTTGAACTCTTACTTGAGGCATGTGAATCAACTAGAGAATATTTTCAGAGCAATAAGTGAACTATTAGCAGGTGATAATCGTATAAATGACTGACCTAAGTGATAAGGGGAGCCATAGTGAAGAGTGTGAGTTATGATTAGAGATTTAGTTGGGCTTTTTTTGTAAGTAAACTTTTTCTTTTTGAGATGGGAGTCTGGCTCTGTTGCCCAGGCTGGCAGTTGGTTGTGACCTTGGTTCACTGCACCCTCCACCTCCCAGGTGCAACCCATCCTCCTACCTCAGCTTCCCAAGTAGCTGGGACTACAGGTGCGCCTCGCCATGCCCTGCTAATTTTTGTATTTTCAGTAGAGATGGGGTTTTGCCGTGTTGCCCAGGCTGGTCTTGAACTCCTGAGCTCAAGTGGTCCACCTTCCTTAGCCTCCCAAAGTGCTGAGATTACAGGCATGAGCCACTGTCCCTGGCCAATGTAAAACTTTTATGCGTAATATAACATATGTAAAGAACAGTGCCCAAAATTATAGGTATATAGTGCAAAAACTTTGTAAAAAGTTCGTAAAAAGGTTTTACACTATATACCTAGAATTTTGTGCACTGTGAATACCTTTGTGAAGCTAGCACTCAGTTGAATTTTGAGCAACATATTGCTTGAAGTAATGGATGTGGATTAGAGATGGAGATCATAGACAAGGAATTAGAAATGCAAGAGCAACATATTCTTTTAAAATTCCAGGCTGAATATCATCTTGGAGATATGATACTTGAAAAACCATTTGTTTGTATTCTATTAGGAGTATTAGGACAATTTAATAAGCAGACCGTGGAATGTTTATATTTTGTGTGTTTTAAATTTATTAATTCATCTCATTAATAGTTTTTTTGTTGTTTTTGTTATTCTGCTACAGCTTTTATTAGTTTTCAGGATTTATATCCTTGATTTTCACAAGGTCATTTCCAAAATGGAACTTCAGTATTTTAGGAGGCTCAGACTCCTTTGATGTTTTAAGAACTATCTATCAGGAAAAGTTTGTTAACAATTGATTATCTTTAATAGTAAGACTGCAATCCAGCTGTGACTAGTGGATTTGCTAATAGCTATTACTGGAAGATAATCTATAAACTAGTTGCTATCATTATCCCTTTTTCCTGATGAGAAAATAGGCACAAAAGAAGCTAAGTAACTTGTCCATGGTCACACAGTCATTTAGTGGCAGAGCTATGATTCAGAACAAAGCTTGATGGCTTTAGAATATTTAATTAACAGGGTTGTTGTGAAGATTCTTAGTTAATAAATATAAGCCACTTAAAGCAGTACTTGACTCCTTTTGTATAGTAATTGTTAGGTATCATTAATGGTATTATTGCCATTATCATTATTTCAGGGAGAACTTCTGGTAGTGCACAGAAATCTCTTCCCCCATAAAGGAAGAAGTCCCACCAAATCTTTTGATGGATAGATTACAATGAGGCTATGTGTTTTAAAACATACATCTTAAAACATTAATTTGGGGGCTTTTTGAGATAGCAAATCTGTCTTACTATTACAGTTTTGAGATGGCAAACCCCAAAATCCTCATGAAAACAATTTCATGTGCTTGAGTAGCTAAGGTTTACGTTTTCTATTGAGAATGTAAGATAAATGAATTTTAACTCCCCTGATTTCTGTTGTAACAGAATTTAAGCAGAACGGTGGGAAGCCCTATTTGTCTGTGATTACGGGGAGAGGAAACCACAGCCAGGGAGGAGTTGCTCGCATCAAACCAGCTGTCATTAAGTACCTCATAAGCCATAGCTTCAGGTGAGTGTAGATTTCTGTTATTAATAATGGCAACTGCCCATATAGATCTTTATCAGATATTTCTGTGAGTATAGATTTCTGTTATTGATAATAGCAATAGCCCTAATATAGCTAGGTAAATAAACACTAATAGCGTACTCAGAACAATCTGTTAAAATAGTTAACTAAATTTAATCATCTGATTTCAGCCACAGATTCATGCTTAAATTATGATATAACTTTCCCTGCTGGATTTATGTTGTCTGGTAAACCAGAAATAAGGAAAAATGTGTTTGTTGCCAATAATCATCTGATAAAACTTTCTATCATAAATTTAAAGTTCTAAAAGAAAGTAAATATATTTGTTTCTTTGATAATATGCAAAATAATTAGGTAATATGTATCATACTTTAAGATTTGCTATTATTCTTTTGAAAGGAAATCAGTATTTGTGGATTTTGGATGGAATTGGGTGGCTTCTATTGAAATATAGTTATAATTTAGGTACGTTTAAACTTTAGCAGAAATGTTCAGTTAATATGAATTTATTTGTGTTTTCATAAGTTAAATGCCATTAATGACCTGTGTTGACAAACATGAAATGTTCTTTTTCATTAAGTGATAATTATTTAATAACAGAAAATGACAAGAAAGTCAAAGATGAAATATCTGTTGATGGATAGATTTCCTGCAGATGTGTATCATTAACTCCTACCCACCAATTTCAGTGTAGCATATTTATTTTATGCCATGTAATAAGATGTTATTTGGCTACATTATCGAAAATGATAGCATAAGTTATGAGCATAAAACAGGTGACATCAGGGTTATTTTTATAAAAGGAGTAGTTAGACCAGAACATTATGTTGAGATTAATTATCTATTTTAGAGACTAGTCTTCCTTTAAATTCTCTCCGGATAGAGTTGAAAGCATTGCATGGCCAGATTAATCAGACTTACCTGATATATCAGAGATTTCTTCTTGGTGCTTTCATGATGCACCAAGGACTTTATTCTTCCTACAGCATACTCTTTTTCATAAAGGTAAAATTCAGGCCTCACAGGTTTTGACAAATCTTAAGTTATACTAAGTCAAGAGCAACCTCCAGCTTTAAGATTGTATTTGTTTTGACCGTAGATAAAAGGAACACAAACCTAGATGTTGGTCTTGGATATTGACTTAATAAGGGTCAATACTTTGGTAGTAAATATTATATTAAGCGTAGGTACTTGGAATTGATTACAAGGTATATTCCTTAGCTAATTTGAAATTTTCATCTTTAAAATAACTCTTTTCTCATTTCTGCAGGTTCTCTGAAATTAAACCAGGGTGCTTGAAAGTCATGCTAAAGTAAAATAAACATCCTTGAATTAGAAGTATGAAGGTTTGTAGGTTAAAATTACTTTTATTTGCAGTAATTCAGTCAATTCTACCCTAAAGATGTGTTTTATTATAAATAATATTCAATTATGAAACAAAAAAATTATGATGTTTTTCAAAATGCAAGTGAGGTTTGATTTTTTACTGAATCAAATGCAAATGTTACCTGTTAAAGATATTACAGAGAAATTTTATTGATTACAAAATATGTAAGAAAATTATCAGCTACAGTTTTAAAGTTTAAAATGCTCTGATTGTTTCTCAGAAAAGGTTACCTTTGTATTAATTGTTGTATGACATTTAGTAATGTCCTAAAAGTCTTTTGTGAGAGGTATTTAAAGTGCTTTGAGACCTGATTCATGCCCCCCAAAGGGTGGTATTAAAAGAGGAAAAAGGACATAGTAGTGGTAGTAAAGAAAAAAAGGAGATCTAACAAAAACACTTGAATATTTTTTATTTTCAAAACTAAACACATAAAATGCTTTTATTTTGCCATATCCTACAGGAAGGAAGACATGCTTTTGCCCTTTCTTCTGCTTTGTATATGACCTTGATCTTTTACCTTTTGTTCTGTTCTTCTGTGTGCATTTTATGGAAAGAAAGTTGGGTCTGAGATTATATTGTAATTTTATACTTTCTATAGACAGAAAGGTTTTCAGAGAAAAAGAAATGGTTAAATATCTTCCAGATGTTGCTGCCTTATCGAAATGCTTCTAGAACTGTCTGTATAAGTCGTATTTCAGACAGTACTAAATACTTATATTTTATTTTTGAGGCATGTAATTTTAAAACTGCAGTAGGTTAAAATTCTATTAAACAAATATAGAAAATATTTTGTTTATAATTGGCCTGGTGTGGTGGCCCACGCCTGTAATCCCAGCACTTTGGGAGGCCGAGGTAGGTGGATCGCCTGAGGTCAGAAGTTCAAGACCAGCCTGGCCAACATGGTGAATCCCCGTCTCTATTAAAAATACAAAAATTAGCTGGGTGTGGTGGCGTGTGCCTGTAATCCCAGCTACTTGGGAGGCTGAGGCAGGAGAACCGCTTAAACCTGGGAGGTGGAGGTTGCAGTGACCCGAGATCGAGATCACACCACTGCACTCAGCCTGGGTGACAGAGCAAGACTCCGTCTCCAAAAAAAAAAAAGAAAAAAAAGAGAAAATATTTTGGTTATAATCATAAGAAGAATCCTTACAATTTAAAATATTTTCACTTTTATTTTGAAAAAGAGCCAACTTTCTCAAAGGAAGCTGTCATTAACTTCTGTTGTTTGGTTAGCTAATAAATTCTGTTAGTATGCAAGTTAAACCTGTGTAAAGGAGGTTATAATGTGGTAAGGTATAATTTTCCAATATGAGACAATGGCTTAAATTTGCCTTTGGAGATGGAGAATATTTTCAACATACATAATTTTAACAAATAGTTTTGTTGCTTTTTGTTAAGCTTAAAAAAAAATTTGGATCAGAAATTATAGGATTGAGCTGGTACCAAAAGAATCCTAAAGTACAGAATGGTTTTCCAAAAGAGCAGACATTTCAATGAAAATAAAACCCCAAAACATTTTTTTTATATATCATGATTGCATGCTTTTAAAATAAGGAGGCTTATCATTGAATTTTAGTTCCATAAAAATGAAAATACATGTTTATTATTTAGAAATGGTTAGTGACTGGTATTGAAGTATTATTCACACTTATGTTTGTAATAATTTATTTAAAGAATGCCAACAGTTTAGCACACTTTTGTAATCTCTAGAACAGTTCTATACATTAAAAATAAACATTAAAAATAAAGCAGTTCCTTTAAACAACTTACTATGAAACTATAATTGTTAATGAAATAAGATATTCCTATGTATACATTAGTATGATTTAAGGGTATGAAAAACAGTGCTAAAATGTGGAGTTAATTGGAATGTGTGCAGCTGCATACTCACTTTCTGTGTTTTTATATTTCCTTACCTAGTTTTAAAAATCATCACTTTTCGGCACTTCAGCTAGACTTATTTCAATATTATAATTATGATTAATGAAGGAGCAGTCAGAAGTAGAGGTGTGGTATTCCGTGGGCAGAAGTCAAATGAAAAAAGCTATATTGTTTACTTGTTTACTATATCAATGTTAATATTATGCCTTATTTTGATAAATCAAATAGTATATCTTAATCATTGTTGATAAATATACAGGCAAAGTTTGAGCATCATATGTATTTTTATGAAGCTGCTTAATTCCAAATTGCCTCCCACCCCACTATCTAGCATAGTTTAAGCAACACATAATTTTGAAAGAAAAGTTTGTAATCCCTCCTTTCTTTTTTTTGCCCATTTCTAAATCCTGTATGCCCGCAGTAAAGATAGTTTGGGGATTTTAAAAGTTTTCTCTATTACCCATTTCTAAATCCTGTATGTCAAAGATAGTTTGGAGATTATAAAAATTTTCATGTATTGGTGTAGGTTGAGTATCCCTAATGAGAAAATTCAAAATCTGAAATGCTTCAAAATCTGAAATTTTTCGAGCACAGACATGATGCTCAAAGGAAATACTCACAGAGCATTTTACATTTGTAGGTTAGCGATACTCAACAAGTAAATATAATGCACATGTTCTAAAATATCCCCCCAAACCCCAGCAATCCAAAACACTTCTGGTCCTAAGCATTTTGAGTAGGGGATACTCACTCAACCTGTATATTTGTGCTAATACATGACTCATTAGAATGATTCTTTGTAAACTTAATATTTTAAAAGTACAGCACTTCTGTAGTATGGAAGGTTTCAGTAATAATTATATTCATTCAGTAGTCTCTTACCATTATCTCCCAGATGGAAAAAGAGGACTAATGTGGAAACCCCAGAGGGTGTCCAGTTGGACCAGGGAGATATTAGACACTTAACAGTATTTTCAGTCTGTCCATCTCTTTATTCCAATGTGAGAAATGGAAGTGTTTTTTTTTTTACGTTTATTGGCTCTTCATATTTCTCTACATTATTTTTAATGTGCAGTTTCTTCAATTGGTTAGTATTTCCATACTATTTGCAACTTTATGGCCTTTAAATATAGGACATATTATATAGCAGAAATTTTGACTTTAAATCCTCTTGAGTAGTATATTTTGAGAAGAAAAGCTATACTGCTCTTCTGGATGGTTTCCATCCTTTATTTAGGTCTTTTCTTTTTGAATTCAAGTGTTTTGTATGCTTAGAAAGTAGACATGTATAATATTGAGATCGGTTATTTCTGAGCTGGAAATTGGAAACTTTGGAAACTCAGGAAATTGCTCTGACAATGTTTTAACTGCTCTCAATTTAAGAAAATGACGAAATGTATAAAAAAGACAAAAATAACGTGTGCTGTTTTTTCCAAGTGCTTTTTCTAAGTGCTTTTCCATTGTGCAATGAGGTGAAGTTTGGTAATTTTTCGGTGTAGTAGTTAAATATTGCTCAATTTTTATTTACATGTAAAGAAAACAGATTTAAATGTTTATGTGGCCAAAAGGTGTCATTTAAAAGGTAAAATAAGTTTATGTAGAATGTATGTTCATGGTGCTTATTTTTAAAATGTAATTCAAGTTTACAGTATTACTTAATGCTTCTTTACAGAATTTAATAGAGAAACAAGGCTAGAACACATCTACATCCTGAAGAGCCGTTTATAACTTCATATTATATGATGACAAAGTTCATTATTTTCCTTAAAGTTGAGCAATTGACTTTTATGGTCCAATGATGAACTTATTATTAATAAATGATTGAGTTAACTGTGAGGCTTCTCATTAAAATACAATATTGCAGCTATCAGTTGGAGAATATATTATAAAATTTTCAGACAGTATATCAGAAAAATGTTTTTATTTGTACTGTATAGAAAATGTAATTTTGCTGTTAACTCTGTACTTTTTAAATTGAAAATGTTTTATAAATTTGCTTTTAAATTTTCTTATGAAGCCATTTGCAAATTACATACTTAATTTAATAAAATACTTTAGCCACAGTCCAGTGTGAGGAAATCCTTCATTTGATGTATTAGAGTTAGTGGGTTAAATATTTTAAAATATTTTCATGTCTAACTTTGTAATTTCAGGGGGAAAGTGTCATGAAAATTTTATTTCTGTACCAAAACTTTTCTTCTGGTTTACGTTTTCTGTAGCAAATAAGAGTCTACTTTTGAACCAGATAAATGGATTGGCTATGGTTTCTCTCCTCACACCCTGTATCTTTTAACTGATATCAAAATTAAGAATTATATCTCTTAGAGGCCAGACGCGGTGGCTTATGCTTGTAATCCCAGCACTTTAGGAGGCTGAGACGGGCAGGTTGCTTGAGGTCAGGAGTTTGAGACCAGCCTGGCCAACATGGTGAAACTCTGTCTCTACAAAAAATTAGCCAGGCATGGTGGCATACACCTGTAATCCCAGGCATGAGAACTGCTTGAGCCTGGGAGGTGGAGGTTGCGATGAGGCGAGATTGTGCCACTGAGCTCCAGCCTGGGCAACAGAGTGAGACCATCTCAAAAAAAAAAAGAATCTCTTAGAGACTCAAGTAATGCTTTAAATAATATTAATGACCTTGGAACTTTATATTCGAGTCCAAAGCAGAATTCACTCATTTTGCAAGGACTTAAAAACATTTATCTAACAAATATTTAGAGCACTCGTTACTGGGGTTACAGGGTAAATGCGATAGAGCTTTTATCCAGAATTATAATTATTCTTATCAACTCCTATGTATATAGTGACTTATACTATGGGATACTCTCGTATATGTTATATTTTAAATCTCAAGAGAATTTTATTACATAGGTAGTGCTATCCCAATTTAATGAATAAAGCCACATAGACTTAGAGAAGTTAACTGGTTTGCTGTTTAATGTCAGAGGTATAACTTGAACCACATTCTCTGACTCCTAATATGGAGCAGCTGCATTTGTCCTAAGAGAGAATAGTTACTTATAAAGAGATAATAGTCTACTGTTCTCTCCAGAGAGTTGTGGCTCCACAGTATATGTCTTTGAAAACCTACCATTTATGATTCTGCCTTCTTCCTTTATACGAAAGCTGGTACTTTGGAAAAACCCAAAATACTAATGGCAAAAGGTAAAAGTTTATTTCTTTCTTCCTATAAAATCCCAGGGATAAAAATTCCAGGACTGCTTTACTTGACGCTTTTGGGAATCTAGGAAAGTTCATCATTCTGCCATACCCAAGATAATGGCCCTCATTTTCCTAGGCCAGGGTGGGTGGCTACATCTCTAACTGTCACATCTGTATTCTGCTGGAGGAAAGACAAAGAAAAAGGGAGCAAAAGGCAAGTGCCAAGTGGTCTTAAAGATGGTTTTTGGAACCTGCCGTAGGACACTTCTACTTACGTCCTATTGACCAGAACCTAGTCATGTCATATCTAGCTGCGAGGGAGGCTGGGAAATTTTCTATTTCAGACTGCCATGTTCTGCTGAAATTTGGTATTCTCTTGGAGGAAAGAGAATGGATATTAGGAGAATGAATAGCAGTCTCTGCCACATCATTTTTTATCATTATATGCAAATAATGTGAAAATTAGTTCTCGATGCATTGATGACTTCTGAGTGTTAGGAATCAAAAAAAGGAAATCACAGTTGTTGTTGTTTTTTTTTTGAGATGGATTCTCACTCTGTCACCCAGGCTGGAGTGCAGTGGTGCAGTCTCCCAAGTAGCTGTGATTACAGGCACCCACCACCATGCCTGACTCATTTTTGTATTTTTAGTAGAGATGGGGTTTCAGCATGTTGCCCAGGCTGGTCTCGAATTCCTGATCTTAGGTGATCCATCCGCCTCAGCCTCCCAAAGTGCTGGGATTACAGGTGTGAACAATCACACCCGGCCAGGGAATTTTATTCGGGGAGGATTGCTGTATATGATCCTGTTCTAGCCTCAAGTAGGAAAAAACTAAATGACACGGACTAGCTTAATAAGTGCTAATGGCAGGAAGTACATTAGTCAAAACATGTTTTTGGCATTGCTACATTAGCCCGCCCTATTTAATATAGGATATATGTACAGATGGTCTCCCACTTAGGATGGTTTGACGTATTTTTCGATTTTGTGATGGTGTGAATGCCGTATGCGTTTAGTAGAAACCATCCTTCAAAGCATGAATGTTGATTTTTCTTGTGCTGGTGATGGGCTAGTGATATGTGGTGCAATACTCGCCTGTGATGTTGGGCAGTGGAGCGAGCTGCAGCTCCTAGTCAGCCACGCTAACGTTAACTTTCCTAAGCACATTTAAGGTAGGCTAGGCTAAGCTATGATGTTCAGTAGCTTAGGGGTATTGGATGCATTTTCCACTTAAAATATTTTCAACTTACAGTGAGTTTATTACATAAGTGACCCCATTGTAAGTTGAGGAACATCTTTATTTCACATGCATTTCTTAGTTAGAAAACTCAGACTGACTCCCTAACTGGGAGAGTTGGGGAAACAAAAGATTCCAGATGAAAATACTAAACACACACTAAAAACACTGCATAGTTGATAAAGGGGCTTAGGTCAGAAATCTAAGTGAGAATATTAGAGGCACTTTTGCAAAAGGTGCCTCTGCTCCTGACTCATGTTAAGTTTTAGTTTTCAGTTTTGGGGTGGAGGGACAGATGACAAAGGACAGCAGACTTAAAGACTAAGACACTCCATAAACCTAACACCCCACAGAGCTTTATCCTCAGTGGGGATGGGGATGAATAAAACAATTTCGCCCTCCTTCCCACCCCCAGAAGGACTGCAAGGAATATTGTCTTGGCATGAGCAGAAGAGACCAAAAACTCAATCAATCAATCCTGACAAGTTAAAATCACTACTGGCCCTCACAGAATAACAGCCCGAAGTCATAACACCTAGAGTAGGCAAAAAAATGAGAAGTCGAGAATTGAATTGGTAGAGGTCTTGGCCTGATAATGCCGCCACTAGCTGCCTGACAAAGGCAAATGCAAATTTTCTCAGAGAGAATGCACCCTCATCTTGGAGAATTAGATCTGATCAAGGCTGTAGATCCAACAACCAATTTACAGGGATTACAGAGGACACAGGAATATGTGAGACATCAGGATGCAATTACCAGGATAGACTGGGAAACTGACAACACAATTTCTTTAAATAAGTTGAAGATAAAATAAAACCACACAGGTGGAGGGAGAACTTACCCATTGAAACAAAAGAGGCTTATACCAGTTGCAATTTGTGGACCTTTTTTGGGTACTGGTTCAGCAGAAAAACTTGACAATCACACGACAGTTGGCATTGTGAACATTGACTTGATAATTAAAGAACAATTGTTTTTTAGGAATGATGTGGTTGTATTTTTAAAAGGATCTCTATTTTTAAAAAAGAGATACATGCTGAAATATGTACGTAAAATGATACGATGTTAGCAATTCAAAATAAGATGGAGCAAGTGGCTGTGGGTACTTAGGAAACAAGATTGCCCATAAGTTGGTAAATGGGAAAGATAGATGTTTATTATACTAGAATGTCTACTTTTGAATGTATTCAAAGCTCTATAAAAAAGGATTTTTAAAAAGTTGATGGAAGAGCTGGAGAAGTGGATTCTAGACCTGGCTCTGGGGATGAATTCCAGAATGCTGCAGAATTAACCTGCATAGTAGCTGCTACGTCTGCCGTAATTTAAAGGTGAGGAATCAGGAGGCCCCCATGGCACTGTTGCCACAGCTGTCTCTTAACCATTCTCAAAGCTGGTGACTAGGCACCAGAAAAGTGTTGTAGAAATAGTCTCCATCATTTGCCTTTTGAACAGAATGAGCCGTACCAGTGGATAGATGGCCTCCACCTTACTTATGCCTCCGAAATCTCACTGGAGTGTATCTAATTGGTAGAAACTATTGTATTCTAATATATATAGAATTTTACCTTCATCAAAGATCTGGGAAATGTTCTTTTAAACTTTACGGAAAGGCTCATTAGAAGTAGAGCTGGGGCTGGGTGTGGTGGCTTATGCCTGTAATCCCAACACTTCTGGGGGCGAAGGCAGGCAGATCACTTGAGGTCAGGAGTTCAAAACCAGCCTGGCCAACATAGTGAAACCCTGTCTCTACTAAAAATACAAAAATTAGCAGGTGTGGTGGCACATGCTTGAAACCAGGAGGTAGAGGTTGCAGTGAGCCAAGATAGTGCCACTGCACTCCAGCCTGGGTGACAGAGTGAGACTCTGTCTCAAAAAAGAAGAAGAAGTAGAGCTGGAGGATGAGTATCAAATGCTCATATTTGCTACACCGATGATACTTGTCCAACCAGGTATAGAAATAAAATGGCTTGACATATTAGTCACAAAAGCATTGCATGTCAACTGGGATATTTAGAGGTATGCCAGGGAGTACCCCAAGTCCAGGATAAGCTTAGGATATATTTCAGGAGCACTGGTTTTACTCAATGGCAAATAATACACATTATTATTTAATGTAGCTTATTGGTGTATGTATTAGGGTTCTCCAGAATGAATAGGAGATAGATAGGGGATTTATCAGGAGAATTGGCTCCTGTAATTTTGGAGGCTGAGAAGTTCACACCAGGCCATCTGCAAGCAGGAGAACTAGGGAAGCCAGTAGCATGGCCAAGTACAAGTCTGAAGGCCACAGAGCCAGGGAAGCTGATGGTATCTTTCAGTTCAAGTGTGAAGTTCTCAAAATCCAAGGGGAGAGGACCCCATGTGGGCCTCTCCAAAGGCTGCTTGAGTGTCCTTACAACATGGTGGCTGGTTTCTCCAGAACAGGTAATCCAAGTGAGCAAAACAGAAACTGCAGTACCTTTTATGACTTAGTATTGGAAGTTTTTTGCAGTTATCTGCCAAATTGTTTGTTAGAACCAAGCCATTAAATTCAGCTAACTTTGAAGCACAGGAGAATTAGCTCTACCTTTTGAAGGATACAATGTCAAAGGATTTGTGTATGTATTTGGAAGCCATTATGTTTACTATGAACTAGGCACCACTGGGTACTTTGCAAATGTACCTAGTATAATCATAACCACCCGCTGGGGTAGGTATTATTGCCCACATGGCCGACATTGTTGTCTTACCCAACAGTTATTCTTTCTATTACAGCTCTTTTTGTTCAGGCATCTGGTGGCAGTGGGCTCAGGGAAGATCAACCCCTCTGTAGCTCCTGCAGGTGAATTTTGATTGGTGGAAAAGCCAATCATGGCAATGCCATTTCCCCTTGCCAGTGATTAGTTGGAGGATGGATATATGATCATACCAACAAGAATTCTGCTAGATTGGTTCTGGGAAAGGTTTTCCTCACGAATACAGAGAAACACATAGGAAGAAATGCATTCTTGTTCAGCAAGACTTTGTGTCTGTATGTGATGTCTGGAATTGCAGTTGCCTTGTTGAAACCATGAAGAGACAAACCTAAGGCCCAAGCCAATGTGCTAAGGATGGTGAGTGTAGAGAAGAAAAACCCTCTGTTCTTGATGATGTCATTGAGCCCCTGAATTAACTAACCCTGGAACTGACCTTTAGTGGCCTTGTTATGAGAGACAATAAGCTGCCTTTGTTTGGGTTTTGTGTTACACCTGGAAGCATCCTAATGATTTGATATACCCCTTTTTACAGACTAGGAAACATGTTCAGAGAGATTATAGAATTTGCGAAATCTTTCCCGGCTATTAATAGCAGAGCCGGGTTTCAGACTGAGATGTCTATGTTCTAAGCACCTGGTCTTTTATCAGTTAAGTGACTTTTCTCCAGCAATTCTCAGGAATCAGAGAGGAGAAACAGAGACATCAGTTGGTTTCAGCAGAGGTAGTGATTGGCGGATAGGTATGGGAAGGGTTCAGTGTGGGAAGGAAAGGAGACAAAATTCACGATGCTGTATGTGTAAGGTTGAAAAGCTTGACTGTGAGATACAGGCTGGTAAGGAGTCAAGTGGAATCCAGAGGGGGCTGATAGACTGGAATAGTGGAGGTGAGCAGTGAAGGTATAGTTGAGGAAAGAACAGATTCAGAAAGTTTGAGGGGGAGGGAAAGTGGAAGGAGGTTGTAGGAAGGAACCTTGAGAACTTCAGAGTTCAGAATATTAGGATGTGGGTATTTGTTCCTAAGGGAGTTTGATTTGTGGCTGAGCATGGAGATGATGGTAGTCGGAGTGGAGAAGGTCACAGAATTGATACCAAATTTCTGGATCATCCACTTTGTGTACATATTACCTAGAAAAGTGACAAGCAGTGCAGTAGAGAGGAAGATTGAAAGCCAGTCTGCTGGAAGTCTGGGTGAAATAAAAATGTTTTCTTTATTTGCGTGGTCTCCATTCTTCACATGGATAGGATCTGACTCAACACAGCCCCATGTTGAAGAAAGAATTATAAGGATTAATCTGTTTTAATCTGCTGCTTTGTCAAGACTGGAGAGACGAGATAGATAGGGTCACTGGGAGGGGCTGAAAGGAGAGAGTCATGAGAAATGGAGTTTCCTAGGTCTTTCTGAAACAGTTCTTTGCAGCGGGACCTCACTGTTTTGTTTGAAGTTGCTTCTTGCCTATTTATTTAATCCATCTGAATTTATGAAAACCAACAAAATAGGCTTATACATTGCCCATTATTTCAGATTATTGTGGTTTCCCTATTTATTTAAACAATTAAAGGCAACTCTGCTGATCTCTTTGCTGAGACTCTGAAGACTCTGGTGATCTCTTTGCTGAGCTGTAGAGTAAGAAGAGCTCACTGTCTTCTTAAGCTCTGGGCTACGTTTTTCTTTTCATTGTTCTGTCCTTTCTTAGATAAAATTATATTTTTTTTCAAAAATAATTTTTGGCAGTGGGTTACATAGGAATTTATTTTTAAAGTACCTTATTAATTTTGTTACCTTCATAGAATCATTAGCTAGAATATCTGAATATAGTTGTCTCTTATATTTCTTGGTTCCTGTCCTTAGAGTCATGTTAATAGTTTTAGGTCATATTCCTGTGATTTTATTGTAAGCTAGCTCAAATCTTTTTTTGGAAATAGGATAAAAATCAATCTGTACTTTTTTTTTTGACTTGCTCTATCACCCAGGCTGGAGTACAGTGGCACAATCACAGGCCAGTGCAACCTCTGCTTCCCGGGCTCAAGCAATCCTCGTGCCTCAGTCTCCTGAGTAGCTAGAACTACAGGTGTGCGGCACCATGTCTGGCGAATTTTTGTATTTATAGTAGAGATGGGGTTTTGCCATGTTGGCCAGGCTGGTCTTGAACTCCTGGCCTCAAGTGAT
The DNA here is from genome assembly GCF_000001405.40 of Homo sapiens. NCBI lineage: Eukaryota > Metazoa > Chordata > Mammalia > Primates > Hominidae > Homo > Homo sapiens. The sequence goes on from NC_000004.12 coordinate 40,165,490, forward strand.
CCACCTGCTTTGGTCTCCCAAAGTGCTGGGATTACAGGTGTGAGTCACTGTCTCTACTTTTAAGAGAAAAAGAAGCAAGGTGCAAAAGGGTACTCACAGGATGATCCATTAGTGTGTTTTTTAAAAGGATATGTATAGATAGATCCACTGATATACTATACATCTCTATGTACGTGTGTGTGTGTATATGTATATATAAATGCAAACCCACACATAGAGTGAATAGAATAGATTCTGGGCCCCTTATGACTCAGTTTCAAAGGATGTCATGTTCAGAAGTCAGTATTCCTCAAAGAACTTATAGGAAACATTTGTGTTTTATATAGCACAAGTTGAAATTAGTTTTCCCTTCATATTCTTTCTGTCTTCCATTCTTATATTCCGTAGATACCCCAAAGCCTCTGTCTCTATTTCTTCCTCTCCTCCTTTCACCAAAACCCTCCCTGATGTCTCTACCACTGCTGGGCCTTATCTATCTCCCTTCCCATTTTCTTTCTGTTTTCTTCTGCCTAGTGAATAGTTCTGGGCCTTTTGCATATAAATCTCTCATCTCAGCTTCCTTGGTTCTTCTCATAGAACACACCTCCCTCCCATTTGTTTTATCTACACAATAAGACAATGGAAGGTGGGGGTGTAGCCAGTGGGAAGTGGTCAGGATGCCAATATTGGAATCTTTTTCTTTGTTAGTAGGCAGGAGGAAGGAAGCTACAAATACCCCCACAGTAATAAGTTTTTTCCCTGTTTCACATGAAGAATTTCTGAAGGATTCTGTAAGAAACTGAACAGCAGGCTATCTGGCGGGATAGGCCTGTGGGGTCAGAGGTAGGAGAATTAGATTTTGCCTTCATTGTCTGAACTGTTTTTGTTTTAAAACTATATATATTACTATTAGAAAGTCATTAAAAAATAGAGATAATTGGCTGGGCGAGGTGGCTTATGTCTGTAATCCCAGCACTTTGGGAGGCTGAGGCGGGTGGATCACCTGAGGTTGGGAGTTCAAGACCAGCCTGACCAACATGGAGAAACCCTGTCTCTACTAAAAATACAAAATTAGCTTGGCGTAGTGATGCATGCCAGTAATCCCAGCTACTTGGGAGGTTGAGGCAGGAGAATCACTTGAACCCAGGAGACGGAGTTTGTGGTGAGCCGAGATCACACCATTGCACTCCAGCCTGGGCAACAACAGTGAAACTCCATCTAAAAAAAAAACAAACAAACAAAAAGATAATTAATAGATGCACTTTTTATTTTAAAATTTTGTGGGTACATTGTAGGTGTATACATTTATGGGGTACATGAGATATTTTTGATACATGCATGCAATGCATATTAATCACATCGGGGTAAATGGGATATCCGTCCCCTCAAGCATTTATCCTTTGTGTTACAAACAATTCAGTTGTTTATTTTAAAATGTACACTAAATGATTGTTGACTGTAGTCACCCTTTTATGCTATTAAATACTAGATCTTATTCATTCTAACTACACTTTTACATTTTGAAACATAGTGAAAATGTCATACTTGATATTAGAGTGAATTATTCAGTGTACACATTATATGTATTTTAATATGTTTCTCTTTAGGCTGCCTTCTAGTACCAAATGTTATAATCAGATAATTGACCTGGTGTTTGTGGTGATCTGATATTATCAGGAAAAGCATTACTCTGCCTTTTTAAACTCTTAAATTGATACAACTGCTGGAAGAAGGGAGGACAGATCCAAGAGATCTAATTTGTATATAATGGGAGTTCCAGAGTGAAATACAAGAGAAAAGCCAGATTTAATAGAAGTAAATTTCCTGAGCTGAATAAAGCCTTATATTTGCAGGTTGAAAGTGTTCACTAAATTCTAGGCAGGATTGATGAGAAAAGGCATACACCTAAACATACTCTGACAGAATTCCTGAATCTCAAAGTTAAAGAGAAAAATATATAAGATTCCAGACAGAAAGAAGTTATTTGCAATGGGAAAAGAATTGGACTGGTATCAGACAGTGGAATCATATCTATACCTGTTAAGAGAAAAGGAAAGTAACCAAGAAGTCTCTTTCCAGCCAAGCATCATTCACCTGCCAGAGTGAAAGGGATGCAGAAAGGATTCCAAGAATCTATCATCTGCATATCCCCATCTGAAGAAACTGAAAAGAGGACTGTAACTAAATAACAAATTAATGAGAATAGAGACTTCAAGAAATGAGAAGGTAAAGTAGAAAGGGAAGATGATGAGTGAACAATAAGCCTTGTAATATACATGGGTATGTATCTTAATGTACTTGGATGATGATGAAATGACTGAAAATGTGTACTATACGTGTTAAATAAAGACTCTTAAGATAAATGAGACTCATCTAACTAGAGCCTGGGAGTAAAAGTTACAATTTTTCTCAGCAAAACCTAAGAGGTGGTATTGGAGGAAAGGGAGGAAGAAGTAAAAACATTCTAAAAGTTTTATCTTATTGGGTGGAGGGAAAGCATCAAGGAATAGAGTAACTTGGTGGGGAAATAGTATATTCTTACATAATAGTAATAAAATATGTGTTTGATGATGTGTATTAAAAAAACATAACCACTAGTGGAGTGGGAAAGCATAGTGTCATTTTGAAATTATAAGAGGAAACAAAGGAATAAATTGTAACTTGATCATACCAGTATATATAAAGAAAAGGAAAAAAGAAAATTAATGAGGTAAGTTTAATAGTAAATATAAGCAAGAGAGAAGGAATAAAATGAAGAATATCAGTGATTATATTAAATGTAAATGAGCCCAATTTTCCTATCAACAGACAGAGACTATCAGAATGGATTAAAAACAAACCCAGTGAATATGTTGTTTACAAGAAACACACTTAGAGTGATAAAGAAGTATTTAAAGCAATTGGAAAAGCAATACTACAGATATATAAAGAGATTAAAAATTAGGAGAGGCAATATTAATATCAGAAAAGGTGGGACAAGCTATTAATGAACTAAACAGGGAGAAGAACAGTGCCTATAAAAGACAATATTTGAAGATAAGCACCAAACAATATCATAAAGATATAAATCAGAAGATTGTTATAAATATAAGGATAACATCATAAAAATGAAATTTATGGATTTTACACCTTTTTCAGAACTAGACAGATCTAGTAGACAAAAAATAGGAGACCACAGAAATCAATTGACCTACTTGCTTTAATAAATATATATAGAATTATACATTCTTCAGAGAATAAATATGTATATTTCTTTTTTCTTCTTTTTTTTTTGAGATGGAGTTTTGCTCTTGTTGCCCAAGCTGGAGTGCAATGGTGCAGTCTTGGCTTACTGCAACCTCCACCTCCCTGGGTTCAAGTGATCTCCTGCCTCAGTCTCCCGAGTAGCTGGAATTACAAGTGCGCGCCACCACACCCGGCTAATTTTTTGTATTTTTAGTAGAGACGAGGTTTCACCATGTTGGCCAAGTTGGTCTTGAACTCCTGACTTCAGGTGATCCGCCCACCTCTGCCTCCCAAAGTGCTGGGATTACAGGCTTGAGCCACTGCGCCTGGCCAAATATATATATTTCTAAATGGCTACTAACTAGTTACAAAAATTTATCATAAACTTGGCCACAAAAATAAAAAAGGGCCGGGCGTGGTGGTTCTCGCCTGTAATCCCAGCACTTTGGGAGGCCAAGGCGGGGGGATCATCTGAGGTCAGGAGTTTGAAACTAGCCTGGCCAACGTAGAGAAACCCCGCCTTTACTAAAAATACCAAAAAAGCCTGGCATGGTGGCACACACCTATAATCCCAGCTACTTGGGTGTCTGAGGCACGAGAATTGCTTGAACCCAGCGGGTGGAGGTTGCAGTGAGCTGAGATCGCTCCACTGCACGCCAGCCAGCAAAACAGAGCAAGACTGTCTCAAAAAAAAAAAAAACCTTAAAAATAGAGATTTTTAAATTTCACATTATTTGATGAAATTAGAAGTAAATTAATGAAATTAGAAATATATAAAAGATTTAAAAATAATTATTTGAAATTTGAGACTGCCCTCCTAAATAATCATTGGATCAAATTAGAAACTGAACTGAAATGATAAACTTTGTAAAGAAAAAAAGGGAAACTCGACATAACCAAACCTACAAAAGCCAGCAAGAGCTGTATGTAAAGTACATAAAGATTGGAAATTCAGTGCTCATCTTTAAAAAAAAAAACAAAAAAAAGGAAGCTGGGTGTGGTGGCTCTCGCTTGTAATCCCAGCACTTTGGGAGGCCGAGGTGGGTGGATCACCTGAGGTCAGGTGTTCGAGACCAGCGTGACCAACATGGTGAAACCCCATCTCTGTTAAAAATACAAAAATTAGCTGGGCGTGGTGGCAGGCGTCTGTAATCTGAGCTACTCGGGAGGCTGAGGCAGAGAATTGCTTGAACCTGGGAGGCAGAGGTTTCAGTGAACTGAGATTGCACCATTGCACTCCAGCCTGGGTGACAGAGCAAGACTCAATCTCAAAAAAAAAAAAAAAAAGTAAAATAACCATAAAAGAAAATAGAGGAGGAAATTAAGAAAAGACTCATATTAATGAAATTTAGAAAAGATAAAAAAATCTCTGAAAAAAGAGAAACGTCTTATGAATTTGAGGGTAAAAAGCTTTTAAAAATTAAAATATACATTTAACTCAATAATTGTGTCTATAATTTTCATGGAAATAAAAACATAAATTTCAAGATATATACCCTTAATCATTCAGTTTTTTTAGGGGGCCTACTTACTATGTACACTGGTCATCCCAACTTAAGAGTCCATTGTGGTAATATATTTAAAGATTACAAATAAAAAAGAAAATGAATTAGGTAGTTGTCTAATAAGAGCACATGCAGGATGGCCGGGTGTGGTGGCTCACGCCTGTGATCCCAGCACTTTGGGAGACTGACGCAGGCAGATCACTTGAGTTTAGGAGTTGAAGACCAGCCTCGGCAACATGACGATACCCTGTCTCTACAAAAAATACAAAAATTAGCCGGGTGTGGTGGTGCGTGCCTTTAGTCCCATGCGCCACCACAGTCCCACTCTACTTGTGGGGTGCTGAGACAGGAGGATAGCTTGAATCTGGGAGGTTGAGGCTGCAGTGAGCTGAGTGGTGCCACTGAACTCCATCCTGGGTGACCAAGTGAGACCCTGTCCCCCAAAAGAAAAAGCACATGCAGGAGCTCAGTGGACCTCATCCATTTTTGTGTTCTAATTGGAAATTGTTGACTACCTTTTTTCAGCTGTATCTTTTTGGCCAGATGTTACCAAATGAGATCATTTCCTGTTCAATAGCTCTATCAGGTTATGCATTAACTTAAATGATTGAGTTAATATGTCATGGGCCATTTAAGACAGTGCAATTGTATTTCACATATCCTCATTTTGCTCAATGATGTATTTTCTATTTTGGTTCCTCTTTGATATGTTGGAAAGGGATTGAAACTAGGAGATAAGTGATATGGAAAAGGCTTTTACATGTTTATGATTGAGAGATTTATTTACTTTCTTGGCAACTTGTTTGAGAATACAGTTTTAATATTTCAGCAAAAGCAGATTGGTGTATATTTTATTTAGGGATGCCCAGTTTAATGATTGTATCAGTTATATTGGAGTTTGGTCAAGGCATTTAGGTATATTTAGCCTATCTTGCTAGGTTGCATATTTAAAGGACTGGGCTTCCACTTTTCTCAGTCTATCTTCTGCCCTTCGCAAGTTCTTCCAACGTGAAGTGCCAGGGCATGCTGTCACTTTCATCGTTTGTCCATCCCTTCTGCCAAAAACTAGCCAGGAAACCAGGAGACGAGCTCTAGGAGAAGGCTGCCAATACCACTGGCAGAAAGAGAGTGCCATCTTGTTTTCTACTTATTGCTGTTGAGCCTGGTGTTGGTGCTACCTTTGCTTCCCAGGGTAATGCTGTGTGGTGATTCCCGTGCAACATGGCCAGAGAAGCATTTCAGTGTTGTCTGATGACACTTAGGTTCAGCTTTGGATCATCCCCTGTGATGTGGCTGGGTGTTATGGCTTGAATTATGTTCCCCCAAAATTCATATGTTGAAGTCCTAACCCCCAGTACTCCTGAATGTGATCTTAATTGGAGGTATTCTTTACAGAAGTAATCTAGTTGGATTAGTCAGGGTTCTCTAGAAGGACAGAACTAATAGGATAGATATCTACATAAAGGGGAGTTTATAAGGAGTATTGACTCATATGATCACAAGGTGAGACCCCACAGTAGGCCATCTGCAGGCTGAGGAACAAGGAAGCCAGTCGAGTTCCAAAACCTCAAAAGTGGGGAAGCTGACAGTGCAGCCTTCTGTCTGTAGTCAAAGTTCCAAGAGTCCCAGAGCTGATGGATGTGGAGTCTGATGTTCGAGGGCAGGAAGCATCCAGCACAGGAGAAAGATGGAGGCCGGGAGACTAAGCCAGTCTAGTCTTTTTCTGAGATGGAGTCTCACTCTGTCGCTCAGGCTGGAGTGCAGTAGGCGCGATCTCAGCTCACTGCAACCTCCACCTCCTGGGTTCAAGTGATTCTTGTGCCTCAGCCTCCTCAGTAGCTGGGATTATAGGCATGCGCCACCACACCTGGCTAATTTTTTGTATTTTTAGTAGAGATGGGGTTTCATCATGTTGGCCAGACTAGTCTCGGTCTTGAACTCCTGACCTCAAGTGATCTGCCCACCTCGGCCTCCCAAAATGCTGGAATTTACTGGTGTGAGCCATCACACCCTGCCAACAATCTAGTCTTTTCATGTTCTTCTGCCTGCATTTATTCTGGCAGGCAGATTAGATTGGCAGCTGATTAGATTGTGCCTACCCAGATTGAGGGTGAGTCTGCCTTTCCCAGTGCACTGACTCAAATTTTAATTTCCTTTGGCAACATCCTCACAGACACCCCCAGGAACAACACTTTGCATCCTTCAATCCAGTCAAGTTGACACTCAATATTAACCACCACACAAGTTAAAATGGGGGTAATTTGGGTGGACCCTAATCCAATGTGACTGGTGTCCTTATAAAAAGGAGGAATTTGGACACAGAGATAGCCACAGAGGGAAGATGATGTGAAGAGACACAGGAAGAAGACACCACACAGGCAAGGAGAGAGGCCTGGAACAGCTGCCTCCCTTGCAGCCCTCAGAAGGCACTAGCCCTGCTGACACTTCGATTTTGGAATTTAGCCTCCAGAACTATGAGATGATAAATTTCTCTGAAGCCACCCATTCTGTGGCACTTTGCTACTGTAGCCCTAGCAAACTAATACAGTGAGGTTGGATCAGTTCAACTCAGCAGTGTGTTTGAATCTGTGAATGACCATTTCACTGCAATCTTCCCAACAATGTGTTTTATAATATCTTAAAATCTCCAAATCTTCAGCACATGCCTGGCTAAAGTAATATTACTGTTTGTTAAATAAACAAAGGAATGGTTACATTGAATCTACGAACTTTTTTGCTTTTTTTTTGCAAAAGCACCACCCAGTATTCCCTGTAAGTATCTTTGAAATTATGTCCAGTTGACACCGCCTTGCTGTTGACAGTTTGCTCCCCTAACTTCCCCTGCCATTGTCCCCATCCCTCTACCCCCAGCCCAGAATAAAAAAGGATCTTTGTGGTCATCTAACTCTACTATCACCATCAGTAGAGGACATCTCTTGCGCATCAGGCCAACTTCCCCTTGAACCCCTTGTCCCCTTAGAGGGGCTAGTTTAGGAAACCTCTGTTCTCCCACCTCAGCAAATTGCTCAGATCCTGGGTATGGACAAATTGGCCACCCAAAATTGCAAAAGGTAGCTGATTACCCTAAATGCAGGAACTCCCTGGAAAGCACCCCATGATCACAAATAGTTTTTGCTTGAATGTAGTTGGATGAAGATGAGAATGTGATCCCTGGCAAGTTAGATGCTGTGGGAATACAACCCCTGTCCTCAAGGATTTACACAATAGCAGGAAAGAAAATAGGATACTCATTGCTATACTAGGAGGCAGCATTTGTAGTACACACTACGTGAGAGGTATGAGGGAACAGAGGAAGAAGTTCATTTTGACTGGGGCAGCCAAGTAAGGCTCATGATGATGAACATCAGATGGAGGTGAAGGGAAATACGCTCTGTGCAAGGTTAACAGTGTATTCCCAAACACACCCTTCCTTGTAAAGTGAGCCTGAAAACAGGCTGACAGTCAGTGGATATACACCAGTGCAAGTGGACCAGTTAGTCACAGTCAAAGTCAAACTGTGTTCTCACTGCAGAGAGCCTGGGCCGAACTCTTGTTAAATATTTTGCATATCACCTCTATTGGCAAACCAGTATTTCCTTTTCTCTGCGTTATCACTTTCTCTTTCCTCTCTCTGCTCCCCTGTCCTCTCCTTTTACCTCCCTTTTCTTTTCTCATTTCTTTTTTTCTTTTTCCTGAACTGATGGCAAGAAATAGAAAGTACGGATTTGAAGTTTTACTCATAAACTTTTCTGGGCTTATTTCTAATTATAAAAGTAATAATGCTTGTGAGAAAAAAACACTAAAACTACAAAAAAAGGTATAAAGCAGAAGAAATTTGAAGTCTTTATTAATCTCATTGAAAACAAACAACTGGATAGCTATTGTCAAAAAGACGAGAGGCTGGGTACAGTGGCTCATGCCTAATTCCAGCACTTTGGGAGGCTGAGGCGGGAGGATTGCTTGAGTCTAGGAGTTCGAGACCAGCCTGGGCAAAATAGCAAGACACTGTCTCTACAAAAAATAAAAAAATTAACCCGATGTGGTAGTGCATGCCTGTAGTCCCAGCTGCTTGGGAGGCTGAGGCAGGAGAATCACTTGAGCCTAGGAGATGGAGGCTGCAGTGAGCCGTGATCATTTAAAGAAATTAAAAATAGAATTACTAGATGAGCCAGCAATCCCTCTTCTAGGCATATACCCAAAGAAAATGAAATTACCACCTCATGAAGATATCTGGACTCCATGTTCATTGCAGCATTACTTACAGTAGCCAGGATGTGGAAACAACCTAAGTGTGTGTTGAAGAATGGATTAAAAAAACTGCTGGCCAGGTGCGGTGGCTCACGCCTGTAATCCCAGTACTTTGGGAGGCTGAGGTGGGTGGATCATTTGAGGTCAGGAGTTTGAGACCAGCCTGGCCAACATGGTGAAACCCTGTCTCTACTAAAAATGCAAAAATTAGGCGGTGTAGTGGTGCGCACCTGTCATCCCAGTTACTCGGGAGGCTGGGGCAAGAGAATCGCTTGAGCCTGGGAGGCAGGGGTTGCAGTGAGCCGAGATCGCGCCACTGCACTCCAGTCTGGGCGACAGAGTGAGATGCTGTCACAAAACAAACAAAACTGTGCTTAGTGTTCACAGCAGTTTGGGAGGAAAAAAAGAAAAACTGTGCTATAGATAGACTCTGGGATATTATTCAGCCTAAAAAAAAAAAAAAGGAGATCCTGCCATTTGCTGCCACGTGGGAACCTGAAGGACATTATGTTAAGTAAAATAAGCCAGTCACAGAAAGAAAAGTACTGCTTGGTCTCACTTGCATGTAAAATTTTGTTTTGTTTTGTTTTTTCAAAGACAGTCTCATTCTGTTGCCCAAACTGGAGTGCAGTGGCACAATGAGAACTCACTGCAGCCTAGAATTCCTGGCCTCAAGCAATCCTCCTGCCTCAGCCTCCCTAGTAGCTGGGACTATAGGTGCATGCCACTGTGCCTGGCTAAGTTTGTTTTTTTTATGGTAAAGACAGGGTCTCGGTGTGTTACCCATGTTACCCAGGCAGGTTTGGAACTCCTGGCCATATGTGCGTCAGCTTCCCAAAGTGCTAGGATTATAGGCATGAGCCACCAAGCCTGGTATATATGTGAAATATAGAAAAAAAAAAAAAAAAGCCAAATATACAAAGACAATAAAATAGTGATTACCTGGGGCAGGGTGGGAGGTAGGAAGTAGGGAGATAGAGGATGGGGGGATACAAAGTAGCAGACACCTGGGATGAACCAGTCTGGAGATCTGATGCAAAACATGAGAACTGTAGGTAATAATAATGTATTGTATTCAAAAGAAAAACAACTGGCGGGTCACTGAGGCTCATGCCTGTAATCCCAGCACTTCGGGAGGCCGAGGTGGGCGGCTCTTCTGAGACCAGCCTGGGCAACAAGGCAAAGCCCTGTTTCTACCAAAAAATACAAAAAGTAGCAGGGCGTGGTGGCGGGCGCCTGTGGTCCCAGCCACTCGGGAGGCTGAGGCAGGAAAATCGCTCTCAAACTCAGGTAACGGAGGTTGCAGTGAGCCGAGATTGCGCCCCTGCACTCCAGCCTGAGCAACAGAGACTCGTCTCAAGAAAAAAAAAAAAAAAAAAAAGGCCTGTATTCCCAGCACTTTGGGAGGCCGAGGTGGGTGGATCACGAGGTCAGGAGATCGAGACCATCTTGGCTAACACGGTGAAACCCCGTCTCTACTAAGAATACAAAAAATTAGCCGGGCGCGGTGGCGGGCGCCTGTAGTCCCAGCTACTTGGGAGGCTGAGCCAGGAGAATGGCGTGAACCCGGGAGGCAGAGATTGCAGTGAGTTGAGATCGGGCCACTGCAATCCAGCCTGGGCGACAGAGCGAGACTCCGTCTCAAAAAAAAAAAAAAAAAGAGAAAGAAAAAAAACAAATTTTGATGATTTTCCTATCCAGCCTCTCTGCTGTGTATATAAACATTTAAATAGTTGTGATCATATTTTATAAATATGTATCTTTGCAATGATGAAAAATGATTTTTCATCTTGCAATGATTTTGCAAGATAAAAAAGTTAAACCATCTTTTCTGAGGTTCTAAAAAGAAATAGTTACAAACATATAATAATAACATAATTTATTTTCCTGTTGTTGGACATTCATGCTGATCAAAATCTTCACTAAGAATATGAACATCTATCCTTATTTTTGTTTCCAAAAGTAGATTCTTAGATTAATTTTTGTCCCTTATATCTCCCTTTCTTTGATTAGATCATTGTTCATCATACAAGGAGTGGAGAGTGTATAGTTTTGACAAAAGTACTCCCGAGGTGATTCTGATAAGCATGCCTCCCTCTCCCCCAACTCCAGTTAAGAAATGTAGGATTAAGGCACTGAAGTCACTCTGTGGCGACTGGGAGAAAACACGAGAACAGTAACCGTAACAAATGCCTGAATAATTGTGATACTCTTTTCTCACTGAGTTAATTATTCAAGCTCCCTGTGCTAGAATTCACAGTCAAAGCAGATGTCCCTGAGACAGCCATGTGGGAGAGGGTCCCTGAAGAAACTCCACCCAACCTGCCCACTGAGGTGGAGCCTCGGGAAGTTCATGCTGTTTGCAGCAGGGAGGAACCTGGCCCCTCCTCTTCCTGGGTAGAACCTGGGATTCAAACTGCGTGCGGGAAGCGCTCTAGCAGGAGACTCTGGCCTTTCGGGGGATCCCTGTTTTCCCCCGCTTTTTTCCCTTTTCACCCAATAAAATCCTTTTCTCATCCTTTAAACCGTCTGCAAGCCTACATTTTCGTGGCTGTGGGACGGATAAGAACCCCCTCTTTGGCGGAATTAAGGAAGAGTCCTGCAACATCAACCAAGAGTATTTTTGCAGCAGACAGCAGTGGAAAGCTAGCCTGCTTCTCTGTCTTCCAGAACTTTCCTCCAATGACCAACCTGGAGGGGGTCGTGCCTAGCTAAAGCTCAACTCTGAACACAGAATTCACACAGTATTTCATGTTTCTATTGATTATGAAAGGAAACAGATAACTAGGTTCTTTGGGAGATAACAGGTGATCTGGTACCATGCAGAGGGAAGGAAGGGAGGGAAAGGGAATTTGTAGTTGTTTTGCTTTTTAAATACTTCTTCCTGGGCCCGGCACGGTGGTTCACGCCTGTAATACCAGCACTTTGGGAGGCCGAAGCAGGTGGATCACCTGAGGTCAGGAGTTCGAGATTAGCTTGGCCAACATGGTGAAACCCCGTTTCTACTAAAAATACAAAAATTAGCTGCGCATGGTGGCAGGTGCCTGTAATCCCAGCTACTCTGGAGGCTGAGGCAGGAGAATTGCTTAAACCCCGGAGGCAGAGATTGCAGTGAGCTGAGATCAAGCCACTGTACTCCAGCCTGGGTGACAGAGCAAGACTCTGTCTCAAAAAATAAAATAAATAAGAAGAAAAAAAATAAAGACTTCTACCTCAACTAGAGCACAGACTCCGTGTGAGGATATCTGATTTTCAGTATCAAATGCTCTCATTTTCTAGTGTCAGATCCCTCATTTGTAGAGTGTAAGGCTTTGGCTCTCTTTACGGCTGCTCCCAGCTCTAATGTTCTTCCATCTTCTCTGCAGTCATCTCACATGCAGGGCTCTTTAGGGGACAGCAACTTTATTTTCACAAATCTTACATAGCCCAGGTGCCTGCATGGGTTCACTCTGTCCTTTGAATAAAATAGTCTCAAATAAATGCTTTTGTTATGAAATGAGAGCAACAGAAAACAGAAAGATGAGGCATTTAACTTAAGCAACCAGAAAAAAACAAAAACAAAAAAACAGTAAGTAGAAAGTAAGGTGCCTGTAATCCTAGCTACTCAGGAGGCTGAGGCAGGAGAATCGCTTGAACCCAGGAGGCGGAGGTTGCAGTGAGCCGAGATCATGCCACTGCACTCCAGCCTGGGTGACAGAGCGAGACTGGGTCCAACAAACAAACAAACAAAGAACCCAACAAAACAAAACAAAACAGGAGGATGAATTCTTTGCTCAGAAATGTGTACAATCTAAAAACAATCTTTACCTTTCTCTCAACTGTCAGTGTCAACACAAATGGGATAGAATCAGAAATGAATAAATTGGAAAATAATGATAAAGCAAGAGTTAGCAAGTAAAATCAAAAGTTGTTCCTTTAAGATATATAAATGTTGTAGGAAAACCTCCGGCAAGACTACTCCCCCGCCCCGCCACCAAAACAAAAAAAAAAAGAAAAGAAAAACCTTCATCTTTAGGCACAAGAAAGGTACTCACAGATATGAAAGAGATTGAAGAATTGTAACTAGTGGTACTTGGGCAGCATGTACCTTTCTGGTAGATTTCAATGATTATTAACGTGGGCATACTTTATCATTGTAAAAAACAATCACCACTCTTGGTCTTCCAGCTACCATGCTTAACAAGGACAATATCCAGCTCTCTAGATAACGAAATAAGTTGCCCAGGACAAAACAAAGTTTTGGAAAGGTTTGAACAGACTCCGTCTGCACAGTTTCCTTGAGACATGCGAAATGTGTAGGGAACGAACTTCCTTTCAATATGAGCACACATTTGCCTTCCATGGGATAAGACATGCTTAGTGCAGCTGCTGTCGGAGAGCTCTGTCAGGGCAAGACTCACAGTTGAAACTCCCTGCCTCAAGTTCTTGTATTTGCTTAAACCTGGCTGAGTTTTTGCAGCTGGTACTTCTATTTGATTTGCAGTGTGACACTGCCCTTCTCATTTTCTGTCTTTGTGGTTGCCGATTTTTCATTTTTATTGATAGCAGCAGGTGGCAGAAAGCATAAGACCATTATAAGGAATGGATGTATTTGTGGAGCATTTATTTATGGGTCCTAGTAGATATTAAAACGTTTTGGAGGCTGGGCGCAGCAGCTCATGCCTGTAATCCCAGCAGTTTGGGAGGCCGAGGCGGGCAGATCACAAGGTCAGGAGATCGAGACCATCCTGGCTAACATGGTGAAACCCTGACTCTACTAAAAGTACAAAAAAATTTAGCTGGGTGTGGTGGCTGACGCCTGTAGTCCCAGCTACTTGGGAGGCTGAGGCAGGAGAATGGCATGAACCCGGGAGGCAGAGCTTGCAGTGAGCCAAGATCGAGCCACTGCACTCCAGCCTGGGCGACAGAGTGAGACTCCATCTCAACAAACAAACAAACAAACAAACGAAAAACATTTTGGAAAACTACCATTGAGTCACAGCAAAACTAATAGTAGCTAATGTTTATTGAAATCTTCTGTGTTGCAAGAGGGTGCTAAGCAGTTGGTATGTACTAATTCATTTAATCCTCACAACAGCCATAAGAGGTGTAGAGGCTATTATTATCCCCATTTAACAGTTGAGGAAACTGAGGCACATGGAAATTAAATAATTTTCCTGAGGTTACACAGCATAATCAAGATTTAAACTTGGGCAGGTTGGTGCCAGAGACTGTGCTCTTAACCATTATATTATTGCAATGTAATTTTGAAAGAATGATAAATCATGAATTATAGGAAAATATTGTTTACATTTTAGAGTGGTAAAGCCTTTCTTTTTTTTTTTTTTTTTTTTTTGAGACGGAGTTTCACTCTTGTTGCCCAGGCTGGAGTGCAGTGGAGTGATCTTGGCTCACGACAACCTCCACCTCCTGGGTTCAAGCCATTCTCCTGCCTCTGCCTCCCGAGTAGCTGGAATTACAGGCATGCGCCACCACGCCCGGCTACTTTTGTATTTTTAGTAGAGACAGGGTTTCTCCATGTTGGTCAGGCTGGTCTTGAACTCCTGACCTCAGGTGATCCGCCCACCTCGGCCTCCCAAACTGCTGGGATTACAGGCATGAGCCACCGCGCCTGGCCTAGAGTGGTAAAATCTTTCTAAGCAATTGCTAAACTTAAAAACTTGGGCATGGCAAAAGACACCATAAATAAAATAAAGACAAATGACTGAGAGATAATGTCTGTAACATATAAACAGATTATTGATATCTTTCATATACAAACAACTTTTCTAAACTGATATAACAATATTCAATAGAAAAAAATGGGCACAAGATATAAATATGCCATTTTAGAGGAGAAATACAAATGACCAGTAAATATGTGAAAAGATGTTGAATCTCAATAATAATTAATCAGCAAGACACCACTTTTCAACTAGAAAACTAAAAAAATTTCTGATAAAATCTAAAAAGATTTCTAACATCTGGTGTTGTGATAATGCAGGCAGATAGTTAGTCACTCTCATACATCACTGGTGGACTTCCCTGGAGTGGATTTGGCAATATCTACTACAATAAAAAAAAAATCTACTCTGAAACCTGCAAAGTCACTTCCTGTCATTATTCCACAGGAATACTTAATTACTCATGCACAATTCATTCATGTACAATCAATTCAGTTCACAATTACAAAACGTGTTACATCATTTTGTACAAGTATAGCACTGTTGGTAATAGCAAAAAAGTGAAATACATCAAGATGGGCTAGTTAAATTAATTATGGTACTTCCATACAATGGACTATTATGTTGCTATTAAAGGGTGAGGTTAATCTATTTTCCAGACTTCTTGTCCTTGCTATATTGATTGGTGAAAACAAAACAAAAATAAGTTGTAAAACAATATGTCTACCATGACCTTATCCTGGTATAAAGAAAAACTGTAGGCCAGGCACGGTGGCTCACACCTGTAATCCCAGCACTTTGGGAGGCTGAGGCGGGTGGATCATGAGGTCGGGAGTCCGAGACCAGCCTGACCAAGATGGTGAAACCTCATCTCTACTAAAAATACAAAAATTAGCCGGGCATGGTGGCATGTGCCTGTAGTCCCAGCTACTCGGGAGGCTGAGACAGGAGAATTGCTTGAACCTGGGAGGCAGAGGTTGCAGTAATCTGAGACCTCGCCATTGCACTCCAGCCTGGGTGACAGAGCGAGAGTCTGTCTCAAAAAAGAAAAAAATATATATACATTGGCCAAATCTTTGCCCTTGTTCTCTCCCCTAAAATAGTCATTGGTGGCTCTAGCCTGTCACCATATTGCTAACCCACTGTCTCTTCTTGTCTCTGTTTTCTTTTTCAAGCAAGCTTGAAACTTCCCCAACTTTCTGTTCGTTTCTTCCGGATAGCAATTCAGTGCTACTGTTGTCATCCCTTCTTCTCAAAACATTTTCGATACTAGCTCATCTTGTAGATTAACATATCAATTAGGATTAGATTAAATTGTATGTGACAGAAAACCCCCAAGCAATGGTGGGCTGTGCAAGATAGAAGTTGGTTTTTCCCTACTGTGCAAATGAAACTGAGAGGTAGGTGCTCCAAGGCTGGTATGGCAGCAATGTCATCTTCAGGGACTTGGCTTTCTTCTCTCTTGTTCCTCCGAGCTCAACTCGCGGCTTTCATTTCACAGTTCAAGGTGGCTGCTCAAACTTAAGTAAGCACTTAAGAAGGAAAGGACAAAGAAGTCCGGGTGCGGTGGCTCACGCCTGTTAGTCCCAGCACTTTGGGAGGCTAAGGCAGGCAGATCACCTGAGGTCAGGAGTTCAAGACCAGCCTGGCCAACATGGTGAAACCCCGTCTCTACTAAAAAATACAAAAATTAGCCGAGCATGGTGGCACACACCGGTAGTCCCAACTACTATGGAGGCTGAGGCATGACAATTGCTTGAACCCAGGTGGCGGAGGTTGCAGTGAGCTGAGATCATGCTACTGCACTCCAGCCTGTGCAACAGAGCAAGACTCTGTCTCCAAAAAAGAGAAAGGACAAAGAAGAGAGTACTTCTTCCCATTAAAGACATTCCTGGGATTGCCTGGAGGTTGCTTACACCCCATTACCCAGGACTTAGCCACATGACTACATTCAGCTGAAAAGAAGATTGGGAAAAATAACCTTTATTATTGGCTACAGTGCTCAGTTGAAAATTATGTTCTGTTGCTAAGGAAACGGATTTTGGGGGATAGTCAGCAGTCTCTAACACAACTAACAGTGTTTTACCTTGCATACAGTAAAGGCTTTTCAGGCTGATACAAGAACATGCGCAGAGACAGGAAAAGGTGTTCATGTGCTTCGAACAGGACATGGGTGAAAGATCAGGCTAGAAAGAGAGGCAGATGCCACGTTAGGAAAGGCTTTGAGGGTCAGGCTGAGAAGTTTCCTTTTGTCCTGTAGGCAGTAGGGAGCCAAATAGATCCTTGTATTTGGTATAAATCCTTCCAGGGATGTAAGCTAATTGCTTGTCTGAGTTCATTTTATTTATTTATTTATTTTGAGACAGGGTCTCACTTTGTCACCCAGGCTGGAGTGCAGTGGCGGGAACACAGCTCACTGCAGTCTCCACCTCCCAGGCTCAAGCGATCCTCCCACCTCAGTGCCCAAGAAGCTGAGACTACAGGTGCACGCCACCATGCCGGGCTAAAATTTTTTTTTTGTAGAGACGAGGTTTCGCCATGTTGCCCAGGCTGGTCCATTTAATATATATATACATATGTATAGAGAGACAGAGTCTTGTTCTGTTGCCCAGACTGGAGTGCAGTGGCTGGATCTCAGCTCAATGGAACCTCTGCCTCCCAGGTTCAAGCGATTCTCCTGTCTCAGCCTCCCAAGTAGCTGGGATTACAGGCACCTGTCACCACGCCCAGCTAATGTTTGCATTTTTAGTAGAGACGGGGTTTCACCATGTTGGCCAGGCTGGTCTTGAACTTCTGACCTCAGGTGATCTGCCCACCTCAGCCTCCCAATGTGCTGGGATTACAGACATGAGCCACCATGCGTGGCCCCATTTAATATTTTTTAATATAAAAATTGTGTAAGTTCCAACATTTAGAAAATAGAGGAATGTATAAAACCAACCATGTTACCCTAAGACAATTCCTGTTAGTGGTTTGGCTTTGCTTCCTCATAGTCTTTGGAAACACTGTTGTAGTCATAATGCACAGATACAATCCCAAGTCCTGTTTCTCTTTTTGCACGTAACCTTGTATCATGAGCATCTCCTTATGTGGTCACATGATCTTCCCAAATACTATTTTCAAATGACCGTGTGTAACATCCCAGTAAGATAATCTACCAATCATTTCTATACAGTATTCTACATTTTTGGCCATTTAGGTTGGGTATTGGCTAAACTACTTTTTACATTTTTTTTTTTTTTTTGAGACGGCGTCTGGCTCTGTCGCCCAGGCTGGAGTGCAGTGGCGCGATCTCTGCTCACTGCAAGCTCCGCCTCCCGGGTTTACGCCATTCTCCTGCCTCAGCCTCCCGAGTAGCTGGGACTACAGGAGCCCGCTACCGTGCCCAGCTAATTTTTTTGTATTTTTAGTAGAGACGGGGTTTCACCATGTTAGCCAGGATGGTCTCGACCTTCTGACCTCGTGATCCGCCCGCCTCGGCCTCCCAAAGTGCCGGGATTACAGGCGTGAGCCACTGCGACCGGCCTACTTTTTACATTTTATAAGAGGTTGGTAGCTTCAACGTCATAAGCTTTTTGTTATTTGTTACTATATCATTAGAAGACAGTCAAGTATTAGAGTAATGAACTGTGGCTTAGGTAAGACATTTATCTCACATAATAAAAAGTAAGAGGTGGTAAGTGAGTCAACAATGCCAGGCTTCTGCTGTGTCTCTCTGCAGTTTTTTGGGTTTCTTTGCTTGTCCTCAGGGCTGCTGCAACCTTCAAGGCATCTAATTCTCCACGGCTACACCCAAAGCATGTAAGGAAGACGGGTGCTCCTGCCCGTGTCTACTTTAACTGGTGAGGAGGACCTCTCCCAGGAGCAAGCAAGACTTTCCCGAACATTTCGTTGATGAGGACTGGGTCACACAGCCACTCATAGCTGCAGGGGAAGCTGAGAAGCAGGAATCAGAAGATTCTTTTTCAGTCTTAGACATCATGATTCACCCCCTGGAACAGAACATTTTGTCCATCTCAAAATAGAGGTTCTTTAGCAAGGAAGAAGACATGACTATCGGGCAGGTAGTCATCTATGTTAAACGTGGGACTTACTGTGGAGACAAAGAAAACCACAAAAATGGTTTTCAGATTAAGTTCTCAGAAGCTTCCCTGTATGGCTGCACGGGCTAGAATGGAGAAACAGGCCCTCAAAATGCAGCACTGGACTTCACATTATTTTTTTTTCTTTACAATGAAACTTCATCTGCCTTTTTTTTTTTAAATAAAAAATTCCCAGCAAAGCAAAAAACTGAAGTGAAACCAAATACATTAGAGAATCACTGAAGAGAATAAACTATATGAGTACAGCTCTTTATTAAAAATAGATTGTAATGTTTATTTTTCTGATTATAGAGTTAATCCTTACTGATCATTAAAAATCTGCAGAGTACAAAAAATTAAAGAAAAAAGTGAAAAAATTATCTCCAATTTTACCATTCAGAGACAGTCACTATTACTATCGGGTCTAATTATTTGTTGCCTTTCAGACGTGAAAAATTTTTTTCATATTAAATTGAGATTTGGGCTGGGCATGGTGGCTCATGCCTGTAATCCCAGCACTTTGGGAGGCCGAGGCAGGTGGATCATCAAAGATCAGGAGTTCGAGACTAGCCTGGCCAACATGGAGAAACCCCATCTCTACTGAAAACACAAAAATTATCTGGGCGTGGTGGCACACATTTGTAATCCCAGCTGCTCGGGAGGCTGAGGCGTAAGAATCGCTTGAACCTGGGAGGCGGAGGTTGCAGTGAGCCGACATTGCGCCACTGCACTCCAGCCTGGGCAACAGAGCAAGACTCTGTCTCAAAAAATAAATAAATAAATAAATAAATAAAATAAAAAATAAATTGGGATTTTACTGTACAGATAGTTTAATTTTATAGCTTACTCTTTGTAATAATAAATCCATGTCCCTTTAAAAATAACAGTTTTTCTCTATTTTTTTCAGGTCTCCCTTCCATTCGACGTGTGCCTCTTGTTGTCCTGTAATGAATTAATTTGAAAAGTAATTTGTCTTCTGTAAGGGGAAATGCTGTAGAAGTAAATTGATTCAGGGAGTCCCCTTACTCATTGGCTGTGTGGCCTTATGTAAGTTGCTTAACCTTTCTGAACTTCACTTTTCTCATTTACAAAGTGAAGATGTTGCTAATAATAGCAATAGTGGTTTTTGCTGTTTTATGGTTTTCTTGTGATAAATGATAATATAAAAGGCTATTGTAAATTGAATTTGAAAGAAAAAAATTTAAAGTTAAAAGAAAACTTAGTAATGTGAATACCCTTTCAAAGTATTTTTAGAAATCTCATTATTGTATATTTAGAAGATTAAAAGACAAGAATTAGAGAACAAAAACAATTTTATTTTCTATTTTGAATAATAAATACTATAGAGATAGGTTTGCTCAAAATTGTAAAGCTTGTTTTGTTTTTGGTAAACATTTGAGAACTTAAACTTATTATTTGGAAAAAAACATTTTAATAGAAATTTTACTTTTTAAAAGGTTTATGTGGTTTTTAAAAAAAGCAAAAAACATTTGTTTATGACTAATCTTGAAATTTTATATGTAATTTAAAATGCCATGTAAGCAGGAAGGTACTCATTTAGGAGAAATTACAAAACTACTTCCTTTTCTTTTAAATGATTAAAAAAATGCACAGCTACAATAATTTAGGTAATAATAATAATAATGAGAACGCAGCAGGCTTAGTTTGAAACCAGACCTTGCAATCCTTGACTGCACTTGTCACAAACATGTTTTCCTCTAATGATCCTCAAGCATTTCCCACTACCTCTTTCTTTTTGAGCACAGACACTGAATTAATTACCCAGAAACCTCACTTTTTTATTTTTGAGTACTCCTTTATCTTCCCATGAGAAGAGAAAGCTACTGAGATTGCCCAGGATGTGTTTCCCAGGTATAATTTCCATTTTAAGGGAAAGTTAAGACAGGCCTTTTAAGAGGTTTGATGCAAAAGCCTCTGGAATCCCTTGTTTTTGGAGTCTGTCTGGAAGTTTGAATTGGCATTGGGTTGGAATCCTCTAAATATGATCCTATGTAAGCTGAGTAATGAGGAAGATGACTTTGCTATGCTTAGCTGTGGTTCAGTGATTCTCCCCTGAGAATCAACTGCTATAAAAATCACTGGTTATTATGTAAAACATTGTGACCGAAGCAGTGACAAGGGTTTATAGAGAAAACTTAGGTAGACTTGCTCAATGAAATTAAGAAAAATAAAAAAGGAACAACAACTTTTCATCTGGTTCATCTAAATGATAGATGCTCATTACAGAACATTTGGGAAATATGTGGCTGGGCAGCATGGCTCATGCCTGAAATACTCACTTGCCCACTGCTCACCTCCTGCTGTGCGGCCCAGTTCCTAACAGGCCACGGGTGGGTACTGGTCTGCAGCCCCAGGACTGGGGACCCCTGACCTAGAGGTTGCCTCTATAAACATTGGCATGTGTGTATACAACAAGTTGAATCCAAATTCGTTTTGTAACCTGCTTTTTTCACTTAACAGTATATTGTGAGCATGTTCCCATGTCATTAAAGATTTTTTGATTTGCAGTGAGCTGATATTGTCTGCTTCCTAGGACTGAGCCACCAGGATCAAAGAAAGGAAATCATTGCCTTCAAGAAGAACATGGTTGACTCGTGCCCATACTTGTCTCTCTTTCATTGAGCCCATGACTATTTTTCCTGATAAGTCATGCCAACTGGTATCAAGTCTCATCTGGATGACATATTTTGTTGTTGTCACTGTTGTTTTTTATCTATGGGCCCAATTGCAATTTATAAATAAGTACTCATTTTCACACAGATATTTTAAGCTGGTTCTTTTCATGATAATTGCATCAGTAATAAAGTGAATGAAATTCACAATTTTACTTCACTGACTCAACATTTATCATTTATCTTAAGCAGGGAATACTACCAAGACAAGAAATTAATTGGTGAGGAAGAAGGGATATGCTAATCTGAATCTGGCCTCCCAAAGCTTTAGCCAGATTATTCCTGATTTGCCAATAGGTCAACTATAAAATTTCTCTTGAAGTAAGGAAAACTTAAGGAGTGTGCTGTGTTCTGGTAAGCTGATTTTCTTGACCATTTTTAATACTGTAAATGGAATCTTTAAAAACAAACAAACAAAGCCTACATTCATCCAAAGCCAAAAATCTGTACACATTCTGGACATTTGTGCAAAAAAAAATTTAAATGGCTACATGTAATTAAAACGACACTGGTCATTTACTTTCCAACTCAGGACATACCCTGACTTCCTTGTGTTGGTTATATGTCACTATATGACACAGTTATTTATTTATTTTTAAAATTGTTCTATTTTTTTGTAGAGATGGGGTCTTGCTATGTTGCCCAGGCTGGTCTCAAACTCCTGGGCTCAAGTGATCCTCCCACCTTGGCCTCCCAAAGCACTAGGATTACAAGCGTGA
This sequence comes from Homo sapiens, assembly GCF_000001405.40. Taxonomy (NCBI): domain Eukaryota; kingdom Metazoa; phylum Chordata; class Mammalia; order Primates; family Hominidae; genus Homo; species Homo sapiens. The sequence continues at coordinate 40,187,604 of NC_000004.12, forward strand.
GCCACTGTGCCCAGCCTAAGATGCATTTTATTCACTTAAGAGAGCTAACCTGTTCAGATTATGAATTGACAAGTCATATCAATTCTAGTTTTGAGTGACTTTCAGAAGACAATCACACACCTCATCTATAAATCAGCATATGTCTGTAACATCTTCCAAAACTCAGGAGGGCAGATGAAAGCCATTCTCACACATGTCGTTCACATCATCAGCAGAAACTGTGCGTTAGTGGGTGGAATTCCTTTTGCTTAGTTGTATGATGGTGATAGCTAATAAAAATGGCATTTAAAAATGAATGTCTAAAACTTGGGCTAACCCAGGAAATTACAGGCATCTTAGGAATAAAAAGACAAAAAGAGACAAAGAACTGTTCTTTAAAAGTGCAAGGAACAGAGTGAGGGCAAAGGAAAAGGTTTCTTCTGGAGGAGGGAGGAAAAACAACAACAACAAAAGAAAATGTTTCTTCTTTTTTGGATGAGAATAATAGTAGCCTTTGAAGTTTCAAATTGATCTTTGTCAATGAGCCATTTGGAATTCAGGATCAGGCAAACCAGCTTGAGAGGCTGGGGTACTCACTTAGTGGAGAGACCAAACAAGTAATATTTAAATGATGTAGCCACAGCCTGAAGTCAAGGATACCAAAGATATTGGCAAAAGTCAACCGGCTACCATCATAAAGATGTGCAAAGGTAGACTATGGAATCACAGGCTGTGCTGTTTATTGCCCATGTGGCCCTGAGCAAGATACTTAATCTCTCTGTGCCTCAGTTTCCTCCTTTGCAAATGGAGATAACAGTGGTACCTACCTCATAATTATTGGGATGATTAAGTGGGAAAATGCATATAAAGTGCTTAACTGGGCCGGATGCAGTGGCTCACACCTGCAATCCCAGCACTTTGAGAGGCTGAGGCAGGCGGATCCCTTGAGCCCAGGATTTTCCGACCAGCCTGGGCAACATAGGGAAACCCGACTCTACAAAAAGTACAAAAATTAGCTGGGCGGGGTGGTGTGTGCCTGTGGTTCCAGCTACTCAGGAGGCTGAGGTTGGGAGGATCACCTGAGCCTGGGAGGCGCAGGTTGCAATGAGCTGAGATGGCGCCAGTGCACTCGGGCCTGGGTGACAGAGTGAGACTCCATCTCAAAAAAAAAAAAAAAAAAAAAAGTGCTTTACTGACTAATGTAGTGCCTAATAAATGGTAAGGCAGTGTGACCATTATTATGAAATTATCAGTATGCTCTGATTACAAAGATCAAGGGAGGCCGGGTGCAGTGGCTCATGCCTGTAATCCCAACATTTTGGGAGGCCGAGGCGGGTGGATCACCTGAGGTCAGGAGTTTGAGACCAGCCTGGCCAATATGGCAAAACCCCGTCTCTACTAAAAATACAAAAAATTAGCCGGGCATGGTGGTGTGTGCCTTTAATTCCAGCTACTCAGGAGGCTGAGGCAAGAGAATCGCTTGAACCTGGGAGGGGGAGGTTGCAGTGAGCCACGATTGCGCCACTGCACTCCAGCCTGGCGCCAGAGCGGGACTCTGTCTCAAACACAAAACAAAACAAAACAAAACAAAACAAAACAAAACAAAACACCATCAAGGGAGCAGAGAATAACAAGCTGAAGAAGAAAGCAGCATGGTGGTGCTGCGTCTTGAAAAAGCTCCTACAACCCTACAACCCTGGAATTTTCCACTAGGTACTTGGCTCTGGTTATAGTTCTCTCTCCATGGCAGTCTGTGATGGAAAAGACTTTCAAAGATTCAGAGAAGAGACTCAGAAAGGACTCAGAAGGGTGGAGGACTGAGCAGTGAAGTGGAGGAATGGGGCTGAGAGATGAGCACCAACTTGGCCCCCGAGTAAAGCTGCGTGATCAGCTTCTCCCGCTCGCAGGTATGGGCAGAATAGGAAGCGGACTGTGCATCAGCAAGGAGGAGCCAGGACTTGGTGATACCTGATGATCATTAAACCTACGGATTTACGCCGATGATAAAGACCATTGAACATTATGGCGAGGCGCGGTGGCTCACGCCTGTAATCCCAGCACTCTGGGAGGCTGAGGGGGGCAGATCACCTAAGGTCAGGAGTTTGAGACCAGTCTGGCCTACATGCTGAAACCCCATCTCTACTAAAAATACAAAAATTAGCTGGGCATGGTGGTAGGCCCCTGTAATCCCAGCTACTTAGGAGGCTGAGGCAGGAGAATCGCTTGAACCCGGGAGGTGGAGGTTGCAGTGAGCAGAGATTGTGCTGCTGCACTCCAGCCTGGGCGACATGGGGAGAGGGGAGAGTCTGTCTCAAACACACACACACACACAGACACATACACACACACACACACACAAACATAAAATAAGACCATTGAACATTAAAATGGCTTTAGGATATTTTTTAAAAGACTTTACATTTTTCGTCTTTCTATGAAGGACTTTCCTGACCATCCTTTTTAAATATGCACCCTCCAAGTTTTCTATCCCCCTTCCTTACTTTGCTTTTCTTCTTAGTAATTAGCTCACTGTAACATATTCTACTACTAGAGTTTCATATTCATTGCTTGTCTTCCTAATACGTAGATATAAACTCAGGCGAGCAGGCTATTTCTGTTCTTGTTGTTCGCTGCTGTCTCCCTGGCACCTAGCCGAGTGCTCAATAAGTATTATAGCAAGTGTTCAGTAAATATTTGTTGAATGAAAGGATAAATTCTCATTTATCTTAGGGCATTTGTAACGGGGCAACCAGATGGCTTCAGGAGGCACCTCTGAAGATTCTGCATTGCTCAGATTATGCATAAGGAATAAAATGTCATTAACAATTTGATTTTAAATTTTCTGTGTCCTTTTAACTCATTGTGACAATAAACACATGACATTAGAATCCTCTGAGTGATGTGTGAGTTTCTGTGACTTTATTCCACGTGAATTTGGGCCCTGCCAAAGCTTCTCAAATTTTTCAATTCAACAGTTGTTATTTAAAGAGGGGGTACGGATGGAGGGGGAAAAAAACTCCAGAAAGCAAAAATCCAAAAGAGGAGTGGCTAATAACAGCCACTGTGTATTGAGCATTCACTGTATTCCAAGCATGAGTCAGGTTTTTTTTTTTTTTTTTTAAATAGAACTCTTCCAAGCTAGATATTATACCTGTTTTGCAGTTGGGTAGATCGGGGCCTCATCCTTAGTAATAAGTGGAGCCGGGATTCGAATCTTGCTTTGTCTGAATCCAAATGTATACTTTCTCCAAAATTTCAGATTGCCTTTCAGTTTAAGCTTCAACCTGTTCCCTCCAGAACAGTGAGGAGATCTGTTACTTTGAAAAGATGGCAAATTAACACTCGGTCTGCCCTGCCTTACAACTGAAATGTTTGCAACGCCCGCTGTGAGCAGATGTGCTGGGTTGCAGTTACCCTGTGATGTTTGTGCTCAAACTGAAGATCCCTATCAATGCAACGAGTAAGACATGAGTTTGAGAAGAAGCAGTGATCACCTTCTTCTTCACTCTTCACGCTGATGAATTTCTACATCACTGTGCATGTCCTGTGCTTTGCAGTCATTCCCTAGGAGCTCGGGCCCTTGACCCAAAGATACTGCTCTTACTAACACTACATTTTAAACTCCTCCTCTGGACTCACTCTCAGAGCCTGCCGCACAATCTTTAAAAACTTTGTCAATGATTGCAAAATCTTTTTCCTTTTAGAGTGGATTTGATTTTAGGAGACAGCCATTCGGAGCTACATCCAGTGAATAAGGTGGGTTAAAAAGCCATATACTATTTTGAGTCAAAAACAAGTTGTGAACAGAATGCAGATACTGGTTTTGTTTTGTAGTTTATTAAGCTGTCTCTCAAGGATATTGTAAAAAGGGTCTAAATGCACTTTGACTCATGTCTGTGATGTTGCAAAAGCGCATCAACTATCGAGGGACTGCTTTGAAGGGAAACGGTCATTTGACTACATTTGCTCTGCTCTGACAGACTTTTTAGAAAAAGTTGTATCATAACTTTAGAGCCACAGCTTGAATTATTACTTTGGGTGCTATCATCTTCCGCAACAAGACTCTGTCTTCTTATGAATTATGGCTCTGCAATAAAACGAACCAGGATGTGAATGTTTGCTAGATCAATACAGTAATCCAGGGCAAACAAACCAGAATAAACATGGCAGCTGAGAATCCTGAGAACCGAATATTCACTGAAACAAAAAGCAATATGTTATGATACATTAACATATTTAAAGAGAAAATAAATGATGAGAATAACAGCAGGGGAAATGATGTTTTTATGGTTATGGCAATAAGAGGGAAGCTAGAAGATGTTTCAAATGCTATTACCTGGTTAGGGAGGCTGGTTTTTTTTTTTTAATAATGAATTAAAATGCATAAAGAGGAAATCACCCATGAGATTTCTAGCCTGTGGCATTTTGAAGCTATTTCAATATTCAGCATTTAAAAAGTATTTTATATGAATGTATTTTTACACTAAAAGTTACATCAGAATTAAGATCATTCTCTTAACATTTTATAGTTCCCATCATGAAATCTCTCAATCAGAAAGAAAGGATATTTTGTTTTAATACAGTTGTTCATCATCCAGTGGGGAGCTGGGTGAGAATAATTGCAATACGACTAATGGCCTGAGTTTGAAATTCAAAGCCTTCAGACAAGGTTTTAGTACATATTACCTATCTTCACAACTCACTGAAATATTTTATTAGGTGGCATAAATGAGGGTCTGTGTAAACATTAAAAGCTACCCACTGAATCTACATCATTTCTGTTAATATGCTAATAGCAAGGGGGAGGGAAAGGCATCTTACTAACCCAGCGTTGAAATAATTTAGTAGATGACTCAAGTCTCAAGGTTTCTAAGATTTACTATTCATACAATTACAATTGTCATTAAGAGTTTTCGCTGGCGTAAGTGGCACAACACCTTTGCAATGAGCAAACATAGTACTTATGCATGAGTTCAGGGTACACAAGTAGTTGTCATATTATTTAAAAAACCTCAATAAAAGAGGTCTTTGTTCACAGGAGAATATTAAAGTAAGCTGTTCTTTTGCCATATCAGAGAACATTTCTGATGAAGGTGGTTTTGAGAAAGTAAGTCTTTGCTTTTTCACCTTGACCTGAAGGGGACCGTTTGCACAGGGAATCCTGGAGGGGGCATGTTTAGGGCCAAGAAAATGGGCCTTGGGGCTCTGGCTGCTCCTCGTTGCCCACGGTGGTTCAGTTCTCTCTGTGGGGAGGCAGCGGGAGTGACAGCCAGGACAGATGAATGGGGTGAATCTTGGTTCTGGTTTTCTTAGGCCATAGGGTCTTATGCAAATCATTTAACCAGCTGAAGTCTCTGTTTCCTTGGCTGTTAAAATAGGGTTTAAAGTGTTTACCATAAAGGGCAGCTGTGAGGCTGTGAGATGGGAGAATCAATCTATTTATTGGTCAGAAAGTGGTTGTTCAGTACCTTGGATTTCTGAGTGGGCAAGGCTGGACCCTGAGCCCTGGGACCTCTGAAGTGAACACTGCAGGGCCATTTGGTGAGTGCTCTGGCCGTGTTAACACGACGTGCTATGGAGCCCTTGGGAGGGCACCTCACTGGGCTTGCAATGGAGGTGGGTGGTGGCTACAGATGGCTTCCTGGAAGATGGCTCAGAGGGGGGCTCTGATTCCCAGTTACGAACTGTGGACCCATGGTTTCCCTCCTCCTGCCACTCTGAAGTCCCCAGGATTTCTCCCAACCCCATCCCAAGGACAGACTGCACAGCGTCAGAAGGGACACGCCCTGGGGCTTGGGTGCGTGTATGTCTGTGAATGTTTGCATGTATTTTCAGCGTTTGCTTCCTCCCCTCACCACTACCCCTGTCGGTTAAAAGTCTGTTAAAAGAATGAGAGCGAGAGAGAGAGAGAGAGAGAGAGAGAGAGGAGAGGAGGGGCGGGGTGGGGGAGGAGGGGAGTGGGGAGAGAGAAAGAGAGAAACACCAAAAAGACATTTTCAAGGAAGGAAGAAAATTAGATGGCAACCCCCTGTCCCCTCCCCCTAAGAAAATCCTCTCTGAGATTAAACTGTGTGAAGATTAGAGGCGTGTAGGTCAGGAGCAGGAGGAAGCCCAACGCTGGACTGTACCAGATCATCTAAAACTGGCAATTCCAGGCACAGAAAACCAGTTCTTCAGAAGCAGAAGGGTGGTCAGCCAGGGGGTGAAAGGGACAGGGGTCTCGCAGCCAGGTATGACAATGCCCTTCCTAGTCCTTTCCAGGATGGGGTGGGACACACCCAGTCCATCCTGACTCTGGAGTACGTCTCCACTTTCGTGCAGAAAATGGTACAAGGCCTGAGGCCTGGAGCTCGTTATAAATCATGCTGGTGGCGTTTCTTGCTTTGTTTCCCAAAGGGCAGAGCCTCATCTCCCCTTCTACTTAGGAGATGGAGGGGATCTGTCCATACAGGCAGCTGTCCTTGTCTGACTCCTCTGCTTTCTGAAGGGGAGACATTGTCCCCCTTAAAGGACACTGGATCTCCTGTTGGAGGGGCAACCAATTTTGAACTCTTTGCCTCTTTAAATCTTTTAGAAACTTGGATGAGAGAAACTTTTTATCCTGAATTTTCTGAAGCATATCTGAAGTCATTTTTCTTTATTATTATTATTATTATTATTTTTTAGGCTGACGTCTCACTCTGTTGCCCAGGCTGGAGTGCAGTGGTATGATCTTGCCTCACTACAACCTCTGCCTACTGGGTTCAAGCAATTATCCTGCCTCAGCCTCTCGAGTAGCTGGGATTACAGGCATGAGCTACCGTGCCTGGCTAATTTTTGTATTTTTAGAAGAGACGGGGTTTCACCATGTTGGCCAGGCTGGTCTCGAACTCCTGACCTCAAGCGATCTGCCCTCCTCGGCCTCCCAAAGTTTTGGGATTATAGGCGTGAGCCACAGCACTCGGCCTATTGTCATTGTTATTATTAGTATTATTTTAGAGACTGGGTGTCGCTATGTTGCTCAGGCTGGTCTTGGACTCCTGGGCTCAAACAATTCGCCTGCCTCGGCCTCCCAAAGTGTGGGGATTATAGGCGTGAGCCACTGCGCCCGGCCCATGAAGTCATTTTTCATCTCTGGATAAAACTGGAACATCAAAGTGGTGCTGTGGGGTGGCACATTCTTACTAATCTCCTGCTGCACTCTCCCTGCCGCACACCCTGGAGTTGCTTTTAGTAAACTCTTCGGTGAGATGCAATCAGCATATATGGAGGAACAGCGTAAGGAACCACCTCACGGACTTGTGGCTGGCTGCGTGGAGTCTAAACATGGTGTTTCACTTCAGCCGTGTTGTCTTCTCTATGGGAATCCAGGGGGCAAAGTTTCTCTTTAATCTCAGCACTGGGGAGCCAGGAAGACCTCATGATTCTGAGCTATGTGTTTATGTTTCTCCCGCGGGCAATGAGCTTTCTGTGTGGTGATATTTCCTGCTTCATACCAGTTGCTGAAGAGCATAGAACCACGTGGCATACATTCTCTGTAATTAACCTCACCCCCAGTTTTAGTGTCATTTTTGTCTTCACTTCTCTTGGCCTCATTTTCAAATTTCTTGTTTTTAATTGTTTCATTTTGCTAAGGTGTAAGTATTTTTGCCAGATGCTCTAAATCCTTTGATGAACAAAACCAGAAGTAGATAAAGAAAATATCCACAAGCTTATGTTCTGCTCAGCTGATAACATCACCATGGTGATCTGGCTTTCCACAGAGGATTTTCCCTTTCTTTCCTTTCTTTCTTTTCCTTCCTTCCTTCCTTCCTTCCTTCCTTCCTTCCTTCCTTCCTTCCTTCCTTCCTTCCTTCCCTCCCCTTCTCTTCCTTTTCCTTCCCTTCCCTCCTTCTGTCTGTCCCTCTCTCTCTTTTTTCGAGACAGGGTCTTGCTGTGTCCCCAGGCTGGAGTGTGGTGGTGGATCACAGCTCACTGCAACCTCAACCTCATGGGTTCAAGCAATCCTCCTGCCTCGGACTCCTGAGTAGCTGGGACTACAGGTGTGGTTGCCCAGCTAATTTTTGTAGAGATGGGATCTCACTACGTTGCCCAGGCTGGTCCCGAACTCCTAGGTTCAAGCAATGCTCCCCGCTCAGCCTCCTAAAGTGCTGGCATTACAGGTGTGAGCCACCGCCACTGCACCTGGCCTCCCACAGAGGATTTTCTAGGAGATAATGTGCTCTTCAGAAGGCTCGAGGATCTCAGCTGGCAGATTGAGTTCTTACTGTGCATTAACAAATTGACACATGGGTTCATGTGGAAGTCTTGTGAACTTGGTAATTGGGTGTCTATTGATAAGAATGCTCACCTTGTACCATTGATTCCCTCTACAACTATGCTGCAAGCACAGTCATCTGCTTTCACTTCTTTGAACATGCCAACCTCTTTCCCACCTCAGGGCCTTTGCACATACTATTTGCCTCTACGTGGAATGTTCTTTCCTCCTTCTCATCCATTAGAGTGGCAGCAGTACTTTAGAATAATCAGAGGGGTTTAAAATAATATTGATGTCCGGTCCCAACCCAGCTCAATTAAACTCAAATCTTTGAGTGTGGGGCCGATGCACTGATAAAATAAAATAAAAGGCATGGAGTTGACTTTATCCTTACGGTCGGCAGGTATTTTGACCAAGCTATCACCGTGAGCAGTAGCATCAACAGTTAGTTATTCAGGGATTTGGGGCACAGGCGGTTGTGACCACATCACAAAAGTTCAATTTGTTGGGTTAGGCGTTTAGCCATAACCTAAGTAGTTGCAGATGGTCTCTACACCTGGATTGCCCATTAGGACAAAACAAGTAAACTTGTGTTTTTAGGCAAATAATGAAACTCTGAGGAGTCTGAAAAAACAACTCATCGCCAGGTAACTCCCAGCCCAGGTGCTCGTCCATACAGGGGTGAACGCACGGCAGGGGGCTGCTCGAACTCTCACTAAGCCTGCCTCTGTTCTTTGCAAAATATTTGATAGTTTTTAATGCAGCAAAGCGAAGCAGACAATCCACCTCTTGTTTTCCCCAAGCTGATGGGGGGAAAGTTCTAAGGTGTTGTTTCCTAAGCTCAAATTAACCAAGATTGGTCAGTGGCATGGACTTTTTTTTTTTTTTTTTTTGGTAATTTTACTTCCATGAGGAATCATTTGGACTCTTCAGTCTTCCTTTCTTCAGTTTTACGTAGGGCTTTGCTGGAGGAAAATGGGGCTAAGGGGGAGAGAAACATAGTCTCGGAGTAGGGTGGGGGATAAATTAAACGCAAACCCAGCGGTGCGGCAAAGGCCTTATTCTGCCTCTGATCTGGGGAAGTTTCATATTCTAATGGAGAGAAACGCACGTGCACACACACCCCCCTAAACCCACACAAATGAAACCCCCTCTGCGGAGAAGCCGGCTACAGGAAATTGACTTAGGCACAGGAACTTGCTAATCTCTTTTGTCACATTCGGATTGCTCCTGCTGCCCCACACACACTAACCCAACCATCTTGGGGTGGACTCCCTGCCAGCCCAACTGTTGTATTTTCAGTTCTTCCAGTGTGAATCAGTTAATATTCTCGGGAACGAGGGAGAGGTTGATCCTATGAGGAAATCAACCACAGTGAAAAGGCTTGGGCCGCTTTTGTTTTCACCTGCTTTTGTTGAACAAATTTGATTTCCGGAGTCAGTCATTTTACTGTCAAGACATTTCTTCGGCATTCTGCAACAGGTAAGGATTTTGCTTCCTTAAAAGTATTTCTTTGGTGTCAAAAGAAATTTTTCTAATTTTATTTAGCTTTTACTCTAGGCCAAACATCGTAATGACTCTGAGCTACCTGCTGTAAGGTGTAGAATCAATTTACAGGGGGACGGGGGTCGGGGGGGTGAGTGTTGCTTTGATATTCACTGCCCCTCACCACAGTCCTAACAAGATTTTTGAAACATGAAAAGTTACAATAGTTGGCTTTTTGGTTTTCCAGATATTCTAGAGAATGCATATGCTTGTGACTGTGGCTGAGCTCAACTGTATGGGTAGTTTAAATACTACCCAAGGTTTGATGAAGTAAATCTAAAGATGCTCTAAGTTGTGCAAATATGAATTTTAAAGTTGTCTAGTTCAGAAAAGAAACAGAACCGAAGTCTAAATGATGTAGATTTCAATCTGGAATTTCTAGCTTGTGTTTTTCACCTATTGCCAATGTTAATGACCATTTCCCAAAAGTGCTCTATGATGTATAACATGTATTTTTTAATTAAATTTAATCTTTCTTCTGAGGTGGTTTGATTTGGAGATATGCTACGAGGTACCAGTCAGTAGCCTGAGTTGTAACTAAACAAAGTTTGGGAAATCACCGGTTTTAGGTGCTTTACTAAATGAAAGTTGCCATTGACGTATTCAAGCAGGCAACAAGTAGTTGGTGTCCCCTTATTGGTTCTAAGCTGGTGCCGTGGAGGATATAAGAGAAATATTTTAAAAATCTCTACTTTGAAGGACCCTATAATCTGGTAGTTGTGATAAGAAGTAAAATTTAGGAAGCAATGCAAGATGAGAATTCAGTGATGAGTGGGGCAGCACAGGCTTGAAGAGTTCTGTGAATTCCATGGAGGGGGCCTGGGGGCAAACTGGAGTTGTCAGGAAGATCTGGGCTTTGGAAGAATGCGAAGTGTCGGTAGAAGGAGAAGGGGCAGGTGATTTCAGACTGGGAGGACCTTGTGGGCAAAGGCACAAAGGCGAGACTGACCTGGAGATGATAAGGCCAGTTGAAGAGACACTGGAGAAGAGAAGACAGTTTGTTTTACACATTGCAGGAAATCAGATTAGACAGTTAGGGTGTGGACACAAAAGCGAGGACCTTGCAGGCACTGGGGAGAAGTGACCCCATTCAATAGTCCTTGGTCTCCTTCTGCCCTGCGGCTGCGCTTCCTCGGCTCTCACGGCACCAGCAGAATTCCATGTGAGAGGGAGCTTGTCGAGCGTGGCCTCTTCCCACTTGGGGCTGCTTTCTGCATCCCTGTGCCTGGCTGTGGGCCTCCATTTGCCCTCTACTGTCTTCCCTTAGGACATCATTTATGCAGAGAAAGGTTCGTGTGGCTCGGGGTACCAGTAAGACCTCCACCTCTGGTTTCTTCATTTTAAGGAGGCCCTTCAATTATCCAGGAATTAAAGTGGCCTTCCTCTTGGGAGAACGAGTTGGTTGATGAATGATAAGCAAGTCTCTATTCCTCAAAAGCCAGTCCCCAAATTCCATGAAATATGTGCTACTTTCTTTGCATGTCTAAATGAGATGGCACGGGTATGCTTCTGTTCTTTTTCTGGACGTTGTTTAGAGAGTCAGTAGATCATAATAATTCAGACACTTTTTTTCTGGACCATAAAATATCTGAACCCATATAATAACAAACATACAGCACGGTGAATAAGAACCCAACTTTTGAGCCAGATCACTTTGCATGGAATCCCCATTCTATCATTCTATCATTTCTGGGCTGTGGGAACCTCAGACAAGTTACTTAACTTCTTCAATGCTCAGATTAAAAAAAAAATTCACAAAATATCTCTAATAACAGTAATAATAACTGAAAATACCTACCTCAGAGGGTTGTCGTAGAGATCAAATGAGATAAAAATATGTAAAGCATGTAGCCTAGTGCCTGACTGAAAAAAAAATCTCTCAATAGATGCAACTCTTATGATTCTTATTAAGGACTTGGCTATTGCCACAAATGAAGGTGTTATGAGCCCTGGCTTAAGAGCAAGAAGCCTGCAAAGCTAACTCTCCTAATCCCAACATTCCTTTCCAGGGAAAGTAGGGTGACAGGTGGAGGCTGGGAATTAACGTTTTTTGAGCACCAAATATGGACAAGGCACAGGGGTTGGGTGTTTTTCTAGTGAGAATACATATGAAAGAAGGAAAACAAACTTGGAAACCGCTATTTTAAGCCATTTGGTAACAGTTTCTCTAGCTTATGAGATGAGAGAGGTCCTCTCAGTATCCGCTGCATTACTTGTGGGCCTCCTTGGTTGACGTCGCTCTCTGAACGCTTGGGGTGGAATTCTAGAGGTGCTTTTCATTAGAGGCAGAGAGCATGACCTTTCTTCCTTGCCCAGTTTAAATTAAATTATTTTATCTTACAATGTGTTAATTTTAGTGCTAGCAAGGCACAGCTAAAATTCCATTTCTACTTAGGAGTGGGGATCATTGTGGCAGTGAGTGCTTATTTGGGTTTGGGATGCTTGGATCTGGGTGAAAGCCAGGATTAAAAAGCATCCTCCTTCCCCATTCCACTCTCTAGGTTATAAATATTTTTTTGGATTAAAAGCCTCCTTTAAAAAAATGCAAATCCACCTGGCATGTTAATTGTGCAGGGGATTCCTAATTATGTGTGCAGATGACGTGAGTCACACGGTGATAGTGTTCCTTCTAGAGTCCCACTGGTGTCCTAAGGGAGGAGACTCTGGAGCTTTGTGTATGAAAAGGGATGGGCACAAGTCAGGATGGGGTGCACAGGTGGAGGCTGGGAGGCAGCATGACAGTGTGGGGGCTGGGGTGGGCTGTGAGAGCAAGGAGGGTGTCAGAGATGGAAAGGATGACCCCAGGGGGGTGGAAGGGTGCCAGAAACTTAGGGCTCCTCTGTGAGCTCTTTAGCCATTTGACTCTAGCAACTGCTTGAATGCCCTGAACAACCTTTTGACGACTTGCACAAGAAGTTGTCATACTGTTCCCCGGATGTGGACAGTTGTTCAGAGACCACGATCATGTGTCTGGTGTCTCACTGTGGAATAGTGGTTTCTAAAGCTGGCTGGACAGCAAAACCACCTGGGGAGCTTTTAAGAAACTGAAATTCCATGTCTCATACCCCAGCCCTCACGTGAGGTCCAGGAATCTGTGTGATTAAAAAATACAAGCCCCAAAACAACTTGGAAAGTGGTCGTTTTGCAGGTGGGGATTTAGGAACCAAGAATCCAGAACTCTCCTACCAGGGCCCCAGAAACCGTAAGTTGAATAAGTGCTGAAATGAGGCAAATTGATCTACTCTCTATTGTGATTAATATCTTCACACAGCAAGTATTTTCCTTTGTTTTGAGTTCATTCCTTGAGATGAGTTATCGGGAGCGGGGTGACTGGGTCCAGGATATGAGGATGTTTAGCTCAGTCATACCCGCATTTTAACACGCAAACGTACGGTGCCGCTCATTTAAAAACCAAAGTGTTGTATACATGTAGAAGCTATATATTATTCCGGGGCAGCCCAAAGAGGGGATGTTGCTTTCAAGCGAAAGCACCAAATCACATTCTTTTCTGGTAAAATAGAATACTAATGAATTGCTTTTGGAAGAAATTTCCAGAGCATTACTGAATGTTCAAGTGCTTCTTAGAGCACAAGTTGAACCTTTCTTATCTCTGCACTCAGTTTCTCGTAAAACTGAAGTCACAGTGACCTCTTCCCCATTTCGTAGAAAAGAAACCCAAGGAAGAGAGTGGTTAAGAAACAGAAGATACGGTTCTCATCACATTTGCCTGAGAACTACGTATAGTCATCCATTCAGTGCCTCGTTAAGTAAATAAATGATTGAATCATTTGTATACATGACCTCATGGAAAAAAGCACGGTAAAATGAATGTTTGAGGGTGGGTAGACAGAATTATTCAACCCGGACAGGTGTTAGATGTTCACTCTATCCCCCCCTTTTTTTTTGCATTAGGTTTTATTCATTATTTGCATCATCTATGGACCTAAAAGCATGCTCATTGTCACACAGATGGGAACAGGGTGAATTTTCAATGATTTCAATGAAAAAAAAAAAAAGATGTGCTGTTGCAAAATATCAAGGGAGATGTTTACAGTGGTGTTCTAGAACCGGCTTGCTCTCAAGTGCTGATTGTAATATTTTCAGAAATTTTCCAAGCCAGTGACATTATTGACTTCTCTTTATCTGTGTGATGGAAATGCTATATAATATTGTGCTATCTGAGCATCTGTTTTCAATTTTGCATTCAGCGATGTCATGATGGTGGCTTGAAATTGGCTATGGTAAAAGTACACTGTGAAAATCAGCAAACACAATAAATCAGGCTCCCCACCTTTTTTTTTTCGGGGCGGGGGGCAAGCATGTTGTTAAACGTTTACTAGCATGCTACTGAGGAACTGTGTAAAATACAAATATGGCAATTTGACGATATGTATCAAGAGCCATTAAAGTGTTCATACACTTTGATCCATTCATTCCACCCCTGGAAATTTATTCCGAATAAATAATTCAAAGAAAAGTAATATGCATGAACATATTCACTGTATTATCATTTATAGCAGCAAAATCTGAAAATACCCTGAACACTAAGCAATAGGAGTTCTGGCAACATTAACTCCATGAGTTTTTTTTTTTTTTTTTTTTTTTTTAAGACAGGGTCTTGTTTTGTCACCCAGGCTGGAGTGCAGTGTGTAATCACAGCTCACTCAGCCTTGACCTCCTGTGCTCATTTGATCCTCCTGCCTTAGCCTCCCAAGTAGCTGGGACCACAGGCGTGTGCCACCACACTTGGCTAACTTTTTTTTTGTAGAGACGGGGTCTCACTTTGTTGCCCAGCCTGGTCTCCATCTCCTGGGATCAAGTGATCCTCCTGCCTTGGCCTCCCAAAGTGCTAGGATTACAGGCACGTCACTGCGCACAGCCCATGGGTTCTTTTAAAGTCATTAAAAATCATAGTTATGATGGTTATGAAAATATGTTTGATATGATGTTAGGTTAGAAAATCAGAATTAAAAATTTTAATTACATTCTGATTTTGTTGTGAATAAGAATTAAATGTGAGCCGTAAAAAAATGAATGACAGCATTTGGTATGTTAGAATGGTGAAATAGTAGAATTTGTTTTTATTTTGTTTATTGTAGTCGTGGTGTGTGTTCATTTAAGAAATTTGGAGAACACCTGTTAATAAGTGATCTTGAGTAGTTTTAACATTTAGGAGGAAGGCTATGAGTTTTGTGAACCACATGGGGCTTTACCTTTAACCGGTAGATGTTACTGTGAATCCCTGGGCAGGGTATTGTAAAGGGAGTTTGGAGCTAGGCAGTGTGAGCTGTGGATGCTAAAGGGGTTTCTTTAGAGCAGCTTAAGGAGGAGGAAGAAGTAAGTAACTGTGTCCTGAGGACTTGCTAAAAGTAGACTGCAAGGACTGAGAAATAGCCCAGAGAAAAACTACCATCAAAGGCCAGAGAGACAGGCGAGAGAAGGTTTCTTAGGAAGAGACAAGGAGACGCTGATCTCAGAGGTGAACAACATGGATAAGAAATTAACTCCATTTTGACCTGAAAAAAATAGGGGCTGACACCAGAAAGGAAATGATTTTTGTAGAGCAATGGTTCTCAAGTTTTATTTATTTATTTATTTTTAGTTTTTTTTAAATTTTTTATTTTTTGAGATGGAGTCTCGCTCTGTTGCCCAGGCTGGAGTGCAGTGGCATGATCTTGGCTCACTGCAAGCTCCGCTTCCCGGGTTCACGCCATTCTCCTGCCTCAGCCTCCGGAGTAGCTGGGAATACAGGTGCCCGCCACCAGGCCCCGCTAATTATTTTGTATTTTTAGTTGAGACGGAGTTTCACCGTGTTAGCCAGGATGGTCTCGATCTCCTGACCTCGTGATCCGCCCGCCTCGGCCTCCCAAAGTGCTGGGATTACAGGCGTGAGCCACCGCGCCCGGCCAGTTCTCAAGTTTTAGTGTGTTTAAGAATCACCTGGATGAGTGCGGGAAGAGTTAACTAATTTAGCATCCAGGTTCCATCTCCATGCATTCTGATACGGTTGGTCTAGAGGTTGGCAGGAATATGCATTTTTAACAAATCCTCCCACCCTATGAAGACTCTGATGTGAATTGCCTGCAGATTACACTTTGAGAAACACTAGTGGAATAAATGCAACAGTTTGGTTTTGTCCAGGGAAGGTATATCTGTGAGTGTGTGTGTGTGTGTGTGTGTGAGAGAGAGAGAGTGTGTGTGTGTGTGTTGAAGGTGAAGCCGCTACTTAAAGGCTCAGAATTGAAGGACTTATAATGTAAAAGGGGAATGAAAACAGAGAAAGCCCAGAGGGACAAGTTATTTATTTGTTATAGAAACAAACAGCAAAAACCAGGAAGCTGTACTTACGATATTCCTTAAAGGAATATAGTTTGTGGCACAAAATCCTCTTCCACAGTTAAACAATTTTGTCCAGCACTTGAACCAATTAAAAGTAGCTGTGACTAGGGGAACTATGAGCACAGAGAAAGATGGTCATGGGGAGAGTCTGGGACCCATAAACATTCTATTTCAGGCCATCGAGCGGTGGTTATTAAACCCGTGGTAGAATATGGGAGTGCTACGGACAGAAAACACTCTGGACCTTACTGTATGATAACATTATGTTAAAGAAGAAAAGAAAGTATATTTTTTGATGAAATGTAGTATTTTATATACAGAACTCAGCACTCAAAATAGTAATAACAATTAGACTTATGCCACAACAACATTATATCACAAAATAAACATATGAAAGTGAATGACATCGCAGTAGCCACTGTTCTGAGATTATCTGCTTCACCTGGCTTTGGAAGTTTAGTGATTGTAATAGCTTTCAAATAGCCTTCAATGTCTCGTGCTCTTCTTAAAGTGGAGATGATTCTTTTACTTTAATCACATTCCCCATCGTCAGGGCCTCTGATCTCTTGAGACATGATGTGGTAAATCAAGGATAAGTTAACAACCCATCTTCACATTGGAGGCGCAAGTCACAGGGTCTGTCGGATGTGCAAGGGTCTAACGCCTGAAATCAGACCTCTTTCTACAAGCACGCGCTGACTATTCTATTCCCCACCTAACAGGGTTTTTCATGGACTGATTGGCTTGTGCTTTGGAGCAATGTTTCCTAATCACTAGTTTTGGTCACAGATTCGTTTGACAATGTGATGAGAGCCAAAGACTTTCTCACACAGGGCCATGAACATTTGCTGCACAGTCCTAGGGGATATAAGGACCCTCTAAAACCCATTCATGGACTCTCAGGGATCTAGAGGCCTCAAGTGAGGAGCTCTGCCCTCAGCAGAGGGAGCATTGCAGAGGAAGTTCTGGTTATTACTGACATCAGATTAAGCCCCTAAAGACAGAAATGCTGCTTCTCCAATTGATGGCTGAAATGAGGGTAAGATGGCGGATACAGGTGTAGTTTTATAGCATCAGATCCTTAAAATGAGTAGCATGTGGGGCTAGAGTTGTTTCCCTTCAGATAACATATGATTAATGCTCTAAATCCTTAGTTCTGAATTCTCTCATGTGAAGCCAGGGTTGGTTCCCATTTGGGAAAGCAGTCTCTCAAGATGCCACTTTAATGTCTTACTTATCAGCTCGTGATGCCTTGGGTGGCACAAGAAATGCAGGCAGGGCCGGGCGAGGTGGCTCACACTTGTAATCCCAGCACTTTGGGAGGCCGAGGCAGGCAGATCATCTGAGGTCAGGAGTTCGAAATCAGCCTGGCCAACATGGCAAAGCCCCAGCTCTACTAAAAATACAAAATTAGCTGGGCGTGGTGGCACATGAGCCTGTAATCCTAGCTACTCTGGAGGCTGAGGCAGGAGAATCGCTTGAATCCAGGAGACAGAGGTTTCAGTGAGCCAAGATCGTGTCACTGCACTGCAGTCTGGGCAACAAAGTGAGACTCAGTTTACAAGAAAAAGAAATGCAGGCAGGTTGTAAGCACTGATCTGGCCAACTCTAGAGTGTAGTGAGTAGTGTGGGGTCAGCTGATGCCCCTAAGCAACGTACTGGATACCCAGCCCAGCTGCTTTTAGGGTGAAAGGCATTAGCATTAGCCGGTGGGTAAAGTGCTCCCTTCTGGGTGTAAGATGTAGTTGTCTTATCTGAAGCTGAACATCTGGTTGGGCTTTGATAACTTTGAAGATAGTTCTTTTCCTGTGTAGCCTTTTGATCACAGAAGCCCTGTTGGTCATCTTCCATTAGTGGGTATCTGACCTGCAATTTGGGGAACTGAGTGTTTTCAGCTGAAAGCTCAGGGCTTTGTTCATTTCCTGTCCTCCCAGACTGTGGTATCAGGCAGGGTATGGAGACTTACCCCAAACCCGTCTGTTTAAATTAGCCAACCCTACTGGAAGTGGTAAGATGAGGCCACATTCTCATGTCACGGTCATACAGTGGATTGACACTGGATGAGAAAGAGAAACGCACTTCATCTTCATCCCTCCGGAGAAAAAGAATGTGAAATTGACTAAATACATGGTGAGTCAAGGTTCTCTTGGTGTGGGATAGCATAAAAATTGGAAATCTGTCTTTGAGATAGAAAGGGAAAATCTATAACAAATATGTTCCAGTAATCAGTGTGCCTTCATGTCTATAACCATTTTAATTATTGCACATCCATGACTACATTTCTTGTAAGTTTCAATATCTATTTTAATAATAATATTGCATCATACAGTCACAGCCCTCAAAACACAAATATTCCATGTACACCAAAGGCTGGTAGCAAAGTCTCTACTCCTCTTACCTCCTGGAGATTATTTTCCCCTGCCAGGTCATTATGTCTAGCAACCTAGTTGCCCATGCAGAGAATGGACTGGCACAAATCTCTTCCTTGGCTCTTTTCCTTTCTTTCAGGCAGGACCCCTACTTTTAATTTGTCTTCCCTCCAGGTCCAGCTGTCACCTTCTTGAGAGACTCTAAATATACAACCCTTACTACGAACCTTTTTCTCCCTTTCTTGCATTTTTTTTTCTCAGTTGCCACAAAAAATTCTTCTGGTCTTTGTTCCAGTTTTGAGCTGAAAATGATCCCAACTGTGGTTGAGAAGCATAAGAATGCCTGTAATTATTCCTTCTAACAAGGAAAAGGAAACTCAATATATTTAGAGTCAAATTTAAATGATGTAAAATCAATTACAAAAACCTTTAAGGGGCCTAAAAGTCCCCTTTGGCATACTTTTTCTTGATAAAACCTGATTTTCCTCAAGCTCTACTCTTTGGGCAGTAACTTGCTGAAAATTATATCAATAGTAGTCTTTCTCTGTCTTCTTCATGTGATAAGGAAGTAGGAGAGAGGGTTGGAGGCACGTACAGGAAATAGGAGGGGAAAAGCCAGAAAAACCCTTACTTATTGACAATACCACAATTTCCTATATGTGCCAAAACAATATTGTCACTATATTCCTAAACACAGAATATCCGGCAATATCAGAGAAATATCTATAATAATTTCTACTTTAAAAATATAATAGTAATGGATATTTGTTGTAGCAAATATGTCATATGCCTTTTAGGTTAAATATACTTGTATACATCTTATTTGTAAGTGTTTATGTATTAAAATTGCCATCAGGCTGGGCGCGGTGGCTCATGCCTGTAATCCCAGCACTTTGGGAGGCTGAAGCGGGCGGATCACGAGGTCAGGAGTTCAAGACCAGCCTGGCCAAGATGGTGAAACCCCGTCTCTTCTAAAACTACAAAAATTAGCCAGGCATGGTGGCAGGCACCTTTAATCCCAGCTACTCGGGAGGCTGAGGCAGGGAATTGCTTGAACCTGGGAGGCAGAGTTTGCAGTGAGCAGAGATCGTGCCACTGCACTCCGGCCCAGACAACAGACTGAGACTCCATCTCAAAAAAAAAAAAAAAGTCATCATCCCAGTGTTTTTCCTCCACGATGTGCAAAATCTATAGAAAGAAGCATAAACATTGCTTCCTAATGTGATAGAAATACAGCTAATAATTGTAGGATCATTTGAATTAACAAAAGGCAACTATGAGTATTTTTTCTGAGTCCTATAGCTATCTTTCCTTTTTTTTCATCCTCTACATTTCAGGAAAAGCAATTGAAATGTACATTGTGGCAGTGTTTCTATTACATTCTAGAGCTATGAAAACACATGGATGGTTTTCAGGATGCAGCAGGAGGGTTCTACGTAAAACGTCGGTCCAGAGTTCAAACCCCAAACTAATAGTTTTGGATTTCCCCAAGTACTACCCACTTAATATGTCACCAGGAAAGACCCATCACACACATATATGGAAGGAAAAATTAAAGTTTCTCCTCCAGCAGGGGCTAGATGCTTGTGGTTTCTGTTTAAAAACTAGATGGTGGCCGGGCACTGTGGCTCACGCCTGTAATCCCGGCACTTTGGGAGGCCAAGGCGAACGGATTACCTGAGGTCAGGAGTTCGAGACCAGCCTGGCCAACATAGTGAAACCTGGTCTCTACTAAAAATACAAAAATTAGCCAGGCGTGGTTGCTCACACCTGTAATCCCAGCTACATGGGAGGCTGAGGCACAGAATTGCTTGAACCCAGGAGGCGGAGGTTGCAGTGAGCTGAGATCATGCCACTGCACTCCAGCCTGGGCAACAGAGTGAGACTTGGTCTCAAAAAACAAATAAATAAATAATAATTTAAAAAAACTAGATGGTACAATTGTGTTAAAAAAAAAAATCACCAGCGTTTTCAGCCTACGTTTATATCTACTTTTTTTTGGACCTGTGACCGATCAACCTTAAAAAGTTATATTATCTTCCAGCTTCCTCTGATTTACTTGTCCTTTCTTTGGAGGACTAAAATGATCATACTCTTTTTATTTCCCTACAATCAATCGAGCTATTTGGAATTTAAATGTTAGTGCTCCTTCCTTTATAAATTTGGTCGTGATTGATTTTATTTCTCAACAGGTACGTAGCTCATTATTTTATCCATTAATTATAGTTACTTTTTGTTTCCTTTGCCAATTTTGGGAGTGCTTAACAACTCTTAAGAACTGTTTCATTAACGAATTAGTAACCAATGTAAAATGCAGAATAAATAACAAGTTCAGTTGCCTTTATAGTCTTTAAGGTTTGCTTAGAAACTTTTAAATTATAATCAAGTTTTTTCTTTTCCTACCAAATATTGGCCAAAGTACAATTTATAAACAATATCATCAGCCAGTCAGGAAAACGAGCTAAATATTCCTTCTTCTCTCCACTTAATATGCTCTGTTCTCAATTATTATTTTGAATTTTTTTAGGAGGCTTTCGAAAGGCCTTTTTTCAGAAAAATTGTGAGTTTTGGGCAGCAACATGAATGATCAGCTTTAAATTGTTCATAGTCTTTGACCATGTTTAAGAATTATTCCTAAGACAACAACGCAAGGTGTTTTATTATAAAAGCAAGACTTCTCAACACAATGGTGTCTGCTAATAATAGAGAAACCAAGAAACAACTTAAAATGCCCAACAGAAATGTATAAGGTGATAAAGGTGACAAAGTGAGACCCTGTCTCAAAAAATATATACATATAATATTTGTATTTATAATATAAAAAGGCCTATATATGTATTCTTATACATGAATTCAGAATATGGAGGTAAATAAATATGTTAGAAATTATCTAGTGTGTGATAAGATTACATGATTTAAAATGTTTTTCATTTTTTCCTGTCTTTTTTATAAGTAGCATATATTGTTTGTATATAAAAAAGGCCAATAATCCTTATTAACAGAATGTCAGTTTTTGGTGTGAGGTTAATAAAGAAATTAGTTAAAATGATTCTGACATGAGAGTTTTTTCTGACATTTTGAAAGAAACCTAATGCTTTGAAAGCCCTAAGTCTATAATTAAATTGTATCTAATAAAATTTAGAGGCTCTTTAGATTTAGAGGGATTTTGAGTTTCTCAAAGCATAGAAAACGACTTTTAGTGAGAGATGTTGGAATTATCAGTTAAGTTTGTGAGTGGTTTCTGTTTTTAAAATATGAGATAATTAGCATTAGCTAGTATCAGGCTTTAAGCAAAATATAAAATATTCAAGTGATGAATACAGACGATTATTTCTACATTTTAACCTGTAAAAAGGTTCCCAAAGAGATTTTTTTTTCTTTTTTCTTTTAGTGAGACAGGATGTCACTCTGTTGCCCAGGCTAGAGTGCAGTGGCATGATGATGGCTCACTGCACCTTCCACCTCCTGGGGTCAGGTGATTCTCCCACCTCAGCCTCCCGAATTGCTGGGACTACAGGAATGCACCACCATGCCGGCTAAGTTTTGTATTTTTTTGTAGAGATGGGGTTTCACCATGTTGCCCAGACTGGTCTTGAATTCTTCAAGCATATTCACCCACCTCGGCCTCCCAAAGTGCTGGGATTACAGGCCTGAGCCATGGCGCCCAGTCAAGAGATCCTTTAAGAAGCACATTTTCCTTATGCATCTTAAATATTCAATTAGAAAAGAATTGACTTTCAAATATTTTGAAAGACATATCTTCTAGGTAAATCATAAATATATTCATTCTGTGTAAAGTAGGAAAATAAAGGAAAATTACCTTGTATCTTTTCATGGCCATTTCTCTACACAGTAATACCAAATATCTAAAAGTTTGTTAATTCAAAATGCCAAATATTAGTTGGAATATCATATAACTCTTTGAAAAGTTGATTCGTTTAGTGAAAAAGACTTTTCCTCTTAAACGGAGTGAAATCTCGTGTCTGATTTGTGTAATATTCCTGATTACATTGTGTGCGTGTGTGTGTGTGTGTGTGTGTGTGTGTGTGTGTTTCTGTGTTTCTTTCCGGCTTGGTTTAACAATAATTCATGATCATAAGAGGACAGCTATTGCTTGTAATGAACCCAGCTGATCAATGAACAATGCTTTGTATAACAATTGTGTAATTGAAAGTGATACAATACCTACCAACGGGGACTTAAAGCAACCAGGATTCATTTCTCCACGTAACAGGAATTCGGAGGTCTGCGTTTCCGGCCCTGGGCCAATGGCTCAATAAGACTGCCTGCCATTTTGTTGTCTTTTGTCATGGCTGCACGATGATTGCTGCAGCTTCTAGCCATGTACTCCATTCAAGACGCACGGGAAGGTTGGGGTGGAAAGGAGGATGAGTTGGCAGTGGTTGTCTCATTTTCCAGGAAACCAAGAATTTTCCCGGAGGCCTCCCAGATATCAGCTTCCGTGTCATTGGTAGAACTAGGTTACACAGCCACTCCAGCTGCCGTGAAGGTGGGAAACAGGAAATAGACTTATTATTAACAATTCCCTTAGAGCATACATTCCTAACAGGCAGGGTGGGTGGGTGTGGGGAACATGGTGGAGAATAGGGTGAGGGTTGTGGTGGGGCGTAGATGGGGTGGTGCTGTTGATATCATCCCTTAAGGGAAGGATATTGCTTTTGTGGGAGGGAAAAGGCAGGAAAAATATCCCACTCTATATGTATAAAGCACAGTTATACATACAGCATATATGCAGACATATAATTTGTCTATGGTATTAAAATTTCATGCATGGGGCAATTAGGAAAAAAGCGTCTAAAAATGCTCTTAGGGAGATGATGTTGAAAAAAAGTTGAGAAATACTGGGCTAGACCAAACATGATCCATTGCCTGAAGCTTACGTATTATCTATTACTGATGACAAAGAGAGGCACAGGTATGGAGTGGCAAACTAACAATGCGTGCCGTAGAGAATGTCATACATTAAATTAATGAACAGCTTACTTTATGTTGTAATTGTTGTTGGTCTTCTCTCATTGTACTGTAAACATCTTAAAAGTGGGAACTGTGTCTTATTTCGATGTATATCTTTGTATATTAGCACACTAGTCCCTCAAGAGGTATGTTTTGTAAGTTGAATGGAACAAACAACATTTTATTTAACATATACTTTATTTCTATTTTTTTTAAATTTTATTTATTTATTTATTTTGAGACAGCCTCTCTCTTTCTCACCGAGGCCAGAGTGCAGTGGTGCAATCTCAGCTCACTGCAACCTCTGCCTCCTGGGCTCAAGAGATTCTTGTGCCTCAGCCTCACAAGTAGCTGGGATTACAGACGTGTACCACCATGCCTGGCTAATTTTTTTGTTGTTGTATTTTTAGCAGAGACGGGCTTTCACTATGTTGGCCAGGCTGGTCTTGAACTCCCGGCCTCAAGTGATCCGCCTGCCTCGGCCTCCCAAAGTGTAATGTTGATTATTTTTAATGGCAAAAATGAAGTGATGCAGGAAGACATTTAAGCGTCATAGGTGATGTCTTGGGGGTAGTTTCACAGGATTTTTAGCGAGCTGTTTGATTGCTCTTATGTGGATGGTACAAAGACCAAAAGAGGTTTTGCAAACAGTGGAGTCATAAATGATTGTGCATGAGATAATTAGTTCTGATAGTTCCGTTAGTTTGTTTGTAAGAGATGAAAAGGAAATAAAATGGAAAAAGAGAGAAGATTTGTTTTGTTTTGTTTTACTTTTTAGCTGGATTGTTTTTTCTGTGCCTAAGCTGCTTCAGTTGTAAAATGGGAATTATAATGTCAAAATCCTTCCTTCTCGAATTGTGATGGTCAAATGAAAAGCTGTCTGAGAAAGCTGCCCCGAGCTGTCTAACAGTATTCCTCCAGCTGGACTATGCTTCTGAGTCATCCGATGCTTTAAAAATACATCTTCCCAGGAAAACATTGTAAACAACTCCCAGGGTACATAATGATTTAGATGATTAAATTTGGAGGCTGCCCTGACTTCACTACCCTGGGCCTCAACTGCTTTATAAATTATGAATACAGATACTTCCTAGGACTGTAGGGTGGATAGCAAATGAAGCGAATTAACTGCCAAATCCTTCCTTAACATCTTCGTTATGATCAATATTATGAACCTAGGCAATCTTCATCCATACATTGGACACTTGACCTTGGGATGGATTAGACTTCCTCAGTTTCCTTTGTCCTCTGTGCAAAATCTAGAATATTGCCAGCCTATCGTCAGAGTGCAACACGTTTGAGGAATTATTGCATGATTGATATTGTTGAGAGTTCAGATTAATGTCACTTCAGATAATCCACAGATGACATGGAAAACTGGTGGGCTACCGGTGCTATTTGAAGTCAACGAGGGCTTGCACTTAGCTGGGAATGGGCGAGAGAATAGGATTAATGCCCAGGAAGATATATCTTCTGATCCTCACCTCTCTTTTGTATATAGGTGATTTTTTAAAAAACTTCCTTCTCCTCCAATCAAAACTGGCTTTGAGGAAAGAATGGGACTGGATGCACATTTGTGTAAACATGCTAATGGTAAAAAAAAGTCTTTACCTTTCAGGGATATTTGCATTTCAACAAAGTACCAAACCTCAAGAGAAAGGGCTGCTCCAAGGATGGAAGATATATTTGGTAGGGAGAGGACTTTTTATCACCCTTGATTCACTCCATGTAAGCAGGGACCTTCTGGTAAGATGCTCCCTGATGGGGACTTGTTGGATGCTGGCCGTGCCAGCTGGCTGAAACCCCCAGGGTCAGACTTCCTTGCAGGGGATCCTTATCATGTGGATGGCAGCCACTGCTGATAGATTGGGGAACTGCTTCCTTTGCCATCTCCCTATAGGGAAGGTTCCCCTAAACTGAGTCCCTAATAATCTCAGAGCGAGACGTGTGCTGTGGGGATCTTATCATCTTATCAGATTTTTCTAAACTATAGTCCTTCTTAGAAGTGAGAGGCCCAGAACACTCTACTTTATGCAGGAATAGCAGAGATGACTCATGGTTGGGAAGACACTAGAATTCAGCCAGGAGAATATCATTAAAAGAGGGAGAAGGGAAAACAGACTTTTTGTGTGGTACAAAAACAAAACCCTCTGTATCATTATGTGAACAACGGTGCAAAAAAGAGGAGACACAGTTTACCCATGGGTAGCTAACTATGATAGTGAAAGTTGCCTTGAACCTTGTTTTAGAAAAATGGCAAGTGTGGGTCTCACTCTTCTAGTTCCTGACTTCTCTCTCTCTCTCTCTCGTTTCTCTTTTTTTTTTTTTCTCTCTCTCTCTCTCTCACACACACACCCATCTTGGGCCAGGTTTGTAAAGCCTCATGGGAAATGGAACACGGAAGAGTCTTCTGGGAGGTTTTAAAATTTAATTTTAGTCAGATTTAGTAAGATTTCTTCATACAAAACAAAACAAAAATTCTCTAAAAAAAATCCTTGTTAGGGTCTGGTTAAGACAACTAATAACAACAGATGTGAGGGCATAGTTCCTAGTTACCAAAGAATCGCTCTGGTGAGAGAGGAGTGGAGGCAAAAATTCCAGATGGTACCTGGGTAGCGATTGCACTCAGATGGGTCATCTGAGGACAGCTGCCCTAGACCGCTGCTCCTGAGCCTCTCCATTGTAATTTTCCTTCTTCTAGTTCCTTTTTAAAAATTTTTCTTTTTTGTTGAGATAGAGTCTTGCTCTGTCTCCCAGGCTGGAGTGCAGTGGCATGATCCCCAGTCACTGCAACTTCCGCCTCCCAGGTTTAAGTGATTCTCCTGCTCAGCCTCCTGAGTAGCTGGGATTACAGGTGTGTGCCACCACGCCCGGCTAATTTTTGTATTTTTAGTGGAGACAGGGTTTCACCATGTTGGCCAGACTGCTCTCAAACTCCTGTGCTCAAGTGATCTGCCCGCCTCAGCTTCCCAAAGTGTTGGGATTACAGGTGTGAGCCACTGTGCCTGGCCTAGTTCCTTTATTTTAAAAGCTTAAATGCATGAAGCATACAGTACTGTGAAGACTTGCTTGATGTGATGCAGGTTCCTTAATCTCCTCCTTTGCTATTTGGTTCGCAGATGGTGGTACGGGTGGCACTTTGGGGAAGGCGGGGCGGAAGGAAGCTTTCTGATGAATGTTTGCACAGTATACGAGAAGGTTACAAGATATGGGCATCATGCACAGGTGGCGAGGTGGTTAGAGAAAGGTAGATGGTGTTTGGGGATTACCCTCTGGTACATTTCAATTCACTTTGGGGTTATGAGATTTCAGAAGGTTAGCTAATGCTTACGTCCTGGGGTGGGCTCTTTTGTATTTCTTTGTTGTCTCTTTTTTATTTTTTAGAGACAGAGTTTTACTATATTGCCCAGACTGGTCTCAGACTCCTGGCCTCAAGCGATCCTCCCACCTCAGCCTCTGAGTTACAATTGTCTCTTGAAAGTAATTTCAGGTAGGCTTGGGGCTACCAAGGCAAGCCTAGGGAAGCCTACTACATGAAGAGGATTAGAGTCCTCTGGAGAAGTTGGATTCATATGAAGAGATACTAATCAGAAAGTTGGGAGTTAGTCATCCATGGAAAACAGGCATGTTTGAGAATCATATTCTGGCAGTGCCCATCCATGCATTATCAGTGGAGAGAGAACCTTGGCTAATGGACTTCCCCAGTTTTGATCCCATGGATAAGACCATGGGGGAGAGGGTAAGGCTTAGGCTAATGCATATTCTTGGATCATTCAGTCACCTCCTTCCACTCTGAGTCCCTGTTGACCAGGGAATGTCTTGGTGTCATAGCTTGGCTTTCCAATGGCTCTCCCCGTGGGGAAAGAATACACAGGCTGTGTTGATGGTATTCTAGTCCTGACGAGAGCTGCGTTTCTCATGGTCAGCAAATGAATTGGCATCCGATATATAAGCAAATCTTGTGACTGTAAAGTCATATACTTTCTTGTTAGTTGAGGGAATCAGATTTCTGAGGGTAAGAGGTGAAGCCAAGAACATGGCAAATTCATTATCTTGATAAAAACTACCCGGTAAGGCTGCCCATTTTCTTTCAAACTGCAACACCATATGTCCAGCGAGGTTCCTCTTACGAGACATCAGGGGTATCAGGAGTGGGTGCCAAGCTGGAGTCCTGAGAATGAGGGAAATAGGAGACCATGAGTTTTGAGCACCACCGCAATTTCTCTTCTCCTTTTGTCCCTCTTGCTTTAGGTAGTAATGCATGCCTTAAGATAATAAAAGGTCTGTCTTTGTGGGCTCTTCATTGCCATAGAAAAATGATTGGTATGAGTTTCCCAAGGCCTCGGATAAAAATATTTCTTCAGAGAGGGTTTTGAAAACTTATGCCAGTTACCTGGGTGGACTCCAATCTTTCAAGCACTGTGTGTCTTTTCCTGGTCCTCCCTCGCTCCCTCCTTCCTTTCCTTCCTTCTCTAAACAGAGTCTAAGGTAATGCCCCTCTCCAGTTTCTTGGGATAGGGAAGGGGGTGGAATTACTTCTGACTCACCCTTACCCTTATGGTGTACCCTTTGGGGTTCTGGCTAAAATATATGTATTGGGAAGTGGGACGCAGTGGCTCACGCCTGTAATCCCAGCACTTTGGGAGGCCAAGGCGGGTGGATCACTTGAGGTCAAGAGTTCAAGACCAGCCTGGCCAACACCCATCTCTACTAAAAATGCAAAAATTAGCCTGGTGTGGTGGTGCATGCCTGTAATCCCAGCTACTCAGGAGACTGAGGCATGAGAATCGCTTGAACCTGGGAGGTGGAGAGGGTGGTGAGCCAAAATCACGCCACTGCAGTCCAGCCTGGGTGACAGAGCGAGACTCTGTATCAAAAAACAAACAAATAAGTAAAATATATATATTGGGGTCCATTAGTTTTTCCACCCTGGGTGGACTCTGACCTTTGACTTCTGTCATCCTTGCCCCATGAAGCCATCGGAACTGCAGCTCGTTTTCCGCTTTTTCATCGCCATTTCTTTCAGCTGACAAATGCTGTTTACCTCACTGGCTTCTCCTTTATTCTTAGGTTTTGGCCTGACAGTTGCTATTTTTTTTTTTTTTTTTAGCTCTTTGATACTTTTAAGAAAATGGTTTTTAGGCCATGCACAGGGGCTCATGCTTGTAATCCCAGAACTTTGGGAGACCGAGGTGGGTGAATTGCTTGAGCTCAGGAGTTTGAGACCAGCCTGGCCAACATGGTGAAACCCCGTCTCGATTAAAAATACAAAAACTAGCCGGGCGTGGTGGCAGGTGCCTGTAATCCCAGCTACTCCAGAGGCTGAGGCAGGAGAATTGCTTCAACCCGGGAGGCAGAGGTGGCAGTAAGCCGAGATCGCACCACTGCACTCCAGCCTGGGCGACACAGTGAGACTCCATCTCAATAAAAAAAAAGAAACAAAAAATAAAAACATAAGGACTTTTGACAAAAATATGATTCTTTAGGCAAGAGGTTTATTTCTCTAAGTGTCAGTTTCTCTGAAAACTTTGAGGATTGGATTGGATATAAATTTCCCCAAGCACAATGTGTGTACCAATGGTGGGAAACAAGATCTTTTTAGGGCAAGCATTTAAAAAATGTTTTTAGTAGGTATATGTTTCTTTGAATGTTTTCAGAAAAAAATTATAAGTGACAATCAAATCTATGATTTCATCTATTTAATTGCTTAGGACAAGGCCATATGAGTTCACTTAGAGTTGATTTTTAAAACATACCACATAAATGATAGTTCAAATATGGTTATCAGATGACTGAAATTTGGGGGCAGGATTAGAAGATGATCTTTCAGATTTTGACTAACTTGACTATTCTGGTCTCAATGACGAAAGGAAACAAGTTCCCATAAGTCATTACAGTGGAATCCAATGATATTATCCAAGAAACCAATATTCCTAGGATCTTAGTTCTCCTAGAAATCTTTCTAGCATGCTGAGCAGGATGGGTTGGACACAGTCCAAATCACTGGAATATTACAAATTTAAAAAATTGTTTTGAGTGGTGTGTGAAAGAGACCTGCTCTGAGGACTTCTAGAATGAGTGAGAAGGGAACTTACAGACCTACTGAGACTTGCTCCTCTGTCAGATGTGGCAGGAGGGTCGGGGTCTTGGAGTTGTTCAAGTAATTTCATCAGTTAGGGGTTAATCCTGACCCAGGATCCAGTCCTGCTGGGCCATACTTTCTTAAAGTGACTATCCAGTGACACTAGCAAATGTTACCTCTTCCCGGGAAGAAATGACAGGATGTGTTTGTATTTTCTTTTACAAAGGATCATGCGATTTTATTTTTACTTTTTTTTTGTTATAGAAGTGGTATATGTCTGTGAAGGAAACTCAGAAAACATAGATAAGCACACACAAAAAATTTGTAATTGCACCAGTATGAGCATTGTTAAAATCTTAGTATAGTTTCTTACTTTTTTCCTCTCTCTATTTTTACTAAAAAATCAGGATTACGTTGCACATACCGATTTGAACTTGCCTTTCTTTGATCCATATAACAATGTTGTCACATACTTTTCCCCACATTATTAAATATTGTTCTACAATAGTAAGGAATTCAATGATAAAAGAGGCATATTGTCTTCCTCCCACCTTATACAAGTTATTTTGTGTGGCAGCTTGACTTGTATTTTAGAAGTAGAGACAAATTAAGGCAAAAATAAATAGAAATGGCAAATTAATTCCACAAGGAGTGTGTTTTCTGAAAGTCCCTGCTGCTAGAAACGGAATTAGGATTATGCCTCCTGGTTTCAAACATGTCGATAATAGCTGTGTGTGCTACTCGAGTGGCGTCAAAGATGGATGTCCAACTCCATATTGGAGCTGTGGGTAACCTAGTGACAGCCACAAATCACCCTTCTAAGAGCAGATGGTCAGGGAGCACCTTTCCAGTTTAGAGCATATACCAGTTGCTCTCCTGATGGACATCTGGTCCATGATATTTGACTGTTTTAAGGTATGGAGTGCTTTGTACAAGGTACAAAACTTCTGTCCTTGGTATGAACATTTGGGAGGCAAGTGAGTGATAATGACCCACGGCTGCCTTTTTGTCCGGCAAAGCACGAGGATGCTTTGGAGAACGGAAGGATTTCATCGAGTCCAAAGGACACTCACCTCTAGGCCTCTCAGCCTCCTTGGCCACGTGGTTGTTCTGCTACTGAGAGTCTGCAGATGAGCTGGTGGTTTCTCCAAGCTTCCGAGAGCTCTCTCAGGTATTTATTATATGCACGTTCTGTCTACAATGACCAGTGGACTCTAAACTGGGCTGGAACATGTTCCCAGGAAAACATGCCCAAATTCTGTTCTACCTTGTGTAAATCTAAGACAGGGGCTACTGAACACAGTCTTGGAAATCAGACACGTGCTAGGGCCCCCTGTGCTTAGCTCGGCTAATGAGCCCAGGCTGAGGGCTTTTTTGCAGGCATGCCAAAAAATGCAGGGCCAAGGCTGGGGGTGGAGAGGTAAGGCTAGGGAAGTCAAGGAAGGCATGAGGAACAGCTTGGGAGGGGAAAAAGTTCATCTGGTGGCAGGAGCTTTAGGCTCTCTCTGCTCCTTCACCCTTTTCTCTGTTCAAATCTGCTCTCAAGGCAGCATGTGATATTGATGGTTCACAGAAACATGAACTACCAGCCTTGGAGGGGCCCTGAGAGCCCATCTAGTTCAATGCCTCATTTTGCGGATGAAAAAACAGGTTTGGAGTGGCTAAATGGCGTAAGCAAGGTCGTGTCACTAGGAGTAGAGCTGGGATTCAAGCCTGATGGTCAGTCCAGGGCTCTGATCACCACAAGCTGCCTCTATATACAGTATAGTGAGAAAGTCTCAACCACCACATTGACTCTTCATTTATATTTAATATTATATTTGTATTTTAAGATTGATCCATAATGGAAGGAATTGTTTAGTCCTGTACTAAAGGAATTTAGAAAGAGTTGGGTGACTCAATCTACTGATAAGGAAAAAGATTTACAATCTATTACTAAGTGAGAAAGGCATCATGGAGTACAGTATAGTATGCTGTAGTTTGTATATAAAAATGTGTGTGTGGCTGGGCGCGGTGGCTCACGCCTGTAATCCTAGCACTTTGGGAGGCCAAGGTGGGTGGATCACCTGAAGTCAGGAGTTTGAGACCATCCTGGCCAACATGGTGAAACTCCATCTCTACTAAAAATACAAAAATTAGCTGGGCATGGTGGCACATGCCTGAAGTCCCAGCTACATGGGAGGCTGAGGCAGGCGAATCACTTGAACCCAGGAGGCGGAGGTTGCAGTGAGCCGAGATCGCACCACTGCACTCCAGCTTGGGGACAGAGTGAGACTCCATCTCAAAAAAAAAAAAAAAAAAAGTGTGTGTGATAATTATACACATACATTCATATATATATGCATGTGGATTCATGTAATAATGTAATAGCTTTGGAAAAATGCATGAGAAACTTAGTCTGATGGTTGCGTCTGGGAAAATGGCCTGGGCACCATAGGAGGGAGGTATATTTTTCACTTTTATACTTTTAAAATGTTACTATAGGCATGTAATCACTATTCAAAAAATGTAAAAACATTTAAAGATGCCATGTGAGCTCAAATAAGGGAGAAATATATTGCTTATTGGGAAGGCCTCATACAAGAGGTAGCATCTGAGCTGGGCTCTGGGATGGGTAGAAGTTCACCAGGAAGAGCCAGGGCAGGAAAGCTTGCAGCAGCAGGATTGAAGCTGTCAAAGCAGGAAAGACCAGGGAGAGTGTCAGCAATGTTGCATAGTCTGGAGAAATTGCAGCAAAGTAGTATGCTGTTGTTTGAATATAAAAATGTGTGTGTAATTATTATATGCATTCGTACTTACAGCATGTGAATTTATGTAATAATGTAATAGCTTCAGAAAAATGCATGAGAAACTGCATTGGCTAGGTAAAGCAGGGACAGGGCCGAGGAGAAAAGTAAAGAGAGAGAACTCGGCTGGATGGAGGTTATCTTATACTTAATATGGCATAAAGGGCTTTTTACAAATTGGCCCCATTGTCCCTTTCCAACATCATCTTCCACCTGTGCTTCAGCCACCATAGCCAGCTGTCTATTCTCCAAATACCCACGTGCACACCTGGGCACCAGCCGCTTCCTCTGCCTGCATGCGGTCCACCAGTCCTATTTCTTTCTCTCCTCCAAGACCAAGTTCAAATGTTCCTCCTCTCCCCCTCCCCACCCCACCACCCTGGAAGATTTTAACACTCTGTCCTTAGTGTTCTCTTGGCATTTTGCATTTACCTTTATTATAGAACTTGGCTGTTTAAATTTTAATTTTTTGCAGGACGAACCGGAGAGTGAGGTCATTTATACGCAGAACATTGCGTCTCCTCTCTTTAATTTAGCATTTTATTCTCTGAGGTCCTAGCTATATGGTACTTTATGGTGATGAAGTACAGCCACACCATTCTGCCTTTGTGTGGCCATTGCATGACCTCTCCAAATGAAATCATTTCTTCTATAGAGAAAAAAAAGTGAGGATCAGAGACATTATTAACTAAGTAAAAAAAAAAATTTTTTTAACCTCTGGGCCTAGTCTAAACTACATTAACATTTTCTTTATTATCTTCTGCCCCATTAGGCTCCTTAAAAGTAGGCCTAGTTTAAAGACAATTAAAGGCAGATATTCTGTCCCTTTTTTTAGACTTCTATGGATTTGAAATGTCATGTTAATAGAACACTATATATGCGTAAGCAATGAACTGAACCATTAAAAAAGAATTTTGCTCTGGAATATCCTGGTAGTTTCAGGGTCATTATATATTTGTTTTGCTCAGTTTCTTGATCTTTCTGATCCTTAATCAGAAGCTGAGCATCTAAGGAAATATTTTATCCTATTGCTATGTATCTATAATATTATCTGTATAAAAAGTACATATGTCTATATTTCAAAAGAAGATTGAAAAAATTAAGAAAATCTGAATAAACTTGTGTTC
Organism: Homo sapiens; assembly: GCF_000001405.40. NCBI lineage: Eukaryota > Metazoa > Chordata > Mammalia > Primates > Hominidae > Homo > Homo sapiens. The sequence continues at coordinate 40,221,041 of NC_000004.12, forward strand.
TTAGATTATTCCTCTTTGTTCCTCTTCTCCCTTAGGCAATTGAGGGAGTAACTGCTATGTTCCTAGTACAATTTATTCTATAGAGGGACATGTGAAAGGTGAGCTGAGAATTCCCAGTAAATCTCGATTTACCCATCATTGCAGAGACCTTTCCTCTGCCTGGGCCAATGTCCTTCTCGGCAAGGGAAGATAGATCGCACCAGACAAAGTTTGGACATTTATCTTTCTACATAAATGGAAAACCCTTCCCAGATTGTTCAACTGGTTGCTTTTTTTCAGTTACTAATACAGGAATACCTCATTTGATTGCGCTCCACAGATATTGCATTTTACACAAACTGAAGGTTTGTGGCAACTCTGTGTTGAGCGAGTCTATCGGCACCATTTTCCCAACAGCGTATGCTCACTTCATGGCTCTGTCACATTTTGGTAATTCTCAAAATAATTCAAACGTTTTCATTATTATTGTATCTGTTATGGTCATCTGTGATCAGTGATCTTTGATGTTACTGTTGCAATTGTTTTGGGGCACGATGAATCATGCCCATATAAGATAGCAAACTTAATGGATAAATGTTGTACGTGTTCTGACTGCTCCGGCTGTTCCCCCACCTCTCTTCCTCCCTTTGGGCCTCCCTATTCTCTGAGACACAATGATATTGAAATTAGGCCAGTTAATAAACCTATAATGGCCTCTCAGTGTTTAAGTGAAAGGAAGAGTCATGTGTCTCTCACTTTAAATCAAAAGCTAGAAATCATTAAGTTTAATGAGGAAGGCATGTTGAAAGCTGAGAGAGGCCGAAAACTAGGTCTCTTGCCAGTTAGCCAGGTTGTCAATGCAAAGGAAAATTTATTGAAGAAATGAAAAGTTCAACTCCTGGGAACACATGAATGATAAGGAAGTGAAACAGCCTTACTGCTTGGACAAAGCTTTAGTGGTCTGGGTAGAAGATCAAACCAGCTATACAATTTCTTTAAGCCAAAGACTAATCCAGAACAAGGCCCTAACTTGCTTCAATTCTATGAAGGTTGAATGAAGTGAGGAAGCTGCAGAAGAAAAGTATGAAGATAGCAGAAGTTGGTTCACTAGGTTTAAGGAAAGAAGCCATCTTCATAACACCAAAGTATAAAGAGAGGCAGCAGGTCCTGATGAATAAACTACAGCAAGTTATCCAGAAGATCTAGCTAAGGTCATTGATGAAGGTGGCTACAGTGTACAATAGAATTTTCAATGGAAACAAAATGGCCTTCTATTGGAAGAAGATGCCATCTAGGACTTTCACAGCTAGTAAGAGGTCAATACTTGGCTTCAAAGCTTCAAAGAACAGGCTGACTGTCTAGTTAGGGGCTAATGCAGCTGGTTGCTTTAAGGTAAAGCCAGTACTCATTTACCATTCCAACAGATCCTAGGGCCTTAAGAATTATGCTAAATCTACTTTGCCTGTGCTCTATAAATGGAACAACTAAAGCCTGAATGACAACACATCTATTTACAGCAATGTCTACTGAATAATTTAAGCCCACTGTTGAGACCTACTGCTCAGGAAAAAGATTCCTTTCAAAATATTACAGCTCATGGACAACGCACCTAGTCACCCAAGAGCTCTGATGGAGATGTACAAGGAGATTAATGCTGTTTTCATGCCTGTTAACACAATATCTATTCTGCAACCCATGGATCAAGGAGTCATTTCAACTTTCAAATCTTATTATTTAAGAATACATTTTGTAAGGCTATAGCTGCTATAGATAGTGATTCCTTTGATGAATCTAGGCAAAGTAAATTTAAAATCTTCTGAAAGGATCTACCATTTTAGATGCCATTCAGAACATTTGTGATTCATGGCAGAAGGTCAAAATAGCAACATTAACTGGAGTTTGGAAGAAGTTGATTCCAAGCCTCATGACTGACTTGAGGGATTTAAGATGCTAGTGGAGGAAGTAACTGCAGATGTGGTAGAAGGAGCAAGAGAGCTAGAATTAGAAGAGGAGGCTGAAGGTGGGACTGAATGTCTGTAATCTCATGTTAAAATTTAATGTATGAGGAATTGCTTCTTACAGATGAGCCAAGAAAGTAATTTCTTGAGACAGAATCTACTTCTGGTGAATATACTGTGAAAACTGTTGAAATGGCAACAAAAGATTTAGAATATTACATAAACTTACTTGATAAAGCAGTGGCAGGGTTTGAGAGGATTAGCTCTAATTTGCAAGAAGTTCTGCTGTGGATAAAATGCATTTCATGCTACAGAGAAATCTTTCATGAAAGGAAGAATCAATCAGTGTGGCAAACTTCATTGTTGTCTTATTTTAAGAAATAGCCACAGCCACTCCAACCTGCAGCAACCACTACCCTGATCAATTGGCAGCCATCAACATTGAGGCAAAAAGATTAGGACTTGCTGAAGGCTCAGATGATTGTTAGCTTTTTTTTTTTTTTTTTTTTTTTAGAGAGGGTCTTGCTCTGTTGCCCAGGCTGGAGTGCAGTGGTGCAATCATAGCTCACTGTAGCCTCCCGGAGTCAAGTGATCCTCCCACCTCAGCCTCCTGAGTAGCTGGGATTACAAGTGTGCATTACCATACCTGGCTAATTAAAAAAAAATTTTTATCTAGACAGAGTCCCATTGTGTTGTCCAGGCTGTATTGTTAGCATTTTTAAGCAATAAAATATTTTTAAATTAAGCCATGTATACTTTTAGACATCATGTATAGTGTAAACATAACTTGTTTTTTTTTTTTTTTTTTTTTTGAGATGGAGTTTCGCTCTTGTTGCCCAGGCTGGAGTGCAATGGCACGATCTTGGCTCACTGCAACTTCTGCCTCCTGGGTTCAAGCAATTCTCCTGCCTCAGCCTCCCAAGTAGCTGGGATTACAGGCATGTGCCACCATGCCTGGCTAAGTTTGTATTTTTAGTAGAGACAGGGTTTCTCCATGTTGGTCAGGCTGGTCTTGAACTCTCGACCTCAGGTGATCTGCCTGCCTCGGCCTCCCAAAGTGCTGGGATTACAGGCTCGAGCCACTGCTCCTGGCCAACATAACTTTTATGTGCACTAGGAAACAAAAAAAACTGTGTGACTCACTTTATTGCAAGATTCACTTTATTGCAGTGGTCTGGAACTGAACCCGCGATATCTGTAAGGTATGTCTGTATATCATACCCTTCCTGGGCAATACGAACAGGCTGACCTAATTCCTTCTAATGCTGAGTGGATTCTATCGAATGGATATGGCATAATTAATTTAACCCCTGCGTCTTAATGGACCTTTCAGATCTTTCCAGTTCTTTTTTTGCTGTCGTGAATAATGTAGCAATGGAAATTCTTGCATATCTTGACTACTTGTGTAGACACATCAGTACAACGTGTTGAAAGAATTGGAATTGCTGGATTAAAAGGTCTCCGCATTTAAAAGTTTAATAGATACTGGCAAGGACTTAAAGGATGGAGTGGTGCAAGGGGTCCCCCCTAAGTACAGGAAGTAAGGGGGTATATCATTTATATAGAATTTTAAAACAGTAATAAAACCAGTGTGGGTCTGTTTTTTATTATCACCATGCGCTGGCAGTGAAAAAGTCAGAGTAAGTTCTTAATGGTGTGTACAGCTTTCACTAGAGCTTTGGGGCCAAGTTGCATCTTCAGCTTCTATGGCACAGCATAGTCCTGAGTTTAAGCTGCAGATTAGACATAAACAATGATAGCACAGTGATTGTAGAAACCCCGGAACAGAACTCGAGTTACCTCAATTCCGTTATTCTCTCAGAGTTTTGTATTTAAATTTGAAACAACAAAGGAGAATGCAAACTACAAAGTATAATTAATGCTGATTGGTAAGTGCAAGTTTTAATTCATACATGAAATATCTTACTGAATTATTGTTATTATTTTTTAGAGACAGGGTCTCACTTTGTCATCCAGGCTGGAGTGCAGTGTTGTGATCATGGCTCACTGCAGCCTTGATCTCCTGGGCTCAAGCCATTCCCTGTCTCAGCCTCCTGAGTAGCTAAGGCTACAGGTACATGCTACCATGCCCAACTAATTAAAAGAACTTTTTGGTAGAGATGTTTGTTCATTTTTGTTTTTTGTTTGTTTGTTTTCAGACAGTCTCACTTTGTCACCTAGGCTGGAGTGCACTGGCGAAATCGGCTCACTGCAACCTCCACCTCCCAGGTTCAAGTGATTCTCATATCTCAGCCTCCCAAGTAGCTGGACTTACAGGCATGCACCACCACACCCGGCTAATCTTGCTGTGTTTCCCAGGCTGGTCTCAAACTCCTGGCCTTGAGCAATCCTCCTGCCTCGGCCTTCCAAAGTTCTGGGATTATAGATGTCGGCCAGTACACCTGACCTGAATGATTTTTTTAAAGTTCAATTAAAAAAAAAAGTAACTTGTTTCTTTTAAAGCTAAAGAAGGAATAAAAAATAAACAGTCTGTTCCTGATTCTTACGCATTGCTAGGAAAATAATTTTGTCACCTAGAGGAGAGAGGTTGATAGATGATCAGTTGTGGGTGTCAAATACACGAAGGACGCCGCTGGATTCTGTTCAAGTGCGCTCTGCAAAGATGGTGGTCTTCTGCTCATCAAATGGTGTGTGAGAGTGTCTGACTGAGGAAGAATCTTTAAAATGCTGTAAGAAATCAGGCTTGTAGTAAGAAGGAAATCACCCACCAGCAGAAAAATGTATTTCCGGCCTTTCTTCCTCACCCTCTGCCACTGTTTTAGGATTGCTCAGTTTCATCAAGGTTTGAAGGATAGGCAGGCTCTCACTAAGAGAGAGGTAGGGAGAGGGGAGGTAGAGACCTATGAATGGGCTCAGAGGCTGGACTGCCAGAGTCTGAACCCCAGCATCTCTTCTCATTAGCTTGTCATCTTGGACAAGGTACTTTACTTCTCTGTGCCCTAGTTCCCCCAGCTGTAAAAATGAGACAAAAATGATATTGACCACATGCAGTCTTGTTGTAATGATTAAAGGAGGTAATTTTTATAAAGCACTTCAAACAGCGTCTGGCAAATGTGTTTATTGTTATCCTTATCTGCTAAGGGCCAGGCATTCATCTAGGCATGGGAGATAGATTCTTTTCAGTTGCCTTAAAAAAAAAATCCTGCAAACGATGCATGATTAATTCACATTTTGCAGTTGTAGTTATGTGACTTGCCCAAGGTTATACTGCTGCTCAGCAAGGGAGATGAAAATCTAACCGTGACTGTCTGGGTGCGGTGGCTCATGCCTGTAGTCCCAGCACTTTGGGAGGCTGAGGCGGGCGGATCACCTGAGGTCGGGAGTTCAAGACTAGCCTGACCAACATGGAGAAACCCCATCTCTACTAAAAATACAAAATTAGCTGGGTGTGGTGGCGCATGCCTGTTATTCCAGCTACTTGGGAGGCTGAGGCAGGAGAATCGCATGAACCCAGGAGGTGGAGTTTGTGGTGAGCCGAGATCACGCCATTGCACTCCAGCCTGGGTAACAAGAGTGAAACTCCATCTCAAAAAAAAAAAAAAAAAAAGAAAAAGAAAAAAATATCTAACCGTGACTGTCAACTCCACAACATGGGCCCTTTGCAAACAATTGCATATCGGCAGCCTTACACACTGAAACTAAAACTAAATCACCTCACTCCTTCCAGTGCTCTGGGCTGCATATCCAGAACAAATTATTAAATGCCTTGACTTCTTTTATAGCTTAAGCAATCTGCAAGTTAAGGGGTTATCCTACTTCTAGAGAATGCTGGAAAGCTTAATGATTTCTCCTAAAAAGAGATGATCCATCTCGAAGGAAGTGGATGAGAAAGGGAACAGGTGTTTAAAAAGTATTTTTATATTAAAACTGGGAGCTGTGGCTGGGTGTGGTGGCTCACGCCTGTAATCTCAGCACTTTGGGAGGCCAAGGCAGGTGGATCACTTGAGGTCAGGAGTTCGAGACCAGCCTGGCCAACATGGCGAAATCCCGTTTCTACTAAAAATACAAAAATTATCCGGGTGTGGTGGTGCATGCCTGTAATTCCAGCTACTCGGGAGGCTGAGACACGAGAATCACTTGAACCTGAGAGGTGGAGGTTGCAGTGAGCCGATCTCGCCACTGCACTCCAGCCTGGGTGACAGTGAGACTCTGAAAACAAGCAAACAAAAAACAAAAACAAAAACAAACAAAAAACATTGACAGCTACCTTTTGAGTAAAAAGCCATCAGTACACAATAAAATCTTTCTGTGGGAAAAAGGCAAAGAAATAAAGGTTGCTACTGTGTGAATAATTTGGCATGTCTATCTAGCTATATGAGCATTGTGCTTAAAATATTAAGGAAATTAAGTATGGGCTATACAATGTAGGCATAATGTGTATCTGAAAAAATCCTGTGTAGATGGAAAGTGTGCTGACTCAGCTGGTTCAGTTTCTGGGCCTCGTGTGGGCCCCCAGCAGCTTAACCACTTCTCTCAAGTCCTTGGTTTCCTCATGGGAGAAATGAGTATGTTGAATTAGATGACCTTTCAGGCATCTCATCATGCTGAGTTTTTTTTCCGCAGCAGGGAACATGCTACTTTACATTCTGTTTAGGGTTTGCTCAGTGAAGGGGGAGTACCAGGAATCTGGGGAATTCCCAGAATACCTGGGCACTATATATATATATATATTTGCAACACATTTAATCATAAAAGATTAATATCCTTAATCTCTAAAAGGATTTTAAAAGTCATTAAGAAACAATGACCGTCTTGCTGGAAAAGTAGGTAAAACTGATGACTTACAAAAGAAAAAATATATGTTGTCAAGAAACAGATGAGAAAATTTTAATCTTCACCAGTTGTAAATGAAATGCAAATGAAAACAAGTCAAACTTGCAAATATTATACCCAGTGAGAGTTGATAGAGAGATGCAGTGATAGGCCCATACATGGAATATAAATTGGTTCAATTTTTTATCTCTTCTGTTCCAGCAGTTGCTCTCATATCTATTTATCCTAAAGAAATAATCATATATTTATATTAAAAATATTCACTCAATGTTGCTATAGTGAAAATAAGGAATTATTAAACTATCCAACAGTAGGCAATTGGTTAAATAAATGATGCTATATTTACATAATGAAATTTTATGCAGCCATTTTCTATGTCAAGAATCTTGACATAGAATGTTAAATTAAGACCTAAATGTTAAATTAAGAAAAACAAGATGCCAAACTGCATATAAAGTATGGTATTCTTAGTTTTGGAAAAAAATGATGCACTGAATAAAAAACCCCAGAAAAATGTATGCTAATATTTTACAGCTTTTGGTTCTAGGTGGTAACTGATTTTTATCTTCTTTGGATCAGTGTTTTCGAAATGTTCTATAATGTGTATGTACTACTTTTATAATCAGAAAATAGGATATATAGAAATGGTCTGGAAAAAATGAGGAGAGAAGTTACAATAGGGAGGTCATCTTCAATCTGTTTGGACCAGCAAGTAAAAGCAGGAAATGCTGTCCACCACCAATGGCTTAAATATGTGTGTTGGATGGTGGTGGTGGTTGGTGGTTCTGGGGTTGGGGATGGGGGGAACCTTGAGATGTGATGGTTTTCTTAGTCAGAGATGGTGCTTTACAGCTGGGAAGTATCTTGAACTTGGTGGAGGTCTATCCAGACATCAGGCAGATTTCATATTTTCACAGACAAAGGCTACGTTTACGTCTAAGGGGAAAACACAAAATACTAAGATAGAAACCTCCAAAGCCCCCTCACCTTTTCAGACAACAAGAACCCCCAGGGCAGAGGGTCTTCCTCACTCTCAGAGTTACTTTGACTTCTCATCTGGTTTCGTGTGGGTAATGCATTTTCACTCTTGAGTTTCTTTTCTTTTTAAGGTATTTTCATTATGACGTTTGTTCTTTTGCAAAGAGCTAATTCTGCAGAATTCTACCCAGGGAGGGCCGAGGGAAGTTAGTGAAGGTAACGATACCAGTTAGAAAGTTGAGTTTGGGTCATCTCAGGGGCCTCCTTTGGCCTCCTTTGGCTTATGTTCTAGAGATGGCCCTTACTTCCCAGGAATAGATAGTGATGTCTTACTGAGTTGCAGGTAGAGTCTGTATTGAAGCGCAAGATTTTCTTCCCTGACTTGTCTGGGAATCCTTACCCAGGACTGTGGCTTTCCTCTTCCATATCCCTCCACCAGGAGGCAGGCTCTAAGCCTCTGTGCTGTCATCCTTTTGCCACTTCCATGAACATGCCTTCAAATACTTGAAAAAGTCACTATAGCGTAAAGTATACTTTTCTCTTTTGGTGATGCTTTTCTGCATTTTCTCTATAACCAGAGAGTAAGAATAAAACTACAGCTTGGGACCTGGCGCGGTGGCTCACACCTGTAATCCCAACACTTTGGAAGGCTGAGGAGGGTGGATCACCTGAGGTCGGGAGTTTGAGACCAGCCTGACCAACATGGAGAAACCCCGTCTCTACTAAAAGTACAAAATTAGCTGGCATGGTGGCACATGCCTGTAGTCTGAGCTACTCGGGAGGCTGAGGCAGGAGAATCGCTTGAACCTTGGGGGTGGAGGTTGCAGTGAGTTGAGATCTTGCCATTGCACTCCAGCCTGGGCAACAAGAGTGAAACGCCATCTCAAAAAAAAAAAAAAAAAGAAAGAAAGAAAACAAAAGCCCCCACGCTTTAAAACTTTTAACACGAAAAGTTTTGAAGCTACACCAAAGAGGAGAGAATAGGCTAATATACCCCTGTATACCCACCACTCAACCTCAATAGTTCTTAACACTTTTCCAATCTTACTTTATCCATTGTTTTTGCTTGTTTTCTGGAATAATATAAAATAAATCCCTGACATCTTATTGATTTTCCTCATCAATACATCAACATCTCTATCAGATAAGGGCCTTAAAATACAATTGACAAATTGATTGATAAATAAGGACCTGACAATACAGTTATCACCTAACAAAATTAGCAATAGTTCTTAAATGTCATCTAATACCCAGGCCATATTCATATTTATTTGAATATCTAAAAGAATATAAAAAGGACTTCTTTTTTTTTTGAGACGGAGTCTCACTCTGCCATCCAGGCTGGAGTGCAGTGGCACGATCCCCCCTCACTGCGACCTCTGCCTCCTAAGTTCAAGCGATTCTCCTGCTACAGCCTCCTGAGTAGCTGGGATTATTAACCACCATGACGGGCTAATTTTTGTATTTTTAGTAGAAACGGGGTTTCGCCATGTTGGCCAGGCTGGTCTAGAATTCCTGACCTCAAGTGATCCACCTGCCTTGGCCTCCCAGAGTGTGTGAATACAGGTGTGAGTCATGGCACCCGGCCTGGACTTTTTTGAGTCCAGGCCTCCCTCTGTTGTCCAGGATGGAGTGCAGTAGTGTGATCTCAGCTCACTGCAGCCTCTGCCTCCCAGGTTCAAGCGATTTTCCTGACCCAGCCTCCCGAATAGCTGGGACTACAGGCACAGGCCACCAGGCCCAGCTAATTTTTTTTGTCTGTGTTTTTAGTAGAGATGGGGTTTCGCCATGTTGCGGCTAGTTCAAGACTATCCGCAACATGGCAAAACCCCATCTCTACTAAAAGTGATCCACCCCCCTTAGCCTCCCAAAGTGCTGGGATTACAGACGTGAGCCACCGCGCCTGGCTCTCAGCCTGGACTTTTAAAACTCTTATGAGTAAGAAGAAAGAAGAGGTGGCTTGGGGCTGAGGATAGCTATGAACAGCTGTGATTCAGGAGGCAGAATTATTCAGCTTTGCTCATCTCCTTTGCAAGGAGGAGAGAATGAAACAGACCTTTAAAAGGGAATCAGAAGTTGGAGTTAGTGCTTCTAGGAATTGTAAACGAATTCAGCAGTGTAGACCTAGAAAAATTTTCAGAGTCACTGATAGGGATTCACAGAAATTTTCTGTAGCTTCAAGGGACCAGCCCAGCCTTTTTGTTCCCTTCTGAGACCACATTAAAAAGACAAAACAACATACAGGAAGCACTTCTTCAAAACTGCGCAAATAGCACATGCGTATCGTGGACACATTTTTAAATGCACTTAAGCAAGGAGAAGAAAATGGGAATCACATACAACCCCAGGACCCAGAGACAAGCCAGTGGGCACCACTCTAGACATTTTCACAGCTCTGGAATCTCCTGTACAGGCCATTTTGAAACCTGCCATTTTGAAACCTGCTTTCCACCCATTTAGCTTAGGAAGCCTTTTCCTGTGTCTGTGAATAGACCCGTACGATGTTATGTTAATGGATTTCAATATAGGAGCAAATTGGTTTGTGCAAGACCCACCTATTCTTAGGTGATTTTTTTTTTTTTTTTTTTTGCTATACATAACATAGAAGAGAACATGTTTCTAGCTAAAGATTTCATGTCAAAGCTCATGGGAGAGGAAGATGACCCTGGCTACCCCACTTCTCTTCCCCTTCATTCAGTAAACGATAGCCTTGTCATATGACGGCAGCCTGTGGCTCTCCTGAAAGCGCTCTGTCTCTTCAGCAGGCCCCCCAGTGGGAAACACCCACCTCTTCATGGATCTCACAGATCTGTCTCTCTCCTCTGGTGCTGCCTATGTTTGCCAGCAGCTTCTCCCAGGCCCCCAGGCCTACAGCCTCAGAATCACCTTGTTTCAGGCCTGCGTGTCAGTTCCGCCTCGTGGATGTTGCTGGGGCTTCTCTCCCTCTTTCTTGTCTCACAGCATCTGCTCTGGATAAAGTCATCCTTGATCCCAACGGCAGGAGCCTCCCACTTGCCTCTTTGGTCTTTCCCACCTGCAATCCAGCCTAACCTGCCACAAGAATGAGCTTCCTACAGCCCAGCTTGATCTCCCATTCTGGGCTCCGCCTTTTAGCCCAACTGAGCTGCCTCTCACCCTTCTAGGTGCCCTAGGTTTTTCCTTCATTGCTCATGTTTCTCTTTCTTCTCTGTGCATCTCAAGCTCAGTGGTTTTAAGGGTCATGTTCTAATACCATGGCCTCCACAAAGCCTTCCTTGATTCCTGCTAGTTGCAGGTAGCACCTTTTTCCCTTTGTTGGCACTTTATTTGTTCCTCCCTCAGATCCTTGCTGAAGTTTATGTCTGGTGTTGCCATTAGACTGTAAGTTTTTTTGAAGGCAGAAGCTGTGTTTTCTTTAACTTGGCTTCAATGCCTGACACAGAGTAGGTGCTCAAAGAGGTTAGTAACATTTAAGTTAAAAGAGAATGGATTGGTAACAGTTTTTTTATTTTTTGAGACAGGGTCTTGCTTTGTTGCCCAGGCTGGAGTGCAGTGGTGTGATAATGGCTTACTGCAGCTTCAGCTTCCTGGGCTCAAGTAATCCTCCTGCCTCAGCCTCCCAACTAGCTGGGACTATAGGCATGCTCCACCATGCCTGGCTAATTTTTTTTTTTTTAGTATAGACTTGGTGGTGAGGCACCGGAGGCGGGGGGCAGGGGTCTCATCATGTTGCCCAGGCTGGTCTTGAACTCCTGGGTTCAGGTGATCCTCCTGCCTTGGCTTCCCAAAGTGCTGGGATTATAGGCAGGAGCCACTGTGCCTGGCTAGTAACATTTTATGTGCCAAAGACCCAGGGATTTTAATTGACTGTTAACTGATTTTAACTGGAGTCAGCTGGAGCTAATAGTGTGCTGTGGCTGCTGATGAGCAGAAGGCAACCTTGGATTGTATAAAATCACAGGCTCATCTCCCATAATCCCTCCACCGGCCACTTCCTGCTCCCCACTGAGCAGCCCACAGTGCAACCTCCCTGAACTTCTTCTACTTCCCCAAATCAAACATGTATTTTCATGCCCCTGGGCCTTTGCACATGCTTCTCCCCACCCCCAAAGCCTTTCTTCTCTGTTGCTTATCAAAATCTTACTCATCCTACAGATCAGCTGTCACCTTTTAAATGCGGGGCTCCCAAATCACCACTCCTTTCTCCCATCTCGAGAATTAATGCTCCCTCTCCTGTGTGTCTGTAGTACTGGTTCATATCATCATCATCATAGCAGCTACTATTTGCTAGTACCTGTTTTGTTCCAGGCACTGTTTTAGGCTCATGACATACACTAGCTCAGAACCATCTTACGACAACCCCTCAAGGTAAATTATAATAATGGTAAATACTTCTACGGTACTCACTCTGTGCCAGGCACTATTCAATGTGGTTTACATGCACTACCCATTTAATTCTGTACAACCACCTTGTAAGGTAGGTATCATTATTTTATTTTAATTTTTATTATTAAAAATAATACCATCAACCAACTCACACCAGGTAGGCACCGTTATTATTGCCTATTTACAATTAGGGAAGAGGGGCTTAGAGAAGTTAAGTGACCTTTATGAGATCACATAGCCAGTGGGGCTGAAAGGCAGTATGGTTCCAGAGTCTGTGCTGTAGACACTATGCATAGTTGACTTTGTTGTCAAAGGAACCGAAGGTCAGAGACGTTAAGTAATTGCCCCAAGGTCACACATTTAAGTGGCAGACATTGGAGCCAAACCCAAGCCTGCCTGACCCCAGGTCTACATGCCCCTTCTTACTCTGAACTACCTTTCTGTCTAGTAGGAGTTGGCAAACTTTTTTGTGTAAAGACCAAATTGAAAATATTTTAGGCTTGGTTGCAACTTTATGTTGCAGCGAGAAAGCAGTCATAGGCAACATGTCAATGAATGGGCATGACTGTGTTCCAATAAAATGCTATTTGTGAAACCTGAAACTTGAATTTCATATAATTTTCACATGTCATAAAATATTTTCCTCCTTTGGATTTTTTTCAACCATTAAAAAATGTAAAAACCACCTGTAATCCCAGCTACTTGGGAGGCTGAGGCAGGAGAATCGCTTGAACTTGGGAGGCAGAGGTTGCAGTGAGCCGGGATCATGCCACTGCAGTCCAGCCTGGGCGACAGAGTAATACTCCCTCTCAAATAAAATAAAATAAAATAAAATAAAATAAAATAAAATGAAATAAAATGTAAAAACCATTCTCAATTTATGGCCCTACAAAACCAGGTGGCGGGCTGGATTCAGCCATGCGTGGGCCATAGTTTGACAACCTTACTTTATAGCATCGTGACATTATAGAATGATTAGATAGGCATGATTTGCCTTTTTGCTCTCTTTTTCCTAGAACAGTTCAGCTCAGGCCCCAAACATGGATACCCAACTGAGAAAACACGAGTCTTTGGTAAACAAGATCCACATTCCCTAAAAGAAGTTCAGAGACCACGTGTCCTTCCCTGAGCACACCTCTTGGGGTTGCACCCTCAACTCCAAGCAGTTTTTCAGGCTATTCCAACTATTTTGAGAAAAGAAGTAGGAAATGCATTTCCCCATCACTTTAGTTTTGAGATGAGTTTCTAAGGGTGCTCTGGGTGGTTGCCTAGCTGGCTAGTCTTGTATTTGACTCTGAAATTGAACCGGACTAAGAACTCTAGACCTCAGGCAACGATTCCTTGATTGTGCTCCTGGGAGTGGAAGAGACCAGTCAGGGCAGAGTTGCTGGACCAGAGGAGGGGAAGGGGACCACGGTCCCGGTGTGATTGGGGACCAGAGGGCAGGACACACGGCTCAGAGAGGCTTCAGAGCTTAATATGTTGAAATAATAAAAGGCTTCAGGACTTGGCAATGTTTTGTTTTAATTCAACTATAAAGGGGTTTAATATGCTTCAGGCTTAGGAACATAAATACTGCTTAACATTTTTTATTCTGGTGAACTTATGTTAAAAGTTGCAAATCAGCATCTTTTTTTTTTTTTTTTTTTTTTTTTTGTAGAAACAGGGTCTTGCTATGTTGCCCAGGCTGGCATTGAACTCCTGGCCTCAAGTGGTCCTTCCACATCAGCCTCCCAAAGCACTGGGATTACAAATGTGAGCCACTGTGCCTGGCCAAGCAAACCAGCATCTTGCAAACAAACTTTCAGAACAAAATCTGTTTCAAACAGAGATGATCTATGTATGAAAGTACACTGACTTAAAAATGATTTCTTTCTGTGGTTTTGAGAGAAAATCTAGTGATTATTTGTAGCAATTAGCAACACAGTAGGGGGAATTATTAAGATAGGATTCAGATTGGTGAAATAAATTCTTGCAAGTAAAACTTAAGATAAAATGCCACTTGAGAAGATGTTCACCACAAAGGTGGTAACCTTATTTTTAAAAATGCTTTTTATTGAAGTTTTATCTACATACAGGAAAGTGAACACCACGTGGGTATACAGCTTGGTGGATTTTCACAAACTGCACACACTTGTGGAACCAGCATCCAGATCAGGAAGCAACAGATGTCCTTTAAAACATCAAGAACTGGGCCGGACATGGTGGCTCACGCCTGTAATCCCAGCACTTTGGGAGGCCAAGGTGGGTGGATCACCTGAGGTCAGGAGTTTGAGACCAGCCTGGCCAACATGGTGAAACCCCGTCTCTACTAAAATTACAAAATTAGCTGGGCTTGGTGGCATGCACCTTGTAATCCCAGCTACTCGGGAGGCTGAGGCAGGAGAATCACTTGAACCCAGGAGGTGGAGATTGCAGTGAGCTGAGATTGCGCCATTGCATTCCAGCCTGGGCAAAAAGAGCGAAACTTCATCTCAAAAAAAAAAAAAAAAAAGAAAAAAGAAAAAAAAAAAGCAAGAACTGGTTTATTTTCAGGAAGAGAATAGGAGTAGAGACCTGGTCTGAAGAGCTGGGTACAACCTAGGGCAGTAGCTCATGCCTGTAATCCCAGCACTTTGGGAGGCTGAGGCAAGAGGATTGCTTGAACCCAGGAGTTGGAGACCAGCTTGGGCAACATAGTGAGACCTTTGTTTATACAAAAATAAAAAATAAAAATAATTAGCTGGTCATAGTAGCACGCAACTGTAGTCCCAGCTCTTCAGGAATGTGAGGCAGGAGGATTGTTTGAACCCGGGAGGTCCAGGCTGCAGTGAGCTGTGATTGTGCCACTGCACTCCAGCCTGGCACACAGAGTAAGAGCCTGTCTTAAAGAAAAAAAAAAAAAGAAAAAAAAAAGGGGTGGCTAGGAAAAATGTCTTGAAACTGGGTCTGCATAGAAAACAACTTTGTTTGAGATGCCTTGGAGAAGGCTGATGGGAATTACAGTGTGTGTTGGTGACACTTGGAGCTGCCAATGCTTTGAAGTCAGACTCTAGTTGGGTCTAACTTTGCCTCTGCCATTCCTTGCTGTGTGACTGTGGCCAAGATTGCCAACCTCTTGAAGCCTCTGTGATTGTGACATGATAATCTCTAAAATACAGCATCTCTTGTTCACGATTATTTCCTCAGAACCTGTTACAGTGCCTGCCATACAGGACACCCTAAGTAAATGTCTTTTTTAAAGGACATGAATAAAACAATTAATAAATAATATGTGCAAAGTACTCAGTATAGTACTTGGAAGATGTTCAATAAATGTAAAATCAAGTCACAAAATGACCCATTGACCCAGTAATGCCACACTTGTGAATATACACATTCCCAAGAAAATCATCCCCCATAAAAGTAACTTACCGGCTGGCTGCGGTGGCTCATGCCTGTAATCCCAGCACTTTGGGAAGCTGAGGCAGGTGAATCACGAGGTCAGGAGATCGAGACCATCCTGGCCAACATGGTGAAACCCCATCTCAACTAAAAAAATACAAAAATTAGCTGGGCGTGGTGGTGTGCTCCCGTAGTCCCAAGCTACTTGGGAGGCTGAGGCAAAAGAATTGCTTGAACCCGGGAGGTGGAGGTTGCAGTGAGCCGAGATCGTGCCAGTGCAGTCCAGCCTGGCGACAGAGTGAGACTCCATTAAAAAAAAAAAAAGTAACTTACCTATACCTTACGTATATAAAGTTATATCTCTGCACATACACTTATGTACACATATATAGCTAATTATGGTGAAATACGGAACTAACCCAAAGACAGTGAGGAATAGGTGTGCAGTTAGGAATTGTCGAAACCGTGGAAATCTATTTAGCTGAAATCTAGCCAGTGTGTAGACAATGTTGAAATTTTAAAAAGCTTAAATCTGAAAAATATTTAGAAGATATATACAAGTGTCTATTTGTTAGATAGTGAAAACTAGTAAGGTTTTGGAGTGAAAAAGTTTAGAGATGGTTACACCTTTTTTTTCTAAAGTTGCTTAAGGTTTTTGGAATTGCTTCCCTTTCCCCACAAGAACAAAGCACTGGCCGGGTAAGGTGGCTCACGCCTGTAATCCCGGCACTTTGGGAGGCCGAGGTGGGTGGATCACCTGAGGTCAGGCGTTCAAGACCATCCTGGCCAACATGGCAAAACCCCTTCTCTACTAAAAAATACAAAAAAATAGCCGGTCATGGTGATGGATGCCTGTAGTCCCAGCTACTCAGGAGACTGAGGCAGGAGAATCACTTGAACCCGGGAGGTGGAGGCGGCAGTGAGCCAATATCGTGCCACTGCATACAAGCCTGGGGGACAGAGTGAGACTCCGTCTCAAAAAAAAAAAAAAAAGAACAAAGCACTCAGCCCCACTTCCCAGCTGGGGAGCCCCATGGCCTCATCCATCCTGAGAAAGGCCTGCTTTTGCTGTGATGTCCCTGCTAGGCTATGAAGGGGCTATTGAAGGTGCTGGCTAGAGATGGGTTGCTGAGGAGCATGGTGACTTCCTGGCCATTTAATTGTGTTAGATTCATGGTGGAATCAATTTTCTTAGTGAATGAATCAGCTGCTACCAGCACAGGTCCTTTGTCCAAAGCTCCTTGAGGAGGATGACATTTAGATGTATTCTCTGTAATTGATAGGCCATCCCCAACTGGCGATGGACTCATATTTTTAAAAAAAGACAGCTGAGGATTCCATCAGCATTTTGAAGTAAGCTACCTCCACCAAAGCCCAGCTAACTTCAAACCTGCAATAATAACAATCGGTTAATAATAGTCATAATTTCACTTTAGCTCTATATTATGATGTATTGTTCTAAAAAGACTTTCTCGCAAAACCAAGAAGAGAGCATTTCCAAATGTACAAAGTATTGTAAAAGTACAAACGGAAATTATTTCTGTATTGTTATCATTTCCACCTGATCCGTATGAGCTCACAGTGAAGAGGGCAGGGCAAATCTGATTCCATTTTACAACTGAGAAGACGAGCCATTTCATCAGAGTGGTGGTTTCCATGTCAAATGTACATAGAGGTATTTTGGGAACACAGCAGGGGGCATCTGATCTGGCGGGGGCATCTGATCTGGCGGGGGCATCTGATCTGGCAGCGGCTGGGGAGCACTGGTGGTCAAGGAAGGCTTTCCAGAAGGAGTGGGAGTTGGGGGCTGAGTGAAGAGCAGGTCTTTCCAGCCAATAGGATGGCACAGAGCGAGCCTGTGGAGGGCGTCAGGTGGAGAATTGGTGTCTGTTAGCATGGCCGTTAGAATTGAGGCCAAAAGGAAACCAGGATTTCCTACTGAACAGCCCTCAGTTCTCCGGAGGAGGAAATGGGTTAGGATGTCTCTTCCCCTAATCCCTCACTTGTGTCTATCTTGGTCTCTTTGCCAGAGTGGGCAGAAGGGCCCAACTCTGTTGCTTTTGCAACGTGAAGCCTCCCTTCCCTCCTCTGTCTCTGTGCGTGTGAACCCTGGAGGCCTGTTGAGGGACCCTTTTCTATGAAAATGGTAGAAAGAGGAAAAAGGGCAAGAGCATCAAATTATGGAGACCCCGGAGGCTCTGGAGGTGAAGGCTCATTAATTCTATCTGATTCAAAGCCTGAGAAGAACGGCCTGGAGGGCCACTCAGTGTCATCACCCATGACGCTCTCGTAACTCTTCCGTACGAAGAGACATACTTGGGCCACTCTTGCCAGTTAGCCACTTGGGAAATACCACGGAAGACTCACTTTTTTTCACCCAGAAGCCCTTTTAGGGAGAATTTCTTTAGGAGAAATTCCGCTGAATTCAAGCCCATCAGACTCACATGCTGATGATGTAACCCGCGGCAGCTCACTCCTGGACACATGTGACCCATTCTGAAGATTATCTGTCATGTCCTTATAGGGTATGGCTCTGCCTTGGACTGCAGCTCCTCCCCTACCTCCCCTCCTCCCACAGCTCCATATTTAGGCATCTGCCAAGGCTCCTCCCCTCCTCAAGGCTTATCATCCATCTTTACTGCCGCACAATGATGCGGTGGTTTGTTTTCGTATTCACTGCAGCAGGTAATAAATGTTCCTACTTTGGCTTCAGTTTTAATAAAACTATCAGAAACTGCTTTACAGTTTGGGAAACTGAGGCCCTGAAAGCTGACTTGATGGGCCACTTGGGGTCAGAACTGGCTGGCACATGAGGGTCACTTGATTGAACAGAGACTTTTTCTCCTTTCTGACTCTCTAGGTAGCAAAGCTTAGACAGGAGTCTCTCTCTTTCTTTCTCTTTTTGTAGCCATGTCTGGGTATGAGACACACAGAACACCCTTTGCTGGAGAAACCTCTTTTGTGCTACTTTAAATTCCCTACTTAGAGTTAATAACTGTTTATCATTATATTTAGTAATTGTTATTTGAGAATGTTATTAATAGGGACTACTTACTGTGTGTTTACTATGTACATACAATGTGTTTATATTATGCACCTGCTAAGAATTTTGCACTCTAGGCCAGGCACAGTGGCTCACGCCTGTAATCCCAGCACTTTGGGAGGCCAAGGTGGGCAGATCACTTGAGCCCAGGAGTTTGAGAGCAGTCTGGCCAACATGGTGAAACCCCATCTCCACTAAAAATACAAAAATTAGCCAGGCGTGGTGGTGGTGCCTGTAATCCCAGCTACTCGGGAGGTTGAGGCAGGAGAATCACTTGAACCCGGGAGTTGGAGGTTGCAGTGAGCTGAGATCACACCACTGCACTCCAGCCTGAGCAACAGAGCGAGACTCCGTCTCAAGAAAAAAAAAAAAAGAATTTTGCACTCTCAGCTCTAAGCACACTTAATACTCTCAACAACCTGTGATACAGATATAATATTATTACATTGATTTTACAGAGGAGGAAACTGAGGCTTAAGGAGGTTAAGAAAATCTTCCAAGTTCGTCACATAGGTAGTCGGTTGGGCAGCTCAGATTCAATGCCAGGTCCACCTGACTTTAAAGCCCATGACCTTAACAATTATGCCTTATTAATTTCCTTTTGCAGATATTCACTCAGGAAATTTGGCTTTAGCTCAGTCAGTTTATTGGAAAGTTTATTTAAATAACCAAAAGGGCTGAGTGTGGTGACTCATGCCTGTAATTCCAACACTTTGGGAGGCTGAGGCGAGAAGATCACTTGAGCCCAGGAGTTCGGGACCAGCCTCAGCAACATAGTGAGACCTTGTCTCTACACAAACTAAACAAAATTAGCTGATCTTGGTGGTGAGTGCTCATAGTCCTAGCTACTTGGGAGGCTGAGGTGGGAAGATCACTTGGGAGGTGGAGGCTGCAGTGAACCACCATTGTACTCTGTCTCCAGCATGGGAGATAGAGCAAGACTCTGTCTCAAAAAATAAATAAAGGTGGCCAGTGGCTGTGTGTGGTGACTCACGCCTGTAATCCCAGCACTTTGGGAGGCCAAGGCGGGTGGATCATTTGAGGTCAGGAGTTCAAGACCAACCTTGGCAACATGGTGAAACCCTGTCTGTACTAAAAATACAAAAATTAGCTGGGTATGATAGTGCATGCCTGTAGTCCCAGCTGCTCGGGAGGCTGAGGCATGAGAATTGCTTAAACCCAGGAGGCAGAGGTTGCAGTGAGCCGAGATCGAGCCACTGCACTCCAGCCTGGGCAACAGAGCAAAACTCCATTTCAAAAAAATAAAATTAAAATAAATAAATAAATAAATGTCCGAAGCATGTACATTTTTCCTAATTCTGGCCCTGCTACACTGGGGTCAAATAAAACTTAAGGCCAGGTGCAGTAGCTCATGCCTGTAATCCCAGCACTTTGGGAGGCTGAGGTGGGAGGACTGCTTGAGCTCAGGAGTTTGAGACCAGCCTGAACAATATAATGAGACCCCCACTCTATTTATAAAAAATAAGATAATTAAATTAAATTAAAAAAATAAAACATAGAAATGTCTTAAGAGGTCTTGGCTCTGGACTAAGTCACAAATGCATATATTTAAGTTGCCTCTTGGTCTAAGGATCTAAAGTTTAACGGAAGCCTATGGAGCCCTCAAGGAGTCCTTCCTCAAAGGTCTAGTCTCAAATGGGGTCCATGACCACGGTGTGTGACAGTAACCTGGTGTGAGTCTGGAGAAAGAGTCCAGGTAAACATTTGGCAAAGTGGTCCCTCCGCTATGGACATTCAGGATTTGGCATTTCAGATAGTAGTGAAATGGATAACTCGATGGCTTCCTATAATTCCCAGATGCCAGGTTTTGTGCTAAATCAGACTCTCCACATTCTGAATCCTTACAGTGATCACATGAGGAAAGTCCTTTTCTTATTTTCATTTTTATGAGAAAACCAAGGTTCAGAGAGGTTAAGTAATTTGGCCAAGGTCACCTGGCTTACATGTGTTTAAAAACATGAATATGTATCATGTGAATTATTTATATGGCTAACTCATTTGCAAAAGCTATTAGGTATAATTAAACAACAGGGACAGTGGGTTGACGAGGATAAAAATGTCTTGGCAGCCGGACGCGGTGGCTCACACCTGTAATCCCAACACTTTGGGAGGCTGAGGCAGGAGGATCCCTGAGGCCAGGAGTTCATGACCAGCCTGGGCAACATAGTGAGACTGTGTCTCTACAAAAAAAGCAATAAATTAGCCCGGTGTGGTGGCACACACATGTAGTCCCAGCTACTCGGGAGGCTGAGGTGGGAGGATCTCTTGAGCCCAGGAGGTCCAGGCTGCAGTGAGCTGTGATGACACCACTGCACTCCAGTCTGGGCGACAGAGCGAGATCCTGTCTCAGAAAAAAGAAAAAGAAAAAATAAATGTTTTGGAAAGGAATGCCAGGATTTAGAGAAGTGACTTAAAAATTATGTTTAAATCAGACGTGTAGGTTTGCTTTGTATTGCCCTGCATGACACATGTCAGGAAGATCGCCAGGGAGGGGAGGTTACAAGCCCAGGTTGCAGGAATAACCTTTACTCTGAATTTTGGTCTGAAAGACTTTTCCTTCGTCTGGAGCTGGGCTGGCCTTGTGATATTGTGCCACAGCAGACACGACACTGTCTCCAAGGCGGAGCTCATTGCCTGGGGCTTTCCCACTGCACTGAATGAGAATTTATTTGGCCTTTAATGAAATTCAGATTGTCCCATTTATGCAGTCCTCTGTTTAAGTGACAGGCACTGAATATGGTTGCTTTCAAGCAAGTTATTTTGTTTAACCAGGGGCCTAGCGGAGTTCGGGATACACAGATGGCCACCAAAAATGTTAAAAGAAAGAAATAACTTAATCCTCACAGCATCTCTGAGAAGTGGTTCCTAAATTTATCACAATCTTGCAGATGTGTAAGCTGAGGTGTGGAGTTCAAGCAGCGTGCTCAAAGCCATGTGTAGGTGACAGTGCCTGATTTCAGATGCAGATAACTCTAAGGCCAGTCTGTTGCATCTCTTACCAGTTTTTGGAAAAACCTCAAGGGAAAAACCACAGCAAATTTTTAGAGTTCTAGTAATTTCTTTTCCCCTATTACAACACATATTCCCATAAACCAAGGACTGTGTGATTAGTCAATAAACAAAAAGAAATGCATATAGTATCTGTCGCTCATAACGTTCTTGTTTCTTGCAGTTTCCAACATGGCTAGATCCATCAGAAACTGAAGCCGTGGAGAACGCTCTCGGGGCCTTTGCCACTTCTTGGAGTAGAAGCCGACAGAGAGCTGTTTGGAAACTTCTCCTTCACACACCAGGTTGCTACTGAGGTCTATTTCATGTTGCAGTCAGAGCAGTTGCTTGTGTTTTTTAGTGCTTGAGTGATTTTACAGATAAAGTCAGCTTCTGCTTCTTGACCGGGAGGCATTTGTGTGTGTGTGTGTGTGTGTGTGTGTGTGTGTGTGTGTGTGTGTGTGTGTTGGGGGAAGACAGATCTAAGCTCTCCCTGTGAGGGGAAGAGTGGATTGCACAAGCGGGGTTGGATGGCTACACTGAGATTACCCCACATTTAATCAGTTTGCCAATGAGGAAGCCCCTTATCTTCAAAAAAGGCAAGAAAGAAAGAAAGACTTCATTTTCCCCCTTCTCTTTCTGTTCCAGTTGAAGACTAGGCTTTGGAGGTTTTCAAAGCAGACGGTGCTTGGATGGGCAGGGAGAAGTAACATTCTGCAAATCGCCGTCAGAGGTCCTGAGGACACAGACCTACCTGGCTTGCATTCCCCTTGCTGAATGGCGTGTGCTGCAGCTGCCCACTGAGGGCTCTTTTCCCTGGGATTCTGGACTTCAGAGTAGGACAGCAGGCTGGGAAGATGCTGAGTTCCATCAAGTGCGTGTTGGTGGGCGACTCTGCTGTGGGGAAAACCTCTCTGTTGGTGCGCTTCACCTCCGAGACCTTCCCGGAGGCCTACAAGCCCACAGTGTACGAGAACACAGGGGTGGACGTCTTCATGGATGGCATCCAGATCAGCCTGGGCCTCTGGGACACAGCCGGCAATGACGCCTTCAGAAGCATCCGGCCCCTGTCCTACCAGCAGGCAGACGTGGTGCTGATGTGCTACTCTGTGGCCAACCATAACTCATTCCTGAACTTGAAGAACAAGTGGATTGGTGAAATTAGGAGCAACTTGCCCTGTACCCCTGTGCTGGTGGTGGCCACCCAGACTGACCAGCGGGAGATGGGGCCCCACAGGGCCTCCTGCGTCAATGCCATGGAAGGGAAGAAACTGGCCCAGGATGTCAGAGCCAAGGGCTACCTGGAGTGCTCAGCCCTTAGCAATCGGGGAGTACAGCAGGTGTTTGAGTGCGCCGTCCGAACTGCCGTCAACCAGGCCAGGAGACGAAACAGAAGGAGGCTCTTCTCCATCAATGAGTGCAAGATCTTCTAAACCCCAAGAGACTTCACACAACACTTATGTATGCACCCCAAAGACTAATGGGGAGAGGGAGGGCCGGGAAGCCAGGAAAGCTTGGTGTTTTCTCTGGGTACACCCCAAGCAGCGTCTCCTTTTGGATACAGTTATTGATGAGGCTTGGCCACTGGATGTTTTCACTAACTACACTCTACAAGTGAACTCCTTGCCCAGGCCAGTTAGAAAATCCCTTGGGGAACTGTGATGAATATTCCATCTTTGATTAAAAAAGTGAAATAGTCTCCATAATTTTGGACGATGAAGTGAGTTTTTCAAAGAATTCCATATTTAAAGACACATTTTATTTAACTAATAACAAAATGTATTGCTTTTGTATATATTTAGTTTTCACACTTGGAAAATCTTTTCCTACATCCTCGAAAACATAAACTCCTCTGTGAGTGAAATGCTTGTACGAAGCTCTGCCATATGTTTGTAGTGTTATTATTTTCACCTCAAGTAGAAAGTCTGTTGAAACCACTTGGCTGCTGGATTTAAATGGGTAATCAAATTTAAAAATGACCATAAATGAATCTTTGCAATTTGTTTTCTACTTACCTGTTATTCACAGTTGGATATAAAATACAGTTCCATAAGATATCCTAATACTGCCTAATGATTTTAAAGTTATCACTATATTTTTCTGAAATGATAAAACATCATTCATTTATTTACTATATTGTCTTTCACTCAACTCCAGTTATGCACTAAATATTCTCCTCTCATTCACCAAGATTGATTGAAACACCATCTTTCAGGTAGAGAATCAGACTGCTCCAAGCAATGGCAACAGAACTTGGAACAGAAGCAAGAGAGTGTCACTTTCACTTCTGGTAGGGTGGTTCCCAGGCGACTGCAGGTCCTGTGAAAGACAGGGGTCTCAAAGTTCTGTTAATTTCACAAATTTGTTATAAATTTGTCTAAACTGAGCTGTTGTGGCAACATAATTTATGAATCGTAAGGTCTAGTTAGGCTTATTGGGGGGATATCTACATATATATGTGTATGTAAGGGAAAAAAGGTAGAATTTACAGCCTTCAAAAAAGAAAAATCAAATTCCAAGCACAGGAATAAGAAAGCTATATAGCAACTGCTCAGAGAACAGAAAGTTATCAGGGGAAATACTGAATAAATAGACACACACATACTCGCACACAACCTGCTCTCACACACACAACTCAAACCTCATTCTATCGAATAGTTTAAAAGCAATGGTGTTGCTCATCTGTTAAAGTGGAGAACAGAGGACTACATAACTTAAGGTAGAAATTGCAAAGGCTGGGTTGGGCAGGGCGTGGTGGCTCACTTTGGGAGGCTGAGACGGGTGGATCACGAGGCCAGGAGTTCAAGACCAGCCTGGCCAACATGGTGAAACCCCGTCTCTTCTAAATATTAGCTAAAAATTAGCTGGGTGTGGTGGCACATGCCTGTAGTTCTAGCTACTCAAGAGGCTGAGGCAAAAGAATTGCTCGAACCTGGGAGGCGGAGGTTGCAGTAAGCCAAGATCGCGCCACTGCACTCCAGCCTGGGCAACAGAGGGAGACTCCATCTCAAAAAAAAAAAAAAGAAAAGAAAAAAAAGAAAGAAATTGCAAAGGCTGGCACCTAGATAGATCAATCAATTACTGCCCTAATCAAAACTTAGAAACACTCTGAACCACCTTTATGAAGGTACATCATTGTTATGGGGTAACGTGACTATTACACACAAAAGGTAAGGTGGCTGGCATAAATGACTTTGATTAGAATTATGTTGACATAGCCAAACCAGTTTCTCTGTTCCCTTGTGTGGTCAATTCCTTACAGCTATAATCAGTATCAAAAACCAAATGTGTGCTCATTCACACATTGCTTTCTCCTTCTCTCTCTCCTCCTATCCACAGCCAGTAAAAGGCCTGGGACCGGGGTCTTGATCTCTGGTGGGAGGATTGCCTCGGTTCCCTGGGGCTGACACAGCTGCCTTCACTCAGACTTCTCTGCTCTCCAGGCGGTGGCTTGTACTCACCTCTAAGTCACCCGCCTCCCTTGATTGGAGAGCCCGTGTCTCTAGTTCTCAGCTCAGGGTTGGGGGGCTTGAAAGATGACCGGGCAGGGGAGGGGAAGGGATCTCATATCCTCTGATATCCCTGGGATTCTCTTCTTCTCCCTCAACCCACAGAGTCTTAAATCACGGATGCGGGTGTTCAGGGCCAGCCTTTGCCATGAGAGGTATTTAACATGTCAGTGGGAAGGAATTTCTATTCACTGCAGTGGGCTGTCCCCCAGGCTTTTCTTTCTCTCTTGTTGAAGAGAGATGGGGGTGGGTATCTGAAAGTGGGAAGGGCCACCATACATGATCCTAAGTGAAGGAAGAGGAGGTGGTTCCACGGTGGCAGCAGAGCAGGAAGGGAAGGCCAGAGAGGGCACACTCAAATGGCTTTGCTGTCACCTGGGCAAAGACACACAGGTGAGACCTCCACCTGTTGGCGGGAGCCAAGCTTAACAGCTCCGTCTGGGAACTCTCATACCTGAGACCAGGAATCTATGTGTAAACCCTTTCCAGTGGCAGAATCTGGCAGAAATGGAGCCGATAAGTGTCTGTCTTCCTGCTAGACTGCTGTTCTTGAAGGTAGCACTGCCTCCTGGTCTCCTCAGTGTCCCCAGGGCTCAGCACAGGGAAGGCAATGGAGGTAAAGTTGTGTTAAACTGAAATGGAGAGAAAGACAGTAATTGGGCTTCTGTGCCACACAGTGGTTATAGAAAGCAAGCAGACCCTCACCAGCCTTGTAGGGGTAAGAAGAAAAATAGGTCATATGGGTAGAATCCGTGTGTTGTGTGTTCTACATAAGCACATACTTACTTTTGCCTGCCTAGATGCAGACACAGGTTTCTTATACTTCAAAATTTGTGGTACCTTTTTGTAGACTATTGCATATCGATTCTTAACTATTCCAAGTAGCAGCATTAAATATGTTCTTGATGACATTAAAGAGTTAATTTTCATGGTCGGGTAGTTCATTCTTGTCTCTGTCAGCCTGGGCTGCTATAGTGGAAAACCATAGACTAGGGGACTTCAATAACAGAAATTTATCTCTCACAGTTCTGGAGGCTGGGAAGTCCAAGGCAAGGGACAGCATGGTTGGGTTCTGGTGAGACCCCTCTGCCTGGTTTGCAATGGCTGTCTTCTTGCTGTGTTCTCACATGGTAGAGCAAGAGATCATCTTTCTGGTGTTTCTTCTTCTAAGGATAATAATCCCATTCATGAGGGCTCAACCCTCATGATCTAATACCTCGCAAAGTCCTCACCTCCAAATACCATCACACTGGGGATTAGGCCTCAACATTTTGAGATTTGTGGGGACACAAACATTCCATCCATAGCAATTCTATTCTGTCTTACTTTCCACTGACTAGTTAACTGGGCAGCAGAATCCAGTGCAGTGAGTGACAAGAAAGCTAGAAGCATCCTGATTAAGTTTGTTCAGTGCTTCAGATGTGCTGTGCCGGCCACCGAGCGAAGCATTCTTTTGCCACATGTGTGTAGGCCCACATTATACTGAGTCCCATCTTACATGAGGAAACTGAGGCTCAGCATGTTGATGTGACAAGGCCAAGCCCATGCAGCAGGTGAGTGGCTGCCCCAGGAGTCTCAAGTGGGTCTGCTCAAAACCACCCTGCCCCACTTCCTCCCAGAGCAGCTTGACTGAATGGCTTTGCCACATCCGACCTCATGTAGCTTGCAGCTCCACCCCTGCCAGTCAAGTAGCCTGTATTTTAAAAAATATATTTTTATTTTTATTTTTTAATTTTTAGATTTTTTTTATTTTTTTGAGACGGAGTCTCGCTCTGTCACCCAGGCTGGAGTGCAGTGGTGTGATCTCCGCTCACTGCAAGCTCTGCCTCCCGGGTTCATGCCATTCTCCTGCCTCGGTCTCCCGAGTAGCTGGAAAAATATATTTTTAAATAAAATATTCCAAGTCTGACCTTTGTCCTGCCCTTGTCTTTCTGGCAATGAGAATGGGACCCACCTATGTCACACAACACCATCATTTGCAAAGGTCTCCATTCCAATCCTTGGTATTTAAAGCATAACTCCAAAGGCTGATTGCATATAAATTGGCAGAGATGAAATACACCATTATTTAATGTTATAAAAAGCTTGGGAAATATTCTCTTTTTCTTTTTTTATTAAAAAACTTTTTTTGAGACAGGGTTTTGCTCTGACACCCACAGTGGAGTGTAGTGGTGTGATCATGGCTCACTGCAGCCTCAACTTCTGGAGCTCAAGTGATCCTCCCACCTCAGCCTCCCAAGTAGCTGGGACCATGGGTGCACACCACCAAACTTGGCTAATTTTAAAAATTATAGAGACAGGGTCTCACTACGTTGCCCAGGCTGGTCTTGAACTCCTGGGCTCAAGCGATCTTCCCACCCTGGCCTCCCAGAGTGCTAAGATTACAGGTGTGAGCCACTGTGCCCAGCCAATATTCTCTTTCTCTTCATTTTTTGTTTGTTTGTTTGTTTTGTTTTTTGGAGATGGAGTTTTGCTCTTGTCGCCCAGGCTGGAGTGCAATGGTGCACTCTCGGCTCACTGCAACCTCTGCTTTCTGGGTTCAAGTGATTCTCCTGCCTCAGCCTCCCAAGTAGCTGAGATTACAGGCATGTTCCATTACGCCTGGCTAATTTTGTATTTTTAGTAGAAATGGAGTTTCACCATGTTGGTCAGGCTGGTCTTGAACTCCTGACCTCAGGTGCTCCACCCGCCTCGGTCTCCCAAAGTGTTGAGATTACAGGCGTGGGCCACCGTGCCTGGCCAATATTCTCTTTTTCTTATCTCACTTTTCCACCCCTCAGGTTTCAGGTATTTCCTTTGAACAAGGGAGTGACAGGGAAGAGGAGAGTTTGGCTCTTCTCTTTCAAGGATTTCGTACTTAGGAGGCGCCCTTTACCCAGAATGAAATGTGATGAAAGGACTCACTTTGGTGCATCTGTAGAGTTATGACATGACAGAGGGGACAGGGCTCTGTGAGTGCTCGGCCCCAGTGCTGAGAAAGAAATGCTTACAAGTTGAGTGGGGTCAGTACAACTCAATAGTAGGAACTTACTTTTCGTGAGACTGTATCTGTCCAGATAAAGCAAAGAAACATAATCAATGGCTAAGATGTCAAGCAGGTTTTCACAAGAAAAGATAAGCTCTGAAAATTATTTGAGCTATGAGTTCATAAAAAGTTCTTGATTAAACCTGAAGTCTACATTAGCTTTTTGGTAGATTCTAAAATGCATCCCGACCTGGAACTCAATACTAATGGTAGATAAAAAGCCATGATGAGGGAGTGGAGAGACCAGACAATCGTGATGTATTCTGGGGTCAGAAAATCTGGGTTGTGTATCTTTCAGCCTTAGTTTCCCTTTGTTAAAGCAGAGATATGAATTCCTAGGATACTGTATAAATATTGGTACAATAATGATTGTGGGCCGGGCTTGTTGGCTCACGCCTGTAATCCCAGCACTTTGGGAGGCCAAGGCAGGCAGATCATCTGAAGTCAGAAGTTAGAGACCAGCCTGGCCAACATGGCAAAACCCTGTCTCTACAAAAATTAGCCGGGCGTGGTGGCAGACACCTGTAATCCCAGCTACTCAGGAGGCTGAGGCAGGAATTGGGAGGCAGAGGTTGCAGTGAGCCAAGATCATGCCATTACTCCAGCCTGGGTGACACAGCGGGACTCCGTCTCAAAAAAAAAAAAAAGATTGTGGAAGTGTTTTATATTTGTAAACTATTGTTCAAATGGTGTTGTTATTATGTTTTTGGTAGATCCCAATGCAGAGACATAGGCTGAATATTCCAGATCAGATTAGAATATCCTAAAACTTGTTAAAAAGTGGATCATAGGATGAAAAATTGGCACAGACATAAACACCACTTGTAACATTGTTAGCTAGAGTAAGATGAATAAAACGATACTTAGGGATAATGATAATAGCAACAAAATACATTGGAATGCCTGCTGGTTCCAGCACCCCTGGTAGGTAGTTTAGGTACGTCATCTCATTTAATGCTCATAACAATTCACAAGGTAGATATTCTCTTCCTGTTGATAAGACACTGAGGCTGGGTGTGGTGGCTCATGCTTGTAATCCCAGCACTTTGGGAGGCCAAGGGTGGTGGATCACCTGAGGCTAGGAGTTCAAGAACAGCCTGGATAACATGGTGAAACCCCATCTCTATTAAAAATACAAAAACTGGGCCTGGCACGGTGGCTCACGCCTGTAATCCCAGCACTTTGGGAGGCCGAGGCGGCTGTATCACGAGATCAAGAGATCGAGGCCATCCTGGCCAACATGGTGAAACCCTGTCTCTACAAAAATACAAAAATTAGCAGGGCATGGTGGCAGGTGCCTGTAGTCCTGGCTACTCGGGAGGCCAAGGCAGGAGAATCACTTGAACCCAGGAGGCAGAAGTTGCAGTGAGCCGAGATTGTGCCACTGCCCTCCAGCCTGGGGGATAGAGCGAGACTACGTCTAAAAAAAAAAAAAACAAAAGAACAAAAAAACCACAAAATGTCCCAGTTTTACCAAGTAATTTTGGCATAATTAAACTTGACCAGCTAAAAATTATATCTATAATTATATTAAGTGTTCATTACACTTGCTAATTTAAGATGGTGACAATGATCCTTGTTACATACTGCAGGGAAATGGTGATGATGAGAGCTTGGCAGTCTTCCTACGGGAGCTTCCTTTTGTCATTCTTCCCATAATAAAATCTCAGGTAATTCACGTCCCACTGTCCTGGCTGCTCTCTGCTTGCTGCCCCCACTCTTCCATTTCCATCTTTCACCTTTCCCTGCCCTCCTCTGGGCCTGGGAGACTAACCGTGTGGACTGAATCACCCGCATCTCTTCCTGCCTGGCTTCCACTTGAATTCAGCCAGTGGACACTCTGGCAGGAAATCAGAGGGTAGCAGGGGAGAACAGTTGGCTGTTTTTTCCCTATGCGTTTCTGGCTTTGGTGCTACTTATTTGGCAATAGTCATGAGTCCCTCCGTGGCTCCAGCTCCTACTGGGAAGTTTCTCTTCCATGGCTCCAGCTTCGGCCGGGCGTGGTGGCTCACGCGTGTAATCCCAGCAATTTGGGAGGCCGAGGCGGGTGGATCATGAAGTCAGGAGATCGAGCCCATCCTGGCTAACACGGTGAAACCCCGCCTGTACTAAAAATACAAAAAAAAAATTAGCCGGGCGCGGTGGCAGGCGCCTGTAGTCCCAGCTACTCGGGAGGCTGAGGCAGGAAAATGGCGTGAACCTGGAAGCCAGAGCTTGCAGTGAGCGGAGATCGCGCCAGTGCACTCCAACCTGGGCGACAGAGCCAGACTCTGTTTCAAAAAACAAAACAAAACAAAACAAAACAAAACAAAACAAAACAACATGGCTCCAGCTTCTACTGGGCTCTAGGGCAGTGCTTCCTCTCCTCGCCCTCAACCCTATGGGGGGTAATGGCTTCCTGCTGGTCCTTGTCTTTGGATGCAGCAGCATCCTTAATGTGGTCCTTTGATCCTGACCTAAGTAGTGCTTTCATTCAAGTCTCTTCATTTGAATCACCTGGAATAAATTTCATTTCCTGTAGGACTCTGAGTGATACACTCATTAGTCATCTACATAGTCTGTCATTAAATGATTACTCAAATCCCTACTGAAGGATATGAGTTGCAGGTCTGGGCAACTGCCTTTTCCTGAGCCTCAAAACCTACGAAATACCACTCTTAACATCTATTTGCTTGGAAGAGAAAGGAGGAGTTTGGTTAATTCTAATCTGAATGAACAAAAGAATAGTTCTGGGATAGCAACATTCAAAAATTGTGGATCTTCTAACAATATATTTATATTCAAGAAGCTCTGCTATTATCCATAATATATAAAGAACAACTATAAATCAATAAGAAAAATAGCCCAGTTTTAAACCGGATATTTCCCAGAAGAAAAAATACACATGACCAATAAGCACTGGAAAAGGTGCTTCTTCTCACTTGAACTCAGGGGAATGAAAACAAAACCTATCCACAAAATACCATTTTCAAACCACCATATTGGCAAGGGAATTCAAAAATATGACATTGGCTGGGCATGGTGGCTCATGCCTATAATCCCAGCACTTTGGGAGGCTGAGCCTGCCCAACATGGTGAAACCCCGTCTCTACTAAAAATACAAAATTAGCCTGGCATGGTGGCGCATGCCTGTAATCCCAGCTACTCGAGAGGCTGAGGCAGGAGAATAGCTTGAACCTGGGAGGTGGAGGTTGCAGTGAGCCGAGATTGAGCCACTGCACTCCAGCCTGGGTTACAGAGCAAGACTCTGTCTCAAAAAAAAAAAAAAAAAAAAAAAAAAAAATTAGCAGATATGGTGGCATGTGCCTGTAGTCCTAGCTACTGGGGAGGCTGAGGCAGAAGAATCACTTGAACCTGGGAGGCAGAGATTGCAGTGAGCTGAGATCACATCATTGCACTCCATCCTGGGCAACAGAGCAAGACTCTGTCTCAAAAAAAAAAAAAAAAAAAAAGAAAAAGAAAAGAAAAGCATGACACTATTGACCATTAATAAGGAAATGAAACAATAGGAACTCAGATGCTGCTTGCAGGAGTGTAAATTGGCATAAAATTTTGGCATTAGTAGTGTTGAATATCCTATACTCTTAACCCAGAAATTTCATGCTCTAGAGATATGTTGGCATAGATTTTCTGGGAGACATATACGAAAATGTTATTAGTAGCATTGTAGATAATAGCAAAAACTAGAAATGACCCAATGGCATCAACAGAGAATGGCTAAAAAATGGTGTATTCACCCATGGAATATTATGCAGCAATAAAAAAGAATACATTTTAGCTATACATATCAATATGAACGAGCATAGACAATGTTGAAAGAAAAAAGCAAGTAGTAAAATAATATATGGAGTATGATTTCACTTATATGAAGTTCAAATGCAAGCAAAACATAATAGTGTTAGGGTTAAAAATGGTTTTCTGCCAAGTGTGATGGCTCACGCCTGTAATCCCAGCACTTTGGGAGGCTGAGGCAGGCGGATCACGAGGTCAAGAGATGGAGACCATCCTGGCCAACATGGTGAAACCCTGTCTCTACTAAAAATACAAAAATCAGCTGGGCGTGGTGGCGCATGCCTGTAGTCCCAGCTACTCAGGAGGCTGAGGCAGGAGAATTGCTTGAACCAGGGAGGGGGAGGTTGCAGTGAGCTGAGATCGCGCCAGTGCACTCTAGCCTGGAGATAGAGCGAGACTTCGTCTCAAAAAAAAAAAAATTGTTTTAAACACAGAAATCATTAAAGTAAGTGATTACCTCTTCTGGTCCCGGGGTGTCACAGGTATTGGTAATGTTCTATTTTTAAGTTTGGGACATAGGCACTTGAGTGTTCATTGATTTTTTCCTATTATTTATTCTTCAAAATATCCAGATATATTTTATGTATTCTTTTGTGTGTATGATATAATTAATTAAAAAAATTTAAAGTTTGGGTTCTAAAGCAAAACTGTCTGAACTTGAATCTCAGCTCTGCCACTCACTAGGCTCTACAGCCTTGTGTAAGTTAACTAACCTCTTTGTGTGTCAGTTTCCTCATCTGTAAAATGGAGAAAATAACATAGTGAGCATTAAAGGAGCTAATGTGGGTAAAGGCTACACTATGTCTAGTACAATAAATGGCAGCTATGTCATTCTACTGTTATACACCTCAGAGCTGGCAGGATTCTACTGTTTATGGATGAAGACACAGGTATTGAGACCATTGCCTGACCTGCCTAAGCCCACAAATTGGTGGTAGACCCAGACCACCTCACTCGTCCTACTCTTTGCTGCTCTTTTCTGTAAACTTCCTAAGAAGAGAGGAACCTGGGGTTTTTACTTGTTCGCTTTTCATACACTTGCTTTTCAACCCATGTTTGCTGTACTTGAATTCTTTCTAGTATTGTTTCTTAGCACAAATAGGTAACTTTCAATATCTCACAGAAGGGATCAACAGAGGCTCAGTCCCTTATCGTATGTGAAGACATCTCCATTCACTTGTTTATTTACTCAGAATGTACTGAGTTCTTTAGGTTCTTTACGGGGTTTATTCAGAGAAAGTGGAGGACTCAGTGACTCACAGAGCATCTCTCCATAGCTGGACTTGCCGTGTTGTTTCCTAATTATTTACTTGTGTTTCTATCATTGCACCTTGGCCTTAGTGTCAAGCTGTGCAATAGCCAAAGTTCCCGCTTTCATAGAGTTTAAGGATTTAATTAGGGATAGGGGTGTGAACAGTAGTTATAAAATAAACAGATAAGATCAATGTAGCTGGGTGCAGTGGCTCACGCCTGTAATCCCAGCACTTTGGGAGGCCGAGGCGGGTGGATCATGAGGTCAGGAGATCGAGACCATCCTGGCTAACACAGTGAAACCCTGTCTCTACTAAAATACAAAAAATTAGCCAGGCATGGTGGTGGGCGCTTGTAGTCCCAGCCACTTGGGAAGCTGAGGCACGAGAATCGCTTGAATCCAGGAAGCGGAGGTTTCAGTGAGCCGAGATCATGCAACTGCACTCCAGCCTGGGCGACAGAAAGAGACTCTGTCTCAAAAAAAAAAAAAAGAACAATGAACAATGTAGATGGATGTTCGGTGCTATTAAGAAAATAAATTAGGAAAAGGGAGAGAGGATATTTAGCATTTTGGTAGGATAGGGAGGCCTGATAGAGCAGAGGCCCGAATGATGTTGACAGACCACATCAGTGATCTGGTTTTAACACAAACAACCTCTTTGTAAAAGAAAGCAGGCTTAGGTTTTTCCCTATTGCCCTGCGAGGGACACACATGCTTTTTACCATGATGAGTGTTCAATATTGCACAGCACCCTCCAGCAGTGACTGCCTTCATTGGGGATTCTAATCCATCTGTCTGCCTGCTGGGAATGACTGAATTGGGGCAGTTTGAGGGGATGGATTATCAAATAGAGCAGAACAGAAAATTGGCATGATTCATAGAACCAGGGTGGTGCTGGGGGGTTACACAGGCAAGCGGTTTCTAATGGATTCTGCACAAAAGGAAGGAAATGACTAGAACTCAGGGCCTACATAGGACTCAGAGTGAAGACCTCGCCTGCAGGGCCCTGAGGAGAGATTCCAAGAATCTGCAGGCTGAGCATGTGTGCTTGTGGCAGCACAGGGTTGAGAAGCAGCGAGGCTGCAGCTTGCTGGAGCCCAACTATTGATGCAGTTGAACGTCCTTTGTAGCCTTGTTTAAATAGAACATAATAAGGCGGCACAGTCTGTCTGTAGAACTTTTACACTAATTGAAACAGATATGGGTGCAATTTACAAGTGAGTCACCAGAGCTAACCCAAGGGCAGTTGTTGCATCGTAGATCTGTTGTCTTGGGGAATTGACTTACTGAGGTGTTGGACTGAAGATATTTTTTTAAAAAGTTTTCAGACAGCCCTAGGTAAATCACTGCACATGTGTACTTCTCAAATACATCTCCTCCCTCTCCCCTTTCTCTTCCTCCTCTTCATCGCTTCTGTCTGCAGCCCGGGGGTACCTCTCTCACCCAACTTTGATTGCTCTAGCATCAAACAGTGCTGTGCCCATAGTAATGCTGAACCACATTTCTTAAGTGAATCAATCCTCACAGTCATCAACTCCACACATTAATTCATTTAGTACTTTAAAATTTTCCAAAGTGCTTTTCCTTGTCTTATTATAACAATTGCCAGCATTTGGTCAGCACTCTAGAGGTTATAAAGTACTTTGTGTACACTGTCTCCTATGACATCACAGCAATGCTGTGGGTTATTATTACTTGACTCATTTTGCAGGCAAGGAAGCTAAGGTTCAGGAATGCTAAATGACTCATCTGTGACCATGTAACTAATGCTTGGCAGAATCAGGATTTGTACTTAGATCTCTTGCTCCAAACTCCCTTTTTTCCATTCGATGATGCTTTCATCTGATGCTCTGGATGACCCTGTGAGGTGTTAGTGTAAGAGATGAGGTCCAGGAGGGTGACATGGCTCATCCAGGCCACACACATGCACTCACTGACCAGAAGTGAGGTCTTCCATCCAAGCCTTGGCTGTCACTATTTTCACCCTTATTGTCAGAGCATATTTTTTTAACTGAACCCACTTACTGTGTGGTTGTCTGCTAGGCATTCATTGAGTAAACAGATATTGATGCTATCTCTGTTTAACAAATGGAAAAGTCAGAAAGAAGGAAATAATCCATAAATCCAGGCCTCAAACTGTATTTACCTTACTTCTCTGGATACTGCATGCAAACCCATACAATTTTTTTTTAATCTCTTGTTAGTGTAGATCCTTTCATTGAGCTCAAACCTAAATCAACATGGCAGAACATTTTCCCCGGCTTCTCTGTTATTTACTGGACTCCCATTTTTTGGAGTTGAAGGGGACCTCAGGGAGGATTTAGCCCAATCCTATCATCTTACAGATGAAGAAACTGACTCTCCTCTTTGCCCAAGACACACAGATGGCTTTGGGCAAGTCGGGACTTGAGGGCCAGGCTTTGGCTCCCAAGGGCTCTCACTTGTTCCTGCAGGCCTCAGAACTTCCAGCCTCTAACATGGAGCTTTGGACTCTGCCTATTCGTTTCAGGTTTCTGTGATGGAAGTTTAAAGGCTGCTGGGTGTGGTGGCTCATGCCTGTAATCCCAGCGTTTTGGGAGGCTGAAGCGAGCAGATCACCTGAGGTCAGGATTTCCAGACCAGCCTGGCCAACATAGTGAAACCCCGTCTCTACTAAAAATACAAAAGTTAGCTGGGCGTGGTGGCAGGCACCTGTAGTCCCAGCTACTTGGGAGGCTGAGGGAGGAGAATCACTTGAACCCAGGAGGGAGAGGTTGCAGCGAGCCAAGATCATACCACTGCACTCCATCCTGGGTGACAGAGAGAGACTCCATCTCAAGAAAAAAAAAAAGAAAGAAAATGTCAGAGACAAAGGCTAGCACATGAAACCAGTGAGTAGAGAACAGGAAGACACAGGACACGCCAGCCAGCCAGAGGCACTGCCTGGCTTATTAGCAATAAGCTCAACTGCTAGAGCTGTGTGTCCTGAACAACTCAGGCTGGGGCTTTGTGTGTTCAGGGGCACCCCAGAGATACTCTCCCACCCCTTTCCCCAAATGCTCCTCAGGAAAATCTGCAATCTAGCCTGGTTGGCACAAGTGAAAGAAATCATAACGGAAAGAGATTCTTTATATTGATGTCTTTCTATGTCTATCCTAAGAAAACCCACAGATATTGCACATTCATTGGTGAAAAGATTAGAAGCAATGAAACAAAATGATAATAAAAAACACTTCAATAGCTACTGTTACATCTTTTTTTGTCTCTACCATTCCAGACTTTTTCTTATCCACATATGTGTGTATTTTTACAAAAATAGGTTCGTATGGTGCAATCTGATTTGCAATCTACTTTTTTCATTTATTATATTGTGAACAGCTTTCAGTATCAGTATGTTAACGAATATACATACTCCTACACTGTGTAATGGCAGTGTGTTAGCCTAGATTTTTCCAAGGAACCTGTAACCATGTTTGTTAATTGTATCCATGGGCTTCTAAGGGGTGTGTGTGTGTGTGTATGTGTGCATGCACACATGCATATATATATATACACACACACAAATAGATATATACATACACATATATAAATAGCCTTGCTTAGACTCATAGTAATAACCTCAGATATATCCAGCACTATGTACTTTACATATATTAATTTATTTACTTATTGTAAGCACCCAAGATAAAAGTAGAATTTTCATCCACCCTTTACAGATGAGGAAACTTACTCAAGGTAAGACACTGGCATGTGGTAGAGTCAGGATTCAGTCCCGGCAACCTGGCCCCCAGCCTGGCCTCCTGACTACCACCCTTCCAATAATGGGCCCACCTATTGGGTTGCACATTCTAACTCCTTGGTTACATAAACTGGGAGGGCTTATAGGGAACATCCCAATCCTGGAAAGAAAAATCTTAGTATGACAGATGTAAAGTCCAGAGAGTTTTGTTTTTTTTTTCTGAGTCTTACTCTGTTGCCCAGGCTGGAATGCAGTGGTGTGATCTTGGCTCACTGCAACCTCCGCCTCCCGGGTTCAAGCAATCCTCCCACCTTAGCCTCCTGAGTAGCTGGGATTACAGGTGTCTGCCACCATGCCCAGCTAATTTTTGTATTTTTGGTAGAGACAGGGTTTTACCATGTTGGCCAGGCTGGTCTCCAACTCGTAACCTCAGGTGTTCTGCCTGCTTCGGCCTCCCAAAGTGCTGGGATTACAGGCATGAGCCACCGCGCCTGGCCACAGAGATTTCTTTAACTTCCTTTCAAGTCACCTGCACGTTCCTTCCAGAGTGTGGCGACCATCGGCCGGCTCTCCTCTCTCTGTCTTTGCTGCTCCTTCGCATCCCCACCCCGGCCTCCATCTTTTTCTGCCGTCCTTCTCTGCCTTTCCTGCAAGGTTGGCCTCCATGGTGAAGGTGCTGTATCAGATTCCCTTTGTCCCCGGAGGAGGCTCAAGCCTTGCGGATGACCCAGAGTAGAACAGCTAGGAAACCAACACGCCTCCCTCTTGATACTCTTGACACCAGTCAGAAGAAACTGCTGTGTGTTTTAGGCTCGCCTAGTCACTTTCCTCCATTTTAACAGACTTCCCCCCAGGAAGAAAGGGGAG
The DNA here is from genome assembly GCF_000001405.40 of Homo sapiens. Lineage (NCBI taxonomy): Eukaryota > Metazoa > Chordata > Mammalia > Primates > Hominidae > Homo > Homo sapiens. The sequence goes on from NC_000004.12 coordinate 40,258,693, forward strand.
GGGGCCGAGGGGAGGAAGGAAAGGAGTGGGGAAGGGGGGAAGAAAACCCCCATCCTGCCACAACACCGAGCCTCGGATTTCGCTCTGCTTCGATGCTAAGGTCTCTGATTCTCCCTGGTTCTTTCTGAAGCTTGGGGGTGGGGTAGGGAGAACACGTGCTGAGGCTTCAAGCTGCAGCACGGCTCTAAGAAGCTTCAGATGGGGAACCCTGAATGGACACCTCTAACTTCCCTCTCCTCCAGAAAAAGACTGGTCAGCTGAGGTGGGGCTGTTGTTAGGTTTGACTGGCTAAAAGTTTGTGTAGAGGGGACTCAGGGTTCCTTTCTCTGCCAGGGCATTTTCTTAGGAATGGAACCTCTCAGCTGGGCACAGTGGCTCACGCCTGTAATCACAGCACTTTGGGAGGCCGAGGCAGGCAGATCAAGGGGTTCAAGAGATCAAGACCATCCTGGCCAACATGGTGAATCCCCATCTCTACCAAAAATACAAAAACATTAGCTGGGCGTGTTGGCACACATTTGTAATCCCAGCTACTCGGGAGGCTGAGGCAGAAGAATTGCTTGAACCCAGGAGGGGCAGGCTGCAGTGAGCTGAGATCGAGCCACTGCACTCCAGCCTGGTGACAGAGAGACTCCATCTCAAAAAAAAAAAAAAAAAAAAAAAAAGGGAATGGAACCTCTCATATGCTGAAGTCTGCCCTTCCCAGCGGGTCTATTATCATCTGATTAACTGCTGTGGTGAAGAATCTTAAAATAAAACAAACAAACAAAACCCAATCACTACAGCTGTATACTGTTTAAAAGCACAGTGAATTCCAAGTCGGGGGGGTGAGGGGGAAGGACAAAGAATTCGTAGGAAAAAAAAAGAAAAAACAAAAACCAAGAACATATTAAAATGTAAATCTATTTTTTTATTATTATTATGACGCGGCATCGTCTTGGGTAAATACCCAGGGTTCATCATCTTGCGCCAAGAAGATTCAGGACATGCACACACACAAGGAATTTAGGAGTGGAGGTTTAATAGGCAAAATAAAGAGAAAGGAGAATAGCTCTTTCTCTAGTGAGAGAGAGTGCCTTCCATAAGGAAAGACAAGCCAGTGGCGGAGTGCACCGGATTTTATAGGCAGGCTGGAGGAGGCGGTGTCTGATTTACATAGGGCCCACAGATTGGTTTGATCAGGTGTGACGTTTACATAGTGCTCGGTGAAGGCTGGCCACCCCACCCTAATCTTACCATGCCATTAAATGGGCTTTCCACTTGACTTGCGCCATATTGTCTGCTCCTTACTATACACATGGCTGGCAAAGAGAAGGGAAGATGGAGCCGCCATTTTGAACATGCCTAGTCCCAGGTAGCTTTTTTCCTGCTGGCATTCACCTGTGCAAGCTTTCCACTTGCTTGTCTATGTTTGCAGCTCGATTTTACAGGCTGTTCTGTGTTAGAAAATGATTTTGGGGCTACTTTTCATTAAAAAGGAAAACCTTGCCAGGCGCTGTGGCTCACGCCTGTAATCCTGGCGCTGTGGCTCACGCCTGTAATCCCAGCACTTTGGGAGGCCGAGGCAGGTGGATCACGAGATCAGGAGATCGAGACCTTCCTGGCTAATACGGTGAAACCCTGTCTCTACTAAAAACATACAAAAAATTAGCCAGACGTGGTGGCAGGCGCCTGTAGTCTCAGCTACTCGGGAGGCTGAGGCAGGAGAATGACGTGAACCCGGGAGGCAGAGCTTGCAGTGAGCCGAGATCGCGCCACTGCACTCCAGCCTGGGGGACAGAGGGAGACTCCGTCTCAAATAAAATAAAATAAAATAAAATAAATAACAAAAAGGAAAACCTTACCGAGGACTCCCATACCCTCACTAACTGCCTAAGCAGTTTCTTCTTAACTCCTTTATTATTATAATTATTTGAGAAGGAGTTTCACCCTTGTCACCCAGGCTGGAGTGCGATGGTGCAATCTGGACGCACTGCAACCTCCGCCTCTCGGGTTCAAGCGATTCTCCTGCCTCAGCCTCCCAAGTAGCTGGGACTACAGGCACCTGCCACCATGCCTGGCTAATTTTTGTATTTTTAGGAGAGACAGGGTTTCACCGTGTTGGCCAGACTGGTCTGGAACTCTTGACCTCAGGTGATCCCCCTGCCTGAGCCTCCCAAAGTGCTGAGATTACAGGCATGAGCCACCGTGCTGGCCGAACTCCTGCATTATTTAGACTCAACATACATTGTCCAGTTGCTATAAAACTTTTTCCATATGTCATTCTCTCGATTTCTGTGCTTACCTTTGTCAACCTAAAGGAGGAAATTGAGGCAAAATTAATATAGAGTCCATTTGGGCCAAGGCTAAGGACTGCAACCGAGGAAACACTGAGAAGTTCTCCTGAGAATAAAGGAGAGGTTTTTAAGGAAAAAAGGATCAATCAGGAGAGAGGGCAATTGCAAAAGTTGTTTTTTCAGGAATTTTTGCAGGGTTACAGGGATAACATTGATTAGTAATTGACTATATGTTGTTGAACTATAGTGTGTGAATAATGTTGTCTAGCATATGGCATATGTTAGGTAAATTTATGGGTACTTGGTGGAGACATTCAGTCTAGAGTCTATATAGCAGGAGGCTTCAAAATAAATACTTAGCTCAAGGTGGTAGTTGCTGCCAGACTCTGGCTGAGAGATGGATGAAGGAAGTACGCTGACACAGGTGTTTTACCTGACAGCGTGGCTAGGGGACTGCCGCTTAGCACCACCAGCAAGAGTGCAGCAGCAGCAGCTCCCATAAGCCAGAGACACTCGCATTTATTTAGTACAGATTTAACGACAAAGGCTTGGAGCAAACACAATTTGGGGTGATTAACATTGTCGACCCCCCCAAGTAGAGAGCAGTCCTGCACACGAATGAGCAAAGGTTGGTTTCTGGAGACATAAGTAAACAGATTTATCTAGATAAGTTCCTTTACATTCCCCTGTTATCTGCCTTTTGTTCTCAGCCCCCGGACAAGAGAATTTGGCTGCCTTCAGCCATAATCCTCTCCTGAAGCTTTTGCAAAACCTCCCTGCCTTCTAAGAAGGTTTGTGTCTTTCCCTATAATTTTTCCTACCACCCTGACTGATTTCCTACAGGTAGGGGGTGGAGTGAGCCATGACTGCTGTCTCATTTTAATGCCTCTCTGGGCCTGATCACTTAAAAGGGCTCATATTCCTCAGATAAAAAGTTTATTTTCTTTCTCACCTTGCCATGGTCCAGTAACAGTTTACAGACCTGCCCTGGATGGCAGGTTGCACTTTGAACAGTGATGATCTAATTCACTCATTCCTTCTCCGTTTAGGGAAGTTCACTCATTCACAGAATAAAACATTCATTACATATCTGTTATAAGCCAGACATATAGATGATTTGGGCTTATTCTGTTCTCAAGTGATTGCTGTGACACCATGACCATGTGTTATGATTATATAATTGAATTGGAATAGTCTAGTCATCAATAGAATGTCATGTTCACCATGATAGCACTGAAAAGAAAAATTGCCCCAGGCCTGGTCTGGGACAGACCCTTTTTTGGATGTGATGTAATTCACAACTTCCTTCTGGGGAGAAACTCAGTGCTCCTGATAAAATGCCCAAGCTGTTTTCTGATGGACTTTGATGGGATTAAGGCTTGTTCTGGGAAACAAGTCACACCTACCCTGCTCCCTGACCCCCTGCAGACTTTCAGACAACAGCCCAGTTGACCTTTAACCATATATATATATATATATATATATATATATATATTTTTTTTTTTTTTTTTTTTTTTAAGATGGAGTCTTGCTCTGTCACCCAGGCTGGAGTGCAGTGGGGCAATCTCGGCTCACTGCAACCTCCACCTCCCGGGTTCAAGTGATTCTTCTGCCTCAGCCTCCCAAGTAGCTGGGACTACAGGCGTGTGCCACCACGCCTGGTAATTTTTGTATTTTTAGTAGAAACAGGGGTTTCACCGTGTTGGCCAGGCTGGGTTCAAACTCCTGACCTCAGGCAATCAGCCCCCCTCAGCCTCCCAAAGTGCTGGGATTACAGGCGTCAGCCACCATGTCTGGCCTAACCAGCCATTCTTTTATTCTGTGTCTAGTCTAACAATGACTGTCTGGCCATTCTCTTTTCCTATAAAATGCCCTATCAAGTGTGAATCTTGGAAATAGACTCCTAGAGGCCATTTCACTTGAAGAAAGGCTGCAATACAGTTACAACACGTGGTCATAACTAAAGAGAGGGAAGGAGAGAATTCTGATGGGTTGATGGAGTTGGTGGGACTCAGTGACCCTGAGAAAGCTTTATAGTATTTCTGAGTCTCAGTTTTGTCATCTGTGAAATGGAGACAATAATACCTCAGGAGGTGGCTGTGAGAGTGAATATGGAATGGAAAGGGCGTGGTATCTGCCCAGCATGTATTAGTGCACCCTACATGCACATGATGATGATTATGATGGTGATGACTATGGACCCCTGATCTCTGAAAGAATTAAGAATATGCCATCCAAAACATGCCATTCTGGCATATTGACTTTTAAGTTAAAGGTATATGGAAAACAGTGGGTGCAAGGTCACTCCGACCTCTGTGCTGTTTCTTAAAAGCAGGAGATGGGCCGGGCATGGTGGCTCACACCTGTAATCCCAGCACTTTGGGAGGCCAAGGCGGGTGGATCATCTCAGGTCGGGAGTTCCAGACCAGCCTGACCAACATGGTGAAACCTCATCTCTACTAAAAATACAAAATTAGCCAGTCGTGGTGGTGCACGCGTGTAACCCCAGCTACTTGGGAGGCTGAGGCAGAAGAATTGCTTGAACCCAGGAAGTGGAGGTTGCAGTGAGCTGTGATCGCGCCATTGCACTCTAGCCTGGGCAACAAGAGCGAAACTCCGTCTCAAAAAAAAAAAAAAAAAAAGCAGATGAAATTCGAGTGTGAAAGACACAACATCCTTATCTTTGAGGTTGAGAAGTAGAGACCAGGAGTATTCTGCACAGACCTTGTTCAAATAACTCTTATCTTTTAAGCCTCTCTACATAATTTAGTTGCTTCTTCACAACTTACTACTCTTGGTCCAATCCAGTATATATTAATAAGTAACTGACTCTAGCTGCTTCTTTGGGCGTCTTCATTTCCTTAGCAGGGCTCCCGTGCCATGTAAAACTTATATGAAATAAAGTTGTATGCTTTTCTCCTGTTAATCGATCTTACATCAATTTAGCCTTTGTGCCCAGCTGAGACCCTAAGAGCATGGAAGTGGATGGAGTTTTGCTGTCCTTACATCTCCTCAAGTAGAGTCCTGGAGTTCCAGGGTATTACCGTAACCACCCAATGGGTTCACCTTGCTGGGTGCCTAGACAGAGTTGATTTCTCAGGACAGGGGAATTGCAATAGAGAAAGAGTAATTCAGGCCGGGTGTGGTGGCTCATGCCTATAATCCCAGCACTTTGGGAGGCCGAGGAAGGTGGATCACGAGGTCAGGAATTCAAGACCAGCCTGGCCAAGGTGGTGAAACCCCGTCTCTACTGAAAATACAAAAAAGGTAGCTGGGTGTGGTGGCGGGCACCTGTAATCCCAGCTACTTGGGAGGCTGAGGCAGATAATTGCTTGAACCCAAGAGGCAGAGGTTGCAGTGATCCGAGACTGAATCGCTGCACTCCAGCCTGGGTGACAGAGTGAGACTCCGTCTCAAAAATAAAAAAAAAAAAAGAGAGAGAGAGTAATTCATGTAGAGCCGGCTGTGCGGGAGACTGGAGTCTTATTGTTACTCAAATCAATCTCCCTGAGCATTTGGGGATCAGAGTTCTTAAGGATAATTTGGTGGTATGGGCTCGGAGAGTGGAGAGTGCTCACTGGTCGGGTTGAAGATGAAATCATAGGGGGTCGAATTGAGGTGTTCTTGCTGACTTCTGCTCCTGGGTGGGATTGCAGAACTGATTGAGCCGGATTATCAGTCTAGGTGGTGTCATCTGCTGCATTGGAATGCAGAGTCTGCAAAATATCTCAAGCACTGATGTTAGGTTTCGCAACAATGATGTCATTCCCAGGAGCAATTTGGAGAGGTTCAGACTCTTGCAGCCAAAGGCTGCATGGCTGCTAAACTGTAATTTCTAATCTTGTAGATAATTTGTTAATCCTACAAAGGCAAACTGGTCCCCAGGCAAAAAGGGGTTTTTCGGGAAAAGGCTATTATCAATTTTGTTTCAGAGTGTAAACTATAAACTAAATTCCTTCCCAAGGCTAGTTCAGCCTATACCCACAAATGAATAAAGACAGTTGAGAGGTTTGAAGGAAGATGGGGTCAGTTAGGTCTGACCTCTTTCACTGTCATAATTGCCTTAGTTAAGATTTTTGCAAAGCCGGTTGCATTATCTGCTCCGGGTCAAGCTCTGGGCTGTTGCTTCTCCCTCAGGCCTGAGATGGGAGGAGCAGATGCCCCATGGGCCTGGGAAAGGGGTCAAGCAGGTGCCTAGTGCCTGAGGGCGAGCAGGGGCTGCCTGAAGCGAGAAAGTCAGAGGGCTTGCCTTTGCGGCAACACTGCCAGTTCCCACAGGGTCGAAGCTCCTCCTGAGTAGTGGGCAGGGAAGAAGCCAGCCTGGGCCTGGGCTCCTTGGGGAGACAGGACTAACGCTGGAGCCTGGGCCACTGCAGGCCTGTGATCTGGAACCCAGCAAAGCCTCATCACCCTGCAGCTGTGGGAGCAGGCAGAGCCCTCCTGTGGTTTTAACTCTGTGGCTGTCACTCAGGGACCATTTATCGGCTGTTCTTTTTCACAACATTTCTGTTAGCTTGAGGCTTGGGCCGAGAGAAAAGAGGCTGCTGAAAACCGTCTGCGTCTGTTTTCTTCATGCTATTGGTAGGAGAAACACACTTGTCACATACTGAGTCATTTTTCTGCTTCAACCTCAATCTACTTTCTCTGAAAAAGTGAATCCATGTGGAAGAACTTATGGGAGAGGGATGAGGGAGAGAGGGAGGAGCAGAGGGAAGGGAGAGGGAGGAGGGAGATGGCAGCCTGTCCAGTGTTTCTAGCCTGCATCATATTGTGGAAACTTGACAAGTCTAATTCTCTGCCATGGCGAGGGTGAAGGGAAGAGGCGGAGGCAGAAGAGAAAGAGCAGAGCCTTAGGCAGGTGGTAGGTACAGCGCTGCCAGCCTGCAGGATCCTTTGTGAGAGTCAGAAAATGGTGCCTGCTCTGCCTGCACACCGCCCTATGCCAGCCCACAGAGTTTTGGCAAGCCCAGCACAGCTAGATTTCAGTCTCCACTGTCCCCTCTGCCTTGTTCAGTGAACGGCCTGTGCAACTGTGATCAGCAGCCCTGACTGGAGGAAGACTCATTCCAAATGCTGTGGCAGATGAAGGCTCACAAGGAACTGAAATAAGAAGTGGTAAAACTGCCCTCGGTTATGGCTACAGTATTCGATGAGTGTAAAGGTACAGTCCATTTCCAGAAAGCCTGACTATGAGGCCATCACTCTTACTCATTGAGTACAGCTCTTTACTTTCTCCATCGAGGCATCCACCAAACTCTACAAAATCTAGTTAATTGCTCCCTTCCCTCTTCCACCAAACTTGGACTCTCTCCTTGTTTCTATAAACCAAAAGGTATCTGAGACAGGTCTCAATCAATTTAGAAAGTTTATTTTTTCAAAGTTAAGAATCTGCTTGTGACACAGCCTTGGAAGGTCCTGACAACATGTACCCAAGGTAGTCAGACACATCTTGCTTTTATGCATTTTAGGGAGACACGAGACATCAATACATGTAAGATGTACATTGGTTTAGTCTGGGAAGGTGGGACAACGTGAGGCGGAGACTTCCACGTCATAAGTAGTCAAAAGACAAAAGGCTGCAGTGGACTCTTCGGAGTCCTTGATCAACCTTCCACTGAATACAAAATTTAGTCTGGCTCAGTGAATCTGCAATTTTACATAAATAATAGGGCAGAGGAAGCAATTGGATACGGATTTGTCCCATGTGAGCCTCTAAGGGATGACTTTGAGTTCTGTTCTGTCTGTCCTTTGTCCACAAGGAATTTCCTTGTAGGTAAATTGTGAGGGAAGTATGGAGCTTTTTATCTTTGTAGCCATCTTATTTAGGAATAAAATGGGAGGCAGGTTTGCGTGACATAGTTCCCAGCCTGTCTTTTCCCTTGGCTTTGTGATTTTGGGGTCTCGAGATTTATTTTCCTTTCACATTTCCATCCCTGTATTGCTTTTTTTTTACTTCCCAATGTTACAGGAAAGGGGTACTGATCCAGACCCCAAGAGAGGGGTCTTGGATCTCGCACAAGAAAGAATTGAGGGTGAGCCCGTACAGTAGAGTGAAAGCAAGTTTATTAGGAAAGTAAAGGAATAAAAGAATGGCTACTCCATAGACAGAGAACCCCCAAGGGCTGCTGGTTGTCCATTTTTCTGGTTATTTCTTGATGATATGCTAAACAAGGGGTGGATTAATTATGTCTCCCCTTTTTAGACCATATAGAGTAACTTCCTGACGTTGCCATGGCATTTGTAAACTGTCATGGCGGGAGTGTAGCAGTGATGATGATCAGAGGTCACTCTTGTGGCCATCTTGGTTTTGGTGGGTTTTGGCTGGCTTCTTTACTGCAAACTGTTTTATCAGCAAGGTCTTTATGACCTGTATCTTGTGCTGACCTCCTATCTCATCCTGTGACTTAGAATGCCTTAACCGTCTGGGAATGCAGCCCAGTAGGTCTCAGCCTCATTTTACCCAGCTCCTATTCATGATGATGTTGCTCTGGTTCAAATGCCTCTGACACCAGGAAGAGGCTTCCTATATTTCAGAATAAAATTTCTACACCTAAACTTTCTGCTGCAAATATTCACTACCTCTTCTAGGAAAGCTCTGGTGCCTGATTCTGCTGAAAGCATCTTTTTTCTCCCCGCTACTCGCCGCTCCCCCCACCCCTACTCCTTATCAAATGACCTCTCTTTCAGAAAGAAGAAAAGAAGATATAAAGGTAAGGGAACATGAGAGTAGAGAAATGCTGCCTAGCCACATACAATTTTTTGCTTTAATTCATTGTGTTCTTGGAGAGACTATCAAAAGCTTTCATCAGAGTCTCAAGAGTCCATGACCCCGGAATTTTAAGAGCTGCTGCTACAAAAGGATTCATGAAATCCTCTAAGAAAAAGGCACAGAAAGTTCAGGGAGGGTTTATTAAATTAATTTTACCCCACTGTCTGATTTTTGGCAGGTTATCTAATTTTTTTTTTTAACCATGAGCATGAACAGTGTTGCTTATTTTCCTGACTACCTTGGATGGCCCCCAGAATCATATTATTCTAATTGCCAACTAGAGGCCATCCCATTCTTCAGCCCACCACCCTCCAAGCTACCCTCCATTGTGTACCATGAACTGTAATCCAAGCAGCTCTCTTGTTGGGGTTAAAGGCCTCTAGTCCCACCTATATGCCTTTCTCTTGCTCTGTTCCCCAGCCAGCCCTTCACCCCAGCCAGGCTGGCTAATGTACTACCCATGTAAACCAAAAATAAAAGTTTAAGTCACTCAACGGACTGAATGGACCCCCCTTCTTGGCCAAAGGAATTCTAAAGTAAACCTGAAAAATTAGTTCAGGCCATCGTGGGAAAGGGGGTTGGACATGCCACATTATACCCTCCTTTCTTTGGAATTCAGGCACAACTGACCAGCATTAATATTAAAATAGGAACCTGGGCAACAGAAGGATACCTTTTCTCTAAAAAAATCAAAACAAAGACCAGGCCCAGTGGCTCACACCTGTAATCCCAGCACTTTGGGAGGCCGAGATGGGTGGATCACCTGAAGTCAGGAGTTTGAGACCAGCCTGGCCAACATGGTGAAATCCTGTCTCTACTAAAAATACAAAAAATTAGCCGGGCGTGGTGGTGTGCACCTGTAATCCCAGCTACTCGGGAGGCTGAGGCAGGAGAATCACTTGAACCTAGGAGTTGGAGGTTGCAGTAAGCTAAGATCATGTCACTGCACTCCAGCCTGGGCAACAGAGTGAAACTCAGAAAAAAAAAAAAAAAAAGAGACAAAAACCAAACAACCAAACAAACAAAAACCATATAACAACAACAACAAAATTAAAATGGAGATCTTAAGACTGACAAAACAGGCTTTTGTAGCAATAAGATACCAAATTCCAACCTAACTCTAGTATCGTGCCACATGTCAGATAGCAGGCCCTGAAGGAAATTATTTTATCCTCAAATATATTTATCTGATGTATTTAGATATGGCCCCACAAAGCTGTCTCTTATGGGAGAAATGTATGTCTGGTCTTGAACTCATGGGCTCAAGCGATCCTCCCACCTCAGCCTCCCAAAGTGCTGGGATTACAGGCGTGAGCCACTGCACCTGGCTGAAATTTACATTCTGTAGAGAATCCTCTTCCCTTTCCAGGTTTTTTTTTTTTGGATCCTGAAGAGATTAGCTGAGAGTATGGCACTTTTTAAAGGTCTGAATAGGAAACATTTGTCATCTGTTGCCTCTAAGGGTGTCCACCTATGAGACTTCATCTACATAATAAGAACCTTAATCTCCACAACCCCTTATCTTAGCCCAGACACTCCTTTGTATTGATTCTGCGTCTTTAGATAATAACTTAACTCTCAACCCATTGCCAAACAAAAAAAATCTTTGAATCCACTTATGACCTAGAAGTCCTCCAAAGACATCCACTTAGAGTTGTCTGGCCTTTCTGGACTGAACCAATGTATACTTCACATGTATTGATTGATGTCTGCCTGTAACTCCCCTGAAATGTACAAAATCAAGCTGTAACCCAACCACAGAGGCACATGTTCTTAGGACCTCCTAGGGCTGTGTCATGCATGGGTCATGGTCCTCATATTTGGCTCAGAATAAATCTCTTAAAGTATTTTAGAGTTTGGCTTTTAAATCAATATCCACAACAGGAGCATCACAGCCATTTGGCTCTAGGCCATCACTCATGATGTCCTTGTCATCCATTCCTCTTGGTTCTCTAGATCCTCTGTGTCATTTGAGGTCAGCTCTTCTGAAGTGAGGAACCCTGTCTCTGTGTTCCAATAGCATTCCATTTTCCCTATCAGGTACAACACCATGTGCTCCAACTCTCTACCTCCATCTCGCTCACTGGTCTGTGAGCTTTCTTAGAAGAGGGCCTGAGTCTTGTTCACTGGTGTCTGTCCAATGGTCCCAGTGGTCCCTGGAACATAGTCTGTACATGAGAAATGTTTGTTGAATAATTGAAGCCTTGTCTGACAATTGATTTTGGTCCTGTATTTCTCCAAATTTTTAATATATTTATTGTTTCTACCAATGACTGATGATCAGAATTACTGGGAGAGTTCTTATGAAATACAAATTTTCAGAGCTCTATTCCAGCTCTACCAAATTACAATGTAGAGGGGAGGAGCCTAGAATCTGTATTTCCACAAAGTTCTCCAGATGGTTCTGATAATCTAGTTTGCTTTATATTAGTGATACAGGAGTTAAGAAGAAATCAGGCAGATTGCAAGGGTATGGGATTCCGCAGTAAGGCTTTTCTTTTTAATGAAAAGCAGTCCCAAATCATTTTCTAACAAAGAGCAGCCTGCAAGCTGGGAGCTTACTGGGGTGACTGCCGGCAGGAACTAAGGACTAGACATTTTCAAGATGGCGGCTCCGTATTCCCTTCTCTGCCAGCCACGTGTGCTGCAAAGAGCCAACAAGATGGGCCGGGCACTGTGGCTCACGTCTGCAATCCTAGCACTTTGGGAGGCCGAGGCGGGTCGATTGCCTGAACTCAGGAGTTCGAGGCCAGCCTGGGCAACGGGGTGAAACCCCGTCTCCACTAAAATACAAAAAATTAGCCGGGCGTGGTGGCATGTGCCTATAGTGCCAGCTACTTGGGAAGCTGAGGCAGGAGAATTGCTTGAACCCGGGAGGCAGTGAGCCGAGAATTGCTTGAACCCGAGGTTGCAGTGAGCCGAGACAGTGCCACTGCATTCCAACCTGGGCGACAGAGCGAGATTTCATCTCAAAAAAGAAAAAAAGCAGACAAGATGGTGCAGATCAGCTGGAAAGCCTATTTGCATAAGAAGATGCAAATAGGTGGGGCAACCAGCCTTCCCCACCGGCTATGTCAATGTCATACCTGATCAAACCAATTTATGAGCCCTATGTAAATCAGACACCGCCTCCTCAAACCGGACTATAAAATTCTGCGCATTCACTGCCAGCCAGTCCTTTCTGCTTGGAAACCTCTTCCTCTATAGAGGAAGCTGTTTCTCTTTTTTTTTTTTTTTTTTTCTTTTTTGAGACGGAGTTTTGCTCTTGTCGTCCAGGCTGGAGTGCAATGGCGCAATCTGGGCTCACTGCAACCTCTGCCTCCCGGGTTCAAGCGATTCTCTTGCCTCAGCCTCCCGAGTAGCTGGGATTACTGGCCCCCCACCACCACGCCCTGCTAATTTTTTTGTAATTTTAGTAGAGATGGGGTTTCACCGTATTAGCCAGGCTGGTCTCAAACTCCTGACCTCAGGTGATCCACCCTCCTCGGCCTCCCAAAGTGCTGGGATTACAGGCGTGAACCACCACGCCCAACAGTTATAAAATATTTATATATTAATTCGAAGTAACAATAATAAACCCAGCAGATGTTAGCATAAATAATATATTCTTAAAATAAAAATAACTATATTTTACTTAAAAAATTTTGATGAGAAGATAGCCATTGTCTTATGTTTTTGCCAATTGTTTTAGTGTTTAACTTAGCAGATGACAGCTGGATCTCAGATCTGCTTCTGCATTCAATTTGGTGCACTTTGCAATTTGTTGTCTTGGATTCAATACATGAAGAAAATTCAGCTTCACACATGTAGTTAGAACAAAGAGAAGTATTTTAATAGCCTTTTCAGATCATTGTGGATATTTTTCTTTGATAGTATTCCAAAAATTAAGTTATAGTTTCTGAAAGGTTAGTTGCGATGCGGAATCTGAAACCATATCAATGAGCTTTTTGAACTTTGTATATTTGTAGAAAATGAGAGTGAAATAGACAAGTAAGGCTTTAGTATTGAGGACTAAACTCTGATTTTTTTTTTTATCTTGCCCAAATTCCTACCTAAGGGGTCTGGGGAGTCATGCCCTATGAATCATACATTCTTATCAGATGGGTTTTATTTAACCCTATACTATATATCGTGACTTACTTTCCAACCTGACTCTGGCGTAACATTACCAGACAAGAAATCAAAATATTTTTACCCCAAAACATGTTTCTTTGACATATTTGAAGTGGCCCTGCAAAGCTGTTCTTTGTGGGGAAAAATTTGTATATGTAAAGAATCTCTATTAACATAGTTAGATTTTTTTCTTCCAGACCCTCCCAGTGCTAAAGAGATTAATTAAGATCTGAACAGGAAACATTTGTCATCTATTGTCTCTAAGGGCAGCCACTATAAGACTTCCAAAGAACTTTGGTCTCCACAATCTCTATCTTAACCTGAACATTCCCTTTCTATCTATCCCAGGTCTTTAGACAAACTCAACCAATTGTCAACCAGAAAATGTTTAAATTCACCTATAGCCTGGAGGCCCTCCTGCTTTGAGTTGGCCCGCCTTTCTGGACCAAACCAATGTATTTCTTAAATGTATTTGATTGATGTCTCATGCCTCCCTAAAATGCATAAAACCAAGCCACGGCCCGACCACCTTAGGCAATGTTCTCAGGACCTCCTGAGGGCTGTGTCATGGGCCACGGTCACTCATATTTGGCTCAGAAAAAGTCTTTTCAAATATTTTACAGAGTTCGACTCTGTTTGTCAACAGTATCATTATGAAAATAGTTTTGACTTCATGGTTCTCTGAAGTCTTAGGGAACCCCAGGGGTTCCTGGACCACAATTTGAGAAGTGCAACTATATTCCTCAACACTCAGCACTTATATCTTGCTCTTGGCCTTTTTTTGGTTTTTTTTGATAAAGGGTCTCACTTTGTCGCCCAGGCTGGTGTGCAGTGGTGTGATCTCGGCTCACTGTAACCTCTGTGCCTCCCTTGTTCAAGGAATTCTTCCACCTCTGCTTCTCTAGTAGCTGGGACTACAGGCATGCGCCATCACGCCTGGCTAATTTTTGTATTTCTTGGTAGAGACAGGGTTTTGCCATGTTGGCCAGGCTGGTCTCGAACCCTTGACCCCAAGTGATCCGCCCACCTTGGCCTCCCAAAGTCCTGGGATTATAGGCGTGAGCCACCGGCCTCCGATTGTTTTATATTCATTTATCCAACAAATATTTGTTGAGTGCTGATGTGTGCCAGGCAGTGTTCTGGGCTTTGGGGTTCTAAATATAACTGATCCATAACCAAATTATATTGAGGATAAAAGCTCCAATTTCTGCCTCATGAGAACCCAGTTTCAGGGCTGCTGCTTGGTCATTTGGCATCTTTGTATAAATTGGAAAAAGTCAGGCTGGGCGCCGTGGCTCACGCCTATAATCCCAGCACTTTGGGAGGCTGAGGAGGGCGGATCACCTGAGTCCAGGAATTCAAGACCAGCCTGACCAACATGGGAAACCCCTTCTCTACTAAAAATATAAAATTAGCTGGGTGTGGTGGCGCATGCCTGTAATCTCAGCTACTCGGGAGGCTGAGGCAGGAGACTTGCTTGAACCCGGGAGGTGGAGGTTGCGGTGAGCTGAGATGCATACCATTGCACTCCAGCCTGGGCAACAAGAGTGAAACTCCATCTCAAAAAAATAAAATTAAATTAAATTTTAAAAAAGAAAAAAAAATGTCGTGTCCTCTGAACAGACGCACCTCTGTAAGCAAAGAACTTCTCCTGTGGATGGACATTACCTTGCACTGGATACATTGCAAGACTGGCTTGGTGAGAGGAGCGTGGGCAGAATTACAGCTGCCACTCACTCCTTGACTGGGTATCTTTATGCAGTGAACAATTTATGCAACTGCTCACGCCCTACATGTTGTATATCTTTCTTGTTCTCTTCATTGATAAGCCTCAGAGCCAGAATTCAAATCCAGGGAGTGAGGTTACAGAAAGCTCCAGAAAGTCTGTGACCTTTGCTACAGACTATGCAGTTTCTGATGCATAGTGAAGACTCACCGAGTGGCAAGGGTATGGGTAGTAGTTGATAATACTATATCTTCTTAGCTTAATCCACCTCTGAAGCAATTCTCTACACAAACGTGATAACTTGGCTCTTCCTAAAGACAAAAAGTATAGTTAAGAACTGAATCTAGGCCGGACATGGTGGTTCACACAGGTAATCCCAGCACATGAGGTCAAGGCGGTCAAATTTCTTGAGCTCAGGAGTTCAAGACCAGTCTGGGCAACATGGTGAAACCTGTCTCTACAAAATATACAAAAATTAGCCAGATGTGGTGACATGTGCCTGTAATCCCAGCTACTCAGGAAGCTGAAGTGAGAGAATCACTTGACCCTGGGAGGCGGAGGTTGCAGTGAGCTGAGATCACGCCACTGCACTCCAGCCCGGACGACAGAGTGAAACTCTGTCTCAAAAAAAAAAAAAAAAAAAAAAAAAAAGAAAAAAGAACTGAATCTATTTCACAGATGGACCTGTACTCCATTAACTTAAGCACAAATATATATTCAACAACTACAAAGAATACTGGTCCATTTTGGTGTTAATTACCAAACCTTTGTCACCAGAGCATGAATGAATCTTCACCAAGTAACATTATCTAGGAATTGGCCCTGTCTTTACCTGCGTCCAGTGCTACTGATGATTCAAGTAGAAGAGAACTGAGAATCATCCATTGCGTTTATCAATGTAGCAGTAACCTTACTGAGAGCAGTTTTAGCAGAAAGATGTTGGCAAAAGCTTGATTGGAGTGTGTCTCATAGAGAATTTTTAGTTTTGTCTAACTCAAAACTTAAAGAATGGAGCCTTCATTAGCTGTATTTCTATAGATCTCTGTATTTGATTTAGTTATTGTCTTAGTCCATTTTGTGTTGCCATAACAAAATATCACAGACCAGGTAAGTTATTAAGAATAGGGATTTATTTCTTACCTTCTGGAGGCTGAGAAGTCCAAGGTCAAGAGGCCCACATCTGGTGAGGGGTCTCTTACTGCATCTTGCCATGGCAGAAGGTGGAAGAGCAAGAGAAGACAAGTGCATGAGAGACAGATGGTGGGGAAGAGCTCTGGCTGATCATGTCATTTCATCAGGAACCCACTCCCGTGATAATTAACCCACTCTTCAAGAACAGCATTAATCCACTCATGAGGGCAGAGCCTCTTAACACTGTCCCACCTCTTAACACTGTTGCATTGGGGATTAAGTTTCCAACACATGAGCTTTGGGGGGAAACATTCAAACTATAGCAGTTATATATGATATCTCTACTACTGCATGAACGTGCAAAGAGTATAGAAGCAATTTTCAGCCAGTTCTGCTGACATCTCTGCTGCAGTTGCCTTCAAATGTGAGTACATGTGGTAGGACCCTCTTTGCTGCAGAATAATAAGACTTGCCTGTGGTTGGCTGAGGACAGCTTGAGTCTAAGGGGAGTCTCTCAGCTTAATCAAAGCTCATACCTGCAGACCTTCCTGCACTTGCATGTGGAGCTCTGTGAACACAGGCAGCCCAGCAGGCACAGAGCGCTTGATGATGACCAAGAACCCTAAGATGTGGTTGCTTGAGGGTGGGGGAGGGAGTGAGGGAGAAGAGGGGCAGGTAAAATTTTCAGTGTTTCTAAGAAGCATCTGGACAGGGATTAAAACTGCGGAAGGGGCCAGCAGAGAACTAAAGGAGGCCTGGTAAATTAGGCTTGGGCTGGAGCTCTGTGTGGCCTTACTGTGACCTGCTCTTCTGCCATTGTCTTCAATTACAAAAGGAGGCCACTGGCCTCTATAATCAGGAAGGTCTCTTCTGGTGCTCTGAGCTGGTAGTGCATGACTACAAGTTCCACGGGCTTAGAGCAATTAAAATTTTTTTTTTTTAGATGCTACAAGAAGTAGGGAATAGTGTTTCAGAATTAAAGTTTATTTTGGAACCCAATACTGCATACAAGGAATAAGATGTAGTCTTCTCTTTTCATTACTCTTCTAACATGTGTCTTCCAGCTATTTTTTTTTTTTTTTTTTTTTTTTGAGACAGCGTCTCACTCTGTCACCCAAGCTGGAGTGCAATGGCATGGTCTTGGCTCACTGCAACCTCTGCCTCTTGGGTTCAAGCGATTCTCTTGCCTTAGCCTCCTGAGTAACTGGGACTATAGGCATGTGCTATCAGACCCAGCTAATTTTTGTCTTTTTAGTAGAGATGGCATTTTACTATGTTAGCCAGCCACCACACTCGGCTAATATTTTTTGTATTTTAGTAGAGATGGGGTTTCACCATGTTGGCCAGGCTGATCTTGAACTCCTGATCTCAAGTGACCCACCCTCCTCTGCCCCCAAAGTGCTGGGATTACAGGCGTGAGCCACTGTGCCTAGCCATAAATACCTTTCTTATGGGGTTTCAGTGGGGACTAAGTGAGATAAATGAATATGAAGAGCTTAGCATAGGGCCTGGCACATAGTAGGTACTCACTACTCATTAGTTGCCTTCATCGCCACCAACTGTGAAGTAGGAATGGGCAAAAAGAGAATTAATCCATGTTAAAGACAGGAAAACAAGAGTCCATATTCAACTGGCAAGATATAGAAAGAGAACTGAGAAGCTGGGCGCGGTGGCTCATGCCTGTAATCCCAGCACTTTGGGAGGCCAAGGTGGGCAGATCATGAGGTCAGGAGTTCGAGACCAGCCTGGCCAACATAGTGAAACCCTGTTTCTACTAAAAATACAAAAAATAGCTGGGCGTGGTGGCAGGTGCCTGTAATCCCAGCTACTCAGGAGGCTGAGGCAGGAGAATCATTTGAACCCAGGAGGTGGAGGTTGCAGTGAGCCAAGATCGTGCCATTGCACTCCAGCCTGGGTAACAAAGTGAGGCTCTGTCTCAAAAAAAAAAAAAAAAAAAAGAGAACTGAGCTTCACCAAGCTCATCAAATCAATTAAGCCGACTTCATTCAGTAGCCCTCTTCCTCCATTGTTAACCTAAACCACAAAAGTACCCACACCCAAATAAGTTCTTGCTTCTTCCTCCTGTGGAAGAATGTCAGAGTGGGTAAAGGGGCTTCTACTCAGTGTTAGCACCCAGGAGGAGGGAGATGGTCCTTTCTTTCTGTAGCTACAGGCGACATGTTGAAAAGCTGAGTGTGACCATAACACACTAGGTGTGATATTCCATCACACGGCATGGAGCCAGGGTTGTAAATCTGGGCAGACTGGGATTATGCTGTTCTACCTGGTTGGTTGAGAACAGCATCCTGTCCTCATTTAAGAGTAATTGTCAAGGATGGAAACTTAGTTTATTTCCCTGATATAGTTTGTTTTTGTTTTTGTTTTCTTTTTAGAGACAGAGTCTTCCTCTGTCACCCAGGCTGGAGTGCAGTGGTGCAATCTCAGCTCACTGCAACCTCCGCCTCCCAGGTTCAAGCGATCCTCCTGCCTCAGCCTCCCAAGTAGCTGGGACTACAGGCGAGTGCCACCACACCCGGCTACTTTTTGTATTTTTAGTAGAGACGGGGTTTCACCATGTTGGCCAGGGTGGTCTTGAACTCCTGACCTCAGGTGATCCGCCCGCCTCGGCCTCCCAAATTGCTGGGATTACAGACGTGAGCCACCGCGCCCAGCCAGGCCTGTTATAGTTTGATCTGAGCTGGAGGTGTTAGAATTTTGTTCTGTTCTATTTGGTTCCACAAGGAGGTATGCAAGCAGGTGTGAGAATGGAAGTGAGGAAAAGTCTCTGCGTGTAAGCATTCAAATTGCAGACCTTCAGGGGACAAATTTTTTTGCTTTTATAATAGCTTATTCTTATTCACACCAATTCTCAAAATTAAATTTACTCATAAATGCTAATAGAATTATGTATTATAATACACTGAGTCATGCCCTGCAAATACTTAAACACTTATTATGATAGTATAATGACCTATATTTTCCAAATTTTAAAATTATAGTATACTTGTTAATTATTTTATTAAAATCTTACATGTTTGACACAGTAACTATATTGTCCTACATTCTCTTCCAACCCTTTCCAACTGTAGTTATATTTTAATAGAATTGCAACTAATGTGTACATACTATTTTGTGTATTTTTTTCACTTAACATTTTTTCTAAACAAATTTCCATGTTTTCCCATAGTGATATTTATTTTATGGATGCATTTTTCTTGCTTGAATGGACACTGTAAATATCCATGTGTTTTTGCCTCTATTATTTCTCTAGGATCTCTTCAGAAGGTGTTTGTACCTCAGTCAGAAGGAATAAATATTTAATTTAATTTAATTTATGCATGTATATTTATTTATAGAGACAGGGTCTCACTCTGTTGTCCAGGCTGGAGTACAGTGGTGGAATCAGAATTCACTGCAGGCTCGGATGCCTAGGCTCAAGTGATCTTCCCACTTTGGCCTCCCAAGTAGCTAGGACTACAGGCATGCACCAATATGTCCAGCTAATTTTTTTTTTTTTTTTTTTTGAGACAGAGTTTCACTCTGTCACCCAGGCTGGAGTGCAGTGGTTTCATCTCGGTTCACTGAACCGCCTCCATCTCACCTCCCAGGTTCAAGCAATTCACCTGCCTCATCCTCCCAAGTAGCTAGGACTACAGGCATGTACCACCATGCCTGGCTAATTTTTGTATTTTTAGTAGAGATGGGGTTTCACCATGTTGCCCAGGCTGGTCTCGAACTCCTGACATCAGGTGATCCACCTACCTCAGCCTCCTAAAGTTCTGGGATTACAGGCGTGAGCCACCACACCTGGCCATGTCCAGCTAATTTTATAATTTTTTTGTTAGGATGAGATCTTGCTATGTTGTTCAGGCTGGTCTCAAACTCCTAGCCTCAAGTGATCCTCATAACTCAGCCTCTCAAAGCACTGGGATTACTGGTGTGAGCCACTGCACTGCACCAGGTATAAATAATAATTTTATAATTCTTGTAAAATACTCAAAAAATTGACATTGTGTTTATCTCTATCAGTTCTTAGTATATCTCTAAAATAATAATCTTGGCTGGGTGCGGTAGCTCACACCTCTAATCCCAGCACTTTGGGAGGCTGGGGCGGGTGGATCACATGAGGCCAGGAGTTTGAGATCAGCCTGGCCAATGTGGTGAAACCCCATCTCTACTAAAAACACAAAAATTAGCTGGGCATGGTGGTATGCACCTGTACTCAGCTACTCAGGAGGCTGAGGCAGGAAAATTGCTTGGACTCAGGAGGTGGAGGTTGTAGTGAGCAGAGATCGTGCCACTGCACTTCAACCTGGGCAACAGAGCAAGATTCCATCTCAATAAATAAATAAATAAATAAATAAATAAATAAATAAATAAAATAATAATAATCTCCTTTAAAGTTAGCTTTGATTGATAACAACATGCTGAAACAATGTGAAGATTAGAAAGATTTTTAACAAGGGAAAGGAACAAAAGTAGCTTTATTGAACATCTATCAGGGCAGTAGTAGGCACAATGCATGGATTTAGTTAGTAAGTGGCAAAACTGGGATCTTAACCCTGGCAGTCTAGCTCTGGAATTTATGCATTAAACCCCAATGCTGGCCGGGCACGGTGGCTCAAGCCTGTAATCCCAGCACTTTGGGAGGCCGAGGCGGGTGGATCACGAGGTCAGGAGATCGAGACCATCCTGGCTAACACGGTGAAACCCCGTCTCTACTAAATATACAAAAAATAAGCCGGGCAGGCGCCTGTAGTCCCAGATACTCGGGAGGCTGAGGCAGGAGAAGGGCGTGAACCCAGGGGGCGGAGCTTGCAGTGAGCCGAGATCGCGCCACTGCACTCCAGCCTGGGCGACAGAGCGAGACTCCGTCTCAAAAAAAAACAAAAAACAAAAAAACCCCAATGTTATTCGCTAAACCTAACTTAATCCTTAAAGAATCCTCTGATGCATATGTGTTTAACCTCATTTTTACAGACGAAGCCTGAGGGGATTAAAACAAGAGCTCAAACTGAAGTGTATCTAGAAATTAAGCAGGTACAGGGAGTCAGAGTAAGAACATACAGTCATCCTTGGTATTTGTAGGGGATTGGATCCAGGATCCCCAGCCCAGGATACTAAAATTCAGGGAGGCTCAAGTTCCTAATATAAAATGGCATGGTATTTGCATATAATCTATGCATTTCCTACCATATACTTTAAATCATCTCTAGATTACTTACAGTACCAAATACAATGTAAATGTTATGTAAATTGTTGTTATACTGTATTGTTTAGGAAATAACGACAAGAAAAAAAGTCTGTGCACATTCAGTACAGATGCAATATTGTTTTCCAAATCTTTTCTATCAATAGTTGATTGAATCCATGGCTGCAGAACCCATGAAGATGGAGAGCAATCTGTAAATTTTTCCTCCACTTTCTAATTTTTCTTAGACTACACAGTTCTCTCAATCTCTTTTGGTATACAAATATGTATAGTCATTGAGATGATAGTGGTTGGCATGCAGTTGGAAGTTGCAAAATTCATGCCTCATCTCAAGGGGCTACTCAGCCCCAGCTAAGATTTTTTTTTTCTTTTTTTGAGATGGGGTCTCACTCTGTCACCCAGGCTAGAGTGCAGTAGCATGATCACGGCTCACTGCAGCCTTGACTGCCTGGGCTCAAGCAATTCTCCCACTTTACTCTCCCAAGTAGCTGTGACCGCAGGTGCATGCCACCATAACTGGCTAATTTTTATTATTATTATTATTATTTGTAGAGACGATGTCTTGCTATGTTGCCCAGGCTGGTCTCAAAGCGATCCTGGGCTCAAGCGATCCTCCAGCCTTGGCCTCTCAAAGTGTTGGGATTACAGGTGTGAGTCACTGTGCCCAGCCCCAGTTAAGTGTTGTGATGAGGAACAGCCGGCCCTACATGGCCAAGTGTTTCAGTTAGTTATTGTTATGTAACAAACTACCCCCAAAGCTCAGTAGCTTAAAACAATAGGCACTTATTATTGTCTACAACCTATGAATCAGGTGGTTGGGCCTTCTACTCTTGGCTGGAATTGCTCATGCATGTGTGGTTAGCAGGTGGGTGAGCGGTGGGCTGGCTTTGCTAATCTTGGCTAGGTCCCTTCACATGTCTTGAGTCTTGGCTGGAACAACTGAGACAACTTGGTATGGTCTCTCATCCTTCAGCAGGCCAGCCCAAGGTTGTTCACATGGGGTCTTCAAAGGTTCCAAGAAAGAAAGAGAGGAAGTGTACAAGGTCTCTTAGGTCCAGGCTCAGAATGGAAAAACTATCATTTCTGTCACATTCTATTGACCAAGACAAGTCACAAATCCAATCCAGAGACAAAGGAGGATGATATATTCAGCCTTTATGGGAAGAACTGAAAGCGATGTTGCACAGTGTGTAGACAAAGAGAGGGGTGAAAAATTGAGGCCATTATTTTTTTTGCCTCAATCTACCATAAGTCTTCCAAGTTTTCAGAAGCCAGAGATCCAGATCTTTATGTGAAATCTCCCAAGTTTTAAAAGCTTCATCGAATTTACAAACTTTTAAGACACTGGGGGGTCAAAGAGATCATATTAGAGCTGGATGTGGTTTGTGGGCCATCGGTTTACAACCTCTGGGTAAATAACTTGCTCAAGTTTCTGTAGTAATTTGCTGAGGAGAACTGAACTTAGGTCTATCTAGACTCTAGGTCTCCATTCATTCAGCAAACATTTGCTTGTCTTCTGAGTATAAGACTTTGACAAACAATGATAAATAAATCGCAATTCTTCCCTTAAGGGGCTTACAGTTGGAAGTGGGAGACATTATGTAAATGAACACTTTCTTCATGTGATTCAATGTTACAGATGCTTGTTGTGGGGCACACTTCTTCCCTCCCCTGAAGGGAACTTCACTGATATAACTCGGAGTCTCTTTCTTTGCCCTTTTATACATTCCACACCCTGGAAGTGGAGTGATATGGTTTGGCTGTGTCCCCACCCAAATCTCATCTTGAATTGTAGCTCCCATAATTCCCATGTGTTGTGGGAGGGACCCAGCAGGAGATAATTGAATCATGAGGGAGGTTTTTCCCATACTGTTCTTGCGGTAGTAAAGAAGTCTCACCAGATCTGATGGTTTTATAAGGGGTCTCCCCTTTCACTTGGCTCTCAGTCTCTTCTTGCCTGCTGCCATGTAAGATGTGTCTTTCACTTTCCACCATGATTGTGAGGCCTCTCCAAACACGTGGAACTGTGAGTCCAGTAAACCTCTTTTTCTTTATAAATTACCCAGTCTTGGGTATGTCTTTATCAGCAGTGTGAAAACGGACTAATACATGAAGTGACTTATCTACTTGGTAAATTTGAGGAAACAACTGTGTATGTTCAGTTTAGCTCTTCCCTTTATTCTCTTGCGGCCAGGCCTGGCCAAGGGTAGCGTGTGATCTCCCTGCTCCTTCGTGCTGCAAGTTCCCCCAGGACTGTAGCATCTCCCCAGCCCACCCCTGGTGAGCACTCCTGAGAATGGGCTGGTGATCCACTTGATTCTGTGGTTCATTTGGCTCTCACACTAGGCAATGTCTTCCTACCTATCTGTAGCAGTAATAAAGGTGACATTTGGCCTCCAGCTTTTTCTTCCCTTCTATTTCTTTCTTTCTTTCTTTGAGATGGAGTTTCACTCTTGTTGCCTAGGCTGGAGTGCAATGGTGCAATTTCAGCTCACTGCAACCTCCACCTCCTGGGTTCAAGCGATTTTCCTGCCTCAGCCTCCCAAGTAAGCGGCCACTACCACACCTGGCTAAGTTTTGTATTTTTAGTAGAGATCAGATTTCACCATGTTAGCCAGGCTGGTCTCAAACTCTTGACCTTAGGTGATCCACCCAGATTGGCCTCCCAAAGTGCTGCGATTACAGGCACGGGCCACCAAGCCTGACCTCTTCCCTTCTATTTCTTATCTTGTTCAGAACCCAGGTAGGGAAGAGAAATGCTATTTATTGGGCAGTTACCTCAAAGGACTCAATGGTGCTATGATTAGGGTCTATATGTGCACACACACACACACACACATACACCTTCTTTACCCCACTGTAGCTTCATTCCCCACCTTGTCCCATGCACCTTTTTTTTTGTTTTCTTTTTTCTTTCTTTCTTTCTTTTTTTTTTTTTTTTTTTTTGAGACAGGGTCTCACTCTCTTGCCGAGGCTGGAGTGCAGCAGCACGATCATAGCTCACTGCAGGCTTGAACTCCTGGGCTCAAGCAATCCTCCTACCTCAGCCTCCCAAGCAGCTGGGACTATAGGCGCATATCACCATGCCTGGCTAATTAAAAAAAAATGTAGAGATAGGGGTCTTACTATGCTGCCCAGGCTGGTCTTGAATTCCTTGCCTCAAGCGATCCTCCCACCTCAGCCTCCTGAGTAGCTGGGATTACAGGCATGAGCCACCATGCCTGGTCGCCGCTGCACTTTCTTAGTTAGGTTAAGGGCTTGTGTTTCCCAGGAGAAAACGGGTCTGATTTCAAAGGACTCTTTAGGCTGCCTCCTGGGTCTCAGAGTTTCATGAGTTTATTTCCCTAAAGGGTCCTAAGCCATATGGGGTGCACACCTGGTGGGAGCTGGGACACACGGGAATGAAGAGCTGCTACCCTGCCCTCAGGCTGCTTCCCTCCCAAGGGAAACACTATGCCAAGACAGGGAAGCTAGGAAGTGCCCTGATGGTGCCAGGGCCCAGGCTGAGGAGAACTAGGTCCTGAGGGTCTTAGCGACAGGCCAGGAATGAAAACGTGACGAGTGCCCCTCCCATTTCTTTACATGAGGCCTCCATCTCCTAGCGTCTGTTTTTTTTTCCTGGCAACCTTCAGTGTCTGTTGTGTTGTGAGCACAGCTTGAGGGCAGTCATCCACCTCTTCACATATTTTCCATCCGTCAGCTGTGAGAGGCAGAGTGTCAGGTTGTTCAGGTTGGTGCAGCCCATCTCCCTCCCACCTATGGCGAGCCTGCTCCCCCGCTCACTCCCTTTGCTTTGCTTTGTTTTCCCTCCCTCCTGAGGAGCTGTGGCGAGATGAGTAGGAATTTAGTTGAATGGAAGGATTTATTTTTGAGACGGAGTATCGCTCTGTTGCCAGGCTGGGGTGCAGTGGCATGATCTTGGCTCACTGCAACCTCAGCCTCCTGGGTTAGCGTGATTCTCCTGCCTCAGCCTCCTGAATAGCTGGGATTACAGGCATGTGCCACCATGGCCGGCTAATTTTTGTATTTTTAGTAGAGACGGGGTTTCTCCATGTTGGCCAGGGTGGTCTCGATCTCTTGACTTCGTGATCTGCCTGCCTTGGCCTCCCAAAGTGCTGGGATTACAGCCATGAGCCACCACGCCCGGCTGAATGGAAGGAATTTTATTACTCTCTTGCAGTTTGGCAAGATGAGCTCAAGAGGGAAGCCACAACAAAGAAGGAGGCTGCTGCCATCATTAGGTGTCTGCCACGCCTATGAGTCAGTGGAGCCTGCACTTCCGTGGGACGCCTGTAGCAAGCTGAGGGGCAGTTCATGTTTTCCATTCACAAAGGAGTCTATGACCATTTTACCGTATCTGCGTAAGAGTCTCCATGACACAACAGTACCCACGTCACCTCAGGTTGGTAAATCAATCTGGGGCCCAAAGTAAACTTTGGTCTAATTGCCGTGGAAAGGATCTAGACTCGTTCTTTGACCAATGGACCCCTATCTAGGGAAGTAAAAAGCATGATGTTAGATGACCTGAATGTAAAAGCTTAAGTGATCTTGGGCAAATTATTAAACTTCCTAAATATCAGCTTCTCTAGTCCCAGCTACTCAGGAGGCTGAGGCAGGAGGATGTTTAAGACCAGGAGTTCAAGGCCGTAGCGCACGATCGTTGTGCGTGTGAATAGCCACTGCACTCCAAACTGGACAACATAACAAGATCCCTTTAGGAAAAATTAAACATTAGTTTTCTGTCCTGCAAAATAATAGTTTTCTATTGAATGGGATAATACAAGTATCCATCTCATAACATAATCAGGAAGTTTAAACAAGGAAATGTGTGTAAGACACTTAGCACATGGCTGAAGACTCAGTAAAAAGTTCCCGTCTGTCATTTCTGGGGCATCCTCAGTCTTGCAGGTGACGGTGAAATTAAAAGGTAGGAAGATGCACTACGTGGTCTAAAAGAGGTGGTCCAAGGTGCTGGGAAACACTTGGCCCCCAGGGCATTGAAATGACCCCCCACAGCCCAGCAACGTCTTTGGGTATTGGGTGAAGGCCTGAAACAAACCAGAGCGCAGAACTGCTGATTCCTTTTCCCATCCTGGACGCAGCAGGAGGAGGCAGGGCTCACATTGCCCCCACACACCTGGACAAAGCGGGAAGAACCTGTATTTCAAATACTTTAGGCTGAAGCACCCATTGGAAGGAGATCATCCAAGGGACCTTGAAGGGAAGGCTCTGAGGTCAAGTTGTTGGAGAAAGGGTGAAAAGAGGCCAGGTGTGGTGGCTCATGCCTGTAATCCCAGCACTTTGGGAGGCCGAGGCAGGCAGACCACTTGAGGTCAGGAGCTCGAGACCAGTCCCAACATGGTGAAACCCTGCCTCTACTAAAAATACAAAAAATTATCCAGGCATGGTGGTGGGCGCCTGTAATCCCAGCTACTCAGGAGTCTGAGGCAGGAGAATCACTTGAACCTGGGAGGCGGAGGTTGCAGTGAGCCGAGATCGTGCCACTGCACACCAGCCTGGGCGACAGAATGAGATTCTCTTTCACAGGATAAAAAAAAAAAAAAAAAAAAAAGGAGCAAAAAGAAAGAGAAGACAGAGTAAGTGGGAAAAGAGAAAAGGTCTGCACAGCCCTCACCCTCTGCCTGATTCTCCCTCTTTTTCTTACCTCCCTGAAACTGGGAAGGAAACACTGCCTGGCTGGATTGGGGCTGTTTTAGGAAGGTGAACACAGCAAAATTCTGTGCCCTGCAAAGTCTTAGCCCTCATCTATTTCAGGAGAGAACCTTCTGGTGGGAAGGGGATGGGGACCAAGTGCACAGAAGGATGAGGAGTCCTCAGCGGGCTGGCAGCAAGCCTAGAGGTCAGGGGTAGGCTGTGGAGGGGGCTGCTTTGAGCCCTTCAGGGTGCTGACGGAGGACAAGCCGGCTGCCCTTGGAAAGAATGGAACACCTCGCCTCCTTGCATTGATTCAGGCTGATTTTCTCTGTTGGACTCTTACAATCCTGGCTCTGGGAGTGGGTTGCCATGGTTCTGCTGGTTTTAACAGAGGGCTAAGTGGCTTCCCTCAGGCTATGCAGCATTTAGCTGCTCGCTTTGGATTTTAGCTTCTCCTCCTTGGAGACCCTGCTCTGCATGGGGGAAAAATCTTGTGTGGACAGTCATGTTCTGGAAGCAATTGGGGAAGTGGGTGCATTTGATTTGAAATAGTTCATGTGGGCCAGGCCTGTATTCTTGGCACTTTGGAAGGCTGAAGTGGGAGGATTGCTTGAGCTCAGGAGATTGACCTGGGCGACATGGTGAAACCCCATCTCTACTAAAAAAAAAAAAAAAAAAAAAATCAGCCAGGTGTGGTGGTGTGCACCTGTAGTCTCAGCTACTCAGGAGGCCGAGGCTGAAGGATTGGTTAAGCCCTGGAGATTGAGATTGCACTGAGCTGAATTTGTGCCATTGCACTTCAGCCTGGGTGACAGAGTGAGATCTTGTCTCAAAAACAAAAAACAAAAAAACGAAAAACAAAAAAATTGACGAGAGGTAGAAAAAGTCAAGTGTAAGGGCTTTAGAGAGTCAGGTAGCTTAGCCTGAGTTCTAGCTTTGTCATGTACCACTTAAATGACCTTAAGCAAATTACTTAACCCCTTAGAGAAATGGGGGCCCTCATAGCATGCACTTCATATGACAACTGTGAGAATTAATGGTGTGACGTGTGACCCATGGGGAGCACCCAGGGAGGGTGGGTTTACCAGTTCCTTTCACTCACATTATCTCAAGGGCTCCCAGAATAACCCTGGGATGCTGTGAGTGTCATCCTAATTTTCCAGAGAAGGGAACCCAAGTAGGAGCTCAGGGACTTCCTTCATCGGCCTTTTGGATTGATGTGTGCCTGCTTCTCTGACTTCATCTCCCAGCACTGTGAGGTGGTCACACTGTAGTTGGTGCCTGGCCCATGTGTATTAGTTTGTTCTCACACCACTGTAAAGAAATACCTGAGGCCGGGCATGGTGGCTCATGCCTGTAATCCCAGCACTTTGGGAGACCAAGGCGGGTGGATCACGAGGTCAGGAGTTTGAGACAGGCCTGGCCAACATAGTGAAACCCCATCTCTACTAAAAATACAAAAATTAGTCAGGCATGGTGGTGTGCACCTGTAATCCCAACTACACGGGAGGCTGAGGCAGGAGAATCGCTTGAACCCAGGAGGCGGAGGTTGCAGTGAGCTGAGATTGCACCACTGCATTCCAGCCCTCCAGCTTGGGTGACAGAGCGAGACTCTGTCTCAAAAAAAAGAAAAAAAGAAATACCTGAGACTGGGTAATTTATAAAGAAAAGAGGTTTAATTGGCACATGGTTCTGCAGACTGTACAGGAAGCATAGTGGCTTCTTCTTCTGGGGAAGCCTCAGGAAACTTACAATCACTGGGGAAGGCGAAGGAGAAGTAGGCACGGAGCAGGAGCAAGAGAGAGAGTGGGGAGGTGCCACACACTTTTAAACAACGGTATCTCACAAGAACTCTATCATGAGAACAATACCAAGGGGGAAGTATGCCCCCATGATCCAACACCTCCCCCCAGGCCCCATATCCAACGTTGAGGATTACAATTCAATGTGAGATTTGCCTGGGGACACAGATCCAAATCATGTCACCTTGCTATGCCAGGGCCTGCCTCGTCTTGTCTCCTTCTTTGTAACAGTCTTCCCTGGCTTTTCATGGGACTAGTTCCTTCTCCTCCTTTGGGTTTTAGCTGGGGTCACCTCTTGGGAGGTCTTTTCTCTCTTTTTTTTTTTGAGACGGAGTCTCACTCTGTCACCCAGGCTGGAGTGCAATGGCGTGATCTCAGCTCACTGCAACCTCTGCCTCCCGGGTTCAAGCATTCCCTGCCTCAGCCTCCCAAGTAGCTGCCCGCCACCACTCCTGGCTAATTTTTGTATTTTTAGTAGAGACAGGGTTTCACCATCTTGGCCAGGCTGATCTTGAACTCCTGACCTCGTGATCCACCTGCCTCGGACTCCCAAGGTGCTGGGATTACAGGCTTGAGCCACTGCGCCCCGCCCTGGGAGGTCTTTTCTAATCACCCTCCTCAACCATCCTAGTTGCAAGTTAATCTCAATCGTTTTATTTTCTTTCAACGATTCATTATCATCTGGAATTATTTTGCTTATTGTCCTTCAACAACTCATCACAATTATCTTGTAAAATTATCTCATTTATCAGCCTGCTCCAACCACAACGTAAGTTCCCGTGTCAGTCTGGTTTCCTCGTATATCTTCGTATATTCCCCAGGATTAAACTAATCCAGGGGAACCTCTGGGGTCTGTGGATAGAGTTTGGGCTTTACGAATTTCCATAGAAAAATAAAACCCGCATCTTTATTTTCACTAATCCCTAACTGAAGTTTAGTATTTCCTCTGTCATGAATGTAGGCAACAAACCACAGTCGTATGAACTGGATTTGGGACTGTGTCACACGCTACAGGTTTATAGATATCTTGAAATATCATTTATGCTGATCACTACTATGAGGTTATAGTATTTGTTAGACCTATTGCTAGATCTTGTTATTTACTGCAATAAAGAAATATGTAAGGCCAGGTGCGGTGGCTCAAGTCTGTAATCTCAGCACTTTGGGAGGCCGAGGTGGGTGGATCACCTGAGGACAGAAGCTTGCGACGAGCCTGGCCAACATAGTGAAACCCTGTCTCTTCTAAAAATACAAAAATTAGCTGGGGGTGGTGGTGAGTGCCCATAATTCCAGCTACTTCGGAGGCTGAGGCAAGATAATTGTTTGAACCTGGGAGGCAGAGGTTGCAGTGAGCTGAGCCGAGACCGCTCCATTGCACTC
This sequence comes from Homo sapiens, assembly GCF_000001405.40. Taxonomy (NCBI): domain Eukaryota; kingdom Metazoa; phylum Chordata; class Mammalia; order Primates; family Hominidae; genus Homo; species Homo sapiens. The sequence goes on from NC_000004.12 coordinate 40,288,757, forward strand.
CGGCCTGGGTGACAAGAGCAACACTCCGTCTCAAAAAAAAAAAAGGAAGTTACTATATCACAATTTAAAAATACCTTGGTAACTGTTTCAATACATTTGGCTTCTTTTATAAGCCTCTCTGTTTATTTTATGCATTTATAAAGCCTTAGCCTGAATAAAGGGTCCGTAAGTTTTCACCTGGTTACTAATAGGATTCATGGTACAAAACAGCTTAACTACCTTGGTGGCCTAGAACAGTGTTTGGCACATACTAGGAGCTTGATAAAAATGTTTTTGAGTTGGCTGGATGAAGGGAGGTGGAGAAGGAAAGACCTAGGCTGAGGAAACTGGGGAAAATTCAAAAGCAGAGAATTTTGTCCTGGAAACAGAAAAACTGGTGTGGTTTGTACTTAGAAATCCAGTGAGAGGTTGGGCGCGGTGGCTTATGCCTATAATCTCAGCACTTTGGGAGGCCGAGGTGGGTGGATCACCTGAGGTTGGGAGTTTGAGACCAGCCTGGCCAGCATGGTGAAACCCCGTCTCTACTAAAAATACAAAATTAGCTGGGCATGGTGGCACGCACCTGTAATCCCAGCTACTCGGGAGGCTGAGGCAAGAGAATCGCTTGAACCTGGGAGGTGGAGGTTGCAGTAAGCTGAGATTGCACCACTGCACTCCAGCCTGGGCAATAAGAGCAAAACTCCGTCTTAAAAAAAAAAAAAAGAAAACAGAAAAAAAGAAAAGAAATCCAGTGAGAGTGTTGTAAGCTAAAACTAACCAGGTGGCTGATTGGACTTTGTCCTGACACTGTGGGAAACAATGGAAGCCATCAGGCAGGGACAGGAATGATTACAATTGTGTTTTAAAAAATGTATTTGGCTGCCAAGAGGAGAGAAAAATGAGAGGGCCAATGTGGATACCAATTAAGAGGCTACTGTGGGCGGGTTGAAACAGGCTGGTGGCAGTGGAGGTGGGAAGAAGTAGATGAATTTGAGAGCAATTTTGGAGATGAAATAGACACAACTTGAAAGCTGATTAGACGTAGGGGGTAAGGGAAAACAGGAAGGACAGAATGACTGCGGTTTTCTTGCCTGAATTGCTGAGAGGATAGTGGGTAGCTTACTCAGAAGGGACACGGGGGGAAGGAGCAGGGAGGTATGAGGTAGCCTGAAACTTCAGTATCAGTGTTATTATTTTGTTCTCAATCTGGTTTTGCAAAAATGTCTTGGAACTCAAATGATGGAGACTGTAGTTTTACTTCTCGTTCTGCCACTAACTTGCTATCTCAGGCACTGCTATGGTCTGTTTATACTGGTCCCTGCCAAATTCATAGGTTGAAATCTTCACCTTCCGCCTCATCCCCTTACAGAGGTGGAGGCTTTGGGAGGTGAGGTTCTGCCCTCATGATGGGATTAATGCCCTTATAAAAGATGCCCCAGAGAGACCCTTCACTCTTTCTGCTGATGGGGTTGGATTATGAAGGCAGCTGTCTAGGAGGAAGCAGTTTCACTCCATCTGCTAGTGTCTTGAGCTTGGATTTCCTATTCTCCAGAACTGTGAAAAATAAATTTCTGTTGTTTGTAAGCATCCAGTCTGCAGTATTTTGTTATAGCAGCCTGAATAGACTGACAGGCACCTTTCTCAACTTTGTTTTCTCATCTGAACGATGGAGCTCCAGATCATGTCCTGCACACCTCACATGCTGGATCGAAACCCTCCTGCCCACCCTCCTTCCTCAGGTCAAGTAAGAAACCTTTGAGCATATGACGTTGCCAAAGGAGCCTCAAAGTTGGTGATTTTTGTCTGAGCCTTGAATTATAGCTTGGGTCTTATATGCGTACTAGGATGAAATTCGTTAGCTATCATTAACAATAAAGGTGAATTTTTTCATTATCATGTATCAGGCTGAAACTGCCATTGCAAAATTATAACTGAGACAGTGAAAGCGATCTGACCTAACCAACTTGATATTGCTTCTAACCTCCAAACTGTCCTTGTTCATTCCTGGGTGTAGGCTGAACTAACTTTGGGAGGAACTATAGTTTAAAACAAAGATGATAACAGCCCTTTCTCAGAACAAACCTCCTTTTTGCCTGGGGACTAGACTGCCTTTGTAGGACTAACAAATTAGCCACAAGATTAGAAATTATGGTTTAGGAGTCATGCAGCTGGAGGCTACAAGATTGTGACCCTCCCTAAACTGTTCCTGACATCAGTGCTTGAGATATTTTGCAGACTCTGCACTTGATGGATCAGCTGACATCACCTGGATCCATAAACTGGCTCATCTGATCTTGCGGTCCCCATTCAGGAACTGACTCACTGCAAGAGGACAGCTTCAACTCCCTATAATTTCATCTCTGACCCAAACAATCAGCACTCTCAACTCACCAGCCTTCCCCCACCCACCAAATTATCCTTCAAAACTCTGATCCCCAAATGATCAGGGAGACTGATTTGAATAATAATAAAACTCTGGTCTCCCACACAGCTGGCTCTGAGTGAATTACTGTTTCTCTATTGCAATTCCCCCATCTTGAGAAACTGGCTCTGTCTAGGTAGTAGGGAAGGTGAACCCATTGGGTGGTTACAAGGCATTCTGCTCAGTCAAGCACTCTGCTAAGTGCTTTACATGCTTTATTTATATTCTTCATTTTATTTCTCTATGACAACACTATGAGGTAGATATTATTATTATACCCAATTCACAGACGTTCAAGTAACTTCCCTCAAGTTACATAATTGTAGGTGGTAGTGTAGAGATTGGAACCTCAAGTCCAACTCTAGAATCTGTACTCTTAATTCTTACACATTCCTGCCTTCTTGGATTAATTATTCTGTTTTGGCCCAGGTGTCCATCAGGGTTCTCCTGTCCCCTGTGACTTAGATTGGATTGGAACATTCTTCCATTTCATATTCTGTGCAAAGTCCATGGCCTCCCTGATTTCTGTGAATTCAGGTGAGCTCCTATCATCATGGAAATCTTTGGCTTGGAGCTCCTGCTTCTGTGAAATTATTTCAGTTTCTGGCCCATCCTGCATGTGTCTTCCCCGATCTGTGCTCTGTCAGCCCAGCTGTGGAAACCAGTGTCTTTCCTTCATTTCTACCAAGACTTTCACTTGCATAAAGCCCTTATGTTTGTAACAGATTTTGCCAAAAGTCAAAAGATGGAGGGATTTACCATGCAGATAATGCACATTTTTTAAAACAAATTAGATTTATTTCTGTTTTTCTTTTCTTTCTTTCTTTCTCTTTTTTTTTTTTTTTTTTTTTTGAGATGGAATCTTGCTCTGTCGCCCAGGCTGGAGTGCAGTGGTGCAATCTCGGCTCACTGCAAACTCCACCTCCCAGGTTCAAGCAATTCTCCTGCCTTAGCCTCCTGAGTAGCTGGGACTACAGGCACCCGCCACCACGCCTGGCTAATTTTTGTATTTTTAGTAGAGATGGGGTTTCACCATGTTGGCCAAGATGGTCTCGATCTCTTGACCTTGTGATCCCCCTGCCTCAGCCTCCCAAAGTGCTGGGATTACAGGCTTGAGCCACTGTGCCCGGCCTTATCTCTGTTTTTCAAAAACTCCATAGTGATTTCTGCCATTGTGTTAGTTGAGATTTAGGCTAAGATGTTGAAACAATAATATCCCCCTCCCATTCCCAGCAACGTACAGTGGTTTTATCTCTCTCTCTCAGCCCAGAGCTTAACAGTCCAAGTGAGGGGAAGGTCTACTGCCCACAGTCACTCAAACCACTGTTCCTTCTATCTGGTGTGTCATCATCCCCTAGGAGTGGTTATGTCCTCATCTGCATGGTCAAAGCTGAGTCAAATCACATCCACAAACAGCCCATCAGAAGGGGAGAAAAGGAGGGAATGGAGGCCAAGGATTTCCTTTCTAAGGAAGAGGATGTAGACATCACTTCCATTCTCATTCCATTGTTGCAACATAGTCACATGATCACACTGGCTGCAATGCAGTCTGGGAAGTGGAGTCTTTCACAGAGCCATGGTGTGCCCCGCTGGAAAGCTTTTACTGTGCAGGAAGGGAAGAGAGGGTTTTCGGGGGCACAAAAATCCCTCTTTGCTTCAACCAACTGGATTCCGGGGTTTGCTTAATCTTGTACTTTCTCTTCATTTTCTCTTTCCACTCTAATTTTATCTCAGCTCTCTCCCTCTGCTTCTTGCCCCCGATTCATACTTATTTCCAAAACAGAATGGTTCTCTCAAATCTCAGGGTCTCACTTTCCATCCCAAATGACCTAGAAAGCTATTGTCCTAAACAAAGATATTTCACACTCAAATTGGGAGTCTGGCACCAGCTGTTAAGATATTTTTCGTATCTGGCTACATGGTGAAAATAAAGCAAGACACTATTTTAAGACACTTTTCCCAAAAACAATGAGTTAAAATTCACAGAAATCAATTGGTCTGTCATGTAAACATCCCAAATCTTAAGTGATTTAACAAGCTCTTAAGAAGCACAGGCTGTTTATTGCTTAAAATGAAATAATTTCACACTACAGCAGAGTGTACAATCTAGACTTCCTAGAAAAAGTTTCAGAGGGGGCAGCTGATACTTTTTTTGCCAGAAAAGTAGAAAAATCTTCATGAGTTCTACACTCTTTTCCCCCACCTTGCTAGAGGACACCTGCCCTTTGTTCAGTCAAGCCACACAACCATTTAAAGTTTATGCTAGGATCGGTGTAAGTCACGTCTGATTACATTTTATTGGGCAAAGCAAGTTGTGTGGACAAGCTCTACGTCAATGGAGTAGGAATGTCTAATTCTCCCACGTGGGGCCTGCAAGTAACAGGGCAAAGGATGTGAATGCACAATCTTCTTAGGGGGACACAGTGAACACTGGGGCACAGTAATCAATCTACCAATTGTAAAAGGAGGGACCAGGAATAGAGATTGAATCCAGTGCACAGAGATCTCTGAATGTTAAGCATTATAACTGGAATGTATTTAAAGGTTGGCCGGCACAGTGGCTCACGCCTGTAATCCCAGCACTTTGGGAGGCAGAGGCAGGTGGATCACTTAAGGTCAGTAGTTCAAGACTAGCCTGGCCAACATGGTGAAACCTTGTCTCTACTAAAAATACAAAAATTAGCTGGGCGTGGTGATGCTGGATGGTGATGTTATCAGAGGACTGCCAATTAAGAGCATGGCCTGCTCCACCTTTTGAGCCCATTGTTTGGGGAGGAAGTGTGAGGAGGTTGAATTAGTAAACCATTACAGATCAGCACTTTATTCCTCCCTCTACTCTATCCCCAGCTAACTGGACAATGGGGCAGGCCACTGCATTAGAGCTCACCAGAAAAACAGAACCAATAGGATCTATCTCCATCTCCACCTCCATCTCCACCTCTATCTCCACCTCTCTCTCTCTCTCTCTATCTCCATCTCCACCTCCATTTCTATCTCTATCCCTCTCCCTCTCCATTTCCACTCCCACCCCCACCCCCACCTCCATCTCCATCTCCATCTCCATCTCTATCTCTATCTCCCTCCACCTTCACCTCCATCTTCACTTCCACTTCCATCTCTGCCTCCATCTCCATCTCCATCTCCACTTCCATCTCCATTTCCATCTCTGCCTCCATCTTCATCTCCACCTCCATCTCTATCCCCACCTCTATTTCCATCTCCATCTCCATCTCTATCTGTCTCCATCTCCACCTCCACCTCCATTTCCATCTCCCTCTCTATCTCCACCCCCACCTCCATCTCCATCTCCACCTCCACTTCCATCTCCATTTCCATCTCTGCCTCTATCTCCATCTCCATCTCTGCCTCCATCTCCATTTCCATCTCTGCCTCCATCTCCACCTCAGTCTCCATCTCCACCTCCATCTCCATTTCCATCTCTGCCTCCATCTCCATCTCTGCCTCCGTCTACATCTCTGCCTCAATCTCCATCTCCATCTCTGCCTCCATCTCCATCTCCATCTCTGCCTCCATCTCCATCTCCATCTCTGCCTCCATCTCCATCTCCATTTCTGCCTCCATCTCCATCTCTGCCTCTATCTCCATCTCCATCTGTGCCTCCATCTCCACCTCTATCTCTGCCTCCATCTCCACCTCCATCTCCATCTCCATCTCTGCCTCCATCTCCACCTCCATCTCCATCTCCATCTCTGCCTCCATCTTCATCTCCATCTCTGCCTCCATCTCCATCTCCATCTCTGCCTCCATCTCCATCTCCATTTCTGCCTCCATCTCCATCTCCATCTGTGCCTCCATCTCCATCTCTGCCTCCATTTCCATCTCCACCTCCATCTCCATCTCTGCCTCCATCTCCATCTCTGCCTCCATCTCCATCTCCACCTCCATCTCCATCTCTGCCTCCATCTCCATCTCTGCCTACATCTCCATCTCTGCCTCCATCTCCATCTCCATCTCTGCCTACATCTCCATCTCCATCTCCATCTCTACCTCCATCTCCATCTCCATCTCTGCCTCAATCTCCATCTCTGCCTCCATCTCCATCTCTGCCTCCATTTCCATCTCTGCCTCCATCTCCATCTCCATTTCTGCCTCCATCTCCATCTCCATCTGTGCCTCCATCTCCATCTCTGCCTCCATTTCCATCTCCACCTCCATCTCCATCTCTGCCTCCATCTCCATCTCCATTTCTGCCTCCATCTCCATCTCTGCTTCCATCTCCATCTCCATCTCTGCCTCCATCTCCACCTCCATCTCTGCCTACGTCTCCACCTCCATCTCTGCCTCCAGCTCCACCTCCATCTCTGCCTCCATCTCCATCTCCATCTCTGCCTCCATCTCCATCTCCGCCTCCATCTCCATCTCCACCTCCATCTCCATCTCTGCCTCCATCTCCACCTCCATCTCCATCTCCATCTCTGCCTCCATCTCCATCTCCATCTCTACCACCATCTCCGTCTCCATTTCTGCCTCCATCTCCATCTCCGTCTCTGCTTCCATCTCCATCCCCATCTCTGACTCCATCTCCATCTCCATCTCTGCCTCCATCTCCACCTCCATCTCCATCTCCGTCTCTCGCCACCTCCACCTCCATTTCTATCTCCCTCTCTGTCTCCATCTCCACCTCCACCTCCATCTCCATCTGTCATCTATTCCCATCTCTCTATCATCTACCTATCAATTGATCCATATTAATTTTAAAGAATTGGCTCACATTTTAGGGAGTCTGGCAAATCCAAAGCTTGGGAGCAGGCTAGAAACACAGGAAGAGTTAATGTTTCAGTGCAAGTCTGAAGGCAGTTCGCAGACAGAATTCCCTCTTTCTCAAGGGAGTCAGTCTTTTTTCTCTTAAGGACTTCAACTGATCGAATGAGACCCACTCACATTACAGAGGGTAATCTGCTTTACTCAAAGTCCACACATTTAAATGTCAATCTTATCTAAAAAATACCTTCACAGCAACATCCAAACTGCTGTTTGACCAAATATCTGGGTACCATGGCCTAGCCAAGTGGACAGACAAAATTAACCACAGCTGCATACATTTTTTTTTTTAGGTGAGTTTTGCTCTTGTTGCCCAGGCTGGAGTGCAGTGGTGTGATCTCAACTCACTGCAACCTCTGCCTCATGGGTTCAAGCAATTCTCCTGCCTCAGCCTCCCAAGTAGCTGGGATTACAGGCACCTGCCATCATGCCTAGCTAATTTTGTATTTTTAGTAGAGATGGGGTTTCACCATGTTGGCCAGGCTGGTCTGGAACGCCTAACCTCAAGTGATCTGCCCACCTCGAGCCTCCCAAAGTGCTGGGATTACAGGTGTGGTCCATGGCAGCAGGCCAGCCAACCTAATTTTATCTACTGGGTTCTTGCATATAATTTTTTGTTTGTGGAAAGGATTCTGTGGGGAGGGAAAACATTTGAAGGGTTCTCTTTTGGTAGGTAACTGCTCATAGTTTACTGCATATACCATGTCATTACTCATCCTTTGATGTGGACTGAATGTTTATACCCCCCTAAAATTCATGCTTTGAAGGCCAGGTGTGGTGGCTCATGCCTGTAATTCTAGTACTTTGGGAGGCCGAGGCAGGTGGATCATCTGAGGTCAGGAGTTCGAGACCAGACTGGCCAACATGGTGAAACCTGTCTCTACTAAAAATACAGAAATTAACCAGGTGTGGTGGCATGCACCTGTAATCCCAGCTACTTGGGAGGCTGAGGCAGGAGAATGGCTTGAACCCAGGAGGCGGAGGTTGCAGTGAGCCAAGATTGTGCCATTGCACTCCAGCCTGGGCGACAAGAGTGAAACTCTGTCTCAAAAAAAAAAAAAAAAAAAAAAAAAAAAATTCATACTTTGAAATCCTAATCACAACATGATAATATTAGAGGGGGGATGCCTTCGGGAAGTAATTAGGTCATGAAAATGAAGCCCCATGGTGGGATTAGTGCCCTTTTAAAAAGAGGAAGAGACACCAGAGCTCTATCCCTGGGCTGCTGCCCTGGCACCCCTGCTGTATGAGAGTACAGCAAGAAGGTGGCTGTTTGCAAGCCAGAAAGTGAGCCTTCACCAGATACTGAGTCTACTGGCACCATAATCTTAGACTTCCAACCTTCAGAACTGTGAGAAATAAAAGCTGTTGTTTAAGCCACCCAGTCTATGCTATTTTGCCATAGGAGCCAGAGATGACTAAGAAATTTCTCAATAAATTCCACTTCTAAGAATTAGCCAATCCGAAGGCCAGGGTGGGCTAATATACTGTGCCTGTGCTCCTACTGAGCCACGTGGCTGAGCATTAATGTGTGGCTGGTGCTATACTAAATACTTGCTGTATTAAATTAAAAGGATGCTTGTTTATGTGTGTACTTTGCACATTAGGAAATTCCTCAAGACAGGGATGGTTTCTTTATTGCCTCAGCATCTGGTGTAGTTGGAGATCAAAACAGTGTGAATGTCCATGTATGCATCTGTGTGTGTGTGTGTGTGTGTGTGTGTGTGAGAGAGAGAGAGAGAGAGAGAGAGAGACAAAGAGAGAGAGAGAGACAAAGAGAAAGAGAGAAGAAAAGTGAATGGAACCAGTCCTTGGAAAAGGCAGCTATCCTCCCATGTCTATCTTGAGCACCACCACCCCTAAGAAACCTATCCTGACTGTTGTAGTCCTCACTGATCTCCATCTAACAAACCTCTACAACATCTTGCATCTGTACCACATGGCTGAGCGTTAATTTATCCTCCATCTTTATTTTCCTAGACCTAAAAATCCCACTGATTAAGTCAATTTAAAAAATATTGAACGTTAAAAACTAAATTTAGAGTGTTAAAAAGGTCCCAGAGATAACCACAGTAACTCTTTGGAGTAATTTCTTTCAGTCTCTCTTTTTTCGTTGTTTGTTTTGAAACAGGGTCTTGCTTTGTCACCCAGGCTGTAGTGCACCCTCAACCTCCTGGGCTCAAGTGATCCTCCTGCCTCAGCCTCCTGAGCAGCTGTGACTATAGGCATGCGCCACCACACCTGGCTAATTAAAAACAATTTTTTTTTTGTAGAGATGGCATCTTGTTATATTGCCCAAGCTGATCTCGAACTTTTGGGTTCAAGTGATCCTCCTGCCTTGGCCTCCTAAAATGCTGGGATTACAGGCTTGAGCCACAGTGCCTGGCCTTCAGTCTCTTTTTTATGTGTGTACATATATGTATGGATTATTGTCATAATTTATATTCATTGAGCATGCTCTATTCGATTGCTCTTAGTATTTGAAGTTCATTTACATATCAACACTTGTATGAGGAAAGTATTATTATCTCCACTTTAGACATGAAAAAACCAAGACAAAGAGAGTTTACATAATTTGTTCAAGTCACAGTTAGCAAGGTAGTAGAGCCCTGTGTGCCTGTGTGTTTGTCTGTATATATATGTGTATTAGTCTGTTTTCATACTGCTATAAAGAACTGCTCAAGACTGGGTAGTTTATAAGAAAAGAGGTTTAATTGGCTCAGTTCCACATGGCTGGGGAGGCCTCAGGAAACTTACAATCATGGCGGAAGAGGAAGGGGAAGCAAAGACTTTCTTTACAGGGTGGCAGGAAAGAGAGAGTGAGCAAGAGCAGGGAAAACTGCCTTATAAAACCATCAGATCTCATGAGAACTCACTCACTATCACAAGAACAGCATGGGGGAATCCACCTCTATGATCCAATCACCTCTCACCTGGTGATCTGGAGCTGCTGAGGCTTGCAATGTTCACTTCCACAAGTGTCAAGGGCCAATAACTTTGCTAACACTCCTGGAAAATGCTTGGTGTTGCCTGATGGTTTGCTGACAACCTCTGTGTTAGTATTTACAGCCTGACATGCTGCACCTGCCTAGGGATCAGGCTCTGCTTCTCTATTGGCCCCAGTCTTGCTTCAAAGAGGCCTTCAAGGGTCAATCCATGACAAAGCTTTCCTAGTTTTGATGGCTTAGGGAGCTAAAGAATACTTCTCAGGCTTATTCCAATGGAAGGCTACCTCGCCACTTTTTCCTCAGGAGAAAGCATAAAGTGACTCCTATTTCTAGTTCTTATTACAGTTATTTTTATTTCACTTACTTAATTTATTAAGAGAAAGGGTCTTGCTCTGTTGCCCATGCTAGGGCACAGTGCTGCCATCACGGCTTACTGCAGCCTCAAGTCTCTGGACAAAAGCAAGCCTCCTGCTTCAGCCTCCGGAGTAGCTGGGACCACAGGTGTGTGCCACCACGCGTAGCTAATTTTTTTAAAATTTTTTCTAGAGATGGGGTTCTCTCTATGTTGTTCAGGTGGTCTCAAACTCCTAGGCTCAAGCGATCCTCCTGCCTTGGCCTCCCAACATGTTGGGATTATAGGCATGAGCCACTGCACCCAGCCTATTTTAAAATAAATTAATAAAAATGAGTGTTCCAAGTATTTATTGCAGTATAACAAACGACTCCAAACTTAGAGGCAAACACAATAATTATTTCTTATTGATTGGGTTCAGGAAGTGGTTCTCACTTGGAGCCTCTCATGAGGTGCAGTCAGATCGTGACTGAGGCTGGGGTCATCCCAAAGTCTGGCTTGTTCATTAGGACTTCTCCTGGGACTGAGGACCAGAGCACCTATACCCAACCTCTCCATTGTCACGTGAGTTTCCTCCTACCATGGGAGGCAGAATTGAAAAGCAAGCATCCTGAGAGATAGCCAAGGTAAATATCCTTTGTAATGTAACTTTGGAAGTCACCCAGTGTCACTAAGCCCAGCCCATATTCAAGGGTAAGGGAATTGGACCGCACCTCTCATTGTGGGCAGAGTCAAAGAATTTTGAGACCGGTTTTAAAACCATTATATGTAGAATTTCTGCAAACTTTATGGTTCTCATCAAGGAGTGGGCATTCCTCAGTTCACTGCTCACAGTGAACTCATTCTCTGAAATGTCCTGGGGCACATGTAGATCTTCAGCACACTGACTGGTTCTCAGAGGTCTATGATGCCATCTATCTCCTGGATTTTGTCACTGTCTCCAAACATCCTTGATGGCTCTGAAAGTGTTTTGTAGGGCCCCCTGCACATGCGTGGGGCATGCAGCTTTGAAGGGGAAAGACCACTTGAGGAGGATGAGTTTTTCTCTGTCTTGTGGGCTTCCCCTGCCCAGATCAGCCACAGAGAGGTGGCTGATCCTTTGGGATATGATGATGTTGCTAATAATACTTACCATTTATTGAGCTCTTCCTGCAAGCGGGACACCATGCAAAGCATGGTACCTGCATTACCTCATTTAACTTCTCTTCTTACCAGCCGTAAGTGGTAAGGAATATTTTTATCCATTTTTACATATGAGAAGATGGACATATGTAAAGTGACCATCTGGCCAGAATGGTCAAGGGATTTGCTCAAGACACACATCTCTACTAGTAGATAGAGCCTGGATTTGAATGCAGGTATATTTGCCTCAGACGGCAGCATAGTGATTTTGAGTTTGAACACTGAGGTCAGACTACTTGGGCTTGATTCCTCGCTTTGGGCAATCTTCGACAACCTCTTTGTATTTCAATTTCCTCTTTGGTAGAGGGGAGACGATAAACATATATATATCTCAACCTCATGGGGTTTTAGCATTAAATGGGAGCTATTTAAGGTATTTAGTATTTGGCAAGTATTAATTATTTCTCCTTCTTTACGATTTATGTCAGGTGGGGGTAGTGATTTACTCAAAAGAATAATATGCCAGAAATCCAGAGGTCTAAGGAAATACAGCATAAGGAACTGCCAGAGACCTGCTGTCAGACCTCAGCATTCAGTGACTCATTTCAGCCTCTGAGTTCCCATCTGCAAAATGGGCACAAGACTGGGACCTTTTTTTTTTTTTTTTGAGACCAAGTCTCACTCTGTTGCCTAGGCTGGAGTGCAGTGGCACGATCTTGACTCACTGCGACCTCTGCCTCCTGGGTTCAAGCAATTATCCTGCCTCAGCCTCCCAAGCAGTTGGGATTATAGGTGCCTGCCACCACTCCTGGCTAATTTGTTTATTTATTTTGAGTAGAGATGGGGTTTCACAATGTCGGCCAGGCTGGTCTCGAAGTCCTAATCTCAGCCTCCCAAAGAGCTGGGATTACAGGCATGTGCCACCGCGCCTGGCCTAGACTGGGACTTCTTGTGGATGAACAGAGGAAACACTTCTCCACGTGGCATCCCAGTCCTTTCTCTACTTCCAGAGCCAATTAAATCTGCCGACCACTCAGCAATCCAAATACAAATGATACATCATGGAAACTGACTGAGGAACACAGAGGCAGAAAGGAGGGTTGGTGAGAAACCCTCTCCACCTTCTTATGGGACTCAAAACACTGTCTAATTCACAGAGTGACTAGATATTGGTCTTGTCTTTTGGGGTTAAACCCTGGACAGTGGGGTATGACTTCTTGAAATGTGTCTATACTGCAGCCAAGCTCTGCAATCGGTGCAGTAGGATTTTATCTGTTGTCTATATAAGTAACATGATGGCTGGGGCTGGAAAGGGCCCAGTGCACAGCCAGGCAGGTGGGGTGGCCCACACTTGCCTGTCGCTGTTGCTCAGCTCCGGATCAGCACTGTCTTCCGAACCCAAAGAGGCTGGGAGATATTTTTACAAAGGCCCTGGGTCTATGTGTGTGGTTGAGCCCCCTCCCAGACAGGCTGATTTGTGAATGTGCTGAACTCCAGAGCACCAGTAGCCTAACCACAGAGCGGTGTTTTGTTTCTCTACCGGATACACCTGCCAAAAAGGCAGGGTTCACTTGTGCTGCAGGCTCCGGTTTGTTTTACTTTTAAAAAGATTGCACCCTCTAGATAAACCAGGGTGCACAGTTGTGTTATGGAGAACCAGTTGAGGTTGGAGAGTAATGAAATTGATTTTATTTTCTTTTGGGACAATTCTATACAATTTTTCCTTATTCAAATGAGCATTCTCCATATTCATATCAGTCGTTAGTTCCCAAATTGTACCCCGACAAGAGGATTTTAGGGATACAAAGGATCAAGAGCATTGAGTCACACACTGAGAAAGTTAGTCCCTTTTCAAATGTTTTCAATCTTTCTGGTTTTGTCAAGAAAAAGTCTTCGTTTGAAGCTATCTTTAACACCTAACATCTACTTCTCTCCCTTTATACATAACAAAACCAAAGTGAGTGCAGACCTTGGAATTAGTCTTTAGTTAGATATAGTGTCTAGTTAAATGTTATAATATTGTCTAAATAAAATTTGACAATATTGCTCTCTCTTTGTGATAATTATCTTTAGGATTACCTTAAATGTATGGCAAGGGATAGCAGTCTACCATTTACCTTAGGGCTACTGTGTTTCCTTTTAAAATAAACATGTTCTAGTTTTCAAAATCAATTAATTTAAAGAAAAATAGGAAGTAAATAATTGTATGAGTGCTATTCATAAATAATAAAAGTCATGAGGATAGAGTGTGGTGATAGTTGAAGATAGTAAAAACTGGGAAGGGAGTACATGGATATTTGATGTATGAGTGGCTGGGGAGCCATATTAACTTGGGTTTGAATCACTGCCTACCACCTGTGGGAAGATGAGCAAGTTATTTAACCTAGTTCCACATCTGTAAAATCAGGAGACCAGAAATTCATCACCTACCTGAGGACTTTTGTGAAGACAACTCATGCAGGGCTGAAATACATGGTACTAGAACACAGTATGTGCTCTATAAAGTTAGCCATGATTATTATTCTTGCCAGAGACTCTAGTTCTATTCTCAGAACTGTGCACAGAGTTAGCCCCTAGACGCGCTGCTGCTGTCTTTAGCATCATGTGCTAGTTGGGAGTCTGCTGAGAAGCAGATGCCAAGATGGTATTAGAGGTGCAAGAGATTTATGAGGGACACACCTGTGAAGGATAAAGGAGGAGGCCAGAGAAAGTGGGGAGAGGAGTTCTGACATCTGTACCAGGAAGGAGAGAAGGAGGCCGGGCGTGGTGGCTCATGTCTGTAATCTCAGCACTTTGGGAGGCTGAGGAGGATGGATCACCTGAGGTCAGGAGTTCAAGACCAGCCTGGCCAACATGGCAAAACCCTGTCTCTACTAAAAATACAAAAATTAGCCAGGTGTGGTGGCGGGTGCCTGTAATACCAGCTCCTCAGGAGGCTGAGGCAGGAGGATCGCTTGAACCCGGAAGGTGGAGGTTGCAGTGAGCTGAGATTGCACCACTGCACTCCATCCTGGGCAACAGAGCAAGACTTTGTATCAAAATAAATAAATAAATAAATAAATAAATAAATAAATAAATGGAAGGAGAGAAGGAAGGAGGATTGGGTTGGAGGAGCCTGAGACTGCAGTCAGTTTACAAGAAAGGTTTGGCCAGGCTGGTAAAGAATCCTGGAGCCAAAGTGGACTATTGGAATTGTCCCTCTTCTGTGCTCAGTCATTGGTTGGAGCAGCTGGCAGGAAGTGCAGCCTCCCTGTAGCCATGGTGTTGGATCCAGAAAGGCAGCTTCGGGGTGACCATCAATCACGCTCCCCACAGCAGGAGATCCAGCGGCATTAGCATGGCTGCCATGCATATCATTTCCATCTCACACATGAAACATGTTGAAAAATTGAACTTGAGAGTTTCTTCCAGTTCATTTTCCTGGTTAAGTAACTACTTGGACATTGTGACCCATTCAAAACCAATTTGTGATTTTCTTGTGTTTCAGTGCCCGACTAACAAGCCAAACAAATTAAGTACTTTGAAGGCTTTGTCTTGGTAACAGCTCTTTACTAAGCCTATTTGCCTTTTAACTCTAATTTTGGATTCCCAAAATTTTGCATTTTAGGCAGAGTTAAGCACAATGGACATTTTCATGCAAATCGAATCAATATAGAGCCCCAAATGGCAGCTACTGGGCCATATCCAGTCCACAGATCTGTTGGGCCCACACAGAATCTAAAAAAAAAATTGAACCAACATTCTAAAATGGAAAGATTTTATATTTTTATTTTATATTTTATTTTATTTTATTTTTTTTGAGAAGGAGTCTCGCTCTGTTGCCCAGGCTGGAGTGCAGTGGTGCCATCTCAGCTCATTGCAACCTCTGCCTCCCAGGTTCAAGCAATCCTCCTGCCTCAGCCTCCCGAGTAGTTGGGACTACTGGTGTAAGCCAATGCACCTGGCTAATTTTTTGTATTTTTTTTTTTTTTTTTTTTAGTGGAGATGGGATTTCTCCGTGTTGGCCAAACTGGTCTCGAACTCCTGACCTCAGGTGATCCACCTGCCTTGGCCTCCCAAAGTGCTGGGATTACAGCATGAGCCACCGTGCCTGGCCAAGATTTCATTATTTTTTAAAATGTTGATTCCTGGCTTCTTTTGAAAACAGCAGAGTTGAACATGGAGCCTGAATTTCTGCATGACCACATCATCTAAGGTGAAAGGGGCTGCTGCTTAAAATGGGGCTCTCCCTGTTTGCTCTGTGCTCCACTGCCCACAAAAGATACACATATGTCCTTACACCTGGCAAGAATCACTGGTTTATATTCCTGTCTAGTCCTTTGTGCAGAGTGCTAGCTGTTCCCCAATATTGCATTCTGTTCTTCCATAGTAATGTTCCAGATGGACTCATGATGGTCCCCCTAGGATTACAATTCCAGCTTCCCTTGCAGCTAGGTGTGGGCCAGTTACTAAGTTCTGGCCAAGGAGATGATTGTGGAATTGATGCTTGGAATTTCCAGACTGCCTTTAATGGAAAGCAGGATGTCTTCTCTTGCTCTAGTTCTTCTTCCTGCCTGTTGGAGTGTGGATGGGATAGTGGCAGCTGGGGCAGCCATGTGCTATCACAAGATGGAAGCTGTGTATGGAGCATACTAGAGCAAAAAGACAGGAAGAAACTACATCCCCAACATCATGGAATCACATGGCAGCTCTGGAAGGCTTATGCTCACACTCTTACCTAAGAAAAACAAAGTTCTGTTTTTATCTCTCATTTTTACAGCAGCCTCAGTTATATCTTAAAGAAAACATCTTGTTTGTAAGGGGGCCTGTGGCCCCTGGCTTAGACCAAGAAACTCTGGAACTGTGCAGGCAGCATCAAACCAAATTTCACCGAGAACCAAGATGAGCCATAATCCTTTCTATGGTAAAAGCAATATTGGAAAACCCTTTCTATGTCTCAGAGGCTCTGTTTGCAGGTGGCACATTGCATGTAGCTGTGAACTGGTTTATACAAATGGCTCCTTAGGGGCCGCTATTTCCCACCGCTGCATATCTCAGGTTCACAGACTACTGCACCACATTCTCACCTCTTTTTCTTCTCCACTTTGTCTTTAAAGGCCACACTTGAGCAGGCAGCCCTCCCACCTTTTCTCGGCAGTGCCATCTGAGTAGAAGCGAAGTAGAAACTTCTTGGTTGGTACTGTTCCGGTTTCCAAGGGACCAACGGAGGCTGGTGCTAAGTGCGAAACCATTGAGGATCTTGACAGTTTCGGTCTGAGCCCACCCTGTGGTATTATGTGAGGGCAAAGGGCCAGTTATGAAAATGATCTATGAAAAAATGACGCTATTACTTCCCCAGAGGCAGATGCCAAAAATGACATGTTATTGTGTTCCTTAGAATGATGAATGAAAGTATTGAATGAAATCTGAGTAATAATAATACCAAACTATTTAGTGTAGCCTGTGACAATGAGTCTTCCCAGCCAGGACTATTTTGGGAAATAGAAGCGGGAAAAAAAGAGTTGCTATTTACTGAGCACTTAAGGTGCTGCAAGTCTTATGCACATTTTCTCATTTAGTTATCTCAAAAATCCTACGATTTAGTATTATAGCAACTTTTTTTAAAAAGCAGAAGTGCTAAGAAAAGTTAAGGAACTCAACAAAGCTTGCATCGCTAGGAAGTAAAAAGCCAGAATTTTGATTTAAATCTAATGACCTATGTTTATTCCATATTATGCAGCCTCTTGGATGCTCTAATGCTGGCCTAATCAGGAGAAAGAGGCAAATGAGATCACGGTCAAAACTGCTGGGGAAGTCAGGTGCAGTGGCTCACGCCTGTAAACCCAGCACTTTGGGAGGCTGAGGAAGGAGAATCACTTGAGCCCAGGAGGTCAAGGCTGCAGTGAGCTATGATTGCACCACTGCACTCCAGCCTGGGTGACAGCGTGAAACCCTGTCTCAAACAAACAAGCAAAAACTACCAGGATTGAAAATATCTGAGTGAGGAAGATGGTTTGTAATGGAGGCAAGCTAGCAAGAAAAGAATGTGGGGGAGGGGTTCTATACCTGCATCAGATCATCTGAGGGCCCACAGTGCAGCTCCGTGGGCTCTGAGGGATTGTGTAAGAGGCAGCTGGCAGATATGCATGGGGTGGGCTGATCTGGCAAAAAGACGAGATAAATCTGAAAAATACATTTTACAGTGCTCTTTACACTGAAGAATCTTGCAGAGTAACTGGTAGATATGATAAGGGATAGAGAAGGAATTACTGCTTAATAGCTAGCCAGACACTGGCATTAAGGTTTCTGCATATTTAAATGGGTGTGCTTTTCCCATCCCTGACAGATTCTTTTGTTTTCCCCTACGTCCTTAGGTTCCTCTTTTATACAAATGGCCTCTATGTCCATTCACACTGTTCTGCAAGATCAAAGGAGAAAATAATTCCCAAAGCAATGTTCTGGGACACTGAGGGTCATCAAACATCAAGTGAAATTTGATCAACTTGCATTTTTATGTATTATCTCTTACCTTTTGCATCTTCAGAAAGGCAGTTTATCTTTATTTTCATTTAGTGGTAAAATATTTTCTAATAGCATCAGTGAAATCCTGTTGAAAGTCAATGGCCAGCTTTTTAGACATAAGACAAATGAGAGTTCTGTTGGGCACAACAGAACTGCTAACAGGTCTTTCACTATATTTCTTTCTCTCTCAGCCATTGATGGGTGTCTGACACCTCCAAACTCCCTCTATGCTGGGCTGATTAGAAGTGGAGGAGTTGTCTAAGATGCAACTGTTTGAACTTCAGCGGTGGAAGGTTGGGCAGCTGGGCCCCAGGTGTGTGCATTCAGACTGTAGCAGGAGTGATGCCCTCTCCCCGTGGTCCATCAAGCTCTATCTATAAGATGAGTCTCAGGAGACTGAGTACCAACCTCTAGACAGGAGCAGGGAGGGATATAAAATAGAAATGTTGACAAGGCAAAGAGAATGATGCCCCCAAGGCCACTGTGGTTCTACAGACTTATGTTTGTGCTCGAGTTAGAGCAGGATGAGGTTGGAAATGAAGCTTACAGAGTTACAAGGGACGGCGGTAGTTCCAGAAAGGACAGGGTCATCTGGTTTTTGGAAGGCATCTTGGAGATTTCATCGTACGTAAGCCATCCAGAGCTAGTATGTGGGCTGCATGATGTTGGGGACTTGCTTTCCTCCTGTCTTTTTGCTCTACTGTTCTCGATACAGAACTTCTCCCTGTGAGGTCCGATGGTAGTTAGGGAGCAATGGTGCTAATAGGAGGCTTTGTTAATGAGAACAGGGATGCCTGCTAGATTTGGGGTTAGAAAGGAAAACAAAGAAATGTGATGAGGTCCTAGTGTCGTTGGCAGCTGGCAAATTCATTACATCATCAAGCTCTCTGACTTAAGTCTCTTGCCTACCTTGCGCTGGTTAAAACGAAAATGTAGCCCTCAGCGCCGCAGAAAACAATTCTCCAGGGCTGTGACCATGGGGTGCCAGGGAGGAAGTGAAACTAATTGGGCAAAGACTCTTCCTGTCTGTCCATTCCTCTGTGTGGCCCTCTGGTAGAAGCAAGGATTTATGCATGTTGGGCTAGATATGAGTGAAAAAGGGGAAACATGGTCTGAAGGAGGACTTTGGGGTCAGGAATAGTCTAAAGTTTAGCAATTTTCTTTTGCTTTAGGAATCGCTCTTTGACCTCATTTTTTTTTTCTTTTTAAGTGAAGTTTCCAAGCAGAAAAGGCAGTATTTGCCAAGTGCTACAATTCACTCTAAGCTGATTGGGTTCTGAACACGAAGGCCCTTTTTACTCTCACAATCATTTAAAAACAGTAGTAGTAAGTGGGGTGTTTTCGCACTAATTTACAGGTTCCTCATTTGTTGCTATGATGACCCCCTGAGGCCGGAATTGTTATCCTCTTACAGATGGGGCAGTTGAAGCTCAGAGAGAAGTGGCTTGACCAAGGCCCAACGGCAGGTGAGCAGCAGAGTCTAGGGTTTTATCTTTCTATCACACCTGTCACCGTGGTGCCCGGGGATGAGCAGTCACTTCAGATAAACGTTGAGGTTTCTGTTACCAGCCGTCCTCCGGGCCCAGTGTGATTAGTCTACTTTGCTCAGCTTCCTGTAGGTGTGTTGTGATACTCTGTAGATACTTTATTTCCTCTTCTCCCCTAGTTCGTCCAGAAATACAAACTGTTGAATTTCTTTATCATCATTTTAGAAGTGATAAACATTCCCAAAAGGTATGTTATTTCTGCCATGGAGTTGGCAGTCTTTATTCATGCAGAATGCATTCTGGAGTGTTTTGTTTTAGTGAAAAGAAGACATTCTTAGAAATTGAAGACAAAGAGGAGAGGAAGTGAGCCCGCAGGGGGCATGTTCCCATGGGATTGGGAGTCAGGCATCTTTAGGTATCTCTGCTCCCTTCTCCTCGGGAGAAAGCAAGGACCACTGCCTTCTAAGTCAAGCAGACCTTGGTTCAAATCCCAGCTCTGGCGAAAATTCTTGAGGAAGATATTTAACCTCTCTGAGCCTCAGTTTCCTCATCTAGAAAATGGGGAGAATAATATCACTTTCTTCATTGGGTCATTGGGGGGAATTTAATGAAGTAATGCAACATTTTTCCAAGTGTGATATACATCCTATAGGTGATAGATGATTTTCTGGTGATATAGATATTCTAATGTAATAATTATAACATACACACACCAGCACACCAAAATCATCATTTCACAGGTCTGATTGCTTAGGGTGTGGCTAGGTAAGAAGCATATATAACCCACATTAAAGACTATTTTAATACAATGTTAAATGTGTGATAGAGATGGCATCAGTGGACTAGAGAGGGGGAACGACCATCACCAGGAATCCCTGAAGGAATGTGTATGAAAGTGGGCCCTGCCCACTTTGGTTGAAGTCTTCCACCCTGGTTGACTTTGGACAAAGGAAACCAGGCAGATCCAGGTTGGATGGGAAGGCTGGCTCTCCCTGAGACCTGAAGCCAGGGGCCCTGTGAAGAGTCCCTGTTAATTTCATCTTGCGCTGCTGCCCTCTGGTGTTCACGCGCTGTTCCCAGTGTCTTGAGAGCAAGTCAAAGCCGAGCCAGTGCGATTTAGAGCGTGAGCGCGACCCTGTCTGGCCCTTCTCCCACTTCTTTGTTTCCCTGCTTTCAGGGACTTTCCGAGTCCCATCAATCCCACCACCTTGGCCTATCCTCCCCCAAGTGTCACTTCCTCCTGCAGCCTAGTCGCAACTCCCCTTCCCCCAAACTCCTTACTAATCAGCAGAGGATGCTCTGGTTCTCAGGTGTGAACAACAAATGAGCTTAGTTTACTGAGGGGACATTTGTTTTAAAAGAGAAACCAGTTTAACAAAACAAAAACTCAAGTCAGCAGGAAGTGAAGTGGCTATATTTTTGAAATGAGGGTCTTTCCTTGTCTCCCAAGCTTCCTCTACAGAATGGAACCTGCTCTTTAAGCAGGCAGCCACATCCCGGGAATGAAATCCTTCAAAGGGAATGAATTGCCTTTCTTCCCAGCCAATTCTACAAGAAACTTTCAAATAGTTTCACTTTCTGTGTTCGAACATAATACTTATAACTGAGAACCCCAAATATAAGTGGTTTTTGTTAAATCACTGGATATAATAAAGGCTGGGTGTGATGGCTCATGCCTGCAATCCCAGCACATTGGGAGGCCGAGGTGGGTGGATCACTTGAGGCCAGGAGTTCGAGACCAGCCTAGTCAACATGGTGAAAGCCCATCTCTACCAAAAATACAAAAATTAGCCAGGCCTGGTGGCAGGTACCCATAGTCCCAGCTACTCGGGAGGCTGAGGCAAGCGAATTGCTTAGGTGGAGGTTGTAGTGAGCTGAGATCGTGCCACTGCACTCCAGCCTGGGTGACAGAGCGATACTGCATCTCAAAATAATAATAATAATAATAATAATTTATTTACCTCTCATGTAAACAGAGACAACCCAAGACTGTTATGGCGGCTCCCTGATCACCAGGTTTCTTCCATCTTGTTCCATTCTCTTCAACACATGGCTTCTACCTCGTGGCCCAAAATGGCTGCTCCAGCTCCAAGCTTGGTTCAGCGTTTCAGTCACTGGTCAGGAGGAAAGGAACAGAGAAGGGTACATTCTAGTTCTTTAAAGTGCTCACTGGCCAGGTGCGGTGGCACATGCCTGTAATCTCAGCACTTTCGGAGGCCAAAGTGAGAGGATCACCAGAGGTCAGGAGTTCGAGACCAGCCTGGACAACACAGTGAAACCCCATCTGTACTAAAAATACAAAAATTAGCCAGGCATGGTAACACATACCTGCAGTCCCAGCTACTCAGGAGGCTGAGGCAGGAGAATCACTTGAACCTGGAAGACGGAGGTTGCAGTGAGCTGAGATGGCACCACTGCACCCCAGTCCCCAGCAACAAAGCGAGACTCTGTCTCAAAAAGAAAAAAAAAGAAAAAAGAAAAGAAAGAGAAGTGCTCACCACTCTCCCTTACATCCTGCTGACCAGTCCTCAGACATGAGTTCACTGTCAGGTATACTGGGGAATGAGGCAGAGCAACCATGGGCCTTGGTAACATTTGACATTTTATTACTGAAGAATTAGAGAATGGATTTTGGAGACAATCAGCAATCTCCTCTATAAGCCGATGGCTGGCGTTGTGAAAGATGTTCAGACCCAAGAAGGATCAGATCCCAGAACTAAAAAGAAGCTCT
This sequence comes from Homo sapiens, assembly GCF_000001405.40. NCBI lineage: Eukaryota > Metazoa > Chordata > Mammalia > Primates > Hominidae > Homo > Homo sapiens. The sequence continues at coordinate 40,311,081 of NC_000004.12, forward strand.
AGCATTTCCCTCCTGTCATCGAGGAAATGCTGCTGGAACAACGGCTAATACTCTAAGCCTCGGCCGGGACGCGGAGATTGTAGTCTGGCTCTGCCTCTCGCCACTATCATGGCCTTGAGAGAGTTACCTAACATTCCAGAGCTCAGTTTCTCTCAGATGAGGTTACTTCCTGCTCTACAATGATGACTATATATACTTGTCATGGCATCAGGCAGTTAAATAGACAATGAATGTATTTTTTCTTCCTTTCAATCGTGAACATTTAATGTTGTGAATAATTAAGAATACACATAACTGGCTGGGCGAGGTGGCTCATGCCTGTAATCCCAGCACTTTGGGAGGCCGGGCGGGGGTGGATTACAAGGTCAGGAGATAGAGACCATCCTGGCTAACACGGTGAAACCCCATCTCTACTAAAAATACAAAAAAATTAGGAGGGTGTGGTGGCGGGCACCTGTAGTCCCAGCTACTCGGGAGGCTGAGGCAGGAGAATTGCTTAAATCTGGAGGTTGCAGTGAGCTGAGATTGCACCACTTCACTCCAGCCTGGGCAACAAGAGTGAAACTCCATCTCAAAAAAAAAAAAAAAAAAAAGGAATATAGATAACCAATTTCTGGCCCCCAGTTATCCTTTTAACCTTGCAAAACTCCTTCCTTTTGGCTAGAAGTGAAGTCTTTGGCTGGGAGATCCACTTTATGTTCCTATTGAGCTTTGGAAGCAGAAGGTCTGAAGGAACCGACAAAGACCCTCACAGTTGTGAAGTCTCTGTTTATACCGAGCAGTAGCGGCTGCCTTCGCCCGTCTCAAACTGCGGGGACAGGAAGCATATGGAGCCAGTTGATAAAGAGGGTATCAGCTGTGAGCACACTAATCTCGAGGAAATGGGGATCCCAAAGGCACCTGGATTAGCCACAGACCAAAGGAGCCCTCTTACAATTCCTTTCAGTTGCTAAGACACGCTATGTTTGAAAGAACACCCCCCAACCACACCCAAGAAAGAAAAACATAACCTGCAATTGCTCAATTCCTTACAGATAGCCAGCAAACCCTAGCATCTGGGCCTTAATAAAGAGCTAAACTGCAAACAGAAAAGCTACTTTGTCTGCTTCTTGCGGCCAGAGAGCGAACCTGTGTGCTAGTTGGTCACCATGGCTACAAGATGTGACTTTTCTAGTTCTGTGTGATAGAGTGGCTGAGCAGGGTGGTGGCAGGAAGAGGACAAATCAAACATCCAACTAGGAAATGGGGCACTGGGTGGCACGTCTCCATCCCAAGCTGAGCCTTGCTCTTGTTTTGACAGAGACTCCCTGGAGACTGGCCTTGTGACGAGGAGGACAGGTACTCCTGGTTGCAGCATCTGGGGTACCATCTTCCCTCTTCCTAGGATGACTTTCAGCTTCAGGCAGACCAAGCCTGAATCAAAGGAGAAGGGATCCAGAAAGTTACGTGATCTGATTTTAAAGCAAGGACACAGGAGCCAGTGTGAAGGGGCTACCCCTGGGCAAATCGGACACAATTTGAGCACCAAAGTAATTAAGGACAGCAATGGGATGTGAACTATTGAAAAATAGGAATCCCCAGCCTAGGCTATATCACTAGACCCCATCTCTACAAAAAATTTAAGAAATTAGCCAGGTGTTGTGGCTCATGCTTGTAGTCCCAGCTACTTGGGGGGCTGAGGTGGGAGGATCACTTGAGCCTGGGAGGTCGAGGCTGCAGTGAGCTGTGATTGTGCCACTGCACTCCAGCCTAGGTGACAGAGGGAGACTCTGTCTCAAAAAAAAAGGGGCAGGGGAAGAAAAATGGAAATCTACATGTGCATACTGATAATAAGTAGATAAGGAGGAGGTGGGGGGATCTTGCTTACAGTAGAATCCTGCAAAGTGCTAACTGGTAAATGTGCAGGGTGAGCTGGAGTTAGAAAATCATCATTTGCCACCATCCAAGTGAAAGCTGGCTCAGGCAAGGATCATTAATAGTTGCTAAATTTAAGTGGAAATTCTGATGAGGAGCAGGATATTTGCATGATTTTTAAAGTACCTATTCACAGATTGCTTATTGGTTACAAGAGAAAAAATAGTAATTCTACAGTGGAGAAGTCAAACAACACGTTGATTGGGTGATCAAAATTTATGTCACCAGTAAGGGGCAGATGGACCTTGTGTGCTTCCAGATGTGATGCTCCAAAAAGGACACAGTATCACCTATTTAATGTGCTGTCCAGGAATGCATAACCTGAATTTAATGATGGGAAACATCAAAAAACCCCAAATGAGAAAATTCTATTTAAAAATAGAAAAGAGGGGACTAGTATTCTCCAAAAATGATAGTATTGTAAAAGACAAAGAAAGGCAGTGTAAAATCTTCCAAATTAAAGTAGACAACAGTTGCGGCAGCTAAATACGGTATGTAACCCTGATCTTAGACTGTATTCTATACTAAAAGGGAAAAAATGATATATAAGACATCATTGGGTCAACCAGAAAATGAGAAAACAGATGGTAGGCTAGATAAAACTACTATATCAATTTTTTTTTTTTTTTAAATATAGAGTCTCTCTCTGTTGCCTAGGCTGGAGTGCAGTGGCACGATCACCGCTCACTCCAACCTCCACCTCCTGGATTCAAGCGATTCTCTTGCCTCAGCCTCCCGAGTAGCTAGGATTATAGGCATGTGCCACCACGCCCAGCTAATTTTTGTATTTTTAAAAGAGAGGGGATTTCACCCTGCTAGCCAGGCTGGTCTTGAACTCCTGACCTCAAGTGATCCACCCGCCTTGGCCTCCCAAAGTGCTGGGAGTACAGGCATGAGCCACTACACCCGGCCTTATCAATGTTACATTTACTGAGGTTTGTAACTGAACTATGGTTATGGAAGAGAATATTCTTAAGAAATACACACTGAAATGTTTAGGAGTAAAGGGCCGTGAAATATTAGTATTTAGAGAGGAGACAGAGAGAGAGAGCTGGGTAGGTAGATAAAAGACATGCAAAATGCTAACTATAGGTGGCTATGGTGTAAGGGAACAGGCTATTTTTTGTAGTATTTTTATTCTTGTAACTTTCTGTAAGTTTAAATCTTTTCCTAATAAAAAATAATTAAAAAGAATACAACTCTTAAAGGACACACACATGCTGCTGTGATGCACAGACCATGGAGGGGAAGGGCAGGAACCGGCCACATGGTCAGGCTGTCATTTCGGTATTTCAGGCGAGAGAAGATGGTGGCTTAGACCAGGACAGTGATAGGAAAAGGGACACGGGGCATTTGGGTTCTGGATATGTCTTGAAGGTACAGCTATTAGGATTTTTTGATTAATTCCATGTGGAGTTGAGAGAAAGGGAAGGGGCAATGGAGAGCCCCAAGTTTTCTGGCCCGAGCAACTGGAGCCTGGAGTTGTCAGTAACTGGGATGAAGTGGAGGGAAATGCAGATTTGAAGTGGGAGATTGAGAGTCCGCTTTTGGATATGGGCCTGGGTAAGTGGATTCAGGGAACATATTATTTAATTTTAATTAAACTAAAGTGCATAAAATGGATACTTAGCTTTAAAAGATTTCTACAAAGTAACCACAAATCAAAGATAAACTGAATACTGTAAGTGAAGGTGAATTTCCAAAATACTGCATTTTTGGTTGGTGAGATTGTAAGATTGGTGAACAATACTCTTCTTTGTTTAGATCTATGTATATTTGTGAGGAGTCTCTTCCTGCGACGACAACCTTACATTGACAATTAAAATATGCTGAATTTAAAATCAGACCTCAGAGTAACTGTAATACAAGATGTTAAACCAATATTTTAAAATATAATGAAGCATATTCAGTCACATTGTGCTTGTCAAAAAGAGCAAAATTCTTTTATTATATTGTATACAATTGTTATTATATAAATAAATAATTTAATATATTTATTTCATCTTTAATTCAAAATGGATATTCACTAAGATATCCTTTTTGGTGTCTGTCCTGTGAGATGAACAATAATTTAGTCATGTCACTTAACGATGTGGACATTTTGTGAGAAATGCATTGTTAGGTGATTTCATCATCATGTGGACATCATAAAGTGTACTTACGCAAACCTAAATGGTATAGCCTTTGCTCCTAGGCTATCAACTTGTACAGTATGTGATCTTACTGAATATTGTAGGCAGTTATAACACAATGGTTACACAGTATATGGGATCACAGTATATGTGGCCACTTCGCGTTGACTGAAATGTTTTGTAGCACGTGACTCTATTTTATAAAGTCATATATATGTATGTAATCTATAAATTTAAAAAATACATAAATAGGGGAGCATGCTCAAAATTTGAATCAGTAAATGGAGAGATCAGAAAAGTTTGGAGACCTCTGGGTTAGAATATAACACTAATTCCAGCCAGATAAGGCAGTTACCTTTGCCATCATCTGTTCCCTTCCAGTAAAGGTGTGGTGTGGATGGAACAGTATAGATTCAGACCCATTGCTAGGGACCCCAGCTCACTGCATATGTGTCCAGTGCATTAAGAGGTTTTGTCTAGGGCAAATAAGTGATAATACATCATCTAATGGAATATTCTGCAAATTCTAAAAAGAATGGATCAATTTGAATTGATATGGAAAGATGTCTGAGATACAATAAGTCAAAAAAGCAAGTGATAGAACAATGTACAGTGTCAAATAGACAAATCATACACATGTGCTGTGTATTCACAGAAACAGGGGCTACCTGTAGAGAGTGGAGAAGGAAATTTGTTTTTAATGTACTGTTTAATAAAAAAAAACATAAACATGTATTTGTTCAATATTTAAAAAGTTTTGAAATGTTTATCCTCTTTGAAACTCCTTTTATGATGTTATCCTGGAGAAATAAAGATATAATAACTATTTTGTATTAAGTTGATCATTGTGACATTATAATGGTGAAAAATTAGAAATAACCTAAACATCTAGCATTTAGAGAATGATTAATATTGGGAAAATGAACTGTAATATAATGCGGTCTTTTAAAAATCAAGTTTCTGAAAATTTCACCAGATGGAGAAATACTGACAATATGCTAATTAAATTCACTATTAATCTTGATGTAAAATCTGTGTTAATCTCCATGATGTTAAAAATGCATAGAAAAATAAAAAGCCTAGAAGAAAATATTCCCAAATGACAACAGAAGTTGCCTCTGGTAGTGAGATTACAGGAGATTCTTTATTTTCTGAACCTTTGTATTTTCATATTCTTTTCACTTTTTTTCTGCAGTAAGCATGCATTATTTTGTAATGTGAAAGAAAAAGAAAGTAAAATACTGAGAAAATTATGACGTGCATTCCTGGCATGAGTCAGGAGCTGAATTTTCATGTTTAAATTAGTTTCAGAAACACAGGAGTGGTTTCTAGGCAACCTGCTTGGGAAATTATGTTCATTTCCATTGTTGCTGGAGTGTGCGTGAGTGTCTGAAAGAAAATGTAAGAGACGAACCTTTGCAAAAGCAGACTCCTGCTAAGGAAAAATAAGCTTTGCCACCCAGTTTTGGTCATGGGGACTTGAGTTACTGTGACCTCAGAGGCCCCTAGGGGCCTGATCATTTTTTTTCTTTCTTTTTTCCTCCATCTTTTCTTTTCTTTTCTTTCTTTCTTCCTTCCTTTTTCTTTGCTTGCTTTTTTTTTTTTCAAATGAGTGATTGATTTTAATGAGGATTGCTATAGGATGCTATAGGATGCTATAGGAATGTCTAATGTACAGTACATTAGACATTCAAGCCTCTGCATAAGGTGTGGGAAACTGAGAGGGGAGAGAGAATCAAGCAAAAACCCCCACTCTGTGCCTCTGCTGAGAATCCAGGGCTGTAATTGAGGCCGTTGCAAGGCTTTACAAGACGGATTGTAGCTCAGGATGTGAAAAGATTGCCTCATCATCATGTGAGTCATTTACCATTATTATAGACAATCCTGCTGTGCCAAAGGGCTTTTAATCAGAAGGAAACACTGAAAAATGGAATCAGGGCTAAGAAACGCTTGGCCCAGCCTGATGGGCTGTGGAGGATGGTCTGAGTTAAGAATATTTTTTAGCCTCAAGGGAGATGCGTTCTTCACTAAGCGTTTGCAGAAGGTGCAGAAGGTATTGTTCTCAGCCCACGGTGTGTGTTTTGTTGACCTTGACTGCGTTTTTCAGCAAGAAGGAAAGGCTATTTGCCTGATAAATGGAATCGGAGCTCAGCGTCTCGCTCCTAGGCCCCCTAGTGGTTGTCTTTTGCAATTAAAAAAATGAAGTGACGTGAGGTCAACAGCAGGCTCTTTGGGTAACGATCGCAGGTGACTAGAGTGTGCTGCCTTTGACGCTGGCTCCCCCAGACTTCATCAAAGCTCAGGGGAGAAGCCTTGAAAATCAGGAGCTCCAGAGGGACAGACGCATTTCCTCACAGAACGCGGGACAGGAAGGCAGGAACCTTCCGTTGTGGATGGTGAAGAGCTTGTTCTGTCTTCAAACTTCTGAACCAATGTCCTGCATTCCATGTATGTGGCTCATGGTTCTGACCACTGCTGCTTTAAAATGACAGACCTCTGGGCCGGGCACGGTGGCTCACGCCTGTCTGTAATCCCAGCACTTTGGGAGGCCGAGGCGGGCAGATTACGAGGTCAGGAGATCGAGACCATCCTGGCTAACACGGTGAAACCCCTGTCTCTACTAAAAATACAAAAAAAAAAAAAAAAAAAAAAAAAAAAAAAAAAATTAGCCGGGCTTGGTGGCGGGCGCCTGTAGTTCCAGTCCCAGCTACTCCGGAGGCTGAGGCAGTAGAATTGCTTGAATCCAGGAGGCGAAGCTTGCAGTGAGCCGAGATCGTGCCACTGCACTCCAGCCTGGATGACAGAGTGAGACTCCATCTCTCACACACACAAAAAACAAAACAAAACAAACAAACAAACAAACAAACAAAAAGACAGACCCCTGGAAGGTAAATGAAGAGAGGGACCAACAGTGACTGCCCCTCCTTCTCTGGCAGCTCTTGAGGGCAGGCCCTTCTCTTTTCATCTTGTACTCCAGGGCTTATCAAAAGGGCTTAGTATAAGTAGACTCCACAGATGCTTGTGGTCTGAATGATATGTGGAGCCCAGTGGGGTAGATAATATTATTCCTTTCACCCATGAGGAAACTGAGGTGCAAAGAAGATTTTTTAAAAATGCCTGAGATCTCTCACTAATAAATGACAGAACAGAAACTCCAGTCCCAAATCCCAAAGGCTTTTTTTCTACCAAGATGCACCCCCACGCCTCCACCATGCACTCCATCTTGCTGGTCCAGTCCGTCAAGTGAGAGCCTCGTTTTTGGTCTCTGCCTCCTATGGATCAGTCCACCCTGGAGGCACAACCTTCTTTCCCTTCTCTGAACTTCTGGTTCAGACCTCTCATTTGGCAGCGAGTCACGCCTTTAAGGAATAGTTGGCAGGGTGCAGTGGCTCACGCCTATAATCCCAGCACTGTGGGAGGCTGATGTGGGCAAATCGCTTGAGCTTAGGAGTTCGGGACTAGCCCGGGCAACATGGTGAAATCCCTGTCTCTACTAAAAATAAAAAAAAAAAGTAGCTGGATGTGGTGGCGGTGCCTGTGGTCCCAGCTCTCTGGAGGCCGAGGTGGGAGGATCGCTTGAGTCCAGGAGGCAGAGGTTGCAATGACCTGAGATTGCACCATTGCACTCCAGTGGGTGACAAAGCAAGACCCTGTCAAAAAAAAAAAAAAAAAGAGTCAGGTGCAGTGGCTCACGCCTGTAATCCCAGCACTTTGGGAGGCCAAGGCAGGTGGATCTCCTGAGGTCAGGAATTTGAGACCAGCCTGGCCAACATGGTGAAACCCCGTCTCTACCAAAAATACAAAAAAATTAGCCGGACCTGGTGGCAGGCGCCTGTAATCCCAGCTACTTGGGAGGCTGAGGCAGGAGAATCTTTTGAACCCGGGAGATGGAGGTTGCAGTGAGCCGAGACTGTGCCATTGAACTCCAGCCTGGGGAACAAGAGTGAGACTTCTCTCAAAAAAAAAAAAAAAATAGTCTTCTTGCTTGCATTACTTATTTAACTTTTATTGTTATTCAGCTTTTCTTAGAAATTTGTCTTTTTCCTCTAAATATTCCATAATCACCTTGAAGGATGAGATGATGTGTAGTTAATTCTTGTGAACTCTCTGCCCAGCATTCAGTAAATATTTGCAGTATGAGTGGATTTTGCAGCACTATTCTGATCAAAACTCACCTCTCAGTGCCTGTTTCTACTGGGAAACTAGGAAATATTTTTTTTGTTTTGTTTTGTGTTGTTTGAGACAGAGTCTCGCTCTGTCACCCAGGCTGGAGTGCAGTGGCCAGATCTTGGCTCACTGCAACTTCTGCATCCCGGGTTCAAGCGATTTTCCTGCCTCAGCTTCCCAAGTAGCCGGGACTACAGGCGCCCACCACCATGCCAGGCTGATGTTTGTATTTTTAGTAGAGATGGGGTTTCACCATTTTGGCCAGGCTGGTCTCGAACTCCTGACCTTGTGATCCACCCACCTTAGCCTCCCAAAGTGCTGGGATTACAGGTGTGAGCCACCATGACCAGCTGGAAGTGGTTTTAATATTTATCTTAAAACATGTATTCTCATCAAAAAGGTGATCCACTCCCCTCTGCTGAGGGGCTTACAACCTAAGTTAAGTTAAATACAGTTCTCTTTTCTCCAGAAGCTTAACTCTTGAGCTTGTACTTATCTTACTTATCTTGGCTATTACTACACTGGATTTAGGTCAAAGGTAGAATTTTTTTTTTTTTTTTGAAACAGAGTCTCACTCTGTCGCCCAGGCTGGACTGCAGTGGTGCGATCTCGGCTCACTGCAACCTCCACCTCCCGGGTTCAAGTGATTCTTTTGCCTCAGCTTCCCGAGAATCTGGGATTATAGGCGCCTGCCACCACGCCCAGCTAATTTTTATATTTTTAGTAGAGGTGGGGTTTTGCCATGTTGGCCAGGCTGGTCTCGAACTCCTGATCTCAAGTGATCTGCCTGCCTCGGCCTCCCAAAGTGCTGGGATTACAGGCATGAGCCTCTGCATCCAGGCTAGGTCAAAGGTGGAATCTAAATTCATTTAGGTCCTTCCATTTTGACTGGAATCTGTCAGCTCCCAAACACAGCACATCCGTTCCGCAACGGGGATCCACTCTGACAAGCTGGGTCACAGTGGGGCTAGTTTCTCTGCCAGGCGCATTTACATCCAAGGTTGTTTCATCTTGCTCTTAAGGCTGCCCTTTAGGGAGCCATGCTTGGCACAGGTGTGTGCACATTAAGGTTAAGACACTCAGCTGCCACCATCCTCTCACCGCGGACACCAGAAGCGTCACTGCCCAGGGAAGGCCAGCCAAGACTGCCTGGGGAATTGTGGCATGGGAGGAGGGTGACTGCCAATCAAGAGATCTCTGTCAGGCCTGGCTCTCACCACTACAATCATGTATTTCATGAGCATTTATTGGACACCTCTTGTATATCAAATACTGGGGATACCAAGACAAATGGAGCATCTGAGAGATGCTCAGTCTGGCCGGGGAGACAATAGGTAAACAGTTGAGTAACGGGATGGGCACTGTGATAGAAGTATGTACCAGAAACCACAAGAACATAGGAGAGGAAGCACGGAATTCTGCCTGGGAGGTTGGAAAGGGCTTTCTCGATTAGGTGATTTTCAAGATGAGACTTGAAAGAGAAGCTGTTCACTGGTTGGGCATGGAGGGGACAACTATTCCAGGCTGAGGGACAACATGGAAACAGCATGGAGGCCCGAGAGAGTGCAGCAAATCACCTTGCTATTAGAGCTATGTGGGGCCGGGTGCGGTGGCTCATGCCTGTAATCCCAGCACTTTGGGAGGCCTAGGTGGGCAGATCACCTGAGGTCAGGAGTTTGAGACTAGCCTGGCCAACATAGGGAAACCCCGTCTCTACTGAAAATACAAAAATTAGCCAGGTGTGGTGATGCATGCCTGTAATCCCAGCTACTCAGGAGGATGAGGCAGGAGAATCACTTGAACCCGGGAAGTGGAGGTTGCAGTGAGCCGAGATCGTGCCACTGTACGCCAGCTTGGGCGACAGAGCCAGACTCCGTCTTAAATAAATAAATAAATAAATAAATAGAGGGGAAAAAAAGAAAAGAAAAGAGAAAAAAAGCTATGTGGGATGGCAGGCGATGCACCTGGTGAGGAAGGCAGGACAGAGAGTTTGAAGGGTCTCCTATGCCATGATTTAGAGCAGGGCCTTCATCCTGTGGGTGATGGGGGACATGGGAGGATTTCATACAGGCAGGGGAGTGTAACATGGTCAGAGTCCAAAACATTGAAGTAACAGCAGTGTGAGTGGGGACTAGAGGAAAAGGAGACTGAAGGAAGAAGGAACAGCCCCAAGATGGTTTTCAATAGTCCAGGAAATACTACCTTGTAGGGGTTTGGGGTGATAAGAGGGATGGCGTGGGCTTAGCAGACAGGATTGATGGAGCCTGGTAGCAGATGGGATGTAGTAGTATGTGAGGGGAATCTGGGACAACTCCCAGTATCTGGCATGGGGGACTGGGAAATGGTGACTTTCTTCATCAAAACCAGGAACCCATGGCAGGCCAGGGGAAGATAGTGAGTTCCACTTGACCACATCTGAAATGCTATGGAATCTCCAAGCAGAGCTGTCCAGGAAGTGGTTGGTATGTGAGAGTCTGAGCTTTGGGTAGATACTGGTTTTGGATGTAAAAAGGCTGGATCAGGTTTCTCTCTCTATAGACATTCAATAAACATTGTTTTGAGTAGCTAATTAAGAATTACAGGGCACTGGGAAAACAGAAGGATGTTGCAATGTAAATGTGGATGCTCTTACAGTAATGGACTGATGGTTGCAGAAAAGCTCAAGCTAAATAACACTAATTTTTCAGCTATAAATAAACCTGCCTCTGCAGTTGGGGTTTTCAATTACGCAGGAAAAAGAAATGCAGCCATGGAAACGAGGAAGAGAGCTACGCAGAGGGCAGCTCGTGCCTGCAGGGCAAAAATGTTAGCACATTCTAGCCAAAATGGATGGTGAAGTATAGTCTGATCCGGTGGAAAAGAAATGCAAGTCTAATGTCCTGGGTTCAAGTATGAGTTGAGCGTCTGTCACAGAGTATCAGACATGAAGCAAATGTTTGCTCTCTACTTTTAGAGATGTCGTCAGTGTTGTAAGCTTTTTATGTGTATCACCTCATTCAATCCTCAGAACAACCTCATGACAGAGTCTTTGTTCTGCCCCCTTTAGAGATGAGTAAACTGAACACAGAGAGTTTAAACAACTTTCCCCAGGCCACCAGCTAAAACGTGGCAATTCGATGATTTGAACCCAGACAGCCTGAACCCAGAATCCTTTCAGGGACTCTTCACTACTCCTAACTATGCTATGCTGCCTTTCCATGCAAAAAGCTAGGAAATATCACTTTGCACAGCCTTCATTTTCTTATCAGTCCATGGATTTTTGTAAAGAGCAAGGGGCATAATTTATATTAAGGCCTAAATGACAGATGTATATTTTCATTGTGTTTTCTATGATTGGCTCTTCAAGGGAGTAGTGTTTAAAGTTTTGCCCCAAATGTTCTTTTCAAGGAGAGCTCTGGGAGGTCCCATAATTCTGTGACTTTGCGTTTGCAGAACACAGCAGATGACCTGAGCAGCATTCAATCAGTGATCACTGTTTATTGAACTCAGTGTCACAATAATGTTCATGGACTCACAAGTAAGAAAGACCTCGGTTCTATCCCAGCACTGCAACTTGGACATGCTACTTAAAACTCTCCAAGCCTGCCTTCTGTAAATGGGATAATACCAGCAACCTTTGCAGAGGTATAAAGATTACCATGGTAAACTGTTTCCATGGTCACAGAATTCACAATCCAAGATAAAAGAGTCATTAAGCACACAGACACACAAATAGGCAAGCAAAGGTTGGAGAAGCACATTCTAGGAGAAAGGAACTGCAGAAATCTTGCGTTGGCAGGAACTTGACACGTTTGATATACTACAAGGTCGGCAAGACCTTCTCATAAATTTGTGAAGCAATTAGCATTCTTTTAGTCAACAGTCAGCATTTCTCTATGTGTGTAGTATATTTATAACTAATAAAGTAAAACTTATGCTTTTAAGAAAATATTTTTTCCCAAACATTTAAGTGTTAATTGCATGCCTAAATTAAGTTCGTTTTTTTGGTTTTTTGCTTGATTAAAATTACAACACAAATCCATTGGATCTTAAATACCTTAAAAGCCTTTAAAAACTGGCAAAACATACTAGTTATCACAAAGATTACAGAAATTATGACATAACATTGCTTTTTTTTTTTTTTTCAGACAGAATCTTGCTCTGTTGCCCAGGCTGGAGTGCAGTGGGGCAATCTCGGCTCACTGCAGCCTCTGCCTCCCGGGTTCAAGCAATTCTCCTGCCTCAGCCTCCTGAGTAGCTGGGATTACGGGCATGCACCACCACGCCTGGTTAATTTTGTATTTTTAGTAGAGACAGGGTTTCTCCATGTTGAGGCTGGTCTTGAACTCCTGACCTCAGGTGATCCGCCCGCCTCGGCCTCCCAAAGTGCTCGGATTACAGGCGTGAGCCATCGCGCCCTGCCACAATCAATCTTTAGGTTGGGCCCTTTGAAAAAACAGAATCTTGTTTCTGATTTCATGGAACTTTTAGGTCCCTTTTCTCTTCGAATAGATTTTGAGTTTTGGAAACCAGAAGCATATATTCTTTAAATTTTTCAAAATCAGCTTCCCTATCCCAGTTCAGCCATTATTATATATTGATTTGATCTGTTGGTGTGATTGATAATTTAGGTATGTTTTATCAATATCTCATTATAATTATATGATCATCTAAACCTTGCTACTCAATGTGTGGTCCATGGGCCAGCAGCATCTATATCACGTGGGATGCAGAATCTCAGCCTCAGTCAGGCCTCCTGACTCAGAATCTGCATTTGAACGAAACCTCCTGTGATCTGATGGCCATTTAAAGCCCAGATGACTCATAGAAAGGATGCAGCTACCTAGATATGAGGGATGGAGCCTGTGGCTGGCAATCCTCTTCAGGACATGCAACTAATTTGGCATCATGGAACCCACTATTACTCCCTCTTTTCTTATAGTTTGAGGTTTCATTATAACTGCTAAGATTTTCTTCTACCTTGACCAAGAGAAGAAGGCTTGGGACTGAATCCTGAGAAATCCAACATTGAGGGAAGAAGCAGATGAGGAGGAATTGCGTAGGAAGTTAAGAGAAAAGCTGGAGTTTTCCTGCCGTGGAAACCCAGAGAAATGACTGTACTAAAATAAGTAGTGAGCACCTCACTGTGAACATTAGCCATGTTCCTATTGGGATTGTTATGAGTAGCAATTTTAAAATGAAGAACAAATGCTATCTTAGACGGGCTAGAGAAGCTCATGGAGTCTCATCACAGAGGTCTCTCCCAAGAGTCATTTTCCCGGACCTTTGGAAGAAGGATCGATGGTCCCCCACGGTGTTGAACGAAGTGCTTATTTGCAGAATTAACTCACAAAAATGTTAAATTCAGAGGAAATGGTCTGTTCACTGAAGTGTTACATTTTCTTCTGAGGGGTGAGGTGAGGATGTGAAGGGAAAGGATGACAACAAGCCGAGGTAAACTTACTTTGAAAGAATAGTACAACCTTCCCACTACTTTGTTTTCTGGGCCTCCCATAGCACTTCATGCACTGATTTTTTTTAAACATAAACAAAAGGTTTAAATATTGTTTTCAAAATTCCCTACCCAGGACTGGGCACGGTGGCTCACACCTGTAATCCCAGCACTTTCGGAGGCCAAGGCGGACGGATCACTTGAGGTCAGGAGTTCAAAACCAGCCTGGCCAACATGGTAAAACCTTGTCTCTACTAAAAATACAAAAAATAAAAAAAATTAGCCTGGCGTGGTGTTGCGCGCCTGCAGTCCTGGCTACTCGGGAGGCTGAAGCAGTAGAATCGCTTGAACCCGGGAGGTGGAGGTTGCAGTGAGCCGAGAGCGTGCCACTGCACTCCAGCCTGGGCGACAGAGTGAGACTCTGCCTCAACAAAAACAAAAACAACAAAAAATTCTCTACCCTAAAGAATTGGGTAAAATCCAGTCCTCCAAACCAGGGGAAGAGTTAGTTCCTGGAATACTCTATTTTGATCTTGCAGAATTATACTCCGTTAGAAATTAATCCAGATAAGATACGAGAAAACAATAAAGCAGGAACATTCTAGAAAGTGTATTGATTAGGACAACTTGACTCTAATAATCTATTTCTTAGCTTAAATCTGTTAATAGATTTGATTATCATAAGCACTTGGCTATTAGCCAGAAATCCTGGATAAATGGACGGATCACTGTAAATTTGGTATTTGAAGCTGTTATATTTCAAGCTGTTTTTTTTTTCTTTGTATGTGCTGTCTCTTTAGAGCTGGTTAAAAACAGCAGATTTCACATATGACGTTATCTGCAGTGCCCTGTGCAGAGGCCTGCAGGGAGTTTACAGAGACACCTGGTGGCTGAGAAGGTGAAGTACCTTGGCTTTGTCAGAAGATAAAGGATTTGAATTGTGTCTAAATTTGGTTTCTTTTTGTGGCTGAGAATTTCACTCCTTTCTTAATTATTTTAGTAGAATTGCACATTTAAAAAAATAGACTTTGATTTTTAAAGATTATTTTTAGAGCTTTCACTCTTTCTTTCTGAAAAAAATCATCAACCAGGTGAATTGACCAGTTCCATCAGCTGGGCTGAATCTCATCAGGGCCAGGACCAGAGTGAGGCAGGAGAGGCACTTGCTTCCAGTGCACATTTAAGGGGGAGCCAAAAATATTAGTAATGAATATAGATAAATTTTTTTGAGACAGGATCTCTATCTGTCACCCAGACCAGAGTGCAGTTGTGTGATCATAGCTTACTACAGCTTTAAACTCCTGGGCTCAAGTGATCCTCCTGCCTCAGCCTCCCCCATGTAGGAGGGACTGCAGGTACGCATCACCATGCCTGGCTAATTTAAAAGAACTTTTCTTTTCTTTTTTTGGTAGAGATGGGGGTCTCATTTTATTGCCCAGGCTGGTCTTGAAGTCCTGGCCTCAAGTGATCCTCCCACCTCGACCTCTCAAAGTGTTGGGATTACAAGCATAAGCCACCATGCTTGGCCTTAATACAATATTTCTAAACATCAAAATTAATGCAAAATATTTCATTATAAATAAAAATACCAAAGTTTAAAAACAGGATTAGTGGCTGGGCATGGTGGCTCATGCCTGTAATCCCAGCACTTTGGGAGGCTGAGGCAGGTGGATCGCCTGGGGTCAGGAGTTCGAGACCAGCCTGGCCAACATGGTGAAACCCCATCTCTACTAAAAATGTAAAAATTAGCTGGGTGTGGTGATGCATGCTTGTAGTCCCAGCTACTTGGGAGGCTAAAGGAGGAGAATTGCTTGAACCCTGGAGGTGGAGGTTGCAGTGAGCTGAGATCATGCCATTGCACTCCAGCCTGGGCGACAGAGAGAAATTCTGTCAAACAAACAAACAAACAAAAAACCAATAACAACAACAACAAAAAAAAACAGGATTAGTATTGCCAATATTCTCTCTCTCTTTTTTTTTTTCAGGCTCCAATATGGCTCAGAAAGGCACTGAGAAAACCTAGCCTTAGCTAGGCTAAGAGCCTAGCTTCTGGCCTGGCTTTTACGTGGTCAGCGGATGTGCGTCCATCCCCCTGCACTGGTTCCCCTTGTCCTTTCTGTGGCTCTCCTGGATTCCTCTCGTTCAGCTCCTTGGTGTACAGAGCCTATGTCAATGGCAATGGTGAGGTAAGTGAGAAGAAGAAACGGAGAAAGTTAAAAAGTGTCTTTGAGGAAAACACTTGGGAATAAAATCTTCCAGTTCTCCTGCTTTACCTTTCAGTACCCTCCCTGCTTCCTTCCAAACATGCTTCCAGAAGCAGGCACCTAGGCCATTCATACCCACGGGGCTGCTCTCGGCTAAGTAGGCCTAGCCGAAGAGACACTGAGGGCAGGTGGGCAGGTGGGGTGGGAGATGGAGCAGCGCGTTGCTGACTGGGAGAAAGCACCTCCTTGCCTCTTTTCAGTTTTAACATGTCCCTTTAGTGCCCACTTTCCAGAACAGGGCAGAGGATGGGGGAGCGGGAGATGAGTGAGGTCTTGGGGCCATGGGGCCATGCTGCTTCTAAGGGGGCAGAAGCTGTGGGAGAGGTTGGGGGCTGGTAGCTCTCAGAATAGCCTGGGAAGGGTATCAGCTGGGTTTGCACAGTGTTGTCTCCGAATCTCCCAGCTCCCCTTCTCTATGATTAGCATCCTTGAAGTAGCGTGCTACTGTTAACAGAAGAGCAGAGTGTGCCCCTTCTGCTTTTTCCCATGCTTGTCATTTGCCTAACTCTTACAATGTTAGCAGAGAGACAGTGTTTGCAACGAGCAGGGAAATATTGCACAATTGTGACTGCAGGGTCTGCTATGAGAAGAGGAAGCAGAGCCAGTGGGGTGAGAACCTCCTGGGATGAGAAGGGGTCGGAAACTCAAGAACAAAGGAAAATGTCTGAGAAGTCCCAAGGAGCAAGTGGGCTACCATTGAGGACAGAAATCTCCCATGGATGAGGTCTCCTCTGTGCAGCAAAGAAAGACCCCAGAAACAGGAGGAAGCCAGGAGATACTCACCCTATACCACACTGTACAGTTTTATAGCTTTCAAATATATTCCCTCAGGGGATTTCAGGGAAAATAGTATGCACCCTCTGACAAAGCACAGACATCAGAGCCCGCTACAGTCCCCAGATCACTCACTTGGACATACTGGATACCCTGGATCATATATCAGCTGCTCTCCTGACCCAGAAAACTGCATGTCTCTTATCACCCACTCATGTCTCTTCATGAACTTGGCTCTTCTGTTGGCAACTTTATGAGTTTCTTTTTACCAGTGGGTGCTTTCTGACTACCGTAGCCTGTGTGGTTTGGCAAGGGGAATCATAGTGGCATTCACTGAGAGTCTTGCTTTGTGCCAGGTGTGTGCTTGGTACTTTATCTGCTTTCTCTTGAATCCTCACAATAACCCTTTTGGGTAAAATATTATAATCTTCCTTTATACAAATGAGAAAATGAGACTCTGAGAAATAATTACTACTAACATGACTAGTAAGTGGTGGTCCTAGGACTTGAACTGGGGCCATAGGACTCCTCCTGTGTCCTTAGGTCCTTTCTGTTGCATTAGGTCAGCAGAGACATGGGGAGATGCCTCCACACCCTCCCCCTGCATCCTTGGCAGATGCTGCTAACTGGATTTGGTGGTTGTTTCCCTTGAGCTAGGACTATGTATAAGGGAAAAATTATGGTCCATGTTCTCAAGGAATTTTGCTTTGACATAGGTTAAAATATAACACAGCAGTAGACTGACAATGTAAGGCTGTAAATAACATCCTGGCCATGAGTGCTAAAAAAATCAGGTAAGCTTATGAATCATAGGAAATATACCCACCATTCTTTGTCTGAAAGCTGGCCTTTCCCTTACTTCTTAATTCCTTAGATTTCTCATTCTAGATATTACTCATTTATGCATCAACAAATATCCTCTAATATCCTCTCTGTATCTGGGAGAATAGCACAGAACATGACAAAGCCCCCACTTTTGTGGAACTTAATTTTAGTAGGGAGACAGACGATAACTACCAAGTGCAATGCATACATGCAGGTCAGCTGGTCCTAAGTGCGAGGAAGGGTGGATCCCAGAGATGGAGAGAGGGCTGGGATGTTACTCTACGTAACATCATCAGGGAAGGGCTTCTGATAAGGAGGCACTAGGCAGAACCCAGGAGGAAGAAGAAGGGGAGTCAGGAGGATATGCTAATGGTGCTCCAGGCAGAGGGAACAGAAGGAGGGGCGCAGTGTGCATGTGGAATGCAAGGAGGCCAGCACGGCTGGAGCTACATGAGCGAGGGGGAGAGTGTTGGAGAAGGAAAGTCGGGGGAGACATCACGTACGGCCTTGTAGTTGCCAGTAAGGATTTTGGCTTTTATTCCAAATAAGGTGAGAATCCACTGGAGAGAATCCACTGGGCAGAGGGGTGACATGATCAGATTTGTGTTTTAAGATGACCACCTGGCTGGGCTTGGTGGCATGTACTTGTAGTCCCAGCTATCTGGGAGGCTGAGATGGGAGGATCTCTTGAGCCCAGGAATTGGAGGCCACAGTGCACAATGATAATGAGGGAGTGCAGTGAATAGCTGCTGCACCCCAACCTGGGCAACACAGTGAGACCCCCATCTTATAAATTATTTAAAAATAGGCTGGTCATGGTGGCTCATGCCTGTAATCCCAGCACTTTGGGACTCTGAGGCAGGTGGATCGCTGGAGCTCAGGAGTTTGTGACCAGCTTGGCCAACATGGTGAAACCCTGTCTCTACTAAAAATACAAAAATTAGCCAGGCATGGTGGCAGGCACCTGTAATCCCAGCTACTTGGGAGGCTGAGGCAGGAGAATTGCTTGAACCTGGGAGGCAGTGAGCTGAGATTGTGCCACTGCACTCCAGCCTGGGTGACAGAGTGAGACTCCGTCTCAAAAAAAAAAAATTAAATTAAAAAAATAAAAATAGAAATAAAAAATAGATGAAATGAAATAAAATGACCGTCTGGCTCTTACCTGGAGAAGGGAATTCAGGGGCACCGTTGGCTGCTAGGAGGCAAGTGTGGTTGGTGCAGATGGCAGTCAGCAATGGCTTAGACCAGGAAGACAATAGGGAAGGTGGGGAGAGGCGGCTGGGTTCCCGATATGTTGTGAAGGTGGAACTGCTGGGATTCATTCACAGATTGGATGTGGGGTGTTCCAGGTTGAATTGCATCCTACAGAATTCACACGCTGAAATCCTAACCCCCAGTACTGAAGAATGTGACCATATTTGGAGATATGGTCTTTAAAGAGGTAATTAAGGTTAAGTGAGGTCACTGGGGCGGGACTAATTTCATCTGAGGAGACAACGGGTTTCGGTACAATCGGGGAATAGGGTCACAACCTAGAAACCAAACAGAACTCTGGGACTCTGTATCTCTTAGGGAAATTGCCAGAGCCCTGCCCTCCAGGCCTGTCCTTATTCATGGGGATCTGAGAAGAAGAGATTAGGACCCAGACATGCACAGAGGAGACCCTGTAAGGACACAAAGAGAAGACAGCCATCTGCAAGCCAAGAAGAAAGGCCTTGGGGGAAACCAGCCCTGCCCACACCTTGGTCTGGACTTCCAGCTGATTCTTGGATGAGCTGGTCCTTAGGCACGGAGGCAGGACTGTGAGAAAATAAATTTCTGTTTTTAATTCACCTGGTCTATGGTATTTTGTTGTGGGAGTCCAAGTAGACTAATACATGGGGTTTGAGAGAGAAGAAGCGAGGATGATGCGCAGGAGTTGGATCTGTTTGAAGTTAGGTTAGGAAAGTTCATTTCCTTCACGATGCCCAGAAGCACCAAGAGAGATTGTCCCGCTGGGTTTCACTCAGAAGAGTTTTCCAGTCCACTACACACCACTGACAGAGCCAGAGTACAGTGGGACAAGAGTGAGACACAGGCACATGCAGTCACAAAAGGAGAATCGGCTCCATGCCCAGTGTGATCACCTTCAGGTGCCCACACCATAATGAGCTCCGGTCCGACGTTCCTGTTGGCCCAGAGGTCCTCCTTCCTCCCCTTCCTGAATCGCTTTTGTTCTGATCTAACCTGCACTTCCCCAGGCCAATGGATTTGAGTACAGCTGGGGAAGGGAGTTGCTAGGATTTCTAGCAATCTAGAAACAAAACTGTGTTCTGGGACTCTGTACTTCTCAGTGAAACTGCCAGAGTTCTGCCCTCCAGTCCTGTCCTTATTCATGGGGACCCCAGAGAGACTCACTTGAACTTCTGACCCATTCCCCTGCTGCTCACCCTGCCAGCCCCTGGCCTGGCTGTAGCCACAGTTCCCACCATCACCTATATCTGGAAACTCTAATTCCTCATCCACGACACTATCACGGTCACCCTGTGGAAGTGAGGAGGCTTGCCCAGCCTCCAGACATCCAACAGGGTTGCTTCCTACTCTTTCCAGTTCTCTTACATTTCTGATTCCTTATTAGAAAGGGTTCTTCCATGCCCAGAGCCTCCGCTGGAAGGCAGTTTGAGTCTCACTGGCTGAGCTGCAGTGGGAGTCAGCCCTGGCCCTGCCATGCGTCTGCGCATGTCAAGCTCTTTTCCCTGCAGGCTTTGCCCCTTCTTCATCTGGAACGCTGTTTCCTATTGCAATTTTCATGAGCAAAGTGGATTTATGGATCTGTTTATCTATGTCAGGGGTCAACAAACTATGCCCTGCCACCTATTTTCGTAAATAAAGTTTTATTGGAACATAGCCACACATTCATTTTGCTATAGGCTGCTTTCATAGTACAATGGCAGAGAAGAGTAGTTGGTACAGAGACCATATGGCCTGCCAAGATGAAAATATTTACTATCTAGCTCTTTGCAGAGAGTTTGCCAATCTCTGTGACGGAGTTAGATTGTGTAACTCTCACAAAATGGATAAGAGGATTAAAAAGACTACTGCAGAAATAAGTAAGTAAATAAATAAATCCACGGTGGACTGACAATAATATTAACATCACAATAAAAAAGGACAACAAGAAAATAGTAGGACTGATATTCTTCCACCCACAGTACAAATTGCTTGTCACATAAAACAATTATCCTCTAACCAGGTCTGTCAAGAAGTTGGGAGAGAGATTGGGTGAGGGAGAGAGATGGAAGGGGGAGAGGAAGAGGGGAGGAAAAATAAATAAATTAAATAAATAAATATATAAATAAACAAATAGTGGCATTGAGCTACAAATGACATGCTTAGCATGTCATTTTCCCCTTTAATGATCATTTATCCAGCAATTTTATGGTCAAGCACTATTTTTAGGGTTCCACATGCATTAACTGATTCAGTCCTCAAAACAACCCCAAGAGGTAGGCACTATTTATAATTGTCCCCATTTTATAGATGAAGAAACTGAGGTCGAATAATCTGGCTGAGCTTACACAGCTAGTAAGTGGTGGGGTTGGACTTGAATCCAAGCAGTTCAACTCCAGGGTCTGTGCTCTTAAACTCTACATTATACTGCTTTTGATCAAGAATACGAAGTGGCTGGGCATGGTGACTCACCTGTAATCCCAGCACTTTGGAAGGCTGAGGCAGGTGAATCACGAGGTCAGGAGTTCAAGACCAGCCTGGCCAAGATGGTGAAACCCCATCTCTACTAAAAATACAAAAAAAAAAAAAAAAAAAAAAAAAAAAAAGCCGGGCGTGATGGCAGGTGCCTGTAATACCAGCTACTTGGGAGGCTGAGGCACAGAATTGCTTGAACCCAGGACGTGGAGGTTGCAGTGAGCTGAGATCACGCCACTGCATTCCAGCCTGGGCAACAGAGCAAGACTCAATCTCAAAAAAAAAAAAAAAAGAAGAAGAAATAGAAAACAAAGACAGAAGTAAACCCTAAAATGTTTGGAGAGTGGTGCCATGGGCAGCCCTTTTGGCATGACTTTGCGTCCTAACTACCAATCTTATCCTAAACTCTGGTGCAAGGTGAAGGAATTCATGTAGCTGTCTTTTAAAGGAGCTTTGAGGGGGTTTTTTTGTTTGTTTGTTTTGTTTGTTTGTTTTTCAAGACACATATCTAGGATAAATCCAGCAAATTTAGAAAGTAGAAGTGAAATAGGTCCTTGGGGATGGCATCCCATTGAGGTATCTCCTGCCATTTCAGTGAGTTGTGAAGCATTGGTTAGCATGCGTCATGGCTCTGAGTGCCTAGGACAGCACTCCTCTGTGAAGAGCCCAGCCTCCTGGGGAGGTTGAGGGTCTCTGGCATGGTTCTTGGTGGAGAGTCAGCATCCTTTACCCACCTTCCTGTGGGGCAGATCGAAGTCCCACCTGCCCTTGGCTGAAAGGAAGTGCATTCCCAAGCCTCCTAAAGGCACACTTGACCTTGATTTCCTCTGAGCTTCCTCACCAGATGAACTGGTGTTGTGTAAGGAGCACTGTATTGAGTCAGGACGATGGGTTATGTCCTTGCGAAGGCTTCTGACCTCTCTAGTCCTCAGTTTCTTTATCTGTAACATGAGTGACCTTAGCTAGATGGTCCTCAAAGAGCTCTTTACAGGTTAGAAGTGCTCTGATCCTGTACTTAATGAAATGGAGAAAATATTCATGCCATATTCATTTGCAGGGAAAAAATCCTTTGCAAAACATGATGTTTGACTCTTGTAATTTTTGTTTTAAAAAACACATGTAGCAGAATGAAGGTATTTGTTCTTCCCATCCCCACTCTGCTGCTGGGCAGAGGATATTTTAGCCATAGAATTCACTAGGATTCTTTGTCAGACAGGACTCTATTCTAAGGAATGGGAGCACTGCCATCATCCTCCTGGAATGGAGTCAGGGATGCCCCCCAGGACACTGGACCCCAATGGGCAAAGGTTCTCAGCAGCTTCAACCTAAAAGAGGCCCCTGAGGGGAGAAGGGACCCTGAAGGGAGGGGAGTGGTATAGGAAGGGAAGGGACACCATTCAAGGTAGGCCCTGTGTCAACTACAATTCAACCCTGTGAGTGCTGTAAGGAATCCAAGACATATGAGGTAAAGATCCTCTACACACAAGGAAGTCACCACCCAGCTGGCATCAAAAGCCATATTGATGAAAGACAACGAGAAGGAAGAGATGCATTGTTAGTGTTGCAGGGAGCACAGTGGATTGGGGCAGGTGGCCTGGATCCTGTCTCTGGCCGATCACTGCTGGAGGGAAGCCACTCTGCATCCCTGGGCCTCAGTTTCCTCATATAGAAGTGAGGCATTAAACTCAATTTCAAAATTACCTTCTGCCTCTGAGATTCTGGAGCGGATGGTTTGCTGAAGGAGGACTGAGCGTGGGCACCCGGAATTGTGTCATTTGATGAATGAGTCAGACTAGGGGCGTCAGAAAAATAATGTCTTCACAATCAACACAATGGGATAGGCAATTAAGAAACACTTTGCCGATGGCTTGAGTGTCTGTTCCACTCAGAGGATACATTCCCGAAGAGGGATGGGGTGACTCATCAGGCGGCTGTAACCTGATGAAACAGAGCTATCCAATTTCCTCGCTCCAATTCCAGGCAACCAAATTATCTTAATATGGTTTTCCAAAGCAGTTTCCCCAGGCAAGAGGAGAGACAGACATGAGTTTCCAGACTAAGCAGCAATTGAAAATTGACATTTTTTTATAGGAGTAAAATTATATCACATATGAGAAATGACTGAAACTTTATATGAAGTAGCATTCAAATGCAAAGGGTGTCATCATTAGCAATATCACCATTGGTTATTATTCTCATGCTGATTTGGTCAGCCTTTGAACCAGTTTTTCTTTTTTTTTTTCGAGCTGGTAAATCCTGGGTGACTTGGTGAGTATAGAAATTCTGGGTATGCAAAGCTGATCAAAGATGATAATTACTGATATTTAGAAAGTGCTTTCACATACAGTTATCTCAGTAGCTCTAGAGAGAGAAAATATTATTTTCCCCAGTCTGTAGTTCTGGAAGGCTCAGAGAGGTTAGGTGACTTTTACAGAATAATAGAGCTCGTCAGGGTTTGGCTGGCAGTCAAACCCAGGTGGTCAAGTCCAAATCCAACTCACAGTGTTGCTGCTTCTTAAGCGAGTGATTATCCGCCCATCCAGCACACCCCCTCACATATATACTCACAAACATTTACTATGCAAGATCCATGCCCAGTGGGACAGCTGCAGGAGGGATCAGAAGCTGAGGCAGAGAAAAAACCAAAATGCCAATATATTCTGGAGATCATAGAACCGTGTCTCTTTCCCTCTTCAAATGCTGCTAAAAGCACGTAGAGTCTTTCTGGACAGCCGTCCCATGGCTCAGTCTTTTAGGCTTCCCTTAGTCCCTGGACTCAGGCTGACTCTGCTCATGGTGGGTGTAGAAATCTCCCATTCTGCTTAGATGGAGTCTCTGGGGTGTCAGGCATACCCCTGTTGCCTGCATCTACCTCCTTTTCTGTCTGGTTGTTTCTGCTGAGGGTGGCTAGGGACCCTCAACTGAGATGGCCCCCCACAACAGCACTGTTGGACCTAACACACCCTGGGTTCCCGGCTTCTCAGCCACTGGAGCTGCCAGTCTCAAATTACCGGAGGGGAGGGAGGGCAGGCCTGGATCTCAGGATCTCGGTCCTGCATGCAATGCAAGCCTGAGCTCTCCCGCCATAAGGCTGCAGCGGTGTGGGCTCCTTGTGCCCAGATCCTTTGTATTCATAGGGGGAAGTGGAAGACCACGCTGCCTGACTGAGACTTTATTATAGAGGCTCAGGAAAAAGATGAACTGGTCCCATTCCTGCATCTCCTTTTGCTGGATCTACTTTGCTGCTTCCAGACTGAGAGGTGAGAGGCTGGTGACACGTAACCTATCTTGTCTCATCTGGGGCTATTGCTTTGGTGGGAGGTGGGGCAGGACAGGGAAGACAAAACAGATGATTCAACCGCATGGAAGTGTTCTGTGCTTCCTACTGACTCTGATCTTGGTAGGGCATGCCAGAAAAACAACTCATCCATCCACCCAAAGCTTGTCCCTCGCCAGTGTTGGGCCATCCCCCATTTTAGACCTCAGTCTTGTGTTGTTTGTCTTGAAATACACACAACACTCTGAATGTTAATCCAGATCCCTCTTGTTGAGTAGCTGCAGAGACGGCAGATGGAAAATATGCTCAGAAGTTGTTTAATGACCTTTTTGAAGATTATTCTAATGCTCTTCGTCCAGTGGAAGATACAGATAAAGTCCTGAATGTGACCCTGCAGATTACGCTCTCTCAGATTAAGGATATGGTGAGTAACACATGGTGCTGACTCTGTGGAATGATTCTTAGAGGATAAACAACCATGCTTTCTGAAGAGAATGTCTTAACTGGGAATTTGAGAGGGAATGATAGCTCCTTAAGCAAGCTGGTGGGAGAAGAGAATGTCGGGAAAAGGAAGCTTTCTACAAAACTAATTAATTTCAAGAAACGTTACCTAATCCTGGTCATTAACTGTAACAGTCTTAGATAATCTAAAGAAAGATGGGGTTACATACTGTATGCAGCCATTTATATAAAATGTCCAAAAGAGGTAAATCCGTAGAGACAGAAAACGGCATAGAGGTTGCCGGGGTCTGTGGGGAGGACGGGGAAAACGGCCAGTGAGTTCTTAATGATTACGGCGTTTCTTTGCGGGGGGAAGAAATGATCTTGAATTAGGCAGTGGTGATGGTTGCACAACGTTGTGAATATATTGGAAGCCGGTGCATTGTTCCCTTCGAAAATGATTAAAATGGTGAGTTTTAATGTGAATTTGATCTTAATTTTTTTTTTGAGACGGAGTCTTGCTGTCACCCAGGCTGGAGTGCAGTGGCATGATCTCCGCTCACTGTAAGCTCTGCCTCCTGGGTTCACACCATTCTCCTGCCTCAGCCTCCTGAGTAGCTGAGACTACAGGCACCCGCCACCACACCCGGCTAATTTTTTTTTTGTATTTTTAGTAGAGACAGGGTTTTACCGTGTTAGTCAGGATGGTCTCAATCTCCTGACCTCATGATTCGCCCGCCTCGGCCTCCCAAAGTGCTGGGATTACAGGCATGAGCCACCGCGCCCGGCCAATCTCAATTTTTTAAAAAAGGTAGTGTTTTAAGATGGCATAGCTTATTAGTGCTTATCTATGTTTAATTACACAATGTTATGAAACTTGAAAGATTTTCCTTCTGCACATTGTTATTTCCTGACTTTTGCTTTCAAGTACATCATTCATTGATCAATTTTCAGGAAATATAGGCAGTTGATCTATGCAAAGATATCAATACTAAAATATTTGTCCACTTTACATTCTGAACACTAAATCTAGGAGGAAAAAAAATATGATCTTGGCAGTCAATCAAGGGGATAGAATAAATAAAGAATAAAGCTCTCACTTTACTTATTGAAATTTGATGAGTGTTTGTGAAATTCCTATTGTGAAGAACAAGTGTCCTATCAGTGGAAAACATTTCAAGTGTCTGCTAGGTAAAGCGACATCTGGATTCATTGTGTAGGATGAAAGAAACCAAATTCTGACTGCTTATTTGTGGATCCGCCAAATCTGGCACGATGCCTATCTCACGTGGGACCGAGATCAGTACGATGGCCTAGACTCCATCAGGATCCCCAGTGACCTCGTGTGGAGGCCAGACATCGTCTTATATAACAAGTAAGTGCAGCTCAGAACTGAGGCTTTTCAGGCATGAACGTGTTGATTTCATAGAATTTAAACATAATGAAAAAGGAATGTTTAAAACATGCATGAAATTAAATATTAATCCATGTTCCTAGGACTTACTGAAATAAGAGACATAGAATCTTAGATCAGGAAATAATATGTCATAAAAGCTTAGAGCTGGAAAGAAACCATCCATCTACATGCCCCTTTTTCAGGTGGGAAAGTGGAGGCTGCATTAGTTTGCTAGGGCTAACTTTGCCATAACAGAGTAGCACAGATTAGATGACTTAACAAAAATGTGTTATCTCACAGTTCTGGAGTTGAGATGCCTGAGATGAAGGGGTTGACAGCGTGGTTTCCTCTGAGGGCTGTGAGGGAGGATCTGTACCAGGCCTCTCTTCTAGCTAATGGTGGTTTGCTGGCAGTCTTTGGTGTTCTTGGCATTATAGAAGCGTCACTCTGAGCTCTGCCTTCATCTTCACATGGCATTCTCCTGTGTGTTCCCTGTGTCCAAATTTCCCCTTTCTATAAGGACACCAGCCATATTGGATTAGATGTCCACCCTACTCCAGCGTGACTTCATCTTAACCTAACTAATTACATCTTCATGATACTATTCTCAAATCAAGTCACATTCTGAGTGTTGGGGGCTAAGACTTCAATATGTGAATTTTTCAGGGACACAATTCAACTCTTAACAGTGACACTCACCATCCAAGATCATGTATCAATAATTAATTAAACCGGAATGGGCCATCTAGAAACTGACCTGTGGATTTGGGGCTTTGTGTGGAGTGGAGGATGAACCAGTTTACGGGATACAAAGTGACGTTTTCCCGGTCTCAGAGCAAGGGGCATTGTATAACGGGTAGGTAAAGTTTATGTTTCGCAAGCTGTAAGGTGCATATGAATCGCCCAGGGAGTTTGTTAAAATACAGATTGTGATTCCATGGGTGTGGGGCGGGCCTGTGATTCTGCATTTCTACAAGCTCCGGAAGACGTGGGCACTGTGGGTCCATGGGCTGCATTTTGAGAAAAATACCAGATCTCTGGTCACAGTTCAAGCTCAGTGGCCCCGCCTGTTGTTGAAAGAGCTTCTCTCTGTTTTTATTCTGGAACCCAAGTTTCTGTGGAGTGGGAAGAGTTCCTCTGTGGCTCAGACCTATGTGAATGAGGGGCAGCTCAGGGGGCTCCCCTGGGTGGAGGCTTCCAGTGGGCATGGATTTCCTTTAAGGAAGCAGCACGGGTGGGTTGCAGCCTGGATTTTAGTCTCACTCCTTACTCAGAGAGCTCATCTAAGGGTCATGAGCTCTGGAATCATAGCCCTGTTTTTCTGTCCATTCCCAACTCTGAGTGGCCAGAGGAATCATCTGTATTCCTTCCCAAGGAATATAACAGGAAGATAACATTCAAATACTGGGCTTTATTCCTCCAGTTTACCCTCCCTCCCCGTGCTCGCTCTCTCTGTCTCTGTCTCTGTCTCTCTCTCTCTCTGTCTCTCTCTCTCCCTCTCTCTCTCACACACACACACACACAGAGCAAGAAAACAAACCACATTGTCCATTACCACACTCTCGTCTGCAGAGTGCAGGAGAGTAATATCTGATAATTTCATTGACACAGGCAGGGCGTGAGGACTAACC